>NC_000003.12:101205574-103705574 GCF_000001405.40 Homo sapiens
CAGCATGACGTGGAATTTGTAACAGTACTCATAAATGTCCATAAGTAAAATAGAAGTCACTCCAACCGTGGTAAACACTAATAAAGATAACTTTCACAATATTTTTTCACAAAACGCTGTATATCCAAAATGTTAAGATCCCCAGCCATGCTGCAAGATGATAAAGATCTTTATGTTTACATGGCCAAAACTGGGTGTGCAATTATATCATATGGCTCGTCTGAATGGAAGAGCCTCCTTATAAAGGGTGTTTCCACAACTCCCTTGAGAAGGATCAATTTCATGATAGTAGAACTAGTGCCACTGTGTAGATACTGCTGAGATAATCCAGCTACAGAAACTAATAACAAATTCCCCATGGTATTCGAGAAGGAACTCCAAATATATAAAAGAAGGAAATGGTGTCAACCCATGAGAATCAAACTTTTTCTTCAATCCATTTAATTTTTTAAAAAAGGGAACAAAAAAAAGACACTGAAGCAAAGCCTGAACATCAGCTGTATACTTAGAGGATCCCACTGGTTATACCATCAACAAATAATGATGGTAAACAAGACTGAGGGAATGAGGTGTGCTCTGGTAATGTGGCCCTTAGGTAGTAGACATTCTCAATGCACCAAATCTAGATTGTTCTCCTTGGAATCTGCAAAACCTGATCATGCCCAAGTACATCAACAGATACAGGACACTATATTGAACAAAAATATTTCTAATTCTGTGAAGAGCATTCCTAGTTAAGGAATGCTTCACTTGCAAATTCTTATTGTCCCTTAAATAAATTTCATTCCTTTATAGAGACCTTGCTTTCTAGGATTCCAGATCTGCTCATGATGTAATGAATAGTAATTATAACACAGCATTTATAGTTTAAGATATAATTTTTCATAAATATTATCTCATTCAATATCTTTGAGGTTGGACTTACTGTTAATTTTAATACAGAGATGGAGTCTCACTCCATCACCAGGCTAAAGTGCAGTGGCATGACCATAACAAACTGCAATCTCAAAAGTCTGGGCTCAAGCAATCCTCCTGCCTTAGCCTCCCGAGTAGCTAGAACTACCTGCATGCACCACCACACCTGGATAATTTCTTTAAAAATTTTTTTGTAGAGACAGGGTCTCATGATGTTGCCCAGGCTTGTCTTGAATTCATGGCCTGAAGCAATCCTTCTGCCTTGCCCTCCTAAGGTGTTGAGATTATAGCATGAGCCACACTTCTGGCCAGGACTTATTATTATTCCCAATTAAAAGATTAGGACATTGAGGCTCAGAGGGGTAAATTTTCTTCCCCAATATGACACAGTCTATGAAGAAGCCCAGATTTGAATTCCTATCTTCCCAGACTTTTTTTTGCCTTTTTTCTATACCATATTGTCTCTGACCAATGATGACATGGATCGGAAGGTTTAAAAAGGAACAAGTTAGAAGCAGCCATACAATGTTTCAAAACACAGGTGAAAGCAAAAGATATATAAAACCATAGCTATGCAACTTGTATTTTCCTTTCACAAAAGGCAGCTACTACTGAGTCTTCATCACCTATAGGAAAGGCAATCCTTGACAGGTCTTTGTCTAAAGACAGTCTCCAAAATGTCAAGTAATGTTTACTTCAATTTTGAGCTAGCACATTAGCATAAATATAAATTTCTGTTTCTTACCACTGACATTTTATCTAATTATTTTGGAACTGAGCTTAGCCATAAAATACCAGCTGTCACAGAGCAACCTGTGTTTACTACTCATTTATTATGTCCCATAGAAGAAAGATTTGCACTCAGATTAACAAAGAAGCTTTGGGGGTTACCATGAAAGGCAAGAATTTCCAAAATAATTATAATATCAAGCCTTGACAGTTTTTTCTATCATCAAGCTATTGTTAGATCTTTTTTCCAAATATAAGCCTTTTTAGTATCTTTGGTTACTATGTAGGTTGCCCCTAGAGTTTAACTCAGTGCCCATGACTTCCTGCTTATAGGTAGAATTGCTTGCTGATGCTACTAACTACTGCCATAAGTGCAGCCTTTTGTGAAGATTTATATAAGAAACACTATCCAACTCACCTTTGCAAGCTGATCAAATCATTGGTTGACTTTTTCATATCTTAAGCTGGGTGTGGATGGAGGGATCTGGACGAAAAACTGATGGAAAAACTTAAGTTTTTACAAATAGTGAGCATTAACCATCTATCCATAAAGGGTACCTTCCCTCCAAGTCCCCAAAGTCCATTGTATCATTCTTATGCCCTTGTGTCCTCGTATCCTTGCTCCCACGTATCAGTGAGAACGTACGAGGTTTGGTTTTCCTTTCCTGAGTAACTTCACTTAGAATAACAGTCTCCAATCTCATCCAGGTTGCTACAAATGCCGTTAATTCATCCCATTTTATGGCTGATAATCTCCTTACTTTTTATATGAGGAACTCAAAATTCAGAGAAGTAACTTGACCAAGATTACTTAATTATTTTGGGGTTGATCTATGGCTCCACAACTGAAAGTTAAGTCCTAACCACCCTCTTTCCTCAAATAGTGCTTTTTCCACTCTGCCCCACAGCTCTTGCCATTTGTAGTATGAATGTCAGATAGTTTCGTGTTAATAGGAGTCCGTATTTCTCACCATGAACCCTGGACCCCATTTGAATGGAAGGGATTTATGGTCAGGAAATTTATCTGGACTGTCACTACTGTATCTCTCCATTACCAAGCAAAGAGCCATTATTAATGAATGGTACAGAAGATTAAGGACACCCTAGTCTGGATGGTGAAAACACCCTGGCCAACTAAGTTATTCAAGATGCCCCTCTATGTTTAGCAACAGGAAGTAATTCTGTTGACATATTATAAGGCAGTTTTGCAAAAGTTGTCTTAATATCTTTTCAGATCGAAGAATATTTAACACAAATCAGAATACCTTATCCTGTTTTGTTTTTGTTTTTGTTTTTCTACATCAACTCTTTACTTAATTTTAACACACATCTGGAACTATGGAATCTAACCGAGGTAGCATTATGTCATTAAAATAAAGTTTCTGAGTCTTGTGTTGTCCATCCCATTCTTTAAATTATACCAAACTGCTCATGCAGCATTCAGCCAGCAGCCCATAAAAGCAGGTCACAGGCAATCCTACTCTGTAAACCTGGAATCCCCTTGTTTTGTCCCTAATCTTGCTCTTGCTCCGCTCTATCCTAGTTTGGTCCAATTTCCAATCCCTCTCTTATCATTTGCATTCTATGACTCACTTCGTCTTTACCAATTAATTTTTGTTGCTCTATCAAACTGTCTTTACTGCTCTTTAAAGTATCAGCTCCTCCTGGCTCCAAATGCTTCAACTCACCTTCTCTCTTGCCATTCCTTTGGACCCCAAAACTGCACAGACAAGAATCTAGAAATGTGTCATATGAGGTCAAAGCTGCAGACAGGTCAGTGTGTGGCAATGCCATGTTTACAAGCTATGAAGTCACTATTCCCTCCCAGGGAAACTTGGCTACCATTGCTATTCGATGATGCTTTTCTCTTAGACCAACTAAGAACTCATGTGTCTGAAAAACTGAAGAAAGATATCATTGTTTTCTGAACTTTACAACTGTTGAAGGTGATGGAAATACTTGATGCCTCTTTTATACTCATCTGAGGACCTAGGAACAGCTTTGAAAATGGATTCCAACATGCTTATTGAAAGAATGCTTGTGCTAGTTAATTTCCCTGCCAAAGGGTTCAAAATTAGTAGTTTTGTTCCTCTTAAGTTTATGCAATGATATGCTACGGTGATTTAAGGTAAAATATCCGAGTAATGTTTACAGCAAAAGAAGACTTGTTTATCCTTATCTTGTCTTCTAAAACCCAGGTCAACATTTTGAACATTGAGACACACTAATCTGTTCACTTTTAGTCATTTATTTTTTCTTTGACATTTATTGTTAAAGAATAAATTAGTGCATAAAGAAATATATGGTCAGGGTCCTAAGAAAGCATGAATCTACTATGGGCAAGGCATGGATCTGAAGGAGTGTGTGTGCACATACACATATATGCATGTTTTAATAGCAGAAACTGATTTGCATCGATCCATTCTCTGAAATTCCCAATACCCCTGGTGTCAACAGCATGAATTTGCAAACTGGTGAGTTCACAATTAGGAGCAAATTCTGTTACCAAAGAACAGAGCAAGTTAAGTAGCTCATATTTAAATAAAGGGAAATGAAATTTGTGATATTTGTCTTAGTAACATTATGCTAATTAGCTAATTAGGCTTGAATATAAACGGCTCATGAAACTTAGAAGAAAACTGTATATTCTTCAAGACTAAGCTATTAGCCCACCATTCAACTTTCTGCCCACCCTCAAGTTTACCACCTAGCATTCTAATACCAACAAAACAAAAGAAAAACTCAGGAGAGACCCACGGAGAAGAAAAAAACATTTCTAAAACTGGATATGTAATACTTTCTGCCATAAAGTGAGAACAAATCTAAGCTTCCTTGTTTCTTTTTTTTTTTTTAATTTTTTATTTCCATAGGTTATTGGGGAACAGGTGGTGTTTGGTTACATGAGTAAGTTCTTTAGTGGTGATTCGTGAGATTTTGGTGCACCTGTCATCCAAGCAGCGTACACTTCACTCAATTGGTAGTCTTTTATCCCTTGCCCCCTTCCCACCCTTTCCCCCTGAGTCCTCAAAGTTCATTTTGTCATTCTTATGCCTTTTAAGCTTCTTTGTTTCTAATTAAAAACTCCTTAATGTTCCTCGTGCCGGGTGTGTAATAGGCTATACCATCTAGGTTTGTGTAAGTACACCATAGGATGTTCACACAATGACAAAATTGCCTAAGAATGTACTTCACAGAATTTATCCCCGATGTTAAGCGAACGTATGACTGTACTTAATTTTATTCTCTGAATCATTTCATGCATTTGTGTCCTGACTTCCCAACTAGATAATGAAAGTTATTCATCTTTCCATATAGATATTAAGGTAAAATATCCAGAGTAACGTTTACAGCAAAAGAAGACCTGTTTATCCTTATCTTCTTTTCTAAAACCCAGGTCAACATTTTGAACATGAAGACACACTGATCTTCTATTCACTTTCAGACATTTATTTTTTCTTTGACATTTATTGTTGAAGAATAAATCACTGAATAAAGATACATGTGCTCAGGGTATTTATATAATAATTACCAGCTTCTCATTTTGTGTAGTATTGACAAATCTCTATTCAATAGGGACTTTTATCACATAAAGCAAATATTTTTTATAAGCACTAAAGTATAGTAATACACTGAAACAATCCCCCAAAATTTGTAACTGAGAATAAAAAGAATATCTTTAATAATTAAAGTAAAAATTCATTGTTATAGTGACATTATATTCCAGTACATTGAATAAACATCACAAAACTCACTTGTGGCTGGGTACAGTGGCTCACGCCTGTAATCCCAACACTTTGGGAGGCCAAGGTGGGTGGATCACCTGAGGTCAGGAGTTCAAGACCTGGCCAATATGGTGAAACTCCAGTCTCTACAAAAAATACAAAAATTAGCCAAGCGTGGTGGCACATACCTGTAATCCCAGCTACTTGCAGTGGGTGGGGGTACTGAGGTAGGCTTGAGCCCAGGAGATCGAAGCTGCAGTGAGCCATGATCACACCACTGCACTCTAGCCTGAGCAACAGAGTGAGACCCTGCCCAAAAAACAAAACAAAACATAAAACAACCTCACTTGTACTAACTCATCTTTGATTTTTAAAATAATAAAGGAGACCCTGGCCAGATTAGTTTGAGCAAAGAGGTGAGTGGAAAGCCAGGCCTGGGCACACTCTCTTGCTGGCTGCTGAGAGCCCCTCCATCCCAGACAAGCAGAAGGCCTGGTCCGGCTAATGCCCATGCAGTCAGTCTGAGACCCAACTTAGCTGACAGTATGAACAGATTGGCCAAATGGAAAGAAGGCTGTTGTCAGGTGAATGTCCAGAAAGTATAATTAAAAAAAAAAAAAACACTTGAAACCTCAATGAAATCAATCTACTTCTGAAATCTTTCTTAAGGAAACATTCAGAAATGCAGAAAATATGATAATATTCCTTATAGTGTTCATTCTGACAATTTAAAAATTGAAATAATCTAAAACAGATCACTATATGTAAATAGCTAGAGTAAGTTTTGGTAGGGCCATCTCAGAACTCTGAAAGAATATGCCAAGGGGGGCCAAACCAGTCACCTAGACTAGTGAAGTTGGCTAGGGGATGTGAAATCTCCCGATTTTAAAATACTGACAACTAATTCAAACATTTTTAATATTTTAAAGTCCAAAGAAAATATGTCTATGGGCCATACTTGGCCCCCATATCATCAGCTTGCTACATCTGATCTATGTAGTGAAATGTTTTTGAAAATTGTTAAATAATTTTAATGAAAATGCTCTTTGTATAATATCTGGAGAAAATGAGTATTATTCTAATTACTTAAGATACATATGGGTAGAAAAAAAGACTAGCAGGAAAGACATCAAAACAATAATAGCTATATGTAGAGAGAGACTATTGATGATTTGTTTTCTTCACACTTTTATGTAATTTCAAAATTAGTTTCAAATGAGGATTTCTTATTTTATAATAACTTTTTAAAACCATCATAAAGAATGAAAAATACTTTTGCTCAGTCTTTCATCAGGGTTCAGCATTAATGCTGCATTACTGATTGGGTGATGTTCTTAAGAAGGGGCACCTCAGAAATGATAATGTCTATTCATTTTTCCAATCAGTAATGCTAAATTTTGTGTGGAAACAACTGTGAGGCCCCACAGCTGTGAATTGCTGGAAGACAAATTTAACATCTTTAACAGATTGAGAGCACTGCTGAAGGCAGTTGTAAAAATAATGCCATGAAATATTGCATATAAAGTACTTAACCCATAGACACACTCAATAAATGGTAATTTAAAAATAAAGTATTCAGAATTAGTAGGAAGTACTGGTGCCTCGTTCTCAAATGAAAACTAAAAATGAGGGAACACATTACTTTTTTAGTCCAAAAATAGGCATTTAAGAGTGAAAACAGAAATAAACTTGTAAAATGGATAATTGACAACAAAAATACAATTCCTATAAACATAAAAGCAATCATTCTCACTAAAAAGAGAGTAGCAACAACATTCAGTGGCAGTTTGCTCTTTATGCTGATATGGTTTGGCTCCATGTCCTCACCCAAATATCAGTTCTAATTGTAATCCCCACATGTCGGGGGAGAGACCTGGTGGTAGGTGACTGAATCATGAGGGTGGACTTCTCCCTTGCTTTTCTCTTGATAGTGAGTGAGTTCTCATGAGTTCTGATTATTTGAAACCGTATGGCACTTCCCCCTTTGCTCTCTGTCTTGCTCCAGCATGGTAAGATGTGTTCACTTCCCCTTTGCCTTCTGCCATGATTGTAAGTTTTCTGAGGCCTCCCAGTCATGCTTCATGGTAAGCCTGTGGAACTCTAAATCAATTAAACCTCTTTTCTTCATAAATTACCCAGTCTGAGGTAGTTCTTTATAGCAGTGTGAGAATGGACTAAACAAAAAATTGGTACCAGGAGAGTGGGGCACTGATATAAAGATATCTGAAAATATGGAAACGACTTTGGAACTGGGTAAAAGGCAGAAATTGGGACAGTTTAAAGAGCTCAGAAGAAGACAGGAAAATGTGGGAAAGTTTGGAACTTCCTAGAGAATTGTTGAATGTGTGTGATTAAAATGCTAATAGTGATATGGACAGTGAAGTCCAGGCTGAGGAGTTCTCAGATAGAGATGAGGAACTTATTGGGAGCTGGAGCAAAGATTACTCTTGCTATGGTTTAGCAAAGAGACTGGTGGCATTGTGTCCCTTCTCTAGGGATCTGTGGAACTTTGAATTGGAAAGAGATGATTTAGGGTATCTGGTGGAAAAAAATTCTAAGCCCCAAAGCGTTCACGATGTGACCTGGCTTCTCCTAAGAGCATATAATCATATGTGTTCACAAAAAGGTAGTCTGAGTTTGAAACTTATGTTTAAAAGGGAAGCAGAGCATAAAAGTTTGGAAAATTTACAGCCTGACCATGCAGTAAAAAAGAAAAAACTATTTTCTAGGGAGGAATTCAAGTTGGCTGCAGAAATCTGCATAAGTAATGAGGAGCTGAATGTTTCTTTCTTTCTTTCTTTCTTGCTTGCTTTCTTTCTTTCTTTCTTTCTTTCTTTCTTCCTCTTTCTTTTTCTTCTTTGTATTTTTGTTTTTTTAGGAGCTGAATGTTAATAGCCAAGACAATGGGGAAAATGTCTCCAGGGCATTTCAGAGATCTTCATGGCAACACCTCCCATCACAGGCCCAGAGGCCTAGGAAGGAAAAATGGTTTCCTGGGCTGAGCACAGGGCCCCGCTGCTCTGTGCTGCTTCAGGACATGGCACTCTGTGTCCCAGCCACTCCAGCTCCAGCCATGGTTAAAAGGGGCCAAGGTACAGCTCAGCTTGGGATGTGGCTTCAGAGGGTGCGAGCCTCAAACCTTGGTGGCTTCCATGTGGTGTTGGGCCTGTGGGTGCACAGAAGGCAAGAATTGAGGTTTGTGAACCTCCACCTAGATTTCAGAGGATGTATGGAAATGCCTGGATGTCCAGGCAGAAGTCTGCTACAGGGAAGAGCCCTCACGGAGAATCTCTGTCAGGGCAATTTAGAAGGGAAATGTGAGATCGGAGCTCCCACACACAGTCTGCACTGTGGCACTGCCTAGTGGAGCTGTGAGAAGAGGGCCACTGTACTCCAGACCCCAGAACAGTAGATCCACCAACAGTGTGCACCATCTTCCTGGAAAAGCCACAGGCACTCAATCCCGGCCTGTGAAACCAGCCATGGGGCCTATACCCTGCAAAGCCACAGGGTCAGAGCTGCCCAAGCCCTTGGGAGCCCACCTCCTGCATCAGCATGCCCTGAATCTGAGGCATGGAGTCAAAGGTGATTATTTTGGAGCTTTAAGATTTAATGACTCCCCTGCAGGGTTTCAGACTTGCATGGGACCTGTAGCCCCTTTGTTTTGGCCAAATTCTTCCTTTTAGAATGGGAGCATTTACCCAATGCCCATACCCCCATTGTATCACAGAAGTAACTACTTGTTTTTTTTTTTATTTTACAAGCTCACAGGCATAAGAGACTTGCCTTGTCTCAGATGAGACTTTGGGCTTGGACTTTTGAGTTAATGCTGGAATGAGTTAGGACTTTGGGGAACTGTTGGGAAGGCATGGTTGGTTTTGAAATGTAAGAAGGACATGAGATTTGGGAGGGCCCAGGAGTGGAATAATATGGTTTGGCTCTATGCCCTGACCCAAATCTCATGTCAAATTGTAAACCCCACATGTCAGGTGAGGGGCCTGGTAGGAGGTAATTTGATCATGGGGGCTGATTTCCCCTGTGCTGTTCTCATGATGGTGAGTTCTCACAAGATCTGATAGTTTAAAAGTATGTGGCAGTCTCTCACTCACTCTATCTCTCTCTCCTGCTCTGCCATGGTAAGACATGCTTGCATCTCCTTCGCCTTCTGCCATGATTGTAAGTTTCCCCAGGCTTCCCAGCCATTCATCTGTACAGCCTGTGGAACTCTGAGTCAATTAAATCTCTTTTCTTCATAAATTACCCAGTCTCAGGTAGTTCTTTGAAGCAGCATGAAAACGGACTAATACATATGCCATCAAGTAGACATTAAGCTGTGTTTACTTTTCAATACTATGCCTAGAGGTTATTACTATAAGGCAGAATTATATGCATATACTGAATGTTTTCCATTGCATTTCAGAGACTGCATTTGGTATGGTTTTATGTAGACTAATTTACAAAAAAGAAGAATCATTAGACCAAGTCTATGTATATAGCCTAATATAAATTTCAGAATTAAAAACCAGCTGAGTAACTAGGTGGCCAGCACAGTAGGGCTTCCCCTGGGAAACTATGCATCCCTGGGTCATTTTCACACTACCATTCCTTTCCTTCACCTCCCAGCTCCCACTAGGCCCTTCCAATTGCCTGCTTCTAATGCAGAGCCTAGGCAGCAGCAGGACAGAAGTTCTTGCCTCTCAGCAGCCATTTAAACCTGGGAGCAGGAACAGGAAACTTCCTCATGATGAAAGCCAACCTCTACAGTGTGCCTTTTGCTTACTGATTTTTTATCCGTTTACCTGCCATGGACTTTCCATACCAGGCCCCAATTTAGACTTCAGTACTCCTGTGTTGGACTCTCGCATTCAGTAGCAGCTTCTGGCACCCACTGACTTGACTTGAGAAATATTCACCTTTGTCTTGCCTGCGTTGATGCTGACCTCGGCCCACCCTGACTTTGAAACCATTATCTACAGCTCAGTTACTAGCGTTTCTGAACCCTCTCCCTGCCTTCTTCTGCACCACAAACCTACCTGTGTCTCAGATTCTCATCAGCATTGTTGACTGGAACCACACCCTCGTCCCTCCAGGTTCTCCTTGACCATGCCCCTAACACCTGATTTCTTACAAGTCAGCAATAAAATGTGAATCTAAATGTAACTCATTAAGGAAAGCATAGGTCAAATAGTGGTTTTTAAAATATATGTTTATCATAACCTATTTCCCCTCTTCTCTTTCTGATCCCTATTTAGCCAATATTTGTGGTTCATTGTAGCCTTTATTTTTACACTCTGCACTGTTCTAGAACTGTCTGGAGAAAAGGTGTTTGGAGACTTAGAAGAGCATGCTCTCTTATGTAATCAGCCCCAGAAAGTAATGAGTTGAAATATTAATCGTGAAGTAATCAGGTGACTTTTAATGAAGCAAATTCACCCATATCTACTTTTATGTTTTGATTAGCCAAATATGAAAATTATTTTGCATTCTCCTAACTCAGATTAAATAACAGTGAGAAGAAATTGACCTCCCTGTCAAGAAGATATAAAATTTTACCATGGGTAAATGAGGGGTGATTGTTGTCATATTTTTCAATAATTTCAGAATCACATAGGATACCCAAGCAAGTAGCAGACCAAAGATAGGCATATAAAAAAGAATAACAATATCCTCATAAAAATTTATCCCTTTGGAAATGTAAATTTGATAATATTCACAAACAAACAACTGCTTTTATTTAGCTACTCTTCTTAACAAGAGTGTCTAGCTTCTGGACAAGGAAGAAAGAAGTGGTATTGTTTATCTGCCACTTTCCACTGGCCACTTTAACAACAGATTGTACCTTCAGCCTCTGTTTGTGGCCACTCAGTCCAATAGGCATTGGGCTCTCATCCACTCAGCACTGTGTTGCACAACCTCAGACACAGCCTTTTGAGAAGTTATGACTTTGAAACTCAGACACTGAGCTCACATAGTAACCATGAGTACACACAGGTCACCATGGCCAGAAGAGAAGAGGATGCCAGAGCTGGAAGCCACGAGCAACTCAAAACATGCAAAGCAACAAGACGTCACTTAAAGGGGAGAGGCAAGATAGAGACATTGCATGTGCCCATCAACACAACTCACTTCCCTGCTCAGTAGCAGCTGGAATAGGAGTTAAGTTTCTAGGCCTGAGTGGGCTTGTGAGTTCTATACCATCACGGCTTAGGTTTTAACAAGTAGATTAACACTAGCAAACTGAGTCTTACCTGACCACTTCTCTTGGATAGAATTACCATATTTTCCAGTCTTCTAGATAACAGAAGGAAACTTGAAGTGGAAACATTTTCAAGATTTTTCACTTCCTCTTTCTGCTCCTGAGGCACAGTTTTATAATCTGGAAAGAAGTACTATTATCTCCTCCTTAAATCAGTATAAAAGTTGAGAGGTTAAAAACATTATGTTTTGGTTCACATCATTTGGCCATAAAAGATGATCTCAACAGTGAATATTTTAGGTAATAATTTAACTCAACACTATTCTCTAAATCAAACAGTACTGGGGACAAAATTTTCTAAGACACTTAGATGGAAACATTAGGGCAACTGAATTGCAAGTTAACATGTTTATCTCTGCAGGTTGCCATGTAACTTTCTCCTCTGTATCCAGAGAGTTCTGAAACAGATAGCAAGGACTTTCACTTGGTGCACTGTTGAGACATCTCAAGAGAGGGTCACTGTGAGGTACTGATGTAAACGTGTCCACAGAGAGCAGCACAGTATATCACAGGCCAGGAACAAGAAGAAACGATTCAATGCCGTCAGTCAGTGTGGCTCCTGCCTGGACAGCACAGAAATACTGGCAAAGCTAGTGTTTTATAGCATGCTCATTAACATTATCAGATTCCTACTCTCTCCAGCATGGTTTAATAAAACTGAGAGGAATCATTTGATTTTATAGATCTTTCCAAGCTATCACTTTTATGTTTTCAAGCCAAAATTAAGACTGTCCTCAAAATAGAATGTCTAAACCTGTTCATTAATGGAAAGTCCATTTAAGCTTGAAGCTTTGCCATTCCAAGTTGAATTTTGACTTTGAAACATCACTGGCAAATCTGAAAGTAAAATAAGAAAAACTGAAGCAATGGAAAAATCTCCCCTGGCCCACAGTATTGAATGGAAGGTATTTCTAATCCTCAACATGTGTTTTAGAGCTTTCTTTTATGAAGAAGAAAGATCATCCACTACTGTGTCATGGATATCATTTCATAAGGAAAATAAATTTCTGTAGAAATAAAATTACCTTTACTTTTACATTTTTAAAAGAAACAGGCAACGTTTTAAAAAGGCAATTTCAACCTAACAGTCTCCTTCTCTTCATACTTCGAAGAATATCATCTGCTCTGGAAATAGGCCACTCAATACTTTTTCCTGGTAAAAACTGCAACATGAATTATTGATTATTTGCCAGAAATAAAATTGTCACTAAATGACAGAAGGAGATGTAGGTGCTCATTTTATTTGTGGCATCCCAAATTCAAATAGTATTTCAAAAAGAAAATGTAAAAAATAAATTTTTCTTTAATTTAGATCATTAACCTTCCCTCATTTATAGTAAATATGGTACTGAGATAGCAGAAAGCATAAATTCTTTGAGGAAAAAATTATTTCTCAAAAGTTTCCTATATGATAACTTTAAAAGTAGAAAAGTGGTGTCCATGGCAAAAGAAAAAAGGCAGGGGAGGAGACATCCCAACCAATTATCACTACAAAGCAAGTAGAAAATTAAATCAGGCTTGGTGCAATGGCTCACACCTGTAATCCCAACACTTTGGAAGGCCGAGGCAGGCAGACCACTTGAGCTCAGGAGTCTCTCAAGAACAGCCTGGGCAAAATGGCAAAACTCCATCTCTACAAAAAAATACAAAGATTAGCCAGGAGTGGTGCCAGGTACCTCTAGTCTCAGCTACTTGGGAGGCTGAGGTGGGAGGATCACCTGTGCCTCAGAGGTCAAGGCTGCAGTGAGCCCTGATCATGCCACCGCACTCCAGCCTGGGTGACAAGGTGAGAGTCTGTCTCAAAAAAAAAAAAAAAAAAACCAATATCTGTTTTCAAATCACTATAATATAGTTTTCCCTCAAATTTTGAAGAATTTCTAATCTATTATATTTTCTGTACCTTCCAAGCGAGAGCAATTTAAAATCTGAATCAAAAATGGGTTTTCTTCATTCATTATAGAAAATAGTTAACAATTGTTATTACACAAACCTTTTTATAAAAAATTTTTACATCAGGCAGCCCTGCTGATCCAGAATATGTTCAGAGTGCCTCCCTTACATAAACCTTTGATGGTTTCATAGTAGCAGTGACAGTGACAGGAGGCAGTCAAATGCCTAGGCAGATAGGGGCGGGTCCCCAGTGAAACCCCACCTTCAAGCCAAAGACCGTTTAAAGCCTAGATACAAGTCCTGGGTAAATCCACAGACCGGATTGAGAAGCTGTCTTCCTGTTTGGCATGCTTTCCTCTGACTGATCCCCACCCTTCACCTATTTTACGTATACTTACCCTTTCCTAATTGGTTTTCTGCATTGTTGTGCCCACCTTTGAATGGTGTCTTTACTTTAACCTTTTTTGCATAGTCGCAAACCAATCAGCATGCACTCCCCATTCTGAGTCCATAAAAAGCCCCAGAACCAGCCACATTGAGAGAGAAACCACCCAACTGTGGGGTTGGGGAACCACCCCTACATCCCATCTCTGCTGAGAGCTGTTCTGTTGCTCCATAAAATTCTTCTCTGCTATCCTCACCCTTCAAATCGTCAGTCTATTCTCATTCTTCTTGGACATGGGACAAGAGCTCGGGAACCACCCAACATTGGGTACAAGCTATAACACAGGTGGGCCAAGTAGGCAGGGTGCCTCCAGTGGCAAGCCTGGTGTTCCGTGAGGCCTGAGTGGTTGGGGGGCATCACTGGCCATGGAGGTCGCCAGTTGGCAAAGTGGCTGAGAAGAATCTTGTGTCAGCACCAATATAAGTCTTGTTGAGTATTTGCCAATTATCTAACACTGAGCAAAACTAATACCTGTTCTCTAGGAGTGTAGAATCACATAGATGCTTCCAAATACCTACATCACATTAGGAGTAGTATGTCCTGGACAAACCTGGCTTGAAGGCTTCTCTCTTAAGGGCCTTTCCTTTGGAGCACCAGGATACCTGCCACTATGTGAGGGTAGAGTTACAGAAATAGGAAGTCAAGCAATTTTCCCCTTAGGGAAAACCCTGGGAAACTGAGGGGAAATACCAAAATCAGTTGCTGCTATGTTCAGGACAAACATGATCAATTTTGAAGGCACATCGTCACTAACTTTCAAAAAAGGTAATTACAGAAACTTGAATAAAACTGAAAGGTGTAACCAACTACTCATCTCTCAGGTTTTTTTTTAAGAAAGGGAAGAACTGAGTCACACCTTGACCCATGTCTTGCTTTCTGATGCCTTTTTTCTGCCCTACATGATAAAGAAATAGACAAAGCATGAAGTCACTTTATAGGAACATTTTTCAAGATTAAACAAACGCCTTTATATGCCTCATACTCCAAACTCTACAAGCAGAAAATAAGTTGATTATTGTTCCCATCTATCCCCACAAGCTCCTCAGTTTTTACCCCTCTCTGAGCCACAGCACCTAAATTTTTCCTACTATCCTACCACCAGTCCCCAAACCATTCTACCTCTTCATCCTGCCTTCTTCATTGAGTCTATGGTTAGGAAACTCGGAAAGGTTACTACATGTGGACATACAATGTATGGAATGTAGCAGTCCATACATTCTATGAATTACCAGAGGAGAATAAGGTAGATATAAATGTATCAATTTTATCTCGTGAAATATTTAGTGCTATTTTTAAATCTCTGTAAACCATCTCTTTAAAAGTGATTTTTAAACCATTCAGGGTCCACCTAATTTGTTCCTGGTATACAAGGTAACCATTTGCTTGCTGGTGATAAAACAGATACCTCCCATTATTTCAAGCTAACTGAATTGCTCATTATTGTAAACCAACTCTACATCAAGTACTCTTTGGTTTTGCAAATAGCAAATGAATAAGGCATGGCCCTAACATCAAAAAAAACTCAGTTTAGTGGGAAGTTAATGACATGAATAAAAAATTATAATACAGCTTTAGTGAATAACAGAATGGAAGCATATACGTGTACAGAAAAAGGCATGAACGAATAATTTTTTGAGGCTCATTGAAAGGCCCACCTGATGAAAATATGCACACTCTTCCCGAAACCTACCATGGTGTGTGCAATATTGACAATGAGAATTATTAATCTGAGATAATGAGCTGTTTCCCAAAAGTCCACACACAATGTTGGTGTTACTTGGAAAAGACTGATTTCTGAACACCTATTATCATATTAGCATCAATTCATTTGTTCTTACAGACAGGGGGTGCGGCGGGGGGACAAGATATGTGAGTTTTGGTGAGAAGATAATTTCAAGATTAGCTCATGAAGCACAGCCCATAAGGACTAGTTCATATGGGACATAAATTCAGAGGAACTAGAAAGTGGACCAGCATTGTGAGAGCATGAGCTAAAAGTGACTAGGGCTTGTCCGGACCAGACTTCTTAAAAGCAGGGTTATTACTCACTGTTTCTCCTAAAACCAGGTCACTTATTAATCAATCAACAGATATTTATTAGGCATATTTCCCCTACTTTTTGTTTTTATAATATGGTCTTTGGAGTCAAATCAAGACCACCCTCCTATTTTTTTTCTTTTTTTATATAATACTTTAAGTTCTAGGGTACATGTGCACAACGTGAAGGTTTGTTACATATGTATACATCTGCCATGTTGGTGTGGTGCACCCATTAACTCGTCATTTGCATCAGATATATCTCCTAATGCTATCCCTCCCCCCTCCCCCCACCCCACGACAGGTCCGGGTGTGTGATGTTCCCCATCCTGTGTCCAAATGTTCTCATTGTAAGACCACCCTCCTATTTTCTAAGACTGATTTACGATTTCTTCATGTCCTGTTGCCAGCAAGACATCATGCAAAGGTAGGAAGGAATAAAACTGAAAACTGAGGTTTCTGATGGCCAACGCACTGAGGAATCACCTGCTTGGATAACTGGTAGCTGATTTTCCTCCTGCCCCTCCCATGCAAGATTGCTTTAGATCGTTGCTACCATGTTTATTTCTTCTCTTTTCTCTTTAGACAGGTCACCCATTTCGCCTCTCCTTACAGACAGCTGGTGCTAGCTATACCATCAAATCTTTCTTTAATCAGCTTCATCAGTTTTCCTTCCATTCCTACCTTAAGCAGATGAGGGGGAAAAAAAAGAGAGTTTCTAACAGTTTAAAAGAGTAAAGTTTAAGAACGGCCAAATAATGACCCATCATCATTAAATACAACAAAATTTGAGGCAAGACTGAGGCTCCAAATTCATCTCCAGTTCTCCTAATCTTCACTTCGCAAAGATAAATCAAAGAAAGATTTTCATTTTCACACAATGCTTACATAGCATGTGTCTTTAAATGGTCATTACAATTCAACTGTTGCTAAGATCTACAATTTTCCTCTAATTGACAAAAACAAATGTAGACAGGTTCTTGAAAGTGATGTTTATTACTAATGAAAATAGTACAGTTGTATACATAGGAAAACATCCTTATTTATTCATAAAGACTTTAAAATGTTTATTTCTAATTATCCAATAATAAGACTAGAACATTTCAATAAAATAGTACAGTTAACATGAATTTATTTGATTCAAACCCTGGATAAAATGTCATTATAAACAAGGTGAAAAAGAAAAGTCCTTCATTATCCATACTCGATATTAAACATATATTACTGTATGTACACTATTGCTTAAGTATCATCACATAGTCCTGATATATGAAAAATTATACCTGTATTCTCTGATACCACAATTATTTTTTCTATATATAATCTTAATCTTTAAAGAAGTAATTAAACATGAGAATAAAAACACCAGGATGAGGAATCATTTAACCTAGGCTGTAGCTATAACTGTGTGGGCTGAGAGCAGTGTTTTTAACCAGTCTTACTATCCTGAGGGGAGTGGTTTAACCTGTCTCTTATTAACTCATAGCAGTAATGTAAGGTTTTACAAAATGCATGACTCAAGGAAATTTCCAGGCAATTCTTTACATCATGGTACCCTCCCATATTTCCACCTTCCGCCAGGATATCCTTTGTGGAATACAATGCAATGGATTTGAGAATAGTGACCGTCACATCATTTTTCTGCATTTATTACACAATTGGGAGAATAAGCTAGGATCTTGACTCACTGCAGCTGGATTGTAAATGAGGAAGGCTGGCCCCACCCATTCCTACTGGGAATTGTTAGAAATGTTTTAGAAAAAAATAAAACAAAACAACCCGTTTGGGGTTTGTGTTTTTGTTTTTTTGCTAAAACATCTCAATTTAATAGTTATTCTACTTCATTAGCTCTTTCATTATGGAATAAATATGTTGTCTTCTCTTCCGTTGCAAAATGAAAATTCAATTCAGAGACAGAAAGATGTCAAAGTACCCATTGCTGAAAACAGAAATAACATAAAGCTACCAAAAAAATCATGAAATGGAAGTCAAACTTATAAAACAAGCATACAAATGAATAATTAGTTCAGGTATCATACTTCAGCCAACCTACTTTTAGAGCCTACAAAGAATATTTGTGCAGTTTCCAGCTTTTTGTTAGAGGTAATATTAAGTCAGAGTTGTTCAAACACATTACAATTTAGTGTGGCAAAAAAGAGAGAAAAGAATAAAAAAGAGAAAGTGGGGAGGAGCCAACCCATGGTGACAGATAATGCAGAAGAAGAAAACAGAAGGTGAGAATAAAATCAGGTAAAGCCTGCACTTGTTTTATTATATAAATTAAATGGGGCCAGGTGCGGTGGCTCATGCCTGTAATCCCAGCACTTTGGGAGGCCAAGGCAGGTGGATCACCTGAGGTCAGGAGTTTGAGACCAGGCTGGCCAACATGGTGACGGTGAAACCCCATCTCTACTAAAAATATAAAAATTAGCTGGGCATGGTGGTGGGTGTCTGTAACCCCAGCTACTCAGGAAGCTGAAGCACGAGAATCGCTTGAACCCAGGAGGCAGAGGTTGCCAGGAGCTGAGATCGCCCCATTGCACTCCAGCCTGGGTGACAGAGCGAGACTCCATCTCAAATAATAATAGTGATAAAAATGGGACTTCAGGCCACATAAACGTGAACAAACACCCTTAAACCATTGCAATGGTGAAAATGGAGCCCTATTTATCAAATAAATTCCCCTTTATCCATAACCCATAAAAAAGGATAGTGTATATAATTCAATTATAAAGGCTACATCTGTAAAACACCACAGTATCTTACAACCTTTTATAATAACATTTTTAAAATGGTTATTTACCATGCATTTTATTGCTAACTGCATTTTAGTATTTTCACATAAGGTGATAGTCTTGTTGAATATTATATTGCTAGGTTAAGAAGAACGTTCTAATACTCAGAAAATTTCATTCCTCAATTGTGCAGTGTAAATGACAGTTCAGCCTAAGACTTTTAAATGATGACATGCCATTAAATCACCTTCGAGGAAGGTCTTTTAGAAAGAAGCTCTTTAGGGGTAGTTTTTTCCATCAAACTAATAGCTCCTTTAGTGCTTTGCTTTGTACATGAGTGGATGGATCTTTGCTGGGCAAACTGTGTTCTTCAACCTTTCAACAGTGGTTCAGCTATAGCAAAGGCAGGACAAAAGTTGTATTCCTCAACTGAGGCCTCCTGTTCTTTCCCTGATAGTTGAGGGGCTCCTTTACTCTTCCATTTCATTGGTGTGGAGCAGACATTCATGAAGAGCTAAGTGTTTTGCTCTTGCATGAAAAGGTCACGCAAAAGGAAATCAGAGATGGTGACGTGTGTCAGAATTCCCAAATTCCCACTTCACTGCTTAGTTTGTGGAAAACAACAACCCTCCTCTGGCTCAGTTCGTGCTTCTCCTAAGTGTTCTGCATGGTGACCTGCCCTAGAGGGATTTGTGTCCATCTGGAATTCTTCCAGCAAGCACACATTCAAAGAGTTGCATTCTAAGGTTAATTTGTGATAAAATACACTTTCATCTAACACGTAGTATAGGAAAACAGTTTACAGTCTTAAACAGAAAACTTTGAAAGTTTTATAAATAAAACTAAGCACTTAGTAGTGACAAATATCATTAACACTTAAAATGTCTTAAAGGTAATTATCAATTACTTTTCAAATGGGCCCAGTGGAAAGTGTCTAATTATCCAATATTAAGACTAGAACATGTCAATAAAATAGTGGAAAGTGTACCTATACTGAACTGTTAGAGGATCCATTATGTGAGTAGGGAATGAAAGGAAATGCTAGGATAAGGGAGCCACCTTGGCGCGGGCGCACATGCGCATTAGCGCGCACACGCACACACACATACACGCACACACACATTCACACATACACACACACAACCTGTTATCCATACATACTTTGCAAAATACCTGGCCATCTTCAAGGCTTTCACTAGCTTTACTGTGGCATGCACTGAGCCCAGATATTTAGTTTCCGGTGTCCTCATAATGAGCAGAATTGGCAGTCATCAAGTTGAGAAAAAAAAAAGTGAACCAAGTATTTTATCTTATGGTCAGTTTATACTGGTTATTTATATCTGGTCAGAAATAAATCAAAATGTTCAGAATTGGTTTTGGCAAGCATGAAGACATCTAGCATAAAGTATCTGCATTAATAATAACCTATTGCATATGCAATTTAATATCATGATGATGATGATTTGGCCTCCTCCTCTCCCCCTCCAAAGCAACCCATTCAAAAAAAACACTAGGGGGAAAGAGGAAAATTTCCATTTTCTGTCAAAATTTATATAAGGTATGGACTTCCTATCTGTTCAGTTTTTAAAATATTTTAATTGTAATAAAAGCTTTGCCCTGTTTTGTATAAGCAGGAGTTAATTTAGACAGGAGGTATTACACAAAGGAGAAGCAATGAAAATGAGCTCATCTATATTATGTGAGGTAGTTAAGTGCTGTTTTCCAAATTAATACACCAGGAACTAGAGGAGAGACAGGATTTGCCCAAGACATCTTTAGATTTCAGAAGCAATCAGGGAACCTCAGTCCAGCAATCAAGAAACAAAATATATTCTCAGCACTGGGGTCTTGACCCGACACTCACTCCCTCCCTGCCCATGTGATTAAATTTGTCTTTAGATTAATGGGAATCTTCTAAACTTTATATATATATATATATATATATATATATATATATATATATATATATATATATATGCATTCATCCTGAAAACTAAGAAAAAAAGGATATTAACATAGTTAACATAACAATAACATGGTCTTGATTAATATGCTCAGGAAATGCAAGACACTGATAGAAGCATAAAAATACAACCCGAATTCTATCCTGCAGCAAAAAAGTTTGCTTTTTCTTTAGCAGTTTGATCAAAAAAAAGAAAGAATTTTATTTAGATGAATGCCTGATTATAAACTATCCATTAAGACTATTTCAAAGGTTTCCCCTTCTACCCAACAATAACAAATATGCTCCAAAATATTCCCTTACTAAGCCAGACTTCTCCATGGAAGAGTCTCACCTTATTTTCCTATTGAAAAACCCGAGGCACAGTTCTTAGGAGACACCCCCAGTGATTCAGAAGCAGACAGCAACTGCAGCCCTAAATCCTAGGTCCAGCTTTTTCTTATAGAATACTTTCCAGAGTTTACGTAGTTTTCAATTTATTTAAACACAGCATTCAGTCTTTATAGAAATAAAAATGGTAACATCTCTTACTACATTCTGAAAACTTAAGCTGAAAAAAAAACAGTGTGCCCTATATTTAATTTTTTCATAGAAAACTCTTCTTCCAACAGTGTTTAAAATCCAGGTTAATTATATGACATAAGTAACAAGTAATCTCCATCTTCTCCAGGCTTCTAATCAGTTTCAGAACAGGAGTTTTGGTTAAACCTCTTCCCTGCCATGAAAACACAAAGAGCAATTCAGTAAAAAAAAAGCAAGAATGTAATAAAATGCAATTACTGTCATACATCACTAAGCTATACTCCTAAAATCATGAATACTTTCTATTTTTTTCTTTATTTGAAGGAAAGTTGTTCTGTTCTGTGCTAAAAATTTTTTTAATCCACTCTACAAAGATCATGTGATGCTTTAATCCTGAATCAACTCCATTAACATTTTTTCGGCTACCTGATAGATGAAAACTCTGAAACTAAGTGAAAACTGAAAATGCTGTTTGGATTACATGCCTGACATCTTTCCAATGTCTTATTCCTTCTGTGAACCTCCTAAGGTTACAGAGCCTGTGTATACTTTCTTTTGTCTCACAGGGTCTTCTAGTTCAAATCTTCTTTGTTTCATAGACTCTGTGTGTGTATTTTAATGTTAGACAGTGCACCAGAAGAAACAGAAACATGTAGTCAATCTGCCTATTCCTATAAGGCTCTCCTGAATCCTTCCTTTGCATGTCTTAGCCTAGAAAAGATGCATTTTTAATTCAGTGAACACATTCAGGCAGGTAGCTTTGAGAGGCTTCTAAAGGGTTGAAACATTCCTGTTATTTCTATTGGATACTACTGAAATGGAGCCGTGGGTCATCTGCTGGCTGAAGATGCAGAGATGAATGGATTCTCTGGTTTAAAAGGCAGACGCCTGGTGATATTGCTCTGGCTGCATTCAGCAAGACTGGCAGCACCTCCTAGGAGCCAAGTCAGATGTTCAGAGATTTTTAGAGTTATCTCTACCATGCACATGGAATTAGAAAAGCACCTTTCTCAGTTTCCTCAGTTATCAGTTTGTCCCTTCTCTTACAGAGGAACCACGAGCAAAGGAGCCACCTATCAGAGAAAAAGAATTTTGAGTAAAGGGGCAGGTGTTCCACTCAGGGCCATGGGTGTTATTGTGACCCTTCATTAATTTCTCTTATAAGCATGCATGAATTGCTCTGATTTTTCTCTTCTAAAAGCCAAGCCAGAAGATACTTATCTGGCCCTCCACGAACAAACACTTCCACGAAGGCAACAGTAGGACCAAATATCAATACCAAACTGTAATCCTACCCAATACACTCAGCTAACGCCCATTATGGCCTCTTTTCAAGATAGTTTATTTTGTAACCTATGTCTAGTTATGGATTGTGGGAACAAAGAAAAAAAGTACAGACATTTGCCCAAAATGCATCCTGAGAAAAGCAAATGGGAAAATTAAGATAAACTTGATAGAGGCAAGAGATACAGTTTAATGAGATTTGTAATTCAAAGCATACTGAAAAGTATCTACAGAGATAGAATTGAAAGAATATGTTGAAATATGTGAGGACTTATGGCTACTCAAATGTTCTTCAAAGGAACTATCTATGAAAAATATTTTATGGCATCAGATCAATCAGATCACTAGTGAGATCTATGACAACAAGAGAGAAAATATGAAAAGACTATGTGTAGTCCAGGCGTCTCTAGTCCAAAACAGACAGTATCTTAGTTTTAAATCTTCTCTGCCACTGGCTATCACTGTCATCTTAAGTAAGTCCCTTCATGTCTCCAAGATTTCCTTTCCTCAAATAAGAAACACTCAATTTACAAAGCCCTTATAAGGAAGAAATGAGATAATCTGCCTGGACATGCATAAACTTTGAAGAACTCAACAAATGTTGGTTATCACGGAGACTCCTGTCACATGGACAGGAAATTATGTGCTCACTCAGGTGTGACATTACTCTAGAGTAAACTGTTAAGTCTGTAGGTCGGGGTGGGGGGCTGTTTCAAAAGCTTACACTTGTTGCTCTCTCACAAAAGCTGCAAACTCAGGATCATTGGCATACAGTTCCAAAACTCTCATTCTCTCTTGAATTTCCTTAAACAAAAAAGAAACAATAGGCCACACATTGCATTAGAAAAACCTCAACAGCCTTTTAAAAGGGGTTCTAATTTTCATAAGGAATTGTTACATTCTGGGCTATTCAGAAGTATGCTATAAGAAAGAAGTGCAGGAGTGTGCACTTTCAGAGAAATGGAAGGATCTACATACACTACTCTGGATATTACATGTCCTGCTCTAAATCAGACATATTTCTAAGGAAGAAAGGGAGGAAGGAGAGAGTACCAGTTAATAACGCAAAAAAAAAAAAAAAGCGCCATTGTGGGGGAAATAAGGTACCGCTTAGAATTTAATACTCTGTGCATATCATAGACTAGGAGATACGAGGTAAAAACCAATTACTAAATATTTTTTACACTTTCTTAAAGTCCATGTGCATGCACACATACACTCATACACACCCCCACCCACCACCCCCTGCTCCCCCACACACACACCAGCAGTAGCTGCGACAGCAACATAAATGCAAAGTTTCCCACCTCTCTGGAAAGCTCACTGCTCTCATACATCTGTCTGATTTCTTCTCTGCTCAGCCCACCAATCACGTCTCCGCTAGCAGAGCTGTAGAAGGGATGCTGAGGATAGGGTCCCTCATACTTCTCACATCCAGCCCTGTGACTTTCATACACGGGGTTGTACTTCACAGCATTCTCAATAGATGAGAGGCTGTCAGGCTGCCTGCTGGAGCCACTAAAAGAAAGATATGATGGATTCAGGCTCTTGTTTGGATGCTCAACTATGTGGAAGACTATTTACCTGGGACAATATTTCTGTTGAAGAAAAACAGGTGCACTTTACACAAATGGTGGGACATAACTGTGAAAAACATCTAGATCAACCTCAAAAATTATTTGTCAGGTGTTATCATTATGATTTCCTCACACCCATGGCAAGTGCCCTGTGGACTTGTTCCATGTCTCATTCATCTTATTTGCCATGGCGCCTGGCATTCATAAATGTTGGAAACTATGTCTGCCAGTAGATGGTGCTTCATAAACTGTAGCTTCATCATTCCCAGAGTTATACACATTGAAAATCAGTGTGTAGCCACGCAGCAAATCTGACTGAAATATAAATATTACGGTCTAGGGGAAGCAGAGCCTCAATTAAATTCAACTCAGGTCTACACATATTTACCGAGCATTGATCATGTGCATAGGACTGTTCTACACACTGCTGACACAAATAATCTTTTATCTCTGCCCTGGATGAGGTTACAGTCTAATGAAAAGTCAGACACAATAAGAATATAATAACAATGACGGAGGTATGTCCCAGGTGCTCCAGGACTTAGCCAAGTTGATGGTGAGAGAAGTAAACTAGACCTCAAGTTGTAGCTCTTACAGACTTCAGACGCACAGAAGCAAAGTACAATATGTGATTATGATCCTTGCATCCTGAGTCTAGCAAATGGACCAGGTTTTATTTCCCCATCAATGAAGCAACACCTAACTAAACAGAGAATGAGATTTCATTTATTGACAGACCCTTACCTAGATTTAAATTCTGGCTTATTACCACTAGCTTGAGCCAAAGAGGAGCAAGTTGTAACAGATCTGGTCCTCCCTGAAGGGAAATTCACCTCTTCTATCTCATCTCCAACATTGCTTCTCCAAATTCTTTCTGGCCATGAAATAGGCATTCTGGTCACACTCAACCATGCCTTTCCTTCGATGAGCCTTGAAGTTCACGCATGCCTCCCTGACTTTGCTCATGCTCATTCAACCAGCTAGAAAGCATCCCAGCCCAAACATAGCAAATGTCTACTCTTTCTCTCCAGCAAATTACCACAGCCATCATTAAAACTTTTAAGACTCTTTCCCCAGGCAAAACTTATTTGTACCTCATCAAGGCTCCTTAGCATCTTATTCTTAGTGCTACTTCTGTTTTTCTTCAATTTGACACCCCTTTGAGGACAAGGACCATGTGTTTATTCAAATTCATAGCTCTCTTCCACCCAGCCAGCTCCTTGTCCAATATTTGGCACCTGGTAAGTACTAAATAAATGTGTAAATGGAACATTGTATTCCATTAGAGAGCTCTTTTCCTTATTTACCTGAAGGGACTCTCTCTTTCACTCCTGTCATGGTGTGCTTGGAGAGTCCTGATGAAGAAGTAGATGATAGCAGAAAAGATGACAAGAAGTCCAACCACGGAGGCAATAGTGATGCCTATGATCACGGGCTCAGACACAAATTCCTCACAGTGCTTGCCTCGGTACCACCAGTTCTCACCCACCCGGCACCTGCAACCAACAGTCACCAAGTCCGATATCTGAATCACTCTGCTCACACTGACAATTAACAGCAGAACCTTCTGAGGGACTAGAGGAAAGTAGAGAAATAAATGCTGACCACGTGAAGCTTCATAAAGAGTTGAATAGACAGATTAAAAGATCATACAATTTAAGGCAGTGAATAAAGCCCAGCACAGACCTAGTAGGTCCTCAATGACTGTTTGAAAGAAAACTGAATAAAAAGCTAAATAGGTTTAAGGAAATTATTCTACTTAACATCCTTATTTATAGATAACCAAAAAACAAGCCTAGGAAGGAAAGTGACTGGCATTAGGCCATACAATTAGTCTGCTGCAGAACTGGGCCTAGAACCCAGGCCTCCAGACGCCCCATGTCCTTTCAGTATGCTAAAGATATCCTTCAAACCCTAAGGCCACAGGGAAAGGAAATCACTGCTTTTCTAGGTAATATTAATTTCTCTGGACATGAAGGGACTGTTTTTCTCCTTATAAACTTTATCCTTCTTCATATAGAAGAGTCTGGATTATTTCTACTTATTTCCTGTTTCTGGCATCTATGCCAACATTTGCCCATTTTGACCTTGCAGACTGTCCTCTACTTTCTGTTTCTCCTCCTTATTCTCAGCATCCTCTCCTCTTCAACCACGCAGCTTTGGTTGTGTATGGTTGGAAAGTTGATTTGTTTGACTTTGTTTAAGGGGAGTGGGCAGATGACAGTCGGGCTAACTGAATCTGCTCATCTTCTCATTGGTTCTACCTTTAGAAAATGGATCTCAGATGTACTTAAAGAAAAATATTTTTGTCACCACTTTGAAAACTTTAAATACTTTAAAGTTTTTAAATGTTTGTCTTTATTTTTGAATGAATACTAAGTATGAATAAGAGGGGCCCAAAACCTTTAAAAATATAATTCAAGTATAACAATAAAACTCATTTTCACTTTCAGATATAGAGGAACGTGATCTTATGCCTAAACCTCATTTGAACACCAGTTTCCTTACCATCACCATTAAAAACTACAATACAAAGATCTCCATCTGCTCCAAGTAGTCTCAGTAGGATTTTTATTTTTTTTTTATTTATTTTTTATTTTTTTTTGAGACAGAGTTTCAATCTTGTTGCCCAGGCTGGAGTGCAGTGGCACGATCTCAGCTCACTGCAACCTCTGCCTCCCGGGTTCAAGCAATTCTCCTGCCTTAGCCTCACAAGTAGCTGGGATTACAGGTGCCTGCCACCACACCCAGCTAATTTTTGTATTTTTAGTAGAGATGGGGTTTCGCCATGTTGGCCAGGATGGTCTCAATCTCCCGACCTCAGGTGATCCACCCACCTTGGCCTCCCAAAGTGCTGGGATTACAGGCGTGAGCCACTGCACCCAGCCAGTAGGACATATTTAGACAATTTTTTTTTTGCAGTTCCCTAACAGCATAAATTACTGAATTGAAATTCAGGCCTGTTAAACAACTCATCCTCACATGACAGTTAGATGGCTCCCATCTATTGCCTAGATATAACTTCTATAATGCATACTATAATAAGTATCCTAAAATTATAGGTGCAGGCCCCTTTTCTTTAGAGGAAATATCTATAGCCTCTAAAGTCAAAATCTGTAACTACAACATACCTACAAATGGCCCCGTGCCCAGGCATAATGTCACACTTTCCATCATTCAAGCAGAAGTCAGGCTGTAGGTCACAGAGACTCTGACAGGGCCGTTCTTCCACACTCAGGTATCCAGGGAAGCATCTGCACTTTGCTTCTCCACTCCAGGGGTTGACCAGACACTCTGAAAATTCATTACAGGCCTGAAACTTGCAAGGGTTGGCTTCATCACCTAAAACATTAAACAAAGAATAATGCAAGAAAAGGCAAAACACAGAAACTGGGGTATACAAAGCCCTTCATTAAAGTTCTCCCCCAAAGTATATGGGACAACTCCTTTCCAGAACCATTAAAGTACACCATCGCCACCAATACCACACACAAAAACTCTCACTCATCATAGATCAATAAGCTTTTGTCAAATTTTTGTGCAACTCAGAGCCAAATCATAAAACCCTATGACCTATCTAAGCCTTAACATATTTTATCTAGGGAGCATGTAGAAGCTTTAGAAATCCATGCCATGTAATTGCAGATCTAAGTTAAACACAATAGTAATTGTAGATCTAAATTAAATGCAGTTTTCATGGACCATTCATTTCCACCAACCCCAACCTGCTGCAGTTGACCTCCACTCTACATACACTGCTACATGCCTTGCACAACACTGAGAACATGAATGGGGAGAGAGAGCTCAGAAGAGAACTGGTAGGAGCCTCAGGGATGGGTATAGCCCAGTAAGAGCAGCCTAGGAACAGTCAAGATTTGTGAAAATCAATGTTAGGAAAATAAGTCAGCCCTGCACTTCCTGAGGCCATTTCCAACAAAATATTTTTGCCTTCATAACTTAATTTTTCATTGATAGGGTGAGGGAAAATGACTATTTTTAAAAATGAATTAGGATAGTAATCAGTCAAAAAAGATATGACATTGACCATGAATGGGCCTTCCATCCTGCCACAGTTCCCACATGTTCTTCACTGGTCAATGGTAATCTGTGAATGGTAAGTGGGCAAATGGTGACACAGACATTGAAAATAGAGAAAACAGGTGGAAATGATCCATAGACTCATCTGTATTAAAAAGTATAAAGTTTAGCTAGAAGGCTATAGGGAATAAAAAGAAATAGCATAGCCTCTTGGTTTCCAGAATAATGGAAGGATCTACATACATAATGTTTTGAAAAGCAATGATTTCCTTGCTGCTCTGGAAATTGAAGACAATTTTGCACAAGTCTGTGCCCTTGGAGTTTGGAGATCACTGAAGTTGATCTCCTTTGGCTGCATGTGGTAACAGGGGAAATGTACTGAGTTGAATAGTGTCCCCAGAAGTTCATGTCCATCCAGAACCGCAGAATATGACCTTACTTGGAAACAGAGCATTTGTATATGTAATCAAGTTAAGAAGAGGCCATACGAGATTAGAATGAGCCCTAATGCAATGATTGGTGTCCTTATAAGAAGAGGGAAATTTGGACACAGACAGAAACACACAGGAAACAAGGCTATCTGGAGACAAAGGCAGATATTAGAGTGATACACCTATAAGCTAAGGGATGCCAAGGGATTGCTGGTAAACATCAGAAACCAGGAAAAGGTAAGGAAAGAGTCTTCCCTAGATCTTTCAGAGGGAACAGGGCCTGGCCAACATTTTGATTTTGGACTTCTAGCCTCAAGAACTGTGGGAGAATAAATTCCTGTTGTTTTAAGGCACCTAGTTTGTGGTACTTTGTTACAGCAGCCCTAGGAAACTAATACAGGGGACCACTGCCAAGATGCTCACATAACAGGAAAAACATACAAATGTGTTGACAGGTGGGAAATTTCTACAAGGGAACTGCATGGCCAGATTTCACTGTATATTTCCTAAGTCTTCACATCTTTATCCGGGTATTCGTTTTGTGACTTTGTAATCAGAAAATAATCTGATCCTTACCCAGCAGTGAGGGATAGGAGTGTCTATAGGGGTGAGGAAGATGGTACTGCATAGCTCTCCTTTGTTAATGGAAGTTCAAGAGCTTCTGAGACACTGCATGTTAAAGTAAGTTGGGCAAGAGTCAAGTCAATCTTGTCTCTAGCCAATCTTGAAATAAAGTACTTTAATCTGAAGGCCTTTAACTAAAAATATAAGATTGAATATCCCTTATCTAAAATTCTTGGGAGGAGAAGTTTGGATTTCAAATTTTTCAGATTTTGGAATATTTGCCTTTACATAATGAGATATCTTGGGGATGGAACACACGTCTACACAAAAAACTCATTTATGTTTCATATATACCTTATACACATAGACTGAAGGTAATTTTATACAACATTTTAAATAATTTTGTGCGTAAGACAAAGTTTGTGTATATTGAACCACCAGAAAGCAAAGAGGTCACTATTTCAGCCACCCATGTGGACAATCTGTGGTTGTTCGGCATCACCATCATGCTGTGCATGGAAAAACTGTATCACTCCGAAGGAAAGTGTGAGAGTCTTTTTTCCCCTGGGCCCTCTGAATAAACTGTTGTGCATCTGTGTTTTGACTGCAACCCATCCCATGAGGCCAAGTGAAGAAATTTACCCTTGTAGCATCATGTCAGTGCTCAAAAAGTTTCAGACTGGAGCATTTCAGATTTCAGATTTTCATATTAGGAATGCTTAACCACTATACATGTAGTAAAATGATTCTATTTAAAAATTTTGAAACTTTGTAACCATTCTGCAGGTATATGTGTCTGAGGTGAGAAAAATAGAGTCTATCTTTTCTATACATTAGGAAAAAGATATAGCCATAGGAAAAAGATAAAATATAGCCTTTTTGCTTCCAGGCCAAGGAGAAAGACAAAGCCTAATATTTTAATAATGTAAATAAAAGGCTGTGGTTTCAAAGTCTCTTTCCACTCCTTTGTGCTAGTTAAGAAAGGGTGCCCAGGTAGCTAACTGTATGTTTGGAAAAGTGCCTTAATGATTCTATTGGGGAAACAAAGGTAGAGTTGGAGGTAAATTTAGGATGGGAGACAGGGATCTAAATGGTGGAGTTAATTACAATCTGGTTTTCTAGGAGCAGCTTAAAACAAGGATAGATGGGTCTAGAAAAATGAGAGTAGAGGAAAGATGTGTAGATGGTCTGGAAAGACAGCTTTATGGCCTGAGCAACATCATAGCTGGCTGGGTCCTGGGAAAAAAGTTGGCCAGTAAGAGATGCCCTTGAGAGGGTGGCAGAGGAATTTAAGGATGGTTATGCCTAACTAATATTTTTAAGCCATCTGCCGTGCTGAGATAAAGCCTTCTCCATTACCTTCATTCCATTAGCAAATGCCTGATAGAATCAACTGCCTTATGTTGGAGGTGCTTTGAGCAGATCAAAAACAGGATTGTGATTTGCATTAGGTTAACACCACAAGAGTCAAGACTCCCGTGAGACTGAAAATCCAGCAAAGAAAACTCAGAACTGGGGAGGATTAAGAGATATTTAAGTTCCTTAACAATGCCCAGAAATACTGAGGAGTTGAGGGAACATAGATGCAGGTTTTATACTGCACAGGGGTGGGGCTAATGCCAGCTAATTTGAATATTAAAAGTAAAGGTGAGCTTATAAACCTTGATGATATTGCATGCAGCTGACATGTGAGTTACATACAAAACTGAAGTAAGGTGGTGGCTGCCAAGATGGCCAAATAGGAACAGCTCCAGTCTGCAGCTCCCAGCGAGATCAATGCAGAAGGTGGGTGATTTCTGCATTTCCAACTGAGGTACCTGGCTCATCTCATTGGGACTGATTGGACAGTGGGTGCAGCCCACAGAGGGTGAGCCAAAGTAGGGTGGTGCGTCACCTCACCCGGAAGTGCAAGGGGTTGGGGTACTCCCTTCCCTAGCCAAGGGAAGCCATGAGGGACTGTGCCATGAGGAACAGTGCATTCAGCCCAGATATTATGCTTTTCCCACTGTCTTCGTAACCTGCAGACCAGGAAATTCCCTTGGGTGCCTATACCACTAGGGCCCTCAGTTTCAAGCAAAAAACTGGGCGGCCATTTGCACAGACACCAAGCTAGCTGCAGGAGTTGGTTTGTTTTTGTTTTTGTTTTTCATACCCTGGTGGCACCTGGAATGCCAGCAAGATAGAACCGTTTACTGCCCTGGAAAGGAGGCTGAAGCCAGGGAGCCAAGTGGTCTAGCTCAGCGAATCCCACCCCCACGGAGCACAGCAAGCTAAGATCCACTGGTTTGAAATTCTTGCTGCCAGCACAGCAGCCTGAAGTCAACCTGGGGCGCTCGAGCTTGGTGCAGAGAGGGGCGTCCACCATTACTGAGGCTTGAGTAGGTAGTTTTCCCCTCACAGTGTAAATAAAGCCGCCCGGAAATTTGAACTGGGTGGAGCCCACCACAGCTTAGCAAAGCCTCTGTAGCCAGATTGCCTCTATAGATTCCTCCTGTATGGGCAGGGCATCTCTGAAAGAATGGCAGCAGCCCCAGTCAGGGGCTTAGAGATAAAACTCCCCTCTCCCTGGGACAGAGTACCTGGGGGAAGGGGCAGCTGTAGGCGCAGTTTCAGCAGACTTAAACATTCCTGCCTGCTGGCTCTGAAGAGAGCAGCAGATCTCCCAGCACAGCACTCAAGCTCTGCTAAGGGACGATTGCCTCCTCAAGTGGGTCCCTGACCCCTATGTCTCCTGACTGGGGGACACCTCCCAGCAGGAATTGACAGACACCTCATACAGGAGAGCTCTGGCTGGCATCTGGTGGGTGCCCCTCTGGGACAAAGCTTGCAGAGGAAGGAACAGGCAGCAATCTTTGCTGTTCCGCAGCCTCCATTGGTGATACCCAGGCAAACAGAGTCTGGAGTGGACCTCCAGCAAGCTCCAGCAGACCTGCAGCAGAGAAGCCTGACTGTTAGAAGGGAAATTAACAAACAGAAAGGAATAGCATCAACATCAACAAAAAGGACGTCCAGACACAGAAACTCCATGCAAAGGTCACCAACATCAAAGACCAAAGGTAAATAAATCCCTGAAGATGAGGAAAAACCAGCACAAAAAGGCTGAAAATTCCAAAAACGAGAATGCCTCTTCTTCCACAAAGAATCACAACTCCTTGCCAGCAAGGGAACAAAACTGGATGGAGAATGAGTTTGATGAAGTGACAGAAGTAGGCTTCAGAAGGTGGGTAATAACAAACTCCTGCGAGCTAAAGAAACATGTTCTAACCCAATGCAAGGAAGCTAAGAACCTTGAAAAAAGGTTAGACGAATCGCTAACTAGAATAACCAGTGCAGAGAAGAACATAAATGACCTGATGGAGCTGAAAAACACAGCACGAGAACTTTGTGAAGCATACACAAGTATCAATAGCTGAATCAATCAAGCAGAAGAAAGGATATGAGATTGAAGATCAACTTAATGAAATAAAGCATGAAGACAAGGTTAGAGAAAAAACAATGAAAAGGAACAAACAAAGCCTCTGAGAAATGTGGGACTATGTGAAAGACCAAACCTACATTTGATTGGTGTACCTGAAAGTGATGGGGAGAATGGAACCAAGTTGGAAAACAGTCTGCAGGATATTATCCAGGAGAACTTCCCCAACCTAGCAAGACAGGCCAACATTAAATTCAGGAAATACAGAGAATCCCACAAAGATACTCCCCAAGAAGAGTAATCCCAAGACACATAATTGTCAGATTCACCAAGATTGAAATGAAGGAAAAAATGTTAAGGGCAGCCAGAGAGAAAGGTCGGGTTACCCACAAAGGGAAACCCATCAGACTAACAGCGGATCTCTCTGCAGAAACCCTACAAGCCAGAAGAGAGTGGGGACCAACATTCAACATTGTTAAAGAAAATAATTTTCAACCCAGAATTTCACATCCAGCCAAACTAAGCTTCATATGCAAAGAAGAAATGAAATCCTTTACAGACAAGCAAATGCTGAGAGATTTTATCACCATTAGGCCTGCCTTACAAGAGCTCCTGAAGGAAGCACTAAATATGGAAAGGAAAAACCAGTACCAGCCACTGCAAAAACATACCAAATTATAAAGAACATTGACACTATAAAGAAACTGCATCTACTAACGGGCAAAATAACCAGCTAGCATCATACTGACAGGATCAAATTCATGCATAACAATATTTACCTTAAATGTAAACAGGCTAAATGCCCCAATTAAAAGACACAGACTGGCAAAATGGATAAAGAGACAAGACCCATCAGTGTGCTGTATTCAGAAGACCCATCTCATGTGCAAAGACACACATAGGCTCAAAATAAAGGGATGGAGGAAAATTTACCAAGCAAACACCAAACACCAAAAGCAATGGCAACAAAAGCCAAAATCGATAAATGGGATATAATTAAACTAAAGAGCTTCTGCACAGCAAAAGAAACTATCATCAGAGTGAACAGGCAACCTACAGAATGAGAAAACATTTTTGCAATCTATCCATCTGACAAAGGGCTAATATCCAGAATCTACAAGGAACCTAAACAAATTTACAAGAAAAACACAAACAACCCAATCAAAAAGTGGGTGAAGGATATGAACAGACACTTCTCAAAAGAAAACATTTATGCAGCTAACAAACATATGAAAAAAGCTCATCATCAGTGGTCATTACAGAAATGCAAATGAAAATCACAATGAGATACCATCTCAAGCCAGTGGAATGGCGATCATTAAAAAGTCAGGAAACAACAGATGCTGGAGAGGATGTGGAGAAATAGGAACACCTTTACACTGTTGGTGGGAGTGTAAATTAGTTCAACCATTGTGGAAGACAGTGTGGTGATTCCTTAAGGATCTAGAACTAGAAATACCTCCCATTGCTGCCTATATACCCAAAGGATTATAAATCATTCTACTATAAAGACACATGCACATGTATGTTTATTGCGGCACTATTCACAATAGCAAAGACTTGGAACCAATCCAAATGCCCATCAATATTAGACTGGGCAAAGAAAATGTGGCACATATACACCATTGAATACTATGCAGCCATAAAAAGGATGAGTTCGTGTCCTTTGCAGGGACATGGATTAAGCTGGAAACCATTATTCTCAGCGAACTAACACAGTAATAGAAAACCAAACATTGCATGTTCTCACTCATAAGTGGAAGTTGAACAATGAGAACATATGGACACAGGGAGGGGAACATCACACATGGGGGCCTGTCAGGGGTGGAGTGCTAGAGGAGGGATAGCTTTAGGAGATATACCTAATGTAGATGACTGGCTGATGGGTGCAGCAAACCACCATGGCACACGTATACCTGTGTAACAGATCTGCACGTTCTACACATGTATCCCAGGACTTGAAGTATAATAAAAAAAAAAACTGAAGTAAATGTATTTATTGTAATTCTCTTTATTTTTTATTTTTTATTTTTTTTTAGAGACAGGTTCTCACTATGTTGCCCAGGCTAGAGTGTAGTCGTGTGATCATAGCGCATTGTAATCTCAACCTCCTAGACTCCAGCAATCTTCCCACCTCAGCCTCCCAAGTAGCTGGAACTACAGGCATATGCCACAGTGCCCAGCTAATTTTTCAGTTTTTCTGTAGAGATGGAGACTCACTATGTTGCTTAGGCTGGTCTCAAACTCATGGCCTCAAGCAATCCTTCTCCCTCAGCCTCCTAAAGTATTGGGATTACAAGTGTGAGTCACAGCACCAGGCCTGTAATTCTGTTTAAAAATAAGTAGATTGACCTTCGCAAAAGTTTTATAAATCATAACTGTTTGCATTTGTATAGTTAGTCAAATGTTTTATATATACTACTTGTTTATGCTTAGAATAGTCTCATAAAATACAGAGGCCAGGCAATATTACCCCCATTTAATATATGAGGAACTAAGGGTCAGGGATAAAATAGCCCATCTAGGGTCACACAAATAATAAATTGTAAAGCAGAAGAAGAAATCATTCCTTACAAATTATAATTAATTGCCTCTTCCACTATACCACATGACAAAGAATGTGCAAATGGCCTTAGAGAACTCAAGTGGTAAGAGATTTGGATATGAAGGATTAGTGAAACCATTTTCTTCACTTTCAATGAGTAATGATTCTTAAAGATTTCAGAAGAAAGTTCACTTCTTTCCTAAAGAATAGGGCTGACTTTCAAACCAGTTTGAGATTCAAAGGCACTGGAGAAATACAAAGCCAGGCATTCCTTCTCACTCCTCAACCTCTGTCTCTGGTATGTAGAAAGGAAGGAAGAAGAAAATTTTACATTTCAACAGTGTTCTCTGCATCCAAGGCTTCCAAATAAAAGCAATGATTCATTTCACTCATTCACAGTATTTTTGAGTACCTTCTGTGTTCAAGACACTATCCTAAGTTCTGGCTAAAAAGTATTTAATAAAACAAACACATTCTCAGTCCTTGTAAAAAGCTCATCTGGAAAAAATAGCCATTAAGCAACTATGCACATAAATTAACATTATTACAATGATCATAACTCTCTAGGGGAAAAGAACATTGTACTGGTAATATAAAAACTGACAGGAAAGACTCAGTCTAGACTACAGGTGAGTCAATGAAAAGTCCTGAGGAAGCGACATTTGAACTGAGGCACATGGGTGAGCAGGAGTCAGTAAGAAGGCAAAAGTGGACAGTGTGTGCAAAGACTTTAAGGCAAGAAGAAGGTTTTGTATCTGAGTAACAAAAAACAAGCTGGTTTGACTAGAACATGTTGAGCAGAGGTTAGTTACATTGGATATCGGGGAAGAAGATGGGGACCAGGCCTTGTGGCTACTGAACCAGACAGCCATTCAAGAGTACCATGGGGGCTATATGGAGGATGGATAGGAGGAGGAGCACGAGAGGATGTGGGGAAACTGGTCCAAAGGAGAGATCATGGTGATTTGGATGGAGTCGTACCAATGGAGATAGAGAAAAGAGCATGGATTTGAGATATACTTAGAATTCAGAATCAGTGTAAGTTTGGTGAGTGACTAAAAGCTCCAGGTGTTAGGAATTGAGGTATCAAGGATGACTTCTCTGGCCAGGTGCGGTGGCTCACACCTGTAATCCCAGCACTTTGGGAGGCCGAGGTAGGTGGATCACCTGAGGTCAGGAGTTCAAGACCAGCCTAGCCAACATGGAGAAACTCCATCTCTACTAAAAATACAAAAAATTAGCCAGGTGTGGTGGCAGGTGCCTATAATCCAAGCTACTCGGGAGGCTGAGGCAGGAGAATTGCTTGAGCCCAGGAGGCAGAGGTTGCAGTGAGCCAAGGTCACACCATTACACTCCAGCCTGGGCAACAAGAGTGAAACACCATCTCAAAAAGAAAAAAAAAAAAATTATCAGGTTTCCAGCTTAAGTAGCTGAGTAGATAAAGCTTACATTTATGGAGAGAGAGAGAGAGAGAAGCTGAGAGAAAGAGTAGATTTAGCTGGAGAGTGGTGAGATATGGAAAAGAAGAGCTCACTCATAGCTATCTTAAATTTGATATACACAGAATACATTCAAGTGGAGACTGTCAAGTAAGTAGATAGATATTGATTCTGGAGGTTATGAGAGATGTTTGGTCTGCATATAAAAAATGTGGAGAGTTATTGACATTTATATAAGGCTTAAGACAATGCACATGGATGCAAAAACTTAAAGGGAAGATGGCCCAAACCTTGCAGTGACAACATGAAGGCATAGCAAGAATAGATCCAGTAGGTAAATAAAAACCAAAGCCAGATGTAGTGGGTAGAGAAAGGAATGGAGGTGAAATAATAAAGTAACATGTTTGGACGATGTTTTGAAAAGGGAATGATATTGATGTTCTTGGGAGAAATATTTTACTAGTTACCAAGATGTGGAAGATTTGTCTGACATAGTACTCTTTTTTCCTGCAAGTATTGGATTCACCTTAATGCAATGAGGAAGAAAACACACAAGAATAATCACTGGATTCTACTAAGAAACCACCATGCTAGGCAATATCATACCTGATTCCACATCAAGAGAGTATTTATCAATAGCCAAGTTCATGGTATTGTAGGCAGTGGTACAAAAGTCTTCCAGAATCATGTACACCGCATTGTTGACGTTAGGAGGGACAGAATTGGCAAACTTCATTCGACTGTTCACCACAATGCTGCCATTTCTGAAGTTGAGGATTTCTAAGTTCTGGAACCCCGTGAGATTTGACTGGAGATAGGGAACCAGCTACAATATACAAAAGTGGTAAGTTTATTGACAGCGTGTCACATTTTGTTCAATACATACCCAAACAAAACAAAACAAAAACACAGGTAAGACCCTGCCTCACTTTTCCTAATTGTATTTTATCTACACTTAAACTGTTAATTAACAAAAGTACAAATTAGGAATGATTTGACAGTATAAACTAGAAATGCTATAAGATTTTCATAGTGATATTTAGGAACCCCATGGAATTCATACATAGTTTTAGACACTCAGAGAGTTTATTCTCTGTTTCACTAAAGGATCACAACAGTGGAGGCAACATAGGTACCCACAAAACATTAGCTTCACAGTAAAATGTGAAGAGAAATGTCAAACTTACTGTAGTCCCATAATTCATGGAAAACAATCTTCCTTGTAAATTATCACATCACTCTCATGCCACTTTTGTGTTTTCCATTTCTTGTATGTCTTACTGTTTTCTTACCAACCCTAGGCCATGATACTATTTGTGAATGATAGGAAGTGAATGTTCACAGCAGATCACACTTTCCCTGGCTCAGACCTTATGTGCTAGAGGGGAGGAGGAGTCGGTCATACATGATTATTCACTAGTGCCCATGTTTCACTTTTTATGCTTACCAATTCTAAGAATCTTTGCTCCAGGGCTTTATACTCCAAGGAGTTTTTATTAAACAGATCTTCTGAAAACATCATGTTAGTCACTCGGAGGCTGAAGAAAACCACCAAAGCTCCTGAAGTCTGGGTATAACTCAAGTCATCTCCTCCTTCTGTGGGCCAAGCCACACTAACCATCTCTGTGGAGTGAACACTTGTTGACATTTCCACATAACTACCAACCTTGCCATTTTGCTCTTGGACTTGCTCAGGCTGATAGTAATCTGTGCCTATCCGGTCCAGTTCTAACGAAATATCCTGTACACCCATAATTACTTCATCCTCTAGCAGGGTGGAGATTGTGGTTGGAGGCAATTTGGTAGACTGTGTCACAGATAACCAGAGCCTGTCAGCACTCTGTGGTGTACTTGCCAATATGTCTCTGGACAATTTCTCTAGGGAAGAAGTTCTTGTCCAAACTCTCTCTGATTCTGGCAATATAGTCCACAAAGTTTGCATATCTGGCTTTACCATTGAAACCTCACTGTCAAACCATTCATAGTTGGATGACTCAGTAATTTGTTCCATATCCTCCCTTAGGATGGCATCTGCCTGATCTGATTTATCAGTAGAGGCAGAGATTGCTACAGATGTCAGTATAAGAGGTGCTTTGGTAACTGAGTAATCATCAACACCAGGTACTTCTGATATGTGCTTGGGGAGGGTTAGAGACGCAGATTCAGCTGCAGTATCTGCGAAGATGGGCACAGCAGGCCCACTAAGAGGCTCTTCCTCTGGAAAGTGTGTGGATCTGTCATCATGTTCATATTTTGAGTGCTTACTAATTTGGTCTGTGGAATCCATTTTGTCAACTAAAACTAGTTTCTTGTCTTCAATCTCAGCTGGCAAAAGTGAATCATCATCTTCAAGCCACGGCTTGGACAGTGGTTCAGCGCTCTTCTCTGATGAAGTCTCACTCCATGGCCAAGTAATCAGATCTACCTTTTGCCCAGACCCTGAACCTAAACCACCGTCAAATATTAACTCTTTTTCCATGGATGCATCTGGCAGGAAAGGGCTCACTTTTAATTGGTCTTTGACTTTGGAGGTCAAGGAGTCCAAGCCAAAAGGTATAGAAGAGGTCAGATATGGTGAAGATGTTAAGGACACATCAGAGTCTTCCATGGATGGTATTGTTTCTTTTGGCACAGGTTGAGTGAATGAACTTGAAGGCAATGAATCAATAGAAAGAAAATCTTCTGACTCTTCAACATTGGCTAATCCTAAAAATAAAGTTTTCCATTAATTAATCTACAGAGTTGCCAAAATGTATTCCTAGTTCTCCTAATAAAACTAGTTGCCTGTTTTTTCCCTGTGAAGTTAAGAGGGACAATTGTTGACTTTTGCTTTTCTATATCTAGCAAACAACAAGAAGATCTGATCATGTGTTTGCAATATGGGACAGTCACTCATGAATATTATCTCCTTCTCGAGGATAACAATACCTTGACTATTGAAATAATCTTCAAACACTTGTTTTTTTTTTTAATTCCACGAAAATAAAGAACTGCTGGTAGTAATTTTGACAACAAATACTAAATCCAGCAGTAATTTAGGAAGAAAATTCCCTGAACATTGTGTTTCTCTTTGAATTCTCATTTTGCCTGTTATGTTTATTGTCCATCATCCTTCAGATTCACTCGATGTTCACAATCCTGAACTCATTATTTATATATTTCTTCATCTTCCTCATTTCACATGTAAACTCCATTCCTAAGTCACATTTATTTTTCCTTTCTTCCACAACATCTAGATTATCTATTTCATTTTCACTTCTTTATCTCTGCTGTGGCTCCATGATTTCGCTTCTTCCCTTCACAATACTACTACAAGTAAAAATCTTTAGACTTGGCCCCCACAACTAATTGTATTATAACCTAGTTGAATAATCTTCTTTGGTGCTATTTGTTTATTACTCCAATATTTAAGTAAAGTGGCTCTTTAATAGTAGTAGCAGTAATTTAACTAAACTATATACCCTTCAATATGACCTTCAAAATGTCTGTTAATTGATCCCCACCCCAGCTCCCCAAGTTTATTTCTTATTATTTACCTATTTGGATTCTCCATTCCAACAAATTAAATTTGATTGTTTCCTCTCACACACAATTTTACCAAGACATTTTCCCCCTAATGAATGCTACCATGTTTTTTTCATAGCCATAGTCTCTTCCTCTCTTTAAAACCCCTGTCATCGGATACAATAAGAAGTACGAAAAGCAATTAAAGTTTCTCACCATCTTCTACCAAGTGAGATCCAGAAGTCCTTTCCTCAGAAGCCACAGGCAAGCCAGTCTGAAGCACTGCCGGGGTGACAGAATGAAGAGTCAAGCTGCTAACCTCTAAAACCTCTGGGGAAGAGCTGAGGCCCATCTTCGAGGGAAAGGCTAATTTGTGTGTAGACACTAAATCACCCAAAGGACTTTCTGACCAGAGTTCCCTGCCAGTGGCTGAGGGAGGACCAGAGCTGAAATCAAGTGGTGGAATACTGCTGGTGATGGATTCATCTGCTGAGGGCCATGCAGCTTGAAAGGTATTATCCTGGGGGGAAAAAAAGGCTAAATCATATCATAGATAAAAGAAACATATAAAAAGTGATTTTAAATACCACCTATCTGTCTATATTCCCAGATCTTCTAGGGACAAGGAGGCGGTGTATTAATAATATTAGGAGTAGGAGGAGACATGGGCTCCAGAATCAAACAGATTTATAGTCAAATTCCAATATCTAGAGAAAAAGTATATCACCTCTCACCTGAAAACCAAGGACAGATGAGGTAACATATTTAAAAGCCCTCAAACAAAGTGAATTTGTGAGAGAAAATTTTTTTTGCTTTAGATGGTTCATTTTCCTCTGTGTTTTTAGCTTAAATGACTTTAAATATATAGAAGTTACTGTTATCTGTAACTTGTTGGCAAAGATCTAAGTACATTGCCCACAGCAGGAAAGAACAACTGGCAATTTTATTCATCATTCTGAAAAGATAATTAGTTAATGAAGGCCCTCTAGTTTGGTCAGAAATGTCACCACATCAAAATGTAGTCTGGTTACCTCAAATGAATAGCCACTCCTGTGAAATGGTATCACACTTAGGAAACATTAACAATTTCCTCTTTCTAGTGATGTTTTACTAATGTACTACTAATATTATCTTAAAATGTAGCTTCAGAAATGGAGAAGAATACAGAAACACAATCCTTGAACATGTTAATTATTTAATTTTATGAAGAACTGTCTATGTAAATGTACAATGATCAGCCAGGCACAGTGGCTCAGGTCTATAATCCCAGCACTTTGGGAAGCTGAGCCAGGAGGATCACTTGAGGCCAGCAGTCCAGACTGGGCAATATAGCAAGACCGCATCTCAACAACAACAAAAAATTAGCCAGGCATGGTGGCACACACCTGGAGTTCTAGCTACTTGGGAGACTGAGGGAGAAGGATCACTTGATCCTGAAAGTTCAAGACTACCATGAGCTAAGATCAACCCACTGCACTCCAGCCTGGGCTATAGAGCAAGACATTGTCTCTTAAAAAAAAAAAAAATGTTTAACAATAATGCTAAGAGGTAAAACGACCATGGTATTTGGCAGAAGTTTATATAGTTCAGTCTATTCTGGATTCTGAATAACAAAGATAGATAACTACAATCCACAGGGAAAAAACTCGTAAAATATTTCCTGGGTGTATGAAAACTGAAAAAGGAAAAGAGAAAAGAACAATCCTTTTCAGTCCTAAGAAGGTATTTGAGGCCGGGAGTGGTGGCTCACGCCTGTAATCCCAGCACTTTGGGAGGCTGATGCAGGCAGATAACCTGAGGTTGGGAGTTCGAGGCCAGCCTGATCAACATGGAGAAACCCCGCCTCTGCTAAAAATACAAAATTAGCTGGGTGTGGTGGCACATGCCTGTAATCCCAACTACTTGGGAGGCTGAGGCAGGAGAATCACTTGAACCCGGGCGGCGGAGGCTGTGGTGAGCCAAGATTGTGCCATTGTACTCCAGCCTGGGCAACAAGAGCAAAACTCCGTCTCAAAATAAAAAAAAAAAAGTAGGTATTTGAATAACATGGAAGCTTTTGAAAAACACAAATTCCCAGGCCTGACACTCAGAAATGTTAACTTAATTGGTCTGGGAGGGGAACCTAGACATGGGTACTTGTAAAAGTTCCCTAGTAGAGGAAATGGTTGGATCATGTTCTGGGCATAATATTCCAGCCTGTGTTTCTAATGTACTTCTTCAATTGCTGAATGATTTTATTTCTTATCAACTGGAACCTTTAAGAAATTTCCCATATTTATAAGTCTATCAAAAGACTTGAATTCATGCTATAGCTATGAACAAAATGAAAACCGCAAATAAGAAATGCTGAATCGAACCTCCTCCCCCTCCTCCAGGAGACTTCTATCAGCAATATTAAATTTGCACTGACAGTCTCTAGTCTAACATGCTTTTTGAACAAAAGCACACAATTTTAGGGTGGCTAACTAGAGTTTAGTCTATGGCCGTGAAATAAAACAGAACATACTGGCCCATGAAGAGAGCTAACCCAAAACAAGGTGATATGGTTTGACTGTGTCCCCACCCAAATCTCATCTTGAATTTCCACGTGTTGTGGGAGGGACCTGGTGGGAGGGGATTGAATCATGGGGGCAGGTCTTTCCGTTGCTGTTCTCGTGATAGTGAATAAGTCTCATGAGATATGATGGTTTTATAAAGGGGAGTTTCCCTGCACAAGAGCTCATCTCTTGTCTAACACCATGTGACACGTGCCTTTCACCTTGTGCCATAATTGTGAGGCCTCCTGAGCCACATGGAACTGTAAGTCCATTAAACCTCTTTCTTTTGTAAATTGCCCAGTCTCAGGTATGTCTTTATCAGCAGCGTGAAAACAGATTAATACACAAGGCCTAATTAGTCTTTTATGCTTTGTCTTCACAGTGCCCCTTGTCTCTCTGTCAAAGATCTGTGTGAGAAGGCTTTGAACTACACACTCTCCCAATCACAGAGGAGGGACCATGAGGCAAGAAACCACCAGGCATGTCCTACTTTGTCCCTTCCCCTAGTGACAAATGCACAGGAAAGATGGTAATAACAGAAAGTCATTGGCTCTATAGAGTGTTACCCACAGTTTCATCTACCATCTTAAAACTAAAAGCACTCTGTCTAACAATCTTATTTTCTTTTGTGGAACTCAATTACAACATCATTTCCTGCCTTGTCCATGTTGTTTTCATTGGTTCCTATTTTAAGTGGGTCACCATGCTGATTATTCTGTATTTGTCACCACCACTTCAGATCCTTCTCTTCCTGCCCTCTGCCCTAGGAGGCTGACCCCTGTGATCTGCACCACCCCTGCTCCCTTGCATTTGTTTTCTGTTTGAGTTTGGCCAATGGGAAACATAAGCAGATCAAACGACAAGAGGAAGGAGAGGTCAGGGTATTTCTTCCCTGCTTCCGCCAAGCCTCAATACTCTGTGTCTAGCATAGCTGTGCTTCTCCCTCCACAATTACAGCTCCAGCTGTCAGTGGGCTCTAGTAACAGCATTTCCTCTCCTTCCTCTGTAATCCAATGGATGGTAGTGGCAATTGCTTCCCACTGTTGTTAGTCTCTGCATACCTCAACATTCTTTTTTTGCTCCTTTAACCCTATCCACATCTCCATTGGTAGATTCTTCTAGATGATTCTGTTACTGTTGAGACCCTGGATGAGTGATATTATGCAAATGTGCCATCATTTTATAATACAGTGCATTTAAAAATCCATTAAAGTTTAAGTCATTTCTGTCAAAAAGTGATTAGACAATCCAAAATGAAATATAAATGCCCAGCAAATAAGGAATGAGAATCACTTAAAACAACAACATGAACCAAAAATGATATCATTCTGGCTAAATGTAAATTTAGCCAGAAAATAAAAATCTGGAAAGGGAAAAGAAAAGTGATAAAAAGTATATGATGCAATGTTAGCAAACATTTTTGGCAATGTAGCTTTGGTTAAAAAAAAAAGAAATAGAAGCAAGATATATCTAGGAATTAGACTGGAGTCTAATAACCAAATCTTCTGAATCTGTTGACATGAAATGTATGAGAGAAAAAGCAAGACATCTGTAAAGAAAGAGGAAGCCAGAGGCCATCATCAAATGATCTGAGGACACAAAATTCCCTCCTGGGGAATCCCCTAACAGAAGTGACCCTGAGGATAATATGACATGTTTCATGATTCATGTCAAAAAAAAAAAAAAAAGATCTAATTGGAGAGATGACTTCTCGCACTTTTCTAGTAAACTTTAGGAGCACGCAAGTCTGGGAAACAGAGTAAGACTCTGTCTCTACGAAAAACATAAAATAAAAAAAAATAGCTGGGTGCCTTGGTGCACTCCTATAGTGCATTCCTATAGTACTCTGGAGGCTGAGGCAGGAGGATCACTTGAACCCAAGGAGTTTGAGGCTTCAGTGAGCTATGATCACACCACTGCACTCCTGCCCAGGTGACAGAGCAAGACGCTGTCTCAAAAAAACACCATGGAATTACCAGGAGTACTGTTAACCTTACATAACTCTATTCAGTAGAGGTGGCTTGCAATTGCTGACCTGTGTGCAGAGTGCTCCTACATAACTTAGCACCAAATAGACATAAAGCTGGTTCATATTTCTGCCTAGAGGGTCTAAGTTATTCTGAGTCCTCAAGAACATAGGAGATAGAGCAAGAGTTCATTTCCAGAGAAATGGAAGACAACAAATTAAAGTCCAGAAAGTGAAAGGCAAAAAGTTAAGTAAAAACATCAGCTCTTGTCTTGCTCATGTGCTTTATGAGGCCATCCTTTGGCTTGGAAAAATCTTACGTTGGGAAGAGGGGCTGAGCATGCACATGTATGTGAACATAACAAAATTATCACATTTTACACTTAGAAGGACTCAAGAACACATGTAGTACAACCATGCCTGTTAGAGAACTGAGGATCATAGAAGTGAAATGCTCAAGGACACACAAAAAAAGAGAAAAAAACAGACTGGAAGCAGCCAAGTCTCTAGATTTCTCAGTGCCAGTGCTTTTCCCACTAACAGCTATTCATCCAGAGGTCTCTACAAGTATATATTCCCAAGTGATAAAAGGATTTTCAGAGGAGAAACTAGAGCAAACAGACTTGGCAGTCCATGCTCTCATTTGGGTTAGCATATTCCACAGGTTTATAAGACCCAGGTCAACACAGATAGGGAGTGTGGGAGGCCATCTCCTAATATTCAAATACCTGCTCTATGGAATATGGAGCCTATTTACATAGAAAAAACTTTCCAGCCTTCCCCTTTATTTTTCTAGGATTGAAAACTACATATGTAGTCAGGGGAAAGAAGGCCATTTGCTCAATACCAAGTTCTGTTCTTCAATAAAGTAGTTACAATGATGATGATCATACCATAAGAGGGAATTAACTTTTTTCCTTTTAATTGTCTAAAACTACTTCCAGAGATGTGTTAAAGCTACTCATATATTCTTGCAAATTCCAAATGTACCTTAAAAAAAATTCATGTGAGATAGCTTAAGCCCTTCAAGCCATGCTTAAGAAATTGAGTTTTATCAGACAGAGCGCATAACCTGGCACACATTAGGAAAGCAGCTGAATCCTCAATGAAAAAGAAATCCTCAAGCAGTAATATACCATTTCAGTATATCTGTAAACAAAATGCCTTTTCACTTCATAAAAATTAAAAGTAAAACAATACATAAAATCTTTTAAAAAGTCAAGTCACTAACAGGCAACATAAAATGTGAAAGTAAACAACTTGACTTTTCAAATAAAGAAGAAAGACCATCCCTTCCAGGATAAATATTCCCTAAAAAATGGCATGGCAATGAAGCTTTCCTATACATTTTGAAAGGTTAACACATACATGCCAGGAATAGCCCTTCATTAATTTTTCTATCCATAGATGTTCCCGTAGTAACAAATTTAACTTGTGCATTCTTTTAGTTCAATGTAGTATATTGACAACTTTATTATATTGGCCAGTTTCATTTCTGCTACCGCCAATTGAAAAGTTTGTTAGTCCTAAAGAAAGCACACTGTACAAGTGATTTTCCAAGTCAGGGTGCCAGAAAAGTGTCAAATTCAATTTCCCAACATTCCTAGCTCTAAAATAACTTTTTTTTTAACTCTTTGAATAAAGCCTTTATTACTAATAATAAAAACAATAAAATGACTAGTAATACAATTATGGCAGCTCTGTATATAAAATAATTTTTAAAAATAAGATCTGGGGGGAAAAAACCCACCTCACTTCTATGGTAGAGTAAAATCTTGCTAACAATTGGCAAGGGCATGAAGAAAGGGAGGGAAGGAATAAATTAAAAAGAAAGTAGTAACTAGACATTTCTAATTAATCATTCCTTGTTTTCATGTCTTATCTCCCATTAACGTTCTGATGTCTCCTTCAATTGTTAATGATTGTCCTACAGTAATCACTATTCAAAAAAGAAAGGAGTTGGCGTCAATGCAAATGAAAGCACTGCAACGTAAATGAACAAGTGAGCCCTATTGGTGCTTGCCATCATTAAGCGGCAGCCACAAGCTCCAGCCACTTTCTGCCACAAGGGAATATGAACTTCAGAGTAGCAGATCTTCCTGGTGTTCAAAAGAAGCCAGAAATCTACATTTTTATGTAAAAATCTCCTAGTTTTAAAATATTGACTTATTTTTTAAAATTTGGTCCCAAGCTGCGTGTCTATAGTTGGATCCAGCTAGTCTCCAGTTTGCAGCCTCTGGCTTATATACAAATTCTCATCTTTACAATATGATTCTAAAATATCATCACAAAGCTCCTCCTGTGGTTAGAGAATGTGATTAAAAGCAGAGAGTAGTGGCGCTGTCATCACTCCCTGCCACTGGACCCTGGATGGACCTCTTGGACAATATCTGCATCACCTTGTTTAGAAATCTGTCTACTACCACCAGACTAGAAATTTGTGTAGGCAGAGCCACACCTTATTTGTCTTAGTTTCACAAGCACTTGGCACATGGAAAGCACAAAACAAACATATTTGAATGAATGAATAAGTGAATGAATAAATACACACCAAATGAATGTACTCTCTGTAAATCTCTTCTAACCTATTTTGTCTAATATGTAACTCAGTGAAAAGATTGTTTTTAGTAATTCTACATTGTAATATTGAGTTGCTCTATAACCTAGTAGAAGAAATGGCTGCAGAGATTAATGGTTACATGAATTAAGGGCAGGCTTTCTGAATTTCCATCGCTCCATTAAAGTCGAGAAACAAGTAATTCAAATAGCTGATATGAGACAGAAAATAAATTTTAAGAGGGAAGAAAAGCAAGGAATGTAGATGACAAGGGAGTCCCCCTACTGTTTGTATATGATAACAAAAGATTCCTGTATTCATTGTAGACAAGTAATTCTGTAGTGGTTTTTAGTTGTAGATGTTATCATTGTTGTTTAAACTATGCTGTTTCTTTTCTACTATGTAACTCCCTACAAGTGAAGTGGCAAGTGGAGGTTTAGAGGGGGAAGAGGAATTCCTGATGCATCTGGGTGGTAAGAACAAAAAGGAAAGTTCATCCCATGCTGTTTCTATGCAAGCGGGAATGTTTTCAGTCCAGGTTACAAGGAGGCCTGATTTAGAATCCCTGTCATCTGTCAGCTAGTGGATGATATTCTTTCTCTCCCTTCCATACACACACTGTTCTATGTGTTTTGGAGTTTAATCATTTTTTCACTATAATCCTTGAAACAAAAAATCTACGCTCTATACCTAGTACATCAATTTATCATGTTGGCTATAAAATCTATTTCTGGGTAACTCTCAGAGAACAATCAGTGGGCACTTAATAGCCTAATTATCACTGAACAAGTAGGAACCATAAATAAGGTTTCTACCCTGTGTGGAGTTTGGCAATGCAGACTTTATTTAATCACTGCAGAAGGCTTAAATTTTCTGAACCAACACTTGGTACCCATGAGCTGACAGCTATGAGTAATGGTCTAGGGATGATGCAAGAGAATAATTGAAATGAGAACAGCTTGGGAAATTTATAATGCCAAAGTAAGCAGGTGCAGGAAGAAAGAAGAGAAGCTTGAGGGCCTGGTTCTAGCATAAAACATAAAAACATACCAGAATAGATGACGGCGTTGCCTGAAGACTTGAACTTTGGGTGTTCCAAACTAGATCTTCAGTTTGGTGACGCAAAACTCCTCTCACTGAGGAAAGAACAATATTAAAGAACATTTTTAGATGAGGCCCTATTGTATTTGAGGTGCAGGGACAACTGAAAGTCAAGTTCTTTCTCTTCATTGTTTAGATTTTGGCAGAAAATACGGGACACACTTACTTAGAAAATGTTTGTTACTTTATTCAGATATTTTATTTATATTAGCACAATCTGCCTGAATTATAAGAATCTAACATAAAATAAAGATTCTTCCCATTATCACATTTAGGACACTCCTCTATTACTTCCTTTCCTTTCTCAAGTTAGTTTTTATTCTGTTCAAGATTCCTATGAAGCGCTTATTTTTAAATTAATTTTTAAGTAAAAAAGTTGTACTGAAATTTCAATTCCTTTGGTTTATGCTAAGAATGGTAGAAAAGCATGCAAAAATAATTGCCTTTTGGGAAGAAAGTACCTTTGAAAACTGAGCTAGGACACCAAAAATCTTTGTCACTGTAATGATATTAAAGAGCAACATAGAGAGTAGATTATATCATTTATTTCAACAAAAATTTAATGAATCCTTGCTAGTTACCACAGGCTTTGCCAAAGTTGAGGCTATAAACATCAATAAAGCCAAGTTTCTCTTCTAGAAGCATTGCATATATCAGAGAAATAAACACAAATTACAAAACAACATGAGGGGCATGTATACAATGTATGGTAATACAGACAAAGAAGTAGCTGATTTTGCCCACGGGGGAGAGGGAATCAATAAAAGCTAAAAAGAAGGGATTGCCAGGAGAGTGATCTGGTGTATGCAACCAAAAACAGAAGTAGAGTCTCTTTATCCACCTGTTCCCACTGGCCTCACATAGAGATATCAAGCAAAAGTCAAAAACCCTATTTGGCTTAAGTATTTTCCAAAACTTTTAAAAACTATGTATACAATTATCTTGTCTTCTATGAAAAATAAGCTCCACAAGATCAAGGAGTGATGTGGTTTGGCTCTATGTCTCCACCCAAATCTCATGTTGAATTGCGATCCCAAGCGTTGAAGGTGGGGCCTGGTGGGAGGTGATTGGATCATGGGGGCAGATTTCCTCCTTGCTGTTCTCATGATAGTAAGTGAGTCCTCAGAGATCTAGTTGTTTAAAAGTGTGTGGCACTTTCTCTCTCTCTCTCTCTGTCTCTTTCTCTCTGACTCTCTCTCTCTCTCAGTCTCTTCCCCTACCTCCCTCCTGCTCCACCATGGTAAGACGTGCTTGCTTCCCCTTCACCTCTTCACCTTCTGCCATGATTTTAAGTTTCCTGAGGCCTTCCAGCCATGCTTCCTGTACAGCCTGTGGAACTGTAAGTCAATTAAACCTCTTTCCTTCATAAATTACCAAGCCTCAGGTTATTTATAGCAGTGTGAGAATGGACTAATACAAGGAGGATCATATCTTTTGAGATAGTGATCAAGTTACGTAGAAAGCTGCCGCCATTCAGAACTCTGAAGTTGGCCTGACAATAGCAATAAATTTTAGGGACAAAATTCTGAGTAATTGAAATATATGTCTAATGAAAGCCCAAGACACTTGAATTAGTTGGTACTAGATATTGTAAAGCTTTTGTTGAACTTGCTTACAAATTCTAAGAAAGTTGTTTACCTCTTTTTAGGATACCTTTATGAAAGTAGCTCCACCAACAGGCTCCACATAAAAGGAAGATCTTGCAATACTGTTTGTGGATATAGTTTCCTAAGCAACCTCTTTGTTTATTGTAGACCTTAATCTTCACGCCATTCTCCTACCACTCCAGTTACTGACCTTGGTGTTTGCACCTTCTGCTCAATGTAGGTTCTTAACTCCCTTAGGTCATGATCTCCTAACTATATCTTTTCTCTGTCTGATCCCAATATCCTGATTCCTAGAATCTTCTGCCCATATGCCATCTCCATGGTTAGCCCCGGCTAATCTCTATTAGCATTGCCAGAGGGACTTCAGCAGTTTCAGATTATAACAAGCTTCTTATCTGTTCACTATTTTATCTAGCCCTAGTATTCCAACAGAGATTCAACAATGACAAAGAAGTATATAAGGAAGTGAGCCCAGGATAACTGCTCCAAAATATAAAGCCTCCCTAATGTTTAAGAATGAATAGTTCTATAATACTCTCATTCACTGAAGAGAGCATTTCTCCATCTTAAAGTCCTATGTAATTCATATAAAGCCCAGACCACTTTGTGACCCTGTCTCAGCAGAGTGTCACATTAAAAAAAACGTTAGTCCAGCAGCCAAAATAGTTGAAAGCAATGTAAAGTTTTAGTCTGGCCTCTCAAGAAAAAGAAAAAAGAAAAGAAAAGAAAAGAAAGAGAAAGAAGGAAAGAAAGAAAGAAAGAAAAAGAAAGAGAGAAAGAAAGAAAGAAAGAAAAGAAAGAAAGAAAGAAAGAAAGAAAGAAAGAAAGAAAGAAAGAAAGAAAGAAAGAAAGAAAGAAAGAAAGAAAAAAATATCTTATTTGGGAAATAAGAGATTAAATCACACACAGTAAAATCTTTTTAAAAGTTTTTTTCTCTCCCTTTCTCACTTTCTCTGTCTCTCTCACACACACACATACACACAAATGCACACACACATGCACATATGTGCACACACACACATACACATATAACTGCCTGGAAAGACAAGACTTTTCTTTGTCTCTCTCTAAAAATTCTCCTTCCAAGCCCCAACTCAAAAAAATCTTGATTCCTATGTTCTTCCCTACCTTGCCTTTTAAATCTACTATTCTCTTTCATTATTAATTTTCTGATCTTCCTATGTAAATCCAACAAGCCTCTCTGGCTTCTCTATTTTTGTTTATTTATTTGTTACACACACACACAGAGAACTAGGTAGTAGCTGCCTGGAAGGACAGGACAGAGGCTCTTTCCTCTTTAAAATGTGTGGGAGCTAGAGAGGCTGTAAAAATGCATCATTAGCATTGCCTCACATGAAGATTTTCCTCCTCAGCAGCTGGTACTTCTCCCATGCTGTCACTTCCATAACGTATATTCCACTGAACATTTTAAAGCTAAGTTACCGATGAGTAAAGAAATCATGGAGAATAGAAGCAAATGCAAAGTAGCAAGTGAGTTAGCAGGATACCGTGGCCCTGATGAGTTAAGATGCTGCATACTGGTAGCCAGAATCTTAGCAAGTTTTAAGTCCCAGGTTGACTGGGCACCCTGTAGCCTCCAAATCCAGGTTAAACACCCTCTTCTTCATGATCTGTCATATCCACCTGTTCATTATGGATCATAACAGGATCTCCACAGCAATCTGAATTTAAAGTCAGTATTGAATTATCTGAGATTCTGCATGGCAACCATTATCACTTCTTCTTTGACCTAGATCTCCCATGACCTTTCTTGAGCTCTTCCTTTTTCTCTACACTCTGATTTTTAAGCCTTTACTAGCTGACTTACCTCAGAGAGGTCATGTCTCGGTTGTCAGGGAAGTATTATAGCCTGTTTCAATGCACACTTCCAAGTACTACTTTCCTTTTTCTTATGCTTTGCTCCTATTTCTCTAAACTACTTCTAACTGCCACTTTCCACACTCTGTGGCCTTTTGTCTACAAATATTCCAGAAAGCCCCGGATTAATCTATCCAAAATAGCTGCATGGCTAAAACTCCATTCATATCAGGTTGGCTCCTGTCTCATAAAGTCTAGAGAATGGTCAGAACCTTATATATTTCAGGAAATTAGTTTACACCAGAGCATACTGGAAAAGAAACTATACAAGGACTTCATGATGGATATCAAACTCACCATTGATAAGCTGCAGGGAATCAGGATCTGGATTCAAGGAAGAGTTCCCCAGCAAAAAATTCTGCTGCAATGTCTCAGCAATATAATCTCTGAAGTTACTGATTGTATAAACAACAGTGGGTTTATCATCCAGTTCCACAAGGCCATGGTTTTCCACCTTGTTGGAGTGAAGGCTAATGAGGTCCCAGGTGGTATTGCTGATGGCCTCACCATTGAAGGTAACTGCATAGTAAACATCTACGCCACTATGGATGGAAAGAGAGAACAGGTTAGGTTCAGCTAAGGAAGCACAAAGAAAGGAGCATTGAACCCATGAAGAACAAACATTGGACCTAGAGGGGGAGTCTCAAAGAGCATGGATTCCATCACTTTTCTCTGAAAAGCCTGGACAACATTTTGCCATCCTCTCCTCCTTCCCAGAGAATGAGGGGTCATAGCTCTAAGAATAGGGAAAAGAATTCTAAGGAGGCCACAGAGGCAACCCTGCAGGATGATCTGAGCATCTTCTTCCCCTATGTTCTCACTTCTCCTATCCTCTTTCAAAGGCAAGTCCTCCCTCTTCACTATGAGCCTACTTCCTTCTTTTCCTATTAGCATTTTCCCCCTAATTTTTAAAAACAGTCTTTCTAATTCCTCCTCACAATGCAAAATCACTTCATTATTGTTGTTAGACAAATTATGTACTGGAACATAGTTATTTATTGTGGTAGGAAAATTATGAAAAACTTGGTACTAAAGCAAATTGATGATTATTTTCCTTTAAAATGTTGTGCTGGAGTATTTTCTAATATGACAGTTCTTTCAGGAGACATACTTTTGTTTGATAACCTAGACAATTTACAGTTCTATAAAGTTTAAGACTAAATTGTAAAAAAACTATTATGAAGTAATTTTTTTCTTGGCCTGGTAGGAAAAATATCTCTAAAGTTATATTTTTACCACCCTCCAGGGCATTAACCAATTTTGTATGTAACTTAGTAATCTGTTCCCAATTAACTATGTGAATTTCTCTTTTTCAGATACTCTAGAAACAAGCTCTCTCTCTCTCTTTTTAAAGCTAACTCCCTCATTAATGAATTATGTAAAACCTCAACAAGTACTAACAAACAGCACTTGTCTGGGAATTAGGCTTTTTCTCCATCAACCTTTCCACAAGCAAAAAAGAGGAGACTTCTTGGAACACAGGACAGAAAGACAGAAAATAAATAAGCATGAGTTGATGTGTTGACATTTTCTTAACTAGTCTTTTGGAGAAATAACATCAGAATATAAAATTTTAAACCAAATAAAAATATTCCTCTAGACTCCAACTCAGATTCCTCTAACTAAAAGCTAACAGTTTGTAAGTGCTGATAATGTGATAGGTATTTTACATGCTTTATCTCATTTAATTTTCATAATAACCTGATGAAAGATATTTTAGCTTCAGAATATTGTTGAGGAAACAAGCCCTTAGAGCAGTTAAAAGACTTCCTTTAGATTTCTTAAGATGTAATATGTGGCAGAGTCATAATTTCAACACAGATCTGTCCAACCCCAGCCCCTACATTCTGAACTAGTATGTTACCCTCTCAGTAGCTTCAATTAAACTATTACCCAAAAAAGTAATTATGAGGGCAGCTCAATACCACTCATCACTCTGGCTTCCAGCCAGTCTCTGCAGGACATCCATCATAGGCAGTAAGAACCCAGCAAGTCACACCAAGATCCCTCCAGAGGAAAGGAGAATACTACCTTCCAAGAGACAAACCACTCAAGACAGACGTGCAGTAAAAGTAATTCACCACTTTCAGACATTCCACAGCAGCAAACTATTCTCAAAACAAAGCATAAAAATAAATTAATGAAAAATTGAATAAAATTTAAAATAATGTGCTTCTTCCTCTGAACTTATATATTCTTATCTACTTCTTTACTTTAGCCTTCGTTGTTTTGTACAAAGATTTTGTTCACAGTGACGGTGTCTCAGTCTCTCCTTGAGTTTCTATCCCCAGTGCTCAGCTTGGTACCTAGCACAGAGAGGTACCCAGTGCCTACTAGATGAACAGAAATATATACTTGTCTGAAGGCAGAAAGAAAACCGCAGCACAATCAAGGTATTTACATATCTAAAGGAAAGTATCAACATAATAAGGATGATATCATAGAGTCTAGGAAAAAAGATATTAGTCAGCTAATTTATGTTACTAGTTAGTGGAAAGCTTCTGACCAGTATATTGGGAGTTCCTTGTGAAATAGATCCCTAGATTGGAGATGGCTACAATAAGCTATCATGGCTAGATGATACTGGCTGTTGAGATCATCCAACTTCCTCTTTTTGATTTCAAGCTTGTAAAAGAAACTTTTGATTATAACTCCCTACAGATTTTCTTATGAGGAAAGAATGCATGAGCCAGTCAATGCTATAATAATTGATTGGTCTGTTGGCACATATATTTCTCATTTTTAAGTAGATCAACAGGCATCCTAGAGAATTCATTGTCTTTTATGGTTTGGTAAGCATGAATCGTCTCAAGAGACTTCTTCCTGGGAGCACTGGTCTGGACCTGGCCTGGCCTACATGGCACAGATCACACACCCTGGACTGCAGGGAAAGCCATAAACGTGACACTTCCACCTGCCATATAAGGAAGCAGCCAGGCCTCTTGGATGTTCCTGTCTTACTCTGAGTGACTACAATACTGTTTTCCTCCCAGATATAACAGGATACCTCTTCTAATGCAGTGGTTCAGAGCTCTTAAAAGTAGTAACTGAGCACTTTGACACCCTGATGCTCTAAGTAGTAAGAACATCTGCTTGTCTCTAGAACTTTCCTCAATCCTCTAAGCAATTAAAGTATTTCAATTTTGCACATCTGAGTATGTTGATTCATAGGTAATTCCCAATATTATTTATAAAGAAATCAATTCAGTAAAATATGCTAAAATATCAAATGATGGTTCCAAGATAGAATAAAACAATAAGAGGGTCACCTACCGATCAGAACTCACCACACCATAGTCACCCTTGCTCTTTATTAGCCTTCAGTCATTCTGATAGACTGGCAGACCATAGGCACCTGCTCTGGTTCTGGATCTTTGCACATACATTTCCTTCTCTCTCCAATTCCTGTTATTACCTCCCAACCCTTATATCTTCCACATACACATGTACACACACATACAGATACCTTCTTCACCTGGCTATTTCTATTTTACTTCAGCTTAGCTGTCATCTCCCAGGGAAACTTCTTTTTAACATGAAGACGTGGTTGGTGCTCATGTTCTATCTCCTCACCAACTATACAGGCACAATTACTTTTTGGCTCTATGTCCCCAGCATCTAGCACAATGCCTGGCTCATAGCAGTTCAATACATACTTGTGAAAATAATGAAGAAACAAATGGTCAATTTTGTTCCCTAATGAAGGCAGATAAGACAATTGAATTTATGCCACTTAAACAACAGTACATGATATGCCTGACTTAATCTGAAGCATCTTCAGACTCTAAATATAACAGAGCAATTTTTAACCCTAAAGAACGTTCGTATTAGCTTCATATATTTGTATCTTCTGGTTAATCATTTTAGAGACATTGTTTCCTGGCCACAGCCCAGCTCTGTGAGGATGTGCATGCTCTTCCAAGTCTTAGCGTGATAGACCATATCTACCTCTCCAGAAAGGTGAGTTTCTTTTTCGGATTTTTGCACAACCTATTAAACTTACTTCTAGTGTAAACATGACTCTAAGATAAAAAAACTTTAAGAAAAAAAGAAAAAGGAGGAGGAGGAAAGGCTATGTCAGTTAGCACTTCAGTTGGTTCTTAGGCTATGCAGAAAATCAGACAAGGAGAGTCAAGCATTTACTGGGAGCCTACCATATGCCTTGCATGACTTTTAAATGTAATAGGGAAAAGATCAAGAGAAATGTTCCTGGATCAAGAAAGCTATGCAAATCAAGCAGTCTGGAATAGATTACTAGTGTTACTCTTTATTGGCAAAATATTTGCCTCTCAATGTTTCCATTGGACATCTAAATATAATACTTCTATTATAATCTACCTTGTCTAGTACAGATAAGTTCATTAAAGAAGATAAAATGCCTCAGAGAGATGTTATAATTTGTTACCATGTTTTTGTTCTGGAAAGGGAACTCAAATAAGTGCTTGAGATACCAGAAAACCATCTATTTTGAGTGCCAAGAACATCACTGTGACTCAGAACAGACAGAGTTCTGGCATAGTAATGGGGTACAAATATATCTCAGGATGAGGTACAGAATAAAAGAAAACCAAGAGGCCAAGGAAATACATGAGAAGCAGAATACACATTGGTAGATAAAATGGTATGTGATTGAAGAAAGCTGTGCTGGCTCTCCATATTCAGCAACTCCAAGTTAACTAACCACCACTGGATCATCATCTTTCATCTTTTGAACTGGACTCATGCAGCTGCTATACAGAGGAGAGTTTCTGTGTCTGACAGCTATTTCCAAAGACATTAATCACATGGAAGTGAAGTTTATCCTTTCTTATTCTTTCTCCTCAGATGCCCTGATTGACTGTTTGATGCATATATTTTTAAAAAATTAAAAATAGTGCTATCACATTTCATCAAGATCAACCAAAATAAGGATATTTTGGAGAAACTCAGACATCTCTTCTTTTATAGCTTCTTTTAGGAAGAAGATACATACTGAAAAAGCCTGAAGCTAAATATATAAATTGGGTATACCAGATGGATATGTTGTTGATTCACTTCAAATGCATACTACTGAATTAAAATAATGAGTACATTTTAAAAGAGGTACAGAGCAAATAAAAAAACTTCATGTGCATATAAATGCTTACAGAGAGAGAGAGAAACGGTATGTTATATATCTCATAGACTATTTCTGTGCTATACATTCATTTATACACAGCTCAGAATATAAGTACACCCAAAAGTTACAAATAAATTTTATCAGCTGGTTAATTCCTGACAATGCTGAATAATTTTGAAAACTATACCTAGGTTAGCAATTCTGGGTGACATCACTAATATGGCTGACTAGAGACACCTGGTACTCATCCCCACACTACAAGAAAGGATCAAAGCAACCACAAAAATAAACAATGAGAGAAGAAATAAGGAACAAAGAATATACAAAACAACTAGAAAACAAACAACAAAATGACATAAGTTCTCTACTGTGAATTATAACCTTGAAGTTAAATAGGTTAAATTATCCATTTAAAATATATAGACTGGCTGAAAGGATAACAAAAAAAAAAAAACAAACTATATGCTGCCTACAAGAAACTTACATGACCTATAAAGACACATAAATATCTAGAGTGAAGGGATAGAAACATATATCCCACACAAACAGAAACCAAAAGCAAGTGGGAGTAACCATGCTCAGACAAAACAGACTTCAAGTCCAAAGTTGAAAAAAGAGACAAAGAAGGACATTGTATAATAATAAAGGAATCCATTCAGCAAGAAAATAAAACAATTATAAATATGCCTGCACCCAAAATGGAGCACCAAGACATATAAAGCAACTATTATTAGATATAAATGGAGAGATAGACCCCAATACAATAACAGTTGAGGACTTCAACACCCCATTATCTCCCTAGAACAAATCATCTAGAAAGAAAAATCAACAAAGGAACACCAGATTTAAACTGCACCACAGACTAAGTGGCCCTCACAGATATTTACAGAACATTTCACTGAACAGATGCACAGCTGCAGAATACACACTGTTTTCATCAGCACATGGAATATTTTCCATGACTGACCATATGTTAGGACACAGAACAAGTCTCAAAAAATTTTTTTATCAAAATTATATCAAGTATCTTACCTGACCACAATGGAATTATACTAGAAATCAAAACAAGAGACAAATTTAAAACTATACCAATAAAGGAAAGTTAAACAATATGCTCCTAAATGATCAATGGGTGAAGAAATTTAAAATAAAAACAAAATATTCCTTGTAACAAATGAAAATAGAAACACAACATACCAAAACCTGTGGGACACAGCAAAAGCAGTAGTAAGAGACAAGTTTATAGCAATAAATGTCTACATCAAACAACTAAAAAGATTTCGAATAAACAACTTAACAATGCATCTCAAAGAACTAGAAAAGCAAAAACAAACCAAACCAAAAAATTAGCAGCAGGAAAGAAATAATAAAGATCAGAGCAGAAATAAAAGACATGGAGACCAAAATAAATATACAAAAGATTAACAAAACAAACAGCTGATTTTTTGAAAAGATAAAAATCAACAAACCATTAGTTAGACTTATGGTCTATAGCATTCTACCATTACTCAAAGCAATCTACAGATTCAAAAAAAAAAAAAAAAGAGAGGACCCAAATAAAATCAGAAATGAAAAAGGAGACATCACATCAAATACCACAGAAATGGAAAGGATAATTTAGAGACTACTATGAATAACCATATGCCAATAAATTTGAAAACCTAGTGGAAATAAATTCCTGAACACATTTAACCTACCAAAATTGAACCAAAAAGAAACTGAGCAAACCAACAACAAATAACAAGATTAAATCAGTAACAAAAAGTCTACTGAAAAAGAAAAGTCCAGGACTGGATTGCTTCACCACTGAATTCTACAGAATCTTTAAAGAAGAATGAATACCAGTTCTTCTGAAATTATCCCAAAAAATTAAAGCAGAAAAATTTAATTATTCCAAAACAAGACACGTACCTGACAAAAATTGAAAACTACAGGGCAAAATCCCTGATGAACACAGATGTAAAAATCCTCAACAAAATATTAGCAAATCAAATCCAATAGCCCCTCAAAAAGATAATACACCATGACCAAGTAGGATTTATCCCAGGAATGCAAGGATTGTTCAACATATGCAAATCAATAAGGATGATACATCACATCAGCAGAATGAAGTATAAAAACCATATGATCATCATAATGATGCAGAAAAACTACTTAATAAAATTCAACATGCCTTCATGATTAAAACCCTCAAAAAATTAGGTAGAGGAAAAGCACCTCAATACAATAAAGTCCACATATGAAAATGCCACAACTAACATCATACTGCATGGGGAAAAGTTGGAAGCATTTCCTCCAAGAACTGGAACAAGGCAAGAATGCCCACTTTTACCACTCCTGTTCAGCATAGTACCAGAAGTCCTAGCCAGAGCAATCAAGCAAAAGGAATAAATAAAAGACATACAAATTGGAAAAGAGGAAGTCAAATTATCCCTGTTTGCCGATCATGTGATCTTACACGGAGAAAAACCCAAAGACTCCATTAAAAAAACTCCTAGATTTAATGAATGAATTTAGTAAGGTTGCAGGATACAAAATCAACTTAAAAAAATCCAGTGGCATTCCTATACACAAGTAACAATCTAGCTGAGAAAAAAAAGGCAATCCCATTTACAATAGCTACAAGAAAAATAAAATACGTAAAAATAAATTTAACCAAGCAGGTGAAAGACCTCTGCAAGAAAAACTACAAAACACTGATGAAAGAAATTGAAAGGGATACAAAAAAATGGAAAAACATCCCATTCTCCTGGATCAGAAGAATTAAAATTGTTACAATGACCATACTACCCAAAGCAATCTACAGATTTGAAGCAATCCTTATCAAAATACCAATGACATTCTTCACAGAAATAGAAAAAAAGTCTTAAAATTTGTATGGAACCACAAAAGACCCCAGATAGCCAAAGCAATCCTAAGAAAAAATAACAAAGCTGATGATATATATCATACTACTAGACTTCAAATATAGTACAAAGCTGTAGTCATCAAAACAGCCTGGTACTAGCAATAAAAACAGGCACACGGATCAGTGGAACAGAATAGAGAATCCAGAAATCAATTCATATCTACAACCAATTAATTTTTGGCAAAAATATCAAGAACATATACTGCAGGAAGGACACTCTCTTCAATGAATGGTGCTGGGAAAACTGGATATCCATATGCAGAAGAATGAAACTAGACCCCTCAGCTCTCACTCTATACAAAAAATCCACTCAAAATAGATCAAAGACCTAAATGTCAGACTTGAAAAACTATTAAATACTAGAAGAAAACATTGGGGAAACACTTCAGGACATTGGTCTTGAAAAAGATTTTATGAATAAGACCTCAGAGGCATGGGCAACAAAAGCAAAAATAAACAAATGGAATTATATTAAACTAAAAAGCTTCTGCACAGCAAAGGAAACAATCAACAGAGTGAAAAGGTAACCCGCAGTACGATAGAAAATATTTGAAAACTATTTATCTGACATGGGATCAATATCCAGAATATAGAAGAAACTCAAATATCTCCACAGCAAAATAACAAACAATCCAATTTAAAAATGTGCAAATGATATGAATAGACATTTCTCAAAAGAAAACATAGAAATGGCCAAAAAATATATTTTAAAATGCTCAACATTTTCATCAACAGGGATATGCAAATCAAAACCAAAATGAAGTATCATCTCATGCCAGTTAGGATAGCTATTATCAAAAAGACAAAAAATAGCAAATGCTAGTGAGGATCCAGAGAAAAGGGGACTCTTACATACTTCTGGTGGGAATGTAAACTTGTATAGCCACTGTGGAAAACAATATGGAGGTTCCTCAGAGAACAACAAATGGAAGTACCATATGATCCAGCAATCCCACTACTGGGCATTTATCCAAAGGAAAGGAAATTAGTATATCAAAGAGATATCCACACACCCATGTTTATTTATTTCAGCACTACTCACAACAGCCAAGATATGGGGTCAACCTGGGTGTCCAACACAGATGAATGAATTAAGAAAATGTGGTATACATATGCAACCAAGTAGTTTAACTTCCAAATGCATTTTAAAACATTTTTTCTTTTCTCCTTTCTTCCCAGTCTCAAGTTGTAACCTTGAAACAAACTGTAGGAGCCTTTTCCCCCTTAGTTTTAAAATATAGCCCTGAAACATACTTTGAAACTTAACTCCCTCCTACCATCTCCCACCATGTACTCCTTTACCCCATGCACATTTATTAAATTGCGTGCTTATATCTAATTATATGCTTACTTAGAAGTTCCAGGGGCTAATCTTGAGACAGACCAAGCATGGAGACCCAGCTGCAAAATTCCAGAGATTATCTCAAGACAGTTAGTCAACAACCCAGCCATTGTTGAGATGATGCCAGCTGTGCTCCTGTGGACCATGGCTTGAGATAGCCACTGGAACAAGACATGCAGACCTTGTACCCAGCACCCCTCCTGCATGCCTCCCATTCCAAGTTTCCTTTTTTAATCCCCTCTTCCCAGCCTGAAGTTTGAATCATTTCTGGAGGTTAAGCTGGCCACTTCCCCCACTGCTAGCTTTGGAAATAAAGTCACTTTCCTTTCACTGCACATTGTCCTTGTTACTGGCTTTGCAAGCAGTGAGCAGCCAAGCCTCCATTCAGTTACACATACACAATGGAATACTATTCAGCCATAAAAAGAAGGAAATCCTGTGATTCACAGCAACACGCATGGACTGGAGGACATTTTGTTAAGTGAAATAAGCCAGGAACATAAAATTAAACAGCCTGTGAGCTAAATCCAGCCTACTACCCAAGAGTTACTGAATATTACATTTTTTAATAGTTGAAAAAAATCAAAAAAAGAACAATATTTTGTGACATGTGAAAATTATATAAAATTCAATGTCCATAAAGTGAAACACAGCAAAGCTCATTAGTTTACAATATATTGTCTATGTCTACTTTTACCTGATAGTGGCAGAATTGAGTAGTTGCAACAGAGACTATATGGCCTACAAAGTTTAAATTATTGGCTACCTGACTCTTAATAGAAAAGTTTGACAAACCCTGATCTGAAAAAGTCAGACAGTGATATTGGAAGTGATATAATATTTGAGTTATGCTCCCCTGGACCTACGGCCTGCTATATTTACTAAACTGTCTCCCAATTCAATGGACATTAGAGAAAGTGCCAAAAAGTACCTGTCATTTTCCTTGGGGGACCTGAAAACAAAAATTAAAAATATTAAACAGAGTTTGAGACAGTTATTATTGTCACATCATTCATCAAAGTGCAAGTTATTCATGTATTTCCTCTGAATTTCTTTGAAATGCTTCCTTAAATAAAAATGCTGACAAATTCCTATGGATTGAAGGAAGTGAGCAAAGGTGAAAAAAGCATTTTATTTTAAAACCATGGTCTTTATTTTCTTCTAAATTTTAAAAATACTTTAAAATAATTCACATATGGTTATTTCTTCATAAAGAAACTTTTTTCAGTAAATCAGCAGAGGACTCCAGTTGTTGGCTTTAACAAAATTGGGAACCTTCTTTTTTGGGATACAACATGTTATGCAGTATTAAAATCAGATGGTACACTGTAAAGTAGTAAGGGTATAGGTAAATGTCAGGACTGACTAATCCACAGTATACTGCATAACCTTTAATATTTATTATTTTATGTAGCAGATGCTTAAATAGAACTTTCCATGTGCCAGGAACTATGCTAAGCATTTTATAAAAATTGATTTAATCTTCATTAAGATTTATTAGTATCCTCATAATATAGGTATAGAAACTACAGACCAAAGAAGATAAATAAGTTGCTGATGGCATTTCAAAAGCATTTTTTTAATAAAGCAGGATTAAGGTAAATTGTCTTTTTTATACAAACAAAAAGTTAAATCCTGGAAATACACCCAAAAGCATCCAGCCAGAAGTGCAACGGCAGGATCTGAAGCCAGGCAAGTTGGCTCCAAAGACTGTGTTGCCCTTCATGTGCTGCCAAATAAGGGAGGTCTTCAAAGGCCTCACATTCTCAGGTTCTCATCTGAGCATACAACTGGAGGCAGCATCCTGTTTGAAAACTGCTAAAGTTGAATGGGGGCGACTGGTCATGATATGAGACTAGGTAAGTAGGACAACTTCAAATATTTGGCCTCTTTCCACTAAGCCTGCATCACTAACTAGCTAAACAACACTGGGAAAATTATTTAAATTCCCTGTGCTCTGGTTTCCTTATTGGAAAATATGAGCATAGTAACTATCTCATAGCATTGATGTTGGAATTAAATAGTGTGTGTGTAAATATACATATATATATATATAAAGCCTGGCACACTGTAAATGCTATATAAGTGCTTGCTGTTATTTCTGGTAAACTCAGAAGTTTTGTCAAGAACAAGCCAAAGTTGAGATGGATAACATCTAAACTTGGGCTAGAGCATCACCTAAATCATGGCATTGAGTCTAGCATGAAGGTTCAGAGCAAGAAAAGCTATAAAGTCAGCTGCTCTGTTTCAAAATTCCTCCTCCACCCCAGTTTACAAACTCTTGACTTTGGGCTAATACTTCATCCCTTTAAACCTGTTTCCTCCTCTTAAAAATGAGTATTAATAATATCTATCCTGAGAGGGCTGAAGATTAAGTGAGCTCAGCAATGTGGCATACCCAACACAAAGTATTCACTCAGTAAAGTATTCATTCAGTAAATGTTCACAAGTGTTACACTGTGAGTCTTAAGCAGGGAATAAATGTCTTTAAAAGAGGTGTCTGGTTTACTCAGAACTGTTATGTTTAAAACAAGGACTAATGCATCCCTTCCAGAGTGGCCTCATACCAAGATGTCAAAATCACCACACTGACAAGCTTTAGGAAAACACTGGGGCCACATCTCGTCTGCCTCCTATCAGTGCCAAATAAGACCTACGTAACTTGTCAGCAGCAAGCTGGGGACATGAATTCCTGAATTCTTAACCTAGCCAATTTTAGACCTAATATATCTCTTTGAGTTATTATTTGGTCTTTTTCTAACTCAATTTTCTCACCTGAAAAACTAACATCAAGAATACTAATTTACCAGAAATAGCATTGAGTTACAGCATTCAAACCATTTATTGTTAGAATATGTGTGATAAATATAATGGACATTCCATTCAGAATAAAGAATACTACTGAAAATGTGCATATTTAGATAAGTCTATTTACCTAAATTCAAGTACACGAATTTCCTTGTAGCCTGGTAACCCAGTAAATGCATTTTCAACCTGTTAAAAGTACAAATAAAAATGATAACTATGTAAAAATATGGAAAAATATATAGAAAATAATGCTTTTAAGAGTAGAATAAAAAGTGAACTGTTCACAACTATTAGAAGCTTATACACTTAGCTAGGCATACCCAGGTCAGAAAATGAAAGAAAAAATTTTACCTAAACACTGCCACATTTTTCTTTTTCATTTTGTCTTTCAAGGTTTCAATGTGCTTTAATATTAATTTTTCCAAATTATAAAAAGCATACTCCTTGTTGGCAAAGCACTGTTTTTCCCTTATGTGATGAAATGTGAAAAAAAAATTGTTTCAAAAGAAGCTGTAATAGCATTTTATTTTATTTTATTCTTTTTTTTTTTTTTTTTTTTTTGAGACAGAGTTTCACTCTGCCGCCCAGGCTGGAGTGCAGTGGTGCGATCTTGGCTCACTGCAAACTCCACCTTCCAGGTTCAAGCAATTGTCCTGCCTCAGCCTCCTGAGCAGCTGGAATTAGGAATTACAGGTGTGCGCCACCATGCTCGGCTAATTTTGTATTTTTACTAGAGGCGGGGTTTCACCGTGTTGGCCAGGCTGGTCTCGAATTCCTGACCTCAGGTGATCCACCTGCCTCAGCCTCCCGAAGTGCTAGGATTACAGGCCTGTAATAGCATTTTTAAATGATATTGTTTGGATTTGGAATCTGGCCACAGCACACACACTGAAAAACAGTCTAGTGTTTGTTTTCTGTAAGTGTGAAAGTGGCTGCTGGCATCTTTTTCCTGCTCCTACAACGAAAGAGAACCACAAACACACTCAACACCCAGACGAGAGGCCTTGTGGTCAGGTAACTCCGCTGGTCAAAAGACCAATTCATGAGCATCACATTTGCAGGAGCCAGTTTTATTACTGAGTCTTTAAAATCTAGCCATGTAACTCCAAATGAGCTTAGTGACTGGAGGTGGAAAATAGTATGCCAGATTGGACTAAAGATGTAAAAATAATCAGGTTGAGGCGGGTGGATCACGAGGTCAGGAGATGGAGACCATCCTGGCTAACATGGTGAAACCCGTCTCTACTAAAAAAATACAAAAAATCAGCCAGGCGTGGTGGTGGGCGCCTGTAGTCCCAGCTAGGCGGGAGGCTGAGGCAGGAGAATGGCGTGAACCCGGGAGGCGGAGCTTGCAGTGAGCCGAGATCGCGCCACTGCACTCCAGCCTGGGCGACATACTCCGTCTCAAAAAAAATAATAATAATCAGGTTAGGCAAAAATGCATATTTTAACAAAAATAAACATTTAATCTGTAACATTTCAGAAGGTGACAGCCTCACCAGATGGGTCATGATGGGGCCAACATCAGAACAAAGGAAATAAATTGATGGACCTTGGCAACATCTCTGGGCATCTGCTTTTAACCAAGTCCTCATATGAGGAGAGTGGGATTTTTAAAAAATCTTGGTTGACTGAAGATCTTTATGCCTTAAGAATAAAGATCCAAAGCCAAAGAATGAAACTCTTTGGCTATAGTAATGTGCCCTGTTTTACTCTCTGAAAGGAAATAAAAAACTGTTATAATTCTTGTAGGGTGGTGGGGAGGGGTAGAAGACACAGGACTAGAAATCAGAAGGCTGAGGGTTAGTCTCAGCTCTGTTTCTGCTGGCAGACAGTCCATGCACAGGCCTTCTTTTTTCAGAACTAATACTTCCCTGCTCACCTACCATATTGATTTTAAGATTAAAAGAAATGTACCTAAAAGCACTCCATTAACTGAAAAAAATCATTACTACTAAACCCATCTTAGTGTAGGCTTTGCAATCTCTGGAGTCTAAACATGTATAGATATCCAGTTGCATGAAGTCATTCGACTTCAACATTGATATTAATAGTCAGTAAAATTTATTGAGGACTGCAATATATCTGGTGCTTTGCTTTACTTCAAATCTCTGTGACAATCCCAAGAGATAATATATTATTCCTGTTTTATGGATGAGAAAATGGAGATTGTAAGATATTAACTAACTTGGCCAAGGTCACACATTTGGTAAGTGACTGAATCAGAATGCATTCAATCCCAGATCTCTCTAACACTGAAGCCCATATTCTTCCCATTGAATTACATTGCCCCTGCCTCATGATAAATGTGCTTTAGAATTGGGACCAAGACTGGGAAAACTAAGGTTCACTATAACTTCTCCCTTGAATTAAAAGGAAGGGGACTCTGTAGAAGAAGGAGTACTTTGAAAGGCAGTAGGAGACCTGATTTTCATTTCTGTTCCTAGAGAGACTGAATGACAATGAACAAGTTATTTGGCCTCCTGAGCCTCATCTGTAAATTAGAGATGCTTGAATACATGACTGCTGTGAGCAAACAAATAGAAAGTCGCCTGTGGAGCATAAGGAACTATGTGAGGATCACACCGACACTGGAACTGCCCTCAGGCACCAACCCTCCCAGGCCCATCACACTGACCTTTCCCTCTCTGATGTTGTACTTCGTGTTATCCCAAGCCTATCATGCCCCCACTTCTTATCCTTTTACACACGCACACACACACACACACACACATACACACACACACAGACACACAAAGACTAATAGCTCCTAAACCTCATCCCCTCCAAGCAGGCTTTCTTTCTCCCTGTGTGTCTTCCAGTAATACCCAGAGAAGCTGAGGGAAAAATCCATGTGATGGTGTCCTAAGGGGAGGGAGCTGGAGGATCCCCTTCAGTTTGAGACATGATCCCCTGCCTCTGCTGTTTCATGCAAAGTGACTGTTGGTAGACATTTCATTCCAGGTAAGGGGACAGGGAGTACAGAGATAGGCCAGAGAAGGAGGTCTTCCATGGTAGGCCCAGAACCTTCAACACCCTCTAATCACCTCAATAGCTACCTACCTCATCAAGTCCTTGATGAAGATATTTTTCAGAGTGTTTATTGGACTTCTCTAAATCTGCAGTCATTCCATGCAATTGTTTACCTAAACACTAAGCTATATTAAAAGTTCCTTAATCAAAGGACAGAGAAAACCAGACAGCCAGCCCAAGACACTCTTTGATGCCAGGTGGCCACTGGCCTGGCTGACATTTCTTCCACATACCATATAGCCTTGCAACTTGGCCACACCACTAGGAAAATAAATTGTCTGGCCTCCCCTTCCCACATCTGATGGCTACAATAATGCTTTGGCTGAGAGATGCACATTTTTATTTCTCATCTGGACACAGTATCTGGGGAAGAAAATTAATCTAAGGTAATGGAATTGATAAACTTGGCTAAAGAGAACCCCATCAAGAAGGAATGGGAAAAAATAAACGAAGGAATGATGTGCCCTGTCATCTGACAGACAGGGGTAGATAAGCATTCAATGTCTTACTGCACAAAAGCAAAGGCAAACTAGACGGGGACTATGGGTCATTTTTGACTGAAAAATTCTTGAGTTTAAGTCCTATATAGAATTTTCCCAGAAAGTGAAGTTATGGGATGGTCTAATCCACAATTCTTTAAAGAAATCCCTTTTTAAAAATACCTCCAACCAAGGATAGGAGAAACATTTATTTTTCACTGGATGCCCTTTTATGCTTCTAAATTTTGTACCAGTTATTACCTATGTGTTAACTATTGAAAATTTTTCAATTAAAAATACTAAAGATGAAATTAAAAGACATTAAATGTAATGTTCCCTTAAGAAAAACAATACAGTGTGTGTAGTTTCTTAGAGAAGCTTATTTCTCCAAATATTTTCAAGTCAAAACCATGCCACAGAACACATTCTTTCTTGGCTGTGCAGCAAAAGTTGGAAATTGCATTTATTTTTTAGCAGATGGCAAGATTTTTCTTTCTGTGAAAGAATTCATCTGTCCTATGACTTTTCACAGAGTTTTCTGAAGAAATGGCTAAGTAACCACTCCAGGAACCAAGTAGACAAACAATTTGAAACCTAAACCTATCTTTAAACAGTGTTGTGAATATAGGAAACTAACATAGCAGGCATACTGCCTTGTTTGTTTTTTTTTTAATCACCCACCTCTGAAATAAATTCTTCTTCAAGGTGCTGGTGGTGAAAGCTGGAGGAATCCTGTAGTTCTTCCCTGTACTGCTTCCCCAAAAGGTGGATACTGAATTCTGCAATCTGTTCACCTGCTGGTTTTGTGGCTTCTTCTATCACATTCTCAATTTCATTGCTAATCTGAATTTTTAGAGAAAGAACAATAAATGTCAAGGCTTATTCATTCAATCAACAAACATTTATTGATTGTTTCAATGTGTCAGAACTGTGCTAAAGGCAGCTTCTGAAGATAATCTTATTATTTCGTATTTGACTTTGGAACAAATTGGGTAGACTTTAAGACACAGGCTAACAGCCAGGAGAAGTGGCTCACACCTGTAATCTCAGCACTTTGGGAGGCCGAGGTGGGCAGATCACTTGAGGTCAGGAGTTCAAGACCAGCCTGGCCAACTGAAACCCCATCTCTACTAAAAATACAAAATTAGCTGGGCATGGTAGTATGCATCTGTAATCCCAGCTACTCAGGAGGCTGAGGCAGGAGAATCACTTGAACCTGGGAGGCGGAGGTTTTAGTGAGCCAAGATCCACTGCACTCCAGCCTGGGTGACGGAGCAATACTCCATTTCAAAAAAATAATAAATAAATAAAATAAATTAATAAAATAGTAAACATCTGGGTAAATCTTAAACAAATTTTAGCTGTGTAAGTAGAATATAATACAGTCTAATTAGTAGAATAAAAAGAAAGAACAAAAATACTGAAAAGCAGCATACAGGTCAGCAAAATGATCATTTGAATTACAATGTTCTAATGTTCCTATGTTGCTCAGGATAAGAATAAAGATGTTGAAAAACTTAAAATTTGTTAGGTTGAATACACATTATAATTATAGGATAAATCCCAACAGAACTGAAATACGGTATATAATTTCTAGAAGAGTAGATGGGAAAATGCATTAGGAAAATAGGTGCACAATAAAACTACCTTGGGCTTCATTTTGAACCAGAGCTACAGCAAACTAATTTTTGTTAGGTATCTCTATATTGTTTTGTTTTCCTACTGGCTCTATAAATTGGCTTAAATCCTCTGTTTTGGATATTAACGTTCCAATTGATTGCATACAATTCCTTAATTTCTATTAAAGTGAATTATATCTCATTCTACAAATGTTTCCAGATCTAAATCATAGCTATTCTGCCTCAAGTTCAGAGCTGCAGTATCACTTTTTATTCATTCATTCACAAATATTTATCAAATGCCAATATTTGCTAGCACCATCTACTTGGAACACGGTTATACTTAGGATAAAAGTATTGATTCGGGTATCCACTCTAGGGATTACCACCAGCCTTGTTCAGTGACAGGGAGGGTGATGAGGCAGAGTGGAGCGACTTAACCTGATTTCATGTAAGTTAAAATGTCCACGTTGGGAAGTGAAGGTGCAAGAGAACTAAATTGCATCTTCCTAGTGGATATGTTTTGTCAGAGTTAGCTCTATATTAAAAAAAAAAAAACAGGATTTGTGAACCCCCTAATTTTTTAAATTCAGTATTTAAATATCTTATCTAACAAAATGTTTCTATATTCCTGGGCGATGTGTAAATTTTTTGTTAACCTGTATGTATCTTTTGTGATAGAGACTCACCTATAGGATTTAGTGTTGTTTAGTGGACAGGTTTCTATTAATAATGGTACATTCACAATGCATGGTACTTTTTGACTTTTAAACTACATAAAATGTATATTATTACCCACTAAAGAAGGCTAAGATCTGGTCTATTAAGGGTGAGAAGAACATAGGCAAAACCACCATAGAAAATCATGTCACAGAGGCCACAAGAGGCAGTGGGCTTACCTCAATGACAGTCCACTTCATTTATAATTCGAAGCTCTCACCAAAAACTCACCAATAAGAGCAGATTTACTCAGTTCTCCAAGGAATCTCAAAATTGTTTTTAATGTACTGGTTTTAGGATCCATGTCATTTTTCTAACAGGACACTACATGAAGTCCTGTGTAGTCCAGCAATGGGAGATAAACTCTCTCTTAATCTCTATGTTCCATGTTAGAAACTAACTAACAAAACAGAGCATCACTCACACTCTCCTCTGGCCTTTCCAAGCTGCTCTCTGAGGCACCTTCATAGGCGTCCACCTCTGGATGTGGAACACTGAGAGTAGTGTCTAAGAAGAAAAGCAAAAACATATGCATGAATTCAGTCCTCGATTAAGTCAGAATTCCTATCAGGAAATAAGGAACTGACTTCAAAAACCATTCCTATAAATAGTTTGTTTTATTGTCCTGGAAATTCGGTGCATTCTAACCTCAGGACATATTTGTATGGAGCCTTCTCAGAACAAGAAATAATTGTGGTACGTTCAACAAGCATATATTGAGCACCTACTATATGCCAGACTCTGCACAAGACACTAGGAACACAAAGACAATATTCCTCTACTTAAGGAGCTATCTAGTAAAGGGGACACATACTAAAAGAAGTAACTCCTCTACCAGAGAGGAGAAGTGGGTAAAGGTTGGAAATTGGTTGTGAATTGACAAGTGTTAAAACTGGACCTTATCATGTTATTCTATTTTTGTAGATGTTTGAAATTTCTAACACAGAGAAGTTTGTGGGGTTTTTTAATTAAAAATAAAGAAATGAATTACCAATTTACAAGAAATATACTGGGCAAAGGAACATGTTAAACTATACCACAGAATGCAATAAGAAAATCCTTACTCTGGGAACCTCTCATGGGACGAATGACAAATGGTGGCGTTAGAATGGTTCTACGTTTTGACATTAGTGGTGGCTACAGAGTGTTTGCCTTAAAATAATTCATTAGCTCATACATTTGTTTTAAGTGGTGTTCTGACTTGTATTATATACTTAATGATTAAGGAGTTTTAGGTACCCACAACATAATGCCATAAAATAAATTTTTAAAAATTACTTTTTCTTGAGACTCTTGAAAAACGTATTAAAAAAGAGAAATCTGATATTTTTAAAAGGTAAGCTGCAAAAAATGTACTTGTTTGTGAGCCTGTCTTAAACCATAAATAATTTTAAAAGAAAAGTGAATGAAGACACAAAAGTATACCTCCCAATGTTGAAGTATCACCAACAGGAACTGGAGAAGACAGTTCAGAGCTAGAAAAAAAAATGTTTGCAGTTAATAAAATGACAGACACATGAGAGTTTATTTTGGGATTTTTGGGGTTGTTTTCCAAAAAGGAAAGCACTAGATCACCAAGTAAGGGCTCCCAAGCAAAAGTACCAAAAAGCAAAGTTTTTTAAAATTAAAACTTCATAATTCATTTATTTTATATTTATTGATGCCTACTCCACTAGAATCACCCTACCTAGAATTCTTCCCTAGTTATCTTTGCATCACCCTGTTTTCTCTCTTCTCAGTTCTTATCACTATGTGAAATTTTATTTATCTTCTTATTTATCTCTGTCTCTAATGCCTTAGTCCTCTAGCACAATATTGCCCAAAATGGTAGCCACTGGACATGCATAGCAATTTAATTAAAATTAAACCAAGTTAAAAACTCAGTTCCTCATTTACACCTGCCACATTTCAAGTGCTTAATAGCTGCATGTGGTTAATGGCCATCATACTGGACAAGATGGTAAAGAACATTTCCATCACCACAGATGTTCTGTTGAACAGGAATGTATTAAGAATCTAAACTGCATGAGATTGGAGACCTTGACTAATATATTCCTGCTGTATTTTCCAGTGCCTAAAACAGTACCTGCCATTTAGTAGGCATTAAAAATATATTTTGGGGATAAATGAATACTATGTGCCAGGCAATGTAGAAGGTACTTGGCATATAATTGTGAGCAAAACACCCATTGTATATGAAGGTTACAGTCTTATAGAAATTATACACACTAAATCAATAATTACAGATGAGACAAGTAGTACAGACAAGAAAGTAGTGGCTGCTAGAAGGAACATAAAACCACACACCTGATCTCATCTGAGAGATCATTGAAATCATAAAACCTATTTATATAAAGAAAGTCAAGCTTAGAGAAATTATTTGCTGTAGGCCCCATTGCTAACAGGCATCAGGTCTCCTGGCTGTTGTTTTACCATGCCACTCTGCAATTGCAAGCAAAGATAAGAAGAGATCAGAAGATAATCTAAGAAAGCCTCTCCTCCTAAAGGAAAGAAAATAGGTTTCCACAAGTCCATATTTTCACATATCCCAAAGCTATAAAAGTTAAATTACAGTAATCTGGGAACATTTTAGAATTTTCAAGTTTGTACACATGTCCTAAGAGGAAAAGGGCTATTCCCTTAACCTTTTCCAAAGATATTGGATCAGTGGTGATTGTCTGTTTTCAACTCATAGCAATTAAAAACTCTCTTCAAGTTGGGCACAGTGGCTCATGCCTGTAATCCCAGCACTTTGAGAGGTCCAGGCGGGTCAATCACTTGAGGCCAGCAGTTCGAGACCAGCCTGGCCAACATGGTGAAACCCCGTCTCTACTAAAAATACAAAAATTAGCCAGGCGTGGTGGCACATGCCTGTAATCCCAGCTACTCAGGAGGCTGAGGTATGAGAATCACTTGAACCCAGGAGGCAGAGGCTGCAGTGAGCCAAGATTGTGCCACTGCACTCCAGCCTGGGTGACAGAGGAAGACTCTGCCTCTAAATAAATAAATAAATAAAAACTCTTCAATGCTACCAAGTCAACTTCCTAAAGTAATTTGATCAACAGTCAAAAATATCTCCCTCATAGACGTGCCCAGGTCTGTGATGTGCCCAGTAAGTCACATCTTCAGAGCCACACACTTTTAGATCAACCTACTGCTCTAAAGTAGATTACAGAGGTACTCAAAGCCTGGAGATAAACATGGCACACACTTTGAGGCATCAGTTTTACTACAAGCTTAAACAGGTTAGGAGCTAAATAAGAACTGATGTATAATTTAAAACGTTTTAATATTATAACAAACATAGCTATATTATGGAATAGAATATAAAGTTTAAGTGAATATGAAGATAAAATATGATAATTCAAAGACATTTTATGATTGGAGCTGGTATGGGAGGGTAAATTAGGGGCATGTTTTCTAAATGCCCAGGCTTTGGCAGAAAATTTGAGAAACATAAGTTAAAAAAAAAAAACAAACTTCACCATAAAGATCTTTCTGGTTTTAAAAATTCTATCTAAAAAAGTAAGATGTTAAACTATTACACAAAACTCATCAGTATTGTTTATTTAGAGCACATTTGCATAAAATTGCTTATTAAGTTTCATCTAGAAGAACCTAAAGGGATATGACATCTGGACAAGTTATTTTGATGAGCAGAGGACAGCATGAGTGATGAGGAAGCATTAAGAGGCTTCTTGGGTTACAGAGGATGGAGCTGAAAAAAATGGGATTCAGATGCATTCAGAAGAAACATTAACATAATCAGGCCTGAATAGGGTCCATCAATTGTCCACATGGCAGTACTCCTTCCCAGTACCTTCATTTCATAGATGAAAGAAATAAGGTCCAAACAGGTAAAGCAACTTTCCCAGGCTCACACAAAAATTCCTAATTGTATCCAGTTCTCTTTCAATAATAACAGCAAGAATAATTACAACTAACTTTACTGAGCCCTCATCATGTGTCATACACTGCTAAGTGCTTTATTTAGGTTAACTAACTTAATTCTGGCAACCACCTTAAGAAGGAGATCCTATGATCCCATTTAGACTGATGAGGAAACTAATGCTAGAAGAGGTTAAGAATTTGCTCAGGGTCACACAGCTAAGCCAATGGAGAAGCTGTTATGTAAAATAGGCCCACTGGATGCCAGAAACCTCATTCTTACTCATCTCAAATCACTGCTTCACAACATGGCCCTTATGTGATCCCTACTCTTTAGAAGGGTTTCACTTGGCCTTCATGATACTGGCCTATAAAAACTAAATGACCTAAAAGTCAGTGTGTAAGGTCCCAGAAAGAGGAAGGGGAACCTGGTTAGAGTTGCTCTATGGAGAGCAACCAGATATAAGGATCACAATAAGGCAAAGGTATGAAAGCACAACACAGCAACTCGAATAGGATGTTGCAATGAGGTAGCAGAGAAACCGGACTTCACCTGGGGTGAGTTAAATTGTCTCCGACGTCAAATCAAATTTACGCTAATTCTCTAACTAAGCAAACATTCAGAATGGAGAAGTTTACTTCAGTTGAACTAGATTTCACCTTGCTGAATTCAAAATAACATTATTTTAATAGTGATAAGTAGGAAACTCTTAGTAATTTAAATCACTTGCCTACACTCCAACTCTTAATCCCTCAACCACCCACTCTCCTTTCAAGAGACAGTAAAGAACACTTAACAACAAGAATCCTTTTACATGTTTTCATTAAGTATTCCCCCTGCAGAGATCCTTTAAAATGTCACTCACCACAGCACTGGAACACAGAGGTGTATTGAGCTTGGAAAGAGAAATACTACTTAATTTCTAAGTCAAACCACAAAGTTGAAGCTGTTCAGCTAAGATCTTTAGCTTAATACTAATAACATACAACCCCTTACTATCTCCTCTCCTCATTTCATCCAGCACATTATTCATTCTTCACCACTACTACCTAATCATGTCAATGGAATTCAGGTGGGATCATGTCAACAGCTGCTCATAGCCACATAGAACATATATTTAAAGACATTGTAAAACAAGCCAAGCACAGGTTCATATGCAGATTCCTGCTCCCCTTGATATCTTCTATACTTTGCTTTGCTCTCGAATATGTTACTATAATCACATGTGACCACAAAAGAACTCAAAGAAAGGAGTTAAGAAACCTGAGTGCTAGTCCTAGATGTATCATTAACTTTGTGTATGATTTAGGGAAATACCTTAGTTGCTCTGGGCCTCAAAAACTTACCCTTTAAAACAAGAACACCTCCACGTCTGCCTATTTCAAGAAGGTGTTGACAAAAATTAAATAAAATATTATATGCAGAAGCATCAGAAAAAGTATGAAATGCTAAACAAATATAAAACAGGGGTTAATGGGACAGTGACATATATCATCCCAAACAGAATAAAACATTTGCTGAAAATATATATATATAGGCCAGGCACAGTGGCTCATGCCTGTAATCACAGCACTTTGGGAGGCCGAGGTGGACGGATCACCTGAGGTCAGGAGTTCGAAACCAGCCTGGCCAACATGGCGAAACCCCATCTCTACTAAAAAACATACAAAAATTAGCCGGGCATAGTGGCACATGCCTGTAATCCCAGCTACTCGGGAGGCTGAGGCAGGAGAATCGCTTGAACGTCAGAGGTGGAGGTTGCAGTGGGCTGAGATCGGGCCACTGCACTCCAGCCTGGGTGACAGAGCGAGACTGTTGCAAAAAAAAAAAATTATATATATATAGTGATCCATGATGGGTATTCTCAACTACAATTCTCAACTACAAATGTAAATTAATTGAGACACACACACACACAATCCCAAAGAGCAGTCCTTATACTGAGAATATCACCAGAGACCTGATAATAGACTTGGGTGATTAGGTAGAAATTCTGTTATTAATTTAACAAATATTTAGTAAGCACATATCCTAGGATGAGCCTTGCACTCGTTATTGGGGATGTAACCGTAAAACCAGATGGCAGGAGTTTAAGGAGTGATTGGAGCTAAGTGGACATTCTTTCAAGATGTCTGGCTATAATGGAGATAAATGCGGGCTGTTTTAAAAATAGGTAACATGAGAGGGACTTCAGCATGTTTAAATACTAATGGGAAAGAGTTAGTAAAGAAGGAAGTTGGAGACTCAGGAGAAAGAGAGAAACAATGACAGGCAGAGGTTTCTAAGAGGAAAGACAGAATTTAAGGTCCTGAATACAGGCAGAAAATGTTCTTTTTAAGAGTTGGCAACTGATAGCAGGAGATGTTTAAAATAGGATATAGCAGAGTATTTGGTGCAAGACATACATTAGCAGATGTATTAGAGTTTGCATAGAGGTCTGCAATTTAAATTACAGAGAATTGTGATTGGCAGAATACTAGCCTCCCAAAGAGGGCCATATCTTAATTCCCAGAGAGGGGAATTAAGGTTGCAAGTAGAATTAAGCTTGCTAATCGGCAGATCTTAAAATAGGCAGAGTATGCTGGGTTATCCAGTAGGCTCCATGTAATCACAGGGACCCTTTCATGTGGAAGAGAGAGACAGAAGAAAGTCAGAGTGACGGAATGTGAGAGAGACTCCACCGGCCATTGCTGTCTTTGAAGATGGAAGTGGGCCATGAGCCAAGAAATGTGGGTGGTCTGTAGAAGCTAGAAAAGGCAAGAAAACAGATTCTCCCCTACAGCTTCTAAAAAGGAACATAGCCATGCTGATACTTTGAGACCCAAAGGAGGCTTTTGAACTGCAGAACTATAAGATAATCTATGTTGTTTTAAGCTGCCAAGGTCAGACTAATTAGTTAAAGCAGCAGTAGAAAACTAATACAAGAATCTCTTTACACAGAGAATACAAAAATAATCTCAAAAAATTTATAAAAATAAATTTGAATAGTGGAAATGGGAGTTAATGGAGTAGTGACACATGTCATCCCAAAGAGAATAAAATATTTGCTGAAAAAAATATATATTTGGCTTTGTGGTCCATGGAAATCGTGGGCAAATAAGGGTTTTAATGGATGATGGTAATATTCAAGCGGAGAAAGATAGGCTGAGTAAATTCTTAGGCCACTCCTATGGTATCACTCCCAGTGTGAGCTAGCCCCATGTCATCCCCTTCAGCATCTCCCACAGTCGGCAGTCTCCACCCCACTTCAACCTCATCTGCCCTAGTTTCAGGCAGAATACAAATTTTTAAATTTTCAAAATTAACTTATATTTTAGTTATGTATTGTTATTTCTTTATATGCCTTATTTTCTAAGAATAGTGAATATCTTGTATCCTCTATTATTTATACCTAGTACAGGCAGTGACTTATCAATAGAGATACATGATACATACAGTCAGTTCTGCTATGCTATTTATTTGTAAATTTGTTTCAACATGATTAATATATTAAGAAACAGTTGAGCATAATACAGATTTCTCCTTTACCTATACCCAATTTCATTGTGAGAAACACTAGATGAACAAACAAAACCACCCAGATGAATAGAGACCATGTAGGAATACACCAAGCACTCTCATGCCCAACACTTCAGACATCTTCCAGCTACCTTAGTTCACCCATGAGTTATGAACCACACCTACCCTCGTATAGTGTTACAACTTTCTGTCCTTCTTCACATAACTCTCCTTCCATCACTTTACAATAATTTATAAGCTACAATCTTTCCAGTGTCCAATTTTACGAACAAATGTCAGAAATTCATCAAGGTTAAGTGACATATTTATTATGGTATTTGTGTATTTCTTAACCACATGGGACATGTAAACTGTGCCACCATTTTTATTAGTTTACTTTTTGTTTGTTTTTGAGATGGAGTCTCACTCTGTTGTTGCCCAGGCTGGAGTGCAGTGGCGCAATCTCGGCTCACTGCAACCTCTGCCTCTCAGGTTCAAGCTATTCTCCTGCCTTAGCCTCCCGAGCAGTCAGGATTACAGGTGCACGCCACCATGCCTGGCTAATTTTTTTTGTATTTTTGTAGAGACGGGATTTCACCATGTTGGCCAGGCTGGTCTTGAACTCCTGATTTCAAGTAATCTGCCTGCCTCAGCCTCCCAAAGTGCTGGGATTACAGGCGTTGAGCCACCATGCCAGCCACTAGTTTCCTTTTTTTAAAAAATGTATTGTTGACAAAGTTTTTGGGTATTGTGCCCCAACTTTATTATTCCCATTGCCCCTGTAGTTTTTATTGAGTGATTTTCAACAATTTTTAGGAAATAATATATCATGTTATAGTAGAACTAACTATATGATGAAGGTGTTTTGTTTTCATAGAAAGTTTTTGAATAAACCCCATAAATTTGTTTGTTCTAAGACTCTTTCCAACATGGTACATATATACAGAGTATACAGTAGATGGCCAGAAGCCACAGAGTAGACTTGGCTCCATTTCCAAAGCTTCCATTTTGTGTGATATTTGAGGAAATAAATCAATTTATATAAAATTTATACATACTGATATACTACATAGCAAAATACAAAAGAGTGCATGAAGTCTTAAGAAAAGGAAGTTTGGATTTGCAAAAACAAAACAAAACAAAAAACTCTGAGCTATACTGCCCATATTTTCTGCCATTGAGGACTTTGGGAGAAAAGTTTGATAAACACTGTTCTAAGCAAATGTTAAAATCCCCTTAGCTGACGAATATATAGACTAATAAGAAAAATAAAAAATAACTCTGGCTGCTGTGTTGAAAATGTACTGTAGTTGGGAAAGGGTTAGACATGTTAAGAAGCTATTATAAGAATAAAAGATGCTGGTGGCTCATACCAGGGTGGTGGCAGTGAAGATGGTGAAAAGTGATCAGATTCGAGATATATTTTGAATCTACAGGCAACAGAATTTCTTGATGGATTGGATGTGAGGTGTGGGAGAAACGGAAATATAAAGCATGATCACAAAGTTTTGGTCTGCATGACAGACACAATAAAGTTGTCACCAATAGAAATGCAGAGTTAATTGGGTTGGGGGCATGGGAGAACCAGGAGTTCAGTTGTGGATGTGTTGAGTTTGAAATGTCTACTTGACATTCACATAGAGATGTCATCATAAATGAGTTGTCTTCCATCTTCTCAGTTTATAGATAAAAAACATTGCATCAGATTGTTTGAGTCATTTATCCAAAATCAAAGTAGCCAGGTAGAGGCAAAAAGAAAAAGTCTCTTGATGCCCAGTCCAGTGCTCTTCTTAGTAAACCTTCCCAGAGAGTAGAGAACTTTCCAGTAAAAGAGACTCATTGTTTTAATGAATCCAATGAATCAATATTTTTATTGGTAAACAAATTCTAATATTCAATTCAAGAAACTAAATCAAGATTTATTTATCAATATGAACAACAAAAAAAAACAAAATCATTTGAATGGCAAAAGGAGAATGCATAAATATCCTTAGTAGGTATTAAACAAACAAATTCATGTATATTTAGGACAGACTCAAAATCTGTGCCTAGCAGTTTCTAAAAGAAGTAATATTCCTTGTCCTAGCTGTGCACACAGGATTTCAATGCACTTCCAATGCCATCTGCTTACTGTAGTTACCATCATCTCCTGCAGCACAAGTTTGAGAGGGCCAGAGTCAGAGTAGGCTTAATATTTGTCTCTATGTCTGAGATATTTCATAATTTAACCTTTTTTTTAAAGAAACAAAACTGTAAAAAAAATAGAACCATTACTGAATTCTTGCTTTCTAATAAACCACAACCATCAAATTAGTTAACTTTCCTTTTGCTGACATTGCTAGAATGTCCCAGAGACTGTTAACTAATTTGATAGCTCCATTTTTCTGTCACTTAACGACTGGAATTGTAAACAAGTCTCATTAAGTTTTGTGAACTCAGAGAATTTCATCCTGTAAAAATTTCATAGGGTAATTGTGACAATTAAATGTAAAAAATCTTGTTAAAATGTAAAGCTCTATATGTCTATAAATGCAGATGTGTAAGGGATGATGGTAGGGTTGGAGATATGTCATCTCATAAGAGGTCAGGGAGTAACACCACTATCCATTCCTCTACTGGTCCATCTTTGCCCCAAGAGTACTGCCAGTGTGCACCAAAAGGATAATGCTGCGCTAGGCCACATCCCTGACAGAAAGACACACAGGGATCAGTACATTCTGCCCCTACTCTCACTGAATGTGCTACAGACACAGAAAGACATAGACTTCCTGCTCTTCTAGGAATCCTATTCTTGATCATTTGATGTTTTCCTAAAGCCTGAGAAACAGGTATTTTTATTTAAAGTGAAACAACCAAGATTTAGCACAAGTTGTTGATAAGAGAAACACTAAAATTTCAATATCTCTCCTGTCTACAGCTCTGTCTCTCTCATATACTGCCTTATTGCATGGACTCACAGCCAGGCCACATGGTACGTATTCAATATGCTGACAACTGATGGTTTGAGAAACATTATCATGGAGAAGTCTGTCTAATATAAAGTAGTTACTTTCTAAATCTTTCTTCATTTGAAGTTAGTGCCTTTGAATTTCAGCAGATATGATTTTGAAATTGGTACAAATATCTACAGAAAAGTTCATTATATCATTTTTAATTTTAAATTTTTATAAATTTTGGTAGATTTACGGGGTACAAGTGCCATTTTGTAACATGGATACATGGTGTAGTGATGAAGTCTGGGCTTTTAGTATGTAAATTATAGAAACCATTTAAATACTTCTTTTCATTCTTCATGTTTGTCTTTCTCATTCACACACATATATGTACAACAAAGAAAACTGATTTTTTAATCTCTGAATGATGTAAAATATCCTAATAATTTAAATACATATGCATTATAGCATAGGGGTTGAATACTGGCTTTGTGACCTTGGACAAGTCCCTTAAATTCTCTACGCCATAATTTCCTTCTCTTTAAGAGAAGGATAATATTAATACCTACCTCATTATATTGTTCAGAGGATTAAGTAAATTAATACAAGTAATAAAGTACCTAGAACAATGTCTGGCCTATAACTAATACATTAGTATTAGCTAATATTTTTAATTTTATTAAAATGACTCTAATTAGGTGATTATTGAGTATGGTTATTCTAAAACATTTAAAAGGGCAAATATCATTGTCCATTCTTGTGAGTAAGAAGCTTTTTACAATATTCTAAGTAACTGCTGATATGTTAGTATTTTTAGTTATTAGGCCCAGATTTACAGTGAAATGGCATGCTTCAATATCCAATCTAGAAAAATAAATTATGGTCTACCTCTTATAGTGGTCTACCATGAAGTCTACCAGCCTAATTCTATGACAAGATAATGAAGAAAAAGTCTCATCTCTCTTCCCCTTGGCATCTTTATGATGTTTTAACATTCAAGTGCATATCAGTACTTTGAATGCTTGGAAATTATACTGCCTCAACATTTGTAGATATATGTACTCACACTATATATGCCTCGCATTACCAGTCTAGCTTCCGATGGCATGTGCTGCATTATAGGCTAGTTCTCATGATGGAAAACCTTCTCTTCACATGAGCAGAATCATTCTACCTTCTCTGTAAAAATTCCTCTTGGGAGTTGGGATGGTGAAGGAGAGAATGAAGGTGTTTGTTTCCAGCTGATGCACAGAAAGATGGGACAGTTTGAATCAGCAGGCAGGAGAACCCAAGGAAATGAATGAGATGATCAATTTGGGGCAGCTCCAGAGAAAACCCATTATGCTTTAGCCAATTAACAGACTTTCATTCATTTCCCCTCCTTCTCTAATCACCTCCTAGTAGTTGTGAATGAGGTGCACTGTGATCAGGTATTTATTAGTTGATACATTATGCAAGAAATAAATCTCTTAGCAGGAAAAAAGCACAGATCTAAATTTTTCCTCTTTGAATGATGAAATCCAGTAAGGTCTGAAGTTAGGTTTTCAGGAATATTGTGTTACTGTCAGGGTATAGTAACACAGAATCTATTGGAACAAAATGTACTTAGCTTGTAACCATGATTAATTAATATGGAAACATAGCCTTTGCAAAATTTACAGTGTGGCAACCTTGGCCACACCCAAAGCTGAATCAATCAAAAGAGTCTCATGCTCATGGATTGGAAGAATCAATGTCATTAAAATGACCATACTGCCCAAAGCAATTTACAGATTCAATGCTATTCCTATCATACTAGCAATGTCATTCTTCACAGAATTAGAAAAAGCTACTTTAAAATTCATGTGGAACCAAAAAAGAGCCTGAATAGCCAAAGTATCCTAAGCAAAAAGAACAAAGCCAGAGGCATCACACTATCCAACTTCCAACCACACTATAAGGCTACAGTAACCAAAACAGAATGGTACTGGTACAAAAACAGACAAATAGACCAATGGAACAGGATAGAAAACTCAGAAATAAAGCTTCACATCTACAACCAACTGATCTTCAACAAGTCTGACAAAAATGAACAATGGGGAAAGGACTTCCCATTCAATAAATGCTGCTGGGATAACTGGCTAGCCATATGTAGAATAAAAAAAACTGGAACCCTACCTTTTATCATATACCAAAATTAACTAAAAATTGATTAAATATTTAAATGTAAGACCTCAAACTATAAAAATTCTAGAAGAAAACTTAGAAAATATCTTTTTCAACATTGGCCTTGGCAAAGAATTTATGGCCAAGCCCCCAAAAGCAATTGCAACAAAAACAAAAATTGACAAGTGGGACTTCATTAAACTAAAGAGCTTTTGCACAGCAAAATAAACTATCAACATACTAAACAGACAACCTACAGAATGGGAGAAAATATTCACAAACTAGGCATCTGACAAAGGTCTAATATCAAGAATCTATAGGGAATTTAAACAATTCAACCAGCAAAAAGCAAATAACCCCATTAAAAAGTAGGCAAAGGAAAAGACACTTCTCAAAAGAAGACATACATGAGGTCAATATATGAAAAAATGCTCAGCATCAGTAACACTCAGGGAAATGCAAATCAAAACTACAATGAAATACCATCTCACACCAGTCAGAATGGCTACTAAAAAGTGAGAAAATAACAGATGTTGATGAGGTTGCAGAGAAAAAGAAATGCTTATATACTATTAGTAGGAATGTAAATTAGTTCAGCCACTGTGAAAGCAGTTTGGAGATTTCTCAAAGAACTTAAAACAGAGCTACCATTCAAACCAGCAATCCCATATCATTATATCAAAAAGCCACATGCACTCATATGTTCATCATTAGCTATTCATAACAGCAAAAACATGGAATCAATCGAGGTGCCCATCAATGGTGGATTGGATGAAGAAAATATGGTACATATACACCATGGAATACTATGCAGCGATGAAAAAGAATGAACTCATGTCCTTTGCAGCAACTTGGATGGAATTGGAGGCCATAATCCTAAGTGAATTAATGTAGGAACAGAAAGCCAAATACTGCATGTTCTCACTTATAAGTGAGAGGTAAACATTGAGCATATATGGATATAAACATAGGAACAATAGACACTGTGGACTACTAGAAGGCGGGTAGGTGTGGGTTGAAAAACTACATATTGGGTACTATGCTCACTACCTGGGTCCAATATACCCATGTAACAATCCTACACATGTATCCTTAATATCTAAAATAACAGCTAAATTTTTTAAGTCATCCTTTCGAATTGATTTCTCTTCCCTCTCTCTATGTATGGGTGTGTGTGCACATATGCTACACTACGAACACAAGTATGTTTTGATATTGGTCTGATTGGTTAAACAAAGTCAACCAAAGCAATATAAACTGTACATATTAAGATTATACTACATACACGCTTGGTGCTAGTTAATGTAGAGCTTACAACAAATCCTAAAACACAGTTCATTTCCTCAAGAATGTTACCTATTAGGGTTACAAAAATGAGTAAGATACTTTTTTTATTCATTCATCAGGATCCTACAGAAACCTGCTAAAGGCTACATGGTAGGTTTTTCAAGAAGAGTCAGGCTTTAGGTATTTTGTGCAATTACTGATTTTATTCATATTTTGGATTCCTGTAAGGGTATTACTAACTTAGGTTTTTGGTTGTTGTTATTGTAATAATTAAGTGAGGTGACATATTTTACACAGTAAAAGGCAGTATTAATAGAGGTTAAAAATCAGATGCTTAAGAATCAAATGACCTGGATTACCTTGAGTTATTTAAACTCTAATACTGCTTCTTCATCTATCAAATAAAGATAGTAAAAGTACATAATTCAGAGGGCTAAACTCAGAGGATTAAATAAATTAATACATGTAAAATATCTAGTATACTGTAAGCAATCAATAAATGTTAAAATGCTATTACATGTTTGATAATGTTAGTCAGGCAACAAATATGGAAATATAATGGCTCAAGGGTACTCTAAAAAACTATGGCTGAACCATAGAGTTTGAGAAGGAAACTGAGACAGATGAGGCTGGGCACAGGCCTAACTGTGAAGAGCCTTGCGGGTCATGTTAATTTTGATCTTAAAAGCAATGAGGAACTATTAAATTGTCTTACAGAGGAGAGGCACATGATCAAATTTATTCTTTTGAAGATTTCTGGCCAGGGTGGAGAGGAGGGCTCAGAGGGAAGTAGAGAGACCTCTTGGCAAGCCTTTGTACCAGCAAATAAGTGTTGATTATATGAATTAGTATAGGGACTGTGGGGTCAGAGAGAAATGGATGGAATCAAGAGATAATTAGAAAATAGGAGAAGAGAAGGAAGGGAGAAAGAAAGAGAAAAGAATATGGGCAACTAGATGGATGATAATGCCATTCATTCACTGATGAGAGGAACGTAGAAAGAAACAGATTTGTGACGAAATGATTGATATAGCTTCGGGCACGATGAACTTAGAGAGAGCTTAGAGAAGTTAATCGAGCCAATAGACTGTGAAAGTTGGATGAGGTGACCTCTAAGGTTCCTTCTAGTTCTATCAGTACAACTATAGATTTACAGATCCACTGTCTGTTGCAATGGCAATCACAAGGAATCTCTGAGCTCTGCCTCTCTGTGGTGAAGAAACCACACCCGGCCAGGCATAGTGGCTCACACCTGCAATCAATCCCAACACTTTGGGAGGCTGAGGCGGGCCAATTGCTTGAGCCCAGGAGATCAAAACTAGCCTGGACAACATAGCAAAACCCTGTTTCTACAGAAAAATACAAAAAAGTTAGCTGGGCATGATGGTGTGTGCCTGTAGTCCCAACTACTTGGGAGGCAGAAGTGGAGGATCACTTAAGCCTGGGAGCACGAGGCTGCAGTGAGGTGTGATCATGCCACTGCACTCCAGCCTGGGCGACAGAGCAAGACCCTGTCTCTAAATAAATAAATGTAAAAAATAAAACAGAGTAAACCACACCCAAGAGACCACTTGGCCCATATTTAAGTAAATGCTCAATCCCACACCCTGGTATAGACTCAGTGCCATTGGCTGTTTGAATAAGACCACACAGAGTCCCACTTCTTTCCTATTCATTTGTGTTTGATTTGAAACCTGGATATACCCCACTACCACCCACATATATATTCCATTTATGGTTTTGCCCTGACTCTGATGCCCAGGTTGGATCTCTGTACACTGACTCACCTACTTGGTTTTTTCAATCTGTCCTTCCCTCTAATTTGAGGCAAAATTCTGAACTATGACCTGGATTGCATGCTCTAGTGGTACCTTCCTATATAACTACCCACATGCTGTTATAATTTAGATGCTCCGAGGATGAATAGAATTGGAAAGCTTTAGCCCCTGTAGGCTCAAAATCCCTTACCTTCTGTCATCTTCTTTGTACTAATACTTCCCAGAAGCCAGAAACGACCTTAGCTCTAAGCCCACAGTGAACAGAGTCAAGAATCATAATAGGTTATGCTATTCCTATGTTTCAAGAACATAATCATCAATAGTCAATAAATTGATCCATAGCACCACCCATCATTTAATAAACTATTCTCCACTGTGGTGTACAATTTCATAACAATTTCATCATTAGCCTTTAAACCTCAACAATAGGTCACTCCATATAAACCATAAATCTGTTTTCTTATCTAAGAGAGGAGCAAGTTTGCCTCATAATAAGTTCAGACAGCAAATGCGCACAGTGGCTGTGGTCATGGTCTGAAAAGAAAGGTGGCTTGGGAATGAGGAAAAATATTTGGGACTTATCCACAGGCCTGGTCATTGCGAACTGGCAAGAAAATAGAAAGGCACCATTAAATTTGGGGTGAGTCTTGAATTAGGCTATGACACATCTGTGTTGCCAAACATGAATTTTGGGAAAAAGAGACACTCACCTGCTTACAGTTTCCTTTGCATAAGTCAGTTTCTAAGGAAAACAAAGATATAAAAATGACTGAGTTAACAACAGTTATTAAGGAGTAAATAAAACTTATTTCATAGAGACCACTACTGCCCTACCATGGTAGAATCTATGTTAGTACTCTCTATGGTTAGACAAGTGATTAAAACAGGTAATAATGATACCAAGTTTGTTTTGTGACTATAGCAACACCCTGACATTCAGTCTCTGCTTATATGCACAGAAGTTCCTATGTTCTTTCTTAATGGGCTCAAATAACAGGCTTGATCTGCCAATCATCTTATGAACATATAAAAGTTACAGACTTGCAGAGTTTTACATAAACCTGCCATGGATTTAGAATCAAATAATTTTTTATCTAATGTATTTATAGTAATTCTCATCCTAGAACAATGTAAACATGTGGATAAAACAATTGATGTTTGTTTCTACAGAATTCAGACAAAAAAGACATATCATATCAATAATTGGATTATTCCCCAGGGGCATTCTAAAGCAAATTTCCTGCAAGTTTCCCCTAAATTAGGATTGTTATTTTGAGATCAATATGATAGAAGGAATAGTGACTTGGAATCAGGAGACCCAGTTTCAAGTTCCAGTTTCCCCTCCTTAGCTATACAGGAAAATCCCAAAATCTCTCTGGTGCCAGGCCTCAATTTCCTCATCAGTAAAACAAAGAGACTGTTATTCTAAATACCTCTCATTGCATTTAGAAATGACTCACTGCTCTTCTTGCTCTACAGACTCTCCCAGAATAATCTCAGCCACTCTCATGGTTTCAGTTACAGGCATACCTCTGATATATTACAGGTTTGGTTCCAGACCAAATAAAAGCTCAATAAAGCAAATATCCCAATAAAGCAAGTCACATATTTTTTGGTTTCCTAGTGTATATAAAAGTTATGCTTACATTATACTGTAGTCTATTAAAAGTGCAATAACATTACATCTAAAAAAGGTATATACCTTAATTTTAAAATACTTTATTGCTAAAAAATGCAAACAATCCTCTGAGCTTTCAGCAAGTCATCATCTTTCTGCTTCTGGAGGGTCTTGCCTCCAAGTTGATGGCTGCTGACTAATCAGAATGATGGCTGCTGATGATTGAGGTAACTGTGGCAATTTCATAAAAATAAGACAACAATGAATTTGGCCCCATCAATTGATTTTTTCTTTCACGAAAGAGTTCCCTGTGATATGTAATGCAGTTGATAACATTTTATCTAAAAGTCCTCTTAAAATTGGAGTCAATCTTCTCAAATCCTGTCACTTCTTTATCAACTGAGTTTATCTAATAGTCTAAATCCTTTATTGTCATTTCAATACTGTTCACAGCATCTTTACCAGAAGTAGATTCCATCTGAAGGAACAACTTTCTTTGCTCATTCATAAGAAGAAATTTCTCATTCATTCAAGTATTATTATGAAATTGTAGCAATTTAGCCTCATCTTCAGGCTGTACTTCTACGTCTAGTTCTCTTGCTATTTCCACCACATCTGCAGTTACTTCCTCTACTGAAGTCTTGAACCCCTCGAAGTCATCCATGAGAGTCGGAATCAACGTCTTCCAAATCCCTATTAATGTTGGTATTTTGATCTCACCTATTGAGTCATGAATGTTGTCAGTGCCATCTAGATGGTAAATCCTTTCCTGAAGATTTTCAGTTCACTTTGCCTAGATCCATCAAAGAAATCACTATCTACGGCAGCTGTATGAAAAGTATTTCTAAAATCACAACACTGAAAAGTTGAAATTACTCCTTACTCCATGGGCTGCAGAATAAATATTGTATTGGCAGGCATGAAAACAACATTAATCTCCTTGTACATCCCCATCAGAGCTCTTGGGTGGCTATGAGCATTGCCCATAAGCAGTGATACTTGGAAAAAAAAAATTTTCTGAGCAGTAGGTTTCAAAGGTGGGCTTAAAAGATTCAGTAAACCATACTGTAAACAGATGTGGTGCCATCAGACTTTTTTGTTCCATTTATAGAGCATAAGTAGAGTAGATTTAGCAAATTTCTTAAGGGCCCTAGGATTTTTGGCATGGTAAATAAGTATTGCCTTCTAATTTAAGTCACTAGCTGCATTATCCCATAACAAGAAATTCAGTCTGTCCTTCATTGAAGCCAGGTATTGACTTCTCTCTAGCTATTGAAGTTCTAGATGGCATCTTTGTCCAATAGAAGGCTGCTTCATCCACATTAAAAGTCTGTTGTTCCATGTAGCCACCTTCATAAATTATCTTAGCTAGATCTTCTAGACAACTTGCTACAGCTTCTGCATCAGCACTTGCTTATGTTATAAAGATAGCTTCTATTCTTAACTACATAAACCAACCTCTGCTATCTTCCAACTATTCTTCTGAAGCTTCCTCGCCTCTCTCAGCCTTCATAGAATTGAAAAGAGTGAAGCCTTGCTCTGGATCTGGCTTTGGTTAAGGGAATGTTATGGCTGGTTTGATCTTCCACTCCGACCACTAAAACTTTCTCCATATCAGCAAGAAGGCTGTTTTGCTTACTTATCACTAATATGCTCACTGGAATAGCACTTTAAATTTATTTTTATTTATTTATTTATTTACTTTTACTTTAAGTTCTGGGATACAAGTGTAGAATGTGTAGGTTTGTTACGTAGGTATACATGTGCCATGGTGGTTTGCTGCACCTATCAACCCATCATCTAGGTTTCAAGCCCCGCATGCATTAGCTGTTTGTCCTAATGCTCTCCCTCCCCTTGGCCCCCACCCCCCGACTAGCCCTGGTTTATGTTGTTCCCCTTCCTTTTTCCATGTGTTCTCACTGTTCAACTCCCACTTATCAATGAGAACATGCAGTGTTTGGTTTTCTGTTCCTGGGTTAGTATGCTGAGGATGATGGCTTCCAGCTTCATCCATGTCTCTGCAAAGGACATGCTCTCATTCCTTTTTATGGCTGCATAGTATTCCATGGTGTATACGCACCACGTTTTCTTTATCCAGTCTCTCATTGATGGGCATTTGGATTGGTTCCATGTCTTTGCTATTGTAAATAGTGGTGCAATAAACATACATGTGCATGTGTCTTTATAGCAGAATGATTTATATTCATTTGGGTATATACCCAATAATGGGATTGCTGGGTCAAATGGTTTTTCTGGTTCTAGACCCTTGAGGAATCACCACACTGTGTTCCACAATACTTGAACTAATTTTCATTCCCACCAGCAGTGTAAAAGCATTCCTATTTCTCAACAGCCTCGCCAGAATCAATTGTTTCTCGACTTCTTAATAATTGCCATTCTGACTGGTGTGAGATGGTATGTCATTTTGGTTTTGATTTGCTTTTCTCAAATGACCAGTATTGATGAGCTTTTTTTCATATGTTTGTTGGCTGCATAAATGTCTTCTTTTCAGAAATGCTGTTATATCCTATGCCCACTTTTTGATGGGGTTTTTTTCTTGTAAATTTAAGTTCCTTGTAGATTCTAGATATTAGACCTTTGTCAGATGGGTAGATTGCAAAATTTTCTCCCATTCTGTAGGTTGCCTGTACACTCTAATGAGAGTTTCTTTTGCTGTGTGGAAGTTTTTTAGTTTAATTAGATCTCATTTGTCAATTTTGGCTTTTGCTGCTATTGCTTTTAGCATTTTCGTCATGAAGTCTTTGCCCATGCCTACGTCCTGAATGGTATTGCCTAGGTTTTCTTCTAGGGTTTTTATGATTTTGGGTTTTACATTTAAGTCTTTAATCTATCTTGAGTTAATTTTTGTATAAGGTGTAAGGAAGGGGTCCAATTTCAGTTTTCTGCATATGGCTAACCAGTTTGCCTAGCACCATTTATTAAATAGGGAATTCTTTCCCCAGCTTGTTTTTGTCAGGTTTGTCAAAGATCAGATGGTTGTAGATGTGTGGTGTTATCTCTGAGGTCTCTGTTCTGTTCCATTGGTCTATATGTCTGTTTTGGCACCAGTACCGTGCTGTTTTGGTTACTGTAGCCTTGTAGTCTAGTTTGAAGTCAGGTAGCATGATGCTTCCAGCTTTGTTGTTTTTGCTTAAGATTGTCTTAGCTATACGGGCCCTTTTTAAGTAGTTTTTTCTAATTCTGTGAAGAATGTCAATGGTAGTTTGATGGGAAGAGCATTGAGTCTATAAATTACTGTGGGCAGTATGGCCATTTTCATGATATTGTTTCTTCCTATTCATGAGGATGGAATGTTTTTTCATTTGTTTGTGTCCTCTCTTATTTCCTTGAACAGTGAGTGGTTTGTAGTTCTCCTTGAAGAGGTTCTTCACATACCTTGTTAGCTGTATTCCTAGGTATTTTATTCTTTTTGTAGCAATTGTGAATGGGAGTTCATTCATGATTTGGCTCTCCACTTGTCTATAATTGGTGTATAGGAATGCTTGTGTATTTTGCACATTGATTTTGTATCCTGAGACTGCTGAAGTTGCTTATCAGCTTAAGGAGTTCTGGGGCTGAGACAATGGGGTTTTCTAAACATAGAACCATGTTGTCTGCAATCAGAGTCAATTTGACTTCCTCTCTTCCTACTTGAATACCATTTATTTCTTTCTCTTGCCTGATTGCCCTGGCCAGAAATTCCAATACTATGTTGAATAGGAAGAGTGAAAGAAGGCATCCTTGTCTTGTGCCGGTTTTCAAAGGGAATGTTTCCAGCTTTTGCCCATTCAGTATGATATTGGGTGTGGGTTTTTGTCATAAATAGCTCTTATTATTTTGAGATATAGTCCATCAATACCTAGTTTGTTGAGAGTTTTTAGCAGGAAGGGCCGTTGAATTTTGTCGAAGGCCTTTTCTGCATCTATTGAGATGATCATGTGGTTTTTGTCATTGGTTCTGTTTATGTGATGGATTACGTTTATTGATTTGCCTATGTTAAAGCAGCCTTGAATCCCAGGGATGAAGCCAGTTTGATCGTGCTAGATAAGCTTTTTGATGTACTGCTGGATTGGGTTTGCCAGTATTTTATTGAGGATTTTTGCATCAATGTTCATCAGGGATATTGGCCTAAAGTTTTCTTTTTTTGTTGCGTCTCTTCCAGGTTTTGGTAGTAGGATGATGCTGGCCTCATATAATGGGTTAGGGAGGAGTCCTTCCTTTTCAATTGTTTGCAATAGTTTCAGAAGGAATGGTACCAGCTCCTCTTTGTATCTCTGGTAGAATTCGGCTGTGAATCCATCTGGTCCCAGGATTTTTTTTTTGGTTGGTAGACTATTAATTACTGCCTCAATTTCAGAACCTGTTATTGGTCTATTCAGGGATTCTGAATCCATTCAGGACTTCTTCCTGATTTAGTCTTGGGAGGGTGTATGTGTCCAGGAATTTATCCGTGTCTTCTAGATTTTCTAGTTTATTTGCATAGAGGTGTTTACAGTATTCTCTGACGGCAGTTTTTGTTGTTGTTGTTGTTGTTGAGACAGAGTCTCACTCTGTGGCCCAGGCTGGAGTGCAGTGGCGTGATCTCGGCTCACTGCAAGCTCTGCCTCCCAGGTTCACGCCACTCTCCTGCCTCAGCCTCCCGAGTAGCTGGGACTACAGGCGCCAGGCGCCAGCCACCACGCCTGGCTAATTTTTTGTATTTTAGTAGAGACAGGGTTTCACCATGTTAGCCGGGATGGTCTCGATCTCCTGACCTCATGATCCGCCCACCTCAGCCTCCCAAAGTGCTGGGATTACAGGCGTGAGCCACCACGCCCGGCCGGCAGTTTTTAATTCTGTGGGATCAGTGGTGATGTCCCCTTTATCATTATTTATTGTGTCTATTTGAGTCTTCTCTCTTTTCTTCTTTATTAGGATAGCTAGCAGTCAATCTATTTTGTAAATTTTTTCAGAAAACCAGCTCCTGGATTAATTGATTTTTTTTTTTGGAGGATTTTTTGTGTCTCTGTCTCCTTGAATTCTGCTCTGATCTTAGTTGTTTCTTGTGTTCTGCTAGCTTTTGATTAGCTTCCACTTGCCTCTCTGGCTCTTTAATTGCGATGTTAGCATGTCAATTTTAGATCTTTCCTGCTTTCTCTTGTGGGCATTTAGTGCTATAAATTTCCCTCTTAACACTGCTTTAGCTGTGTCCCAGAGATTCTGGTATGTTGTATCTTTGTTCTCATTGGTTTCAAATAACTTCTTGATTTCTGCCTTAATTTCATTATTTACCCAGGAGTCATTCAGGAGCAGGTTGTTCAATTTCCATGTAACCATGTGGTTTTGAGTGAGTTTCTTAAGCCTCAGTTCTAATAGGATTACACTGTGGTCTGTGAGACTATTTGTTATGATTTCAGTTCTTTCACATTTGTTGAGGAGTGTTTTACTTCCAGTTACGTGATCAATTTTAGAACAAGTGCCATGTGGCACTAAGAAGAATGTGTATTCTGTTGATTTGGGGTAGAGAGTTCTGTAGATAACTATTAGGTCCACTTGATCCTGAGCTGAGTTCAAGTTCTGAATATCCTTGTTAATTTTCTGTCTTGTTGATCTGTCTAATATGACAGTGGAGTGTTAAAGTCTCTCACTATTATTGTGTGGGAATCTAAGTCTCTTTGTAGGCATCCAAGAACTTGTTTTATGAATCTGAGTGCTTCTATATTGGGTGCATATATATTTAGGATAGTTAGCTCTTCTTTTTGAATTGGTCCCTTTACTATTATGTAATGCCCTTCTTTGTCTTTTTTTATCTTTGTTGGTTTAAAGTCTGTTTTGTCAGAGACTAGGATTGCAACCCCTGCTTTTTTTTTTCTTTCCATTTGCTTGGTAAATTTTCCATCCCTTTATTTTGAGCCTATGTGTGTCTTTGCATGTCAGATGGGTCTCCTGAATACAGGACACCAGTGAGTCTTGACTCTTTATCCAATTTGCCTGTCTGTGTCTTTTAATTAGGGCATTTAGCCCATTTACACTAAAGGTTAATATTGTTATGTGTGAATTTGATTATGTCATCATGATGCTAGTTGGTTATTTTTGCACACTAGTTGATGCAGTTTCTTCATAGTGTCATTGGTCTTTATATTTTGGTGTGTTTCTGCAGTGGCTGGTACCAGTTTTTCCTTTCCATATTCAGTGCTTCCTTCAGGAGCTCTTGCAAGGCAGGCCTGATGGTGATGAAATCTCTCAGTATTTGCTTGTCTGGAAAGGATTTTATTTCTCCTTCACTTATGAAGCTTAGTCTGGCTGAACATGAAATTCTGGGTTGAAAATTCTTTTATTTAAGAATGTTGAATATTGGCCCCCACTCTCTTCTGGCTTGTAGGGTTTCTGCTGAGAAGTCCACTGTTATTCTGATGTTCCTCCCCTCTGTTGGCAACCCTGCCTTTGTCTCTGGCTGCCTCTAACGTTTTTTTCTTCATTTCAACCTTAGAGAATCTGATGATTATGTGTCTTGGGGTTGATCTTCTCATGCAGTATCTTAGAGTGTTCTCTGTATTTCCTGAATTTGCATGTTGGCCTGTCTTGCTAGGTTGGGGAAGTTCTCCTGGATAATATCCTGAAGTATGTTTTACAACTTGGTTCCTTTCTCCTTGTCTTTTTCAGGTACTCCACTCATCATAGGTTTGGTTTTTTTTACATAGTCCCATATTTCTCAGAGGTTCCATTTGTTCCTTTTCATTCTTTTTTTCTAATCTTGCCTGCATGCCTTATTTCAGCAAAATAGTCTTCAAACTCTAATATCCACTTGGTCGATTCAGCTACTGATTCTTGTGTATTTTTCATGAAGTTCTCATGCTGTGTTTTTGAGCTCCATCAGGTCATTTACATTCCTCTCTCAACTTGTTATTCTAGTTAGCAGCTCCTGTAACCTTTTATCAAGGTTCTTAGCTTGTTTGTATTGGGTTAGAAAATGCTCCTTTAGCTCAGCTGTGTTTGTTATTACCCACCTTCTGAAGCCTACTTCTGTCAATTCATCCATCTTATCCTCCATCCAGTTCTTCACCCTTGCTAGAGAGGCACTGCAATCATTTGGAGGAGAAGAGGCACTCTGGCCTTTTGGGTTTTCAACCTTTTTTTGTTGATTCTTTCTCATCTTTCTAAGTTTGTCTAGTATCAATCCTTGAGGATGCTGACCCTTGGATTGAGTTTTTGTAGGGAATTTTTTTGTTGTTGATGCTGTTGTTGTTGTTTTCTGTTTGTTTGTTTTTCTTGCAATGGTCAGGTCCCTCTTCTGTAGGGCTGCTGCAGTTTGCTAGGGGTTCACTGTTCAGGCCCTACTCATCTGGTTCATTCCCATGCCTGGAGATGTCACTCGAGGAGGCTGGAGAACAGCAAAGATGGGTGCCTGCTCCTTCCTCTGTGATCTCTGACCTCAAGGGGCACCAACCTGATGCCAGTAGAAATGCTACTGTATAGGGTGTCTGACAACCCCTGTTGGAGGGTCTCACCCAGTTGGGTGACACAGGGAACAGGACACACTTAACAAAGCACTTTGCCCCTTGGTGGAGGGGGTGTGCTTCACTGTGGGGAAACCCACTCATCTGGGTTGCCTAGATTCCTCAGCACTACCAGGAGGGAAGACTAAATCTACCCGTCCGCAGAGACTGTGGCCACCCCTCCCTCTAGAGGCTCAAGCCCAGGAAGATTAGAGTCTGTCCCTAAGTCCCTGGATGGAGTTGTTGGAGTTCCTGCAAGGAGGCCCCACCCAGTGAGCAGGGACATGTCAAGGTCCGGCCTGAAGAGGCGCTCTGTCCGCAGTCTGCCACAGCTAGTGTGTTGGACTGTGGGGTATACCTCTTGGGAGCAAGCCGTCCAGCCTCCCTGGCTCCAGCAGGGGAAAGACATGGCCTGGAGCTATAGAGATGGCTGCCACCCTTCCCCCACCCTGGGAGCTTAGTGTGTTAGGCAGCTATCAGTCCCAGTGTTGGCTGTAGCCCCTCCTGCAAAGGAGTTCAAAGGGCTTAGACAGCAGGCAGCCACAGCGGTGGTGCTGGTTGCCCCTCCCGCGGGGAGCTCCGCAGGCTTAAGCAGATTCTAGCTTAGTGGCTGTTGAAAATCTGCTTGGTTCTGTGGTTGGGACCCTAGGCCCCGGAGGTATGGGCTCCCAAGTGAGATCTTCTGATCTGTGGGTTGCACAGTTCCGTGGAAAAAGCACGTTTTCCCAGGCTGGGTAGCAGGCTCACTCACTGCCTCCCTTGGCTGGGGGCTGCGGCACCACACTGCTCTTCCTTCCTCTCCGTGGGTCACGCCAGTTGCCTAGTCAGTTCTGATGACAAAACCTGGATACCTTGGCTGCCAGTGCAGGATTCACATGCTGTTATGGTTCTTTTAGATGGAGCCACAGATTGCCACTGCTTCTAGTTGGCCATCTTGGCCCCGCCCCCCACTTTTAATTTCTTTCAAGAACTTTTCCTTTGCGTTCACAACTTAGCTAACTATTTGGTGCAAGAGACCTAGCTTAAGGCCTATCTCAGTTTTTGACATACTTTCCTCACTATACTTAATCATTTCTAACTTTTGATTTAAAGTGAGAGACATGCTATTCTTCTTTTCACTTGAACACTTAGAAGCCATTGTCGGGTTATTAACTGGCCTAATCTCAATATTGCTGTAACTCAGGGAATAGGGAGGCCTGAGGAGACGGCTTGAGGCCTGAGAGACCAAGGAAAAGTCAGTCGGTGGAGTTGTTGAAACACAAACAACATTTATCAATTAAGCTTGTTGTCTTACATGGATATTGTTCATGGCACTCCACAACAATTACAATAGTTATTGTAATTGTAATAATCAAAGATCACTGATCACAGATCACATAAGAGATAAAGAAAATAATTTTTTAAAATTTCGAATATTTTGAGAATTACCAAAATGTGAGACAGAGACACAAAGTGAGCACATGCTGTTGGAAGAATGGTACTAACAGACTTGCTTGACACAGGGTTGTCATAAACCTTTGATTTGTAAAAAATGCAGTATCTGTGAAGCACAATAAAGGGCAGCACAATAAAATAAAGTATGCCCGCACTAAGTCCAAAATGGTGATTCCTATAGCAACATTGGCATCCCAGACCCCTATCCTTGGCTTCATACCCAAATAGCAAACAATTCACATTTCACACAGGTGGTTCAAATGAATACATCAAAAGTGAACTCATTCTCCCTGCCACATCTACAAAGCTGCTTCTTTGCCCTCGTTATTGGTCTTAGTTACCCAAGCCAGAAACTGGAAGGCTTCTTGGGCCATTCCTTCACCCTGTCTCGACCCATCAGTGTCCTACTAATTTTGTTCCTATTTACATCTCTCAAGTTTCCTTTGTCTATCTCATGGTCTGGTTGGTATCTTTATCCTCTTTGGCCTGGAGTACTGATGCAACACCCTACCTTGTCTCTCTGTTCCAGTTTTATCTCCTATAATCCATCCTATGCTATGTAGAAACCGTAACGACCTTTTTAAAATTCAAAACTGCCAAATCAGCTCCTGCAACTTACCTACCTACAACCCTTCAATGGTTTCCTGCGATCTACAGAGTTAAATCCAAGCTTGTTCAGTTATCCATTGTTTTAGTCTGATCTCCTGTCATTCCTAGTCTACCTCTTTGGTATATTGACCGAGGTCATTCCCTACAAACACTTGGCTCGTGCTGTCCTTTCTGCCTAGAATGTTTATCCCCAGCTCTTCTTCATTTAAGTAACTTGTACTTATCATTTACAACTCTATCTAGGCAACACATCATTCCCTTCATCTGCTTTTTCTATTAAATAATTATTGGAAGTATATTTTCTATGCCTTCAAATATAAATTTACTAAAAGTTCCACTTGTAAGAGATACATTCCAAGGTAACATCAGAAGATTCTGTTCTTCTGGTAATACTAACCCATCATATATATTTGCCACACTAATGGCTGATCCTATATTGCGGACATAATTAAGATAGGCAATGCAATTAGAAATATAAGTATGTATATGTGTGTGTATGTCTATATATTTTCCATTAAATAGCTATCCCATGTTAGCCACTGCAATTTGTAAAATTGGTAATGATTGAGAAAGGAGGCCCAATGGTGTGAAGGGAAAAGACATCAATTTTGGAAAAGAGAACTGGGTTTGGATTTAAGCTCCATCATATCTGGTTTTATGTTATAGAATAAAGAATTTAATAATTATATGTCCATATCTGTAAAATGGGGACATTACCACCTCCTTATAAGGTTGCTGTTATAACATCTAATAATTTATTGATGAGCTTGATACATGACATGGTACATGGTAGATACTGAATAAATAGTAGCTATCAACATAGTTATTAATACTGAGCAGTTAAAAATGTGGCAGGCAAAAAACACATGCAATACGTTTCATTAAAATGTGAGGTGCCATGATTAAAAGTTGCGTTCATTTTAAAACACACAAAACCCTGCACAGCTTCAAAACATTTATACCCTCGCAAAATTTGTCTTTGGTCCACCCACGTTTATCAAACCATCCTTCTCTCCCCAACGTCCCCCATTTAATAAGATCATTCCTCTCTTGGACTAAATGTTAAAAGAATATAATTCTTCTACTATAAATAAAATTTAAAAATAGAATAGGATAATATATTTTATTACCTTTACGATATACTAATCTGATTTGATTATACACAAAATAGCTCAGTGTTATTCAGTCAATAATTATTTCCTCAGTCTCTGTAAGGTATGTAATACTTAGAACCAGTACTTAAAATAATCTTCATAAAGTTTATAAATTGTACCAAGTAAAAAAATACAATGTGGTTATTGCTCATATACTCATTTAAACAAACATCTATTGCATATTTACTACCTTATGGGAATGCAAAAATGAACAAACAATGACATAATCCTTGCCTTTTGACTCATAGTCTAGAAGAGGAATTAGTCACATATACAAGCAATCATCATAAAATATAAACAGTACAGTATTAAAAATGAATAAAGAATTGTGGGAGCTCGAAGAATAATGGTAGCTAAATCTTCTAGGCTGAGGTTTGGTTCCTTGCAAGGGAAGTTACATATGAGGACACAGAGGAACTGAATAGATGGACAGGGAGATATACGGAATAACAAACAGCATGAACAATTTGCCACGTACGTCTGGACAGTTTCACTTTCTTGTCATGAATACATATGTGCTACACGAAAAGGGAAAAGTGGCAGGTAATTTGTCTTTATGCATGTTTATTTATCCTTTGCTAAGAGTAAAACAATGTCTAAAACAAGGAAAACAAGTGAGCACACTCATTATTAGAATCATACCTATGCCTCACTAAACATTTATTCAAATGAACTATGTCCTCTATCTTAATTAGAGTTATTGCTATTCACTCTGAGTTGATAACATGTAAAACTTTGGCAAAAATGTTTGACTCTCACGGATTTATATTCTTAACCTAAACCTTTGCTGAATATTATTTCCAAATATTTACATCTATAAACAAGGCTGAGGCTCTTGTCTGAGTTAATAATGTCTTCTTTTTCTTTTTGTGGACAGAATAACATGAAAATATTAATAATGTATATTATAGAGGCCAGAGCTAGGAATAAAAGACTAGGCCACACCCTAGGGCAGCTTACTCAGATAGCCCAATTCAACAAAAGAGTAATACAGGCATTTGCCACTTGCTTTTGCTTCCTTTAGGCCTTAGCTGTGTAAATGCTCCTACAATAGTCCAGGAATCCCTTCCTTTGTTGTGACACTTACCTTCATGATTAAGCTTCTATGTTCCACAGATTCACTAAAATTTGTGCCCATTTCAAATATACTTGTGACTCCATCCTCACACAAATTCATCCAGTAATGATATTCCTCACGCCCAGGAAGTCGATCCCAAAAAGTCCTGAAGGCTTCCCAGACAGCTTCCTGACACACTAGAAAATAGAGAGGTGTTTTTTTACAAAAAGCTAACATGCTCTGGGGTTCTTACAATGATCATAGACTGATTCGTACAGATTCCTTGAGACACTGAAGTGTCCTTTCTGGAGGGATGTAGGAATGATTCTCAGTCAAAGGCCTTCTGTATGTATGTCCAGTTTAAACTTTTCATTTCTGAAGAGAATTTATATTTCCCATTCCTTTCTCTTACAAAGAGAATTGATTCATCTCTTCATGAGCTGGAGTGTCTCTCCCATCTCTTAAAAAAGTCCATGTTTATACTTCACAAAAGTGGAGCTGATATTGAGTATACTGTATTTAATCCAATGTTTTCCTAATGGACACTGTGATTTTCAGTTTCCTTAATGTTTGCAGATGTTCTCCTGAAATCATAACTTCAAAAATCAGCTTCTTTGCTTTTCATGATCACTGGGGAAGGAGACACTGACGTTTATAAATGGCCTGGAGCTTTTTGGCTAAATGCAGTGACATAACTGCATTGCATCTACTTGCTCAAAAAGTCATCACATATTTCTGATAAAAAAAAAAAACAGGAGTATTCAAACTTTTCCTCAAAGCTTACAGGAAGCAGAAAGTACTACATAAAATCAAGTAGAAGATATCCACCTGAAATTATCACTCTCAAACTACTATATTTCATATCTGAGAACAGAAAATAATAATCTTTTTTATACATAAAAATTTATGTTCACACAAAAACCTGCATACGGGTATTTAAAGTCGCTTTATTCATAATTGCCAAAACTTGGGGGTGATGAAGATGTCCTTCAATAGGTGAAAGGATGAACAAACTGTGATATATCTAAAATATTATTCAATGATAAACAGAAATGAACTTTCAAGCCATAAAAGACATGGAGAAAACTTTAATGCACATTGCTAAGTAGAGGAAGCCAATCTGAAATGACTGCATACTGGTGATTCCAATATCATTCTGGAAAAGGCAAAACTATGGAGACAGTAAAAAGATCAGTGGTTTCCAGGGGTTGAGGGAGACAGGGATGAATAGGAGGAGCATAGCAGATTTTTAGGGCAGTGAGAGTACTCCATATGATACTATAATGGAGGATACATGTCGTTATACATTTGTCAAAACCCATAGAATGTACAACACAAAAAGTGAACCCTAATGTTAACTATGAACTTCAGTTAAGAATAATGTGTCAATATTGGCACATAAATTGTAACACATATGCCACAATATTATAAAATGTTAATAACAGGGAAAAGTGGTGGGGGAGTTGAGGGAATACATGGTAACTCTCTAAACACACTGCTCAATTTTTCTGTAAACCTAAAACTGCTCTAAGAAATATAGCCTATTAATTTAAGAAAAAAAAATATATATACACACATACATACATACACATGAACTTTAAAATGATATTCAGGAGAAATATATTGCTGTATTATAATAAAAACTAATCAATTTATTTGCTAAGTTATTCCAAAGCATCAAATCTGAAAGGCTGCTAAATAGTATCTCTGTGCTTTTTGTATAGTACTGAATGTACTGCTGTTCTGTAACCATTTCAGAGGCGCAGGACACTGTAGGTAACAGATACATCAGGATGGAAGGGAAAAGGAAGAGAGTGGTAAGAGAGAAAGTTAGATTTAACAGAGATTAAAAAAACTATTTTTCATAGCAAGAAGATTGAACACACATCAGGCAGGATCCACATTGAGGTGGAGCCTCTGGACTCCCACAGTCAGAAGATCTAAGTTCCCGCTCTAGCTTTCCAGTATACTAGTTTGATACCATGGGTAACTTACCTAACTATTCAAAGCTTCAATTGACTCATCTCTCTTTTTAACAGGATAAATAATTACTGCCTTATTATCTTATCTGTGAAAGTATTTTACAAATTGCAAAGTGCTACATGAATATCATATGTTATTATCGTGTTCAATTCTAATTGTCCAATAGTTATTTGGTAGAAGAAGATAGTCTAAGCCAAAAAAATTCTTAAGCTTTAACAGATTATGAAATGTATGAGTATTGAAAGTTTCTCTATCAATTGGGTTTTAGGGCTAAACCAAACCTTTCATTACAAACTTAATTTGTCTTTTAGTGAACTACCTGTATCCTTATTATTGTTATTAAGAACTTCTGACCATACAGCATACAGCGGGCACTGACTGAGGCAGAGCTGAACTATTTGTAGATCATTGTTTTTCATTTCTTCTTCTTAAAACTTCGAAATGAAAATTAAAGTAAATTCCAAAAGACAATGCAAAGGTGAAAAGTCTGGGTCAGTAAAAACTAACAAAAAGTGAATGTCTATAATGTCTGGTAATGAAATGAAGTGATTCAGAGAAAGTATAAAACAATGTTTGAAAAAAATAACTATCTACCCATAGGGAAAGAAAAAATAAATCTCAATGCCTTCTTCATACTATACACAAAAAATGATTTGAAATATTAGGGCTAATACTATGAAGTTTCTAAAATAAAACATAGAAGAATATCTACATCACTTGAGGATAGACAAAGATTTTATAGGCAGTACACAGAAAGCAACAATTATGAAAGAAAAAAACAATAAATTAGAATTCATCAAAACTAAAAAGTGTCTGATTATCAAAAGATACTGTTAATAAAAATGAGTAGGCAAACCACATATCTGGCAGAAAATATTCCAAATACATATATCTGCCAAAGAACTGGTATTTAGGGCACTGAAATAATTCCTACAACTCCCTAACAAAAAAACAAACAACCTAATTTTTACAATAGGTAAAAGGCTGGAATATATACTTCACAAAGGAAGAGATAAAAATAGCCAATGAGTATGTGAAAAACTGTTCACCATCATTCATTTTTCAGAGAAATTCAAATTAAAGTATCCACACACAAACCAAGAATGACTGAAATTTTTACATGGACAACACCAAAATTTGGCAAAAATGCAGAGCAACCAAAAGCCTCATTTTTGGTAGGAATGTATAATAGTATAACCACTTTGAAATAAATGTTAATTGTTTCTTATATAACAAAATATACACCAATCCTATTGTATTAGTCCATTCTCATGCTGCTATGAAGAAATGCCCAAGACTGGGTACTTTATAAAGGAAAGAGATTTAACTGACTCACAGTTCCACATGGGTGGGGAGGCCTCAGGAAACTTACAATCATGGTGGAAGGGAAGCAAACACATCCTTCTTCACATGGCAACAGGAGAAAGAAATGTTGAGTGAAGTGGGGGAAAGCCCCTTAAAAAGCTATCAGATCATGTGAGAACTTGCTCATTATCATGAAAACAGCATGGGGGAACAACTCCCATAATCTAATCATCTCCCACAGGGTCCTGCCTCCAACACATAAGGATTACAATTCGGATTAAAATTCAAGATGAGATTTTGGGTGGGGATACAGGCAAACTGTATCATTCTGCCCCGGCCCCTCCCAAATCTCATGTCCTCACATTTCAAAACACAACCATGCCTTTCCAACAGTCTCCCAAAGTCTTAACTCATTCCAGCATTAACCAAAAGTCCAAGTCCAAAGTCTCATCTGAGACAAGGCAAGTCCCTTCCACCTATGAGCCTGTAAAATCAAAAGCAAGTTAGTTCCTTCCTAGATACAACGGAGGTACAGACTTTGGGTAAATACACCTGTTGCAAATGGGAGAAATTGGCCAAAATTGGCCAAAATTAAGTGAAATCTTAAAGCTCCAAAATGATCTCTTCTGACTCCATGTCTCACATCCATGTCACACTGATGTAAGAGGTGGACTCCCACAGTCTTGGGCAGCTCCACTGCTGTGGCTTTGCAGGGTACAGCCCGCCTCCCAGCTGCCTTCACAGTGTGGCATTGAGTGTCTCTGGCTTTTTCAGGTGCATGGTGCAAGTTGTTGGTTGATCCACCATTCTGGGGTCTGGAGGACAGTGACCCTCTTCTCATAGCTCCACTAGTCAGTGCCCCAGTGGGGACTCTGTGTGGGGCCCCAACCCCACATTTCCCTTCCACACTGCCCTAGCAGATGTTCCCCATGAGGGCTCCACCCCTGCAAAAAACTTCTGCCTGGACATCCAGACATTTCACTACATCCTCTGAAATTTAGGTGAAGGTTCTCATACCTCAATTCTTGACTTCTGTGCACCTGCAGGCCCAACACCACATGTAAGCTGCCAAGGCCTGGGGCTTGCACCCTCTGAAGCAACAGCTTGAGCATTATGTTGGCCCCTTTTAGCCATGGCTGGCACACAGGGCACCAACTCCAGAAACTGCATAAAGCAGCAAGGCCCTGGGCCTGGCCATTTTTTCTTTCTAGGCCTCTGGGCCTGTTATGAGAGGGGCTGCTGTGAAGACCTCTGACATGCCCTGAAGACATTTTCCCCATTGTCTTGGTGATTAACATTTGGCTTATTACTACTTATGCAAATTTCTGCAACCAGCTTGAATTTCTTCTCAGAAAATGGGTTTTCTTTTCTATCACATTGTCAGGCTGCAAATTTTCTAAACTTTTATGCTGTGCTTCCCTTTTAAACATAACTTTCAATTCCAAACCATATCCTTGTGAATATATAAATCTGAACACTTTTAACAGCACCCAAGTCACCTCTTGAATGCTTTGCAGCTTAGAAATTTCTTCCATCAGATACCCTAAATCATCTCTCTCAAGTTCAAAATTCCACAGATCTCTAGGGCAGGGACAAAATGCCACCAGTCTGTTTGCTAAGACATAGTGAGTCACCTTTATTCCAGTTCCCACAAGATCCTCATCTCCATGTGAGACCTCCTCAGCCTGGACTTCATTGTCCATATCACTATCAGCATTTTGGTCAAAAACATTCAACAAGTATCTAGGAAGTTCTGAACTTTCCCACATCTTCCTGTCTTCTTCGGGGCCCTCCAAACCTTTCCAACCTCTGCCTGTTACCCAGTTCCAAAGTTGCTTCCACATTTTTGGGTATCTTTACAGCAATGCCCTACTCCTTGGTACCAATTTGCTGTATTAGTCCATTCTCATGCTGCTGTGGAGAAATATCCAAGACTGAAGAGTTTATAAAGGAAAGAGATTTAAATTATTCACAGTTCTGCATGGCTGGGGAGGCCTCAGGAAACTTACAATCATGGTGGAAGGGGGAGCAAACACATCCTTCTTCACATGGCATCGGGATAGAGAAGTGCTCTCTCTCAAGTTCAAAATTCCACAAAATTCCACTTAAACGTGGGAAAGCCCCTTATTAAGCCACAGATCTCATGAGAACTTGCTCACTATCATAAGAACAGCATGGGGGAACCACCCCCCATGATCTAATCTCCCCCCATGAGGTCCCACACCCGACATATGGGGATTATAACTCAGGATGAAATTTTGGGTGGGGACACAGCCAAACCATATCACCTATGACCCAGCAATTTCCTCCTAGGTATTCCTGTAAGCATATATCCACAGAAAGATTTATGTTCAATGCCAGAGCAACTTTATTCATAATAACTTAAAAATGAAAACAACCCAAGTATCCATCAATAGAAAAATAAACAAATGGCCATATAATGGAATCAAAAGGAAATTACTAATTCATGCAACAACATGGATGAATCTCAATGGGCTGAGTGAAAGAAGCATTACACAAAAGAGCACATACTATTCTATTTATATAAAGTCCTAGGAAAGTGAAAATAATCTATGAGTTTAAAAATGGTTCAAAGAGTGGTCACATACTAGAATGGGAAGTATCTGGGAAGGAGTATAAGAGAACTTTCTGGGGTGATAATACCCTAAAACTTAAGAGAGGTTGGGGTTAGTGTGTATTAGTCAAAAGTCACCAAGTAGTACATATAAGATTTATGCATTTCACTCTGTAAATTTCACCTTTAAGAAAGTAAACAAATATTGAGCTCTAGTTAATGATACTCATACTGAAATATCTAGAGGGAATTGCACTGATGTCTTCAACTTATGAAATACATTTAAAGGATTAGATGGTTAAGCTAGGCATGGTGGCTCACACCTGTAATCCCAGCACTTTGGGAGGCCAAAGTAGGCAGATCACTCGAGCCCAGGAGTTCAAGATTAGCCTGGGCAACGATATCTTGTCTCTACGAAAATTACAAAGAAATTAGCCGGGCATGGTGGCACGTGCCTATAGTTCCAGCTACTCCGGAGGCTGAGGTGGGAGGATCATCTGAACCCAGGGAGATCGAGTACGCAGTGAGGTGTAATCACACCACTGCACCTCAGCCTGGGTGACAAAGTGAGACCCTGTCTCAAAAAAAAAAAAAAAAAAAAAAAAAAAAAAGATGGTTACAGAGATAGACACATAATAAAGCAAACATAATAAAATGTTAACTGTAGAACTAAGCTGTGAGAATATGAGTGTTTACGACATCATTCTTTCACTTTTCTGTTTAAAATGTTTTCATAAAATCTTAGAAAAACATTATTGTGTGCCGAAGAAATGTAGTTGGAAGGAATATGGGAGAGCTTCCAGAAGTGATATAAATCACCAGGCTTCATAGCAGACCTCCCCTTGACCTCACTCCTAGCTTCACAGAATAGCACAAGCTGTCTCCTATAAATTATGCTTTGGGCAATGTTTCCCCACCTCCTATAAAAAGCTCTCTCAGTAGTTCAATGCTTTGTCTAAAATACTCCATAGAAATTCATTCTTTTAAGTTACATTTAACCCTTTTATACCTTGTAGTCTATTCAAATTCAATTGCCAGAGTCCCATTTCCAGCATGAAGAGTGAGGGGCTACACAGATCCACCCCCAAGAGAAATGGGCAAAAATCATTTTGAAAACAATCATTTAAAGCTCTGGAAATGGTCCTAGGGGCACATGACTAATGAAGAAACATTTGCTTAGGAAAATCTACTACAACTAGGTAAAAAAAAAAAAAAGTGAAAATCAGTGGTTCTAACCAGGGCAATTGGGCAAGAAAAGGAAATAAAAGGCAGCCAAATTGGAAAAGATGTAAAACTACATCTGTCTACAGATGACATGAGCTTGTATCTAGGAAAGCCTAACCTAAGGAATCCACTTTAAAACTATTTGAACTAATAAACAAGTTCAGCAGGGTTGCAGGATATAAAACTGATATACAAAAATCAGTTGTATGCCTGTATGATAGCAATGAACAATCAAAAAATGAACATAAGAAAACAAGTATGTATGCAAAAGCATCAAAAAGATTAAAATGCTTAGGAATAAACCTAAGTCTCCCAAAATGCAAAACATACTCTGAGAACCAAAAAATTATTTTAAAAAATAAAGACCTAAATAAATGGAAAAACGTCCCATATTTATAGACTGGAACATTTAACACTGTTGAGATGGCATTATCTCCAAACTGATTTACACATTCAATGCAATGTTATCAGAATACATGCTGACTTCTTTGTAGAAACTGACAACCTTACTATAAAATTTATGTGGAATTGCAAGGGACCTAGAATAGCCAAAGTAATCTTTAAAAACAACAAAGATGGTGAATTCATGCCTAATTTCAAAACATACTAAAAGCAAAGACTACAGAACTGGCACATGAATAGACATATAAATCAATGGAATACAATTGAGAGTCCAGAAATAAATCATGTGTCATGGTCAAGTGATTTTCAGCAAGAGTGCTAATATCACTCAGTGGAAAAGAATAGCCTTTTCGACAAATGGTGCTTGGAGAACTGGATAGCCACATGCAAACTAATAAATTTAGATCCTTACATCATATACAAAAAAAAATCAACTCAAAATAGATGAAAAACTTAAACGTACACACCAAAACTATAAAACTCTTAGAAAGAAATACAGGAATAAATCTTTATGACCTCAGGTTCAGCAATGGATTCTTAGTTATGACACCAAAGGCTCAAAAAAATAGATAAATTGGACTTCATCAAAATAAAAAACTTTTGTGCATGAAAGATACCATCAAGAAAGTGAAAAACAACCTACAGAATGGGATAAAATATTTTCAAATCATTTATCTGATAAGGGATTTATAGCCAGAATAAATAAATTACAGCTCAATAATAAAAAGACAAATAACATAATTTAAAAATGGGCAAAGTTCTGAACAGACATTTTCAAAGGAAGATATACAAATGATAAATAAGCATATGAAAAGTTGAACGTTATTAATCATTAGGGAAATGTAAATCAAAATCACAATGAGACATCATTTCAAACCTATAAGAATGGTTATACTTTTTTTAAAAAAAAGGAAAACATTGCTGGCAAAGATATGACTAAATCAGAACCCCCATACACTGCTGGTGGGATATAACACAGTACAATCACTTTGGAAATTAGTCTGGCAGTTCCTCATGTAGTTATAAAGTTACTATATGACCCAGAAATTCTACTCCTAGATAAATACCTAAGAGAAATGCAAACAATGTAAATGCCCATTGACTGACAAATGTGATCTATCCATACACTAAAATATTATTGGACCATAAAAAGGAATAAAGTACTGATACATGTACAACATGGATGAACTTTGAAAATAATATGCAAAGTGAAAGAAGCCAGTCACAAAAGACCATATATTATACGATCTTATTTTATGATATATCCAGAATACACAATTCTGTAAAGACAGAAAGTAGATTAGCGTTTACTTAGGCCTGGGAAGAGGGGGAAGGGAGATAAAAGGATAAAAGGATGATAGCTAAAGGGTCACATGTTTCTTTTTGAGGTGATAAAAATGTTCTTAAACTGACTGTGGTGATTTGGTATATCTGTGAATATACTAAAAAGCCACTTAATTTTGTAGTATGAATGGGTAAATTGTATCAAACTTGAATTACATCCCAATAAAAGCTGTAAAAAATGCAATTCCCTCTGGAAAGGGAATGCATGCTTAATCCAATGGCTTTTCAATTAGGAGCTATCTGACAAGAAGGTTCAACTAACTAACTTGGAATAACAGGATTCAGAATGGTTACATGTTCTGAAGCATTTGCACAGCTCAGAAAGGAGAAACCTAGATAGGACACTGTAGGCAGAAGAGAGAAGAGCAAAATCAGCATGACCTCCAGGCAAAGAGGTACTAAGGAAGGTAAAATTCCATCACTGATAAATACTGCATACTTCACTACTTGGCCTGTAACTAAACAGTTCAGAATTCCCATCCTTGTCAAATAAGGATATTATAGCCTTTGGTAACTTCTGAAGAGAGCTTTCTATTTTGAGAAGATGTACAAATGGGCTCTCTTCTAGCAGAAATAACCTGCCCTGGAAACTAGTGGTGGAAGGGAAAAATGTTATAATATTCTGAAGAAAATGCCAGCATTTAACCTGTCTTTAATCCTTCTACTAGATCTCCAGCTGTGTCTTATCTAAAACTTAGGAATCCAGAAATCCAGCATGGAATTATCTTTTTTTAGTGTAATATATTTTCCTTTCAGAATTGTGGAGCCCAAAGCATATGGAATAGTCCATTTTGGTGCAATAAGGCAAGAAAAAGAAATATAAGGCATAGAAATTGTTAAGTAGTATAACCATATTTGTAGATGAAATAATTATCTATGTAGAAAGCCCTAAGGAATATACCCAAAAAAGCTACTAGAACTGGTAAGTGAGTTCAGCAAAGTTGCAGGATAAAAGGCCAATATACAAAAATCAGTTGTATTTCTATATACTAGCAAGGAATAATCAGAAATTACATTTTTTAAAATATCACTAATAATAGATGAAAAAATGTGAAATCCTTATAAATAAATCTGATAAAAGATATGCAAGATCCATACACTAAACATTGGTTATATGTTCCTTCCATTCAATCAATAACATTGTCATTTATTTGGGATCTACAATGGCCCTAGAACTCTTAGCCAAATTCACTAAAACCTTTAAATATATTTTATATTATTATTATTCCCATTTCAAGGGTGAGGAAACTAAGATTTTAACAAATTGAATAATATTCCTAAAAACAAACAGCCAATAAACTTGTATCTCAGACTCAGATTTGCATAGCCCTGTGGCTCAAATATTGCATGGGACATACGTACACTAAAAAGATTATTTGTTGTCTATTTGAAATTGAAATTTAACTGGGTGTCCTGCATTTTTATATGCTAAATCTGGTAACCATATATATCAGTCAAGTATGGGCTGTGGATGGCTTCACTCCCTAGGACTCTAAACTTGTATAGTAAGTTTTAAACAAATGAAACTATACCCAGCGTTTGGGTCCTGAAACCTTCCATGGGCTGTTTCCCACTCTGATTCATTGGAAAATGCCAACTCATTCTTCGAAATCCAGGTTAACTAACTTCTATCACCCCAGGCATGGATGGCCATTCCCACTTGTGTCCTTCCCACATATACACTTTGTACAAACCTTTACTATTGCACACTCTACAGTGTTTTAATTATTGTGGTTAATACTATACCTGGTAGAATCAGTATAAATAAGATTTCATGTGTAAATTAACAAATGAATAAATGAATGAATAAAAATCAGAAAACATTCCTGAAAGAAACTGAAGATGACCTAAATAAATGGAGGGATATATCATGTTCATAGATCAGAAGACTCAATATAGGTTGAACATCCCTAATCCAAAAATCCAAAATGCTCCAAAATATGAAACTTTTTGAGTGCCAGCATGATACCACAAGTAGCAAATTCCACACCTGACCTCTTTTGATGGGTGACAGTCAAAATGCAGGCTCACTAGACAAGAGTACCCAAGGGAAAAAAGACTCTCCCAGCTCCCTTCAGCTGTGTTATATCTTTTCTGCCCATGTCCAGATTACTCCACCAAGCATACCTACAAGGGGTCATAAAATGGCACCCATGCAGACCAGACACACGAACAACAGTAATAAATAAAGTATGTTGTACAATAACCTTTAATCGAAACACAGAATTGTAGAAAGAAACTAGAAGCCTGCCATTGTTTGTTGTTACTGTTGTTTAACAGCTGAGGCAGGTATTCTGGTGATGCCACTGTTCTGTTTAGTACCCTGAACACATTCTTCTTCACTGTACTAACAGTATAGCATATTTTTTACTGTGAAGTACTGATATGTAAGTAAGTGTAAGAAAATTATTGTTTTTTTGTAGAATGTAAATTCAGAGTCAGGGACGATGATGATGCCAAACAACTACAGACTGTCCACGTGGGTGCCTGAAATAGTGACACCTTTGCTTTCTGATGGTTAAATGTACAAAAACTTATTTCGTGCACAAAATTATCAAAAATATGGTATAAAATTACTTCAGATAAGTGTATAAGGTGTATACGAAACATAACTGAATTCTGTGTATAGATTTCAGTCTCATTCTCAAGATATCTCATGTCTATGCAAATATTCACAAATCCAGGAAAATCTGAAACCCACAACACTTCTGGTCCCAAGCATTTTGGATAAGAAATAGTCAATCTGTATTAAGATGGCAATTCTCCCCAAACTGATCTATAGAATGAAACACAATCCAAATCAAAATTTCAGCAGCCCTTTTGTAAAAATTGGTAAGCTGATTCTAATATTTATATGGAATATAAAAGACTGCATAACCAAACAAATTTGAAAAAAAAACAGAGGTTGGAGGACTTGACTATCTGATTCAAGACCTATAATAAAGCTTACAGTAAATAAGACACTATGGTATTGGCATAAAAATAGACAAATAAGTGGAACAGAATGAAGAGGGCAGAAATAGATCCACCATATATAAACACTGATTTTCAACAAAGGTGCAAAGCCAAGAAAGGATAATCTTTTTTTAACAAATGGTATTGGAACAATTAGCTATGCATATAAAAATATTAACTTTGATCCATATGTCATAATCAAAAATTAAAGAAGATTACAGTTTTAAGTCTAGAACCTAAAAACTGTAAAAATTCTACAGGAAAAGACTGAGAAAGAAAAAACTTTGTGATCTTGGGTTAGCAAACTAAGATCAAAAACTAAAAGGATGCTCCCCCAAAAAGCCTGATAAATTTGACTTTATCAAATGTTAAAACTTCTGCTCCTTAAAATACATCATCAAGAAAATAGAAAAGGCAAGCTACAGATTGCAAGAAAAATGTATGCAAAATATATGTTTGACAAAGAACTTAAATTTAGAACACATTAAGAACTATTACAACTCAATAATAGACAAGCAACCCATTTTTTAATGGGCAAAATATTCAAATAGACTCCTCACTAAAAAAAGATATATAAATGACAGATAATTATGTAAAAAAAATGCTCAAAATTGTTAGTCATAAGTGGTTAGGAAAATGCAAATTAATACCACAATAAGATATACATCCACTGGAATGGCTAAAGTTAAAAAAGACCAACTATACCAAGTGTTGAGAGGATGTGAAGAAAACGGAATCCTACTACACTGTTGGTGATACAGTCATATTGGAAAACTTGACAATTTACTGGAAAGTTAAACGTATACCTATCACGTGACCCAGACGTTCCACTATTATTACTCAATAGAAATGAAAATATGTTCACAGAAAAACTTGTACCCAAATGACCATAATTTCTTTTCTTGTAATCAGTAATAACTAAAAACAACCCAAATATCCCATATTGTGGTATATCCGTAATATAGAATACTACCCAACAATAAAAGCTAACAAACTATTGATACACAAAACACATGCATAAATTTCAAAATAATTACACTGAGTAAAAGAAACCAGACCAAAAAAAGAGTATATACCAAAGAGTATATTCCATTTATATATAAAAGTATAGAAAATGCAAACTAATACATAGCGATAGAAAGCAAATTCATGGTTGCCTCAGTATTGGGGTAAGGAGAGGTAGTGAGGGAGGTGGGCATTATAAATGGTCATGAAGAAATGTTTAAGAGTGATTGATAGGTTTATTATCTTAACTATAATGATGGTTTCAAGGGTAAATTCGTCAAAACTAATGAAATGGTATACTTTAAATATATGCAGGCTGTATTTCATTAAAATATACCTCAATAAAGCTATATTTTAAAAAGTCCAACAACGAATATTTTTTTTAAAAAAGAGAGGGGCATCCTAGTATGCTGTTTAATTTTACAAAACATTAGGTTAAATATAGTTGTGTCTTGCTTAGAAACACTTTTCAAATTTGTTACAACAACTAGCAATTGATACCAAATTCTCTATGAAGGAAAAATTGAGCAAACCATTAGACTGAATTAGCTTGGTAGAAAGAGCTAAGATCCTTAATTGGATATTGAATAACTCCCTCCCTCTAAATTGCAAACATTTGGTGTTAAGGGCATAATACAAATTATCTCTTCAAAATCAAGCAAGACCTATGTTAAAATACTCATTTCTGTCAATTTTTAAAAACAAATGAAATATTTATTCTTTACCATGACCATAACAGCTATCTCAGCTATAATCTTGATGTGGTGTGCCAACCATCTTAGCTGTATGAGATCCCTTTTCAAGGATCCTATTCATAGCATCTGTATTTTAAAATCAATTATTCTAGGAATGCTTTATGTTCATTTTTGTCAGCTTCTTTTTCAACAGTATCTCTTGAATTTATAAAAACAAGAGCAAAGCAATCAAAAGGTATGACCAAATCCCTTACATGATTGGTTATTTCCTCTTCACTATTTAATCAGTTCCCAAAATACCAAGATATTCTTATTTTAAAATAATATAAAGTACGGTGAGACCCCATCTCTACCAAAAACACAAAAAAACAAAACAAAAAAAACTAGCTGGGCATGGTGGCATGTGCCTGTAATCCCAGCTACTTGGGAGGCTAAGGCAGGAGAATCACTTGAACCCAGGAGGTGGAGGGTGCAGTGAGCCGAGATCATGCCACTGCACTCCAGCCTGGGCGACAGAATGTGAGTATGTCCCAAAAAATAGTAATAAATAATAATAATAATAATAATAATAATAATAATAATAATATAAAGTAAAAATCCAGGTGGTAGAAATCGAATCTTGATAAATTATTAACTGTCATCCTCATTCACCTTCAGTTCCTTTATTCTCTTCCCACTGTCTTTGGAATTTTCCATTTCTGGCATATGGCCTATACTCAAAATGCCAGGTCTGTGGATCTCCATTTAAAAAGTAAAAGGAAAGCTTATTGCATAGTAATATTTGATAGCTCCCAAATACAATCAAGAAATAGAAATACACTCATAACAAAGAGCTGCCAATATACATTGTACTACTTTAACAAAAATATCAAATATATAAATATGTGTAATAGCTGGTATTATATTAAATTTTTATTGTGTTTTTAAAACTTTGATGAGAAGGGAAGAAGGGAAGGACAGGAAGAGGAAAAGAAGATAAAGTAGCAGCTCAGACAGAAGGTTCATATAATCCAGTGCCTGGAAAATTCGGGCTCAATAAACATTTGTTGAATGAATTAATGAATAAATGCATGAATTTAAAAGCCTCATTTTACAATCACTTCATCATCTAATTTCACCTTGTTTACTAACATCACATCCATATTATGGCTTTTTATTGGTTCTTGAGCAGTAAAAAGCAAAGTTTGGGAATCCTTCAAATGTCTAAGGGACATACTAAGGTCAATTAAGCAATTTAGTAAATATATGAGAAACAGAATTGACTTACATAAAAAGTATGAGATCAAGAATACTGTTTAAAGACAAAATAAAATGTGAGATTTTGAGAAATGCCATCATTTTAGATGTGAAAATTTTATGTGTACCAACTAGAGAGCAACCTGTGTGAATCTGCAGAATATCTAAACTATAAAATATAGAAACATTATATTTGTATATATAATAACTATTAATAAATAGGCAAGCAGGTGAGTATACTTTGGTAAAGCTATTTTGTGGGTATACTTAGGCATTTACTGTAATGAAGAAGTAAAAATTAAAATTAATGTAGCCCAAAACATAAACTGGTATTTTTGAAGTGCTTAAAAAGATTTAAGACATTTCCTCTCTGAATATGTTGTTGAAATTAATGAAAGACATCTTATTGTGACTGCCCTCATGTGAAAAAAGTTTCTTACATAACGCACCAAAAGCTACAAACTCAAATCATGAAAGCGTTCTTCCTTTGGTTCAAAGTGCATGTCATTATTAAATGATATTATTGCCTTAACTGGAGGGCACTGGAAAAAAAACAAACCTCCTCTCTTAATGTAAACTGTTCTCTGAAGTTACCATTAACACTATATTCTTAGCAGTAGAAAGGTAGTTTTGGCTCAGTCCTGTCTAAATTATCGTAAATTTTGATTTACAATGTTACCTAACAAATGATTAAACTATGTTTGAATTTCATTATGGAGCTGAAGGATTTGGATGTTCGCTTACCTCGGACTTTAAAATACTTCACATGATTTGCCACAGCCTCTGCAACACTTTCATCTGGGCAGATTTTCACTCCATTAGGAAACAGAATAGATCTCCGCCTTCTGATTAACCACTGTCTTTCAGTTTCTCTGCGGTCCAGAGGCTGTTTCTTTTTGGTAGCTAGAGAAAGGTCTGTTGATTCTTCAGGCAGGAGAAAAGAAACTGCACTCTTGGGTTCTTGGATCTCCTCTATAGATAAGTAGGTTTGTGCTACAGAGTGAAAGTATAGTCAAGTCTTCGATAATGAAGATACAGTACAAAAGGTAACAACTAAAGAAAAACTGACACTTGGGCTACATTAAGATAGAGAAGCCAGTGCCCAAATCATAGGCAGGCATGCATATCTAAGGAAAAGAGGAGTGAGGCAGTCCATCTTTTTCCATTTAACTCCCACTCCTTTCATTCAAGATTGTTATCAAAATCAAGTAAATACACATCCAATTTCAACAAAATAAATAAAAGTAAGGTTTAAACCAGAAATTACTAATGAGGGAAAACCAAAATTATTGGAGATATTTTAAAACGGTTTAAATGAAGCCATATCAAAGATTAATAAAGTAGTATTTGATTCCATTTCTTACAGCAATCACATCAAATAATCCTATTTTTGAAGAACATATACTACAGATATGGAAAGATAAAAACAAATGTAGATTTTTAAATACCTGTTAATGATGGAAAGTCTCCTTCTATCAGGACAAATATCAAAATACCCAGAGAAATCTTCCCAAAAAGAGGAAACATAATCATTTGGGCCAAAACCAAAGGAATGAGGAGAGGACAGAATCCTTAATTGAGTGTCCAAATCCTTGAAACTTCCAATAACAAAGAGTTATAGGAAAGACCTAACATTTAAAAGTCTATGTTTGAGAATGAACAACCACTTCAAAACCATTATAAATTAGCGGAAAGAAAAATGGTTGTCCTTTCAAAGTAGCTCTCACTTCTTTTCTGAAATAACCAGCATGCTATAAAAGCTGGTGAGATAAGCTAATTAGAGCAGATGGAGAGAGACAATTTCTTTATTCTAATCTACCTAAGCTCTTTACTAACACTCTCCTTGCCTTTAACAAGCAGTCCACTAAGAATAATGTGTTTCACATATAATTCACTGATTTTTCCAACTTTTCTGAATCTGTTAGTTCTGGGTTTTCCTAGGGACTAAGATGTATAAGCATAAAAAGTCCAGACTGACTATATCTACCTATTTCAATAATACAGAGCTACGTACAAATTTAGTTTTTGTAATGAAACTATTCTCTTGCAAATTTCCTTCCTTGATAGAAAAATCACTTACTTTGTCTCCTTCCTTACGTATAAAATGGAATAGAAATAGTAAACTCATGGTAGAGCTAATGTGAGGATTAAATTAACTAATTAACTAATTCAATCTTCACTTTGCTTAGAGTAGTGCCCGGAACATATTAAGCACTTAATATAAATGATAGCTGTGCGATAACTTTGTTGCTTAATTTGCCATTAAATGTGAGGCCCAGTGTGTTTATCTACATGAGGAACTCTTAACCAAGAAAACATTTTCCCTGCAGATGAAATTCTCTATATTAGAACAGTTTTTTAAATCAAGTAAACCTAGTAGAAAGCAATTCATCAGAATCCCTGTGGAAGCTTGGATTTACTATCAAATAGCAATGAAATTATATTTTATTTCATGTTATCTCTGGCAAAATTCTCTGAAAAAAAGTGTATTGTAAAGATCTAAACCACATTCCTCTTGAGAATCCTTGACTAATTGTGTTAGCTAAATCACCCTCAATGTTATTTTATGCTTTAGGAAAAGCTCAAGTATATTTTTTCAATACAGCCTCAAATAAACCACATTTTCAGCCTTTATAAAAGCTAATAAACCTAAATGACCATTAAATATATTTGCATAGTTGTATTTGCAAAATACTGGTAAGCTTATAAGAAACTTACTTGCCAAATTTATTGTATGAGTAGGAGAAAAAAGCCGAAAATTTTATTAGCTGAGTCAAAGTTTAATCTTAAGAAAAGCTTCATATTGACAATTCAGAACAAGGGACAACTCTTAGGTAACAAATATTAGTTGGCAATTATTCTTTTTGACAGCCTTGACCAAAAAGCTAAAAAAAACTTCTGAGAATCATAGTAATCTAGAAAGATTCCTGTATTTAGATTGAGAAACCCTGGACTCAAATCTTGGTTTTATCACTTAATATTTGATTTTGGTAAATAACCTAAGCTCTTTGAGCCGGTTTACTCACCAAAGAAATTACATGTGATAATCTCTACCTGTATCACAGGGTCGTTGTTAAGAATTAAGAGACATGAAAGTTCTCTGTAAACTACTGTATTTGTATTACCAGTAAACTTTGTAAATAGGAATTGTTTTGTATTACAAGTGTTCACAGAGTCCAAACATGTTTCAAGCTTTGAAATTCTATTTTGCTCAAGCTCCAAAATAAATTTTCCATTAACTTATATTTCAAACAGAGAATTCACATAAAAACTTCTTAAACATTTATTATATTATGTTCTATAAAATATAGTTGGTATAATTTCAGAAACCTGTACTTTAAAAAAAGAAATATAAGAAATTAGATGGGTTCATTTGTTTCTAAATATGGTCATCATTTTACAAATTCAATTTAACTTGACATTTATTTGTAACTTTTAACTGTAACTTTGTATCTATGATACAAAGCAGGTGATGCCCGCTATTAAGTTTGTGTCATAGGAATCCAAAAGCAAGAGTAACTCCAACTAGAAAAAGCAAGAGGGTGTGGGGGAAGCAGGAGGCGGGTATTTCAGCTGCGCCTTGAATGGCCTACTTGGCATTTCAGTATTTTAGTGGGCAGAAGTAAGGATTGTTAGTGGGAAGAACTAAGAGTTAGGAGAGAAATCCCTCGTCGTGATCAATAAAGTGGAAAAGTATACTGTTTATAAAGAAAATAGGAAGATATTTGCTGGAGCACGCAAGATAGGAGCATACAGCAAATACGTTGGGAATGAAGGCTGAAAAGTTGAGATTGATTATGGAATACCTTCAAAGTTTTAGCAAGAATTTTGGATTTTTACCTACAGATGAAACATTGTCTCTCTAATGTTTAATTACTCAAAAAAGTATATTCTTTGAGTTTTTATTTAAGGAGATTCTTTTTAGGTAATATTTCACAATCTCATAGGATGGTCCTTGAATCTTTTTATGCTTCAAGAAATGTCCCAGAATCATAAGCATATGAGAAACTAAACATAAAACTCTGTGCTTTAGAGACAACAAATACAGATTCCTTCATCTAAACTTAATTACAAATAAGTCAAGGATCATTTATTGACTCAACAAAATTTTCTGAGTGTTTACTATATGCTAGTAAGATACTTAATATCAGAAATGGAAAAATGCTTCCAGTCTTTGAGGAGCTTACAGTCTAAGGAGAAAAACGTGTATACAAATAATATAAAACAGTAATTAGAGAAGTATATACAAATTGCTATAGGGGAGCAGGAGGGGGAATGAACTATTGTTTGAGTAGGTGTAGGGGTGGTAACATTTACATTCAACTTTGAAAAAATAAAGTTCACAAGAAGTGGTGAAAAGGTATGGAGGTACAATGTCACAACCCCCACTCCACACAAGCATCTATAGTCTTGGGTTCAAAGTGATATTCACACTCATGGGACAACAGTCCAAAATGTGGCTCCAGGCTTACTTTGTAGAAAAATATGGCACAGCAAACAGTGTTATAATAATAATTTCAAGTGAAGTACATCTTCATCTGGAATCTTTATAAGAGCCCTGATTTCTCCAGCCCCCAAGAAGGATGCACTAAGTTGTAACAGAAGAGACCACCTGGGTGGGAGCAGGCCACAGAAGCAGACAGAAGCCTCATACACACAGAACTATGCCTCTTAACAACGCATGGGCAGTTTCCAAATTTCCACAAGGACAAGTTTAGTTACAAGAGACCGCAGAGGAAGTACCTAAATACATGAACGAATAATTTTATACAACTGCAAAAGTAGAGGACAATGGAAAGATAAGAATAGGATATAGGCTGGAACAAGATTAAGGATGGGCTCTATAGGCCAAGTCTAAACCTATTTTTCCTCTTGGCATAAAAAAGTTGATTTCAAAAGGTATTAAACTTTTTTAAACTCCTAATTAGGTGATTGGATATGATTTAAATAACTTCTTTTTTTAACATCCCAAGAGCTGTGAAATTAAAATAATATTATCTTCTCTAGGAAGGCTTGCTTTGTTCACTAACAACCCTCTCTCTACCTCTCTACCTCCTCACTAACATACACACACACACACACACACACACACACACACACACACACACACCCCTCTAGGCTGAGCTCCCTCCTGCATTCCCAAAGAAACTCTATGGTTGTTCTTACCAGAAAATATTTAAAATGTTCACATGTCCATAAATGACTCAGGAACAAATATCATTCATTTTTTGTGCCTAGCAAAATGCCTGCTAGTAGTAGAAGCTAAAATAATTTCCCTGAACTGAAATGACACTCAAATAAACTATATGCTTTTAAAATATGAAGAATAATTAATATAAGCATCAATTTCATGATATACACAGAGCAGCATACAACTGGAAATTTATTTCTAACAGTAGCTCATGTTTCTTAAGGAAAAAAATTACACCTCAATTTAATGAATTGGAAATATGTTTAATATAAAACACTGATATCCTCAAAACATTACTTGCACATTAATTTAGGAAAATGAATTTTAAACAATCTTCAAAACATGATAAAGGACAGTGATATCTTTGAAAAACATACAAACAAAAACATTAAGAAATCACAAGATGTCTTATAGACTTGCTTTCCCAAAATTAGATGTACAAAACAATAGTCACCTTTAAAAGTACCCCCCAACACACACAAATTGGGAATGAAATATGTAATTATAGCCATCTTTATATGAAATATCCAAACAACAAATATATTTAATAATATAAAGATAGTGCCAAAATCAACAAAAGCTAAGAATACTGAGGCTTAACTGACCCCGATTCGTATGATTTTGAAATAAAATGTTCAGACTTTCTAGCTTTATCTTAATTTGCCTTTGCTTCACTGCTTTATGTAGTTATAATGTAAATCTAAGAGATGCTTAAAACAGATTAAAATAATATTGTTAAAAAACATTTTTCTTATCTGAGAAAATACAATATAATCATATCTCCCTCAAAATACTCCTGATAACATTAGAAAGTTCTGAAGTGTTTAATCATATATAATGCCACCATTATCACATGAATTCAGAACTGTTACCTGAATATTTAATAAAAAATTAAGTTCCATGAGGATCATAGGTCTCTAAAAGCTACAATTTAAAAATATAAAAGCAATGAGAGCAATCTGGCTTTGCAGATGAATACTGGGTAAACTGAGCTATAAAATTATATATTTAATTCTACCCATTAATAAATAGGACTGAGGGTTTTCTTTGTTAAAGTTATGAGGACACCAATTTTATCTTCTATATTAGAGAAACTATACATAAATTCCGTGATAATGTGAGTGAATATTTATATAGCAGTACCTCAAGTTGAGCTACATGTATAATTTTTAAAAAACTATTTTGCACAGGTAAAATTTTTTGTTTCAAATTTTACCCTGAACAAATGAACTAAATTATAAGATACTCACATATGACATCAAAAGAAATGAAAAAAAAAAAGCAGAGTAATCGTATTTAGCAATTGAGAATAATAAGCTGCACTTTAAAAGAGCGAATTTTTATCATCTTCCTAACATTATGAATGTCTTTTTGTTACATACAGAAGGGATGCCGTAAATGGCATTTTCTGAAGCCTTGATACTAAATTATTTTTTTAAAAAATACACAGTATTCATACTGCATGCTTGAGCTGCAAAGAATAGAATTACAATATGATGTGACCTGTCAGCAAATTTGACAAGCACTGGGGCTGGCACCAGGGAGGCTTTAACTCCCCTCAGCACCCAGTCACGTGGAAGTACAGATCATGTAAGTTTTATTATCTACAAAACATTCCCATATTACATATGCTGTTGCATAATCCAATCATATTTACTCAGAAAAATATGAAATATTTATAAAATTTTAATTTATATCTAGTAAGTTTATCTATATCACCCCCATTCCCATTCCATCTATGAGATCCCAACAATTCTAATAATGTGTCCTACATATTTTAAATAATGTTCCAATGACTTATTATAAAACTACTGCAAGTTATTTTCTTCTCTGTGAGCTGGCTAACACAAATGCTGGTAAGAGGCTTTCCAGTAATCTTAGAGAACATCTGTGTCATGTTTGTACAGATTAACTAGCTACTGCTGCCCTTCTGTTGCTGTAAATGAAGTTTCAAGATGAGCTCTCGAATATCTTCCCGTTTGGTCTTTATTACATGACGAGGAAACCACTTCTCCAAATGAATTGGAAGTTCAAAGTTAACAATAGGATCCTAATGAGAGGAAAAAAAGAGTGTAATCACTTTAGCAGCATAATTTCAAATTTGTTTTAATTTCATTTTTATAAGAAATGACAAATTGCTAACTTTTTTAAAATAACAATTATATTAAGATATAATTCACATAATACAATTCACCAATAGCATACAATTAAGCATTTTTAGTATATTCACAAAATCAAATCCATCTGGAAAGGGTATGAGAGGGGCAGAACCTGACACCCTATGATGAAGTTCTAGTGTGGAATAAAAAAGGGAGAAAAAACCCAACATAATAGATATTTAATGATTTCCAAAATGTGTACTGTATTTTACTATATATTATCCTTCCTCTCTCATATTAAAGACATCAAAAAGTTGTAGCTGCATACTATAACTCTCATGCTTTCAAAGTACCGTTAAGCATTCTCCAAGCCGACTTCTGGTCAAAAACATTCTGCTACTAGACCCATCTTTGTAAATAATAGTGGCAATGACTGAAGTAATGAGATGACAGTTCAAAAAGCAAAGAGTGATTCCTTGCTATTTAAAATTTCATCTTTAATACTGCTACAGTTCCTACAAAGTCTCTGTGAGCTAGAAAATAACACCTATGTTTGTCATTGTACTTCTCCAGCTATAGTTTTCTGAGCTTCTTGAATAAACAGATCTTTTCATTTTAGAAAATTTTATTTAAAATACTGTCTCTGCCCTATTCTCTTTCTCTCCAATCTTGCTGGGACTCCAGTAACATGTAAATTATACCTTTCAAACAGTAAATTATACTGTTTTATATTTGTCTCTTAAGCTCTGTTCTCTTCTTTACATTCTTTTTTCTCTCTGGGCTATAGCTGGAGTTCACTAATCCTATCTTCTACTGTATCTAGTCCTCTATTAAACTTGTCCAATAAGTTCCTAATTTCAGATATGTCATTATACATCTTCAGCTCTAGAACGTCTATTTGATTTTTTTTTTGTATACTCCATGTCTTCATCCGTTTTGTTTCATCTTTGGCTTTATCTTCTCTAACCTATTAATCAAATCATTTTAAAGTTCTTATCTGCCAATTACAGTATCTGGATCACCTGTGGTTCTATTTCTTTCTCTTTAAAAAAAATCTTGATTACCTGTAACATGTGCCTGCCTCTTTGCTTGCCCAGTGATATAGTTTTGCTGTGCCCCGACCCAAATCTCATCTTGAATTGTAGTTCCTATAATCCCCACTGTGGTGGGAGGGACCTGGTAGGAGGTAACTGAATCATGGGGGCGGTTTTCCCCCATGCTATTCTCCTGATAGTAACTTCTCATGAGATCTGATGGTTTTATAAGGGGCTTCCCCCTTCGCTCAGCTCTCATTCTTCTCCTTGCTGCTATCATGTAAAAAAGGATATGTTTGCTTCCCCTTCCACCATGATCGTAAGTTTCCTGAGACCTCCCCAGCCATGCTGAACTGTGAGTCAATTAAACCTCTTTCCTTTATAAATTACCCAGTCTTGGGTATGTCTTTATTAGCAGCATGAGAACGGACTATTACACCCAGTAACTTGTGACCGTATGGTGGTAACTGTGAATTAAAAACTTATTTATAGCTTCACATACCTTGAAGAAGCTTTCCACATACTGCAATAAATATACTCCACAATCACTGCTATTGTCCTGTTTAGGAACTTTAGGGCATAGATCCACCATGTTTGTTTTGCTGAATTGACGATGAGTTTTTAGTTTAACTTCCCACTCTACCTCTAAATACCTGAAATAATCAACAAATAAGAGTGACTAAAGTAGAAATCTATTTATCAGTATGCAACATTTTCAGAAAGGCGGAAAAACATTTGTTGCCAGATGTGCTGTCTCAAGCCAAATTTCCACACTGAATTTTAGCAGTGCAACCTACATTTTATAAGGCTCACAAGTACTACTTTAAAGAAAATATGTAATGTGATTTTCAAAGTAAAAGCTAGACTTTTTTCAACAACTCAACTTTCATAACTCAACAAAGTAAACTAAGAAATCATTTTAAAAGTTTCATCATTAGTTTTTTCCAAGTACTACAGTAAATTACAAAATTACACATACATACATATACATAATTATACAAATGTGAAAGAGTTCTTATTTTTTTCTAAAGTGGTACTTTTGATAATCAATGCAATGCTTCTTTGTAAAACTATACTTTCTGTTCAATTATGAATACAAATTCTGAATTTACCTTTAATATAATCCTTTAGAAATATTAATACTTGAATATTAACAGAATAGAAGATATTTATTATTGATTAAATTTATAGGATTGTTGAAATAGATAATAAAATATAATTCCTGATATAGTCTTTTCAATAATTCTGAAGGTAACTTCAAAATTACTGAGGTTTTAGATAACAGACTGGAATGGTAAAATTGTCATTACTTACTCTCGTAAATTCTGAACTGTGTTTTGTACAGAAGCAGCTTTCAAGGAGTCTAGTATAAGAATACATGGCCTATGAAAAGCAAAGGACAAAATCAAGATTTACATACTTGTATACAAAGTATATCTAAATACCTCAAAAAACTGTATTATTATTACAGCATGTACCTACCTTTTACACATTTTCTTTGGTACTGACATATTCGACTCGGTACTCTGAAATAACATAAATTTTTATGACTGCAATTAAAGCTATTTTGAATAATTTACTATTCAGTTACTCCTTTAAAGTGTTTCAAACTTTGAAGTTAAAATTTCAAGTAATAGTTATCTTCATCATCAAAAGTGAGCTAACTTCATTTTCCACAAATTTATTATACTGCTAAAACAGTAGGCTATATACTTTTACATGCAGTCTCAAGCAGTTAAGGAGTTTTAACTTTTCCTAAAAAGCAATCTGGAACTTTAATTACTTCCATTCCAAGTTATTATCTTAAGCAAAGATAAACAAGTTAATTTAACGTGTCTTTACATACATTCTCCAATTTATGATGTCAGTAGAGACACATTTCTTCCCTTTGAAGCCTAAGATGCAGAACCTTAATCTATATTAAGGGAAAAGGGATAGGGAATTTTGTTTTGTTGATGTTGTTTGTTTTCTTCATAAGTTTGAGAAACTACAGATCAAACTTAAGCACATTTATTTAATGCAGACCTTCTCAGTGCCTTTATTATTCTAACATAAACACTGGCTCTCTAAGACAGAAAGAGTATACAAAGTTTGCCCAACTTAATTGACCTTGGAATCCTGCTTATCACGAACTGAGTCTTAGAATGAATATTCTAAGAAACTCAATTTGAGAAATCTGGCCCTACAGGCAAGAAGGAATGCTCCTATTTTGCCGCCGTGACAGCAGGAAAGGAAGCCTTCCTCCGTAAGAAGTGACAGTTCGTATCAGTGACAGTAAAGACATAGGCCTGTGCCAGGGAGTCTGCTGCTATTTGTACATATAAAAAAAAAAAATCATTAAGTGGCAATCTTAATTTAGAACACTGAATCTAGGCTATGCAGATCTGTTTGGAGCTCCAAATAAGGAAGAGTTAATGATAACTATTTTAGCCTAAGGAGTTACATGGATTCACTTTCAGTCTACCTTGAATGATTTTTACCAATAATTTTCTGGCCGGGCTCGGTGGCTCACGCCTCTAATCTCAGCACTTTGGGAGGCCCAGGCAGGCAGATCACCTGAGGTGAGGAGTTCAAGACAAGTCTAGCCAACATGGCAAAACCCCATCTCTACTAAAAAAAAAAAAAAAAAAAAAATACAAAAATTAGCCAGGCATGGTGGTGGGCACCTGTAATCCCAGCTACTTGAGAGGCTGAGGCAGGAGAATCGCTTGAATCCAGGAGGGGGAGGTTGCACTGAGCTGAGATTGTACCATTGCACTCCAGCCTGGGTGTCAGCAAGACCCCATCACAAAGAAAAAAAAAAAAAAGGAAGAAAGAAAGAAAATAAAGTAGAATATATAATGTGCTTAAGATGATTAATTACCTAAGTTCAAAAAGTTACTGACATAAATAAAAGTGAATCTGATCCTTAGAAATTAGAAAAGTAGTTAACCAAGATGAACATCAGATAAACTACTAAATAACCTAAAAGTTAAAGCAAGCTAAACAGATATAAGAATAATAACTAATCTCGTTCTCTTCCCCAGCCCCACAAAAACTGTCAAAGAATCACAAAGCAGCACAATCTAATGATGGGCCAGCATAGCCCACCTAGCTATGCTCTATTTTACAGATAACATTATTATATTCATGAGTTTTCCTTCCTTCCCATCTGTAAAGAACACACTTACTTGGGAATCCTCTGCACTCAAAGACAGTGTCGAAGTAGTACGTAGATCATTATCTAGTTAGAAATAATTAAGCAGTTATGAGTGTTTATTGCATGTTTTTATACAGGTAACTTAGAAAAGCTTAAAATTATAATTTTTATGCAGTTACTGGATGCACAGTAAAAATACTTGAGATTTAATTTTTTTCATGATTAATGTTATGAATAAAATTCAATCAACAGATAAAACTGACAATGGTTGGCTGTTATCAAATAACAGGTAAACCCCAGAGCCATGATTGGAAATACCAGTTAGCTAGGCAAATTCTCTATAAAAAGATAATCTTCAAAAATAGCTCATTAATCAAAATGTCTGCTATTTAATGCAGAAGGTAGTTAATCTGCCTAATAATGGTGCTTCTAACTATGACCATATAGTTTTGTGTAAGTACACATTTGAGGTTTCAAGATAATTAAACATAATCAGTTGCTTCATCAGTTTTTCTTTTTCCCCACATGGGTTTTGGCCAGTATTAATGCTAATGGCTATTTTTCAATCAGCTTACTGCTTAGGCTACAGCTATAAAACATTTAATTTTGTTACTTTTTTCTCAAAGAAAGTAGGCTTATTTACTTTAGATTTTGGCTTGTAAGAAAACTCGTGGAAGAATTATAAGAGATCCTATATTACCTAGCCAAATTAATGGAGTCTACAGGAAATTAGATTAAGTAAAAATGGGGGATTTCAAGCATTGTCTGGAAATCAAAGGCATAAATTCCTAGTCATGTTAGCAAACCTAGTGTATTTTTTAAAATGGTATAATACTATTAATTAGCTAGATTTTGTCATTCTACAATGTATATGTATTTCAAAATATCATGTTGTAGCCAGGTGTGGTGGCTCATGCCTATAATCCCAATACTTTAGGAGCCTGCGGTGTGAGGACTGCTTGAGGCCAGGAGTTCCAGACCCACCTGGGCAACATAGTGAGATCCTATCTTTACAAAAAAAAATTTAAAAATAAGCCAGGTAAGGTGGTGCACCCCTGTAGTCCTGACTAATCAGGAGGGTAAGGCAGGAGGATTACTTGAGCCCAGGAGTTCGAGGTTGCAATGAGCTATAACTGAGCCACTGCACTACACCAAGACAACGTCTCTTAAAAAAAAAAAAAAAGTATGTTGTACATAGTAAATACATGCAATTTTATCTGTCAATTTTTTTAAGTTAAAACAAGCAAAAAATGTCAATGGAAATAATAATAATACATGGAATAAACATAAAATTTAGGGTAGTGGTTACTTCTGGATTAAAGAAAGAGAAATGGGAGTGGTCACAGAGGAGATTATTATTATATCAGAAAAGTTTTAATTTCTTAATCCAGGTGAAACAGGTATTGATGTTGGTCATATTAGTTATACTTTTTTGTATGTTTGAAATATTTCATAAGATCAATAAGTAGTAATTTTAAGTGCCATAATAAAACTTGATATAACAGTACAACTTCAGAATTATATTTTGTCTATCATTAAAAATTTCAGATTTTTTATTCATCCTGTTAAAGTAGGTTTAATGATAGTAAATAACTATACTACCGTTAACTTCATTTTCTTCCCTGTAACCATTAAATTATTGTCATCATTATTAAAAACACCATCTACGTTATGGATGTCACCTATTGTTTTGTTGTCATTTTGGGACTGCTGAGCCTGGGACTGCTGGGATACAGTTTGTGGAAAATCTTCATACACAGCTTCTTCTAACCATGGAAAACAAATGACTGCGAGATACCAGTGAGACCTGTTGAAAAAGAACTACAATCTTAATACCATGCAAAGTCTAAACAACATATAATATATTCTAGAGATACATCTGAGAAAGTGAGAATAAATTTCATATTAATTTTGAAGACATCCACTGTAACATCTCATTATAATATAGAGCATACATATCAACACTAAATATCCAGAGTTACCAAGGCATAAGTAACACTATTTAGGGTAACAGCTGAGTAGTTCAAATTTATTTACTTTCATACAATCGGTGTTTCCTATTAAGGATCTGCCTTAATAAATAGACTCATAGCATTATTTTTTTTGTATTGGTGCTTGAAGAGTTTGTTTTCTTAAGTATTTGAAGATTCACTCAAAAATATTTTTATTTTTTTATTTAGAAAATTTTTTCTTAAATCCAAACAAAAAAACATTCAATGTCTCAGTCATTATAGTCTTGTGGTCATTTGTCACTTTATTTTTTTTTCACTACTTTTACAACATAACCATTGTCAAACCAAAATCCAAGATAAGGAATTCATTGCCTTAGCTACTTTTATTTAAAAAAATTAAAATAATACCTGAGATGTATGTGGCCATAATTTTTACTGATTATGAATCTAAAAACACTACAAAATTTTTTTCTGAATTCTTTCCAATATGTTCTTAAATAATCTGAAATACTTACGACTCATTTACAGGTACAAAGATGTAATCTTTATTAAAAATGTTTATGTGACGAGTCCATGTTCTTACTCTTTTATGTCTTCTCTGTGCCATTCTGAGAGTATGAAAGACAGATTTGATATATAAAAATTTTTTCATTTAAGATAGGGACTTCAAGAGCCATTTTTATATATTGAAATATCTTAAATTTAGTTTAACCATCTTCTTTAAGATATATCATATTTAACACATTATAAATATATCTCCTTATAGTAACCCCTGGTTATTCTTAAATTTAATAACTATAAACAATAATGAAATGGACAGAATAAAGGCAGCAATTTATTAAATGCTTTTCAGATTCCAAAACTGGCTGTGCAACTTAGTATAAACACAGTTAAATCTACTTATTTTGCTTAGCTCCATCTGGGCATGATATAAAATACTGTCATTAAACCTTAACAGAATTCTCCAACTGTTATATCTGTCATTAGGGAGGTTTTAAAACTCAATGGGCTGAGTGTGGTGGCTCATGCCTGTGATTCCAGCTACTTAGGATGCTAAGGTAGGAGGATCACTTGAGATCAGGAGTTCAACACTAGCCTGGGCAACATAGCGAGACTCCTGTCACTAAAAATATAAAGAAAATTAGCCAGGGTGGTGACACACACCAATAATCAGTCCCAGCTACTTGGGGGATTGCTTAATCTCAGGAGTTTGAGGCTGTGATCACACCACTGCACTCTGGCCTCAGTAACAAGGGAAGACCCTATCTCTAAAAAATAAATTAATCAGTTAACTTAATTTAATTAAAAATCTTAATGGAGGAGGAAAAATGAGGCTTTTATTCTCAGATTCTTTAAAATAAAATTCATCTCCCTTCCTTTCATACACAAGGAAACTACAGGATGATGTTAAATGTACCTACCACTCATCCATCTTTCCTTTTATTTCTTCAACAAATATTTATTAGGTTCCTAAAAACAAATAATGAAAGTCACCTACACTGCCCTAGAAGTATTCATAATCTAATATGGGCAGAAAAAACTATAACAAATAACTAAAATGTGTCATAAGAGGTACAAAGGAATTATGGTAATGCAGCAGTCCCCAACCTTTTTGGCACCAGGGACTGGTTTTGTGGAAGACAATTTTTCCAGGGACAAGGTTAGGGGGGATGGTTTCAAGATGAAACTGTTCCTCCTCAGACCGTCAGGCATTAGTTAGATTCTCATAAGGAGCACGCAACCTAGATCCCTTGCACGCACTGTTCACAACAGGGTTCGCGCTCCTGTGAGTATCTAACGCTGCCACTGATCTGATAGGAGGCAGAGCTTAGGCAGTAATGCTCGCTCACTGCTGCTCACCTCCTGCTGAGTGGCCTGGCTCCTAACAGGCCACAGACTGGTACCAGTCTGAAGCCCAGGGGTTGGGGACCCCCTTATTAAACCATCTGAGACAGCCACCTTGAACAGGGTTGGCTTGCATACACACAAATACTAGTTTCTTTTCTTTACCTAATCAGGGGAGTTAAAAGAGAAGGATATAAAACCAAGTTTGACTGTCAAAAGAAAGGTTTTAGGAAGGAAGAAAATGACATTTAACAGGGGGATAAAGGTGGTATGTGACTTCTGGCTCAGTCCCTTGGATGGAACTCTTATTGCAGGAAAAAAAAAAGGCAAACCATTACATTCTTATATAATTTTTATCAAGTCATATAGGAAACTGAAATCATTGCCCCATCTTGTTCATTTGAATAATATCTAGCCAAAACTCTATGGGTAAACATCAGGAGTAACATAGGATCCAGAATGAGCTAAAAGATTTGACAGCAATTAGACACTATGTGGAAGATTAACCACATAAAAAAATCAAAGTCACGTTTATTGAATTTTCTCATTTCAAAAGGACCCAACCATTATAATCAGTATAAACAATTACTTTCAACTAGTGTATAGTCTGTTAATTTGTTTTCTATTTGAAAATCTTAAGGATAGACATCTGGTTTTATATTGGTATTTGGTCGATTTCCTGATTATGCTAACCTTATTTGATTGAGAATATATTAGACATAGAATGAGGCAAGGAGGATAGGAGAGAATATGAGGGCCAAACATAATCTCCTATTCTCAGTTCCTGTGTAGAAAATCTTCAACTAAATGTCTAACAGTTCTCTCAGTAATCAATAATAGGCACTGTTATCATCTCATATTTTGAGTTCCTAATATGTTCCAAGCACCGAGCAAGGTACTGAGGATAGAGTGGAAAATAAGACAGATAAAGTCCCTAACTTCATGTAGCTTCAAATGAGAAACAGAAAATGAAGACGTAAACAAACGAATAAAATGATTACAGATCACGCTGTGAAACAAATTTTTTAAATGCCAGGATAAGTTGTTTCAGGCAGAAAATAGGAAAGCGGTCAGCATATTTGAAAATGGAAATGAGGTAGGTTGAACTTAAGTATGGTAAATGAGAGGAAACAATATTATGAGATGAGTTTAAGGAGATGGAAAGAAACCAGATCTTTCAGGATCTCATAAAGCATGATAAGGAATCTGTAGCTTCTCAACACTAGTAGTTAGAGCCTTTTGATGTGGATTTATTGGCCATTAAAATTCATATCTCTTGCTGCTCTGATGACTTTTAAAAACTGATTTGTAGGGATTCTTTGTGTAAACACTAATGCTTGATCTGATATATCAAATTGTGTGAATGCTTAACAGACCAAGCATTAGTATTCACACATTCATGTGCATGTGTACATGTGTGTGTGTGTGTAGTATCTTATGCATCTTACCCTAGAGGATGCCACTCACGTAACTTTATTTTTATTATGTATATAATAATCAGGTACACAATATCTGTTTTTTGAAAAGCTTACTAATACAGCAGAATCTATCTACTTTCATTTCCTTAGTTTGAAGGTGAGTATACAAAATTCACAATCTCTACTTTGAATAATCTTGAAATAAAACATGAGATTAAGTGCATGGTACCAATCATTAAATTCTGTATACATAAAACAGAACAGGAGGGCATCAGAAATGTTACCTAATTTATTTAATAAATCTCCCCCTTCCATATATCCCTCTCCTAGCCCTGATTATCAGAAATATTTTCAAATTGCAGTTTTCTCCTTAACTGATCCTCGCAGGTCTTGTCCATCAGGACAAATTCCAAACCTGTAAAGACACTCAAAATGGAGTTAATCATACATCCCAGTTTGTCTAGAAAAGCCCTGGTATACGCACTCGTTGTCTAGTGTACCCACTAAGACAGCCTCCTATTATTCTCACAAGCATCCCAATTTAGACCATTAATTATATAATCACAACACTATGAACAACAGAAAGAGTTGAACTTTGAAACTGGAAAGCTATATCCAACTTTGAAAAACTCATATAACTTCCTTAAGCTTCAATTCATAAAGACAATGACAATAATACTGTAGAATCAAATAACTTTATGTTCACCGTCTTAGTTCCTAGCAGGCACTCAATAAATATTAATTAGTGTCCCTATTCCTACCCTCTTTCTCCAACAATATATCAAATTCAAGCAGTTTATCCATTAATCCTCTTCTAACTCTTGTTTATTACTCCTGTTATTTTAACGAGATGAAACAAACTCTCATAGCCATTTTTTAAAGCAATCTAGTACAATAAAAACTTTGGACTAGAAGTTAAAAGGTAAAGATTTAAGTACCAACTAGTTCTGCCACTCACTAGCTGTTCATCTTAAGTAAAATTTATTAATCTTCATTAGACTGCTTCCTCATATGAAAAATTGGGATACAGTTTATATGCCCTATCAAAAGGTACTGTCATGATAGGAAAAACTGAAATAATGTCAATAAATGGAGTTGTAAATTGTAAAGCAGTAGAGAAATGTTTACACTAACTTTTAAAATAACAATAACTCAGCTTTATCATGAGTCTACTCAGATAGATTATCATACAAATTGTTAAGTATGGGGAAAGGGGAGAAATGCCTCATGTTGCAACAACTATCCAAGTTTCTACTGTCTAAGAAATACCTCCTTTTTGCCTATCCCTAGCCACTGCTCCACAGTTTTAGTATTAACCAAAAAAATACTTGGGCAAAAATCAGCTAAATTGTGCAAACAAATAGGGTATTTCGTATAATGTAGCATAGGTTTAATTAAATAGTCTGTCATTGGGGATCCAACCAGGAAAACAAAAACAGCCCTATATAACAGATAGAATTCAATGCAGGAAATTGGCTATAGCATTGACAAAAAAAGAAAAACAAAAAAACACAAAGCCAAAAACGGGGACAGTGAGACAGCAAAGATTAGCAGAGGAGGAAACTGCTATACCTGTAGGGTAGAGGGCAAAGAGAGGAAGCAGTACCTCCAGATGAAAGCTGGAGTTATAGCAGGTCTGTCCTGTGAGAGGTGGACTCACAGAGGAAATACAGCCACTGTCAGAATCATTTCCCAATGCAAAGAGAGTAGGGAAGAAATAACCTAGCTTCTTTCTTCCTTGCCCTCCAACTTCCAGGATTTCCCCCAGGGACATGCAATTGGAAATGCAGACTGCAAGTGTCAGCCTCCCTGTCATGGGCAGCAAAACAGTGGAAGGATGAGAAATGGCTCTCATGGCAAACAGACCCAGGACCTGAACAAATGGTAGTACTGCCTACTTGAGGAAATACTATAAAGAAGCCACTTTACTAGGAGCATCAAAAATAGTACATTTTCTCTTAAAACTTAAGTACATTAGAGGATTAACTTACGAAAGATTTGGATTATCTTCTGTTAAATTATTTTCCTTTCTTGTCAAGCATTTATAGAAAAAGCTACTAAAAATGTGACTTCGTTCAACAAGTTCATCTGATGCCTTCTCCAATATAAGATACCTGTAAAGTAGTAACCCCACAAAAGTAAATTATTTTTAGATTTTACTTGGTCGTCCCCCAGTTGTCTTATGTGTTCTGGAAATCTTTATTTTTTATCTATTTTGATTCAAAGCAATCTTGCAGTTTCCTCTGATTTCAGCTTTCAGTTTGGTTAGTTACCTAGCCTTCCATCATGTAAAGCAGAAATTACCCACTTATTCATTCATTTACTTAACAAATATTTATCAAATTCCTAACATGTGGCCAGGCACGGTGGCTCACGCCTGTAATCCAAGCACTTTGGGAGGCCGAGGCGGGCAGATCACGAGGTCAAGAGATCGAGACCATTCTGACCAACATGGTGAAACCCCGTCTCTACTAAAAATACAAAAATTAGCTGGGTGTGGTGGTGTGCACCTGTGGTCCCAGCTACTCAGAGGGCTGAGGCAGGAGAATCACTTGAACCCGAGAGGCAGAGGTTGTAGTGAGCTGAGATCACATCACTGCACTGTAGCCTGGGTGACACAGCGAGACTCTGTCTCAAAAAAAAAAAAAAAAATTAAAAAACTTTTAAAAATTCCTAACATGTGCCAAACACCATGTTTACACTAGAGACACAAAACAAGAGGGGAAAAATAAAGTACCTGCCCCTGTAGAGCCTATAATCCAGAGGAGTGAGGGTAGAAAATATTAATCAAATAATCATATACTCAAATATAAAAGTGAAATTGTGACACTGCTAAACAAATCTAGAAAAATGTTAATAACTGTGTGATATGATTCATCTCTAAATTCTTAGTCCATTTCTGTACTAAAACAATCCTTCCATATAAGCTTATAATCCAATCACTTAGTAATTAACCCCTTCATGATTAGAAAACTCTGCTATTCTTTATAGTTTATGCAGGCTTGAAAATGTGTGATTGTTTTTTAAAAATGGAGTAGCTAGAGTTTGCAGATCAGAATACTGGAAAGGAAAGAGCTATACAGAGAACTCCAGACAGCTGCAAAGTCCTCTTCAAGTATTCAGGAGAGTATTAAACACCGAATGTATGTGAGGAAAGTACCCAGGGATAGGGAAAGAACTACCCAAAAAGATCAGAGAGAATGATACCAAGTGCTCACAGAGACCAAGAATGGTGCCTGTTCCTATCAGCCAAATTGGAAACTTCGTAATTCCTGAGACATTGGGTAGAATACTCAAAAAGGTCTTTCCTCAGTAGTAAGATTAAGTTATTGGCCTCATCTAACAAATCTTAAAGGCATCAAACATTTTCCAAATAATTTTACTGTGTCCCAAAACAAAATTCAAGCATATTTATAAATACAAAAATATCCAGCACCCAATCAAAAAATTACCAGACATGCAAAAGTGCAAAGAAATGACTCATAATGAAGAGAAAAATCAGTCAATTGAACCCAGAACTGACAGAGTTGTTAGAATTAGCAGAAAATAATATTAAAACAATTATAACTGTATTCCATATGTTCAAAAAGAAACATGGAAGATATAAAAAAGACCCACATTTAATTCCTAGAGATTAAATCTACAGTGTCTGTAAATATAATGTGAGACTTTGACCTGAGTTACTGGGATAAAGATTACTAGTATTATTAGTAAAACAATAGAGCTTAGGTAAGATTATAATAAATTTGGTTTGGGAGAGATGTGTAAAATAATTAGGAGATATCTCCATCAACTGTTGGGAATCTAGGTCTAGAGATACAGTACAAAATGACGGCTAGAAGCAAATTTCCTTTGCATAAAGTTTTAAATGTTTTCATACCAATTCCTGCAGCTCTGGCTATACAAAAAGTTGGGGGAGAAATTAAGTGATATGGATTCTTAAAATGATAGTTAACTCTTAGGGAGGCCAAGGAGGGCAGATCACCTGAGGTCAGGAGTTCAAGACCAGCCTGGCCAACATGAAACCCCATCTCTACTAAAAGTACAAAAATTAGCCGGGCGTGGTGGCGGGCGCCTGTAATCCCAGCTACTCAGGAGGCTGAGGCAGGAAAATAGCTTGAACCCAGGAGGCAGAGGTTGCAGTGAGCCGAGATTGTGCCACTGGACTCCAGCCTGGGTGACAAGAGTGAGACTCCATCTCAAACAAAAAAAAAAAGATACAACAGATATCTCAATAGAGCTGCTGTTTTTTAGTTCCCAAAATGATTTGTAATTTGTAAGTAACTTCTTTCACCACCATAATACAATAGTTAAAGAAATTTACATCAAAAACTAACAAAAGCTAAAAAAGCAAAAAAGCAGCAACTCTTCTTAACTATATAGCATCCACAGTAAGTAAAGCAATGAAACTGAATAAGTCAATTCTAGAAAACCTTGGTAAGCAAAAATTTTCCAAATCTGAAATCTTGGCAGGCTACTTTTAACAGAATTTAAAATAATTCAGAGATAAAGACATTTATTTTAAGTTTCTCAGTAAAATCTGTAAAATATGTAGGATCATTTATCATTGTACTTACTTAAGGTAAAAATCAATGATTACATCATTAAGAAACTCTCCTTCTTCTAAACACTCCAGATCTTCATTAGTTACTCCTAATCCCCCCTTAGTAGGTGGTGGAGGATATACAATCAACCTTAAAAGTAAAAATAAAGTTAACATATACTGATATTGAAAATCCTATTATCTAAGAGATTTCTTATATGAAACAATAACTGGGCAGTGGTATTCTGTAACTCAAATCTGTAGGGTAAAAAACATTTGACCAGGCATAAATAATGATATTTTCCTTCCTTTATCCTCACAAGCTACTAATGGTACTCCGATTGAGTATTATCTTTTCTTTTCCAATACTTCCCATGTGGGCTAGTCTTAATAGGCTACTATCTGAATTAGTCTCTAATCAATAGGTTTTATCTCACAATCAGTTATACCATTGAAGATGTTGCTCTTCTTCATAATTTTTAACTTTGAATAAACTGATGTAATAAAATATAGCTTTTCCTTTCTCCGCTTTCTAAGTTTGAATCCTCAAGACTAGTTCCCTTCCTTTCAGAAAAGCCAGCAGTCAAAAATTGTGCTCTGCTCCTGGTGGCTAATCTATACCAGCAGCTGGACAAAAAAGAAATAACATGGGAGCTTAGGAGGCAAGTCTCCCCATAAAAAGTGCCTGCCACATAAAACTTAAGAGACCACAAAGGAGACATATAATTTAATCACAACCAGAAAGTAGTAGAGAAGAGATGACAACTAATTAGTCATCCTCCTGCTGGCATTCTCTCTTAAAGCTTAGAAATAAGACCAGTTGTGAATTCCGGGCTATAATCTTGGAATAGGTAGAGCAGTACTCAATGAAAAATGTAGTCAGTAATGAAGGTATAATATGTACTTCTTGCGCCAGAAAGGTTCAGTATGGTAAGAGTCATCCACATTGATTTAATCTTAGTATCATGGCACCTAAATCAAAAAAGAAAACTGTAAATTTAAAGTGCTAATATGATAGTTTCTACCTTATTGGCTATTTTCCTATCCTAGTCTTTCAAGTGTCTTTTTTCAAAACAAAGAAATAGAATCACATGGAGGTACAGAAATCACCATTAAATGCACAGACTCCATATTCTTCCTTAGCACCATGAGAAGACATGGATGAAATATGAACAAAGAAGCAATTTCTGAAAGAGAACTTGTAACAAACTCCAAAGTACCTTAAATTGAAGCATATTTCAGTAAGCAATTTCATTTTCCCTATCATATGTTCAGATAAGGAATGTAGAATTTTTAAAATCATACATTGCTACTCAAATGTTTTTAATAAACACTTTAATCTTACCAAATATGACACTTTGTCTGCCATTTATGTCTTACTGACATAAAAGTAAAATGGCACCTATTGTTTTCTTAATAAATTTTTTAACTTCCTCATAATTTCTTTAAAAAAACCTATTTCCATTACTATCAGCATGAAAGTAAAACTTAAAACATTTCAAAAGTTAAACTACTGAAAAGCAGCAACATGAATAAAAACTACTAATATGCCCATCTACTACAAACATGCTATGACAGTACATACTTCTGAACAAGTCCAGTGTGCCTGACTTCTCGCCATTCTTCATCTGGATTAGATGTAATAGAAAGGGAGTAGCAACCGCTACTTTGCTTCTGCAGGAAGGTGTAAGTAGGCTTGGCCGCATCTGTGTTTGAGGGCTGACAGAAAGTGGCAAGAAAAAGGGTCTCAAACATCATAACTTTCAAAAGAACAAAGTCAAAACGTAGACGTGTGAGAGAAAATGTGACTTTAAAAATCCCTATGAATTATATCTATACTTTTAGATTTTCCATAGATATAACCAAACCAAAATAATACTGGTGATGAAAAGATATTGTATAAACAATGGTCAAAGATTAACTTGAAGTACTATTTGCAGATATGGACTACAGAATTAAAGAAGAATATAACAATTTTGCAGTTCAAAATAATCAAAAAATGTAATAAATAGGAGGAAATAAAATTTAAAATTAAGAGGCTACATTTATAATAATGTAATTCCACTAAATGGAAAATATATAAACAATATAATTAGGATGCAAAATATTGACAACATTATACATAAAGAAAGATAGAGATGAAGTCTTATACTTTATCTAACACTAATGTGGCTTTCTATAGGCCTTTTGAATAAAAGATTAGCCTCTGGCCAAACCCGTGTATGTGCATGCATGTGCACAGGTGTATATATGAGTATGCCATAGCTTCTTAATAAATTCTTTTCTTTCTAGAACTATTTGGCAGAGATATACAAGCTACATGTATATTACCAACCTCCTATAAAAATAAACATAGCATTTTAAAACTTACTATTGTTTTCAAGATAATTTTAGACTTACAAAAGAGTTGAAAGAAATCAACCTTGCCCAAATTCCCCTAATCTTATCATACACAACCATAATACAATGACCAAAACTAAAAAATTAACATTGGCCTAATAGTATTAACTAAGCTACAGACTTCATTTTGATTTCACTTTTCCATTAATATCCTTTTTCTGTTACAGGATCCTACAATTCCTTAGTCTTTCCTTGTTTTTCATGACCTTAGTACCTTTTTTTTTTTTTAGACAGTCTCACTCTGTAGCCAGGCTGGAGTGCAGTGGCACAATCTCGATCACTGCAATCTCCACCTCCCGGGTTCAAGCGATTCTCCTGCCTCAGCCGCCTGAGTAACTGGGATTACAGGAATGCGCCACCACACCCAGCTAATTTTTGTATTTTTAGTAGAGACAGGATTTCACCATGTTGGCCAAGATGGTCTCAATGTCTTGACCTCTCGTGATCCACCTGCCTCGGCCTCCCAAAGTGCTGGGATTACAGGTGTAAGCCACTGCGTCCGGCCAACCTTGATACTTCTAAAGAGTACTGGTCAATTATTTTGTAACAGGACTTGTCTCATTTTTCTCATAATTATATTGAGATTACATATTACTGGAAAGAACACCACAGAAGTGATGTGGTACTTCTCAGTGCATGATACGAAGGGGTGTGTTATGTCAACATGTCTTATTACTGGTGATGTTCATTTTGATAACTTGGTTAAAGTGATGTCTACAAGGTTTCTCCACTGCAAAGTTACCACTTTTCTTTTTGTAAATAATACATATTTTATGCTAGAGACTTTGAGATTATGCATATATTTTGTTTCTACTTAAATTTTTACTCATTAAATTTAGCATCTGTTGGTGGACTTTGCAATACTCATAAACATAGTGTTCTACTTGTGGTTTTGTATTTCTCTTATTCCTTTTCATTTATTAATTGGATTTTTTTCTAAGATATAATTGTCCCTTATCCACCATGTATTATTTATTCATTCATTTACTCAGTTATCTATTTATATAAATATAGACTAATATTTATTTTTTATTTGGTTATAATCCCATGCTGTCATTATTGATTTTGTTTAACAAATTGTTCCAGCATTGGCAACGGGAGTTCTTTTGGGTTGGTTCCTATGCCCTTTTCACAAAATGTAGCATTTGAAAGCAGCCTAATATCAATGAATAAATGTTTTCTGAACCTCCCCCTTCTCTGCCAATTATATTAATGATATGCTAACCTGAGATACTGATTTCAGCTTCATTTCTTCAGCAACAGCAACACCAGCAGGGAAAGAACAAGTTGAAACACAGTAATAATGAATAAAAGAACTTTCTTTTGAAGAGAGGTTCTGAAACAAAGGAAATGCCTGAACCCAAGACAACGGGTAAGAAAGCTCTAATTCTCCACTGATTATACTTATTTCCGTCATAATATCTTTCAGCTTCAATTCTTCTCTTTGTGAAACAGGATTGTGTAGTTCAAGGAAAATGAATTCACTAGATTTTGCTACAAAAGGAAAAAATAATTTGTATCAATAGTATTATTTTTCAAGAGGATTATAATACAAGTAATTTAATTATTAATAATAGTAAGGTTGGAATATAACCCCAAGTATTTTGTATTTTAGGTAATAACCAAGGCAAATTAATATCCCAAAAGTAGGCCATTAGTAATCCAGAACCAAAACTCACAATTGGTGGACTCCTGTTCTACTGCACTAAAATGTCATAATAGTACTGATTGCTATATCTGCAGTGCCTGACATTTAGTAATAAACATTTGTTAATGAATGTATGAATGAATAATTAATAATTATTTTTCTCTAGCCTCCTTTATGAATCAACTCTATCAACTAGAAACATATTCCAATTAAACACCTCCTACATTTTCTCCTCAGTCATTTCAATGGTGATCTGAAGACATTCTCTTCCCACAGAATGCTTATAAATGGCTGTTTCTATTTTCCCCACCTTCTCTGCTATTTAATCATGAATTTTCCTAGTAGAAGTAATTAGGACAGGAAAATAACAAATTTGAAAGTTATAAAATTTAGTTCACTACTTAACATCTTTACTGTGCAGGAGAGTAGGAAAAAGGTAGAGGGATCAAACAGGTAAGAAAGAACCTTACTAAATTTGATTGATGTAGTTCTAAACCCAACTCCTTCAGGAGCTGGAGACTAAACAAAGCTGAAAAATATCTCAAGATGTATATTATATAGATAAGTGTTATAGGTGCATATGGGAAAGTATTCAACCGAATCTTAAAGGAATAATATATAAGTAAACTGAATTTCACTTTTTAGAAACTAAAGACTGAAGGCAAAGACTTCTATATTTTATTTAACTTTGCTGCAAATTCTGTCAGAGTTTGTCATGACCAAGGGCAAGAAACTCATAAGAAAGGTAGTTGGCCAGGCATGGTGGCTCACACTTGTAACACTAAAACTTTGGGAGGCCAAGGCAGGAGGATAGCTTGAAGCCAGGTGCTTGAGACCAGCCTGAGGAACATATCGAGAGCCCATCTCTAGAAAAAAAGAAAGCAAAAAAAAAAAAAAAAAAAAAAAAAAGGAGAAGAAAGAATTTGGGCTTATTCTGGGTTCTCTATTCTGTTTCATTGGTCTATTTGCCTATTTTTATACCAGTACCATACTGTTTTGGTGACTATGGCCTTATAGTTTGAAATCAGGTAATATGATGACTCCAGATTTGTTCTTTTTGCTTAGTCTTGCTTTGGCTATGTGAGCTCTTTTTTGGTTCCATATGAATTTTAGGATTGTTTTTTCTAGTTCTATGAAGTATGATGGTGGTATTTTGATGGGAATTGCATTGAATTTGTAGATTGCTTTTGGCAGTATGGTCATTTGCACAATATTGATTCTACCCATCCATGAGCATGGGATGTGTTTCCATTTGTTTGTGTTGTCTATGATTTCTTTCAGCAGTGTTTTGTAGTTTTCCTTGTAGAGGTTAGCTATATTCCTCCTTGGCTAGCTATATTCCTCCTTGGCTAGCTATATTCCTAAGTATTTTATTTTTATTTTTTGCAGCTGTTGTAAAAGGGGTTGAGTTCTTGATTTGATTCTCAATTTGGTCGCTGTTGGTGTATAGCAGAGCTACTGATTTGTGTACATTAATTTTGTATCCTGAAACAGTGACAGTTTGACTTCCCCTTTACAGATTTGGATTGTCCAACAAAGCAAACACAAACAAAGTGGGGAAAGGACACCTTATTCAACAAATGGTGCTGGGTAAATGGCAAGCCACATGTAGGAGAATGAAACTGGAGCCTCATCTCTCACCTTATACAAAAATCAACTCAAAATGGATCAAAGACTTAAATCTATGACATGGAACTATAAAAATTCTAGAAGATAACATTGGAAAAACCCTTCTAGACATTGGCTTAGGCAAAGATTTCATGACCAAGAACCCAAAAGCGAATGCAACCAAAACAACAATAAATAGGTGGGACTTAATTAAACTAAAGAGCTTTTGCATGGCAAAAAGAACAGTCAGCAGAGTAAATAGACAACCCACAGAGTGGGAAAAAAATGTTCACAATCTATGCATCCAACAAAGGACTAATATTCAGAATCTACAAGGAACTCAAACATTAATTAGCAAGAAAAAAACAAACCCATCAAAAAGTGGGCTAAGGACATGAATAGACAATTCTCAAAAGAAGATACACAAATGACCAATAAACATGAAAAAATGCTCAACATCACTAATAATCAGAGAAATGAAAACCACAATGCGATACCACCTTACTCCCACAAGAATGGTCATTATCAAAGAATGAAAAAATAATAGAAGTTGGTGTGGATACAGTGAAAAGGGAACACTTCTACACTGCTGGTGGGAATGTAAACTAGTACACCCACTATGGAAGAGTGTGGAGATTCCTTAAAGAACTAAAAGTAGAACTACCATTTGATCCAGCAATCCCACTACTGGGTATCTACCCAGAGGAAAGGAAGTCAATATACAAAAAAGATACTTGCACACACGTTTATAGCAGCACAATTCACAATTCCAAAAATGTGGAAGCAGCCCAAATGCCCATCAATCAATGAGTGGATAAAGAAACTGTGGTACATATATATGATGGAATACTACTCAGCCATAAAAAGGAATGAATTAATGGCATTCACAGCAACCTGGATAGGATTAGAGACTATTATTCTAAGTGAAGTAACTCAGGAATGGAAAACCAATCAGCCCATGTTCTCAGTTATAAGTGGGAGCTAAGCTATGAGGATGCAAAGGCATAAAAATGATACAATAGACTTTGGGGGCTCAGGGGGAAAGGGTAGGAAGGGGGTGAGGGATAAAAGACTATAAATTGGGTTCAGTGTATACTGCTCGGGTTATGGGTGCACTAATATCTCACAAATTACCACTAAAGAACTTATGTAATCAAATACCACCGGTTTCCCAAAAACCCATGGAAATAAAAAAAAAATTTAATAAAAGATTTCAATCTGTTTAAAAAAAGGAGGAGGAGGGAGGAGGAAAGGAGGAGGAGGAAGGAGGGAGGAAGGAGGAAGAAAGAGGAGGAAGGAGGAGGAAGAAAATGGAAGAAGGAAGAAAAAAGGAAGAAAGAAGAAAGAAGGATAGAAATTGCCAGGTATGGTGCTGCACCCCTGTAGTCCCAGCTACTTGGGAGGCTGAGGTGGGAGGATCACATGAGCCCAGGAGTTTGAGGTTGTGGGAAGCTATGAACATGCCACTGTACTGTAGCCCAGGCAACAGAGTAAGATTCTGTCTCAAACAAAAAGAAAAAAAGGAAGGAAAGTAGTCAAACATGGCAAATGACTAAAAGATAAGGCATTCTTTTTTTAAGAACTTAAAATTTTCAAGGTAAACATTTAAGATTTTTTAAGCTATTCTTTTTATTTTAGATGAGAATTTCAATTGGTTGAATACAACTATAAGGAGAAATTATGTGAATTAAATAATCTATCCTAAAATTAAGAAACAAAATTAGGGCCAGGCGCAGTGGCTCACGCCTGTAATCCCAGCACTTTGGGAGGCTGAGGCGGGCGGATCACAAGGTCAGGAGATCGAGACCATCCTGGCTAACACGATGAAACCCCGTCTCTACTAAAAATACAAAAAATTAGCCGGGCACGGTGGCGGGCACCTGTAGTCCCAGCTACTCAGGAGGCTGAGGCAGGAGAATGGCGTGAACCCGGGAGGCAGAGCTTGCGGTGAGCAGAGATAGTGCCACTGCACTCCAGCCTGGGTGACAAAGCGAGACTCCATCTCAAAAAAAAAAAAAAAAAGAAACAAAATTATTTTCACTAAATAAAATTAATTTCAATTCACTGAAATAACATTCTATTAAATTATTTTAGGAAAAAACTATTTATGACAATTTCAAGTTATCCTGAAATTTAGAAATCATTTTATACTCACATTGCTGGCTTAATACAGAGTGTTCTAATTGGGTCTGAATCTCTTGAAGATAATCTGAAGAGACCCAGAAGAAAAGAATAGCATGACTCCTTTTACTGTGATTATCATCCTTACTTTTCCATAACCCAAACCGCTTTAAATGTGTGGTATCCACTAGCAATGAAATCTCATTCAGGGACACTGAAACAAATAAAAGACAACAATTTAAAAAATTAATCCATTTAAGAATACACCACTTAAACATTATATGACACTTGTTAATACACTACTTTTTTTAAAAAAAAGAGAATTATATAGTTTTTTCAAAAATATATTTCCAGTGCACTTTGCTAACCTTAGCTAAAATGCCCCCAGCAGTATTATTAGAGTAAAAATAAATCACATTACAATTAGGAAGGGCTAAATAATTATTAAATGACAATTAAATAGAGATTGAATCTCTCACATTATATGATTTCAGTTATAACCAGAGAGGGAAAATTTGAGATTAAATATTCATAGCATAAAAACTCTGTCTGGAGAGAATTCTCTCCAGGAATTCTGATAATCGTTAGCAAAAAGGAAAAAAATGTCTATCAGTGCAGAAAACTAAGCACAGTATAACTCAGAAAATGATATATTTCCACCTTTTCTATATTGGTCAATACTATATAAACCAAGATCACAAGTGCTATCATAGGCCAATTCCTGCCCATCTTTCTTCTCCTAAGGCATTTGCATTCCGCTATACAGATAAGCCACTATCAAAAGAGTCTCAAGAAAATTAGGAGGTTCTGAATGGTCTAAGGAGACATTTCTTTTAAAATTCCTCCAGGTTTTATTTCTCAAAACTTCTAGATGATCATTCTAAATTATTGGTCTTTCTCCCTCTTAGGGAGCTAAAGGAATCTCCTCTGAGGACTTTTACTCTTTAATTCAAAGAAACATTAAAAAAAAAAAAACTGATTTAAAGAAGTCCTGAAGGTCACTTAGTTCAACTGCAAGACAGCAAGCAACTGAACTGGAATACAAATATCAGTCAAGCGTAAACCCAAGATGGGCACCTATTTGAAACACACCTCTTAGTATTCCTCCCAGCATTATTTCCTAGAACTTTGTTACTCAAAGTATAGTCTAAGCTGAGCTTGTGACATTAGTATCAGCAACATCTGGAAGACTGTTAGAAATGCAGAGTATCAGGCCCCACCTTACATCTACTGAACCAGCAGATCTCAGTTTAATAGCCCACTCCAACCCCGTGATTCACATGAACATTAAAATATGAAAATCTTTCCATGATGAGTATTTACCAGTCATCTTAATGTTCCCAAGCCAGTCATTCTATTCTTCATACTGTAACTCTTCCATTCTGAAAACTGTCAGTAAAAACTGGCAGCAAAGCTTAAATCAAAACCAGAATGAGAGCCCTCAGAATGCTACTCAGCATTTCTTTCTCATGAAGCTCACAGCCCCATAGGTACATTTGATCCTATTTCTGTGAAATCTACACAACTACTACTAATCTAATTGTTCTTGGTGTTTAGAATGAAAGCTAAATTTTCTTTAGGAAGACAACTTTAAAAGATTATCTTTTTCCTGTGTCCATGTGTTCTCATTGTTCAATTCCCACCTATGAGTGAGAACATGTGGTGTTTGGTTTTTTGTCCTTGCAATAGTTTGCTGAGAATGATGGTTTCCGGGGAGGGATAGCATTAGGAGATATACCTAATGCTAAATGACGAGTTAATGGGTGCAGCATACCAACATGGCACATGTATACATATGTAACAGACCTGCACGTTGTGCACATGTACCCTAAAACTTAAAGTATAATAATAATAATTTAAAAAAAGATTATCTTTTTAAAAAAAGGGAATTTAACACCATCATGAGAAAAATTTATACCTCATTACCAAGTCTGCCCCCAATATATGGTTTATTCTGTTACAGGTGTATAGCAGATACTAAAAGTGGGAGTTGCCTACCCACTTATCCATTTCTTCTTCTTCCTCAGTAACAGAACCCTAATTTTACTGAGGGAAGCAAGATACACAGTTTTGAAAACTCTATTTCCTAGCTTCCTTTACAAACGGGTGTGTGGGCTTGACTAGCTAGCTAATAAAATGTAAGCAGAAAAGGTTATGTCGCATGGACATCCAAGAAGGCTCCTTAAAAGGGCAAGAGATTGGTAGCATGTGCTCTGTTTACGGTTTCCCCTTCCTACTGCTTTCTGTCTAAAATATCAATATGATGATGGAGTCTGAGCTACAATAATGGCCATGAGATAAACTTGAGGATGCAAGTCATACGTCAGGAATGACAGAATAGAAAAATGCAACTCATGTGTCAGGGTCATGTGCCCCCGATGACCAAGGAAACATCACATCAGTTCAGATTACTTCTGGATTTCTTCTATGTGAAAGAAAAATAAAATATTTTCTTTATGCATTGTTACTAACAGCCAAACATAATTAATACCTAATATAAATACGGATAAATCAATTTTTCCCCAGCTGCACAGAAAAAGTGGAAACATTTAGACCCTCAGGTTCCCACCTACAAAAACCTTTATATGCATGCTTTGTTTTAAAAAGATTTATGGGAACTTGGACAGGACTTGAGGAAGAAGACTAATATTTTCTTCTTTCATTATAAAATTATAAACCTATTATCACTGAAGAGAGTATTTTTCCACAATCTGTAATAAAATTTCTTTTAAAAATTATATGCAATAGAAAAGTTATAAAATAAGAAAGCAATATTATAAATATTAACTGTGAAAATCTAAAATATCGTTTTTGATGTTTGTATCGCAAGAATTTGAGAGGCAGCTCTGTTACCCAGGTCTTTAACTATAAACTGTAGTGCTATCTTTTCTGAAATTATCATCCCCTTTTAAAATCACATGACTTTTTTTGTTTCTTCTACAGAACAAATATTATTCCTTAATAATTTATTAATATTTCCTATTTAGGACTATCAATATACTTATTCTGTGCCCTTTATATTCTTAATACTTAATTAAGATACAGTAAGCAATCAAATTATTAGAACAATTATCATAACATAGTTTTGGATTCTGTACATAAAGTATCTGTGGAATCCAACTAAATCCAACTAATCCAACTAAAGCTACTTTGATAGCATCTCCAATCTTGGAACAGAAGCCTCTTCTTCTCTAATTCCTATCTATGCCATTTGTGTGTTTTTCTTCCTTGTTCTTTTTAGAATTCATTATATAAATAGATTATCCTCTATTGTATATTGGTTTTCTTAGTGTCATAATTTATTCTGAAAGGTTTTCAGTTGGGAAGAGAATGAGAAAATGGTGTGAGTCTCTATAAGTTACAGGTACATTTTCCAGTCTACTTTCCCTTACTAAGATATGCAATTGTATAACATTCTCTTACCCTCTATGCAAAAACATTTTACATGTTTGTGTGCAATATTAAACATTTTCCTTATGCTTCTTTTCTTATAGTTACTATTGTTATCCATTTTTATATATACCAAAATATTGTTGCTATCTATCAGAACTGTGTTTCTGTTAATCCTAAGAAATCACCATGAATCCTTTAACACTGTTTGATTTATAGTCATTAAAACAATAGCATACGATTTTCAGAACAAGTCCATTATAAAACATTTTTACTCCATTTGGAATTGCTAAAAAATATTAAGGTGAAACATTATTAAACTTAGTTTTACTTAAATTTATACTAAAAACTATAGTAAAAAGACAAGTTCATAAGAGAATGATAACTTACCTTGAAATGGGATCTTAATATATTTTTTTGTGATCTGAAGAAAAAATTAAAAAGCAAACAATGAGTTACCACTCAAAATGTGTTACTATTCAAATTTTTTTTTTCAAATCACAAGTACATATTCAAAGTCTACATTATAAGTGCTCAAGCCTTTTTATCAATAAACCAATAAAATATTTCACTACAAAGACTTAGTTTTATGGAAATTTTAAGAACCCCATGTAAGTAATTTAATTCTCAATATGCTCATTTACAAAAACCAGTAAGACTAATAAATATATTTTTCAAAAATGTTTTCTGAAAATGTAAAGACTAAGACAAAGCCCAGAAGAAACTGCCAAGAGACCTCTAAGTAGCAGTGACTCTGGTAAATATAAATAGTCCATAAAACAGAGTTTCATTTTTGGCTTTGCTGACTCAGCAGCTGACGATGATTCCCTTGGTGATGAACTCACACTAACCAAACTCACAAGAAACTGCTAAACAAACCAAAATGCCAACATACTATTTTATAATGAGAAATTAAAATTGTCAGAAGGCTTGTGTCCAACCTGATGTGAATATTCTGTTTCTGTACAAAAACTACCAATTATAATTTTAAAATTTGCTTTTACCACATAAAAGCAGAACTAAAAAATTCAGTTGTTTAATGTGAAATGGCTACAAAAGTCATAGATTCAACTTCATTCACAGCAGTGATGCACCTGTCAAAATGGTAATATAAATTAAGTCCCTAAGCCAGAACAACCTCTTCCCTGGATGACTTTTAGGTGGGCACCACCGTCTTCATTCCTAGCATTCATCTTTCTTTGTTTCATGTTATAAATTCCCTTCCAACTGAGGTTCTTGCTCTTTCTGCTCCTTCTGTCCCAGGACACTTATTTTCTCTAGGTACCTTTTGTATATATCTGACTTCCTTAAGAGCTGCTTTTATAATAGGGTTGTGGAGCACCTAGCTAAATCTTACATGTACTATCTAAAGCAGACTTCTGCTTTGAAGTTTGTGTTTCCATTAATATCAAATGAATTTGTACCTATTTATTTATTACTTGGTTAAGTTTTGTTGTTGTTGTTCAATACATTTTGTTGATCAAATCGGGTATGGTCTGTGAGCACAAAACGAAATCAAAATGTTCTTGGTATGTGAGCTCCATTTAAGTATCAAACAATGTTCAGTGAAACCACAGGTTTATTTTGACTCCACTTATTTTCCAATTTAAAAATTATTTCATCTTGTACTTTCACAAATATAAAACCCTATATTCCATAGAGTAAGTGAGCCATGAAAACCAAATGTGAGGCAATAGATCATAATTAACTAAAAGCTGAGCTTGGAGTTAAAATCCTGCCTCTACTGTCTCTACCACTTACACAAGTAGTAAGTAGGTAAACTTAGGTAACTTATTGAACTTTTTCCAGCTTTAGTAAGATCCTTAATCAAGGAAGTTGTTATCATTAGACACTAGCATCTGATCAAGAATGTTACATAATTTAATCAAATATCTAATTATTGTTACTTTCATATAACTGCCACCATATTTAATGTATACTGCCCCTTTCCAAACTCTTTCTGGCATGTTTCACAGGGTCTTTAATCCTATAAAATATATCTTGGCAAACGTAAATCATTAGTACTAAAAAATAAACAGAAGCGGTGTTTGCCTTTCAGAATTTGCACAGCCATAACTTCCAAATTATAAAGTAGAAGTAGTGCATCTGCATGTCCCCACCCACTACTTACTACACTATTCTCTCACTTTCCCCCATCAAATGCTCGGGAGCTATCAAATGTTTCTACTTGGCAAGGATCTGATATTCATTTATCCCTCTGAATAATGACTAAGCCAATAGGTTACCTCTCCAGAGTTAAAACCCTACTCCCAGCAGACTTAACCCCTAGATTTAAAAATAAGAAAAATTTTGTGGCAGTAAGGTAAACCTAGTTCTCTGAAATCATACCAACTTTGTTTAAACTTAAGAATAAAGCTAATAATAAGAGCTATTTTATAATTTCTTACAATAGCTAATAGTTATCTGAATATAGTATTACTTAATTTCTCGTACTATCAACAAAGACTTTTAAGAAAGACAATGTTTACATTTATTGCAGCATTTGCTACACTAAAAAAATAACCAGTGTCTAACTATAGGAACATGGCTCTAATTTATGTAATAATTTCCAGCTATAAGTATTTTTCTAATTCAGCTAAATTGTAACTACTGTGAGAGTCAGAACAGTATCTCCAGTGTCTACAATAATGCTTAACACATAGTAGGTAGTCACTGAATATATGGAGAATAAATTAATTTAATTCTCTAATATCTTTACCCACCAAAAAAGAAAAAAAAGTTCTTTAATTTCTGTTACAGTGCATCCTGAACTGTCTGAAAAAGAATATACCTAAAAACCTGAAAAACCTGAAATTTTTACCCTTTTCCCTTTTTTAGGTTATTCATTATACTTAAAATTTTTTTTAATTGCTTATATTCTCTCCATCATAACTGTCCTAATTTTTGTAGGATTCTTCTCAGCCTTTGTTCACATGCATATATTTACTTTGAATTGCTAAATCACTTTCCTATAATTAAACATTTAAGTTTTTAATCTAATTATATGAAATGTTCCAGCAAACATAAATAAAATTTGTTACCTTTTATTTTAGGTTCAGGGGTACATGTACAGGTCTGCTATACATGTAAACCTGTGTCACAGGGGTTTGTTGTACAGATTGTTTTGAAACCCAGGTATTAAGCCTAGTACTCGATAGTTATTTTTTCTGCTCTTCTCCCTCCTCCCACCTTCAAGTAGGCTCCAGAGTCTGTTACTCCCTTCTTTGTGTCCATGAGTTTTCATCATTTAGCTCCCACTTATAACTGAGAATATGCGGTATTTGGTTATCTGTTCCTATGTTAGTTTGCTAAGGATAATAGCCTCCAGCTCTATCCACATTCCCGCAAAAGACATGATCTTATTCTTTTCCTAGCTGCATAGTACTCCCACTACATGTTCTTTATCCAATCTGTCATTGTTGGGCACTTAGGTTGATTCCATATGTTTCCTATTATGAATAGTGCTGCAATTCACATGTATATGTCTTTATGGTAGAATGACTTATATTTGTCTGGGTATAATACCAGTAATGGGATTGCTGGGTTGAATGGTAATTCTGTTTTTAGCTCTTTGAGGGATCGCCACATTACTTTCCACAATGATTGAACTAATTTGCATCCCCCAACAAGTGTGTCCCTTTTTTCTGCAACCTCGTCAGCATGTTGTTGACCTTTTAACAATAGCCATTCTGACTGGTATGAGATGGTATCTCACTGTGGTTTTGATTTGGATTTCTCTAATGATCAGTGATATTGAGCTTTTTTACCATATGCTTCTTGGCCACATGTATGTCTTTGGAAAAGTGTCTGCTCATGTCCCTTGTCCACTTTTTCATAGGGTTGTTTTTTTCCTGTAAATTTAAGTTCCTTATAGATGCTAGATATTAGACCTTTGTCAGATGCCTACTTTGCAAATATTTCCTCCCATTCTGTAGGTTGTCTGTTTACTCTGCTGATAGTTTCTTTTGCTGTGCAGAAGTTCTTTAGTTTAACTAGATCCATTTGTCAATTTTTGTTTTTGTTGTGATTTTGACATCCTCGTCATGAAATCTTTGCCTGTGCCTATATTCAGAATGATACTGCCTAGGTTGTCTTCCAGGGTTTTTATAGTTTTGGGTTTCACATTTAAGTCTCTAATCCATCTTGAGTTGATTTTTGTGTATGGTATAAGGAAGGGGTCCAGCTTCAGTCTTCTGCATATGGCTAGCCAGTTATCTTAGCACCGTTTATTGAATAGTGAGTGCTTTCCCCATTGCTTGTTTTTGTCTGCTTTGTCAAAGATCAGATGGTCATAGGTGTGCAGCTTTATTTCCAGGCTCTATATTCTGTTTCATTGACCTATGTGTCTGTTTTTGTACCAGTACCATACTGTTTTGGTTACTATAGCTCTATAGCACAGTTTGAAGCTGGGTAACATGATGCCTCCAGCTTTGTTCCTTTTGCTTAGGATTGCCTTGGCAATCAGGCCTCTTTTTTTTGGCTCCATATGAATTTTAAAATACTTTTTCATATTTCTGTGAATATCATTGATAATTTGATAGGAATAGCACTGAATCTATAAACTGCTTTGCGCAAGATGGCCATTTTAATTCTATTGATTCTTCCTATCCATGAACATGGAATGTTTTTCCATTTGTTTGTGTCATACTGATTTCTTGGAGCAGTGTTTTGCAGTTTTCATTGTAGAGATCTTTCACCTCCCTGGTTAGCTGTATTCATAGGTATTTTATTCATTTTGTGGCAATTGTGAGTGGGATTGCATTCCTGATTTGGCTCTTGGCTTTGTTGCTGTTGGTGTATATGAGTGCTAGTGATTTTTTTTTAATGTACTGCATTTTATTACATAAAAGTACAATTAGTAAAATAATATAGTAATTTATTTGAATATACTTTTAACTATAATTAATCATTCCTTCCTCTCACTATAATGTTGAAAAGTATTACTCTGAACACCTACCTTATACGTTACTTAATGTAAGTTAACTACAAAGAGCCTCTCCACTTACATTTTCATCATGCATCTCACATTTTAATCTCCTTATTCATTTATAGAAAAGGTCATAAATAATGCCCAACTAATAAAAAAGAATTTCTAATATCTCTGATGCAGCAACAATTGATCATATGCTTTCCCATGTGAATACAATAGGAATAAAATAACAGCATAAAGTAATTTGAAAGCTGTATTACATCATTATTCACTTTTCAAAAAAATTTTTTCAAGGAAACAAGTACATTTTCAATGTAATTACAATACTTCAAAAAATCTACTCCCTTTAAAGTTATATACAAATAATTTAACAACTTTAGTTGTAGATTAGTTTTTATACTCAACACTCTGATTTCGTGTAATGTCTGAAGTGTCAGTACCTTATTCTACTGTAAATTCTTTGATATTTACATAGAATCAATTTTGAATTAAATATTTTTTCATATTTACTGCATCGGCAAAAATATATTTTCATATAAACTCTGGTGTTTTCTAAGCAGTAATTTTTGAAAAAAAAAAGTGTTTCCAAATTCATTACATTTGCAGGACTCTTCTCCAATATAAATTCCCTGATGCTGAAAAAAGCTTGAGCAATTGCTTGAGGGTTTTCCTCTAGTACAAAATGTGTGCAATAAGATCTGTGATACAAGTAAAGGTACTACAACCCCCTTTATATTTGTAACGGTTGTCTTCAGAATAAATACTCTTCTTCACTTTAAAGGCTTATATTTTCTGAAAGAATTTTTGACAGTAATTGCACTTTTAATGCTTTTATTAACTATGAACATTCTTTTTTTTTTTGAGACAGAGTTTCGCTGTGTCACCCAGGCTGGAGTGCAATGGCGCAATCTCGGCTCACTGCAACCTCCGCCTCCTGGGTTCAAGCAATTCTCCTGCCTCAGCCTCCCAAGTAGGTGGGACAACAGGCATGCCCCACCATGCCCAGTCAATTTTTGCATTCTCAGTAGAGACAAGGTTTCACCATGTTGGTCAGGCTGGTCTCGCACTCCTGACCTCAGGTGATCCACCTACCTCAGCCTCCCAAAGTGCTGAGATTACAGGCGTGAGCCACCGCGAGGAGTGGCATTGCCTGGACACTGCACAGTGGAATTTATATAAGGATGTGATGTTAGAGAACTACAGAAACCTGTTCTTCCTTGGTATTGTTGTCTCTAAGCCAGACCTGATGACCTGTCTGGAACAAGGGAAAAAACCTTTGACTACGAAGAGACATAAGATGATTGCCAGACCCCCAGTTATATGTTCTCATTTTGCCCAAGATCTTTGGCCAGAGCAGAGCATAAAAGATTCTTTCCAAAAAGTGATACTGAGAAGATATGAAAAATGTGGACATGACAATTTACAGTTTAAAAAAAGCTGTAAAAGTGTGGATGAGTGTAAGGTGCACAAAAGCGGTTATAATGGACTTAACCAATGTTTGACAACTACCCAGAGAAAAATATTTCAATGTGATAAATATGTGAAAGTCTCTCATAAATTTTCAAAGTCAAACAGACATAAGACATACTGGAAAAAAAACTTTTAAATGTAAAGAATGAGGCAAAGCTTTTAACCAGTCCTCAACCCTTACTACACATAAGAAAGTTCATACTGGAGAGAAACGCTACAGATGTGAAGAATCTGGCAAAGCCTTTAAGCTGCCTCTAACCTTACTACACATAAGATAATTCACACTGGAGAGAAACCCTACAGATGTAGAGAACGTGGCAAAGCTTTTAACCACCCCTCACCCCTTTTTTCACATAAGAAAATTCTTATTGGAGAGAAACCATACAAGTGTGTTAAATGTGGCAAAGCCTTCATTTCATCCTCAACCCTTATTAAACATGAGATAATTCATAGAAACTCTACAAATGTGAAGAATGTGGCAAAATTTTAACTGTTCCTCAAACCCTACTAAACATAAGATAATTCATACTGGAGATATACCCTACAAATGTGATCAATGTGGCAAAACCTTCACCTGGTTTAGTCAAGCCTCACTAAACATAAGAGAACTCATACTAGAGAGAAACCTTACAAATGTGAAGAATGTGGCAAAGCTTTTAACTGGTCCTCAGCCCTTAATAAACATAAAATAATTCATATTGCACAGGAAACCTACAGAGTCAATAATGTGGCAAATCTTTTAAATGTTCCTCAACCCTTAATAAGCATAAGATAATTTATACTGGAGAGAAACCCTATAAATGTGATGAATGTGGGAAAACCTTTAACCAGCCCTCAACTCTTAGTAAATATGAGAATTTATATGGAACATAAACCCTACAAATATAAAGAATGTGACAAAGCTTTTTAAGGAAGTTCTCAACCCTTATTACACATAATTCATACTGGACAGAAACTCTACAAGTGTAAAGAACGTGGCAAAGCCTACAACAAATTCTCAATTCTTTTTTTTTCTTCTTTTTTTGAGACAGAGTTTTGCTCTTATCACCCAGGTTGGAGGGCAATGGCATGATTTCACCTCACTGCAACCTCCGCCTCCTGGGTTCAAGCCATTCTCCTGCCTCGGCCTCCCAAGTAGCTGGGATTGCAGGTGCCCACCACTATGCCTGGCTAATTTTTGTGTTTTTAGTAGAGAGGGGGTTTCACCTTGTTGGCCGTGCTAGTCTCAAACTCCTGACCTCAGATGATCCACTTGCCTCAGTCTCCTAAAGTGCTGGGATTACAGGCATGAGCCACCATGCCTAGTCATAAGTTCTCAATTCTTAAGAGACAAACGATAATTCATGCTGAAAAGGAACTCTACAAACCTGAAAGATGTGACAGTACTTGTACAAACACCTCCAACTTTGCAATACATTAAAAAAAAAAGTTATACTAGTGTGAAACCCTAGAAATGTATAAAACGTGACAAAGCCTTTATATGGTTGCCACACTTGATTGTAGGTAAGATAATTCATACTGGCAAAACTCCTACAAGTATAAAGAATGTGGCAAAACTTTTAATCTGTGCTTACACCTTATTTCACAGGAAAGCTATTACCCTTGAGAAAAATTGTCCACATATAAAGAATATGGAAAAGCCATTAATGCTAGTGATTTTTGTACACTGATTTTGTGTCCTAAAACTTTGCTGAAGTTGTTTATCAGCTGAAAGAGCTTTTGGGCTGAGATCCTATATCTAGAAAATTTATATATAATATATATAAATATATATATAGAATCCAGACATAGAATCATATCATCTGCAAACAGGGATAGTTTGACTTCCTCTCCTCCAATTTGAATGTACTTTCTTTCTTTCTCTTGCCTGATGGCCCTGGCCAGGACTTCTGACAATTAATTTTTAGGACCACTTTACAATGCTTACTGAATATTTGCAGTTCCCTACTGTTTGTAATAGTAAAATATTGGGACAATTTGAAATGACCAACAATTAAAAATTTTTAAAGACAACCCAAATATCCCAAAATAAGTAGAGGAATTAAATTAATGAAATTATGGTAAGTTACAAAATAGTACATATTATGTAATATCCCTTTGTTTTAATGTATCTATATATGTATGAAGAATATGCAACGATATATACTATACAGTGAATGGCAGTTGTCTCTAAATAGGCAAGATTATATGTGTTTGTAATATTGTTCCTTTACTAATTTGTTTGTGGTTTTTTGCTTGATCTTGGTTTTTGAGCATAACATGTCCACCTGACTGTGTAATAATATAATTAATATATTAATTAATAGAAATCCCATTGTTTAATATTTATATTGGATTTTCCTTCCCCCGGCTAATCATCACTCTCATATATTTAGGTTATCCAACTTTTTGCCATCAAAAAGAACTCAACAGAAATAACTGGGTAAACCTGAATTTAAAATAATAAAGTAAAATAGGGGAGAAAATCCTGAAAAATGAATAAAATTCCTTAAAGAAAAAGAATTGTAAAATCACCCCAGACATGCCAAAATCAGTTAAAACCAGTGGCCAAAAAAATGTTAATTTTAATTCATTCTTGAGCTTTCGAAGCAATGGTGACTGTATCACAAACTACTATTATTTGCAGTTCCCAGAATTTGGGATTAGGTCTTTGTCTGCATGGGTACCAAGTAAACAACAGGTACTTCATGTCTTATTCATGTGCTGTCTTCTCTGTGAAGCCTTTCCTGATTCCTCCAGACATTGATAGATATCCATTGCCATATGCACCCTTCTTGTACATATTTCTGTTTTATATTTTACCATAATGTAAAGTAAATATTTATGTGTCTGTCTCTTCCATTAGATTAAAAGCTCCCTGAAAGCAGAAACCATATCTTAGCATTTTTATATTCTCTGCCTTATCCCTAACACAGTGAAATATGAATGAAACTGCTATAAAAAATGCCTGAGTTACTAAATCTGACACAGTCACTTCAACAAACATTTAAGTGCCTGCTTAGAGTGGAAACATTTATGGAAGCTATAAAAGGAACTAAAACTGTGGCTCTTCACCATAAGCAGCTTAAAAGGTTAATGGAGAAGTTTATATAAGAATATAGGTAATTATAAAACACACAGAATAAATCTTAGAAGTCAAATGAAGTGTTATAAGTGTATAGCAAAGGGAGAAGTTAATTCCGTCTAAAAAGGAGGGATTAGGGAAAGTTTCCTGGAAGAGTCAGTATATCAGAGAAGCTTTAAAAGATGATTAGGATTTTAAAAGGTCAAAATGGTAAGAAAATATAGAGAACTGGCTGGGCACAGTGGCTCACACCTGTAATCCGAGCACTTTGGGAGGCTGAGGCAGGTGGATCACTTGAGGCCAAGAGTTCAAGACCGGCTTGGCGAACATGGTGAAGCTCCATCTCTACCAAAAAATACAAAAATTAGCCAGGTGTGGTGCCACGCACCTGTAGTCCCAGCTACTCGGGAGGCTGAGGCACAAGAATCGCTTGAATACAGAAGGCAGAAGTTGCAGTGAGCCAAGATCAGTGGAGTGCGCCCCTGCACTCCAGCCTGGGTGAAACAGTGAGACTCTGTCCGCCCCCCCAAAAAAAAAAAATAGAGAACCGAGTAGAATCCAGTCTCACTTTCATATACAGTGGGTGAGGAGGAGTATTTTCTTTTTTAATTAGAAAAACAGCGTAGGATTAGTTCCTGGATATCCTTAATTTAGAAATTTGGAGAAGTCAGTTTACAACCGTTTAAACTGGTAAAACAAGATTTCTTCTTTATGCTCCAAACTATACCTTGAAAAAAATTTTACTTTACCATCAAATAACTTTTAGAACCCAAAGATTATCAATACATGTGATTTTTTTTCACACATGATTTTCATTAGAGTAGTCAGATTAGGTAGGATTTTAGGAGGGGAGAATGAAAGACACATTTCAAATTAGGTATAATGACTTTCAACATATCCAAAGTGTCCCATATAAAATAAATCTTAATTCTATTCTTATTTGTGCTAAGAAAAAAAAGGAAAAAAATTAAAATGCCTTGTCCAAGATCCAAACTAAAAGAAAATTAAAGAAAATATACTTACTGTAACACAACCTTTAGAAGCTCCTTTTATTTTACCAATATAAACAGAAGTAAATATAAAATCCAGTTGTAGATCCATCTCATTACTAGGCATAATACTGGAAATGTTCTCCATGACAGGATTATATGGGCATAATTCAGATGACATCTAACAAGGAATAAATCATAAAATGCATATAATTCTTAAGTACTATATAAATGCTGAAAATGACTTTCACCATCAAATTCTTCTTTAAATTACTATTAGTGAATTTTTGAAGAACTTTATACTGTTCTTACTGTGAAGAAATAGCTATCTAGATTTTTTTTCTGAAAAAATATATGACTTACCTTTGAGAAAATTACACTAAATAGCTGAATCCAAAATTAATTCCACAGCCTAAGCTCCAGAAATATATACTCCTCTGTATCAAAGCCATGGTTTCACATTCAATAGTCTCTAATAGGTTTTATTCATTTTTAACTTGACAGAAGAAAGTTTTAAACATATATTGTACTTTTGTTTAAAATAGGTTTTTAAATATATTATCTCTTTTAATCCCCACAACCACCCTATAGGCAGGTTTTTCAGTTTCCCATTTCATAAATAAAGTTAACAGATGTTTAGATTGGTTAAGCGACCTGCCTAAAATCATGCGATTAGTAAGAAGCAAAACAAAGATTCAAATGCACGTTTCTCTCTCCAGGTCCAGTGTCACTTCAACCACATAAAATTGTTTCCATTAACCAAAATAATGTTCTTGCTACTGCACTTTAAAATTTTTTTATTTTAGATTCAGGGGGCATATGTGCAGATTTGTTACAAGGATAATATTGCGTGATGCTGAGGGTTGGGCTTCTATTGAACCTGTCACCCAGATAATACCCAACAGGAAGTTTTATGGCCCTGGCTCTCCTCAACCCTCCCCCTACTTTTGGAGTTTCCAATGTCTATTGTTCCCATCTTTATGCCTGTGTGCTACTGCACTTTTAATATGCCGTGAAGGAATGTAAGTACCTAAGAACCATCTGTTATCTCAAATTTATATGCTTTATTGTATACTCTATGTTTGAAGACAACCAACCAGAAATGGCTTATACTTGCCTAAAACCTCAAAAATCATATCACTTCCACTCAAGTGACTATATAACTTTGCTTTTAAATTATAATAGAAAACCAGGCAATATCAGCAGCAACTCTTTCCCACTGTTTCTTCTGAAATTTACACTACTTTCAGATGACTTTTTCAACTTTTTCAAATGTGCCTAACCTCTGCACATTATCCGTAACATCACACATTACCAAACAGATTACTACTAAAGCAGTTATTATGCATATGTACTCACTCCCCTCTTACCTCTCGCAAATGTGACTAATCCTTATCTAAAACATATATCATACTCATTATTTTAAACCCAGCTCATAACGCCATTTACCTGCTTAATTGAATTTCTTTGTCATTCTCATGTTTTATTGCTTAGTATACTATTAATATCTTCTTATTCCCTAAGTAAAAAAGGGAATCAATCAATCAAATCAAATCAGGTAGCTCCAACATCAGTCAGACAAATAACTGTGGGCTTTTTTAGTGATAAAATGAGAAGTTGGTATAGAAATAATTTCTCATTGGGTTTCACATTTTGTAAAAACTAGCTGGCTCCTAAAAATGACCAATCCATATTTCTCATAATTCATTTAAAACTGGAACAAGAGAGAGCATAGAGATGTGGCATTCTGCCTTATATGTCTTTGTAGATCTCCACAGTATTGGCTGCTTGGTTGTGATTATGAATGTAGTAAATTCCACAAGATATGTTATTTTCTTATAATATGATCATTTCATACTACATTGTCAATTTATACCCTGCCAAGACCTAATTCTTCTACAAGTTTAAATTCATTATCAATAATGACACTTTTAATTATATATACAACTAAACCATCAAGTAGGATATTGACCCCATCTGGTAAAAATGGTTACATTTTTGCAAAAATTCAGAACAAAGCTGCTGAGGTGATTTCTACGTGGAATACCAAATACAAAAGAAAATACCCATGAAACAATAATCAGACCAAACTGTTTTCATAGATCGGGCCAACTCTTCACCATACTCTGCAAAATAACAGCCTCTGACATTATTCAAAAACAAAACAAGATAAGTTTACCATAATTCTGCACTGGTGGTCAATGATCTTTTCTTACAAATAGAATAATCACAGACTAATAATAAGAAAGAGTACCAGCTGGGAGCGGTAGCTCATGCATGTGATCCTAGCACTTTGGGAGGTGGAGGTAGGAGGATTGCTTGAGCCCAGTAGTTAGAGACCAGCCTGGACAACAAAGAGAGACCCTCATCTCTAAAAATAGTATATATTTTAAAAACATTAGCCAGGCTTGCTGGCATGAGCCTATGGTGCCAGCTACCTGAGAGGCTGAATGAGAGGGATGCTTGAGCCCAAGAGGTTGAGGCTGCAGTGAGCCATGATCATGTCACTGCACTCCAGCCTGGGTGACAGGGCAAGACCTTGTCTCAAAAAGAAAGAAAGAAAGAAAGAAAGAAAGAATACTGATAATAAATGATTTGAACCTTATTTTAGACCTACTCTCTTCAAAGGACTGAATTAATCGACTGATATTAAACTAACACACTTCCATTTATGATTTTCTATAAGAATGAAGAGGCAGAGGACTTACCAAACTTGATAGGTTTCTGACCTATATCTCCAAAGCCATGTTCTTTCCTCTATATCATACTGCCTTCATAGTATGTGAGGAAAAGGAGTAATTCCAAGTAGCCATAATACTCCAAGACCAGACATATAAATACTAGAAAATGTGTTTAATTCTACAAAATGTTAGTGAAATGTCCAATGAAAGCCATAAAAAAAGAAAAATATTCAAGTAATAGACTATTCAGACTGAAAAATATAAATCACCAGAAGAAAATGGCATAATCTTTTCATTTCAAAATAAAGACAACTACGTATTTCACTCAAACTACTATAAAAGTTGTCTGAAAATTCAAACTAAGAAAATTTGTAATTTTCATTACAATATTCAGCTTGATAAAACAAATAACAGTCATTAACCAATAGTGTACATTTCATTGTTAATCTATGAGAAGACAGAAATAAATTACCTGTACAGATTCACATGTAATCAATGGTAGTTCTAACAATGCTGATTCAGAAGTACTCTCATTTTCATTAGTTGTCTCACGGTCTTGCTTAGATTGTAACTTAAGAATTTCTGAACTTTTATGTTCAACAGGTCCTTCTTCATCACTGGAAACAACAACTAAAACGGAAAAGAAAAATGTATTTTTGTTTATTTATTTATTTATTTATTTATTTTTTGAGACACAGTCTCCCCATCTCGGCTCACTGCAACCTCCACCTCCCGGGCTCAGGCAATTCTCCTACCTCAGCCTCCCGAGTAGCTGGAATTACAGGCATGCGCCACCATGCCCAGCTAATTTTTGTATTTTTAGTAGAGACAGGGTTTCACCATGTTCGCCAGGCTGGTCTCAAACTCCTGACCTCAGGTGATCCTCCTGCCTTGGCCTCCCAAAGTGCTGGGATTATAGGTGTGGGTCACTGCACCCAGACGAAAAATGTATTTTAAATGTGTAACAATCACATATCAAAAAAAGAACTTTTGGCCGGGAGCAGTGGCTCACTCCTGTAATCCCAGCACTTTGGGAGGCTGAGGTGGGTAGATTCCCTGAGGTCAGGAGTTCAAGATCAGCCAGGCCAACATGGTGAAACCCTGTCTCTAGCAAAAATACAAAAATTAGCCGGGCATGGTGGTACATGCCTATAATCCCAGCTACTTGGGAGGCTGATTAAGGAGATTACTTGAGCCCAGGAGGGGGAGGTTGCAGTGAGCCAAGATCGCACCACTGCACTCTAGCCTGGCCGACAGAGAGAGACTCTGTCTCAAAAAAAAAAAAAAAAAAAAAAAGAACTTTCTAATTAATGCAATTTATTTTTAATAATCCTGTTAAACTGAATCATCTAAATTTATTCAATTTAGAAACAGGCCTATCAGTTGTTATCTGATTTATAGTAGTTACAGACAATGACTCTATATCAGCGCAATTATTCAGCAGTTACCTGTACCCTTACCTTCTAAAGAATAAAGATGTTTAAAAATGGATAAAGCCATGAGGAGGCCTTAGTAACAAATTCTAGTTCTAACAGTGTATTGTGCCATCACTCTAAATTGTACTTTTAAGTCCTGTTACATGAATTGCTTCAAGGAATGGGAAATTAATAACTAGGGGAAGATGTGGGCGAGTATTCACTGGAGATCCTTTAAAACCTTTGGAATTTCTTTGTACCATGTGATGGCATCAACTACTCAGAAGCTGATTAAATGAAAATTAATGATAATAATCAGATAGCACTTAAACTCTGCATAATTCATCAACCAAATGACAGTAATGATGGTCTTTAAATAATCTATTTTAAAACTATTGAGATGACAGTGTACTTACTAATCTAAGAAAAAAATTACTTCTGTTTTCAAGTCCTCCATTAGTTTACCTAAATCGATATTTTAAAACTCATGAAGGAGACCCCAAACCCCAAGCCCTTTTTTCCTAAAGTTAATATATTCCACAATGATGTCATAAACAGCTTATGGCCTTAGCCAAATTTGTTCAAGAAGAATAAAAAAATAACTAAGTAAAGCAGAGGAAATTAAGTAACTTTATAATCCTCCTGTCACTTACTTGGTTCAGCTGAGATCAGTGATTGGTTCCCTTCATTATGTCCTCTTAGAATAGGCTTTTCTATGGTATTCAACTCATTCTCATCCTTCTCAACCAGGGAAGAAATCCCCACAATATCAATGGAATTAGAGTTCTCAACGGTTTCAGTGGTTGAACCGGCAGAGGCACTTTTGGTGGCATTACTCAAAGTCAACTCCTGACTGTTAAGTGAGGATAGTTTAGTAAAATCACTTTTTGTAGGTTTAGTTGTAATTTCTTCAGGCAGTTTTGGATCCTGATGATAGTTTTCACTTGGCTTTTCAAACTCAGTGGATATTGTTGAGTCATCTTCTTGTTTTTTCTAAACATAAACACATAGAAAAAAATAGCATTTTTCAAATTTGGCTTGCTTAAACCATTTTTAAATTCCTAAAAAAAAGTAAAAATATTATATCACTTCTATAACTACATGGATAGAAAACTAAACAATTATACTACATTATACTTGCCAATGTCTCCCAAATTTAAAGATACAGGATTTGGTCTGTCCAATCTGATGCCTGATAATTTTTTAAAGGGTGAAATTGGGAGATTTCCATCATTACAAATGCTTTGTCAGACGGTCTCCCATGATCTAAGTCAACTTTAGAATGAGAAGATGTATTTACATATTTTTATTTTGCAAAAGTAATAATGCCAATGTGACTACTTTGGTAAAACTACTTTGGTAAAAAAATTTAAAAATCAACAATATAACAACATTAAAAATTATGAAAATCAACCACTGCCTTCAATATCTCATTTACTATATAAATCTGAATCATGTTTATAATTACAACCCAAAAACATTACAAGGTCCTGAAATGATTTATGGATCAAAGAAATTGAAAAGCTGTCTTACTGTTTTATTGCTACTTATATACTAAGTCTTTGAAAATAGAAAATGTATGTATTTAATATGATAATTCTTTACTTAGAATAAATTCCCTAAACTCTAGATAAACAGAAGCTTAAAGAATTTGATAAGTAAATTGCTACTGATAAAATAAATCTAATAATAATTTTACAGAGCAAGCAAAAAAAAATGACTAGACAGTATGAATAGTATTTGGCTGAAATAAAGAAAAAGAAAAGTCTGAAGGATGTACAACTACCTACTAAGGAAAGAGCGATACAAGAAAATAAGCAATTTTAACTTTTTTAATCATTCATAGTATTTGAAATGTGTTCCAATAACTCTGTATCACCAAGAAAAGTTACATTTAGAATTGTTTTTTAATAATAAAGCTAACAGTGAACCAAAAACTAAAGAAATCTCATAATAAAAGCTGAAAGCTAGAGGAACATTATTTGGCCACAGTCAACTCGTTTTTATCATAGCATGAAATTATTTCCTATAATATCTAAATACCTCTACTTACTGTCTGTTCTGTTGACTTATCCAAAGAAGTACAATATTGAGAATCAGGTAAATTATTTCTAAGCCTTCTCTTTGTCTTCCTGGAAATCAGAGTGAGTTCCACTTTTGAATCAGAATATTTAACATCCTTGTTTCTGCTTTCCTGTTCGAGATGATCACAACCTCTACTTCCACTGTTAAGGTCTTAAAAAACAAATGAAGCATAAATATGGACAAAAAAGTATAGAGAGAATCTCTTTTAGAAAAGCTCGAAGTAACATCATCAGGATTGCTATACTACTTCCAAAGCTCATTAAAACAGAAATGTACTGTTAAATTCTCATACTGACACTGGATGAAGGTAAAGGCATGCCCTATTTTAATTGGTATATACCAAGTAAATGTTCATTATACAATAGTTGTGAGGTGAGAAAAATATATAAAGAAGAAATATCCTTTTTCATAGTAGCCAAAGCAAAGCCACCAAACTGTTTTTCCATTTGCTATAAATGCATTTGGCTGTACTATCAAAAAAAAAAGGGGATTAAGAAAATGTGGCCCATATACACCATGGAATACTATACAGCCATAAAAAAGGATGAGTTCATGTCCTTTGTAGGGATATGGATGAAGCTGGAAACCATCATTCTCAGCAAACTATCACAAGGACAAAAAACTAAACACCACATGTTCTCACTCATAGGTGGGAACTGAACAATGAGAACACTTGGACGCAGGAAAGGGAACATCACACACTGGGCCTGTTGTAGGGTGGGGGGTGGGGGGAGGGGGGAGGGATAGCATTAGGAGATATACCTAATGTGAAAGATGAGTTAATGGGTGCAGCACACCAACATGGCACATGTATACATATGTAACTAACCTGCACGTTGTGCACACGTACCCTAGGACTTAAAGTATAATAATAATAATAAAAAAGGGGGGGTCTTATTAAAATCCAGAAAATTCATGTCTTAAAGTTTGATAATTCAATGTGACTTTATAAACTAAGTCTTTTAAAATGTAATTTACATAAATACATATTTTTAGTGGAAAGGGACTATAATTTGAAAGAGTGTTGATCACTGCTCTTTAAAAGGAGACAAAATACCTTTGCTCTGTAGTTGGCTATAATATGTGATCATTCACAAGGTTACCAATTTACTTGCCAGTTTATTTCTTCTTTTCAATAATCAAGACCCTGTCATTTTAAGTCTCCAATAAATCCATCATTCTAGAGAAGTACTTCCTTTTTTAAGTCAACAAGACATCATTTTGAAACTCATGCCAATCATTACTAAAAATATTTAATATTTGTTATCAAATATATGTACTGTACAAAAATACCTTCCAAAAGTTTCCACCTAATTGACTAAAAGTTATCCTGAATTATTTTGCTTTCTGAATCTATGTCATACAAGTACCAACTCAAAGTTTATACACAGCAAGTCACAAAGCAGTTGCCTTTAATTCACAATTTTCAATTCATCTGACTGGCCTGACTTTTCCATTCACGGAACGTTCTTCAACACCATACATCTTCTCTTCAAACTATTCTTGCTTTTACTGTAGCTTCAACAATTCCTAATAACTAATATTCATGATAATTTGTCTTTGACATTACTTAAAGGAAGGCACTGGAACAGGATTGAGGGTAAAAATTCCAAGATAGTCAATCGCCTTTCAATTTCCAGAGAAAACACCTTACTCCCTAAGGAAAATAAAACTCCCCCCAAATCATCAACACAATATTTAGGATAGCACATTAAATTTTATATGTAATATTGTAAACTATAAAAGTGGTCTAATACAATTTCTACACACAATGTATCAAACTATAATTTCTAAACATAAATATTATACTACAGTAAAATGATTCATGAAAGGAAAGGGGCTTGAGAAAAACTTGATTATACAGGAGTTTTCTTTTAAACAATTTATTATTTGCATATCAGTCAAGCCTGTCTCATGGAAAAAGGAATAACTTTATTATATAGAATGAAATATTGTAAAAATAGAATTCCACCTGCATAATATATAATTCAACCTGCAAATATTACTAGCATATAAAACTAAAGAGGTGACAAAATCCTGTAAACAAAAGAATACTAAGTATTTCCAAGGTATTATGTTGGTGAAAGCAAATTCCACAAGGCAAACTTAATGTGCTATGGAAAAAAATGGTACACCTAAGATTTCATTCAGAATTTCCATTAATTTACAGGTTTTTAAAAAATAACTGGTATCAGATGTAGGAGAGTAAACACTGCTTTAATAAAGATTCAATAGCTAATTGTATTAGAAACACTTTCCCTACCAGTAGTGGTACCTTCAGGGATACTGAAAAACTAAAAAATGTTTCTTTTGTCATGTACTCTTCCCTGATGCATGTCTAAAATGCCACTGTGATCTTGAGGTAACACTCCTGGGTACAAATCAGAAAGTATTTTATTCAAGTCAATGTGAGGACTGTTAGTCCTCACATTCTACTGCTTTCCTGGGTAGAGTAGGAATCTTTGTCTTGATAGTACCTGAACTGAGCCCACTTGTACAAATACTTACATTTTTACTTGGTAATCAATACAGTCATCCCTCAGTATCCTCAGGGGATTGGTCCCAGGGACCCAGGATACCAAACTCCATGGATCCATAAGCCCCTAAAGGTATAGTATTTGCATATAACCTATATACATTCTCCTGTATAGTTTAAATAATCTCTAGATTACTTATAATACCCAATACAACATAAATGTTATGTAGTTGTTATATGTATTTTTTATGATTGTATTATTTTTATTGAAGTTTTTTTCAAATATTTTCCATCTTTGCTAGGTTGAATCTACAGATGCAGAACACAAAGATACACAGAGATGATTGTAATTACTTCTAAGAAAAGTACAGTTTATAAGAAAATAAATGTTTTTCATTATACACTGACAGTGACTAATTGGAAGCTTGTCTGAACAAAGTCACAGCACATTCTCCAAAGACTGCCTTTATAAGAGTTTCAGCTGGTTTCTTGTACAAATAAAAGTTATTACTGTAGTTTCATTTTAAATTTTTTTCTATTAAAAAGGCTACTAAAAAGAATCTTTAAATAGCTGTGCTCCAAATGAAGTGTAATGAATTTTTGCACAGCATCATCAAAAGATTTTTTTGTATTGTGAATAACTTATGAAATCACTCAAAAATAAAACAGTGGCCAAGCGCGGTGGCTCTTGCCTATAATCCCAGCATTTTGGGAAGCCGAGGCAGGCAGATCACTGGAGCCCAGGAGTTTGAGACCAGCCTGGGCAACACGGCAAGACCTTGTCTCTGCAAAATACAAAAAATTAGCCAGGCGTGGTGGTGCATGACTATAGTCTCAACTACTCGGGAGGCTGATGTGGGAGGATCACTTGAGCCCAGGAGGTAGATAGAGGCTGAAGTGGGCTGTGATCATGTGTGATCATGCCACTGTACACCAGCCTGGGTGACAGAGTGAGGCCCTGTCTTAAAAAGAAAAAGAGAAAGAGAAAAGCAAGAAAGAAAGCAAGCAACAAAGAGACTTCAACAACATTTGAAGCTATCAATAATCCAACAGACCCCTAAAGGTGTTAGTTTCACAAATAAATAATGTAGTAAAATTGTTTTTCTTCAAGTATCAGTAAAATATTTTTAATTCTTGAAAGAGAGGCAAAAAAGAAAAAGAAGTCGAATCATAAATCCTATATGCAAGGAGGCCTACAAAAAATTTTCACAAGTCTAGGAAGTATTTACCTTCAAATTTGCTAATAGTGGCTTGTTTGGCATCCTCCTGAAGTTGAGAGAAATTCTAATGAATAGAGAATGTATTTCATGGTAGGCAAATAGACAGTGATTAGCTAATAATAAAAACCCAGTTAGCAGTAACATTAATATCCATGGAAACAACACTTAGAAACAGCTAAATGAACATAACTTCATAGCTATATCCAAGTCTCCCCAAAGAAGAAAAAAATATATTAAAATTTAACTTTTGGGATTAGTAAATAAATCTAGAAATGAGTACTACGCTACATAAAGAGTAGGTTTAGCAATTTTATTTGTGTTGCCAAATAATCTCCCTTTACTTTCACATATCCTTTCAAAGTAAAATAAAATAATTTATTTATAACAAAAATTATTATTAATACAATAAGAAAAAATTCAAATTCCAACAGTTTTCTAAGGTTCACAAACCTTCAGGCTGAGTATCAGATATTAAAAGAGAAATGCCATCATCCTTTCTTCGTTTTTCTTTATTGTGCGCAGTCTGCTTTGCAGAATTGTCATCTACTGTCTTACTTCGTTGTGAGCCCCTGCAAAAGAGAACTGTATTATACTCAATTCTAATAAAGCCCAAATGAATTTAGAAGCCAACTAGCATGTATTTAAAAATCCAACACATTACAAACACAGTCCCACATGGCAGACTATAAGATCTGGGTAGTAAAAAAAATATTGAACTCAGATTTAAGAAATAAGTTATCCTCCCTTTTCTACCTTTAAATTCCCCATGTGTGTTTAGGGGGAAAAAAAATGAGATATCAACATTGGAGGATTGTGTACATGCAAAATGAGCAAAAGAGTAATACTATACAAGTATTAAATTAGGTTTAAAAAGTAAAATTCCAAGGACACAAGTACCTCAATAATTAAACCTATGTATAGGCAAACAATTATAAGCCAAAGCTGAATGTTAATATATTTCAAGCGTGGTTCATATACCAAAAGTATGGTAACAAATTTTCAGTAGTATGTGGTAATAAATTTTACCTACAGAGAAAATAATTTAAAGTCTAAGGTACTGGTAAAATAACAAATTTTGGAATGATAGTCACAATGTTACTACTAAGGAAAATTTAGAAATATAAAACATACTATAATGTATAAGTGCATACATATGAAACAAAATATAAAAACTTAGACTGGAAGGATTCAAGCCTATTTGGGTAGTAGATAACTCTAAAGAGGGAGAGTATTAGAATCAGGGAATATAAAATAAATAAGTTTTCAACTTTCTATAATACTTCTTTAAAAACAAATTTAAATCTGAAAAAATAGGAATTATATTGGTTAAATCTGAGTGATATGTATTGGCATATTATTCTCTATACTTATGTACATATTTGAAGTATTTCATAATTTTAAAATATATAAATTATTTACAACTAAGGCAACTAGTATAAGTCAAAAACAAGGACTATAAAGACCAATTACACGTAATGCTTCCTTGTTTTGAGAGAATTATTTGGAAGGCTAAAAATGACTTATAAATTAAAAAAAGCTACAGTATCCAAACATCACCAGTGTAGTGTCATAGTTAAAGAAAGGGTTATTGCTGCTATTACACTGCTCATTTTCATATTTACTTTGGTAAAATTTTCTTTATTTTCAGATTGGAAATTAAAAGGCCAAAATAATCAAAATCGTAAGGGTGAGCCAATTTCACTTGCAAAGAGGTTCTGACTGAGTCAAATCATTCCACTCCTCAACCCTCAAGAATCATTCTTGAAGAATAAGGGCATCTAAGCAAATTTATACCATAGAGTTTTGTTTACTGAAAATGAAAACCAAAAGAGAAGTCAAAAAAAATTTGTCCTCCCTGAAAGAATTATCACTACAGGCACTATAAACAAAAATAAAATGTGACCTAAAAGACGATCTAAAAAGATGCTTAGGTACTTATGTTTCCCCTGATATAAGAAGCAAACAGTGTAATAGTCCTTGTTTTTCTAGCACAATGAACACTGAAAAACAAAATAAGATTTCACATGTAAATCACATTAAAAGTTATATGGTTGTAGAAAAAAGACTTTATAACAGAGGATTTTCTTGACTAAACGCTAAGCATTAAGTAGTTGGCATGAAACCAAAAATAAAAATGAGTATTTTCAAAAGGTAATGTCATATGATTCAAATGCACAACAGTGAAGCCAAACACATCTGTAATATAATCTCAATCCAAATAACAGTTTTTTGCAGAATATGACAATCTGGTTCTAAACTGTACATGGTGGAAAGTCACGTGTTTAAAGATAAGGACAGCAATGTTCAAACACTGTTAGCTTCCATCCTCTTATAAGAAAAGGAAATGAATGGACTGGAAACACCCAAGTTCCTGAACAAGAAATATAAATATTCACATTATTCAAGTTAACAAGTAAATGTAATAAAAGCTCAAAATAAATATTTTCCAATGCAACAAAATTCTAAGAATTTTTTTAAATAGCCAAGCAAATATACTTTAAAATTATAAAAATGTATTAAAATAGCGTGGTACTAGAATAAAGAGAGACATATCGACCATAGAAATAGAAAACAGAACCCAGGAACAAACTTTCAAATATATGCTCAAAAGATTTTTGACAAGGATGCTGAAACCATTCAATAGGGAAGGGACAGTCTTTTCAATAAAGGGTGCTGTGAACATAGGATAGTCATATGCAAAAGGAAGAAGTTGGACAGTTATCTAACACCATCTACAAAAATTAACTCAAAGTGGATCAAACACCTAAATATAAGGCAGAAAACTATAAAACTCTTAGAAGAATGCATAGGGGAAATCTTTATGACATTAGATTTGGCAGTGATTTCTTTGATATAACAACAAAAACACAGTCAACAACAAAGATAAATTGGAGTTCATTAAAATTGAAAACTTATGGCTGGGCATGGTAGTTGACGCCTGTAATCCCAGCTACTCGAGAGGCTGAGGAGTGAGGATTGCTTGAGGCCAGGAGTTCAAGAACAGCCTGGGGAACATAATTCATTATGGGGTTTCACCCCACCCACACACACACACACACAAAATTTAATAATTAGCTGGGCATGATGGTATGCCCCTGTAGTCTTAGCTACTCAGGAAGCTGAGGGGAGAATCACTTGATCCCAGGAGTTCAAGGTGGCAGCTACAATTGTGCCACTGCACTCCAGCCTGGGCAATAGAATGAGGCTCTGTCTCAAAAAAAAAAAAAAAAAATCAAAAATTTTTGTTTATCAAAGGACACTAGTGAAAAGACAACCCACAGAATGGGAGAAAATATCTCCCACCCACATATATATTAAAGGATTAATACTGATAATAATAAAGACCTCCTACAGCTCAACAACAAAAAATAAATAACAATTAAAAAATGGGCAAAGTATTTGAAGAGATGTTTCTCCAAAGACATACAAATGGCCAATTAGCATGAAAAGATGTTCAACGTCACTAATCACTAAGGAAATGCAAGCCCAAACAACAATATACCATTTCACACAGATTAGGACAGAGTAATTTAAAAAAAAATTTTTTTTTCATTAAAAAAAGTTAAACATTGGCAAAAATGTAGAAAAATTGGAACCTCTGTACATTGTTGGTGGGAATGTTCAACAGTGCAGTCACTGTGGAATGGTTTGGTGGTTCCTCAAAAAGCTAAATAGAGAACTGCGATATAAGAAGCTAAACACAGGCCGAGCACAGTGGCTCACGCCTGTAATCCCAGCACTTTGGGAGGCTGAGGCGGGCGGATCACCTGAGGTCGAGAGTTCAAGACCAGCCTTTCCAACATGGAGAAACTCCGTCTCTACTACTAATACAAAAATTAGCCAGGCGTGGTGGCGCACGCCTGTAATCCCAGCTACTCAGAGGCTGAGGCATGAGAATCGCTTGAACCCGGGAGGCGGAGATTGCGGTGAGCCAAGATCATGCCATTGCACTCCAGCGTGGGCAACAAGAGCGAAATTCCATCTCCAAAAAAAAAAAAAAAAAAAAAAAAAGAAGCTAAACACATAATCACAAAGTTACCAAGCAATCCCACTCCTAGGTATATACCCAAAGGAATTGAAAGCAGGTACATGAACAGATTCTTGTACTCCACTGTTCACTGTGGCACACTATTCACAATAGCCAAAAGGTGAAAACAACCTTAGGGTCCATCAAGAAATGAAAAGAAAAACAAAATGTGGTATATTCATACAATAAAATATTATTGGGCCATAAAAAGGAATGAACTTGTGATAAGTGCTACATGAATGAACTTTGAACACATTATGCTAAGTAAACTCAGCCAAACACAAAAGGACAAATATTGTGTGATTCCACTTAAAGAGGTAACTAAAATAGACAAATTCACAGAGACAGAAAGTAGATTAGAGGCTACTAGGGGATTAGGAGAGGGGAGAATGGGGAATTATTATTTAATGGTAACACAGTTTCTGCTTGAGATGAAAAAGTTGTGATAATGGTTGCACAACAATATGGATGAACTTTGAGGACATTATGCTAAGAAAAAATAAGCCACTAACTAAAAGACAAATACTGATATTCCATTCATATGATGACATATTTAGAATAGTCAAATTCATACAGGCAGAAAGTAGAATGGTGATTGCCAGGGACTGGAAGAAGGGAAAAATAGGGAGTTAGAGTTTAATAGATACAGAGTTTCAGTTTGGGAAGATGGAAAAAGTCCTGGAAAAGAATGGTGGTGATGGCTGCACAAATATGTGACTGTACTTAATGGCAGTGAACTGTACACTTAAAAATGGTTAAAATGGCAATTTTTAGGTTACTGATATTCTATTACAATCTTTAAAATACAAAAAAGGTATTAAAATATACAATAAATGAAGGGAATAGGAGAACTAGTTCTACTAATTTCATAATAAAACATAATACAGAGTAACATCAACAAGTAAAGTATAGTATTACAGACTAGTATATAAGAAATGGCTGGCAAACAGCAAAAAACCAAACACCGCATGTTCTCACTCATAGGTGGGAATTGAACAATGAGAACACATGGACACAGGAAGGGGAATATCACACTCTGGGGACTGTTGTGGGGTGGGGGGAGCGGGGAGGGATAGCATTAGGAGATACACCTAATGTTAAATGACGAGTTAATGGGTGCAGCACACCAACATGGCACATGTATACATATGTAACAAACCTGCACGTTGTGCACATGTACCCTAAAACTTAAAGTATAATTTAAAAAAATGCAAAAAGAAAAAAAAACAGAAGAATTTGAAACAAAGCTGGGAAACAAAGCTTTCAAATTCAGTTGTAGTGGACTAACTGGGTAACAACAGAGAAAAAAAAGAATTCAGAACTACATCCAATACTCTAAGGTAAAATGAACTATCATATGCTAATGACTAAAAGTTGTAAGATTTTTTTTAAACAACCATCAGAAGAAAAACACTATATTTATTAGCCTTGTGGAAGAAGAATTTCTTGAGAATGGAAGTAAAGAAATTATAGAGAAAAATATGATCGGATTCAACCACATACATGGTAAACTTTTAATAAATGATAAACTAAGAGCATCAAAATAAAAAAGAGAAATTAAACCCAAAACTGCATCAAACGAAGTGCAATACACAGGAGTTCCCAGTCCAACATGAAAGGAGCTTGGAAGTTATCTATCCTAACGGGTAAAACTGAAAAATCAACAACTCTTCCTGGACGTGACAGAAAAGTGAAGTCACAGGATGAATGGCTGCCCCCAAAATGGGAGAAAGACAGCCAGGTGAATACAGAGAATCGCAACTTACTAAAGCAAAAACCCACAAGCAGAAACAGTCCCAGTAACTACTATTGGAGTATGAAGACCTAAACTGCAATTGACAAATTGCTGAGGGTTCAGTGTACATAAGTCTAAGAGTTAAAAATCCCAGAGGACTTAGTCATAAAGGGGGTCGCACACTTTTGTGAGTTTTATCTCCAGGAGTTCAACCAGGTTCTCACAGTGAATATCAGAAAAATCCCCTCATGGTTCAGCAGAGGAAGGAAAACATTTTCAAATATATCAGAGCATTCTGTTCTTAACAAGGCCTGCCCTCAAGAAAAACTATTTCACCAGAGCCTAAACTATGAGTTATTTTTTAGAGCCTAATCAAGCAGGGGAAATAAAAAATACCCAACTCTAGCTCCGTCTAGCATTCTGTGTGAGGAAAAGCAAGGAAAATACACAATTCCAAGACCATCTAGCTTTCCATGTGGGAGAAGGGAAATATCTAACTTCATTATATTCCAGGTATGCTGTTGCACCAAAGCATTCAGAAGAGAATGAGAAGCACTTGTAAAGTTAACAGGCCAAGGACAAAGGCTCATTAACGCCTGAGGTTGCAATTTTTTGAATTTTTGCAATCACAGCTTGGTGATAACCTTTAGCAGTAGGATATAAATAACTTCCACATGCCTAGCGTTCCAGTAATAGAACACTAAGCATAAATGGGTTAAAAGACTGAAACCTAACAGGACTACAGAATGCTTTTCTTCCTCTCACATCTTACCACCACATTCCTAAAGGTCTATTTACAGTAGTTGCTTTTATCTAGTACGTCATGTCCAACTATCCAAAAAAAAACAAAAAACAAAAAGAAAATTAAAAGCCACTCTAAAAGAAAAAAAACCACAGTTTGACAACAAGTATCAGAACCAGAACCAGACATGTCAGAGATGTTGAATTATCAGATTAGGAATTTAAAACAAATATGATCAACAGATAAAGTATACAGCATATAAGCACTTATGGGCAATGTTAGCAGAGAGAAAGTGTAATGAAGAATGAAAAAGAAATACTAAAGATCAAAACACTGTAACAGAAATGAACAATGCCTTGGATGGGCTCACTAGTAGACAGGATATGGAAAAGGAAAGAATCTCTGAACTTGAGTATATAGAAATAGAAAATTCCAACACAGGAAAGCAAAGAGAAAAAAAGACTAAAAAAACCCGTAACAGAATATTGAAGAAATGTGGGACAACTACAATAGGTGTAGCATAGGCATAATGGGAATATCATAAGAAGAAAGAGGTAAAGAAACAGAGGAAAAATGCAAAGCAATAATGCATGAGAATTTCCCCAAATTAATGTCAGACACCAAATCACAGACTGGCAAGTTCAGAGAACACCAAAGAGAATAAATGCCCAAAAAATAACACCTAGGCATATCATATTAAACTGCAAAAAAATCAAAGATTTAAAAACAGTTAATAAAATCCAGAAAAAAATAAGCCCTTAACTATAGAAAAACAAAGACAAGAATTGTATCTCATTTCTCAGAAACCATGCAAGTAAGAACACTGTGGAGTGAAATCTTTTAAGTGTTCAGAGAAAAAAAACCTACCAATAAATAAATAAAGTACAAAGTTGCAGGATTAATACTCTCTGATTTCAAAACTTTCTGTAAAGCTACGGTAATCAAAACAGTGTGGTACTAGTATAAAAACAGACACATAAACCAACAGAACAGAATAGAGATCCCAGAAATAAACCCTCAAATACATGGTCAAATGATTTTCAACAAGGGTACCAAGACCATTCAATGAGGAAAGGGCAGCCTTTTCAACAAATGATGCTGGAAAAACTGAATAGCCACATGCAAAACAATGAATCTGTACCCTTACCTAACACCATATACAATAATTAACACAAAATGGATCAGAGACCTAAGCATAAGGCATAAAGCTATTTTGAAAATTCTTGGAAGAAAACATAGGGGAAAATCTTCACATTAGATTTGTTAACATTTCTGAATATGACAACAAAAGCACAGTCAACTAAAGAAACAGATTACGTAGACTTCATCAGAGTAAAAAGGCAACCCACAGAATGAGACGAAATATTTGCAAATCCCATATCTATTAAGGGATCAGTATCCAGAATATATAAAGAAATCCTACAACTTACAAAAAAAATCCAATTCAAAAGCAGGCAAAGTACTTGAATAAACATTTCTCTAAAGAAGACATATAAATGGCCAACAACACGAAAAGATGTTCAATATCACTATTCATTAGGAAAATGAAAATCAAAATCACAATGAGATTCCACCTCACATGCATTAGGATGGTTATTATCAAAAAAACGAAAACAAGTATTGGCGAGATATGGAGTAACTGGAACCCTTGTGCACTGCTGGTGGCAATGTAACATGGTGCAGCCACTATGAATAATAGTATGATGTTTCCTCAAAAAGCTAAAAATAGATTGCCATATGATCCAGCACTTCTACTTCTGGATATATACCCAAAAGAACTTAAAGGAGAGATACAAACACACACTGAACACCCATGTTCATAATGGCATTACACACAATAGCCAAAATGTAGAAGCAACACCACTATCTATCAACAGATGAATAGAACAAAATTTAGTTGATACATAAAATGGAATATAGTCAGCCTTAAAAAGGAAGAACATTCTGACACATGCTGCAACATAGATGAACTTTTAAGACACTATGCTAAGCGAGATAAGTCAGTTAGCAAAGGACAAATACTGTGATTCCACTTATTTAAGGTACTTAGGGTCATGAAATAAATCATAGAAACTGAAAGTAGAATGGTGGCTGTCAGGGTTTAGGGGGAGAGAGGAATGAGGAGTTCCTGTTTCATAGATACAGAGTTTCAGTTTGGTAAAAATGAAAAAAGTTCTGAAAATGAATGGTGGTAATGGTTGTACAATAATGTGAATGTACTTAAAATAGATTAAAGTCCCTATTATTCAAAATGAGAACACAGATACTAATTAACTTTGGACTTTGATAGGTCTATCAAGTATATTATAATTTATAGAAAACTATTTAAAAATAGAAAGAGTCTAAATCTTCTAGAACGTAAAGCAAACCACCGCCCCCCCCCCCACACACACACACAAAACAAAACATAACTAATTTTTAAAATACAAGAATGGGTGGGGCACAGTGGTGCACACCTATAGTGTGCTACTTCGAAGGCTGACTTGAGGCCAGGAGTTCAAGGCTGTAGTGCACTATAATCATGCCTGTAAATAGCCACTGCACTCCAGCCTGGGCAACATAGCAAGACCTATCTCTAAAAAAAAAAAAAATACAAGAAAGGAAAAAAAGTCAAGCAGACCAAATAAAAAGCATAAAGAAAAATAGTAGTATAAAATATAAACAGACTATGCCTTATAGTTAAAAATAAATGTAGACTGAATGTAAAAAGAGAAGTATCCAGATACATACTATTTACTGGCAACACATATAAAATGAAAATGTCCAAAGGAGCATTGTTTATGAGAGAAAAAAAACTGGATACAATCCAAACTCCATCAATAAAAAGTAGGTAGATCTATTTTTAATATTAATACAATAAATACATAAGTAAAACTGGATGATCTCTAGCTCTATGCATCAACATGAATGAATCTCACAAAAATGTTAGGCAAAAAAAATGCATGCCATGTAATACATATTGTTCAGTAACCTGAATCATTTTTCTAAAGTTCACAATTATATAAAACTTAAAATTCAGAAAAGTGGTTAATTCTAAGGCGAATGCATGGGAATGGGACAGAATGGGCAAAGTGGGGAACACAGAAGGCTTCGGTGATGCTGATAATAGTCTATTTTTTAATAGAAGGTGAACATTTGGGTGTTTATTTTAACATTATGTTTTTTAACTTAAATGCATCTCATATATATTAGACCTGTGTTATAGTTCTACCTCTGCCACTTAATCTCTTTGAACCTCAAAAAGTTTCCACATTTATAAAATAGAAATATTAACTGCTCTCCTATCTATCTCATAGGCCTAAAGTAAAGATTAATATCAAAAGAGGATAGTGTGAAATGAATAAAAATAACACTATTTTTCATGATTATAATCATTTAATCCAGAAAAATATTTAGATGAAAGCATATCAAAATATTATCAATGCTTATTATTGAGGAATGGATTATGGGTAATATCAATTTCATACTTTTCTATATATCTCTTAATATAAATATGCATTATTGTTCAAATTAGGAAAAAGTTTAAATGTTTACATAAATTACATATAGATAATAATGAAATATTATTTTGAAAAGAGTGATAACCATATAATGCAAATGTTCAAGAGTTAACCGTGCAAATGAGTATCATTATTAGTAATTTTATTCAAAACTGACTAATGTTTCTAGCATAAAGGAGTTGAACTTAGGATATATGCACTATTTGTATCAGTGTTTTTCAAATTGCTAGTCAGAAGAAAATTTATGACATAAAACATAGAAGAGAAATTTTAAGTTAACAGGGGAAAATGATCTCAAAATAGAGTATCTTCTTTAGTGTTTATGTGGATTATTGTCATTACCAAATTACCAAAGGAAAGCTTAAAAAGAAAATCAACTGACATGAATATAGGAAACTATGACAGAGCTGGAATACATTAATAAAAATGAAACCTCCTCCACTTCCATTTAAAAGCTTTGGGCTCCCTCTGTTGGAAGTCTATATTAGAGTCTTGCAATTTAAAATAGCAATTTGATCCCTTTCACTCAAGGCTAATTACCAATCCCTGCTGAGTGGCTAGCTACAATAAAACCTTTATTACTTTTGTAAAACATAATTTTATGAAATATTTTTCTTCTTTTTTTTATTTTTAGGTACAGGGTCTCACTCTGTCACCCATGCTGGAGTGCAGTGGCTTGATCATCGCTCATTGTAACCTCTAACTCCTGGGCTCAAGCAACCTTCCAGCTTCAGCTTTCTTAGTAGATAGGACTACAGGCACACAGTACTGCACCTGACTAATTCTTTTTTTAAAAGTTTTTTGTAGAGACAGGGTCTTGCTATGCTTCCCAGGCTGATCTTGAACTCCTGACCTCAAGCCATCCTCCTATCTTGGCCTCCCAAAGCACTGAGATTACAGGTATGAGTCACCACACCCAAGCCTATTTTCTAATACAATTCGGTATATATTATTTGGAAATTAAATTAGACTTCTTTACATTAGCAGTTATAAAGTATTTCTAAAAATCCCAATGGGAAGTAAAATTTAAAAATACTAAAACATTCTGCTCAGTCTGACCTAAAAGGGAGTTCTTAATAAATATTTATAATGGAAGGGCAAAAAAAGAATCAGAACTTCAATTAGGAAAGTAATCTACAGACTTGTTCAGGAATTGATAGCTCATCTAAAGCAGTACAAATGAGAACAGTAGCTGGCTGACTTATCTCCATATTTGGGGTTAAAGAGGTCTTGCCAGGGATAAGCCAAAACACAGGAATTAAACACTAACATATTTTGCAAAATAAACTAAAAGTCTTCTATATCAAAGATACTATAAAGAAAGTGTAGTATAGCAAACTTGAAAAACAATTTACAATACATATTACAAAGAGTCAATACCTTTAATGAGAGTTTTTAAAATGAATAAGAGATGAGCACCCTAATAAGGACAAATACTAACAGAAACTCATATAAGAAATTTTTTAAAACATATTCACTAAAAATGATTAAGTTTGGATAATTGTCCCTGACCAAATCTCATAGTGAACTATATCCCCATGCTAGAGGTGAGGCCTGGTGAGAGGTGTTTAGGTCATGGGAGCAGATCCTTCAGGGCTTGGTGCCGTCTTCATGATAAGTGAGTGAGTTCTTGCTACATCTGGTTAAGAGTGTGTAGCAGCCTCCCCACTCTTTCTCTTGCTCCTGCTTTCACCATGTGATGTGCCTGCTCCCCCTTTGCTTTCCACTGATGGCAGCAGCAGCAGCCCATCTGGAGCAGCTGCTGCAAAGAGGCCGGCTGCAGTGGGGGAGGCACAGCCGGGACTGCAAATTCCACAGAGCTGGTGGGAGCTGGGAACAGGCAGAAGCCCCACCCTCCTTCCAAGTTGGAGGGGCGGGAGTCCTGCCTTCCCCAGCACTGCTGCAGCCACATAGCCACAGCTGCAAACCTGGGCATTCCTGTACTCTAAGGAGCCCAGGAAGGCCCCCATGCCCCCGCACACTCAGAAGTGTCTGCTCCCACTGCCCAGCCTCTCCACTCTCAGTGCCCACTCCAATTCTAGAGCAAAGTTGAGGCCAAGGCGAGGCACTGTCACAACCTGGCCAGGTGTACACATGCTCGGGTACACGCCAGCCCCCTGCCACCTCAGCCCCCTCTGGACTTTGGGGGCCAATGAGCACAGGAGGGAAGGGGATGCTGAGGGCAGCTCAGTGTGGGCCTGCAGGCACCCCTCAGCATGAACTGCCTGGGCACTGGGGATAGGAGGTTGATGGCAGTGGGAGGCAGACCAGTTCCTGGGCAGAAAGGGGAGTGTCCCCAGTGAAGCCCCTCCTTCAGGCCTGGGACAGCCTGAAGTCTGGGGCCCAGGCTCCCAGTTCCGTGGACCAGAGTGACAACTTATGGTGCTTTCTCCAGGCTGAGCCATGGCTGCCTATGGACCAATAAGCGTGCACTTCCTACCCTCCAAAGGCCATAAAAACCCCTGGACTCAGCCAGACTTGGGCAGATATCAGGACTACCTGCCTGCAGAGAGAAGCTACCCACTGTGGGTCCCCTCTCAGCTGAGAGCTGTATACTCGACAGGATCACCTGCCTGCAAATAGGAGCTATCCACTTCAGGTCTCCTGAGAGCTGTACTGTCACTCAATAAAACACCACTTTACCTTACTCACCCTCCAGTTGTCCACATACCTAATTCTTCCTGAACACAGGACAAGAATTCAGGACTTGCCAAGTGGCAGGACTGGAAGAGCTATAATACAAACAGGGCTAAAAAGGGTGCTACACACTCTTGCCACGTTGCGGGTGACTAGAAGAAGAGAAGACAGAAGGAAAGAAGAGCTGTGGCCCTTAAGGGAGCCCACCTAAGAGTTCCCCTAGCCAGGGCTGTGACACCCTCTTTGGGGCTCTGCAGTTCCTGGTGTCTCCAAGCTTCTGGGCACCACCTCAATCCCCAGTGCCAGCAGTGGAAGCCACTTGCAGTACGACTGGTCCAACTGCAGTCTTGTGGGAAGCCAGCACCCGTGCCAGCACCTGGAGCTGCCCGTCCCACCACAGCCGACATGCCTGGCTGTGCACAGTGGCCAGACCCAGCACTCACTCGCTCACACACCCCTCGCCACTCTGCACCTGGCTCGCCGTTGGCAGGTATGGAATCCGGGCCAGTAGTGGGAGCCAAGCACAGCCTGCCAGGCCAAGTGGGCAGAACAAGCCCAGCAGACCCAAGTAAAACTCAGGCAAAGAGGTCACCAGCTGGCGAAGCAACACCACAAGGATCCTGTGACATCACCACGATTGTAAGCTTCCTGAGGTCTCCCCAGAAGCAGATGCTGCTATGCTTCCTGTACAGTCTGTAGAACTGTGAGCCTATTAAACCTCATTTCTTACATACTACCCAGTATTGGGTATTTCACTAATAGCAGTGCAAGAATGGCCTAATACAAAAAATAAAAGACGAATGAAATGAAGACAATTTAATGAAAACAATTATATATTTTTGCCTACGGCTTATCAAAAAAAGTTTAATCGTAACACCTAATCTTGTTAGAGTATAACAGATTCAAACTGAAAGGATTTACTAGAATAAATATATGGAGATGTGTGTGTGTGCATGTGTGTGTGTATATATACAGTATATATATATGTGCCACTTACTGAAGCATTGACATATAGACAAAAAAAATACCTTGAATGTCTTCTCATGAGGAATTACACATAAGTAAATGAAGTGAACACACCCCACAACCTCAAAGCCCACCCTCAGACCCCACCCAAGGACAAGGATGACCACTACAGCAGATTTTGGCAAAAGGCAGGGGCTAAATCTGCCACATTTAGGAGATTAAACAGTGCTCAGTCCAGCTTCAAAGCCTACACCAAGGCCCCACATAGGCAGAGTCTAACGTCAACTATGCATTTTTACTTAGCAAAGCAGGTGGTCCTATCCATCTGATGGGCAACTCCACCTAAACTTAGGGCCTCTCCTGCAACCCCGTCCAACTGCTGAACTCAAATAGCAGTATCACACAGCCAGAGAATACATCTTGTGACCCTCTCCATCTAAGACAATTGCACTACCATCCAGAGCTCAAATGAATTGCAGAGCTCCTCCAGTGCTCTCAGTCGATAGCAAAGCCCAGTCAGCTGACCTACCCAAACTCAGAGCAAAGGCAGCAGCCCAGTCATCTAGAGAACCCAACAGCAAACTCTGTCTACCAAGGATCATTACCAGCTGACACATCTAGAATTATAAGCCAGACTAAATGGAGAAGGTCCATCTCTGCCAAAACTGTAAAAACTAAAAAAGGTAGCTCTCCTCAAATGAGCAGACAACAAGACAAGGACACAAGGACCAGAAAAATCAGGATATCAAGACACCTCCAAAATAAAATGAGCAAAGCCGCTAACAACAGGACCTTGAAGAAAGATCTGTGAAAGGACAGATAGGAAATACAGAATAATCCTCTTAAAGAACGTCAGTGAACTACAAGAATACATGGATAAAAAAAAAATTAATGAGGGGCTTCAAGAGGCTGACTAGAGGTATCTGGCACTTGCCTCCTCCACAATTAAGAACCAAAACAGCTGTTAGATAACCACCTATCAAATAGAGCTCCTAAAAAATAACACTGTAATTCAGCAGAGAACTGACAGGGAATCTCTCAGGCACAGAAAAAGGGAAATGAAGCAATTGTCCTGGCTAAGATGCACTCAGAGCCAGGACAGACTCCTTGCTGTGAAGAAAAGGTAAGCAAGAAATCCCCGGAAGTCCATGTTCCACTGAAGACTCTTGTAATCCTAGGTAAAGGAGAGCCCCTTGGCCCTGGCAGGACCTGAGACTAATATGGGGGCTGCCTGGAGTCCACATAACTGCACTGTTCAACAGGGAGAGATCATGCTGGATCCCACACATCCCCTGAGACTCAAGCAGCTGCAACGCAGTACCATTTTGAGAGCCTAGTTACCAACAGACGACATCATGCCCTGAGGCCCAACAGCCCCTCTATTTCCACATCCCTGAAGGCCTGCTAACATTCCCCAAATCCACCTAGAAGGCTGCAGCATTGCAAGGTTGGCTGGAACCAGTAGTGTGGCCAGATCCCCAGCACTCTAGCCCAGACAGTATCCTGCGTGCCAGAAAACAAGTAGTGCAATGCTCCAGGAAGGTTGCCCCCAGGACAAAAGGAGTCAAAGCATGTTCTCCCAAAGTCTGAGAGGTGCCTGCCTAGGCACTAACAGCAACCCAGCTCCCTCCAGGGGCAGAGCTGCTACAACATCTGCACACATCTTCAGAGGGTCTGGGGACCAGCCTTCCCAGCTGACATCCCAGGCCCCCAGAATAAGTGTCTCCTACCTGTTGCAGGCACTAGCACATGCCATACAGGGGCCTAAAAATAGGCAAGCCCTGCCAACGCCACCAATGTTGGCACCCAAGTACATCATCTGGGAGCCTGGGAATCAATGGACCCTAACAACTGCTGCTGCTGGCACCCATGTGCACCATACAGGGGACTGAGTACATGCCTTCCCTGGCCACTGCCACCATCACCAGGGCCTGAGTGCATGGTTCAGGGACCTGGGAAGCAACCAGCCCTACCCAATGCAGCCGGTGCCCACATGCACAATCAGAGAGCATAAGACTAGGTCAGCCCTGCTCACTGCCACCATTAGCACATGAATGTGCTGTCCAGGGATTAAAAAAATCAACCCACCATACCAACTACCACCAGTACCAGCACATACCATTGAGAGGCCTGACAATAGGCCTACCCCACCCACCAACATCACAGGCAGCATGAGCCATTCTGGGGCCTGAAAACAGGCCCACCCCACCCACCAATACCACTGCTGGCACCCAAGTGCACTGTCAACACGTCTAAGGATTAATCCAACCCACCCATTATGGCCAGAGCCTTGCACACACCACTGGGGAGCCTGACTAGAGACCTGCCCCCTCACAACTTCTGCTGGCGGCACCCACACACATCATTCAGGGACCTGGGGCCTTCCCTGCCCACCACTGCTGGTGTCCACAGAGCCATCATGACCACCATTGCCAGCACCACAGTGCGCCATCCAGAGGCCTGGGAAATGACACACCCAGGTTGCCACAGCCACTGCCTGTGCACTCCATCAGGGAGCATGAGGACAGGTACTTCCTGCCAGCCACCGCTTAAGTCATTACCCCCATGATTCTTCCGGGAGCCTGAAAATCAACCTGCCCCATCTGTAACCATCTGCACACACCATCAGTGGGGCTAGAGGACAAGTCCATCTTACCCACTGCCATCACTGCCAATGAGCACATGTATTGTCAGGGGGACTAGGGATCGACTAGGGAGCACACCACCAATGGCTCCTGCACATGGCTTCTGGCGGACTGAGTACAAGCCTACCTGACATGCACTGTCTGGGAGCCTAGGCATAGGCCCACCCAGCCTGCTGGCAGTTCCTGCAGATGCCTCCTGGAAGTTCGGGGACTGGCTAGCCCAGCCACCACAGACACCCACTTGTGCAGTGCTTAAGGAATAAGGATTGACCAGACACAGCTACTACCATCACCAATGCCACTCACACATCACAAAAGTCTATGAACCACCACTGCCACCATGACACCTGAGCAAGCCCACCTGAAGGCCCAAGAACTGGCCCACCAGGACCTGCCACCACCAGCACAACTGTTAGAAGCCTGGGGGTCCAAGGACCAGCACATCCAGCCTGCCACCACCACCACAGGTATCTAAGGGCCAGCTTGCTTGGAGTCTCCATCTCAGCAGAGCCTCACCACAGCCTCCACTAACAACAAAAACCTAAGCCACTGAGGAACACAGCCACCACTGACGTTGATTATAGCCAAAAAAATTATACACAGACTGCACCATAATGCCCATTCAGACAGAATCAAAGCCATAGCATCTTACTCAAGCAACACTATATATACACATCTACAGGAAAAAGTTTCCCTACAAAAGCTAATACATAAAATTGGAAGAAATAACTGTTCAACCAGATGTGCAGATATCAATGTAAGAACATAAGAAACATGAAAAAGGAAACATGACATGTACAAAGGAATATAATAATTCTCCAATAACATATTTCAATGAAAAGGAAATCCATAAAATATCTGAAAAAGAATTCAAAATAATGATTTTTTTAAACTGAGAGAGATATAAGAGAACACAAATAAATAATATGAAGAAATTAGGAAAACAATTCAGGATCTGAAGGGGAAATTCAGGAAATAAATAGATATCCAGAAAAAAAAAAGAACTAAACAGAAATCCTGGAACTTAAGAATCCAATTAATGAAACAAAAAATACAATCAAAAGCTTCAACAATAGACTAGACCAAGAAGAATTTCTGAACTTGAAGACAGATCTTCTGAAAAAACAGACACATAAAAAAAGAAAAAAAGAATTAAAAAATGAAGAAAGCCTACATGACATATAAGACATCATAAAATGACCAAATATTCCATTTTCAATGTCCCAGAAGGCAAAGAGAAAAAACAAAGGGATAGAAAACATACTTCAAGAAATAATAGCTGAAAACTTCCCAAGTTGAGCAAAAGATTTATTTTTATTATTTTATTTTTAATTTTTACTTTTTTAGAGGTGGGGTCTCCCTCAGCCACCCAAGCTAGAGTAGAGTGGTGCAATCCTAGCTCACTGCGGCCTTGAACTCCTGGGCTCAAGCAATCCTCCCACCTCAGCCTTCAAATCCAGCAAGAGATTTAGACATACAGACACAGGAAATACAGAGATCCTCAAATAGATACAATACAAAGGTCTTCTCCGCAGCACATCATGGTCAAACTACCAAGTCAGAGACAACAAGAAAATTCTAAGAACAGCAAAAGAAACATGTCTAGACACTTATAAGAGAATCTCCATCAAACAAACAGCAGATTTCTCCACAGAAAACATGCAGGCCAGAAGAGAATGAGATGATATATTCAAAGTACTAAAAGAAAAAAAAAACTGCCAGCCAAGGATACCATACCTAGCAAAGTTATCCTTCATAAATGAGTAAGAGTTTTTCCCAGACAAGCAAAAGCTGAGGGAACTCTTCACCACTAGACAGGCCCTACTTACATTAAATGCTTAAGAAAATCCTACACCCAGAAGCAAAATGGCACTATCTAAAATAATGAACATACCTAAAAGTACAAAACTAACTGTTGAACAGATATACAAATGAAAATGACAAAGGAGTTGAACACTGTCACTACAGAAAACCACCAAACTGAAGTGATAAATGATAAAAGTGGAAGAAAGAAAAAAAGGATATACAAAACACCCAGAAAACAATTTACAAAATGCAGGAGTTAAGTCCTCATCTATTAATAATAGCCTGAATGTAAAGGAATTAAATTGCCAACTTGAAATATATGAGCCAGGCACAGTGGCTCATGCTTGTAATCCCAGCACTTTGGGAGGCTGAGGCGGGTGGATCACCTGAGGTCAGGAGTTAGAGACCAGCCTGACCAATATGGTGAAACCCCATCTCTACTAAAAATACAAAAATTAGCCAGGCATGGTGGTGGGCATCTGTAGTCCCAGCTACTTGGGAGTCTGAGACAGAAGAACTGCTTGAACCTGGGAGGCGGAAGTTGCAGTGAGTCGAGATTGTGCCACTGCACTCTAGCTTGGGCAACAGAGCGAGACTCTGTCTCAAAAAAAAAAAAAAAAAAAAAAAACCCAGAAAGACATGAACTGGCTGAATCCATTTTTTTAAAATGACCCAATTCAACTGTATGCTCCCTACTCACGTCACCAATAAAGACATACATTGACCGAAAAAAAAAAAAAAATACATTCCACACAAATGGAAACCAAAAGCATGCAAGAGCAGCTATACATACATCAAACTTTAAGACTGCTTTCGGTTTCCATTTGCAAATTTTAAGTCATGCTTTTGGTTTCCTTTTGTAGACTTTAAGTCAAAAACTGTAAAAAGAGACAAAGAACTACATTATATAATGATAAAGAGATAAGCTAAGAGGATATAATTCCAAATATACATGCACTTAATATTAGAGAACACAGAAATATAAAGCAAATATTATTAGATCTAAAAGAAGAGACAGACTCCAATACAAAAATAATGGGGGATTTCAACACCCTACTCTCAGCAGTGGACAGATCATCAAGACAGAAATTGAACAACAAAGTATCAGACTTAATCTACACTATTGATCAAATGGGCCTAACAGACATTTACAAAACATTTCACCCATGGCTGCAGAATATACATTCTTCTCATCAGCATATGGAACATTCTCCAGGATAGACCATATGTTAAGACACAAAACAAATCTCAATAACTTTTTAAAAATCAAAATCATATCAACTATCTTCTGAGACTGCAATGAAATAAAACTAGAAATCAGTAACAAAGGAACTTTAGAAACTGTACATGGAACTTAAACAACATGCTCCTGAAGAACCACTGGATCAAGGGAAAAAATAAAAAATAAATTTAAAAAGTATTAAAACAAATGAAAACAGAAATACAGCATACCATAACATATGGGATCCAGCAAAAGCAGTGCTAAGAGGGAAATTTATAGCAGTAAACACCTAAATCAAAAAGTAGAAAGATTTCAAATAAACAACCAAATGATGCATCTCAAAAAACTAGAAAAGCAATAACAAACTAAACCCAAAATTAGTAGAAACAAAAAGATAATAAAGTCATAGAAGAACTAAATGAAATATAGTAAGAAAAATTAAAAGGATCAACATAATAAAAATTGTTTTTTAAAGACAAACAAAAATCACTGGCTACACCAACCAAGATTAAAAAAAAAAACAAGAAAGAACACTGAAATAAATACAATCAGAAACAAAAAAAGGAGGCATTAAAACTGATACCACAGAAATACAAAGAATAATTAGAGGATATTATGAACAAGTATATGCCAGCAAACTGGAAAATCTCAAGGAAACTGAAAAATTCCTAGAGACATACAACCTACAAGATTGAATCAGGAAGAAAGAGAAAACCTGAACATACCAGTAACAAGCAACAAGATCAAAGCAGTAATAAAAGGTCTATCAACAAAGAAAAGCCCAGGACTGGACGGTTTTATTGCTGAATTCTATCAATCTTATAGAGAGGAACTAACACCAATTCTTCTCAAACCACTCCAAACAACTTAAGAGGAGGAAATTTTATCTAACTCATTCTACAAGGCCAGCACTACCCTGATAACAAAACTATACAAGGACATGAGAAAAAAAGTTCAGGCCAATATGAGCAACACAGATGCAAAAATCCTCAACAGAATACTAGCAAACAGAATCCAACCACACATCAAAAAAGATAATGCACCATGATCAAGTGAGATTTATCTCAGGGATGCAAGACACACACAAATCAATAATTGTGATACCTCATATTAGAACGAAGGGCAAAAACCATGTGATCACCTCAACAGATGCAAAAAAAGCATTTGATAATATTCAATATCCCCCCATGATAAAAACCCTCAAAATAATAGGCACAGAAGTAACACACTGCAACATGATTAAGGCCCTATATGACAAATCCACAGCCAAATTATACTGATTGAATAAAATCTGGAAGCCTTTCCTCAAAGAACTGGAACAAGACAAGGATGCCCACCTTCACGACTCTTATTCAGCACAGTCCTAGAAGTCCTATCCAGAGCAATTAGGTAAGAGAAAGAAATAAAGGGCATCCAAATTAGAAAAGAGATAGTCAAATTATCCCTCTTTCCAGATGACATGACCATACATATAGAAAAACCTAAATACTCCATCCAAAAACTAATAAATTCATTAAAATTGCAGGACACTGAATCAACATAGAAAAATCAGTAGCATATACCAGCAACGAACTAGCTGGAAAAAAAATAAAGTAATTCCACTTAGAATAGCTACAGAATAAAATAACTACGAATAAATTTAACCATAGAGTTGAAAGATCTCTAAATTGGAAATTACAAAACACCAATGAAAGAAATTAAAGAGGACATAAACAAATGGAAAGATATCCCAAGCTCATGGATTAGAACTAATAGTGTTAAAATGACCATACTTCCCAAAGTAATCTACAAATAAAATGCAATCCCAATCAAAATGCCAATGATATTCTTCCTAGAAACAGAAAAACCAATCCAAAAATTCACATGGAACCACAAAAGACACCAAATAACCAAAGCAATACTGAGCAAAAAGAACAATGCTGGAGGCATCACACTATCTGACTTCAAAATATATTACAAAGCTATAGTAACCAAAACAGCATGACATTGGTATAAAAATAGCTGGGTGTGGTGGTACACATCTGTAGTCCCAGCTATTCAGGAGGCTGAGGAGGGAAGATTGCTTGAAGTCAGGAGTTCAAGGGTACAGTGAGCTATGATCATGGACTGCACTACAGTCTGGATGACAAAGCAAGACCCCATCTCTTTAAAAAACAAATACATAGACCAATGGAACAGAATAGAAAACCCAGAAATAAATCCCCATATTTAGAGCCAATTGACTTTCAACAAAGGCACCAAGAACATATACTGCAAAAGGATACCCTCTTCAATAAATGTTGCTGGAAAAACTAAATACCCATATGCAGAAGAATGAAACTATACCCCTATTTCTCACCATATACAAAAATCTACTCAAAATGGGTTAAAAATTTAACCATAAGACCTGAAAATGTAAAATTTCCAAAACAGGGGAATAACTATATGACATTGGTCTGAGCAATGATTTTTTAGATTTCACCCAAAAAGCACAGGTAACAAAAGCAAAAAACAGACAAAAGGGATTACATCAAAATTAAAAGCTTTTGTACAACCAATGAAATCATTTTCAGAGTGGAGAGACAACCTATAGATTGGGAGATAGTCTCAAATCATACATCTCACTAGGGATACGTACATATCTAAAATATGTAAGGAAACTCAAACAACTCTATAAAAAGAAAACAAATAATCCAATTTAAAAAATGGGTAACAGAATGAATAGACATTTATCAAAAGAAGATATACAAATGTCCAATAGACATATGAAAAAATGCTCAACTTCACTAATTAGGGAAATATAAATGTCTTAGTCTGTTTCGTGTTGCTGTAACTGAATACCTGAGACCAGGTAATACAATATAATGAATAGAAATTTATTTAGCTCACAGTTAATCAAGCTGAAAAGTTTGAGACTGGGTGGCTACATCTGGCAGCTTCTAGTGAGGGCTTCCTGCTCTTCATAGCATGGTAGAAAAGTGTAAGAGGAAGCAGAAGTGCGCAAAAAGACTAAATAGGACAAACAGGTTTATAACAACTCATTCTCACGGGTACATATGGTATTTGGTACATGCACAGAATGTGTAATGATCAAGTCAAATTATCTGGGGTATCCATCACCTCAAGTATTTATCATTTCCATGTGTTGGGAACATTTCAATTCCTCTCTTCTAGCTATTTTAAAATATACAATGCACTACAGTCACCCTACTCTGCTACTGGATATTAAAACATATTATTTCTAACTATATAGTAGCCATTAACCAAATTCTCTCCATTGCCCCCCACCACACATACACTTCCCAGCCTCTAGTGTTTATAATTCTACTCTCTGCCTCTATGAGATCAACTTATTTAAGCTCTCACATGTGAGAGAGAACATCCAACATTTATCTTTCTGTGCCTGTCTTATTTCATGTAATGACCTCTAGTTCCATCCATGTTGCTGCACATGACAGGATTTCATTCTTTTTTATGGCTGAATGGTATTCCATTGTGTATACAGACACCGTATTTCCATTATCCACTGATGGGACACTTAAGTTGATTCTGTATCTTTGCTATGGTGAATAGTACTGCAAAAAAACATGGTAGGTGCATGTATCTCTTTGGTATATTGACTTCCTTTCCTTTAGATAAATACTAGTAGCAGGACTACTGGATTGTACAGTGGTTCTATTTTTATGTTTCTTTTTAAAAATTTTTTTTTTTTTTGAGACGGAGTCTGGCTCTGTCGCCCAGGCTGGAGTGCAGTGGCGCAATCTCGGCCCACTGTAAGCTCCGCCTCCCAGGTTCACGCCATTCTCCTGCCTCAGCCTCCCGAGTAGCTGGGACTTCTTTTTAAAATTTGTTTTTTTCTTTTTTGTTTCTTTTTTTTAATCTATTTTAGTTTTCTGAGAAATCTCCATACTGCTTTCCATAATAGTTACACCAATTTACATTCCCACCAACAGTGTATGAGAGTTCCCTCTTCTCCACATCCTTGCCAACATCTGCTATTCTTTGTCTTTCTAACCGCCATTCTAGCTAAGGTAAGATGATATCTCATTGTAGTTTTGATTTGCTTTTCCCTTACACTTAGCAATGCTGGGCACTGTTCACATACCTGTTTGTCATTTGTATGTCTTTTTTTGAGAAATGTCTTTTTATGTCACTTGCACACTTTTTAGTGGGATTATTTGTTTATTTTTACTGTTCAGTTGTTTGGATTCCTCATATATTCTGGGTATCAGTCCCTTCTTGGATGAATAGTTTACAAACATTTTCTCCCATTCTGGAAGTTGTCTCTTTACTCTGTTGATGGGTTGGCTCCTTAGCTGTGCAGAAGCCATTCAGCTTAATATAGTCTCATTTATGTATTTTTTGTTGTTGCCTGTGTGAGGTCTAAGTCAAAAAATCTTTGCCTAGACCAATGTCCACAAGCATGTCCCCTATGTTTTCTTCCAGCAGTTTTATAGTTTCAGGTCTTACGTTTAAAGTATTTAATTTATCTTGGGTTGATTTTTTATATGTGGTGAGAGACAGGGGTCTAGTTTCACTCTTCTGCATATTTTCCCAGGATCACTACTGAAGAGGGTGTCCTTTCCCCAGTGTATGTTCTTGGCACCTTTTGCTGAAAATCAGCTGGCTGTAAATATATGGATTTATTTATAGGTTCTCTGTTCTGTTCCGTTGGCCTATGGGTCTGTTTTTATACCATGCTGTTTTGGTTACTATAGCCTTGTAATATATTTTGAAGTCAGGTAGTGTAATGCCTCCAGTTTTATTCTTTTCACTCAGGACTGCTTTGGCTATTTGGGCTCTTTTTTAATTCCATATGATCTTAGGGTTAAGATTAACAAATTCATCTTAAGGGAAGAAAGAACTAAAGCTTGGTTTAAGGAGTTCAGTATTTGCTAAATTAAATGGGGAGGCTAACAAAGCCATAACAATTGCTTTGGCAGCAATGGTGATGACGATAAGTGGACTCAGGAACACATGTTGGCACCCTCATTGTAGAAGATTTCAGTAACATCAACTATAGTAATATCCTTTTATAATACTTCTGATATCAGCACCAATAAGAGAGACACAAAAATAATGACTAACTTTTAATAATCACCTACTAACTTCCTGGCATTATACTTGGGACTTTACATGGATCATCTCCTTATATCTGCACACTAACCCAATAAGGTGTGTATTATTATCCCTGCTTTAAAGACACGGTAAGAAACCTGTCCAAGGTAAGTCAGTGTATTAGCAGTATAGCTAATATCTTAATCCAGATGTCTGGCTCCAAAGTTCATGCTTATTCCAAATACATGAATCAAATAAAATTGTCACTAAGGGAATGAATTTTCAAGGTCCACATCAAAACCACCTGGAAATTCCACATCTATTTAGAAAGGATTTAAAGGAGAGCTAGTGTTCCCACTGAATAGTTTTGGGGAATGACCAGAAATATTATACCTATTAATATTATTAAACCTTAGCCCCAGAATGGCATAAAGGCAGAAGCGTACAGATTACAATTTGATTGTTTCATACAATCTTCAAAAGTGTGATTTTTCTTAACAACATAAATGTGCACTGACATCATCTGAGTTCCATGGGCAATGGCACATCATAAGTTTTTTCTTTTAATCTTTTTCTTTTTTTTTTGCTCATCATTTGACTTAAAGCTCAATCATCACAACTTTTTCTCCAACAGAAAGTACCTTCCTTAATATTTTCATTTATTTTATGGGCTCAAAGAATTCTCAGAAGTGAGATTTAAAAGAAAAGAAAAATAACATTTTTGTGAGGTACATAGGGCATTCAAAATTACTTCTCTGTTTACAACTCAGAAAACTGAATTTTACATTAAATGACATAAGCATTAACCCAAGAGCAAAAAATTTAGTATACATTGAGCTAAGTCCTAGGTATAAATGCAAATAAGACACAATACCTCTTCTTCTCAAGGAGCTCATGGTATAGCAGAGGAGGTGGAAATAAACAGCTATACTGCAACGTGGATAGGTACTTTTGTTGTTGTTGTTATTGTTTTTTGTGTGTTTTTTGAGATGAAATTTTGCTCTTGTTGCCCAGGCTGGAGTGCAATGGTGCGGTCTCAGCTCACTGCAACCTCCACCTCCTGGGTTCAAGCAATTCTCCTGCCTCAGCCTCCCAAGTGGTTGGGATTATAGGCCCCTGCCACCACGCCCAGCTAATTTTGTATTTTCGGTAGAGACAAGGTTTCACCATGTTGGTCAGGCTGGCCTCGAACTCCTGACCTCAGATGATCCACCCGCCTCAGCCTCCCAAAGTGCTGGGATTACAGGCGTGAGCCACCATACCCGGCTGTTGTTTTTGAGACAGAGTCTTGCCCTGTCACCCAGGCTAGGATGCAGTGGCTATCATAGCTCACTGCAATCTTGAATTCCTGGGCTCAAGCGATCCTCCCACCTCAGCCTCCCAAGTAGCTGAGACTACAAGCATGCACCATCACATCTGGCTCATTTTTTTCATTTTTAGCAGAAACAAGATCTCACTATGCCTCCTAGGCTGGTCTTGAACTCCTCGCCTCAAGTGATCCTCGTGCCTCAGCCTCCCAAAGGGCTAGGATTATAGGCATGAGCCACTTGATAGATACATAGGCATGAGCCACTTGATAGATACATTACTAATTTCCCCAATTACACATTAAATTTAGTAACTGAATAATGCCACTGAAATTCTCATTTTGGGGGGAAAACTTAGCAAGAGACCTAATAAAATATAAAGTTAAAATTGTCGTTACTGATTCACTAAGTAGAACCTAGGTGAAAATATTTTCCAAAAGAAGAAAAATTCAAGAATTCATAGAAAATAAAGAGTTTTAAATAATAAAATTTGTTGTAGATATTTAAAAAGGCAACTATAAGTACTATTTAATGTAATTAGGCTTACAATAGAAATACAAACCAGAAGTTAGCTTTGGATAGTTTGGGGGGAAAAAAATTAGGATAATCAACTTTTCATCTATATAAAAAGTATCCTACAGGCTGAACACAGAAAATAAAAAGAGAAGCTTCAGAAGCTTGTAGCAAATGGAAGTTTATAAATCTAACAGAATGTACTAACTGACCATCCCTAGCTTTGTGCCACAGATTTTTTCTTATTTCCAGTCCACACACAATCCTCTCCTAGAGCTTAAAACAAAGGCAACTTCAGATCTGCATTTCTCTTATTGGCACAACAAGCTACATTTGTCAATGGAATTCAGCTTTTCCATTTGTTAATGGAAAATCTCAAACCATTTTTTTAAGGAATGTGTTCAGCCATTCATTCAAAAACTATTTACTGAGCACTAAGTACTAGTTAAAATTCTAGAGTCTGAATATAAAAATAACGGACAAGGCCGGGGGCAGTGGCTCACGCCTGTAATGCCAGCCCTTTGGGAGGCTGAAGCAGGCAGATCACAAGGTCAGGAGATCGAGACCATCCTGGCTAACACGGTGAAACCCTGTCTCTACTAAAAAATACAAAAAATTAGCTGGGCGTGGTGGCACGTGCCTGTAGTCCCAGCTACTTGGGAGGCTGAGGTAGGAGAATCGCTTGAACCTGGGAGGCAGAGGTTGCAGTGAGCCGAGATCATGCCACTGCACTCCAGCCTGGGCGACAGAACGAGACTCCGCCTCAAAAAAATTAAAGTAAAACAAAATAACAGACAAGACTGAATGGGTAGATGGATAGATGGACAAATAGAACAGAAAAAGAGAGGGCAATAGACTAATGTCAGAGGAATGGATTTCAATTACACCAGACAAACTGGGATACTGAAATAGGTTACCAGATTTTCATTAAGTGTCTGTATCCATTTTTCCAAAATACAAGTATGGTGGCCAGTGCTTCTGAAACACATTATTAGCCATGGACTGTTGGTTCCAATAGCCATTCCAGCCACCCGGGGAGAAAAATAATACCAGCTATCAGAGCACATTTACCTCACATTTAGCAATAATGTATCTGTGAAAAAGAACAGGGAAGGATACATAAAAATAAATATAATTATTTTGAGTAAAGTTATCACTAAACATACCTTTCAGATAAATAACAGCTCTTGTGAGGGTTTAGATTTTGATAAGATTCTAGGCTGCCATCAGATGATGAAGAAAGTTGCTCTGATTGCAAGTTGTCTGTATCACTCAAACTTCCCTCAGTTACAGGTGGGGTCCTTATGTATTTTCTTCCTAACTCCGTTCCCAGGACATTCGTCAATATAACTCTGGGTATCCTGTCACATAGAATAACAAACACTGTACTGTACTGAAGTTTTCAGTTAAAAAAAAATGTATTCCAGGAAGGTGAATTTTCAATCATTGCCATCTTAGCACAAGAAAGCTGTTCGAACTACACCACCCTAGAAATTAACCCATAAATACTTAAAAATTTAGAAAAACACAATCTTTTGGTTTATAGAAGCACTTGTTTCTTATCACTTATAACATAGATTAGCCTGCCACTACAATATCTTTAATTATACTAATGGATGCCATTGAGAGGCTTAAAATTTTAACAAATTCTTCTCTAAAAATGCTTTCTTTCCTTTTCCAGAAATTATTAAAAACACAGCTTACTACAAATCAATTCAAGAAATCTTTGTTCTTCTCATTTAACAGAAATGTCTTTGATAAGTAATTTACATACTTGCAATTGGGAAATGACAAATAATAAATCCAACAAGACATCATTCAGATTGCATCTCTGGTAATGAAAGATTCCGTAACTGAAACAGCACATATAATGGTGATAACATATATGCTAATATGTAATAGCATCAGGAAAAGAGTCAATACATTTAAATGTTTAGAAAATTAAAGTTTTTGTTTAGTTGGTTTTTCTTTTTTGAGACTGCAGTGCAGTGACACAATCACAGCTCACTGCAGCCTCGATCTCCTGGCCCAAGTAATCCTCCTACCTCAGCCTCTTAAGTAGCTGGGACTATAGGCACAAGCCACCACGCCCAGGTAACTTTTTTATTTTCTGTAGTGACTATGTCTCATTATGTTGTCCAGGCTGGTTTCAAACTCCTGGGCTCAAGCAATCCTCCCACTTCAGCCTCCCAAAATTCTGAGATTACACGTGTGAGCCACTGCATCTAGCCTGGACTGTATTTTTAAGTCTCCAGACCTTAAATTGGTGAGTTTTATATCAAATGCACTATATAAGCCTGATATCTTCTTAAACAGAAGATGTACATTTGATATATAAAGAAGTACATTTGGTATAAAATTAGTGCAATATTTACTCTGCTGGCCAGTCATTATTATGAACATTACTTTGCCACACTACAATAATGCCTTCAATATTGATATTCAGCCCAGAATTCACTGGCCCAAGCCAAATTATTGTGATTTTTTTAAGTTCCTGTTATGTAATTTTAAAGTTTTCCTAACTCCTCTTTATTAGATGCCCAGTTGACTGTTATCAATATGCCACTAGCAATACTTTACTTATACTTTGTTTGTAAGAAACAATATATAGAAAGAGCCAGAGTACGAGCATACCTCATTTTATTGTGCTTCACTTTACTGCACTTCACAGATACTGTGTTTTTCACAAATGCAAGGTTTGTGGCAACCTTGAGTAGAACACATCTATCAGCATGACTTTTCCAACAGCATGTGCTCACTTTGTGTGTCTGTGTCACATTTCGGTAACTCTCAAAATATTTCAATCTTTTCATTATTATTATATCTAGTATGATGATCTGTAATCAGTGATATTTGATGGCACAATTGTAATTGCTTTGAAGCACCACAAACCATGCATGCATAAGACATTGAACTTAATTAACAAATGCTGTGTGTGTTCTGACTGCTTCACCTACCAACCATTCCCCTATCTCTCTCTCTCTCCTCAGGCCTCCTCCCTATCCCCTGAGACACAGCAATGTTGAAATTATGCCAATTCCAGCACTACCATGGCCTCTAAATATTCACGTGAAAGGAAGAGTCTCAAGTTTCTCACTTTAAATCAAAAGCTAGAAATGGCTGGGTGTGGTGGCTCACACCTGCAATCCCAGCACTTTGGGAGGTCAAGGTGGGACAATCACTTGAGGCCAGGAGACTGAGGCCAGCCTGGGAAACACGGCAAGACTCCATCTCTACAAAACATAATTAACGAGCCATCCAGCCATGGCAGTACATGCCTGTAGTCCGAGCTACTTGGGAAGCTGAGAGAGGAGCATCACTTGACCCCAGGAGTTCAAGGCTGCAGAGAGCTAGGATTGCGCCACCTCTGTTTGCCTGGGAAAGAGAGCAAGTCCTTGTCTCAAAAAAAAAAAAAAAGAACTAAAAATTACTAAACCTAGTGTGGAAGGCATGTTGAAAGCTGAGACAGGCTGAAAGCAAGACTGCTTGCTGCAGAGTCAAGTTGTGAATGAGAAAGAATAGTTCTTGAACAAATTTAAAAGTGCTACTCCTGGCCAGGTGCAGTGGCTCACACCTATAATCCTAGCACTTAGGGAGGCTGAGGCAGGAGGATCACTTGAGGTCAGGAATTCAAGACCAGCCTTGCCAACATGGTGAAACCCCGTCTCTACTAAAAATACAGAAATTAGCCAGGTGTGGTGGCAGGCACCTGCAATCCCAGCTACTCGGGAGGCTGAGGCAGAAGAATGACTTGAACCCAGGAGGCTGAAGTTGCAGTGAGCCAAGATACTGCCACTGCATTCTAGCCTGGGCGACAGAGCAACACTCCATCTCAAAAAAAAAAAGGAAAAAAAAGGAAAAAAAAGTGCTACTCCTATGAACACACAAATAATAAGAAAGCAAAACAGTCTTACTGATGATATGGAGAAAGTTATAGTAGTCTGAATACAACATCAAATCAGCCACAGCATTCCCTTAAGCCAAAGCCTAACTCAGAGCAAGATACTCTCTTCAATTCTATGAAGACTGAGAGAGGTTAGGAAGCTGCAGAAGAAAAGTTGGTTTACAAGCTTTAAGAAAAGAAGTTGTCTCAGCCTGAGCAACATAGTGAGACCCTGTCTCTACAAAAAATAGAAAATATTAGCTTAGTATGGTGGCATGCACCTGTAGCCTCAGCTACTCGGGAGACTGAAGTGAGAGGATCACTTTAGCCTGGGAGATCAAGGCTGTAGTGAGCCATGATGACGCTAGCTGGGAGGTCAAAGCTGAAATGAGTCATGCTGGGCAACAGAATGAGACCCTGCCTCAAAAAAAAAAAAAAAAAACTATCTCCATAACATGAAATGCAAGGTGAAGCAGCAAGTACTGATGGAGAAGCTGCAGCAAGTTATCCAGAAGATCTAGCTAAGATAAGTGATGAAGGTGGCTACACTAAACAACAGATTTTCAATGTAGATGAAAGATCCTTCTATTGGAATAAAATGACATCTAGGAATTCCATACCTAGAAAGGAAAAGTCAATGCATAAGTTCGAAAGACAGGCTGACTCTCTTGTTAGGGGCTAATGAAGCTGGTGTCTTATCTGTGAAGCCAGTGCTCAATTACCATGCAAAAGATCCAATGGCCCTTAAGAATTATGCTAAATTGGGCCAAGCATGGTGGCTCATGCCTGTAATCCCAGCACTTTGGGCGGCAGAGGCCGGCGGATAACTTGAGGTCAGGAGTTCGAGACCAGCCTGGCCAACATGGTGAAACCCCACCTCTACTAAAAAAAACAATTTGCCAGGCATGGTGGTGCACACCTGTAGTCCCAGCTACTTCAGAGGCTGAGGCAGGAGAATCGCTTGAACCTGGGAGGCGGAGGTTGCAATGAGATCATGCCACTGCATTACAGCCTGGGCGACAGAGCAAGACTCCGTCTCAAAAAAAAAAAAAAAAAAATGCTAAATCTACTTTGCCTGTACTCTAAAAATGGAACTACAATGTCTGGATGACTGGATGACAGCACATCTGTTTACAGCGTGGATCACTGAATCACTTAACACCATCTTTGAGAACTGCCACTCAGAAAAAAAATAAATAAAATTCCTTTCAAAATATTACAGCTCGTTGACAATGCACCTAGTCACCCAAGAGCTCTGATGGGGAGGTACAAGAGAATTCGTGTTGTTTTCATGCCTGCTAATAAAACATCCATTCTATAGCCCATGGATCAAGAAGTAATTTCAAGTTTCAAGTCTTACAATTTAAGAAATACATTTCATATAGCTACCACAAACAGTGATTTCCTCTGATGGGTCTGGGAAAAGTAAACTGAAAATCTTCCGGAAAGGATTCATCATTCTAGATGCCTCTGCATAAAACAACAAAGGTAACAAAGTACAGTGAAGTTCACATTTTCACTTAAACAAAAGTATACGCATATACTTGGAGACAGGGCCAGTTCAGTTCCAGACCCCCGCCATAAAGTGAGTATCACAATAAAACACGTCACACAAATTTTGTGGCTTCCTAGTGAATATATAATTATGTTTACACTATACTGTAGTCTATTAAGTGTGCAATGGCACTATGACTAAAACAATGCACATCCCCTAATTAAAAATTTTACTATTTTTCCCTACATAAAGACACTATGTTCATTTCATTATGTTCCAGACAGCATAAAATTTTAGATCCTTGGAGAACTTTAAAATAAATTAGTCCTCTCTTTATTGTAAACATGAAGAACCCAACGCTCAGAAAAGTTAAATAAGCTGCCCAAGTATAAGTAGCTTTCCTAGTGGAAGAACCTGGGCCTGTTATCTTTGGGGGTTTTTTGTCTGTCCTATTACATTATACTACATCCTCAATGCTAATTTGCCAAAGGATTCCAGATAACTGAGATTGCCAACAGATACTTCAGGAAACTCTTGAAAATATCCATTTATACCATAATCAGAATAAAAAGTGCTGCAACAACTATCTAGAAAACCCGATAGTCTCAGCACAAAAGCTCCTTCAGCTGATAAAACAACTTGAACAAGGTTTCAGGATAAAAAAAATCAATGTACAAAAATCACTAGCATTCCTATATACCAACAACAGCCAAGTGGAGAACCAAATCACAAAGGCAATCTCATTCATAACAGCCACAAAAAGAATAATATACCTCTGAATACAGCTAACCAGGGAGGTGAAAGATCTCTATAAGGAGAACTATAAAACATTACTTTAAAAAATCAGAGAAGACACAAACAAATGGAAAAACATCCCAGGCTCATGGATAGAAAGTATCAATATTAAAATGGCCATATATCCCAAAGCAATTTACAGATTCAATGCTATTCCTATCATACTACCAACAACATTCTTCATAGAATTAGAAAAAACTACTTTAAAATTCATATGGAACCAAAAAGAACCCCATATAACCAAGGCAATCCTAAGCAAAAAGAAGAAAACTGGAAGAATCACCTTACATCCCTTCAAACCATGTTATAGGGCTATAGTAACCAAAACAGCATGGTACTGGTACAAAAATAAACACACAGACTAATGGAAAAGAATAAAGAGCCCAGAAGTAATACTACACACCTACAATTCTGTGATCTTTGACAAACCTGACAAAAACAAGCAATGGACAAAGGGCTCCATATTTAATAAATGATGCTGGGAAAAGAACTAGCCATATGCAAAAAATTGAAATTGAACCCGATTTTTACACCATATATAAAAATTATCTCAAGATGGATTAAAGACTTAAATGTAAAACCTAAAAGTATAAAAAACCTAGAAGAAAATTTAGGCAATACCATGCAGGACGTAGGCAGGCACGGGCAAAGATTTCATGACAAAAATGCCAAAAGCAATTGCAACAAAAGCAAAAATTGACAAATGGGATCTAATTAAACTAAGGAGCTTCTGCACAGCAAAAGAAACTATCATTAGAGTGAACAGACACCCTATAGAATGGGAGAAAGTTTTTGCAATCTATCCATCTAACAAATGTCTAATTTCCAGAGTTTACAAGGAACTTAAACAAATTAACATGAAAAAAAGCAAACAATCCCATTACAAAGTGGGCAAAGGACATGAACAGACACGTTTCTAAAGAAGATACACATGCAGACAATAATCATATTTTAAAAGCACAACATCACTGATCATTAGAGAAATAAAAATCAAAACCACAATGAGACGCACAGTGAGAAAACAATGTGAAGAGACACAGGGAGAAGACAGCCATCTACAAGCCAAAGAGAGAGGCCTGGCACAGGCGTTCTCTCACAGCCCTCAAAACACCTTGATTGGATTTCTTGCCTCCAGAATTGGGAACAAAAGGGGATAATGGTGGATGGGAGGCAGACTAGATTGCAGCTCTGACTCGACAGACAGAGCAGCATGTGGAAGCTCGCATCGTGAATTTTTGCTCCAGAACAACTGCAGGAATAAATCAGGAAGCCTAAGAGGACCCACACACCTCCTGAAGGAAGCAGAGTACACCAGCATGACCCAGGACACCCCAAATACTATGCTGGTATCCATGGCTGAGAGACCCATAGATGGTTCAGGTCACAAGACTCTGTGCAGACAACCGCCAGTACCAGCCCAGAGCCTGGTAGAATAGCTGGGTGGCTAGATCCAAAAGAAAGATAACAATCACTACAGCTCCGCTCTCAGGAAGCCACATCCATAGGAAAAGGGCGAGAGTACTATAATAAGGGAACACCCCATGGGACAAAGGAATCTGAACAACAGCCTTCAGCCCTAGACCTTCCCTCTGACAGAGCCTACTCAAATGACAAGGAACCAGAAAACCAACTCTGGTAATATGACAAAATAAGGTTAACACCTCTGAAAAATCATACTAGCTCACCAGCAATGGACTCAAACCAAGAAGAAATCCCTGATTTACCTGAAAAAGAATTCAGGAGGTTAGTTATTAAGCTAATCAGGGAGGCACCAAAGAAAGGTGAAGCCCAGTGTAAGGAAGTCCAAAAAATGATACAAGAGGTGAAGGGAGAAATATTCAAGGAAATAGATAGCATAAATAAAAAACAATCAAAACTTCAGGAAACTTTGGACACACTTATAGAAATGCAAAATGCTCTGGAAAGTCTCAGCAATAGAATTGAACAAGTGGAAGAAAGAAATTCAGAGCTTGAAAACAAGGTCTTCAAATTAACCCAATCCAACAAAGACAAAGAAAAAAGAATAAGAAAATATGAACAAAGCCTCCAAGAAGTCTGGGATTATGTTAAATGACCAAATCTAAGAATAATAGGTGTTCCTCTTTTACACTGTTGGTGGGACTGTAAACTAGTTCAACCACTGTGGAAGAGAGTGTGGTGATTCCTCAAGGATCTAGAACTAGAAATACTATTTGACCCAGCAATCCCATTACTGGGTATATACCCAAAGAATTATAAATCATGCTACTATAAAGACATATGCACACATATGTTTATTGTTGCACTATTCACAATAGCAAAGACTTGGAACCAAGCCAAATGTCCATCAAAGATAGATTGGATTAAAAAATGTGGCACATATACACCATGGAATACTATGCAGCCATAAAAAAGGATGAGTTCATGTCCTTTGTAGGCACACGGATGAAGCTGGAAACCATCATTCTCAGCAAACTATTGCAAGGACAAAAAACCAAACACCGCATGTTCTCACTCATAGGTGGGAATTGAACAATGAGAACACCTGGACACAGGAAGGGGAACATCACACACCAGGGCCTGTTGTGGAGTGGGGGGAGGGGGGAAGGATAGCATTAGGAGATATATCTAATGTAAATGACGAGTTAATGGGTGCAGCACACCAACATGGCACATGTATACATATGTAACAAACCTGCACGTGTGCACATGTACCCTAAAACTTAAAGTATAAAAAAAAAAAAAGAATAATAGGTGTTCCTGAGGAAAAAGAGAAATCTAAAAGTTTGGAAGATATATTTTGGGGAATAATTGAGGAAAGCTTCCCTGGCCTTGCTAGAGACCTAGACATCCAAATACAAGAAACTCAAAGAACACCTGGAAAATTCATCACAAAAAGATCATCACCTAGTCACATTGTCATCAGGTTATCTAAAGTTAATATGAAGGAAAGAATCTTAAGAGCTGTGAGGCAAAAGCACCAGGTAACCTGTAAAGAAAAACTATCAGATTAACAGCAGATTTCTCAGCAAAAACCCTACAAGCTAGAAGGGACTGGAGCCCTATCTTCACCCTCCTCAAACAAAACAATTATCAGCCAAGAATTTTGTATGCAGCGAAACTAAGCTTCATATACAAAGGAAAGATACAGTCTTTTTCAGACAAACAAATGGGAAGAGAATTCGCCATTACCAAGCACTAAAAGAACTGCTAAAAGGAGCTCTAAACCTTAAAACAAATCCTAGAAACACATCAAAACAGAACCTCTTTAAAACATAAATCTCACAGGACCAGCTATTCTTATATCAGACAAAACAAACTTTAAAGAAACAGCAGTTAGAAAAGACAAAGAGGGGCATTATATAAGGACAAAAGGATTAGTCCAACAGGAAAATATAAACATATATGCACCTAACACTGGAGCTCCCAAATTTATAAAACAACTACTAATAGACCTACGAAATGAGATAGACAGCAACACAGTAATAGTAGGGGACTTCAATATTCCACTCACAGCACTAGACAGGCCATCAAGACAGAAAGTCAACAAAGAAACAGTGGATTTAAACTATACACTGGAACAAATGGACTTAATGGATATATACAGAACATTCCATCCAACAACCGCAGAATATATGTTCTATTCAACAGCACATGGACCTTTCTCCAAGACAGACCATATGATAGGCCACAAAACAAGCCTCAATAAATTTGAGAAAACTGAAATTACACCAAGCACTCTCTCAGACCACAGTGGAATAAAACATGGAAATCAACTCTAAAAAGAACCTTCAAAACCATGCAAACACATGGAAATTAAATAACCTGCTCCTGGTGATCACTGGGTCAAAAATGAAATCAAGATGGAAATTAAAAAACTTTTCCAACTGAACAACAATAGTGACACAACCTATCAAAACCTCTGGGACACAGCAAAGGCGATGCTAAGAGGAAAGTTCATAGCCTTAAATGCCTACATCAGAAAGTCTGAAAGAGCACAGACAATCTAAGGTCACACCTCAAAAAACTAGAGAAACAAGAACAAATCAAACCCAAACCCAGCAGAACAAAAGAAACAAGCAAGATCAGAGCAGAACTAAATGAAATTAAAACAAAAAAAATACAAAAGATAAATGAAACAAAAAGCTGGTTTTCTGAAAAGAGAAATAAAATTGATAGACCATTAGCAATATTAACCAAGAAAAGAGGAGAGAAAATCCAAATAAGCTCAATAAGAAACAAAACGGGAGATATTACAACTGACAACACAGAAATACAAAAGATCATTCAAGGCTACTATAAACACCTTTATACTCATAAACTAGAAAACCTAGAAGAGAAGAATAAATTCCTGGAAAGATAGAACCCTCCTAGCTTAAATCGGGAAGAATTAGGTACCCTGAACAGACCAATAACAAGCAGTGAGATTGAAATGGTAATTTAAACATTACCAACAACAAAAAAAAGCCCAGGACCAGACGGATTCACAGCAGAATTCTACTGGACATTCAAAGAAAAACTGGTACCAATCCTATTGACACTATTCGACAAGATAGAGAAAGAGGGAACCTTCCCTAAACCATCCCATGAAGACAGCATCACCTTAATACCAAAACCAAGAAAGGACATTAAAAAAAGAAAACTACAGACCAATACCCCTGATGAACACAGATGCAAAAGTCCTTAACAAAATATGAGCTATCTGAATCCAACAACATGTCAAAAAGATAATCCACCATGATCACATAGGTTTCATATTAGGAATGCAAGGATGGTTTAACATACGTAAGTCAATAAATGTGACACACCACATAAACAGAATTAAAAACAAAAATCCCATGATCACCTCAATCGATGCAGAAAAATATTCAACAAAATCCGGCATCTCTTTATGATTAAAACTCTCAGCAAAATCGGCATACAAGGGACATACCTCAATATAATAAAAGCCATCTATGACAAACCCACAGCCAACATAATACTGAATGGGGAAAAGTTGAAAGCATTCCCTCTGAGAACTGGAACAAGACAAGGATGCCCACTCTCACCACTCCTCTTCAACATAGTACTGGAAGTCCTGGCCAGAGCAATCACACAAGAGAAAAAATAAAGGGCATCCAAATCGATAAAGAGGATGTCAAGCTGTCCCTATTTGCTGACGCTATGATCATTTACCTTGAAAACCCTAAGGACTCCTCCAGAAAACTCCTAGAACTGATAAAAGAATTCGGTAAAGTTTCTGGATACAAGATTAATGTACATAAATCAGCAGCTCTTCTATACACCAACAGCGACCAAGCAGAGAATCAAATCAAAAACTCAACCCCTTTTACAATAGCTGCCAAAAAATAAAAATAAAATACTTAGGAATATATCTAACCAAAGAGTCAAAAGGCCTCTTCTACAAGGAAAACTACAAAACACTGCTGAAAGAAATCACAGACAACACAAACAACTGGAAACACATCCCATACTCATGGATGGGTAGAATCAATATTGTGAAAATGACCATATTGCTACAAGCAATCTACAAATTCAATGCAATTCCTATCAAAATACCGCCATCATTCTTCACAGAATTAGAAAAAACAATTATAAAATTCAAATGAAATCAAAAAAGTGCCTGAATACCCAAAGCAAGACTAAGCAAAGAGAACAAATCTACAGGCATCACATTACCTGATCTCATACCATAAGGCCAAAGTCACCAAAACAGCATGGTACTGATATAAAAATAAACACCTAGATCAAGGGAAGAGAATAGAGAACACAGAAATAAACCCAAATACTTACAGCCAAGTGGATCTTTGACAAAGCAAACAAAAACATAAAGTGAGGAAAGAACACTCTTTTCAACAAATGGTGCTGGGATAATTGGCTAGCCACATGTAGGAGAATGAAACTGGAGCCTCATCTCTCACCTTGTACAAAAATCAACTCAAGATGGATTAAGGACTTAAATCTAAGACCTGAATCTATAAAAATTTTAGAAGATGACATTGGAAAAACCCTTCTAGACATTGGCTTAGGCAAGGATTTTATGACCAAGAACCCAAAACAAATGCAATAAAAACAAAGTTAAATTGCTCGGAGTTAACTGAACTAAAGAGCTTTTGCATACCAAAAGGAACAGTCAGCAGAGTAAACGGATAACCCACAGAGTGGGAAAAAATCTTCACAATGTATACATCTGACAAAGGACTAATATCCAGAATCTATAATGAATGCAAACAAATCAACAAGAAAAAAACAAACAATCTCATCAAAAAGTGGGGTAAGGATATGAATAGACAATTCTCAAAGAAGATATACAAATGGCCAAAAAACATATGAAAAAGTGCTCAACATCACAAATGATCAGGGAAATGCAAATCAAAACCACAGTGCGGTACCACCTTATTCCTGCTAGAATGGCCATAATCAAAAAATAGTAGATGTTGGCATGGATGTGATGAAAAGGGAACTTTTCTACACTGCTGGTGGGAATGTAAACTAGGACAACCACTGTGGAAAACAGTGCGGAGATTCCTTAAAGAACTAAAAGTAGAACCACCATTTGATCCAGCAATCCCACTCCTGGATATCTACCCAGAGGAAAGGAAGTATAGGAAAAAGCTACTTGCACACGTGTTTATAGGAGCACAATTCACAACTGCAAAAATGTGGAACTAACCCAAATGCCCATCCATCAACAAGTGGATAAAGAAACCATGGTATAGGCCGGGCACAGTGGCTGACGCCTGTAATCCCAGCACTTTGGGACACCAAGATGGGTGGATCACCTGAGGTCAGGAGTTCGAGACCAGCTTAGCCAACATGGCAAAACTCCATCTACTAAAAATACAAAGATTAGCCGGGCATGGTGGCACACACCTGCGATCCCAGCTACTCGGGAGGCTGAGGCACAAGAATCACTTGAACCTGGAAGGCGGAGGTTGCAGTGAGCAGAGACTGCGCCACTGCACTCTAGCCTGGATGACAGAGTGAGATTCTGTCTCAAAAATAAAATAAAATAAAATAAAATAAAATAAAATAAAATAAAAGAATTAGATATGGTATCTGTAGCAAAGTCCAATTCCTACTTTACTGATGACAAAAATTAAAGTTCAGAAGGGTGAAAATGCAAAGAGAAGCAGTATGGCACAGGAATTAACAGCAAGGACTTTGAAGTTAGACCAACATAGGTTTGGATTCTTATTTTACCACCTTATAACTATAAATCCTTGGGCAAGTTAATTACCATAATTTCTACCTCTACACATTGATCTTCTCATCTCTAAAATGGGAAGAATAATATCTCCCTTACAAAGTTGTTAAGATTCAATGAGATAATAGATGGAAAGCAGTTAGCATAATTCCTGGCACATAGTAAATACACAATAAATGGAATATCACTTAATTTTCATATTTCTGTAATAATTTTCATATTATTGTAGTCTTGCTCAAAGCTATAAACTACCCTTTCAAATAATACTTATAATTTACTATGCTCTGCAATCTTGATAAAAAATCTTATTAGATGTTTGCAATTTTCAATATACAATTAAAGTATATAATTAAACAGTTAGCAATGACTACAGTACACATAGCTCTTCATAGCACACAGCCACAGCCCAAACACCTTTCATCAACTATTGAAAACTTATCCAGTTTGGGTACCCTGAGGAAACAAGGAACTTTGTGTGATAGGCTTGAAGAACACAAATCTATAAACTGAGAGCTAAATTAACAATACCTAGCTGTCTTTTGCAGTACAGGTTTATAAATTAGCACAGTCAAGGACATTCCAGGGCTAGCCAGCATTTCAGAAGTTCTGAATTTCTGCAAGGAATTGAAGTATATAAAGGTGTATACTTCATCTTTCATACTATCTGAATCTGGAAGGAAGAACTAAAGTTGTCATTTCACACATTTACCCAATTTTTTCCTAAGTATGTAAACAGTATCAGTACGTAAGGTATTATTTATTTAATTTTATTTACTAATACTATGAAATCCCACTTCGAAATATCATAAATACACTAAACCAAAGCAGAAACAAATTTTGAAATGCAGTGAGAGGTAGCAGAAAGTATACTGGCCTGAGAAGTAGTATCATTTTCTGACTGTGTCTCTGCATGATTATTCTCTCTGACTCTTAGTTTTCTCAATTGCAAACTACAGGTTCCTTCCTTGTTTAAATAGCAAGGAAACTGTCATATTCAAATAACTTAATAATGCAGGGAAAACTCTGAGGAACTAGAAAGAGCTATTAACATACAACTTCATATATAGAGCAAATTTTTAGAGAAATGAAGTCTTTGCTGAAAGATAACATAATTATATCCATTAATAAATCTATAATGAGCCAAAAATTACAATACTAATTTAGTTTTCATTTTGCTGCAATGAATTCCTTTCTAAAATTGTGCTATGTGGCATTTTAAGAGGATTCTCATAACTCTATGCTTGTCCCAGATGATATAATTTAAAATATACCTTCTAAATCAGCATCTTAAAGGTATGTATAAAAAATTTAATCTTTGAGTAACTTTATTAAAGAGATTCACAGATTAGTTTCTAAATTTGTTCTTTTATTAAGCTAAATTTTAAGTGAATAATTATCACTCAACTAGATTACTGGCTTTAAAAATCTTAAAATGACAGGAACACTGCAATATCCAAATAGTTTTACCATCACATATCTGGAATACGTAATTCTTTTTAATTTTAAACACATATAAATTTAAGACAAAGATAAATAAATATATTTACAGAAATTCCAAGTACCAGCAGCTAACTCTTCTTAATGGAATATGGGTACACTATCTCCATATTTCTCTAACGATCTCTGGTACAAACTGATGAAAGCAGAAGAAAGATAGTTTATTTTCTCAAAAGCCTTGTATAAGTGTCCCACTAGGTTCTTTCTTTCCTATTGACAAAGACTTATAGATGTCTGGAATTTTCTCCCAGGAAAATAGATATGAACCATACATGGAGATAAAACTAACACTAAAATGCAGTTTACATATTTTTAAAAAATAAATGTGCATTCCACATACTGCTAGTTTGATATTTCTAAAACTCTTTTGATACTGCTAAAACCCTTTTCTCCATTACTTACAAGATTGATTTGAACTGTCTTTTCTATTTTTCTTCTCAATTTTATCCTGAAATCAAAAAGCCAAACTGCCCTCACATAAAAGGCAAGATACTTAGTTCACTACTTTAGATTCCAGAAAGCAAATAAAATGTCCAACAAAATACCATTTCTGGAACTGAATGAGTAATTTCAGTTTACTCAATGATTAAACTTTAGGATAAAATTAAAATGCAAAAATAAATGTTTCTCCCTCTTATCTTTCTAAAATTTTAAGTCCTGAGTAGAAATGAAAATAAAACAAAAAGCCTCATATCAAAGTTAAGCAAAGACTGAAAAAAGCCTAAGTCTCCTATTATATATAGCAAGTATCAGGTAGAAAACATCTATCCAAAGCCATACACAAGAGTTCTCCAGTTTCCTTATTTGACGCTTGTAATATCTCTTTTCCTGGTTGTCACCAAAATTACTGAGTATATAATTGGTTCTTACAGGGAAAATATATGTTAGACAAAGAGTCTAGAGATGTAACTCTGGTGAGAAGCAATCTCTTTCTTTTATCCAGCAAACATTAATTGAGCATTTAATAAGTGTCCAGTACTATATTAGGAATAAAGAAAAAATAAGAAATAAAATATAGTTCCTATCCTCAGGAAGTTTGCTACAGGGAGGAAGAGAACTAAAAATCACAACATAGTGTGATAAGCGTTATGATATACTAACAAGCTGTTTAGCAAGAAAAAGAAAGGGATCATATATAGATTTGGAGGGTGGAATCAAGGAAGGCTTCCTTAAAAAAAAAAAGGGAGGGGGGGGATAGTTTCCAAGACAAGAAAACAAACAGGATGTATACAACAGTATATACATTCAGTAAGCTGAAAATAGTTCCCTAAACCTGAAGTACATTGTGAATATGGAGGAACAGACAGACACAAAGCTAGAGATAAGCAAAGGCGAGATCATTAAGGGCCTTGTGTGCCAAACTAAGAAGTTTGAACTTTATCCAGAAGATTATGTGGAGCCATTGAAAGATGTTAAACTAGTAAGTGGCAAGTAAGATCTGCCTTTTAGAATAAATATTTTGACAACAACATAAAGAATAAAACAAGAAGAAAAAGACTACGTAAAGGAAACCTAATCAAGTTACTACCATAGTAATAAAGGCACGAAGTTATTAGGGCTTGAACTGATGCACTGGCAATAAAGATGGAGAACAGATCCTTTAAAAGACAGATTTAGGGGTTAAAAATAACTATATATGGCCGCACAGCATGGGGCAGTGTGGGGTCACCATAACAGCTACAGCAGCTGCAGGTGACGAGTGGTAGAATCGATGGTGAAGAGTCTGGAGAGAGAGAACATCCGGAAGATGCAGGGTCTCATGTTCCGGTGCAGCACCAGCTGCTGTGAGGACAGCCAGGCCTCCCTGCAGCAGGTGCACCAGTGCATCAAGCACTGCCATGTGCTTCTGGCTCAAGCCCAGGCTTTGGTCACCAGTGAGTTGGAGAAGTTCCAGGACCACCTGGCCCAGTGTACCACGCAATGCAACAACAAAGCCAAAGATTCAATAGCTGCTGGGAGTAAGGAGCTTCAGGTGAAGCAGCAGCTGGACGGTTGTGTGACCAAGTGTGTGGATGACCACATGCACCTCATCCCAACTATGACCAAGAAGATGAAGGAAGCTCTCTTAGCCATTGGGAAATAAAAGTCTTTGCCAGTGGCCATGGGGGCTGAGGGCAAGAATATATTTTTTATAAGGCATTTGGGAACTTTAGTATTTTAAGCAAAGTTTATGAATGAAGAAATTAAGGATGGCCACAAGTGTAATGCATATGTCACTTGCCTCTAGACACTGGTTCTTTCATGTTTCAGTCCTAAAACATGAAATGGAAAAAAGTGGTGTTAAATTGGGTCAGAGATTTACAGGAGAGTTTTAGATCTTATATTTCCTGTGGCCAGTGCTTGTCCTGGCAGTAAGGATCTCCCCTGTAACAGGCCAGAGCCCTCCAACACACCAGACTCTTCTTACTACACAGGTACCAATAGGCTGGCAGGTTAGAGTTGGTGGAGTTTGAAGAAAGATATTTTCTCTTTGTTGCCAACATCCTGTTTACCAGAAGTGTCACCACACCATTTTCCATAAGCTGTGAAACAAAATCCATGAGGTCACTAACTTAGAAGGGAAAAAAAAGTTTTCTGGGTCTTTGTTTTCTTGGTTTTGTGTAATTTATACAAGGGCATACAAGTTGATTTTAAGATGTGGAATTGGGAGGGAGACTAGTTTAGATAAGAACTTTGAAAGGTTCCTTGATCCCCATTTCTGGTCATCAAGATGTGGATGTACATTTCTTAAAATTATTACATGCTGCATCTTTCAGCCTGGAGACCATGCAAAAACATGAGAGGCGAGGACACACTAATTACGGGAAGCATAATTACTGCCTGATGGACCCTGAGGCTGTGTGTAGCAAAATGACAGGACAATCTTGCAGTAACACTTTCCCCTTGGAAGAGAAAGGGGTTTTGATTGTGATATATACTAGTATCTAGGAATGAACAGTAAAAGAGGAGCAGTTGGCTACTTGATTATAAAAGTTATGAAGTACTGGATTTGGAAAAACCTGGTTTTTATAGAACAGATAGAATGAAAGCCTAAACCTAGCATTACATACTTAGCCCCCTGAATTAACAGAGCACAACTAAGACAAACCCCTGGCAGCAGGAAATTCAAGGAAGAAAAAGTAAGCAACTTGGGCTAGGATGAGCTGACTTCTTTAAAGCAAAGGAGAGGCAGCCCCCATTACCAAATACCATTTTTGCCTGGGGCTTTTGCAACACAGTGTTCCTGCCCCAGCATGGCACCTTATTGTTTTGATAGCAACCTCATTGTATTTTCACCAACTTATTACTTGAAGTGATAACACAGCCTGTCCATTTACTGTTTCCAGGCTATGATATATTTTCCTAGTGGTTTGGTTTTAAAATTAAATAAGGTTTAATTTTCTACCGCCCCCCAAAAAAATATATATATGTATATATGTTAAATGACTGGATATAAGGATAAGGAAAAAAGAGGAGTCAAAGACAATTCCCAAGTTCTAATTTGTAAGTAGTGTCAATCACTCAGATAGAGGGGAATACAAAAACAGGCACAAGTTTGAGAAAAGATGAGGTTCTCACTTTACAACAAGTTGAGTTTAGGACACCTGGAGCTGAGGAAAGAGGTCTGGACTAGCTGGTAGCTCACCCACTAACTGAACAATAGACAACAACAATTTTAAAACACAGCAAAAAACAAATTAGAATCTTACTGGGACTCTTTACTTCATATTATATTTGAATTTCATGAGCACATAATCTATGTGCTAAAAATTCCTAGTGGTAAAACTATTATTCTGAGAGAATGGACTACCACACTGTTCTGATTGGAAAAAGGACAGATGTAGGATGAGGCGATTGATGAGTTTGTTGTCATTTGAAGAGAGTTTAAAGGTTCCTTTCAAAAGAGTCAAAGATATTAGAAAGCCATTCCTTTAAGTAGCCCTTTTATTTACATCTGTCAGTGCAGTAAGAGATTAACCTGTACTGGGGAAGAAATCTGCTAGAACATAGAATGAGAGCAAGCTGCTTCATAAATTACTGATGCTAAGCTGTCTGACTCTTAAGATTTACAGTGTTTTAGAAAATTAAATTTATATCAGGTATGAGCTAGTAAGAAATTTCTTCGTTAAACTTGGCTTTTTATGATTTTGTCTTTTTAAAAGAAGTATTCTCTTTAAAAATTAATGTGTAATATCTTCAGATGTTTTGACAAGAATTCTACTTTTATTTTAAAAATAACTGTGTTGAAAGTTAGCAGTTTTTATCTGGGTCTTGGTTTAAAGTACTTATATACTGTCATTCAGATTACAGACCATATAACCAAAGTACTGTCTCGCTAATTGTAAGTTATTCTAACTGAAAATAAAGTACCTTCCCTCCAAAACATTCATTTAATGGCTGAAATTGTAAATCGTGATGTATAAAAGATATTATGTTATAGATTCCTAGAGCTAATTCCTAGTTTTCAGCCCCAAACTCCCATATAATTCTTTCAAAAAACACAAAACAGAAATTGGTCTTGTTACTCTACAAAATTAAACTGAACATTTACTATTAAAAACCTAGAGGCAATATTTTAACATCATCTCCTGTTTTAAAAATTCATTTAAAATACAAGCTCAAAAAAGTCAAAAGTGGTTAGGATCTAGATTAGATAACATTTTGAAAGAATGTTAAAGATGAAGAAAATATTAATGCACATATATACACACACATTTATATGCATATAATACATATACACACACGTATATATATGTATCTTCATTTTAATCATAAAATAATCCCTAAAAAGATGTGTACATGTATCAAATTTAAATAAGTTAAATGTACTAATGATACTCGTTTTTAAATATAATTCCATGTCAATCTGCTTAATGAAGTACAGAAACATCAGCTAACTCTGTAAATTAAGATAGGCAGCTTTAAGATTTGCTTTAGAGTGTGGTATGCCTATATATGCAAATCTCCTTTCAGGTCATTTCAACAATTTTATCATTAGGAGTACGGGATTCATATTATTTCAAATGTGGTAAGTTGAACAAAATCAATACTGAACAACATACCTTTCAGATAAATTAAGGCTTTGGCGAAGAGGTTCTAATTTTTGACATGTCTCTAGGCTGTCAACAGATGTCGAAGGCAATGAGTCTGATTGCACCTTGTTGGCATCACATAAATTAGCATCGTTTCTAGGTAGGGTCTTTCTGAATTTTCGTCCTAAATCCGTCCATAGGACATTCGTCAACATAACTTTGAGTTGCCTGTTATACACATAAATAATTAGTATATATGGTACTACACATTGTAGAATACATGAATTCATCACAAACTAATATCTCCAGAAACTGTAAACTTCAGTTCCTCAAGCAACTATAGTAAATACCCTAAGAAAAAAGAAAAAATGCCTAACTATTATCAAAGATACCTTAAAAAGTAAAATCTATTTCACTTAAGTTGGGATTTTCTTCAGAATTCTGTCAAGTTTACTACAACTATCATTACACATGTACAGCTGCTAGACTCCTGGCAATGCATTCATGTTTATTAACAATGTTAGTTGAAGGACAGTGTTCATTTGCAGATCTCATCACAGATGTAACCACTGTTTGTGCTAAAAATGTGTTTTTGTTTTAGCATTTGTTGATTCAGAAAACATTATTAAAACTAAGGGTCCACTACTGCATCACTTACATTCTTAAGGCTATACAGTCTTAAGATACAGATTTAATTTTATCTTATTTCTAAAATAGGTCAACTTAAAAAATTTACCTTACTGTACCTATACCAATTTCAAAAAAAAAAAAAGACTGACAAATGCAAGCAGTTCCAGCAACACTTTTGCCCATCATGTTTTACCCATCTTCTCATTCAATACATCTTTATGCTGAATATTTGAATAACTATGTTTAGTTCTGGAATTCCAAAAACTATGGAATATAGTTTCTGCAGTGGTGTGAACAGGCTACCAAGTGCATTTAAAACAATGTCAAGTGAGGAATGGCTGAAAGTACTGGGAAATGTTTAATCAGAAGAGTGTCTATTTTACTACCTATGAAACAGTTTTAGGCACTTTTTGTTTGTTTGCTTAACAAACACAAGAATATTAAGAAACAGCAATATGTTCACATATTTTCAAGATAAAACGGGAACTCTCAAAAAAAAAAACCACTTGTTTGCAGCAGCCATTTGAGTGTATATCCCCAAACCATCTAGTGGGAAGAGGGTACAAGTTCCCAGGGTACTTCCATAGAACACTGAAAACTCCAAACATGTTGCACACACACAAAAAAAAATTAAGCTATTAGTTTTAAAATTATTAAAAAATAAATGACATCTCTATGGATCAATAATAATTCATTCTACAAGCACTTACTGAACATCTTCCAGCAAAACAACGATGCTAGTATAATCTGGAGTTTCAGCTACAAACAAAATAGTTGAGTTTTTGCCTTCATGGGGTGTACATTACAGAGAATAAACCAATTCATTATTTAATTAGAATTCTAATATGTGCTATGAAGAAGAAATACAGATGTTGCACTTCTTCTGAGCCAAGTTTCTGAGAATATGACCTTGAAGCTGAAGTCTCAAAGAAGGACAGGCACTATCCAAAGGAAACAAGTAAAAAATGGAGAAAGGTCCAAAAAACAGGACAAAATGCAAATGTTTTGAGTAAAGCTTCTTCAAAGAAATTAAAGGACTTACCTGACTCATGTACTTAGAATAAAGAGGTAATGTGTCTAAGAATGGGCAGTTAGGCAGGACTTAGCAAACCATATTAAGGATGTGAGACTTTATGTCAACAACAATGGAAATCCACTAGTCTTAATTAGGAAACACTGAGATCAGAGCTACACTTTTAAAAGATCATTTTGATGTTTATGAAGAATAAAATGGAAGTGCTAGGAATAATGAGGAATAAAAATTAATTTACGGAGATGATGACTTTATCAGAGGTAGTTTAGAAGAATGGTGGGAGCAGAAACCAGAATACAGTGGGATCAGCAAAGGGAAAGGAGCAAAGGGATATAGCAAATGAAAGTAGTTGAGAAATATGGTTGTGAAAGTGGAAAATAAGACAAGACCTGAAAATAGACATGAGAAGCAGGAAAGGGTTTTTAGTCAGTTACTGGTTGATTAGTTAAAGATAGGAAAGATTTGTGTAAGTTTAAATGCTTATGGGAAGCACGTAAGGGTTAAAGACACAGAAGGCAGGATAATTAACACAGTAAGTTTCCCAAGAAATTGCATTAAGTGCTAATATTTATTGAACATGTACTATATACCAGGCACTGTGCTAAGCATTTTACAATGATTTATTTCATTTAATCCTCACAACCACTCCATGAGGGGCTTACAAATTATTCTTCTCATGCAGCTGAGGAGACCAAGATAGGCTGATTAATATCTAAGTAAAACGAGTGAGTAGTGAAAATGCGATTCAGAACCACACACTCTCAAATTTCTTGCCAGCACTCTTAACTGCTTCACACTACACTGGTTTATGACAGGAGAAGAGGCATTCCAACCAAGACCTTCTCTTAAAAGTGATAGGAGGCCAGGCGCTGTGGCTCACGCCTGTAATCCCAGCACTTTGGGAGGCCAAGGCAGGTGGATCACGAGGTGAGGAGATCGAGACCATCCTGGCTAACATGGTGAAACCCCGTCTCTACTAAAAAATACAAAAAATTAGCCGGGCATGGTGGCGGGCACCTGTAGTCCCAGCTACTCAGGAGGCTGAGGCAAGAGAATGGCGTGAACCCAGGAGGCGGAGCTTGCAGTAAGCCGAGATTGCGCCACTGCACTCCAGCCTGGGCGACAGAGCGAGACTCCGTCTCAAAAAAAAAAAGTGATAGGAAAGATAAAGGAACATAGGTTTGAAAAAAGTTTTCAAATAATCCTTGTAGAGAGGGGGAACACAAGCTTACTAAAGAAACACACGTTGTCTTACAGTTAAGAAATCCCTGTGAGATTAACACATTTATAATGCCACAAATATCCTTTTTTCCTGCAAACAGATAATTGAGTTCACAGATGATTATTAATTGCAAAGAAGAAAAGGTGTCTTTACAATGAACAGATCTGGCAGGCACCATCTTATGCAAGTGATCAAACATAGGAGTACTAAGAGTGAAACAACCAGAAATTATGTTACCCCCTGATATGTGCAGTAAGAAGTACATGACATCAGGTATGAAATATTCCTGCCAAAAATGTAACCTGGACCTAATCATATGGGCAAGACCAATAAAATAATAAAAATATAGACTGTGAGGCATTCTACAGAACAACTGGTCTGGACTCCTCAAAACTCAATGTGATGGTTAAAAGGGAAAGGGCAGAGCAGGTGGGAACTCTTCTAGATTAAGAGACTAATGGGGTATAATAACCAAATACAATGCATGAACCTGAACTTGATTCTATTAGGTAGGTACAAAAGTAACTGCAGTTTTGGCCAAATAGATTTAAAAATAAATAAATAAAAGACATTTTGGGAATACTCGGGAAATTCTGATTGTGGACTTTATAGCAGATGATGATATGAAATTACTGTTAATTTTCTTGATAGTATATTATAATTGTTATGTAAGAGAATGTTATTGTTCTTAGGAAAAGCAAGCTGAAGTATCTGAAGATAAAATACCATGATGCCTGCAACTTACTCTCAAATGGTTCCCCAAAAAATGTATGTATATGTGCATGTATATATGTATATATGTGATGCCCATCTATATACATGCATAAAGAGACACCGAGAGACGGCAAATGTGCCAAAATGTTTAAAGACTACCAGTCTATTATTTATACATTTTACAACTGTACAATTTAAAATTCTAAATGACCAAATAAAAATGCAAACAAAACTTTAAGGAAATTTATTTTAAGGATAAAATGTAATTAAGTCTAATGGAAAAACTATATGACTTAGGTATTTGCTAAATTATTGAGGAAATTATTATCTCAATGGTAATTTTAATAATTTCAAATATGAGACTATTCAATGTTGGAAAAAGCCATTTTTCTATTCACTCAGACCAAATAAGAATTTATATTGGAAAATAACAAATCATTGGTAATTTTACTGATTATTCTAATAGTGAGGCTCTAAATGAGACGGACAATTTGGCTTCTCCGGGAAAATACTTATTTCACATTTGACTTTATTATAATTTGTCTGACTAAAAATATCCGGCAACAGAAGTCAGTAATCTTTTTCCCCCCAAACTAGTAAGGTGAAAAAATTCTAAACATCTACAACATTTAAGTGTCATAAGATTTCTCTGTATACCAGAAGAGAAACTTAAGAGTAAAGAACAACATTCAAACCAGGCAAAATAAAACCTAAATTTAGTATTTAGGGATATATACTTAGGTAACAATACTATCCAACAAAACTAAGAAAGTAATTACTTTGAAAGTTAGGTGAGTGGTTATCGTTAAAGCAGGGGTCCCCAGCCCCCAGACTGCCTTGTACCAGTCTGTGGTCTGTTAGGAACTGGGCCACACAGCAGGAGGTGAACGGTGGGTGAGCGAGCATTACCGCCTGAGCTCTGCCTCCTGTCAGATCAGCAGCAGCATTAGATTCGCATAGGAGCACGAACCCTATTGTGAACTTCACATGCGAGGGATCTAACTTGTGCACTCCTTATGAGAATCTAATGCCTGATGATCTGAGGTGGAACAGTTTCATGCCTAAACCACTCCCCACAACACCAACCCACCCCACTCTCAACCCCATCCGTGGAAAAATTGGCTTCCATGAAACCAGTCCCTGGTGCCAAAAAGGTTGGGGACTGCTGCTTTAAAGGGTTATCATTTGCAGGGGTTGAGAACTTCTGGGGCAGTTTTCTGTTTTGTACCTCAGTGGTGGTTAAAATCTACCTTATTAAAAATAGATTAAATTTAATGAATAATTCATTGAACTGTTTACCTTTTAGTCATTTTTTGTTAATTACATTATATTTCACAGCAAAAATGAAAAGTAAAAGGCAGCTAAACAGAGAACTCCACCTAACCCAACAATCTATATACTTAGGTAGGCTGGTTCCTGTTACTTGCCTAGGCTTTTTAGAACCATCCAACTGTCTATTTATAAAGTGTTCCTTTGAAAGCTCCAAACCATTATACTAATACTCACTTAATTTTTTATGAGGGGAAATGATCATTGATCCATATACTCAGATTCTTTAAAAAATCGCATTCCTAAAAAATAAGAAATATACTGTATCTTTTCTATTTTACATATGAGAAATTTTATAATTGTAGGAAGACCCAGCATAATCACAGCAGAAAAAAAATAACATGTTTGCCTATGAATAAAAAAAAATACACTGGTTTTCCAGAAAACCTCAATTTTTTAAAAATTTTTCAACAAAAGTAGTTTATCAATGAATACATAAACATGACTTAATTATATAGCTTGGCCAAATAAATTCAGAAATCAGAAAAAAGAATTCTCCCTCAGACTTGGAGTCCTACATTTTGATTCCGGAAAATAAACTAACAATTGGGATGAAGGCATTGTTTTCATGCCTTTTGTCATAATTTTATTTAGAGTATTTCTTGTCCTTCAAAAAAAAATGGACAAAACATTTGGACACTTCACCAAAAAAATGCACAAATGGCCAACATGCATACAAAAAGACATTCAATATCATTAATCTTATTTTTCTGGTCTTTAAAAAAAGTTTTAAAAAAGAGGAAGGAACAAAAGAAATTCAACAGATATCCTAGAGAAGATTTCTTAAAGTTCAATAAAGCACATGAAAAAATGTTCAACATCATCAGTCATCAAGGAAATGCAATTAAAACCACAAAGAGATACTGCTACACCTCCATTAGAAAGGGTGATAATAAAGAAGATGACCATGTAAGTGTTGGCAGGGGTGTGGAGAAAATGAAACCCTTCTACATGGCTAGTGGTGGGAATATAATACGGCACAATCACTTATGGCAGCTTGGCAGTTTCTTACAAAGTTAAAAATGCACCTACCATATGACCCAGCAATCCAACTCCTAGGTATTTACCCAAAAGAAATGAAAACAGGCTCCCAACACAGTGGCTGACTAGACACAGCCAAGTGGAATGGCTACCACCAAGGGACCAAGACGATGGGTGCACTCCTAATAGATCTTCAGAGGGAAGGCACAGAGACTGGATGGAGGGAAGACACAGAAGCTAGGCTGAAGAGGGAGGAAGGTGGGAACCTTGCACAGGCTTACCATGTACCAGGACTCATTCATAGCCCCCAGTGACTCTGGGGGGCAATGGGTGAGTTGAACTGGCAAGGGGCAATCCACTCTCCCGAAGGGTCTCTGGAATCCCAGCAGGAGGAGACCCCTCAACCACCACGGACACTTCAGTTGGCAGGGAGAGCTGCTTAGAGAAGTGGTAGGGGCAGCACACCAGCTGATGTGGAGCCCAGAAGGTTTGGTGCGGGAGAGTCTGCAGCAGAGCATGGCCAGTGAGGGCCATCCCTCTAGGCTTGACTTGCTCCCATAAGAGACTTTAGCCCTAGGGGAACTGTTGGACCTGAACTCTGCAGGGTTGTCTTGCCTATCAAACAAGGCCAGTCTGACCTGACCATCCTTGGTCTGTGGCCACTCCCAGGGCCGCAGCCTGGTGGTGTCTACTTGCAGGGCAGCATTGGGTGCCCTGGGGTCCTGTATCACTGGGGGACCTGCCTAACAGGCAGAGAGCTCCAGTGGGGTGGCCCCCAAAACCATGCACAAGCCTGCCACTCCCTCCACACACCGCAGCTTCCCCTTGGCCCATGGCAACCCACCCCCCATCCCCGCACGTTGCTTTGCTGATGTATATGTGTGCAGGAGGGTTTTGCTTTCTTTGCCCCAGCAGCATGTGACTGTGCATGCACCCTGCCCTGCCACTGTGTGAGTGCAGTCCACCCCGCTCCCACAACTGACCACCATTGCAGTGCAAACCATGGCGAGCACAAAGCCAGCCAGCCTTGCCCCTGGAAGTACCTCACCCTTGCACCAACACTGACAGGAAGTGAAGCCAGACACAAAGAACAGCACACCTTCCCCCCACACTGAGCAACCACCCCTGCCTACAGCGCACAGAGAAAGCACAAAGACCTGTACCCACCAGTACCACCACACCCGTGCCAACATCACCAACAGCACAACCACACACACAGTCACCAGCAGGGACTCCTGCTCCCCATCAGCCACATTGCCGCTGCCACTGTGGTGAACACTCATATGAAGACAGGCACCCTGGCACCCATTAGCACCTTGCCACAGCCAACAGACATGCACTAGGCCACACTGCGTGATACAGTTTGGCTGTGTTCCCACCCAAATCTCATCTTCCCACGTGTTGTGGGAGGGACCTAGTGGGAGTTCACTGAATCATAGTGTCAGTTTCCCCATACTGTTCTCATGGAAGTGAATACGCCTCATGAGATCTAATGGTTTTATAAAGGGAAACCCCTTTCACTTGGTTTTCATTCCCTCTTGTCCACCGCCATGTAAGATGTTCCTTTCACCTTCTGCCATAATTGTGAGTCCCCCCATAGTCACATGGAACTGTGAGTCTATTAAACCTCTTTTTCTTTATAAATTACCCAGTCAGGGGTATGCCTTTATCAACAGCCTAAGAACACACTAATACACTACCACTGCTGCTGGCACATGCAAATGAGGATACATCCAGCTGCCACTGCACTACTGCACTATGAAATGCTTTAGCTGACACCACCCATTGGAGAGTAGTGACCAGCAGTCCAGGAGCACCTCAGCCCCCCAACACAGTGGATTCCTAACCTTGAGGTAACAGAGAACAAAGTTGGGGTCTGATACAAGTCCCACAGAGTTAGAGCACACAGTCCAGGAGAAGTTGGGAGCTGAGCACTGGTACCCTAAAATCTTCCAGAAACAAAGCCAGTTGGCTGACTCCACTTTTTACCACAATCAAACCCTCAAAGTCATCAAGATAAAAGAAAAAGACTCTACCCAAAGGTTAGCAACTTCAAAGACTGAAGGAACTTAAGCCCACAAAGATGAGAAAGAACCAGCAAAAGAACACTGAAAACTCAAAAAGCCCGAGTGCCTTCTTTCTTCCAAAGAACCGAACCATCTCTCCAGCAAGGGTTCTGAACTAGGCTGAGATGGCTGAAATGACAGAAATAGAATTCAGAATATGAGTAGGAATGAAAATCATTGAGATGCAAGAGTATGTTGAAAACCAATCCAAGGAAGCTAAGAATCACAATAAAAAAATGCAGGAGCTAACAGACAAAATAGCCAGTACACAAAGAAACCAACTAACATGATATAGCTGAAAAATATACAAGAATTTCATAATGCAATCGCAAGTATTAATAGCAGAATAGACCAAGTGGAGCAAAGAATCTCAGTGCCTGAAGACTGACTTTCTGAAATAAGACAGTCAGACAAAAATAGAGAAAAAAGAATGAAAAGAAACAAACAAAACCTCTGAGAAATAAGGGATTATGTAAAGAGACTAAACCTACAACTCACTAGTGTACCTGAAAGAGATGGAGAGATGGTAACCAACATGGAAAACATATTTCTGAATATCATCCATGAGAACTTCCCCAACCTAGTCAGAGAGGCCAACATTCCCCAACCTATCATTCATGAGTTCTGTCACCCATGAGAACTTCCCCAGCCTAGCTAGAGAGGCCTAGCAGAGAACCCGAGTAAGATATTTCACAAGATCATCCCAAAGACACATAATCATCAGATTCTCCAAGGTCAAAATCAAAGAAAAAATGTTACAGGCAGCTAAAAAGGTCAGGTCACCTACAAAGGGAAGCCCATCAGACTAACAGCAGACATCTCAGCAGAAACCATAAAAGCCAGAACAGATTGAGGAACAGTATTCAATGTTCTTAAAGAAAATAAATTATAACCCAAAATGTGATATGCAGCCAAACTAAGCTTCATAAGTGAAGGAGAAATAAGATTTTTTTTTTTTTTTAGATAGAGTCTCGCTCTGCTGCCCAGGATGGAGTTCAGTGGCACCATCTTGACTCACTGCAACCTCTGCCTCCCAGGCTCAAGTGATTGTCCTGCCTCAGCCTCCCGAGTAGCTGGGATTACAGGCACCCACCACCATGCCCAGCTAATTTTTTTTATTTTCAGTAGGGACGGGGGTTTCATCATGTTGGCCAGCCTGATCTTGAACGCCAGACCTCAAGTGATCCTCCCACCTCAGCCTCCCAAAGTGCTGGGATTACAGGCATGAGCCATGGCACCCAGCCTAAGAAGATTCTTTTCAGACAAGCAAATGCTGAGGAAATTGATTACCACACGACCTGCCTTGGAAGAGCTCCTGAAAGAAGCACTAAATATGGAAAGGAAACAATGTTACCAGCCACTACAGAAACACACTGAAGTACACAGACCAGTGACACCATAAAGCAACTACAGAAACAAGTCTGCATAATAACTAGCTAACATCCCCAACTCATTCTATGAGGCCAGCATCATCCTGATACAAAAACTTGGCAGAGACAAAATGAAAAATTTAAGGCCAATATCCTTTATGAACATCAATGCAAAAGTCCTCAACAAAATACAGGCAAATCAAATCCACCAGCATACCAAAAAGCTTATTCATCACGATCAAGCAGGCTTTACACCTGGGATGAAACGGGGGTTCAACATATGCAAATCAGAAATTTGAGGCCAGGTGCAGTGGCTCACTCCTGTAGTCCTAGCACTTGGGGAGACCGAGGCAAGAGGATTGCCTGAGCTCAGGAGTTTGAGACCAGCCTGGGCAACATGGCAAAACCCTGTCTTTACTGAAAATACAAAAAACTACCCGGGAGTGGTGGTGCACACCTTTAGTCTCAGCTACTCGGGAAGCTAAAGCACGAGAATTGCTTAAACCCGGGAGGTGGCGGTTGCAGTGAGCCCAGATAGCACCACTGAACTCCAGGTTGGGTGACAGAGCAAGACACTGTCTCCAAAAAAAAAAAAAAAAAAATTTGATTTATCACATAAACAGAGCTAAAGTCAAAAACCACATGATTACCTCAATACATGCAAAATTAAATTTCTGTGGGACCTGGCAAAATGCACCTCTGCTTTCATTCAGGTACAATGCATCAGCACAGAATTTCCTTTTTCTTTTTCTTTTTTTTCTTTTGAAGAAAAGAATATCAAATAAATTTTTTATTTATTATTATTATACTTTAAGTTCTGGGGTACATGTGCACAACATGCAGGTCTGTTACATAGGTATACATGTGCCATGGTGCTTTGCTGCACTCATCCACTCATCATTTACATTAGGTATTTCTCCTAACGCTATCCCTCCCCCAGCCCCCCACTCCCCAACAGGCCCTGGTGTGTGATGTTCCCTGCCCTGTGTCCATGTGTTCTCATTGTTCAACTCCCACTTATGAGTGAGAACATGCAGTGTTTTGTTTTCTCTTCTTGTGTTTCTTTTGTGAGAATGATGGTTTCCAGTTTCATCCATGTCCTGGCAAAGGACATGAAATCATCCTTTTTTATGGCTGCATAGTATTCCATGGTGTATATGTGCCATGTTTTCTTTATCCAGTCTATCATTGATGGGCATTCGGGTTGGTTCCAAGACTTTATTATTATGAATAGTGCTGCAATAAACATACATGTGCATGTGTCTTTACAGTAGAATGATCTATAATCCTTTGGGTATATACCCAGTAATGGGATTGCTAGGTCAAATGGTATTTCTAGTTTTACATCCTTGAGGAGTCACCACACAGTCTTCCACAATGGTTGAACTAATTTACACTCCCACCAACAATGTAAAAGTGTTCCTATTTCTCCATATCCTCTCCAGCATCTGCTGTTTCCTGACTTTTTAATGATCACCATTCTAACTGGCGTGAGATGGTATCTCATTATGGTTTTAATTTGCATTTCTCTAATGACCAGTGATGATGAGAATTTTTTTCAGAAGTTTGTTGGCTGCGTAAATGTCTTCTTTTGAGAAGTGTCTGTTCATACCCTTCACCTACTTTTTGATGAGGTTCTCTTTTTCTTCTTGTAAATTTGTTTAAATTCTTTGTAGATTCTGGATATTAGCCCTTTGTCAGATGGACAGATTGCAAAAATTTTCTCCCATTCCATAGGTTGCCTGTTCACTCAGCTGATAGTTTCTTTTGCTGTGCAGAAGCTCTTTAATTAGATCCCATTTGTCAATTTTGGCTTTTGTTGCCATTGCTTTTGGTGTTTTAGTCATGAAATCTTTGCCCATGCCTATGTCCTGAATGATATTGCCTAGGTTTTCTTCTAGGGTTTTTATGGTTTTAGGTCTTACAGTTAAGTCTTTAATCCATCTTGAGTTAATTTTTGTATAAGGTCTAAGGAAGGAGTCATTTCAGTTTCCTGCATATGGCTAGCCAGTTTACACAACACCATTTATTAAATAGGGAATCCTTTCCCCATTGCTTGTTTTTGTCAGGTTTGTCAAAGATCTGATGGTTGTAGATGTGTGGTGTGATTTCTGAGGCCTCTGTTCTGTTCCATTGGTCTATCTATCTGTTTTGGTACCAGTACCATGCTGTTTTGGTTACTGTAGCCTTGTAGTATAGTTTGAAGTCAGGTAGCATGATGCCTCCAGCTTTGTTCTTTTGGCTTAGGATTGTCTTGGCTACGCGGGCTCTTTTTTGGTTCCATACGAAATTTAAAGTAGTTCTTTTTCCAATTCTGTGAAGAAAGTCATTGGTAGCTTGATAGGGATAGCATTGAATCTATAAATTACTTTGGGCATTATGGCCACTTTCACAATACTGATTCTTCCTATCCATGAGCATGGAATGTTTTTCCATTTGTTTGTGTCCTCTTTTATTTCCTGGAGTAGTGGTTTGTAGTTCTCCGTGAAGAGGTCCTTCACATCCCTTGTAAGTTGGATTCCTAGGTATTTTATTCTCTTTGTAGCAATTGTGAATGGGAATTCACTCATGATTTGGCTGTTTATCAGTTATTGGTGTATAGGAATGCTTGTGATTTTTGCACATTGATTTTGTATCCCGAGACTTTGCTGAAGTTGCTTCTCAGCTTAAGGAGATTTTGGGCTGAGACGATGGGGTTTCCTAAATATACAATCATGCCATCTGTAAACAGAGACAATTTGACTTCCTCCCTTCCTATCTGAACACCCTTTATTTCTTTCTCTTGCCTGATTGCCCTGGCCAGAACTTCCAATACTACGTTGAATAGGAGTAGTAAGAGAGGGCATCCTTGTCTTGCGCCAGTTGTCAAATGGAATGCTTCCAGTTTTTGCCCATTCAGTATGATATTGGCTGTGGGTTTGTCATAAATAGCTCTTATTATTTTGAGATATGTTCCATCGATACCTAGTTTACTGAGAGTTTTTAGCATGAAGGGCTGAATTTTGTCAAAGGCCTTTTCTGCATCTATTGAGATAATCATGTGGTTTTTGTCGTTGGTTCTGTTTATGTGATGGATTACGTTTATTGATTTGTGTATGTTGAACCAGCTTTGCATCCCAGTGATGAAGCATACTTGATCATGGTGGATAAGTTTTTTGATGTGCTGCTGGATTCGGTTTGCCCATATTTTATTGAGGATTTTCATATCGATGTTCATCAGAGATATTGGCCTAAAATTTTCTTTTTTTGTTGTGTCTCTGCCAGGTTTTGGTATCAGGATGATGCTGGCCTCATAAAATGAGTTAGGGAGATTTTCCTCTTTTTCTATCGATTGGAATAGTTTCAGAAGGAATGGTACCAGCTCTTCTTTGTATTTCTGATAGAATTCAGCTGTGAATCCATCTGGTTCTAGACTTTTTTTGGTTGGCAGGCTATTAGTTATTGCCTCAATTTCAGAGCCTGTTATTGGTCTATTCAGAGATTCAATTTCTTCCTGGTTTAATCTTAGGAGGGTATATTTGTCCAGGAATTTATCCATTTCTTCTAGATTTTCTAGTTTATTTGCATAGAAGTGTTTATAGTATTCTCTGATGGTAGTTTGTATTTCTGTGGGATCGGTGGTGATATCCCCTTTATCATTTTTTATTGCATTTATTTGATTCTTTGCTCTTTTCTTCTTTATTAGTCTGGCTATTGGTTTATCTATTTTGTTGATCTTTTCAAAAAAACCAGCTCCTGGATTCACTGATTTTTTGAAGGGTTTTTTGTGTCTCCATCTCCTTCAGTTCTGCTCTGATCTATTTCTCGCCTTCTTCTAGCTTTTGAATTTGTTTGCTCTTCCTTCTGTAGTTCTTTTAATTTTGATGTTAGGGTGTCGATTTTAGATCTTTCCTGCTTTCTCTTGACATTTAGTGCTATAAATTTCCCTCTACACACTGCTTTAAATGTGTCCCAGAGATTCTGGTATGTTGTGCCTTTGTTCTCATTGGTTTTAAAGAACATCTTTATTTCTGCCTTCATTTCGTTATTTACCCAGCAGTCATTCAGGAGCAGGTTGCTCAGTTTCCATGTAGTTGTGCAGTATGAGCGGGTTTCTTAATCCTGAGTTCTAATTTGATTGAACTGTGGTCTGAGAGACAGTTTGTTGTGATTTCTGTTCTTTTACATTTGCTGAGGAGTGTTTTACTTCCAATTATGTGGTCAATTTTGGAATAGGTGCAATGTGGTGCTGAGAAGAATGTATATTCTGTTGATTTGGGGTGAAGAGTTCTTTAGATGTCTATTAGGTCTGCTTGGTCCAGAGCTGAGTTCAAGTCCTGGATATCCTTGTTAACCTTCTGTCTCATTGATCTGTCTAATATTAACAGTAGGGTGTTAAAGTCTCCCACTATTATTGTTTGGGAGTCTAAGTCTCTTTGTAGGTCTCTAAGAACTTGCTTTATGAATCTGGGTGGTCCTGTAGTAGGTGCATATATATTTAGGATAGTTAGCTCTTCTTGTTGCATTGATCCCTTTACCATTATGTAATGCCCTTCTTTGGTTTTTCTGATCTTGGTTGGTTTAAAGTCTGTTTTATCAGAGATTATGATTGCAACCCCTGCTTTTTTTTTTTTTTTTTTTTTTGCTTTCCATTTGCCTGGTAGATCTTCCTACATCACTTGAGGTCAAGAGATCGAGACCATCCTGGCCAACATGGTGAAACCCTGTCTCGACTAAAAATACAAAAATTAGCTGGGTGTGGTGGCGTGGGTCTGTAGTCCTAGCTACTCGGGAGGCTGAGGAAGGAGAATCGCTTGAACCCGGGAGGCAGAGGTTGCAGTGCACCAAGATTGCGCCATTGCACTCCAGCCTGGCGGACAGAGCCAGACTTCGTCTCAAAAAAAATCATCCATCCCTGAGGTCTGCCTTAGACTCTACCTTTCCAGCACATGCATTTGTTACTTGACAACTGGCCAAATACTAAAGAAGCAGTTTTTGAAAGAAAAGGAGTTATCTTATTCTTTGAAATTAAAAGGGGATTTTGTCTTGCACCTTTGGTACCAGCATGGCCACAGCGGAGTAGAGCACCAAAGAGGCTCTTGGGGTCCCTAATTCCAGGACGTGACCCTATGATGGCACTTTTGGACCTGACCTGGAGCAGAGGGGAGCTCACTGCCCTAAAGGTTGAGTCCCAGGCCAGGCAGCATTCACAACAAGCCATCTTAAGAGATTTCGGGCCTTAAGGGAAATTGTAGGTAGTCTGGCCATACTCCTTGTGGCCTGGGATAGCAATGGCTATGGGGTGAGGCTCTTCTGCTTTTGGGAAAGTGAGGGAAGAGTGGGGAGGACTGCATCTTGTCATTTGAGTGCCAGCTCAACCATAATACAATAGAACACTAGGTAGACTTCTAAGGTTTTTGACTCCAGTCCCTGACTCCCGGACAGCACTTCTGGACTGACCAAGGGCTTGGGAGATCTTGCCATCCTGAAGGGAAGAACACAGGCCTGGCTGGCTTTGCCACTTGCTGATCATAGAGCCCTGGACCCTTAAGCAAACATAGGCAGTAGCCAGGGAGTAGTGACAGCAGGTCTTGGGAGAGACCCAGGCTGTGCTGGCTTCAGGTCTGACCCAGCACAGTCACAATGCTGGTGGCCACAGGGGTGCTTGAGTCACTCCACCCCCATCTTTAGGTGGCTTGGAATAGAGACTGTATGTTTGGTAGAAAGTAAGGGAAAAGAACAAGAGTCTCTGCCTGGTAATCCAGAGAATTCTCCCAGTTCTTGTACAAGACTATCAAGACAGTATCTCTATGAGTCTGTAAGAATCACAGCATTACTGAGTTGGGGTGCACCCTAAAGCTTAGAGCATAACACCCAGCTCCTTTCAAATATCTGAAAAGCCTTCCCAAAAAGGATGGCTACAAGTAAGCACAGATAGAGAAGACTACAATAAAAACCTAACTCTTCAATGCCCAGACAATGAAGAACATCTACTAGCATCAACATCACCAAGGAAAATAATCACTGGAAGCTACAAAACTCACTGGTAATAAGTACATAGAAAAAGAAAGAATATCATAACACTGTAACTGTGGTGTGTAAACTACTCTTATCCTACGTAGAAAGACTACAGGATAAACCAACCAAAAATAATAACTACAATAACTTTTCAAGACAGTCAATACAATAAAGATATAAATAGAAGCAACAAAAAAGTTAAAAAGCAGGGAGACAAAGTTAAGGCATAGAGTTTTTATTAATTTTTATTTTGCTTGTTGTTTATGCAAATAGTGTTGTTATCGGGTTAACATAAAGGGTAATAAGATAGTATTTTCAAGCCTCATGGTAACCTCAAACCAAAAAACATACAATGGATACACAAAAAATAAAAAGCATTAAACCAAATCATATTAAAAATCACCTTCACTAGAGGAAGACAGGAAGGAAAAAAAAAAGGAAAAAAAAAAACAAGAAAGAGAAGACCACAAAACAATCAGAAAACAATTAACAAAATGGCAGGAAATAAGTTCTTACTTATCAATAATAACATTGAATATAAATGGACTAAATTCTCCAACTTAAAAACACAGACTGGCTGAATGGATGAAAAACCCATTGATCTGTTGCCTAAAAGAAACACACTTCACCTATAAAGACACACATAAACTAAAAATAAAGGGATAGAAAAATGTACTCCATTCCAATGAAAACCAAAAAAGAACAGGAGTCACTATACTTCTATGAGACAAAACAGATCTCAAGACTAAAATGATAAGAAGAGACAAATGGGTCACTATATAATGATAAAGAGGTCAATTCAGCAAGAGGATATAACAATTTAAAATATATAGTCACCCAACCCTGGAGCACCCAGATATACCAAGGAAATAATATTAGAGCTAAAGTGAGAGATAGACCTCAATAAAATAATAGCTGGAGACTTCAGCACCCCACTTTCAGCACTGGACAGATCTTCCAGACAGAAAATCAACAAACAAACAAACAAACAAACAAACATCAGACTTAATCCACACTATAGACCAAATGGATCTAATACACATTTATAGGCCATTTCATCCAACAGCTGCAGAATACATTCTTTTCCTCAGCACATAGACCATTCTTAAGGACAGACCATATGTTAGGTCAATAAACGAGTCTTAAAACTTTCCAAAAAACTGAAATAATATGAAGCATCTTCTCTGACCACAAAGGAAAATTAGAAATCAATAACAAGAGGAATTTTAGATACTATACAAATATATGGAAATAAAACAATATGTTCCTGAATGGCCAATGGGCCAATGAAGACATTAAGAAAGAAAACTGAAAAATTTCTTGAAACAAATGATATTGGAAACACAATACAGCAAAACCTATAGGATACAGAAAAAGTAATATTCAGAGGAAAGTTTATAGTTTTAAATGCATACATCAAAAAAAAGAAAAAAACTTCAAATAAACTATCTAATGATGCATCTTAAAAAACTAAAATAGCAAGAGCAAACCAAACCCAAAATTAGAAGAGAAAAAATAAAGAGAGAAAAAAACAAATGAAATTGAAATTTTAAAAATACAAAAGATTAATGAAACAAAAAGTTGGTTTTTTCAAAAGTTAAAACAAAATTGACCAACCTTTAGCCAACCTAAAGAAAAACAAAAAGAGAAAATACAAACAAAATCAGAAATTAAAAAGGAGGCATTACAACTGATACTACAGAAATTCAGAGGATCATTAGTGGCTACAATGAGCAATTATATGCCAATAAATTGGAAAATCTAGAAGAAATGGACAAATTTCTGAATACATACAATCTAACAAGATTGAACCACGAAGAAATCCAAAATCTGAACAGACCAATAGCAAGCAATGAGATCAAAGCTGTAATTAAAAGTCTCCCAGTAAAGGAAAGCCCGGGACCCAATGGGTTCACTGCTAAATTCTACCAAACATTTAAATAAGAACAAATGCCAATCCTACTCAAACTATTCTGAAAAAGAGAGGAGGAGGGAATACTTCCAAACTCATTCTACAAGTCCAGTATTACCCTAACACCAAAACCAAACAAAGAAACATCAAAAAAAGAAAACTACAGGCCAGCATCTCTGATGAACACTGATGCAAAAATCCTCAACAAAATACTAGCAAACCAAATTCAACAATACATTAGACAGCTCATTCATCATAACCATGTGGGATTTATCCCTATGATGCAAAGATGGTTCAACTTACAAAAATCAATCAACATGATTCATCATATCAACAGAATGAAGGATAAAAATCATATGGTCATTTCTGTTCATGCTGAAAAACCATTTGATAAAATTCAACAGTTCTTCATAATAAAAAAAAAACTGAGAATAAAAGGAACATGCCTCACATAATAAAAGCCATATATGACAGACCCACTAGCTATCATAGTTAGTATCCTAGCTAGTATCATACTAAATAGGGAAACACTGAAAGCCTTTCCCTTAAGATCTAGAACACAACAAGGATGTCTACTGTCACCACTGTTATTTAACATAGTATTGGAAGTCCTAGCTAGAGCAATCAGATAACAGAAAGATATAAAGGGCATCCAAATTGCAAAGGAAGAAGTCAAATTACTCGTTTGCTGATGACATGATCCAATGTTTGGAAAAACCTACAGACTCCATGAAAAAACTATTAGAACTGATAAACAAATTCAGTAAAGTTGCAGGACACAAAATCAACATACAAAAGTCAGCAGCATTTCTGTATGCCAACAGCAAAAAACACGAAAAAAAATTAAAAAGTAATCTCATTTACAATAATAGCCACATATAAAATTACCTAGGAATTAACCAAAGAAGGGAAAGATCTCTACAATAAAAACTATAAAACAATTATTAAGAAATATGAGAACACTAAAAAATAGAAAATTACTCCATGTTCATAGATTGAAAGAATCAATATTGTTAAAATCTCCATACCACCCAAAGCAATCTACAGATTCAATGCAATCCCCATCAAAACACCAGTGACATTCTTCACAGAAATAGAAAAACTAATCCTAAAATTTATATGGAACCACAAAAGACCCAGAATAGGCAAAGCTATCTTGAGCAAAAAGAACAAAACTGGAAGAATCACATTACCTGACTTCATATTATACTACAGAGCTATACTAACCAAAACAGCATGGAAATGGCATAAAAACAAACACATAGATCAATGGAACAAAATAGAGAACCCAGAAACAAACCCATACACCTACAGTGAACTCATTTTTGACACAGGTGCCAAGAACATACACTGATGGAAAGACACCTCTTCATTAAGTGATCCTGGGAAAACTGAATATTGATAGGCAAAACAATAAACTAGACCCCTATCTCTCATCATATACATAAATCAAATCAAAATGGATTAAAGACTGAAATCTAAAACCCCAAACTATGAAACTACTACAAGAAAACACTGGGGAAAATCTCCAGGACATTGGTCTGGGCTAATATTTCTTCAGCAATACCCCACAAGCACAGACAACCAAAGCAAAAATGGACAAATAAGATCACATCAAGTTAAAAAGCTTCTGTACATGAAAGGATACAATCAACAAAGTGAAGAGACAACCCACAGAATGTGAGAAAATATTTGCAAACTACCCATCTGACAAGGGATCAATAACCAGAATATACAAAGAGTCCAAACAACCCTACAGGAAACAATCTAATAATGTGAGCAAAAAAATAGGCAAAAGATTTGAATAGATATTTTTCCAAAAAAAAAGACATACAAATGGCAAACAGGCATATGAAAAGGTGTTCAACATCATTGATCATCAGAGAAATGCAAATCAAAACTACAATGAGATATCATCTCACCCCAGTTAAAATGGCTTATAGCCAAAAAACAGGCAATAACAAATGCTGGCAAGGATGTGGAGAAAAGGGAACACTTACACACTTTAGGTGGGAATGTAAATTAATATAACCACTATGGAAAACACGTTGGAGGTTCCTTAAAAAACTGAAAATTGAACTACCGTATGATCCAGCCATTCCACTGCTGGTATACACCAGAAAAAGGAAATCAGTAGATTTGGAAGTGATCTAAGTGCCCATTAATAGATGAATGGATAAATAAAATGTAGTACATATATACAATGGAGTATATTCAGCCATAAAAGAAAATGAGATTCAATCATGTGCAACAACACAGATGGGATTAGAGATCATTACGTTAAGTGAAACAAGCCAGGCACAGAAAGACAAACATCACATGTTCTCACTTATTTGTGGGATCTAAAAATCAAAACAATTGAATTCATGGACCTAGAGAGTAGAAGGATGGTTACCAAAGGCTGGGAAGAGAACTAGTGGGCTGAGGGGGGCAGGTGGGGACAGTTAATGGCTATAATAAAAATAGAATGAATAAAACCTACTATTGATAGTACAATAGAGTAATATAGTCAATATTACTTAATCATATATTTTTAAATACCTTAACAAATGTAACTGGATTGTTCATAACTCAAAGGATAAATGCTTGAGGGGATGGATACCCCATTCTCCATGACGTGCTTATTTCACATTGCATGCCTATATATCAAAACATCTCATGTAGCCCATAAATATATACACCTAATATGTACCCACAAAAAAATTTTTAAATGATTTTAAATTTCTAAAAAAGAATAAAAAATAAAATAGCTAGGCATGGTGGCATGTGCCTGTAGTCCTAGCTACTTGGGAGGCTGAGGTGGGAGGGCTTGAGCCCAGGAGGATGAGGCTACAGTGAGCTATGTGATCACACCACTGCACTCCAGCCTGGGCAACACAGCAAGACCCAGTCTCAAAAAAAGAAAAAATATCCTAAAACTCAACAATAAAAAACCAAAAAAGCCAATTTAAAAATAAGCATAGGGCTTGTGTAGCCGTTTCTCCAAAGAAGATATATGAATCTCTAATAAATACATAAAAAGATGCTTAGTATCATTTATAAATAGGAAAATGCAATTAAGACTACAATGAAATGCCACCTCATACCATTAGGATGGCTACTACAAATTTAAAAAAAAAAAAACAGAAAGTAACAAGTGTTGATGTGGATGTGAAGAAACTGGAAATTTACTCACTGCTAGCAGGAACATAAAATGAGGTACGGCCATTGCAGAAAATAATACAGCAGTTGTTCAAGAAATTAAAAATATCATTACTATAAGACCAAGCAATTCCACTTCTGGATATACACCCAAAAAAATTAAAAACAGTGAGCTGAGGTATTTGTACACCCATGTTAACGATAGCTAAAATATTAAAGTAAACCAAGTGCCCACAGATGAATAAATATAGAAACAAAATGTGGCATGTAAATACAATGGAAAATTATTCACCTTTCAAAAGGAAGAAAATCTGGCATATTCTACAACATGAATGAACCTTGAGGACATTAAGCTAAGTGAAATTAGCTAGTCACAAAAAGACAAATACTGTATGAGGTACTTTAAAAAGTTAAAATCATCAAAACAAACAGCAAACTGGTGGTCATAAGGGGAATGGGGTGGAGGGAGAAATGGGAATTTATTTTTTTAATGGGTTTCAGTTTTACAAGATGGAAAGTATTATGGAGATTGATGATGGTGTTGGCTGCACATTATCAATTTATTTAACAACATTAAACTGTACAATTAAAAATGATTAAGATGATAAAATTTATGTTAAGTGTATTTTACTACAATAAAAAAACTTTAGAGTCTTAAAATTCATTTAGTACACTTGTCCAAAAGCATACAAATTTATATTTAAAATAGATACATGTTATTCTATGTAAATTACACATCAATAAAGTCGGTTTCAACGAATGAGTAAATAGAAAACTTGAATTGTCCTATAAGGGCGTGACCAGATGGCTTCACTGATGAATTCAACTGAACATTTAAAAAAGAATGAGTATCGGTCTTTGCCGCCGCGCCGGCGAGCGCCGCCCGGGAGGCAGCGGCTGGAGGAGCGGACGGGCCCCGCGGGGCCCGAGGGCAAGGAGCAGCCGCCTGCCTTGGCCTCCCAAAGTGCCGAGATTGCAGCCTCTGCCCGGTGCCACCCCGTCTGGGAAGTGAGGAGTGTCTCTGCCTGGCTGCCCATCGTCTGGGATGTGAGGAGCCCCTCTGCCTGGCTGCCCAGTCTGGAAAGTGAGGAGCGTCTCCGCCCGGCCGCCATCCCATCTAGGAAGTGAGGAGCGCCTCTTCCCAGCCGCCATCACATCTAGGAAGTGAGGAGCGTCTCTGCCCGGCCGCCCATCGTCTGAGATGTGGGGAGCGCCTCTGCCCCGCCGCCCCATCTGGGATGTGAGGAGTGCCTCTGCCCGGCCGAGACCCCGTCTGGGAGGTGAGGAGCGTCTCTGCCCGGCCGCCCCGTCTGAGAAGTGAGGAGACCCTCTGCCTGGCAACCACCCCGTCTGAGAAGTGAGGAGCCTCTCCGCCCGGCAGCCACCCCATCTGGGAAGTGAGGAGCGTCTCCGCCGGGCAGCCACCCCGTCCGGGAGGGAGGTGGGGGGGCCAGCCCCCCCCCGGCCAGCCGCCCCATCCGGGAGGGAGGTGGGGGGTCAGCCCCCCCGCCTGGCCAGCCGTGCCATCCGGGAGGGAGGTGGGGGGGTCAGCCCCCCGCCTGGCCAGCCGTGCCGTCCGGGAGGGAGGTGGGGGGGTCAGCCCCCCGCCCGGCCAGCCGCCCCGTCCGGGAGGTGAGGGGCGCCTCTGCCCGGCCGCCCCTACTGGGAAGTGAGGAGCCCCTCAGCCCGGCCAGCCACCCCGTCCGGGAGGGAGATGGGGGGGTCAGCCCCCCCACCCGGCCAGCCGCCCCGTCCGGGAGGGAGGTAGGGGGGTCAGCCCCCCGCCTGGCCAGCCGCCCCGTCCGGGAGGGAGGTGGGGGGGTCAGCCCTCCGCCCGGCCAGCCGCCCCGTCTGGGAGGTGAGGGGCGCCTCTGCCCAGCCGCCCCTACTGGGAAGTGAGGAGCCCCTCTGCCCGGCCAGCCGCCCCGTCCGGGAGGGAGGTGGGGGGTCAGCCCCCCGCCCGGCCAGCCGCCCTGTCCGGGAGGGAGGTGGGGGGGTCAGCCCTCCGCCCGGCCAGCCGCCCCGTCTGGGAGGTGAGGGGCGCCTCTGCCCGGCCGCCCCTACTGGGAAGTGAGGAGCCCCTCTGCCCGGCCACCACCCCGTCTGGGAGGTGTGCCCAACAGCTCATTGAGAACGGGCCAGGATGACAATGGCGGCTTTGTGGAATAGAAAGGCGGGAAAGGTGGGGAAAAGATTGAGAAATCGGATGGTTGCCGTGTCTGTGTAGAAAGAAGTAGACATGGGAGACTTTTCATTTTGTTCTGCACTAAGAAAAATTCCTCTGCCTTGGGATCCTGTTGATCTGTGACCTTACCCCCAACCCTGTGCTCTCTGAAACATGTGCTGTGTCCACTCAGGGTTAAATGGATTAAGGGCGGTGCAAGATGTGCTTTGTTAAACAGATGCTTGAAGGCAGCATGCTCGTTAAGAGTCATCACCAATCCCTAATCTCAAGTAATCAGGGACACAAACACTGCGGAAGGCCGCAGGGTCCTCTGCCTAGGAAAACCAGAGACCTTTGTTCACTTGTTTATCTGCTGACCTTCCCTCCACTATTGTCCCATGACCCTGCCAAATCCCCCTCTGTGAGAAACACCCAAGAATTATCAATAAAAAAATAAATTAAAAAAAAAAAAAAAAGAATGAGTATCAATTTCCCCAAAAACTCTTCCAGAAAACAATGAAGGAGAGAAAGTTTTCCAACTCATTCTATAATGACAGTATTAGCCTAATACCAAAACCAGAAAAAGACAGCACAAGAAAAAAAACCATATATGAATCTCCCTCTCGTATACAAACATAAACATCCTCAAGAAAACTGAATCCAGCAACGTATTAAGAATATTATAAATCAGATCAAGGAGATTTATCCCAGGAATGCAGTTACTTTAATATATGAAAATGAATTTATCCAATAAATTTGATGAGTAAAATAAAGAATATAAATTACCATATGAGAATGCAGGAAATTCAAACATGCATACATTATTTTGAAAGCCGCTACCAAATTAAGAATAGAAAGGAAATTCTCCAACATGATAAAGTACATCTATGGAGGCCTGCCCAGCTCACCACCACCATCAGCACCCACACCCGCCATCCAGGTGCCTAAAGACAAGTGAGACCTGCCTACTCCAAACAGCACACAAGCATGTCATCCCAGAACCAAATAGTAACACTTCATTTGCTGCCACCAGTGTTTACATGTACAGTACAGGGCCTGAGGACAAGCCCATGCCCATGCTGTCCAGAAGCATGAGTACTGGCCAGGCCCACTCATTGCTGCCAGTGCCCAACAGCACCAATAACTTGAAAAACAGCTGCCACCACCCACCACTATGGATGGCTACAGCCAACACCCATGCACACCACCTGGGGACCCAAGGACAGGTGCACCCTGCCCCTGCAAACAGTATCCGCAGGCACTGTCCCAGGAAGAAAGAACAGGCCCACCCAATCTGCTGCCACCAGGACCTGCCCGCACAATACTGTGCCTAAAGACAGGGCTGCCCTGTCCACTGCCACCACCACAGCCCATACACACTGTCAAGGGGCCTAAGCACTAGCCCACCCTACTCACCATTGCCAATGCCCAAGTACACTGCCAATGCCCAAGTACATTGCCAATGCCCAAGTGGCCTGAGAACCCACCCATTGTTTCCTGTCACCTACCTCGGCCACAGCTGGCACCAAACATGCTGACCAGGGACCCAAGAACTGACCTGCCTGGACCCTAACCACCACCCTAACCCATGTTACCACCAGGAATCCCAAGAACTGGCACAAATGGCTCATCCCTACCATGACTGGTGCTCATACATGCCACCCAGGGGTCCAAAGACTATTGTACCTGTCCCCAGTAAAGCCTTGCCACAGTCTCCGTTAGAAACCACAGATTCACTTCCTGCTGACGAGTCTGAAAATTTTAAAAATAAATAAATAAATTGCAGCATAAGACAATAAGGACCTTGCAGACACCAATATCACTGATTATGACCAAAGAAATAACATGGAGACTATACCACTGCATCCACTCAGAATACAACCCTAACAAACATCACAGATACATCTACAGGAAAAAGTCTCTACCAAATGAGGTTAATCCATAAAACTGAAAGAAACAACTGTCACACCAGATGCATGGATATCAACATAAGAACATAAGAAACATGACAAAGCAAGAAAGCATGACACCTCCAAAAAAATACAATAATTCTCCAGTAACGTAACACAGAGAAAAATATATGTATGAAATGCCTGAAAACAAACTCAAAATAATTATCTAAGGCAGCGATCCCCAACTTCTTGGCACCAGGCACCAGTTTCAGGGAAGACAATTTTTCCACAGACCACGGGATGGCAGGGGAGTATGGACTGTTTTAGGACGAAACTGTTCCATCTCATATCATCAGGCATGAGATTCTCACTAGGAACATGCAACCTAGGTCGCCTGCATGCACAGTTCACAATAGGGTTCATGCTCCTGTGAGAATCTAATGCTCCCACATATCTGACAGGAGGCAGAGCTAAGGCAGTAATATTCACTCACCTGCCACCCACCCCCTGGCTCTGCGGCCTGGTTCCTAACAGGCCACGGACCAGTACCAGTCCATGGCTCCAGGGGTTGGGGATCCCAATCTAAGGAAACTCAAAAAGTTACAAGAGAACACAGAAAAACAATACAAAAAAAAATCAGAAAAGAAATTCAGGATATAAGTGAGAAATCAACACAGAGATAGGTATCATTAAAAAGAACCAAACAAAAATCCTGCAATAGAAGAGTTCAATTAATGAAATAAAAAACACAATTAAGAACTTCAACAATAGACTAAGCAGAAGAAAAAAATTCTGAACTTGAAGACATTTCTTTTGAAATGAACCAGTCAGACAAAAAAAAAAGAATTAATAAAGCCAACAGGACACATGCTACATTATAAAAAGAACAAATATTGAGATTTCAGTTGTTTCAGAGGAGAAGAGATGGGCAAAGCGAAAGAAAACCTATTTAACAAAATAATAGCTTTGGTTGCCATTGCTTTTGGTGTTTTAGACACGAAGTCCCTGCCCATGCCTATGTCCTGAATGGTAATGCCGAGGTTTTCTTCTAGGGTTTTTATGGTTTTAGGTCAAACGTTTAAGTCTTTAATCCATCTTGAATTGATTTTTGTATAAGGTGTAAGGAAGGGATCCAGTTTCAGCTTTCTACATATGGCTAGCCAGTTTTCCCAGCACCATTTATTAAATAGGGAATCCTTTCCCCATTGCTTGTTTTTGTTAGGTTTGTCAAAGATCAGATAGTTGTAGATATGCGGCGTTATTTCCGAGGGCTCTGTTCTGTTCCATTGATCTATATCTCTGTTTTGGTACCAGTACCATGCTGTTTTGGTTACTGTAGCCTTGTAGTATAGTTTGAAGTCAGGTAGTGTGATGCCTCCAGCTTTGTTCTTTTGGCTTAGGATTGATTTGGCGATGCGGGCTCTTTTTTGGTTCCATATGAACTTTAAAGTAGTTTTTTCCAATTCTGTGAAGAAAGGCATTGGTAGCTTGATGGGGATGCCATTGAATCTATAAATTACCTTGGGCGGTATGGTCATTTTCACGATATTGATTCTTCCTACCCATGAGCATGGAATGTTCTTCCATTTGTTTGTATCCTCTTTTATTTCATTGAGCAGTGGTTTGTAGTTCTCCTTGAAGAGGTCCTTCACATCACTTGTAAGTTGGATTCCTAGGTATTTTATTCTCTTTGAAGCAATTGTGAATGCGAGTTCACTCATGATTTGGCTCTCTGTTTGTCTGTTGATTTTTGTACATTGTGATTTTTGTACATTGACTTTGTATCCTGAGACTTTGCTGAAGTTGCTTATCAGCTTAAGGAGATTTTGGGCTGAGACGATGGGGTTTTCTAGATATACAATCATGTCGTCTGCAAACAGGAGCAATTTGACTAAAAAGCTTCTGCACAGCAAAAGAAACTACCATCAGAGTGAACAGGCAACCTACAAAATGGGAGAAAATTTTTGCAACCTACTCATCTGACAAAGGGCTAATATCCAGAATCTACAATGAACTCAAACAAATTTACAAGAAAAAAACAAACAACCCCATCAAAAAGTGGGTGAAGGACATGAACAGAGACTTCTCAAAAGAAGACATTTATGCAGCCAAAAAACACATGAAAAAATGCTCATCATCACTGGCCATCAGAGAAATGCAAATCAAAACCACAGTGAGATACCATCTCACACCAGTTAGAATGGCGATCATTAAAAAGTCAGGAAACAACAGGTGCTGGAGAGGATGTGGAGAAATAGGAACACTTTGACACTGCTGGTGGGATTGTAAACTAGTTCAACCACTGTGGAAGTCAGTGTGGCGATTTCTCAGGGATCTAGAACTAGAAATACCATTTGACCCAGCCATCCCATTACTGGGTATATACCCAAAGGACTATAAATCAAGCTGATATAAAGACACATGCACACGTATGTTTATTGCGGCATTATTCACAATAGCAAAGACTTGGAACCAACCCAAATGTCCAACAATGATAGACTGGATGAAGAAAATGTGGCACATATACACCATGGAATACTATGCAGCCATAAAAAATGATGCGTTCATGTCCTTTGTAGGGACATGGATGAAATTGGAAATCATCATTCTCAGTAAACTATCGCAAGAACAAAAAACCAAACACCGTATACTCTCACTCATAGGTGGGAATTGAACAATGAGAACACATGGACACAGGAAGGGGAACATCACACTCTGGGGACTGTTGTGGGGTGGGGGGAGGGGGGAAAGATAGCATTGGGAGATATACCTAATGCTAGATGACGAGTTAGTGGGTGCAGCGCACCAGCATGGCACACGTATACATATGTAACTAACCTGCACATTGTGCACATGTACCCTAAAACTTAAAGTATAATAATAATAATAAATGAATAAATAAATAAAAATAATAATAGCTAAAATTTCCCAACTCTTATGAGAGACATACACATTAAGATACAGTAAACTCAAATTTTACCAAATAGATTCAATCCAAGACACTAAACTTCTCCCAGACATTATGCTCAAACTGTCAAAAATCAAAGGCAGAGACAGAAATCTAAAAATAGCAAGAGAAGAGCATCAAGTCACATATAAGGGAATCTCCATCAGACTAACTAAATTTCTCAACAAAAACTTTCTAGGCCAGGAGAGAATGGGATGATATCTTCAAAGCGCTGAAATAAAGAGCTACCAGCCAAGAATGACATATTCAGCAAAACTATACTTCAGAAATGAAGAATAAATAAAGTCTTTCTCAGACAAACAAAAACAGGCAATTTATAACTGCTTGACTGATGCTGTGAAAAATGCTTAAGGGAGTCATACATCTAGAAGCAAAAAGTATCTACCATCATGAAAACACACAAAAGTATAAAACTAACTGGAAGAGCAGACACAAATGAGAGAGAGGAATCAGTCATTATCACTATAGAAAGCCACCAAGACATAAGAGTAAACAATAAAGAGAAAGAAAGGAACAAAGGATATACAAAACAATCAGAGAGCTAACAAAATGACAAATGTCTTTACACTACCAATAACAACCTTACATGTAAATGGTTTAAATTCTCCAATTTAAAAATGTTAACAGGCTAAGTGGATTTAAAAAAACAAGACCAAACTATACTCTTCCTAGATAAAGACACACATAAACTGAAAGTGAAGGGATAAAAAATATATATATCACACAAATGAAAACAAAACATATGCATTAGTAGCTATACACACTTATGTCAGACAAAATAGACATTCAGTCAAAAAACTTACAAAGAAACAAAAAGGTCATCACATACTGATACAAGCATAAATTCAGCAAGAAAATAAAGATTCTGAATACATACAGCCAACATCAAAGCACACAGAAATATAAAGTACATATTATTAGAGTTAAAAAGAAAACAGACCTCAATACAATAATAGTTTGGAACTTCAACATCCTCTTATATGGTTTGGGTCTGTGTCCCCACCCAAATCTCATGTCATATTGTAATCCCCAATGTTGGAAGAGGGGCCTTATGGGAGGTGATTGGTTCGTGGGGGAGAATGTCTCCCTTGATGTTCTCCTAATAGTGAGTGAGTTCTAACGAAATCTGGTTATTTATAAAAGTGTAGTGCCTCTCCCTTCGTTCTCTCTTTCTCCTGCTCCAGCCATGTACAATGCACTAGCTTCCTCCTCACCTTCTGCCATGATTGTAAGTTTCCTGAGGCTTCCCCAGAAACAGAAGCCTGGACAGCCTGCAGAACCATAAGCCAATTAAACCTCCTTTCTTTATAAATTACCCAGTCTCAGGTAGTTCTTTATAGCAATGTGAGAATGGACTAATACACTCTCTTTGAACACTAAACAGATCATCCAGACAGAAAACATCAGGTTTAATCTGCACTATAGACCTAATAGACCTAACAGACATTTACAAAACATTTCATCCAATAGCTGCAGAATACACATTTTTTTCACCAGTGCAAGAAACATTCTCCAGGGCAGATCCTATGAAAGGACACAAAACAAATCTCAATAATTTTTTAAAAACTGAAATCATATAAAGTATCTCCTGAGACCACATTGGAATACAACCATAAATCAAGTAACAAGTGGAACACCGGAAACTGTACAAACCCCTGGAAATTAAACAACATGCTCCTGAACAGCCACTAGGTCTGAAGAAATTAAAAGAAAAAAATTTTTTTTACTTCCTGAAACAAATGAAAACAGAAACACAACATACCAAAACTATGGACAATCAAAAGCAGTGTTGAGAGAGAAATGCACAGCAATAAATGCTTATATAAAAAGTGGTTATTTCAAATAAAAAGTGGTTACAATGAACCTCAATGGACTAGAAAAGCAAGAACAAACATAACGAGAATTAGTAGGAGGAAAGAAATGGTAAAGATCAGAGTAGAAATAAACAAAATGAAGACTTAAAAAAAATCAAACATAAAGTTGACATTGTGCAAAAATAAAACTGATATACCACTAGCTAGACCAACCAAGAAAAAAAGACCCAAGTAAGATCGAAAACAAAAAGTGAGACATAAAAATTGATACCATACAAATACAAAGGATCATTAGACACTACTATTAATATCAACAACTATATGCTAAAAAGTTGGAAATCCAAGAGTAAATGAATGAAGAGAACAATTCCAGGCCCAATGGCTCACACCTATAATACTAACACTCTGGGAAGCCAAGGAAGGAGGATTGCTTGAGACCAGGTGTTCAAGACCAACCTGGGCAACACAATGAGACCCCGTCTCTACAAATTCAAAAAATTGGCCAAGCGTGGTGGCATGCACCGGTGGTCCCAGAGACTTGGAGGCTGAGGAATGAGGATCACTTAAGCCCAGGAGGTCAAGACCACAGTGAGTTATGACCATGGCACTGTACTCCAGTCCACGCAACAGAACAAGATCCTGTCTCAAAAAAAATAAATAAATACAAATCTAAAAATAGAAAACAATTCCATTCATAATAGCTTCAGAAATAAGAAAGTATTTAGGAATAAACTTAACAAAAAAAAGTCAAAGACACACTGAAAACCACAAAACACTATTGAAAAAAATTGTAAAGGACATAAATGGAAAGACATCCCATGTTTATTAATCTGAACACAGTATTGTTAAAATGGCAATATTCCCCAATTTAGTCTACAGATTCAATACAATCTCTGTCAAAATCCTTGCTGGTTTTTTGGTTAAAATGATAAGCTGATTCTAAAATTCAACTGAAAATGCAAGAAACCCAGAACAGCTCCAAAAAATCTTGAAAAAAAAATAGCAAAGTTGTAAGACCCACACTTCCCAATTTCAAAACTTACTACAAAGTTGCAATAGCACATAGCAGTACCAGCATATGGACAGACATACAGATCAACAGAATAGAATTGAGAATGCAGAAATAAACCCTAACATTTACTATCAATTGATATCTCACAAAGATTCCAAGACAATACAATGGAAAATAATGAAGACGCACCATTTGTCTTTTCAACAAATGGTGCTGGCACAAATGAATATCCAAAGGCAAAAATATTAATTAGGGTACCTATTTCATTCCATACCCAAAAATTAACTTAAAATGGAACAAAGACCTAAATCTAAGAGCTAAAACTATAAAACTCTTAGAAGAAAACACAGTAGTAATGGATCATGACCTTGGATTAGGCAGTGGTTTCTTAGATATGACACCAAAAGCACAGAGACTAAAGAAAAACAGATAAATGGGACTTCATCAAAATTTAAAAACTTTTATGTTTCAAAGGACACCATCAAGAGAGTGAGAAACTTGCCAAAAGAATGAGATAAAATATATGAAAATCATATACCTGATAAGGGACTTGTACCAAGAAAATATTTTTTAACTCTTACAACAAAAAGATAATCCAATTTTAAAATGGGCAAAGGATCTGAGTAGACAATTCTCAAAATGACATACAAACGACGAATTAGCTCCAGACCCTGTTTCCCTGAGTATCAGCAGCAGAGGCTGCAGAACAGCGGATACTGGTGAACAGCAGATGTTGCTGCCTGATCATTCCTCTGGAAGTTTTGTCTCAGAGAGTAAGCGGCTGTGTGAGGTGTCAGTCTGCCCCTATTGTGGGGTGCCTCCCAGTTAGGCTACTCAGCAGACCTGCAGCTGAGGGTCCTGACTGTTAGAAGGAAAACTAACAAACAGAAAGGACATCCACACCAAAACCCCATCTGTACGTCACCATCATCAAAGACCAAAGGTAGAAAAAACCACAAAGATGGGGAAAAAACAGAGCAGAAAAACTGGAAACTCTAAAAATCAGAGCACCTCTCCTCCTCCAAAGGAACGCAGCTTCTCACCAGCAACGGAACAAAGCTGGACAGAGAATGACTTTGACGAGTTGAGAGAAGAAGGCTTCAGAAGATCAAACTACTCCGAGCTAAAGGAGGAAGTTCGAACCCATGGAAAAGAAGTTAAAAACCTTGAAAAAAAATTAGACGAATGGCTAACTAGAATAACCAATGCAGAGAAGTCCTTAAAAGACGTGATGGAGCTGAAAACCAAGGCACGAGAAGTACGCGGCAAATGCACAAGCCTCAGTACCAGATTCGATCAACTGGAAGAAAGGGTATCAGTGATGGAACATGAAATGAATGAAATGAAGAGAGAAGTTTAGAGAAAAAAGAATAAGAAGAAACGAATAAAGCCTCCAAGAAATATGGGACTATGTGAAAAGACCAAATCTACGTCTGATTGGTGTACCTGAAAGTGACGGAGAGAATGGAACCAAGTTGGAAAACACTCTGCAGGATATTATCCAGGAGAACTTCCCCAATCTAGCAAGGCAGGCCAACATTCAAATTCAGGAAATACAGAGAACGCCACAAAGATACTCCTCGAGAAGAGCAACTCCAAGACATAATTGTAAGATTCACCAAAGTTGAAATGAAAGAAAAAATGTTAAGGGCAGCCAGAGAGGAAGGTCGGGTTACCCACAAAGGGAAGCCCATCAGACTAACAGCTGATCTCTTGGCAGAAACTCTACAGGCCAGAAGAGAGTGGGGGCCAATATTCAACATTCTCAAAGAAAAGAATTTACAACCCAGAATTTCATATCCAGCCAAACTAAGCTTCATAAGTGAAGGAGAAATAAAATCCTTTACAGACAAGCAAATGCTGAGAGATTTTGTCACCACCAGGCCTGCCCTACAACAGCTCCTGATGGAAGCACTAAACATGGAAAGGAACAACTGGTACCAGCCACTGCAAAAACATGCCAAATTATAAAGACCATCGAGGCTAGGAAGAAACTGCAACTAATGAGCAAAATAACCAGCTAACATCATAATGACAGGATCAAATTCACACATAACAATATTAACCTTAAATGTAAATGGGCTAAATGCTCCAATTAAAATACACTGGCAAATTGGATAAAGAGTCAAGACCCATCAGTGTGCTATATTCAGGAAACCCATTTCACGTGCAGAGACACACATAGGCTCAAAATAAAGGGATGGAGGAAGATCTACCAAGCAAATGGAAAACAAAAAAGGCAGGGGTTGCAATCCTAGTCTCGGATAAAACAGACTTTAAACCAACAAAGATCAAAAGAGACAAAGAAGGCCATTGCATAATGGTAAAGGGATCAATTCAACAAGAAGAGCTAACTATCCTAAATATATATGCACCCAACACAGGAGGACCCAGATTCATAAAGCAAGTCCTTAGAGACCTAGAAAGAGAGTTAAGACTCCCACACAATAATAATGGGAGACTTTAACACCCCACTGTCAACATTAGACAGATCAACAAGACAGAAAGTTAACAAGGATATCCAGGAATTGAACTCAGCTCTGCACCAAGCAGACCTAATAGACATCTACAGAACTCTCCACCCCCAATCAACAGAATATACATTCTTCTCAGCACCACACCGCACTTATTCCAAAATTGATCACATAGTTGGAAGTAAAGCACTCCTCAGCAAATGTAAAAGAACAGAAATTATAACAAACTGTCTCTCAGACCACAGTGCAATTAAACAAGAACTCACGATTAAGAAACTCACTCAAAACCACTCAACTACATGGAAACTGAACAACCTAGTCCTGAATGACTACTGGGTACATAACAAAATGAAGGCAGAAATAAAGATGTTCTTTGAAACCAACGAGGACAAAGACACAACACACCAGAATCTCTGGGACACATTCAAAGCAGTGTGTAGAGGGAAATTTATAGCACTAAATGCTCACAAGAGAAAGCAGGAAAGATCTAATATTGACACCCTGACATCACAATTAAAAGAACTAGAGAAGCAAGAGCAAACATATTCAAAAGCTAGCAGAAGGCAAGAAATAACTAAGATCAGGGCAGAACTGAAGGAAATAGAGACCCAAAAAACCCTTCAAAAAAAATAAATGAATCCAGGAGCTGGTTTTTTGAAAAGATCAACAAAATTGATAGACCACTAGCAAGACTAATAAAGAAGAAAAGAGAGAAAAATCAAATAGACACAATAAAAAATCATAAAGGGGATATCACCACCGGTCCCACAGAAATACAAACTACCATCAGAGAATACTATAAACACCTCTACGCGAATAAACTAGAAAATCTAGAAGAAATGGATAAATTCCTCAACACATACACCCTCCCAAGACTAAATCAGGAAGAAGTTGAATCTCTGAATAGACCAATAACAGGTTCTGAAATTGAGGCAATAATTAGTAGCTTACCAACCCAAAAAAGTCCAGGACCAGATGGATTCACAGCCGAATTCTACCAGAGGTACAAAGAGAAGCTGGTACCATTCCTTCTGAAACTATTCCAATCAACAGAAAAAGAGGGAATCCTCCCTAACTCATTTTATGAGGCCAGCATCATCCTGATACCAAAGCCTGGCAGAGACAACAAAAAAAGAGAATTTTAGACCAATAGCCCTGATGAACAGCAATGCAAAAATCCTCAATAGAACACTGGCAAACCGAATCCAGCAGCACATCAAGAAGCTTATCCACCATGATCAAGTGGGCTTCATCCCTGAGATGCAAGGCTGATTCAACATACGAAAATCAATAAACGTAATCCAGCATATAAACAGAACCAATGACAAAAACCATATGATTATCTCAACAGATGCAGAAAAGGCCTTTGACAAAATTAAAAACCTTCATGCCAAAAACTCTCAATAAATTAGGTATTGATGGGACGTATCTCAAAATAATAAGAGCTATCTATGACAAACTCACAGCCAATATCATACTGAATGGGCAAAAACTGGAAGCATTCCCTTTGAAAACTGGCACAAGACAGGGATGCCCTCTCTCACCACTCCTATTCAACATTGTGTTGGAAGTTCTGGCCAGGGCAATCAGGCAAGAGAAGGAAATAAAGGGTATTCAATTAGGAAATGAGGAAGTCAAATTGTCCCTGTTTGCAGATGACATGATTGTATATCTAGAAAACCCCATTGTCTCAGCCCAAAATCTCCTTAAGCTGATAGGCAACTTCAGCAAAGTCTCAGGATACAAAAATCAATGTGCAAAAATCACAAGCATTCTTATACACCAATAACAGACAAACAGAGAGCCAAATCATGAGTGAACTCCCATTCACAATTGCTTCAAAGAGAATAAAATACCTAGGAATCCAACTTACAAGGGATGTGAAGGACCTCTTCAAGGAGAACTACAAACCACTGCTCAATGAAATAAAAGAGGACACAAACAAATGGAAGAACATTCCATGCTCATGGGTAGGAAGAATCAATATCATGAAAATGGCCATACTGCCCAAGGTAATTTATAGATTCAATGGCATCCCCATCAAGCTACCAATGACTTTCTTTACAGAATTGGAAAAAACTACTTTAAAGTTCATATGGAACCAAAAAAGAGCCCACATTGCCAAGACAATCCTAAGCCAAAAGAACAAAGCTGGAGGCATCATGCTACCTGACTTCAAACTATACTACAAGGCTACAGTAACCAAAACAGCATGGTACTGGTACCAAAACAGAGATATAGACCAACGGAACAGAACAGAGCCCTCACAAATAATGCCGCATAACTACAACCATCTCATCTTTGACAAACCTAACAAAAACAAGAAATGGGGAAAGCATTCCCTATTTAATAAATGGTGCTGGGAAAACTGGCTAGCCATATGTAGAAAGCTGAAACTGGATCCCTTCCTTACACCTTACACAAAAATTAATTCAAGATGGATTAAAGACTTACATGTTAGACCTAAAACCATAAAAACCCTAGAAGAAAACCTAGGCAATATCATTCAGGACATAGGCATGGGCAAGGACTTCATGTCGAAAACACCAAAAGCAATGGCAACAAAAGCCAAAATTGACAAATGGGATCTACTTAAACTAAAGAGCTTCTTTACAGCAAAAGAAACTACCATCAGAGTGAACAGGCAACCTACAGAATGGGAGAAAATTTTTGCAACCTACTCATCTGACAGAGGGCTAATATCCAGAATCTACAATAAACTCAAACAAATTTATAAGAAAAAAACAAACAACCCCATCAAAAAGTGGGTGAAGGATATGAACAGACACTTCTCAAAAGAAGACATTTATGCAGCCAAAAGACACATGAAAAAATGCTCATCATCAATGGCCATCAGAGAAATGCAAATCAAAACCACAATGAGATACCATCTCACACCAGTTAGAATGGCAATCATTAAAAAGTCAGGAAACAACAGGTGCTGGAGAGAATGTGGAGAAACTGGAATACTTTTACACTGTTGGTGGGACTGTAAACTAGTTCAACCATTGTGGAAGTCAGTGTGGCGATTCCTCAGGGATCTAGAACAAGAAATACCATTTGACCCAGCCATCCCACTACTGGGTATATACCCAAAGGATTATAAATCATGCTGCAATAAAGACACGTGCACACCTATGTTTATTGCAGCACTATTCACAATAGCAAAGACTTGGAACCAACCCAAATGTCCAACAATGGTAGACTGGATGAAGAAAATGTGGCACATATACACCATGGAATACTATGCAGCCATAAAAAATGATGAGTTCATGTCCTTTGTAGGGACATGGATGAAGCTGGAAACCATCATTCTCAGTAAACTATCGCAAGGACAAAAAACTAAACACCGCATGTTCTCACTCATAGGTGGGAATTGAACAATGAGAACACATGGACACAGGAAGGGGAACATCACACACCGGGGCCTGTTGTGGGGTGGGGGCAGGGGGGAGGAATAGCATTAGGAGATATACCTAATGTTAAATGATGAGTTAATGGGTGCAGCACACCAACATGGCACATGTATACATATGTAACTAACCTGCACGTTGTGCACATGTACCCTAAAACTTAAAGTATAATTTAAAAAATTAAAAAAAAAAAACAAATGACCAATTAGCACATGAAAAGATAATCAACATCATTTAGTTATTAGGAAATGGCAAACAAAACCACAATGAGATACCACTTCACACTCACTAGGATGGAAAGATGGAAGGAAAGAAAAGAAAGAGAGAGGAAAGAAGAACGGAAGGAGATAAGCACTGGTGAGGATGTAGAAAAACATGAATCCTTCATACATTGCTGGTGGGAATGCAAAATCGTACAGTCATTTTGAAAAAAAGTTCAGCAGTTGCTCAGAAAGTTAAACAATATTAATGCATGACACAGCAATTCTAATCCTAGTTATCTATTCAAGATAAATGAAAACATATGTATGTCTAAGAATGGGCACAGTGGCTCACGCCTGTAATCCCAGCAATTTGGGAGGCCAAGGTGGGTAGATCACTTGAGCTCAGGAGTTCAAGACCAGCCTGGGCAACATAACAAAACCTCAAATATACAAAAAACAGAATAATTGGCCAAGCATGGTGGTGCGTGCCTGTAGTCCCAACTACTTGGTGGGCTGAGGCGGGAGGATCGCTTGAGCCTGGGAGATGGAGGCTGCAGTGAGCTGTTTTCCACCACTACACTCCAGCCTGGGCAACAAAGTGAGACTCCATCTCAAAAGAAAAAAAGAAAAAGAAAAAAGAAAACATATGTCTACACAAACACTTGCAAACACTTGTATAGGAATGTTTATGACAATATTATTCATAATAGCTAAGAAGTGGAAACAACATAAAAATCCAACTGGTGAATAAACACAATGTGGTATAAAAAGAAATGAAATACTGATATATGCTACAATATTAATAAACCTCAAAAACATTATGCTCAGTGAAAGCCAGATGAAAAAGATCAAACATATTGTATGATTCTGTCTATATGAAATGTCCAAAAAATCAAATCTTATAGAGACAGAAAGTAGGTTAGTGGTTGCTTACAGCTGTAGGTGAGAATGGAAAGTGGTTGTAAATGAGTAGTTTCTTTTGGAGCATGATGGGATGTTCTAAAACCATCACCAGACTGTAGTGATGGCTCACAATTCTGTAAATATACTAAAAATTATTTAATTATTGAATTAAAATGGGTGAATTTTATGATATGTAAATTATATCACAATAAAACTTAATTTTTAAAAAAGCACTAAAAAGTATTACAATCTTTAAAGTAAGATCAAACACAGGAGATAGAGTCAGCAGTTCCAAAGTAATACAAACATATGGAAACTTTCCCCCTCCCCAGGTGTATTTTTGTTGTTTGATTTCCCTTAGCACAGCAGCGATTTATAAAATGTTTCAGATAGCCCAGGAGAATTCAATGTTATTAAAACAAAAATTTAAGTCTGTTAATACTGAACTAGGTTTCCTAGAGATGCATTAACAACATTCCTCTCCATTATAGTAAGAAGGCCTAAATTTCCTCAACTATGAGATAAGGCCAATGCTACTTACATCTCACAGACTTATGAAAATTAAATAAGACAGTTTAGGCTTAGCCTAATGCCTAACATATAATAAGTATTTAATAGATATTAGCTGCCGTAATTATAAATAGAGGGTTTTCAGTTCCAAACTGATATTGCTCATGTACTCTTATGACTGATATGCCAAATAATTAGTGGAGTAGGAAGAACAGCATAATTTGATTTAAAAAAAAATACGCTACAAGAGAACTAAATCTGTAGATACAAATTATGTAAGCTCATTGATAGTGAAAATGAGATCAAGCGAGGAATAAAGAATCCCATTAAAAGAGAAAAACCAAACTGGTTCTCTTCTAAAAATAATCTGCCCAAGAGAATTTTACAAAATTCTTGTGCTGTGAAGCAAATACATCATAATTTCTCATTCCTGTTGTTTTGAACCAAGTCACTTCCTAATTCTGCCTGCTAACTTAACTGTCATAATCCAGTTTCATCTAAATAACTCATCATGTTCTATCCCACCTTAGTTTCCAGATATTCTAGATATCCTAACCATCCCATTTCACCTACCTTTTAGAAGTAGAACATTCAGAAAAAGGTTAAGAATCAAAAGCTCCAGAACTTTCAGTAGAGAAAAACTAAAGTATAGACAAGATGCCTGCTCCTAGCTTAAGACAACTAGGATTTGGAAATGACTCAGGTCCTTTCTACCATACAACAGAGATACTTTTTTAAATTCCACTTTTTAATATTCATACACATTCCCCGGAAATATTTTATGAACATTTTAACATTGTGAATTTGAACTAATTATGTATTAATACAGATAATTAGTTATATATATAAAAGACATATATATGTGTCTTTGGTACAAAATTTTGAAATGATACAAAGCCCTCTAGATTTTAAAAATCTGTCAAAAATCACATTCTATTATTCAAAAATTGGCTGAGTAAACTATAAAACTAATTAATTACACTATTGCCTGTTGGCTACATCACTTTTATCAGTTTAAAAAATACATCATTTTCCTTTGTCAGGATCACGTCAACCACATTGTTCTTTATTAAGAAGATGGTGATTTGGGTCATTATTGTATTTTTAATTCAATTTCTACTGCTATTGAATTTTAAAATCTTTTTATCCCCTAACAATATCATTAAGTGTATATTAAATAGATGTTATAATGTTAATGCTGTGACCATGCCTGAAAATCACTAACTCTGGAACAGAAGTCAGATGTCGTAAATTCTATAAGGAAGGCCAAACAATTATCTTTTTATGCTAGGCTGATAATTTAGCAGAAAATAAACTGAAAAAAATATTAGAGATAATGCCAGAAAACTAAAAAACAAAATTAAAATAATAATATGTAACAAAATTATTGATTGTTATCCCAAAGAACCTGTGCCCACCACTTTACAAGCATTCTTATGGAAAAGTGAGATTTAAATAATATAAGTATTTTTTAAATTTTACTTTTATTAGTTTTTTGTAGAGATGGTGTTTCGCCATGTTGCCTAAGCCGTACTTGAACTCCTGCACTCAAGTGATCCACCTGCCTTGGTCTCCCAAAGTGCTGGGACTACAGGTGTGAGCCACTGCGCCTGGCCTTAATGATATAAGCTTTTTGTTTTGTTTTGTTTTGTTTTGTTTTGTTTTGTTTTGTTTTACTAGGCAAAGAACTTTATTAACCTTTGTTTCAAAGTTTATTCTCAGGCTTCTTCGGCTTTATTAGCTGCAAAGAATGAATTGTGTATAAGCAAAACCTGAAAAGAGCTGCAGTGTCCAAAGGGCTTGGGCTTAAAAATATTAGAGATCTAGATTTTATCAGATCCATAAACAAAAATTCTTAAAAAGTAGTCATAATATAAAATAGCAGCTCCCAGTAACTTCTTCAAGTTTTATCTTCAGAAGTTGACTCAATTCAGTTTGCCTCATTCTTGGAAGCCTCATCAAAATTCTCCACAAGATCAGGAACTTCATCATCATCATCCTCCCCAGTAGCAAGTGGTGCTTTTCCATCCATGGATTGTTTGGGCAAAGCTTCAGCCAGTCTGCTTAAACTGTTCAGACTGTCTACACCAAGCTGGTTTAAGATGTTGGGTAGCATTTCTGTCAGCTGCTTTGTCTCGGCATGGCCTGTAATGGTGAAAGTGTTTGCTGCCAGAGATGCCTGAACTTTAGGGTTGTTAAAGTGGATCACTGTTCCTTGGTTTGTAAACATATGCACCTCTTCAATACCAAAGATATTGTTTACCCCTAACTTCTTTAAGGAGAACTGAAGTTTTTTATCATCTGCTGTGGCTGTTCTATGAACCACCTTCTTCCTTCTACGAGCAGTTCCTTTCCCACCAATGCACACTTGTGCCTGCAGTTTGGCAAGTTTTTCCTGATTCATGATTGTTTCTTTCATCCTATCAGAGCAGATAAGGGGCCATGCAGAGAACTAGGGTTGGTGCTAAGAGGGTCCTGGGTGGACCAGCTGAGATTAGGCGCACACATGCGGAGATGCAAGACGGCAGCTAAAGGGGAATGATGTATGTTGTGAAGCATGCAAAGTCTTCAGGATATGTCTCCCATAAGATAAAACAACTTTGTATGTGCAAACCTTTCCGAAAATGTGGCTTGGTTTTTATTAATTAAAAATTACCATTCCTTTACTTCTAGCATTCCATCTCTCAAACCAAGTATAATTATTTATGTAAATCTTTTTGGGAAACCAAGTCTGAAAACTGAGTGTGTGCTTGTTCTAAGGATGAAAGCATCATCATTGCATCAATAGACCTGCCTTATTCACCTTGACAATTTATCCATGGTATGGTAATAATGTCAAAAGGCTCATAAACTGCTATGGAGTCACCAATATATGTTTATATTTCCTACACACAATTTACCTGAAAAGGGAGAATTAGACTAAGTAGTTTATAGAAGTACTTTGACATAAATTCAAGGACCCCAATGAGTCTTCTAAATTTGTGTGACTTTCCAATAATTATAATTTGCTATTGTCATTTTTTCATTCACTATGTTAAAAAGAAAATTCAATACTCTTTTTAAAATAACTTTCTAATAATTGATTTATGTCCAATTCTGAAATGCTCTAAATTATTTCCAGTAACAACTGTAATTTGAATCCTCCAGATATTTAATTCCCCTATACAAATAATTTAACACTATGACTATAGGACCATAGTTGCTAAACAGAGCATTTTTGGCTGGCCCAAGTACAGAGGTGTTTACAACCAGTTGATTACAAGTTGCAGATGTCTGTTTCTGCCCCACTCCCACTGCTTCATTTGACTAGCCTTTAAAAAATAAAAAAGAAGAAGCAGCAGAAATGGAACACCCTTTCTCACTGCTGATCGCAAACAATGATTCAATCATCATTATCAGTCTATGTATAACTCTTGCATTATCAGCGAAAGCTTATCAAGATGTTCCAAATGCACAAAAACAAGGGAGTTAAGATACTTAAAATCACAGAAAGTTAGAGACTGAAAGAATCTTAGAGTCCACTGAATTCAAACCTTCTATTTTAAACATGTGGTCATAATTGAGAACCAACAAGCTTAAATGAATCATTTATGGTCAACTTTATAGGTTAAGCCCATACTATGTCGCACACACACATATCTTACCTTTCTGGTGATGACTTGGAAGTAACAGGACACCCTCGGATATGTTTTTTATTTTTATGGTCTAGAGAGATGACTTTATTCCTTAGGCTTCTTTCCCACTAGGAAAAAAAAAATGAAATTTTAATAATAAACATATCAATATGACAAGAGGCATTTAAACTGTTCTTTTTTATTTGGAAATTTGTTATAAACGATCAAATACATAGTTCACAGAGAAAAATAATAAGTGCAATCTATGGAATATCTGGCTCTTTTACTAATGCATAAATGTAAGTCCACCAAAAAATACTAGGAAGACATTTTAAAGTACCAAGGTAACTTTAATCAAAAAATCAACACTTTGAGATTCCAAAGCTTAAACAGCTATTAAAATCTGGAATGTACTTAAAGGAATAAAAATTATTACATAGAAGGTTAAATAGGGCCTATGATTCTAAAGTAACTGTACTTATAACAATTGAAAGATATTAAAATTAGTTACCTAGGAACTGCCATGTGGAAAATTTTAGGAAAGAGCCGGACACCTTATTGACAGAGTTTAGATTAAATATGACTAGAATAAAAGGTTCAAATTAATTTATTTAATACACAGTGTTAGCCTAGGCAAATAAGTCATTTATATTCTCTATGCCTTAGTTTCTTTATCTGAAAAGGGATATAGTAACAGTAGCTACCTCACAAAGATATACAATGATTACATCTGTATTAAGTTTTGGTTTTACTTCCACATCACAGAACAGACATTTGTAGTAAATTTACAAGACTGTCTTCATAAAAGAGATATTTGTACAATCATGTTTGTAGTCCACGATTCGCAATAACCAAAAGAGGGAAGAATCCACCAAAAAGAAAATGTTAAGGTTGCTCGACTAATTCAGAAAACTTGCAGGATATAAGATCGAAAGGCCAAAATCAGTTGTATTTCTATTTAATAGCAATGAGAAATCTGAAAGAGAAATTAAGAAAAAAAATTCCACTTACAATAGCATATCAAAAAGAATAAAATACTCAATAATAAATTTAGTCAAGGCAATGTAAGACTTTTCTGCTGAAAATATCAAAACATGCTGTAAGAAATTAAAGAAACCCTAAATAAATGAAAAGACATCCCCTAATCAAGGACTGAAAGACTTTATTAACTATATCAACTATTTTGGTTAGCAGTTGGGCATTACTCCCCAAAATGACCTCCAGATTCCATTCACTCCCTACCAAAATTCCAACAGCCTGTTTTGCAGAAATGGACAAACTGATCTGATGATTAATTGCTAGAGGCTCAGAAGAACCAAAACAATCTTGAAGAAGGAGAGCAAAATTAGAGGACTCACATTTCAGTTTCAAAATTTACTATGAAGCTAGAGTAATCAAAATAATGTTGGCAACGGGTAAACATACAGATTTATGGGACAGAATTGAAAGTCTAGAAATAAACCCATATATCTAGGACCAATAATTGATTTTCAGCAAGGATGCCAAAACCATTCATGAGAGAAAAATAAACTTTCAACAAATAGTTCTAGAACAACTGAACCGCCACATGCAAAAGCAGGAACTTGCACACTTGCTTCACATCATATTCAAAAATGAATTCAAATGGAGAGAAGACCTAAACATTATACAAGAGCTAAAATTATGAAACTCTTAGAAAAAAAAACACAGCAGTACATTTTCATGACTTGTATTTGGCAATGACTTCACAGATATGACCAAAAAACCACAAGTAACAAGAGAAAAATGATAAAGTGGACATCAGCAAAATTTGAAACTTTTATTCATTACTGGAATAGTGAAAAGGCAACCAACCCACCAAATGGGAGGAAATATTTGCAAATAATATAACTGATAAAAGTATAGTATCCAGGTCAACCACAATGGCTCACACCTGTAATCCCAGCACTCTGGAAGGCCAAGGCAGGAGGATTGCTTGAGGCCAAGAGTTTCAGGTCAGCCTGGGCAACATAGTAAGACCCCATCTCTTAAAAGAAAAAAAGGTATAGTATTCAAAATTTAAAAAAAAAAACTCTTACAATTCAGTAAGATAAAGACAAAAATAGTTTTTAATGGGCAAAGAATGTGAATAGATATTTCTCCAAAAAACTACACAAATGACAAAAAGCACATTAGAAGACACTCAGTGTCATTAGTCATTAGGAAATGCAAATCCAAACCAAAGAAGTGAAAGATCTCCACAATGAAAACCATAAAACATTGATGAAAGAAACTGGAGAATGTCAAAATAATGGAAAGATAACTCCACGGTCATGGTTTGAATCAATATTGTTTATCTCCTTCAAGAACAAAAAAAGAAAAATGAAAAAAGAATCAATGTTGTTAAAATGTCCACACCAAATGAAGAAATCTATAGATTCACCAAAATCCCTATAAAAATATCAATAACATTCTTCCCAGAAGAAGGAAAAATACCCCTAAAATTTATATGGAAACACAAAAAAATGCAAGTCAAAACCACAGTGACATACCATTTCGTACCCACTAGGATGAAGAATGAAGGAAGAGAGGAGAAGGAAAACGAAGTAAAAGAGCAAGAGAGAAAAAAAATTAAGTGTTGCTGAGTATATGAAGAACATGGAACCTTCATACATTGCTAGTGGGAATGTAAATGGTACAGGTACCGTAAGAAAAAAAAAAACAGTATTGCAGTTCCTCGATAACTTAAACATAAAATTACCACATGACACAGCAATTCTCACCCTAAGTATAAAACAAAAGAATGGAAAACAGGTTTTCGAACAGATGCTTGTAGTTCATAGAAGCATTATTCAATAACAGAAAAAAAGGTGAAAACAATACAAACAGATGAACAGATAAACAAATGTGATATATCCATACAATGGAATATTATTAGACCATAAAAAGAACTAAACTACTACCACATACTATAACATGGATGAACTTTGAAAGCATTTGTGCTAAGTGAAAGAAGCCATAGACACAAAAGATCATATATTGAGTGATTCTGTTTTTGTGAAATATCTAGAACAGGAAAATCCAGGCAACAGAAAACAAAGTAGTAATTTCCAGGGGCTGGGAAGTTGGCAGAATAGAGAGATAAATTAAGAAGTGAATGCTTAATGGTTAAAGAGTTTCCATTTGGGGTAATGAAAAAGTTCTGAAACTAGACAGAGAAAGTGGTTGCACAACACTGTGAGTGAACTAAATGCCACTAAATTGAATGCCATAAAACGGCTAACATGGTAAATTTTGTGTTGTATGTATTTTGTCACAACAATAGCAAAAAAGCATATGACTAAATCTCCAGTAAGAAATACAGCATTAAGAAACCACTAAGAATACAGTGGCTCACACCTGTAATCCCAGCACTTGGAGAGGCTGAGGCTGGCAGATCACCTCAGGTCATGAGTTTGAGACCAGCCTGACCAACATGGAGAAACCCCGTCTCTACTAAAAATACAAAATTAGCCAGGCGTGGTGGCACATGCCTATAATCCCAGCTACTCGGGAGGCTGAGGCAGAAGAATCACTTGAACCCAGGAGGTGGAGGCTGGGGTGAGCCGAGATCGCGCCATTACACTCCAGCCTGGGCAACAAGAGTGAAACTCTGTCTCAAAAAAAAAAAAGAAAGAAAGAAAAGAAACACTAAGAATAAAGAGACCAGGTGCAGTGGCTCACATCTGTAATCCCAGCACTTTGGGAGGCCAAGGTGGATGGATCGCTAGAGGCCAGGAGTTCGAGACCAGCCTGGGCAACACGATGAAACCCTGTCTCTACTAAAAATACAAAAATTAGCTGGGCGTGGTGGTGCATGCCTGTAGTCCCAGCTACTGGGGAGGCTGAGGCATGAGAATCGCTGGAACCCAGGAGGCAGAGGTTGCAGTGAGCCGAGATCATGCCACTGCACTCCAGTCTGGGCAAAAGAGCGAGACTCTGTCTAAAAAAAAAAAGAAGAAACCACTAAGAATAAAGGAAAAGACTGATAAACTACATTCATCAAAATCAAATATTTCTGCTCATCAAAAGACATACAATTAAGAAATAAAACAGCTACAGATTGAAAGTATTTGCAATACACATACTGACAACAGACTCATATCCTTATTATACAAAGAATTTCTACACATCAATAACAAAGACTAAAAACTCAGACTTGAGCCAGGTACAGTGGCTTATGCCTGTAATCCCAACACTTTGGGAGGCTGAGGCAGGAAGATCACTTGACGTCAGAAGTTTGAGACCAGTCTGATAAATACAGTGAGACCCTATGTCTACAATAAAGGTCGTGGCACATGTCTGTAGTCCCAGCTACTCAGAAGGCTGAGGCAGGAGGATCACTTGAGCCTAGGAGTTTGAGGCTGCAGTGAGCTATAATCGTACCACTGCAGTCAGGCCTCGGTGACACAGCAAAACCATGTATCATAAATAAATAAATAAATATATATATATATATATATATATATATATATACATATATATATATATATATACACACACATATAAAATAAAAACTCAGATTTAAAAAATGAGCAAGAATTCTACTTGAAATAAAATGGAATAAGAATAATCTTCTCTGCTTCTCCCACTGAGTGCAACTAAGAATTCTAGACAGACTTCATGGAGAAGCTATCTTAGGACCCTGAAGAGTATATGCTAAGAATGACATTGGTGAACTCAAAGTAATACCAAACCTGCAATCTAACCAAGACCCAGAGACCTGCAACTTAATATTCAAAATGTCCAGGATATAATCCAAAAACTGCTTGGCATATAAAAAGCCTAGGAAATCTCAACAACTCACAAAAGATGAGTATCAAGAGCAGCCAAGTAGAAGAAGACAGAGATGTTGAAATTACCAGAAAAAAACTTCATTTATTTATTTACGTATTTATTCATTCATTTATTTATTTATTTGAGATGGAGTTTTACTCTTGTTGCCCAGCCTGGAGTGCAGTGGCGCGATCTCGGCTCACTGCAACCTCCGCCTCCCAGGTTCAAGCACTTCTCCTGCCTCAGCCTCCCAAGTAGTTGGGATTACAGGCACCCACTACCATGCCCAGCTAATTTTTTGTATTTTTAGTAGAGACTGGGTTTCACCATGTTGGCCAGGCTGGTCTCCAACTCATGACTTCAGGTGATCCAGCCACTCAGCCTCCAAAAGTGCTGGAATTACAGGTGTGAGCCACCACACCCAGCCAGGAAAAAGCTTTAAAGTGGCTATTATACTGTTCTCTGAGAGGATGAACTCTCTGAAAGAAGTAAAAAGACAGAAAATCTCAACAGAGGAACAAAATTAAAAAAGAAACAAATGGCAATTTGAGAACTACAAAGTAACATGACCAAATTTTAAAAAGCACTGAATGGCCTAAAGCAGGAGTCCCTAACCCCAGGCCATGGACTGGTATTGGTCCATGGCCTGTTAGGAACCAGGCCGCACAGCAGGAGGTGAGCGGCAAGTGAGCAACTGAAACTTCACCTGTATTTACAGCCACTCCCCATTACTCACATTACCACCTGAGCTCCACCACCTGTCAGGTCAGTGGCAGCATTAGATTCTCAAAGCACAAACCCTATTATGAACTGTGCATATGAGTGATACTGGTTGCATGCTCCTTATGAGAATCTAATGACTGATGATCTGTTACTGTCTCCCATCACCTCCAGATGGGATCATCTAGTTGCAGGAAATCAAGCTCAGGTCTCCCACTGATTCTACATTATGGTAAGTTGTATATTTATTTAATTATATACTACAATGTAATAATAACAGAAATAAAGTGCACAATAAATGTAACATGCTTGAATCATTCCAAAACCATCCCACCTGCCCCACTACCTGGATCCATAGAAAAATTGTCTTCCATGAAACCTGATGCCAAAAAGGTTGGGGACCGCTGGCCTAAAAAGCAGAAAGGAGACTAAAAAGGGGTAAGTGGATCTGGAAATAGATAGACCAATAGAAATATTCAATCTGAAGAACAGAAAGGAAACAGATGCTTATGTAAATTTAATGTTATGCTTTATTTAAAAAAGAATGAAAATACATTATAACAAAAAACTTAAAGTGGCCCACCCACCACTACTGGCACCCACACATGTCATCCGGAGAAACAAAAATCAATCCACATTCCTCAATGTCACCAATGTACATCATCAGGGTTCCTAGGGAACAACCTACCCACCTACTGCTACCAAGACCCACACACACCATTAGGGGGGTGGAGGGGGCATGAAGGGAGACCCACTCTGCCCACCATCAGCACCTGTGCACATCATCCTCCAGAGGCCTAGGGATCAATCCACCCCCCTCACCCCCGCCACTGGCTCAGACACATGCCTTCCAAAAACCTGAGGACAAGCCAACTCCACCTATAGCTGCCACTGCCATTGCCTACACAAATCATTTAGAGGTCTGGGGATTGGCTCAACACACCCAGCCATACTGGCATCCACACACACCACTCAGGCAACTAATGACAAGTCCACCTAGCCCACTGCCATTACTACTGGTGCTTAAGGAACAGCCCACCTGGAGTCCTCATGCTCAGCAAAGCCTCACCATGGCTGCCATTAACAAAAGCAGTCTGCATCACTTAGGAACTGTGACACTGCTGACATGAGTTACAATCCAAAAAATCATAAAAGATTACATGACTGTGTCTATGTAAAAATCAGACAAACCACTTCACAGAACCAGCACTATAAATATATCTATAGGAAAAAGTTTTTCCCTACCAATGTTAATGGTAAATTGGAAGAAAACAGCTGTTGAAATAAACACAGACACTAACAAAAAGACATGAGAAACATGAAAAAGCAAGGAAACAAGACACCTCCAAAGAAACAAAATAATTTTCCAATAAGAGACCCATAAGAAAAGGAAATGTATGGAATGCTGGAAAAAAAATCAAAATTCTGATACAAAAGAAACTAAGTGAGATATTTTTTAAAAAGTAAATAATCCAAAAAATTATGAAAACAATTTATGATCTCGATTAGAAATTCAACAAAGATTGATATCATTTAAAACGTCCTACAACTGAAGATTTCAATGAAATATAAAATACAGTTGAGAGCCTCAACAATAGACAAAATTAAGCAGAAGAATTTCTGAACTTGAAAACAGATTTTTAAAAAAATAACCCATTCAGACATAACAGTAAAAAACAACTTTAAAAAATGAAGAAAGCCTACATAACATATGAGATGCCATAAAGCGACCAAATATTCAAATTATGGGAGTTTCAGAAGAAAGAGAAATGGAAGAAAACATTTGAAAAAAATAATAGCTGAAAACTTCCCAAGTCTTGCAAAAGACAAAAACATGAAGATACAGGAGTACAAAATTCCTCAAATAGATTCAATCCATAAAAGGCTTCTACAAGGTATATCATAGTCAAACTGTGAAAAGTCAAAGACACAATTCTAAAAATAGCAAGAAAAATATCAAATCACACATAAGAAAATCCCCATAAGATTAAAAACAAATTTCTCAGCAGAAACCTTACAGGCATATGATGATATATTACAAGTGCTGAAAATAAAATGTCAGTCAATAATACCAGATCCACAAACCTATCCTTCAAAAATGAAGGACAAATAACATCTTTCCCAGACAAGCAAAAGCTAAGGGAATTTATCACACTACACTACAAAAATGCTTAATAGAGTCTTAAAACTCTCAAAGAAACACACAAAAGTATAAAACTCAATAGTAGAGCAGACACACAAATAAGACAGAGAATGGAGTCACATGTTATCACTACAAAAAGCCACAAAATCGGGCATTCCAAGATGGCTAAATAGGAACAGCTCCAGTCTGCGGCTCCCAGCATGATTGACGCAGAAGATGGGTGATTTCTGCATTTCCAACTTCGGTACCTGGTTCATCTCACTGGGACTGGCTGGACAGTAGGTGCAGCTCACAGAGGGCAAGCTGAAGCAGGGCGGGGAGTCGCCTCACCCGGGAAGTGCAAGGAGTCAGGGGACTTCCCTTTCCTAGCCAAGGGAAGCTGTGACAGGCTACGTGGAAAAATGGGACAGTCCCGCCCAAATACTGCACTTTTCCCAAGGTCTTAGCAACCAGCAGACAAGGTGATTCTCTCCCCGTGCCTGGCTCGGCAGGTCCCACGCCCACAAAGCCTTGCTCACTGCTAGCACAGCACTCTGAGATCAAACTGCAAGACGGCAGCCTGGCTGGGGGAGGGGCATCCGCCATTGCTGAGGCTTGAGTAGGTAAACAAAGTGGCCGGGCAGCTAGAACAGGGCAGAGCCCACCACAGTTCAACAAGGCCTACTGCCTCTAGACTCCACCTCTGCGGGCAGGGCATGGCTGAACAAAAGGCAGCAGACAACTTCTGCAGATGTAAACGTCCCTGTCTGACAGCTCTGAAGAGAGCAGTGGTTCTCCCAGCACAGCGTTTGAGCTTTGAGAACAGACAGACTGCCTCCTCAAGTGGGTCAATGACCCCAGTGTAGCCTAACTGGGAGACGCCTCCCATTAGGGGATGACAGACACCTCATATAGGTGGCTGCCCCTCTGGGACGAAGCTTCCAGAGGAAGGATCAGGCAGCAATATTTGCTCTTCTGCAATATTTGCTGTTCTGCAGCCTCCATTGGTGATACCCAGGCAAACTGGGCCTGGAGTGGACCTCCAGCAAACTCCAACAGACCTGCAGCTGAGGGACCTGACTGTTAGAAGGAAAACTAACAAACAGAGAGGAATAGCATCAACATCAACAAAAAGGTCATCTACACCAAAACCTCATCTGTAGGTCACCAACATCAAAGACCAAAGGTAGATAAAACCACAAAGGGGGAGAAACTAGAGCAGAAAAGCTGAAAATTCTAAAAATCGGAGCACCTCGTCTCCTCCAAAGGATCACAGCTCCTCACCAGCAACGGAACAAAGCTGGATGGAGAATGACTTTAACGAGCTGACAGAAATAGGCTTCAGAAGATCAGTAATAACAAACTATTCCAAGCTAAAGAAGGATGTTTGAACCCATCGCAAGGAAGCTAAAAACCTTGAAAAAACATTAGACAAATGGCTAACTAGAATAAAGAGTGTAGAGAAGATTTTAAATGACCTCATGGAGGTGAAAACCATGGCACGAGAGCTTCGTGACACATGCACAAGCTTCGATAGACAATTCAGTCAAGTGGAAGAAAGGGTATCAGTGATTGAAGATCAGATTAATGAAATAAAGCAAGAAGACAAGGTTAGAGAAAAAAGAGTAAAAAGAAACAAACAAAGCCTCCAAGAAATATGGGACTATGTGAAAAGACCAAATCTACATTTGATTGCTGTACCTGAAAGTGATGGAGAGAATGTAACCAAGTTGGAAAACACTCCTCAGGATATTATCCAGGAGAACTTCCCCAACTTAGCAAGGCAGGCCAACATTCAAATTCAGGAAATACAGAGAACACCACAAAGATACTCTGTGAGAAGAGCAACCCCAAGACGCATAATTGTCAGATTCACCAAGGCTGAAATGAAGGGAAAAGTGTTAAGGGCAGCCAGAGAGAAAGGTCGAGTTACTCACAAAGGGAAGCCCATCAAACTAATGGTGGATCTCTCGGAAGAAACCCTATAAGCCAGAAGAGAGTGGGGGCCAATATTCAACATTCTTAAAGAAAAGAATTTTCAATCCAGAATTTAATATCCAGCCAAACTAAGCTTCATAAGTGAAGGAGACATAAAATCCTTTACAGACAAGCAAATGCTGAGAGATTTCGTCACTACCAGGCCTGCCTTACAAGAGCTCCTGAAGGAAGCACTAAACATGGAAAGAAACAACCGGTACCAACCACTGCAAAAACATGCCAAATTGTAAACACCACCAGTGCTATGAAGAAACTGCATAAATTAACGGGCAAAATAACCAGCGAACATCATAATGACAGGATCAAATTCACACTAACAATATTAACCTTAAATGTAAATGGGCTAAATACCCCAATTAAAAGACACAGACTGGCAAATTGGATAGAGTCACTGATGGGAAGACCCATTAGTGTGCTGTATTCAGGAGACCCATCTCACATGCAAAGACGCACTTAGGCTCAAAATAAAGGGATGGAGGAAGATCTACCAAGCAAATGGAAAGCAAAAAAAAAGCAGGGGTTGCAATCCTAGTCTCTGATAAACAGACTTTAAACCAACAAAGATCAAGAGACAAAGAAGGCCATTACATAATGGTAAAGGGATCAATTCAACAAGAAGAGCTAACTATCCTAAATATATACACACCCAATAAAGGAGCACCCAGATTCATAAAGCAAGTCCTTAGAGAATACAGGAGCACCCAGATTCATAAAGCAAGTCCTTAGAGACCTACAAAGAGACTTACACCCCCACACAACAATAATGAGAGACTTTAACACACCACTGTCAATATTACACAGATAAACGAGACAGATGGTTAATAAGGATATCCAGGACTTGAACTCAGCTCTGCAACAAACAGACCTAATAGACATCTACAGAACTTTCCACCCCAAATCAACAGAATATACATTCTTCTCAGCACCACATCACACTTATTCTAAAATTGACCACATAATTCGAAGTAAAGCACTCCTCAGCAAATGTAAAAGAACAGATATCACGGCCGGGCGCGATGGCTCACGCCTGTAATCCCAGCACTTTGGGAGGCCGAGGCGGGTGGATCATGAGGTCAGGAGATCGAGACCATCCTGGCTAACAAGGTGAAACCCCGTCTCTACTAAAAATACAAAAAATTAGCCGGGCGCGGTGGCGGGCGCCTGTAGTCCCAGCTACTCGGGAGGCTGAGGCAGGAGAATGGCGTGAACCTGGGAAGCGGAGCTTGCAGTGAGCCGAGATTGCGCCACTGCAGTCCGTAGTCCGGCCTGGGCGACAGAGCAAGACTCCGTCTCAAAAAAAAAAAAAAAAAAAAAAGAACAGAAATCACAACAAACTGTCTCTCAGACCACAGTGCAATCAAATTAGATGTCAGAATTAAGAAACTCATTCAAAACCACACAACTACATGGAAAGTGAACAACTTGCTCCTGAATGACTACTATGTAAGTAACAAAATGAAGGCAGAAATAAAGATGTTCTTTGAAACCAATGAGAACAAAGACACAACATACAAGAATCTCTGGGACATATTTAAAGCAGTGTGTAGAGGGAAATTTATAGCACTAAATGTCCACAAGAGAAAGCAGGAAAGATCTAAAATCGACACACTAACATCACAATTAAAAGAACTACAGAAGGAAGAGCAAACAAATTCAAAAGCTAGCAGAAGGCAAGAAATAACTAAGATCAGAGCAGAACTGAAGGAGATAGAGACACAAGGAGATTCGGCAAACCGAATCCAGCAGCACATCAAAAAGCGTATCCACCACAATCAAGTCGGCTTCATCCCTGGCATGCAAAGCTGGTTCAACATATGCAAATCAATAAACGTAATGCATCACGTAAACAGAAACAATGACAAAAACCACGATTATCTCAATAGATGCAGAAAAGGCCTTTGACAAAATTAAAAACCTTCATGCCAAAAACTCTCAATAAACGAGGTATCAATGGAACGTATCTCAAAATAATAAGAGCTATCTATGACAGACCCACAGCCAATATCATACTGAATAGGCAAAAACTGGAAGCATTCCCTTTGAAAACGGGCACAAGACAGGCATGCCCTCTCTCACCACTCCTATTCAACATAGTATTGGAAGTTCTGGCCAGGGCAATCGGGCAAGAGAAAGAAATAAAGAGTATTCAATTAGGAAATGAGGAAGTCAAATTGTCCCTGTTTGCAGATGACATGATTCTGTATTTAGAAAACCCCATTGTCTCAGCCCAAAATCTCCTTAAGCTGAGAAGCAACTTCAGCAAAGTCTCAGGATACAAAATAAATGTGCAAAAATCACAAGCATTCTTATACACCCTTAACAGACAAACAAAGAGCCAAATCATGAGTGAACTCCCATTCACAATTGCTTCAAAGAGAATAAAATACCTAGGAATCCAACTTACAAGGGATGTGAAGGACCTCTTCAAGGAGAACTACAAACCACTGCTCAATGAAATAAAAGAGGACACAAACAAATGGAAGAATATTCCATGCTCATGGATAGGGAGAATCAATAGCATGAAAATGGCCATACTGCTCAAAGTAATTTATAGATTCAATGCCATCCCCATCAAGCTACCAATGACTTTCTTCACAGAATTGGAAAAAACTACTTTAAAGTTCATACGGAACCAAAAAAGAGCCCACATTGCCAAGACAATCCTAAGCAAAAAGAACAAAGCTGGAGGCATCACACTACCTGACTTCAAACTATACTACAAGGCTACAGTAACCAAAACAGCATGGTACTGGTACCAAAACAGAGATATAGACCAATGGAACAGAACAGAGGCCTCAGAAATAACACCACACATTTACAATCATCTGATCTTTGACAAACATGACAAAAACAAGAAATGGGGAAAGGATTCCCTATTTAATAAATGGTGCTGGGAAAACTGGCTAGCCATATGTAGAAAACTGAAACTGGATCCCTTCCTGACACCTTATACAAAAATTAATTCAAGACGGATTAAAGACTTCAATGTTAGACCTAAAACCATAAAAACCCTAGAAGAAAACCTAGGGAATACCATTCAGGATATAGGCATAGGCAAGAACTTCATCACTAAAACACCAAAAGCAATGGCAACAAAAGCCAAAATAGACAAATGCGATCTAATTAAACTAAAGAGCCTCTGCATGGCAAAAGAAACTACCATCAGCGTGAACAGGCAACCTACAGAATGGGAGAAAATTTTTACAATCTACCCATCTGACACAGGGCTAATATCCAGAATCTACAAAGAACTCAAATTTACAAGAAAAAAACAAACAACCCCCTCATCAAAAAGTGGGCAAAGGATATGAACAGACACTTCTCAAAAGAAGACATCTATGCAGCCAACAGACACATGAAAAAACACTCATCATCACTGGTCATCAGAGAAATGCAAATCAAAACCACAATGAGATACCATCTCACGCCAGTTACAATGGCAATCATTAAAAAGTCAGCAAACAACAGATGCTGGAGAGAATGTGGAGAAATAGGAATGCTTTTACACTGTTGGTGGGAATGTAAATTAGTTCAACCATTGTAGAAGACAGTGTGGCGAATCCTCAAGGATCTAGACCTGGAATTACCATTTGACTGAGCAATCCCATTACTGGGTATACACCCAAAGGATTATAAATCATGCTACTATAAAGACACACGCACACATATGTTTATTGCAGCACTATCCACAATAGCAAAGACTTGGAACCAACCCAAATGTCCATCAATGATAGACTGGATTAAGAAAATGTGGCACATATACACCATGGAATACTATGCAGCCTTAAAAAAAATGAGTTCATGTTCTTTGCAGGGACATGGATGAAGCTGGAAACCATCATTCTCAGCAAACTATCACAAGGACAGAAAACCAAACACCGCATGTTCTCACTCGTAGGTGGGAACTGAACAATGAGATCACTTGGACACAGGGCGGGGAACATCACACACTGGGACCTGTCGCGGGGTGGGGAGCTGGGGGAGGGATAGCATTAGGAGAAATACCTAATGTAAATGATGAGTTGATGGGTGCAGCAAACCAACATGGCACATGTATACCTATGTATCAAACCTGCACATTATGCACATGTACCCTAGAGCTTAAAGTATAATAAAAAATAATTTTTTAAAAACCACCAAATCATAAAGGTAAACAATAAAAGAATAGAGAAATAGAGATATAAAAGCAGTCAGAAAATCATTAACAAAATGAGTAAGTCCTTTTTTTAAAACTTTTAATTTCAGAGGTACCTGTGTAGGTTTGTTACATAGGTAAACTTATGTCATGGGGGGTTGTTATACAGAATATTTATGACCCAGATATTAGGCCTAGTACTCATTAGCTATTTTACCTGATGCTCTCCCCTCCTCACACCCTCCACCTTCTGAAAGGCTCTAGCATGTGTTGTCCCCTTCTGTGTCCATGTATTCTCATAACTTAGCTCCCACTTATAAGTGAGAACATGCAGTGTTTGGTTTTCTGTCCTCCATTAGTTTGCTAAGGATAATGGCCTCCAGCTCCATTCAAGTCCCTGCAACAGACATGATCTCATTTTATGGTGTATATGTGCCACATTTTCTTTATCCAGTAAAACATTACTGGGCATTTAGATTGATTCCATGTCTTTGCTATTATAAATACTGCTGCAATAAACATATGTGTGCATGTGTCTTTATAATAGAACAATGTATATTCCTTTGGGTAAATACCCAGTAATGGGACTGCTGGAGTGAATGGTACTTCTGTCTTTACATCTTTGAGGAATGGCCACATTGTCTTCCACAATGGGTGAACTAATTTACACTCCCACCAACACTTTATAACCATTCCTTTTTCTCCACAACCTCACCACCATCTGTTACTTTTGGAGTTTTTAATAGTAGCAATTTTGACTAGTGTGAGATGGTATCTCACTGTGGTTTTGATTTGCATTTCTCTAATGATTAGTGATGTTGAGCTTTCTTTCATATGATTGTTGGCTGCATGTACGTCTTCTTTGGAAAAGCACTTGTTCATGCCCCCCTTGGCCCACTTTATAATGGGGTTGTTTTTTGCTTGTAAATTTGTTTAAGTTAATTATAGATGCAGTATATTCGACTTCTGTCAGATGCATAGTTTGCAAAAATTTTCTCCCATTCTGTACACTGTCTGTTTACTCTGTTGACAGTTTCTTTTGGTGTGCAGAAGCTCTTTAGTTTAGTTAGATCCCATTTGTCAATTTTTGCTTTTGTCCCAATTGCTTTTGGTATCTTTATCATGAAATCTTTGCACGTGCCTATCTCCTGAATGGTACTGCCTAGGCTGTCTTCCAGAGTTTTCAGTTTGAGGTTTTACATTTAAGTCTTTAATCCATCTCGAGCTAATTTTTGTATATGGGCTAAGGAAGGGGTCTAGTTTTAATTTTCTGCATATGGCTAACCAGTTATCCCAGCACCATTTATTGAATAAGGAATCCTTTCCCCATTGCTTGTTTTTGTCAGGTTTGCCAAAGATCAGATAGTTGTAGGTATGCAGTCTTATTTCTGGGCTCTCTATTCTGTTCCATTGGTCAGTGTGCCTGTAGCATAGCTTGAAGTTGGATAGCATGATGCCTCCAGCTTTGTTCTTTTTGCTTAGGATTGCCTTGACCATTCAGGCTCTTTTTTGGTTCCATATGAATTTTAAAATAGTTTTCTCTAGTTCTGTAAAGAATGTCATTGGTAGTTTCATAAGAATAGCATTAAATCTATAAATTGCTTTGGGCAGTATGGCCATTTTAAAAATATTGATTGTTCCTATCCATGAGCATGGAATGTGCTTGTGTCATCTCTGATTTCTTTGAACAGTGTTTTGTAGTTCTCCTTGAAGAGATCTTTCACCTCCCTCCTTAGATGTATTCCTAGGTATTTTATTCTTTTTGTGGCAGTTCTGAATGAGTTCGTTCCTAGTCTGGCTCTCAGTTTGATTGTTGTTGGTATATAGGAGTGCTAGTGATTTTTGGACACTGATTTTGTATGCTGAGACTTTGCTGAAGTTGCTTATCAGTTTAAGAAGCCTTTGGGCTGAGAATATGGGGTTTTCTAGATCTAGGATCATGCTGTCTGCAAATAGGAATAGTTTGACTTCTTCTCTTCCTATTTAGGTCCCTTTATTTCTTTCTCTTACCTGACTGTCCTGGCCAGGACTTCCAATACTATGTTGAATAAGAGTGATGACAGTGGGCATCCTGGTCTTCTGGCAGTTTTTAAGGGGAATACTTCCAGCTTTTGCCCATTCAGTATGATGTTGGCTGTGGGCTTGTCATACATGGTTCTTATTATTTTGAGGTATATGAGAGGAATAAGTCTTCACTACCAATAACAACCTGAATGTAACTGGTTTAAACTCCACAATTAGAAGATTTAGACTGGCTGAATAGATAAAACACAAGACCCAACAGAATGCTGCCTACAAGAAACTCACTTCACCTATAAAGACACACATGAAGTGAAAGTGAAGGGATGTGATGGATACATATATATATCCCATGTAAATGGAAACCAAAAGTATGCAGGAGTAGCCATACTTACATCAGACAAATAGGCATTAAGTTACCAAAAAAACTTAAAAAGAGACAAGACAGTGTGGTGATTCCTCAAAGATCTAGAAGCAGAAATGCCATTTGACCCAGCAATCCCATTACTGGGTATACACCCAAAGGAATATAAATCATTTTATTATAAAGATACATGCACACATATGTTCACTGCAGCATTATTCACAATAACCAAGACACGGAATCATCCCAAATGCCCATCAATGACAGACTGGATTAAAAAAATGTGGTACATGTACATCAGGGAATACTATGCAGCCATAAAAAGGAAAAAGATCATGTCCTTTGCAGGGACATGGATGGAGCTGGAAGCCGTTATCCTCAGCAAACTAATGCAGGAACAGAAAAACAAACACCACATGTCCTCACTCATAAGTGGGAGTTGAACAATGAGAACACACTGGTGGGGAATAATACACACTGGAGCCTGTCAGGGGGACGAAGGGAAAAAGAACATCAGGAAGAACAGCTAATGGATGCTGGTCTTAATACCTAGGTGAAGGGTTGATCTGTGCAGCAAAACACCATGGCACACGTTTACCTATTTAACAAATCTGCACATCCTGCACGTATACCCTGGAACTTAAAATAAAATTGAAGGAAAAAAATATATTGCAAAACTTGAAATAAAAATAAAAAGAAACAAAAAGGTCATCATATATTGATGAAGAGATAAATTCAGCAAGAGAACATAACAATTATAAACATATTTACACCCAATACAGGAGCACTCAGATAAATAAAGCAAATATGAGAACTAAAGAGAGAGATAAATCCCAATACAATGATACTTGGAGAATTAAACATCCCACTTTCAACATGCAGAAGGAAAATAAACCAAAAAAAATTGAACATTTCTGCACTATAGACCAAATGGACCTAAGAGACATCTACAGAACATTTCATCCACCAGCTACAGATTACACACTCTTCTCACGAGCACAAAGAACATTCTCCATATGTTAGGCCACAAAGGTAACATTGCCAGTTTTTTTATTATTATTATTCTTTAAGTTCTGAGATACATGTGTAGAACATGCAGGTTTGTTACATAAGTATACATGTGCCATGGTGGTTTGCTGCACCCATCAACCCGTCATCTACATTAAGTATTTCTCCTAATGCTATCCCTCCCCTTACCCCCAATCCCCCAAAGGCCCCAGTGTGTGATGTTCCCCGCCCTGTGTCCATGTGCTCTCATTGTTCAACTCCCACTTATGAGTGAGAACATGCAGTGTCTGGTTTTCTGTTCCTGTGTTAGTTTGCTGAAAATAATGGTTTCCAGCTTCATCCATGTCCCTGCAAAGGACATGAACTCATTCTTTTTATGGCTGCATAGAATTCTATGGTGTATATGTGCCACATTTTCTTAATCCAGTCTATCATTGATGGGCATTTGGGTTGGTTCCAAGTCTTTGCTATTGTGAATGGTGCCACAATAAACATACATGTGCATGTATCTTTATAGTAGAACCATTTATAATCCTTTGGGTATATATACCCAGTAATGGGATTGCTTGGTCAAATGGTATTTCTGGTTCCAGATCCTTGAGGAATCGCCACACTGTCTTCCACAAGGGTTAAACTAACTTACACTCCCACCAACAGTGTAAAAGCATTCCTATTTCTCTACAACCTCTCCAGTATCTGTTGTTTCCTGAGTTTTTAATGATTGCCATTCTAAATGGCATGAGATGGTATCACATTGTGGTTTTGATTTGCATTTCTCTAATGACCAGTGATGATGAGCTTTTTTTCATGTTTGTTGGCCGCATAAATGTCTTCTTTTGAGAAGTGTCTGTTCATATCCTTCGCCCACTTTTTGATGGGGTTATTTGTTTTTTTCTTGTAAATTTGTTTAAGTTCCTTGTAGATTCTGGATAGTAGTCCTTTGTCAGATGGATAGATTGCATAAATTTTCTCCCATTCTGTAGGTTGCCTATTCACTCTGATGATAGTTTCTTTTGCTGTGCAGAAGCTCTTCAGTTTAATTAGATCCCATTTGTCAATTTTGGCTTTTGTTGCAATAGCTTTTTGTGTTTTAGTCATGAAGTCTTTGCCCATGCCTATGCCCTGAATGGTATTACCTAAAACCTCACCAAATTTTTAAAAATCAAAATAATATGAGTACCTTTGCAGACCACAATGGAAAAAAAAATTAGAAACCAATAACAAGAACTTTGGAAACAATACAAATACATGGAAATTAAACAACATGCTTCTGAATGACCAGAGTCAGGGAAGAAATTAAGAGGGAAATCAAGAAACATCTTGAAACAAGTAAAAATATAAATTCAGCATTTAAAACCTGTAACTGCAAAAGCACTATTAAGAGAGAAATTTATAGCAATAAATACGTATGACAAAAAAGTATAAAGATTTTAAGTAAAAAAAACCTAATAATGCACCTGAAAAAAATAGAAAAGTCAGAACAAGCCAAAACAAAATTAGTAAATGGCCGGACATGGTAGCTCATGCCTGTGATCCCAGCCCTTTGGGAGGCTGATGTGGGTGGATCACTTGAGGTCAGGAGTTTGAGACCAACCTGGTTAACATGGTGACACGCCCTCTCTATTAAAAATACAAAAATTAGCTGAGTGTGGTGGTGGGTGCCTGTAATCCCAGCTACTTGGGAGACTGAGGCAGGAGAATCACTTGAACCTGGGAGGTAGAGGTTGCAGTGAGCCAAGATCACGCCACTGCACTCCAGCCTGGGTGGCAGAGTGAGTCTCCATCTCAAAAAAAAAAAAGTTAGTAGAGAAAAAAAAATAAACATCAGAGCAAAACTAAAGAAAACAGAAAGACTAAAAATATAATACAAAGAATCAATGAAAAAAAGCGTTGTTTTTTTTAAAGATAATCTTGATAAACAACTGGCTAGACTGGCTAACACACACACATACCCTAATAAACAAAATCAGAAATGAAAAAAGAGACATTCCAATTGATACCAGAGAAATACAAAAGATTATCAGAGACTACTATGAACAACTACGAGCTAACAAACTGAAAAACTTAGAAAAAGATAGATAAATTTCTGGACACATACAACCTATCGAGACTGAACCAGAAAGAAACAGAAACCCTAAACAACCCAATAACAAATAACAAGACTGAGTGAGTAGGCCAGCACAGTGGCTTATGCCTGCAATCCCAGCGCTTTGAAAGGCCAAGTTGGGAGGACTGCTTGAGTCCAGGAGTTTAAGAACAGCCTAGGCAATACAGCAAGACCCCACCTCTACCAAAAAAAAATTTTTAATTAGCCAGCCATGGTCGTGCATACCTGTGATACTAGCTGCTCAGGAGGCTGAGGTGAGAGGATCACTTGAGCCCAGGAATTCTAAGCTAGGCTACAAGGAGAATGATCATGCCACTGTACTACAGCCTGGACAACAGAGCAAGACCCTGTCACTAAAGAAAATTTTAAAAGGTTGAATAATAAAAAGGCTCCCAAAAAAGAAAAGCCCACGACCTGATGGCTTCATTGCCAATTTCTACCAAACTTACAAAGAAGAATACCAAATCTTCTGAAACTATTCCAAACAATAGAAGATGATGGAATTCTTCCTAACTCATTCTACGAAGTCATTCCTACCCTTATACCAAAAGAAGACAAGGAAATGCACACAAAAAAGAAAACTTCCAGCCAATATCCCTTATGAAAACAGACACAAAATACCTCAACAAAATATTATTAATAGCATACCGAATCCAAAAGCACTTTAAAAAGATAATACACCATAATCTAAGTGAGATTGTATTCAGAGATGCAAGAATGGTTCAACATATGCAAATCAATAAACATGACACATCACATCAACAGGATGAAAAACAAAAACCATGCAGTCACCTCAACAGATGCAAAAAAAAATTTGATAAAATAATGTCTCACTTTATGATAAAAATGCTCAAGAAACTAGCTATAAAAAGAACATACCTCAGCAGGATAAAGGTCATATATTACAAATCCACAGCTAACATCACACTGAATGAAGAAAAGCTAAAAGACTTCCCTCTAAGAACTGGAACAAAACAGGATGCACATATTCACCATGCTTATTCAACATAGTAATGGAAGTCCTAGCCGGAGCAATCAGGCAAGAGAAAAAATAAAAGACATCCAAATTGAAAAAGAGGAAGTAAAATTATCCCTCTTTGCAGAAGACACGATCTTATATTTAGAAAAACCTAAAAACTTCACCAAAAAAGACTCAGATCTCAGCTGGGTGCAGTGGCTCACGCCTGCTGTTCCAGCACTTTGGGAGGCCAAGGCAGGAATTCAAGACCAGCCTGAGCAACATGGCAAGACACCATCCTCTGCAAAACAATTTTAAACAATAAAAATTAGCCAGGCATGATGGCACGTGCCTGTAGTCCCAGCTACTTGAGAGGCTGAGGCAGGAGGATGGTTTCCTTGTGCCCAGGAAGATGCAGTGAACTTGCAGATGATCATGCCACTATACTCCAGCTTGGGTGACAGAGTGAAACTGTGTCAAAAAAAAAAAAGAAAGACTCAGATCTCATATGCAGATATGATGAACGACACAAAATCAACATCAAAAATGTAGTGATTATGTGCTAGCTAATAGGGAGGCTGAGGTGGGATCACCTGAGCCCAGAAAGTGGAGGATGCAGTGAGCCGAGACCATGCCACTGCACTCCAGCCTGGACAACAGAGTGAGACTCTGTCAAAAAAAAAAAAAAAAGTAGTGATTTTATACACCAACAATGAACTAACTGAAAATGAAATCCAGATAGCAATTCCACTTACAACAGCTACAAAAAAAAAAAAAAAAAAAAAAAAAAAAAACACACACACACACACACAAACAAAAAAAACTAGGAATAAATTTAACCAAAGAAGTAAAAGACCTCCATGAGGAAAACTACAAAACACTAATGGAAAAAACTGAAGAGGATAGGAACAAATGCAAGATATATCATGCTTATGAACTGGAAGAATTCATATTGTTAAAATGACCATACTATGCAGCAATCTACAGATTCAATGCAATCCCTATCAAAAGACCAATGACTATTTCATAGCAATGAAAGATAATAAACCTAAAATTTGTATGGAAACAAGAATCCAAATTGCCAAAACATTCCTGAGAAAACAGAACAAAGCTAGAGGCATCATACTACCTGACTTCAAACTATATTATAAGGCAATGTAACCAAAACAGCATAGTACTGGTATTAAAAACAGACCCACAGAGCAATGGAACAGAATAAAGAACTCATAAATAAATCCACGTATTTAAAGTAAAATGATTTTCAACTCAGGCACCCTAACATACACTGGGTAAGGAACACCCTCTTCAATAAATGGTGCTGAGAAAACAGGATATCCATACGCAGAAAAATAAAACCAGACCCCTATTCCTCACCATATACAAAAATCAACTTAAGATGGATTGACAACTTAAATATAATACCTGAAACTATAAAACTACTAAAAGGAAACACCTCAGGACATCGGTCTAGGCAAAGATTTTATGACTAAGACCTCAAAAGCAAAGCAACAAAAATAGACAATGGCTTCTGTACGGCTAAGGAAACAATCAATAGAATGAAGAGACAGTCTAAAGAATAGGAGAAATATTTGCAAAATACTCATCTGATAAGGGACTAATATCCAGAATACACAAGGAACTCAAAAACTCAACAAAAACAACAAATCCCGTTAAACAGTGGGCAAAGGGCATGAATAGACATTTCTTAAAAGACATACAAATGGCCAACAGGTACATGAAAAAATGCTCAACATCACTAACCACTAGGGAAATGTAAATAAAACCACAATGAGATATCGTCTTATCCCAGTCAGAATAGCTATTATCAGAAAGACAAAAAAAAAAAACAGATGCTGGTGAGGATGCAGGAAAAAAGGAACTCACATACACTGTTGGTGGGAATGTAAATTAGTATAGCTATTATGAAAAACAGTATGGAGATTTCCCCAAAAAAAAAAAAAAACTAAAAATAGAACTAACCCATGATACAGTAATCCCACTACTGGGTATTTATCCAAAGGAAAGGAAAACAATATTTCAATAAGATACATACACTCCCATGTTTACTGCAGCACTACTCACAACAGCAATGATATAGAACCAACCAAACTGCCCATCAATGGACAAACGGATAAAGAAAATATGGTGTATTTACACAATTAAACATAATTTGGCCATAAAAAAGAATAAAATTCTGTCATGTACAGAAACATGGACGCAACTGAAGGTCATTATGTTAAGTGAAGTAAGCCAGAAACAGAAAGAAAAATATTCCATGTATTCACTCATATGTGGGTGCTGAAAAAGTTGATCTCATGAAGGTAGAGGGTAGAATTATAGATACTAGAGGCTGGGAAGGGTGTAGAGGGGAGAGGTCACAATGGAGAGAGGTTGGTTAATGGCTACAAACATACAGCTAGATAGAAGGAGTAAGTTCTAATATTCAGTAGTAGAATACGGTGACTATAGTTAACATCAATGTATTGTATATTTCAAAGTAACTAGAAGTAAGAACTTGAAATGTTCTCAATACATAGAAATAATAAATGCTTGTGATGATGGATATCCTCAACACCCTGATTTGGTCATTACACATTCTTCACATGTAACAAAATATCACATGTATGCCATAAATATATACAAATATTTATAACTTTTTAAAAAGATATGCTGATTGGGAAATAAAACTGTCTTTGTTTGCAGATGACGTAACTGTCGATGTGGAAATTCCAAAAGAATGAACAAAAAAACTGAAACCAATAAGCAATTACAGCGAGGTTGCATGATACAAGATTAATATACAAAAGTCAATCACCTTCCTATATGCCTGCATAAATAACTGGAATTTGAAATTAAAAACACAATATCGTTTACATTAGCACATAAAAAATGAAATACTTGGCCAGGCGCAGTGGCTCATGTCTGTAATCCCAGCACTTTGGGATACCGAGGTGGGCAGATCATGAGGTCAGGAGATCGAGACCATCCTGGCTAACAAGGTGAAACCCTGTCTCTACTAAAAATACAAAAAAAAATTAGCCAGGTGTGGTGGCGGGCACCTGTAGTCCCAACTACTCGGGAGGCTGAGGCAGGAGAATGGCATGAATCCAGGAGACGGAGCTTGCAGTGAGCCGAGATTGCACCACTGCACTCCAGCCTGGGCGACAGAGCGAGACTCTGTCTCAACAAAAAAAAAAAAAAGAAAGAAATACTTTGGTATAACTCTAACAAAATATGTACAAGATCTGTATGAGGAAAGCTACAAAACTGTGATGAAAGAAATCAAAGAACCAAATACACAGAAAAATATTCCATGTTCATGGATAAGAAGAGTCAATATTATTCAGATGTCATGTCTTCACAAGTTGATCAACAGATTCAATGCAATGTCAATCAAAATCCCAGCAAGTTACTTTGTGGATATCAACAAACTGACTAGAAAGTTTATAGAGAAGCAAACGACTAGGCATAAAAAACACAATTTTTAAAGAGAAAAACATAGAGGATTGACACTGCCAAACTTCAAGACTTATTATAAAGCTACACTAATCAAGAGAGTGTGGTATGGGTGAAAGAATATTTTTTTATTTTTTCTTAGACACTATGGTGACCTATCTTTTTATTTTTTTTAATAAATAGATCAAAGAAACAGAACATACAGCCCAAAAATAGACCCAAATAAATACAGTCAACTGATCTTTGGCCAAGAGGCAAAAGCAATAGAATGAAAAAAGTTCCTTTCAATCCATATCAAAACCACAAGGAGATACCATCTCACACCAGTCAGAATGGCTATTACTAAAAAGTCAAAACAACAACAACGAATGCTGGCAAGGCTGTAAAGAAAAGGGAATGCTTATCCACTGTTGGTGGGAATTAGTTCTGCCACTGTGGAAAGCAGTTTGGAAATTTCTCAAAGAACTTAAAATAGACCTACCATTTGAACCAGCAATCCCATTACTGAGTATATGTCCAAAAGAAAATAAATCATTCTGCCAAAAAGACACATGCAGTCAAATGTTTACTGCAGCGCTATTTACAATAGCAAAGACATGGAATCAACCTAGGTGCCCATCAGTGGTGGACTGGATTAAAAAAAAGTGGTACATACACACCATGGAATGCTATGCGGCCATAAAAAAAGAACAAGATCATGTCCTGTGCAGCAACATAGGATCACCTAAGCTAATTAATGCAGGAACAGAAAACAAAATACTACATGTTCTCACTTATGGCCACCCATGCCATCTTTATGTCCATGAGCATCCAGTGTGGGAGCTAAACATTGGGTAATCATGGACATAAAGATGGCAAAAACAGACATTGGGGACTACTAGTGGGGAATAAAGGGGGTGGGAAAAGGGTTGAAAAACTAACTATTGGATACTATGCTTCCTACCTGCGTGACGGTATAATAGTACCCTAAACCTCAGCATCAAGCAGTATACCCATGTAACAAACCTGCATATGTACTAGCTGAGTCTGAAAGTTCAAATTATTAAAAAGAAAACGGTATTTTCAACAAACTGTGCTAGAGCAACTGAATATCCACATGCAAAAGAATGATCTGGACAAAGACCTCACATCCTTCATAAAAATTAACACAAACTGGGCTGGGCATGGTGGCTTGCACCTGTAATCCCAGCAGTTTGGGAGGCCGAGGCTGGCTGATCACTTGAAGTCAGGAGTTTGAGACCAGCCTGGCCAACATGGTGAAACCTCACCTCTACTAAAAATACAAAAATTAGCCAGGTCCAGACATGGTGGCAGGTGCCTGTAATCCCAGCTACTCAGAAGACTGTGGCATGAGATTGCTTGAACCCAGGAGACGGCGGTTGCAGTAAGCTGAAATTACACCACTGCACTCCAGCCTGGGCAACAGAGCAAGACTCTGTCTAAAAAAAAAAATTAACTCAAACTGGATCACAAACCTGAATGCAAAATGCAAAACCATAAAACTCCTAGAAGATAACATAGGAGAAAATCTAGATGACTTTGAGTCTATCAATGGCTTTTTAAACATGACACCAAAGCCACAATCCATGAAAGAATGAATTGATAAGCTGGGCTTCATTAAAATTAAAAATTTCTGCTCTGGAAAGACAATGTCAAGAGAATGAGAAGGCAAGCCAAAGACTGAGAGAAAATATTTGAAAATGACGTATCTGCTACAGGACTGTTATCTAAATATACGAAGAACTCTTACAACTCAACAGTAAGAAAATGAACAGCTTGAAATCATCATGGTGGACAGGAGGCAGGACCAGATTGCAGCTACATGCAGAGCAGCTTGCAGAAGCTCTCATTGTGGATTTTAGCCCCAGATCGACAGCAACAACAAACCAGCAATCCCGAGAGGGCCCACAGACCCTCTAAAGGATGTGGACTGCTCCTGCAGGACCCAGGAGACACTCCAAATACTGTGAGTGCCCCAACTGCGGAAGTGGGAAAGGGAGACCTCCCTCTCCCGAACACGTGCCCCCAATGGAGAAGCTGAAGGTCTGTTTGCGGGAGAAGTTTCCGACCTAACCTGGAGCTGAGCCAATTTAGAGAGCCAGGTGAAATACAGGGGTAGAGGAAGCAGCAAAAAGGCCCTGGGAGCTCGCTGCGTCCCCTAGCAAGCCATTCCTGCCTGGCACCACAGGAATCCATTGGGTGGATGACCAGAGGAGCAGGGGTATAACTCCACAGGGAGAAGGAAATCTCTAGCAGAACTTTCTAACCATTTGAACGGGGTGAGAAGCCCATTCACACCCTCAGACTGGAAACAGACTTGGGACTGTTGAGGGGAGCACAGTGGGACAGAGACCGGCCCTTCATTTTACCTGGTAGCTGGGTGAGGTCTGTGACTGTCAGCTTTCCCCCACTGCCCTGACAACCTGCATGACTCAGCAAAGGCAGCCATAATCCTCCTAGGTACCCAACTCCAATGACCTGGGAATCTCACCCACACCCCCCACAGCAGCCAAAACAAGACCCACCCAAGTAGAATCTGAGCTCAGACACGCCTAGCCCCACCTCCACCTGATGGTCCTTCCCTATCCACCCTGGTAGCATAAGACAAAGGACATATAACCTTGGGAGTTCTAGAGTCTCTCCCACCGCCAGTGCCTCTCTATCCTACCATAGCTGATGCTTTCTGGAAAGGGTCACCTCCTGGCAGGAGGTCAACCAGCACAAAAATAGAACATTAAAACACCAAAGCTAAGAACCCTCATAGAGTCCATTGCACCCCGCCACTACCTCCACTGGAAAAGGCATTGGTATCCACGGCTGAGAGATCCATCGATGACTCACATCACAGGACTCTGTCCAGACAACCCCCAGTATGAGGCCAGAGCTGGGAAGACTCGCTGGGTGGCTAGACCCAGAAGAGAGACAACAATCACTGCAGTTCAGCTCACAGGAAGCCACATCCATAGGAAAAGGGGGAGAGTACTACATCAAGGGAATATGCCATGGGACAAAAGAATCTGAGCAACAGCCTTCAGCCCTAGACCTTCCCTCTGACAGAGCCTACCCAAATGAGAAGGAACCAGAAACAACTCTGATAATATGACAAACCAAGGCTCTTCAACAACCCCCCACCAAAATCACACTAGTTCACCAGCAATGGATCCAAACCCAGAAGAAATCCCTGATTTACCTGAAAAATAATTCAGGAGGATAGTCATAAAGCTAATCAGGGAGGGACCAGAGAAAGGTGAAGTCCAATGCAAGGAAATCCAAAAAATGATACAAGAAGTGAAGGGAGAAATATTCAAGGAAATAGATCGCTTAAAGAAAAAAAACAATAAAAAGTTCAGGAAACTTTGGACACACTTTTAGAAACGTGAAATGCTCTGGAAAGTCTCAGCAATAGAATTAAACAAGTAGGAAGAAAGAAATTCAGAACTCGAAGACAAGGTCTTTGAATTAACCCAATCCAACAAAGACAAAAGAACAAGAAAATATGAACAGAGTCTCCAAGAAGTCTGAGATTATGTTAAACGACCAAACATAAGAATAATCAGTGTTGCTGAGGAAGAAGAGAATTCTAAAAGCTTGGAAAACATATTCTGGAATAACCAAGGAAAACTTCCCTGGCCTTGCTAGAGACCTAGACATCCAAACACAAGAAGTACAAAGAACACCTGGAAATTTCATCACAAAAAGATCTTCACCTAGGCACACGGCAATCAGGTTACCGAAAGACAAGACAAAGGAAAGAATCTTAAGAGCTGTGAGACAGAAGCACCAGCTAACCTATAAGGAAAACCTATCAGATTAACAGTGGATTTATCAGTAGAAACCCTAGAAGCTAGAAGGGAATTGGGGCTATCTTCAGCCTCCTCAAACAAACAATTATCAGACAAGAATTCTGTATCCAACGAAAGTAAGTATCATTTATGAAGGAAAGATACAGTTGTTTTCAGACAAGCAAACGCTGAGAAAATTTGCCACTACCAAGCCACCACTACAAGAACTGAGAAAAGGAGCTCTAAATCTTGAAACAAATTCTGGAAACACATCAAAACAGAACCTCTTCAAAGCATAAATTACACAGAACCTATAAAATAAAAATACAAGTTAAAAAGCAAAAACAAAAAACCCAAGTACACCAGCAACAAAAGTATGATGAATGCAATGGTACCTCACATTTCAATACTAACATTGAATGTAAATGGCCTAAATGCTCCATTTAAAAGATACAGAACTGCAGAATGGATAAGAACTCACCAACCATCTGCTGCCTTCAGAAAACTCACCTAGCACATAAGGAATCACATAAACTTAAGGTAAAGGGGTGGAAAATGGCATTTCATGCAAATGGACACCAAAAGCGAGCAGGAGTAGCTATTCTTATATGAGACAAAACAAATTTTAAAGCAACAGCAGTTAAAAGAGACAAAGATGGGCATTATATAATGGTAAAAGGCTTTGTCCAACAGGAAAATATCACAATCCTAAACATATACACACCTAACACTGGCACTCCCAAATTCATAAAACAATTACTAATAGACCTAAGAAATGAAATAGACAGCAACGTAATATTAGTGGGGGACTTTAATACTCCACTGACAGCACTATACAGGTCATGAAGACAGAAAGTCAAAAAAGACACAATGGATTTAAACCATACCTTAAAACAAATAGACTTACCATTTACATATATATATGTAAAAACATATATTATTTTTTAATAAGGTTATTGGTTTTTCATTTGTTGATTTAAGTTCCTTACAGAATCTGGATATTAGACCTTTGTCAGAGACAATAGTTTGTGAATATTTTCTCCCATTCCTTAGGGATTTTGTTTTGTTTTTTTGCTGTGCAGAAGCTCTTTAATTAAATTAAGTTTCATTTGTCAATTTTGTTTTTGTTGCAATTGCTTTTGGGGAATTAGCCAAAAATTCTTTGCCAAGGCTGATAACAAGAAGGGTATTTCCTAGGTATTTTTCCTAAGATTTTTATAGTTTGAGGTTTTACATTTAAATCTTTAATCCATCTTGAGTTAATTTTTGTATATGGTAAAAGGTAAGGGTCCAGTTTCATTCTGTTGCATATGGCTAGCCAGCTGTCCCAGCAGCATTTATTGAATAGGGAATCCTTTCCCCATTATTTGTTTTTGTCAGCCTTTCAAAGATCAGATGGTTGTAGGTGTGCAGCATTATTTCTGAGTTTTCTGTTCTTTTCCATTGCTCTATGTGTCTGTTTTTATACCTGTACCATGCTGTTTTGGTTACTGTGGGCTTATAATATAATTTGAAGTCAGGTACTGTGATGCCTCCAGCTTTATTCTTTTTGTTTAGGATTGCTTTAGCTATTTGGGCTCTTTTTTGTTCCATATGAATTTTAGAATAGTTTCTTCTAATTCTCTGAAAAATGACATTGATAGTATGATAGGAATAGCATTGAATCTGTAGACTGCTTTGGGCAGTATGGTCATTTTTGTGACACTGATGCTTCCAATCCACGCGCATGGATTGTTTTTCCATTTATTTGTGTCATCTCTGATTTTTTTCTGCAGTGTCTTGTGGTTCTTCTTGTAGACTCTTTCACCTTCTTAGTCAACTGTACTCCTAGGTATTTCATTTTTTTTAAGCCTATTGCAAATGGGATTGTGTTCTTGATTTGACTCTCAGCCTGGACATTATTTGGTGTCTAGAAATGCTACTGATTTTTTCTACATTGATTTTGTATCCTGAAAGGTTGCTAAAGTCCTTTATCAGTTCTAGGAACTCTTCATCAGAGTCTTCAGAGTTTTATAGGTATAGAAACATTTCATCAGTGGAGGGATAATTTATGTGAGATTATGTAAAGAGACTAAATCTATCACTCACTGGCATTCCTGAGAAAGAATGGGAGAGAATACGCAAACTGGAAAATACATTTGAGGATATGGTCCACAAAAATTTCCCTAATCACAATAGAAAGGTTGACATGCAGGCCAGGCGCGGTGGCTCATGCCTGCAATCCCAGCACTTTGGGAGGCCGAGGCAGCTGGATTGCCTGAGCTCAGAAGTTCGAGACCAGCCTGGGCAACACAGTGAAACCTTGTCTCTACTAAAACACAAAAAATTAGCTGGGCATGGCAGCATGTGCCTGTAGTCCCAGCTACTTGGGAGGCTGACGCAGGAGAATTGCTTGAACCTGGGAGGTGGAGGTTGCAGTGAGCCAAGATCGCACCACTGTACTCCAGCCTGGCGACAGAGAGAGCCTTGCCTGCGCCAAGGCACATCGTCATCAAATTCACCAAAGTCAACGCAAAAGAAAAAATCTTAAAGGCAGCTAGAGAGAAGGGTCAGGTCATGTACAGAAGGAACTCCCATCAGGCTAGCAGCAGACTTCTTGGCAGAAACCTTGCAAACCAGAAGAGATTGGGGGCCTCTTTTAGGCAACCTTAAAGAAAAGATATTACAACTAAGAATTTCATATCCTACCAGCCCAACATTCATAAGTGAAAGAGAAATAAAATCCTTCTCAGACAAGCAAATACTGAGGGAATTTGCTTCAACTACACCAGCCTTACAAGAAAGAGGTCCTTAAGGGAGTACTAAACATGGAATCAGAAGAATGACACCTACTACCACAAAAATACACTTAAGCACATAGCCCACAGACACTACAAAGCAACTATACAGTCAAGTCTATACAACAACCAACAACATAATGACAGGATCAAAATCTCACATATCAATACTAATCCTGAGTATAAATGGCTAAACGTCCCTCTTAAAAGACATGGAGTGTCAAGGTGGATAAAAAGACAAGACCCAACCATCTGCTATCTTCAAGATACCCATCTCACATCTAACAACATTCACAGGCTCAAAGTAAAGGGAAAGAGACAGATCTACCATGCAAACAGAAAATAAAAAAGAGCAGGAGCCACTATTCTTATATCAGATAAAATAGACTTTAAACAAATAACAATTAAGAAGGACAAAGATGGGTATTACATAATGATAAATGGTAAAATCCAACAAAAAGACTTAACTAATTATATATGCACCCACTATTGGTACACCCAGATTCATAAAACAAGTTTTGCTTGACCTACAAAAAGACTTAGTTAGGCAACCACATCATAATAGTGAAAGACTTCAACACCCCACTGACAGCATTAGACAGATCATTGAGGCAGAAAGCTCACAAAGAGACTCTCACTTAAACTCGGAAGTGATTAACTGGACCTAATAGACATCTACAGAACACTCCACCTAACAGCCACAGAAAATGTTTTTAACGTCATTAGTCATCACAAAAATGCAAATTAAAACCAAGCCCAGGCCGGGCACAGTGGTTCACGCCTGTAATGCCAGCATTTTGGGAGGCCAAGGCAGGCGGATCACCTGAGGTCAGGAGTTCAAGACCAGCCTGACCAACATGGATAAACCCCATCTCTACTAAAAATACAAAACTAGCCCGATGTGGTGGTGCATGCCTGTAATCCCAGCTACTCGGGAGGCTGTGGTGGGAGAAATCGCTTGAATCCGGGAGGCAGAGGTTGTGGTGAGCCAAGATCGTGCCATTGCACTCCAGCCTGGGCAACAAGGGGGAAACTCCGTCTCAAAAAAAAAACAAACAAACAAACAAAAAAAAAAAGAGCCTAAAAGTCAGTCAATAGAGAATTAAATAAACCATAATATATTCACATAATGGAATATTACATAGCAATAAAAAGAAACAAACCAGTGATAGATGCAAAACATGGATAAATGTTAGCAATATTATACTGAATAAAAAGAAGCCAAACACAAAAGAGTACATATTATGTGATTCCATTTTTATGAAATTTAAGAACAGGCAAAACTATGGAAACAGAAATCAGAAGAATGGTTGCCAGAATCATGGTGGAGGTACAAGCAACAGAAGAGGAAAAGACACAATGGTTGAGTCATATACTTGAGTCACATAAAAAAGAAAAATGAATTAATTAAAAATATATTAAATTCTTTTGATTTTTTTAAAAGATAAAATGAAAACAAGGAAAATTTCTGGAGCATGACAATATGTTACTCTAGTCAGAGCTCATCTAACTTTACTCTTAAGATTGCCTGTTTAATGTAACTATATGTCAATAAAAATCACAAACAAATCAATAAATGAGTTAAAATTCTCCTAAAGACTATGGAAAGGGGCATTTATTCCTTTCTCTTCCATTGAAAACCACTAAAAACAACAACAAAAAAGTTGAGTAGTGGAAATGCGGCAAGATACTTGCACAGCCTCAAACACTACACAAAGTATGAGCAAATATTTAGCAAATATGGTGAACTTTAAGCCAACCACAGAGCACAGTAAGGCTGACATATGCCACTTCCAATCTCAAACAGGATTTCGATTTCCCAAAATTTAAGTATCACTTAACTTTTGCGAATATCAAAAAACAGTATAAACCCATATATATGGAAATATGCTTTTTTCTAGAAATAAATGAAAAAAACTCATTAATAGTGGTTGCCTTTAGAGAAAAAGGACAGAACGAGATTTTATTTGCTTCATTTTATACTTTTTTTTTTTTTTTTGAGACAGGGTCTCATTGTTTCCCAGGCTGGAGTATAGTGGCACAATCATAGCTTTCTTTAATCTTGAACTCCTGGGCTCAAAGGATCCTCCCACCTCAGCCTCCTGAGTAGCTGGAACTACAGGTGCACAAGACCACGCCTAGCTTATTTTTTAATTTTTAGTAGAAACAGGATCTCGCTATATTTCCTAGGCTGGTCTCCAAATCCTGGGCTCAAGAGATCCTCCCACCTCAGCCTGCTGAGTAGCTGGAACTACAGGTGCACAAGACCACGCCTAGATTATTTTTTAATTTTTAGTAGAAACAAGATCTCGCTATATTTCCTAGGCTGGTCTCCAACTCCTGGGCTCAAGAGATCCTCCCACCTCAGCCTCTCAAAGTGCTAGGATAACAGGTGTGAGCCACCACACACAGCCCACCTTGTATCTTTCTACACAGCCCAAATTTTCTAACCTTATGCAAATATATTATTTTCTTTTTAAGTAAACAGAAGTCACCTGGTCTCCTTTATTGTTTCCCTTTTTATGTACTCTTTGTATCCAATACAAACCAACAAATGTATTATTTAATAACAAAATTTCTAAATGTTCTTTTACACTAATTTTAAGCAAAGAATACTGAGGACAAATCTCTCCTCCAAGAACAAATTTTAGAAATGGTTAATAGGAGGTCGGGCACGGTGCCTCATGCCTGTAATACCAGCACTTTGGGAGGCCAAGGCAGGTGGATCACCTGAGGTTGGGAGTTCGAGACCAGCCTGACCAACATGGAGAAACCACACCTCTACTAAAAAATACAAAATTAGCCGGGCGTGGTGGCACATGCCAGTAATCCCAGCTACTGGGGAGGCTGAGGCAGGAGAATCGCTTGAACCCGGAAGGCAGAGGTTGCGGTGAGCCGAGATCGCGACATTGCACTCCAGCCTGGGCAACAAGAGCAAAACGCCATCTCAAAAAAAAAAAAATGGTTAATAGAGCCAAGTGCGGGGGCTCACGCCTGTAAACCCAGCGCTTCAGGAGGCTGAGGTGGGAGGTTCACCTAAGCAACACAGCAAAACTTTGTCTCTGCAAAAAAATTTTAGAAACTAGCTAAGCATGGTGGTGCATGCCTCTAATCCGAGATACTCAGGAGGCTGAGGTGGGAGCACAGCTTGAGCCCAGGAAGCTGAGGCTGCAATGAGCCGTGAGTGTGCCAGTGCACTCCAGCCTGGGTGACAGAGCAAGACCCTGTCTCAAAAAAAAAATACGTAAATAAATAAGGGTTAATTTTACTTGTAACCAAAAATATACATTTTAAGATTACTTAAAACACGTTATCCTAAAATAAATGCTACAGTTATGGACTGAATTGTATTCCCCCAAAATTCATATGTTGAAGCCCCAACTCCCAGGGCCTTAAAAGGGGTTGAGTGAGGTCATGTGGGTGGAGTCCCAATCCAATAGGACTAATGTCCTTATAAGAAGAAGAGACACTAGGGGTACGTGTGCCCAGAGAAAAAGCCATCTGCAATCCAAGTAAAGAGGCCTCAGAAGACAACCCTGCCAGCACCTTCATCTTGGACTTCCACATTCCAAGGCCAGGCATAATGGCTCATACCTCTAATCCCAGCACTCTGGGAGACCAAAGTAGGAAGACTTCTTAAGGCCAGAAGTTCAAGACAAGCCTAGGCAACATAGCAAGATCCCACCTCTACAGAAAAAAAATTTTAAGTAGCCAGGCACCTGCTTGTATTCCCAGCTACTCAGGAGGCTGGGCAGCAAGATCACTCGAGCCCAGGAGTTCAAGGATTCAATGAGCTATGAGTGTGCCACTGCACTCCAGTGTGAGCAACACAGACCCTGACTCTAAAGAACCTAAATGCCCTTCCATGGTAGTTTAGATAAAGAAAATGTGGTACATATACACCACAGAATACTATGCAGCCATAAAAAAGAATGAGATCATGTCCTTTGCATGGATGAAGCTGGAGACCATTATCCTCAGCAAACTAACACAGGAACAGAAAACCAAATACTGCATGTTCTCACTTATCAGTGAGAGCTGAATGATCAGAACACGCGGACACATAGAGGGAACAACACACACTGGGGCCTTTCAGAGGTTGGAGGATGGGAGGAGGGAGAGGAACAGGAAAAATAACTAATGGGTACTAGGCTTAATATCTGGGCGATGAAATAATCTGTACAATAAACCCCCATGACACAAGTTACCTATGGAACAAACCTGCACTTGTACCACTAAACTTAAAATAAAAGTTAAAAAACAAAACACAAAAAACTGCTATCTTAATCCTTATTCATCAAAGTCTGATTATAATGCTTAAAAATGAGATAAAGTCCAGATTTATAATCAAAATAGCTTTTGAAATATAGTTATATTACTCCTTAAAACATACATTTTAAAACTTAAAATGGGTCAAGTGCATAAGAACAAACAATTCTATAAACATTATCGTTTTAGTAAACTTAAAACAGAATTTATTTTACAATAATAAGATTTAAATTTCATGAAGTAATCAATTATGCATAATTATATATACATAGTTTTAAACGAAGAGCCTAACCTCAAAGTATCATTTCAACATGCCAAAAATGAACTAAAATCTGCAATTAAATAACACAAGAAAACCAAAAAAGGGACATATCAGAAAATAAACATTCAGTTTTATTACAATATTTTAAACATACCAAATAAAACTGTATACTTAAAATAAATTAATTTTATTTACCACCTGCAAAGGGAGAGTCCAGCGTTCTGAGCTTCTGAATTTGGACAGTGGTGATTGAACATGGACATCCTCTGGTTTTGCATTTAACATCTTTCTTATCTGAAAATAGGATGAGAAAATAATTAGTTTAATTGAACTATATACAAGAGCTAATTCAGCTAACAGAACCACTATACTACCCTGCATCAATAATTTGCTAACTGTTTTAAGGAGTTTTAAATTCAGTGCTTAATTTATATACAATTAAATATAATTTTATTCACAAAAAACCTCTCCTTGACTCTGAAAGTCAAATGAAAGTTGAATGAAGAATCAGAAGAGCTTCCTAACTATTCTCTTGTCTGCTGTCTCTTCCCCTTTTAACCTTTCAAATGTCAGCCCCAGAGTTCTCTAATACATAAAACCTAATTATGGCTGCAATACTTAAAATTCAACAATGGTAGCCATTACTTACAGATAAAACTCTTAACAATTGTAAAACTCTTTACCATTTGGGCTCTTTCACATCACATCACTACAAAACTACAACCCAACCACAATGAATGAAATCAACCTTCTTCAAACACATCATATTATTTTATATCTCTAAACCTTTGCATATACTCTTCCCACAATCTAGAATGCTCTTCCTTCTCTCCCTAGTGAAGTACTCCAGATTCTTGTCAAAATTACTATTTTATCTATACAACCATCATGCCATACCACGCATTCCTGGAACAGAATCAATGGAACAGACCAATGGAACAGAACAGAGAACTCTGAAATAAGACCACACACCTACAACTATCTGATCTTCGACAAACCTGACAAAAACAAGCAATGGGGAAATAATTCTCTATTTAATAAATGGTGCTGGGAGAACTGGCTAGCCATATGCAAAAATTGAAACTGTACCCCTTCCTTATACCATATACAAAAATTAATTCAAGATGGATTAAAGACTTAAATGTAAAACACAAAACTATAAAAACCCTACAAGAAAATCAAGGCAATACCATTCAGGACATAGGCACAAGCAAATATCTCATAACAAAAATGCCAAAAGCAATTGCGATAAAAGCAAAAATTGATAAATGGGATCTAATTAAACTAAGGAACTTCTGCACAGCAAAAGAGTGAACAGACAACCTACAGATTGGGAGAAAAATTTGGCAGTCTATCCGTCTGACAAACTCTAATATCCAGAGTCTACAAGGAACATAAATTTATAAGAAAAAAAATTCCCATTAAAAAGTGGGCAAAGGATATGAACAAACAGTTCTTAAAGGAAGACACACATGTGGCCGACATCACTGATCATTAGAGAAATGCAAATCAAAACGACAACGAGACACCATCTCACACCACTCAGAATGGCTATTATTAAAAAGTCAAAAAACAACAGATGCTGGCAATGTAGCAGAGAAAAAGGAACACTTTTACACCACTGCTGGGATTGTAAATTAGTTCAACCATTGTGGAAGACAGTGTGGTGATTCCTCAAAGACCTAGAGGCAAACATACCATTTGACCTAGCAACACCATTACTGGGTATATACCCAAAGGAATATAAATCATTCTATTACAAAGATATATGCATGCACATGTTTGCTGCAACACTATTCACAATAGCAAAGACATGGAATCAACCCAAATCCCCATCAATGATAGACTGAATAAAGAAAATATAAAACATATATACATAGGATACTATGCAGCCCTAAAAAGGAACACAATCGTGTCTTTTGCAGGGACATGGATGGAGTTGGAAGCCATTATCTTCAGCAAACTAATGCAGAAACAGAAAACCAAACAATGCATGTTCTCACTTTTAAGTGGGAGCTGAATGATGAGAACAGATGGACACAATGGGGGAACAACACACACTGGGGCCTGTCAGACCGGTAGAGGGAGCATCAGGAAGAATAGCTAATGGATGCTGGCCTTAATATCTAGGTGATGGGTTGTTCTTGCAGCAAACCACCATGGCACACATTTACCTATGCAATGATCCTACACATCCTGCAAGTGTACCCCGAGCTTAAATAAAAGTCGAAGAAAAAAATGTTCACCACTGTTTCCCTGGTACTTATGCCTAACACAGTGTCCAATACATGTTGAATACCCAATAAATATCTACTGACCAATGCTTTAATAAATTAGATTTCAGAAAATAATGTTCATGATATATAGGTAAGTAGGAAAAAAGATTACAAGACAGTATTTTGTGGTTTTCTATTTTTTAATATGTTTCTTATAAACAGACAAATAAACTAGAAGGATACACACCAAAGTATTAATTCTGGTTGTGTCTGGGTGGCCTTAATTCACCCAGTGAAATAAGTTCTTAATTGAACTTTAGAATATCTCTACAACAATCTAGTGTCATTTTAGAAATATTTCTTAAACATGTATTTATTTATTCGAGACAGGGTCTCGCTCTGTCACCTAGGCTGGTGTGTAGTGACTCAAACATAACTTACTTCTGCTTCTACCTCTTGGGCCCAGGCAATCTTCCTGCATCAGCCTCCTGTGTAGCTGGGACCACAGGCATGCACCATCATATCTGACTAATTTTTTTATTTTTTGCAGACACAGGGTCTTACTTTGTTGCCCAGGCTAGTCCCAAATTCCTGGGCTCTGTGGCTCAAGCAATCCTCCCATCTTGGCCTCCCTAAGTGCTGGGTTTAGAGGCATGAGCTCCCACACCCAGCCAAACACTTCAAACACTTTTTTTTTTTTTTTTTGAGACAGAGTCTCGTTCTGTTTCCCAGGCTGAAAGTGCAGTGGCACAACCTCAGCTAACTGCAACCTCCGCCCCCGAGTTCAAACAATCCTCCCACCTCAGCCTCCGAAGTAGATGGGACTACAAAAATGCACCACCATACCCAGCTAATTTTTGTATTTTCAGTAGAGATGGGCTTGCACCATCTTGGCCAGGCTGGTCTTGAAGTCCTGACCTCAAGTGATCCACCCGCCTTGGCCTCCCAAAGTGCTGGGATTATAGGCATGAGCCAACCCACCAGGCCCAGGCCAAACACTTTAAATTCAACACGTATTAGTATCTTCTCCCTATATCCATCAAAGCTCTTATCCTTTTGGTAACTTATTTCCACTAGCAGCCTGGAGGGAAAAGGCAGTAATATAAACTACTAACAATAATGAAATATGCTAATTTTCTAAGAAAGTCTACCTTTTTTAAACACACTAACACAACTTTATATATAAATTACGGGATTAAGAAATAAGTAAATATATTGTAGATAATGAGAGACAGAAAAAAATAAGGAAAGAGGAAAAGCTAGAATAAGCCTTGTGGTGTTGGACCGGAATCAGAAGTATCAGTATTAATTTTTTATAGATATATAGATAGAGATACAGAAATAAATATAGATACATGTGTTTGTGTGGGAAAATAAATAGACATATGTATGTTGTATGTGTGAACATATATTTTTCTAGTCTTGTCTGTTGAGAAAGCCTAAAAACAATGACATCCCAGTTGCAAGTATACCTAGCACACAGACATGGGTTTCTAAATATCATCCTTCAATTGAAAGAACCAAGGCTCCCTGGGAAAGTGGTTGATTCCAAGCCTGGGGCAGGGAAAACACAACATAAGCATCTTGCAGTGCCAAAAAATATACAGTGTCAGAAAGTAAGTGTTCAAAAAAAAAAAGATAGGAGCACGTCACAAGGGTACAGCCAACATGAAAGATCTCCCAAGGCTGGAATACTTTGACCAACAAATCTGTAATGACAGTAGTGGATTATAACTCATAGAATAAACTAAATATTCTATGAGTCCATATTGATACAAATAAATAAGTGAAGCCAAGCACAGTGGCTCACACCTAGAATCCTCACACTTTGAGAAGCTGAAGCAGGAGGATCTCTAAATAAATAAATAAGTAAGTAAGTAAGTGGGGGAAGAGGATCAGCTCTGCCTTACATAAGAATTTTTATTTTTTAGAGACAGTGTCTCACTCTGTTATCCAGGCTGGAATGCAGTGGTGCGATCACAGCTGATCACAGCCTCAACTCCCCTGGCTCAAACGATCTTCCTATGTCAGCCTCCCAAGTAGCTGGGATTCCAGGCATATGCCAACATGCCCAGCTAATTTTTTTTGTAGATATGGGGTCTCACTATGTTGCCCAGGCTGGCCTCAAATTCCTGACCTCAAGTGATCCTCCCACCTTGGCCTCCCAAAGTGCCAGGATTACAGTTGTGAGCCACCACACTGGCCCCTTATAGAAGAATTTACATTCATAAATCTATAATGAATGGGCAAAAGAGAAAACCACCAAAATACCACATATATAAATTTGGAGGCAAGATACACTGATAGATGCTAAAATAGTAAACAAAAGTTTGAGAAGAAATAGTATATTTGCATAGATTCAAAGCATCTCCCCTAAGATATTTATTAATTATAAAGAGGAAAAAAGTAACTTTACAATGGAGGAAACAGGCAGATCCCATCTTAACCAAACAATCAAGGCTGATATTACCAGTATTAAGATATATCACTATCATGTACCCCCTGATATAATGCACTAAGAAGGTCATCATCACTTCTGTGGTATTCCTCCCAAAAAGTCATAACCTTAATCTAATCTTGAGAAACCTGAAACAAACCCAAAGTGAGAGATATTCTACAAAATACTGTCCAGTTTTCTTCAAGAGTGTCATGGTCATGAAAGAAAAAAGACTGAAGAATTGTCATAGACTTAAGAAAACTAGGGAGACCTAACAACTAAATGCAATGTGGGATCCTGGATTGGATCTGGCAACAGAAAAAGGACATTAGTGAAACTGAAGAAATCCAAATGATGTCTATAGTTTAAAGCAGGTGTGCCCAACCCCCAGGCCAAGGACAACACAGCAGGAGGCGAGCAGCACGGGAGAATTAGGGCCTGCACTACCCCTCCTGTCAGATCAGCAGTGGCATTAGATTCTCATAGGAGCACAAACACTATTGTGAACTGTGCATGCAAGGGATCTAGGTTGCATGCTCCTCATGAGAACCCAATGCCTGAAAATTTGAGGTAGAACAGTTTCATCCCGAAACCATCTTCCCGACCCCTGTCCATGGGAAAACTGTCTTCCACGATACTGGTCCCTGGTGCCAAACAGGTTGGGGACCACTGGTTTAAGGTACTGTATCAATATAAATTCCTTGTTTTTTGTAATCATACCGTAGTTATATAAGATAACATTAGGAGAACCTGAGTGAATTTTACAGGAACTCTGTAAAATTTCTGTAACTTTTCTGTAAGTCTCAACTTCCTTGTAAACAAAAAGTTTAAGAAACACTGTAGTACATCTAAAAATCAGAGAAATGGATTAACTCAGTATTAATTTCTAATGGCAGGATTTCAGATTAATTGCATGAATAATGCAATAGTCTAAAGCACGATATTTCACTTCACTGGATATAATAAAAACAAAAATAGTGGTAGTTAATACAGAGGTATTTCAAAGTAGATATGATAGTATTCATCCTGGCAATGTAAGGTTTTTTTAGGGGGCAGCGGGGGACAGAGTCTCGCTCTGTCACCCAGACTGGAGTGCAATGGCGCAATCTCGGCTCACTGCAACCTCTGCCTCCCGGGTTCAAGCGATTTTCCTGCCTCAGCCTCCCAAGTAGCTGGGACTACAGGCACCTGCCATCATGCCCAGCTAATTTTTTTTTTTTTTCTTGGAGACAGAGTCTCGCTCTGTCGCCCAGTCTAGAGTGCAGTGGCATGATTTCAGCTCACTGCAAGCTCTGCCTCCCAGGTTCACACCATTCTTCTACCTCAGCCTCCCGAGTAGCTGGGACTACAGGCACCTGCCACCACACCCCGCTAATTTTTGGTATTTTTAGTTGAGATGGGGTTTCACCGTGTTAACCAGGATGGTCTCGATCTCCTGACCTCGTGATCTGCCCACCTCAGCCTCCCAAAGTGCTGGGATTACAGGCATGAGCCACTGCGCCCGGCCAATTTTTGTATTTTTGTAGAGACGGGGTTTCACCATGTTGGCCAGGCTGGTCTTGAACTCCTGACCTAAGATGATCCGCCCGCCTCAGCACAAGATTTTTTTTAACCTCCTATTTACCCCACTTAAACTAAATCCAGAGTTTTAAATGGAGAAACCACACCATGCAAATCTTAAGCCAAAAAAGAAAGTGTATCTAAAGCCATACTTTCTATATGGTCTTCTAAGGTACTCTTGATTTCCTCTCATTGTCTTCCTTTATGACTTCTTCTCCTTCTTTGTTAAATGCTATAACTATATAACATGAAGACGTATCATATTAAAGTTCTCTGTGCATAACTTAGACTGCTTCAGAGAAAAGGGTTTAATAAATTCTTATAATGTAAATCGGGATATTACTGCATTTAAAGAACAAAATTCTAGAAAAAAAATTATCTCTATATGCCAGGTATGGTGGCTTATGCCATAATCCCAACACTTTGGGAGGCCAAGGCAGGAGGATTGCTTGAGGCCAGGAATGTGAGACCAGCCTGGGCAACATAGCAAGACCCCTGTCTCTACAAGAAAAAATTAAAATTAGCTGGTCATGGTGGCACATCCCTGTATTCCCAGCTACATGGGAGGCTGAGGCAGGAGGATCCCTAAAGCCCAGGAGTTCAAGGCTGCAGTGAGCTGTACTTGAGCCTGGGCAACAGAGCAAGACCCTGTCTCTTAAAAAAAAAGAAAAAGATTATCTTTCTTAAAAGGAATTAATTTTTTAAAACACTTCCTATATAGGTAGAAACTTCGTTTTGTTTGTTTTGCTACTCTTGGCTTACGTAGAAGAAATAAATGAAAAAAAGAGGCTTAAAAGGACATATTCCCAATAGTAATGTTCAGCACATACCTTGAGTACAACTACTCTGCATCTATAGCATTACTAATGAATGCACATTGGTACTCTAATAGATTAAGTCATCAAAGAAATGTTGTGCTATGTTTTAAATAAAATCTAAAATGAGCTCTGGAAAGTATACTGGTCATCTGGTCCAGAAAGTATACTAGTCAACTATTTAAACAAAGTTGGTAGAAAAGTCTCCTGGTTAACCTTCAGTTAATTAGAATACACCACTCTCCCAAAACACTGACTAAAGTTTTATACTGTTTTCTTTAAAATGTTATTAAAAAGACAAACAGCAAAATACTTTCAATATCAGTAACTCCAAAGATAATAGGTTAAAAGCAAAACAAATGCATACCTCCGATAAATCAGAAGATGACTTTTTCCTTTTTCCTTCTGTGATGATTTCTACAAAAACCAAAGACGTGGTAAAAATTATCGTTTAACATCTAAATGAGATAAACAGTTTGACAAAGGAGATTCTTTCACATTCATCCTTTGTTTTAAATTAACTTGTTAGATTTAGAATTTACACATTTTACAGAAACTGAAGGGCTAAACATAAAAGTCAAAAAATAACTACATGTGTCAGAAGAATAGCAGATTCTCACAAAATGTCCCCAGTAAAATATTTATATATATAAATATATATATAATGACAATAGAAAAGAAAGAGGAAAACTTGGCTCTAAGAACTAAACAGAAATTCCCTGACCAAAGACCTCACACCTAGTAGTAGAACCATTTGATCAGACAAATTCTTATAATGGGGGAGGTAGAAGCAGGTGAAATTCTAGAAGTTAGAAGTTGAGAATATTCTATAAAAACACTTTCAGTTCTACTACATATCTAAGCATGCTGGGCAACATGCTTAGGGAACAGCTTAACTCTCTTTTACTCACCAACATTTTTCAGACTTGCTGTGGATTTTTCTGAGTTATAACTTCCAACCAGCAAACATTAATTCAATGTCTATTATGTGCCTGACACTGTGCTAGGCAATGAGTACAGTATAGTGGGCAAATTAGGCAGTACAGTATAGTGGGCAAATTCCAAACTTTCCTGGAACTTAGAGTCTACTGGAATATATCACAGATTTTACTAAAAAAATAAATGGCAGAGATTCAACATATGGTCAGCTGCTTATGACAAATGCACGACTGCAATTCCATAGGAAAGGGATGATTTTCAAAATGATGCTGAGGCAATCTGATAACCAAATGGGGGAATAACACCCTTGACTACCTCACACCATACACAAAATTAATTTGAAATGAATCATAGATTGAAATGTCAAAGATAAAAACAAAGCATCTAGATTTAAGTAGGAGAATATATTCACGACCTTTGGGTAGGCAAAGATTTTTCAAAGAGGACACAAGTAGTCCTAACCACAAATGAAAACGTTAATAAACTGTACTTCATTAAAATTAAGAACTTCTGATCCTACTGTAGCTCATGAGCATGATGACTGGGTGTTCACACGCATCTGTGAGATATGCCACCTTGAACCTTGTTACCAGGTCAGCGTATTACCCATCTGACATGAAAGAAAAATAAAGAACCACACTGGATTAGCATGTTTTTTTGTTTTGTTTTGTTTTGTTTTTGAGATGGAGTTTCACTCATTGCCCAGGCTGGAGTGCAATGGCACAATCTCGGCTCACTGCAACCTCCACCTCCCGAGTTCAAGCGATTCTTCTGCCTCAGCCTCCCGAGTAGCTGGGATTACAGGTATGCGCCACCATGCCAGGCTAATTTTGTATTTTTAGTAGAGGCGGGGTTTCTCCATGTTGGTCAGGCTGGTCTCCTGACCTCAGGTGATCCACCCACCTCGGCCACCCAAAGTGTTGGGATTACAGGCATGAGCCACCGCGCCTGGCTGGATTTGCTTTGAAAAAGAAAAAAGAAAAAAAAAAAAGGTCAGGCACAGTGGTTCATGCCTGTAATCCCAACACTTTGGAAGGCCAGGGCATGGGGATCACTTGAGCCCAGGAGTTCGAGACCAGCCTGGGCAACACAGTGGGACCCCATCTCTATAAAAATATTTAAAAAGGAGCTGGACACGGTAGCACATGCCTGTAGTTCCAGCTACTCAGGAGGCTGAGATGGAAGGATCACTCGAGCCTGGGAGGTTACAGCTGCAGCGAGCCATGACTGCAACACTGCATTCCAGCCTGGGTGACAGAGTAAGACCCTGTCTCAGATTTAAAAAAAAAAAAAAAAGAACTTCTGTTCATCAAAAATCATCAAGAGTGAAACGGCATGTCAAGAATAAAAGAAAAATATTTATAATACATGTATTTGTCAAAGAATTCATAACCAGAATATATAAAGAACTCCTACAAAGCAAAAGCAAGATAATCCTATCTTCAAAATGGACAAAAGTCTGAATAGGCACTTCACAAAAAAAGAATATCCAAATGGCCAATAAACATATAAACAGGTGCTCAATTTCATAATCACTAGGGAAATGCAAAATTTAAATGGCAATGAAAACCATTAAACAGCCTTTAGAATGGGTAAAAGTAAAAAGATTGACAACACCAAATATTGGTGAGAGACTGGAACTCATATACTCTTGCTAAGAGTGTAAATGAGTACATCTGCTTCACCAGCATCTACTGAAGTTAGACACCTGCCTATGCAATGTCCAACAATTACACTTTTAGATAAATAACCAACAGAAATAAGAATATTCAGGTATTTTTGTTCTTAATATCCAAAAACTGGAAACAACCCAAATATCCATCAAGTATGGATAAACATATTCATATAATGGAAAACTGTATAGCAATAAAAGATAATGAATTACTGCTACGCACAATATGGATACATTTCTCAGGCATGCTCAAAGGAAACCAGATGCAGAAGAGTATATGATTCTATTTCTCAGAAATTCAAGAAGAGTTAAAATAAACCTATGGTAACACTAGTTAAAACAGTGATGGGGGCCAGGCATGGTGGCACATGCCTGTAATCCCAGCAGTTTGGGAGGCTGAGGTGGGTAGATCGCTTGAGCTCAGGAGTTTGAGAACAGCCTGGGCAAAAGGGTGAAACCCCGTCTGCATAAAAAAGTACAAAAATTAGCTGAGTGTGGTGGTGTGCACCTGCACTCCCAGCTACTCAGTAGGCTGAGGTGGGAAGATCACTTGAACCAGGCAGTTGAGGCTGCAGTGAGCCATGATGGCACCACTGCACTCCAGCCTGGGCAACAGAGCAAGACACTGTCTCAAATTAAAAAAAAAAAAAGTCACTGAACTATACACTAAAGATATGTGTACTGTATGGTACTTAAAATCAGAAATAATAATAATAACTAATGAAATATAGACTACCCAGAAATCTATATTGCTGAAATGATTTCTTCTAAGTTCATAATACACAGCATTAGTTTCACTACATGCACTTGCTGAGAAACCATGTAATGTTTTCCTGATCTAAAAAATTATTTTTGGGCCAGGCGCGGTGGCTGATGCCTGTAATCCCAGCACTAATGGGAGGCCGAGGTGGTTGGATCACTTGAGGTCAGGAGTTCGAGACCAGCCTGGTCAACATGGGGAAACCCGTCTCTATTAAAAATACAAAAAAAAAAAAATTAGCTGGGTGTAGTGGCAGGTGCCTATAATCCCAGCTACTCAGGAGGCTGAGACAGGAAAATCGCTCAAACCCAGGAGGCAGAGGTTGCAGTGAGCCAAGATCACACCATTGCACTCCATCCTAGGCAACGAGGGCAAAATTCCATCTCAAAAAAAAAAAAAAATTATTTTCACCTCTACACTTAAGCTTTTGATAACTTCAAATAATTTAAATAAACTAGTACTCAAGTTGACTACCAAAAATAAAGAATTTTTTAAATAAGTGATAAGAAAGTATCCTGTAGAAATTCATTTTCTAGTCAATTTTAAATTTAACAAAACACATATCTACATATACACAATGGAATACTATTCCGGAATGAAAAAGGAATGAACTCACGTCTTTTACAGTAACACAGAACTGGAGACCTTCATCTTCAGTGAAACAACTCAGATTAGAAGCTCACACCTATAATCCCAACACTTTGGGAGGCCAAGGCAGGATGACTGCTTGAGCCCAGGAGTTTGGGACCAGCCTGCACCACATGGTGAGACCCTGTCTCTAAAAATATTTATTTGAATTAGCTAGGTACAGTGACACCACCTGTGGTCTCAGCTGCTTGGGAGGCTGAGGTGGGAAAATCGCTTGAGCCCAGGAGGTCAAGGCTGCAGTGAGGCATGTGGAGAATCGCTTGAGCCCAGGAGGTCGAGGCTGCAGTGGGCCGTTTTTGCACCACTGCACTCCAGTCTGGACGACAGAGCGAAACCATTTCAAAAAGAAAAAGAAAAAAGAAAAAAAAAGAACTCAGAAAGTCAAATACCACATATTCTCACTATAAGTAGGGGCTAAATAATGTGTATACACATGGACATAGAGTGTGGAATAACAGTCATTGAAGACTTGGAAGGCTAGGAGCAGTGCAGTGAGGGATAAGAAATTACTTAATGGGTACAATGTACACTATTCAGGTGATGATTACACTAAAAGCCCAGATTTCACCACCACACAATATACCCATATAACAAAGCTGTACTTGTAACCCTTAAATTTATACAAATAAAAAAGTACATGTCATTTTAAAAGGAATGTCAGTTTCTTAAATTTTAATTTACAAATTTATATCCCAAAAATGTCTCACTGGGTTAAAAGTGCTTCCATCCTGTTTTGTAGTATGTTCCCCTATTTCCTTTCATTAATGCTACTGTGAATTCCCAAATATTTATGTTTTTTTCTTCTTGGCCAACTTTGTCTAATAAAAAAATTTACAATTTTTTTATAGCTGACTTGCTCCATCTTATACCAGGTTAGCTCTGGAGTGTTTAAATAAGCATATGATGTGCCTCGACTTGAGACTGTATGGTATAGTTACCATGCTCAAGAGTACATATTTTAAAGCTAGACAACCTAAATTTGTATCTCGGCTTACTAGTTGTGACTTCTCTGAGTCTCAGTTTCTCATCTGTAAAATGGCGGAGAATATCTGCCTTTTTAATCGTTCAGATTAAAGCATGATAGTCCATATTAAGGCATTTAGCATTATGACTAACACATAGTTAGTGCAAAAGAAATGGTAACTATAACATTTTATAGTCAAGTATCTCCCTTTAAAAGACTGTAGTATATTAGCATTAGCATATAGGAAAATCTCTCCAATTACTCTCATTCTAAATATATGAGTCAAAAAACTAAAAGCATAACTTTTCCCACTCATTCACTTATTTATTCCATAATTTTTTTTTTTTTTTTTTGAGACGGAGTCTTGCTCTGTCACCCACGCTGGAGTGCAGTGGCACGATCTCGGCTCACTGCAACCTCCACCTCCCAGGTTCAAGCGATTCTCCCGCTTCAGCCTCCCCAGTACCTGGGACTACAGGCAGGAAGCACCATGCCTGGCTAATTTTTTATGTTTAGTAGAGAGAGAGTTTCACCATATTGGCCAGGCTGGTCTCGAACTCCTGAGCTCAAGTGATCTGCCCACCTTGGCCTCCCAAAGTGCTGGGATTACAGGCATGGGCCACAGCACCCAGCCTATTTATTTGACATAATAGTAATTATCATTGCCTGGAATTATGCTAAGTGCTTTACACAAATTATTTTCCTTAATCCTTATATCATGAAATCAATAATGTATAATCTCCATCTTATAGATTAAGAAATTAAGATTTGAGGAATCCAAATAACTTGCCCAACGTTACCATAGTGATCCATCACCGGTCATATTCCAGAGATGGTACTCTAAACCAGTACACTCTAGGCATACTGGATGCTATGGGGAAATAAAATTAATGACAGTCCCTGTCACAGTGTTAATAGTATAGAAGTAGACATTAGACAACTCAGCAAGCTAGAATATATGATGGAATCTGATAATTATCATATAAGAGGCATAAAGACCAACAGAAGTGCAGAAACAGGCATAAATTTAAGTTTGAATTAATCAAGGAAATGGTTCTTGGAAAGGCACAACTGAACTGGGCTTGGGCTGAGCATGGTGGCTCATGCCTATAATCCCAGCACTTTGGGAAGCCGAGGTGGGAGGATCGCTTGAGGCGAAGAGTTCAAGAACAGCCCAGGTAACACAGTGAGACACCATCTCTAGAAAAACTAAGTTTTTTTAAAAAATAGCCAGGCATGATAGTGCGGGCCTGTAGTCCTAGCTACTCCGGAGCCTGAAGTAGGAGGATAGCCTGAGCCCAGGAGTTCAAGGCTGCATTGAGCTATGATCGTGCCACTGCACTCCAGCCTAGGCAACAGAGCAAGATCCCATCTCAAAAAAAAAAAAAAAAAAAGAGCTGGGCTTTGAAGAATAAGGTTTAGACAGGCAGAAATGGGTGGAGCCAGGCACAACCCAAGGGTGATTTACCAATACGAGCACACACGAACTAGGATGAAGCAGACCACATCAGCCAGATTCATAAATTACTGAAAACCCAAATGAAAGTTATTCATCAGGAAGGCATTATAACAGAATTCTAGTCTGGATCTTTGGAGCTACTCAATCTTATTCATAACCCATTCTCTGTGTTACCATACCCCCTTAATTTACTTTTCAATCCTCTGCCTTCCATCATCAAGCCTAGGAATCACCACCAAGGTGTCAATCCCTATAGCCTATCACCTTCTTATTATCACACCTCATATAATTGAATTCTACCCCCTCATCTACATCTTCTTCATCTCTTCCCTAGTTTACCAAATTCTTTTCCAAAGTCAATACAGTTTCCTTAAATTTTGAATATTTTCCTTGAATTTCTCCTCCACCTTAGGTTAACTAAATCCTAGCTTTTTATTAGATATATTACTTTGTTAAAACTCTCCCACTTATAAAACAGAAGTAGAGATGAACAATCTCCATTGTTTCCTTTGGGGGGAAGACAAAAAAAAAATCTCCTTCCCCACCGCCACCATCTCCTATTAATATTCTAACTTTATTACAATAATTCCTCCTTTAAAATTAACATAAATTGGATACATTCCTGGCTGGGCACAGTGGCTCACACCTGTAATCACAGCACTTTGGGAGGCCAAGGCAGGTGGACCATGATATCAAGAGATAGAGACCATCCTAGCCAACATGGTGAAACCCCGTCTCTACTAAAAATACAAAAATTAGCTGGGCATGGTGGCACTCACCTGTAGTCCTAGCTACTCAGGAGGCTGATGCAGGAGAATCGCTTGAACCCAGGAGGCAGAGGTCGCAGTGAGCTGAGATCACGTCACTGCACTCCAGCCTGGCGACAGAGCGAGACTCCATCTCAAAAAAAAAAAAAAAAAAAAAAATTGGATATATTCCCTTGCCCATATTTATGACTGCCATCTACTGACCCAAGATCCTTTCCAACATGTCTAGAATACTCTGATTCTTGGTTCATAGTTTACGTATCATCAAAATTCACCATCATTCTGAAGCACTAAAACATCCATTAATCAACTCACTCAAAACAATGGACTCATCTTCATTTAATGGTACAAACTTCTACATATCTCCATTTCAGCAATACGCATTCAAGAATGGCTTTAAGGAGGCCAGGCGCAGTGGCTCACGTCTGTAATCCCAGCACTTTGGGAGGCCGAGGCAGGCAGATCACGAGGTCAGGAGATCAAGACCATCCTGGCTAACATGGTGAAACCCCATCTCTACTAAAAATACAAAAAAAAATTAGCCAGGCGTGGTGGCGGGCTCCTGTAGTCCCAGCTACTCGGGAGGCTGAAGCAGGAGAATGGGATGAACCCAGGAGGCGGAGCTTGCAGTGAGCCGAGATCGTGCCACTGCACTCCAGCCTGGGGGGCAGAGTGAGACCCCGTCTCCAAAAAAATAAAAGAAAGGCTTTAAGGAAAACTGTTCCTTACAGCTTTAAGGAAAACTCTCAAGTTCTCAAATGCAAACCTTTCATTCTATATACTGTCTTCCTCACTGCCACTAAATCCACTCTTTGCCCTTATATCTTGCCACACCCTTTAAGTAAAATTAAACTCATTTTTCTTCCAAACTCTTGCTCTTGTAATGCTTGGCACTACTAAGTCACAAAGTACTAACAGCTCCAACTACTATAAAACTCACACTTGCTATAACTAAGACTGCAAGAGTACTTAATATATATTCATCCCTAATTGACCTATCTTGCATTCCCAGTACCATTTAAAAGCCCCTTTCTCAAAAAATTACCTTATTTCATTTTAGAAGCCAAAACTGCAATATCTTTAGCTTCTCAAGATCTGTCTATATCTTTATCCATCTTTTCTCCTTTCCCTATATCTCACCAAACTGTTCTTTGATGTCATCCCTCTCTCCCATTTCTTCTGGGACCTCACTCCATTATCTCCTACCTGATATATATTCAATCTTTCCCTCTCCACCCCTTTCCCACTCCCTACCAACCTGATTTAAGTCTCTCATATTCCTAAAAAAAACAAGCCTTTCTACCTAATTTCCTACTCAAGCTTGTTCTAGAAATATTTCCTTCCCATCTCATTTTCCCAGCTTACTTTTGCTGCCCCATTTCCTCACTGCCACTCATTCCTCTAGCCTGTTGAAATCTGGCTTTTGTCTACTAGTCTACTAACCACTCTTACCATCAGTAAAAGTAGCCTCCTAATTGCCAAATCCAGTACCCTCATGCTACTTTAACTCTCTGAAAGGCTAACATTTTTTTTACTCTCCTCCCTTTCTTCCCGAACCTGTCACAATCCTAATCAGCCTATCTAACTGCTTAGTAATATCTCTTCCTCCGCACTTTGAAATTAGTTGTATGTGATTTAAGACCTTCCTCACTCTATACTATTTTTTGTGGGCAATTCCATTCATTCCAATGACTTCAACTAAGATTGCTGCAAATAATGCAGCTTTATCATAACTAATCGTTAAGTTCTCATCTTGAGCTTCAATTATCATTCATTACACTTTCAATGCAAAGCAAACATCACCTGGACCTACTGAAAGATTTAAGAAAGTTATACCATCAGGGACACTAGTAGCAGTAAATGAAGTTAAAACTATAGATTTTGTAATTAGAGACCACATTTTGAATTCTGTTCCTTACTAGCTATTACTAATCTTTATCCTGCCCCTAAATCCCGGTTTTCTCATCTGTAAATGAAAAACAATTACCTTATAAGGCTTTTGAAAATATTGAAGTTTGTGAAGTTCTTAGCACAATGTCTAGTGCCTAAGTACTTAAAGAACATACGTTATCCTTAACTACAAATGAGAGTGACACAGGCCTCCAAGAATGTTGCCTGAAGCAATCAGTTGAAAACTGGTTCAAATTTACTTGACGTTTCCTATTTTGATTCAAAAATTCACTTGAAAATTGCAGTCTATGATTCTAATTTATCTGTGCTGTATTTTTGTTGTTTAACACTTTTAATGGTCATTCTCCCTTGCTCCCAGACACTTTATCATTCAACTTCAGTGAACCTGTCTCTGATGCCAGCCGTTTTTTAATGTGTATCACCATCTAATATACTGCTTTAAATGGTATAGTTATCAGTTACATGAGTTACAAATACATGTGTTTAGCTTAAACCATCTGGAATTGGGTTTCTGCTACTTGCAACTGAAAAAGTTTTGAGCGGTACACTGTGAACATTTTACAGTTCTTCCTTGTTTAGCAGAAAGTTTAGGGCAGCCTAATGTAGTCTCACAGATAAAACTTCAAATTTTGTGTTTTATTTTATCTTTCTACTGCTACCCACCTTCCTTCTACCTCTTCTTCCTGTTTTATTAATCAAACTCTTCTGCATACTTAGGAAACTTTGATGACTATAAATGTCACTTCATGGCCGGGCACGGTGGCTCACGCCTGTAATTCCAGCACTTTGGGAGGCCGAGGCAAGTGGATCACCTGAGCTCAGGAGTTTGAGACCAGCCTGGCCAACATTGTGAAACCCCATCTTTACTAAAAGTACAAAAATTAACCGGGCATGGTGACAGGCACCTGTAATCTCAGCTGCTAGGGAGGCTGAGGCAGAAGAATCGCTTGAACCTGGGAGGCAGGGGTGGTAGATTGTGCCACTGCGCTCCAGCCTGGGCAACAGAGCGAGACTCCATCTCAAAAAAAAAAAAAAAAAAAAGTCACTTCATTTGGGTTCCAGTTAGCAACAACTTACAATGAAATGGCAACTGCATGCCTACAACCACTACACGGAATCTTTCAACCAGCCAATGTTTTATTTCTGAGAATTTATTCAGGAAATTAAATATACGCTATTAAGAAAAGCAGAAGCATACTTAAAAATTAATTAGTGCACATCTTAAAACTAGAGGCATACTGGAGAACAGCTAGGTAACATTAGATTTGGGTATGGATTTTATTATACCTTACTTTTCAGAAAGGACAGCTCCAAAAGAGAGATCACGAGAAAAAGAAAACGCTCTCTAGAGATATAACTAACGTAAATATCAATGTCTTTTAAGGATTAACAGCTTTATTATCAAAATCCACTTCCCACAACTACTTACATCAAGTTACTGTGACAAATAAATAAATCTAAGTGTAATCAGGTAAAAAGGAACGTGACTTGTTGAATTACAAGGCAAATATCTTACCTTCCCTCCTCAAAAATGTATTAAACCTAGATGAAATGCATTTATTTAAAAAAGGTTGTGCATCTCAAAGGAAGATATGATCACACCTAAAGTTCTGTGTTAGGAAGCCCGCAAATGACACCAGCTAAGCATTGTGCGTTTTCCTAATGTGTCCATTTTACTTAGAGGTTTGGTGGGGGGTGGAGACTATTAAAACACTCATCAGTTGGAGGCATATACCTACATGTATGTATAAATATACATATATATCATTTATACATGTGCTTTCAAAGGAAAAAACTATTATCTCCAGAATATACACCAAGAACATCGATAACATTGGTTGCATATGAAAAGGGATTTCAGGTTTTCAACTGCTTCAAGCAGTGTCCCCAGAGATCCATAATCACTCTCCTTTGCAATTAAGGCTGAAAGCAGTTTGAGATGCACTGCCACAGGGCACTCCTAAATAAATTTGGAATTGGTTTTTTTTGTTTTTTTTTTGTTGTTGTTGTTGTTTGATACAGAGTCTCGCTCTGTTGCCCAGGCTGGAGTGCAGTGGTGCGATCTCGGCTCACTGCAAGCTCCGCCTCCCGGGTTCACGCCATTCTCCTGCCTCAGCCTCCTGAGTAGCTGGGACTACAGGCGCCCGCCACCACGCCCGGCTAATTTTTTGCATTTTTTAGTAGAGACGGGGTTTCACAATGTTAGCCAGGATGGTCTCGATCTCCTGACTTTGTGATCCGACCGCCTCGGCCTCCCAAGGTGTTGGCATTACAGGCGTGAGCCACCGCGCCCGGCCAATAAATCTGTAATTGTTAACTGTCTCTGCAGAAACCAACGGTACCATCAGAAACAGAAAAATGAAATGAAATAATTGATTCATTGGGCGTTCGTTTGTGTACTGGACTGTAAGCATATGAGTCCTCGTCCTCTCCTCCTACCATCCATAGGACTTAACACAAGGACTTGAGGACCCCCTAATGGATGAAATGTTTGATAAAAACTTCTCAACTGGGAGGAGCTCTACCTCACGTTTTTATAACTCCACTTTCTTGTTTCCAAGACGTTGTACACAAAACTGAAGATAGTCATTTAAAACAAAGTAACGTCCAAAACAAAAAATATGCTGAAAATAAAAACACAACGAAAGCACGGCTTCAAATCCTTTGTTTGACTTTCCAATCACTTTTGGAAGACGCAGGGTAGGCTGGAAAAGAAAAAGGCTATTAGGCGGGCCTGTTCAGCAGAACGAGACCCGGAGAGGCATTGTATCAAAGAAAAGGAGTCTCCGGTCGCAAGCCCCACCTTTCCTCCCCAGCAGCAGCTACCTGCTGAGGGAAAGAGGAGGGAGAGGGGAAGGGACGCAAAGTCGAGAATCAAAGGAAGAGAGGAAAGTGGGGTCAGGCGCTGAGAAGCCGAAATGAAATTGGAACATTGGTGGAATTACGAGGAAGGCGTGGCAGAGAGTGACAAGCCAACCGGGAAGATCCATGGGCCGATGAGACGCAAGGAGGGTGTTCGCGGGAGGAGGGAAAAAATAAAAGGGGTTTTGAGGTGAAGAGCGCCCGAGGCTTCGATGACAGCTCGGACCGGGTCTTCGACTCCAGGGGCGGGGGCGACCCGGGAGCCTTCCATTGTGCGCGCCCCTTCCTCTCCCCGCCCCCGCCCTCGCCCCCGCGGCTTCGGGCCGCAACCCCAGCTGCCGCCTGCGCCTCCCGTTTCCCCCGGGTAGGAGACAATATGTTCAGCCCTTCTCTGACCCTTTCTCACCGGATGAAGATGGCCGTCGCCCGAGCTTTCTCTTGTCCATCTTCTCCCGCTGCTGAAATTTCAGTTGCAGGCGCTGTCACCTCAGGACCCCTCCGGCTTGGAGAGGGAGGGGGAGGGGAAAGGAAAAAAAAAAAAAAAAAAAAAAAAAAAAAAAAGCCCGCAAAGTGCGAAGCGCGCTTGCGCAAGAGCCGTCGCCTGCCCTTCGACCGGAAATCAGCCGCCCCTCCCACCTTCGACCGGAAATCACTTCCTGGGACTTTTCACTGTGGGCTGCCTCTTCCAGCGTTTTTTTGGTGGCGTTTATTTCATGATCTGAGCCCCTCTGGGGAGGTGAACCACCTGGGTGCTCGATTTTAGCTTTGTTGACTTTGAAGATTAGATTGACAAAAATTAAAAGGGAAAAACAGGAACTCCTCCGGTTCACTGGATCTCGCGAGGTGGCCAAACAACTATGAAAACAAAACGTTAGCGTTTGCAGTATTACATCCCTCACAGCCTCTCTTACATATTTGCCCCCAACGCCTTTCCTCGAACTCAGAAACCAAAAGATTTTAAGATGGCAAAATCACCTAATAATAGCCTAGCTATTAGTTTAGCATTTGCTGTGGAAATATGTCAGCAGACGAGGAAAAATGTCTTAGGATTCCTTTTTAAAATTCGAACTTGTGATTTTTAAAGTTCCTTAAAAGAAAAGCTAGAACTTAATTTTTCAATAACTGAAATGCTGATATGACAGAAAGTGGGTGGCTATAAACTTGGAATTTGTTCAATTAACATTTACCACGATACTTAAGGGACTAATCCAGTCCTCAATGAACTCAAGGTCTGGTACTATTAGCCTGATTATCCCTAATGGTGCATATCTGAATAATTTTTAAATGCACGTGTAAGCTTTCATGACGATTTAATCACAAGTTTAACAAAATTCAGCACAGTGCTCTAAGCAGGGAAAATGTTTCTGGCATGTTCAAAGCCCGAAGGGACTCTGGAAGTAGGGTTTGATTCCCAAGCTGGCCCCTTTATACCCCTAACGCCTATCCCTCCAACCCCCATCTCCCATCCTAACGGAGTCAATAAAGGGATCGGCCCAACTCGTCCACTAGAGCAGTCCCCTTCATCGTGAGTTAAGCCTTCTTAATTATAATGTGGTCAGTCCCCAGGTAGAGGTAAGGCCCCAGGTGTTGTGGGGTGTTGGGCCTGGGGAAGTGTTCTACATGGCAGGAATGACTGCAAAGCAGAAATACTTTAAGTCTTGCTGGGATTGAAGTTTACTGTAAGGATTTCGTTTTATTTGGTTAATTTCTGTTTAACAAAAACATTGCTTTCTGAAAAATAATTGAATTTTCAGTTTCCTCACAAATTAACTTTTTTTTTTTTTTGAGACGGAGTCTCGCTCTGTCGCCCAGGCTGGAGTGCAGTGGCACAATCTCGGCTCGCTGCAAGCTTCACCTCCTGGGTTCACGCCATTCTCCTGCCTCAGCCTCCCGAGTAGCTGAGACTACAGGCGCCCGCCACCACGCCCGGCTAATTTTTTGTATTTTTTAGTAGAGATGGGGTTTCACCATGTTAGCCAGCATGGTCTCGATCTCCTGACCTCGTGATCCGCCCGCCTCAGCCTCCCAGAGTGCTGGGATTACAGGCGTGAGCCACTGCGCCTGGCCCAAATTAACTTTTTTAACTAAAGAACTTAACTGATTCTAAAGTCAAGCTGGGCCGGACACAGTGGCTCGCGTCTGTAATCCCAGCACTTTGGGAGGCCGAGGCAGAATAGATTGAGCCAAGACATTCCAGACCATCCTGGGCAACAAAGCAAGACCCCCCTCTCCACAAAAATATACAGGCCAGATGCTATGACTCACCCTTGAGCCCAGGAGTTTGATACCAGCCTGGGCAATATAGTGAGACCTCCTCTCTACAAAGAAAAAAACTAGCCACACGTGGTGGCGCATGCCTGTAGTCCCAGGTACTCAAGAGGCTAAGGCAGGAAGATCACTTAAGCCCATGGAGTTAAAAGTTGCAGTGAGCCTTGATCAGGCCACTGCATTCCAGCCTGGGCGACAGAGCCAGACTGTCTCGGAAAAAAAAAAAAAAATGACCCGGGCACGGTGGAGCACACCTATAGTCCCCGGCTACTGGGGAAGATGAGATTTAAGGATTACTTGAGTCCAGGACTTTGAGGCTGCAGTGAGCTATGATCGCTACACGGTACTGCGGCCTGGGCGACACACAGATACCCTGTCTCCAAAAAACATAAAAAATAAACTTCCCAGACGATTCTGTTGCATACTCCAATTTGGTAAAACCAACACTTAGTGACATCTGCTTTTTTCTTTTTCCTATCTCTAATATTCTTTTTTCTATGTGTCCTTGCCTCTGGTGGATTAAATACAACTTTTTTGTTCCCTAGGGAGAGGTGAACAGTGAGGAGGGACATTATGTACTTTCATCTTATTTTGAAATTTCTACAGATATAATTTCACAACCACTATTATTTTCTACAATTTACTAAATGGAATTGTAATACAGGCATTATTATTTTTCTAAAAAACTGCATAATTGCTTTCTGTGTTGGGAAAAGAAAAATAGTGCTGCTTTTGTACCAAAACAGTATTCTTTCTTTCAAACATATTTTCTAGAGGTTTTTTGTTTTGTTTTGCTTTCCTAAATATGAAAATAAATGAAAACTTACTCGTTGTAAAAAAAAAAAAGTATCATTAGATATTTTTAAATATTCTGAGTAAAAGTATTCTCCATTCTGTGCTTCTTAATGGCATGGTATATACAAAAGGACCTTGTTCCTAAATATAAAAAAGGATTATAATTACTGTATTAGATTATTACTCTGTAACCAGGGGATTTCCTAACTTCTCAGATTATAAAATTACTTCTTATAAAAGCTTACTAATCACCTGTGAAAAATGTAAATATTGTTAAATGTAACCACTTTTGATCCTAGAAAGGAAAGGGGTTCCTTAAAAATCCAAATACGCTAATTAAAGTTATTTGCATCTATGATTCTGGTGTCCCACCCACCCTCTTCTTTAAAGATAATCACACCTAACCTAGAGAAGTCAAATTCAGAGAGATCGAAAGTAGAATGGTGGTTGCTAGTGCCTAGGATGAGGAGAATGGGGAGTTATTGTTTAATGGGTATAGAGTTACAGTTTTGTAAGATGAAAAGCATTCTGTGGATGGATGTCAGTAATGGTTACACAACAATATGAATGTACGTAATGCCTCTGAACTGCACACTTAAAAATGGTTAGAATGGTAAATTTTGTTATGTATATTTTCACAATTGTTTTTTAAGAAATAACCACACCTAGAACAAGTCATTACAGCTGTGTCACCACCTAATCCAGGATACTGGAAAAGCCTAATTTCAAATTTTCTTTAATGCGTATATGCTGTTCTCCTTTTTTAAAATTTTATTCTGCGTAAAACGACTGGAGTACTTGACATAGGAAACAAAGTGCCTACCAAATGGCCTCACTAAATTTTTGGTAAATGAATGAAATAAAAAGTCAAATACTATGCATTTTTAAATCTTTGGTAAAAACTAATCTTGGAGTGGGAGGAGGGTGAGCGTTGTAAAACTACCTATCAGATACTATGCTCGCTACCTGGGTAATGAAATCATTTGTATACCAAACCCCAGTGACACAAAATTTACCCTTGTAACACATTTGCACATTCCCCCGACCCTAAAATAAAAGTCAAAAAAGGGGAAAAAAAATCTTCTCTCAGGCTCCTGGGCTGCCTCAGTTACTTTGGGCATGCCACTTTACCTTTGAAAGCCTCAACTTCTCCATTTATAAAATAAACATGTTAGCTAAGAATATCAATAAGGTCCCTTCTAGCTCTAACAATCTTATTCTTGAAGGTAAACTATTGAAGGAAACCAGAATGTCACCTCAAAATATGCCTTTTTTTTTTTTTCCCGGAGACTGAGTTTTGCTCTTATTGCCCAGGCTGGAGTGCAATAGCACGATCTCAGCTCACTGCAACCTCCGCCTCCCAGATTCAGGTGATTCTCCTGCCTCAGCCTCCCGAGTAGCTGAGATTACAGGCACCTGCCACCATGCCTGGCTAATTTTTGTATTTTTAGTAGAGACAAGGGTTCAGCATGTTGGCCAGGCTGGTCTCGAACCCCTGACCTCGTGATCCACCTGCCTCAGACTCCCAAAGTGCTGGGATTACAGGCGTGAGCCACTGTGCCAGGCCAAAATATACCTCTTTTATATAAAAATTATTTTTGAGCTGAAGGCAATTAAGGAGGGAAAGCTCGCTCTCTCCTTTTTCTGCCTAAAAGGCAGGACATAAATTCTGTCTAGGCTCTTACCAGCCCAGAAAGCCCCAGACGAATCTGCAAACAAACCTTACTGTATTAGTTTCCTTCTGTAGATTTACATTCCCACAGTTTCTCACCCTTGGAAGCCTAAAACTCTTTCCTTTGTTCTTTCTTCTCTCCAGAAATTTATTGTTCTTCGTTGAAGATACTTACATAAGCCAGAGTTGTAAGCCACTGTTTTGAGTTACTCCGCATTTACGTTTCTCTAAGGTGATATGCGCTGCATGCATTAATAAACTTCTTTGTTTTTCTGTTGTTACAAGGGTTCATTCCAACTAAGAACTCATGAGGGTTAAGGAAATAATTATTTTTCCTCCCCTACACTATCTTATTCTAATCCAGTCTTTGGAAAATTAAGCATAAAAATTGTTTGATTCTCTCCCTTTTTATTTTGATGAACCATGTTGAATTTGCTTGAGAGATGGTTTATCTTTATTTGCAAAAGACAAAGCATATATAAATTGATGGATGGAATATTCTTTAAGAATAATTAATAAACCTTTGACATTTATTAAGTTTAGAATTATAAAAGAAGTCTCTATAATTTTTCAAAAGCTTTGCATCTTTCTCTTATGTATTAATATATTGCTAGAGGACTTTTAAAGTGTGCTTTACTTCTTTATGTGCTTGGCAAAAAATTGTAAAATTCTAACAATATTTAAGTGCCTACTGTGCACCAGACGCTATTCCAAGAACTAGAGATACAGTAGTGAACAAAACAAAGTCCCTGTTCCTGCTGTCATAGAACTTACATTCTAATGGAGAGAAGTAGACAGTAAGCAAACATACGTCAGTTGGTAATAAGTGCCGAAAAAAAAAGGAAGGGAGAGAGTTGCTCTTTCAGATAGACTGCTCAAAGAAAATCACTCTGATGAGATAAAAAGTGGGCAGAAACTTTAAAATAAAAGCCCTATAGATATCTATAATGGGGAGGAATATTCCAGGCTGTGGGCATAGCAAGAGTGAATACCCTTAAAACAGGAGCTTCCTTCACAAATTGACAGCAAAGTAGACCAGGTGCAACTATGGTGAAGTAAACAAGAGAGTGGTAGGAAATGACACCTGAGAAAGAGCTAAGACCCAGATCATGTAACTAGATGAGTAAGCCAGTGAGAGAGTGGTAGGAAATGGCACCTGAGAAAGAGCTAAGACCCGGATCATGTAACTGGATGAGTAAGCCAGTGAGAGAGTGGTAGGAAATGACATTGGAGAGCTAAGGGCCATGTGAGACCTTGTCGGCCATGGTAAGAACTTAGTTTTCATTCTGAGTGAGAAGGGAGACCATTGAGAATTTTAGTAAGCCTATGCATCTAGACTGTGAACTTCACAGGTCTCAGTTCACTACAACCCCCTTGGGTTGGGCAGGGTAGCTAGAGCGGGCTAGAGTTGGGTATTTCCCTTCCCCCAAGTCAGTTAGGCTCTGATAAAACCCCAGCAGGTTAGCTTCTCATTAAATAGCTTCTCCTGAGGGCAGACCTTGTTAAGAAGAACAAAATGCTCTGGCGTATTTCAAAATGGCTCCTTTTCCCCACCCACTACCAGAGGCATGGATAATCACCCTGAGGACCTGTGAGAGATCCAGGAGCTTAAAAAAAATTGGGGAGCGGGGAAGAGGGAATGGCTAGGTCCCTCTGACTTGTCCACACTGATCCTTCAGGTTTACCTATCCTGGTACTTGTTCCATTGGAGGCTTCAGCGGCTAGTTTCTGCTCTGGTAAGTTGTGATTCTCTACATTCACTTGCTTTCAGTCCCTCCAATTTTGGAGGCAGTAGTATGCCCAGTAACCTTACTTATTTTATGGAACTTATGAAGAAGAGCTGTTGATTTTTGGTTTGTCTAGCTTTTTACTTGTTGTTAGGACTGAGTAGCAACTTCCAAGATTTTTACATGCCAGTCTGGAAACAAGAAGTCAACAAACATCACCATTGAAAATTTTGAACAAGGTTGTGACATCCCATTAGATTGTTTCACCACGGCCTCGATGTAAAACATTTTTGGATTTGCTGGGCGCGGTAGCTCACGCCTGTAATCCCAGCACTTTGGGAGGCCGAGGCAGGTGGATCGCCTGAGGTCAGGAGTTCGAGATTAGGCTGGCCAACATGGTGAAACCCTGTCTCTACTAAAAATACAAAAAATTAGCCACGCGTGGTGGCACATGTCTGTAATCCCAGCTACTTGGGAGGCTGAGGCGGGAGAATAGCTTGAACCTGGGAGGTGGAGGTTGCAGTGAGCCAAGGTCGTGCCATTGCACCCCAGCCTAGGGAACAGAGCGAGACTCTGTCTCAAAAAAAAAAAAAATTCTTGGATTTTTGAAGCATGGATTTTTGCCGTGCATTGCATCCATTTTCAAGGCTTTTTTTTTTTTAAAGGATAGTTAAGTCTGTCAATTATTTACACTTTAGAAAAAGTAAATTAATTACGTAATAACATCTGAGAGAGAGGCTGGGCATGGTGACTCACACCTGTAATCCCAGCACTTTGGAAAGCCAAGGCAGGAGGATCACTTGAGCCCAGGAGTTTCAAACCAGCCTAGGCAACATAGTGAGATCCCATCTCTAAAAAAAATTTGTTTTAATTAGCCAGGCACGGTGGCATGTGCCTGTAGTCCTAGCTACCTGGGAGGCTGAGGGGGTGCTTGCTTGGATGTCTTAAATCTCTTTTAATATTTTTTTTTCCCTGAGATAAGAAGGTCAAGGCTGCAGTGAGCTGTGATCACACCACCACGCTCCATCCTGGGTGACAGAGTCAGACCCTGTCTCTCCAAAATAACACCTGAGATCAGCAAAGACTAGAAGCATTTTTCATAGAAAAGGAAGGAATGGAGAGCAGTGTGGATAGTGCTTTGGACAACCAAAAACCTTTATAAAGTACCTGTTGCGTTAGAGGGGTCAGAGAATAAGATTTAGAAAGTGAGAAGGGAGTTAAGAAATCTTAGACCAGCTTATTGAAGTGGGGAAAAAAATTAAAAATTTAGGTGTGGTGGCTCATGCCTGTAATCCTAACACTTTGGGAGGCCGAGGCAGGTGGATTTCCTGAGCTCAGGAGTTCAAGACCAGTCTGGCAACACGGTGAAACCTACTAAAATACAAAAAAATTAGCTAGGTGTGGTGGCATATGCTGTAATCCTAGCTACTTGGGAGGCTGAGACAGGAGAATTGCTTGAACCTGGGAGGTGGAGGTTGCAGTGAGCCAAGATCACACCACTGCACTCCAGCTTGGGCAACAGAGTGAGACTCCATCTCAAAAAAAAAAAATTAAAAGAGATTTAAGACATCCAAGCAACCACCATTTGAATTTTGCCTTAGGCCTAATAGCAACTCAAGTTGCACTGAAAATCATTTTGAGTGCAACTTATTGGAAGTAGGTTGTAGCTTGCCAGTGTCAGTGTTAAGAAATTAAGAAGGGAGAGTGTTAATATATCTGTTAAGAGAGTGCATTTGAGAGTCAGCCTCATATGCAATCATTTCTTTGATAGTTGTCTGGCTTTAGAGAAAGCCACTTAACCTTTCAAAGCCTTTTTTCCCCCGCTTTAAGCTCTACCTACAGCAACTAAGTTAACTTCTCATCTAGCCTATTTTTTTCCTTCTCAGACATCAGAATAACTGTATCTTCTAGTATTCGCTGAATTGATCATAATCTCCATTGCCTGATTCACATTTCACTCCCGCTTCTATCTTCTGCCGTTCATTTAACAGCAAAAGTTATTAAATATCTTCTGCAGAAATAAATGAAGACCAACCAAATGAGAAAAGCCTATTTATTCTGAGCCTGCTGTAGCAAGGGAGTCCACCACTATCACTTGCGTTTTGGCAGAGACTCAAGGCAGGCAGAAGAGTAGGAGAGCTGTATAGTGGGGGAAAAAAGAGAAGACTTCGCATTTGCCCTGATTGCAAGTTGTCATGGGGAAGCTGTAGGTGAGCTAACTAGAAATGGGGACATCTTGCGTGATTGGTTAGGGGTACATATTTGGCTCTCTCTGGTTGGTCTCAAGTTGGAAATAGGGACAAAATTACGAAAGCTGTCAGTTATTAATGAAGTTCTTGCCATTTGGCACCAATTGTTATAGAAGTTACTGGTTAGTTTCCTGAATTTTCACTAGTGATAGAAATCTGGTTTCCTGCCAGTCTGACATACCAGACTGACTTCCTGAGTTGTTTATTGTAAATGAGGGGTTGGCTTCCTGGGCAGGTTGCTGCAGGTTATGTCAAAAAATCCATATTTACATATGGTCTCTCCATTGTCTCTTCATATATTCAGTCTTTCACTGCTTTGAATCATTCACAATTATTTTGAATTGACGTCTTTACCATAGGTTAGAAGGTTAATGTCTTTCTGACATGCTTAATTTAGCATCATGTGCCATAGGAAGAATTTGGCAAGCTGAAATTTTCATTTTACTTTTGCTAGCACTTATATACTATTACTCTTTTAACTTTCAGTGGTTACCAATGACACAGGAGCTGAGCTTCCAAAAATTTATTGAACAATCTGACTTACTAGGAGAACTTAAATATGACTTCAATGAAAAAGATGAATTCAGACATACTGAGACACAAAGGCCTTTTGTCTTTAACTATTATGAAAATGTCCTTGAGAAAAATAGCAAGCGCTACCAGGCCCTTGGCCATTTGCTTGAACAATACATTTATGAGCTTTTGGAGAAAGTGTGCAAATTAGAAAAAGTATATATCCCACCTGAGGCTGATAAAGAAGAACCAAGAAGCTTCTTTTTCATGAGCGAGAAAGCATTAACAAATCACCATTCTGCTCTTCTTATCCTTCTTCAAGACCATGGGGTCTTTCGAGCTGGTCAGTGGAGTCAACAGGCAATAATACATCATGGTCTCCAACATGGAAGTCAGATACCATGTATTCAAATGGCATTGCAGGCACACTATGATGTAATTGTGCTAAACCCCAATGATAATTTTGTGGAACCAAAGGTGGAAAAAGAGTGGAAAGGCCTTTTAACACAAAATATTGAGTCATCTTCTCTAAAAATGGTTCAAGGTGGGAGCTTTTTCTCTCTCCAGCATCCTCCCAAATGCATTCCAAAAAGATGCAGCAACACCCCCGAAGAACACACGGCTTACATATGGGATTACTTCATTTCAAAGACTGAAGGCAAGGATATTGCCTTCATTGTACATGGTTATGGAGGCTTGGTTTTTATGGACTTGCTTGTTCGTAGAAGGTGGGAAGTGATGAGCAAAGTATATGCTGTTGCACTTATCGACTCTGAACATCACGTAGGACACCAGCTGGGAAGTGATGTACAATTATTAGCATGGATAAAGCACCACTGCCGTGAATGGGTGACAAGTCCTAAGCCTTTGGATAAACCTGCAGCTACTGTTTTCAAAAAGGAATTTCCTATGGTTTCTGCTGGCACAGAAAAGTACATCTTAGCCCCTTCCTCTAGCCTTCAGTCAATTTTTAAGTACTTTAAAAAAGCTTTAAAAGCCAGAACAACCATTAATTTCTCTCGAATGCCAATAGTGACTAGAAGCTCCACAAAAAGAAAGCAAAGTGCTTAAACTACTTTTGTCATCTAAGATTTTTTTGTCCTTCTGCAACTTTGCTAATACAGATTCTGGAAGAAAAAAGAACACTTTCAACTCACACACAATATGATGTTCTGGCTTGAGGTTTGATTTGTTACTTTTTATTATTTGGTTTTTATGAGGCAGGGTCTGACTTTGCTGCCCAGGGTGGTATGGAAATCTGGCCTCAAGCGAACCTCCCACCTCAGCCTCCCAAAGTGCTGAGATTATAGGCATTAGCCACTGCACATGGCCATGGCCAGGTTTGTTGCTTTTTTTTTTTTGGAGGAGGAGGAGGAGGAGTCTCTGTCACCCAGGTTGGAGTGCAGTGGCACCATCTCAGCTCACTGCAACCTCCACCTCCTGGTTTCAAGCAGTTCTCCTGCCTCAGCCTCCCAAGTAGCTGGGACTACAGGCACATGCCACCACGCCCAGCTAATTTTTGTATTTTTACTAGAGACGGGCTGTTCGCCAGGCTGGTCTAGGACTCTTGACCTCAGGTGATCCACCCACCTTGGCCTCCCAAAGTGCTGGGCTTACAGGCATAAGCCACTGCACCTGGCCATTTTGTTGCTTTTTTGAAAAGTGAACATATTCTCTCTTTTGTAGCCTGTTGATGAACTGGGAATTCAGTGTCATCATTAATATTTTACAGTGTTAGTTAAGTGTGAAGATCTTTCTTTTAAAAAGCTGTGGTTTGATATAATGACAACAAAATGGCAATTGATAAAAATTAGATATTGAATCAATCTTTGATTTCTATAATAATACCATAGTAAAATTAAAAGTGAACATAAAAATTAAACATCATAAGCAAACTGCATTCTTTGTGTGTTTATGTTTTTTGTTAAAATTTGTTGTACTCCCTGTTCACCAGGTCTGAAGAAAAATAAATTTTAAATAAATTTGTTGGTCTTGTGCATATGTTCACTCACATCTTCAACTAATATCTGAGTGCTTACTATGTGCCAGTCAAGACTAGGTGTTTGGGACACCGTAGCAAACAACCCCAACATTGCCTTTCTCTTTACAGAGTTTACAATGGCTGAGAAATTACAAACGTGAAGAGTGTTAAATAGTAAAGGAGACTGGGCGCGGTGTCTCATACCTGTAATCCCAGCACTTTGGGAGGCTGAGGTGGGCGGATCATCTGAGGTCAGGAGTTTGAGATCAGCCTGGCCAACATGGTGAAACCCCATCTCTACTAAAAATACAAAAATTAGCCAAGCATGGTGGCAAGCGCCTGTAATCCCAGCTACTTGGGAGGCTGAGGCAGGAGAATCACGTGAATCTGGGAGGCAAAAGTTGCAGTGAGCCAAGATCGTGCCACTCCACTTCAACCTGGACGACAAGAGTGAAACTCCATCTTAAAAAAAAAAAAAAAAAAAAAAAAAAAGGAAAGGGTGCCATGGAATATCTACCATGAGAGCTAACCAGCCTTGGGGTTCAGGGAATATTTCCCAAAGAAAATGATGCTTAGTTTGAAGAACAATAGTAGTTGGCTAGGGGAACAAAGTCACAGGCAAATGAACAGCCTATGCAAAGGTGTTCAGGCAGGAGAAAGAAGGCTAGCTCAGCTACAGCTGAAAGACTGAGAAGGAATAGCATGTTCAGAAATAAATTATTTATGACACTTGTTGATACAGTTTAGATTTGGATATTTGTTCCTACCCAAATCTCATGTTGAATTGTAATACCCAGTGCTGGATGTGAGGCCCTGTAGGAGGTGTTTGGGTCATGGGGGCAGATCCCTCATAGCTTGGTGCTGTCTTCACAATAGTGAGTTCTAGTGAGATCTGGTCATTTGAAAATGTGTGGTGCCTCCCCCACCCTCTCTCTCTCTTGCTCCTGCTCTGCCATGTGAGTGGCCTGCTCCCCTTCACCTTCTACCATGAATAAAAGCTCCCTGAGGCCTTCCCAGAAGCCAAGCAGTTGTTAGTGCCATGTTGCCTGTATAGCCTCCAAAACCATAAGCCAATTAAACCCCTATTCTTTATAAATTACCCAGTCTCAGGTATTTCTTTATAGCATGCAAGAACACCCTAACACAGAAAATTAGTCCCAAGGAGAAAGATGTTGCTAGAAAGATACCTGAAAATGTGGAAGCAGCTTTGGAACTGGGTAATGGGCAGAGGTTGGAATGGTTTGCAGGGCTCAAAAGAAGATAAGAAGATGAGGGAAAGCTTGTAATTTCGTAGAGACCAGTTAAATGGTAGTGACCAAAATGCTGATAGTGATATGGACAGTGAAGACCAGGCTGACGAGGTCTTAGATGGAAATGTGGAACTTAGGGACTGGAGCAAAGTTCACACATGTTATGCCTTAGCAAAGAGCTTGGCTGCATTGTGCCACTGCCCTAGGTTCTGTGGAAGTTTGAACGTGAGAGTGATGATTTAGGTATCTGGCAGAAAAAGTTTCTACACAGCAAAGCATTCAAGATGTCGCCTGGCTACTTCTAACAGCCTACATTCAAATGTGGGAGCAAAGAAATGACTCAAATTTAAAATTTATATTTAAGCAGGAAGCAGAGCGTGAATGTTTGGAAAATTTGCAAACTGCCCATGAGGTAGAAAAAAGGCTTTTTCAGGAGAGGAATTCAAGTGAGCTGTAGAGTAACCCCTTGCTAGAGATATTTGCATAACTGAAAGGGAGCTAAGTGCTAATATCCAAGGCAGTGGGAAAAGTCCTTGAGGACAGACATTTCAGAGACATTTGAGGCAGCCCATCCCATTACAGGCCCAGAGGCCTAGGAAGGAAGAATGGTTTCATGGGTCAGACCAAGGGCCCCAGTGCCCTGTGCAGCCTCAGACACTGCTTCCCACATCCCAGCTACTCAAGCTCTAGCTAGGACTCAAAGGGGCCCAGGTTCAGCTCAGGCCACAGCTCCACAGGGTGCAGGCCATAAGCCTTGGGGGCTTCAACATGATGGTAAGCCTGTGGGTGCACAGAGTGCAAGAGTTGAGGCTTGGCAGCCTCTGCCTGGATTTCAGAGGATACATGAAAAAGCCTGAGTGGTTAGGCATGGTGGCTCACACCTGTAATCCTAGCACTTTGGGAGGCCAAAGTAGGTGGATCACTTGAGCCTAGGAGTTCAAGACCAGCCTGGGCAACATGGCAAAACTCCATCTCCACAAAAAATACAAAAATTAGCCAGGCATGATGGCACACACCTGTAGTCCCACCTACTCAGGAAGATGAGTTGGGAAGACTGAGCCTGGAATGCCTAGGCCCACAGTGAGCCATGATGGTGCCACTGCACTCCAGCCTGGGCAACAGAGTGAGACCCTGTCTTAAAAAAAAAAAAAAAAAAAAGCCGAGTGTCTAGACAGAAGCTTGCTATAGGGGCAGAGCCCTCACAGAGAACTGCTCCTAGTACAGTGCCAAGGGGAAATGTGGGGTTGGAGGCCCAACACAGAGTTTCTACTGGGGCACTGCCTAGTGAAAGCTGTGAGAAGGGGACCACCATCCTCCAGACCCCAGAGTGGTAGAGCCACTGGCAGCTTGCAACCTGTACCTAGAAAAGCTCCTGGCTGTCAACAACCTGTGAGAACAGTTGTAGGGGCTAGATCCTGCAAAGCCACAGGAGTGGAGCTGCCCAAGGCCTTAGGATCCCACCCCTTATACTAATGTGCTCTGGATGTGGGACATAGAGTCAAAGGAGGTTGTTTTTGGAGCTCTAAAATTTAATGACTGCCCTGCTAGGTTTCAAGCTTGTATAGGGCCTGTAGCCCCTTTCTTTTGGCTGATTTCTCCCTTTTGGAATGGGAATATTTACCCAATGCCTATACCTCCATTGTATCTTGGAAGTAACTAACTTCTTTTTTATTTTATAGGTTCATACATGGAAGGAACTTGCCTTGCCTCAGATGAGACTCTGGACTTTTGAGTTAATGCTGGAATGAGTTAAGATTTGGGGGGACTGTTGGAAAGGCATGATTGTATTTTGCAAAGTGATGAGGACATGAGATTTGGGCCACGGGCAGAATGATAAAGTTTGGATATTTGTCCCTGCCCAAATTTCATGTTGAATTGTAATCCCCAATGCTGGAGGTGGGACCTGGTGGGAGGTGTTTGGGTCATGGGGGCAGATTCCTGATGGCTTGGTGCCATCTTCATGATAGTGAGTTTTCAAAAAATCTGGTCATTTACAAGTGTGTGGTACTCTCCTTACCTTGCTTGCCCCTGCTCTTACCACGTGAGATGCCTGTTCCCCCCTCACCTTCTTCCATGATTGTAAGCTTCCTGAGGCCTCTCCAGAAGTAGATGCTGATGCTATGCTTCCTGTACAGCCTGCAGAACTGTGAGCCAATTAAACTTATTTTCTTATATATTACCCAGTCTTGGGTATTTCCTTATAGCAATGCAAGAATGGCCTAATATACTTGTTGAAGACAGTAAGGAAGATCTTATACAAGGACTACTGCAGTGAGGAATTTGCAGTAGGAGAGAAAGATCAGGCTCAACTCTGAATACAAGGACTAGTGGAGATTTATAGCCAAGGAGCAAGGTGGGGTCAGTGGATGAAAAATTACTAAAAGAAAATATCAGGGCTATGTGATGGTTAATACTGAGTGTCAACTTGATTGGATTAAAGGATACAAAGTTTTGATCTTGCGTGTGTCTGTGAGGGTGTTGCCAAAAGAGATTAACATTTGAGTCAGTGGACTGGGGAAAACAGATCCACCCTTAATCTGGTGGGCACTATCTAATCAGCTTCCAGCGAATATAAAGCAGGCAGAAAAACATGAAAAAAGAGAGATGGGCCTAGCCTCACAGCCTACATCTTTCTCGTGTGCTGGATGCTTCCTGCCCTTGAACATCGGTTCCAGGTTCTTCAGTTTTGGGACTCAGACTGGCTCTCCTTGCTCCTCAGCTCGCAGACAGCCTATTGTGGGACCTTGTGATCATGTAAATTAATACTTAATAAACTTCCCTCACCCCCCCACCCCCGCCCCCCCCCCACACACACACATGTCCTATTAGTTCTGTCTCTCTAAGAAAACCCTGACTAATACAGGCTAAGAGAGATTCTTGCTAAGGCAGGCCAGGGTGATAAGATATCATGCATGGAGGGTGAGGAATTTGATCAGATATCAAAGGTTTTCAGCTATCAAGGATGGAGATTTTCACTAAAATGACTCAAGAGGATTCCTTTTTTTTTTTTCCTTTTCTTGAGACTGGGTCTCACTCTCACCCATGCTGAAATGCAGTGGTACAATTATGGCTCACTGCAGCCTTGACCTCCTAAGCCTCATGTGACTTTCACACCTCAGCTTTTTGAGTGGCTGGGACTACAGGCAAGTGCCACCAAAACCTCACTATTTTTAAAACTTTTTGTAGAGATGAGGTCTTGCTCTGTTGCCCAGGCTGGTCACAAACTCCTGGGCTCAAGCAATTCTCCTGCCTTGGCCTCCCACAGTGCTGGGATTACAGGCATGAGCCACTGTGCCCAGCCCTAACAGGATTCTTGCTAAAACTGGACTAAGCAGGCTAACTGAAACTATTAGGTTGGTGCAAAAGTTATTGTATTTTTTGCCATTTAAATGGCAAAAAAAAAAAAAAATGAAGTAGCTCAACTCAGTTGTGGTTATAAGATTATATTGCTCTGGGAGTGCTATAGACTAAATATTTGTGTCCCCTTCTCTCCCCACCAACAAAATTCATATGTTGAAACCTAATCTTTAATATGATAGTATCTGGAGGTAGGGTGTGATTAGGGGAGGTTATTAGTTCATAAGGCCTCCACCCTCATGAATGGGGTTAGTATTCTTATAAAAGAGGGCCCAGAGAGCTGTCTTGCCCCATCTGCCATGTGAAGACACAGTGAAGAGATGGCCATCTGTGAACCAGGAAGTAGACCCAGACATTTGCTGGTGCCTTGACTTGAACTTTCCAGCCTCCAGAACTGTGAGAAATAAATTTCTGGGTTTTGTGTGTGTGTGTGTTGGGGTTTTGTTTTTTGATTTTGTTTTTTGAGATGGAGTCTCACTCTATCACCCAGGCTGGAGTGCAGTGGTGCGATTTTGGCTCACTGCAACCTCTGCCACCTGAGTTCAAGCGATTCTCCTGCCCCAGCCTCCCAAGTAGCAGGGATTATAGGTGCCTGCCATCGCACCTGACTAATTTTTGTATTTTTAGTAGGGACGGGGTTTCACCATCTTGGCCAGGCTGGTCTTGAACCCCTGACCTTGTGATCCACCCACCTCGGCCTCCCAAAGTGCTGGGATTACAGGTGTGAGCCACCATGCCTGGCCAAACTTCTGTTGTTTACAAGCCACCTAGTCTGTGGTATTTTTGCTAAAGTAACGATTCTTTGCTTGGCCAAACTTTACTCAGGCTCCTGAACCTTGCTCTAGGCCCACTGTGCACTTCCTTGTAAAATCCAATTTTAGTAAAGAACCCTGCTAAGTCAGTTTAGCAAGAATCCCTCACCCTTAATGCCAGATCACCCTCAATACCTGATCAGGTTTCTCATCCTCTACCACCCACAAGTGATGCCTGATCACCCTGGCCTATCCTCAGCAAAAATCCTGTTAGGTTGGTTTGGCCATAATCCTCCTTATCCTTGATGTTTCCTCTTAGGAAATTTTCATCTATTGACCCCACCCTACTACTTGGCTATAAATTCCTACTTGCTAATATTGTGGTGCCATTGCTGTGGTCCCTATACCTATTGCATGGTCTTGAATAAAGTCTTCCTCACCATGCTTTAACAAGTATCATTGAAGAATTTTTTCAACAATTTCAGCCCAAATAGACCAAAGCAGAATGTTTATCTTGTCATTTCAAAATATTTCATGTTTTGATAAACAGCTCTGTATATTTAGAAACAGTTTTTCTATGCAAAACATCATCATTTTTGCTCCAGACAGGAAATGCTTGTGTTGAAAACACAGCTTATTTTAAGCTTTCTCTCCTAGTCCCTTATTATTCCCTTACTCTGACTTCTGATATTGATCTATCTTTGCAGCTTGAAGTCAATAAAGAACATCTCTGCTTTTTTGGCTGTCAACTGAAAACCAGGGATGTATGCTGACAGAGACTGATATGGGAGGCCTTTAGGGAAATCCTAAAACCTCTGATATCACCATGTAATGATTTTTTTTGCTTTCTTGTGGAAAATGTTGGAGATAATTGATCAATTGATCATTGTTCTTAAGCAAGGCACACGAAAATTGGTGTATTACTTTCCAATACTAGACCAAATATAGCTCAACAAAAAAGGAGAACATGTTATTGAAGCAGCTGCATTGTCTGAGACATCACCTGAGATTCTTTGTCTCATGGCCATGAAAATCAAGGACACAGACACACAGAGGGTGAGGTTGGAGCAGAAGTTTAACAGGTGAAAGGAAAAGAACAGCTCTCTGTCACAGAGAGGGATCCCAAATGGGTTGCTGTGCTGCAGTAAAATGTAAGGGTTTTATAAATGAGCTAGTGGGGAGGGGGTATCTTATCTACATAGGGCATGAAAAACCAGTTAGAACCAGGTGTCCCATCTGCATAGAGCAGAGACTCTGGCAGCCTCCACCCCCCTCCTTTATCATGCAGTTGGGCTCTTAGCTTGGGCTACTCCACACTGCTTATCTCCTTCCACCATGCATATGCTAAAAAGCAGAGGGGGAGTTTCTGTGCCTGGTCGCAGGTACCTCATTGTAACTGCAGGCATCCGCCACCCTGCGCAAGCTTCCAGTTTCCCTATATTAGTGTCCCCCAAAAAGGGAAAGGAATGTGCTCATTAAGGCCCACTGTCTTTACTGGGACCCATTGTATGTATATGAAGTTTGGTGATTACCCAGGAAACTCTCCCTCCGTGTCAGAGTTGCTTATCTATTTTTATAGCCCAATCTTCTAGGCTGTTTCTATTAGAAGTGATTTCTTTGAACTTCACGTGGTTAGAAAGGAAGTAATTTCTGAGCTGCTTTTTGTTAGAAGAAAAGTTTCTGTCAGGGACTCTTTTACCCTAACTACCTAAATAATTTCTATCTCCTCTATCATTATTTTTACAGATTTGCTATGGGAAGTCTCATTAACTGGAAATTACACTTATTTGCTTTTCAATGTTTCTTCAAAAGCAATGGTTCTCTAAATTTAGAATGCATCAGTATAACCTGGAAGTCTTGTTAAGACAAAGATTGCTGGGGCCCACTGTCAGCATTTCTGATTCAGTAAAATCAGTAGGTGAAGGCCAAAAATTTCCACTTCTAACCAGTTCCTAAGTGATGGTGATGCTGCTGGTCCAAGGACCACATTTCATGAACCACTGTTAGAAAGACTAAGAATGCACTGGGCATGGTGGCTCACACCTGTAATCCTAACATTTTGGGAGGCCAAGGTGGGTGGATCACTTGAGGTCAGGAATTAGAGACCAGCCTGGCCAACATGGTGAAACCCTGTCTCTACTAAAAATACAAAAATTAACTGGAAATCACTTGAACCCAGGAGGCAGAGGTTGCGGTGAGCTGAGATCGTGCCACTGCACTCCAGCCTGGGATACAGAGCAAGACTCCATCTTAAAAAAAACAGAAAAGAAAAGAAATGATAAGAATGGCTTGTAAAGGAAAAGAAAAATCTCAGGATGCCCAAACTCATTATGCCAAGGGGAGAGTTAAGCCTGGGAAATGAGTCATGCAACATTGCCATCCTTTTTCCCCAAACAGATAACTGTTACTTTGAAACCCTGTGTCAAACCACATCCCCACAGACAAAAGGCTTCATGCCTCTCCAAAGGGCTGCCCTCACAAATTGTTTACAAGGAAACTTTGGTGGCTCCTAAATCTTTCAGGACATATATCCTTCTATAAAATAAGCACTTACCAATTGTTACCATAGGTCTGCAACCTGTTTAACTTTTAAAACTAAGATATGTTAAATCTCACATTGACAATGTCAGTTACAAGTTTATCTTCACAGGTCGGAACAAGGACAAGATGAGATCAATCATTCTTCTGCCTACATTGAAACGACTGTATAATTGACTCTTTATTCCCTTTTCTTTGAATGTTCACATTATCTTATGTAAAATGTAGATTACTGGGTACTAACTGGAACCTCACAAGAATGTAATCATTTGCCTCACTTCCTACCCTCCCCCACCCCCACCCCACCTCCACATTTTCCTGAATGTTCTCTCCTCCTTAAAGAAAAATGTAAATACTGAGCTTCCTGAAAACCTCTTTGGAGAGCACAGGCCACAGATGCCTCTTTGACTTGGGATTTTCCCAGGGGCATCCTCAAACTCTGGCTCAATAAACTTCAACTGATTGAGACTCCTGCCTCAGTCTTTCATTTCAGTTGACAGGCTAGGGAGGTAATGTTAAAGAAAAAAATAATCAATGATACTTAATAAAGCATGGTAAGGAAGACTATTCAGGACTGTGCAATCAGGATAGGGACTATAGTAGTGTGATTTTACAGTGAGGAAGAAAGTTGGTCTCAACTGTAAACAGCATGGGCAAGTGGGAATTTATAGCCAAGGAGTGGAGTGTCAGTGACAGAAAGTTCTCTGGAGGACAGGATAAAGGGGATTATGTCTAAACCTAACACAATTCTTGCTGAAAACAGGCCAGTGTGATCAAACATCAACTGGGGAATGATGGAAGATGAGGAACTTGATCATATATTTGCCAGGTGAGGTGTCAGAGCCCCAGCATCAGAAACTGGTCGACTCACAGGTTGGTAAGAAGAATTTACTGACAACAGAATAGGTTTGAAAAGGAAAATTTTATCAGATAGAAAGAACACTGCAGAAGAGTGCAGTAGGTTGCCTCAGAAAGAGAGGACTGCCACAGTGCAGACATGGTGGATTTTTCCTTAGGGATATCTATGGAACTTAAAGTGGAAGCTTAAGGGTAATTTGGACCATATTAGCCACATAGGTCATGATAGATGATTACATTTGTAGACATTTTGGTGCCTTGATGTCAGTGAGGGCTGTACAACAAGTTTTGACATGCATACATTCCAGAGATGTATAGAAATTCTAGTTACTTACAGTTTTCTTAAGCCTCGTACCAGATGCCTGCTTTAGATAATAGGGAAGTCTATTTCCGAATTCCTCAGATAAGGAGTTTTGTGCTTGATGGTCACCAGGCGATCTTTGCTGTCCTCATTTCCCCCCAATAAATATCTTGGTCAAGTCTTTGACCTTTTGTGTTCCCCCATGCTCATGTCTATCTGCTGCCTATTAGGGTCTCAAGAAAGGAAAAACAGCACAGTGAAAATGGACGTCGAGTCTGTCTGGCTACTTTCTGCTGAAAGGGGACATTGAAGGGATAAGTTGTGTTTTTCTCCTTCTTGCTCTCTGTCATTAGGCGATGAAGGGTCATGAAAAACTTGTTCACAGGGCAGGCACAGGGGTCGCAGAGGAATGAGATTTCATTAAGAGGCCTCGTGTAAATGGAAGTTGCTGTTGCAGGCCAGTACTGGGATTGCATAGTCATCTATAAATAGAATCGTTGTAATCTGGAACATATAAACTTAATGAGAGCATTAAAAAGGCAGGGACCAAATATTAAAGGAAGATTGAAAAGGAGCAAAGGTCCAAGGAATGGGAGAAGCCAAGTTATTTTTGGAAAATAATCAGTAAAGGTTTTGACTCAGTCTTGGTTTCTTCAAAAAAGTGTGTGTGTAGCCATTTGGCTTCTTTGAAAATTCCTTGGACATTAGTTTCTACTTCTCCAGACACATTAATGTAGGTGCAACAGGTTTTCTTTATGACAGCACAGACTCCTCCTTGTTCAGCTAGAATTTAAACCAGAGTTCATTTATTATCAAAAACCATTCCTATTAGTCAGTTTAAAGACTTTTCTAGTGCCGATAGACTTGTGCCAGTTTTTGCTAAGGCTATTTCAAGGGAGGCATTAAATTCTCATGGTTATGATTTCATGGTAAGTAAAACCTGCCAAGGGGTGAGAGTTGTGATAGTTCCCACAACTCCAGCCACAATAACTCCTAGGGCACTTTTTCTTCTAGAATGCAGTTCTAGTTTGGAAGTTATGTTCAAGACAGTGAATTCAGTGGGAGCCATTGTTCCCAGAGTACAATCACTATAATGAAGAGAATTATCAAGGTGGGATAGGGCCACAGCTTGAAAAGGGTTTAAATAAGTATTAGCAGTGCCATAAAGCCATAAGAGTTCAGGAAGGGCAGATAATATAGTTTGAGGCTTCTTGGACTAAGAGGGCCATGGCTGCTAAGGCTCTTAAGCCAGGGGCCATCCCTGGGATACTAGATCAAAAGTTCTTGAAAAATATGCTACAAGGCACTTAGAGGACCCCAGATCTTGGGATAAGGCTCCCAAAGATATTCCTCTTCATTCATACACATACAAAAAGAAAGGCTTAGTCAGATCTGGTAGGGATAAGGCCAGAGCTCAGATTAAAGTTTGTTTTACAGTGTTTAGAGGGAGCATTCTTTTAGTTTACACTGGAGTCTGTGTCCCCCTAAAAAATTGTTTAGAGCATACTTCATATCAATAGTCCAGCATAGAGGTTTTTCCTCAGTTCCCTGAGAGCTTCCTATAAAGGTTTTGTTAGTACTCCAAAGGAAGGAATTCATATACTGCAAAACCCGGCCATACCCAAGAAGGACCAAAGCTGTTGTTTATTTACTGGGGTTGTCACGTGTAAGATAAGATCTTTATGAACACTAGGGAGGCTCTTTGTAACAGGGGTTAAAATAAGACTCCAAAATTGAATTATCTGTATGCATATTTGTGCCTTAGAAGGAGATACTTTGTACCTACAATCAACAAGTTCTTTTAGTACTAATACCGTATTTTGGTCTGAAACAGCATTGTTAGGACTACAGATTAGTAGGTCGTCCACATACTGGAATAGATTGCTATCTGGGAGAAGCTGCAGGGTATACAGGTCTTTAGCTAGGACATGTCCAAAAGAGTAGAGACTCTCTGAATTGCTAGGGTAAAAAGTGTCTGAGTTAACTGTTGATAATTTGAGTATCTGGGTCTTGCCATTCAAAACCAAACAAAAATTGGCTACCTGGGTTTCCAAATATGCAGAAAAAGGCATCCTTAGGATCAAGTAGAGTAAACCAAGCTGTGGTGGAGGGAATGTGTCCAAAAAGAGCCCAAGGGTTTAGGACAATAGGATGAATAGGAATAACAGCTTCATTAATAATCATAAGGTCGTGTATTAGTCAATAGGAGCCATTGGTTTTCTATACAGCTAAAATAAGAGTGTTGCAAGGTGAATTGCATGGGCATAATAATCCATGGGTTAAAAATTTTGTTATTAGGGGCTTTAACCATTTTTGTGCTTCAGGTTTCAAGGGGTATTGAGGGTTTCCAGGGAACTTATTGGGATTTTTAAGCTGAATAATGATGGGAGCAGCTGATATTGAATGGACAGGAATAGACGTATTCCAAAACTCAAATGGCATTTGTTTTAAAATGTAAGGTTTTATTTATTTATTTATTTATTTATTTATTTATTTATTTATTTATTTATTTTCGAGACAGGAGTCTTGATCTGTCACCCAGGCTGGTGTGCAGTGGCGCAGTCTCAGCTCACTGCAACCTCCACCTCCCAGGTTCAAGTGATTCTCCCGCCTCAGCCTCCCGAATAGCTGGGAATACAGGGATTGTGCCACCATGCCTGGCAAATTTTTTGTATTTTAGTGGAGACAGGGTTTCACCATGTTGCCCAGGCTGGCCTCGAACTCCTGACCTCAGGTGATCCACCCGTCTTGGCCTCCCAAAATGCTGGGATCACAGGCATAAGCCACCATGCCCAGCCAGAATGTACAGTTTTATCGACTGCAGGAGCTCTTTTTGTGAAGTGTGAGTTAATACAGCCAGAAGGTGGGGCCTTGTCTATAAATTAGCTTGTAATTATAAATTAACTTGAGTTAAGTCACAACCTAATAATGGAACAGGACAGCTTGGCAGGATGAAAAAGAAGTGGGTAAAGGAAAAGCCTTCCGTTATTCAAGGGAGTAGTGGCATGAAACAGGTTTGTTGGGGTTTTCTATCAGTACCCGTGAGGAAAATGGAGGACTGGCATATCGGGCCACAGTAAACATTTAAAGCTGAATAACTGGCTCCTGTATCTATGAGGAACATTATCTCCTGTTCAGCCACAATCAGATTTACCCAAGGCTTGTCTGTAGAGATGGAAATGATAGGAGCCTGGATGGCCTCAAGGACCTATCAGTCATCTAGAGGATGACTTTCAGAGGCTTGATCAGAATCCTGGAAAAGAGTTAGAGGTGTTGTCTTTGCCTTTGCCCTTGCCCTTGTCCTCGTTCTGCAGGACCTCTTTGTCAGATGGGTTGGCGAGGTTGTGGGTGTGATAGCCTAGAAGGAAGAGGTGGCCCCCAATCATGAGGGAGAGAGAGGCACTCACTCTTCCAGTGACCCTCTTGTTTGCAATGAGGATAGGGTCCCATGGATGGCTTGTAACCCAGAGGTTTAGAATGTTCTCTATTCCAGTGTCCTGGATTCCTGCCAAAATGACAGGGCCCCATTCTGTTAGTATTATAGGGATAAGCCTTGCAGTTATCAGCTAATGAAAAATGATATGCCAATGCTGTTGCCATATAATCAGCTTGGTGGCAGCATTTTTCCTCCTGCTATTGGGCCTTTCTTATTTTTGATGTTTCCTCCCAGCTATTGAAAACCATAAATGCTGCATTTAATAAAGTAGGAAAGTGGCCAGGTGCGGTGGCTCATGCCTGTAATCCTAGCACTTTGGGAAGCCGAGGCAGGCAGATCACAAGGTCAAAAGATCGAGACCATCATGGCCAACATGGTGAAACCCTGTCTCTACTAAAAATACAAAAGTTAGCTGGGTGTGGTGGCACCTGTAGTCCCAGCTACTCAGGAGGCTGAGGCAGGCTTCACTTGAACCCAGGTGGTGGTTGCAGTGAGCCAAGATTGCGCCACTGCACTCCAGCCTGGCGACAGAGCGAAACTCCATCTCAAAGTAAGTTGGATTCCTAGGTATTTTATTCTCTTTGTAGCAATTGTGAATGGGAGTTCACTCATGATTTGACTCTCTGTTTGTCTGTTAATGGTGTATAGGAATGCTTGTGATTTTTGCACATGGATTTTGTATCCTGAGAGTTTGCTGAAGTTGCTTCTAAGCTTAAGGAGATTTTGGGCTGAGATGATGCAGTTTTCTAAATATACAATCATGTCACGGGCAAACAGAGACAATTTGACTTCCTCTTTTCCTACTTGAATACCCTTTATTTCTTTCTCTTGCCTGATTTCCCTGGCCAAAACTTCTAACAATATGTTGAATAGGAGTGGTGAGAGAGGGCATCCCTGTCTTGTGCCAGTTTTCAAAGGAAATGCTTCCAGTTTTTGCCCATTCAGTATGATATTGGCTGTGGGTTTGTCATAAATAGCTCTTATTACTTTGAGATACATCCCATCAATACCTAATTTATTGAGAGTTTTTAGCATGAAGGGCTGTTGAATTTTGTCAAAGGCCTTTTCTGCATCTATTGAGATAATCATGTGGTTTTTGTCTTTGGTTCTGTTTATATGCTGGATTATGTTTATTGATTTGCGTGTGTTGAACCAGCCTTGCATCCCAGGGATGAAGCCCACTTGATCATGGTGGATAAGCTTTTTGATGTGCTGCTGGATTCGGTTTGCCAGTATTTTATTGAGGATTTTTGCATCGATGATCACCAGGGATATTGATCTAAAATTCTCTTTTTTTGTTGTGTCTCTGCCCGGCTTTGGTATCAGGATGATGCTGGCCTCATAAAATGAGTTAGGGAGGATTCCCTCTTTTTCTATTGATTGGAATAGTTTCAGAAGGAATGGTACCAGCTCCTCTTTCTACCTCTGGTAGAATTCGGCTGTGGATCCGTCTGGTCCTGGACTTTTTTTGGTTGACAGGCCATTAATTATTGCCTTAATTTCAGAGCCTGTTAATGGTCTATTCAGGGATTCAACTTCTTCCTGATTTAGTCTTGGGAGGGTGTATGTGTTGAGGAATTTATCCATTTCTTCTAGATTTTCTAGTTTATTTGCGTAGAGGTGTTTATAGTATTCTCTGATGGTAGTTTGTATTTCTGTGGGATCTGTGGTGATACCCCTTTATGATTTTTTATTGCGTCTATTTGATTCTTCTCTCTTTTCTTCTTTATTAGTCTTGCTAGCAGTCTATCAATTTTGTTAATCTTTTCAAAAAAACAGCTCCTGGATTCATTGATTTTTTGAAGGGTTTTTTGTGTCTCTATCTCCTTCAGTTCTGCTCTGATCTTAATTATTCCTTGTCTTCTGCTAGCTTTTGAATGTGTTTGCTCTTGCTTCTCCAGTTCTTTTAATTGTGATGTTAGGGTGTCAATTTTAGATCTTTCCTGCTTTCTCTTGTGGGCATTTAGTGCTATAAATTTCCCTCTACACACTGCTTTAAATGTTTCCCAGAGATTCTGGTATGTTGTGTCTTTGTTCTCATTGGTTTCAAAGAACATCTTTATTTCTGCCTTCATTTTGTTATGTACCCAGTAGTCATTCAGGAGCAGGTTGTTCAGTTTCCATGTAGTTGAGCAGTTTTGAGTGAGTTTCTTAATCCTGAGTTCTAGTTTGATGGCACTGTGGTCTGAGAGACAGTTTGTTATAATTTCTGTTCTTTTACATTTGCTGAGGAGTGCGTTACTTCCAACTATGTGGTCAATTTTGGAATAAGTGTGATGTGGTGCTGAGAAGACTGTATCTTCTTTTGATTTGGGATGGAGAGTTCTGTAGATATCTATTAGGTCTGCTTGGTGCAGAGCTGAGTTCAATTCCTGGATATCCTTGTTAACTTTCTGTCTCGTTGATCTGTCTAATGTTGACAGTGGGGTGTTAAAGTCTCCCTTTATTATCATGTGGGAGTCTAAGTCTCTTTGTAGGTCTCTAAGGACTTGTTTTATGAATCTGGGTGTTCCTGTATTGGGAGCATATATATTTAGGATAGTTAGCTCCTCTTGTTGATTTGATCCCCTTACTATTATGTAATGGCCTTCTTTGTCTCTTGATCTTTGTTGGTTTAAAGTCTGTTTTATCAGAGACTAGGATTGTAACCCCTGCTTTTTTTTGTTTTCCATTTGTTTTGTAGATCTTCCTCCATCCCTTTATTTTGAGCCTCTGCAGGTGAGATGGGTCTCCTGTATACAGCACACTGATGGGTCTTGACTCTTTATCCAATTTGCCAGTGTATGTCTTTTAATTGGAGCATTTAGCCCATTTACATTTAAGGTTAATATTGTTATGTGTGAATTTGATCCTGTCATTATGATGTTAGCGGGTTATCTTGCCCGTTAGTTGATGCAGTTTCTTCCTATTCTCGATGGTCTTTACAATTTGGCATGTTTTTGCATTTGTTCCTGGCACCAGTTGTTCCTTTCCATGTTTAGTGCTTCCTTCAGGAGCTCTTTTAGGGCAGGCCTGGTGGTGACAAAATCTCTCAGCATTTGCTTGTCTGTAAAGGATTTTATTTCTCCTTCACTTATGAAGCTTAGTTTGGCTGGATATGAAATTCTGGGTTGAAAATTCTTTTCTTTAAGAGTGTTGAATATTGGCCTCCACTCTCTTCTGGCTTGTAGAGTTTCTGCTGAGAGATCCGCTGTTAGTCTGATGGGCTTCCCTTTGTGGGTAACCCGACCTTTCTCTCTGGGTGCCCTTAACATTTTTTCCTTCATTTCAACTTTAGTGAATCTGACAATTATGTGTCTTGGAGTTGCTCTTCTCGAGGAGTATCTTTGTGGTGTTTTCTGTATTTCCTGAATTTGAATGTTGGCCTGCCTTGCTAGGTTGGGGAAGTTCTCCTGGATAATATCCTGAAGAGTGTTTTCCGACTTGGCTTCATTTTCCCCGTCACTTTCAGGTACACCAATCAGATGTAGCTTTGGTCTTTTCACATAGTCCCATATTTCTTGGAGGCTTCGTTCATTTCTTTTTACTCTTTTTTCTCTAAACTTCTCTTCTAACTTCATTTCATTCATTTGATCTTCAATCACTGATACCCTTTCTTCCAGTTGATCGAATTGGCTACTGAAGCTTGTGCATGCATCTCGTAGTTCTCGTGCCATGGTTTTCATTTCCATCAGGTCATTTAAGGACTTCTCTACACTGGTTTTTCTAGTTAGCCGTTCATCTAATCTTTTTTCAAGGTTTTTAGCTTCTTTGTGATGGGTTCGAACATCTTCCTTTAGCTCGGAGAAGTTTGATCATCTGAAGCCTTCTTCTTCTCAACTCATCAAAGTCATTCTCCATCCAGCTTTGTTCCGTTGCTGGCAAGGAGCTGCATTCCTTTGGAGGAGAAGAGACATTCAGATTTTTAGAATTTTCAGCTTTTCTGCTCTGGTTTCTCCCCATCTTTGTGGTTTTATCTACCTTTGGTCTTTGATGATGGTGACGTACAGATGGGGTTTTGGTGTGGATGTCCTTTCTGTTTGTTAGTTTTCCTTCTAACAGTCAGGACCCTCAGCTGCAGGTGTGTTGGACTTTGCTGGAGGTCCACTCCAGACCCTGTTTGCCTGGGCATCAGCAGTGGAGGCTGCAGAACAGCAAATGTTGCTGCCTGATCATTCATCTGGAAGCTTCGTCTCAGAGGGCACCCGACTGTGTGAGGTGTTAGTCGGCCCCTAATGGGAGGTGCCTCCCAGTTAGGCTACTCGGGAGTCAGGGACCCACTTGAGGAGGCAGTCTGTCCATTCTCAGATCTCAAACTCCGTGCTGGGAGAACCACTACTCTCTTCAAAGCTGTCAGACAGGGACATTTAAGTCTGCAAAAGTTTCTGATGCCTTTTGTTCAGCTATGCCCTGCCCCCAGAGGTGGAGTCTACAGAGGCAGGCAGGCCTCCTTGAGCTGTGGTGGGCTCCACCGAGTTTGAGCTTCCTGGCCACTTTGTTTACCTACTCAAGCCTCAGCAATGGCGGGCGCCCCTCCCCCAGCCTCGCTACTGCCTTGCAGTTCAATCTCAGACTGCTGTGCTAGCAATGAGCGAGGCTCCATGGGCGTGGCACCCTCCAAGCCAGTTGTGGGATATAATCTCCTGGTGTGCCGTTTGCTAAGACCATTGGAAAAGCGCAGTATTGGGGTGGGAGTGACCCGATTTTCAAGGTGCTATCTGTCACCCCTTCCCTTGGCTAGGAAAGGGAATTCCCTGACCCCTTGCAATTCCCGGGTGAGGCGATGCCTCACCCTGCTTTGGCTCACACTCGGTGGGCTGCACCAACTGTCCTGCACCCACTGTCCAACAAGCCCCAGTGAGATGAACCCGGTACCTCAGTTGGAAATGCAGAAATCACCCATCTTCTGCATCGCTCATGCTGGGAGCTGTAGACTGGAGCTGTTCCTATTTGGCCATCTTGGAACTGCAAGCCTACATTCCTAAAATTGGATTTTACAAAGAAGTGCACAGATGGGCTCAGGAGAAGTTTTGGGAACTTGAGTAAAGTTAGTTCAAGGAAACAATCCTTGTCAGTTATATTGATGAAAAGAGTCAAATAGGCCAAGTGCAGTGGCTCACGCCTGTAATCCCAGCACTTTGGGTGGCCGAGGCGGGCAGACACTTGAAGTCAGGAGTTTGAGATCAGCCTGGCCAACATGGTGAAACCCCATCTCTACTAAAAATACAAAAATTAGCTGGGCGTGGTAGTGCACGCCTGTAATCCCAGCTACTAGGGAAGCTGAGGTAGGAGAATTGCTTGAACCCAGGAGATGGAGGTTGCAGTGAGCCGAGACCGTGCCACTGCACTCCAGCCTGGGTGAAAGAGCAAGACTCCATCTCGGAAAGAAAAAAAAAAAAGAAAAGAGTCAAATAAGTCTCAAATATTTGAAGATATTTATTCTGAGACAAATATAAGTGACTGGCCAGGCATGGTGTCTCATGCCTATAATCTCAGCACTTTAGAAGGCCTAGATGGGAGGATAGCTTGAGTGCAGGAGTTTGAGACCAGCCTGGGCAACATAGTCAGATATCATCTCTAAAAAAAAATAAGCAAAATTAGCTTGGCATGGTGGTGCATGCATGTAGTCCTAGTTACTCAGGTGGCTGAGCAGGGAGGATCACTTGAGCTCAAGAAGTTGAAGCTGCAGTGAGCCAAGATCACACCACTGCTCTCCAGCCTGGGTGACAGAGCAAGACCCTTTCTCAAAAACAAACAAACAAATACGAGTGACCGTTGGTCTGTGACACAGCCCTTGGGAGGTCCTGAGAACATGTGCCCTACAACTTGAGCTACAACTTGATTTTATACCTTTTAGGGAGACATAGGACATTAATCAATACATGTAAGATGTACATTGGTTTGGTCCAGAAAGGTGGGACAACTGGGAGTGGGGTTTGGGGGTGGGTATCTTCCAGGTCATACATTTTAGAAATTTAAAGATTTTCTGATTGGCAATTGGTTTAAAGAGTTATTATCTAAAGACCTGGAATCAATAGAAAGAAATGTCTGGGTTATGATAAGGGGTTGTAGAGACCAAGGTTTCATCATGCAGATAAGGCCTCCAGGTATCAGGCTTCAGAGAGAATAGATTATAGATGTTTCTTATCAGACTTGGAGTCTGTTCTATCAGTCTTAAGGTCTCTATGTTTATGTTAATGTTGGTCATGTGTGAGGCATGTCTAACACTTACCACCCTCCACTTCCCATCATGGCCTGAACTAGTTTTTCAGATTAATTTTGGAATGCCCTTGGCCAAGAGGAGGGTCCATCAGTCAGTTGGGGGCTTATAATTTTATTTTTGGTTTACATTAAAAAAGTTAGATCTGGCTAGGCACAGTGCCTCATGCCTGTAATCCCAGCACTTTGGGAGGCTGAGGCAGGCAGATCACCTGAGGTTGGAGTTTGAGACCAACCTGACCAACATGGAGAAACCCCATCTCAATTGAAAATACAAAATTAGCCAGGCATGGTGGCACAGGCCTGTAATCCCACCTACTCAGGAGGCTGAGGCAGGAGAATCACTTGAACCCGGGAGGCAGAGGTTGTGGGGTGAGCCAAGATCATGCCATTGCACTCCAGCCTGGGCAACAAGAGCAAAACTCCATCTCAAAAAAAAAAAAAAAAAAAAAAAGAGAAAGTTGAATCTACCTTACATGAAGTGTGAGTTATGATGGATATTATCAGCCCCATAGTTCCACCCCTGAGAAAAGCAACAAAAGGAGGTTGTTAGCTAAACCACTGTTTTGTTCACCCAAAGACTCAAACTGAAATATTTATCTTTTCCTCCTGTAGTAAAGGAAGTGGTGCATTTCATAAGACCAATCTTCCTGTTGTTTTACAATAATGTGTCAACCTTAAATAAAAAGATTTAGAAAGTATGATTACCTATAGAGTTTACTAGAGCTCAAAGATTGAGGATGGCCACCCAGGAGCATACATTCAAGTTGCCCTGAATATACACTTCAATTAGCAGTAGTAACAGTGGGTTTTTAAAGCAGAAAAGAAGAGTCAGTTCCTAAATTATTTAGCAAGTATTTACATTAAAATAAACTACTGATTGTCTATACATTTTTCTTTGTATCACAAATTCTAGGAACATGAAGATAATGGCTTAGGTAGCTAGTCAGGCATAAAATGCCTTTTAAATAATTGCCCCAGGCTGGGCATGGTGGCTCACACCTGTAATCCCAGCACTTTTGGAGGCTGAGGCCGGCGGATCATCTGAGATCAGGAGTTCGATACCAGCCTGGCCAACATGGTGAAACTCCATCTCTACTAAAAATACAAAATTTATCTGGGCATGGTGGTGTGGGCCTGTAATCCAAGCTACTCAGGAGGCGGAGGCACAACAATTGCTTGAACCCAGGAGGTGAAGGTTGCAGTGAGCAGAGGTTGCACAACTGCACTCCAGCCTGGGTGACAGAGTGAGACTCTAACTCAAAAAAAAAAAAAAAAAAGTAAAAGACTTAATTTTTTTTTCTGTGGAAATAAGGGAAGGCACAGCTCTGACCTCTCCTTTTTCTTTCAGAATTTAATCCTCTGTCCTTTTCAAATGTATGTTACATCTTTATAATGGCTAAATAAACCTCTTCTCAGTCTCACAATTTAGGACCTGGGAGTCATGTTTCAAAATGCGTATTCAAGGGAGACAGCTCTCATAGTTCTTCTGGGAGGGTAAGAACTGAATTTTGGTGGGCAGGGTGCCTTGGCCCAATCTTCAAAACTATATCCTTATGAAAAGATTTAGGGAGTTTGCTTCTTCTCACTTGGATAAAACCAATTAGCTAACACTGGTGGTCCTCCTAACAATTATGCTAAACTTAAGATGAACTATATGTGACAAAATATGCTGTCAAGTTTTCTTACTTGAAGCCTATTTTTGTTTTTCTTGAAAACATGCATGTAATGGGTTGCATCTGCTTGTCAGTATAAAGGGGTGAGATTCCTTGTGTCTTTTCAATCTCTTAATGAGTCGCCTATGATGTCTATCACATTGTGGTTTAATGCTCATTCAATAATGAAACTGTTTTCTATCTCTACTACCATTGTGGAGAGGATTTTGGGGTTGGGAGATTTTTTTTTTTAAGAGAGACAGGGTCTCACTATGTTGCCCAGGCTGGTCTTGAACTCCTGGGCTCTAGTGATCCTCCTGCCTTGGCCTCCCAAAATGCTGGGAAGATTTTGCTTTTAATTGTATTTTCCCAACAATAATATACCATTTCCTAAGTCCTGGAGCAATCAGGTAATAGAAGACACCACCTTCAGGCAGAGAGAGGAGGAAGCAGCCAAGGTATTACAGAGCAATGAATTTTGCAAAGCATTAAACCACAGTAAGTCCTCATTTAACTTCATAGATAGTGTCAACCTTAAAATAATGAGATTCAGAAAATATGATTAAATATAGTTTATCTGATCTCAAAGCTTAAGGATGGCTACCCAGGATCATAGATTCAAGTTGTACTAAATGTACACTCTGATTAGCAGCAGTTACAAGTGGCTTTTTAAAGCAAAAGGGAAGAGGCAGTTCATACATTTTTTACCAAGAATTTACATCAAAATAACATATGCTATTGATCGTCTATACATTGTTCTTTGTATCTCAAATTGCAGGAGCATGAAAATAATAAGTGAGGCACCTAGTCATGAGAACAAATGCTTTTAAACAATTACCCCTTGGCAGCTGGGCACGGTGGCTCACATCTGTAATCCTAGCACTTTGGGGGGCCAAGATGGGTGGATCACGAGGTCAGGGGTTCAAGACCAGTCTGACCAACATGGTGAAACCCTGTCTCTACTAAAAGTACAAAAATTACTGGGCGTGGTGGCAGGCGCCTGTAATCCCAGCTACTCAGGAGGCTGAGGCAGGAGAATTGCTTGAACCCAGGAGGCGGAGGTTGCAGTGATCTGAGATCACACCACTGCACTCCAGCCTGGGCGACAGAGCAAGACTCGGTCACAAAAAAAAAAAACAAAAAAAAAAAACACCCCTGGGCCTGGGTTGGGGAGCAATGAGAATGGGGGTATATGTGACCAAAGTCCCATACTCATGTTTCTCTGGGCTTAAAAATTTTGCAAACCTCACATAACTGAGACTGCTCTGAGCTATTTTTCTTTCCTCAATAGGTTATTGAAGCTGTGACTTTAAGCTAAATAATGCATAATAAAACCAAATTTACCTTAGGCTAATTGATATAAACAAGAGTTAAGTTCCTAAGGCATATTTCCAGTAACGAAAACATTACAAAACTTCTAAATAAAGAGAAAAAACACATCTAATATTAAACACTGAAATAAATGTGAGCTATACATACATTTTTAAAGGATTAATAAAAACAAGATAATTGCCCAACTTTTGGTGAATCAGTAAGTGATGAAGGTCACAAGCGTGTTGGGTTAAATCAAGAAATAAACGTTTGCAAAGCAAAAACTGTTAAGTTTTTGGAAAGGGGTTACTGGAAAGGGGTCCCAAACCAGACCCCAAGAGAGGGTTATTGGATCTCATGCAAGAAAGAATTTGAAGCGAATCCAGAAACTGAGAGCAAGTTTATTAGAGAAGTAAAGAAACAAAATAATGGCTACTGCATAGGCAGAGCAGCAGCTTGGAATGCTCAACTGATAATACTTATAGTTATTTCTTTATTATATGCTAAACATAGGGTGGATTATTCATGAGTTTTCCAGGAAAGGACAATTCCCAGAACTGAGCGTTTCTCACCTTTTTAGACCATATAGGGTAACTTCCCAACATTGCTATGGCATTTGTAGACTGTCATGGTGCTGATGCGAGTGTCTTTTAGCATCCTAATGCATTGTAATTAGCATATAATGAACAGTGAGAATTATCAGAGGTCAATTTGGTCACCATCTTGGTTTTGGTCGGCTTCTTTATCACATGCTGTTTTACCAGCAATGTCTTTGTGACCTGTATCTTGTGCCAACCTCCTATCTCATCCTGTGACTAAGAATGCCTAACCTCCTGGGAATGCAGTCCAGTAGGTCTCAGCCTTATTTTACCCAGTCCCTACAGAAGATGGAGTTGCAGGCCAGGCATGGTGGCTCACGCCTGTAATCCCAGCACTTTGGGAGGCTGAGGCAGGTGGATCACCTGAGGTCAGGAGTTTGAGACCAGCCTGACCAACATGGAGAAACCCCGTCTCTACTAAAAATACAAAAAAAATTAGCCAGGCATGGTGGCCTATGCTTGTAATCCCAGGTACTCTGGAGGCTGAGGCAGGAGAATCTCTTGAACCCAGGAGGCAGAGGTTGCGGTGAGCTGACATCGAGCCATTGCACTCCAGCCTGGGCAACAAAAGCAAAACTCTGTCTTAAAAAAAAAAAAAAAAAGATGGAGTTGCTTTAGTTCAAATGCCTCTGACATAAACAGCACTTCCTCCCACCATGCAGTTCAATAACAATCACAAACATGGCAGGCTCATTGAGCGCTTTCATACCACATTGTTTATGGTCATACATTTTGTATGATCACTGTATAATTTACAAATTTTATTTTACAATAATCTGTATTAACTCTTTCATTCATTTTCCAATCTATTTATTCCACCAGTTCAGGGTCAGGTATAGCCAGAGTCTATCCAGCAGCTCAGGGCATAATGCAGAAACCAGACCTGAACAGAACATCATCCTACTGCACAGTGCCCTCACACACACCTGAATTAACTCTGATTGGTACAATGTACACATGCCAATTAACCTAATGTGCACATCTTTGGATTGTGAAAGGAAACTGGAGTACTAAGAGAAAACCCACACCCATATTATTTGAGTACCTGCTGTACAGCACAATTCTTTTGTTTGGCCTCTGACTGTCGTTGTCCAAAGACTTTCATTTCATTAAAGTTTTAAAAAGCAAAAAAGGCCTGGCCTTCAACAACCTTTGCAAAATTATGATAGTAAAAGAAGTCTGACATGGCTGACTCCATCTTGCTTCTAAACTCTAAGCTGTCTATGCTTATTCCTCAGTGTAGCCTAAGCTAACAATGGGAGGAATTTATATTTTAACTTAAAAGCAAGGACAATAATAGTTCCTCTCTAAAACTAACCTCCTCCTTGTTCACAGATTGAAAACCACATTTATAAGATTGATGAAAGGCCACAAGATTAGGATTATGGGAGGGGCCTGAATTCTAGTATAGTTTCTATAATCCCTTGTTCCTCAGGAGTCATGTGGCCACAGGATTTATGACTTTCCCAATTGCTCCTATAGATAACATCACTAAGATTTGTCTTTTGAGATTTTTTCAGACTTTCTGGCAACCAACTGATCCCACCAGGACCCATGACTCTTGACTCAGCTGGTCCTGTGGCCCATCCAGAGGTAGACTTAGCACATGATGACTGTTTTCCACACCCCCATGACTTCATTTCCAACCAATCAGCAGCACCCATTCCCTAGCCACCTGGCCACCAAATGGTCCATAAAATGTCTAGCCTGTTAGTTCTCAGAGAACTGATTTGAGAATTCAAATTCCTCTATGTGGCTGGCCTCATGTCAATTAAACTTTCATTACTGAAATGTGGGGATCTCAGTGAATTGATTTTGTCTGTGCAGCACTCAGGAAGAACTCATCAGGCAATTACAGGCCCAGAAAGAAGAGGCCTTCCTAATTTTGGCAGACTCTAGGACAGAAATACCTACACCAAAAGGAAAAGAGAACATTCATATGGTACTAAATACAGAGAACAAAACTGACTTTTGAAACAAAAATAATTATACTTTGACCTCCATTCCTAGATCATCTCTAGTGACCTCTTCTCTTACATGCCTACCACTCACTTTTGTGGTTATATTATAAATCTTGGCATTACCTGATATTGCTCCACCATGACATTCACAAAAGCAGATATCTGATTCTATCACAACCTCCTATCACTTCAGCTTGCTTACTCAATTACATCTACTAACCTGTTTCTCAACTCCTTTGAAATCTTCAGTCAACTGTTCATTTACTTTCTACAGTCTTTCATCCCACCTTCTATTATTATTTGCCTCTCATTATACAGCTGGGACTCGTAGGGGAGGAAAACTGTCCTCTACCCTCTCAGGTTCTCCAGCTGGGTCTTTGAAATAAACTGACAACATACAAATTAACAGGAGAAAAGGCATACAAATTTATTTGATGTTAAATGTTTTACATGGCACAGGAGTCCTCGTAGAAAAAAAGAAAATCCCCAAAAAACAGCTAGGCTTGGAGAATTTGGACTGAGAAAGATAATTTTTTTTTCAAGACAGGGTCTCACTCTGTCACCCAGGCTGAAGTGCAGTGGTGTGATCATGGCTCACTGCAGTCTTAAACTCCCAGACTCAAGCAATCCTCCTGCCTCAGCCTCCCAAGTAGCTGGGACTGCAGGTGCAAACAACCATGCTCAGCTAGTTTTTTCATAAGAAAGATAAACTTAGAGAGAAGAGACAAGGCAAAGGAAAAGGACTTTGAGCTTCTATGAGTAACAAATTGAGGGAAAGCAAATATATGGGGAAACTGATGATAGATAAGGGCTAGCCAGTAGGTTTGTTTATGTAGACTCTTTCTCAGTGCCATCTCATCTCTGGTGATAAGTTGTTTTCTTCCTGGTATGTAACCATAATAGATTTGTTTCCTGATGCACTCAGCAAGTCAATATACTGAGATACCAGGTTGCAGCAGAGAAAGCGTTTTAATCATAGGGCTGCAAACAAGGAGACAAGAAGAAACCTCAAATCCATCTCCCCAGGGGGTTTGGGGTTAGAGATTTTAAGGGTTTTGCAGTGGGCTGAAGTAAGGAGACTGTTGATTTGTAGAAAATTGTAGAGTGAAGTCATGGAAGAAGGAGATGAATAAGCTGTATATATATATATACACTACCCATGACTATATATATATATATATAGGCACAATAACAGTTTAATGTAGCCTTGACCTCCTGGGCTCAAAGAAACTGTATTCTCATGTTGATTCAGTTCCTCTGTGGGGGTCTTCAAACATTCAAGTTGTACCACTGGAATTCAGAATCTGCTTAAGCACTTTCTTTTTTTTTTTTTTACACACTGTCCCACTCTGTTGCCCAGGCTGAATGTAGTGGCACAATCACAGCACACTGCAGCCTTGACTTCCTGGGCTCAAGCAATCCTCCCAACTCAGCTTCCTGAGTGGCTGGGACTGTTACAGGTAGTTAAATAGGCATGTGTGGGGCAGGACAGGGCTCTTCTTCCCCACCCACTAAGAACGTCAGGTGATGGTTCAAAAATTTTCACACTGACTCTAAAAATAATTTGGCAGCCAGTGACAGGGAGGGACAATCTCCTGATGACCCACAGCTATTACCATTCAAGTGTTAGGCCAGGCACATTGGCTCACTCCTGTAATCCCAGCACTTTGGGTGGCCAAGGCAGTTGGATCACTTGAGGTCAGGAGTGCAAGAACAATCTAGCCAACATGACAAAACCCTGCCTCTACTAAAAATACAAAAAAAAAAAAAAAATTAGCCAGGCATTGTGGTGCATGCCTGTAATCCCAGCTCCTCAGGAGGCTGAGGCACGAGAATCACTTGAACCTGGAGGCAGAGGTTACAGTGAGTCGAGATGGCACTACCGCACTCCAGCCTGGGTGAAGAAGTGAAACTCTGTCTCAAAAAAAAAAAAAAAAAAAAAAAAAGCCCAGGCAGGGTGGCTCATGCCTGTAACTCCAGCACTTTGGGGGGCCAAGGCAGGTGGATCATGTGAGGTTAGGAGTTCAAGACCAACCTGGCCCAAATGGTGAAACCCTGTCTCTACCAAAAAATACAAGAAGTATTTGGTCTTAGTGGTACACACCTGTAGTCCCAGCAACTCGGAAGGCTGAGGTGGGAGAATCTCTTGAACCTGGGAGGCAGATGTTGCAGTGAGCCAAGATTGTGCCACTGTATTCCAGCCTGGGTGACAGAGTGACATTCTGTCTTAAAAAGAAAAACGAAAAAAAACATTAAAGTGTTAACTGAATGCAGACGCCAGGGAGAAACAATTTCCTGGGCATGCACATTAAGAGACAAAATGGTGAAGTATGACCTTCCAGGGACACTCCATTGGAAAAGGGAAGAAAGCCTCAGATGGGCATGCGTACAACTGCCTAAACAGATTGCATGTGTGTGCTCACTTTCCAAGGGTAAGAAGGGCACTGCGCATGCAGACAGCCCATCCTAAGGGAAGAAACATGGGAAAGAGGCAAGCTTATTGATGTGGTTTGGCTCTGTGTCCACACCCAAATTTCATCTTGTAGCTCCCATAATTCTCATGTGTTGTGGAAGGACCTGGCAGGAGAAAACTGAATCATGAGGATGGGTCTTTCCTGTGCTGTTCTCATGATAGTAATTGGGTCTCACAAAATCTGATGGTTTTAAAAACAATAGTTTCTCTGCACAAGCTCTCTCTTACCACCACCATGTAAGAAGTGCCTTTCCGGCAGGCGGATCACCTAAGGTCAAGAGTTCCAGACTGGCCCTCCCCCTCCCCCTCCCCCTCCCTCTCCCCTTTCTTTGTTCGGTCTCCCTCTGTTGCCGAGGCTGGACTGTACTGCCCTCATCTCAGCTCACTGCAACCTGCCTGCCTCGGGCTCCCATGATTCTCCTGCCTCGGCCTGCCCAGTGCCTGGGATTGCAGACACGTGCCGCCACGCCTGACTGGCTTTTGCGTTTTTGGTGGAGACGGGGTTTCGCCGTGTTGACCGGGCTGATCTCCAGCTCCTGACCTTGAGCGATCTGCCCACCTTGGCCTCCCGAGGTGCTGGGATTGCAGACGGAGTCTCACTCACTCAATGCTCAATGTTGCCCAGGCTGGAGTGCAGTGGCGTGATCTCGGCTCACTACAACCTCTACCTCCCAGCCGCCTGCCTTGGCCTCCCAAAGTGCTAAGATTACAGCCTCTGCCCAGCCACTACCCCGTCTAGGAAGTGAGGAGCGTCTCTTCCTGGCCGCCCATCGTCTGGGATGTGAGGAGCCCCTCTGCCCAGCCGCCCCGTCTGGGAAGTAAGGAGTGCCTCTGCCCGGCCGCCACCATGTCTAGGAAGTGAGGAGCATCTCTGCCTGGCCGCCCATCGTCTGGGATGTGAGGAGCGCCTCTGCCCGGCCGCCCCATCTGGGAAGTGAGGAGCGCCTCTGCCCGGCCGCCACCCCGTCTAGGAAGTGAGGAGCATCTCTGCCCGGCCGCCCCATCTGGGACGTGGGGAGTGCCTCTGCCCGGCCGCCCCGTCTGGGAGGTGGGGGGCGCCTTGACCCGGCCAACCCGTCTGGGAGGTGGGGGGGGCGCCTCGACCCGGCCGCCCTGTCTGGGAGGTGGGGGGCGCCTCTGCTCGGCCGCCCCGTCTGGGAGGTGGGGGGCGCCTCTGCCCGGCCACCACCCCGTCTGGGAACTGAGGGGCGCCTCTGCCCGGCCGCCCCATCTGGGAACTGAGGAGTGCCTCTGCCCGGCCGCCCCATCTGGGAACTGAGGAGTGCCTCTGCCCAGCCGCCCCGTCTAGGAAGTGAGCGCCTCTGCCCGGCTGCCCCGGCTGGGAAGTGAGGAACACCTGTGCCCGGCCGCCCCGGCTGGGAGGTGTAGCCAACAGCTCTGAAGAGACAGCGACCATCGAGAACGGGCCATGATGACGATGGCAGTTTTGTAGAAAAGAAAAGGGGGAAATGTGGGGAAAAGAAAGAGAGAACAGATTGTTACTGTGTCTGTGTAGAAAGAAGTAGACATAGGAGACTCCATTTTGTTCTGTACTAAGAAAAACTCTTCTGCCTTGGGATGCTGTTAATCTATAACCTTACCCCCAACCCCGTGCTCTCCGAAACATGTGCTGTGTCCACTCAGGGTTACATGGATTAAGGGCGGTGCAAGATATGCTTTGTTAAACAGATGCTTGAAGGCAGCATGCTCTTTAAGAGTCATCACCACTCCCTAATCTCAAGTACCCAGGGACACAAACACTGCAGAAGGCTGCAGGGACCTCTGCCTAGGAAAACTAGAGTCCTTTGTTCACGTGTTTATCTGCTGACCTTCTCTCCACTATTATCCTATGACCCTGCCACATCCCCCTCTCCGAGAAACACGCAAGAATGATCAATAAATACTAAAAAAAAAAAAAAAAAAAAAAAAAGAGTTCCAGACCAGCCTGGCCAACATGGTGAAACCCCCTCTCTACTAAAGATAGAAAAATTAGCTGGGCGTTTTGGTGCATGCCTGTAATCTCACTACTCAGGAGGCTGAAGCAGGAGAGTTGCTTGAACCCGGGAGGCAGAGGCTGCAGTGCGCTGAGATCATGCTACTGCACTCCATCTGGCCTAGGCAACAGAGTGAGATTCCATCTCAAAAAAAAAAGAAAAATAGTAGAATAAAGGTTAAAGGCAAAATGAAAAAAAAAAAAAAAAAAAAAAGAAGTGCCTTTCCCCTTCCGCCATGATTGTGAGGCCTCCCCAGCCACGTGGAACTGTAAACCCATTCAACCTCTTTCTTCTGTAAATTGCCCAGTCTTGGGTATGTCTTTATCAGCAGCATGAAGATGGACTAAAATGGTAAATTAGTACCAGTGGAGTGGGGTGTTGCTGAAAAGATACCCAAAAATGTGGAAGTGACTTTGGAACTGGGTAATAGGCAGAGGCTGGAACAGTTTGGAGGGCTCAAAAGAAGACAGGAAAATGTGGGAAAGTTTGCAACTTCATAGAGACTTGTTGAATGGCTTTGACAAAAATGCTGATAATGACATGAACAGTAAGGTCCAGGCTGAGGTGGTCTCAGATGGAGATGAGGAGCTTATTGGGAACTGGAGCAAAGGTGACTCTTGTTATGTTTTAGCAAACAGATTGGCAGCATTTTGCCCTTGCCCTAGAGATTTGTGGAACTTTGAACTTGAGAGAGATGATTTAGGGTATCTGGTGGAAGAAATTTCTAAGTAGCAAAGCATTCAAGAGGCTATTTGCATACTGTTAAAGGCGTTCAGTTTCAAAAGGGAAACAAAGCATAAAAGTTCAGAAAATTTGCAGCCTGATGATGCAATAGAAAAGAAAATCCTATTTTCTGAGGAGAAATTCAAGCTGGCTGCAGAAACTTGCATAAGTAACGAGGAGCTGAATGTTAACCACCAAGACAATGGGGAAAATGTCTCCAGGGCATGTCAGAGACCTTTGTGGCAGCCCCTCCCATCACAGGCCGGAGGCCTAGGAGGAAAAAAGTGATTCTGTGGGCTGGGCCCAGGGTCCACCTGCTGTGTGCAGCTTAGGGACTTAACGCTCTGCATCCCAGCCACTCCAGCCATGGCTGAAAGGGGCAAACAAAGAGCTTGGGCCATGGCTTCAAAGGGTGCAAGCCTCAAGCCTTAGCAGCTTCCATGTGGTGTTGAACCTACGAGTGCACGGAAGTCAAGAATTGAGGTTTGGGAGCTTCTGCCTAGATTTCAAAAGATGTATGGAAACGCCTGGATGTCTAGGCAGAAGTTTGCTGTGGGGCGGGGTCCTCATGGAACCTCTGCTAGGGCAGTGCAGAAGAGAAATGTGGGGTGGGAGCCCCCAAACAGAGTCCCTACTACTGGGGTACTGCCTAGTGGAGCTATGAGAAGAGGGCCACTGTCTTCCAGACCCCAGAATTGTAGATCCACTGCCAGCTTTGCACCATGCATCTCGAATGCTGCAGACACTCAATGCCACCCTGTGAAGACAGCCAGGAGGGAGGCTTTACCCTGCAAAGCCACAGGGGCGGAGCTGCCCAAGACCATGGGAACCCACCTCTTGCATCAGCATGACCTGGATGTGAGACATGGAGTCAAAGGAGATGATTTTGGAGCTTTCAGATTTGACCGCCCTGCTGGATTTTGGACTTGCAGGGGCCCTATAGCCCCTTCGTTTTGGCCAATTTCTCCCATTTGGAATGGCTGTATTTACCCAATGCCAGTACCGCCATTGTATCTAGGAAATAACTAACTTGCTTTTGATTTTACAGGCTCATAGGCAGAAGGAACTTGCCTTGTCTTGGATAAGACTTTGGACTGTGGACTTTTGAGTTAATGCTGAGATGAGTTAAGGCTTTGGGGGACTGTTGGGAAGGCATGATTGGTTTTGAAATGTGAAGATCAGAGATTTGGAAAGGGCCAGGAGCAGAATGATATGGTTTGGCTCTGTGACCCCACCCAAATCTCATCTTGTAGTTCCCATAATTCCCACTTGTGGGAGAGACATGGTGGGAGATGATCAAATCATGGGGGTGGGTCTTTCCTACGCTGTTCTCATGATAGTGAATGGGTCTCATGAGATCTGATGGTTTTAAAAATGGGAGTTTCTCTGCACAAGCTCTCTCTTGCTGCCACCATGTAAGAAGTGACTTTTGCCTTCTGCCATGATTGTGAGGCCTCCCCAGCCACATGGAACTGTAAGCCCATTAAACCTCTTTCTTCTGTAAATTGCCCAGTCTCAGGTATGTCTTTATCAGCAGCATGAAAACAGACTAACACACCTATAAAGTCCTAGGATCAAGATTAAACACCACACTTGACCTTCAGGTGCCCACTTGGATCTCGTCCAAGTGAATTTTCCTTCTTTCCTGTTCTAAAGCCTTTAAAATAAACTTCCACTCCTGCTCTGAAACTCACCTCTGTCTCTTCTTCTGCCTTCTGCTCCTCAGTTGAAATCTTTCTTCTGAGGAGACAAGAATTGAAGTTGCTGCAGACCCATACAAAGTCGCTGCTGCCGGTAACTCAGATACCTTCCAACAGTAACAGGACTACAAGCATGCACCACCATGCCCAGCTAATTTTTTTTAGTTCCTATAGAGACAGAATCTCATTATGTTGCCCAGGGTGGTCTCAAACTCCTGGACTCAAGTGATCCTCCTGCTTCAGCTTCCTAAAACGCTGGGATTATAGGGGTGAGCCATCATGCCTGGCCAAGCACTTTTTAAATAAAATTCTTATGATTCTAATATCAGAGCTCCTACCTATCTTAAAAACTTTATGATTTTAACATCAGAAATTCTATTTATAGGAACAATGGGGATGCAAATCTGGTGCTATGTAACTTTTGGTTATGAGGAAGTGAGTCAAAGTGCAGCTTGATTAATGCTTAATTATAATTGTATTTCTGTCCATTATTCTTGCTAACCCCGTGACAACAACTTCATTAAGTGTGTGAGTGGTGGGAGGAACACCTTCACAAGAGGAAATGTATGTTTTACTCTCAGGCAGATAGGAGAGGGCAGAGAGCTCATGTTATGTCTGCTTTTTATTAATTGTCTTCAGCTCAAAATAATCCTTACACCAGAGAGACATTTTTGGGGATGGTATATTTTGATCTCCTATAGACTCTACAGACCACTCCTGCAGCCACTCTGATGCTGATGATGGGGCTCAGGATACACCAACCCAAAATATGACCATAGGAGACTAGAACACATCACCCTAAAATATGCCTCTTTGACATATTGATTATTCTGATCTAGTTATTCTGGGAAGCTGCAGACACAGAAGCAGCTATGAAAAGTTGTCCTTTTATCTCAATAAAGGAAATCTCCATTGATAAGGATGTCTCCCTCTCTGCACCAAGAAGACACTGATTATTAAATCACTAGATACACTTTTTGTTTTTTTGACATGAAGTCTCACTCTGTTGCCCAGGCTGGAGTGCAGTGGCATGATGTCTGCCTCCTGGGTTCAAGCAATTCTCCTGCCTCAGTCCCCTAAGTAGCTGGGACTACAGGCATGCACCACCACGTCTAGCTAATCTTTTTTTTTTTTTTTTTGTATTTTTAGTGGAGATGGGGCTTTGCCATGTTGGCCAGGCTGGTCTCAAATTCCTGAGCTCAGGTGATCAGCCCACCGCATCCTCCCAAAGTGCTGGCATTACAGACATGAGCCACCAGTCTGGCCCTAAATCACTAGAGACTCTTAAACAATCAAGGCAGAATCACCTGAAATCTGCATAACAAACCTTATCTCCGTTTAAGGTAATTTTGCTGGTCATCTCAACTTAACTGAATCTGTCTCCACATCCTTCTTTGTTGTTGTTGTTGTTGTTGTTGTTTTCAGAAAATGATAATATTCAACCCTGAAGTTTAAAATCTTTTTTTGTTAATTTTTATTTTTTAAGATTTACTCATCTCTCTGGGTTATCTCCCATGCATACAAGAGGTATACAAGTTATTAAACTTGTTTTTCTCTTGTTCAATCTGTCTTTTGTTACAGAGAGTCTCAGCTAAGAACTCATGAAGGGAAGATAGATAGTCATATTTCTTCCCCTATACCAAAATATTTAACAACTTTACACCACTCCCCTTCTGTAAACTGAGTTTTACCCAGCCATCTTAGCCCTTAGCAGCATTAGCAAAATAGGGAGAAAGATCACGTAACACAGATTGGTATCACTATAAATTCATGATCCCCAAACTGAACTAGACTATTAGCACTGCCTGATATCATGGCTGTCTCACTAGTCAACTCATACTTCTTTCTTTACCATCTTAACCATTTTTTGAGTGTGCAGTTCAGTAGTGTTAACTATATTTACATTGCTATGCAACAGATCTCCAGGACTTTTTCATCTTGCATATCTGAAACTCATTAAACAACTCCACCATTCCTGGTAACTGTCACAGGGGGTGGCAGGGACAACTATCTGGGCCGGTGGCTCTGGAGTAAAAGAATTTACCAAAAACGCTTGTAAAGAAAGGCAAATTTATTAAAGAAAGTAGGAAAAGCCAGGCACGGCTCACGCCTGTAATCCCAGCACTTTGGGAGGCTGAGGCAGGCAGATCACAAGGTCAAGAAATTGAGACCATTCTGGCAAACATGGTGAAACCCCGTCTCTACTAAAAATACAAAAATTAGCTGGGCGTGGTGGCGCATGATTGTAGCCCCAGCTACTCGGGAGGCTGAGGCAGGAGAATCGCTTGAATCCAGGAGGCGGAGGTTGCAGTGAGCTGAGATCGCACCACTGCACTCCAGCCTGGTGTCAGAGCGAGACTCCCTCTCAAAAAAAAAAAAAAAGAGAGAGAGAGAAAGAAAGTAGGAAAATACATTGCAATAAAGCAACCGGAAGGCTGCAAAAGAGGAGCCGACTGCAAAGAGACAAAGATTAGCTGGAGATTTTATAACATAGAACTTGGGCTGATTGATAATGCCAATGCACTGGCAGCATAACTTGCTTTCTTTTGTCAGCTGAGATGTTTGATAAATTGAGGCGTTTGTTGGTAAGCAGTAAGTTTTTGAGTTACGTACATTATCTGAGTAGGAGGGCCATATGTATTGGGCAATATGTCCTTGGGCATAAAGAAAAACAGACCTATAATTCATCCTCTTCCTTTTTTGTTTATATGTCCTGAACCGTGAAGACAGGCATATTTATAGCTTATTTGCTTTATCTCTTTGCTTTCCTCTGGTCCCGCCAGCCTGACTCCTTTTCCCTAATTAGGACTCCACAGTAACAACCATTCTACTTTCTGTTTCTGTACATTTGTTATATGTTATTCTTTATGACAATAACAAACCTTCACCCAATCTTTAGTATCCGCAGAGGTAGTCTGTCTACCTCTTTCACAGAGAATGCGAACTGTATCAAATTATAGCCATCATGTCTATAAATTGTCCTCCATACCCACCTTAAGTTTCTTCCTTTCTTCTTGTTACAATGAAAGTGGTATTTCTTCCTCTTATACGAAACCAATCTCTCCATCTCTCCTCTAAATAGCATCTCTCCTCTATATACCATCTCTGTTAATCTTCTCAGGAAGTCTACCCATCCCATTATCCTTTCTTTCTCTTACCCCTTTGCTGATGATTCTAACAGCATTTAAAATGTCAGGCCTCTCCCAATCTAACATAATAATAATGAAGAAAATTTTCCTGGACTCCACATCCAGGGACTGAGCACGCTGTCTTTTCTTTAGACAAATTTCATAGAAATGTTTAAACTTGCTGATTCTATTTTCTCATAATCTCCTCATTCCTTATTCACTCTCATCTGGCTAAAGCCCCCAAACCTCACAATGAAGGTCCCAGTGGCCCTTGTATTGCTAAATCTAGTAGATACTTTTCAGTCTGCATTGCATGATCTCTAGGCAATATTTGACCCTGTTACCCATCCACTTGTCTTTGAAAACACCTTTTCCTTGATTTCTATGTCATATTCTGGTTGTTTTCCTCCCATCTCTTTAGCTGCTTATTTTCAGTTTCTTTTGTCCATTCCTGTTCTCTACCCAAGCCCTAGGTAATCTCTTCCACCCATATGGTTTCACAGACTCTATGTTAATAACTCTCAAATATGTATCTTTGGTGCATTCTTCTTTCACCTAAACTCTAGACCCATACAGCCAACTGCCAAATATCCTAAAGGAGATATCATTTGGCTATTTTGAAGAGAGATGAAAAGCCGCATGTCTAACACTATACTTACCATCTCTGCCCTCACACCATATACTCCTTTTCACTGTCTGCCCAGGTGCTCAAACCAGACTATTGACTTGTTCCTCTCCTTCTCTCCCAAATTGATCACCAAATTCTGTCATGTCCAGCTCTTAAATATCTTTCAAATATTCCCCCTTTTCTTTGCCTTTACTGCCACCACTGTTGTCCAAGCCACTAACATCACTTACCTGATCTATTTAGTATTCATTCATCAGCAAATTATTATTGAGTTTCCGATACTTGCCAAGCACTGTTGTAGACATTGAAGGTAGAGCAGAGAATCAAATACAAGAGTTCTCTACTTTGTAAGTAACACCTAAATCTTTGAATCCATGCTTTGTCTTCCAACTCTTGAAAGAGACGTTGGTATAGAGAAATCGTTCTCTATTATATAATAAACAGTGCAGGCAAAATACATGGCAAATGACATTTGCACCAGTGTAGAAAAGATAACATGTGGTGGAATAAGCTCTGGGGAACTGGAGAGTGGGTGCCTTGACTACAAAACAGCCTTTATTTAGGTCTAACCATTGTTTCCAAGAAGAAATATGAGCCAAGAGAGAGCATTCAGACCTTCTAGTTTTTCAATTCTAGTGTTTATGTGACATTGTCTTATGGGTTTTTATATATTTCCTTGCTTTTAAAATTTATTTCTTTTTCTTTTCTTTTTTTGTGTATTTTTTGTAGAGAGAGGGTTTCACCACGTTGGCCAGGCTGGTCTGGAACTCTTGAGCCCAAGCAATCTGCCTGCCTTGGCCTCCCAAAATGCTGATTATAGGCATGAGCCACTGCTCCTGGCCTACAATTTATTTTTTATTTTTTTGATACCTTACATCCCATATTACAAGCTATTTTTCTATGCCAAAACATGTATTTTGAGGCCGGGCGCGGTGGCTCACGCCTGTAATCCCAGCACTGTGGGAGTCCGAGGCGGGCGGATCACGAGGTCAGGAGATCGAGACCATCCTGGCTAACACGGTGAAACCCTGTCTCTACTAAAAATACAAAAAATTAGCCGGGCGCGGTGGCGGGCGCCTGTAGTCCCAGCCACTCGGGGGCTGAGGCAGGAGAATGGCGTAAACCCGGGAGGCGGAGCTTGCAATGAGCCGAGATCGCGCCACTGCACTCTGGCCTGGGTGAAAGAGCGAGACTCCGTCTCAAAAAAAAAAAACAAAAAAACGTATTTTGAAAATCACTGTGCTTTTTGTTGGAGGTAAGATGTCTGAAACCTGGAAATATTCTTAATCTAGAATAGGTCAGATCCCAGACATATTGAATAAATTATGTTCTGCTATATTTATAGAAACACTTCCAAAGATTTTTCACATAAAGAATCTTAGTAAACTTAACAGAATGAAATTTCCTTTACTTGACAAAGATCATATAGCAAAAACCTTCATAAAATATTAATGGAAAAACTTCAGATGTATCTCTTTAAAGAACAGGAACAAGAAAAAATAACCTCTACACTGCTATTTGTTATAACTACTAGACGATATTTATTCTTGATTTTTTTCCATGTTTGGGAGTAAACTCATGATTATTTTGCTATCACCACCTCACCTTTCTAACATGATAGTAATCAGTCTCTTAGACAAGATCTCGTTTTTTAAAATCATTTGGAAAAGACTATGCCTACCTTCTTTTATTTTAGTAAACTATATACAATATAAACATTTCCATTTTAGTCATTTTCAAGTGTACAGTTCAATGGCATTAAGTACATTCACGTTCTTGTACAACCATCACTACTATCCATCTCCAGAACTTTTTCATCATCCCATACTGAAAATTCATACCTATTAAACAGTAACTGCCCATTCTTCCCTTTCCCCAGCCCCTGGTAAACACTATTCTACTTTCTTTCTTTATGATTTGACTATTCTAGGCACTTCATATAGGTGGACTTATACAATATTTGTCCTTTTGTGCCTGGCTTATCTCAGTGTATAATGCCTCCAAAGTTTATCCATGTTGTACCATGTATCAGAACTTCATTCCTTTTTAAGACTGAATAATATTCCATTGTATGTACATGCAACATTTTTTAATCTATTCATCTGTTCATGGATATTTGGGTTGCTTCCACCTTTTGGTTATTATCAATAATGCTACAATGACATTAGAGTACAAGTGTCTGTTTGTGTCTCTGCTTTCAATTTCTTTGGGTATATTACTAGGAGTAGAATGGCTGCAGAATATGTTCATTCTGTGTTTGGTTACAAATATATGTGGAGGCTGAATTGGCCCCAAAGGCCACCAATTTACAAATGTGTTTTAATTTCATTTCACATTAAACTTTCCAAATGAGCTAGGAGGAGACAGAAACTTACCGTGGCTTATCACGTTCCAAGCATAGTGCCAGGTACTGGTGATAAACTGGTCAAAAAGATTAGGAGTTTAAAGTCCTAGCGTCAAGGAGTTTGAAGCTGAGTAAGAAGACGTGTGAAAAAAACATACTTTATTTTAGTACTCTGTCAGCAAATGTTTATAAATACAGGGCCCAAACAGAGAGTAGGTTGAAAAGAGGATTAGAAACAGTTTTTTTTTTTTTTTTTTTTTTTTTTTGAGACAGAGAGTCTTGCTCTGTCGCCCAGGCTGGAGTGCAGTGGCGCGATCTCAGCTCACCGCAACCTCCGCCTCCCAGGTTCAAGCGATTCTCCTGCCTCAGCCTCCCGAGCAACTGGGATTACAGGCGCGCGCCACCACACCTGGCTAATTTTTGTATTTTTAGTAGAGACGGGGTTTCACTATGTTGGCCAGGCTGGTCTCAAACTCCTGACCCCAAGTGATCCGCCCGCCTCGGCCGCCCAAAGCACTGGGATAACAGGCGTAAGCCAACTGGCCCGGCCCAGAAGAAGTTTTTAGGATATATGGAGGAAAACACAACACAACACAGCTACAACTCCGTGACAACTGAGAGCGTAGTCTTCGAGTACCCAGTTGCCTACTGACAGCCGTCTCCTCTAAGGCGCTTCTTTTAGCCAAGAAAGCGTTCTTTGCGTGCTGTGACGTAAAAAGCAGCGCCGGAAGGGAGAGGGCGGAACTTCCGGCTGAGCCCCAGCGACCGCTCTGGTCGGCTGTGTAGACTGTTGGGTAGGCTGCGTGCTAGCTTCGGCGCGGATCCCTGGGCGTCCGTACGTCGGAGTCCTTCGTCCTCCAGGGTCCCTGTTCTTTGCGCCAGCGGGAACCACTATCTCTGCACTCCTGGTAAGCGAGTTTCTTCTTTCGCCTAATGTGTGTGTTGGGGGTGGGAGGACGCCGGAGACGTTCCAAGATGCACTTAGTGGAGCATGTGCGTTCGGAAGGCCCACGGGTAAGAGGAAGCCCAGTGATTTTAATAAACTATAACTAGTACAGTACCTGAAACAAAATCAGTGGTTCCTGAAATGATGTACTTGATTGCTTTTTACAATTGGGGTTTTCATTTCTGTGGTATTCTAAGTCCTTGCCAGTTACAAGAATAAAACTTTTAAAACTCCTTCTGAAATCAATGTTTATTAGATTGGGGCCTGGGGACCCCAGTTAAATATTTCCGGGATTCTAAAGTAAATTGTTTTCTCTTTAAAGGGAGGCTGAGCCGGGCGCGGTGGCTCACGCCTGTAATCCCAGCACAATGAGAGGCCGAGGTGGGCGGATCACGAGGTCAGGAGATCCGAGACCATCCTGGCTAACACAGTGAAACCCCGTCTGTACTAAAAATACAAAATAGCCGGGCGTGGTGGCGGGTGCCTGTAGTCCCAGCTACTCGGGAGGCTGAGGCAGGAGAATGGCGTGAACCCTGGGAGGCGGAGCTTGCGCCGAGATCGCGCCACTATACTCCAGCCTGGAGTGACAGAGCGAGACTCCGTCTCAAAAAAAATAATAAAGGGAGGCTGAACTTTTTTTTTCTTTTTTTTTTTTTTAATGAAGGAAGCATCGATCTAGGGTATTAGAAAAATATTTGCGTGATTACTGTGAGCCAAATACTGTCAAGCATTGGATTCAATGTTAACATTATAGACAAAGTCCTTGTCCTCATGGACACTAGTTAGTCCTTACCATCTAGTGAGGCAAATAGATAACCAGGCAATTACAGTGCAGTGTTAGAAGTACTGTCATAGGCACCAGAGTGCTGTGAAAAGTAATGGTGGAATACTTGAAGTGTGAGGTGAAGAATAGCTAGAGATGCTGCTGACCTGGCCGCAATAAGCTTAGAAATATATGTTGGGAACAATACCAATGGATAGCAATATCCCTTGAAACAGAACATTGAAGGAGGATCAGATTGTGAAGCAAAGGTAGAGGGGTTATTTCGATTTGTTGCGTTTGAGGTGTTTTTTGTTTGTTTTTGTTGTTTTGAGACAGTCTTACTCTGTCGCTCACTGCAACAGATTTTGTTGCAAAATCTCGGCTCACTGCAACTTCCGCCCCCCTTATTCAAGCGATTCTTCTACATCAGCCTCACGAGTACCTGGGAAGTAGAAGAATCGCCCCACTTCAGCCTCACGAGTACCTGGGATTACAGGCATGCGCCACCACACCTGGCTAATTTTTGTATTTTTAGTAGAGACAGGGTTTCGCCATGTTGGTCAGGCTGGTCTCAAACTCCTGACCTCAAGCGATCCTCCCTCCTCGGCCTTCCAAAGTGCTGGGATTACAGGAGTGAGCCACTGCACCCGGCCTGCATTTGAGATGTCTTTCTAATGCATGGTCATTGAAGCCACAGAAGTAGGTCACATCTCAGAAGGGAAATGTATAGATTGAAAAAAAAGAATAGGATAGAATGCGGAGTTACATCCACCTTTAAGGGAGGGGCATCTGGACATCAGTGCACAGGTCAGAGAGCAGGAAACCTAGGAGCCTGTGCAGGGTCATTAAATGAAGCCAAGGGAAGAAGGAATTTTTCAAGTGTTTTATTTGCATTTTGTAAAAATTTGAATTCCCTTTATTTCTTTTCCTTCAAATTTGAGACAAGTTTTACATCTTTAAGCATCTTCAATATCTCATGGACATCCAGGCTTTTAGGATAAAACTGTGGAGCTTTATATACATTTATATACATTTGTCTCAATCTTGGACATTTTCTTTGTTAATAACATTATTTGCTGCAAAATAAAGCCTGAACTGGGGAAGAATTTGTTGCTATTTTTTGATCAGTAGATCTTGGTATATTTCTGTAACGAGGGCATTGGTACAGCAGTTTCTAAGTGCTTTTTACCTGTTGCCATTCTCAGTACCTTTCATGTCCTTTGTCTTTATTTGTTGCTTTTGTGAAGGATCTTATGTTTGGTTCTGTATCTGGGCTTAGTGTAGAATGGAGGAGTATGCAGCATCATGATGTCAGCTGCCTCGGTGGTACATAACTTTGTTGCCCAGTAACATTGATTCTCTGGGCCCCTAGATAAAAATCTAAAAAGGATCTTCAACTTATCCTTTTAGCTAAAGCAATAGTGAAATTCATGTCTAAAATAAGAACCCAACTTTTTTTTTTTTTTTTTTTGAGACAGAATCTCACTCTGTCACCCAGGCTGGAGTGCAGTGGCACAATCTCGCCTCACTGCAACCTCCAACTCCCGGGTTCAAGCAATTCTCCTGCCTCAGCCTCCCGAGAAGCTGGGATTACAGGTGCTTGCCACCATACCTGGCTAATTTTTGTATTTTTGGTAGAGATGGGGTTTCTCACCATGTTGGCCAGGCTAGTCTTGAACTCCTGACCTCAGGTGATCCACCCACCTCAGGCTCCCAAAGTGCTGGGATTACAGGCATGAGCCACTGCGCCCGGCCAAGAACCCAACTAAGTTTTAAACTTTTTACTCAATGAGTGATCACAGGCTGTAGACCACAGGAGTCTAGGAAAAAAATTGGTACAAAGATTTTACCTTGTGTTTCAAAAATTGATTTTATTTTGCTATTTCAAATTTATACTTGCACAATTAGTTGAGAAGTTATAAAAATCTTTGTCTAATTTTTAATTGCATTTTTCTTCTTTTACAGGGGTTTTGTTACATGGCTGCTTTCCTCAAAATGAGTGTTAGTGTCAATTTCTTCAGACCTTTCACCAGGTTTTTGGTGCCATTTACCCTTCATAGGAAGAGAAATAACTTAACAATTTTGCAGAGATACATGTCTTCCAAAATACCAGCTGTTACTTATCCTAAAAATGAGAGTACACCCCCTTCTGAAGAGCTAGAGTTGGATAAGTGGAAAACTACCATGAAATCTAGTGTGCAAGAAGAATGTGTTTCAACAATCTCAAGCAGTAAGGATGAAGATCCTCTAGCTGCCACCAGAGAGTTCATTGAGATGTGGAGATTGCTTGGCAGAGAAGTACCAGAACACATCACTGAAGAAGAGCTCAAAACCCTTATGGAATGTGTTTCTAACACAGCAAAAAAAAAATATTTAAAATATTTATATACGAAGGAAAAAGTGAAAAAAGCTAGGCAAATAAAAAAGGAAATGAAAGCAGCAGCAAGGGAAGAAGCAAAAAATATCAAGCTGCTAGAAACCACTGAGGAAGATAAACAGAAAAACTTTCTATTTTTACGACTTTGGGATAGGAATATGGACATAGCAATGGGCTGGAAGGGTGCCCAGGCCATGCAGTTTGGACAACCTTTGGTTTTTGACATGGCTTACGAAAATTATATGAAACGAAAAGAATTGCAGAATACTGTTTCCCAGCTTTTAGAAAGTGAAGGATGGAACAGAAGAAATGTTGATCCTTTCCATATTTATTTCTGCAATCTAAAAATAGATGGTGCTTTGCACAGAGAGTTAGTTAAACGGTATCAAGAAAAATGGGACAAATTGCTTTTAACATCAACAGAAAAGTCTCATGTAGATTTATTTCCAAAGGACAGTATTATCTATTTAACTGCAGATTCTCCCAATGTTATGACTACTTTCAGGCATGACAAAGTTTATGTAATTGGGTCTTTTGTTGATAAGAGTATGCAGCCAGGCACATCCCTAGCCAAGGCAAAACGGCTGAACCTGGCAACTGAATGCCTTCCATTAGATAAATATTTACAATGGGAAATTGGTAACAAAAATCTCACCTTAGATCAAATGATACGTATTTTGTTATGTCTGAAAAACAATGGTAATTGGCAAGAGGCTCTGCAATTCGTTCCCAAGAGAAAACATACTGGTTTTCTGGAGATTTCTCAGCATTCTCAAGAGTTTATCAACAGACTAAAGAAGGCAAAGACTTAATTCATTTTCAAAAGGTTCTCTGAATGTGCACAGAACACGTGGCTCAAATGAGAACATTTGATGGCTTAAAAAGTAAATGCGTTAGAAATACAGTTCTGTTAATGTATTTCTTCCCAAACAATTCATTTTTCTCTTCTAAAGGTAGTCTTTCCCAACTGACTGTAGGGTTGTGTCTTTTCCCAATTAAATATCTGCAGAACTTTGGGATTATACTTTGTTTACTGTAGAAAGATAATAAAAAGAGTTGTCCAAGATTGTTGAACAGAATAATCTTTATCCCAGTTAAATAGTTGTACCATTGGTAGACTTTTTTATGGAGGTTCCTAGAGGGTGGTGCCCTGGGGTGGGCTTGGAAGCTCTGCACCCCTTCCCCCATAGCTTTCCCCGTGCATCTCTTTGTCTGTATGTTTTGTAATATCTTTTACAGTAAACTGGTAAATGTGTTTCCTTCAATTCTATGAGCCATTCAAGCAAATTAATCAAGAGAAGGAGTTGGTACCCCAACTTGAAGCCAGTCAGAAGTTCTGTAGGCCCAGATTTGCAACTTGTTTCTGGTGGGAGAAGGGAGTAGTTTTGGGGACCAGGCCCTCAATCTGTGGGCTCTGACACTATCTCCAGGTAGATAGCGTCTGAATTGAATTACAGAACACCTAGCTGGTGTCCACTGCAGAACTGATAGCTTGTGTGTTGAGAAATTCCCCGACATTTGGTCACAGAGGTCTTCTGTGTTGCTTGTTGAGTGAGAAAATAGGAAAAAGGACTTTGTGGGGGGTTTTCTATACAACTATGAAAAACGGGTTCACAGGGATAAAACTGATTTCTTGTCCTCTTACAGAAAAAGGGATTTATGTCTGGTGCATTGGCTCACTCCTGTAATCCCAGCACTTTGGGATGCCAAGGCAGGCTGATCACTTGAGCCCAGGAGTTTGATACCAACATGGGCAGCATGGTGAAACCCCATCTCTAAAAAAAATACAAAAATTAGCCTAGGTGTGGTGGTGTGTGCATGTAGTCCCTGCTACTTGGGAGGCTAAGGTGGGAGGATCACTTGAGCCTGGGAGGTGGAGGTTGCAAGTGAGCCAACATTGTGCTGCTGTGCTATAGCCTGGGCAACAGAGAGAGACCCTGTCTGAGAAATTAAAAATAAAGTTTTTGAAAACATGGGAAATAGGAATGATATAGGCAACTATTCCCAATTTCTGAATTGGAAATTGGCATAAACGTCCAATGCATTTCTTTTCTTTCTGTTTCTTTTTTTGTGATGGAGTCTCACCTTGTAAACCAGGCTGGAGTGCAGTGGTGTGATCATGGCTCACTGCAGCCACAATCTCCTGGGCTCAAGTAAGCCTCCTGCCTCAGTTTCCCAAGTAGCTGGAATTTTAGAACCCCGAATGATGCCCTGTTGCAGGGTTGCATTTGCTAGAAGGAAGAGACGCCATTTCTTCATACAAAGACTGTCTGCCTTTAGGCCATGTGCTTAAAAGACTGCATCCACTAAGGAGGTATTCCTTTCTTAATTTGCCCAAAGACAGACAAGGTGACATCTCCACAGACTTGAAGTGAGAGTAAGCTATGAAGATATGAGGGAAGGGAATTCCAAGCAAAAGGAACAAGTGTCAGAAGCCCTTGAGAGAGGGTTCAAGGTCCAATAAGGCTGGTGCGCCTGAAGCAAAATGAGTAAAAAGAGCTGAAGATCAGGTCAGAGGAGTAGCTAGGTCTGTCAAGTAAGGCATCTTAAGCCACCGTAAGAACTTTGGTTTTTACCAGAGGATCAGAGGATCTGACTCATTCTCCACCCCCCACCCCCATGGTTTTGTATATTTATTCTTTGTGAAAACACGTAACAAACTTTTTCCTCCAGCCCAGATATAGATCTCAGATGGGTGATTTTTTTTTTCCCTCCCCTCCTTGGATGATTTCTTTTCTTCCTCTGTCTCTGATTCTTGTTGTCTTTTCTTGCCCACTTGCTACCACCGCCCCATTTGGGGATCTTCCTCTTGTCTTCTTCTCCTCCCACCTGCCCCACCCCACCCCAAATTGGATTCAGTTTAAAATGATGACTTTGGCTATGTCGAGAATAGATTATGAGAGAGACCAGTTAGGAGGCTATTGCAGTAACAAAAGTGAGAGATAATAGTAGGTTGTAGGAGGGTGGTAACAGAGTAGGTAGTGAGACACAGTCAGATCTGAATGTGTTTAGTAAGAGAGAAAATTTAGGGAAGACTTCAAGATTGTTGACTAGAGAAACTGGAAGGACTTGTTACTATTTACCGAAATGCAGAAGCTTTGAGGGGGCAGGTAATCCAAAGTTAACTTTGGGACATTTTACAGTTGCCTATTAGATGTCCAAGTGGAGATATCAAGTGGTCAGTTGGATATATGAGCCTGGAGTTCAGAGACAAGGTCTGGCTGGAGATGTTAATAATGTAATTAGTTAAATGCTCCAGACTAGTTGAGGCCATCTAGGGAGTCTGTGTGGATAAAGATATCAGATGTCTGAGCCCTAAGGTACTCCAACATTTAGAGGTGTGAGAGATGAGAAGAACCCAGCAAGTAAGACTGAGGTAGAGCAACCAGTAAGAAAAGAGAGAAAATGTCCTGGAGGCAAAATGAAAAAAAGTGTTTCATGCTGCAGATCAGGTAAGATGAAGTCTGAGAGCTGACCACTGAATGTAGGAATGAGGACATTGCTGATTATCTTGACAACAGCAATTTCAATAGAGGATTGAAAAGAAAGCCAACTGGAGTAGGTTTAAAAGAGAATGGACAAGGCCGGGTGTGGTGGCTCAGGCCTGTAATCCCAGCACTTTGGGAGGCCGAGGCAGGCAGATCACCTGAGGTCGGAAGTTCGAGACTACCCTGACGAACATGGAGAAACACCATCTCTACTAAAAATACAAAAAAAATTAGCCGGGCATGGTGGTGCATGTCTGTAATCCCAGCTACTTGGGAGGCTGAGGCAGGAGAATCGCTTGAACCCTGGAGGTGGAGGTTGCGGTGAGCCGAGATCACACCATTGCACTCCAGCCTAGGCAATAAGAGCAAAACTCCTCAAAAAAAAAAAAAAAAAAAAGGAAATGGACAGGCGGAGCACGGTGGCTCAAAGGTCAGGAGTTTGAGACCAGCCTGGCCAACATGGTGAAACCCCAGCTCTACTAAAAATACAAAAATTAAAATTAGCCAGGTGTTGTGGCACAGGCCTGTAATCCCAGCTACTCAGGAGACTGAGACAGAAGAACTGCTTGAAGCCAGGAGGCGGGGGTTGCAGTGAGCCGAGACTGTGCCACTATACTCCAGCCTGAGTGACAGAGCAAGACTCCGTCTCAAAAAAAACAAAAACGAAAAGAAGGGACGGGACTAGGTGTGGTGGCTCATACCTGTACTCCCAGTACTTTGGGAGGCCAAGGCAGGTGGATCCCTTGAGTCCAGGAGTTTGAGACCAGCCTGGGCAACATTGTGAAACCCTGTCTCTACAAAACTTAGCCAGGGATGGTGGTGTTCACCTTTAGTCCCAGCTACTTGGCGGGCTAAGCCAGGAGGATCGTTTGAGCGTGTGATGTGGAGGTTGCAGTGAGCCAAGATCATGTCATTGCATTCCAGGTTGGGTAACAGAGCAAGACCCTGTCTCAAAAGATAAAAAAAAGAATGGACAGAGATATAGGAGACAGAGTATGAACAATCTTTTCAAAGTTTCTATATGAAGGAAAATAGGAATGAGGAGCTACAGGAAGATATGAGATCAAGAGAAGAGTCTTTTACTAAGATAGGAGACATAAAAGCATGTATGTATGATGTTGGGAATGTTTCAATAGTAGAAAGAAAAATCGGATGGAACAATAGTGATGTGTGTAAACAAGGACAGGCTCCACTTCATAAGTAACAGAACACATAGTATATAGGTATAAATGCAGGTACCACACCTCAGATATGGTTGAGAATATATAGAAGTTCTGTTTGATTACTATTATTTTCTCACTGAAAATAAAAAGCAAAATCATCCCAAGTGGGAGGACGTAATGGACATTTTTGGAGAGCCAACAAAACATGAAATAGTATAGGAAAGTGAGTGAATTAGGGCAGTGGTTCTCAAAGTGTGGTTCCCCAACGAGCAGCATCAGCATTACTTGGGAACTAGTTAGAAATGCAAATTTTAGGGCTCCAGCCATTGAGTCAACTGAATCAGAAACTGGCAATGGGGCCCAGCAATCTGTTTTAACATGTCCTTCAGGTGATTCTGATGTACACTGAAATTGAGAATAGTCTGAGGACATGTAATAGAATTATAAGGCTACATTAAGAACCTACTTAATGGCTCATGCCTGTAATCCGAGAATTTTGGGAGGCTAAGGCAGGAGGATCACTTCAGCCCAGGAGTTCAAGGCTGCAGTGAGCTATGAGCCACTGTACTCTAACCTGGGCAACAGAACGAGATCCTGTCTCAAAACAAAAACAAAAACAAAACAAAAAAAAGAACCTACTTAAGGTTAGTGAAATCAAGATTAGCCACTTTTCTTCTCCACTCTAATTTTTTTTTTTTTTTTTTTGGTAGCTCTTGGCCTGAATTTCAAGTTCAGCTCCACTTCTTACTTATCTTTTCCGTGCCCAAATTCCCTCTTCCATAAAAATGGGAGTAACAGTAGCACTTAATTCACAGGGTTGTAATGATTTAATGTACTGAATTTCATGTAGAATACCTGCAACAATGCTTGGTGTATAGTAAGCTTGAATAAATGTTAGATATTATAGTTGTCGCCTCACAAATTACACATCTAAATTAAAATAATAATTGCTCATATTACCTTCCATTTCCAGCCTTTTAAACCACTTAAATAGCTCACTAGAGGTTATAATCCATAGCTACTATGAAGCAAGCTCTCACCATGGCCAGGCAGCATATTATAGATTTAACCTTTATTATCCCAATGCCCTCAGTAACCCTATATGTATTATTCCATTTGTATAGTTATAACATATTCCATAACATTGTTATCCAGTACAAACTCACAGAATTAGCAAAATGCAGAATTAGAATTTAAGTCGAGTTTTTGTGTGGTGCAAAACTAATGCTCTTTGCCTTGGACTACATTGCCTATTCATTGTCAGAAAACGGTACCCCAAAATTTGGTGCTTTGACATGCTGAACTAGAGAAGCAGCCGCAAGGTTTCTCTGATCTCCCCACCCCACCTCCTGCCTCTCAATCCTCTGCCTCCCCCAAAACACGGGATAAGACTGTTCTTTGAAGTTTCTTATCTACCTAGAAACCACACACATCAAAGAACACAATTGCTTTCTATCTGCTTCCTCCCTGAAATTTCATTAACCAGAAGAAATTAAAACATATCACAAAGCCAGATACAGTGGTGCACACATGTAGTCCCAGCTACCTGTGAGTCTCAGATGGGAGGATTCTTGAGGCCAGGAGTTTGAGGCTGTAGTGTGCTATCATCATGCCTGTGAATAGCCACCACACTCCAGCCTGGGCAACACAGTGCGACCTGGTCTCATAAAAAAACAAAACTCACATCATAGAGGAAGAGACTGAAAATTAACCACCACACTTAGAGCCCAAACTTTGCCTCAAACTACTGTTTTTTGTTTTTGAGACAGGGTCTCACTCTGTCACCCAGGTTGGAGTGCAGTGGCGAGATCTTGGCTCACTGCAACCTTGCCTCCGGGGCTCAAGTGATCCTTCTATCTCAGCCTCCCTAGTAGCTGGGATTATGGGAGTGAGTCACCACGACTGGCCTTCGAATTATTATTGGTTCTCTAGTTTCACTTGGTTTACAAAGAGAATAATTTACAAGTGAATTTCTGCATTAATCTCTCCTAAAATCATTTACTACTCCTCTAAAATTGCCTGTAGCCCCCCCACCTCTCTCTCCCCTATGAAAAGTATTAAACTTCAACCATCTGACCCTTTTTTTAGTTTTCTTATTTTGTTGTATCATTCCCATGCTTATGCACATTAATTTTCTCTTGTTAACCTGTCTTTTATTAACAAGCATGTTGTCATGACTCTTTTGATGGGGAGGAAAGTGATCACCCCCTTTCCACCCCTTCATACTACACTACCTTTCCATTTCCTAACCCGTTTGTAGGAGGTTACTGAAGCTTGCATTAATTTCTTCAATAGATATTTATCCAGACTAGTATAATCCAGGTGCTGGGGAAACAGTGGTGAACAAGACAGGCACACCTCATGAAACTCACAGAACTGAAAGGTGAATGGATTACTATCTTCATCCTTTTTTTGTTTCGTTTTTTTCCTTTCATACCTAGTCCTGCACATGCATCCTTAACTTCTGCAGTGTGGTATATGGGAACTGGATCCGCTCCTAAATAGGTATGTGACTTCTCTGAGCTTTATCTTCTTCACTTAAAAATTACAAGCATCGGCCGGGCACGGTGGCTCACGCCTGTAATCCCAGCACTTAGGGAGGCTAAGGTGGGCGGATCACAAAGTCAGGAGTTCGAGACCAGCCTGGCCAACATAGTGAAACCCCGTCTCTACTAAAAATACAAACATTAGCCGGGTGTGGTGGCACGCGCCTGTTGTCCCAGCTACTCGAGAGGCTGAGGCAGGAGAATCGCTTGAACCCAGGAGGCGGAGGTTGCAGTGAGCCAAGACCATGCCATTGCACTCCAGCCTGGGTGACAGAATGAGAGACTCCATTCCACCCCCCATAAAAAATTACAAGCATCTGTAAATACATAATCTCAAATAAAAATCTTCGTGTATATCTCCATTTTTAAAATGATAGAAACGAGAGTCTCAATGATTACCTTGAAAAGATCACAAGGAAAATGAAACAAACATGAATTAAGTACCTGTAAGATAGTTTGCTGGTTACTTTTACATATATGATAAATGATGGATCAGGGACTTCAACCTAGATCACAAAATCACCACCACACTGCCCTGCTTCTGTCATGGGAAACACACTTTGATAATTTCTTCATTCTTTCTCCACTCCCTGGACTTGAAGCCCGAGAAGTAATCCATCCGCAAATATTGAACACTTTTTATATTCATATATGAAACGCACAGTACACAGTTTTTAAAAACTGGTCTCTGTTGTCAAGGAACTTTTGAGCCATTCAGAGAGACAACACTTAAAACACACACACACACACACACACACACAAACTGAGGGAAGTATGAAGTGACCAAATAATGGTATACAAAGATGATCTCATTTGATCCCTATTACCACTCTTTGAGGAGGTACTATTATTATTGCTCTTTTATAGAGAAGAAAAGGTAGCTCTGTAGGCAGTAAGCAAGTCTCAAGGTTACTCAAGCAGGAAAGGGCAAAACAGATTCAAATCCAAGTTCTGACTCCTAAGACTTTCTCTAACTATATATGGTAAGACAAACCCAGAAACTCCAGTTCCCTAAGCAAGTAATAGACCCCATTTGGCTAGGAGGGCTGGATAAATACTGAGAAAGGGGGAAGATGAAGCCGAAAAGGTAGGCTAGGGCCTAATGTAACTCACGGACTTCAGAATGCAGACTGTAGGAATCCACTAAAGGTTTCTTATTAAGGCAGAAATTACTGCAGTCTTAACTTGACATAGTAGTTTCTCAACTTGGTAGAAGCAGACTATACAAAAAGTAACTTTACAGTTGGCTACGTGACTTAGACAAATTACTCTCTCTGACCTCAACTCTTACAGGTAATTGAGAGGAGAATTCTATATTTGGACAATCGCCGTGATTAAACGAGTGTATGAAAGGCGTCTGAAGCTAGGGGGCGCTAGATAAACACTGATTTCCCCTTTAGGGAAAAAGAATGCAGGCTTTTTGTTTACATAGAGTTGGCAGGCATGCGTTATCCAGCAAGGCCGGAACGGAAGACACTCTCAGCCTCAGCTGCAACCACATCTGGGTATGCAGAAACCTTCTAAGATCCCAGCGTTTCCAGGGAGATGCTCCATTTCCCCTCACTTCTCCGGACCTGTCGCTAGACCATGAAGACCTGACTGCCCTCTAATAAAGTGCCTAGCCAGCACTCTTAGACCGCCCAACCTTCCCAGCTCTTCCTTCCGAGGCGGCTACTCGATGACATCACATCCACTTCCGCTTCCGAAGGCGGCCTCTTTTCATTCCTCGGGACCGCTCTAGGCTGCCACCACGCCGGCTGGCCCCAAAAACTCGATGGTTGTTGGGCGGGGTCGTGACGTCCTTGGCGTGGCTGCAGGGGAGGCCGCGGCGGGGAAAATGGCGGACGGGAAGGCGGGAGACGAGAAGCCTGAAAAGTCGCAGCGAGCTGGAGCCGCCGGAGGTGAACACAACCCCAGCGTCGTGGGCAGCGTGGGATGCTCCGGGCCTTTCTTTGAGCTCCCAGGGTGGGGGGAGTGGGGTGGGGCGAGAATGGGCGGATCTGGACCTCACCCGGCCAGGTGTTGGGCCCAGACCTGCCTCGGGCACGCCCGATGCGGCCCTCTGGGCTCCGGGCCTACATCGCCTCCTTGCCTGGGGAGAGCCGGCCACTGTTCGTCACCTCCTGGCCCCAGCGGAGGCCCTGATTCCGAGGAGAAGGGAGATGGGCGCCAGAAAGGGAGACCGAACTCGGGGTGGGACCAGGAGCGGCGGTGCAGGAGCCGCTACCGCCACACCGGAGACGCACATCACACAAAACACACACACCGGAGACGCTCATGAGACATAACATACACACAGTGCGAGCCACCGAGTAGTTGCCGCGGGAACTGGCCGCAGGCTGAGTTTCTGACGGTGCCGGCCTCTCAGTTACACGCAGGAGTTAATTACGCTTGCTGCTCCCTTTTCACTGAGGAGGTGGACAACTCCGGCCTGCTCTCTTTCCTTTACTTCCAAGTTTAATATTGACCCTGTGACAGGATGGGCCGAGGTGATGGAGGGGAAGAGGAATGCCTTTGCCTGCCCTCTGGTTTAAGCTGCGGGGTCTAGGGCTAAGGTTTGGTTGCTTTTCTTTGAAGTATCTCCCTTAGGCTGTTGCCAGCTGACCGCTTGCCAGATACTTAGGCGACTAAATAGTCTAGCGTGACTCTTCCTGTATTTTGTTACGACGTTAAACTCAGGTTACAGCTATCCTTATTCTGTCCATTCCACTCCCTAAATTCGGGTCTTGTGCGTGAAGGAAAAGAAACGTAATCTCTCCAGCTCCCTCTTTGCACATAACAAGACAAGTGACTTAACACGTGCGAGCTGTTTAAAATGTTTTTAGAACATTTTAAACATTATTCTCTATTCTGACCACCTTAGTTATCATTCCCGAAATTATTTAATATGAGAAAATAGAAACGATTAATAGCATATGAAGGCCACTAGTAGACCTACTAACATAATGTTTCATGTTAATTGCCTTGGGAACAAAAATTATTGAAAAGATTAAGTGTAATGTTAATTACTTTGGACCCAGGATTTCCTTTTTAAAAAACACGTACAATTCTGTTAGTTAAGCTGGAACTCCATCTCTCTCTTCCCTCCCCACCCCCTGTCTTTTTTTTTTTTTATAACTAGTAAAATACCTTATGAAAGAACAATTTAAATTTAAACCATCTACTACTTTCTCACTAGGGAATTTTTTTTCCCAAAAAAATTGTATTGGAAATTGTGGGATAAAATTACATAAAAGTTTAAAAGTAGTTTGAGGAAAAGCAAAAAATTTTAGACGTAGTTTGAGGAAAAGCCTAAAGAATCATGTGTTGATTTTAAGGCCATCTCGTTAACTGTCTTGACCGAGGGTAGCAGACGTGTTTAATGTGCTGTCAAAATGTACCTTGAGTGTCATTATAAATCCACTGTATAATTTACCTGCCATTCTTTCAGTTGAGGGTTATTAGTTCTATAGTATGAATATTGATGTTTCCATTTTAGCATGTGGGGAGAAGTAGTAGAGAATTACTTTGCTAATTGGTATCAGAAAAATTATTATGGTCTTTTTCTTGGTAACTTAGAGTAAGTAAATATCCCTTAACTTCTACATAATTTGTCTCCTTGCCGTTACAAGAAAGTAGTGCTGTTAAGTTTAAGCCATTTTTGAATGTCAGATATTTTTAATGAAATTGTGCATAGGAATCATAGTTAAAATATGTCATACCATGGATATTGCAAAATTGGTAATTTTGTGGCAGATAGTCACTTTTTTGAAAACACTGTCAAGTTTGTCTTAGGGGCTTAACTAGAGAATATTCTGAATTTTAATTCCTGTCGAGCAGTCTACTAAGTTGGAAGTATAAGTTTTTTTTTTTTATGAATGGTTTCCTTTTTTTTTTTTTTGAGATGGAGCTCTGTCGCCAGGCTGGAATGCAGTGGCGTGACCTGGGCGCACTGCAAACTCCGTCTCCCCGATTCAAGTGATTTTCCTGCCTCAGCCTCCCAAGTAGCTGGGACTACAGGCGCGGGCCACCACGCCCAGCTAATTTTTGTATTTTTATTTTTTATTTTTTTTATTTTTTATTTTTTTCATAGGTATATAAACTATTTATTAACAGACAAGGCCTACAGACTTATTTCTTCTTGGACACACCCACGGTGCGGCCACGGCGGCCAGTGGTCTTGGTGTGCTGGCCTCGGACACGAAGGCCCCAGAAGTGACGCAGCCCTCTATGGGCCCGAATCTTCTTCAGTCGCTCCAGGTCTTCACGGAGCTTGTTGTCCAGACCATTGGCTAGGACCTGGCTATATTTTCCATCCTTTACATCCTTCTGTCTGTTCAAGAACCAGTCTGGGATCTTGTACTGGCGTGGATTCTGCATAACGGTGATCACACGTTCCACCTCATCATCAGTGAGTTCTCCCGCCCTCTTGGTGAGGTCAGTGTCTGCTTTCCTCAACACCACATGAGCATATCTTCGGCCCACACCCTTAATGGCAGTGATGGCAAAGGCTATTTTCCGCTGCCCATCGATGTTGGTGTTGAGTACTCGCAAAATATGCTGGAACTTTTCAGGGATCACTAGCGACATGGCGGCAGCACAAGCGGCGGCGTGTAGGCCTCCTGTGGAGGAGCAATTTTTGTATTTTTAGTAGAGACGAGATTTCACCATGTTGGCTAGAATGGTCTCAATCTCTTGACCTCGTGATCCGCCCGCCTCGGCCTCCCGAAGTGCTGGGATTACAGGCGTCAGCCACCGCGCCCGGCCAACATTAATTTCTGTCTATGAGAGAAGCTACTTATTTGAACTACCTGCTTTAAATAATAGGGTAAAATTGGTAGTTTTTTTTTCTCCTCCCTTTGGTTAAATCTTTGTAGCTGTTTGAAATAATGTTAGGAGAAATAATGTTAAGAAAAATGTTAAAGAAGAGCTAGTCATACATAATCATGGCCATCTCAAGCTTTTTTGGTTATACCAAGAACTGCGTCAATGAAGTTGACATTTATTATGTCAGACACTAGTAGGGTCTTGAATACCTTCTCATTTAGGCTGCACACCTCTGCATACTAGAGAGGTAGCTCTGCCCTTCTTTCAAAAAAGGAAGCAACCAGAATGCAAATGGGTTATGAAGGGTACCCTTACAGACTTAAACTTTCTTATTAGGTAGTTTTTTCTTCCTTTTTTTGAGATGAAGTCACGCTCTGTCGCCCAAGCTGGAATGTAGTGGCATGATCTCAGCTCACTGCAACCTCTGCGTCCTGGGTTCAAGCGATTCTCCTGCCTCAGCCTCCTGAGTAGCTGGGATTACAGGCCCTTGTCACCACGCCCATCTTAATTTGTACTTTTAGTAGAGACGGGGTTTTGCCATGTTGCCCAGGCTGGTCTCAAACTCCTGACCTCAGGTGATCCACCCGCCTTGGCCTCCCAAAGTGCTGGGATTACACGTGTGAGCCACTGTGCCCAGCTTACTAGGTAATTTTTTCAAAGTAAGGTACCTTTGTGCTCTAAGGCTCACCCCTCTCCAACTACTCAATGAAAAAACAAAAAAATGCTAGTACCATGTGTATTTTGATTTCATGTTAATTACATATTTTATTTGCTCAGAGTACAAATTAGATAAAATTCCTTTTATTAAAATATTCCTTAGTAAAGAATCTAGTAATTTGCTATTTTATCCATGTTTTATGTTCTAAATTGATAAGTTATTTTCTCATTTTTAAAAAAACTGATCATGTATTTAGTCATTCTTTAGTGTATAGATTGTTTCTACATATAAAGCCAGCAGGTTTTCTGTTTGTTTCTCTGTTCCATTGTGTAGAGCCAAAGAGGTTTTTATTTTAACTGTGTGTCAGTCACAGGAAAGTAGTTATTGTTTGGGCTCCACTATGAAATGTCATACTTGATTAGAGCTACAAATAGAATACAGAATAAAATTAGCGTAAGTGCTTTTAGTTATAAACAGACTCTGAAAAAACTGTTTGCATCATACTCTTTCAGAGATATTCTGTGCTTCATAAATTGAGTTCCGTTTTTCAGTGATTGAATAGCAATCTTGATTCTTTAATTCTTCAGGTGCTTTTGTGATTTTATATATAAGTAAGAGAATGGCACCTCAAGCAGCCATTTCAGTGCTATCTTTGTCTCTTAGGGAAATCCCAAAACATAATCCTGCTTAATTTCCCTGCCCTATACTGTCATTACAACTTTTACTCCTTGTCCAAAGGGAATAAAGAGTTTCTTTTATTTTTCATCTAAACAGAATCAAATGTTTTGTTCAAAGTGCTTATTAATCTAGAGACCCCATTATTCCAAAACTGTATAGATCTATATCTATAGCCTCTGATCTTTTAATCCTTTACTTGTCAGTCTGTGTTCGACTTTTTTTCTCCCCATTCTAGCTCTGTGTCCTGCTTTCTTAACTGTTAATCAAGGCCATCTCTTGGAGCATCTTCTTTTTCTCCATAAATAAACTCTTGATCCAGTGTAGCATAATACATTCCATATGGTGAACGGGCAAACTGGGGAAAGAAAATAAAAGTTTTAATCATCAGCCAGCCTTCTTCTGTCTTACCGCCTGATATGTTCTTAGTCTCATATAACAGACCCAAGAAAGTCAGAATGTGAACTAATTTCATCATTGACTTCATACAAACAGAAGCAAAATTAGCAAGACATTTTGCCTTCCAAACCTACATATGTATGCCTTCTACTGTTTGAAATTATGATTAGCTCATCTTTCATGAAAAAAACTAACATATAAACCAAAGTATGATTTTTTTTTTTAAATAGCTCTTATGGGTAGCTTAAAACAGGTAATAACCAAATTGTCAGAGTAGAATTAAATTTCTCAAGAGGGAATGACCTTGAAGTTCCTTTTCAACTCCTAAGATTGTGTGAGATGTACGTGAGGAACACATCACTCAAGGAAATAACTGGGCTGTATTAACACTGTCATTTGGGTAATAATGGGCCTGTTTATAACTAGGTACTTTGTATGATTATTACATTACTGAAGAATATTAAAATTTATTAGCCAAGTGTATTATTTTACCGTGTGACCAATTGCTCACAAACTACTAAGTGTAAAAGATGTTAGATAGATCTGATTTCTAAAAAGCAAAATCCCACAAATAACCAGATTATTGTACAAATTGTAGTGTTTAGTTGAAGGGTCTTGACTTTTTGTGAACTCTGTGTTTATAATTTTAAATTGCTCTGTATTTTATGCTAGTTAATTCATGGGAGCCTCTTCTACTGCCACACAATCTCAGTTCCTGCTGTATACTCTAACAAACAGTGGAAGAGACTGTTGGGTCAGTAGGTGACAACTGCAGAGGTATCTTCCTTATAACGATGCTTTTTGAGGTTGCTGCTCCCATCAATCTGCTCAGTAAAAATAGCTCATCTTGGTAAGTTGTTTCGACTTCACCAGGACCTGAAGAAGAAGCAGAAAAACCTGTGAAAACTAAGACTGTTTCTTCCAGTAATGGAGGGGAAAGTTCCAGTCGCAGCGCTGAGAAGCGATCAGCTGAAGAAGAAGCTGCCGACCTCCCAACAAAGCCTACAAAGATCTCCAAGTTTGGATTTGCCATAGGTAGTCAGACGACAAAGAAAGCATCAGCCATATCCATCAAACTTGGATCAAGTGTGAGTTGTTATTTCATATATGATGTTTGTAATGGGTCTTAAGGATTTGCTTTGGAAACGTGGCGTTTACTAGGTTATGGTAAATTAAGGGTGAAAAGGTACATTGTTTGAGAAGTAATCTTTGACGTATGAACTTAGATGATTAGCACCCTGTTTAAGAAGGGTCTGAATGAATTTTATCTCAATAAAGCTGTTAAGAAACAAAGATTTGGAATATTAGGAACAACTATTATAGGGAATATGATTTATAAAATAATAAACTTAGAATTTTTCTGCGTTGGCTGGGCACAGTGGCTCACACCTGTAATCTGAAGACTTGGGGAGGCCAAAGTGGGAGGACCAGTTGAGCCCAGGAATTTCAGACCAGTCTGGGCAACATAGCAAGATCTATCTCTACAAAAAATAAAAATATAATTAAAAAAAAAATCTTTTTTCTAAGTTGAGCAAGTCCTCTGAAAAATATTGTCAGAAAGATTTTCCAAAGTTTTTTTTTTATCTTTCAGTGCCTGTAGTATTAAAAATAATATTGAGCAATCAGTTATTTGTATCTTAAAAGATGAATATTAGTAAGGTATTGCTTGATAAGATCTACCTAATTATCTTACTTTGGAACGACAAATGGGAATTGAATACTGTATATCTTATGTTGGTAGTCTTTTACAGGTCAATATTTGATCCTTTGTTTTAAGATGTCAGCCTTAGATTAATACTTATTAACCATGGAACCTCTGGAAGTGTTTGAAATATTAATTTGAAGCATATGAAGTTGTAGATACTTGTTTCTGACCTATAATATGAAAATTTCATAACCTTCAACCAAATAGATTTCTTATTTAAGGAAAAAGGAAGTTACTTAAATAGTGTATTGCTATTGGCTTTGGAAAATGGTTACATTCTTGTGTGAGGAGAAAAATCCTAAAATTGCCTTTGAGTTGGTTATTTTTATTTGTGCTATGAAAGTTAATGCTCAATTGCCAGATGTGCATAGCTTTATTCTACATTAGATGTTTATTCAAAGATCTTAAAAATATGGTCTGGAGCAGTCAGTATATTTGGGCTATTCTCATTTTAAAAAGCTGTTATTACTTAGAATCCCCACCCTCACTCTGCTCTGTTTGCCCTTTTTCTATTTCTATTTTTTAAAAAATTCAGTCTGAACAAAAAACATTGAGCTTATAACATCAGTACTTCATTACTCTATTTCTGTATTTCAGCTGGTAGTTTTTGTTTAATATGTAGTTATAAAACTTGTATAGACCTAACTGCATAAATATTTAATGTTTTTTGATAGGCAGTATGTTAAATATATATTCTCAGGTGTACTTCTACTATAGATGGTCCCCTTGAGAATAGATTTTACTGTGCATGAACATAGTTCCTAAATCTAAATCCCTACTCTTTTTTTTAATTTATTTATTTATATTTATTTATTTATTTATTTTTTGGAGATGGAGTCTCTCACTCTGTCATCCAAGCTGGAGTGCAATGGCACAATCTCGGCTCACTGCAACCTCTGCCTCCTGGGTTCAGGCGATTCTCCTGCCTCAGCCTTCTGAGTAGCTGGGACCACAGGTGCACGCCACCACGTCTGGCTAATTTTTGTAGTTTTAGTAGAGCCAGGATTTCACCATGTTGGCCAGGCTGGTCTCAAACTCCTGACCTCAGGTGATCTGTCCACCTCAGCCTCCCAGAGTGCTGGAATTATGGGCATGAGCCACCGAGCTCGGCCCCTCTTTCTTTTTTTTATTTTTTTGAGACGGAGTTTAACTCCTGTTGCCCAGGCTGCAGTGCAATGGTGCGATCTTGGCTCACTGCAACCTCTGACTCTGGGGTTCAAGTGATTCTCCTGCCTCAGCCTCCCGAGTAGCTGGGGTTACAGGCATGCACCACCACGCCTGGCTAATTTTGTATTTTTAGTAGAGACAGGGCTTCTCCATGTTGGTCAGGCTGGTCTCGAACTCCCGACCTCAGGTGATCTGCCTGCCTCAGCCTGCCAAAGTGCTGGGATTACAGGTGTGAGCCACCACGCCCGGCCTACTCTTTCTAAATAATTGACATGATTCGTAATTTCTGATAATTTGGGGTGGGAGGGTTATATTTTGAAAAAACTACTCAGTAAAACTTTTTAGTTTTGGAAAACAAATCTGTTTTTATAAAATAAACTGCAAGACTGGGCGTGGTGGCTCACACCTGTAATCCCAGCACTTTGGGAGGCCAAGGTGGGTGGATCACAAGGTCAAGAGATCGAGACCATCCTGGCCAACATGGTGAAACTCCATCTCTACTAAAAATACAAAAATTAGCTGGGTGTGGTGGCGGGCGCCTGTAGTCCCAGCTACTGGGGAGGCTGAGGCAGGAGAATTGCTTGAACCGGGAGGCAGAGGTGCAGTGAGCCAAGATTGTGCCACTGCACTCCAGCCTCGCAACAGAGTGAGACTCCGTCTCAAAAATAGATAAACTACAGTGTAAACACAGTCTTATTGGGAGGGTGAGGTGTAGGATATTAAAAAAAAATTGAAATTGCTGGATTGATTATGTGAAGATAGTTAATCAGCCAACAAATGCTTATTTGTGTCCACAACATTAAATACATGACATCTTTAAAAAATTAAGGGTGTTTCTAGAGTTACTATGCATAATCTCTAACTGAACATGTTTTATTCCTTCAAAAGAAAACACTGTAAAAAATGTGTGTGGTATAAAAGAAGGAATGGTTAATTTTGTTTCAGTAGATCAGAGAAGAGTTTACTGATGAAGTGATCTTTGAGTTGGACTTAAATGTAGGCAGGAGCAAAAGGGCATTTCATGCAAAGGCAGTTAAGATGTGAAGCCATATAGTACATTGAGAAAATCATTAATATTTGGACAGGGTTTGGTGGGGAAATGTAGGGATAAACAGCCCCCAAAATTAAGACCATGAGACCGAATTTAAGGGCTTGTATTCCATAATGAGTCTCAAGACTTAAACAGATTTGCATCTTAGAAGCATCACTATGGTACCATATAGATGGTTGGTGGGAAGAGGATGCAGAAAGTGGTGAGGCCAGGTGCAGTGGCTCATGCCTATAATTCCAGCACTTTGGGAGGCTGAGGCAGGATTGCTTGAGCTCAGTAGTTTGAGACCAGCCTGGGCAACATAGTGAGGCCTCTTCTCTACAAAAAGTAAACAAGGCTGGGCGCGGTGGCTCAGGCCTCTAAGCCCAGCACTTTGGGAGGCCAAGTCAGTGGATCTCTTGAAGCCAGGAGTTCGAGACCAGCCTGGCCAACATAGCAAAACTCCATCTCTACTGAAAAATACAAAAAATTAGCCATGGTGGCACACACCTGCAATCCCAGTTACTTGGGAGGCTGAGGCAGGAGAATCACTTGAACCCAGGAGGTGGAGGTTGTAGTGAGCTGAGATCGTGACATTGCACTCCAGCCTTGGTGACAGAGCAAGACTCTTGTCTCAAAAATAACAAATGAGCCGGGCATGGCAGGGTGTGCCTATAGTCCCACCTACTTGAGAGGCTGAGGTGGGAGGATCACTTGAGCCAGGGAGGTCGAGGCTGCAGTGAGACAAGATTGCACCACTGCACTCCATCCTGGGTGACAGAGTAAGACCTTGTCTCAAAAAAGAAAGAAAGGTCAGGAGATTTTTTTGTTTTGTTTTTTGGATTTTGAGACAGAGACTCACTCTGTCACCCAGGCTGGAGTACAAAGGTGTGATCTTGGCTCACTGCAACCTCTGCCTTCTGGGTTCAACCAATTCTCCTGCCTCAGCCTCCTGAGTAGCTGAGATTACAGGTGTGCATCACCACCATATCCAGCTAATTTTTTTTTTTTTTTTTTTTTTTTTAGTAGAGAGAGGGTTTCACCATGTTGGCCAGGCTGGTCTCGGAACTCCTGACCTCAAGTGATCCACTTGCCTTAGCCTCCCAAAGTGCTGGGATTACAAGCATGAGCCCCTGTGCCCGGCTAGGTGATGTATTTCTGACAGTAGTCCAGGCAGGTAATGCTAAGGACCTTAAGTTGGTAATGTGATAGCATGATTGAAAAGGCAGAGGGAGAATTAAGTTTACTTAATAGGTGTCTAATCAACAGGACCTTACAAGTTGAAGAAAAGATTTTCTGGTTTGAGTACTTATGAACACTGTGAAACTAAAGTACCTAGGGGAGCTCCTAAGTGGAGCTGCCCAGTAGGCAGATGATAGCCCATTTAGGGGTAGACATAGGATTAGGTAGTTAAAACTAGGAATGAATGAAATCGACCAGAGAAGGAAAAGTCATTGACAACAAAATTCTGGTTGTCTGCTAATTTAAAAAAAAATTTTTTTAGAGATGGGGGACTTGCTGTGTTGACCAGGCTGGCCTGGAACTCCTGGTCTCAAGCAGCCCTCCTGACTCAGCTTCCCAAAGTGTTGAGATTGCACATGTGAGGCACTGTGCCTGCCTGGGTATCTATATCTTCTAAATGGGGAGTAGCAGGAAAGGGACAGAACAAAAGGTGGGAGAATTGGGAGAATAACCAGTAAAAAGCATTGTTACAGAAGCCAAGGAAAGGGTGTTTTTATTTTTTATTTTTTTTATTTTTATTTTTTGAGACAGTCTCACTCTGTTACCCAGGCTGGAATGCAGTGGCGTGATCTCACCTCACTGCAACCTCTGCCTCCTGGGTTCAAGCGATTCTCCTGCCTCAGCCTCCCAAGTAACTAGGATTACAGGCACTCACCACCACACCTGGCTGATTTTTTGTGTTTTTAGTAGAGAGCACCTTGGGAGGCTGAGGCGGGTAGATCACGAGGTCAGGAGTTCAAGACCAGCCTGGCCAACATGGCGAAACCTCGTCTCTACTAAATATACAAAATAAATTCTCTGGGCATGGTGGCACACACCTGTAATCCCAGCTATTCAGGACGCCAAGTCATGAGAATCATTTGAACCCAGGAGGCATAGGCTGCAATGAGCCAAGATTATGCCGCTGCACTCCAGCCTGGGCGACAGAGCAAGACTCTGTTCTCAAAAAGAAAAACAAAAAACATAGTGAGAAGAGATGGTTTGGATTAATTATGTTTATAGGCCTAGAGGCAGAAAGCCCCTTTTATGCTTTCAAGGCACATTGTATTTAATGTTACTGTGGGAAGGTATTACTAATCATTTTCTCTTGCCTGTACCAAGTACCCCTTAGGTAAGTGATATTGTAGATCCTAACTAGAAAATCTTTTATAGGAGGGCAACAAATGGATGCCACAAGTTAGTAAAGTAAAACATACCCACTGATAATCCACATTTTTGAAAAGAGAGAATGGATTTGTCCAAAGTATTGGGTTCGTTACTATACAAATTTCTGTGGAAATATAGTTAAATCATTCAAGATAAATTATTCATATCATTAAACAAGCTTGTATAAATGTTATCTACATGATATTCTTTTTAATATGTTTCTTCTTCAGAAGCCTAAAGAAACTGTTCCAACTCTTGCTCCAAAAACTCTTTCAGTAGCAGCAGCTTTTAATGAAGATGAAGATGTAAGTTGATATCGAGTTTTGTTTTTTTACTTTAACCAGTTATTTAAGGAAGGTATTAGTGGCAAATTATAGGTTATAATAGTATTAGTGAATTTTCTTTATAATAGTTTTTGTGTCTGTGTGTGACATCCATAAAAACTGGATACTCTATTTTTGCATTTTATTTGGTTGTAAGATTATTTTAGAGTATTGTTGACTTTGGGGACAAGAAGCTTAAGGATGAAATCAGCAAATGTTTATTATGAGTAGTTTGTGCTAGGAAGTATGTAGGATCCAAAAAAAGAAAAATCTAATACTGTTGCCTTAATAATTTTTATAGTTGGGGTCTTCAGTAATGATACATTATGCATGCATTCAATTTTAAAAAGCCAACTATTGGCTAGGCGCGGTGTCTCATGCCTGTAAGCCTAGCTCTTTGGGAGGCTGAGGCAGGTGGATCACTTGAGGTCAGCGGTTCAAGACCAGCCTGGCCAATATGGTGAAACCCCATCTCTACTAAAAATACAAAAATTAGACAGGCGTGGTGGCACAGGCCTATAATCCCAGCTACTTGGGAGGGTGAGGCAGGAGAATTGCTTGAACCCAGGAGATGGAGGTTGCAGTGAGCCAAGATCATGCCACTGCACTTCAGCCTGGGCAACAGAGCTAGTCTCTGTCTCAAAAAAAAAAAAAAAAAAAAAAAAAAATGTCAACTATTGTGCTCACTTCCCATATCCCTAGGAGGGATAACAATTCAATAGTGCTGGTGATTCTGCCAGAAGTTCTACTCAAAAAGCATGTGGTCCAGAATGAGCATGAGATGCTTATCTGATAGTGTCTTTGTCCCAATTTCCTCATGCCCCTCACAATGTCGTTATCTTCCCATGTTATGAATGACCTATGGAAGTTTCAAGCATGATTCTGACTGATGTTTTTGTACTAGACTCTGACATTAAAACCTAACCCCCACTCATGATGTGACGTCATTGTGTAGCAAATAAGTGTTTCAGGATACATCAGTAGTTGTTCCCAAAAGCATATGTGGGCGTATATTCGTGTGTGTGTGTGTGTGTGTGTGTGTGAGAGAGAGAGAGAGAGAGTTTCTTGTTTCAGAGAGAGAGAGAGAGAGAGTGTGTCTTGCTTTGTTGCCTAGGCCGGAGTGCAGTAGCATAATCACAGCTCACTGTAGCCTTGACTTCCCAGGCTCAAGTGATCCTCCCACCTCAGCCCTCCAAGTAGCTGGACCACAGGCATGCCCCACCATGTTGCCCAGGCTGGTCTCAAACTCCTGGGCTCAAGTGATCCTCTGCCTTGGCCTCCCATAATGCTGGGATTACAGGTGTGAGCCACCACACAGCCATATGTTCTTAAGTGGATAAGACTTAATATGTTCAGAGGACTGGAGTGATTTGGGAAGAATATATATGAAGTAGATACTAAAACATTAGGCAGGGTTTTAGTGAATCAAGAAATAATTCTGTGGCCGCGCGCAGTGGCTCATGGCTGTAATCCCAACACTTTGGGAGGCCGAGGCGGGCGGATCACCTGAAGTCAGGAGTTCGAGACCAGCCTCAACATGGAGAAACCCCGTCTCTACTAAAAATACAATATTAGCCGGGCGTAGTGGTGCATGCGTGTAATCCCAGCTACTCAGGAGGCTGAGGGAGGAGAATTGCTTGAACCTGGGAGGCAGAGGTTACAGTGAGCCAAGATCGTGCCATTGCACTCCAGCCTGGGCAACAAGAGCAAAACTCTGTCTCAAAAAAAAAAAAAAATACTTTTGTAAGCCTAGCTATCAATTTTCAGGTCACAAGCAGTAAATACTGAGTAGCTGCATTTGACTGAACTGGAGAGTTTTGTAGAGGAATTTTGAGCAAGGGTAAATATTTAATGATTGGAGCCCAAATCAGTAAGCAGAAAATTACTGTAGTCATCAGTGTATTCTCTCTTGGACTTTCACTCATTCTATCCATTTGAGTGCTTTCTATATGTTAGCCACTGCGATGTTATAAAGATAAATCAGAAACGTTCACCTAGGAACTCAGCCTAGCAGGGCAGACTTAAATGTAAAACAGTACAAGATAAAAATCGAAAGTATCTGAATAAATGATACTGTGGAAATTGAGAGAAGGAGTAAAGGCCAGATACTAGATGCAGCAGCATGTAAAAGACCACTGGACTGGCAGTTGGAAGACCTGAATTAAGTTTGAGAAGCACTAACTTAAATAATATTTGAAGTTTCTTGGCATCTCTAACATTCTTAAGAAATCAGGTACCATTTGATTCAGCCTATTCAGATATGTACAGACTGTAGGAGGGAAGAACGATACAGGATGCAGGGAATACGTGCAAAAGTGCAGAGGTTGGAAATTGTAAGCACCTACATTACAACAATGGCTTACTTTGAATGCCTAACGATTTGGATATCTTTTCACATTATTTTACCCTTAATTTGTGAGTTGTGTGATATGTTTATTCATATTTTGAAAATGGAGAAATTGACTGGGCATGGTGGCTCATGCCTGTAATCCCAGTACTTTGGGAGGCCGAGGCGGGTGGATCACGAGGTCAGGAGGTCAAGACCATCTGGCTAACATGGTGAAACCCTGTCTCTACTAAAAATACAAAAAATTAGCTGGGCGTGGTGGCATAAGCCTGTAATCCCGGCTACTCGGGAGGCTGAGGCAGGAGAATTGGTTGAACCCGGGGGGTGGAGGTTGCAGTGAGCCGAGATCGCGCCACTGCACTCCAGCCTGGGCAACAGAGCAAGACTCCATCTCCAAAAAAAATGAAAATGGAGAAATCAAGTATGCATGAGCACATGCCAGTGCACACACATGTTGTCTTTTAGGTCTTCCTGTTTCTTGTTCTTTGTGTCATACCCTGCTGTTTTCCCTGCTTTTAAGTAAATTTCGGATGCATTTAGACAACATTCTTTCTCCTATAATATAACAGTAATAAAGGATAAACTGTCTCATAGATTTAAAAAACACATGTATCCGAAATCATCTTTTTTTTTCTTTTTTAAATCATAATTAAGTAACCTTGGATATATATTTGAGTTTGAAATATACTGAACAGAGAAGATAGCCACTTAATTAGTTAATTTTGAAATTTTAAAATATTTTTCCAGCTGTTACATATGTGTAGTCTCCTTTAATTTGGACAAATTCCTTAGTCTTTGTGTATATTTCATGGTATTAACATTTTTGAAGAGTACAGGCCAGTTATTTTGTATAAGCTCCCTCAATTTGGATTTGTCTGATGTTTCCTCATGATTAGTTTCACGTTTCTTACTTTTGGCACAAATACCACAAAAGTGATGCCAAGTTATCAGTGTGTCATATCAGGGAGCACATGCTATCAATATGCCCCATCACTAAAAGAGTGTTAACTTTGATCATTTGGTTAAAGTGGTGCCTGCCAGATTTCTTCACTGTCAAATTACTATTCTACCTTTTGTAATTAAAATTTATTTTGTGGGGATAGGCTTTGAGAATATGTGAAAATAATATGATTGAGGACGTTTTCTCACTAGCATTAACATCTGTTGATAATTCTTGCCAGAATTATTATTATAAGGTTTGCCAAATGATGATTTTTCTGATTCCATCATCCTTTCTGCATCTATTAACTGTCTCTTACTGTAAGGAAGAGCTTGGAAGAGCTTCTTATTATCACATTTAAATTTTATTTATTCAAGTGTATACTCATGGAATCTTACTTTATTCAATAGGTTATAATGCTCAAATTGTCACAGATTTAACCAGTAGAAGTCCCTTTAAGCTGGATCAACACCCTTTTAAAAAGTAGTATTTAGCTAAGCAGCAGCATTTATACATAAAAACTTATATTTGAAAGGAACTTTCCCCACAATTTTCAACACCTATAAGTATAGAAAAAGTAAGGAATGAGCTCTCTTTTTTTTTTTTTCTTTGAGACAGAGTTTCACTCATGTCACCCAGGCTGGAGTGCAGTGGCACGATCTCGGCTCACTGCAACCTTTGCCTCCCGAATTCAAGCAATTCTCCTGCCTCAGCCTCCTGAGTAGCTGGGATTACAGGCACGCGCCACCACACCTGGCCAATTTTTTATACTTTTGGTAGAGACGGGGTTTCACCATGTTGGCCAGGCTGGTCTTGAACTCCTGACCTCAGGTGATCCACTCACCTCAGCCTTCCAAAGTGCTGGGATTACAGGTGTGAGCCACTGCACCCAGCCAGGAATGAGCTTTCAAGATGTCTTTATTGTAGTAGATATTTTTGAGGAGCAGTACCTTAAAGTGGTTAAGAACCTTTGCTTTGGTGTCAAACTCTTTTGCTATTCATTTGCTTTGTTTCCTTGAGCAAGTTAACTTTGTTACCTCACCTGCAAAATATGAATGATGATAATCATACCTCCCTCATGCGATTATGTTAGGATTTTTAAGAGATAGGACATACACAAACAACACAATGGGCAGCATTTAGTAGCTAAATGGTTTTAGTTCTAGAATGTTTGTTTTTTCAGCAGTTTTTTTTCTTTATGCAAAATCAGCACCGTAGAAGACAGGCATTTATTTTTTAAATGTAGTTAAGGTAAATAACTCACTAATTTTCTCCTTTTACCAAAATTTACAGTAGTGAAAATGCTAAAAGACTTAGATATAAAATTTAGCGTATTAGTAATCAGGAATTGAATAAGTTTGTATGCAGTTATCTTGGTTTACTTACTTTTTTCTTTAGAGTGAACCAGAGGAAATGCCTCCAGAAGCAAAGATGAGGATGAAGAATATTGGAAGGTATTATAATTTTTCATAAATATTATAGAAAGATACAAAGGTGAATTAACAAAAATAACTTGCACATGATTTCTTACAGTTCAGGCTTTTCTTGTGCATTTGGGCAGAACAGTTTTTAAAAGCATGTTCTGTGTACTAGATGATTAATTAGGATTTTGAAGATGAATAAGACATGGTTCAATCCTCATGAAGAAAGATAACTAATTATTCTGTGAACTATCAGTGATCTTATTTAGTCTCCAGTTAAAGAAAATGAGTATCTTAAGACATAACAATAATTTAAGACTACTTCTTGACAGGGTCTTATTCTGTTGCCCAGGCTGGAATGCTGTGGCACAATCACAGCTCACTGCAGCCTCGATCTCCCACACTCAAGCTGCCCTCCCACCTCAGCCTCTCAAGAAGCTGGGACCACAGGCATATGCCATGACACCCGGCTGATTTTTTTTTTTATTTTTAGTAGAGGCAAGGTCTCGCTATGTTGCCCAGGCTGGTCTGTAACTCCTGAGTGCAAGTGATCTCCCCACCTCAGCCTCCCAAAGTGCTGGGATTACAGGTGTAAGCCACCATGCCCAGCTGTTTTTTCAAATAAGAAATAGCTATGAGAAATGTTTCTGATTTCAAAATTTTTGCTGGTATGAAACAAATGGCTTTCAGTCACTTCATTTTTTAAAAAAATTTGTAAGTAGAGACAGACAGGATCTTGCTGTGTTGCCCAGGCTGGTCTCAAACTCCTGGCCTCCAGCAGTCCTGCCTCAGCCTCCCAAAGTGCTGGGAGTATAGGTGTGAGCCACCATGCCCAGCCACTTCACTTACGATATAATTTCTACCACTTTATCTTATATTTCTTTTTTTCTTTAATGACTTAGATGCCAAATACCAAAATAAGATAAATGAAAGTATTTTAATTTTCTCCATTGTTGCTGTTGTCATGGAGATAACATTTATTTTTAAGTTAACACGATGTGCAGTTTCCTGTCTTTGTGTGCATTAATGGATAGCTTAGAGATCAGTAAGAAAGCTTAATACCACCTCAACCCCATACTATGTCCCCATTTCTTCCAAATGTATGAACCCACAAAGAACTGAGTGGTAAATCTTTTTCCTTTTCTTATTTAACTACCAGTATGATAATGCTAAGTGCTAAATCTATACACAAGCGTAAGTCTCCAAACTTCCATTATGTGATTCAAGTAGAGTCAGTCCCAGTGGCTGCCTGCATGCCTTCCTTTCATACTGAGCGTAAAGTAGGAAGTACATATGACGTTGTTGTCCCGCCTAAACACCCAGCACATATATTAATATAGTTAAACATAAATAATTGAAGCAGAAGTTCATAAAATGACACTGAACCTTTCTATGTGTAATGTATCTTCATGTTTTTCTTCTATTTCATTTTTTACAAATGCTGGTGGCCAGCTATCACATTGACTTCATGATGCTGTTAATGGATTACAGGCAACAGGTTTTTTTGTTTTTTTGTTTTGATTTTGGTGTTTTTTTTTTTTTTTTTTTTTTTAAGACAGGATCTAGCTCTGTCACTCAGGCTGGAGTGCAGTGGTGTGATCATAGCTCACTGCAGCCTTGACCTCCTGGGCTCAGGCAATCCTCCCACCTCAGCCTCCTAAGCAGCTGGAGCCACAGGCGCACACCAGCACACCTGACTGATTTTTAAATTTTTTGTCGAGACAGGGTCTCACCGTGTTGCTCTGGCTGGGAGGCAACAGTTTTTAAAACTGCAGTGGTTGCCACACTTAGCTGTATATCAGAATTACCTTAAATGTTTGTTAAAACTACAGATTTATCCTCACCCCCAATTTAGGCCTGCTGGATCTGAAATTCTAGAACTGTGTCTGTAAAGTGTTTTTTGTTTTTTGTTTTTTTGTGTGTTTTTTGTTTTTTGTTTTTTTGTTTGTTTTTTGTGACAGAGTCTTGCTCTGTTGCCCAGGCTGGAGTGCAGTGGCGTGATCTCGGCTCACTGCAACCTCTGCCTCCCAGGTTCAAGCAGTTGTCCTGCCTCAGCCTCCCAAGTAGCTGGGACTACAGGCATGGACCACCATGCCTGGCTAATTTTCGTATTTTTAGTAGAGACGGGGCTTCACTGTGTTGGCCAGGCTGGTCTCAAATTGCTGACCTCAGGTGATCCACCTGCCTCGACCTCCCAAAGTGCTGGGATTACAGGTATCAGCACCATGCCTGGCCTGTGAAATGTATTTTTAAAAAGCTCTGTAGGGCCTTCCAGTGTTCAGTCTGTGTTTATAATAGGTGCTAAACAAACATGTATTGAATGAATCAAAATCATAACCTGAAAGGCTTTATATAACATTTTAAATAAATTTTCTTTCTTTTAACACAGGGATACACCAACATCAGCTGGACCAAACTCCTTCAATAAAGGAAAGCATGGGTTTTCTGATAACCAGAAGCTGTGGGAGCGAAATATAAAATCTCATCTTGGAAATGTCCATGACCAAGACAATTAAATGATGTTTTGAAATTGGGGTGTGGGGTGGGTGTAAAGTTAAAAGGAACAGTTTCCTTTTTTAAAGAATGGTATAAGACTATCTTTGGAGCCGCTTTTTTTTTCTTTTTCATTTTTTTAAAAGATTGAGTGGTACACTAATAAATGAGAGTTTGAAATTAGAGGTAATTTATGTTTTATATACAGATTTCAAGACATTTGCTAATTTTGTAGTTTCATGTGATTAGTTTCCAAAGGTTACAGATAATAAAGAAATCAGAAATGGTACCTTTTTAAGAATTGCATATTTTTTTAGACACAACTATTAGTACATTAAGAGGGAAGCAAAGTTACTGTCTATTTAAAACTGCAAGCAGTTAACTCTCTTAACTCCCTTATTACCTAAACTTGTCTGGCTCCCAGGAACAGCCTTATAGAGAGAGGGAGTATTGTATTGGGAAGAAAATGTTACTGAACTATTGACTGAAAGTAAATTTAGATAAAATACAGCTTTTTTCCTTATGGGCATTTGTTTTGTTTCAAGTCATCATAAACTAGGTATTGCATTGCTATCCGTGGATACAGACGCTTAGCTCTTAAAAGATTTTTTTTTTATGTAAACTGTTGAATATTTGAAATAGTCCACTTCACCTTAATGGGTCTTGTCTATCTTCATTAGTCTTCAAAGAAAAACCATTTGCTACCAAAGTAAATCAGTATTTTGAATGTGCTTCTCTTGTTTTTTGTTTATTAGCTAGTTCCTGTAAGCATTTCCACCAGAACTTGAGGCAAATCGTAAGGAAGCTGTTTCTTTTAAAACACAAACCACCACCAAAAATTTAAATGTACATATTGCTTAAGTATTTGGCTGTTTTTATTTTTTAAAAGGTATAAACACCAAAAAAAAAATTAACATTGTATGAAGATGGAAAATAAGAAGATGCACTTTCTGTAACTTTGTCTAAGGATTTAAATTACTAACTTATGAACTCCAATTTGAATTGAACTTAACTATCGGCTTTCTTACTGGTAAAATTATATGGTTTATTTTAAATGCGTACATATTGACCAATGGCCTCTGAAAAAGCACATTTTAGATACTGAAATTGAAGGAAAGAAAATGCATCTTCAAACATTTTTTGGAATCTCACCACATATACTTTGTTAGATTTGTGTATTGTAGGGTGTTTGTTTTGTATTTTTGTATTGTATATGAACTTTTTTTAAATGTGACAGTTAAACACATCTTTAAAAGCATAGTCACAGACAAAAGCATACAGTATAAAAATTTCCTTGAAAACTCCTACAATATTATATTTGGAGGCAGCTTCAGACTGTTTTATTGGTGGTAGCTGCTTGCTGAGGTCTTTTAGTTGGTAATAACTCCAGAGAAGCAGCCTGTGTATATTCCTAACACTTTGTTCACTAGCATTTAAGTTTAGAATAAGCCCAAGTAAGACAATGGAAATGTATATAGAACTCTTAGTTCTTACATGATTTAATTATATCGATACATGAATTTAACTTACTTTAATGTAGGCAAACTATCAATTTTTTGTCCATTTTCCTGTTTGTTAAAATAACATACCTCTCCTACGTATTATTTTCTTGACCCAAATGAAATATTAACCTAAGGTCAAGCTGGGAGAGAGAAATGACTGAGATGAATGTCTTTACTAAAGTACCAATAAATTTGTCAAACTCAATAGTGTTTTTATTTTCTATTCCATTTAATTGTTGCTTACTGGTTTTTGTTTTTAAAGTTGAGACAAATGTCAAGTGTTGCTCTTGTTCATTTTGTTGACCAAAGTAATGGGGGATTTAAAATTCTGAATTACTAGTGTCTACCTAGCTCAGCACCTAGTTCTATAGCATTACAGAATCTCAGACTCAAAAAGACTTAATCCTCCTCCAGTGCCAAAGGATTGTCTGTCCAGTTCTTTAGAAAATCTTGCCAAAGCTTTTCTTTGACAATCACTAAATATTAGAAAGTATTCTTTTTTTTTTTTGAGACAGAGTCTCACTCTGTTGCCCAGGCTGGAGTGCAGTGGCACGATCTCGGCTCACTGCAACCTCTGCCTCCCGGGTTCAGGCAGTTCTCATGTCTCAGCCTCCCAAGTAGCTGGGACTACAGGTGCATGCCACCATGCCCAGCTAATTTTTGTATTTTTAGTAGAGACAGTGTTTCACCATATGGTCAGGCTAGTCTCGAACTCCTGACCTGAGGTGATCCACCTGCCTTAGCCTCCCAAAGTCCTGGGATTACAGGCATGAGCCACTGCGCCCAGCCTAGAAGGTATTCTTTCACTAGTGTCTTCTGTCCATTAACTGTACGTATGGATTTAGACCATAAAGAAAAACGTAATTTCACTTCTACCTAATGGCTTTCTTCAAATATTTAAAGTTTCTTTCTTTCTTTTTTTTTTTTGAGATGGAGTCTCGCTCTGTTGCCCAGGCTGGAGTGCAGTGGCGCGATCTTGGCTTACTGTAAGCTTTGCCTCTCGGGTTCACGCCATTCTCCTGCCTCAGCCTCCTGAGTAGCTGGGAATACAGGCGCCCGCCACCACGCCCGACTAATTTTTTTGTATTTTTAGTAGAGACAGAGTTTCATCATGTTAGCCAAGATCGTCTTGATCTCCTGACCTTGTGATCCGCCCGCCTTGGCCTCGCCTCCCAAAGTGCTGGGATTATAGGCGTGAGCCACCTTGACCGGCCTGAATTTTGTTTCTACCCTGCACTTCTGCCTCCCCCCTCACAGCTTAAATATCTCCACTTGATAATTTATTGATATTTTTAACTCAGTTTGCATTCTTTGTTTGCATACTATGTGTTGTCAACACATTGTAGTTGCCAAAACTTCATTTCTTTGGTTATCATGAATTTTAAGACCACATAGTTGTTTTCTTTCGTTTTTTATCACTTTGACTTTTGCTGACCATTTTGCTCCCATGTGGTTAGTGCAGCTTTTCCCTTTAGTTTCCTCTACTTGACAAGAACTTGTCAGGTATTTCCCTTTTAGAAATACGTTTTTTTTTCTTTTCTTTTTTCTTTCTTTCTTTTTTTTTTTTTTTTTTTTTTTGAGACAGAGTGAGTAGCTCTGTCACCCAGGCTGGAGAGCAGTGGTGCAATCTTGGCTCAGTGCAACCTCCATCTCCCAGCTCAAGCCATCCTCTAGCCTCAGCCTCCTGAGCAGCTGGGATTAGAGGCACATGCAGCCACACCTGGCTGATTTTGTGTTTTCTGTAGAGATAGGCTGTCGCCATGTTTCCCAGGCTTGTTTCAAACTCCTGGGCCCAAGTTGTCCACCCGCCTCAGTCTCCCAAAGTGCTGGGATTACAGGCGTGAGCCACCCATGCTTGGCTATAATGTATTTTCTTAACTTATACAGTGCTGCTGCTTAACAGGTCAGGTCCTAGTTAATGGAAAACTTGAACTACATTGTGGAATTAAGATTCGTTTCTAGTTTGACTAATAAATAAAGGCTATGCGTTTCAAGGTTTTTTCTCTTTTTTAAGTTTTTTGGTTTTTTTTAGAGATGGTGTCTTGTCAAGTTTTTTTCTTATATCAAGGTTGCTTGACACGAAGGGATGGCTCAAATTATGTTAGTGGCTAAGTAAAAATACTTTTTAATTTTTTTTAATTTTCATTTTGAAAAAACTTCAGACTTACAAAACATACTACAAAAATATTACAAAGTATGTTCATATACCCTTTACTCATGTTCCCCATATGTTCTTTTCCAAAACCTCAGGACAATTGTAGAAATCAATAAATTAACATAATTGCAATATTATCTGTTATACTACTTTATACTATTCTACAGACCTTCAGATTTGCCCCACTAATAGAACCCTAGTCCAAGATCTTCATTATCACTTTGTGGATTTTCATCTTTTTTTAGTCTCTTTTAATCTAGGACACTTCGATGTTTATTGTTCATGACCCTAGACGAAAGTACAGGCCAATTATTATTATTATTATTATTATTATTATTATTATTATTATTATTTTATTATTATTTTTGAGACAGAGTCTCGCTCTCACTCTGTTTCCCAGGCTGGAGTGCAATGGCGTGATCTCAGCTCACTGCAACCTCCGTCTCCCGGCTCCAAGCAATTCTCCTCCCTCAGCCCCCTGAGTAGCTGGGATTACAGGTGCGCACCACCACACCCGGCTAATTTTTGTATTTTTAGTACAGATGGGGGTTTCATCATATTGGTCAGGCTGGTCTCGAACTCCTGACCTCATGATCCACCTGCCTCAGCCTCCCAAATTGCTGGGATTACAGGCGTGAGCCACTGCGCCCGGCAGGCCAATTGTTTTTAAAAGATACCTCAAACGTTAGGTTTGCCTATGTTTCCATATAATTAAATTCAGTTTATGCATTTATGCAATACCTCAGTATTTCATTCCCGCTATAGGAATTCCATAACTAAATTATGGTTGATATGAAACTTTGAATAGGTCAGTAGAAACTACAAAATAACCCATGTAACCATGACTGAAAATAAAGTATTTTACCCAATGAGGAAAAAGATTATAACAAGAAGCTGAACAACTAAGTAATGCAAAGAAAGCGACATTCAGGGAATGCAAGTAATAGATATTGGAATATTTGCAAATGATTAAAGCAAATATAACAAGATTGAATTGGGAGTAAAAAGATGTGCATGTGTGGGGATAAAGGTTATGTGGGAATGCTGTACTTTCTGCTAAGTTTGGCTATGAACCTAAAATTACTCTTAAAAAGTTTACTAACAACAACAAAAGAGGTATGCCGGATGCTATGGCACACCTCTATAATCACAACACTTTGGGAGGTCAAGGTGGGAGGATCACTTGAGTTCAGAAGTTCAAGACCACTCAGGATAACGTAGTGAGACCTGATCTCTACAAAAAAAAAATAGCCCATTATAGTGGTGCACACCTGTAGTCTCAGCTACTTGGGAGGCTGAGGCAGGAGGATGGCTTGAGCCTGGGAAATTGAGGCTTCAGTGAGCCGTGATCACACCACTGCACTCCATCCTGGGTGACAGAGCAAGATCCTGTTTCAAAAAAAAAAAAAAAAAAGTGAATGTGCGAGCATGGTTTGACTTGGAAGATTCACAAGGTTCCTCTCTTCACCATGAATATAAGTAAGTAATAGTTGGATATAAAATCTCAAGATATTGGTAACATTAACATTACCATAATGCTCTGTGTGGATGTTAATGTAACCCTCATTTTATATGTAAGTATAATTTCCCCAACAGGATTTAAGTGTAGTCAATTATATTCTTGTGGGTCCACTTTGAGAAGAAAATGTCATTTTCCCAGGTAATTTTAAACACAGGTGTTTCTTCCATTTTATTCTTATTTGAATTTTATAGTAGCCATTAGCTATGTCATGCTCCAAGGAAGAGAATTGGGAATATTAAGTATTGATTTTTACCAGATGCCTTGCTTTCTCTGGTAGGGGTAATTTAAGAAGCAACTGCTATTCTGTATTAACTCTTAAGACAGGGCTGGTGGTACCACCATGATGAAATGGAGAATAATGGTAACAGCCATATCTTGGCCATATAAAAAGCTAGTTACTTTAATTCTTTTGCATGGCTTCTTTATTACAGACAGAGCCATTAGAAAATTGGGAAGCTTAAAGATGAAGGGCAGTTTTAAATACTAATCTGGAAGTAATATGTGTAAGACAGAAAGGAAAGTAGGGAAAGTATTTCTGATATGTTGTCGGATTCAGTTTGCTAGTGTTTTCTTGAGGATTTTTGCATCCTTATTCATAAAAGATACTGGTCTGTGCTTTTCTTATGATGACTTTGGTTTGGGTATCAGGGTAATACTGGCCTTATAAGGTGAGATGAGAAGTGTTCCCTCTTCTGTTTTTTGGAAGGGTTAATGAAGAATTGGAGTTATTTCTTTTTATACAAAAATTTTTAATTGAGGCAAACTATACATATATAATTTACCATCTTTACCATTATTAAGTGTACAGTTCAGTGGTAATACATTTATATTCTTGTTTTTCACCTTCATCCCCCACCTCCCCTTCTTCGCCTCTGATAATCAATCTACTCTCTATTCATGAGATCTATTTTTTTAGCTGCCACCTGTGAGTGAGAACATGTGATATTTGTCTCTGTGCGTGGCTTATTTCACTTAACGGCCTCCAGTTCCATCCATGTTGCTGAAATTGACAAGATTTCATTCTTTTTCATGGCCAAATGGTGTTCAATTGTGTAAATACATCACATTTTCTTTATCCATTCATCTGTTGATGGGCACTTAGGTTAATTTCATATTTTGGCTATTGTGAATAATGCTGAAATATACATGAGAGTGCAGATATCTCTTTGATATATTGATTTACTTTCATTTTGGTATATACCCAGTAGTGGAATGGCTGGACCACATGGTAATCCTGTTTTTAGGGGGTTTTTTTGTTTGTTTTTTGTTGTTTTTTTTTTTTACAGTTTTTATGGTTTTATTTAAACACAAAACGTGCACATAAGCTGTCTATTCACTTTCTGCGTTGTACAGCCTCGCATTGGGATTGGTGACTGATGGCCCGCTGGGCTCCTCTTTCCAGGATGGCTTTGCGGTTCTTGGAGGAAACATTGTGAGTGATAGCAGCACAGTAAGATTTGTTGCACATCAGCAGCACTTCCAGCTCCCTGACGTTGTAGATCAGGAACTTCCAGAAGCCACTGGGCAGCATGTGCTTTGTTTTTTTGCTGCTCTCATAACCAGTGTTGGGCATCAAGGTCTGGCCCTTGAACCTTCTATGAACCCTGTTGTTAGTACCTCCGGGTTTCCGCCAGTTATGATTAATTTTGACATATCAGTCTGAGTGCTGCTGGATGAACTTCTTGGTCCTCTTTCTGACGATCTTGGGCTTCATGAGGGGTCTGAGGGCAGCCATGATGCCAAGGAGATGGCTGCCACCTCTGTAGGCAACACGGAGGAAGAGAGTGCTATTTTTAGTTTTTTGTTGTTGTTGTTTGTTTGTTTTAGACGGAGTCTCGCTCTGTCACCCAAGCTGGAGTGCAGTGGCACAATCTCGGCTCACTACAAGCTCCGCCTCCTGGGTTCACGCCATTCTCCTGCCTCAGCCTCCCGAGTAGCTGGGACTACAGGCGCCCGCCACCACGCCTGGCCAATTTTTTGTATTTTTAGTAGAGATGGGGTTTCACTGTGTTAGCCAGGATGGTCTCGATCTCCTAACCTCGTGATCCGCCCGCCTCGGACTCCCAAAGTGCTGGTATTACAGGTGTGAGCCACCGCGACCAGCTATTTTTAGTTTTTAATTTTTTGGGGTTTTTTTTGTTTTGGTTTTGGTTTTAGGCAGTCTCTGTCGCCCATGCTGGAATGCATGTGTGTATATATATGTGTGTATATATATATGTGTGTATATATATGTGTGTATATATATATGTGTGTGTATATGTATATGTGTGTATATATATGTGTGTATATATGTGTGTATATATATGTGTGTGTATATATATGTGTGTATATATGTGTGTATATATGTGTATATATGTGTATGTATATGTGTGTGTGTATATGTGTGTATATATGTGTGTGTATATATGTGTGTGTATATATATGTGTGTGTATATATATATTTTTTTTTTGCGATGGAGTTTTGCTCTTGTTGCCCAGACTGAAGTACAATGGCACGATCTCAGCTCACTGCAACCTCTGCCTCCTGGGTTCAAGTGATTCTCCTGCCTCAGCCTCCCTAGTAGCTGGGATTACAAGTGCCTGCCACCACACCCAGCTAATTTTTTGTATTTTTAGTAGAGATGGGGTTTCATTATGTTGGCCAGGCTGGTCTCGAACTCCTGGCCTCAGGCAATCCACCCGCCTCAGCCTCCCAAAGTGCTAGGATTACAGGTGTGAGCCACCACTCCCAGCTTTCTTTTTAATTTTTTTTTAGTCTCAATTTCATTTATTTCTGCTCTGATCTTTATTATTTATTTCCACCTGCTAATTTGGGGCTTGGTTTGTTCTTGTTTTTCTACTTCCTTGAGGTACATTGTTAGGTTGTTTAGTCAGTCTTTCTACTATTTTTTTTTTGAAACAGAGTTTCACTCTTGTCACCCAAGCTGGAGTGCAATGGCGTGATTGTGGCTCAGGGCAACCTCCACCTCCCAGGTTCAAGTGATTCTCCTGCCTCAGCCTCCCAAATAGCTGAGATTGCAGGTGTACACCACCATGCCTGGCTAATTTTTGTATTTTTAGTAGAGATGGGGTTTCACCATGTTGGCCAGGTTGGTCTCGAACTCGTGACTTCAGGTGATCTGCCCCCACCCTTGGCCTCCCACAGTAAGGGATTACAGGCATGAGTCACTGTGCCTGGTCAGAAATGGAGTTTCACCATGTGGACCAGGCTGGTCTTGAACTCAAGTGATCCTTCCACCTCAGCTTGCCAAAGTGCTGGGATTACAGACATGAGCCATCTCACCTGGTTAGTGCAAGGAAGTCTTAACAGCATATGGGGCAACTCTTTCCTTTTTTGATATAGGTGTTTATTGCTATGAACTTCTCTCTTAGAACTGCTTTTGCAGGCCGGGCGCGGTGACTCACACCTGTAATCCCAGCATTTTGGGAAGCCGAGGCGGGTGGATTGCCTGAGGTCAGGAGTTTGAGACCAGCCTGGCCAACACGGCGAAACCCCATCTCTACTAAAAATACAAAAATTAGCCGGGCGTGGTGGCAGGCGCTTGTAATCCCAGCTACTCAGGAGGCTGAGGCAGGAGAACCACTTGAACCTGGGAGACAGAGGTTGCAGTGAGCCGAGATCACGCCACTGCACTCCAACCTGGGTGACAAGAGCGAAACTCCATCTCAAAAAAAAGAGAACTGCTTTTGCCATATTACATTGCCTTTGGTGTGTTGTATTTTCATTTTCATTTGTTTTGATAAAATTTTTAATTCCCTCTCAATTCCTTCAGTGACCCGTGGGTCGTTCGGGAGCATGTTGTTTAATTTCCATGTGTTTGTGTATATTCTGGGGTTCTTCTTGTTATTGATTTCTAGTTTTATTCCATTGTTACCAGAAAAGATAGTTAGTATGTTTTTTGTTTAATTTGTTCAGACTTTTTTTTTTTTTTTTTGAGACAAAGTTTTGCTCTTGTCGCCCAGGCTGGAGTGCAATGGCATGATCTCGGCTCACTGCAACCTCCACCTCCTGGGTTCAAGCGATTCTCCTGCCTCAGCCTCCCAAGTAACTGGGATTACAGGCACACACCACGATGCCCAGCTAATTTTTGAATTTTTAGTAGAGATGGGGTTTTGCCATGTTGGCCAGCCTGGTCTCAAACTCCTAACCTCAGATGATCTGCCCACCTTGGCTTCCCAAAGTGTTGGGATTACAGGCGTGAGTCACCACACCTGGCCATTTGTTCAGACTTGTTTGGTTGCCTAAGATATGGTCTGTTCTGGAGAATGTGTCATATGCTGATGAAAATAATGTATTCTGTTGCAGTTGTGTGAAATGTTCTATAAATATCAGGCCTATTAGATCTAGTGTGTAGTTAACCTCTGCTGTTTCTTTGTTGATTTTCTCTGTGAATGAACTCTCCATCACCAAGAGTGGGGTGTTAAAGTCTGATACTATTATTGTATTGCAGTCTAACTCCTTATTTAGATCTATTAATGTTTGTTTTATGTACTTGGGAGCTCCTATTTTGGATACATAGATATTTATAATTGTTATATTCTCTTGCTGAGTTGACCCCCTTTATCATTATATAGTGATATTCTTTGTCTATCTTTATGGTCTTCAATTCGGAGTCTATTTTATCTTATATAAGTATAGCTACATGCTCTTTTTTGGTTTCCAGTTGCATGGAATATCTTTTTCCACCCCTTCACTCTCAGGCTAGGTGTGTCTTTACAGGTGAAGTGGATTTCTTGAAGGCAGCATACTGTTTGGTGTTGTTTATCCATTCATCCACTGTATTAGTCCATTCTTGTACTGCTATAAAGAAATACCTGATACTGGGGAATTTACAAAGAAAAGAAGTTTAATTGGCTCACGGTTCCACAGGCTGTAGAGGAAACATGGCTGGGGAGGCCTCAGGAAACTTACAATTATGGCAGAGGACAAACGGGAAGCAGGCATGTCTTACATGGGCAGAGTGGGAGGAAGAGAGAGAAGAGAATGTTGCTACAACAACCAGATTTCATGAGAACTCACTCACTATCATGAGAAAAGCAATGGGGAAATCTGCCGCATGATCTAAGCACCTCCCACCTGGCCCCTCCTCCAACATTGGGGATTACAATGTGACATGAGATTTGGGCAGGGACCCAAGTCCAAATCATAGCAACCACTCTATGCCTTTTTTTTTGAGACAGTCTCACTCTGTCACCCAGGCTGGAGTGCACTGGCACAATCTTGGCTCACTGCAACATCCTCCTCCTGGGTTCAAGCAATTCTCATGCCCCTGAGTAGTGGGGATCACAGGCATTTGCCACCACACCCAGCTAATTTTTGTATTTTTAGTAGAGGCAGGGTTTCATCATGTTGGGCAGGCTGGTCTCAAACTCCTAACCTCAAGTGATCCACCAGCTTCAGCCTCCTAAAGTGCTGGGATTACAGGCATGAGCCACCACACCCAGCCTCTATGCCTTTTAATTGAAGAACATAGAACATTTACACTTATTGTTATTACTGATAGGTAAGAACTTACCAGCCATTTTGTTTTTGCTTTTCTGGTTGTTTTGAAACTCCTCTTTTCTGTTCTTATTGCCTTCCTTTGTGGTTGAGTTATTATCTCTGACAGAATGTTTTAATTTACTGCATTTTTTATTTTTGAGACAATGTCTCGTTTTGTTGCCCAGGCTGGAGCGCAGTGGCGCGATCTTGGTTCACTGCAACCTCTGCCTCCCGGGTTCAAGCCATTCTCCTGCCTCAGCCTCCCAAGTAACTGGGGTCACAGGTGGGTGCCACCACACCAGCTAATTTTGTCTTTGTTTTTTTTATTTGAGACAGAGTCTTGCTCTGTCGCCAGGTGGAGTGCAGTGGCATGATATTGGCTCACTGCAACCTCCGCCTCCTGAGTTCAAGCGATTCTCCTGCTTCAGCCTCACAAGTAGCTGGGACTACAGGCATGCGCCACCATGCCCAGCTAATTTTTGTATTTTTAGTAGAGACAGGATTTCACTGTGTTGGCCAGGATGATCTCAATCTCTTAATCTCATGATCTGCCTGCCTTGGCCTCCCAAAGTGCTGGGATTACAGGCGTAAGCCACCACACCTGGCCCAATTTTTGTATTTTTAGTAGAGATGGGGATTCATCATGTTGGCCAGGCTGGTCTTGAACTCCTGACCTCAGGTGATCCACCTGCCTCAGCCTCCCAAAGTGCTTGGATGACAAGCGTAAGCCACCATGCCTGACCTACTACATTTATTTAGGGAATTTATTATTTTTTTGCACTATGGTTACCATGAGGCTTATAAAAACGTCTTACGGTGGGGCACAGGGGCTCACGACTGCAATCCCAGCACTTTGGGAGGCTGAGACAGGTGGATCATCTAAGGTCAGGAGTTCAAGACCAACCTGGCCAACATGGCAAAACCCTATCTCTACTAAAAATACAAAAACTAGCTGGGCATGGTGGCGGGTGCAGTAATCCCAGCTACTTGGAAGGCTGAGGCAGGAATTGCTTGAACCTGGGAGGTGGAGAGGTTGCAGTGAGTTGAGATCGCGCCTCTGTACTCCAGCCTGGGTGACAGAGTGAGACTCCGTCTCCAAAAAAAAAAAAAAAAAAAGAGTGGATTATTGGAGTTTATAGCTATTTTTGTTGAATTCTCTATTTTTTCTCTTCATTTTTGTCAGGTTTTGCTCCATGTACTTTGGCACTTTTTTTTCAATAATACCTTTTTATTATTATACTTAAAGTTCTCGGGTACATGTGCACAATGTGCAGGTTTGTTACATAGGTATACATGTGCCATGTTGGTTTGCTGCACCCATCAACTCGTCATTTACGTTAGGTATGTCTCCTAATGCTGTCCCTCCCCCAGCCCCCAACCCCCGACAGGCCCTGGTGTGTGACGTTCCCCGTCCTGAGTCCATGTGTTCTCATTGTTCAGTTCCCACCTATGAGTGACAACATGCAGTGTTTGGTTTTCTGTCCTTGTGATAGTTTGCTGAGAATGATGGTTTCCAGCTTCATCCATGCCCTTGCTAAGGACATGAACTCATCCTTTTGTATGGCTGCATAGTATTCCATGGTGTATATGTGCCACATTTTCTTTATCCAGTCTATCATTGATGGGCATTTGGGTTGGTTCCAAGTCTTTGCTATTGTGAATAGTGCCGCAATAAACATATGTGGTCTTTATAGTAGCGTGATTTATAATCCTTTGGGTATATACCCAGTAATGGGATCGCTGGGTCAAATGATATTTCTAGTTCTAGATCCCTGAGGAATCGCCACTGTCTTCCACAATCATTGAAACTAATTTACGCTCCCACCAGCAGTGTAAAAGTGTTTGTATTTCTCCACATCCTCTCCAGCATCTGTTGTTTCCTGACTTTTTAATGATCGCCATTCTAACTGGTGTGAGATGGTATTTCATTGTGGTTTTGATTTGCATTTCTCTGATGGCCAGTGATGATGAGCATTTTTTCATGTGTTTTTGGCTGCATAAATGTCTTCTTTTGAGAAGTGTCGTTCATATCCTCTGCCCACTTTTTGATGGGGTTCTTTGTTTTTTCCGCCCAGTTTGAGCTTCCCAGCCCCTTTGTTTACCTACTCAAGCCTCAGCAACGGCAGACGCCCCTCCCCCAGCCAGGCTGCAGCCTCGCAGGTCGATCTCAGACTGCTGAGTTAGCGGTGAGCAAGGCTCTGTGGACGTGGGATCCACCAAGCAAGGCATGGGAGGGAATCTCCTGGTCTGCTGGTTGCTAAGACCGTGGGAAAAGTGCAGTATTTCGGTGAGAGTGTACTGTTTTTCCAGGTACAGTCTGTCATGGCTTCCCTTGGCTAGGAAAGGGAAATCCCCCAACCCCTTGCACTTCCCAAGTGAGGCAATGCCCCACCCTGCTTCAGCTCACCCTCCGTGGGCTGCACCCACAGTCCAGCCAGTCCCAATGAGATGAACCAGGTACCTCAGCTGGAAATGCAGAAATCACCCATCTTCTATGTCAATCTCACTGGGAGCTGCAGACCAGAGCAGTTCCTATTCGGCCATCTTGGTCTCTTGTTGGCACTCTATTCTTAGTGCATATATGTTTTTAATTGTCATGTCTTCCTGAGGAATTTAGCATTTTATCATTATAAAATGTTTTTATCTCTAGTAACATTTTTTGTTTTAAAGACTATACTGTTTGACAGTTAGTATAGCCACTCCAGATTTCTTCTGGTTACTTTTTGCATGATACATCTTTTTCCATCCTTCTAATCTATTTTTATCTTTGAATCTAAATTGTGTCTCCTGTAGACATCATATACTTGGGTCACTTGTTTTGTTTCTATCCAGCCTGACAATCTCTGCCTTTTGATTGGATTGTTTAATCTATTCACTTTATTTATTTATTTATTTGAGATGGAATTTCACTCTTGTTGCCCAGGCTGGAATGTAATGGTGCAATCTCGGCTCACTGCAACCTCCATCTCCTGGGTTCAAGTGATTCTCCTGCCTCAGCCTCTGAGTAGCTGGGATTACAGACACCTGCCACCATGCCCAGCTAATTTTTTGTAGTTTTAGTAGAGACAGGGTTTCACCATGTTGGCCAGGCTGGTCTTGATCACCTCAGGTGATCCACCTGCCTTGGCCTCCCAAAGTGCTGGGATTACAGGCATGAGCCACCATGCCCAGCCAATCTATTCACATTTAATGTTTTATTTATATAGTTGTATTTTTGTCTATTTTATTTTTTGTTATCTGTATGTCTCATGTCTTTTTTTGTTTCTCTGTTACTGCTTTTTCTTGAGTGGATATTTTCTAATGTAGCACTTAAATTTAATCATTTTTGACTTCTTTTTTGAGTATTTTTTTTGTGTGATTGCGCTAGGGTCTACCATAAATTTTTTTTAACCCCAACATAACATGAACATGCAACCTTCTGATCAAAATCAGTGTCAGATTTATACTTGCTTAATTTTTTATCTATAGAAAGGTTATTTTTCTTACAGCTCTATTCCCTTTTCCTCACTTTTGTATTATTATTACTATTATTATTATTATTATTATTATTATTAGTATTTGAGACAGAGTTTCGCTCTGTCACCCAGACTGGAGTGCAGTGGTGCGATCTTCATTCTCCACAACCTCTGCCTGCTGGGTTCAAGCAATTCTCCTGCCTTAGCCTCTCGAGTAGCTGAGATTACAGGCACCCACCACCACACCCAGCTAATTTTTGTATTTTTAGTATAGATGGGGTTTCACCATATTGGCCAGGCTGGTCTCAAACTCCTGACCTCAGGTGATCCACCCACCTCAGCCTCTGAAAGTGCTGGGATTATAGGCATGAGTCACTGTGCCCAGCCTGTAGTATTATTATTAAACGTATTATATCTACTAATGATACAACCCCAACAATATATTATTATAATTATTACTTTACCATTACCATTTCCTTAGCCCAATATAGGTTTGCTGTCACTCACCTCTTTGTGCAGTTATTATATTACACATATTACATTATATGTATTATTGGCTCACCTGTACATTATATACATATTATTTTATACAATGCATGTTAAATTAGTTAAGAAAGGAGAATGATTATACATTTAACCTGTCTGTTATAATTTCATTACTACTTTTACCTGTGCTTTTTTTAATGTGGATTTGAATAATCATCTGTGTTGATTGCTTTCAGCCTGAAGAATTTCCTTTAGTATTTCGTTAACACAGATCTGCTAACAACTTTTCACAGCATTTGTCTATCTGGTAGTCTTTATGTTCTTATTTTTGAAAAATACCTTACTGGATATAGGACTTCTCATAGACACTGTTTTGTTTTTTCCTTTGAGCATTTTGAATATGTAATCCTACTACTTTCTGCCCTTCATTGTTTCTGCTGAGAAGCCATCTGTTAATCTTATTGGGATTTCCCTGTAAGTGATGATTTGTCTTTCTCTTGCTTCTTTTAGAATTTGATTCTTTTTTTTTTTTTTGAGACGGAGTCTCGCTCTGTCGCTCAGGCTGGAGTGCAGTGGCGCGATCTCAGCTCACTGCAAGCTCCACCTCCCAGGTTCGTACCATTCTCCCGCCTCAGCCTCCGGAGTAGCTGGGACTACAGGCGCGTGCCGCCACACCCAGCTAATTTTTTGTATTTTTAATAGAGACGGGGTTTCACCATGTTAGCCAGGATGGTCTCAATCTCCTGACCTCATGATCCACCCGCCTTGGCCTCCCAAAGTGCTGGGATTACAGGCGTGAGCCACAGTGCCTGGACTAGAATTTCATTCTTATCTTTGCATTTCAGCATTTTTACTATGATGTCTTCTGGCATTTCTTTGTGTTTATCCTTTTTGGAGTTTGTTGAGCTTTTTGGATATATAAGTTATTATTTTAAAATAAATTTTGGAAGTTTTCCATTATTATTTTTACAAATATATTTTTCTGCCTTTTTCTCTCCCCTCCCTCTGGTATTCCTGTTATACACATACAGTCATGTGCTGCAAAATGACATGTTGGCCAACAACGGACCACATAAATGATGGTGGTCTCATAAGATTATAATGGAGTTGAAAAATGTCTAGCACCCAGTGATATCACAGTCATTGTAATGTCATAGCACAATGAATTATTCACGTTTGTGCTGATGCTAGTGTATGCTGCACTGCCACACCTATAAAAGTATAGCAATACAGGCCAGCTGCGGTGGCTCACACCTGTAATCCCAGCACTTTGGGAGGCCGAGGCAGGTGGCTCACGAAGTCAGACTGGCCAAGATGGTGGAACCCCGTCTCTACTAAAAAAAAAAAAAAAAAAAAAAAAAAAAAAAAAAAAGTAGCCGGGCGCTGTGGCAGGCACCTATAATCCCAGCTACTTGAGAGGCTAAGGCAGGAGAATTGCTTGAACCTGGGAGGCGGAGGTTGCAGTGAGCTGAGATCGTGCTGCTGCACTCTAGCCTGGGCAACAGAGCAAGACTCTGTCTCAAAAATAATAATAATAAAAAAAAAATTAGCTGGGCATGGTGGTGGGCGCCTGTAATCCCAGCTACTCGGGAGGCAGAGGCCGGAGAATCACTTGAACCCGGGAAGCGGGAGTTGCAGTGAGCTGAGATCACACCACTGCACCCCAGCCTGGGCGACAGAGCAAGACTCTGTCTCAAAAAAAAAACCACAAATGGCTGGGTGCAGTGGCTTACACCTGTAATCCCAACACTTTGGGAGGCCGAGGCGGGTGGATCACGAGGTCAGGAGATCAAGACCATCCTGGCTAACACGGTGAAACCCTGTCTCTACTAAAAATACAAAATATTAGCCGGGTGTGGTGGCGGGCGCCTGTAGTCTCAGCTACTCGGGAGGCTGAGGCAGGAGAATGGCCAGAACCCAGGAGGCGGAGCTTGCAGCGAGCAGAGATCACGCCACTGCACTCCAGCCTGGGTGAGGGAGCGAGACTCTGTCTCAAAAAAAAAAAAAAAAAAAAATTACAGCAATACAATTATGTATAATTCATAATACTTGACAATAAATGACTATATTACTAACTTATTTATTCACTATACTATTCTTTTTATTGTTGTTTTAGAGTGTACTCCCACTTATTAAAAAAATTAATTGTAATACCAGCCTCAGGTAGGTCCTTCAGGAAGTATTTCAGAAGGCATTTTTTTTTAATCATATGAGATGACAGCTCCATGCCTGTCATTGTCCCTGAAAACCTTCCAATGAGAAAATATGTGGAGATGGAAGAGAGTGATGTTGATGATCTTGATCCTGCATTGGCCTAGGCTAATCTGTGTGTTTGTGTCTTAGTTTTTGTTTTGTTTTGTTTTTGAGACAGAGTCTCAAACGGTTGCCCAGGCTGGAGTGCAGTGGCACGATCTCAGTTCACTGCAAAGTCTGCCTCCTGGGTTCAAGTGATTCTCCTGCCTCAGCCTCCTGAATACCTGGGATTACAAGTGCCCGTCACCACACTTTGCTAATTTTTTGTGTTTTTTTAGTAGAGACAGGGTTTCACTATGTTGGTCAGGCTGGTCTCGAACTCCTCACCTTGTGATCCACCCACCTCAGCCTCCTAAAGTGCTGGGATTATAGGCATGAGCCACCGTGCCTTGCCATGTCTTAGTTTTTGTTTGTTTGTTTAAGATGGAGTCTCGCTTAGCTGCCCAGGCTGGAGTACAGTGGCACTCTCTCGGCTCACTGCAACCTCTGCCCCCCAGGTTCAAGCAGTTCTCCTGCCTCAGCCTCCTAAGTATCTGGGACTACAGGTGCATGCCACCACACCCAGCTAATTTTTCTATTTTTAATAGAGACGGGGTTTCACTATGTTGGCCAGGATGGTCTCGATCTCTTGACCTCGTGATCCGCCCACCTCGGCCTCCCTAAGTGCTGGGATTACAGGCTTGAGCCACTGCGCCTGGCCTGTGTCTTAATTTTTAACCAAAAAAAGTTTAAAAAGTAAAACAAAGAAAATATAAAATTTTAAAAATAGGAAAACGCTTATAGAATAAGGATATAAAGAAGGAAAATATTTTTATACAGTTGTATAAGGTGTTTGTTTGTTTGTTTATTTTAGACAGAGTCTCGCTCTGTCACCCAGGCTGGAGTGCAGTGGCCCTATCTTGGCTCACTGCAACCTCCGCCTCCCGGGTTCAAGCGATTCTCCTGCCTCAGCTTCCCAAGTAGCTGGGACCACAGGCGTGTGCCACCATGCCTGGCTGATTTTTTTTTTTATTTGTGGTAGAGACAGGGTTTCACCGTTGTTAGCCAGGATGGTTTCCATCTCCTGACCTTGTGATCCGCCCGCCTCGGACTCCCAAAGTGCTGGGATTACAGGTGTGAGCCACTGCGCCTGGCTATGTGTTTAAGCTAAGCGTTATTACAAAGAATTTAAAAGTTTAAAAAATTAGTTTATAAAGTGAAAAAAACTGTAGTAAGCTAAGTTTATTATTGAAGAAAAGCAATTTTTAATAAATTAGTGAAGGCCTGGTGTGGTGGCTCACACCTGTAATATTAGCACTTTGGGAAGCTGAGGCAGGAGGATTGCTTGAGGCCAGTAGTTCAAGATCAGCCTGGGTGATATAGTGAGACACCATCTCTATTTATTAAAAAATAAATAAATAAATAAATAAATAAATTTAGTGTAGCCTAAATTTTATATATTTATATAAGACTTGCTTCTTTGCATGTCTTTAATTTTTTACTGGAAACTGGACATTTTAGATAATATAATATTTATTGTAGCAACTCTGAGTACTGGTCCCCTATCTTTCTCCCTCCAAGGTCTGGTTATCTTTATTTGCTTGTTCATGTGTCTAGTGACTGGCTGTGTTATTTTAGTGAGGTCTGTTTCCCCTTCCACAGTCTAAGGTGTAGCACTGAGTATGCTCACAGTCAACTTGAGATGATAGTGATTTCCGGAAACCTCCTTCCCTTTTCGCTGATCACCCCCAGCTGTTAAACTCTTCTCATTGATGGTTGATTGCTCAGTTGTTTTGAATAATACTAAGGGCATAAACAAATTGCTCTACAAACTAATTCATGGAGAGTTTCTAAGGTCAGTGTTTGACATTTGTTCTGACTCTGGGAGGGCTTCTCCCAGGTTTTTGTTTTGTTTTGTTTTGTTTTTGTTTTTTTGAGACCGAGTTTCGCTTTGGTCGCCCAGGCTTGAGTGCAATGGCGCGATCTCAGCTCACTGCAACCTCTGCCTCACGGGTTCAACCGATTTTCCTGCCTCAGCCTCCCAAGTAGCTGGGACTACAGGCATGCTCCACCACGCCCGGCTAATTTTGTATTTTTAGTAGAGATGGGGTTTCTCCATGTTGGTCAGGCTGGTCTCAAACTATTGACCTCAGGTGATCCGCCCACCTCGGCCTCCCAAAGTGTTGGGATTACAGGCGTGAGCCACCGCGCCTGGCCTGTTTTGTTTTGTTTTTCAGATGGAGTCTCATTCTGTGGCTCAGGCTGGAATGCAGTGGTATGATCTCGGTCACTGCAACCTCTGCCTCCTGGGTTCAAGTGATTCTACTGCCTCAGCCTCCCGAGTATCTAGGATTACAGGCGTGGGCCACCATGCCCAGCTAATTTTTGTATTTTTAGTAGACTTGGGGTTTCACCATGTTGGCCATGCTGGCCTCAAACTCCTGACCTCAGGTGATCCACCTGCCTTGGCCACCTGCAGAGATTACAGGTATGAGCCACCGTGCCTGGCCGCTTCTCCCAGTATTATTCCCTAGTTCTGTCCTAAAAACAATCAGGTCTACAGTTTATCCTGTAACTTGAATTTCCTCCCAAGTGCCTTTCACCTGAATCTCCATCATGCTTGGGTGTGTCCTTAGATTTATATACATTTTTTCTTTTTCTTGTTTGCATTTTTTTAGTCTTTACATCTAAATATGTCCAAACTGTTAAAAAAAATTAAAGTTAGTCCTTTGGGAGGAGATTAGACTCTCTCTGTTTTACAACCTGCTCCTCTCTTCAGACAAAATATCTGAGCCAGGATTCTGGAGGTGGAGGTGGGGACAATAGCGAGTTTCTGAGTGACATCCTTGCTTTGCAAGCTAAGCACGAGATGCAGCAGCCTGAGGTCCTCTTTCCTTTCCTCTCCTGGTGTGGAACCACCACTTCACAAGCTTAAAGAGGTCTCAGTCCTCTCATCACATTTTGTCCAAGGTGGAACTTCCATTCTACAAGTGAGGATTGGGTGGGGGAAAAAGAAAATCCTTAACCATACATACCCAGGACTTAGCCTCAGCAACAGGTAGCTGGGGGCAGGATAAGAAATACTGGCATCCTTGCCTGGTGCGGTGGCTCACACCTGTAATACCAACACTTTTTTTTTTTTTGAGACAGTCTCACTCTGTTGCCCAGGCTGGAGTGCAATGGTGCAGTCTCAGCTCACTACAACCTCCACCTCCTCAGTTCAAGCAATTCTCCTGCCTCAGCCTCCCAAGTAGCTGGGATTACAGGTGCCCACCATCATGCCTGGCTAATTTTTGTATTTTTAGTAGAGACAGGGTTTCATTATGTTGGCCAGCCTGGTCTCGAATTCCTGGCCTCAAGTTGTAGCAGGACGAGTCGCGGACAAAACCTCTCAGACACCGAGTTGTAGAAGGAAGGGCTTTATTCAGCTGGGAGCATCGGCAAGCTACCGTCTTAAAATCCGAGCTCCCGGAGTGAGCAACTCCTGTCCTTTTTAAGGGCTCACAACTTTAAGGATTTCACATGAAAGGGTCGTGATTGATTTGAGCAAGCAGGGGGTACGTGACAGGAGCTGCATGCACCAATGGTCAGAGAGAAACAGAACAGAGCAGGGAGTTTCACAATGTTCTTTTACACAATGTCTGGAATCTATGGATAACATCGGTTTCTAAGTCATGAGTTGATTTTTAACTACTAGGTTTAGGCCAGGCAGGCCCAGGCCTGGTTTTGGGCCTGGCGCCGGGCTGCTTGTCTTTGATTTCACTTCCTTGTTTTTTTCTTTTTTTCTTAAAACAGGTACTGAGTATAAAACAATATAAAACAATGTGAGACGGTCTCTCTCTTCCCTCAAAGTGATCCACCCGATCCACCCGCCTTGGCCTCCCAAAGTGCTGGGATTACAGGCGTGAGCCACTGCACCCAGCTCCAACACTTTGTTTTGTTGTTGGTGGTGGTGGGTTTTTTTGTTTGTTTGTTTTGTTTTGTTTTGTTTTTGGAGACAGACTGCAGTGCAGTGGTGCAATCTCTTCCTCACTGCAACCTGTGCCTCCTGGTTTCAAGAGCTTCTTGTGCCTCAGCCTCCTGAGTAACTGGGATCATAGGTGTGCACCACCACGCCTGGCTAATTTTTGTATTTTTAGTAGAGATGGGATTTTGCCGTTTTGGCCAGGCTGGTCTCAAACTTCTGACCTCAAGTGATCCATCTGCCTCAGCCTTCCAAAGTGCTGGGATCTCAGGCGTGAGCCACTGCGCACAGCCCCAGATACTTATTGAACGTCATCGTAGATGTTATCAGTGTCTTTTGAGATTTTTTTTTCTACTTCAATGTAAGATACAACAGTAGATTCTAATGTATTCCTCAAAGAGAGTTCTTTTTTGGTTTGTTGTTTGTTTTAAGAGATGGAGTCTTGCTGTGTCGCCCAGGCTGAAATGCAGTGGTGCAATCATGGCTCACTGCAACCTGAAACTCCCAGGCTCAAGTGATCCTGCCTCCTTAGCCTCCCAAGTCTCTGGGATTACAGGCACCACGCCACCACGCCCAGCTAATTTTTGTATTTTTAGTGGAGACGGGGTTTTGCCATGTTGGCCAGACTGGCCTCAGGCCATCCGCCCTCCTCAGCCTCCTAAAGTGCTGGGATTACAGGTGTAAGTGACCTTGCCCAGCCTGTAACTCTATGTAACACTATGTTGCCCAGGAGTTCAGGACCAGCCTGGGCAACATAGTGAGACCCTGTCATAATAAAATAGTAAATAAAATAAAATAAAATAAATAAAATAAAATACTGACATCCCTATTCTCCTGGGAAGACAGCCCTCCACCTGGGAGCTGGTGGGAGAGGGAGCCCTGTGTTTTAGGATATAGCAGGCTGGAGTGGAGGCTTCACCTCACTGAGTTGAGATAGGAGAGGGAGGGAGTGATCTTGATAAAATACCACAGACCCTTGCCTTTCTTAATGAGTTTTCATAGGTTGTCTTGAATAGGTGTTTCTTCTTTTGCTGTTTGCCCTTAGGCTCATGATCACAGGCTTTAAATAGTTGGGGTTTGTTTTTGTTTGTTATAATTTTTGCCAGGTACCTTGAGGAACAAGTCAGTGGAGCTCCTCATCCTTCATACTAGAAGTCTATGTTATTCCAACATATTTAAAAAATAGTTTTAGGCTGGGCATGGTGGCTCACGTCTGTAATCCCAGCACTTTGGAAGGCTGAGGCGGGCAGATCACTTGAGGTCGGGAGTTCGAGACCAGCCTGACCAACATGGAGAAACCCCTTCTCTGCTAAAAATACAAAATTAGCCAGGCGTGGTGGGGCATGCCTGTAATCCCAGCTACTCAGGAGGCTGAGGCAGGAGAATCGCTTGTACCCGGGAGGCGGAGGTTATGGTGAGCTGAGATTGTGCCACTGTACTCCAGCCTGGGCGACAAGAGTGAAACTCTGTCTCAAAAAAATAAATAAAAATAAAAAATAGTTTTATATTTAAAAATAGAACTACTATATGATCCAGCAATCCCACTTATGGATATACATCCAAAGGAAATAAAACCAGTATCTCAAAGAGATATCTGCATTTTCATGTTTATTGCAGCATTTTCAAGATATGGACTATCTTGAATACAGCAAAGATATATATGCTACATAGAGCATATAGCGAAGATATGTTTGACAGATGAATGGAGAAAGAAATGTGGTATATACAATGGAATATCATGCATGAATCTGAAGGATATTACACTAAGTGAAATAAGCCTGACATAGAAAGACAAATACTATATGCGTATATGTGGAATCTACAAAAGTCAATCTCTGAAGCAGACAGTAGGCTGGGCGCGGTAGCTCACGCTTGTAATCCCAGCACTTTGGGAGGCCGAGGTGGGCGAATCATGAGGTCAGGAGTTCGAGACCAGCCTGGCCAACACAGTGAAACCCCCGTCTCTACTAAAAACACAAAAATTAGCTGGGCATGGTGGTGGGCACCTGTAATCCCAGCTACTCAGGAGGCTGAGGCAGGAGAAGCACTTGCACCCGGGAGGCGGATGTTGCAGTGAGCCGAGATTGGCCACTGCACTCCAACCTGGGCGACAGAGCTAGACTCTGTCTCAAAAAAGAAGAAGCAGAGAGTAGAATGGCAGTTGGTGGTCAGGGGCTGAAGCATGGGGAAAATGGGGAGATGTTGGTCAAAGAGTACAAACTTTCAGTTGTAAGATGAATATGTTCAGGGAGCTAGTGTACAGCACAGTGACTATAGTTAATAATACTGTATTTTTTATGCTCGCTTTGGCAACACATATACTAAAATTGGAAGTATACAGAGATTGACATGCCGCAGAGCAAGGATGACATGCAAATTCCTGAAACAGTCCATGCTTTCCTTTCTGAGAAAAAAAACACTGTATTTTTAATTAGAAATTTGCTAAAATAATAGATCTTAATTGGGACGACTAACCCTCTACCACACTACTACATAACTGTGTGAGGCGATAGATGTGTAATTTTTTTTTTTTTTTTTGAGACAGAGTCTCACTCTGTCACCCAGGCTGGAGTGCAATGGTGCGACGCCGGCTCCCTGCAACCTCCGCCTCCCGGATTCAAGCGACTCTCCTGCCTCACCCGCCCAAGTAGCTGGGACTACAGGCGTGTGCCACCACGCCTGGCTAATTTTTGTATTTTTAGTAGAGACGGGGTTTCACTATGTTGGTCAGACTGGTCTCAAACTCCTGACCTCATGATCCGCTCACCTCGGCCTCCCAAAGTGTTGGGATTACAGGCGTGAGCCACTGCACCCAGCCTTTTTTTTTTTTTTTTTTTTTTTTGACAAGGTCTTGCTCTGTCACCCAGGCTGGAGTGCAGTGGCAAAATCATAGTTCACCATAACCACAAACTCCCAGGCTCAAACAATCCTTCCACCTCAGCCTCCCAAGTAGCTAGGACTATAGGTGCACCACCACACCCAGCTAAAGATGGGGTCTTGCTATGTTGCCCACACTCGTCTTGAACTCCTGGCCTCAAGTGATCCTCCCACCTCAGCCAAAGAGCTGAGATTTCAGGAATGAGCTGCCATGCTCAGCCATGTTTCTTATAAATAAGTACATCTTTTACAGAACCTCGATACAGTCAGAAAATTTACATTACTACTTGATTATATACAATTTTTAGTTCAAGCTTCATCAATTGCTTTGCAGCAAAAGGATCTAGTTCAGGGTCATGCTTAGTTGTCACATGTTGTCAGGCACCTTTAGTCTGGTATAGTTCTTCAGTTTTTCTTTAGTGACCTTGACACTTTTGAATATTACAGGCCAGTTGCTTTGAAGAAGATCCCTCAACTTGGGATTGTTTAATGCTTCCTTATGATTAAATTTAAGTTATGTATCTTTCACAGAAATATCACAAGTAATGTGTTCTTCTAATCATATTCTGTGCCAAATGGTATACAATTTTGATTTATCCTGTTACCGATGCTTATTATGATTAATTGATTAAGGTGATATCTGTCAGCCTTCTCCACCATAAGGTTCTTTTTTCCTATTTGTAATTAAGAAGTATTTTATAGGAAAATTATGTAAATAGCCCACTGTTTATCAAATTTTCAATGTATTTAGATAAGTGGATGTGCAGAAAAAAGACAACATAGGTCTGAGATTTCTATCCTTACGAAGACTTCCGTGCAAAGTTGGCCCTTGGTTGACGTCTGGGAACATGACTAGTAAACAGTTCCCTACACTGATATAAAACCTTTCCTAAACAATAAGTGAGGCTCACTGTGCCTAAATTTATTGTATAAATAATGTGGTTTATGGCTGGGTGCAGTGGCTTATGCCTGTAATCCCAGCACTTTGGGAGGCCAAAGCAGGCAGATCACTTTAGGTCAGGAGTTCAAGACCAGCCTGGCCAAAATGGTGAAACCCCGTCTCTACTAAAAAAAAAAAAATACAAAAATTAGCCCGGCATGGTGGCGTATTCCTGTAGCCCTAGCTATTCGGGAGGCTGAGGCAGGAGAGTCACTTGAACCCGGGAGGTGGTGGTTGCAGTGACCCAAGACAATGCCACTACACTCCAGGCTGGGCAACAGCGTGAGACTCCATCTCAGAACAAACAAACAAACAAACAAACAATGTGGTTTATGCTGAACGCCTGCTTTCCTTCTGGGAGTCTGGATTTTTGGAATGTGCTAGGCAGAGGATGCCTACATGACCTGCGCCAGTAAAAGCCTTGGGTGTTGGTTCTCTAATGGGCCTCCCTGGTAAGTAACACTTTGCATGTCTCATCACAATTCAGTGCTGGAGGAACTAAGAATAATTCCACTGTGGGACAGTTCTTGGAAACCTGTGCTTGTTTCCTTCAGACTTTGTTCCATGCACCTTCTCCCTTCACTGATTTTGTTGTGTATCCTTTCTGTAATAAATCACAGACATAGGCCGGGCACGGTGGCTCACGCCTGTAATCCCAGCGCTTTGGGAGGCCGAGGCAGGTGGATAACCTGAGGTCAGGATTTCGAGACCAGCCTGGCCAACATGGTGAAACCCCGTCTCTACTTAAAAAAATACAAAAATTATCCGGGTGTGGTGGCAGGCGCCTGTAATCCCAGCTACTCAGGAGGCTGAGGCAGGAGAATCGCTTGAACCTGGGAGGCAGGGGTTGCAGTGAGCCGAGATGGTGCCATTGCACTCCAGCCTGGGCAACAAGAAGGAAACTCCATCTCAAAATAAAATAAAATAAAATAAATTAAAATAAAAATCACGGACATGAGTATGATCTTTTTTTTGCCAAGTTACTTATCATATGAGAAGAGTATGACTATTTACTGAGTCCTGTGAGTATTTCTAGTGAATCCCCAGAGACCCCTGTCTTAGTCTGTTTGGGTGGCTACTGTTACCTGGTTTCATGCCTACTTGAAATAGCTAAATTTCTACCCCACCCTAACTCAGCTTACCTTTAAGAAACAGGACGTCTGTGTTAAAAAGTTCACTTTGTTACCAGACCAGCTGAGACTGGTTAGAACCAAGATAGCTGAACAAACGACTTCAAAAAGACCTCAGGCTGGTCAGGAGTTCAAGACCAGGCTGGCCATCATGGTGAAACCCTGTCTCTACTAAAAATACAAAAAATTAGCCAGGTGTGGTGGCAGGCGCCTGTAATCCCAGCTACTCAGAGAATCTCTTGAACCGGGAGGTGGAGGTTGCAGGAAGCAGAGATTGTGCCATTGCACCCCAGCCAGGGCAACAAGAGCGAAATTCCATCTCAAAAAAACAAAACAAAACACCTCAGGCTTTATTAAATCTCATTTCCATGCTAAATGACACTGACCATGACAATGACACTGGCATGAGAATTACCAGAAGCCATAAAAGGACAAAAAGGAAGGTAGGGCTTCAGTTCTGAGAAGTTCACTGCTCATTTCCAGAAAATCTATGAATATTCCTATGCTGGAGTGTGGTAGTTCAATCACAGCTCACTGCAGCCTTGAACTCCTGTGCTCAAGTGATCCTCCTGCCTCAACCTCCCATGTAGCTGGGATTACAGGCATGTGCCACCATGCCCAGCTAATTTTTAAATTTTTGTAGACAGAGGGCCTCACTATGTTTCCCAGGCTGTTCTTGAACTTCTGGCCTCAACAGAACCTCCTACCTCCGCCTCCCAAAGTGCCAGGATTACATACATGAACCATTGCATGCCAAGGCGAGAAACCTTGTATTTTAACCCCCTCATCCCTCACTAGTCAAGAAGTTGATTTGTGAGCCAAACTCCCTCAATTGTATGGCCATTGAATAAAGCCTGTACTGCTTGACACTCACTTTTGGTTTTGCATATTGGCCTTGTAGCACTGAACAGGGAAAGACCCCATTTTATGGGGGGAAACGGCTTTGTGGGTAACTATAACAAAATATCATAAACCAAGTGGCTTATAAACAACACATTTATTTCTGACAAATTCCGGAGGTTAAGAAGTCTGGCCGGGCACAGTGGCTCACGCCTGTAATCCCAGCACTTTGGGAGGCTGAGGCAGGTGGATCATGAAGTCAAGAGATTGAGACCATCCTGGCCAACATGGTGAAACACTGTCTCTACTAAAAATACAAAAATTAGCTGGGCATGGTGGCTCACGACTGTAGTCCCAGCTACTCGGGAGGCTGAAACAGAAGAATCGCGTGAACCCAGGAGGCGGAGGTTGCAGTGAGCCAAGATCGCACCACTGCACTCCAGCCTGGCGACAGAGGGAGACTCTGTCTCTAAAACAAAAACAAACAAACAAAAAAGAAGTCCAAAATTAAGATGCCAACAGGTTCATCATCCAGTGAAGGCCTACCTCCTGGTTCCTAGATGGGGTCTTCTTGCTGTGTCCTCAAGTAGTAGAAGGGGCAAATGAAGTATAAGGGCACTAATCCCATTCGTGAGGGCTCCACCCTCATGACATAATCACTTCCCAAAGGCCCAACTTCCTAATTAAATCACCTTGGGGGTTAGGATTTCAACATACACATTTCAGAGGGACACAAATATTCAGCCATAGCTATGGATGCTAAGTTGCAATCATTGCTGAAGGAGGTCATTGCTCCCAGGCCATCTGAGTAAACTGGGACTGTATGTACATATATGTATATACACATCTAAATACGTCTATATATCTATATATTGACAACTACTAGTTTATATCAATGCCTCCAATTCCAGTTCATCATTCTCCTTTCTATAACTCCCTACTCTGACAGCAAGAAAGCTGGCTTTTGATATCCTATTTTTTGTAACCTAACCACAACCTTATCAGATTTTATTATAAGGATAAAACATAAATCAAATGTGAGGACTTAGTTAATAGTACTATAATACATATAAGAAACTTGCTGTACACTAGCTCAAACTTCTTTTCTCCTATTTTATTTATTTATTTATTTGAGATGGAGTCTTGCTCTGTCACCCAGGCTGGAGTGCAGTGGCATGATATCGGCCCACTGCAACCTCCGCATCCTGGGTTCAAGCAATTCTTCTGCTTCAGCCTCCCAAGTAGCTGGGATTACAGGCACCCACCACCACACCCAGCAAATTTTTGCATTTTTTAATAGAGATGGGGTTTCACCAACTTAGCCAGGCTTCTTGTGAACTCCTTACCTCATGATCCACCCGCCTCGGCCTCCCAAAGTGCTGGGATTACAGGTGTGAGCCACCGCGCCCTGCCTCTTTTCTCCTTTTTTAAAAAGCTGGTATAAGTCAGGTGCGGTGGCTCATGCCTGTAATCCTAGCACTTTGGGAGGCCGAGGCAGGTGGTCACGAGGTCAGGAGATCGAGACCATCCTGGCCAACATGGTGAAACCCCATCTCTACTAAAAATACAAAAAATTAGCTGGGTGTGGTGACTCGTGCCTGTAATCCCAGCTACTCGGGAGGCTGAGGCAGGAGAATCACTTGAACTAGGGAGTTGGAGGTTGCAGTGAGCCAAGGTTGTGCCACTGCACTCCAGCCTGGCAACAGAGCAAGACTCTGTCAAATGAAAAAAAAAAAAAAAAAAAAAAGCTAATACATAGGTCAGAAAGAAATTTTTTTTCTTTAGATGAATCAAGTATCCTGGCAAAGCCATCAAGGAATTTTTCATCCCTGAAATTATGACTTTTATTTCTAGCATTTCCATTGAATACTTTCTTATAGTTTCCATTGTTCTGCAGAAAATGTCCATGTGCTCAAGTAGGCTGGAAACCTTTTACACTGGATCCTTTAACATATTAACCATAATTATTCTAAAGTCCTGGTCAGAGTTTTTCAGTAACTGGTTCATCTCTCTGTCTGGTTCTATTAACTTCTTTGTCTCAGAATCAAAATTATTACTTTCTTTTTATTTTTTTGTTTAAATTAGAGATGGAGTCTTGCTATGTTGACCAGGCTGATCTTGAACTCCCGGCCTTGAGTTATCCACCCATCTCAGCCTCCCAAAGTGCAGGGATTACAGGCATTAGCCTTCATGCCCAGCCATTATTATTTCTTTCTTTCCAACTTTTATTTTAGGCTCAGGGGGTACATGTCCCGGTTTGTTACACAGATAAATTGCAGTCATGGAGGTTCAGTGTACAGATTATTTCATCACTCAGGTAATGAGTATAGTACTCGATAGGTAGTTTTTCTGTGAGTTTTTTGTTTGTTTGTTTTTGTTTTTTTTTTGAGATGGAGTCGTTTTCTGTCACCCAGGCTGGAGTGCAATGGCACAATCTTGGCTCACTGCAACCACCCCCTCCTGAGTTCAAGCGATTCTCCTGCCTCAGTTTCCCAAGTAGCTGGGATTACAGGCACCCACTACCACGCCCAGCTAATTTTTGTATTTTTAGTAGAGGTGAAGTTTCACCATGTTGGCCAGGCTGGTCTCGAACTCCTGACCTCAGGTGATCCACCCACCCCAGCCTCCCAAAGTGCTGGGATTACAGGCATGAGCCACTACGCCAGGCCTGATAGGTAGTTTTTTAATCCTCACCCTCTTCCCAACCTCCACCCTCAAGTAGGCCTCGGTGTTACTGTCCCCTCCTTGGTGTCCATGTGTACTCAATATTTAGGTCCCACTTATAAGTGAGAACATGCGATATTTGGTTTTCTGTTCCTGTGTTAATTCGCTGGGGATAATGGCCTCCAGTTCCATCTGTATTGCTGCAAAGGCCATGATTTTGTTCTTTTTTACAGCTGCATAGTGTTCCATGGTGTATATGTACGACATTTTATTTTATTTTTACTCAGGATCTCACTCTGTCACCCAGACTGGAGTGCATTGGTGAGATCACGGCTCACTGCAGCCTCAACCTCCCAGTTTCAAGTGATCCTCCCACCTCAGCCTCCCTAGTAACTAGGACCACAGGTGTGCACCATCATGCCTACTTAATTTTAATTTTTTTTTGTAAAGACAGGGTCCCACTATATTGCCCAGGCTGGTCTCAAACTCCTGGCCTCAAACGATCCTCCTGCTTTAGCCTCTCAAAGTGTTGGGATTATAGGCATAAGCCACCATGCCCAGATGACATTTTCTTTATCCAGTCCGTCATTGATGGGCATCTAGGTTGATTTCACGTCTTTGCTATTGTGAATAGTGCTGCAATGAACATACGTGTACATGCATCTCTATGGTTGAATGATTTATGTTTTTTGGGTGTATACTCAGTAATAGGATTGCTGGATCAAATGGTAGTTTTGATCCAGAACTGTTTTAAGTTCTTTGAGAAATCTCTAAACTGCTTTCCACAGTGGCTGAACTAATTTACATTTCCACCAGCATTGTATAAGCATTCCCTTTTCTCTGCAGCCTCTTGCCAGCGTGTTATTTTTTGATTTTTTTTTTTTTTACTTTTATTTTAGGTTCAGGGCTACATGTCATGTGCAGATTTGTCATCCTTTTTTTTTTTTTTTTTTTTGAGACAAGGTCTCATCACTCTGTCGCCCAGGCTGGAATGCAGTGGTGCAATCACAGCTCGCTTCTGCCTTGACTTCCTGGACTCAGGTAATCCTTCCACCTCAGCCTCCTGAGTTGCAGGGCCTACAGGTGCATGCCACCATGCTCAGCTAATTTTTGTATTTTTTGTAGGGACAAGGTTTCACCATGTTGCCCAGGCTGGTCTTGAAGTCCTAGGCTCAAGCAATTCACCTGCCTTGGCCTCCTAAAGTTCTGGGATTTCCTACCCGAAGGCAGGAAATTCCTTGTTTGGCTAGGTCTGGGCCTTTTATGGACTCAGAATGTGGAGTGCAAGCTGATTGGCATGAGCCACTGTGCCTGGCCTAGACTTTTTAATAATAGTCATTGTGACAGGTGTTGATGCAGTGCAGATGAGCCCCAAAATTGGGGCTTAGCCCAGGAGGGTGTGTGGCTTTGCCCAGGAAAGAATTCAAGGGTGAGCTGGTGGTGGTGGTAACTTTTATTGAAGTGGCAGTGGACAGCAGCAGCAGAGGTTCTGCTCCTTGTGGAGCAGGGCTACCCCACAGACGGTGTGCCCAGAGGAACAGCTCCGAGGCAGTTCTGCAGTCATATTTATAACCAAATTTTAAATCTAATTTTATTTTATTTAATTTTTAATTTTTTAAATTTTATAAAATAGAGACAGGGTCTAGCTGTGTTGACCAGGCTGGTCTTGAATTCCTGGCCTCAAGTGATCCTCCTGCCTGGGCCTCCAGAAGTGCAGAGATTACAGGTGTAAGCCACCATGCCCAGACTTTACCCACTTTTAATTATATGGAAATTAAGGGGCAGATTATGCAGACATTTTTAGAAAAGGGGTGGCAACTTCCAGGTCACAGAGTCATTGCCATGCAAATGAGTGGTAACTTCTGGGTGTTGCCATGGCAATGGTAAACTGACATGGCACACTTGTGGGCATGTCTTATGGAAAGCTGCTTCCTCCCAGCCCCTGTTTTAGTTAGTCCTCAATTTGTTCTGGTGTCTGAGCCTCACCTCTGGAGTCAAGTCCCGCCTCCTACCTCAGTGTGATATAGAATCTCATTGTGGTTTTCAGATATCCTTAATATGTTTATGTATTTTATCTTCTGTTTAGGCAGCCAATCCTTATTGCCTCCAATCCTTATACTTCCCACATGGATACTCCCAACTTGATCTCTGCCACTCCAATCCAGACCAGCCCTCTACATGAATGCTATGTTTTGACACCAATTGTCTGACACGAACTGGGTGTTGTATGATTTAGTTCTGCCACTACCTGGAGTTAATGCAGACTCCACAAATTGAGGGCTCTGTTCCACAAAACTGCTCCTGACTTCTGATGCCAGTGCAAGTCTTAGATATCCCAAAGCTACCTGTGCTTCTGACCACAGGTTTGGTAATTCACTAGCATGACTTACAGAATTCATTAAAAACACTACTTTTTTTTTTTTTAATTACGTGGGGTCATTATTTTGCCCAGTCTTCTCTCAAACTCTTGGGCTCAAACAATCCTCCCACCTCAGCCTAGTAGCTGGGATTACAGATGTGCACCACTGCACCAGGCTACAAAAGTATTGTACTGGCCAGGCGCAGTGGCTCATGTCTGTAATCCCAGCACTTTGGGAGGCCGTGGTGGGCGGATCACGAGGTCAGGAGATTGAAACCATCCTGGCTAACATGATGAAATTCCGTCTCTACTAAAAGTAAAAAAATTTGCCCGTAGTCCCAGCTGCTCAGGAGGGTGAGGCAGGAGAATCACTTGAATTCGGGAGGTGGAGGTTGCAGTGAGCTGAAATCGGGCCCCTGCACTCCAGCCTGGGTGACAGAGCGAGACTCCGTCTCAAAAAAAAAAAGAAAAAGTATTGTACTTAAAGTTTTATTATAAAGGATTCAGCTGAAGAACAGCCAAGTGAAAGAGATGCATAAGGCAAGGTGTGACAGGGAGGAACACAGAAGCTTCTGTCCTTGTGGAGTCACAGTGTGTCAGTACTGGCATGGGATTGGGGACCTCCGGCCAGTGACACCCACTCAGGTCTCACTCGGCCACCCTACCTGCTGCAGGAGATGGCCCACCCACTCAGCCCAGCCAGGCTGACTCTGACTTGCACTCCAGTTCCTGAGTTCTTGTCCTGTGCCCAAGAAGAATGAGGATGCTCTGACAATCAAAGAGTGAGCAAGGCAGGGAGTTTTACTGAGTGATGAAACAGGTTTCAGCAGAGAGGGAATGTGGGGGTGGTCCCCCTACCTGAAGGCAGGAAAGTCCCCCATGTGGCTGGGTCCAGGCCCTTTTATGGACTCAGAATGATGAGTGTGTGCTGATTGGTTTGTGAGTGTGCAAAAAAGTTTAAAGCGAAGACACTACTTAAAGGTGGCCATGACAGTGTAGAAAACCAATTAGGAAAAGGTAGGTATATGTAAAATAGGGGAAGGGTGGGGATCAATCAGAAGAAAGCATGCCAAATGGGAAGACAAGTTCTTAATCTGGTCCGAGAATTTAACTTGTAGCTTGGGGCTTTCAGGCTTTAAACTATCTTTGGCTTGGAGATGGAGTTTCACTGGGGACCCGCCCCTATCTGACTAGCCATTTGACTGCCTTTTGTCACTATCAGTACCTCATATGTTCACCAACCAGGAAGTTCTCCTCTGATCCTCTTTTTTCTTTTTTCTTTTTTTTTTTTGAGACAGAGTTTCACTCTTGTTGCCCAAGCTGGAGTGCAGTGGCATGATCTTGGCTCACCTCAACCTCTGCCTCCCAGGTTCAAGCAATTCTTCTGCCTCAGCCTCCTGAGTAGCTGGGATAACAGGTATGCACCACCATGCCTTGCTAATTTTGTATTTTTAGCAGAGACAGGGTTTCTCCATGTTGGTCAGGCTGGTCTCAAACTCCCAACCTCAGGTGATCCACCCGCCTCAGCCTCCCAAAGTGCTGGGATTACAGGCATGAGCCACTGCACCCGGCCTTGATCCTCTTTAAGAGTTTTTCTAGAGGTTTCCTTATGTGGCCACCTTTGATTTAATCTATGGTCATGATTGACCTCAATGTCCAGCCCCTACCTCCCCAGGAGGTCAGGGGGTGGGACTGAAATTTTCAATGTTTAGAAGGTTGGCTTTTCCTAAGATAAGCGCCCACTGTGAAACAATTAGGGGCCCTACCATGAGTCACCTGTTTGGCATAAACTCAGGTATGGCCAATGAGAGAAAGGGGCTCATTGTGAATAACAAAAGACAGTTGGATCACTCAGGAAATTCCAAGGCTTTTAAAGCAGGGACAAAGATCAGATTTTTAAAAAAATTATATTACAGATGTCCTCTTCTCCTGACTCAGGCTTTGATAACCCATGCTGTCCAGCCCTCCTGCATAAGATAGACATCATCCTTACCTTACCTCAGTTTCAGAAACTCACTGTAGTCCACAGAATGCCTACTTCATTGTTTCATGCCTAATGGATTTAGGACTGTTCTGGAAAAGAAGATAACTTGTTTGACATTCAAAATATCTATTAAATTCATCACACTAATACAATGAGATGATAACATTTATTTTATTATTTAAATCTGGGAGCCACCATGCCTAGCTAGTTTTTTTGTATTTTTGTAGAGATGAGGTTCTGCCATGTTTGCCAGGCTGGTCTTGAACTCCTGAGCTCAAGCAATCTGCCCGCCTTGGCCTCCCAAATTGATGGGATTACAGGCATGAGCCACCATACCCGGCCTAATTTTTAAATTTTTTGTAGAGACAGGGTCTCACTATATTGGCCAAGCTGATCTTGAACTCCTGGGCTGAAATAATCCTCCCATCTAGGCCTCCCAAATTGCTAGGATCGCAGGCATGAGCCACTGCACCCAGCCTTGATAAATTTATGATAAACTTCAGCATGTACTTTTTTTTTTATTTTTATTTTTTATTTTTTTTTGTAGAGACAGGGTCTTACTATGTTGCCCAGACTGGTCTTGAACTCCTGGGCTCAAGCAATCTGCCCGCTTTGGCCTCCCAAACTGTTGGTATTATAGGCGTGAGCCACTGCACCTGCCTACACTTATAATTTTAAAATATCCTCTCAGAAAGCTTAGAGACTTTTTTCATGTGACAAGAGATGTCTACAAAAACCTACAGCAAAACATTCTAAGTGGTAAAATGTTGAAAATTTTCACTCTGAAATTGGAAAAAAAACAAAATGACAATTATCACATCTATTTAATATTGTACTGGAAAATCCTATACAGAGAAAGATGGCAAGCTAGAACAGGAATAGGAAGGCGATATAAAATTTCATTATTTGCAGACGACACAATTGTATATGTAAAAAATTCAAGCAATTTGAATTAATAAGATAACTAAACAAGTTTGTTGTATAAAAGGTATTATTTCTCATCTCAGAGAAAACGTTAGACATTTCACCACTTAAAAAGGTTTACAGAAAAAAAAAATCTTGGCAGCTTAGCTGACAATAAAAAAAAAAAAGAATGTTCTCAATCTGTTACCCAGGCTAGAGTGGAGTGGGCACAATCATGGCTCACTACAGCCTCAACCCCATGGCTTCAAGCAATTTTCCCATCTCAGCCCCCTAAGTAGCTGGAACTACAGCTGTGCCCCACAATGCCCGGCTATTTTTTTTTTTTTAATATAGGGATGGGGTCTCCCTTTGCTGTCCAGGCTGGTCTTGGACTCCTGGGCTCAAGCAATCTTCTCGCCTCAGCCTCCCAAAGTGCCGAGAGTACAGGCATGAGCTACCACAGCCAGCCCAGACTTCTTTTAATAGATGAAGAAAATTCTATTCATATACTAAATTGTTTTGTCTAGATATATATGTGTGTGTGTATATATATATATATGATAATTGAAAAATAAAGTTTAAAAGACAAACCTTAGGGAAGTTTTCAACTTTCCCTCTACTATAAAGTTTCAATAATTTAATATTTGTAAAGTTTTTGTAAAGTTTTAATACTGTAAAGTTTCAATACTGTAAAGTTTCAATAATTTGAGTCTGGCCAGGCGCAATGGCTCACACCTGTAATCCCAACACTGTGGGAGGCCTAGGTAGGCAGATTACCTGAGGTCAGGAGTTCGAGAACAGCCTGGCCAACATGCTGAAACCCCATCTCTACTAAAAATACAAAAATTAGCTGGGTGTGGTGGCACACACCTGTAATTCCAGCTACTTCGGAGGCTGAGGCACAAGAATCGCTTGAATCTGGGAGACGAAGGTTGCAGTGAGCAAGATTGCTCCACTGCAATCCAGCCTGAGGGACAGAATGAGACTCTGTCTCAAAATAATAATAACAATAATAATAGTAATTTGAGTTTGTGAAATACACTGACAGTAGATAAATTAGCAGGAGAAAAGGTATGCAAGTTTTTAAAAGCCAGTCAAATTTAACAGTGACGAGTTTGTATACCAGTTTTAGTGGCACTAATGTTAATAAGTTCTGATAATCCACTGCCATTGGACAAGTGGCATGCAAATGTATTTATTTATTTATTTATTTTATTGAGATGGAGTTTCGCTCTATCGCCCAGGCTGGAGTGGAGTGGCACAATCTCAGCTCACTGCAAGCTCTGCCTCCTGGATTCAAGTGATTCTCCTGCCTCAGCCTTCCAAGTAGCTGGGACTGCGGGCCTGTGCCACCACGCCCACCTATTTTTTGTACTTTTAGTAGAGACAGGGTTTCACCGTGTTAGCCAAGACGGTCTCGATCTCCTGACCTCGTGATCTTCCCACCTCAGCCTCCCAAAATGTTGGGATTACAGGCATGAGCTACCTTGCCAGGCCGTGGCATGCAAATTTATTACATGCATGTGTACAGGAGTCCCACAAATCATGAGACATAAAGAAGGACCAGATGACTTAAGTTGTTCTAGTGTCATAACCTACAGGAAGAAATAGGGGCTTGGGGGCCAGGCATGGTGGCTCATGCCTGTAATCCCAACACTTTGGAACGCCGAGGTAGGTGGATTACTTGAGGTCAGCAGTTCAAGACCAGCCTGGCCAACATGGTGAAAGCCCGTCTCTACTAAAATACAAAAAAAATTAACTGGGCGTGTTGGCAGGCACCTGTAATCCCAGCTACTAGGGAGGCTGAGGCAGGAGAATCGCTTGAACCCAGGAGGCGGAGGTTGCAGTGAGCTGAGATTATGCCACTGCACTCCAGCCTGGACGACAGTGACACTCTGTCTCAAAAGAAAAAAAAAAAGAAAACAAAAAATAGAAATAGGGGCTTGGGATTTCTGGGGAGAAGTAATGACAGGTTATGGGATGTTGAGGGGAAGAAATGCATGGTGAACAAAGGCTGTTTTATTATACAGGTAATGTCTCTTAGGTAGCAGTCCTCAGAATAGGTGGTGTTGACCTTTAGTCTTGCCATGAGTTAATTTTCCCTATGCATGAGATTATTTGGGGATTGGGGGTGGTGCTCATGACAGTTGCATTTCTTCTGGAGGAACTTCCCTTAGTCAGATAAGGAAACTTCAGAGAAAGCCCCTTCCTGTGCTTAGGGAGGTAAAGAGGAGGAAGGACAGGGGAGCTGGAGAAGGTCAAAGAGACCTTATTCTCCTTTAGTTCAAAGCACTCAGCATGCCCAAAGCACTGTATTTTGGGGCATATTATTATTTTTTGAGACAGAGTTTCACTTTGTCATCCAGGCTGGAGTGCAGTGGCATGATCTGGGCTCACTGCAACCTCTGCCTCCCAGGTTCAAACGATTATCCTGCCTCAGCCTCCTGAGTAGTTGGAACTACAAGTGCGTGCCACCACACCCAGCTAATTTTTTTTAATTTTTAGTAGAGACAGGGTTTCGCCATGTTGGCCAGGCTGGTCTCAAACTCCTGACTTCATGTGATCCATCTGCCTCAGCCTCCCAAAGTGCTGCGATTACAGGCGTGAGCCACCATGCCCAGCCTTGTTTTCTGAGCCACAACAAATACAACTCACAATTGTATAAAAATGTAACTAAAAATAAATCTAACAAAAAATGTACACATGCAGAGTATAAAACACTATAAGACAAATTAAAAATAACCTAAATAAGTGGAGAAATATACAACATTCACATAAAACATTATACACAAAAATTCAGTATTATAAAGATATTGAGGACTAAACTCTAATTTTTTATATTGCCCAAGTTCCTGTCTAAGGGGTCTGGGGACTCATGCCCTACAAATCAAATTCTCATCAGATGGGTTTTATTTAACCCTATATATCATGATTTACTTTCCAACCTGACTCTGGCATAACATTACGAGACAAGGAAGAAAATCAAAATATACTCCAAAACATACTTCTTTGCCATATTTTGAAATGGCCCTACAAAACTGTTCTTTGTGGGGGAACATTTGCATCTGTAAAGAATCTCTATTAATATAGCTAGATCTTTTTCTTCCAGACCCTCCCAATCCTAAAGAGATTAACTAAGATCTGAATAGGAAACATTTGTCATCTATTGTCTCTAAGGGCAGCCACTATAAGACTTCAAAATAACTTTGGTCTCCACAATTTTTATCTTAATTGAACATTCCCTTTCTGTGAATCCCAGGTCTTTAGACAAATTCAACCAATTGTCAGCCAGAAAGCTTAAATTCATATATAGCCTGGAAGCCTCTGCTTTCAGTTGTCCTGTCTTTCTGGACCAAACCAATGTATTTCTTAAATGTATTTAATTGATGTTTCATGCCTCTCTAAAATGTAAAAAACCAAGCTGCACCCCGACCACCTTGGGCACATGTTCTCAGGACCTCCTGAGGGCTGTGTCATGGGCCGTGGTCATTCATATTTGGGTCAGAATAAATATTTTCAAATATTTTACAGAGTTCGACTCTTTTCATTGACAATATCAATTCTCCCCAAATTGCTGTATAGTGTCAATGCGATTCCAGTCAAAACCAAGCAGGTTTTTGCTATGAAAATTGACAAAGTAGACCAGGTGTAGTGGCTCATGTCTGTAATCCCAGCACTTTGGAAGGCCGAGGTGAGCCAAGATCACCTGAGGTCAGGAGTTTGAGACCAGACTAGACAATGTGTCGAAACCCCGTGGCTACTAAAAATACAAAAATTAGGTGGGTATGGTGGGTGGGTGCTTGTAAACTCAGCTACTCAGGAGGCTGAGGCAGGAGAATCGCTTGAACCCGGGAGGCAGAGATTGCAGTGAGCTGAGATCCCACCATTGCATTCCAGCCTGGGCGACAAGAGTGAAACTCTATATTAAAAAAAAAAAGAAAGAAAGAAAAATTGACAATGTGATTCTAAAATTCACATGGAAAGAATATCCAAGACAAACTGCAATAAGAACAATGTGGGAGGACTTACTCTACCAGATGTCAAAATTATCATAAACCTACATTAATTAAGACAATGTGTTATTGGTGCAAGGATACAAAAATAGAGCAAAGAAGCAGAATAAAGAGTCTGGAATGAAACCCACATGTGTATGTACCCTAGATTCATGACAAAGATGACATTGCTGAACAGTGGTGAAATGTCAATACATTTAAAAAATTATGTATGCACAATTGGGAATCTATACTTAAAAAAAGAAGCTTGGCCTCTAGCTCTATTCAAGATGGATTATAGATCTAAATATAAAAAGTAAGGCCAGGTGCAGTGGCTCACACCTGTAATACAAGGTAACACCTGTAATACCAGGTAATACCTGTAACACCTCAGGCAGCTGAGGTGGGAGGATAGCTTGAAATCAGGAGCTCAAGACCAGCCTAGACAACAAAAAGAGATTCCCATCTCTATGGAAAAAAGAAAAAATAATAATAAGCCAGCATTGGTGGTGCCTGTAGTCCCCAGCTACTCAGAAGACTGAGGGGAGAGGACCCCTTGAGTCCAGAAGTTCAAGGCTGCAGTGAGCTATGACTGAGCCACTGCACTCCATCCGGGGTGACAGAGCAAGAGCCCGTCTCAAAAAAAAAGGTAAAATCATAAAACGTATATTTATTTTTATTTTTAATTTTTTTGAGACAGTCTTGCTCTGTCACCCAGGCTGGAGTGCAGTGGTATGACTTCAGCTCACTGCAACCTCCATCACCCGGGTTCAAGCAATTCTCCTTCCTCAGCCTCCTGAGTAGCTGGGATTACAGGCATGCGCCACTGTGATACCCTACCTTGTTTTAACCTGAATTGACTCTCCCTTAGCTGAGAGAGCCAGATAGACTCCATCTTGGCTCCTTCACTTGCAGCCCCTTACCCACCCACTTCCTCAAGGACTTAACTTGTGCAAGCTGACTCCCAGCACATCCAAGAATGCAATGAACTGGTAAGATACTGTGGCGAGCTATATCCGCAGTTCCCAGGAATTCACCTGGTTAATAGCACCCAGAGCCCCCGCGTTTGTGTCCGGTTGATAACGCCCAAAGCCCTGTGTCTATCACCTTGTGATAGACTTAAAGCTCCTGTACCTGGAACTGTTTACTTTCCTGTAACCATTTATCCTTTTAACTTCTTGCCTACTTTACTTCTGTAAGATTGTTTTCACTAGACCCCCTCCCCATCCCCTTTCTAAACCAAAGTATAAAACAAAATCTAGCCCCTTCTTCGGTAGCTGGCTAATTTTGAGCACTAGCTGTCTCGGTAGCTGGCTAATAAAGGACTCCTGAATTCGTCTCAGGGTGTGGCGTTTCTCTGTAACTCACTCAGTTACAACACTTGGAGGCCCAGCGAGATTTATCCCCACCGGGTGAGTGCCGAACTCACTCCTGGCTCCCCTGGACAGATGGGAGGCTTATAGGGGAGTCGCCACCTGAGACGTTCAGGGGCCCCATAGGCCCCCGTCTTCCAGAAGGGAACGGATTGACTGCTAGTGTGTGCCCACCAAAATCAACTTCTGAGTCCTCCATTTCTGGTCCCGGGAAGGTAAGTCAGATCTGACTCTGTTTCTCTGGGAGAGAAGCGGCCCTGACGAGGGCATCCCTCCAACTCTGTCCATATTCCAGGATGCTGGAGGACAGAGTCCTGGTTTCTGGTTTCTGATTCTGTTTCTCTGGGAGGGGAGAGGCCCTGAACGAGGGTCTCCCTCTGACTCCTCCCATATTCCAGGACACTGAAGGACAGAGTTTTGGTTTCTGTCTGATTCTGTTTCTCTGAGAGGGAAGGGGCCCTGAACGAGGGCGTCCCTCTAATTCTGTTCATATTCCAGGATGCTGAAGGACAGAGTCCTGGTTTCTGTCAGGCTTCTCTGTAAGGCTAGTCACTGTCTCTCTCTCTTTCTTTCTTTCTCTCTCCCTCCCTGTCTTCTCCTTCTCTCGTTCAGGTCTCCAGGAGACCTCTGTTTTAGAACAGAAATAAGAATTGTAATAAACTCTGTGTGAGTGTGTTGTGAATGGGGAGTTCAAGGGCTTGTGCTTGAATTTCCAGTTTGTAGCCCTACGGCGAAAGCTACGGAGTTTGAGAGGGCCCTCACCTGTGGTTCCGTGGTGACCTCATAAGGCTTAAGGCAGCATCGGGCATAGTTCAATCCGAGCCGGGGGTTTATACTGGCCTGCCAATGCCAGGAGGAGCCTAAGTCCCCTCCGGGGGAGCGGCCAGGTGGGCATCTGACTGATCCCATCACAGGACCCCCTCCCCTTGTCTGTCTATAAAAATTGTCATAATTGTTTATATACCCCAGTGTCTCTTGTCCTGTCTGGTGTCTATCTAAGTTTCGTATGTCAGGTCATCAATACTGCCCAAGATGACTGGGCAATGACTTCTTCAAAGTCCTGAGTACAGATTTTCTAACACAGGAGGTCAAATTTCTCATCAGTCGTTTGGGCTGGCCTTCCGCATCCTGCCTTTTCTGCCAGAAACAAATCAGGTGTTGTTACAGGGAGGGGTGTGGGAAACATTCGCCTATGTGGGAAATATTTGCCCGTTTGGGATTTCTGGCACCATACAGATTGCTGGCATTTAGATTGCCATACCCCATGCCCCAATGACCGATCCATCTTCCTCTTAGACCCGTGGTGGATCCAAAATAGCCACCCTGCTGACATCCTGCTTACCTTTTCTGTCATCCCGTAACTTTTCCTGTGCCCTTAAATAAGGCACTGTGCAGAGAAACCTACGCCCATACTGCTTTACTCCATCTGGACCCTTATTTTACCCCTTCATGACTACTCTCCAAACTTGGGAAGATCCGAGTGGCCCTTTTCCTCCTCATCCCCATCCTTTACCCCGCACATCTCGTTTTCCTGTGTCGCAGCAAGTCCAGCGTCTCGAAGACTTGGCCCTGTCCTCCCTCTTTAAACCCTTAAAAGAAAGGGCCAAGTTTGAACTTTTTGCCTTCGAGTCGTGGAGACACCAAAGATATTTAGGCTATAGGTCAAAGAGGAGGGGGGGATCACATAGGTCCCACTGGCCTCGGACCCACCTCTTTTCCTCTCCCTAGATCTCGAAGTGTAAAAAACTGACCTTATGTGGCAAGAAGTGTTGGCTATAGTTGTTTTCCCACTTCTTCTGGTTATAATACTTCTGTTCTTCCGATACAACAGCCCTCCAGGTCGTGAATTTCTCTGTCCATGCTGGGTTTAATATTTCTGCTCAAACCTTGTTAAATTGCCTCCAGAATGGGAAACTCTTCTTCCCGACCTCGTAAAGATTGGAGCCCTCTCCAATGTATGTTACAAAATTTCTCTCTGGGCTTTTCAGATGATTACGGAGTCCGCCCTAAAAAAGGCAAACTCCAGACACTCTGTGAAGTAGAATGACCAAAGTTTGGATCCGGGTGGCCCCCAGAAGAGTCACTAAACCTCACAGCTGTTCAGGCTGTATGGAGGGTCATTGCTGGAACTCCTGGTCACCCCGATCAGTTTCCCTACATTGATCAATGGCTGAGTTTGGTCCAGAGCCCTCCCCCTTGGCTCTGCTCATGCGCCATTTGTAATCCAACCTCCAAGATCCTTTTAAGCCAGACCACACTTTTGTCCTGATCCTCAGCTCCCTCGGCTCCTCCTGTATTGCCTCCCTCTGAAGAAGAGTTTTCCTCATACAGTTCCACCGCCCTATAATCCTCCTGCTCCCTCAGAATCTTCCCTAGTCTCCTCGACTACATCCCCTGTGGGTTCTCCGCCTATAGCCTCCCGAGACAGCCTTGGCAGGAGGAGGTAGCACCCCTCCTCCCACTGAGAGAGGCACAAATCCCTCTGGGTGATGAGCACTCAGCTCCATTCTTAGTTTATGTCCCTTTCTCTATTTCTGACCTGTACAACTGGAAGGCTCACAATCCCCCCTTCTCTGAAGAGCCCCAGGTTTTGACCTCACTGATGGAGTCCGTGCTCCAGACTCACCAGCCCACCTGGGATGATTGTCAGCAACTCCTTTTAATCCTTTTCACCTCTGAAGAGAGGGATCGTATCTGAAGAGAAGCCAGAAAGTATTTCCTTACATCAGCCGGTAGACCGGAGGGGGAAGCCCAAAACCTCCTTGAGCAGGTTTTTCCCTCTACTCGGCCTGATTGGGATCCAAACTCCTCAGGTGGGAGGAGAGCTTTGGATGATTTTTACCAGTATCTCCTTGCAGGCATCAAGGGAGCTGCTCGAAAACCCGTGAATCTGTCTAATAAAACTTAAGTTGTCCAGGGGCTTGATGAGTCACCTGGAGTCTTTTTAGAACGCCTCCAGGAGGCCTATCGAACTCACACCCCTTTTGACCCGGCGGCTCCTGAGAATAGCCGTGCTATTAATTTGGCATTTGTGGCTCAGGCAGCCCCTGATATTAAAAGAAAATTACAAAAACTGGAGGGATTTGCTGGAATGAACATTAGCCAGCTTTTAGAAGTAGCCCAGAAAGTTTGTGACAATCGAGAGTTTGAAAAACAAAAACAAGTAGCTCAGGCAGCTGAAAGGGCTCCCGGTAAAGCATCCAAAAGACAAGCGAAAATCTTAGTGGCAGCCATCCAGGAAGCCAGAAGGGAAGGGCCCCCATTACAAAGCACTAGCCAGGGGACCCCAGTCCATGCCAGAAAGGCCAGAAAAGTGAGCAGGTTTCCCTACAAAGAGACCAATGTGCTTATTGCAAGCAGGCTGGACACTGGAAGAAGGAATGCCCATTAAAGCCAGAGGAAAAACCAGAAAAAAAAAAGGCCCTCACCCTCCCCGCAGCGGAGGTGTCTGATGACTGACGGGACTGGGGCTCCCTCTCTCTTGGCCCCTGAGAGCCCATGGTGAGCGCTACAGTAGGGGGGACAGCCTGTATGCTTCCTAATGGATACCAGGGTGGAACACTTGGTACTGCAGACACCTTTAGGCAGTGTCTCTAATAAAAGAGTGGCTGTACAAGGGGCCACCAGAGCTATTCAGGAATATCCTGTCACCCACTCACGAGAAGTGAGTTTGGGACAGAAAAGAGTAACCCACTCATTTCTTGTAGTCCCAGAGTGCCCCTTTCCCCTTTGCAGACGAGACCTGCTCCGTTATAGGCTTCTATCTCTTTCTCAGCCCAGCAGGCTCACCTCCCGTTAGGGGACACAACGCCCCCTACTGCCCAACTCCTGCTAACTACCCCTCTGTCAGAGGAATATCTTTTGGTTTCACCATCACAACCACTGGAGAATAAAACTAATTCTCTCCTATTGGATCTACAGACTCTCTTTCCTCGAGTCTGGGCCGAGTCAAACCCCCTGGGACTAGCAAAGCATCATCCGCCGGTAGTTGTGGAACTTCTGGCCACTGCCCTGCCAGTCCAGGTGAAACAGTATCCTATGAGTCAGCGGGCTACAGAGGGGATCAATCCCCATATTCAGTGACTGTTACAAGCTGGCATACTCACACCGTGTCAGTCCACCTGGAATACTCCATTTTTGCTGGTCCAGAAACCCGGAACAAATGAATACCGGCCGGTACAGGACTTGAGGGAAGTTAACAAGTGGACAGTTACTGTCCATCCAACTGTCCCTAACCCTTAAACTTTACTCAGCCTGCTCCCGCCAGAACATACAGTATACACTGTCCTTGACTTGAAGGATGCTTTCTTTGCTATTCCTCTGACCCCCAAAAGCCAACCTATCTTTGCTTTTGAATGGACAGATCCTGGCTCAGGAGACACCACCCAATTGACCTGGACCCGGTTACCTCAAGGTTTTAAAAATTCCGCCACCCTTTTTGGGGAAGCCCTCCAACAAGATCTTCTACCATTCTGAGCCAGTCCCCTTAACTGTAACTCTTCTTCAGTATGTGGATGACCTTTTATTGGCTACTGAAACTACTGACAGCTGCCTGCAACATATTAAGGACCTACTTTACCTCCTTTAGGAGCTTGGGTATCGGGTCTCAGCCAAGAAGGCCCAACTTTGTCTTCCCAGAGTGTCCTACCTGGGGTATGAGATAAAGGAAAAAGGGCACTCACCAGTGCTCGGAAGGAAGCCATCCTGCAAATCCCCACTCCCACCACCAAGAGACAGGTACATGAATTCCTGGGGGCTGTGGGATACTGTCACCTATGGATATCGGGGTTCGCGGAAATTGCCAAGCCCCTGTACACCGCTACTGGACAGAATGGCCCACTAGTTTGGACTAACACTGAAGAACAGTCTTTTCAAAACCTAAAGAAAGCATTAACTGAGGCCTCTGCCCTAGCCCTCCCAAATATCTCAAAACCATTCCACCTTTTTTTCATGAAAGCCAAGGAGTCGCTAAAGGGGTACTCACTCAAACTTTGCGGCCATGTCGACGCCCAGTGGCCTGTTTATCTAAAAGACTGGATCCTGTTGCCTCCGGGTGGCCAAGTTGTCTGGGAGCTGTAGCAGCCACAGCAAGCCTGGTTCAGGAGGCTGATAAACTGACTCTAGGTCAAAATTTAACCCTTATGGCGCCTCATGCCGTAGAGACTTTGCTGCGAAGTGCTTCTGGCAAATGGATGTCAAATGCTCGCATTTTGCAGTATCAGAATTTACTGTTAGATCAGCCTCGTTTAACTTTCTCTCCCACAATGTGTTTAAATCCAGCTACTTTGCTCCCAGATCCAGACTTCACCACACCTGTCCATGACTGCCAGGAACTGTTAGAGACTACAGAAACTGGCCGACCTGATCTCCAAGATGTGCCTTTAAAGGAGGTGGACACCACCATGTTTACAGACGGTAGCAGCTACCTTGAGCAGGGAGTTCAAAAGGCTGGTGTGGCCATCACTACGGAGACAGATATACTGTGGGCCCAGACACTACCAGCAGGTACCTTGGCACAGAGGGCTAAGTTGGTTGCCCTCACTCAGGCCCTCTGATGGGGTAAGGACAAACGTATTAACATTTACACTGACAGCAGGTATGCTTTTGCTACTGTGCATGTGGACGGAGCCATCTACCAAGAGCGTGGGCTACTCACCTCAGCAGGAAAGATTATCAAGAATAAAGAAGAAATTTTAGCCCTGCTTGAAGCCATTTGGCTCCCTCAGCAGGTGGCTGTAATTCACTGCAAAGAACCTCAAAGAGAGGACACAGCCATAGCTCGTGGTAACCAAAGAGCAGACTCTGCAGCTCAGGAGGCAGCCCGGCTCCCAGTCGCACCTCTGACCCTACTGCCTGCAGTGTCCTTTCTGCAACCTGACTCACCAGCTCACCCAGAATACTCCACAGAAGAAGAAAGACAGGCTTTGGATTTTCAGGCCAGTAAAAATCAGGAAGGTTGGTGGATTATTCCTCATTCCAGAATCGTCATGCCCCGAGCCCTCGGGAAAACTTTAATCAGTCGTCTGCATTCTACCACCCATTTGGGAGGAGTAAAATGGGCCCAGCTTCTGAGGAGCCGTTTCAAGATCCCCCACCTTCAGGACTTAGCTAACCAAGCAGCTCTTCGGTGTACAGCTTGTGCTCAGGTAAACGCCAAGCAGCGTCCTAAACCCAGACCAGGCCACTGCCTCTGGGGAGACTACCAGGAGAAAGGTGGGAAATTGACTTTACAGAGATAAAACTGCACCAGGCAGGGTATAAATACCTCCTGATACTGGTAGACACCTTTTCCGGATGGACTGAGGCATTTGCCACCAGAAACGAGACTGCCACCACGGTAGTTAGGCTTTTACTCAATGAGATCATCCGTCGGCATGGGCTGCCTGCTGCCATAGGGTCTAATAACGGACTGGCCTTCACCTTGTCCATAGCTCGGTCAGTAAGGCACTAAACATTCAATGGAAGCTCCATTGTGTCTATCAACCCCAGAGCTCTGGGGAGGTAGAATGCATGAACCGCACCCTAAAAAGTACTCTTACAAAATTAATCCTAGAAACTGGTGAAAACTGGGTAAAGCTCCTTCCTCTAGCCCTTCTTAGATTAAGATGCACTCCTTATGGGGCTGGGTTTTCACCTTTTGAAATCATGTATGGAAGGGCTCCGCCTATCTTGCTTAAGCTAAGGGATACCCATTTAGCAAAAATCTCACAAGCTAATTTGTTACAGTACGTGCAGTCTCTCCAACAGGTACAAGACATCATCCAGCCGCTTGTCTGGGGAGCTCATCCCAATCCAGTTCCTGACCAGATGGGGCCCTGCCACTCTTTCCAGCCAGGTGACCTGGTGTATGTTAAAAAGTTCCAGAAAGAAGGACTCACTCTTGCCTGGAAACGACCTCATACCGTCATCCTCAGCACGCCGACGGCTCTGAAAGTGGATGGCATTCCGGCTTGGATTCATCACTCTCGCATCAAAAAGTCTAACAGAGTCCAACAAGAAACATAGCTCCCCAAGCCTGGGCCAGGTCCCTTAAAACTGCGCCTAAGTCAAGTGAAGCCATCAGATTAATTCTTTTTATTTACCTCTATTGTTTGTTTCCGCCTATTATGTCCTCTGCTCCATCCTACTCTTTCCTCCTCACTTCTTTCACGACGGGACGTGTGTCTACAAACACTACTTGGAAGGCAGGAACTTCCAAGGAAGTCTCTTTTGCAGTTGATTTATGTGCTTTGTTCCCAGAGCCTGCCCGTACCCATGAAGAACAACGCAATCTGCCGGTCATGGGAGTGGGGAGCGTCAACCTTGCTGCAGGATTTGGAAACTCTGGAAGCCAGACTGGATGTGGAAGCTCCAAAGGTACAGAAAAAGGACTCCAGAATGTTGACTTTTACCTCTGTCCTGGAAATCACCCTGACTCTAGTTGTCAAGATTCTTACCAGTTTTTCTGCCCTGACTGGACATGTGTAACTTTGGCCACCTACTCTGGGGGATCAAGCCAATCTTCTACCCTTTCCATAGCTTGTGCTTCCTGACCTAAACTGTGTACTAAGAGAAATTGTAATCCCCTTACTGTAACTGTCCATAACCCTAATTTAGCTCAATGGTATTACAGCATGTCATGGGGATTAAGGCTTTATATCCCAGGATTTGATGTCGGAACTATGTTCACTATCCAGAAGAAAATCCTGGTCTCATGGAGCCCTCCGAAGCCAATCGGGCCTGTAACTGATTTAGGTGACCCTATATTCCAAAAACATCCAGACAGGGTTGATTTAACTGTCCTGCCGCCATTCCTGGTTCCCAAACCTCAGCTGCAACGACAGTACCTCCAACCCAGCCTGATGTCCATTCTGGGCGGGTTATATCACCTTCTCAATCTCATCCAGCCTAGACTAGCCCAAGATTGTTGGTTGTGCCTAAAGGCCAAACCCCCATATTATGCTGGATTAGGAGTAGAAGCCGCATTTAAAATTGGCTCTCTTTCTTGTTGTACACGCCCCCTGCCCTCACATTAGGAGACATGTCGGGAAATGCTTCTTGTTTAATTAGCGCCGGATATAACTTGTCTCTTCTCCCTTTCAGGCTACCTGTAATCAGTCTCTACTTACTTCTTTAAGTGCCTCAGTCTCCTACTAGGCACCTAACAATACCTGGTTAGCCTGCACTTCAGGTCTCACACGCTGCATCAATGGGACTGAACCAGGACCTCTCCTGTGTGTTTTGGTTCATGTGCTCCCCCAGGTCTATGTGTATAGCGGGCCAGAAGCACAACTTCTCATTGCTCCCCCTGAATTACATTCCAGGTTTCGCCGAGCAGCCCCACTCCTCGTACCCCTTCCGGCCAGTCTTAGCATAGCCGGATCAGCAGCCATTGGCACGGCTGCCCTGGTTCAGGGAGAAACTGGGCTAATGTCCCTATCTCAACAAGTAGATGCTGATTTAAGCAATCTCCAACAGCCATAAATATACTACATACCCAAGTAGAGTCTCTAGCTGAAGTAGCTCTTCAAAACCGCCGAGGCTTAGATCACTATTTCTCTCTCAAGGAGGGTTACGCACCACTCTGGGGGAGAGAGTTGTTGCTTCTGTGCCGATCAGTCTGGGGTCATAAAAGATACTCTCCAAAAAGTTTGAGAGAATCTAGATAGACGCCAACAGCAATGGGAAAATAACACCCCCGGTACCAAAGCATGTTTAACTGGAATCCATGGCTAACTACTCTAATCACTGGGTTAGCTGGACCCCTTCTCCTCCTATTGTTAGGCTTAGTCTTCGGGCCTTGTATATTAAATTGGTTTCTTAACTTTATAAAGCAACGCATAGCTTCTGTCAAGCTTATGTGTCTTAAAACCCAATATAACCCCCTTGTTATAACTGAGGAATCAATGATTTGATTCCCCAAAAACACAAGTGGGGAATATGACACCCTACTTTGTTTTAACCTGAATTGACTCTCCCTTAGCTGAGAGAGCCAGACAGACTCCATCTTGGCTCCTTCACTTGCAGCCCCTTACCCACCCACTTCCTCAAGGACTTAACTTGTGCAAGCTGACTCCCAGCACATCCAAGAATGCAATTAACTGATAAGATACTGTGGCGAGCTATATCCGCAGTTCCCAGGAATTTGCCTGGTTAACAGCACCCAGAGCCCCGGCGTTTGTGTCCGGTTGATAACGCCCAAAGCCCCGCGTCTATCACCTTGTGATAGTCTAAAAGCCCCTGCACCTGGAACTGTTTACTTTCCTGTAACCATTTATCCTTTTAACTTCTTGCCTACTTTACTTCTGTAAGATTGTTCTCACTAGACACCCCCTCCCCTTTCTAAACCAAAGTATAAAAGAAAATGTAGCCCCTTTGGGACTGAGAGAACTTTGAGCACTAGCCGTCTCTCAGTCGACGGCTAATAAAGGACTCCTGAATTCGTCTCAGAGTGTGGCGTTTCTCTGTAACTCACTTGGTTACACCACCACCATGTATGGCTAATTTTTGTATTTTTGGTACAGATGGGATTTCACTATGTTGGCCAGGCTGGTCTCAAACTCCCAACCTTGGCATTCACCCACCTTGGCCTCCCAAAGTGCTGGGATTACAGGTGTGAGCCACTGCACCCGGCCCATAAAATTTTTTTAAAATGAGGAAATGTGATGATCTTCTGACAGGGAAAGTCTCTAAAAAGACAGATTTATAAATTGGGTGACATTAAAGTTAAGGACATTCACAAAAAGATACCATTAAGAGAATGAAAAGTCAAGCTCTGAAGTGGGAGGTGGAATTTGCAAAGCATAAATGATAAAGAGTTTGCATTCAGAAAGAGAAAAAGATACAAAATCCCACTGGAAATCGGATATGATATTAAGAAATAATTACTTCACAAAAAGGATATCTGAATGGCCGATATGGTTTGGGTCTGTGTCTCCACCCAAATCTCATGTCAAATTGTTTTCCCCAGTGTTGAAGGTGGGGCCTGGTGGGACTTGATTGGAGTATGGGGGTGGATTTCCTCCTTTGGTACTATTCTCCTGACAGAGTCTCACAAGATCCGGTTGTCTAAAAGTGTGTGGCACCTCCCCCCACTCTCTTCCTCCTGCTCCGGCCATGTAAGATGTGACTACTTCTTCTTTGACATCCACCATGATTGTAAGTTTGCTGAGGTCTCCCCAGCCATGCTTTCTGTACAGCCTTTGGAATTGTGAGCCAAATAAACATCTTTTTACAATAAACTACCTAGTCTCAGATTTTTTTTTTTTTTTGAGACAGAGTCTTGGTCTGTCACCCAGGCTGGAGTGCAGTGGCATGATCTCAGCTCATGGCAACCTCTGCCTTCCGGGTTCAAGCAATTCTCCCACCTCAGCCTCCCAAGTAGCTGAGATTACAGGCACGGCTAATTTTTGTATTTTTAGTAGAGACAAGGTTTCACTATGTTGGCCAGGCTAGTCTTGAACTCCTGACCTCCGGTGATCTGCCTGCCTCGGCCTCCCAAAGTGCTGGGATAACAGGCGCCACCACACCCAGCCTGAACATATTATCTTACAAAAGTTGAACATTTGTAACCATCTGACTGGTTCTTTCTGTGCACTGCAAAAACAAAATAAATTCATTGCCTTGTAGTAAAGAGTTTAACTGATACAAGGCCAGTCATGCCACCACCTGGGAGACTGAGTTACTACTTCAATCAATCTCCTTGAAGTCTCATAAATTAGAGATTTTTCAAAGGTAGTTCGGGGAAAGGGGTAGAGGTTTCTAAGCTATGGGTGCTTGCTACTGATTTGTTAGTTCAGAGATGAAATCACAGGGAGTTGAAGTTGTCCTCTTGCCCTGAGTCACTTCTGGCTGGGGCCACAGGATCGTTGGTGGGTCCAGGTGAAGCCACTTGGGTAAGACATGCAAAAAACCTGAAAAGATATCTCGAAAGGCCAATCTCAGGTTCTACGTAGTGATGTTATCTTCAGGAGTAACTGAGGAAGTCACGTATCTTGTGACCTCTGGAATAATGCTGGCATTTGCTTTTGTCCACACCTTAGCAGAATTCAGGCTCATCCATCCTCCTAACCTGGTGGTCTCTCATTAGCCTTACAAAGGCAGTTGTTTAGGGAAAGGGTGATTATCATTTAAACTATCTTAAACCCAGGAATAATTAGGACAGCTTGAAGGCTAAAGACAAGAGGGAAGTTGGCTAAATCAGATCTCCCAGACTACCATAATTTTCTCACTGATATAATCTTTGCCAAAGCAATTTCACAGTCACAAATCCAAATGACTCAGAAATCCCACTTTTAGTTATGTACCCAATAGAAATGCATGCACATATATACCAAGAGACATGACAAGGGTAAAAATGTTGTTTGCAGCATTCTTCATGACAGCCCAAAGCTAGAAATAACCCAAATGCCCATCAATGATGTCAGAGCTGTTAGAACCAGAGTGACTCCATCTTGAATAGGGGCTGGGTAAAATAAGGCTGAGACCTACTGGGCTGCATGCCCAGGAGATTAAGCATTCTTAGTCACAGGATGAGATAGAAGGTTGGCACAAGATACAGGTCATAAAAACTTTGCTGATAAAACAGGATGTGGTGAAGAAGCCTGCTAAAACACACCAAAACCAAGACGGCGATGAAAGTGACCTCTGATCATCCTCACTGCTCATTATATGCTAATTATAATGTGTTATGCTAAAAGACACTCCCACTGGTGCCATGGCAATGTCAGGAAGTTACCCTATGTGGTCTAAAAAGTGGAGGAACTCTGTTCCAGGAATTGCCCACCTCTTTCCTGAAAAACCCATGAATAATCTACCCCTTGTTTAGCATATAATCAAAAAATAGCTAGAAGTATACTCGGTGGAGCAGCCCATACCACTGCTCTGCCTATGGCATAGCCATTCTTTTATTCCTTTATTTTCTTGCTTCTTTTTTGAGACGGAGTCTTGCTCTGTTGCTCAGGCTGGAGTGCTGTGGCAAGGTCTCGACTCACTGCAACCTCCGCCTCCCAGGTTCAAGTGATTCTCCTGCCTCAGCCTCCCAAGTAGCTGGGATTACAGGCACGTGCCACCATGCCCAGCTAATTTTTGTATTTTTAGTAGAGATGGGGTTTCGCCGTGTTGGCCAGGCTGGTCTGGAACCCCTGACCTCATGATTCGCCTGCCTCGGCCTCCCAAAGCGCTGGGGGTTACAGGCGTGAGCCACCGCGCCCAGCCTTATTCCTTTATTTTCTTAATAAACTTGCTTTCACTATACTCTATGGACTCACTCTGAATTCAAAATCTTGCGCGAGGTCAAAGGAACCTCTCTCTTGGGGTCTGGATTGGGACTACTTTCCAGTAAAATGCTAGTATAACTTGTGATATATTCAAAGTAATAATTTTATAGCACAGCACATAGAACAGACACAATTTTTTTTTTTTTGAAACGGACTCTCCCTCTGTTGCCCAGGCTACAGTGCAGTGGCGTGATCTCGGCTCACTGCAACCTCCACCTCCCGGGTTCAAGCGATTCTCCTGCCTCAGCCGCCTGAGTAGCTGGGATTATAGGCATGTGCTACCATGCCCAGCCAATTTTTTTTTTTTTTTTTGAAGCAGAGACTTGCTCTGTCGCCCAGCCTACAGTGCAGTGGCACAATCTCAGCTCACTGCAACCTCTGCTTTCTAGGTTCAAGCAATTTTCCTGCCTCAGCCTCCCTAGTAGCTGGGATTATGGGCACCCACCATCACCCTTGGCTATTTTTTTGTATTTTTAGTAGAGACGGGGTTTTGCCATGTTGGCCAGACTGGTCTTGAACTCCTGACCTCAAGTGATCCGCCCATCTCAGGGTCCCAAAGTGCTGGGATTACGGGCGTGAGCCACTGCACCCGGCTCAGTAAGAATTTTAAATGAACATATGAATAAAATCAGCAAAGTAAGCTGAATGGAAATGGGAAGCAGAAACAAGCATCTATGAAGAAACGTGGAAATTCTAGCATAAAAATATAATTTTTGAAATAAAGAATTCAATAGATATTGAATAAAAACAGTTAAAAATCAGGTCAAGGGACTCTCATAGGTTATCAGGAAGGGAGAAGATGGAGAGAATTGACAGACAAAGGTACAGAGGGTAAAAAAAAAAACTGCCAAAATACGTTCAATGCAAAGGAAGACTGCTAAAATACGACACACCAAGAAAAAAGAGAGTAACTAGACAGTAAAAATATTTTTAAAAACAACACGACATGGTTTTATTTGGCAGACTAAGACACCTGAAAATTTCTGCTTAATAACATCCTTTGAAAGTCAAAGTACTTACTTTGTAAGAAAGGGAATGTCCTAGGGCTCCAAATATGAAACTGAGTTGAAACTGCAGTAGCCTCTAGTAGATGAGATTGCCAGTCTCAAAGGGATTGGCTTTGGACAGCCAAACAGTGACAAGAGATCAGGATTTGGGTACACAAAAATAGAAACCGACAGCTCTACACAAAGCTGGGACCAATGAAGAGCTTTACTTTCAGCAAAAACACAAAACCAGAAAAAAAATCCATTCACCACCCCAGAGAGAAAAGGATATTGTCTCATGCCAAGCTTCAGGTGGGCCAAAAGCGTCCCCTGAAGATTTTTTTTTTTTTTTTTTGAGATGGAGTTTCGCCCTTGTTGCCCAGGCTGGAGTGCAATGGCATAATCTCGTCTCACTGCAACCTCCGCCTCCCAAGTTCAAGCCATTTCCCTGCCTCAGCCTCCTGAGTAGCTGAGATTATAGGCATGCACCACCATGCCTGGCTAATTTTGTATTTTAGTAGAGACAGGGTTTCTTCATGTTGGTCAGGCTGATCTCGAACTCCTGACTTCAGGTGATCCGGCCACCTCAGCCTCCCATCATGCTGGGATTACAGGCGTGAGCCATGGCACCCTGAAGATTTGCACAAAATAGGCTTGTTCTAATACTGGTTTAGAGTTCAAATTTACAATTATTCACCTGGGAAACAATAGGCTGAGAAGTTAATGGAAATATAGTACCTAGCCACTGATAACTCCTGCAGAAACCTAGCAGAAGAAAACAAATTGATCTGGAAGGAACTATCTTCAACCTAGATAGGTGGCATAAGATTCCCTAAAATAAGGTCAGTAGTCCATTTGGGCTGCTATAACAAAATACCATAACTGCATAATTTATAAATAACAAGTTTATTTTGTCACAGTTCTGGAGGCTGGGAAGTTCAAGATCAAGGCTCCGCTAGGCTCAGTGTTTGACAAGGGCTGCTCTCTGCTTCCAAAATGGAGCCTTGTTGCTGTGTTCTCACATGGCACAAGGCCATAAGGCAAAAGCTAGTAGCTTCCAGCCCTTTTACAAGGCACTAATATATTCATGAGGGCAAGGCCCTCATGACTCAATCACCTCCCAAAGCCACAGCTCAATACTGCTGCATTAGGGATTTAGTTTCAACATGAATTCTGTAAGATACAAACATTTCAAACATAGCAGGCCCTATAGGAGTTGAACTCATACTCTAAAATATAAAACTCCTTGAAGGGCTGGGCACAGCAGTTCACACCTGTAATCCCAACACTTTGGGAGGCTGAGGTGGGTGGATCACTTGAGCAAGGAGTTCCAGACTAGCCTCCATAACATGGTGAAATCCCATCTCTACTAGAAATACAAAAAATTAGCTGGATGTGGTGGCATACACCTGTAGTCCCAGCTACTCTGGGGGCTGAGGTGGGAGGATCACCTGAGCCCAGGAAGTCAAGGCTGCAGTGAACAATGATAGTGCCACTGCACTCCAGCCTGGGCGACAGGAGAGCCTGTCCAACACCCACCCACAAAAAAATCTAATAACTGTAGTATTAAACTTCAAAACTTCAGATGGCTGGTAAGATTGCAGTGGTATTTATAACTCATTGGTCACAACTAGTTACAGATTTCTTTGTTCCTTCTCCATTCCCACTGCTTCACTTGACTAGCCAAAAAAAACCAAAACAAAATGAAATCTTCAAATAATAAACTACAAAATAAGTATGGTGTATTTTAAGTGATTAAAGAAATTATGTATCTTTGCTCCACACATTTCAACAACTAGTTCTGATAAATTTATAGGATTGGGGGAAGCAAAGGCTAACTTTTACTGCATATGTGCCAAGCATTGGATGTAAAACCCCTGTTAGGAACCTCCAAAAAGATTAGATTTGAAAGAAAGAATCAGGAACAGAAAGCATCATCGGCCCAAAAAGCATCACTGGCCCAGTGCAGTGGCTCACACCTGTTAATCCCAGCACTCTGGAAGGCTTAGGTGGGAGGATCGGTTGAGCCTAGGAGTTTGAGACCAGCCTGGGCAACATGGCGAGACCCCATCTCTACAAAAAATAAAGAAATTATCTAGCTGGGCATGGTGGTGCACACCTGTGGTCCCCACTACCTGGGAGGCTGAGGCAGCACTGCTTGAGCCCAGGAGGTCAAGGCTGTAGAGAGCTGTGTTTGCACCACTGCACTCTGGCCTGGGCAACAGAGACCCTGTCTCAAACAAAAAACAAAAAAAAAACATGCCCACACTAGTTTATACCAATGCTATAAAAACAACAACAGGGGGCAGAAAAAAAGCCTGAAGGTTTGGATTAGCTCTAAATCCAACAGTTTAAGTAACTTGGGCAATTATGCAAACCCCCATTGGCTTTTAGTAAAATGAACATATTAAAACCTGTTAGAGCATTACTTAATTCACTTCGATTGACAATACATGCATTTCAGGGAATAACAACAGTGATTCAAATTGCTTAGTAGCAGTAGCAGTAACAAGTAGCCAAAAGTGCTTAAGGCGTCCATATTTGATCAGGAGACACCCATAGTTTTTGGAAGTCATCTCATGACAGCAATATGCTTTATGTTTCTAAAAAGGAATTGTTATAAATTAACAATGCCCTCTTGGTAACATTAAAACTGCACTGAATTTTTGGAACCTTCTTAACATTTGTTTCTACATGGAATTTATATAATTTACAAATTTACATTATTCAAAGCTGATGGTTGATGGCACAATATATAATCCTGTGACAAGATTATGAAAAGGAAGTTCCCAGATATCCTCACAGGACATGAGACAGGGGTGTGGCTCATTTGTTCACCCAAACCCCTTACAGGAGGGGAAGCATGCAGATGGGCAAGTGCAGGAGCTGGATTGAGTGCTTTTGGGCTCTGGCCCCACAGTAGCATCTGGTGGGGGGTGTCTGCAACTCCCAAAGCCCCAGTGGGAATGTTACAGGGCTCCTTTAGCTCTGCTGTCTACAGATAGCTTAAGTGTTAACTAGCTCAGTGCCCTCTTGGTACCTGCGTTCTTGTCCAGCGTCCAGGAAGAATCAGGTCACATGGACAAATTGAAGGATGGTAAATGCAGGGGATTTTATTGCTGGATAAAGGTGGCTCTCAGCAGGATGGATGGGGAGCTGGAAAGGGGATGGAGTGGGAAGATGATCTCCTCTCCAACCGTCCCCAGCTGAACTCCTCTGGACGTTTAGATGCTCCTCTCTTCTCTCCTCTGCCGCAACACTCTTCTGCTCATGGAGCCTGGGGTTTAGGGTTTATATGGATACAGGATAGGAGGGCGTGGTGGGCCAAAAGGCAACATTTGGGCATGAAAACAGGAATGCCTGTTCCCATTTAGGGCCATGGGTTTCCAGGCTTTTGCTGGGGAACTGCCCTCTTCTACCCATTATTTCCTTGCCTCTTGTCCATATCAATTATATGTAAGAGTAAGAAGTTTTAATATTGTGTTCCTCCAATCGTTATTTTTTAGTGTTTTATTTCCTTTCCCTTTAAAAATAAATTAACTTAATAACACATCAAGTAACAACTGATTTATGAACTGAAAATAGTAACAAGCTCAACTCCAAAGTTCATGCTTTTCAACAAGATTCAACATCTTTTATTTACATGTTTATGACATACATTAATGGTCATACACAATTTTTAAACTAAATCTAGTAACAACAGAGGATGGAACATAAAAGACACAATTCCAAATTTTAGTCAGGTTGAAATGTTTTTCCACTAACTGAAAGATAAGATAAATGAGCAGCCATTATAAAGTTATGGGCTGTATGTCAATTCACGTCTTAAAATTGAAAGTCAGCCACACAGCTGTTAAAACAATGGGAAATTTGCAAATGCAAATATATAATGCATGCACAGCTATCACATTTATTCTTTATCCTTAAAGCCATTTTTAAAGTAAACTGGGAGAGGCAACTTAGTAATATATGTACATCAAGGCACATTCTTTTCTTGTGCTTTAGGAATGATTTACATGTGATCTGCTTATATCTTAATTTTATACTTTATAACAGCTTCTAATACCTAAAAGCTTAATTTTTAACAATTATTCTTTGAGTGGTAGTTTCCCAGAGAGAAATGTGGCATCTCTCATGGTTATTTTCAAAGTCAGAAAATTGGATAGCTTGAGGAGGTGGGATTTAAAAATCAAACATATGAATTAATATAACTTAGTTTTCATAACCTTTAAAAATAATTTATCTTCAACAATTTAGTGGAACTGTAATCAATTTCTTCAAGTATGATACTATGAGGGCTGCACTGAATAATTTTCAACATTCTGAAATTACCTGACAATTACATGGTATCCACAGAGCTGCTGTGAATGTCTATATTGCTATCTGATTTCTCAACTGCAGTTTTTCAACCAAATTAAACAATTAAACATGATACAAAAGCTGAAAACATACCAAATCTAGTTTGTTTGTTCATTAACTTGTTCATTCTTTGCAAATAATGAGAATTTTTTTTTCCATTAATTGTCCTATGTTATCAAGGAGAATTTTCCTGTCAACAGTGTTTAATAACTGTGTTCTTTTCTCATGGTCAATTTACTTGCCTTGAAGAAATAGTATAGTAAGGTTTTAATAAGCATTTCATGCATTTTAATGGCATTTTAAAAATTAGCTATTCATTTATGGGTTCCTCATATAGATAAATATATTGTGCAAACTTGATTACAACATGTAACTCATAAGTGCTTTAAAATAGAATAAAGCATCCCTGACTTAAAAGGGGATAAAATAAATAGTAAGTCAAGAATCACAGATCTAAAGCATTTAAAAAACGTAATATACCTATGCATCCTATTGAAATGCTTTATATTAGAATTTTCTTTTTAATCCATAAACAGGGCAAATAAATCACAGAATCTCTATATTTTGAGAATAAAACAGAAGAAAAGCCAACTGGTGCAGCCTTTTAAATGCAAAATGTATAATAAAGTAATGTCAAAATGCAAATGAAACTGTACGGTTTTAAATTCAGTACAGTCATTTATAAACATTAATTCATAAAAGGTATATCATGATAAACCACTGCCATCAAATATTAGGTTGGTGCAAAAGCAATTGCACCAACCTAATAGATCTGTTTTCAATTTCTCTACACTAAACGGACTTTTCTATAGAACCCATTGGCCAGACAAAATGTTTGGAAACGTTACGTTACCAAACAGCCCAGAACTTTGATATGTAAACTCCAAGCAGACAGTCACACAGAATTGTAAACAAATGTTCTGTGAGTTCAGTGTACAAGAGATGTCACTTCTTTTTATCTTCATTAACATACTCATTCTCCTCCTGAAATATGTGCTACCTCTACTTTAACAGTTTGAATAGCTTCTGCAACTTCAGATAGCTTCTGTCCTTGCTGTTGTGCTAATACATAATTAACCACTTGCATAATACTTTGGTCAGAAAGTGTAGATACCGATGGATACTCTTCAGTAGCTGCAACAGCTTCCAGAGCTTCCATAGTTTCTCCTGTCACTACCACAGTCTCAAGTTCTTGAGGACCACTGCTTTCTTGTTCCTGCATGCCTGCTGTTAAGATGCTAACAGCATGTGCCACTTGAGTTCCTTGGTTATGAAACTGAAGGGTGTCTTTTTCCAGCATAATTTTGCAAGGCACATAGTCTCTGTGGAATTTAGTCATATGTTTACGGAGTGTTCGAGCATCTATGTAGGCTTCGCTACATACAGGACAGACATAGGGCCGTTCACCAGTATGTGTTCTGACATGGCGTTTTAGAGATCGGGCATCAGCCCAAGCTACTCCACATGTTAAGCACTCAAATGGCTTAACTCCTAAAAAAAAAAAAAAAAAAGCATGTGTAGTGAGGTGCAAGCACCAAAATATACTTAAACTGCCTACCAAACTTCCTTTTATTAAAAAGTACAGTAGCTCATAAGCCTTTCTATCTGGACTGTGGCAATCTTTTATTTAGGACTTTCCTTAGAATAAAGAAGATTCTTTGCCGGGCACGGTGGCTCACACCTGTAATCCCAGCACTTTGGGAGGCCAAGGCAGGTGGATCACCTGAGCAGTTTGAGACCAGCCTGACCAACATGGTGAAACCCCATCTCTACTAAAAATACAAAAATTAGCCCAGCGTGGTGGCGGGTGCCTGTAGTCCCAGCTACTTAGGAGGCTGAGGCATGACAATCACTTGAACCTGGGAGGCAGAGGTTGCAGTGAGCCAGGATCGCGTCACTGCACTCCAGCCTGGGTGACAGAGCAAGACTTTGTCTCAAAAAAAAAAAGAATAAACAAGATTCTGAACTATAAATCTCTCTAAAGATCTTCCTGCGGACAGATGTGATTGAGACAAATTTTAGTTTCTGTGCATAAACTCATTTATTCCTTCATTCCTTCAAAGCAGAGGCTTCAAATAGTTTAGTTCAGCATAACAATGTGGATACAGAATTAAGTTCACTAAAAAAGGAATCTATTTATATACACAATAATTAGGTACTCAGGTTCAGGATCACCTCTGTCATTTGAATAAAGATATGAAATTAACCTTTTACCAAGGAAGGTGAAAGAGCTGGTAAAGGGAGAATCACTACTGGACTGGCTTTTATTCTATAAGGATACATATAATATAAAGTATAGTTACCTTCATGGTTGTTCATGTGTCTCCTATACTCTCTTAGCTGAGTGAATTTTCTTCCACATTTTTCACACACCCGTTCCAGGTTTTGCTTTGCTCTTCCTTTCTTCCCATGGGTAGCTTTCTTTACATGCCTTCTGAACAAAGCTTTTTCATAAAATTCTTTGCCACATATATTACACCTAAAATAGGGGAAAAGACCCAATTATTTTGTCCAAAGAAGTAGCAGCCATAACAATCAGAGTACACACGTTATCAATTAAGTTCAGCTCCTTCTCAAATTTACTCACCTATAAGGCTCAGTGACAGAATGAGACTTCACATGGGAATACCAATCTTTCTTCCAACTATAGCACTTATCACAAAATTGGCACTGGAATGGCTTCACACCAAGATGTTTGTTCATGTGCTGGCGAAGATCTCTAGCTTCAAAGAAACTTTTTTCACATCTGCAATAAAGTTCAGTTACCCAATTGGATAATCTTATTCCTTTAAAACAAGTTTCCAAGAACTCAGTAACTATTTTTAGTTTTTTAGAACTCCAAAAGATGATCTCAACTTAAAAGAATTCCCTAATTTTCTAATCTTACATAAAGGCTACAGGGTTTTAGGTTCTTTTCATCTTAAGACTACTAGAAATGTTTTAGAAAGAATCGTGCATAGTTCCCAAAGGTTATTACAGAGGAAATTTACTATTCTCTCTCCTAAATTACCCCACTTTGAGATCCCTATTTCAACCCTCTCATTCTTAGTCCATGTGTTGAGGGTAGACTTTACCTTTGACCCTAGGGATAGAGCAAATGACTTGGGCCTAAATTAATCACAACAAAGCATTCCCTTGGCCATAGTGATTGACTCAGGGATGACTGACTTAACTTGATGTAAATGGAGTAACTCTCAGGGCTTTGATGGAACTACCAGAAAAGAAGTTTGACAATTTGGAATTTGAGAGGATATGAGACTGAAACCACTGCCATTGTCTTGTCCATATGGTGCCTCAGAGAAAACAAGTGCTAATGAATTTGAATCCAGTTTACATTAAACCACCCAGACTCCTAGACTTTATATTTAATTCAAGCCTGTTTGGGTTGGGTGTACTTTCATTAATAACTAAAAATGTATTGATAACAAACTATCTTTGTTTCAAAATAAGACTAATTAGAGTAACATCAACAAATACATCAAGTAGGAAGCTCCAAAAGCCCATCTCTCCACGAAAGTAGAGGACAAACTGGCAAACTGTTAGAATCAACCTTACCAGGAACTCTAAAAACTAATGAAAAGCTTATAGTGACTAGGCAAATGTTTAACAAAGAAAAAAAATTGTCGAATCCCTGTAAGAGAGCTTTCTGATGTACCCCTGAACCTAAAAGTTAAAAGAAAAGCAAAAGAGAGAGCTTCCTGGCTTTTGTTTCCTAAGAGACAGGGTCTTGCTATGCTGCCTGCCCAGACTAGTTTTGAACTCCTGGCCTTAAGCGATCCTCCCACCTGTCTCCAAAAGTGCTGGAATTACAGGCATGAGCCACTGCGCCCACACTACCACCCTAAAATGACTTTTTTTTTTTTTTGAGGCGGAGACTCACTCTGTCACCCAGGATGGAGTGCAGTGGTGTGATCTTGGCTCACTGCAACCTCCCACCTCCAGGGTTCAAGTGATTCTCCTGCCTCAGCCTCCCAAGTAGCTGGGACTACAGGTGTGAACCACCACAACCGGCTGATTTTGGTATTCTTAGTAGAGATGGGGTTTTGCCACGTTGGCCAGGCTGGTCTCGAACTTCTGACTTCAGATGATCTGCCCGCCTTGGCCTCCCAAACTGCTGGGATTACAGGCTTGAGCTGTTGTGCCTGTCCCGATTAATTTTACGTTATATGAATTTTACCTCGATTGTAACAGAGATTTTATTTTAGGAGGATCTGGAAAATGAAGAAGAGGGGGGGAAAGAAACTGGCTGGCAGTGAGACTCTTCTTTCCCACAGTCCCCACTTCCAGGTAGTACATTTGAAAATCTGAAATCACTTTAAATGAGTGATTTGTATGGTAAATGATTTACATCTCGAAGATGTTAAAAATAGTAACCCTTAAGCAAGAAAAAAAGGACATTAAAATCAAGAGTAAACTGAAGTTACAGTTTAATATTATCTTCAAATATTTTTTTGAAAACTGAGTAAAAACATAATTAAATTAACTGAATGCCTCACATATTGAATACTTACTGAGTACAATGATAGCCTCGAACCTCAGGCTTTGGTTGGTGTTTCTTGAAGTGCTTGCTGAGTCCAGAGCCCCTATGAAAAGACTTTCCACAAACTGAGCAAAGGTACTTGGACTCTCCTATTAGAAAAAATTAAAACCCTGTCACATATCCAGCAATCAGTCCTCTTTTAACAGAATTTTTTTTTTTTGAGTGGCATCTCACTCTGTTGCCCAGGTTGGATGGAGTGCAGTGGCGTGATCTCGGCTCATCGCAAACTCCACCTCCCAGGTTCAAGTGATTCTCCTGCCTCAGCTTCCCGAGTAGCTGGGACTATAGGCACGTGCCACCACACCCAGCTAATTTTTTGTATTTTTAGTAGAGACGGGTTTCACCATGTTAGCCAGGAGCGTCTCGATGTCATGACCTTGTGATCTACCCGCCTTGGCCTCTCAAAGTGCTGGGATTACAGGCATGAGCCACCACGCCTGGCCTTTAATAAACAGAATTCTTCATGTCATATTTCAGAAGTTACTTTACCAAGGGGACATGGAAGCTATAACATTTGGCAGACATCTAAGATTAACAATAACCCATGTCAAAATCCCCATTTCCTGTCAACAACCATAGTACTATCAGAGGGTATGACCCTAGTCATGTGATACGGTTGTATGATCTATGGATTGTAATAGTACTAGAGTTGAATACAAGTTGCAGCAGGTATCTACCCTTCATTGGCTATTCCCACATTTTTGCTTTAAAACATCTAAAAATAAGTATGTATGGACAAAAAAATATAAGCCAACTACTATGTTGACATTATGTCTCCCTACCATTTAACTTTTTAAAAGCATGATCATTTCTTTATGACTGGATTTAAATTATGCATGATTTTAACACTTAGTACACATTTTTCTACACTGAGGGAAACAATGAATATTCCATACACAAACATAGCTGTAAAACCAGATCTGAGAAAACGCTTTTTTTTTTTTTTGAGACGGATTCTTGCTCTGTCGCCCAGGCTGGAGTGCAGTGGCGCGATCTTGGCTCACAGCAACCTCCGCCTCCCGGGTTCACGCCATTCTCCTGCCTCAGCCTCCCGAGCAGCTAGGACTACAGGCGCCTGCCACCATGCCCGGCTAATGTTTTGTCTTTTTAGTAGAGAAACGGTTTCACCGTGTTAGCCAGGATGGTCTCAATCTCCTGACCTCATGATCTGCCTGCCTCGGCCTCCCAAAGTGCTGGGGATTACAGGCGTGAGCCACCGCGCCCAGCCTGCACTTTTAATTTAAAATACTGTCTCAATACAAAATTGAGCACACACGACTATCAGTTTATCAATATAATTTCTGGTATAATTAAAGCATAATCATTAATAGTTTATGAAATGTAACTATGTCAATATAAATTTCTCATTACCTGTGTGAATACTCATATGTTCTTGAAGACTCCGTTTGGTAACAAATGACTTAACACACAGTTCACACTGGAACTGCTTCTGTGATTGATGAAGACTCTGATGTAATTTTAGACCATGCTTATAGATAAAAGTCTTTCCACAGACCTAAGATAGAACAGGGGTGATTAAGTCAATAAAACAAAAAGGGAGATTGTTTCTGAACAATGAAGACAGAGAAAATGAATATATTATTTTAAATAAATATTTAAATTATTTAATTTACAATAAAACATAATGACAAAGTGAAAGTTGAAACCAACTTGAAAGTTGACCCCTCTTCTGATTCAGTATTCAACAAATATTGTTATCTTTCTTAAATCCATGTGATCACCAGAGATTCTCAAAATAGTAAAAATCAGACAAACCTCATGCTATCTTTGAGACTGGTAAACAGTATACCTTATATTAAGAGACATGGAAGTTTAATCAAGAACAATATACCATTTCCTGCTACACCAACTAGAACAGTGCTTTTCAAACTGTGATGAAGAACTAATTATTTTTTTTTCCTTTTCCACAATCCACTGGGAGAAATTTTTGTTAAACACAAAAATTTTTGTTAAAAATGACGTGACAATGCCAAATTGCTATGACAGTTTCTACATGCTTACTCTCTATTTCTGTACTTATTGTCCACAGACCACACATATTGAGTAGTGCCACATGGGAAGACCAGAGGCCCAACTAATACTTGGTATTTAAATTTATGGCCGGGTGTGGTGGTTCATGCTGGTAATCCCAGCACTTTGGGAGGCTGAGACGGGCGGATCATTTGAGGTCAGGAGTTCGTGACCAGCCTGGTCAACATGGTGAAACCCTGTTTCTACTTAAAAAAAAAAATACAAAAATTAGCCAGGTGTGGTGACAGGCATCTGTAATCCCAACTACTCGGGAGGCTGAGGTAGGAGAATCACTTGAACCCAGGAGGCAGAGGTTGCAGTGAGCCAAGATCGTGCTACTGCACTCCAGCCTCAGTGACAGAGCAAGAATCAGTCTCAAAAAAAAAAAAAAAACAAAAAACCCATAAATTTACAAATAAAGTGATCCTTAGGAAGGACTTGGCTTCAAAATAACTGGCGGAGCTGGGCAAAGTGACTCATGCCTGTAACCCCAACACTTTGGGAGGCTGAGGTGGTTGGATTGTCTGAGCTCAGGAGTTCGAGACTGGCCTGGGCAACATGGTGAAACCCTGTCTCTACTAAAATACAAAAAATTAGCCAGGCGTGGTGGCGTGTGCCTGTAGTTCCAGCTACTCGGGAGGCTGAGGCAGGAGAATTGCTTGAACCTGGGAGGTGGAGGTTGCAGTGAACTGAGATGGCGCCACTGCACTCCAGCCTGCGGAAACAGAGTGAGACCCTGCCTCCAAAAAAAAAAAACAAAAACCTGGCAGGGTGGGGGTGGAGGTGGGAGTAGGGTAGTAAATAACAGTATACATAAAACACATGTACCACGAGCTGGTAACTACTGAAGTTGAGTGAAGGGTACATGAGAGTTCAACCCATTCTCTTCTAAAATAATAAAAAGGAACAAAAAAGAGAAATATAAAAAACCTCACTGGAGGCCAGGCACAGTGGCTTATGCCTATAATCCCAGCACTTTGGGAGGCCCAGGTGGGAGAACAGCTTGAGACCAGGAGTTCAAGACCAGTCTGGGCAATATAGCAAGATCTATAAAAAGGCAGGGTCTCTATAAAAACTTAAAAAAAAAAAATTAGGTGGGTGTGGTGGCATACACCTGAAGTCCTAGCTACTCGGGTAGCTGATGCAGGAGGATTGCTTGAAACCAGGAGTTCGAGTTTACTGAGTTAAGATAATGCCACTGTATTCCGGCCTGGGTAATAAGAAAGACCCTGTCTTTAAAAAATCTGATATATGAAAAAGATACTTGCACATGCATGTTTACAACAGCACAATTCAGTTGCAAAAATATGAAACCAGCCCAAATGCCCATAAATCAATGAGCAGATAAAGAAAATGTGGTATAAATATACCATGGAATACCACTCAGTCATAAAAATGAACAAAATAATGGCATTTGCAGCAACCTGGATGGAACCGGAGACCACTACCTCTTTTAAAAATTAATTTTTTTTTTTTTTTTGAGACGGAGTCTCACTCTGTCGCCCAGGCTAGAGTGCAGTGGTGCGGTCTCGGCTCACTGCAACCTCTGCCTCCCGGGTTCAAGCAATTCTCCTGCCTCAGCCTCCCAAGTAGCTGGGATTACAGGTGTGTGCCACCATGCCTGGCTAATTTTTTGTATTTTTAGTAGAGATGGCCAGGATTGTTAGCCAGGATGGTCTCGATCTCCTGACCTTGTGATCCGCCTGCCTCGGCCTCCCAAAGTGCTGGGATTACAGGTGTGAGCCACACTGTACCCGGCCAATTAATTAATTTTTTTGAGATGGAATTTTGCTCTTGTTGTCCAGGCTGGAATGCAGTGGTGCCACCTCGGCTCACGGCAACCACCACCTCCCAGGTTCAAATGACCGGAGACCACTACTCTAAATGAAGTAACTTAGGAATGGAAAACCAAACATCGTATGTTCTCACTCATAATTGGGAGCTGAGCTATGAATGATACAACGGACTTTGGGGACTTGTGGGAAAGGGTGAGTTGGGGGTGAGGCATAAAAGACTACACCCTGGGTATAGTGTATACTGCTTAAGTAATGGGTACACCAAAATTTGGAAAACACTACTAAAAAACTTACCCATGTAAACAAACACCACCTGTTCCCCAAAAACTATTAAAATACAGAAAGAAAAAAAATCTCATTGGTTCCAAAACTGTTTTTTAATAAAAATACTAAGTCAGGCCTGGCATAGTGGCTCACGCCTATAATTCCAGTACTTTGGGAGCCTGACGTAGGAAGACTACTTGAGCCCAGGAGTTTGAGGCCAGCCTGGGCAACATAGTTAGGCCCCATCTCCACAAAATTTAAAAAAATTAGCCAGGCGTGGTGGTGCACATCTGTAGTCCCAGCTACTTGGGAGGCTAAGGTGGGAGGATGGTTTAATCCTCTGGGAGATGGAGGCTGCAGTGAGCTGTGATCATGCTACTACATTCCAGCCTGAGAGATAGAACAAGACCTTGTCTCAAAACAGACAAAAAAACCCAAACTGAGTCATACTCATATATAAGGCTACAGGTGCTACTAGAAATTTTTCACTGTTTCAAATAGCCCAAAGCTGGCTAATCACAGGATTCACTACCCTTGAGTCTTATTTTGGCATTTAGGTACTCTCAATCCTTAGCTCTAGAGAAGAACACAGCTTAGGCAGGACTTTTACGGACCACAGAGATTTGTTTAAGCCATGGGTTCCTTTCTAGTCCTGGTTGGTCCAGTTGAAGGTTAAGGAATGACTGGGATGATAAACTGGTTATTTTTCACCCTATACATCCTCTGGACCCTAGTAAGTTTTCACAAACATCTTAAATAGATTCAAATTACAACTTCAGAGAGCAAATTAAAAAACACCATAGGGAATCACCTTTGATCTAGGCAATAAAGAAGTCATAAATTTACCTGACATTTTACAAATGAGAGTGACTTGAGAATACATATCCCACCAGTCTCTTTGGCACACATAGTTAAGTTCTAATGTTCTTTAAATAGCAAAATAAACGTTATAGCTTTACCTGGCATGCATGTGGCTTTACACCTGTGTGCTTTAACATATGTATTCGGAGAGAATATAATTTAGGTAATGTTCTTCCACATATGGAACATATAAATTCCCGCTTGGTTCTGCCCTTCTCAGATGATGTTCCCGATGCTTCATTAGACGTGGAATTGGACGAGGATGAAGAGGGTGCATCTTTTCTGGTATGACGAATAAGATGTGCTCGCAAAGAGGCACTGTACTGAAACTGTTTTTTACACAACTAAAAGAAAAATAAAATTCTCTCTAAATGTATTTCCATTACAAAATGTTAACTGAAACTCAACTCATATTTGGACTTTGTTTTTGTTACAATTATATAAATCAATAAACACACTATGTAAAAAACAATAGGTACTAGATTGTAAAGATAAAAGGGATAAGACTCAATCCCTATTCTGCAGAGGCTAAAGTCTAACAACAGCACAATATTTATATCAACAAGGTTGGGCTTGAAATGGGTCTTTCAGGAATGGTAAAACAAAGATAGAATTCTATCATTAGTATGAGTACTAACAGTTATCAGGTGGAACAGGAGTAGGGGCTGGAAATAGAAAGGTAAGGCTGTGATTGATGGTCCTTGGATTTTATCTCATAGTTGAAGATTCAAGAAATCTTCAATTTTTAAAAAATCTTTGATTTTTAAAATCAAAGTTATATATGCTTACCCTCTGCAAAACCTATTTTTTAAAACAATAAGTACAACTGGTCTCCTGGCCAACCATCTCCACCATATTTTGCTTCTAGAGTTATCTCTGACTTTGTTTTTAAGTGCAGCTGTGCTTGGATGACTCTCTCTTGATGCTTCCCTTTGTAACTCTATGTAACACACATAATGGAAGTTGATTTGCATTTTTACTCCTCTACTCCCTACTTAGATATGTAAATGATTTCCATTACCCCTCTTTATCAATATAGTTATATCATATTCTTGAGTAGACCAATTTCAAGGCTTACATTTTTAGGATGTAAATATTATTACCACTGGGCCACATACAGTACACTGTAATTCTTTTTCCTTTCTTGCTTTTTGTTTTATTTCTCTTTGCACTTACTAATTTGCAATACCCTGCCCCCAGCTGTACTGGGAGGAGATTTAAAACCCATCCCCTTTTTGGAAATCTCTGTCAAATCATTATGTCCTGGGCTGGGTGTGGTGGCTTACGTCTGGAACCCCAGCATTTGGGAGCCCGAAGAGGGTGGATCACTTGAGTCCAGGAGTTTGAGACCAGCCTGGGCAACATGGTAAAACCCTGTCTCTACAAAAAAAATAGAAAAATTAGCCGAGCATTATGGTGCATGCCTGTGGTCCCAGCTATTTGGGAGGCTAAGACAGGAGGATCGTTTGAGCCTGGGACGTGGAGGTTGCAGTGAGCTGTGATAGTGCCACTGCACTCCAGCCTGGGATACAGAGCAAGACCCTGTCTCAAAAAAAAAAAAAAAAAAAAATCATTATGTCCTGGGCTAACTGTTCCCTAACTGCCTGATACATGGCTTCATCCTGGGATCCCCTTCACTATTGTCTTGATGAATCCCTTGGACTCTGTTGAACTGGATGCCATGTTTTGTATTTAACACGTCTTGCTCATTTTAGTGAAACATGTCTGTCAACAGCTTCCTGAGAAAATTTGGGAAGTAATAATTTTGAGACCTAGCATGTCTGAAAATATTCTTATTCTACCATCATAAATAATTAAAAGTTTGACTGATTGGCTGTAAGAATTCAAGCCAGAAATCATTTCTCTTTAGATTTTAAACACATGGTGTGGCTTTGTCTTCTAGTTTCTGTTGCTGTTGTTGAAAAACCTAAAGCCATTCTGATCCTTATCCTTTTTATGAGACTGACAATGTTATTGTTTGTCCTCTGGCAACTTATTTTATTTTTGTCCACTGATTCTGAAATTTTATAATGTACTTTAATACAGTTTTATTTTCATCCACTGTTCTGGGCATTCAGCGTACTCCTTTAACACAGAAACTTCTATCCTTAAGTTCTGAAATTTTTCTTTATATTGTTTTCCATGTTCTGTTTGAAAATAATATTTGTATACTGAGTATCTCAGACCAATTCTATTATTTTCTTTCACTCCCATTTCTAACTTGTCTTTTTGCTCTATTTTCTGGGAGATTTCATTAGTTATATTTTCCAACTTTTCTGAGATTTTTTATATGGTATTATATATTTTATTCCTAAAATACTCTAGTTATTTTAATGTGCCCTTTATATTAATAAAATTTTTTTAGACTTTTTTTTTTTACACTAGTCAAGTGCAGTAGTGAGAAGGGGGTAAAGAGTAGAACAAGGAGTTCGATCTGTAACTGTGAACAGTCAATTGAGATAACTAACTTCGGGCCAGCCAATATGACATTTAAAAATTTTTTTTTTTGTAGAGACAGGGTCTCGCTATATTGCCTGGTCTTGAACTCCTGGGCTCAAGTGATCCTCCCATCTCTGCCTCTCGAAGTGTTGGAGTGTTGGGATTACAGGTATAGGCCACCACGCTCAGCCTCAGTGTGCCCTTTTAAAAACATAGTACCGCTGGGAGCAGTGGCTCATGCCTATAATCCCAGCTCTCTGGGAGGCTGAGGCAGGCAGATCACCTGAGGTCAGGAGTTCGAGACCAGCCTGACCAACATGGAGAAACCCCATCTCTACTAAAAATACAAAATTAGCCGGGTATGGTGGCGCATGCCTGTAATCCCAGCTACTCGGGAGGCTGAGGCAGAACTGCTTCAACCCGGGAAGCAGAGATCATGCCACTGCACTCCAGCCTGCGCAACAAGAACACAACTCCGTCTCCAGAAAAACAAAAACAAACAAACAAACAAAAAAACCCCACAGTACATGGTTGTTTTGTAAACGTAATTTTTTCATTTATCTCTTATATAAATCATATGTTCTGAAGTTTTTTTCTTTTTAGTAGTTTTATTTTCTCGCTAGTCTTGGATTCCTCAAAATTGTCTTTTTTTTTTGGAGACAGGGTCTCACTTTGTCATGCAGGCTGGGGTGCAGTAGGGCAATCTTGGCTCCCTGTAGCCTTGACCTCCTGGGTTCAAGCCATCTTTCTGCCTTAGCCCCCAACAAATAGCTGGGACTACAGGTGTGTGCCACCATGCCCAGATAATTTTTGTATTTCTTTTTTTTTTTTTTTGAGACGGAGTCTCGCTCTGTTGCCCAGGCTGGAGTGCAGTGGCACAATCTCGGCTCACTGCAAGCTCCGCCTCCCGTGTTCAAGCCATTGTCCTGCCTCAGTCTCCCGAGTAGCTGGAACTACAGGTGCTCGCCACCATGCCTGGCTAATTTTTTGTACTTTTAGTACAGGCGGGTTTCACCATGTTAGTCAGGATAGTCTTGATCTCCTGACCTCGTGATCTGCCCGCCTCAGCCTCCCAAAGTGCTGGGATTACAGGTGTGAGCCACCGCACCCAGCCAATTTTTGTATTTTTGTAGAGACAGGGTTTCACCATGTTGCCCAGGCTGGTCTTGAAATCTTGAGCTCAAGCAATCTGCCTGCCTTGGCATCCCAAAATGTTACGATTATAGGTGTGAGCCACTGCGCCCAGCCAAAGTTGTTTTTCTTGAAATCTTTTGTCATGAGTCAATAATCCCTAATATCTGTTCATATTTCAGAATAAGATATTAAAAAATTCACTGGAATTTCCATGTAAATGGGGAGGGGATTGTTGTCAACCATGAGCTTTTGTCAGTAGCTGTCTTTTGTTACTGGGCTTCAGATTTTTCATCTCTGAGATGGTGGGGTCTAGATGGCTATATCCTGGGACTTGAGTAAAGAAAGACCTTGGGCCGGGTGTGGTAGCTCACACCTGGTATCCCATACCTTGGGGAGGCAGAGACAGGTGGATCATTTGAGCTCAGGAGTTTGAGACCAGCCTGGCCAACATGGTGAAACCCTGCATATAAAAATACAAAAAAATTAGCCAGGCATGGTGGCTCGTGCCTGTAGTCCCAGCTACTCAGGAGGCTGAGGCAGGAGAATCACCTGAACCTGGGAGATGGAGGATGCAGTGAGCCAAGATTGCGCCACTGCACTCTAGCCTGGGTGACAGAACAAGACTCCATCTCAAAAACAAAACAAAACAAAACAAAAACTTAATATTCAGTAAGCTTTTACTCTTCCCTGTTTTGAGTACAGTACACTCTTCCCTGTTTTGAGTACAGTACATTTAGCTTCACTGTACACAGTACTCCCCAGTGGAGTTATGGTTTTATCCTTTCCAGAGAGTAGAAGATGGATCTTTGGCTAAAGGGACAGGGGTAGTGATTTAATTGCTTCTGCTTTCAAGGTAGCTAGCACTACTAATTCCTGAGACATTTTGGTGGTTCTACAATTCAATTTGGGTTGATTCTTAGCTTTCCCCACTGAAAACCTGGAAGTGAACCCTTTCAACTCTGCTGAATAAGTTACTCCATCTATTTATTTGTATCCAGAATTTAGTTGTTTCAAGATTTCCTGTTCTGCCTTTTCATGAGTTACATTTTTAAAATGATCTTTTTACTATTGTCTTACTACGGTATCAAGAGGAAGCAGAGATAAGGCTAAGTCACTGAATATTTTTGGGAGGCAAGTAAATGACATGCACATTTAAATAAGAAGATGACTCTTATAGCCATATAAGACATAGAATACAAGCGAAAAGATAACCATGCAGTAAGTTGGATTCTATATATTATGAATTAGAGTTACCTTCAATTAGCTTTCCAAATACTTACTGGACATTTGTAATCTCTAGCTCTTTCATGTTTCAGTTTGTGCATTATAAGGGCGTATCGTCTCTGAAAAACCATTCCACATTCCCCACATTTATGAGATGCTTCTTCTGTGTTCTCTTTAGCATCTCTTTTTGGCTGTTTCATCTTTTTTCCTCTTTGAACTAACTTCTGAGCCACCTAGTAAGGGATAGAAATCACAATCTAAGTAAATCTACTCAATTTTAATTTTTAAAGTCATGTTGTAAATTTCTAACAAAAAGATTTCAAATTCACATTATCTTATTAATACTGGCATTTAAAACATTAAGTTGCTACCTTGTACCCATCTCACCTCCCAAATAATTTTCATTATAGCCATAAGTTCATCAATACAATGCTTTCAACCTAAAGCTAAAACTACAAAGGTCAACCCTTCTTACATCATACCTGTTGAACTGCTGACTTGGGAACGGCTTTCCGTTTCTGCAGCTTTTTCTCCATTCCCTTGTGTAGTCGAATATATGCCCCTTCATTAACAGAACGTTGTCGAAGCCTGCTTCTATAAGTATCATCATCAGGGCCAAAGTCTGTCTTTGCTGTTGATGCAACTAGATTTTCCTGATCTTTTAAAGGTTGGTCAACTTTCTGCCTATGTTTTGGAATGTCTTCGGCACAAATATCCTCAGCTGATATATCATTTCCCATACCACTATCCTCTGGCGAGCTACTAATTACATTCTCTTTTGAAAGTTTAGGGTGTATATTAGAAACTGTGTTATTTTCTCTGTTGTTTGAAGTTTCTAGTTCTGTCTGGTTGTTTTTTGTTATTAAATCAACAGACTCCATTTCAGGATGGGAATCAGCTATACATCCTACTGATGACAGGGCAGATTCAGCCTCTGAAGAAACCTGGGGCTCAGGCTGTCGTCCTACCTCTCCATTCTGCTCAGCTTCTGGCAATTCTCCATTTACCAGTAGTACAATTTCACAATCCCCAAGTTCAGTAGGTAAACTTGTTGTGGTTCCCTCACTGCTAGCAACAGGAGGTGCTGTACCTCCATTCTGTACTCGTAAGTCCTGGGTGGATGCAACTGTTTGTACTTCGCCCTTCTTATATACTGTTAGCTGCTTCTCTTCCATTAGCTTATGTACACTTTCACAAATCTCTAAGACTTCTGACATGAAAAGATGACGAGCTAAGATGGCTACATCAGCCATGCTACAGAAATCAAAACTTAGTACAGAAGTATAGGCAAATTCCAGTAAAGGAAGGAAGCTGGCCTTACAAAAACCTGTATGAATACAAAGAAGGTAAAGACAAAAAAGTCAATTATCAATGAAACAATACAGAATTATGACAATATAAAATATAATTCAAAGGCAAATATGACCATTTGTTCTGCAACTAATCATCCCTGGATTTGCATTTTGTTCTGGTTTCTTATTAAACCTTGACTAACTCATTTGTATGAGCTAAGTCTCAGTACCTAATATAGAAAATAGTATCAGACTTACTACCTCAAGAGTTGCTGTAAGGCAGTCATTTTCAAACTGTACTCCTTAGAACCCTGGGGATTCCTCAAATTCCCCTCAAGAAACAGCTGCTGGAGGATGGAGGGTTAAAAAAAAAGAGGAAGACAGGTGAGTGGCAGGGTTCAACCAACCTGTCCCCTAATCTCACTTCAGTAAATATAGCTGTACTTCCAAGTAATAGTGGTACATATAAAAATGTGATTGAACAAAGTATTCTATGACTAAAAGTAAAAAAACAATACCTAAGGGAGAGGTTAGCAACATTTTTCTGTTAAGAGTAAGATAATAAACATTGCAGGCCATGAGATGTCTGCTAAAACTGCTCAGCTTTGCCACTGTAGCTGGAAAGCAGATATACACCAATGGACGCAGCTGTGTTCCAATACAACCTTCTTTACAAAAGCGGAAGGAGGGAAAGAGTGGTCCTTGGGCTGTAGTTTGCCTATACCAGGTCTAAGGAATGAAATAATTACTATACACATGAGGTATTACATTCTTCTGCGGGAAAACAAGGTCAGTTTCTTTTCTAAAATTCTCAGTGATTCACTTTCAAAAGCCATTGTTAATTCTTAATATTCACATGAATCAAAAATCAGAAAAAAGATTACACAGTGATAATTCCATAACCAGAATGATTAAGAATTTGTATAGCTCTCCAGAATTTCATTATACAGCCAAGCCAATATTTTTATTTATTTATTTATTTTTGTTTATTTTTTGAGATGGAGTCTTGCTCTGTGGCCAGGCTAGAGTGCAGTGGTGAAATCTTGGCTCACTGCAACCTCCCAACTCCCAGGTTCAAGCAATTCTCCTGTCTCAGCCTCCGGAGTAGGTGCGACTACAGGCACACGCCACCATGCCCAGCTAATTTTTGTATTTTTAGTAGAGACGGGGTTTCACCATATTGGCCAGGATGGTCTCTATCTCTTGACCTTGTGATAAGCCTGCCTCGGCCTCCCAAAAGTGCTGGGATTACAGGCGTGAGCCACCGCACTCGGCTTTCTTTTTTATTTAGGTACTTTGAGACAGGCCCTTGCTCTGTCATCCAGGCTGAAGCGCAGTGGATTGACCACAGCTCACTGTAACCTTGACCTCCCAGGCTCAAGCAGTCCTTCTGCTTCAGCCACCTAAGTAGCAGGGCAGGCGTGCACCTGGTTATTTTTATATTTTGAAGAGATGGAGGTCTCCCCATGTTGTCTCAGCTGATCTTGACCTCCTGGCCTGAAGGGATACTCCTGCCTTGGCATCTCAAAGTCCTTGGATTACAGGTGTGAGCCACTACACCTAGACGGAGGCAAATATTCTAATTCCGCCTTCTCACACTAGGTGTCATATTACACATACTTTTCTGCACTTTGCTTTTCTAATACAATAATTTATCTTAGAGATTTTTAAATATACAATTGAGAGCCATATTTGCTGTAATTTTCAGTTCTGACTCAAGGTATGTAAAGTGTGGTATTTTATGCAAAAGAACCCACGAAGGATGAACAAACATACAGAGAAGCCTTAAACTTGTGAGATGTTAGGACTCAGGCTGAAAAAAACTGAGGGGACTCCCCACCAACATTATCATTATGGTGAATTCAGCCATTCCTAGGAAAGCTAATTCTTTTTTTTTGTTTGTTTGAGACGGAGTTTCGCTCTTGTTGCCCAGGCTGGAGTGCAATGGCGTGATCTTGGCTCACTGCAACCTCTGCCTCCCATTTGTTGGTAGAAATGTAAATTAGTACACCAGGATGAAAAACACTATAGAAGTGCCTCAAAAAACTAAAAATATAACTACTATATGATCCAGCAATCCCACTACTGGGTATCTACCCAAAGAAAAGAAATTATATCAAAGAGATACCTGCACCCCACGTTTACTGCAGCACTACTCACAATAGCCAAGAAATGAAATCAACCTACATGTTCATCAACAGATGAATGGAAAAAATGTGGTAAATATGCACAGTGGAATACTATTCAGCCATAAAAAAGAATGAAATCCTGTCATTTGCAGCAACATGATAAACCTGGAGGACATCATGCTAAGTAAGTCAAGGACAGAAAGATAAATACCAAATGTCCTCACTCATATGGGGGAGCTAAAAAAAAAAAACTTAGATCATACAAGTAGAGAGAAGAGCTATGGTTATTAGAAGATGGGCAGGGTGACAGGAGGGGAGTATAGGAGGAGGTTGATTAATAGATACAAAATTACAGCTAGATAGATAGAAGGAACAACTTCTAGTGTTCTATAGCACCGCAAGGTATATAGTTAACAACAGTTTATGGTATATGTTAAAAAAGCTACAAGAAGCCTGGCACAGTGGCTCACCCCCTGTAATATCAGTGCTTTGAGAGGGTGAGGCAGGAGGAGTCCAGGAGTTCAAGGCCAGCCTGGGCAACAAAGTGAGACTCCATCTCTATAAACAAATGAAAAAATTAGTTGGACAAGGTGGTGTGCACCTGTGGTCCCACCTACACGGGAGGCCAAAGCAGGAAAATTGCTTGAGCCCAAAAGTTGCTTGAGCCTATGACTGCACCACTGCACTCTAGCCTAGGGTGACAGAATAAGATTCTGTCAAAAAAAAAAAAAAAGGGCTGAAAGAATTTTGAATGTTTTCAACACAAAGAAAGGTGAATGTTTGAGGTGATAGGTATATCCTAATTACCCTCATTTGATCATTACTAATTGTATACATGTACCAAAATATCATTTTGTACACCATAAATATGTACAACTATTACATGTCAACTAAAAATAAAAGGAGCGAGCCTCTCTGAGCCTATTCTGTTTCAGGGACTATCTGAAAATAAATAAAAGGGAAAAATCATTAAGAGGGCAAATTTTGTTTTTTTTTTACAATTTGAAAACTTTATAAAAATATCCTCTCAAATGAAATGGACAATTATAACAGAAGGAAAAATTATGGTGAGGACTTCAAAATCCAGGGGTACGGCAGACTAAGATACCGTAAATGACACACTTATGATAAAATTTTTTTTTGTGGCTAAGACAGGGTCTTGCTCTGTTGCCCAGGCTGGAGTGCAGTGGTGTGGTCTCAGCTCACTGCAACCTCCGCCTCCTGGGATCAAGTGATCCTCCTACCTCAGCCTCCAAAGTAGCTGGGACTACAGGCATGTGACACCATGCCTGGCTAATTTTTGTAAATTTTGGTAGCCACAGGGTTTCACCATGTTGTCCGGGATGGTCTCGAACTTCTGAGCTCAAGCAATCCACCTGCCTCAAAGCTTTGGGATTACTGGCGTGAGCCACTGTGCCCAGCCTTATCTACTTAATATTTAAATCAAACATATTTTTAAAATAATGCCTATTTCACCTATGATTGGCTTACATAATACTTGCTGAACAATATACAAAAATATGCATATGGAATGAAGACTAAATGATGTATTATGTTGGAATATTAGGATGCTGTGCCATAGTTTTTTTCAGGCAGACATTTCATTTGCTATAAACTGCTGAGAAACCAGAAAAGAGCAACACTCATGCTTTCAGATGCATGAAATATAGGGAAAAAATTCCAAAGCAAACATATCAAAAGAATAACCTGTGATGGGTTTTTATATTCAGATGGCTCAGTGTAAGACGTATTTTCTCCTTTGAGTCACCAAACCCAGAAAAAAAAAATACCACTAATCTAGAATGTAATGCCAACTCTAAGCTCCAAAAAGTTTTTGCTCATATGTACACCCCCTGAGCCTAGGCTAGTTCTTTGTATGCAGTGGATGCTTAATAAATATTTATTTATATAGAGAAAGCTATTAGTGCTTTTTTTTTTTTTTTGAGACGGAGTTTTGCTCTTGTCACCCAGGCTGGAGTGCAATGGTGTGATCTCAGCTCACCGCAACGTCCACCTCCCAGGTTCAAGCGATTCTCCTGCCTCAGCCTCCCGAGTAGCTGGGATTACAGGCATGCGCCACCGTGCCCAACTAATTTTGCATTTTTAGTAGAGACAGGGTTTCTCCATGTTGATCAGGCTGGTCTCAAACCCATGACCTCAGGTGATCCGCCTGCCTCAGCCTCCCAAAGTGCTGGGATTACAGGCAGGAGCCACTGCGCCTGGCCGTTATTATTGCTTTCTATAAACATAAAGCCACTGCTAAGGAAAAATGTATCTTCCCAGAAGAGGTAGGACTAAAAACAATAAAGCATAAAAGGATAAGTGGTTAAATAATTAAGAATTTACATACCTGGAAAAGTCACTTTTTTGTTTCAAAAAGGAAAAAATATTTCAAAGTGATTTAAGTAATTCAAAAGTTACAGCAAGTTTTATATGATGAGAAAACGTATAAATAATGCTACCTATAATTCTTCCTAAATTTTCATTTGATGACTCATAAGCCAATATATAAATTCTAGTGAAGCCAAAAGAAAGTTGAACTATTTATTTACAATAATGATACAAACAAAAAACAAACCTGGGATTTTGACTTTTCTATATTGATAATTTGATTATTGAACTTAATAAACTCTAAGGATTAATCTTTAAAAACCAAAAGACTTATAAAATACTCTATAATTACATGTCCCACAAAATAAGACATAAACAGTCAATTTTTATTTGCTTTTTATTTTTAGAGGCAGGGTCTTGTTATATTGCCCCGTCTGGAGAGCAGTGGGTATTCACAGGTACAATGACACACCACAGCCTGGAACTCCTGACCTTAAGCAGATCCTCACATCCCAGCCTCCCAAGTAGGTGGGACTACAGGCGGGCACCACCACACCTAGCTTAAACAATCAATTTTTAAATAACATATTCATTTAATGTAATAATTTTGTTGCACTTATGGATTTCACTCAAACTGTTTTTAACAGTTTAAATCCTAGAAATTCTTTTTCTGCTATAATTGTCTCACTTAAGACGTAGTGAAAGGAAATGACACCCTTTTCCATAACTCTACCACAGAAATCTTGCTAAAAAGAACCTTTTCAGTACAGCTTAGTCTACTGTTGTTAGTGGGCTTCTCTTACTTTGGCATAAAGTCCGTGTGTGGAAGACATACATATCCCCCTCTTCTAGAATGTCATTACAAACAAAAAGCAAGAGTAATACAAAACCCTTACCAGAAAGATCCACCACAGCCTCATGACTGGAAACAGCTCCTTTCTCAATAAAAAGATCTCGAAAATACTCGCTATTTGCTGACAAAACAGATTTATGAGCTTTGTACTCTTCTCCTTCAATTAACAAAGTAACATCACAGAACTGGTTGGAAAGTCTCTGTTCGTTCAGCTGTTTTAAGACAGCCTGACAATGTTTTGGAGAAGAACGTTTTACCACTCCTTTGGTGTCAACCTGTCAAAATAAGTTTGAGAGCAAGAGTAACATATTACCTGTATTTTTTACCCTTAACAAGCTTTAAAACAAGACACATTACATATTACCTTTTACCAGGTATGAATAATTTGATATTTTCTTTGTTACCTATGTATTTAAATAAAAAGATATGTTGTCCTATCCTATTTTCTGCCATGTTCATTCTACCTCACCTAATGAAAATCTGTATCTCACTTCTGGCTGCCTCTTCTTACTAATCAGAAATATGATGATGTATGAAACTGATGCAGGTGAAAAACAAAGACCTGGCCAGATTAATTTTACCTTGGGGCGTAAACTCAGAGACTGCTTCCAGAAATGTAAATCTGTCTACTTGTACCAATATATCATCACAAAAGAAGGGAGGGAGGATAATTAACAACAAACCAACAGGTAATTATTAAGTTCATTCTGAAAAAATAACAGGAACATTTATGATAAATGAAGAGGCAGTTCAGCTTATATAACACAGTACACTGCCATTTTGTCTTATTCAATAAGCAGTCTTAGTGGTTTGAGAAAAATAAGTCACCAAGGCTGCAAATACTAGTACACTAGTTACAAATCTTAAAGCTGACTGGAGAGTACCACTTACAAACACAAGTTCATGTTTGGATACTGGCTTCTTTTTTGCAGGCTTGGATGCTGTAGTTGGAGATGAAGTAAAGTTGCTCAGGTCATCTTCCGATTCATTACTTTCTTCTCCAGATTCAAGGTCTAGTCCCAATTCTTCCAACATTTCTGAAACATCTGATATTGGACGGGATCGATCTAGTTTCTCCTGGCATTTGCTACACTGTTTAATGTAATCTTTGACTTGCTTCAATATACCTACAATGAAAATATTAACAAGTCAAATTTAATACTGTTAACTGAAAACAGAATATATTATTTAGTCTGTGCACATTAACACATTTCAGTACATATGTGCAGACATTCATGTCCCATAAAATATGTAGAGTTTATTAGAATGTAAAATATACTTTTTTCCCAAAAAATATAAAGTTATAAATGATGTTCTCCTGCTGAGGTAATTTTTTTTATTTATTCCCAGTTATTTGTTTCTCTAATCATAAGATGACTATATAGCTCCACCCATTTTCATGTGAGTTGCAATGTTTTCATGCAAGAGGAACTATATGAAACTGCCAATATTCACCTTTTTTTGACCTACACAAATTAACAATTTAGGGCATGATGGCGCACGCCTGTAATCCCAGCTACTCTGGAGGCTGAGGCCGGAGACTCACTAATAACCCGGGAGGCGGAGGTTGCAGTGAGCTGAGATTGTGCCACTGCACTCCAGCCTGGGCAACAGACCAAGACTCTGTCTCAAAACAAAACCAAACAAATTAACAATTTAATATGGCTCAAGCTAATACTTCTCCACCCCAGTGACATTAGGCTTGACCGTGTGATTTGATTTGCACACATGTGATGTGTACCATATCTGAACAGAACCTTAAGAGGTACTGAGTATTTTGCACCAGTTCTCTGATCTTTGTCCCCTCTCACAAAGAACAGCAATGTCCCAGAGGGATGTTGTTCTTAAACCTGAATTTCAGATGAAAAAAGCTGAAACCAATCTGTAGCCTGGAACAGGACTACTACAAAACTTGTAATGAAAGTTTAAAATAAATCTTTTGTTTTTGAAAGTTATGAGATTTTAGGGTTGTGTGAAATAAAAGCATACACAATCTAACAAAAGTTGATTATATACAAGCCACTCACAAAAGATTTTGAATTTCAACTTCCAGCTCCCAGCATGCTAGGGTAGGGGTGAGGAGGCAGGGACAAGGCTTTATGTATATGTACACACATCCCACTATCATCCTTGTAAGAGAACAATTAATTCCCATTCTATACAAGAGGAAAATAAAGCCCTAAGAGGTATGTAGCTTGTCCAAAGTCACATCTAGTAAAATGGCAGAGCTAGGCCTCCAGAAGTCATGGGATTTTCGGTATATTATTCTACTTACACAAGAGCACGCTTGTCCATTCCTAGGGCAGAAAGTTACCCCCAAATCTTCAAATAAGTACAAATGAAAAGGTTATGAGGTAAAATGATAGAGGTATGGTATAGAGAATATTCCTGAAAAGTGTTTTAAAATGTCGAATTATACAAAGCTCCTTACACTTTTTTTTTTTTGAAATGGAGTCTCTCTCTGTTGCCCAGGCTGGAGTGCAGTGGTGGGATCCCGGCTCACTGCAACCTCCGCCTCCTGGGTTCAAGTGATACTCCCACCTCAGCCTCCCGAGTAGCTGGGATTACAGGCGCCCGCCACCACACCTGGCTAATTTTTTGTATTTTTAGTAGAGATGGGGTTTCACTATTTTTGCCAGGCTGGTCTCAAACTCCTGACCTCAAGTGATCTGCCCGCCTTGGCCTCCCAAAGTGCTGGGATGACGGGCATGAGCCACCTTGCCTGGCCACCAAGTTCCTTATACTTTCAATCTTCAAATAGTATTCAAGCAATATTTTCCAAATTGTATTATGTCCCACACTGATTATAAAAGTATACACTGAAGTCATAAATTCAGAAAAATTTTAGCTATATGCAATTGACATTTATTATTAGAACCTCTGACTTCTACGGTGAAGAAACCTGTTTAACCTAGGAATTTGTCAAATTTATGGATTCACAGAGACTGTTTTTTTTTTTTTTTGCAGAACATAAACAATGGGGCTTGGGGCGTGGCTCACACACTTTGGGAGGCTGAGGTGGGCGGATCATTTGAGGTAAGAAGTTCGAGACAAGCCTGGCCAACAGAGCAAAACAAAAATTAGCTAGGTGTGGAGGCACGCGCCTGTAGTCCCAGCTACTCCGGAGGCTGAGGCACCAGAATCACGTGAGCCTGGGAGGCGAAGGCTGCAGTGAGCCGAGATCGCGCCACTGTGCTCCGGCCTGGGTGACAGAACAAGACTCTGTCTCAAAGAAAAAAAGAGAAGAAAAGAAAGAAAGGAACAATGGGTTCGAGTTAAATATAACTTTATCAAAAAAGCATTTATATGAGTGTAGATTTAGAGACCAAAAGAGGTTGTATTGGCCGGGCGCTGTGGCTTACACCCGTAATCCCAGCGCTTTGGGAGGTCGAGGTGAGCAGATCATCTGAGCTCAGGAGTTCGAGCCCAGCCTGGCCAACATGGTGAAACCCCGTCGCTACTAAAAATAGAAAAATTAGCTGGGCGTGGTGTAATCCCAGCTACTCTGGAGACTGAGGCACCAGAATCGCTTGAACCCGGGAGGTGGAGTTGCAGTGAGCCGATATCGCGCCACTGCACTCCAGCCTGGGCAACAGAGTGACTCTGTCTCAATAAATAAATAAATAAAATAAATAAATAAATAAATAAACATCGTCTCAGGTTTTTGCCTTTTAAGACACTGCACACTAAAAATTAAAAAAAAAACAACTGGATTAGAATCACTCACAGATAATGAACTTAGAAAAAGAAAAATTCTGAACACAAAATACCACATAACACTGGGTTAAGAAAAGTGTGAGATCACAAAGGTCAGCTGTGTGACTTTTGTTGTGTTATTTAACATCCTAGTGCTTTTAGTTTTTTCATCTGTAAAACAGATAGAGGCTGAAAAGGGAGGATCATCTGAGCCTAGGAGGTCGAGGCTACAGTGAGCTGTGATCGTTGTCACTGCACCAAGCAAGACCCCCTACGCTCTGTCTCCAAAAAAGGGAGATAAGTATTAAGGTTTTATGAAGGTTAAATAAATGTCAAGGGCTAACGACTACATCCTGCATATACAAGCTTGATCAATGTTACCTATAGTTACAATTATCATCTTTAACAAATCCTGAAGTATTAAATCTGAGACATTTGTTCAACAAACTAATGTCTACCCAAACCCATCCAAACAAAATGCACTGATTACTTCATTACCTCATAATTTAATCTTCGCATTTGTCTGTCCTTACAGGAATTTAATTCAGATATTGGTTTAAAGTGGAAAATAAATGGAAGAATTTGATTATCCAATAGTTCGTAAACGAATAAACTTGATGATGTTTATAAACCGAAAAGAACTTTAGAAACTATTCAGTAATTTCGTTATTCACAGACGAAGTAACCAAGATTTGAATGAAATAACTTTTCTGTAGCCATATTGGAGAGTGACAGCACTGTTCCTAACAAAATTTCTTAAATGGGACTATAAACTATTAACTAATTCTGACAGTTTGAATATTCATTAACTGTGGAGAGTGAAGATGGTTAAGAAGCCAAGGACACTTGCTATCCTCCCTTACAACTGGTTCCCAAGGAGTCAAGTAACTTCAGAGCTGTATTTTTTGACAATCAAAAAGTCACAGTAATCGTACCTTTTCTGCGTATATACAATGCTACACAGTTCCCAAACGCGTTTTTCACATCATTAGGGGAAAGATTATTAAAACATTCAGAGTTACGAATATCAAGCTGGGCGCCGTGGCTCATGCCTGAAATCCCAACACTTTGGGAGGCCGAGGCGGGAGGATGGCTTGAGGCCAGATGGAGACCAGCTTGGGGAACGAGGCGAGACCCGTGTCTACTCAAACACCCCGCCCCCGCAAAACCAAACAACAAAAACAGTAACTGATATCTTTTACATTTACTTCTTGTTCTTAAAAAAAAACGCTCAAGGCGATTTCTCAATCACTCCTTATCACTTCTGCAAATAATTGTATTATTCCTTATTTACGCAGCAGCGGCAAAATTTGAGGAACACTAGCGAATGTGTCCAGAGCAGCTCATACTCGCTCGCCAAAACCCAAGCGCAGCACTAAAGAAACGGGAGACCCGGCTTCGGGTGACTCGTCCCCCCTTCCAAACGTCAGCACAGTCGAAAACGTGCACCCCGCAGCCTCCACTGCCGCGAGCCACACGCCACCTCCAGAGGGCCGGGGCCTACAGCCTCAAGGGGCCGCCCAAGGAGGCGGACCTGGCGCAGCCCAGGCGTCCGGCCCCTCCCCGCGGCTGGCCCGGCCTCCGGGGAAGCCCCCTTGGTCCCACCCAGGGCCAGGGCCCGCCCCCAGCTTCGCCGGCCTCCTTCCTGTGGGAAGTGCGGCTCCTTTCGCGTCCCCCACCCTCTCGGCTCCGCCTGGCAGCAGCTCCGCCGCCCAGAGGCGTCCGAGACCCTCCGACTCGTGGGTACGCATAGGCCTCGCCAGCGAGCCTTGCCCAGGCAACGAGTCGCCAGCCCGCCCCCTCGCCGCGGGCTAGGTCTCACCTCGCCACCAGTACGTCTTGGACAAGTAGTGCCAGGTCTGATGCCGGGTGTGGTGAGTGCCGCCGGGACCCAGGTGCGCCGCCTCGATGAGGTCCCGGCGTCGCTCCGGCTGCAGCACCACCTCCAGCTCCGCGAAGGTCTTGCGGTGCCGCTGCCGCCGCTGGTAATACAGAGTCCCGCCGCGCACCACGTAGCAGGCGGCAGCTTTTCGGATTTTACGCTTGACATTGCCCTCGGTGCCCGGCGCATACGGCTCGCGCTCGTTCGTCAGGTAACGCAGGATGGCCCGGTAGCTTTCCTCGCTTGACATCGCGGACCGCGGCTCCCTGAGGGCGCCTGTCAGGGACAGGTGAGGAAAACGGCCCGCTACCTACGGGCGGCTGCAGGAGGAGCGGCGGCACCGTAGGGAGAAACGGCTGCGCCTTTGGCGAGCGCTCTTCGACGGCTCCCTTAGTCCGAAGGAAAAGCGGGCGAGTTGGTAACCAGGGGGAACTGCACTTCTCCAGCGCGCGGGATCCGCTGGCGACTGACAAAATGGCTGCTGCACCACCGGAAGTGACGCAAGGCAAGGGCGGGGACTGAGCCCTGATTGGAGCGCACTCTCGTTTTCTGGCTTGATGGAGCCGATCCAGTGACGTCAGGAATGCGGGTGGACATTTTGGAAGCGGGTAGGACCCTTCACTGCAGTTCGAGGGAGTCTTTAAGCAGACATCTTAAGTCCTGGCAGTTTCTCTTTTCATTTTTCCCTTTTCCACGCTTTCTAAGGAGCCACGTGTAGGGGGAGCTGGTGGACAGTTGAGAGTTCAGCCGAAACATCCAGAGGGTTAGGAGTCCGTTTTTACGTTTGAGACTCCCAACATCATAAAAGCATATTTTCAGGCTTCTGGAAAAATATTAGTCTCTTGACACGGGACCAGAGACAGCCCATTTACATGGAAATTTAGATTCCAGTTAACAGTTATAAAATTTTCAGTGCCTCCCTCAGTGATGAGTTATTGTTTCTAAACTTGCACCTGCTAGCTCCAGACTACTCAAGGAAGAGTCGAGATTCTTTTGGAATTATCAGCATTTATAGTCAATGTTATTGCGAGTGGAAAAGGGGGTCGGTAACACTATTTTAAGGCTTTATTTACATATATTTTTACACAAACGTAGGGGAAAAGGTTCTCCATTTTGCACCAAATATATATGAGGGTGCAAGAAGGGGAGCGGACTTGAGCTGCGTCTCCCAGTGCGTGCTGAGGATGCTAATACAGGTATTTAGCTGGTAATCCCGGAGCAGCGACCCCGGTCACCCTTTCCTGGGACGAATCTGCAGCGCTCACAGGGGCCCAGGGCTGACATCCCTCCTCGGGGACTGGGGTTGGACACTGTCGCCGCTTTGCTAAAGCCAGAACATTTCAGGCCGAGGGCTCCAGCTGCAGACACGGCCTAGTACACTTCTCCACCGGAGGGTCTGTAGTCTCTGGGTGAGGCCCTTTGACGCTCCTAGAAGTAGCTGACGGGCAGACAGGTGAATACAGTAGGCTCGAAAACAGAATCATACAGCCAGCCTCTGGTGTTAGGGGCGTGTTTTTGTGTGTGTGCACACGCAGTAATTCCCGGATGGCCCGGACATCCTTGAAAGATTCCAGGTGCGGGGACATGAGCTCTCAAGGCCCAGAAGAAAAAAGAAACTACCAGGCTTGGGATCTACTTAGTTGCTGAGTTTGCCACTATAGCTCAAAGGAGGAATTTAAAAATGGAGATGCACCTCTTTCCCCCATGGGGTCGGGCAGTGAGAGCAGAAGACCAAATGCACCCTCTGCGAACCCAGGAGGCTGGTCTACGTGTCAGGCCAACCCCACTCTCCTGTCATACTGTCTTTAAATATTTTGGCCGGGCGCGGTGACTCACGCCTGTAATCCCAGCACTTTGGGAGGCCGAGGCGGGCAAATCACGAGGTCAGGAGATGGAGACCATCCTGGCTAACATGGTGAAACCCTGTCTCTACTGGGCCTGAAGTCCCAGCTACTCGGGAGGCTGAGGCAGGAGGATCGCTTGAACCCGGGAAGCAGAGGTTGTAGCGAGCCGAGATTGTGCCACTGCATTCCAGCCTGGGTGACAGAGGGAGACTCCGTCTCAAAAAAATAAAAAAACTAAACATTTTAAGTTAATTGATATTTAATATTAAATATTTAATATATTAAGTGAATACATTCAAATCTGCAAACAATACAGCTAGGTTGTAGAAGAGTTAAAAAAATCCCTCCACTCAGTTTTTGCCAAAACACCACCTGTAAGCACTGAGAAGCCTACTGATGCACGCATTATCCTTTGGGCCAATAGAAACAAACGTTTTAATAAAATGCTTTCCCAGTGGTCAAATTGTCTTCCTGAGTAAAGCTAAACTTGCTGTAGTGAGAACAGGTAGTGTTTATTTCTAGCTTCTTCTGGGTCCCAGGTTACCTAAGACCCAAGGGTAATGACAATGGGCAGCTCCACTTTATTAAAAGCCAACATTTAGCCCAGACATTTTATTCTCCAAAAATCAGCAAGCATAGCTTTACATTCAAGTTGGGTATAATGACTTTATTTTCCCAGTAATTCCCTAAATAAAACTATTACAAAAAATGACTCTTCCCAGTGCAAAATCTTAACATTTTGCTTTTATGAGCAAAAGCCTGTATTTTACATATTTTTTTTTTTTGAGACAGAGTCTCGCTGTCGCCCAGTTGGAGTGCAGCGGCGCGATCTCGGCTCACTGCAGGCTCCGTCCCCCGGGGTTCACACCATTCTCCTGCCTCAGCCTCCCAAGTAGCTGGGACTACAGGCGCCCGCCACCACGCCCGGCTAATTTTTTGTATTTTTAGTAGAGACGGGGTTTCACCGTGTTAGCCAGGATGGTCTCGATCTCCTGACCTCATGATCCGCCCACCTCGGCCTCCCAAAGTGCTGGGATTACAGGCGTGAGCCACCGCGCCCGGCCTACATATTTCTTATATTGATTTTAGTTTACATTTTCAGGTTCTCAAAAGGACTTACTCATTTTACCTGTAACACTTGGACGTCTGAATGTAACATGCACTAGAAAAAAAAAAATTCTATCACCTTGGATAGGATAGTGATGGAGGAAAATGTTGACATTGACTATATACTCTCACCTAGTATTCTGTGTAAAATCATGTTTCCCTAAAGAGGACTCTGATTTGTCCAGTTGCATCCTTGCAACTTGGCACAGGTTGGCAGGTAAAAATGACCTTTCTGTAGAAGTAGAAGCCTATTCTTCACATGTAAGTTTTGATTACTATTTTATCACATCTTAAATATATAAATCTCAGGCTGGGCGTGGTGGTGCACGCCTGTAATCCCAGCATTTTGGGAGGCTAAGGCAGGCAGATCACCTGAGGTCGGGAGTTCGAGACCAGCCTGCCCATGAAGAAACCACGCCTCTACTAAAAATACAAAATAAGCCAGGCATGGTGGCACATCCCTGTAATCCCAGCTACTTGGGAGGCTGAGGCAGGAGAATCACTTGAACCCAGGAGGCAGAGGTTGCGGTGAGCAGAGATCGAGCCATTGCACTCCAGCCTGGGCAACAAGAGAGACTATCTCAAAATCTCTTGAGTATCAGTTTATTCAGACATTTTTGTAGTTTAACACAGCTCTGGCATGCCCCCAGCTCAACAAACTACTCCGGGAATTTAGCTAAGGATACTCTTTATTCAAGCAGTAGTGCTTTTCATTTAGATATTACTTTCTGAAAGCAAGAGTAGATTAATACAGCTGAGAGTTTTTAGCACCTTCAACTCAGCTATTAGCAAATGGTAGGTGAGATACCAATGACTACAAGGAAACCAATATAAACTACATTTGCCTATCATGGGAAAAGGTAATTTAACAAGAAAATCATTTAAAAAGTACTTTTGTTTTTTGATACAGGGTCTTGCTGTCACCCAGGCTAGAGTGCAGTGGCACGATTTCAGCTCACTGCAGCCTTGACCTCCCTGGCTCAAGCGATCCTTCCACCTTCCACACTCCCAGCTTCCCAGCTGGGACTATATACACTCTCCACCATGCCTGGCTCACTTTTGAATGTTTTTGTAGAGATGGGGTTTCGCCATGTCACTCAGGCTGGTCTTGAACTCCTGAGCTCAAGTGATCACCTGGCTTTGGTCTTACAAATGCTGGGATTACAGGCGTGAGCCACTGCACCAGCAACATCCTAATACTTACAGCAATGTAACCAAAAAGTTAAGGCAATTAAGTTTTTCTAATGTGCCCTATACACCCCAGCCAAGCCAAGATAGCATCTGACCTTACCCATCTTACATTATTTTGCTTAACCTCTCTCCAACAAAGAAGTTAAAACTTTATAGGATGCATTATTCCTGAGCAATAGACTTTTTAATAAAATACCTACGTCTTACATTCTTTGTTAGGTCACCTATGACCGTGTAAAGTCCAACATGCCTGTTACAAGAAAAAAAAAAAATCCAGCACAACCTAGAGTTATAATCCAATCTTTATTTAAAAATCTAATCTGCCAGTTTAGCGTTTTCCACCAACTCGGGGAGCTGAAACTTTCACAGGCTTCACAATCTTTTGCTTAGGTGCTGCCTTTGTAGGTGCCTGTAAAAAGATAACACAATATTACTCCACAAAACTTTTGTTACCCTATTATTACCCATCTCTCACATCCAGATTGTTTATGTAGCTTAGATCACTTTCTTAGTAATTTAACTGCATTCCTAATGCCAATCTTTTAATGTGACTACCCTTAAATATTTAAAGCCCATCTTTACAATGAAAGACAAAGACTAAGATACCCTCACAGACTGGATGAAATGAGACACAACCAAGTGCAGTGTAGGATCCTGAAATGCATCCTAACAGAAACTCACAGAAAAGATCTCAGTAACAGTACAGTGTTTACTCAGCTTTTCTCAATGTTATCAATGTAGATAACCATAGTAACTTTCAAAACCAGGCATGGTGCAGGGGCTCATCCCAACACTTCGGGGTGCTAAAGCAGGTGGATCGCTTGAGCTCAGGAGTTTGAGGCCAGCCTGGGCAACATGGCGAAACCATCTCAACTAAAATACCTATTAGCTGGGTTTGGTAGTGCTTGCCTGTAGTCCCAGCTACTTAGGGGCCTGAGTCAGGAGGATCACTTGAGCCCAGGAGGTTGAGGCTGCAGCAAGCCGTGATTGTGCCACTGCACTCCAGCTGGGCTACAGAGTGAGGCCCTGTGTTGAAGGGGGAAAAAAACAAACAAACAAACAAACAAAAAGGCCAACCTTTATTTTTCCCAGTTCCTAACAGTAACACATGCTTTGGCTTATGGAGAGGACCACCTCTCTGGAGACCTGAACCATTGGCCAAGTAATTGGTTACAAACATCATTTCCAATTGAGCCTTGCATTCAATACCTTAAAACTGTGAAACTTTCATTTATCACAATTTAGACTGAAAATAAATTTTCCAGCCGGGCTCAGTGGCTCACACTTGTAACCCCAGCACTTTGGGAGGCTGAGGTGGGCAGATCACCTGAGGTCAAGAGTTCAAGACCAGCCTGTCCGACATGGTGAAACCCTGTCTCTACTTAAACAAACAAACAAACAAACAAAAAATCAGCCGGGCGTGATGGCGCGCACCTGTACTCCCAGCTACTCGGGAGGCTGAGGCAGGAGTATCACTTGAACCCGGGAGGCAGAGGTTGCAGTGAGCTGAGATCAGATCACGCCACTGCACCCCATCCTGGGCAACAGAGCAAGACTCCGTCTCAAAAAAAGAAAATTTTCCTGTTGTATTGTTCAAGAAAGTAAAGAAACCCCATAATTACCTTAGCAGCAGCCATTGCAGTCTTTTTAGATGCTTGCTTAGCCTTTTTTGCTTCCTTAGCAGCCCTGTGGGGTAAAAGTAACTTAAGGCAAAAGCACTTTACTCCTTAGTGGTACAACTTATTATTAGAGTTAGACTGTACTGGACAAGTACAATGACCATATTCCTTCCTTCCCTACCTCCATTTATTTGTAGGCTAAATCCAAAGAATTTGTCAATAATTTTCATTAACCACCAAATCAGCTTAACATATATTAATCTATATGGTAACTTTAATTACTGAAGACCCAAACCTAAAATCCATCCGAATAGGTAAAATGCTCATAATGAAAGCATTCCTCACCTGATAGCTTGTTCTCGTTGAGCCTTTCTAACTTCAGGTTTCTGATTCCTCTTGGCCATTATATCAGCAAGAGATGCACCAGTAATGGCCCTCTGGAATTTGACTGCTCGGCGGGTTCTTTTCTTTTGAATTTCTTCCTGCAAAACAAAGATGAGGGGCACACTTAGGAACCTTCCTTCAAGAATTTAGAGGGAGGAAAAATTAAGTCTTTTAAGACAGGGCAAATGAAGTATTTTAAGATTCATATTCAACAAAAAATAATTCATATATTTGAAATAAAACATGTTTTCCCTTATGGATTAAGCCCTCTATTACAAATCCTAGCCATTTTTTTACTACCTTAAAAAGACACACAAAAAATTGAACTCTAAGGAAAATGGTTATTCCATGAACTGCATAGTAGTATAAATGAAGACTGTTTATACTTTTAATAATTTACTTATTGAAAAAAATTATCATATTCAGCTTTTTTAACTCAAAGGACTGTCACTAGGAGAAATAAATTAAGACAATTATTTGACAGGAGAGCCACCAAATGTTAGGTAGGATTTGTCTGAGAAGGTATTGTGGAATCTAACACTTTCTGTAGATTACTGGAAATCTATACTACAGTGTTTATGAGAAAAAGATCTTGCAGTGCACCTTTAAGTCAAGAACAAAGTATATTCGAATAGTTGTTTATTAAGGCACTGACATGCAAAATTACCTTAAAAACTTTTAACAAAAATAAGGCACATTGGTGGTTTACAGACATGCTAATTTTAAACTTTTTAGAAAGATGCAATCTTATTGTTTCTACAGTAAAATGGCAGTTTTTCTACAGTAAATGGCAGTATTTACCTGTTTAATATTCTTGTCTCAAACGAACACTTAAACATTTTTTTTATTGTGGTAAAAATGTAAAGTTGACAATTTTAACCTTTTGGTTTTTCTTTTCTTTTTTTTTTTTTTTTTTAAAGACTCAGCCTTGCTCTGTTGCCCAGGCTGGAGTGCAGTGGCATGATCTTGGCTCACTGCAACCTCCGCCTCCACCTCCGGGGTTCAAGCAATTCTGCCTCAGCCTCCTGAGTAGCTGGGATCACAAGTAACCGCCACCACGCCCGGCTAATTTTTGTATTTTTAGTAGAAACCGGGTTCCACCATGTTGCCCAGGCTGGTCTCTAACGCCTGAGCTCAGGCAATCTGTCCGCCTTGGCCTCCCCAAGTGGTAGAATTACAGGCGTGAGCCACCATCCCCAGCCTGTTTTCTATTTTTTTAAGTAGAAACTGGGGTCTTCACTACTATGTTGCCAGGTTGGTTTCAAACTCCTGGGCTCAAGCTCAAGGGATCCTCTTGCCTGGGCCTCCCAAAGTGCTGGAATTACAGGCGTGAGGCACTGCACTAGGCCCATTTTAACTTTTTTTTTTTTTTTTAAATGGAGCCTCACCCTGTCACCCAGGGTGGAGTGCAGTGGCACAATCCCAGCTCACTGCAACCCCCCACTTCCTGGGTTCAAGCTATTCTCCTGCCTCAGCCTCCCAAGTAGCTGGGACTACAGGCACCTGCCACCATGTCCGGCTAATTTTTTTTTGTATTTTTAGTAGAGACAGGGTTTCACTCTGTGGGCCAGGCTGTTCTTGAACTCCTGACCTGGTGATCCACTCGTTTTGGCCTCCCAAAGTGCTGGGATTACAGGCATGTAAGCCACCATGCCCAGCCTCATTTTAACTTTTTAAATTATAATTTAGCTATGCAGGATGGCTCGCGCCTGTAATGCCAGTACTTTGGGTGGCCAAGGCAGGAGGATTACTTGAGCCCAAGAATCTGAGACGAAATTGGGCAACATCGCAAAGATTTCTGTCTCCTCAAAATATATTTAAAAAATAGCTGGGCCATGGTGGCATGTGCCTGTGGACCACGGGGTAGGCGGAGGTGGGAGGATCACTTGAGCCCATAAGGTTGAGGTGGAGTGAGCTGTGATCCTGCCACTGCTCTCCAGCCTGAGCAACAGAGGACCTGTCTCCCCAAAAAAAAAAAAAAAAAAAAAAAAAAAAAAAAAAAAAGGTATAGTGGCCTTATGTACATTCATAGCGCTGTGTAGCTATCACCATTATCCATCTAAATAACTTTTTTTTTTTTTAAAGGTCTCCTATGTTGCCTCAAACAATCCTCCCACCTTGGCCTCCGGAGGAGCTAGAGTACAGCCGCTGCCACCAAGCCCGGATTTGCTATGACACTGATATACAAGTTATAGAGTCCCTGCTTTCAACTGTTTTAGGGTATAACTTAGAAGTGGAACTGCTGGGATAATTTTTATGTTTACCCTTTTGAGAAAACACCAAATGATTTTTCACAGCTGTTGCATATTTAGCAATGCACAAAGGTTCCAATTTCTCCCCATCCTCACCAACACCTGTAATTCCTGTTTTTTTTTTTCCTGAATAGTCACCCTAATAGGTGTGTCATATCCACTTTTAAGTTTCTCCTTCCTCTGAACTTTCAACATATTTTATGTCTGATGGCATTTATTTCTCACAATACCTAGAAAAGTCCTTCATCCAGAAGGTGTTCAGTAAGTATTCCCAAGCCTCCTGAATACTAGTCCTACCATGGCACTCAAACTTTTTCTCATGTATAACCCAGCTAAAAGGACACTTAACAAGGACCAGAAAAACCACTGTTTTTCTAGTGAATGAACTAGTGTATGGTGGACTGGTTCATGGTCCACTGGCTATGTTAGGACTAATCCTGTAAATATTGCAATCAAAACCAAATTATGGTAACTTCTCAATTTCCTCCCACTGGAAAACTAAGCCCTTCCACCCTGCCCTATAACGCAAAGGTGCTTAACGTAATTTATCTGACTTTAAAATTTCAACTCGGTATTGCTACTAGCCTAAAATATATAGAGACAGTTTATAATATCTTTTTCATTTTGCTGACGCTTTACAGTTTAAGAGCTCTTTCGCATACAGTCTGATTTAATTTTACAGAGCAGAAAACCAACGTTCAGAGAGCTTTGACAACTTAAGAGATAGCCCCCAACATCAAGGCGTATTCCACTTACCGACTGTCCCTTTTTGTGCTTCCTTCTGTAGAGGACAGTCCAGTTTATCTGCCGAGGATTCCTCTTGGAAAGGAAAGCCGACTCGCATTTCGCATTAAGAAACTGGAAAACCTAGAGTGACAAATGCAAAGGAATTACTATTTAACTATACAAAGTACAAGAGGCTGAGTAAGCTTGGAATCCTTAGAAGATCAATATGCTAGTTCTGGCTTATCATTTTACAAAACTGAGGCCCACAAGGACCAAAAGGCTGTCACATAACTGGCAGGTAACTGTGTCACACTATGAAGGTCCTTGCGTTTAGTCTTTTCTCGAGAGCAGGAAATCTAGGCTCATAGCAAAGGACAGGGTGGTGCGTCCTTCTGGGAAGCATTCTGCTCTTGTCCGTCCCAGGATTCCAAAGGGTACCTCCGTACCTCAGTTATTTCCCTTACACCGGGACATCAGTTACATAAACCCCTCCTGATGTCCGACCTGGCTCACAATAAATAATCAACACTGGTTCACTTAGAGGTTTCTGGTCCTAACGACCAGTCCACAGAGCGTCCACGAAGACTTCCAGAGGCCAGTGGTGATGTGGGGAATAAACCCGCCTAAACCGAATTAAACCAGCCTTTCCTCCTCGGAGTACAAGAAGGTAGGTGAAGCCGACGCGGCTTTTTACCTTCCCGTCGGTCCTGGCGTAGCGCCTCCCGTGTCCGGGGTAGATCTTGTACCCGCTAAAACTGCACAGCTCGACCCTGCAACAAAAAGTGAAAGTCCATCAGGGAGGGTGTCTACAGCCATGCCAGGGACGACAGAGAGGAGTTCTGCCCGAGGATGTAAGCGGATTGGGAACCACGGGTCGTGCTTACTTCATGGCGACAGCTCCACGGAAAGACAAAAGATGGCGAAAAGAAAGAGAGAATCATGGGAAGAGACCTTATAAGGTCGCTGCGGGGATGGGGGCCGGAAATCTCCTCCCCAATATCCTTCGATGCTCCTGGCCCTCCTTGATGACGTAATCATCGCGAGGCGAAAGATCTCGTTTTCCCTGACAGCTGACTTCCTCTGGCGCAATTCATCCAGAGGCGCTGGAGGGTTCTCGGGCCCAGAGGGCCTGCCAAAAAGGCAGTCAGACAGTTGGTTTATGAGTCATTCTGTCTCTGTCTCTCCTCTCTTTTTTTTTTTTGAGACGGAGTTTCGCTCTTGTTGCCCAGGCTGGAGTGCAGTGGCGCAATCTCGGCTCACCGTAACCTCCGCCTCCCAGGTTCAAGCGATTCTCCTGCCTCAGCCTCCCTAGTAGCTGGGATTACAGGCATGTGCCACCACGTCCGGCTAATTTTGTATTTTTCGTAGAGACGGGGTTTCTCCATGTTGGTCAGGCTGGTCTCGAACTCCTGACCTCAGGTGGTCCGCCCTCCTCGGCCTCCCAAAGTGTTGGGATTATAGGCGGGAGCCACTGCGCCCGGCCCATTCTGCCTCTCTTACTGCCAAGTATCCTAGAGCCATCTTCCGGCTGCAGGGAATGTGAACTGAAGAGAAAGGTGTCCTCTCTTCTCATAAAGAGACCCAAAGACGAATGCCCCGCAGGTAAAACCAGTCACATTTTGCCTTCCCTGTTGGCCCATTTCCTCAACCAAACAAATTAATAGTTTCACCATTTATAAGAAAGTAATGACAACCGAACCGTTTCTCAGGCTGTGCGAATCGAACAGTGCGCGTTGGCGCTTTGCATTAATTATAATTAACATTCTTTGAGCGCTTTCTCTGTGCCGGGAATTATGCCAAAGGCTTTTTAAACATGAGCTCATTCAGTTTCCAAAATTCCTATTAAGTACCTGCCTAAGAACTACAATTCGGAGTTGCTGCCTAGTGAAGTTGAGGGGGTCGGTGGAGCCCCGCTGGGAGGCCAAGGGCTCAATCTGTTGAGCCCTTCTATGATGCTACATATTTCATCGTATGACAAGGAGTGGCCAGAGGCAATTCTTGAATTCTGTGGGAGGTTGCAGTATATGACTAGGAAACAAATGTAATGACTGAGTTCTGCTTTCTATGTATGCAACTCACCCTAAAAACGTTTTGTAAGGTAGCTGGTTGAAGATATTTGGAATGTCTAACAAGTTGGCTGACTAATGTCATGAAAACTGTACAATTGTGTTGGAGCCAGTCTTTTTTTTTTTTTTTTTTCCTTGAGACGGAGTTTCGCTCTTTCATTCAGGCTGGAGTGAAGTGGCGCGGTCTCGGCTCACTGCAACCTCCGCCCTCTGGGTTCAAACGATTGATTCTCCTGCCTCAGCCTCCCGAGTAGCTGGGATTACAGGCGCCTGCCACCACGCTCGGCTAATTTTTGTATTTTTAGTAGAGATGGGGTTTCACCATGTTGTCCAGGCTGGTCCCAAACTCTTGACCTCAGGTGATCCACTCGTTCTCCCAAAGTGCTAGGATTACAGGCGTGAGCCACCGCGCCGGGCCTGGAACCAGTCTTAAGAATGATGTTAGGTGGCCAGTCATGGCGGCTCATGCCTGTAATTACGGCACTTTGGGAGGCCGAGGTGGGCGGATCACCTGAGGTTAGGAGTTCCAGCCCAGCCTGGTCAAAATGGTGAAACCCCTTCTCTACTAAAAATACAAAAATTAGCTGGGCGTGGTGGCGCACGCCTGTAATCCCAGCTCCTCGGGAGGCTGCGGGAGGAGAATCGCTTGAACCCGGGAGGCAGAGGTTGCATTTAGCCAAGATCGCGCCACTACACTCCAGCCTGGGCAAGAAGAGCAAAACTCCATATCAAAAAAAAAAAAAAAAAGGAGGCCGGGTGCAGCGGCTCACGTCTGTAATCCCGGCACTGTGGAATGCCGAGGCGGGCGGATCACGAGGTCAGGAGTTTGAGACCAGCCTGGGTAACACGATGAAACCCCGCCTCTACAAAAAAAAAAAAAAATTAGCCTGGTGTGGTGGTGCGCGCCTGTAGTCCCACCTACTCGGGAGGCTGAGGCAGGAAAATCGCTTGAACCCGGGAAGCGGAGGTTGCAGAGAGCCAAGATCGCACCACTGCACTCCAGCCTGGGCGACAGAGCGAGACTCCGTGTGAAAACAAACAAACAACAACAACAAAAAACCAAAACAAAACATCTTTCAGAAATAGTCCTGGCTTCTACAAGATCCAAGGCACAGCTGAGTTTAGGTAGCCGGTGGAACCAAGATCCACCTGAAGGAATGCAGTCCTTTTTTGTTCCACAGAACCTCAGAATTTATAGTCCCTTCCCAATATTTTAGAAAGATTTTGTTTTATTGTTCTTTAAAATTACGTTTGGCCTGACTGGTTCTGTGGAAGAAATGCAGGAAACTGGACCTTAGGGATTTTGGCTGTATTTCACTCTTTACTGGAGGGCCTTCTTGTCAGGGTTCCTTGTAACACACTCCCATAACAAACAAATTGTGCTCAAAATGCTCTTAGAATAGGGAGAAATTTTGCAGAGAGAGACCTCTAAATGAATTTATATTATACAGTGTCATAAAGTAGAGCTTCTGACACCATCCGTAAATTATTGCTGACTTTATCCATGCTTTTGCTTTTATCATAGGCAAAAGGTTCAGCTACACTCTATTCTCTTTTTATTCATTTATGGAGCAATACTGAACCAAACTTGGTGCCCTTTTCAGCCTCTGTCCCTGTGAGAACAGTGTGTTGCTTCCCTTCACAGTTTCGTCACCCATTTGTACATATTTCCCTGCTATATTAGTTTCCTGTAGTTGCTGTAACAAATTACTATGGACTTGGTAACAACACAGATACATATTTTCTCACAGTTCTGGAGGCAGTAAGTTCAAAATCAGTATCACTAGGCTGAAATCAAGGTATCTTTGTGCTCTCTGGATCAAGGATCTAAGGCAGAACGTGTTCCTTGCTCTTCCAATTTCCACTCATCTAAACCACTCTTGAATTCCTAACCCATAGAAACTGTTAGATCATAAATGTGTGTTGTTTTAAACTGTTTAGGGGAGTAATTTGTTAATATAGAAATAGGTAATATAGGAGGTAAGGAAAAATTGACAATGAGGACTTGGTGAATCGTGGTATCATTTGTCAAGAGTTGACAGATAAGAGGAAGGGAGTAGGTTTGTCAGGGAAAGGGTTAATTTTTTTTTTTTGGAGACTTGTTGCCCAGGCTGGAGTACAATGGCATGATCTTGGCTCACCACAACTTCCGCCTCCTGGGTTCAAGTGATTTTGCTGCCTCAGCCTCCCGAGTAGCTGGGATTACAGGCATGTGCCACCACACCCAGCTAATTTTGTATTTTTAGTAGAGATGGGATTTCTCCATATTGGTCAGGCTGGTCTCGAACTCCTGACCTCAGGTGATCCACCCGCCTCGGCCTCCCAAAGTGCTGGGATTATAGGCATGAACCGCTGCGCTCAGCCCGAAAGGGTTAATTTTGAAAAGGCTGGGTTCAAGATGCTGATAGGGATATTAAGGTACAACTGTGTAGTGGGAAGTTAAACATGTTCAGAAGAGTGTTTGTAATATGATTTATTTTATGTTTTAATTTTTTTTTGAGATAGGGCCTCACCTTGTCTCCCAGGCTGAAGTGCAGTGGATGATCAGGGTTCACTGCAGTCCCTACCTCCTGGGCTCAAGTGATCATCCCACCTCAGCCCCATGAATAGCTGGGACTATAGGTGTTTGCCACCATGGCCAGCTAATTTTTTGTATTTTTGGTGGAGATGGGGTTTCACCATGTTGCCTTGGCAGGTCTTGAACTGGACTCAAGCGAGCAGCCCACCTCAGCCTTCCAAAGTGCTGGGATCACAAGCGTGAGCCACCATGTCCAGCCAAGGATATATTTTAGTAGTAATGAACTTATGGTGACAGAATATGTGGGATAACGTCACCTACTGTCACAAGCTGGCTTCTCTGGAAACAGTTACTGAGACTGACTTTGGGGTTCAAGATATTTGTTACAGATCAAGTCTTGTGAAGGGAAGGGGGAGAAAACAGTGTTAGGCAGAGGAAGAAGTTGCATATGTTATAGGCCCAACTAAACCTCAGTCAGGCCGTGTGTGGTGGCTTATGCCTGTAATGCCAGCACTTTGGGAGGCCAAGGTGGGAGGATTGCTTGAGCACAGGAGTTTGAGGCTGAAGTGAGCTATGATCGCACCACTGCAATCAATCAATCAATAAACTTCAGTCAACCCTGCCAGGAGCTATGGAACAATTATTGTTTGTTGGAGTGTTCTGTGTTGGGCTAAATGTGAAGCCTCTTTATACTTCTACCTTACTCAGTCACCATATGGGGGCTGCCCCAGAGAGGTCATGACCTCAAGTGAGGAAGTACTCAGCAGCTGAGCCAGGCCCTACTGATAGCTGGAGGATGCTGCTGCCCATGCTGCCCACTGTGAGGCAGCAAGCCCTTGCTTGAAGGGGGATCTGGATAGTATGTTTCTGTGTCTACCACCCCTAGAAATGGTGCCTAGAGTGAGTCATCACAAAAAGAATCAGGATAGCTTGGTGTAGTGGCAGGTGCCTATAATCCCAGCTACTCAGGAGACTGTGGCAGGAGAATGACTTAAACCAGGGAGTTGGAGGTTGCAGTGAGGTGAGGTCACACAACTGCACTCCAGACTGGGTGACAGAGTGAGACTCCATCTCAAAAAAAAAAAAAAAAGAAAAGAAAAGAAAAAAGAAAAAGAATCAGGAAATACTAATATTTAAAGGATAGGTGAATGGAGGAAAATAATCAATTGAAGGAGGCTGAGCAGATGAGGTCAAAGAAGATAGAGATCCATAACAGTAACCTCATAGAAGCTTATGGAAGCATTTTGACAGTGCTAAAAGCCACATAAAGTTCAAGTAAGACAGTTTCAGAAATGTATAAACATGAATGCCTTTGCAGTGACTTAAGTGTGATTCTGTTGTTTCCTTCTAAAAATACTGCCTTCTCAGGTGTGGGAAGGATTCTATCTTTTTAGGCTTTACCACCATAGTTCTCTGCAGGCTTGCAATCCTGAATCAGGCTTGACTTCAGAAAGTGCTTTAAAAGGGAGGCTGGGCGCGGTGGCTCATGCCTGTAATCCCAGCACTCTGAGAGGCTGAGGTTGTGGGGAAAAGCAAGAGAGATCAGATTGTTACTGTGTCTGTGTAGAAAGAAGTAGACATAGGAGACTCCATTTTGTTCTGTACTAAGAAAAATTCTTCTGCCTTGAGATTCTGTTAATCTATGACCTTACCCCCAACCCCGTGCTCTCTGAAACAGGTGCTGTGTCAAACTCAGGGTTAAATGGATTAAGGGTTGTGCAAGATGTGCTTTGTTAAACAAATGCTTGAAGGCAGCATGGTCCTTAAGAGTCATCACCACTCCCTAATCTCAAGTACCCAGGGACACAAACACTGCGGAAGGCCGCAGAGACCTCTGCCTAGGAAAGCAAGGTATTGTCCAAGGTTTCTCCCCATGTGATAGTCTGAAATATGGCCTCGTGGGAAGGGAAAGACCTGACCGTCCCCCAGCCTGACACCCGTAAAGGGTCTGTGCTGAGGAGGATTAGTGTAAGAGGAAGGCATGCCTCTTGCAGTTGAGACAAGAGGAAGGCATCTGTCTCCTGCCCGTCCCTGGGCAATGGAATGTCTCGGTATAAAACCCGATTGATTGTACGTTCCATCTACTGAGATAGGAAGAAAACGCCTTAGGGCTGGAGGTGTGGGACAAGCCGGCAGCAATACTGCTTTGTAAAGCATTGAGATGTTTATGTGTATGCATATCTAAAAGCACAGCACTTGATTCTTTACCTTGTCTGTGATGCAAAGACCTTTGTTCACGTGTTTGTCTGCTGACCCTCTCCCCACTATTGTCTTGTGACCATGACACATCCCCCTCTCAGAGAAACACCCACGAATGATCAATAAATACTAAGGGAACTCAGAGACGGCGCGGATCCTCCATATGCTGAACGCTGGTTCCCTGGGTCCCCTTATTTCTTTCTCTATACTTTGTGTCTTTTTCTTTTCCAAGTCTCTCGTTCCACCTTACGAGAAACACCCACAGGTGTGGAGGGGCAACCCACCCCTTCATCTGGTGCCCAACGTGGAGGCTTTTCTCTAGGGTGAAGGTACGCTCGAGCGTGGTCATTGAGGACAAGTTGACGAGAGATCCCGAGTACATCTACAGTCAGCCTTGCGGTAAGCTTGTGCGCTCGGAAGAAGCTAGGGTGATAATGGGGCAAACTAAAAGTAAAACTAAAAGTAAATATGCCTCTTATCTCAGCTTTATTAAAATTCTTTTAAAAAGAGGGGGAGTTAGAGTATCTACAAAAAATCTAATCAAGCTATTTCAAATAATAGAACAATTTTGCCCATGGTTTCCAGAACAAGGAACTTTAGATCTAAAAGATTGGAAAAGAATTGGCGAGGAACTAAAACAAGCAGGTAGAAAGGGTAATATCATTCCACTTACAGTATGGAATGATTGGGCCATTATTAAAGCAGCTTTAGAACCATTTCAAACAAAAGAAGATAGCGTTTCAGTTTCTGATGCCCCTGGAAGCTGTGTAATAGATTGTAATGAAAAGACAGGGAGAAAATCCCAGAAAGAAACAGAAAGTTTACATTGCGAATATGTAACAGAGCCAGTAATGGCTCAGTCAACGCAAAATGTTGACTATAATCAATTACAGGGGGTGATATATCCTGAAACGTTAAAATTAGAAGGAAAAGGTCCAGAATTAGTGGGGCCATCAGAGTCTAAACCACGAGGGCCAAGTCCTCTTCCAGCAGGTCAGGTGCCCGTAACATTACAACCTCAAACGCAGGTTAAAGAAAATAAGACCCAACCGCCAGTAGCTTATCAATACTGGCCGCCGGCTGAACTTCAGTATCTGCCACCCCCAGAAAGTCAGTATGGATATCCAGGAATGCCCCCAGCACTACAGGGCAGGGCGCCATATCCTCAGCCGCCCACTGTGAGACTTAATCCTACAGCATCACGTAGTGGACAAGGTGGTACACTGCACGCAGTCATTGATGAAGCCAGAAAACAGGGAGATCTTGAGGCATGGCGGTTCCTGGTAATTTTACAACTGGTACAGGCCGGGGAAGAGACTCAAGTAGGAGCGCCTGCCCGAGCTGAGACTAGATGTGAACCTTTCACCATGAAAATGTTAAAAGATATAAAGGAAGGAGTTAAACAATATGGATCCAACTCCCCTTATATAAGAACATTATTAGATTCCATTGCTCATGGAAATAGACTTACTCCTTATGACTGGGAAAGTTTGGCCAAATCTTCCCTTTCATCCTCTCAGTATCTACAGTTTAAAACCTGGTGGATTGATGGAGTACAAGAACAGGTACGAAAAAATCAGGCTACTAAGCCCACTGTTAATATAGACGCAGACCAATTGTTAGGAACAGGTCCAAATTGGAGCACCATTAACCAACAATCAGTGATGCAGAATGAGGCTATTGAACAAGTAAGGGCTATTTGCCTCAGGGCCTGGGGAAAAATTCAGGACCCAGGAACAGCTTTCCCTATTAATTCAATTAGACAAGGCTCTAAAGAGCCATATCCTGACTTTGTGGCAAGATTACAAGATGCTGCTCAAAAGTCTATTACAGATGACAATGCCCGAAAAGTTATTGTAGAATTAATGGCCTATGAAAATGCAAATCCAGAATGTCAGTCGGCCATAAAGCCATTAAAAGGAAAAGTTCCAGCAGGAGTTGATGTAATTACAGAATATGTGAAGGCTTGTGATGGGATTGGAGGAGCTATGCATAAGGCAATGCTAATGGCTCAAGCAATGAGGGGGCTCACTCTAGGAGGACAAGTTAGAACATTTGGGAAAAAATGTTATAATTGTGGTCAAATCGGTCATCTGAAAAGGAGTTGCCCAGTCTTAAATAAACAGAATATAATAAATCAAGCTATTACAGCAAAAAATAAAAAGCCATCTGGCCTGTGTCCAAAATGTGGAAAAGGAAAACATTGGGCCAATCAATGTCATTCTAAATTTGATAAAGATGGGCAACCATTGTCGGGAAACAGGAAGAGGGGCCAGCCTCAGGCCCCCCAACAAACTGGGGCATTCCCAGTTCAACTGTTTGTTCCTCAGGGTTTTCAAGGACAACAACCCCTACAGAAAATACCACCACTTCAGGGAGTCAGCCAATTACAACAATCCAACAGCTGTCCCGCGCCACAGCAGGCAGCGCCACAGTAGATTTATGTTCCACCCAAATGGTCTCTTTACTCCCTGGAGAGCCCCCACAAAAGATTCCTAGAGGGGTATATGGCCCGCTGCCAGAAGGGAGGGTAGGCCTTATTTTAGGGTGATCAAGTCTAAATTTGAAGGGAGTCCAAATTCATACTGGGGTAATTTATTCAGATTATAAAGGGGGAATTCAGTTAGTGATCAGCTCCACTGTTCCCTGGAGTGCCAATCCAGGTGATAGAATTGCTCAATTACTGCTTTTGCCTTATGTTAAAATTGGGGAAAACAAAACGGAAAGAACAGGAGGGTTTGGAAGTACCAACCCTGCAGGAAAAGCCACTTATTGGGCTAATCAGGTCTCAGAGGATAGACCCGTGTGTACAGTCACTATTCAGGGAAAGAGTTTGAAGGATTAGTGGATACCCAGGCTGATGTTTCTATCATCGGCATAGGCACCGCCTCAGAAGTGTATCAGAGTGCCATGATTTTACATTGTCTAGGATCTGATAATCAAGAAAGTACGGTTCAGCCTATGATCACTTCTATTCCAATCAATTTATGGGGCCGAGACTTGTTACAACAATGGCATGCAGAGATTACTATCCCAGCCTCCCTATACAGCCCCAGGAATCAAAAAATCATGACTAAAATGGGATAGCTCCCTAAAAAGGGACTAGGAAAGAATGAAGATGGCATTAAAGTCCCAACTGAGGCTGAAAAAAATCAAAAAAAGAAAAGGAATAGGGCATCCTTTTTAGAAGCGGTCACTGTAGAGCCTCCAAAACCCATTCCATTAATTTGGGGGGAAAAAAAAAAACTGTATGGTAAATCAGTAGCCGCTTCCAAAACAAAAACTGGAGGCTTTACACTTATTAGCAAAGAAACAGTTAGAAAAAGGACATATTGAGCCTTCATTTTCGCCTTGGAATTCTCCTGTTTGTAATTCAGAAAAAATCCGGCAGATGGCGTATGCTAACTGACTTAAGAGCCATTAATGCCATAATTCAACCCATGGGGGCTCTCCCATCCCGGTTGCCCTCTCCAGCCATGGTCCCCTTTAATTATAATTGATCTGAAGGATTGCTTTTTTACCATTCCTCTGGCAAAAGAGGATTTTGAAAAATTTGCTTTTACTATACCAGCCTAAATAATAAAGAACCAGCCACCAGGTTTCAGTGGAAAGTATTGCCTCAGGGAATGCTTAATAATTCAACTATTTGTCAGACTTTCATAGCTCAAGCTCTGCAACCAGTTAGAGACAAGTTTTCAGACTGTTATATCGTTCATTATGTTGATATTTTGTGTGCTGCAGAAACGAGAGACAAATTAATTGACCGTTACACATTTCTCAGACAGAGGTTGCCAACGCGGGACTGACAATAGCATCTGATAAGATTCAAACCTCTCCTCCTTTCCATTACTTGGGAATGCAGGTAGAGGAAAGGAAAATTAAACCACAAAAAATAGAAATAAGAAAAGACACATTAAAAACATTAAATGAGTTTCAAAAGTTGGTAGGAGATACTAATTGGATTCGGAGATATTAATTGGATTTGGCCAACTCTAGGCATTCCTACTTATGCCATGTCAATTTTGTTCTCTTTCTTAAGAGGGGACTTGGAATTAAATAGTGAAAGAATGTTACCTCCAGAGGCAACTAAAGAAATTAAATTAATTGAAGAAAAAAATTCGGTCAGCACAAGTAAATAGGATCACTTGGCCCCACTCCAAATTTTGATTTTTGGTACTGCACATTCTCTAACAGCCATCATTGTTCAAAACACAGATCTTGTGGATTGGTCCTTCCTTCCTCATAGTACAATTAAGACTTTTACATTGTACTTGGATCAAATGGCTACATTAATTGGTCAGGGAAGATTACGAATAATAACATTGTGTGGAAATGACCCAGATAAAATCACTGTTCCTTTCAACAAGCAACAAGTTAGACAAGCCTTTATCAGTTCTGGTGCATGGCAGATTGGTCTTGCTAATTTTCTGGGAATTATTGATAATCATTACCCAAAAACAAAAATCTTCCAGTTCTTAAAATTGACTACTTGGATTCTACCTAAAATTACCAGACGTGAACCTTTAGAAAATGCTCTAACAGTATTTACTGATGGTTCCAGCAATGGAAAAGCGGCTTACACAGGGCCGAAAGAACGAGTAATCAAAACTCCGTATCAATCAGCTCAAAGAGCAGAGTTGGTTGCAGTCATTACAGTGTTACAAGATTTTGACCAACCTATCAATATTATATCAGATTCTGCATATGTAGTACAGGCTACAAGGGATGTTGAGACAGCTCTAATTAAATATAGCACGGACGATCATTTAAACCAGCTATTCAATTTATTACAACAAACTGTAAGAAAAAGAAATTTCCCATTTTATATTACTCATATTCGAGCACACACTAATTTACCAGGGCCTTTGACTAAAGCAAATGAACAAGCTGACTTACTGGTATCATCTGCATTCATAAAAGCACAAGAACTTCTTGCTTTGACTCATGTAAATGCAGCAGGATTAAAAAACAAATTTGATGTCACATGGAAACAGGCAAAAGATATTGTACAACATTGCACCCAGTGTCAAGTCTTACACCTGTCCACTCAAGAGGCAGGAGTTAATCCCAGAGGTCTGTGTCCTAATGCGTTATGGCAAATGGATGGCACGCATGTTCCTTCATTTGGAAGATTATCATATGTTCATGTAACAGTTGATACTTATTCACATTTCATATGGGCAACTTGCCAAACAGGAGAAAGTACTTCCCATGTTAAAAAACATTTATTATCTTGTTTTGCTGTAATGGGAGTTCCAGAAAAAATCAAAACTGACAATGGACCAGGATATTGTAGTAAAGCTTTCCAAAAATTCTTAAGTCAGTGGAAAATTTCACATACAACAGGAATTCCTTATAATTCCCAAGGACAGGCCATAGTTGAAAGAACTAATAGAACACTCAAAACTCAATTAGTTAAACAAAAAGAAGGGGGAGACAGTAAGGAGTGTACCACTCCTCAGATGCAACTTAATCTAGCACTCTATACTTTAAATTTTTTAAACATTTATAGAAATCAGACTACTACTTCTGCAAAACAACATCTTACTGGTAAAAAGCACAGCCCACATGAAGGAAAACTAATTTGGTGGAAAGATAATAAAAATAAGACATGGGAAATAGGGAAGGTGATAACGTGGGGGAGAGGTTTTGCTTGTGTTTCACCAGGAGAAAATCAGCTTCCTGTTTGGATACCCACTAGACATTTGAAGTTCTACAATGAACCCATCGGAGATGCAAAGAAAAGGGCCTCCACAGAGATGGTAACCCCAGTCACATGGATGGATAATCCTATAGAAGTATATGTTAATGATAGTGTATGGGTACCTGGCCCCACAGATGATCGCTGCCCTGCCAAACCTGAGGAAGAAGGGATGATGATAAATATTTCCATTGTGTATCGTTATCCTCCTATTTGCCTAGGGAGAGCACCAGGATGTTTAATGCCTGCAGTCCAAAATTGGTTGGTAGAAGTACCTACTGTCAGTCCTAACAGTAGATTCACTTATCACATGGTAAGCGGGATGTCACTCAGGCCACGGGTAAATTATTTACAAGACTTTTCTTATCAAAGATCATTAAAATTTAGACCTAAAGGGAAACCTTGCCCCAAGGAAATTCCCAAAGAATCAAAAAATACAGAAGTTTTAGTTTGGGAAGAATGTGTGGCCAATAGTGCGGTGATATTACAAAACAATGAATTCGGAACTATTATAGATTGGGCACCTCGAGGTCAATTCTACCACAATTGCTCAGGACAAACTCAGTCGTGTCCAAGTGCACAAGTGAGTCCAGCTGTTGATAGCGACTTAACAGAAAGTCTAGACAAACATAAGCATAAAAAATTACAGTCTTTCTACCCTTGGGAATGGGGAGAAAAAGGAATCTCTACCCCAAGACCAGAAATAATAAGTCCTGTTTCTGGTCCTGAACATCCAGAATTATGGAGGCTTTGGCCTGACACCACATTAGAATTTGGTCTGGAAATCAAACTTTAGAAACAAGAGATCGTAAGCCATTTTATACTATCGACCTAAATTCCAGTCTAACGGTTCCTTTACAAAGTTGCGTAAAGCCCTCTTATATGCTAGTTGTAGGAAATATAGTTATTAAACCAGACTCCCAAACTATAACCTGTGAAAATTGTAGATTGTTTACTTGCATTGATTCAACTTTTAATTGGCGGCACCGTATTCTGCTGGTGAGAGCAAGAGAGGGCGTGTGGATCTCTGTGTCCGTGGACTGACCGTGGGAGGCCTCGCCATCCATCCATATTTTGACTGAAGTATTAAAAGGCATTTTAAATAGATCCAAAAGATTCATTTTTACCTTAATTGCAGTGATTATGGGATTAATTGCAGTCACAGCTACGGCTGCTGTGGCAGGAGTTGCATTGCACTCTTCTGTTCAGTCGGTAAACTTTGTTAATGATTGGCAAAAGAATTCTACAAGATTGTGGAATTCACAATCTAGTATTGATCAAAAATTGGCAAATCAAATTAATGATCTTAGACAAACTGTCATTTGGATGGGAGACAGACTCATGAGCTTAGAACATTGTTTCCAGTTACAGTGTGACTGGAATACGTCAGATTTTTGTATTACACCCCAAATTTATAATGAGTCTGAGCATCACTGGGACATGGTTAGACGCCATCTACAGGGAAGAGAAGATAATCTCACTTTAGACATTTCCAAATTAAAATAACAAATTTTCGAAGCATCAAAAGCCCATTTAAATTTGATGCCAGGAACTGAGGCAATTGCAGGAGTTGCTGATGGCCTCGCAAATCTTAACCCTGTCACTTGGGTTAAGACCATCGGAAGTACTATGATTATAAATCTCATATTAATCCTTGTGTGCCTGTTTTGTCTGTTGTTAGTCTGCAGGTGTACCCAACAGCTCCGAAGAGACAGCGACCATCGAGAACGGGCCATGATGACGATGGCGGTTTTGTCGAAAAGAAAAGGGGGAAATGTGGGGAAAAGCAAGAGAGATCAGATTGTTACTGTGTCTGTGTAGAAAGAAGTAGACATAGGAGACTCCATTTTGTTCTGTACTAAGAAAAATTCTTCTGCCTTGAGATTCTGTTAATCTATGACCTTACCCCCAACCCCGTGCTCTCTGAAACAGGTGCTGTGTCAAACTCAGGGTTAAATGGATTAAGGGTTGTGCAAGATGTGCTTTGTTAAACAAATGCTTGAAGGCAGCATGCTCCTTAAGAGTCATCACCACTCCCTAATCTCAAGTACCCAGGGACACAAAAACTGCGGAAGGCCGCAGGGACCTCTGCCTAGGAAAGCCAGGTATTGTCCAAGGTTTCTCCCCATGTGATAGTCTGAAATATGGCCTCATGGGAAGGGAAAGACCTGACCGTCCCCCAGCCCGACACCCGTAAAGGGTCTGTGCTGAGGAGGATTAGTATAAGAGGAAGGCATTCCTCTTGCAGTTGAGACAAGAGGAAGGCATCTGTCTCCTGCCCGTCCCTGGGCAATGGAATGTCTCGGTATAAAACCCGATTGTACGTTCCATCTACTGAGATAGGAAGAAAACGCCTTAGGGCTGGAGGTGGGACATGCAGGCAGCAATACTGCTTTGTAAAGCATTGAGATGTTTATGTGTATGCATATCTAAAAGCACAGCACTTGATTCTTTACCTTGTCTATGATGCAAAGACCTTTGTTCACGTGTTTGTCTGCTGACCCTCTCCCCACTATTGTCTTGTGACCATGACACATCCCCCTCTCAGAGAAACACCCACGAATGATCAATAAATACTAAGGGAACTCAGAGACGGCGCGGATCCTCCATATGCTGAACGCTGGTTCCCTGGGTCCCCTTATTTCTTTCTCTATACTTTGTCTCTGTGTCTTTTTCTTTTCCAAGTCTCTCATTCCACCTTAAGAGAAACACTCACAGGTGTGGAGGGGCAACCCATCCCTTCAGAGGTGGGTGGATCACCTGAGGTCAGGAGTTCAAGACAAGCCTGGCCAACATGGTGAAACCCCATCTCTACTAAAAATACAAAATTAGCCAGGTGTGGTGGCAGGTGTCTGTAGTCCCAGCTACTTGGGAGGCTGACGAGAATCGCTTGAACCTGGGAGGGGGAGGTTTCAGTGAGCCGAGATTGCACCACTGCACTCCAGCCTGGGGGACAGAGTGAAACTCTGTCTCAAAAAAACAACAAAAAACCCCACCTATAGACAGGACTAGCTACATAAATAACTTGCAGGGCTCAGTGTAAAATGAAAGTGTGAGGTCCCTTTTTCAAAGACGTAGAAGGCCGGGTGCGGTGGCTCATGCCTGTAATCCCAGCACTTTGGGAGGCTGAGGCAGGCAGGTTATGAGGTCAGGAGTTCGAGACAGCCTGACCAATATGGTGAAACCCCATCTCTACTAAAAATACAAAAATTAGCTGGGTGTGGTAGCGGGCGCCTGTAGTCCCAGCTACTCAGGAGGCTGAGGCAGAAGAATTACTTGAACCCAGGAGACGGAGGTTGCAGTGAGCTGAGATCGTGCCACTGCACTCTCCAGCCTCCTCGGTGACAGAGCGAGACTCTGTCTCAAAAAAAAAAAAAAAAACAGAAAAAGGTGCTATTAAAGATACCAAAATATAAGGCACTTTCCTTTATTCTGCAATCTGTCTCTCCACTTTTCATAGTATTTTTTCATTTGTTATTTAACATCATGTTTTGTCAGGTGAGGACATTTACTCAGCCAGTGCAGCACTCACTGGTATCCAGGGGCCATAGGTGATTTGACGCACCCACATGGCCCACCAGCTGTTGAGTTCCACCTCCAGCCAGCCACTGGACCAACATGCAGTGCCCTGGCTGGGGGCAGGAAAGTCTAACAAACCATTTCATTCCACTGTCCTCCTGGCCAAACCCACAGAGGACAGGTAAACCCCCTTGTATGTGTTTTGTACTTGGATCTGGGGTGGGCATCAAGTCACTTGCAGAATGTATGATGGTGCTGCCAGCTTGGGGGAAGGAGGAGGGCAGCAGTAGTATTGGAGGGGAGGGGAAAGATAGGCCATTGTCAGGGAACTGCAGACTCAGCCCGTGGAGGCAGCTGGGGAAGCAGCAGAAAGCGGTACTGCACGTTAGCTGAGACACCAAGCCCTAGGCACATGCTCTATTATTCTCTTGTACTACTTCACTGATAAAACACAAAATTAAAGATAGAATTAGACTTTCAAGACAGCAACAGCAGAAAATTAAACCCCAAGTATGGGACCCTCCTTAGCACAGTGCCGTATGCAACTGCACTGGTCACACAACTTGAAGCTGGCTCTGCCTTTAGATTACAAGAAATTTGGGCAGGGTGTGGCAGTTCATGCCTGTAATCCCAGCACTTTGGGAGGACAAAGCCAGAGGATAGCTTGAGGCCAGGAATTTGAGACCAGACTGGTCAACCTAGAGAGACTCTGTTTCTACAAAATCTAAAAAAAAAATTAGCTGGGCATGGTGGTGCATGCCTGCAGTCTCAGCTACTTGGGAGGCTGAGGTGGGAGGATCGCTTGATCTCAGGAGTTTGAGGCTGCAGTGACACGTGATTGTACCACTGCACTCCAGCCTGGGTGACAGAGCAAGATCCTGTCTCAGAAAAAAAAAAGAAAAAATTTTAGTGACTTTGTTAACCAGTTACAATGTATGGATTTCATTTAAGCCCTGCTTAAATGGACCTGGGGTAATTAGAGTACTTATTGGATTTTTGTTATTAAGATTTACTGTTAATTTTTTAGGTTTTATGATTGTACTGTGGTTATTTTTTAGTTATTTTTTCAAAGTACATACTAAATATATTTACAGATGAAAGAACATGTCTGAGTCAGGCATGATGGCTCACGCTTGTAATGTCAGCACTTTGGGAGGCTGAGGTGGCTGGATCACTTCAGGTCAGGAGTCTGAGACCAGCCTGACCAACATGGTGAATCCCTGTCTCTACTAAAAAAATACAAAATCAGCCAGGTGTGATGGTGCATATCTGTAATCCCAGCTACTTGGGAGGCTGGGGCAGGAGAATTGCTTGAACCCAGGAAGTGGAAGTTGCAGTGAGCCGTGATCACGCCATTGTACTCCAGCCTGGGCAACAAGAGAAATTCTGTCTCAAAAAAAAAAAAAAGAAATAACATATTTAAGATTTGCTTTAAAATAATCTGAAGGCAGAGTTAGTGGGTGTGATAATTAATATTAGATATCAAATTGATTGGATTGACAGATGCCTAGATGCTGAATCATTGTTTCTAGGTGTGTCTGTGAGGGTGTTTCCGGAGGAGATTTACTTGTGAGTCAGTGGACTGAGAGGGAAGGACTCACCCTGAAGGTGGACAGGCACCATGCAATCAGCTGGCCCAACTAGGACAAAGCAGGCAGAAGAAGGGGGATACTCAGCTCATACTGCTTTATTTCTCTTGCTCCCTTCTCGAGTGGGATGCCATCTTTCTTCTGCCCTTGCACATCATACTCCAGGTTCTTTGGGTTTTGGACTCTGGAACTTGCACCAGCAGCCTCTCGGGGATTCTCAGGCCTTCAGCCACAGGTTGGGGACTACGCTTTTGTCTTTCCTAGTTCTAAGGCTTTTGGACTGGAATGAAGCCACCAGCTTTTCTGGTTCTCCAGTTTGTGGACACCCTGTTAGTGAGACTTCTTCACCTTTGTGATTGTGTAAGCCAATTCCGCCTAATAAAATCTCTATCTATCTATCTATCTATCTATCTATCTATCTATCTATCTATCTATCTCCTATTGGTTCTGTCCTGAAGGGGTGGGTTGCCCCTCCACACCTGTGGGTGTTTCTCGTTAGGTGGAATGAGAGACTTGGAAAAGAAAAAGACACAGAGACAAAGTATAGAGAAAGAAATAAGGGAACCCAGGGAACCAGCGTTCAGCATATGGAGGATCCCGCCAGCTTCTGAGTTCCCTTAGTATTTATTGATCATTCGTGGGTGTTTCTCCGAGAGGGGGATGTGTCAGGGTCACAAGACAATAGTGGGGAGAGGGTCAGCAGACAAACACGTGAACAAAGGTCTTTGCATCACAGACAAGGTAAAGAATCAAGTGCTGTGCTTTTTGATACGCATACACATAAACATCTCAATGCTTTACAAAGCAGTATTGCTGCCCGCGTGTCCCACCTCCAGCCCTAAGGCGGTTTTTCCCTATCTCAGTAGATGGAACGTACAATCGGGTTTTATACCGAGACATTCCATTGCCCAGGGACGGGCAGGAGACAGATGCCTTCCTCTTGTCTCAACTGCAAGAGGCATGCCTTCCTCTTACACTAATCCTCCTCAGCACAGACCCTTTACGGGTGTCGGGCTGGGGGACGGTCAGGTCTTTCCCTTCCCATGAGGCCATATTTCAGACTATCACATGGGGAGAAACCTTGGACAATACCTGGCTTTCCTAGGCAGAGGTCCCTGCGGCCTTCCGCAGTTTTTGTGTCCCTGGGTACTTGAGATTAGGGAGTGGTGATGACTCTTAAGGAGCATGCTGCCTTCAAGCATTTGTTTAACAAAGCACATCTTGCACAACCCTTAATCCATTTAACCCTGAGTTTGACACAGCACCTGTCTCAGAGAGCACGGGGTTGGGGGTAAGGTCATAGATTAACAGAATCTCAAGGCAGAAGAATTTTTCTTAGTACAGAACAAAATGGAGTCTCCTATGTCTACTTCTTTCTACACAGACACAGTAACAATCTGATCTCTCTTGCTTTTCCCCACACTGTCCCTCTGGAGAACCCTGACTAATACTGTGTGTAAGTCATTTATGAAAAATGATTCATGGGTAGGGTAGCTTATTCCTGTAATCCCAGTGCTTTGGGAGGCTGAGGTGGGAGAACTGCTTGAAGCCAGGGGTTCAAGACCAGCCTGGGCAACATGGTGAGACCCATCTCTACAAAAAATTTTAAAAATTCGTTGGGCATGGTGGTACACTCATGTAGTCCTAGGCATTTGGGAGGCTGAGGTGGGAGGATTGCTTGAGCCCAAGAACTGCAGGCTGCACAGGAGCTATGATCATACACTCTAGCCTAGACAACAGAATGAGACCTTGTCTCTAAAAATAAATAAATAAAGGGCTAGGCATGGTGGCTCACGCCTGTAATCCTAGCACTTTGGGAGGCCAAGGCGGGCGGATCACTTGAGGTCAGGAGTTTGAGACCAGCCTGGCCAACAGGGTGAAACCTCGTCTCTACTAAAAATACAAAAATTAGCTGGGCATGGTGGCACATGCCTGTAATCCCAGCTACTTGGGAGGCTAAGGCAGGAGAATTGCTTGAACCAGTGGGCAGAGGTTGCAGTGAGCTGAGATCGCACCATTGCACTCTAGCCTGGGCAACAAGAGTGAAACTCTGTCTCAAAAAAAAAAAGGAAAGAAAAGAAAAGAAAGATGGTGGCCAGAAGTGGGTAATGGTTGAAGCTGGATATTAGGTACCAGGGTTCATCAAAATAGTCTCTATATTATTATATACTTTTAAATTACTTTTCCATGATGAAAAGTTTCAAACAATTATTATGTATCTTGGGATTAATTTATGTCCCACAATTCAGTCCTGAAAAATAAAGTAAGCACCAATTGTATTACTTTGTAATTAAAAAAATACTTTGCGGGAAAAAAATCCCCATACTTTATACAGGAATGCTTATAGCAGCTGTATTCATAATAGACAAATACAGGGAACAGCTTAGGTGCCCATCAGTAGGTGAATATATAGGCAAACTATAATACATATCAATGTACTACTACTTAACAATAAAGTAGAATGAACTGTTGATTTACACAACATGGATGAGTCTCAGACATTATATTAATTGAAAGACTTACATTGAAAGTACATACCATATGATTCCATATATATCAAGTTCTACATCATGCAAGATAACCTATGGTGGGGGGAAAAAGTCAGAACACTGGTTGCCTCTATATGGGAGGGGAAGGACTAACCGGAAAAGGGTAGGAGGGAACTTTCCATGTGAATAATAATTTTCTATATCCTTTTTTTTTTTTGAGAAGGAGTTTCGCTCTTGTTGCCCAAGCTGGAGTGCAGTGGTGCAGTCTTGACCCACTGCAAACTCTGCCTCCCAGTTTCAAGCAATTCTCCCGCCTCAGCCTCCCAAGTTGCTGGGATAACAGGCGCCCGCCACCATGCCCAGTTAATTTTTGTATTTTTAGTAGAGATTGAGTTTCACCATGTTGGCCAGGCTGGTCTCAAACTCCTAGCCTCACGTGATCCAACAGCCTTGGCCTCTCGAAGTGCTGGGATTACAGGTATGAGCCACTGGGCCCAGCCAGTTTTCTATATCTTGATGAGTTTTGGTTTAATAATACAGTTTGTCAAACTCAGGGGATGCTAATTTAAGATTTGAAAATTTCAGTGTATATAAATTTTACTTCAGCAGAAAGGAAACTAAATAAATATTGAACACTAGTTAATGAAATACATGCTGAAGTATTTAGGGAGAGATGTACTTGTCCACTAAAAACATCGTGGGCCCAGTGTGGTGCCTCACACTTCTAATCCCAGCAGTTTGGGAGGCTGAGGTGGGCGGATGGCTTGAGTCCAGGAGCTGGAGACCAGCCTGAGGAACATGATGAAACCTTATGTCTACAAAAAATACAAAAATTAGCCAGGTGTGGTAGTGTATACCTATAGTCCCAGCTACTTGGGAGGCTGAGGTGGGAGGATGGCTTGAGCCCAGAGGAGGAGGTTGCAGTGAGCCAAGATTGCAAGATCGTGCCACTGCACTCCAGCCTGGGTGACAGAGCCAGACCCTGTGTCAAAAAAAAAGCAAACAAACAAACAAAAAAAAACCCCATAATAGACTGATGGATGGATAGAGGGATACAAAAATTAGCTGAGTGTGGGCCGGGCGCGGTGGCTCATGCCTGTAATCCCAGCACTTTGGGAGGCCGAGGCAGGCGGATCACGAGGTCAGGAGATCGAGACCATCCTGGCTAACACAGTGACACCCCCATCTCTACTAAAAATATAAAAAATTAGCCAGGCGTGGTGGCGGGTGCCTGTAGTCCCGGCTACTCTGGAGGCTGAGGCAGGAGAATGGCGTGAACCCGGGAGATGGAGCTTGCGGAGCCGAGATTGCGCCACTGCACTCCAGCCTGGGCAACAGAGCGAGACTCCGTCTCAAAAAAAAAAAAAAAAAAAAAATTAGCTGGGTGTGATGGTGTGCTCCCTGTAGTCCTAGCTACTTAGGAGCCTGATTTGGGAGGATCACTTGAGCCCAGGAGGCAGAAGTTGCAGTGAGCCTTAATCACGCCACTGCACTCCAGCCTAGGTGATAGAGCCAGACCCTGTCTCCCCGATCGCCCCACAAAATAGAATCAAAGTGTAGGTAAATGAATGTTCATTGCACAATTATTTGAATTTTTATGTACGTTTGAAATTTTTCCTATTATTTAGGGAAAATAAAGGGAGACATCTTCTGGAAGAAATTGGTATTACTGATTGGCTCAGAAAGGCAAGCGCAAGAAAACTTTTTTTTTTTTTTTTGGTTTTTGTTGTTTTGAGACAGCGTCTCCCTCTGTTGCCCAGGCTGGAGTGCGGTGGAGAGATCACAGGACACTGCAGCCTCAAATTCTTGGGCTCAAGTGATCCTCCCACCTCAGCCTCTCAAGTAGCTGGGACTACAGGCATGTGCCTGGCTAATTATTTTTATTTTTTGTAGAGGTGAGGGTTTAGCTTTGTTGCTCAGGCTGGTTTCGAACTCCTGGCTTCAAGCGATCCTCCCACCTCAGCCTCCCAGTGTTGGGATTACAGATGTGAGCTACTGTGCCTGGCCAAAATATGGTTTAAAAATATGATTTGGTATGGAATGATTGCTTATTTTTTACATACCCCATTGGTTCTTTCTCCTGTGCCCAAGCTGAAAATCTTCCTTCTCTTCCACTAACTTCTTACTTAGATTTTACTTTCTGAATAAGAATCAGTAAACTTTTTCTGTAAATGGCCAGAGGGTAAATATTTTAGGTTCTATGGGCTAAGGGGCAAAATTGAAGATTTTATGTAGATACTTGTAGAAAAACAGGGAAAACTAATTTCCACAACATTTTCACTGATGAAATTCAAAATATAATAATATCGAGTACAAATTTTTGTAAATCAGGTATGCTAATCAGAAGAATGAAATTCTTTTTGTGGGGAGATGGAGAATAACATTTTTCTTAATTAGGTTTCAAAGTTCTTATTCCCTATCAAAATCTATTGCAAATGTTCATCTGTCAATCATGATCTGTAATGAAATTTTACAGATTTTATCTTTGAAAAATATATTTTCACACATGTAGGCACTGCCCAATATGATGTCAATCCAAGGGCATATGATTTAAATTAAGTATATTATGCTCTTGGAAAACAATTACAGAAACATATTATTCTCTTCATATCTGCCTTTTAGCATGTCAGATGAATCATTTCTAACTGATGGTTAGGTGGAAGCTCTTCAGTTGCACAGTTAAATGGATTTTGAAATATGGAAATTTCCTTTGTGTTTGCAGAGATCCGTAAAACACCACTAAAACTGTAGTTTGAGCTTGAAAAATATAACCACTGCAAACTTGTGTGAGGATAGAGAGCTTGCTTTTTGTTTTAACTTGTGACTCAAATAATGTTAGTTGTCAAAATGACTTCATCACAGTAAGTTTTGCATGTCAGTACTGTTTTGCTTTGTAATTTATGTTGACTTTATTAGGATGCATCATCAAATGATCAAAATTAGCAAACTAGCAAAAATGAATTTCAAAGTCATTCAGTCAGTGATGTAAAATAAATAAAATCCTGAGCCCTCTGCCAACTGCATGAACGTACCCTCATGGCCAAGGTGACCCCAGAAAAACCTTTAAAACAGAGTTCCTGATCATAACAGGACAGGAGGGCAGACATGCCTCATTAAACTCCCTCCCTTTTGAAGTTTAGACACAACAACCGACCAGCATTGATGTTAAAGAAGAGATATCAAGACTGACAGAAAGGACTTTTTGTGGCAAAAAGGTATCAAAAGATAAACAAGACCCAAGGCCATGCCAGGTAAGGGTTAAGTCATATACCCCTACACTTAAAGAATAAACTGTGTTCTAACTGCCCCAGGGTTTTCCTTTTTCTCTAACAGCTAAACCATCACTGGCCTACAGATAAGCAATATTAAAACAACTGTAGCTCACCATCAGACACTGAATAACTGATCCCCGTTCCACCAGCTTTGATTGGATAAGAGACTGATTTCAGTAACTTTCTCCTGATAAGAAGACCGCCAACCATGGACTGATTCTGGCAGGCTTTCAGAGGCTGCACACTTGCATGACTTCGTGTCTTGAAAAGAGCTTTTGACATATAGGACCTAATTATAATACATTTAAGTATTAAATATCCACTCCAAAGTGAACATCGGTAATATGTTACATGCATGTTTGTTCAATACCTATGTGTCAGGATCACCTTTATGAATATTCAGAGTTTCTCCAGTAACCTGTTGAATGTGTACGTTTAACCAAACTGTTCAGCATAAAGCTCCTACCCCAACCACTCCTCCTTTGAAGTGCCCGTCTCTAGTCTTTCTGGAGGCTATCCTTCTCAGCCTATGGGATGGACACCTTGCAGGCTGTAAACCTTTTTTTTTTTTGAGACGGAGTTTTGTTCTTGTCGCCCGGGCTGCAGTGCAATGGCACAATCTCAGCTCACTGCAACCTCCTCTTCCCAGTTTCAAGCGATTCTCCTGCCTCAGCCTCCTGAGTAGCTGGGATTACAGGCACCCGCCACCATGCCTGGCTAATTTTTTTTTTTTTTTTTGTATTTTTAGTAGAGAAGGGATTTCACCATGTTGGCCAGGCTGGTCTCAAACTCCTGACCTCAGGTGATCCGCCCGCTTTGGCCTCCCAAAGTGCTGTGATTACAGGCATAAGCCATCACACCTGGCTGGCTGTAAGCCTTTATAAAACATAAAATCTTCTTTCTAAATTTATAGGTCTCATGATTTGTAAAGGTAACAGTGGTTAAGAGAAATTCTTTTCATTTAGAAAAATTTCAATCTTGGCTCTCAAAAAACATCACAATAAAATGTTATCACTGCTAAGTCATCAAATGCTATGTGGCAGGGCAAGGTAGGATATTCTGCCATTTTGACCAAAAATTCATGGACTAACAACAGTTAAGTCCATGAGGATGAATGAATTGTATCATTGATACTGCAGATTCAATAATATCTGTACATGGTAAGTTCAAATGTTTTCCACAAACTGTTTTTTAATAATCAAATGATGTCATAACCATAGGATTTAAACACCTTATATTTTCATAAGCATTGTAAATCTGTCAAACTAAGCCTTTCTCTTTTTATATCATCAGTTGCAATATAGCAAAGCGATTCTACTTCAGGTGTACTTAATTAGTGTTTTTTCACCTTCGTTAAAAATATTCTCAGCTGTTTCATGCAGCTGTTTTGGAGCTAATTCTTCAGTCCATTCAATCATTGACTCCTTGAATATATAGGAACAAATGAGCAACATCAATAACACCTGTCAATTCAGTACAAGCTAAGGAAAACCATTCAAAATCACTTGCCTTGCTTTTTTTTTCTAATCAAAAAAAAATTTTTTTTTTCTAATCAAAAAAAATTTTTTTTTTAGAAATGGGATCTCCTGTGTTGCCTAGGCTGGATTTGAACTCCTGGGCTGACTCAGTTCCCTGAGTAGCTAGGACTACAGGCATAGGCCACCTCATGTGGCTAACTTGCCTTGTTTTACTATTGATGTTTGTGTCCTGTGTCCTTAACACTTTAAGCAGCTGTTCTCACCTAAAGGCTAATAGTTTTAAGTAAGTTTCTTTTTCTTTTTTTAATTTAAAAATTAAAAAATTTTTAATTAACTTTTTTTAAATTAAAAAAAATTATTAATTATTTTTAATAGACAGGATCTTGCTATGCTGTCCAGGCTGGTCTTGAACTCCTGGTCTCAAGTGATCCTCCTGCCTTGGCCTCCCAAAGCGCTGGTATTACAGGTGTGAGTCACTGCACCTGGCCAAGTTTATTTTTTCTGTATACATTTCTTCAGCCACTTCAATCAAACATTTAATTAACATGCTATAATGAATGACTTTTCTTACTAGGCTAACAAATGAGGCACTTGGAAACTTACTTTAGTTACAGCCTCACTTTCTTTTTTTGTGAGGAAATTCTGTGTTGACATACTCTTTAATTTCTTTTTACCTTTTCTGACTGATTTTCTGTAATTTGGGAATATTGTGATGACTGCTTATTCTAATAATATTAACATATAGCATTCTTTTAGCACATAAATAGTTTCATTTGCATAGTAAGCGCCAGGCTTTGCCATCGAATTTGATAAAATAATCCATGCTTCATGGTACCTTAGAGATGGGATATTTTAAGTCCAATTCTCTCTCTCTCTCTCTCATTTTTTTCTTTTTAGAGACAAGGCCTGGAGTTACCCATGCTGGAGTGCAGTGGTGTGACTGTAGCTCCCTGCAGCCTCGAACTCCTTGGCCTCAATTGATCCTGCCACCTTACCTTCTGAGTAACTGGGACTACAGTGTGTGTCACCACACCTTTTTTTTTTTTGACATGAGGGATATATGCTGGTAATAAAAATAAAATTTTGGGGTATGGCAATAGGCATGCTACTCAAAATGCTGCCAAGTTACAAAGTGTAACTATGATTTGTAATGGATAGCAGCAGTGACAAGTGATGAGAATGGTCTCTTGTCATGACTACTCTGTTATAGTGTAAAAGCAGCCATAGACAGTAGATAAATGAATAAGTATGGCTGTATTCCAATAAAGTTTTACTCATGGACACTGAAATATGAATTTCATATAATTTTGTGTCACAAAATATTAAATTTTTTTTCTAGCCATTAAAAATGTACAAAGCATAATTAGCTGTGGACTGTACAAAAGCAGGAAGCAGGTTGGACATGGCTTTTGGGCCATAGTTGGCCAACCCCTGCTAGAGAACATCTATACATAGCAGCCTTTTGAGTAGTTTTGTTCATCTGAGGTCATGAAAAGGAATTAGTATTGGCAGGGTGCGGTGGCTCACGCCTGTAATCCCAGCACTTTGGGAGGCAAAGGCGGGCAGATCACCTGAGGTCAGGAGTTTGAGACCAGCCTGACCAACATGGTGAAACCCCGTCTCTACAAAAAATTAGCCGGGTGTGGTGGCGCATGTCTGTAATCCCAGCTACTGGGGAGGCTGAGGCAGGAGAATAGCTTGAACCCAGGAGGTGGAGGTTGCAGTGAGCCGAGATTGTGCATTGCACTCCAGCCTGAGCAACAGGAGCGAAACTCTGTCTCAAAAAAACAAAAAACAAAAAAACAAAAAAACAAGGTGGCACAGCTGGCTTGAGCAACTGAACTGGAAACAAGATGCAGGACCCCAACGCAGACACTGAGTGGAATGACATCTTAACGCAAAAAGGGTATCTTACCCCCCAAGGAAAGTCTGAAAGAATTGGAAGAGGAGGCAGAAGAGGAGCAGCGCATCCTCCAGCAGTCAGTGGTGAAAACATATGAAGATATGACTTTGGAAGAGCTGGAGGATCATGAAGACGAGTTTAATGAGGAGGATGAATGTGCTATTGAAATGTGCAGACAGCAGAGACTGGCTGAGTGGAAAGCAACTAAACTGAAGAATAAATTTTGAGAAGTTTTGGAGATCTCAGGGAAGGATTATGTTCAAGAAGTTACCAAAGCTGGTGAGGGCTTGTGGGTCATCTTGCACCTTTACAAACAAGGAATTCCCCTCTGTGCCCTGATAAATCAGAACCTCAGTGGACTTGCCAGGAAGTTTCCTGATGTCAAATTTATCAAAGCCATTTCAACAACCTGCATACCCAATTATCCTGATAGGAATCTGCCCCGATATTTGTTTACCTGGAAGGAGATATCAAGGCTCAGTTTATTGGTCCTCTGGTGTTTGGTGGCATGAACCTGACAAGAGATGAGTTGGAATGGAAACTGTCTGAATCTGGAGCAATTATGATGGACCTGGAGGAAAACCCTAAGAAGCCGATTGAAGATGTATTGCTGTCATCAGTGTGGCACTCTGTCCTCATGAGGAGGGACAGCGATTCTGAGGGTGACTGAGGCTACAGCTGCTATCACATGCCGAACTTTCTTGTGACAAATGTCTGGATTTTTTAAAAAAGGAAAAAGCAAGAATGAATCCTTCTGGTTTTTAGTTTTGTATAAATTATGTTTCAAATCTTTACATTTTGGAAATAATCATTGCTGGAAATTCTGTTAAATATTTTGGAACTTTTTTTTAAATTATAGTATTTCCTCTAAAAAAATTAAAACCAGCCATTAGTAAAAAAAAAAAAGAAAAGGAATTAGTATTTTAAAAGAGATTATTCATATTCCTTCTGTGCTGTAGGTTTTGTATTGTAGTTAAATACAAAACTCAGTGATTTCAAAGTTTTAAAAGTCCAATTTCTAAAGATAAAAACACATTTGCATTTCTCAGCATACTCAGCATACCAATATACATTACATATTTCTGTGTTTGATATTATCTTCTCTTCACTGGAAAGGTAAAATTTTTTTTGTTTTGTTTTGATACGGAGTCTTGCTCTGTTGCCCAGGCTAGAGTGCAGTTGCGCGATCTCGACTCACTGCAACCTCCGCCTCCCAGGTTCAAGTGATTCTCCTGCCTCAGCCTCCTGAGTAGTGGGATTACAGGCATGTGCCACCACATCCGGCTGATTTTTATATTTTTTAGTAGAGACAGGGTTTCAGCACGTTGGCCAGGCTTGTCTTGAACTCCTGACCTCAGGTGATCCACCCACCTTGGCCTCCCAAAGTGCTGGGATTACAGGCATGAGCCACTGCGCCCAGCCAGAATTGGCTAACATTATTATGGAGGTTGGCAAATTCAAAAACTTCAGGGCGGACCAGCAGGCTAGATAGAGACCCAGACAAGAGCCAATGCTGTGATTCAAATCTGAAAGCCTGTCTGTTGCAGAATTCCTTTTGGCTCAAGAGAGGTCAGTCTTCTACTCAGTTCAACTGATTGGTTGAGGCACACCCACATTATCGCAAGACCACCTTCACAGAGACATTCAGAATAACATTTGACCTCATATATGGGCACCGTGGCCCTGCCACGTTCACCCATAAATTTACAATCATACCTCCTCATTAAAAAAACAAAGGGCTGGGCTAGTGGTGGCTCACACCTGTAATCCCAGTACTTTGGGAGGCCAAGGTGGGTGGATCACCTAAGATTGGGAGTTCGAAACCAGCCTGACCAACATGGAGAAACCACATCTCTACTAAAAGTACAAAATTAGCCAGGCGTGGTGGTGCATGCCTGTAATCCCAGCTACTCGGGAGGCTGGGGCAGGATAATCGCTTGAACCCAGGAGGCAGAGGTTGCGGTGAGCGAGATCACACCGTTACACTCCAGCCTGGCAACAGGGCAACAAGAGCAAAACTCCGTCTCAAAAAAAAAAAAAAAGAAAAAGAAAAAAAATCGCCCAAGCGTGATAGCTCACACCTATAATCCCAGCACTTTAGGAAACTGAGGCAGGAGGATTGCTTGAGGCCAGGAGTTCAAGACCAGCCTGGGCAACATAGTGAGACCCTGTTTCTATAAAAATAATAAAAAATGAAAACAATTTTAATTAAAAAAAGGAGTCAAGTCAAAGGTGGGAGGAAAGAGCAAAACTACCACTCTTAAAATGTTCCGAAGCTTCTAAGCGCTAGAAATCTTCCAGGTAGAAATTAAAGTTAGAATTTAAAAAATATATTGTTCTGTAAAAAATAAAGAACTTATTCACTTAATTTTCTTTTTTGGTTTTCTTTTCTGTTTTTTTGAGACGGAGATTCGTTCTGTCGCCCAGGCTGGAGTGCAATGGCGAAATCTCGGCTCACTCCCCTCCCACACCCTGTGCCGGGTTCAAGCGATTCTCCTGTCTCAGCCTCCCAAATAGCTGTGATTTTATTTTATTTTATTGAGGGAGGGTCTTGCTCTGTTGCCCAGGCTGGAGTGCAGTGGCCCGATCTCAGCTCACTGCAGCCTCAACTTCTGGGCTTAAGCAATCCTCCCACCTGCCTCATGAGTGGCTGGGGCTACAGGCACACACCACCATGCCCAGCTAGTTTTTGTATTTTTACTACAGATGGAGTTTTGCCATGTTGCCCGGGCTTGCATTCTTATTTTTAAGTAAGTCTTTGAAATCCAGTGTGTATTTTACACTTATAGCACATCTCATTTAGGACTAGCCACATTTCCAATGCTCAGTAGCCAAAAGTGGATATTAGCTACCATATTAGACAATGCATCTCTAAGGGGTGAGATTATCGAAACTTTCACTTTGTATTTTACATATTATTTTGTTTTCCTGAATGTTAAAAAAACCATATATTGCTCATACAGTCAGAAACCATAATAAAATAAAAAGTCAATTGCTCTGAAGTCAGAAAGAATTATGCTTTTGAGTAGGTGTTATACAATAGTAAAAACCAAACAGTAGAAAAGGTTATATACTGACAGTTTTATGTGTGTTCTCTGTGCACTTGTCTAGAAGATGGGCCACAATTTTTGTAGATTATGGTCTTTCAGAAGTGGTCAGTAAACCAAAAAGAAATTTAAAACCAAAGTCAAAGAATTTCAACAACAAAATTCCACAGAATTTAGACAGAGGGTTAATTACTTTGCCATGTTATAATGAGGTTCTATCCAGGCTTCTTGTCAGGAATTAGTGCTAGACAAATAGGAAGCTCTTTGAGGGAGAGAAAAACAACACAGGTTGGGGGACCAGTGAATAATTGCTTCCACTACCCCTCTAGAGGTAAACTACCAACCTATCATCCCTGAAACCAATGAGATTTCAGGAGGATGGACAACATTTTTTAAATTTTGAGACAGGATCTCACTCCGTCACCAAGGCTGAACTGCAATGGCATGATCACAGCTCATTGCAGCCTCAAACTCTGGCCTGAGCAATCCTCCCACCACAGCCTCCCCAGTAGCTGGGCCCACAGGCTTGTGCCACCATACTCGGCTAATTCATTTTAATTTTTGCAGAGACAGGATCTCTCTATATTGCCCAGGCTGGTCTTGAATTCCTGGGCTTAAGCGATCCCCTGCCTCGGCCTCCCAAAGTGCTAGAATTATAGGCATGGGCCACCGCATCCTGCCTAGTCAGAACATGCTTAAAGCAGGAATCTTAAATAGAATGCAATGTCAGCTGGGCACGGTGGCTCACGCCTGTAATGCTAGCACCTTGGGAGGCCGAGGCGAGCAGATCACTTGAGGCTAGGAATTGGAGACCAGCCTGGCCAACATGGTGAAGCCCCATTTCTACTGAAAATACAAAAAAAAAAAAAAATGGCTGGGAGTGGTGGCTCACACCTGTAGTCCCAGCTACTTTGGAGGCTGAAAGGAGGATCGCTTGAGCCTGGGAAGCGGAGGTTGCAGTGAGCCGAGATTGCGCCACTGCACTCCAGCCTGGGCGACAGAGGGAGACTGTCTCAAAAAAAAAAAAAAGAAAAAAGAATGCAATGTCAGGGCTAGAAAAAATGAAGAATTAACCAACTCAAGATGAGATTCTAAAATATTCATTTTATTTTCCCCCCTGTGTATCAGCTAAATATGAGGAAAAAAAGAGGTGGAAGTATAAATTAATTTCAAGAATATTTTTCAGGTTATTTAGGTAAACTAAATAAATAATAAAGTAAATAAACCAGAAGAAGTTGTGTTTTGTTTAAAAGAGTAGTAAAGAAATCCTTGACGTTTCTATTTCATCTCTTTTGAAGTTTTTCTGAAAGGCAGTAGAACTTTTATAAAAATGATTCATTATATTCTCAATTGAAAATTTAGGGGCTGGGGGCAGTGACTCATGCCTGTTATCCCAGCACTTTGGGAGGCTAAGGCGGGCGGATAACTTGAGGTCAGGAGTTAGAGACCAGCCTGGCCAACATGTTGAAACCCCATCTCTACTAAAAATACAAAAATTAGCTGGGTGTGGTGGCGCACAGCCTGTAATCCCAGCTACTCGGGAGGCTGAGGCAAGAGAATGGCTTGAACCTGGGGGGTGGGGACAGAGGCTGCAGTGAGCCGAGATTGCGCCATTGTACTCTAGCCTGGACAACAAGAGTGAAACTCCATCACAAAAAAAAAAAAAAAAAAAAATTAAAAGAATGCAAAATATCTCATTATTTTTTATGTTGTTTATATGTTGAAATGCTAATATGAATAAATAAAATATATTTTGTCTTTTTAAAATATGGCTATTAGCTAACTTAAAATTTCATATGAGGTACACCTATTTCTCTTGGACAGTGCCACCTTAGCAACAATTTAAAAATCAGTAAGTACCTTTTGCCGGGCGCGGTGGCTCATGCCTGTAATCCCAGCACTTTGGGAGGCCGAGGCGGGAGGATCACCTGAGGTTGGGAGTTCAAGACCAGCCTGACCAACGTGGTGAAAGCCCATCTCTACTGAAAATACAAAATTAGTCGGGCGTATTGTCGTATGCCTGTAATCCCAGCTACTCGCGAGGCGGAGGCAGGAGAATCGTTTGAACCTGGGAGGCAGAGGTTGTGGTGAGCCAAGATCACGCCATTGCACCCCAGCCTGGGCAACAAGACCAAAACTCTGTCTCAACGACAACAACAACAAAAAATCAGTACCTTTTATTGAGTATTTACCACATGTTAGGCACTATTTGGATTTCTAACATGATTTAATTGATTAGATTATCACAATAGTGATATGGATTGGGAATTATTAATATTACCATTTTTCACAGGGCAGACCACAGAGTTTAAATTACAAGTCAAGATAATGCTGCTGGCAAATAACAATAATGGGATTCTTCCATGGTCTAGCTTTGGAGCCTGGTGCTCCTTCAGTATGCTAAACAGGCTCTGTTGTCTGGGGTCTCCATGGTTCAGACTTTGTTAAATTTTTTCACACTTTACTGATACATAATTTTTTTAAAAAACTGGAATCATAGTATACTTATGTATTGCAATTTGCTGGAAAATTAAAAAAGACAAAAAACCTTACACCTTGGTTATCTTCCCATTAACCAGGTGTGCTAGTTGGTACCCAGCAAAACAACATCACCATTCCCATTCTGACTCAAACATAACTGTTCACAAGCATTTCTTATATTGTGGTTTCTTTCCATTGTCATGGATTTTGGGCTCTAGTTTCTCTGGGGCCTTTTGTTAGCCATAGACACTGCAGTGATAATTTTTTGTCTGCTGCCATTATGAAAAACTGATTTTAAAAAATTATTATTATTGTTAGAGATAAAAATAATAATACCTCTACTTCTAGTACCATCCAGTTTTTCCTAATCATTTGCAGGACAAGAATGAAGATGAGATTTAATCTATAATTGGAGAAGCAGAAGTTGTAGCTTCATGATATGTGATTCAGGCCACATAGCCATATTCCTCTCAAGGCTGAAAATATTTTAAATTTCCAACAGCTTTAAGTTTAAATTATTTAATTTCACACTATGTTGCACAGGTCATAGTGCAAGGGCTATTCACAGGCATCATCATAGGGCTCTACAGCCTAAAACTCCTGGGCTAAGGTGTTCTTCTTGCTTCAGCCTCCAGAGGAGCTGGGACTATGGTTGCATGCCACTGCACCCGGCTTGCAAAACTGATTTTTATTTTATTTTCTTTTAAAATGTAGTATTTTGAGTAGGCAAAACATTCATATGATTTAAAAATATGTAAATATATTCAGTGAAAAATTTCTCCCCAGCTCTGTTCCTCAGTCCCTCTGTCCTGTTTCCATTTCACCCTTCCCTTAGGCAACTACAGTTAATAGTTTCTTGTGGCTCCTTCCAGAATTCTTTCTAAACACAAATATGAATATATACATGTCTATGAACATATTCATTAAGGCTGTAATTACGAAAATACAATGTGCATTTGGCCAGGTGTGGTGGCTCACACCTGTAATCCTAGCACTTTGAGAGGCTGAGGCAGGAGGATTGCTTGAGCCCAGGAGTTTGAGACCGGCCTGGGCAACATAGTGAGACCCCATGTCTGTTAAAAAGTTAAGAAATTTTTAAAAATGCAGCTAATAATATTTTTAAATCAGTCACTTGGAAAGTTTATTTCTTTTGTTTTTTGTTTGTTTTTGAGACGGAGTCTCGCTCTGTTACCCAGGCTGGAGTGCAGTGACGGGATCTCAGCTTACTGCAACCTGCCTCTCGGGTTCAAGTGATTCTCCTGCTTCAGCCTCCCGAGTAGCTGGGATTACAGGCGCCTACCACCATGCCGCTGATTTTTGTATTTTTCGTAGAGACAGGATTTCACCATGTTGGCCAGGCTAGTCTCAAACTTCTGACCTCAGGTGATCCATCCACCTCGGCCTTCCAAAGTGTTGGGATTACAGGCATGAGCCACTGCGCCTCGCCGAAAAGTTTAATATGTAGTTGAACATGGATTCAAAATTATGGCTGGGCGTGGGGTGGCTCATGCCTGTAATCCCAGCTACTCAAGAGGCTGAGGCTGGAGAATTGCTTGAACCCAGGAGCCAGAGGTTGCGGTGAGCTGAGATCACGCCACTGCACTGCAGTCTGGGTGACAGGGTGAGACCCTGTCTCAACAAAACAAAACAAAACAAAACAGAAACAAATGTTACCCAGGCATGGTGGTGGGCACCTGTAGGCAGAGGTTGCAGTAAGCTGAGATTGCGCCACTGCACTCCAGCCTGGGCTATGGAGCAAGACTCCATCTCAAAAAGCAAACAAACAAAACCAAAATTCTGTCTGTCCTTCTTTTTAGGTTGCTGGAAATTAACAAGATAAATATAAATGCAAATAAAAATATGAGACACCAGTTGAATTTGAATTTTGGATAAACAACACTTTTTTATATATAGCTATGTCCTAAATATTGCATGTAAGTATTGCATAAGATGTATATTGCAACATGAATACTTGGGACATACTTATACTAAAACATTATTCATTGTTATCTGAAATTCAAGTTTAACTGGGTGTCCTATATTGTTTCCAACAACTGTAACATAACCTCTTGGCATCTACTTGTAGGGATTTTGTGAAATTTAGAACCAATATATGTAAACTAGTTATCACAAAGCCTACCACATAGCAGGAGATAAATAATAATAATAATAACTGAGGAAAGTTAATCTCATTTGGGCCATCTGGATAACCTGTGAATATTGGCAATCTCTCTTTCCATGCCATAGGTTATAGATAAGGAAGCAGGACCGGAAGAGTCTACACATGAATATTAATCAAGAAAGGAGATATTTATAATTTTATGCACCTAAACCTTTGCATGAAGATTTTTTATTGTTAAACCAGGCATGGTGGCCGTCTATAATCCCAGCACTTTGGGAGGCCAAGGCAGGAGGATTGCGACATGGTGAGACCTCTGTCTACAAAAAAAACCAAAATTAGCCAGGTGTGGTGGTGTGCACCTGTAGTCTCAGCTACTCAGAAGGCTGAAGTGGGAGGATTGTTTAAGCCCAGGAGGTCGAGGCTGCAGTGAGCCAGGACTGTACCACTGCACTCGAGTCTGGGCAACAAACCAAGACCCTGTGTCAAAAAAAAAAAAAGGTTTTTTTATTGTTAAAATATTCGCATATTTTCCAAATCTTTACAGTGTCAAAATTCTTTACATTAGTAACTTCTTCATTTTAAAACTTGAATGAAAACTTCAAAGTTACATTTACTTCTTTCAAATATGATTTCAATCCTAATTAGAAAACCACCTTCATTTTCTCAAGGTAAATTGCACCATCCACAAATGTTCCAGTTTCTTGTCTACCTAGTCTCTTAACTTCGTGTTATCTAAACTTGTTTATAATACTCTCCTGAAACCGCTGTTGAAGGTTACCAGGCTCTATTACGACAATCTCCTTCCTGCCTTCTTCCTTTCAATTCTATTATTACTTTCAATTCATCCTTGTTATATGAGTTTAACCTTTCTACAACACAAGTATCATTATATCAATCCCTCACTCAAAAACACCAAATGAAAACGAGTAGGATGAACGGTGGGAGGTAGGGTGAAGCCACATTATGGTGGCCCTTGCAAGTTGAACTTAAAGTGAGAAGTTTTTGAGAGGGGAATAACATGCTAAAAGGCATTGTTTTACTTAGATCATGCCAGTAACTGTGGGCAGATGAATTAGAGATGGCAAAGATCGGGGTAATCAGCTGTCGTAGGGATTAAGTATACTGTGCTGATAGGAAAGTCTTTCTCATAGGGCCTGGGCCTGCCAGAGAAACATTACCTTACTGAGAGGTTCATAGTTTTAAGTAGTAGAATCCTAATTTGGTTTGAGCTTATAGAGTTTAACATATATACAAAATGAGGCAGTTTAAAGTGTAGCAATTTGATTTTAGGCGTAAAAGCTATTATTTGAAGCACAAAAGAATTTCTGTGCAGTAATTTTAAAGCGTTGCTGAGTCACTTGGGCATGTGAGACCTTGCCCAGGAACATCTGGCTACTTACTTTAAAAGCCGTGACTATACTTAGCTGCATAAAAAAAGTCCTTTGGTCCTTTCCTCTGGATTCCAGGGCAGATGAACCAGGCAAACAATGTTTCAGCTATTGCTGTAAACTTGCAGGAACCTCTGCTTCTTAAGTACCTTTTAAGCTTCCAGGACTCCCTATCAAGTAATTACCATGCTAAATTGTAAAGAACCATAAACCCTTTCTCCCAGATCCCTATGGCCTATTCCAGGGAATAAGGGTTAGCAGAGGCAGTATTCAGGCTTGCTTTGTTCTTCTTCTTTTGTTTTCTTTTCTCTTTCTTTCTTTTCTTTCTTTCCTTACTTTTTTTTTTTTTTGACAGAGTTCTGCTCGTGTTGCCCAGGCTGGAGTGCAGTGGCACAATCTCCGCTCACTGTAACCTCCGCCTCCTAGATTCAAGCGATTCTCCTGCCTCAGCCTCCCAAGTAGCTGGGATTACAGGCATGTGCAACTATGCCCAGCTAATTTTGTATTTTTAGTAGAGATGGGGTTTCGCCATGTTGGCCAGGCTGGTTTCAAACCCCTGACCTCAGGTGATCCTCCCGCCTCGGCCTCCCAAAGTGCTGGGATTACAGGCGTGAGCCACCGCGCCCGGCCTTACTTTGTTCTTACACATATAGTAAGATTGTGTTCTCTAGGTAAGGAGTTTCTTGGTTAAAAGGAAAAAAATCCTAGTCTTAATTGCCCCTTCAGAACTAGGAAATTTGTCTTTAGACCAAAGCAGCAGGAAACAAGAATCGAAAGGAGTTAAAACAAGTGTAGAGAGATAGGAGAACCCAGGAAAGGGGGAATGCTCAGAGAATCCAGTGCCTGGAAATCTAGAAGCATGAATTACTAGATTTTCCCAAGCAAAAATGATCAGACTTTGCAGATTGCTGTTTCAGAAAGAGGGGAGTTCAGAATAAAGGTTGCAAGAGGAAGTGGGAGAGCTGGTAGTAGAAAGCAGAAGTTTTTTGTATACTCTGTTTAGTTTCTCACTTCCTGTGAGCACAACTTCGTTACCACCTGCAGCCTGTGCTGTCTTTTCACCTTTTACTTTAGAACTAACTGTTCAGTCTACCCATCAAAAGATGGGTACATTTACTTCCTCCATCAAGTCTTCACTGAAGATTTCAGATTCTATTTCTTTCTCAATTCCCTGAAATATTAGTGAGCTCAGTCACAATCACACCGTTTAGCATATAATAGTTGCATCAAAAGAAGGCTCGGCGCCGTTGCTCACGCTTGTAATCCCAGCACTTTGCCGGGCTGAGGCAGAAGGATCACTTGAGCTCAGGAGTTCAAGGCCAGCCTGGGCAAAAAAAAATTGTCTCTAAAAAAAAAAAAAGAAAAAAGTGTGAGCCTGCTTTCTTCCAACTAGGCAATGTATTTCTTGAATTTGGAGACTATATAAAAATATATTTATATACATAATCTATATTTATATATAAATATATAACATATATAATATATAATATATAAATATATAACATATATAATATATAATATATAAATCTATAACATATATAATATATAATATATAACATATATAATATATAATATATAATATATATAACATATATAATATATAATATATAACATATATAACACATATAATATATAAATATATAACATATATAATATATAACATATAACATATATAATATATAAATATATAACATATATAATATATAATATATAAATATATAACATATATAATATATAATATATAAATATATAACATATATAATATATAATATATAAATATATAACATATATAATATATAATATATAAATATATAACATATATAATATATAAATGTATAACATATATAATATATAAATATATAACATATAACATATATATCTAAATATATAACATATATAATATATAATATCTAAATATATAACATATATAATATATAATATCTAAATATATGACATATATAATATATAATATCTAAATATATAACATATATAATATATAATATATAAATATATGACATATATAATATATCTAAATATATAACATATATAATATATAATATCTAAATATATAACATATATAATATATAATATCTAAATATATAACATATAATATATAATATCTAAATATATAACATATATAATATATAATTTATATATAATTATAATATATGCAATATCTATATAAAATATATATATTTTTGAGACATAGTTTCGCTCTTGTTGCCCAGGCTGGAGTGCAGTGGCATGATATCGGCTCACTGCAACCTCTGCCTCCCGGGTTCAAGCGATTCTCCTGCCTCAGCCTCCCGAGTACCTGGGATTACAGGCATGCGCCGCCACGCCAGGCTAATTTTTTTGTATTTTTACTACAGACGGGGTTTCTCCATGTTGGCCAGGCGGGTCTCGAATTCCCGACCTCAGGTGATCAGCCTGCGTTGACCTCCCAAAGTGCTGGGATTACAGACGTGAACCACTGCGCCCGGCCTGGAGATTATATTTTAAAGTTATTTTGAATACTCCCTGGAAAAGTTCTTGGTTCATACTTATACCCGTAAGTCAAAAGATTTGTCAAATATTCAAGAACAATCAAACAATCACTTAAAAATACTGTATAAAAGTTTCTATTTCGGCATACTTTACTTTTACTTAACTAAAATTTCAAATAAAATGTATCCACTTTTATGATCTCAACAAGATCGGTCATTCCTATAGCGGAGTTGAAAACTTTCAACTTATTCACAATTATCAAAAGAATGGAGCAGCCCCCACAGAGACTTCCAGCAATGAGTTGTAAAATGCAGTCTGCATTAAGTAGCTTCCTTACAATCATCCCGATGGTAAAAGTGTCAAATTTCGCAAACGCCTGGACAAGGAAGTGAAATGATCATCTAATAACGCAGTTGACTCATCTGTCAAATAAGCGAGTGGGCCAGGGTCCCTGAGCTCACTACCCTCAGATTCTAACTCCAGCTTCACATCATTAGGCGTAAGCAGCCAATTGGGCCGTCTGGGAGCCGTGCATCCTGGGAGTTATAGTTTCCGGCTCCCTCCTTCAGATTACAAGCTCCACAGAGCCGCGGGAGGACGGTTGCCTGGTATTATTAGCAAGCAGCAAATATGGCGGTGGCGCGCGTGGACGCGGCTTTGCCTCCCGGAGAAGGTAAGGCGATCCCTACCCCGAGTCCTAAGGTTTACTTCACGGAGCTGAATTAAATAGTGGAGAGCAGAAAACCTAGGTTTAGATGTGCAGTTCTGGACCAGTTCTTTTGATGCGGATCTGTGGTCGTCGCGGAGGCGGGCTACCCTCTGGGAGTTGTAGTTCACCTGCCGTTCCCAGCTCTCCGGCGTCGCGGTGAGGGCCGAGCGGGGGACTACAGCCCCCAGAAGCCTTCGCGCGGCCCGGCGCCCTGGCTCCCGCGCTCCCGATGCTGAGGAGGCGGTGGATTTCGGGCTGCGATGACCTTTCTTGACCATTTACTTTGAGTCATGGGTGCCTAAGCGAAATGTTTGGGATCTCCCTCTTTCGCTTCACACATCTCCCTCTCTTCTTGGTTCCTGGAACCATCAGGAAAACCTTCCCTCAGAGACCGCTGCCTAGTCTGGCTTTGAACCCTTCCTCGGAGGTGGCCAGTGGCCGTGATAAAATCTAAGGGATGATCCAGAGCCCGCAGTTCTGTACTCCTTGTTCTTGCACACGGGTCCTAGGATCGAGTTTGGTCGCTGCCCAGTAGAGCACAGGACTGTGTGGGTGCTTCTGTGGCCTGAAGATACCTACCTCTTTGGGGCGCCGGACGCGAGCTGCTTTTGTTTTGGTTACAGCTCCGAGGCTTGGCAGCAGTCAGTCCTCTAAATCGGGGACAGGGCCCAGGGGTCGAGGCCCGTCTTCATGGCTTAGACCAGGAGTGCATTTTCTGGGAGCTGTAAATTCTTGGGGGAAGAGTTGGTGGATGGTTCTCAGACCTCTCTGTCGACCCCTTGGAATTGTGTACAAAGGCTGTGCACTTTTCTGAGACAGCACACCCCTTTCATCAATTTTTCAGAGGGGCTCACGACTCCTCACATGCTAAGAGCCATTAGACAACGGGAAAACGTTGAAATCCTCCAGGAGAGCAATCTGGCATAATTATTTCCTGCAGTAGTCCTAATCTGGGTGTAAATTTGAAATTGGCCGTTTCTCTGGCCCCGCCCTCTTTGGAGATCGGCTTTTCTTAAACCACACCTCTCAAGCCCACCAGGGCTACTTAACTGTTAATAGCAGTTAACATTTACAGAGCACTTTGTATGACCCAGGCGATGTTCTCAGTCCTTTTTTTTTTTGTTTTTTTTTTTACATTATCTCATTTTCTCTGTAGAACTACATTTATAAGGCAGGTATTATCCCCACTTTACAGAGTAGAAAAGGGAGCCCAAAAGAAATCAATAATTTGCCTAATATACCACAATGGTTAATTGGTGGAGCCAGGGTTTGAACGTCTATGTTATACTAAAGTGCCTTATTGAGTGCCCGGTGGCAGGAACGGGGCTAAGTACTATTCATATGGTTTCTCTTTTAATTCTCATATCAAGCTAGGGAAATGGGTGTATTATCCTATTTTATGGGAGAATTAGTTGAACTATACTTTGATTTTCAAAATCACAGTTTGGGCACTTTAGGATATATTGGTAGTTAGGCTGTAAGCTGGTGGATTGCAGTCAAAAGTTTAGTAACATTTAAACAATAGTATCATTACTTAGGCACAACAAATGGAAGTAATCGTCCATATTTAAATGTGAAAATTTTCAAAGTATATCTTAGCAACTTGAGGAGAATATCACACGTCTAGTTTTAATTTGATATTTCTGAAGAAAAATGAGTAATTCAATCTGGTCATTTAGAACTCAAGATTGCTTTAATTTTACAATGTTGATATTTATTATGCTCTACTGTTCTTTAACTTGAAATGGTATAGAGATTTTATAATTCCAGCCCTATGCTTAGCTGTTGTACATGTTTTATTTTATTTGTGTTTTCTAACATTTCCGTTTCTTTTCAAGGATCAGTGGTCAATTGGTCAGGACAGGGACTACAGAAATTAGGTCCAAATTTACCCTGTGAAGCTGATATTCACACTTTGATTCTGGATAAAAATCAGATTATTAAATTGGAAAATCTGGAGAAATGCAAACGATTAATACAGGTAGGTATTGCAATCTGGGAAATGGTTACATAGGATCAATTTATTATTAAACAAAACAATAAAATAACCTGACAAAAAGTAACTGTGCAGCCCTAGCAAGCAGTCATTGTTGCCTTAAATTTTTACATGACAGTTTCTTCTGAAGATGAACATACATGTACTACATTGAGAGTAGATTAGAAAAAAAAAGCATTGTTAAGAAAAGGAAGCATTTTATTTTGCAAAATACTGTGTTACTAAGGTAACCTTTTACCTCATGATGGGGGTAAAGAGTTCATTCATTCCTTCATTCAAGAAATGGTTACTGCGTCCCTCTTATATGTCTGGCACTGTATTAAGTTTTGACTGAGAGTTTAACAGCACTATTCTTGTGGAACTTACATTCTCAAGTTGTTGCTGTGTTAAAAATGTCTTAGTAGTTAGAGGAGGTCTGATCGCTCAGCTTTATCTGTATTTTCTATTGCCCAGGAACAATAACAAAAAACTGATAGTCATACTGTAGAATATTTAGACAATATATGTGAAATGTACAAAAGGAGTTTGTTTGAGAGTGTTTGGCTGTCTAAATAAACCTTTTAAATCACTTTAATGTGAAATATTTTATATATGTTATTCCTAAAAATAACAATATGTTTCCTTTTTACAGTTATCAGTAGCTAATAATCGGCTGGTTCGGATGATGGGTGTGGCCAAGCTGACGTTGCTTCGTGTATTAAATTTGCCTCATAATAGCATTGGCTGTGTGGAAGGGCTAAAGGAACTAGTACATCTGGAATGGCTGAATTTGGCAGGAAATAATCTTAAGGTGAATGGTTTCTTTTTTGTTTACAAAACTATTCTGCGTAAAAAAAATTCAAGCAATGTAGAAATAAGTCAAATTAAAAAGTGAAAGTACCCACTCCCACTCTCCAGGGATAATCTCTGTTAAAATAAACTAAAAATAAATCTCATTTTGAAACATATAATATGACATAATATTCTTTTAAATTTGAACAAAGAATCTATATTGTACTTAGAAAAAAGTAGATCAAACCATAGAGTGTTTAGGAGGGAGACTATATCATGCTGAATTAAGCTTTAAGTAAATGTTTAATGCTATAAGGGAGAATATACAGTTTTAAAAGTTAGGAGATCTGAATTCTAGTCCTACTTGCACTACTTAGTAACTGTGTAATTTTGGGTAAATTAATACATATTTCTGCGTCTTATTTTTTGGCATGCTAGCTGAGAGGACTAGATTACCAATAGCTGCCTTTTATTGAGCCATTAATGTATCTGAGCTACTGTTCTAAACATTTATCTGTATTAACTTATTCAATCTCATGGTAGCCTGCGAAGTAGATATAGACATTATGCGTGTTATAAAGGTGAAGGAACTAAAGCACAGAAAAGTAACTTGCTCAAGGTCACACAGCTAGGAAGTTGCAGGGCCAGAATGTAAATCCAGGCTGTTTGGTTTTAATCTAAACTTGTAAACTCTATTCTATACCACCAACTGTCATATATTATTACTATGGTTTCTTTTGTTTTTTTTTTTTTTTTGATGGAGTTTTGCTCTTATTGTCCAGGCTGGAGTGCAGTGGCACGATCTTGGCTCACTGCAACCTCTGCCTCCTGGGTTTAAGCAATTCTCCTGCCTCAGCCTCAAGAGTAACTGGGATTACAGGCGCCTGCCCACCATGCCTGGCTAATTTTTAGTATTTTTTTAGTAGAGACAGGGTTTCGCCATGTTGGCCAGGCTGGTCTCGAACTCCTGACCTCAGGCTGTCCACCCACCTCGGCCTCCCAAAGTGCTGGGATTACAGGTGTGAGCCATAGCGCCTGGCCATTACTATGTTTTTTTTCAAGCTGTAAAGATCTTGGATGGTATGAACTACTTGGTAGCCCTCTACTCATAGAGAGATAATGAAAGTGTACGTTTACAACCTGACAATCTACTAAATTCTGTTAGTACTGCCCCTTTTCTCTTGCTAAGTTCTTCTACTCTGCTTCTAATAATAAGAGGAGGGAAGACACTCTTTCAGCTGCAAAGAACTAGGGAATAATTTTATTTTTTGATTTTGTTTTCATTAAATAGTGTGATGCTTTTCTTGTGATAGGCCATGGAACAGATCAATAGCTGCACAGCTCTACAGCATCTCGATTTATCAGACAATAATATATCCCAGATAGGTGATCTATCTAAATTGGTATCCCTGAAAGTAAGTATGTTTTCTTTGTCATTTGTGAAGTTTTATAGCAAAATACCAAGAGAAAGTAATCTTACTGACCTAAAATTAGCCTGCTTTGTATGAGCAGATTGCTTTCTTTATGATAAGAATTATGGGCTGGGCATGGTGGGTCATGCCTGTAATCCCAGCACTTTGAGAGGCTGAGGCGAGTGGATGGCTTGAGCTCAGAAGTTCAAGACTAGCCTGGGCAACATGGCAAAGCCCCATCTCTACTAAAAATACCAAAAATTAGTGGGGCATAGTGGTGCGAGCCTGTAGTCCCAGCTACTCAGCTAAAGCAGGATTGGTTGAACCCAGGAGGTGGAGGTTGTGGTGACCCGAGATTGGGTCACTGCACTCTAGCCTGGGCAATAGAGTGAGACTCAGTCTCAAAAAAAAAAAAAGGAATTATGTTAGAATACCAGAAATTAAGTTTGAAACTTTTTGTTGTTAGTTATATAACTCATTTATTTGATGTGAAACTGGTCATTGTAGTTAAGGTTAATTTTATTTACCATTCTCTGAACATGATGGAATTCCCTGTATGCCCAATCAACCAATATTAGTAACTTCAGTTATTATATAGTACATAATCTTTGGTGAGGTTGAGATTAATCATTCCTGAATTTGAGTCTGTCTTTATTTTTTTTTGAGACAGAGTCTTGCTCTGTCACCCAGGCTAGAGTGTAGTAGTACAATCTCACTCGACCTCCCAGGCTCAAGTGATCCTCTCACCTTAGCCTCCCAAGTAGCTAGGACCATAGGCATGTGTACATCACCACACCCAGCTAATTTTTTGAGTGTTTGTAGAGATGAGATCTTTTTCTTTTCTTTTTTTTTTTTAGATAGAGTTCTGCTCTGTCACCCAAGCAGTGGTGCAATCTTGGCTCACTGCAACCCAAGCAGTGGTTGCAGTGGTGCAATCTTGGCTCACTGCAACCTCTGCCTCCTGTGTTCAAGTGATACTTCTGCCTCAGCGTCCCGCGTAGCTGGGATTATAGGCGCCCACCACCACACCTGGCTAATTTTTTGTATTTTTAGTAGAGACAGGATTTCACCACGTTGGCCAGGCTGATTTTGAACTCCTGACCTCACATGATCCTCCTGCCTTGGCCTCGCAAAGTGTTGGGATTACAAGCGTGAGCCACTGCACCTGGCCAGAGATGAGATCTTACTATGTTGTCTAGACTGGTCTCAAACTCCTGGACTCTAGCAGTCCTCCTGCCTCAGTCTCTCAAAGTGCTAGGATTACAGGCATGAGCCACCGAACTGGCCGAGTCTGTTTTTTTGTTTTGTTTTGTTTTGTTTTGTTTTGTTTTGTTTTGTTTTGTTTTGTTGAGACGGAGTTTTGCTCTGTTGCCCAGGCTGGAGTGCAGTGGCGCAATCTCGGCTCACTGCAACCTCTGCCTCCCAGGTTCAAGCGATTCTCCTGCCTCAGCCTCCTGAGTAGCTGGGACTACAGGTGCATGCCACCACGCCCAGCTAATTTTTGTATTTTTAGTAGAGATGGCATTTCATCATGTTGGCCAGGCTGGTCTCGAACTCCTGACCTTGTGATCCACCCGCCTCGGCCTCCCAAAGTGTTGGGATTACAGGCATGAGCCACTGCGCTGGGTCCCAAGTCTGGATTTTTTTTTTTTTTTTTGACATTCAGAATTGCTGTTTTTAAAGTAATAGGTATTAGCTAATTGTCAAAATTAATTTCACTTAGAAAAAAACATGTAGCATGTAGCACTTTTTATGGAGGGGAATGTATCATGCAGTCAAATAAGTAACAGTTGAAATCACAGTCTTGAAAAACATGTAGAACATTTTAAATATTGTTGCCTCATTGGATATTATTACCATCAGATATGTTCATTAAGCCCTAGAAGCAGTATCTTAGTTCACTTTTTCCCAGATCTTTAGCAGAAATCATTTTTAGCAATAATTATTCTAAACATTTTGATGTAGCCAGATGTTGTCCTAATAGATGCTAAGAGAATTCAAATGAACCAAAGATGATTGAATTTTTTTTTTTTTTTTTGCTGGAATAGAAGCCTATTTATCTGATCAGAATCCTGGGTGTTCAGTTTTGGGTTTATTCTTGGTTGTTGCTGACTTAATGTGAGTCAGCTTTATCTGCAAGTAACACATTCTACCTCCCTTTATTTTTTAGTTACCTAGAGAATACAGTTGCAATTATGGATGTAGGTTATCACTCTCTTTTTTGGAAAATTTGCTTTATATGTGGTTGTTTTAATGACTTTTTTTTTTTTTTTTTTTTAATTTGAGACATCAGAGTCTTGCTGTCACCCAGGCTCGAGTGCAGTGGTGCAGTCATGGCTTACTATAGCCTCGACCTCCTGGGCTCAAGTGATCCCCCTACCTCAGCCTCCCCAGTAGCTGGAAATACAGGTGCACCTCATCATGCCTGGCTAATTTTTTGATTTTTAGTAGAGACCAGGTCTCACTATGTTGCCCAGGCCGGTCTCAAACTCCTGGGCTCAAGCAATCTTCCCTCCTTGGCCTCCCAAAATGCTGGGATTACAGGCATGAGCCACCACACATGGCCTCTATTTTGATATTTTAAAAGAAAATGAAAAAGTGTGTTAGAAATTGCTCAGTGTCTCATAAGTTAAATCTCACAGCATGCCTAGTTGCTATGCCAAGCATGTGTTTTTGGACAAGTCTTTAAAATATCATGAGCTTAGGATGTTGGTATGAAAACAGAGAGTTGGACCAGAAGATCATCAAGGACCCTTGTAGCATTAACAGTCTTTGATTTGTGTGTGATGAGAAATATAATAAAGTAGATTCCTTTATTCTTATATGTACCATTTTGGTGTTGTCACAATAGGCCAATTTATTTGTAATCTTTTCATTTGTAATTCATACTGTTTTTACTTTCAAGACCCTGCTTTTACATGGAAACATCATCACCTCTCTTAGAATGGCACCTGCTTACCTACCCAGAAGTCTTGCTATACTTTCTTTGGCAGAAAATGAAATCCGAGACTTAAATGAGGTAAAATTTGAGGGTATTTTGTGAGATTCAGGAAGCTGGAAATCCTAGGAAAGACACAGGAGAGGGTTGTGAGCTTACTTTTAGACTGTGAGCATCTTGGAAGAAACTGCCATTCATATGAAATGCTTGGCTCTAGATCTTTCCACTTTTCCTTAGTGTCAGTGGGTCATTAAGGTCTAATTTCCTTTGTAAAGCTGTAATTATCATTCCACTGGGAGGCGATTGGTGGTAGAGGGACATCTACGTTATAAGGGTTTATAAGACTCCCTGTCCACCTTTCCTGGCTGCTGTGATGTTTTCAAAATAGGGTTATTTCTGCTAGGAAACAGTGCTGATATTTGCCAGGGGATTTTGTGCAGCAGGGACAGATGGCTATATTGTTGAAACTTTGGAAGTCAATGGACACTTGTCACTTTTCAGAACAAGAGGGAAATTATCACATTCTCAAATGCTGCCAAAGATATGTAATCAGTGGAAATTTTGTGCTTGACACTGAATAGTCCTTTTGTTCAACAAAGATATCTTTTGTTCCAGATCTCTTTTTTGGCATCCTTAACTGAATTGGAACAGTTGTCGATTATGAACAATCCTTGTGTGATGGCAACACCATCCATCCCAGGATTTGACTATCGGCCGTACATCGTCAGCTGGTGCCTAAACCTCAGAGTCCTAGATGGATATGTGATTTCTCAGAAGGAAAGGTAAACATGTGCTCTTTAACATCACAAATGTTACTGAAAAGACCATTTCTAGTTTACTACAGATTAATAGAGTATTTCTTAAAATGTGCATTTAGATAACAAGAGTATTAGTGCAGTCATGTAGCAGACTATATGCTGGTCATTTAGGATTTTCTGTCATTTCTAAAAAAGGATAAGAAATAAATATTGGCCTGGTGCAGTGGCTCATGCCTGTAATCCTTGCACTTTGGAAAGCCGAGGCAGGAGGATTGCTTGAGCCCAGGAGTTTGAGACCAGCCTGGGCAATATAGGGAGACCACATCTCAAAAAAAAAAAAAAATTAGCTGGGTGTGGTGGTACACACCTGTAGTCCTAGCTACTTAGGAAGCTGAGGTGGGAGGATTGCTTGAGCCCAGGAATTTAAGGTTACAGTGAGCTATGGTTGTGTCATTGCACTCTACCTTGGGTGACAGAGTGAGACCCTGTCTCTGAAAAAAAAAGAAGAAATCTCGGCCCCAGAGATTGGAGCTAGTAGTCTTAGTGCCCTACATACAACAATTTGATTTCTAAAAGTTCTTTTGTTAATCAGTTGTTTGGAGCTTGGAACACTTTTGCTTAGAAACCATCATGTTATAGATCCTGTGTAGGATCTCAGATCAGTCTCACAAAAGCTTGTAATATATTAATCTATCACATATATAAGGGCCGTATTTTTTATTCATTTTATTTTCTATTTTATCATCCAGCTCCAAATGCCATGTAAGGGCAGTATTAGTAGTATCTTAGAATTCTCCAAATACTCATTATAATGATAACTCTGGGAAAATGCAGAGTTTTAATTTGGAACTAGTAGCAGATGTGGTGATTGGTCCTCCTCTTCTTTTTTTTTTATTTTTTTATTTTTTATTTTTTTTTGAGACGGAGTCTCGCTCTGTCGCCCAGACTGGAGTGCAGTGGCGGGATCTCGGCTCACTGCAAGCTCCGCCTCCCGGGTTCACGCCATTCTCCTGCCTCAGCCTCCCGAGTAGCTGGGACTACAGGCGCCCGCCACTACGCCCGGCTAATTTTTTGTATTTTTAGTAGAGACGGGGTTTCACCGTTTTAGCCGGTATGGTCTCGATCTCCTGACCTCGTGATCCACCCGCCTCGGCCTCCCAAAGTGCTGGGATTACAGGCGTGAGCCACCGCGCCCAGCCTTTTTATTTTTTTTGAGACTGAGTTTCACTCTTGTTGCCCAGGCTGGAGTGCAATGGCGCGATCTCTGCTCATCACAACCTCCACCTCCTGGGTTCAAGCGATTCTTCTGCCTCAGCCTCCCAAGTAGCTGGAATTATAGGCATGTGCCACCACACCCAGCTAATTTTGTATTTTTAGTGGAGGCAGGGTTTTTCCATGTTGTTTAGGCTGGTCTCAAACTCCTGACCTCAGGTGATGCGCCCGCCTCGGCCTCCCAAAGTGTTGGGATTACAGGCATGAGCCACTGCACCTGGCCAGGTTCTCCCCTTCTTATACCTGTGAAGCAGCAGAAGCAAGAATTCCCCCACCTGTAAATCATTAATAGTTTCTGTGGCTTGGAGCTGGGATCCCTGCAGAATGGAGTCTTCTGGACCCTGATACCTGATCAGTGGAATGAGAGCTTTAGGGGAGGTAAGGAACTAGGATATGGGAAGGAGGGAGTGGAATTGGGATAGTGAGAGTTGAGATGACTTTATTCTGTCTACTATGCTTCATTTAACTTTTTTCTCTCAGTACATACACACATGCATTATGGACTCAACACATACATTATCCCTCGCCTTTTTTTGTTCTTCTCTACTACAGACAGTAGTTACTTCAGGAGTTTCCTGATGGGAGGACGGGTGGTAGATTACAGACAGCGTCTCCCTTCTCTGTCTCTCTGCTGTTTTGTATAGTTTCTGAGTAAAGCACAGGGCCGTGAGGAATGGCAGCCAAGAGCTAGATAGTGGTGGTGCTGGTGTAGGGTGAGGGACATATGTCAGGTCTAGTTTGCCTACAGGAAAGGGTGGCTTTTCTTTTTCCTGCTGTGAATGTTGCTCTGAGAATAAACCTTATTTTGTTTCAAACTGTGACTAGTTCTAGATTTGGAATATGGGTTTACTTGGATAATCCTCTGTACAGTTGTTGACTTCTTCTGTGGGAGTAGGACTGGCAACATTTTCATGTCTGAGAGGCAGCATGGTGATGTGGGCAGAGATAAAGGTTTGGTGTAAAGAGAGACCCACAAAGAGAGATGAGACCTGCTTACGATAGACAGGGGAAGGCTTCACTTTTTTCTCTGCTATCTATTAGCTGTGTGGCCTTGTCAAGTTCCTTAGGGCTTTTCTGAGGCTAAGTTTCCTCATCTGTAAAATGTGAATAGCGGTACTACCTTGCTTTCATGGATGGTAGGATTAAGGATGATGTATAGAACATAGGACTGGTCATATAGTAGGTGCTTAATAAATGATATTATATAAGGATAGAGACTAAAGGTTGAAGAGTTTGTTGAAACTAAAGAGAGTGTCAAGACAGAAAATATTTGTTGATTGGATAAATAATGATAAAAAAGTCTGTGTTTCTATACTGTGGAAATGGTTTTATTCCAAGTGACTTTAAGGTGAATTTGAATATTTTTTGAGCTTTCTCCATAATGCTTTGCAAACATTTAATTTCAGAGACTTCAGGAGATAGGGAAGAGTGGGCTCCCACTTGGGGTAGCCTCTCTCTCTGGGGTTGTCCTGCACTAAAGAAGTGTGTGGGGGGGTGGCTGGCAAGATGGCTGAATAGCAACAGCTCTGGTCTGCAGCTCCCAGTGAGATTAGCACAGAAGGCGGGTGATTTCTACATTTCCACCTGAGGTACGTGGCTCATCTCACTGGGACTAGTTAGACAGTGGGTGCAGCCCACAGAGGGTGAGCAGAAGCAGGGTGTGGCGTTGCCTCACCCGGGAAGTGCAAGGGGTCAGGGAACTCCCTCCCCTAGCCTGGGGAAGCCGTGAGGGACTGTGCTGGGAGGAACAGTGTACTCTGGCCCAGAAACTACGCTTTTCCCATGGTCTTCACAACCCCACACACCAGGAGATTCCCTCCAGTGCCTACGCCACCAGGGCCCTGGGTTTCAAGCACAAAAGTGGGTGGCCGTTGGGCAGACACCAAGCTAGCTGTAGGAGTTTTTTTCATATCCCAGTGGCGCCTGGAACACCAGTGAGACAGAACCGTTCACTCCTCTGGAAAGGGGGCTGAAGCCAGCAAGCCAAGTGGTCTAGCGCAGAGGATCCCAGCCCCACAGAGCCCAGCAAGCTAAGATACACAGGGTTGAAATTCTTGCTGCCAGTACAGCAGTCTGAAGTCGACCTGGGATGCTCGAGCTTGTCGGGGGAGGGGCATCTGCCTTTACCGAGGTGCGAATAGGTGGTTTTCCCCTCACAGTGTAAACAAAATCTCCCGCAAGTTCAAACTGGGCAGAGCCCACTGCAGCTCAGCAAAGCTGCTGTAGCCGGACTGCTTCTCTAGATTCCTCCTCTCTGGGCAGGACATCTCTGAAAGAAAGGCAGCAGCCCCAGTCAGGGGGCTTATAGATAAAACTCCGCATCTCCCAGGGACAGAGCACCTGGGGGAAGGGGCAGCTGTAGGTGCAGCTTCAGCAGGCTTAAATGTTCCTGCCTCCCGGCTCTGTAAGAGAGCGATGGATCTCCCAACACAGCCCTTGAGCTCTGCTAAGGGACAGACTGTCTCCTCAAGTGGGTCCCTGATCCCCGTGTCTCCTGACTGGGAGACATCTCCCAGCAACGGTTGACAGACACCTCATATAGGAGAACTCCGGCTGGCATTTGGTGAGTGCCCCTCTAGGATGAAGCTTCCAGAGGAAGGAACAGGCAGCAATCTTTGCTGTTCTGCAGCCTCTGCTGTTGATAGCCAGGAAAACAGGTAGTGGATGTCCAGCAAACTCCAGCAGACCTGCAGCAGAGGGGCATGACTGTTAGAAGGAAAACTAACAAACAGAAAGGAATAGCATCAACATCAACAAAAAGGACATCCACACAGAAACCCCATCTGAAGGTCACCAACATCAAAGACCAATAGTAGATAAATCCACGAAGATGAGGAAAAACCAGTGCAAAAAGGCTGAAAATTCCAAAAACCAGAGTGCTTCTTCTCCCGCAAAGGATCACAACTGCTTGCCAGCAAAAGAACAAAACTGGACAGAGAATGAGTTTCACAAATTGACAGAAGTAGGCTTCAGAATAATAACAAACTCCGTTGAGCTAAAGGAGCATATTCTAACCCAATGCAAGGAAGCTAAGAACCTTGAACAAAGGTTAGAGGAATTGCTAACTAGAATAACCAGTTTAGAGAGAACATAAATGACCTGATGGAGCTGCAAAACACAGCACGAGAACTTTGTGAAGCATACACAAGTATCAATAGTCGATTTGATCAAAAGGAAGCAAGGATATCAGAGATTGAAGATCAACTTAATGAAATAAACTGTGAAGACAAGATTGGAGAAAAAAGAATGAAAAGGAATGAAGAAAGCCTCCAAGAAATATGGGATTATGTGAAAAGACCAAACTTAACGTTTTATTGGTGTACCTGAAAGTGACAGGGAGAATGGAACCAAGTTAGGAAACACTCTTCAGGATATTATCCAGGAGAACGTCCCCAACCTAGCAAGACAGGCCAACATTCAAATTCAGGAAATAAAGAGAACACCACAAAGATACTCCTCGAGAAGAGCAACCCCAAGACACATAATTGCCAGATTCGCCAAAGTTGAAATGAAGGAAAAAATGTTAAGGGCAACCAGTGAGTAAAGTCAAGTTACAAAGGGAAGCCCATCAGACTTAACAGCAGGTCTCTCTGCAGAAACCCCACAAGCCAGAAGAGAGTGGGGGCCGATATTCAACATTCTTAAAGAGAAGAATTTTCAACCCAGAATTTCATATCCAGCCAAACTAAGCTTCATAAGTGAAGGAGAAATAAAATCCTTTACACACAAGCAAAGGCTGAGAGATTTTGTTACCACCAGGCCTGCCTTACAAGAACCACTGAAGGAAGCACTAAACATGGAAAGGAAAAACCAGTACTAGCCACTGCAAAAACATACCAAATTGTAAAGATCATCAACACTACGAAGAAACTGCATCAACTAACGAGTGAAATAACCAGCTAGCATCAAAATGACAGGATCAAATTCACACATAACAATATTAACCTTAAATGTAAATGGGCTATTAGCCCAATTAAAAGACATAGACTGGCAAATTGGATAAAGAATCAAGAACCATTGGTGTGCTGCACTCAGGAGATGCATCTCACATGTAAAGACACACATAGATTCAAAGGGATGGAGGAATATTTACCAAACAAATGGAAAGCAAAAAAAAAAAAAAAAAAAAAAAGCAGGGGTTACAATCATAGTCTCTGATAAAACAGACTTTAAACCAACATATATCAAAAAGACAAAGAAGGGCATTACATAATGGTAAAGGGATCAATGGAACAAGAAGAGCTAACTATCCTAAATATATTTGCACCCAATACAGGAGCACCCAGATTCATAAAGCAAGTTCTTGGAGACTTACAAAGAGACTTAGACTCCCACACAATAATAGTGGGAGACTTTAACACCCCACTGTCAAAATTAGATCAACAAGACAGAAAATTAACAAGGGTATTTAGGACTTGACGTCAGCTCTGGACCAAGCAGACCTAATAGATATCTACAGAACTCTCCACACCAAATCAACAGAATATACATTCTTTTCAACACCACATCACACTTATTCTAAAATTGACCACATAATTGGAAATAAAACACTCCTGAGCAAATGTAAAAGAACAGAAATTATAACAGTCTCTCAGACCACAGTGCAATCAAATTAGAACTCAAGATTAAGAAACTTAAAACCGCCCAACTACACGGAAACTGAACAACCTCCTCCTGAATAACTACTGGGTACATAACGAAATTACAGCAGAAATTAAGTTTTTTGAAACCAATGAGAACAAAGACACAACATCCCAGAATCTCTGGTACACATTTAAAGCAGTGTGTAGAGGGAAATTTATAGCACCAAAAGCCCACAGGAGAAAGGAGGAAAGATCTAAAATTAACACCGTAACATAACAATTAAAAGAACTAGAGAAGGAAGAACAAACAAATTCAAAGCTAGCAGAAAACAAGAAATAACAAATATCAGAGCAGAACTGAAGGAGATAGAGACACAAAAAACCCTTCAAAAAATCAATGAATTCAGGAGCTGGTTTTTTGAAAAGATCAACAAAATAGACTGCTAACCAGACTAATAAGAAAAGAGAGAAGAATCAAATAGACACAATAAAAAATGATAAAGAGCATATCACCGTTGATCCCATAGAAATACAAACTACCATCAGAGAATAAACACCTCTACACAAATAAACTAGAAATCTAGAAGAAATCAATACATTTCTGGACACATACACCCACCCAAGACTAAACCAGGAAGAAGTCAGAGCCCTGAATAGATCAATAACAAGTTCTGATATTGAGGCAGTAGTTAATAGCCTACCAGCCAAAAGAAGCCCAGGACCAGACGGATTCACAGCTGAATTCTGCCAGAGGTACAAAGAGGAGCTGGTACTATTCCTTCTGAAACTATTCCAAACAAAAGAAAAAGAGGGACTCCTCCCTAACTCATTTATGAGGTCAGCAACATCCTGATACCAAAACCTGGCAGAGACACACACACAAAAAGGAAAATTTCAGGCCAGTATCCCTGATGAACATTAATGCAAAAGTCCTCAATAAAATACTGGCTAACCGAATCCAGCAGCACATCAAAAAGCTTATCCACCACGATCAAATCGGCTTCATCCCTGGGATGCAAGGCTGGTTCATCATATGCAAATCAATAAACATAATCCATCACATAAACAGAACCAATGATAAAAACCACATGATTATCTCAATAGATGCAGAAAAGGCCTTCAATAAAATTCAACACCCCTGGCGGGGCGCAGTGGCTCACGACTGTAATCCCAGCACTTTGGGAGGCCGAGGTGGGTGGATCATGAGGTCAGACGTTAAAGACCGGCCTGGCCAAAATGGTAAAACCCCGTCTCTACTAAAAATATAAAAATTAGCCAGAGGTGGTGGTGGGCACTTGTAATCCCAGTTACTCAGGAGGCTGAGGCAGAGAATTGCTTGAACCCGGGAGGCGTAGTTTGCAGTGAGCTGAGATCACACCACTGCACTCCAACCTGGGTGACAGAGCAAGACACCATCTAAAAAAAAAAAAAATCAGCACCCCTTCATGCTAAAAACTCTCAATAAACTAGGTATTGATGGAACATATCTCAAAATAATAAGAGCTATTTATGACAAACCCACAGCCAATATCATACTGAATGGGCAAAAGCTGGAAGCATTCCCTTTGAAAACTGGCACAAGACAGGGATGCCCTCTCTTACCACTCCTATTCAACATAGTATTGGAAGTTTTGGCCAAGGCAATCAGGCAAGAGAAAGAAATAAAGGGTATTCAGATAGGAAGAGAGGAAGTCAAATTGTCTCTGTTTGCAGATGACATGATTGTATATTTGGAAAACCCCATTGTTCCAGCCCAAAATCTCCTTAAGCTGATAAGCAACTTCAGCAAAGTCTCAGGATACAAAATCAATGTGCAAAAATCACAAGCATTCCTATACAACATAATAGAGAGCCTAATCATGAGTGAACTTCCATTCACAATTGCTGCAAAGAGACTAAAATACCTAGGAATACAACTTACAAGGGATGTAAAGGACCTCTTCAAGGAGAACTACAAACCAGTGCTCAAGGAAATAAGAGAGGACACAAACAAATGGAAAAACATTCCATGCTCATGCATAGGAAGAATCAATATTGTGAAAATGGCCATACTGCCCAAAGTAATGTATAGATTCAGTGCTATCCTCATCAAGCTACCATTGACTTTCTTTTTTTTTTTTTGAGACGGAGTTTTGCTCTTGTTGCCCAGGCTGGAGTGCAATGGCATGATCTCGGCTCACTACAACCTCCACCTCGTGGGTTCAAGCGATTCTCCTGCCTCAGCCTCCCTAGTAGCTGGGATTACAGGCATGCGCCACCACGCCTGGCTAATTTTGTATTTTTAGTAGAGATGGGGTTTCTCCATGTTGGTCAGACTGGTCTTGAACTCCCTACCTCAGGTGATCCACCCGCCTCGGCCTCCCAAAGTGTTGGGATTACAGGCGTGAGCCAGCGCACCCGGTCCCATTGACTTTCTTCACAGAATTAGAAAAAAATACTTGAAATTGCATATGGAACCAAGAAAGAGCCTGTATAGCCAAGACAATCCTAAGCAAAAAGAACAAAGCTGGAAGTATCACGCTACCTGACTTCAAACTACACTACAAGGCTACAGTAACCAAAACAGTGTAGTACTGGTACCAAAACAGTTATATAGACAAATGGAACAGAACAGACGCCTCAGAAATAACACCACACATCTACAACCCTCTGATCTTTGACAAACCTGCAAGCAATGGGGAAAGGATTCCTTATTTAATAAATGGTGTTGGGAAAACTGGCTAGCCATATGCAGAAAACTGAAATTGGACCCCTTCCATACACCTTATACAAAAATTAACTCAAGATGGATTAAAGACTTAAATGTAAGACCTAAAACTGTAAAAACCCTGAAAGAAAACCAAGACAATTCCATTCAGGACATAGGCATGGGCAAAGACTTCATGACTAAAACATCAAAAGCAATGGCAACAAAAGCCAAAATTGACACATAGGATCTAATTAAACTAAAGAGCTTCTGCACAGCAAAAGAAACTATCATCAAAGTGAACAGGCAACCTACAGAATGGGAGAAAATTTTTGCAATCTATCCATCTGTCAAAGGACCAATATCCAGAATCTACAAAGAACTTAAACAAATTTAAAAGAAAAAAACCCATCAAAAAGTGGGCAAAGGATATGAACAGATATTTCTCAAAAGAAGACATTTATGCGGCCAACAATCATATGAAAAAAAGCTCATCATCACTGGTCATTAGAGAAATGCAAATCAAAACCACAATGAGATACCATCTCATGCCAGTTAGAATGGTGATCATTAAAAAGTCAGGAAACAGGCTGGGCATGGTGGCTCACGCCTGTAATCCCAGCACTTTGGGAGTCCGAGGCAGGTGGATCACGAGGTCAGAAGTTCGAGACCAGCCTGACCAACATGGTGAAACCCCATCTCTACTAAAAATAGAAAAAAATTAGCCAGGTGTGGTGGCGCGCACCTGTAATCCCAGCTACTCAGGGGGCTGAGGCAGGAGAGTCGCTTGAGCCCAGGAGGTGGAGGTTGCAGTGAGCTGAGATTGTGCCATTGCACTCCAGCCTGGGTGACAGAGTGAGACTCCGTCTCAAAAAAAAAAAAACAAAAAAACAAAAAAACAAAAAAAACAGGAAACAACAGATGCTGGAGAGGATGTTAAGAAATAGGAACACTTTTATACTGTTGGTGGGAGTGTAAGTTCAATTATTGTGGAAGACAGTGTGGCAATTCCTCAAGGACCTAGAACCAGAAATACCATCTGACTCAGCAATCCCATTACCGAGTATATACCCAAAGGATTATAAATCATTCTACTATAAGGACACATGCACATGTATGTTTATTGTGGCACTTTTCACAATAGCAAAGACTTGGAACCAATCCAAATGCCCATCAATGATAGACTGGATAAAGAAAATGTGGCACATATACACCATGGAATAATACTATGGAGCCATAAAAATGGATCAGTTCATGTCCTTTGCAGAGACATGGATGAAGCTGGAAACCATCATTCTTAGCAAACTAACACAGGAACAGAAAACCAAACACCTGCATGTTCTCACTCATAAGTGGGAGTTGAACAATGAGAACACATAGACACAGGGAGGGGAACATCACACACCAGGGCCTGTTGGGTGGGGGCTAGGGGAGTGATAGCATTAGGAGAAATACCTAATGTAGGTGACGAGTTGCTGGGTGCAGCAAACCACCATGGCATGCGTATACCTATGTAATAAACCTGCACATTCTGCACAAGTATCCCAGAACTTAAAGTATTTAAAAAAAAAAAAAAAGTGTGGGAAGAAGGAAGAGATGGGAGGGTAGCTCAATAGCAAATTTTTTTCCAGACACATTTTTAAGAATTGTAGAAGTACAGAGCGAGACTCCATCTCAAAAAAATAAATAAATAAATAAAGAATTGTAAAAGTATCACATAATTAAGATACAGTTTTAAAATAATATTTTAAAATATCCTTATAATCACTTCAGAGAACAGGAAGAGAGCATGGCCGCACGTGGTGGCTCACACTTGTAGTCCCATTACTTGGGAGGCCAAGGTGGGTGGATTGCTTGAGCCCAGGAGTTTGAGACCAGTCTGGGCAATATGGTGAAACCCTGTCTCTACAAAAAAATACAAAAAATTTGCTGGGTGTGGTGGTGTGTGCCTGTAGTCCCAGCTACTCAGGAGGCTGAAGTGGGAGGATTGCTTGAGCCAGGGAGGCAGATGTTGCAGTGAGATGAAATTGCACCACTGTACTCCAGCCTGGGCAACAAAGTGGGAAAAAAAAAAATACAACCAGCATCTAGAGATCCCCTTTGTTTCCCTCTGGTCGTAACTCCCCTCCTCACTAGAAGTAACTTTATGGTAACTTTTTAATAATTTAGAAATTTTTTTTTTCCTGGTTATTATGGCATCTTCAACCAGTTTCTCCTAGAAAAAATATATATATATTTTTTGAAGACAGAGTGTTGCTCTGTTTCCCAGGCTAGAGTGCAGTGGCATGATCATAGCTCATTGTAACCTCCGCCTCCTACGCTGAAGGGACCGTCCTGTCTCAGCCTTCCAAGTAGCTGGGACTATAGGCACACACCACTGTGCCCAGCTCATTTTTAAATTTTTAGTTCAGATAAGGTTTTGCTGTGTTGCCCGGGCTGGTCTTGAATTCCTGGGCTAGAGCAGTCCTCTTACCTCAGCCTCCCAAAATGCTGGGATTATACATTTGAGCCACTGCACCCAGCTAGAATAACCAGAATTAAAAGACTGATGGCCAGGTGCAGTGGCTCACGCCTGTAATCCTAGCACTTTGGGAGGCCAAGGCGGGAGGATCACTGAGGTCGGGAGTTTGAGACCAGCCTGACCAATACAGAGAAACCCCGCTCTATTAAAAATACAAAAAAATTAGCTGGGTATGGTCGCGCGTGCCTATAATCCCAGCTACTTGGGAGGCTGAGGCAGGAGAATCACTTGAATCCGAGAGGCAGAGGTTACGGTGAGCTGAGATCGTGCCATTGAACTCTAGCCTGGGCAACAAGAGTGAAACTCCGTCTCAAAAAAAAAAAAAAAAGACTGATAATACTAAGGATGTGGTGCAATTGGAATGCTCATAAACCACTCTAGGGGACGATAAATGGTACAACTACTTTGAAAAACTAGAAGTATCTACTGAAGCTAAATGTACATATATACTTTGTTACCCAGCAATTTTACTTCACATGTATACTGTATAGAAATAGCTACTTAGGTCTCCCAAAAGACATGTACATGCATTTTCACAGCAGCCCTATTCATAATAGCACATCAGCCTATACAGGAATGGATAGAGTTCTCAAAAAAAGAAAAAAAAAAGGGTCAGCACATTGGTTCATGCCTGTAATCCTAGCACTTTGGGAGGCCAAGGTGGGTGGATCACCTGAGGTCAGGAGTTCAAGACCAGCCTGACCAACTTGGTGAAACCCCGTCTCTACTAAAAATACAAAATTAGCTGGGTGTGGTAGCACATGCCTGTAATTCCAGCTACTTGGGAGGCTGAGGCAGGAAAATCACTTGAACCCAGGAGGCGGAGGTTGCAGTGAGCTGAGATTGCACCATTGCACTCCAGCCTGGGCAACAAGAGCAAAACTCTGTCTCAAAAAAAAAAAAAAAAAGGATAGAGTTACTCTCAAACTAGGAACTTAGATGGTTGGTGCCGTGCTAGAGACAAAATGATGTTGCAGTTGTAGTCTGTCAACAGTGCTCCCATGCTTTAAAACAACTCTGGAAGTATTGTGTTCAGGAAGAAGACATTATTCTAAGGGAGAGCTATTGCCTTAAAAATCGGTGTTTGGCCTGAGCAGTGCTGAAAATATTTTCCTGGTCAACATTGAGAATTGCCCTGAAGGACAGGAAGGAATTTTCAGTTTTTAAAGTCTGCCCATCCTGGTTGTTATTTGCTAAGAACACCCAGGTTAAAGTTCTCCATTATGAAATGTATCCTAGATTCTTTGATAACATCAGGTAGCTAGATCTTGATTTGAGTGTATGTATTACCCAAAAGAGTAACTTGAGCAGTAACCAAACCTTGTGGTGCTTTGGCTGAGCCATTTCTCAGAGTTAAGCGTACCTGTGGAGAGACAAGCATCTTTGTGTGGCACCTCAGTGTTTGGAGTTCTTTCTGAATGTGTTTAGATCTCTGTTTTGCTATTGACAGGAACTTGCACAAAGCTATAACTCTATTGCTTAGTTAGAGATCATATGGGAGCAGAACCTTGGAGAAAGTTAATATTCCTTTTTAAAATTATTTAAGTTGAAATTCCTAGTGCTAGATATTTTCTTTTTAATTTTCAGAGATGGGGTCTCACATTGTTGTCTAGGCTGGAATGCAGTGACAGGATCACAGCTTACTGCAGCCTCAACCTCCCGGGCTCAAACGATTCTTCTGCTTCAGCCTCCTGAGTAGCTGGGAATAGATGCATGCCACCAGAAAAAATTAGCCTCATTTTTTAAACTTTTTTGTAGAGATGGGTTATTGCTATGTTGCCCAGTCGGGTCTGGAACTTCTGGGCTCATTGGATCCTCCCGCCTCAGCCTCCCAAAGTGCTGGGATTACAGATATAAGCCACTGCACCTAGCCAATATCCTTTTTTTTTTTTAAAGGGATATTTCAAATATATACAAAGTTAGAATAACATAATGAACATCTATGTACCCACCATGCGGCTTCAACAATTGTCAATATTCTGCCAGTCTTGTTTCATTCCACATTTTTTGTTGGAATATTTTATTTTGTTTATTTTTTTGAATTTTATTTATTTATTTATTTATTTAAATTTATTATTATACTTTAAGTTTTAGGGTACATGTGCACAATGTGCAGGTTAGTTACATATGTATACATGTGCCATGCTGGTGTGCTACACCCACTAACTCATCATCTAGCATTAGGTATATCTCCCAATGCTATCCCTCCCTGCTCCCCCCACCCCACAACAGTCCCCAGAGTGTAATGTACCCCTTCCTGTGTCCATGTGTTCTCATTGTTCAATTCCCACCTATGAGTGAGAATATGCGGTGTTTGGTTTTTTGTTCTTGTGATAGTTTACTGAAAATGATGATTTCCAATTTCATCCATGTCCCTACAAAGGACATGAACTCATTATTTTTTATGGCTGCATAGTATTCCATGGTGTATATGTGCCACATTTTCTTAATCCAGTCTATCATTGTTGGACATTTGGGTTGGTTCCAAGTCTTTGCTATTGTGAATAATGCCACAATAAACATATGTGTGCATGTGTCTTTATAGCAGCATGATTTATAGCATCACACTACCTGACTTTAAACTATACTACAAGGCTACAGTAACCAAAACAGCATGGTACTGATACCAAAACAGAGATATAGATCAATGGAACAGAACAGAGCCCTCAGAAATAACGCCGCATATCTACAACTATCTGATCTTTGACAAACCTGAGAAAAACAAGCAATGGGGAAAGGATTCCCTATTTAATAAATGGTGCTGGGAAAACTGGCTAGCCATATGTAGAAAGCTGAAACTGGATCCCTTCCTTACACCTTATACAAAAATCAATTCAAGATGGATTAAAGACTTAAACGTTAGACCTAAAACCATAAAAACCCTAGAAGAAAACCTAGGCATTACCATTCAGGACATAGGCATGGGCAAGGACTTCATGTCTAAAACACCAAAAGCAATGGCAACAAAAGATAAAATTGACAAATGGGATCTCATTAAACTAAAGACCTTCTGCACAGCAAAAGAAACTACCATCAGAGTCAACAGGCAACCTACAAAATGGGAGAAAATTTTTGCAACCTACTCACCTGACAAAGGGCTAATATCCAGAATCTACAATGAACTCAAACAAATTTACAAGAAAAAAACAAACAACCCCATCAAAAAGTGGGCAAAGGACATGAACAGACACTTCTCAAAAGAAGACATTTATGCAGCCAAAAAACACATGAAAAAATGCTCACCATCACTGGCCATCAGAGAAATGCAAATCAAAACCACAATGAGATACCATCTCACACCAGTTAGAATGGCAATCATTAAAAAGTCAGGAAACAACAGGTGCTGGAGAGGATGTGGAGAAACAGGAACACTTTTACACTGTTGGTGGGACTGTAAACTAGTTCAACCATTGTGGAAGTCAGTGTGGCGATTCCTCAGGAATCTAGAACTAGAAATAACATTTGACCCAGCCATCCCATTACTGGGTATATACCCAAAGGACTATAAATCATGCTGTTGGAGCATTTTAAAAGCAAATATCAGATACCCTTTTATTCAGAACTCCTTTTTTTTTTTTTTTTTTTGAGACGGAATCTCACTCTGTCGCCCAGGTTGGAGTGCAGTGGCACGATCTCGGCTCACTGCAAGCTCTGCCTCCCGTATTCTGGCCATTCTCCTGCCTCAGCCTCCCGAGTAGCTGGGACTATAGGCGCCTGCCACCACGCCCGGCTAATTTTTTGTGTTTTTAGTAGAGATGGGGTTTCACTGTGTTAGCCAGGATGGTCTCGATCTCCTGACCTTGTGATCCGCCCACCTCAGCCTCCCAAAGTTTTGGGATTACAGGCGTGAGCCACCGCGCCTGGCCTTCCTTTTTTTTTTTTTGAGACAGTTTCGCTCTTGTTGCCCAGGCTGGAGTGCAGTGGTGCGATCTCGGCTCACTGCAACCTCTGCCTCCTTGGTTCAAGCAATTCTCCTGCCTCTGCCACCCTAGTAGCTGGTATTACATTTTTTTTTTTTTTAAAGAGACAGAGCAGGTTGTTTTAAGTTCCCTTTCTTAATAGTTGTTACTTCTCTTGTTTTAAGTAAACAGTTCCTTCACTTTCAAGAGTGGAATCATAATGCAATGACTTGAAATTAATATGTTAGAGGCCAGGCATGGTGGCTCATGCCTGTAATCTTAGTGCCTGGGAAGGTCAACACAGGAGGATCACTTGAAGTCAGCAGTTCAAGACCAGACTGGGCAGCATAGTGAGTCCCCATCTCTAAAAAAAAAATAAAAAATGAAAAAATTAGCTGGGTATGCTGGTGCATACCTGTAGTTTCAGCTACTTGGGAGGCTGAGGTGGGAGGATTGAGTGAGCCCAGCAGTTTGAGGCTGCAGTGAGCCATGATAGTGCCATTGCACTCCAGCCTGGGTGGCAGAGAGACCTTGTCTCAAAAAAAAAAAAAAAAAAAAAAAAAGATTAATATGTTAGAGCTGAATGAGTCTTAATTTTTTTTTTAATTGAAAATGGTATTTTAATTGACAGGGAGTTTTTGTTTTTGGTTTTTTTTTTACGTAGGATTTAATATAATTTGTGTAGGGATAAGTTTATTGATGAATTCATGTGAAGCAAAGTGGAAAATCAGATCTTATAGCAGTTGACGATCTACAGTTTGTGTTTTTTTTCACAAAAACTTAAACTGTGGGATATTCAAACTTGAGCCCTTTCTTCTAGCCTCTTAGTTTCAGTTTTCTGTCTTCCCAAAGTACAGATCATCTCTAACTTAGAAATATTGCTTGCTGAGAAATATTAAAGTTGGCGATTGTCTTCTACTCTGGACCTATTTTTGTACAACCTTTCAACATGCCATTTGTTTGGCAGGAGAATGTATGCAGACTTAGAGCAGATTTCATGAAGATTCTAAATGATTTTGATTTAGTCCACAGGGATGTTTCCATGGAAGAATACTTCTTTTTCTTTTGAGATGGAGTCTCACTCTGTTGCCCAGGCTGGAGTGCAGTGGCGCAATCTCGGCTTACTGCAAGCTCCGCCTCCTGGGTTCATACCATTCTCCTGCCTCAGTCTCCCGAGTAGCTGGGACTACAGGTGCATGCCACCACGCCTGGCTAATTTTTTGTATTTTTAGTAGAGACGGGGTTTCACCGTGTTAGCCAGGATGGTCTCAATCTCCTGACCTCATGATCCGCCCACCTCGGCCTCCCAAAGTGCTGGGATTACAGGTGTGAGCCACTGCGCCCGGCCCATGGAAGGAATACTTCTAATTATCTTTATTAAATAAACTAAACTTTTTTGGTTAAATTTTATTGTTATTATACTTTAAGTTTTAGGGTACATGTGCACAACGTGCAGGTTAGTTACATATGTATACGTGTGCCATGCTGGTGTGCGGCACCCATTAACTCGTCATTTAGCATTAGGTATATCTCCTAATGCTATCCCTCCCCCCTCCCCCCACCCCACAACAGTCCCCAGAGTGTGATGGTCCCCTTCCTGTGTCCATGTGTTCTCATTGTTCAATTCCCACCTATGAGTGAGAACATGCGGTGTTTGGATTTTTGTCCTTGTGATAGTTTACTGAGAATGATAATTTCCAATTTCATCCATGTCCCTACAAAGGACATGAACTCATCATTTTTTATGGCTGCATAGTATTCCATGGTGTATATGTGCCACATTTTCTTAATCCAGTCTATCATTGTTGGACATTTGGGTTGGTTCCAAGTCTTTGCTATTGTGAATAGTGCTGCAATAAACATACGTGTGCATGTGTCTTTATAGCAGCATGATTTATAGTCCTTTGGGTATATACCCAGTAATGGGTTGGCTGGGTCAAATGGTATTTCTAGTTCTAGATTCCTGAGGAATCGCCACACTGACTTCCACAATGGTTGAACTAGTTTACAGTCCCACCAACAGTGTAAAAGTGTTCCTATTTCTCCACATCCTCTCCAGCACCTGTTGTTTCCTGACTTTTTAATGATTGCCATTCTAACTGGTGTGAGGTGGTATCTCATTGTGGTTTTGATTTGCATTTCTCTGATGGCCAGTGATGGTGAGCATTTTTTCATGTGTTTTTTGGCTGCATAAATGTCTTCTTTTGAGAAGTGTCTGTTCATGTCCTTTGCCCACTTTTTGATGGGGTTGTTTGTTTTTTTCTTGTAAATTTGTTTGAGTTCATTGTAGATTCTGGATATTAGCCCTTTGTCAGATGAGTAGGTTGTGAAAATTTTCTCCCATTTTGTAGGTTGCCTGTTCACTGTGATGGTAGTTTCTTTTGCTGTGCAGAAGCTCTTTAGTTTAATGAGATCCCATTTGTCAATTTTGTCTTCTGTTGCCATTGCTTTTGGTGTTTAGACATGAAGTCCTTGCCCATGCCTATGTCCTGAATGGTAATGCCTAGGTTTTCTTCTAGGGTTTTTATGGTTTTAGGTCTAACGTTTAAGTCTTTAATCCATCTTGAATTGATTTTTGTATAAGGTGTAAGGAAGGGATCCAGTTTCAGCTTTCTACATATGGCTAGCCAGTTTTCCCAGCACCATTTATTAAATAGGGAATCCTTTCCCCATTGCTTGTTTTTCTCAGGTTTGTCAAAGATCAGATAGTTGTAGATATGCGGCGTTATTTCTGAGGGCTCTGTTCTGTTCCATTGATCTATATCTCTGTTTTGGTACCAGTACCATGCTGTTTTGGTTACTGTAGCCTTGTAGTATAGTTTGAAGTCAGGTAGTGTGATGCCTCCAGCTTTGTTCCCTCTTTTTCTATTGATTGGAATAGTTTCAGAAGGAATGGTACCAGTTCCTCCTTGTACCTCTGGTAGAATTTGGCTGTGAATCCATCTGGTCCTGGACTCTTTTTGGTTGGTAAGGTATTGATTATTGCCACAATTTCAGAGCCTGTTATTGGTCTGTTCAGAGATTCAACTTCTTCCTGGTTTAGCCTTGGGAGGGTGTATGTGTCGAGGAATTTATCCATTTCTTCTTGATTTTCTAGTTTATTTGCGTAGAGGTGTTTGTAGTATTCTCTGATGGTAGTTTGTATTTCTGTAGGATCGGTGGTGATATCCCCTTTGTCATTTTTTATTGTGTCTATTTGATTCTTCTCTCTTTTCTTCTTTATTAGTCTTGGTAGTGGTCTATCAATTTTGTTGATCCTTTCAAAAAACCAGCTCCTGGATTCATTAATTGTTTGAAGGGTTTTTTGTGTCTCTATTTCCTTCAGTTCTGCTCTGATGTTAGTTATTTCTTGCCTTCTGCTAGCTTTTGAATGTGTTTGCTCTTGCTTTTCTAGTTCTTTTAATTGTGATGTTAGGGTGTCAATTTTGGATCTTTCCTGCTTTCTCTTGTGGGCATTTAGTGCTATAAATTTCCCTCTACACACTGCTTTGAATGTGTGCCAGAGATTCTGGTATGTTGTGTCTTTGTTCTTGTTGGTTTCAAAGAACATCTTTATTTCTGCCTTCATTTCGTTATGTACCCAGTAGTCAATCTGGAGCAGGTTGTTCAGTTACCATGTAGTTGAGCGGTTTTGAGTGAGTTTCTTAATCCTGAGTTCTAGTTTGATTGCACTGTGGTCTGAGAGACAGTTTGTTATAATTTCTGTTCTTTTACATTTGCTGAGGAGAGCTTTACTTCTAACTGTGTGGTCAATTTTGGAATAGGTGTGGTGTGGTGCTGAAAAAAATGTATATTCTTTTGATTTGGGGTGGAGAGTTCTGTAGATATCTATTAGGTCCGCTTGGTGCAGAGCTGAGTTCAATTCCTGGGTATGCTTGTTAACTTTCTGTCTAGTTGATCTGTCTAATGTTGACAGTGGGGTGTTAAAGTCTCCCATTATTATTGTGTGGGAGTCTAAGTCTCTTTGTAGGTCACTAAAGACTTGCTTTATGAATCTGGGTGCTCCTGTATTTGGTGCATATATATTTAGGATAGTTAGCTCTTCTTGTTGAATTGATCCCTTTACCATTATGTAATGACCTTCTTTGTCTCTTTTGATCTTTGTTGGTTAAAGTCTGTTTTATCGGAGACTAGGATTGCAACCCCTGCCTTTTTTTGTTTTCCATTTGCTTGGTAGATCTTCCTCCATCCTTTTATTTTGAGCCTATGTGTGTCTCTGCACGTGAGATGGGTTTCCTGAATACAGCACACTGATGGGTCTTGACTTTTTATCCAATTTGCCAGTCTGTGTCTTTTAATTGGAGCATTTAGTCCATTTACATTTAAAGTTAATATTGTTATGTGTGAATTTGATCCTGTCATTATGATGTTAGCTGTTTATTTTGCTTCCTAGCCTTGATGGTCTTTACAATTTGGCATGATTTTGCAGTGGCTGGTATCGCTTGTTCCTTTCCATGTTTAGTGCTTCCTTCAGGACCTCTTTTAGGGCAGGCCTGGTGGTGACAAAATCTCTCAGCATTTGCTTGTCTGTAAAGGATTTTATTTCTCCTTCACTTATGAAGCTTAGTATGCCTGGATATGAAATTCTGGGTTGAAATTCTTTTCTTTAAGAATGTTGAATATTATTGGCCCCCACTCTCTTCTGGCTTGTAGAGTTTCTGCCGAGAGATCCGCTGTTAGTCTGATGGGCTTCCCTTTGTGGGTAACCCGACCTTTCTCTCTGGCTGCCCTTAACATTTTTTCCTTCATTTCAACTTTGGTGAATCTGACAATTATGTGTCTTGGAGTTGCTCTTCTCAAGGAGTATCTTTGTGGCGTTCTCTGTATTTCCTGAATCTGAATGTTGGCCTGCCTTGCTAGATTGGGGAAGTTCTCCTGGATAATATCTTGCAGAGTGTTTTCCAACTTGGTTCCATTCTCCCTGTCACTTTCAGGTACACTAATCAGACCTAGATTTGGTCTTTTCACATAGTCCCTATTTCTTGGAGGCTTTGTTCGTTTCTTTTTATTCTTTTTTCTGTAAACTTCCCTTCTCGCTTCATTTCATTCATTTCATCTTCCATCACTGATACCCTTTCTTCCAGTTGATCGCATCGGCTCCTGAGTCTTCTGCATTCTTCACGTAGTTCTCGAGCCTTGGCTTTCAGCTCCATCAGCTCCTTTAAGCACTTCTCTGTATTGATTATTCTAGTTATACATTCGTCTAAATTTTTTTCAAAGTTTTTAACTTCTTTGCCTTTGGTTTCAATTTCCTCCTGTAGCTCGGAGTAGTTTGATCTTCTGAAGCCTTCTTCTCTCAGCTCGTCAAAGTCATTCTCCGTCCAGCTTTGTTCCGTTGCTGGTGAGGAACTGCATTCCTTTGGAGGAGGAGAGGTGCTCTGGTTTTTAGAGTTTCCAGTTTTTCTGCTCTGTTTTTTCCCCATCTTTGTGGTTTTATCTACTTTTGGTCTTCGATGATGGTGATGTACAGATGGGTTTTTGGTGTGGATGTCCTTTGTGTTTGTTAGTTTTCCTTCTAACAGACAGGACCCTCAGCTGCAGGTCTGTTGGAGTTTGCTAGAGGTCCACTCCAGACCCTGTTTGCCTGGGTAACAGCAGTGGTGGCTGCAGAACAACAGATTTTCGTGAACTGGGAATGCTGCTGTCTGATTGTTCCTCTGGAAGTTTTGTCTCAGAGGAGTACCCGGCTGTGTGAGGTGTCAGTCTGCCCCTACTGGGGGGTGCCTCCCAGTTAGGCTGCTCAGGGGTCAGGGGTCAGGGGTCAGGGACCCACTTGAGGAGGCAGTCTGCCCGTTCTCAGATCTCCAGCTGGGTGCTGGGAGAACCACTGCTCTCTTCAAAGCTGTCAGACAGGGACAGTTAAGTCTGCAGAGGTTACTGCTGTCTTTTTGTTTGTCTGTGCCCTGCCCCCAGAGGTGGAGCCTACAGAGGCAGGCAGGCCTCCTTGAGCTGTGGTGGGCTCCACCCAGTTCGGGCTTCCGGCTGCTTTGTTTACCTAAGCGAGCCTGGGCAATGGCGGGCGCCCCTCCCCCAGCCTTGCTGCTGCCTTGCAGTTTGATCTCAGAGTGCTGTGCTAGCAATCAGTGAGACTCCGTGGGCGTAGGACCCTCCGAGCCAGGTGCGGGATATAATCTCCTGGTGCACCGTTTTTTAAGCCCGTTGGAAAAGCGCAGTATTAGGGTGGGAGTGACCCGATTTTCCAGGTGCCATCTGTCACCCCTTTCTTTGACTAGGAAAGGGAACTCCCTGACCCCTTGCGCTTCCTGAGTGAGGCAATGCCTCGCCCTGCTTCGGCTTGCGCACGGTGCGCTGCACCCACTGTCCTCTGCCCACCGTCTGGCACTCCCTAGTGGGATGAACCCGGTACCTCAGATGGAAATGCAGAAATCACCCATCTTCTGCATCGCTCATGCTGGGAGCTGTAGACCGGAGCTGTTCCTATTTGGCCATCTTTTTTTTTTTTTTTTTTTTTTTTTTAAGAAACAAGAGTCTTGCTTTGTTGTCCAGGCTGGCTTCAAACTCCTGGGCTCAAGCAATCCTCCCACCGCAGCCCCACAAAGTGCTGGGATTACAAGCATAAGCCACCATACCTGGCCCTTGCTTCATCTTATACCTTCACTCACTCTCCCTTCTTCTGTACTATTTTGAAGCGGATCTCAGATTACATATCATTTCACCTGTTAGTATTTCAGTATATGTCTCTAAAGAGAAGAACTCTTAAAGAAACAACCACAATGCTATTATCACATCTTAAAAAAAATTAACCAAGTGCCCTAATATCAGATATTCAGTCTTATATTTTCAATCCTTATAAATGAATTTTGTATCTTAGAAACAGAATTCAAATAATTACAGCCTTATGTCACATTTGGTTGATACATTTCTTAAGTTTCTTTCTTACTCTGTTTAGTGTCTTAAAGCAGCAGTATATTATTATGGCATACTCTGTAGATTTGCTGTGCTGACTGAGCAGTTCTTTCTTGGGGCCTCCTGGGCTTGCACTCAGATCACAGATGGGGCTAGAGTCATCCGAAGGCTTAACTTGGCTAGATGTCCAAGATGACTCTCTTGAATCTCTCAATCTATCTGTCTTTGTTCTATTTTCTTTGCTTTCTTTTCTCTCTCTCTCCCTTGCTTTTCTTTCTTTCTTTTGGTTGTAGTTGAAGAAGTCAGAGTATTTGTCCTATAGAGTTTCCCATTATCTGCTCATTTTACCAACTACATCCCTGTGTCCTTTGACATATTCCTCTCCCTTTTGTATTTTCTGTAAATTGGATATGGATGTTTGTTCAGATTCAGGTTTGATTTTTTTTTTTTTTTTGAGGGGTGGACTATAAGGTTGGTGGACTATAAGGTTGACAGGTATGATTATAGCGCACTATAGCCTCACACACCTGACCTCAAGTGATCCTCCCACCCCAACTCCTGAGTAGCTGAGATTACACATGCCACCATGCCCGGCTAGTTTTTTTTTTTCTTTTAACTGTCATTATGAACTAATGGATTCAAATGCAGTTCATCTATTTAGGCATTTCAGTGTGACAGAATGAATGGGGAGAATACTCATTGCTTCCTTGAAAATGATTTAAAAATATTTGGCACCATTAGTCCAAGCTCAATGGAAGTGCCCCTAAGCAAGAAAAAGGGTTTGAAACATTATTAGAATGGTGAATATGAGTCAGAATGATAGATTTTTTAAAAAAATTGAGTGAATTTTATTTATGAAAAACATACAATGGTGCTATAAAGGTAAGTTAACAAGGAAGATCATTGTTGCCTGACAATGTGTGTTGACTATTCTCATGCCATCTCCTCTTTTTTATGTTCCCCAATTCCAGTTTGAAAGCTGAATGGCTCTATAGTCAAGGCAAGGGGAGAGCATATCGGCCTGGCCAGCACATCCAGCTTGTCCAATATCTGGCTACAGTCTGCCCCCTCACTTCTACACTAGGTCTTCAAACTGCAGAGGATGCCAAACTAGAGAAGATTTTGAGCAAACAGAGGTAAGCCCATTTATTTCTAACAACTGATGAATTCACAAGTTAAAATACCTCTGAGTCTTTGCTATGGTGATAGTAAGCCTGAGGCAAGTGCTGCGGCCCACATTTCTGGACACTCAGTCCCCTTGTCACTGCAACAGTTCCTGCAGGGAAGCTGAATCGTGCACTGCAAACAGCCAAACAATATGGTATGGAGGAATAGAGGGGTTTTTTTGTTTTAAAGACAGGGTCTTGGTCTCTTGGTCTGTGAGTACAGCAGTGCAGTCATAGGTCACTGCAGTTGCAACTACAGGTGCATGCCACCATGGTTGGCTAATTTTTTGTAGAGATGAGGTCTCACTTTGTTCCTCAGTCTGATTTTAAACTCTTGGCTTCAAGCAGTTCTCCTGCTTCGGCCTCCTAAAGTGCTAGGATAATAGGTATGAGCTACTACACCAGGAAACGGGATAGGATTTTTAAAAAATATATTTGTTCTTTTTTTTTTTTTAAGACATAATATCACTCTGTTGCCCAGGCTGGAGTGCTGTGGTGTGATCTCAGCTCATTGCAACCTCCATCTCCCAGTTCAAATGATTCTCGGGTCTAAGCCTCCTGAGTAGCTGGGATTACAGGCATGCGCCACCACACCTAGCTAATATTTTATTTTTAGTAGAGATGGGTTTTTGCCATGTTAGCCAGGCTGGTCTTGAACTCCTAACCTCAGGTGATCTGCCCGCCTTGGCCTCCCAAAGTGCTGGGATTACAGTCATGAGCTACTGCGTCTGCCACCCCTCCCCCTTTTTTCTTTTTTGAGGCAGGAGCTCACTTTGTCACCCAGGTTGGAGTGCAGTGGTGTGATCTCAGCTCCTTGCATCTTCAGTCTCCTGGGCTCAAATGATCCTCCCTCTTCAGACCCCCTTCAGTCCGTGCCTGTAGCTGGGACTACAGGCACGCACCACCAAGCCTCGGCTAATTTTTTATATTTTTTGTAGAGATGGGGTTTCATCATGTTGCTCAGGCTGATCTTGAACTCCTGAGCTCCAGCGATCCACCTGCCTTGGCCTCCCAAAGTGCTGGGATTACAGGTGCGCGACACCGTGCCCGACCTATTTGTTCTTTAATGTAGGTGTTTCTTGTGGGTTTTTGAATACTTAAGAGGTATATCTGCCTTCAAAGGGTACAGTGAAAAAAAAGAGAAAAAGTATTGCCAGAAGCATTTAATATTTACTTTCTTTATCAGAGATCCTGCCTTTAAATGTTTTTGTATGTGTGTATGTGTGCATAGTAGGGTCTGTCTTTGCAATTACAAAATAAGCTTCTTAACTTTCTTTATCCAGTGCTTTCAAATGAGGATTTATAATTTGGCATTAATTAAAAGTACCTACTTTGAGAACTTGTAAACTTCTGCCTTTTTGACATTGTTACCTAGGAAGCAGAAAATCTTTCTTTTTTTGGTTTGTGTTAAATTAGACCAGGTATTATTGATTTTTAGGTTTCACCAGAGGCAGTTGATGAACCAAAGCCAAAATGAAGAGTTGTCTCCTCTTGTTCCTGTTGAAACAAGGGCATCCCTTATTCCTGAGCATTCAAGCCCTGTTCAAGATTGCCAGATATCCCAGGAAAGTGGTAAGAAATGAATTTATCTCTGATCCCTTTTCTCCAAGTTGTTTAATTTGTCGGGTATCATAAAGCAGAAAAAGGTGCATATTTTCATAATTTTTTGTTAGTTTACTAACTTCAGTAATCATTTAGATCTTATACATATCTATGTATAAACACACCTATATATGTATGTATATTATAACTGCTATATTTCTAATTTTAAGAAACATTTCAAGGACTACTACCTTTTATATAGACCTGATGCTTTGATTATTCTTATGATTATCACAAGAATTCATTTTCTTAAAAATGTTTGGTTTGATGTTTTCGGCATATTGGAAGAAGTCACTGAGGGGATTTTTTTGCATTTTACTCTATTTCAAGGAATAGATTTCATTAAAGGGACATAACTAAAATGTAAACATTTAGTGGTTTAAATGATACTCTGTTGATTCTTCTAGAACCCGTCATTCAAGTGAATTCTTGGGTTGGGATAAACAGTAATGATGATCAGTTATTTGCGGTTAAGAATAATTTTCCAGCCTCTGTACACACTACGAGATATTCTCGAAATGATCTGCACCTGGAAGACATACAGACGGATGAGGACAAGTTAAACTGTAGTCTTCTCTCTTCAGAGTCTACTTTTATGCCAGTTGCATCAGGACTGTCTCCACTATCACCTACAGTTGAGCTGAGGCTGCAGGGCATTAACTTGGGCCTAGAAGATGATGGTGTTGCAGATGAATCTGTGAAAGGGCTGGAAAGCCAGGTGTTGGATAAGGAAGAGGAACAGCCTTTATGGGCTGCAAATGAGAATTCTGTTCAAATGATGAGAAGTGAAATCAATACAGAGGTAAATGAGAAAGCTGGACTATTACCTTGTCCTGAGCCAACAATAATCAGTGCTATCTTGAAGGATGATAACCACAGTCTTACATTTTTTCCTGAGTCAACTGAGCAGAAACAATCAGACATAAAGAAACCAGAAAATACACAACCAGAAAATAAAGAAACCATATCTCAAGCAACTTCAGAGAAACTTCCCATGATTTTAACCCAGAGATCTGTTGCTTTGGGACAAGACAAAGTTGCCCTTCAGAAATTAAATGATGCAGCCACCAAGCTTCAGGCCTGTTGGCGGGGATTTTATGCCAGGAACTACAACCCTCAAGCCAAAGATGTGCGTTACGAAATCCGGCTACGCAGAATGCAAGAGCACATTGTCTGCTTAACTGATGAAATAAGGAGGTGGGTCAGAAGTCCTTTTGATGCACTGTTTTGTTGGTTTGAGGGTGTTAGATTCTTATAGTTGATTCAGAACACTGTGCTTCTGTGATTATAACACTTTTCACACAATGTAGCCACTGTTGCTTTGGTTGTCTCCTACAGTGTACCGAAAGCATCTGGAGAGCAGACACTATCTGCTCTATCTCCTCATCTCCATCCCCAGCAAAGCACTTGATACATAGATGCAGTGTAGTAATAAATGTTCAATGAACGTGAGCTTTATAGGGATCTATAATTCTAAACATAGAAAGGTACAGAAAACATTGAAAAACCAAGTATAAAAATGAGAAGATGATGAAGTCTACATGGAATTCAGTACATGACATAAGAAATAAAGAAAATAGCAGGGATTCAGAAGGGGCTAAAATTCTATATGACTACAATAGGAATTATTCCTTAATCCCATGGCTCGTATGTTTTACTGACTGCTAGCCCAGGAAAGTTAGGATTTCATTAATATTGCAACTAGTAATATTTACTGGTATTATCAGGTAGAAGAGAAAGAGGCAGCAAAGGATACTGAGAAGGGACAGCCAGAGTGGTAGGAAAACTAGGAGAGTTCCACCTTCAACAGGAGCAAGTGTTTCAGGAGAGATGAGAGGTGCCACAGAGAGGACACAGGCATTAAACTTGGCAGTTGGAGGCTATTGGTGACTGTGTTGGTGATTCTCCAGACTATCCTCAGGTTGGATGATTTGCTAAAAGGACTCACAGAACTTGGGAAAATACTATTCTGTTCGTCATTATGGTTCATTACAGCAAAAGGATACAGATTAGAATCAGTAAAGAAAAAAGGTGCCTAGGGCAGAGTCTAGGAGACATGAGGTGCAAGCTTCCAGTTGTTCTCTTTCAGTGGAGTTGTACAGACAGGGCTTAATTTTCTCAGCAATGATGTATGATAACACATATGAAGTATTGCCAACTGACGAAAGTTACCTCATCTTTGGTGTCCAGGGTTTTTATTGTGGGCCAGTCACATAGGTATTGAGTACCCATGTAACTGATCTTAACTATTTACACCTCAGACCACATAGAGGTCACACTGATACTCCATGGCCCAGGACCCAGGACCCCAGGCGAACAAAACAGATGTTGACTAGAAATCATTGATTGCCTAAACTATCTGATGTGACCAAGACCCCAGGTGTATAAAGATATTCTTTTTCAGTCAGGATATTCCAAGGGCTTGGAGATTATCTCCCAGGAGTCAGTCAAGGGCCAGTCTTATCTTTGCAATGTACAGTGTTTGAACATCCCCATCCTGCTGAGTTAACTCTTTACTGCACAGTGACCTTCCCAAGAGCAGCTTCAGTGGTGTAGAGGGATGAAGGCCATTTTGGAATGGGTTGAATAGTGAATGAGAGGTAAAGAGTTTGAAGGATGAGTGTAGCCAATTCTTGGAAAGAGTTGTTTTGAGGAAAACAAGAGAAAAGAGAGTTAAGTGGTGTCTGGAGGAGAATCTAGATTAAAGGAACATTCTCTTTTGTAGATGAGAGATATAGAGTTTGTTCATGTGTTGATGGAATGAATAAATAAGGAGGGAAAAACTGATGGTGCAGCAAAAAAAAAAAAAAAAAAAAAAAAGAGGAAGAGCAGGATTGCAGTTCTTGAGAAGGTAAGAGAGGAAGAAATGTAGTGTCGAAGTAGAGGAAGTGGCCTGAAATGGGAGCAGGAGCAGGTAAGGTGGTAGGTTTGATGGTGGGAGATGGGAAAAAGTCCTGTCTGATGCTGCTTCTTTTTCAATAATGTATAAGATGTGGTCAACACCTGAAAATGAGGAGAGGGTGAAGGAGGTGTAAGGAGAGAAGTATGAGGTGTGAGGTAGTTATCTTAAACATGACCTTATGAGGAAAATGGAGGAGGGTTGCTGGACAATGTGAGAAAATGCTTAAAAGTGCAAAACAATAGGTCAGGTTGTATGATTTTCATCAGCAATTCTTAGCTGCTCTGGTCTGATTCAGGCATGGTTAATTTGGTTCAGCCAGGAATGATTTTTTTTCCTAGGTGATATTGTAGAGAGAGCAGGGGAAGGGCAAGAGAGCTGAAGATATTTGAGAGGGAGTAATAATGATAGATCTTAGATTTTATATGTTTTTTGAGATGGGGTCTTGCCCTCTTGCTGAGGCTGGAGTGTAGTGGCGTGATCATAGCTCACTGTAATCTTGAACTCCTGGGTTCAAGTGATTCTCCCACTTGAGGCTCCCAAGTAGCTGGGACTATAGGCATGCACCACCATGCCCAGCTAATTAAAAAAAATTTTTTTAAAGAGATGAAGTCTATGTTGCCCATCTGGTCTTGAACTCCTGGCCTCAAGCAGTCCTCCTGCCTCAGCCTCCTAAAGTTCTGGGATTACAGGTGTGAATTACCTTGCTGACTGGAATTTTATTTTTATTTTTTATCTAAAAAAATTTTTTTTTGAGATGGAGTCTTGCTCTTGTCACCCAGGCTGGAGTGCAATGGTGCGATCTCAGCTCATTGCAACCTCTGCCTCCCAGGTTCAGGTGATCCTCCTGCCTCAGCCTCCCGAGTAGCTGGGATTACAGGCACCTGCCACATGCCCAGCTAATTTTTTTTTTGCATTTTTAGTAAAGACAGGGTTTCACCATGTAGGCCAGGCTGGTCTCAAACTCCTGACCTCAGGTGATCCTCCTGCCTGGGCCTCCCAAAGTGCTGGGATTACAGGTGTGAGCCACTGTGCCCAGGCTGGCTGGAATTTTAAATGAGGTAAAAGGGAAGTGAAGGCAGGGGGGAAGGATCATTGGACTGAAGGTCTAGATTGTTGCAGTGGGGTACAACAGCAAGTGAACTGGGAGGATAGGAAGTAGTGGTTGGTGTTGGGTGCTTAGAACCATTTCTGAAAGTAGTGTAGTCAAAATGATTTGGTCTAGGGTGAGACTATGAGAATGGGTGACTGACATGGGGTGGATTATTGTTAGAGCATCCATGTGAATGTTGAGGTCTCCAAAAACGATGACAGGTATGGGGCAAAGAGAAAGCCTGGTGCTGAGACTTCATTGAATGGGAGCAGATGGTGGGAGGTCAGTACTTGACAACGAATTTTGGGAAATTTAGCAGGATGGCAGGAGTTAAAGGAGGGAGATGAAGAATCATTTGAAAACAATAGTGAGAAGCAATTTTTGAACCCTGATGTGTGACAGGGAAAAATAGCTTCCACTTCAGAGGGCTATAGTGCTCTCAGAAGTGGGTCTGCTTTGGACAAGGAAAAGTTCAGAGAGAGATGGAGTATATAAGGGAGTTTGCTAATTATAATTCAGGAGTTCTAGATGGCACAGGAGAAAGGCTTGGGGGGCTAGAGAAAGTGGAGAATTGGGTCAGAGGTGTGGAACAAAATGGTCTTGACAGTTTGGGTGATAATGGATCACTAAAGGAGGAGCCTTAGGTTTGTGATAGGCCTAAGTATGGAGAGAACAGCAGTGAGCCCAGACCTCAGACTTTGATGAATGAATGAGGAATAATGGATGGGAGGTCTCTTGTTAGCAAGGAGTAGGTCGGAGACCTGGGGAAACAGAATAGTGAAGTTTGATGGGATTAGTCTTTAGCAGAGGGTGTTTCAAGCTGGATCACGAGTACTTAAATGTGACCCTTAATTGTTTTGGAGGCTTTGGATAGCCACTCCTTTTTTGCACTTTCTGTTCCTTTGGTTTGTTTGGCTGAGAAATTGAAGCCAGACAAAGAGCCATTTAACATTTTATTTTATTTCTTATTACTGGAAATACTTTGTAGAACTAATACCTGTATTTCAGTCATATCTCCTTTGGCTTCTACTTTGAGTCACAGTTCAAAATTAAGGTTTATGATGTCACTTATAAAACTGTTCCATTTTGATTCTGAGGTTAAAAAAATAAAAATAAAATAAGGTTTTAATTTAGATATTCTAAAAGTGGGAAAGACAACTATTAGATTATTAATCTCTTTACAATGCATGTGTTTATGAGTTGTAACAGGAAGTCTGAGTCAAAGCACCCTTCCTTATGTCAATAATGTGTTTTGAATTATTGTAGATTACGAAAAGAAAGAGATGAAGAACGTATTAAAAAATTTGTACAAGAAGAAGCTTTCAGATTCCTTTGGAACCAGGTAAACTCCCTCCTGCTGATTTACCTCATATATGATCAAATACAGATTCTATATTCATTGAGATAATCATAGAGTACTCAGGTGTATTAAGCACTCTTGTTCAAGGTTAAGGGTATGGCTTGTGTTCTTCGCCACTAACTGTGAACTAGGACAGTGAATTTTCTTGCATTTTATTTAATCTGAAGAAAAATATTCTGACAATTTTGACAAGAAAAACAAAATAGTATAAAGCAGGAGGAAAGTGGCTTAACTGAAGGCTGTTAGAGCTTTCCAATAGATACAACAACCCCAATTTGAAATTTCATGTAGCTATCGATCTGTCTTTTGGGAATATTTGAATGAATTGTGATTAAGATGGTATATGACTACAATATGCATGTCCTAAAAAGTATTCATAACTGTATAGGAGAGTATTTGAATCCTATAATAGCACACTTTAGGGACAGTTTAGGCAGTTGGTTTTACTAGCATTGTATCACATCAAATACTTCTTGATGATAATTTCTTGAAAATATTTTAATAAAATTTTCATTTCTTCTTTTTTATAGAAATGGGGTCTTGCCATATTGCCCAGGCCGGTCTCAAACTTCTGGGCTCAAGCAGTCTTCCCTCCTCAGCCTCCCAAAGTGAGCCACATCACCTGGCCAAATTTGTTATAATAGGATTTGACCTATAAAATGAAAAAATAATTATTGATTTGTAAAGTTTTGTAGTTACCAACAATAGAGGAATGGTTAAATTATAGAATAATAATACTGTGGAATACCATGGAATAGTTAAAAAAAATAAGGTAATGGTATTCACCAACATGGAAAGATCTCCAAAATAATACTGTTTAGTAAAAAAAAAAAACAGCACTAGCGCATTACAGCCTTGAACTCCTCAAGTGATCCTTCTGCTGCAACCTCCCAAGCAGCTGGGACTACAGGCACACACCAGTGTGCTCAGCTTCCCTGTATATTTGAAAATACGACCTAGAAAAAAGTCTGGAAGGATATGCATCAAGTTGCTGTCAGTAATTACCTTGGGCGGGGGGTCAAAGGGAAACTAAAAACTGTACATACTGCTTTCTTGTTTGCAGTTTTTACAGTAAAATTTTGGAATTTTTGTTATACTTTAGAAATTAGGGGTCATATTATCAAGAATTTGGTATGTTTTTAGGTATTTTAGAAAGTTGCATATACTATATTGTTAGCTAATACTTAAAAACTGTAATCTCTACCTGGGTATCTAAAATGAGACTTATTTTACAAGATCTACTTATTTCAAGGGCTCTAACCTGTCTTATTGAATAGATCTCATTATATCTTGAATACATTATTGACCCCTTATTCAGCTAGGCATGTGCTGTTGCGCATTATTGACCCCTTAGTCAGCTAGACATGTACTGTTGTGCTTCTTGCTGTTTTTCTTGTAGAAGCAAGAGAATTGCTTTGGCCCATTCCCACTCCTGGTGAGGGCCTTTTGTTACCAGGGACATGTACCATTTGTGCCAGTCTGGTTTTAGGCTTGGGATGCTATGGAAAAGATAAAGGGAGTCAGCAGTTTCTAGCTCCAGTTCTGCCATTTGCCAGCTTCATGACTGCTGGAAAAAAGAGCTCAAAGGAAAATTGTAAAATAGACAGGTGGGGTGTGGTGGCTTGTGCCCGTAATCCCAGCACTTGGGAGGCCAAGGCAGAAGGATTGCTTGAGCCCAGGAGTTCAAGACCATCCTGGGCAACAAAGCGAGACCTCATCTCTACAGAAAAAATTTTAAAAATTAGCCAGATGGACGGACACGGTGGCTCACGCCTGTAATCCTAGCACTTTGGGAGGCCAAGGTGGGCGGATCACCTGACGTCAGGAGTTTGAGACCAGCCTGACCAACATGGGGAAACCCTGTCTCTACTAAAAATAGAAAATTAGCCAGGTGTGATGGTGGGTGCCTGTAATCCCAGCTACTTGGGAAGCTGAGGCAGGAGAATTGCTTGAACCTGGGAGGTGGAGGTTGCGGTAAGCCGAGATTGTGCCATTGCACTCCAGCCTGGGTAACAAGAGCGAAACTCCATCTCAAAAAAAAAAAAAAAAATTAGGCAGACATGGTGGTGGGCACCTGGAGTCCTAGCTGGTTAGGAGGCAGAGGTGGGGTGGGAGGATCACTTGAGCCCAGGAGGTTGATGCTGCAGTGAGCCATGATTGTGCTGCTGCACTCCAGCCTGGGTGACAGAGCGAGACCCTGTCTCAAAAACAAACAAACAAAAACAACACTTTTTATTTTATAATACAACTGTATTCTCTGGTTTATAGGTAAGGTCTCTACAGGTTTGGCAACAGACAGTGGACCAGCGTCTAAGTTCCTGGCATACTGATGTTCCTCCTATATCAAGTACTCTTGTGCCATCGAAACATCCATTATTTACCCAAAGCCAGGAGTCCTCTTGTGATCAAAATGCTGATTGGTTTATTGCTTCTGATGTAGCTCCTCAAGAGAAATCATTACCAGAATTTCCAGACTCTGGTTTTCATTCCTCTCTAACAGAACAAGTTCATTCATTGCAGCATTCTTTGGATTTTGAGAAAAGTTCCACAGAAGGCAGTGAAAGCTCCATAATGGGGAATTCCATTGACACAGTCAGATATGGCAAAGAATCAGATTTAGGGGATGTTAGTGAAGAACATGGTGAATGGAATAAGGAAAGCTCAAATAACGAGCAGGACAATAGTCTGCTTGAACAGTATTTAACTTCAGTTCAACAGCTGGAAGATGCTGATGAGAGGACCAATTTTGATACAGAGACAAGAGATAGCAAACTTCACATTGCTTGTTTCCCAGTACAGTTAGATACATTGTCTGACGGTGCTTCTGTAGATGAGAGTCATGGCATATCTCCTCCTTTGCAAGGTGAAATTAGCCAGACACAAGAGAATTCTAAATTAAATGCAGAAGTTCAGGGGCAGCAGCCAGAATGTGATTCTACATTTCAGCTATTGCATGTTGGTGTTACTGTGTAGCATGTCTTTTGGGAGGCAGATATCCACTTAACTTTTCTTAAAAATACTTTCAGTTGCCTTTGCTTTTTTTTGGAGGGAAATACTCCCTACCCCTAATTTTGTTACTACTTATATAGAATTTGTATTCATGTCTTATATTTTTCAGATTCTAGATATTGAGCTGAGTTTTCATTTTGATTTTGTTAGCTTTTTACTTAGCTGTAAGGTACCAAACTATTTATATTGAAAGCTATATGCACTTTATTTCTTAACTGAATTGCATCAACAATGTTCCTGTTTCTTTCATGTACTCATTTACTTTCAAAAATAAGCTAGAATATATTAAAGAAAATAGAAAAAATTACCTTAAATATATAAATAAGAGAATTTTGGCCCTTCTGTGTCTGAGAAAATTAATTATATAGCAAGGAATGAAATTTGATAAAGCAAATATAAATGAGAAATATGAGGATTGTGAATTATTGAAATTTGCCAGTCTCCCTGGTGTAAAATGTTTTTTTAAAGCCTTTTTTCCTCCTTTCGGAGTCAAGGAAAGCCTTTCTATAAGCAAATTAAGGAAGAAAAGGTAGGATTATAAGATTTCTCAATGGGGATGATTAAATTGTCTCATGGAAAACTTCAGTTAATGTCATGCATCAGTTTTAACATATGAAGTAAAGTGTTCTATCCAGGATTAAAGTCAAGTTTACTTAGGCAACACAAGAATATTTCACTTAGATATGAAGAAAGGAAACACTAGTCTCCATTCACTTGAAATACTCTCATGGCAAATATTTATCCTCTCATTAAGTGCTTTTTCACCCTATAGGTAAGCATTTTTGTGCCAACATGTTGTCAGAAATTAATGTATGTTCATCTCCTCTGTTCCTGCTTATTTTTACTTATATATTTCAGCAGAAGGTCCGTGGCCATTCACTTCAATTTTGACCTCTGTCCCATAGTGAAGAACATTTAAAGTAATACTACTGGTCGAATATGAATGACTTTTTAGGAACTACTTTTTGTCTAACCTGAAAAAGTTCCACATTTGGAAGACAATTTAATGATGGTGAAGAAATAATAAACCTCACTTTACTTGTTAAAAGGGATATATATATATATATATATGTCTGCAACTTCAGGGAGAAATAAGATTGTGTTTGAATATTGTAGGTAGATGCATTTGTAATTAAGGATAATATCGTTTAACAACATGTATTTGGTTTCCCTCAACTTACAGACATACAGCTATTTAAAACTATGGCAATACTTAAGCATCTCTAAATTTAGGTGCTAAATATCTATTATTCTGTTGTAGTCATTAGGTGCCCTTCTCTGAAGTTATGTAAAATAAAAGCATCTGATCCTTCAAGGATAAAGTTGAGGATCACATGGTACGTGGCATTTGTTGTTATTGTTTTTTAAAGAGATGGAGGCTGGCTCTGTTGGTGCGGTGCCATGATCATAGTTCACTATAACCTCGAACTCCTGGCTCAAGTGATCTCCCACTTCAGCCTCCCGAGTATCTGGGATTATAAGCAAGAGCCACTGCTCCCAGCTCATGGTATTTGTTGATAGTCATAACATTTTTCCTGTATGGTAAGACGTATTTTTCTCAGTTTATAAATACGTAGCACTCAGGTTGAGACGACTTGGATTTTATTCTTAGAAATCCAGAATCCCTTGAAAAGGAAATATTTTCTGTTTCTTATAAATAAAAGAGTAATCTTACTTTCAGAAGGATTTTCCTTAGTGAAACATGTGTAACATTGAATGCATGTTAAATAAAAATGGAATTTCTAACTTTTTTTCAATAGTGCTAATTATCTTTTCTGAATGATTTTGAATGTCTTCTTAAATATACCCTATTTTTCTATTTTAAAGTTAAGTGCCTCACTTGCTGTCCATAGTTAGACAAAGAAAAACCAATTTCCACTGCACTAGTACCAAAATACTACTTTATACATTAGTTTTTCATAAAAGCTGCTGGAATGTCATGATTCAGTATTACCTAAATAGATTTCTGCTAAAATCCTCTCCCTCCTGTCTTTTTTAAGTTATGGAAAAACACAACTAAATTCATTTGATCATCAGCACTTGTTAGCAGGATTTCCTTTTTTACCTTTGCCTTGTTTCTTTAGCCCACAAATAGTACTCAGCATACTTTCATTAAAAATTTGGCACAATATGATAATTGTTAATATTCTGTTCTTCGTCTGTGTTTTATTTAACTTTTACTAGTGTTTAGAAGTGCAAGAATATTAAATAGCCCCTTCCTTAACTGTACATATTATCTTGAATGTAGATAAAATGAAAATACTGTAAATTAGAGTGTAGGAAAACTGGCATAGAGTTAATATATTTTAATGGGTTTACATTATACTTTAAAAGTAATTTATATAATTAAAATATTTGGTTTTAACTCTATGGGCTATTCTTTGGTTGGCTGAAGAGGGAATGGGTCTAGTAAGGTTTGGAAAGTTAAGCTTTGAACATGGTCTTTGTGTTTTTTTCCTAACAAGGAAAGGTTTAGTTCAGCTGTGCTATTTTAGTACACATCAGTTCTCTTGATTTATGGAAGATTCAGTTTATCAATTAAGAATTCCTGCAGAAGCACAGAATCATACCATGTAAGAGTTGGAAGGAAGCTTAAGAGATTTCTGTTCGAATCTCTTTGTTTCAAAGATGAAACTAAAGCACAGCATGTTAAATGACTTGTCTAAGTTATAGCTAGTTAGTAGTAAATAAACTGAAAACCTATATGCTACTGTAGTCCAAAATTTTATTATGTCCTCTTAATCTTTACATTTAGTGAGTCAGTAAGGAAATCTCTGCATATTTCTCATTCTCTTTGAAAGAGGAAAAAAACTTCTAAGAGAGCTACAACTCTATCACTCATGACAGAGTTGCTTGTAGAAAATAACTAATTCCTTCAGAACCCTGAGTGAATTTTTTCTAAGAAATGTGACTTGATTAAAATGGTTTCAAAAGAGCAATAGTGGAAATTAAAGTTTTAGAAAAGAGACCTGGCGTGGTGGTTGACAACTGTAATCCCAGTGCTTTGGGAGGCTGAGGCCAGAGGATCACTTGAGGCCAGGAGTTCAAGACCAGCCTGGACAACATAGCAAGACCCCCCTCTCTACAAAAAAAATTTTTTTCTGAAAAGAATAAGTACATTTTAGAGTCCATTTATTTGACGACAGGCAGTATGACAGGTTGCTGAGGTATATAAAATTTTCTAGAGAAATGCTGAGTTTGATGACATTTTATCTTCAGTTTTGTAGAACAGATGTTAAAATGTTAACTCTCCTGGTGTGCAGAAAGCTGTAATCATGACAGTTGATAATATGCAATTTAGTTTGATTTTATAGGTTTAATTATAAAAGGCTTCACAATATGCATGTTTTAGGAAAATGTTCATTTATTTAGTCATATAATCGTTTGTATATATGTAAATAACTTTATTCTGGAATAATGTGGGTGCCATCTTGAGCGTGTGTTTTTATCTGTTTTGGATTATTTTTTGTATACAAACACCATAATACTGTATTTTCCTGTTATCTACTTAAGTCTAGTTCTACTTTTTCCCAATAATTTCAGGAAAATACAAGCTTGAGATATTATACTATCTCCCTTGGTATTTTTTGTGTGCAAAGTCTTAGAATTGGATTTATAACATTGATAATAAAAATATAAAACGTTTTTCCTCGGGAGTTAAGATGGTAAAAAGAAAAAAATAGAATGAATATGATCATTTCTCCATCATAAAGGAAAGAAGAGACTTCATTGTGTGTGTGTTTTTTTTTTTTTTTTCGAGATAGAGTTTCACTGTTGTCACCCAGGCTGGTCTCAGCTCACTGCAACCTCCACTTCCTGGGTACAAGCGATTCTCCTGCCTCAGCTTCCTGTGTAGCTGGGATTACAGGTGTGCAACCACAAGGCTCGGCTAATTTTTTTGTATTTTTAGTAGAGATGGGGTTTCACCATGTTGGCCAGGCTGGTCTCGAACTCCTGACCTCAAGTGATCCACCCACCTCGGCCTCGCAAAGTGCTGAGATTACAGGTGTGAGCCACTGTGCCCAGCCGAGACTTCATTGTTTAATGTATATTTTTATTTTTTCCAAACACCAGCTCGAATCAGAGTATATTTTTATTTTGCCACATACCTTTAAAAGGTATTTATTGTGTCATAATGTTTTAAATGTTAAATATATGATACCCTCATTCATGAAGTGAAGCAGAAAGGGTCTGTAAGGAACATTCTAAACATTTTTAATGATATTGCTTTTACTGATCAAGCTTGTTGTGCCATATTAAAATTAAAAGTCAAATAAACAAAGCAGTCCTCACAGCCTTGGAAAGAAATAGATAATTGTCTTCTTAAGATGAGGTGCTTTTTATCTGTGGATGAATGGAAATCACACTGAATTTTAATTCTTATTTATTTTAGTGGATAGCAGGAATCACTCTGTAGTAGTTGTGTTCATTTTCTTTTCTTTTTCTTTTCTTTTTTTTGAGAGAGTCTCGCTCTGTCACCAGGCTGGAGTGCAGTGGCGTGATCTCGGCTCACTGCAACCTCCATCTCCTGGGTTCAAGTGATTCTCCTGCCTCATCCTCCCGAGTAGCTAAGACTACAGGCACACGCCACCATGCCCAGCTAATTTTTATATTTTTAGTAGAGATGGGGTTTCACCATGTTGGCCAGGATGGTCTCAATCTCTTGACCTCGTGATCCACCCAGTTTGGCCTCCCAAAGTGCTGGGATTACAGGCGTGAGCCACTACACCTGGCCTTGTTCATCTTCTAATTAAATATCTTTGAATGTTTTGTAATAATTTTAATGTTGACAATAAGAGTTTAAAAATAATTTGATTTTGGACTGTATTTAGATTTCTCTTTAATTTTGCTGTAGAAATAGTAAATGATTTAAAGTGGTTATGATGTGTTTTATGAAGGCTTACTATTTTATATTGTACTTATTTAATTTGTATTTGAGTCTGTCTAATTTTAAATAAAAGGTTTATACATTTGAGTGCTTCATCTGTTTATTTTAGTGATTAGTAGTAATGATTGTTATTCATTGTGCTTGTAATTAATGGATAAAGTTCAGAATAAATTGCAAATAGAACCCTACTAAGCAATGTCCAGAGTATTCTCATTATATAAGTGAATTTACAATAAAACAGCTTTTGCCTTATGAAAATGGATATGAAGTGGAAGGAATGCTAATTCAGTTTTATTCAGTATAGATTTCGTTACCTCTAGATACTCACTAGAATTCTCTAGACAGAGAAGAGCAGACATCCTTCAAAGAGCATAGATGACATCGTCCGGGGCTAGTGAAGGTAGTGAGTGTTGGGGGGTAAGTTGAGTAGAAGCCCTCTCATTTGACACTATTGGAACCTGTAGTTGGTTAGCGAATAAAAAAATTACAGCAGGGAGTCATAAAAGATTATATATATATGATATATATATGTATCTATGCATCATAAACTTTAAAATATTTTTATTGAAATATAATTGGCATATTTAAAGTGGACATTTAAAGGCATAATTATTTTTAATTTTTATTTCCTTTTTTAAAACTTTTAAGGCATATTTAAAGTTGCATATTTAAAGTGGACAATTTGGCTGGGCTTGATGGCTCATGCCTGTAATCCCAGCACTTTGGGAAGCCGAAGTGGGTGGATTACTTGAGGTCAAGAGTTTGAGACCAGCCTGGCCAACATGGCGAGACCCCATCTTTACTAAAAATACAAAAAGATTAGCCGGGCATTGGTGGTGGGTGCCTGTAATCCCAGCTACTTGGGAGGCTGAGGTAGGAGAATCGCTTGAACCCAGGAGGCGGAGGTTGCAGTGAACCAAGATTGCACCATTGTACTCCAGCCTGGGTGACAGAACGAAACTCCATCTCAAAAAAAGTACAAAAAAATAAAGCGGACAATTTGATAAATTTTGACACATTGTGCCCATAATACATCACAACAATCAAGATGGCAAACTTATCTATTCCAAGAGATTCCTCATTCCCTTCATGACACATCCTATTTTACCTGGTTTCTTTTACTTAGCATGATTATTTGAGATTCGTCTGATTGCTTTCTGAGTAGTATTTCATTGTATGTATTTGCCAAAATTTGTTTATCCATTAATCTGCTGATGGACATTTGGGTTATTGATACATTTTGGCTATTCGAACTGAAGCTGGTGTAAGCATTTGTGATTAAGTCTTTGTATGAACATGTGTTTTCATTTATTTTGGGTAACTACCTAAGAGTGGAATGATTGGATCTTACAGTAGGTATATGTCTTAACTTTTTAAGAAACTAACAAACCAGTTTTGTTTTCCAAAGTGGTGGTAGCATTTTGCATTCCCACTAGCAGTATATGATGGTTCCGGTTTTTCTACATCCTCACTAACATTTGGTATGGTCAGTCTTTTTAATTTTGTCCATTCTAGTGGATACATAGTAGTATTTCGGTGTGTTTAATTTACATTTCCCTAATGATTAATGATGTTCAGCATCTTTTAATTTATTTGCTGTGTGTCTATCTTTGGTTAAGTGTCCCTAAATTTGAAGTATTCAAAAAATTTATCCATTTAAAAAAAATGGGGGCCAGGCACAGTGGGTCACACCTGTAATCCCAGCACTTTGGGAGGCTGAGGCAGGCAGATCACTTGAGGTCAGGAGTTCGAGACTAGCCTGGCCAACATCATGAAACCCCATCTCTACTAAAAATACAAAAATTAGCTGGGTGTGGTGGTGCGCACCTGTAATCCCAGCTATTCTAGAGGCAGAGACAGGAGAATCATCTGAACCCGCGAGGTGGAAGTTGCAATGAGCCGAGATCACACCACTGTACTCCAGCCTGGGCAACAGAGTGAGACTCCGTGTGAAAAAAAAAAAAAAACAATTAAATTGGGTTGTCTGTCTCCTTATTTTGAGTTGTAAGAATTATTTAGGCCAGGCACGGTGGCTCACGCCTATAATCCCAGCACTTTGGGAGGCCAAGGTGGGCATATCACGAGGTCAGGAGATCGAGACCATCCTGGCTAACACTGTGAAACCCCATCTCTACTAAAAATACAAAAAATTAGCCGGGTGTGGTGGCATGTGCCTGTAGTCCCAGCTACTTGGGAGGTTGAGGCAGGAGAATCGCTTGAACCCAGGAGGTGGAAGTTGCAGTGAACCGAGATCACGCCATTGCACTCCAACCTGGGTGACAGAGGACAGAGCAAGACTTGGTCTCAGAGAAAAAAAAAAAAAAAAAAAGATTTATATAGTCTAGGCACAAGTCCTTGAACAAATATAAAATATTTTGTCTCAGTCTGTGGGTTGCCTTTTCATGTTCATGATCATGGTTTTTGAAGAGAAAAGGGTTAAGATTTTGATGAAGTCTAATATGTTGATTTTTAAATAGTTTGTGCTTTTGGTGTTGTGTTTAAGAAATCTTGCCATACCCAAGGCCACAAAGATATTCTAAGTTTTTTTTCTAGAGGTTTTGTAGTTCTGGCTCTTACACTGAAACCTATGATCCATTTCATGTTAAATTTTTATATGGTACGAGATAAAGTTTATGGTTTCTTTATTTTTTACATATGATTATCCAGGTATCCAGCACCATTTGTTGAAAAAGATTGTCCTCTCCCCATTTAACTGTCTTGTCACCTTTGCAAAAATCAACTGGCCATATACGTATGAATCCATTTCTGGATTGTCTTCTGTTCCAGTGATTGATTTGTTTATATTTCAATACTACACCACCTTCATTACTATAGCTTTATACTAAGTCTTGAAATCAGGTAATGTTTGAGTCCTTTGTTTTTTTCTAATGTTCTTTTCTTTGAGTATAGATGCTCTGTAGTTCTGTGTCTAAATTTTACCTATAATGCACCATTTCCATTTTTAGTTTCTTTAAAATAGAGTAAGAATTTAAAAACATGTATAAAGCCATCAGAATGCAGAATACTTCTAGGTGTTTATAATTTCTCCATCTGATTTTTGACACATTTCTTGCCCATACCTAACTCAACTGCAGTTTTTTTACCTTTTTAAGCAATTCACTTTTGAGTCTTTCCGAAACACTCAACTTTGTTTTCCTTGAATATTTTTTGTTTTTACACTAGATTTCAAAGGTTCACATAATAAGTGCTTAGATTGCCAGGCGCGGTGGCTCACGCCTGTAATCCCAGCACTTTGGGAGGCCGAGGTGGGCGGATCACAAGGTCAGGAGATCGAGACCATCCTGGCTAACATGGTGAAACCCCGTCTCTACTAAAAATACAAAAAATTAGCCGGGCGTGGTTGAAGGCGCCTGTAGTCCCAGCTACTCGGGAGGCTGAGGAAGGAGAATGGCGTGAACCCGGGAGGCGGAGCTTGCAGTGAGCCAAGATCCCACCACTGCACTCCAGCCTGGGTGACAGAGGGAGACTCCGTCTCAAAAAAAAAAAAAAAAAGTGCTTAGATTATATTATTATAATCACGTTATAACTGGAATAAACTGGTTTGGAAACAAATACGACTCAAATTGGTGGGAGCAGAAGTCCATATTCTGGAGAGGGAGTAGGATAGCAAAGCTTTTCTTGTATTGTTTCATCTATCTTTGAAGGAAAAGAAAACTTTTTGCCCCCTCAAACAATTGAAGCTGATTCCCAGTTTGGTGATGAAGTGGATGTTGGTGCTTCATCAGATCTGAATTAGCAAGAGTATTGGTTCCCAAACTTTCTGGTAATCATAATCTGGGGAGTACATATTGTATGATCCTATTTATATGAAATTCTGGAAAAAGCAACACTATAGGGAGAGAAAATAGATAAGTGGTTGTTAGAGATTGAGGAACAGATTGACTAAAAAGGGCTTGCATGTGGGAATTTTTAGGGTGAAACTATTTTGTATGGTACTGTGATGGTGGATACGTTTGTCTACAAACTTGTCAAAATCCATAGAACAATACATCACAAAGTCTGAACTTTTTTCAAGTTTTGCCAAAAAATAAATCTCTATTGAGGATGTCAAGGGGATCTCAGAATGGAATGTGGACTATGACAAATGACACCAACTGTATTACAAATTTATGACATAACCTCACTGAGCTAGAGACAAAAAGAACTGTATAGGAACACTGTACTCTGGTTGGTAAATGTTTCTTACAGGGGTACAGGTTGTCTATTCTGTAACTGCATCTATACTAGGCTTAAACAAATAAGTAAATATAGATAATCATGGCCAGCTATCTCACTGTTAGAAAAAGAAATTACAAATATGCAAAGGAGAAATGCAGGAATGAACCCTGTGGTGCTGGATTGGAGTTGGAGATATCAATATGAACTCATGTCTACACAGGTAGTTATGGAAGTAAATATAGACATGTATGTCTATATAAATGTAAATGTATATATAAAGATACAGTGCATATGTTTATACATGGGTTAGTATACCCATGTACATTTTTAGCTCTGTACAGGCCTAGAAAGAATGATCCTTCAGTAGCAACAAGCATACATAGCACTCATGTCTTGGTCTCTACAATTCTTCAATAAAAGGGAACAAGGCTCTTTGGAGAAATGGTTGATTCCAGGGGCGGAGCAAAGAAAAAAAAAGTGATCCCAGAACATCTTAAGTGCCAGAAAGTAAGGAAGTGATAAGCAAACAAATGATCAAGCATGTAAAAGAGATACATGAAGCAACCTGAAAGAGGTCCCAATGGCAAAAGCTGAAATAATTTGAGCAGCAAAATAACAACAGATTATAAATCAAGGAATAAAATAAATATCCATGAGTGCACCCTGATGTAAATTATTGAATAAATAGCTGGAGAAGAAGGGGCAACTCTTTCATTTTTTTTTCTAAGTTTTTAATCCTCTCAGGGTACAGAAGGACAACTCTTAGAGAAGACTTCCAAATAATAAATGCAGAAAGAATGAAGGAAATAGGAAAATCACCATTCGAAAACCACTATAATAATTGCTACAACAGAAATCCACGATGAATACCTAAATTAGTGGGCAAAACTATAAGAAGAGATAGAATATTTGTGTAGCTTCAAAGTATCTTCCCTTAAATATATATTGATTATTATGGTGGTTTAAACATGTACCCAAAAGTTCATTGATACTCCTTCCTTCATAAGATAAAGCTTAATTTCCCTCTCCTGAGTGTGAGCTGGATTTAGTGACTTGCTACTAATGGATGGAGTATGGAAAAAGAAAATTAGCAACTCTATTGCGGAGAAACGTAGCATATAACACCTCAATCAAATGATCATGGTTAACATCACCAGTGATAAATCATGTCACATTTTCCTTAATCTGATGCAGTGAAGACATTTCATTCTGGTGTTCTTTCCCCGAGTCTAACCATGAGTAAACAAACACCAGGCAAATTCAAGTTGAGGGGTAGTCTACAAAATGCCTGATCAATATTCTTTTTTTTTTTTTGAGATGTAGTCTCACTCTTTCTCCTAGGCTGGAGTGCAGTGGCGCAATCTCGGCTCACTGCAACCTCCACCTCCCAGGTTCAAGCGATTCTCCTGCCTCAGCCTCCTGAGTAGCTGGGACTACAGGCGTGTGCTACTACGCCTCGCTAATTTTTGTATTTTTAGTAGATATGGGGTTTTGCCGTATTGGCCAGGCTGCTCTCAAACTCCTGACCTCATGATCCACCTGCCTCGGCCTCCCAAAGTGCTCACACCTGTAATCCCAGCACTTTGGGAGGCTGAGGCAAGTGGATCACTTGAAAGGCCAGGAGTTTGAGACCAACGTGGCCAACATGGTAAAAAACCCTGTCTCTACTAAAAATTAAAAAAATTACCTGGGTGTGGTGGTACACGCCTGTAATTCTAGCTACTCTCAAGGCTGAGGCAGAAGAATCGCTTGAACCCGGGAGGTGGAGGTTGCAGTGAGCCGAGATTCTGCCACCTCACTCCAGACTGAGCGACAGAGTGAGACTCCATCTCAAAAAAAAAAAAAAATGCTACTGATGTTATTTTGATTATCAGTGGAATTTGATTTGAGGACTACTGAACTGCAGAAATCAAGAGTGGAGGAAAAAAAAATTGATCTCATTTTTCCCTAAACTATGCATGTGAGATTAGCCATCATTAATTATAACTTTTTTTTTTTTTTGAGACAGTTTCGCTCTTGTTGCTCAGGCTGGAGTGCAATGGCGTGATCTCGGCTCACTGCAACCTCCGCCACCCGAGTTCAAGCGATTCTTCTGCCTCAGCCTCCCGAGTAGCTGGGATTACAGGCGCCTGCCACTATGCCCGGCTAATGTTTTTGTATTTTTAGTAGAGACGGGGTTTCACCATGTTGGCCAGGCTGGTCTCAAACTCCTGACCTCAGGAGATCCACCTGCCTCAGCCTCCCAAAGTGTTGGGATTACAGGCATGAGCACCGCGCCTGGCCAATTATGACTTTTAAAAGGAAAATATGTCCATTAATTTGAGAGCATGGACCAACGCAGTAGTGACATCAACTACTTCACTCACTTTCAGTCTCTTACCCTTGGCAGCCTCCTCCAATTGTTCATGGTGTTTTGGAACAGAGTGGTTGGTACCTAATGTGACAGTGGTCACTTAATTTTCAGTAGGTAGATGGCCTTGGGGCCCAAATTTCAGTGACTTGTTCAAAGGGAGGAAGCAAAGGAACTGAATGAGGAACTGACTTGGGCTCAGGAGTATGCATGTAGGCCTCCGTGAAAACATCTGAATGAACACAGAGTCCACTGTGGTCAAGAAATATAAAAATACTTAATGTGCTTGTGCCTCAAGCTTCTGCCATCAGGGACAGGTTTATTTGCTTTTATTTGTCTACTCTTAAGATCTATGCTTTGTTTTGCTTAGAGAATCAAGTTTAGCATTAATAAACACTAGTGTGTAAACTACATTTTCAGATGGGGCAGAAATGACCAGTTCCTTTGGTTTCATATCATCATATAAACATTTTTTTATTTTTTGAGACAGGGCCTCACTCTGTCACCCAGGCTGGAGTGCAGTGGCTGCTCTTATTTGTGGTTATGACTGTAAAATATAGGTAAATATAGGTAAGATCACTCAAATGCCTCAGGGTTATGAGTGCTTGGGGGAGAATGGGGTCAATGAGGTCCAAAACCATGACCTAGAAGTCATCTTGTCCTAAGTATTTTACCACTTGTAAGACAGCCAAGCTGTACATGAGGCGGGGGATCCTACTGGGAGATAAAGCATAATCAGAGCAGAAGTCTAGTATATGAGGCTCTTCTTCGATAGCAGAAGGAAGCTACCCTTTTATGTCCTCAAAAGGTCCCAGAGTGCTGTATTTCCTCGAGGAAGAAGGAGTATCAGATCATTACTACAATGGTTGAACTAGTTTACAGTCCCACCAACAGTGTAAACGTGTTCCTACTTCTCCACATCCTCTCCACCACCTGTTGTTTCCTGACTTTTTAATGATCGCCATTCTAACTGGTGTGAGATGGTATCTCATTGTGGTTTTGATTTGCATTTCTCTGATGGCCAGTGCTGATGAGCATTTTTTCATGTGTTTGTTGGCTGCATAAATGAACACTTGGACACAGGAAGGGGAACATCACACACCTGGGCATGTTGTGGGGTAGGGGGAGGGGGGAGGGATAGCATTAGGAGATATACTTAATGTAAATGACGAGTTAATGGGTGCAGCATACCAACATGGCACATGTATACATATGTAACAAACCTGCACGTTGTGCACATGTACCCTAGAACTTAAAGTATATTAAAAAAAAAAAAAAGAAGATCATTACTACAGAAGAGATCTTCCACCCTGTGGCAGAACTTCCTTTTATCCCATTCACGGATCTGGTTGCCCACGAAGCAGGCCTGCCATGAAAACATCTGAATGAGCATGCAGAGTCCATTATGGTCAAGAAATGGAAAAATACTTAGTTGTCATGTACATTAATTATTTTTCTTAAACCTTGGGGTAATAGTCCGGGGGCAGGCCTGCTTTTGGGGCCTGTGTTAACCCCACTGTGCTCCAAGCACAGAGAAACACGGTGCAGCCCACAATTCCTTCTGGTTTCTTGAACAAGTGTCTTCTCAGGACTCCTCTCAGTTCCTGAATTTCACAAAACTGCTACCGACGTTTTACCAGTTAGAAAAATGTCCAAAATAGGATAACCCAGAATTGGGGATGGTGGAGGGTGAGGAAAGTATGCTTTGCCAAGAGACCGACATCATGTACAGTGAGAGTAAAAGGAACGGGCTGTTTTACTGGCGAGTAGAAGTTGTTGACTAATGTCAAAGCAAGGAAAAGATTCAAGGATCCGCTATATCCGTGCTTATACTTGGCAAATCGCATTTCTCTGGTTCAGGGCACAATAAATTCCATCACTCCACAGGAAAGACTGCCCTACTAGAGTCAACTGCGGTTGTGGGCACTTTCGCTGACAAGCGAAAAGCCTTGAGGTAGGTGGATGCTCCCAGGAAACTCAGACGTCCGAAGTTCACGAGGAGTTGGGTCGTGAGAGGGGCCAGACCTCGATCCGCGGGGCGACAGCTGCAGTGTCGCGTCGCGAGCAGGAGCTTGGCGGCGTAGAGCGCCAGGGTGCCAACTTCGCTTCCAGGCCTGTGGGTTCCGCCCGGCGCGTGCTGCTGTCAGTCAACGCCCTCGGCCCGCCCCCGCCGAAGCTCCACCAATCGTAGCCGGGGGTCGGAGGTGAGGAGACGTCGCCGGGTGAGGAAGCGGGGGGCTAGCGGCCTGGCGCTGCGGCGACCGACCGGGGCGTCAGGATCCCTGGCCCCCGGAGAGCGAAGGGCGGGCGGGTCCCGGAGGTGAGTGCTGGATGTGGTCTGTGTGCGGACGTCGGGAGGGGCCGCTGCGGGCGGAGCGACCCATTGCCCGGCTCTGCCAGCGCGCTCCTAGACTGCGAAGCCCCTCCCTCCGCGCGCATCTGCTCCCGAGTCCCCAGCCCCGTGCTGATAGGTGCAGCCCCTGGAGTCGTGGCTGTGGGCATAGGTGCCAGGGAGGGGAGGCCCGGGTCGAAGGCATAGGCAGAATTGGAGCCCTGGGTTGCCAAAGCGTCGCAGCTAAGAAGCCGGAGCCCAGGCTAGTACCGGCGGGGCGGGGCGGGGCGGGGCCGGGAGCGAGCATCTCCATCCTCAGTTTCCTCCACTTGCGGCAACGCCACAGCTCGGTACAGTTCGGACCTCCACGCCGCAGCGAAAGACTTCTGTCCTCCAGGCACCTTCACTAACCCGGTGCGGAGCACTTGGCGACGCCTCCCTGCCCATCTCATATCTCTCGGCTCATCGCTGCTCTGGGCACCAGCTGCCTCTTGGCTGGCGCTGCTGTCACACGGTGGACTGTTCTGGCCTTACTGAGCTGCCGTTTGGGGACATCAGATTCAGGTCGTATGGGGAGAAACGAGTGTAACTTTACAAGGTGTGATATGGAGACCCTGGCCTGTTGCCCATTTCTGCCTGATCAAAGGCCACTAGGGTGGTAATAAGAGGGGTTCCGAGGCAGGATTTATGCAGCATTTGTGCAAAATTGTAAATTTTCTTTGCTTTTCATTATTTACATTAAAGGGGGATTGTTGCCACATTTCCTAAAGATAAAGAATCACACTGCTTTGGTGGGCCTCCCCGCTCCTCACTGTGGTTAATTATCATTTGGAACATCAGGATATATTTGAAACTGGCAGGACTCCCAGACCCTGATAATTGTTTGGAGGCAGCAGTATACTATTTCTCCGTAGTGTTTGGGTTCTGCTTTTCTTTGAATTTGTTTAGTATTTTTTTTTCCATGTCTGTTATCCTCACAATCTCTTTGGGGCCAATAGAGTGCTGTTATTTGTTACTGAGAAAGGAAACGAAGGGATAAATCACTGAAGTGGGGTTAGCCTTCCCCATTGCCTGGGAATTGGGTTGTCCTGACCTGACAATTTAAGTTACAATTCAAACATCATTTTGGAAAGGCCATCCTTTTACCAACTGAAACGAATAACAGTCCCTGGCCACTCTATACTAGTGGTTCTCCCACTTGGCTGTATGTTGTAATCATCTAGGGACCTTTTTAAAAAAAGCTACTTCTTGGGCCTATTCCTACAGATTCTGATTTAATTGTTTGAGTGGGGCCCAGTTGTTTGTATTTTAAAAAGCTTCCACGATGATTATTAATGTTCATGCAGGGTTGAGGACCACAACCTATCAATGTGTTCAATATTTAAAAAATAGCACTTAGTACAGTGTGACTTATATAACTGATTTTATTACTTCTCCACTTGCTATGTAACCTCCATGAATACATGGGGCCCTGCTTTGGAAGAAGGGCAAGGGAAGGTCCAGATGAGTCAGCACTTTGTGCATGTGAGGCTGCGGGACACGAAGGAGAAATGGAATCTGTGGAAACAAGTCCTGCAGACTACTGCCCCTGCTTCATCTTTTTTCAAGGATTGACCCTATTTGGTTAACCCATCATTGTTAGGGTCCTGGATGGGTCTCCAGTTCTTCATTCTGTAGATCCTGCCCTGTTTCAAGGTCTTACTCAGCATCCTATGAAATACAGCTACTCTTTGCAAAGTTTGAAATATATGCATTTAAGTGTAGATATTTTCCATGTAAATCTGTGCTTTTGTCTCTTACTATTGTTCTGAACTATATATTCTGAACTAAAGTTCCAGACACTTGCTGTGACTAGTACAGTTACATTTATTTGGCCAACAGGTCAGAGTAGTTAGGATAGGGACTGCCTCAGAAACTGGACAGTTTCTATGCAGTTGTCCTATAATATATTATCTTTGTGGAATGGTTGCCTGAGAACATTAGCTCCCCAGAGGATAGGGTTGCTGTCTGATTTTCTTTGTTTAATATTGAACTCAGGAATTTCATTTGTGTTACTGACAATTGTAATTCCAAATGATGTAAGTGACTGCTTTGTAATTCTCTTGTGAGATGGGGGTAGGAACCCTAATGGCAGTCTGGGGTTGTTGTCACAGGCCATAAAGAAGTTAGATTGGCCACTATGAGTCTTGGATATGGAAGTAGGCTTAATAAAAATTTGGCAGAACACTTCCAACAAATACTGGGTTCCACATGTAAGGCAGAGCATGCATTTAACTTTTTGCTTGTTCTTTGCACATATTATAAAAATAAAGCATGAGTAAGTGGTGGTCTGACATTTGAAAACAGGATCACTCAAGTTTAGATTCCTTGAATAATAACTTTTAGATCTGTACAGATACCCCTTTTTTCTGTAGGGGAAAACAAGATCATTGGATCATTGAACTAAATAATTATAATAGTTTTTAAGAAAAATAACATTTGGAGCTTTTATCTTTGGTTTATATTTTTTCACTTATATCGCTGTTTATAAAGTTTTGACCTTCAGCCAAGGTCTGAGAGTGATTTACCATGTTGAAGTTCATGTATTTAAATAGACTATTTAAATTACTGTTTTTTATTAGTAAGGAAAAGGAAACGTTCCTATGCCCACTCCTCCCACTATATCATGTATAACTCTCTTGCCTGTAAAATTGTACTCTTAATTTCTAATGTTTTTCTTTACTTCATTTTCAGTATCTTTAACCTTTATATCATATGCATATTTTTGTTTCAGCAAGAAGAATTGTATAGAAATGTAAAAAACATTTATGTGTGCTTCACATGTGGCATGAAAAAAATGAGGACCTCTGGTCAAAATTGCCTGAGTTCAGAATTTCATGCTGGAAGGAAAGTTAGACGTAACTTCTAATTTCTAGTTCCAGTAAGCATCTCTTCTTGGAAAATTTCCAAAAAAGGTAAATTACATTGAATTATATATTTTTATTTTTTTGGTTAATCTGAGGAACTTTTTTCTATAATCATTCCCTGCCAACACTGTTGTTCTTACTTGATTTTAAGGCTCCTTGCAAATAGCATTCCTGTTATAATGCGTAGGTTTTATGTTTATAGGAAAATACCAAAAACCTGTTACAGTTTTTTTTTTACACTACAATTACCTCATGCCGTGAAATAGTTTTCTTCTTTTACTTAAAAATCTTTCAGTTTAAGTTGAATTGATTTCACAGATGTGATTTAATGCTTTGTTTCTGCTATGTCTCATCTTTAATTTTTACTTTTAGAAATTGGTTTTATTCTTTATTTTATTTCATTTTTTTTTGAGACAGAGTCCTGCTCTGTTGCCCAGGCTGGAGTACATTGGTGTGATGATCATGGTTCACTGCAGCCTCGACCTCCCAGGCTCAAGCAATTCTCCTACCTCAGCCTCCTGAGTAACTGGGACTATAGGTGCGTACTACCATGCCCAGCTAATTAAAAAAAAATTTTTTGTGTGTGTGGAGTTGGGGGTCTCACTATCTTGCCTCAGCTAGTCTCAAACTCCTGGTCTCAAGCAAACCTCCTGTTTTGGCCTCCCAAAGTGTTGGGATTATTGGCGTGAGCCACCATGCCTGGCCCAGCTTTATTCTTTGTATTTGTGATTTTTATTTCCTGGTGAAAAATTAGGACATACAGATAAAGGAGAAAACAAAAACTGCCAAGAGGTGACAACTATTAAAATTTTAATATATATCTTTTCTTTTTTTTTTGAGACGGAGTCTCGCTCTGTCACCCAGGCTGGAGTGCAGTGGCGTGATCTCCGCTCACTGCAAGCTCCGCCTCCCAGGTTCACGCTGTTCTCCTGCCTCAGCCTCCCGAGTAGCTGGGACTACAGGCACCCGCCACCACGCCCAGCTAATTTGTTGTATTTTTAGTAGAGACAAGGTTTCACCATGTTAGCCAGGATGGTCCCGATCTCCTGACCTTGTGATCCGCCTGCCTCGGCCTCCCAAAGTGCTGGGATTACAGGCGTGAGCCACTGCACCTGGCCTGGTATATATCTTTTCAAAGAGAGGTCTGTCTAGTGTGCCTCACGCAACATCTATTTAGGTGTACAAATGGGTCTCTCAAATGTCAGTGCTCTACTTACAGCACAGAGTCAGGTCTTTTCCTGGCACAATCCTCCTAAATTATTGTCAGTAGAAGCCTCTAGCTGGGAGGGACTTCTTGCATTGCTGCCTCTGGTCCTGTAGTTCTTTTGCTTTAGAGTCTCCTGCCCTTGCCTTCTTTCTGCATCACTGACAGCTGTGTGCTGCTGCTGCCTGGCTGAACCACACTGATGTCCTTTAAATGGCTAGTGTCCACACAATGCATGACCACACCTGCCTATGGTGCAACTAAATTCCTGTGGACTACCATCTTTGGTCTTTTCCCTCTCTGGCCATTGTGGAAACCTGATTTTTTTTTTATGGACAACTTTTTGAGAAGGATTTCAATGGCAGAACAGTTGGGACCCTGATGACAGAGTTATCCTCTATTTTACAGCCAGTTTCTTCCAAGAAGTTATAGACAGTTTGAGGTGGATGAGTGTCTGGATATTGGAGAGAGGAGGTGTCAGGAAATGGAGAAGCACAGTCTTTCACATTTCCTGGCATCCCTGTGGAGGTGGCCAGGACTGGTGGATTTATTTCTCCTTAAGAAGGGGCTGACATCTTGTCTAATATGAGTGTAAGCTTTTCAAGGGGAATTTCTGGCACTTAGTACAGTGTGTGGTATAGCGTAGGCCTCCATAATTATTTGTTGCATAGATTGTTGAATCATTGTGTACCATGTAAAGAACTAAGTACCTTGAGCAAATCAGAAAAGTATAATGCAGTATCATTAAGTTGCTTTTCTCTGATATATGGTTTTTTAAAAAAATACAGTCATAATTGGTATAGTCTAGTTTGAGAGATAAGAAATACAAATAGAGGGAGCATGAGGGAGAAAAAAATACAAATAGAGATCAGCAGAGAAGTGAAAATAATAAGTGCTATGGGAACTCTGAGGATGGAGAGCTTGTTGGAATGGCTCACCCTTGTCTCCTTTGTGAAGCTGATTGGCATTGTCATTGTGGTTGGGACTGGTTCAGACAGGTGAGGCAGAGGAGTGAGAGAATGGGGGCTTGCCAGGTCCAACACAAAGTGGAGGGGAGAGTTGATGCAGCTGAGTTATTCTGAGATACTCTGCACCATGATTTTGTACCCTTTCTGCCTTTATTTCTGTGTCCTGCCCTTCATGGAAAGTCTCCCTGGGGATAGAATACTAGGACATTTTCTGTTTACCTGTATCAAAATGGCAAGTGGAAAGAGCATTTGAATTTGTTACGTGGGAGAACAGTTAGGCACTGCTGACTCTGAAGTCCTCTGCCTCTAGCAGGTGTGATGAAGGATTTTGGGATCCTGTTACCCATTTTTCAAGCTTGACTTTCCTCTCCCACATCTTCCAGGCAGGTGTGTGTCTTCCTGTGCCTTATCATGTAGCTGAGGGAGCATCAGGACCACATATGTGGTGGGGAGAGCTGGAAACCTAAAGAGTGTGTCGCGTCTCCTGCCATACCTCTGTATGAGAGGGGTAGCACTTCTTGTTTGCCAGAGAATGTCAGGATGCTTTGCACAGTATCCCAGAGCTCTTCATGAAAACAGTTTCCTCTTCATGTTCTTTAAGTGTAATTAATGTAGCAGTGTTACATAACTTAAAGGGAAGGGGAAGGGAAGTGATTTTATTGACTGAGGTCTCTGTAGAAATTTAGCAGTTACTTTTATTTCACAATTTCTGAGTTTGAAGACATACTTCCTTACTTTCTTAAAAGTTAAAACCTAAATAGGCAATAGGGGAAATATTGTATTTACACGGAAGCCTGACACTGGGAAAGGAAACTTTGAGGAGATTGTCTGGAAATGAAAAGACGTTACTGTGCTCTGGCTCTTTGCTTTCTCCTTGTGACTTTGGGCCTTAGATAAGGTTAAGGAAGAGGAAATGTGATGTTTTTCCTCTCACCCCACCCTAGGCCATTGCAATTGGTGATGTTCTCTCATCTCTCCTCTTTGAAGGATTTCTTTGAAGAAAAATGTGCTTCTTGAATCAACTGCAGTCTCTCCTCTGCATAAGAGCTCTTAAGGGTACTAGCAGGATAGAAGCAAATGAAACTGAAAGCTCATCTGCAGCTCAGAAAAGCAAAGACATGGAATTTTAAAGAGTGAAGGTAGCATGGTGTCGGCCATGGGTGAACAAGACACAGCCAGACAATGTGGACCAATTTCTTCAAACTACGGCTTTTCTGCTGTCTGCTTGCAGTGTTGATGGTGGTGGTGCTGGTCATCAATGTTACTCAGGTAGAGGTGAGTACCCAGTATAATCCCTCATAACTAAGGGAGCCGAGTCTGGGGATCTGGGGCTAACTAGCCTGGGAAAACGTTGGTTATCGGAAGATTATCGTAGTCACAGTTCTTGTTTTCATTTATTCGGTAAGTATTTGCGTGCTCACAATGGTTATATACGCTGCTAGTCACCGAGGGTACAGTGAAGACATTTCTTCACTTACAGGCCTTTCTTTCTAGTGCTCACATAATAAGTGTGCATGGAAGAAAAGTAGTAGTAATCATAATCACATAATAATAGTAACGATAATTGGACATTGTGAAAAGTGCAAAAAGGAAAGGGAGCTATTCTAGGATACCTTTAGAGTGATGAAGGAAAAACCTCTTCAAGGAGGGGACCTTTCAGTCAACCCATGGAAAAAAGCTGAAGGAGTATTTCAAGGGAGGGAGTAGATGAGTCTGTGTTGGAGATTACTAGATGGTACTCAGGGACCATGTCTTACTGAATCCCTCACAAGGGCCTGTCACTAAGAAGGTACTTAGTAGTGTTCCTTCTTCCCTGTCCCCAGCCCCAACATGAACTCATATAACCAAAATTTATGGTGGAGTTTCTGTATAAAGGATGCTGTCCTTTTGTTTTGTTGGCTTGTGGTACTTCTCAGATTACATATCCAACTTAATTATGGCATTTCTTTTCTTATTGGGTTTTATTAGCCTAAGGTGCTCTAAAAGCTAAGCCATAGGCTTTTAAAAAAATTTCTCCTGCTGGAATCAACTTTGTGGTTTTTAGCAGAACACCTAATCTCTCTGTGAAATGGGCACACTAAGGTCCTACAGATCTTTTCCTGTGCGCTGTGAGTAAAATTTGTTTGGTACTATGGAGAATGTGAAGTAATTCTGTTAAAGATTCTGTTAAAGATTTCCTATTAGAAATAGGCTTAAGGCATAAAAGCTAAGTATTTCTTCTTCTTTTTCTTTGCTTAAACTGTTCTTGTGTGTTTTACTATATAAGATACTACCAATCCTACACCGATAGTTCCTTTTACCTGGAAGCTGTTGATGATGTGTCTAGATATTTTAGAAACTCTTTTTTTAAAGTATTTTTTGTGGTAAATAACTAACATAGAATTTGTCATTTTAACCATTTTTAGGTGTACAATTGAGTAGCATTAAGTACATTCACATTGTTGTGCAATCACCCCACCATCTATGTCTAGAACTTTTTCATCTTCCCAAACTGCAGCTCTTTACCCATTAAACAGTGATTACCTAGGTCAGGCGCAGTGGCTCACACCTGTAATCCCAGCACTTTGGGAGGCTGAGGTGGGAGGATCCCTTGAGGTCAGGAGTTCAAGACCAGCCTGGTCAACCTGGTGAAACCCCGTCTCTACTGAGAATCACTTGTACCTGGGAGGCAGAGGTTGCTGTGAGCTGAGATCATGCCACTGCATTCCAGCTTGGGCTACAGAGGGAGACTGTCTCAAAAAAAAAAACACAACAAATCCAAAAAACAATGATTACCCATTCCTGCCTATCCCCTGCCCCTGGCATTCACTCTTCTACTTTGTGTCTCTATGAACTTGACAACTCTAAGTACCTTATACCAGTGGAATCAATCATATGATATTTGTCCTTTTTTTGTTTGTTTGTTTGTTTGAGACAGAGTCTCGCTCTGTTGCCCAGGCTGGAGTGCAATGGCACGATCTTGTCTCACTGCAACCTCTGCCTCCTGGGTTCAAGCGATTCTCATGCCTCAGCCTTCTGAGTAGCTGGGATTACAGGCGTGTGCCACCACGCTTAGCTAATTTTTGTATTTTTAGTAGAGATGGCGTTATGCCATTTGACCAGGCTGGTCTTGAACTCCTGACCTCAAGCGATCCTCCCACCTTGGCCTTCCAAAGTGCTGGGATCACAGGTGTGAGCCATGAAGCCTGGCCTGGTATTTGTCTTTTTGTGATTGGCTTATTTCTGTTAGCATAACGTCCCCAAGGTTCACTCATGTAGCATGTATCAGAATTTCTTTTCTTTTTAAGGCTGAGTAATACTTCTCTGTCTACACATAGACGGAGGAATATTATTCAACCTTAAAAAGGAAGGAAATTCCGATAGATGCTACAGCATGTACATACATACCACATTTTGTTTATCCATTCATCTGACATTTGGGTTGTTTCTACCTTTTGGCTATAATGGATAACAAGTATTTCTTCAAGACTCTGCTTTTAATTCTTTGGAATAGGTACCCGCAAATGGAATTGCTGGATTATATGGTAATTTTAATTTTTTGAGGAACCACCATATTATTTTCCATAATAGCTGCATCATTTTTTATCCTTATCAACAGTACACAAGGGTTCCAATTTCTTTGCATCCTCGCCAGCACTTGTCATTTTGTTTTGTTTTTTTGATAGTAGCCTTCTTTGTGGATGTGAGGTAATGTATAACAGTAGTTTTAATTTGCATTGCCATAATTATTAATGATGTTGAGCATCTTTCTATCATGTGCTTTTGGATAAATATCCAATTCCGGTACTCACTGTTTAACGGAGTTGTTTGTTTGTTTTTTGTTGTTGTTGAGTTGTAGGAGTTCTTTATGTGTTCTGGATATTCACTCCTTATCAGACATATGATTTGCAAATATTTTCTCCCATTCCATAGGTTGCTTTTTCACTCTGATTTTGTCCTCTGATACATAAAAATTTTTACTTTGGATGTAGTCCAGTTTATCTGTTTTGACTTTTGTTGCCTGTGTATTTGGTGTCATATCCAAGAAATCATCACCAAATTCAATGTTGTAAGACCTTTCCTCTGTGTTTTCTTCTAAGAGTTTTATAGTTTTAGCTCTTACGTTTAGGTCTTTGATCTACTTTGTTATCCTTTAAAAAAATTGTGATGAAAACACATAAAATTTGGTATCTTAGTTATTTTTAGGTGTACAGGTCAGTAGCATTAAGTCTTTTTTTTTGAGACGGAGTCTTGCTCTGTTGCCCAGGTTGGAGTGCAGTAGCATGATCTCGTCTCACTGCAACCTCCTCCTCCCAGATTCAAGTGATTCTCTTGCTTCAGCCTCCCGAGTAGCTGGGATTACAGGCGTCTGCCACCATGCCCAGCTAATTTTTGTATTTTTAGTAGAGATGGGGTTTTGCCATGTTGGCCAGGCGGGTCTTGAACTCTTGACCTCAGGCGATCCACCCACCTCGGCCTCCCAAAGTGCTGGGATTACGAGCATGAGCCACCATGCCTGGCCTCAGTAGCATTAAGTCTTATTTACATTGTCTTGGAATAGATTTCCAAAACCCCTTTTATCTTTTTAATATCTGTAGAATTGTGTTTATCTTATTACTCCTGATCACTCTGACCAGAGATTTGTGTTTTATTGATCTTTTTGAAGAACCAGCTTTTGATTTCATTTTCTGTATTTTTTCTGTTTTTTTGTTTGGTCAATTTCCATTCTGATCTTTATTATTTCCCTTCTTCTGTTTACTTTGGATTTAATTGTCTCGTCCTAGTTTCTTAAAGTGATAGCTAAAGTCATTGTTTTGAGATCTTTCTTTTCTAATTAAATGTTTAATGCTATAAATTTTCTTCTACAAGGCTGGGTGTGGTGGCTTAGGCCTGTAATCCCAGCACTTTGGGAGGCTGAGACAGGAGGATCACCTGAGGCCAGAAGTTTGAGACCAGCCTGGGCAACATAGTGAGACCCCATCTCTACAAAAAATTTTGAAAAATTAGGTGAGTGTAGTGGTGTGTGCCTGTTGTCCTAGCTACTTGGGAAGCTGAGACGGGAGAATCCCTTGAGCCCAGGAGTTTGACTTTATGGTGAGCTATGATCATGTCACTGCACTTCAGCTTGGGCAGCAGGGTGAGACCCTGTCTCTAAAAAAATAAAAATAAAAATAATAAAAAATGTATTTCTATATACTGCTCTAATGTATACCACACATTTAGATATTGTTCTCATTTTCATTTTCATTCAGCTGAATTACATTCTAATTTCCCTTTTTCTTTTCTTTAACCCATGTGTTATTTAGGTTTTTTTTGGCGACAAATTTTCACTCTGTCACCTAGGCTGGAGTGCAGTGGCATGCTCATGGCTCACTACAGCCACAACCTTTGGGCTCAAGTGATCCTCCCACCTCCCCCTCCCAAGTAACTGGGACTACAGGTGTCTGCAACCATGCCCAGCTAATTTTTTATGTTTTTGCAGAGATGGGGTCTCACTATGTTGTCCAGGCTTTTTTCAAACTTCTGGACTCAAGCGATCCTCCTGCCTAAGCCTCCCAAAGTGCTGCGAATACAGGTGTGAGCCACTGCATCCAGCCCCATATATTATTTAGAAGTGTTATTTAACTTTCAAATATTTAGATATTTTGCAAATACCTTTCTGTTATTGATTCCTCATTTAATTCCCCTGAGAGCATACTTTGTATTACTTGAATTCTTTTAAAACATTATTGAGATTTGTTTATGGCACAAAATATGGTCTATTTTGGTATATATTCTATGTGTACTGGAAAGGAATGCATTCTGCTTTTATTGCATGGAGTATTCTATAAATGTCAGTTAGATCAACATGGTTCATGGTGTTGGTTGTCTTCTGTATATCTTTACTATTTTCTGTCTACATGCTCTATCAGTTATTGAAAGGAGAATATTGAAGTCTCTCACTATAATTGTGAATTTGTCTATTTCACCTTGCATTTCTGTCAGTTTTCACTTCATGTGTTGTGAAATTCTGTTCTTAGGTACATAAATGTTTAGAATTGTGTCCTCTTGATGAATTTAGTTGCTTTATCATCATGAGTTGGCCTTCTTCATGCTTGGTAAAATTCTTTGCTCCGAAATGTACTCTGTATGATATTATATAACCACTCTAGCTTTCCTTTGTTTGCTGTTAGCAAGTATATCTTTTTCCATAATTTTATTATTTTTTATTTTTTTTGAGACAGGGTCATGCTCTGTAGCCCAGGCTGGAGTGCAGTGGCATGACCATGGCTCACCACAACCTCTGTCTCGCGGGCTCAAGTGATCCTCTCCTCTCAGCCTTCTGAGTAGCTGGGACAACAGGTGTGCGCCACCACGTCTGGCTAATTTTTTGTATTTTCTTTTTAGATACGGGGTTTCGCCACATTGCCCAGGCTGGTCTTGCACTCCTGGGCTCAAGTGATCCAGCTGCCTTGGCCTTCCAAAGTGCTGGGATTACAGGTGTGAGTCACCACACCCAGCCAGTTATTATTTTTTAAACCTACTTGTGTTTTTATATTTATTTATTGAATTGTATTTTTTTTAAAACTTTCATTTTAGGTTTGGGGGTACATGTAAAGGTTTGTTACACAGGAAAGCATATGTCAGTGGGGGTTTGTGTACATATTATTTCATCACCCAATTATTAAGCCCAGTACCCTCTCTGCTCCTCTCCCTCCTCCCACTGTCCTCGCTCAAGTAAACCCCAGTGTCTGTTGTTTCCTTCTTTGTGTTCATAAGTTCTTATCATTTAGTTCCCACTTACAAGTGAGTACATGCCGTATTTGGTTTTCTGTTCCTGTGTTAGTTTGCTAAGGATAACAGCCTACAGCTCCATCCATGTTCCCACAAAAGATATGATCTCTTTCATTCTTATGGCTGCATAGTATTCCATGCTGTATATGTAATATAAGATTTTCTTGCATTTTCTTATATTTTTTATGGAACATAAGATTTTCTTTATCCAGTCTGTTATTTATTTATTTATTTTTGGGTCAGAGTCTTGCACTGTCACCTGGGCTGGAGTGCAATGGCACGATCTCTGCTCACTGCAACCTCCGCCTCCCAGGTTCAAGTTATTCTCCTGCCTCAGCCTCCCAAGTAACTGCGATTACAGATGTCCACCACCACGTCTGGCTAATTTTTGTATTTTTAGTAGAGACATGGTTTCACTATATTGGCCGGGCTGATCTCGAACTCGTGATCTGCCTGCCTCAGCCTCCCAAAGTGCTGAGATTACAGGTGTGAGCCACCACGCCCGGCCTTATCCAGTCTGTTTTTGATGGGCATTTAGGTTGATTCCATGTCTCTGCTGTTGTGAATAGTGCTGCAGTGAACATTTGCATGCATGTGTCTTTATGGTAGAATGACTTCTATTCCTCTAGGTATACACTCTGTAATAAGATTGCTGGTGGAATCGTAGTTCTGCTTTTAGGTCTTTGAGGAATTGCCATAATGCTTTCCACAATCGTTGAACTAATTTACGCTCACACCAACACTGTATAAGTGTTCCCTTTCCTCTTCAACATTGCCAGCATCTGTTATTTTTTGACTTTTTAATAATAGCTATTCTGACTGGTGTGAGATCTCACTGTGGTTTTGATTTGCATTTCTCTAATGATCAGTGATATTGAGCTCTTTGGCCGCATGTGTGTCTTCTGAGAAGTTTCTGTTCATGTCCTTTGCCCATCTTTTAATGGGGTTGTTTCTTGTAGATTTTGTTTCAGTTCCTCATAGACACTGGATATTAGACCTTTGTCAGATGCATAGTTTGCAAATATTTTCTACCATTCTGCAGGTTGTCTGTTTACTCTATTGATAGTATCTTTTGCTGTGCCAGAGCTCTTAAGTTTAATTAGATCCCAGTTGTCAATTTCTGCTTTTGTTGCAATTGCTTTTGGTGTTTTTGTCATGAAATCTTTGCCCATTCCTATGTCTGGGATGGTATTGCCTAGGTGGTCTTCTAGGGTTTTTACAGTTTTGGATTTTACATTTAAATCTTTAATCCATCTTGAGTTGATTTTTGTATGTAGTGTAAGGAAGGGGTCCAGTTTCAATTTTTTGCATATGGCTAGCCAGTTATTCCAGCACCGTTTATTGAATAGGGAGTCTTTTCCTCATTGCTTGTTTTTGTCACCTTTGTTGAACATCAGATTGGTCATAAATGTGTGGCCTTGTTTCTGGATTCTCTATTCTGTTTTGTTGGTCTCTGTGCCTGTTTTTGTACCAGTACTATTCTGTTTTGGTTACTGTTGCCTTGTAGTATAGTTTGAAGTCAGGTAACATGATGACACCAGCTTTATTCTTTTTGCTTAGGATTGCCTTGGCTATTTGGGCTCTTTTTGGTTGCATATGAATTTTAAAATAGTTTTTTTCTGGTTTTGTGAAGAATGTTGTCAGTAGTTTGCTAGGAATAGCATTGAATCTGTAAATTGCTTTGGGCAGTATAGCCATTTTAATTATATTGATTCTTCTTATTAATGAGCATGGAATGTTCTTCCATTTGTTTGTGTCTTCTCTGATTTATTTGAGTAGTGTTTTGTAATTCTCATTTTAGAGCTCTTTCACCTCCCTTGTTAGCTGTATTCATGAGTATTTTATTCTTTTTGTGGCAACTGTGAATGGGATTGCCTTTCTGATTTGGCTCTCAGTTTGGCTGCTGTTGATGTATAGGAATGCTGGTGATTTTTGTACATTGTTTTTGTATTCTGAAACTTTGCTGAAGTTGTTTATTAACTAGAGGAGCTTTTGGGCTGAGATTATGGGTTTTTCTAAATATAGAATCATGTCGTCTGCAAACAGAGATAGTTTGATTTCCTCTCTTCCTATTTGGATGCCCTTTATTTCTTTCTCTTGCCTGATCCTCTGGCTAGGATTTCCAATGTTGAATATAAGTGGTGAGAGGTGACATGCTTTTCTTGTGCTGGTTTTCACGGGGAATGCTTCCAGCTTTTGCTCATTCATGTTGTCTGTGGTGTTTTTATATTTAAAACAGGTTTCTTCTAGCTAGCATGTAATTGGATCTTGTTTTTTATCTAATCTGACAATCTCTGCCTTTTAGTTGGGGTGCTTAGCCTGTTTACATTTAATATATTTTTTGAAAGCATTATGGTTACATCTACCATTTTGCTGTTTGTTTTTTATTTGTCCCACCTCTTCTCTATTCCCCTTTTTCCTTTTTTTCTGCCTTTTTTTTTTGTATTAATTGACAAGGTCTTTTTTTTTTTTTTTTTTTTTTTTTTTTTATCTGTGCTTTTCCAGTCTGGCTGGTAGGAAGTACTATTCCTGTATAAACTCAGGTTATTGTTTTTATTTTTATTTTTATTTTTGCTTTCAGTAGTTCTCTCCCCAGCCTCCAATAGTTTCTTTATACACATATGCTTATCATCGCTCTGTTGAATACTTGAGTGGGACTGTCTGTAGATCTCCTGAGTTATTTTTCTTCACAGTTGTTTTGCTTTCCTGTGAATTATAATCACCATGGTCTTTAAGACTCTCAGCCTCATCTCCTTGCCTTGGGTGCTTTGCCATGCTCCACCGGGGCTCCTCTTCCTGTGCTGCAGCCTGGAAACTCTCTCAAGACACTAAGCTAAGGACAGTCCTTGGGCTCATCTCGTTTGTTTACTGTCTCTCAGGCATCACTGTGTTTTATTGTCTGATGCCTAGTGTCTGGAAAACCATTGTTTCATGTATTTTGCCTTTTTTTTTTTTCAGTTGTTTCATGTGAGAGGCTAAATCGCATTACTGTTTCTCTATCTTTGCTGGAAGTGGAAGTTTGAGGGACTTGAATTTGTGGGGAAAGAGATTATAGAGAAGCTGAAGGGGGGAGGAGAGGATGAGATCTAGAGCACAGATGGAGCATATAACCTTTTATAGGACAAGGAGCATGAGTATATTGTGAGTATTCTTGTTATTTTATTAACTACATAGGAGGAGCCGTGTTCCTTCCTCTGACCTAAGAGGGAAAGATATCCTGATGGTTGGCAATGCAGATACATTTGCTTAGAGGGTAGGACATTCAGGGAGTTTCTGGCTGTGAAGAAGATGGAAGGTAGGAGGGTAGAGCCCAGGAGGTTTGTGTGGGACTTGAAATAATGGTTTTCTAGATGGAGTTCGAAATAATGGATTTCTAGATGGAGTAGGATGGCAGAGGGACAATAAATTTCAAGACCTTAAGTGTGCATGGCACTTACTGCATTGGTTTTGTGAATGTGTGTGTTAATTTTATCATATTCAACACACAAAGTATTATAATAGACAAAAAAAGATAGTTGTGTAGTTCTTGGGTAGAGAAGGAGGAAGGTAAAGGGAGAGACAGAGAGACTTGAGAGGGTAGGCTGCAGTCCCACATCAGTAATGTTATAACAGTCAGGAAGGAATGTTAGAAAATTATTCTTTTGTTCTACTTTAGTTCTTGGAAACTTCCGTACTTAATGCCAGCTAAAGGCTCTAATTATTTGAACGAACTAACTCTTCTCTACTGAATGGAGAAGGCAGGTATCAATATTGAATAAACAGTTGTGATATTGAAAATCAGATGCGTCTTTTAGTGGAGTGAGCTATAAGCATTTTCACCTGTCTGAAGAGGTCATCTTGTCCAGCATGATACTGTTGTCATGAATTTTAAGCTACTTATTACTGTGATGATAATTGATAAAGAAGCTTGGAGTAAATGGAGAAAAGGCTCTGGCTCTGAAATTTGTCAGTCTCTCACTCTCTAATCCCTTTCCATACTATGCTTCTGACACTCACTATACTCTTATGATTGGAGTATCTTATCAGTTTCTAAAACGCAGACTCAATTGTAATGAAAAATATTACATAAGCTGGGCACAATGGCTCATGCCTGGATTCCTAGCACATTGGGAGGCCCAGGTGGGCGGATCATCTGAGGTCAGGAGTTTTGAGACCAGCTTGGCCGACATGGCGAAACCCCCGTCTCTACTAAAAATACAAAAAAGCTGGGCGTGGTAGCGGGTGCCTATAATCCTAGCTACTCGGGAGGCTGAGACATGAGAATCACTTGAATCTGGGTGTCAGAGGTTGCACTGAGCTGAGATTGCACCACTGCACTTCAGCCTGGGCAACAAAGTGAGACTTATCTAAAAAAAAAAAAAAAAGCAGTCCATATTATGAGAAGGGGGTATTTGTAACAATATCTAGCAAAAGATTGGAGGGAGAATTGCAGTCTTTTATTTCTCCGATAAACTCTCATTGAGCAAGTTCTGTATTTTTTTTCTTTTGCCTTATTCATTGATATTTTAGATATGTATTATAACACCTGTGTATTAGGGCTTTGGGCTTCAGGTAAAGATGCCCAATTCAAGCTAATGGTAATATATATTACTCATTTGAATAGAAGTCAGTAGATAGGTTGGGCATAGTTCTTTTGGGAATCAGCCTCTGTTTGTCTGTAAGCCTCTTAACTGTGCCTTCTTTTGTGTGTTACCTTTCATCTATGGCATCCTCCTTCATGGTTGATTGTAGGATGGCTACCAGAGCAATGGCGTTTTTGCTTTCTTGTACATGCCCACCTGAAGAAACAGTTGTTCTCTTGAAATGATCTCAAGGTACTGTGTTTTTTCATTTGCAAGTACAATTCAAATAGCTGTTACCAAGGGGAATTAGTGGTGCCTGGATTTGGCTGCATGCAAGCATAAGCCTCCAGCAACCTCACCTGGTTCTCATAGTCCAGAATTGGGTCACATGCCCATTCCTGAACCAGCCGTTTACCTGGGACTACCCCTCCATCAGTTAGGCCCACCCCTGGGCTGACAGGTCAGCAAACAGCATTGCTATGGTTCACTAGGCCAGGAGTGAAATGGATGTGGGACAGGCAATCACCATGTTCACTCCAGCCCATAGGTTATGATGGCTTGAGGAGTGAGCCATCTGTTTGGTATTTCCTCTTAGCTCTAAACCTAAAAAGATGGCGGGTGTGAAGTTGCCCTTGTCTTTAGGAAAATTAAGCAAATTGACATTTTTGCATTTTTGTCATTTGCAAGTAAAATTCAGGGGAATTACCACCAAATGTGTGGTGATTTCTGGATTGGGTTGCATGTATCAGTCAGTTGGGCGAGGAAGAAAGGAAAAGGTTAGGAAGAGGAGCTATGCTGTAAGCACATGGTGCATGATTTGGTCCTTAATGGTGTGTCACAGACTTACAACAACTAAAAAGGAGAGGGTGGCTGGAACATTTCCTGAAAGGTAATCAGTAAGTTAATAAAGGGAATTTTTCAAAGTCAGTTTTGTTTTCCCCATGCCATTTTTTAAATGAACAAATACTGCCATATACTCCTTTAAAATGAAGCCTCCTAAATGAGATTCTTTAAAGTGAAAATGTGTGTATGTTAGTATAAAATCAGAGGGGAAAAATACAGAATCTAAGAAGAGCATTAAACATTCTTGTATCTTGAGATTATTTTTACCTTATGTAGGATTTTGAAGTGGTTTGTTATAGGTGGGGATCCTGAGGCCTTGTTTAAGTGTTTTACTAGAAACAAGGAAATGCTATAGCTATTGAGGAGAGAGATTTTTGGTTTTGCTTTGTTGTTTATTCCCCTGCAGTTTAACCAATTGCATAACGTAAGATGTAGTTTTCTACATCTTAGGTAGATTAGTTATATGCCTCAGGTTAGGTATATAACTTTTTTCCTGCCCATTTATTCCTGTATCCTGTTTACTAATAAAGTAATTCATGGAATAGATGGAAATTTCAAAGAATGGAGAATGGTATTAAGTACACAGTTGGATCCCCTCCCCATTCTTTACTCTGAGTGAATGTAGTTGCTTATTTTTAATTATTTGGGTAGTTAGCACTAATTATACATTACATACTTATATCTTGATTTGTGAACTTTACAAGGTATCTCCTGACTTGTTCATATGAGGCAGTGTATCATGGGTGGTTAAGAACACAGGTCTTAATTCAGACAGCTTGGCTTCTAATCCTCTGCTGCTTCTAACCTACATGGCCTTGAGCAAATTATTAAGCTATTCTTTTTTTTTTTTAATTTTTTTTTTTTATTATACTTTAAGTTTTAGGGTACATGTGCACATTGTGCAGGTTAGTTACATATGTATACATGTGCCATGCTGGTGCGCTGCACCCACTAACGTGTCATCTAGCATTAGGTATATCTCCCAATGCTATCCCTCCCCCCTCCCCCGACCCCACCACAGTCCCCAGAGTGTGATATTCCCCTTCCTGTGTCCATGTGATCTCATTGTTCAATTCCCACCTATGAGTGAGAATATGCGGTGTTTGGTTTTTTGTTCTTGCGATAGTTTACTGAGAATGATGGTTTCCAATTTCATCCATGTCCCTACAAAGGACATGAACTCATCATTTTTTATGGCTGCATAGTATTCCATGGTGTATATGTGCCACATTTTCTTAATCCAGTCTATGATTGTTGGACATTTGGGTTGGTTCCAAGTCTTTGCTATTGTGAATAATGCCGCAATAAACATACGTGTGCATGTGTCTTTATAGCAGCATGATTTATAGTCATTTGGGTATATACCCAGTAATGGGATGGCTGGGTCAAATGGTATTTCTAGTTCTAGATCCCTGAGGAATCGCCACACTGACTTCCACAATGGTTGAACTAGTTTACAGTCCCACCAACAGTGTAAAAGTGTTCCTATTTCTCCACATCCTCTCCAGCACCTGTTGTTTCCTGACTTTTTAATGATTGCCATTCTAACTGGTGTGAGATGATATCTCATAGTGGTTTTGATTTGCATTTCTCTGATGGCCAGTGATGATGAGCATTTTTTCATGTGTTTTTTGGCTTATTAAGCTATTCTTTGCCTCAGTTTCCTTGTCTCTAAAATGGACATAATAACAGGACTTACCACATGTGATAATTTGAACATTGAATTTAAAGATTCATGTAAACTGTTTACAAGAGTATCCAGCACATAAGTGATCACAATAAATGTTGGCTGTTTCTGCTACTGCTGTTTTTTAATTTTTCTTTCTTTTAAGCACAGGGTCTCACTCTGTTGCCCAGGCTAGAGTGCGGTGGCACAGTCATTGTTCACTGTAACCTCTAACTCCTGGGCTCAAGCAATCCTCATATATATACACATATATATGTATGTGTATATATGTATGTATATATGTATGTAGATATATGTCTATATATATAATGTATATATATGTGTGTCTATATATATATATATATTTTTTTTTTTTTTCTTTTAAAGTTTTTGAGACAAAGTCTTGTTCTGTTGTCCAGGCTGGAGTGCAGTGGCACAATCTCAGCGTACTGCAACCTCTGCCTCCTGGGTTCAAGCAATTCTCGTGCTTCAGCCTCCTGAGTAGCTGAGATTACAGGTGTGTACCACCACACCCAGCTAAATTTTTGTATTTTTAGTAGAGACAGGGTTTCACCATGTTGCCCAGACTAGTCTCGAACTCTTGAGCTCAAACGATCCCGATCTGTCCACCTCTGCCTCCCAAAGTGCTAGGATTACAGGCGTGAGCCACTGTGCCCAGCCCAGTTTTAATTTATATTTATTTATTTATTTGTTAGAGACAAGGTCTTGCTCTGTTGCTCTGGCTGGAGTTCCATGGTGTGATCATAGCTCACTACAACCTGGAGCTCCTGGGTTCAGTGATCTTCCCAGCTCAGCCTTCCGTGTAGCTAGGACTACAGGCATATGCCACCACGCTTGGCTAACTTTAAAAAAAAATTCTTGTAGAGATGGGGGTCTTGCTATGTTTCCCAGGTTGGTCTTGAACTCCTGGCCTCAAGCAGTTCTTCTGCTTCAGCCTCCCGAAGTGTTGGAATTACAGGCATGAGCCACTGCACCTGATCTACTACTGTTAACATAATGAAAGATGAGGCCTCTGCTTCATTCTCCTTCCACAATTTGTAAAATTAATTTTATTTCTATATATAACATTAAATAATGTATCTAGTCCTTTTATTTCCCCAACAGCATAATATATCTTAACTTCCTGCTCTAAGTGATGAAGAAAGCCCTACTCATTCTTATTTATTTATTTGTTATTATTTTTTTGAGATGGAGTCTCATTCTGTCGCCCAGCCTGGAGTGCAGTGGCGCGATCTTGGCTCACTGCAACCTCTGCCTCCTGGGTTCAAGCAGTTCTCTCCCTCAGCCTTCCGAGTAGTTGGGATTACAGGCGCCTGCCACCACACTCAGCTAATTTTTGTATTTTTAGTAGAGATGGGGTTTCAGCATGTTGGCCAGGCTGGTCTTGAACTCCTGACCTTGTGATCCATCTGCCTCGGCCTCCCAAAGTGCTGGGATTACAGGTGTGAGCCACCGCATCTGGCCTACTTCATTCTTTTATATTTGATTTCCACTAGTTATAATATTACTTTTGCATCATTAGGTGCATTCTTTATGGATTGTATCCTTCAAGGAATTGGTCCATTTCATCTGGGTTATCAAATTTATGGGCATAGAATTGTTCATAATATTCCTTTATTCCTTTAATGTCCATGGGATCTGTAGTGATGGCTTCTCTTTCATTTCTGATATTAATAATTTGTGTCCTCCCTCTTTTTTTCTTAGCCTGGGTAGAGGGCTTATCAATTTTATCAATCTTTTAAAAAACCAGCTTTGGGTTTCATTGATTTTTCTTTATTGATTTCCTGTTTTCAAGTTCATTGATTTCTGCTATCATGTTTATTATTTTTCTTCTGCTTATTTTGGATATTGTTTGCTCTTCTTTTTCTAGTTTGCTAAGATGTAAGGTTAAATTACTGATTTTAGGTTGTTTTTCTTTCCTAAAATATGTATAGTACTATGAATTTCCCTCTAAGCACTTCTCTTGCTTCATTCTATAGTGTTTAATGAATTATATTTTCACCTTCACCTAGTTAACATATTTTTAAATTTCTCATGAGATTTTGTATGTTACCCATTTGTATACCATTTTGGGATTTTTCCAGCTCTCTTTCTATTATTGATTTCTAGTTTAATTTCATTATGGCTTAAGAGAAGACACTGTATGATTTTTATTTTAAAAAATTTTTAAGGTGTATTTTATGGCCCAAAATGTGGTCCGTTTTGGTGAATGTTCCATGTGAGCTTGATATGAAGTAGTTTACAGATGTCAACTATATCCAGTTTATTGATGGTGCTGTTGAATTCAACTATGTCCTTACCGATTTTCTGCCTGCTGGATCTGTGTATTTCTGATAGAGGATTGTTGAAGTTTCAGACTATAATGTAGATTCATCTATTTCTCCATTAGTTTTTGCCTCACATGTTTTGATACTCATTGGTTAGGTACATACATGTTAAGGGTTGTTTTTTTTTTTGGAGAATTGACTCCTTTATTATTATGTAATGACCCTCTTTATCTTTGCTAACCTTCCTTGCTTTGAAATCTGCTCTGTCTGAAATTAATATAACTACTACTGGTTTCTTTGGATTAGTGTTAGCATGGTATATCTTTCTCCATTCCTTTACTTTTTTCTTGGTGTTTCTCCATCTTAGGTTGGACTGGGTGGCTCGAGTGGGCTGGAGTTGGATATTTCCCTTCTCTCAAGTTGGTTAGGCTCTGATAAAACTCCAATAGGCTAGGTTCTGATAAAGTGGTTTCTCTTGAGGGGCAGCTTTGTTAAGAACAACACAGTGCTCTGCATACTTCAAAATGGGTCCTTTTCCCTTTCTCTTCCCGGAAGCCCAAGGGGATTTTTCTTTGATATTCACTGTGAGAATCTGATTGAGCTCCTGGAGCTAAAACTCACAGAAGTGTGGGGAGCCCTCTGAATTTATGCCAAAATACAGAGACCTATTATAGTGGTAATTTCTGTTGTTTGTGTCTTCTTCTTCAGTACTTGGACCATGAGACTGTTTCAGCCACTTTCATCGACAGCAGTGGACAGTTTGTTTCCTCCCAGGTGACAGGAATTAGCCGAAATCCCTACTGTGGCTATGATCAGCAGACCCTGTCCAGCCAGGAGCGCATGGAGGAGGACTCCTTGCTGGCTGCCTTGCACCGGCAGGTTCCTGATGTGGGCCCAGTCCCCTTTGTGAAGAGCACTGACCCTTCTTCCAGCTACTTTGTCATCTTGAACTCTGCTGCCTTCTTTAAGGTGGGAAGCCAGCTTGAGGTGCTGGTTCATGTGCAGGATTTTCAAAGAAAGCCCAAGAAGTATGGTGGAGACTACCTGCAGGCCAGAATTCACTCCCTCAAGCTGCAGGCTGGGGCTGTGGGCAGGGTGGTGGATTACCAGAATGGGTTTTACAAGGTTTTCTTTACTTTGCTATGGCCAGGCAAAGTTAAAGTATCCGTATCTCTGGTCCACCCCAGTGAAGGGATCAGAGTTCTTCAGCGCTTACAGGAAGATAAACCAGACAGGGTCTATTTCAAGAGTCTCTTCCGTTCAGGAAGAATTTCTGAAACTACTGAGTGCAACGTGTGTCTTCCTGGGAATCTGCCCCTGTGTAACTTTACAGACCTCTACACTGGGGAGCCCTGGTTCTGCTTCAAACCAAAGAAGCTCCCTTGCAGCAGCAGAATTACCCATTTCAAAGGTGGATACCTGAAAGGTCTCCTAACCGCTGCAGAGAGTGCTTTCTTCCAGAGGTATGTACTGCTTTTTCTTGGGGATGATTTGAAGAGTTCTTTTCCACTGTCCTTGTCCCATTTAGGAGACTTTCTGGTATTCGGTATGTGTTTCTTACCTCTCTCTCAACTTGGCCCAATACAGAAGAGGTAGTGAATAAAAAAAAAAACATAGATTTGTATTTTTCATTAGTGTTTTAAAAATGAAGCTTAATGCTTATCTGAGTCCAAATTAAAGACCTTTTACCCTTGAATTTTTGTTCTTTACCCTCATATCTGTGTTTTCCTTTAGAACCACATAGCATGTTTACACAGTAGCTGTGTAAGTAAAATCCCTTATTCACAGAACAGATAGAAGTTATCTAAGGGTCAGATGTGGTGACTCATGCTTGTAATCCCAGCACTTTGGGAGGCTGAAACGGGAGGATCGCTTGAGCCCAGGAGTTTGAGACCAGCCTGGGCAACATAGCAAGACCCCATCTATTTTATGTAAAGAAAAAAATAATCCAAGAACAGGGCTGGTAGGGCTGGTAGTCAGGCTGGTGTTTTATCTTTGTATCTAATGAACTGAAACTTTAAAAAGTAACATAATAACAGTTTTTAAAATCATTTGAACCTACTGATTAAAAAACTATGAATATGGCAACATTGCTGGGTTGACTTAATAAGCATAGGAAGTCAGGAATACCACAGAAAACTATATTTTTTAAGCTAAATAGTTGTTGAAATTATTGCAGTATTGTGTTCAAATTTCTATTTCAAATGTAAGCTTAAAATATTTTCAGCATGATGAGAAATACATGGAATAATGTGCAGAAAGGAATATGGAACCAGTATGAATTAAAATTTGTGTTTTCTTCAACATTCCATAACATCACTAAGAAATAAAAAATTATAAAAGCTACATGGTTAAAAAGTACCATGCTGGCCAAGCGTGGTGGCTCATGACTGTAGTCCCAGCACTTTGGGAGGCTGAGGTGGGAGGAAGGCTGGAGCCCAGGAGTTTGAGGTTGCAGTGAGCTGTGATCACAATTGCACTACAGCCTGGACAACAGAGTGAGACCCTGTCTCAACAAAAAGTACAATTGTTTGAAAGAATGTATACATGTTTTTTACTTTTTAGTGAAATATATTGTTTTTAAACATTCCTTGGTAGAGAGAATTTTTTTGTTGGATAAAAGGGAGGTATTTTTGTTAAGGATATCTGGGCACCCTAAAAATTTCATACTTTATGTCCACTCATTACCGTATGGGAGAAAAGTTGCTACCATAAAGTATGTGGTTTGTAGGAGCTCCTAAAATAAAACTCTTCAGTTTTCCACCCTGAAGTCAGCTTTTGGTCATACCAGATTATGTACATATGTAGTGGGTTCATGCCATACTTTTAGAAGGCCAGCAGAGGGAGCACTACTCAATGTACAGTGTTTACTGTACTGCTGAGAAGACTAGTATTTTCTATGGCTCAGTACAAAATGAAAACAAAATTAAATTTCACAACTCCTCAAAACAAAACCAAAACAAAATTTTTCATTTTATTCGTGGGTTCAGGTTTCAGACATGCTATTTATTAGTGACTGAGCAGATTATTTTATTTCTGTGTACTTTTTTGCCTATATATGAAGACTACTCAATTACCCTATTTTAGAGGGTTGGTTTGTTTGTTTGTTTTGCAACAGGGTCTCACTTTGTCATCCAGGCTGGAGTGCAGTGGCATGATTGCAGCTTGCTGCAGCCTCAACGTCCCGGGTTCGACGGATTCTCCCACCTCAGCCTCCCGAGTAGTTCGGACTACAGGTGTGCGCCACCACACCCAGCTAATTTTTGTATGTTTTGTAGAAATGTGGTTTCACTATGTTGCCCAGGCTGGTCTTGAACCCCTGGGCTCAAGTAGTCCTCCTGCTTTGTCCTCCCAAAGGGCTGGAATTACAGATGTGAGCCACCATACCCCGTTAGAGTTGTGTTTTTAGATTTTTAAGTTATTATGGATACATCCTAGTTGCACATATTTTTGAGGTAGATGTGATATTTTGATACAAGCATATAATATGTAATGATCAAATCAGGGTAATTGGAGTATCCATTGCCTAAAGCATTTATCATTTCTTTGTGTTGGGAACATTCCAATTCCACTGTCATAATTGTTTTGAAATATATAGTAAATGATTGTTAACTATAATTGCCCTATAGAGTTACGTTGTCAGTCTACTTAGTGGCCTAGCAAAGAGGAAGAAACATAGTAATTTACGCAAATTCCAGGTGGAAAATAGAGAAAGTTTAGAGAACTAAATTAGTGTAAAACTTAAAAGTATTTCTGACTATAAATTCTACCATTAAAAACAAAAAAGCACCCGTGAACCCACAAGGATAAAATAATGTGTTTGTCCCTGCCCTTCCTTGCATATCCTGGGTGAGGCTGGTTGATGGTACATTGTTGTAGAATAATTGCGGAATTTTATTTACCTGGAAGTTTGCTGAGAAAACAATGTCTGAGGTGGTGTAAGTTTTTGGAAAGCAAACATTTGACAGAGTTCTCATAATTGATTTTCATTTTCCACCCTTTATTCTGTTAAAGTTCTGAAATATTGCATAAGGCCATCTGAAAAGAAAAAGAAAAAGATTGAAATTGATTTTTTGGGGGATCTTTGGGTATACTGTTTTGAGCTCATGGCCCAAATATGTTGAGCTGATATCCTTTTTTACTTCTCTTCCTTGGTAGCTCATAACCTTACTTAAACCAGAAAGAATTAAGAAGCTTAGCCTTGGTATTTGGTTCCCTAAATGACAGTTGAACAATTAAAATATGTCATCTTTGTTCTTTATCTATAAGGGAATAAAAGTGTTACTTTTGGAAAGGACAACAGGGGTTTCCTTAAAGATCCTATTAATATAAGGGAAGGCCTTTTGAAAGAATGGGCTTATCACCTACAACATTTCCCTTTTATTTTAGCATGATTGCTACTTTTTTCTTTCTAACTTTGTGTTTAAAAAATTGAATCTTTAGAAACATTGCAGGAATAATAACAATGAACTCATATACCTTTAACTTAGATTCACTATTATTGTTTTGACACATTTTGCTTTATCTTTCTTTGTGTTTATATGTATCTGTGTATAATTTTTTCCCCTGAACCACCTGAGAGTATGTTGCAGACATCATGGCACTGCACTCCATAAATATGCCTCTCCTAAGAAAATGGACTTTCTCTAACATATAACCATAATGATCACATTTGGGACATTTATCATTGTTATAGTACTGTTATTTAATATGCAGTTCATATTAGATATTCAAGTTTCTTCAGTTGTCCCAATAATGACTTCTGTAGCTATCTTTTTAATTTTAACTAATCTAATCTATGCTTACTCAGTGTGTTTGGTTATCTCTTTAATCCAAAAGAATTCTTTAGCCTATTTTGTTTTGTACAACATTGGCAATTTTGATGTTGCTGTTTTGTAGAATGTCCTTTTTTTTTTTTTTGAGATAGGGTGTCGCTTTGTCATCCAGGCTGGGGTGCGGTGCAGTGATCTCAGCTCACTGTAACCTTCAGCTCACTTGACTTCCTGGGGTCAAGTGATTCTTGTGCCTCACCCTCCCAAGTAGCTGGGAGTACTAGGCACGCACCACCATAGCTGGCTAATTTTTGTATTTTTAGTAGAGATGGAGTTTTGCCATGTTGGCCAGGCTGGTCTCAGACTCCTGGCCTCAAGGATATCTGCCCGTCTTGGCCTCCCAAAGTGCTGGGATTACAGGCGTAAGCCACCACGCCCAGTCTGCTTTGGATTTGCTTTATTGTTTTCACTTTCCATGTGATTAGATTGAGGCTAAATATTTTGGCAGGAAAATTATAGAAGAAGTTTTCCTGCAAATATTTTTACAGGAAATTATGTTTTTGTAAGAAAATTATTATTGTACAATAATAATTATATAATTATTATAACTATAGACAAGTAAATTGTATATTTTTTTCTTACCATAAAAGTCTAAACTCATGAAAGTAGTTTATATGTGCTCTCTTAAAAATCACTTTATTTAAGCTATGAAATTTGATTATGCTGTAATGTGGCCAGGCCTGTACACTTCCTTCATTACTTGTTTTTTGTCTGTCTCCATGTCAGCTCCATGAAGAAGGAGATGCTGTGTGTTTTGCTTACTGTAGTAGCCCTGGATTCTAGGACAGTACCTGGCTTAAGAAGCTTAAGAATTATTTGTTGAATAAACAGTTTTTTCTGAAATTGATGAAATAATAAAAAATGACTGCACATTCCCATATCAAGAATTTGAGAAGTTAACATTTTATGTTTTTGTTTTTGGTCTAAGTACAAGAGACCTAGTTTTATTGTGACTCAGTTTCTGGAATAGTTGCCCCGGATTTCGAGTGCTTTTCTCCTTACCTCCACCCTCCCCCATGTTTTAATGCAGCCCTCCAAAAATATTTACTGAGTGTGGACTCTAGACCAGGGCCTGTGCTAGGATACAAAGATGAATGAGGCACCACCCTTATCTTCGAGTAGTATATGTTTTATTTTATTTTATTTTTTTCCCCTGCTGCCTCCCTTGAGTAGTACATGTTTTAGTAAGGGGAACAGACACTAAAGAGTCCTGGTAATGATGAGCAAAGTACTGCATGAGTAAGTATCTGGGGGGCAAGTGTCCCCACTAGGACTCCTGTCAGATCTGGAAAAGGCCTGAGGAATCTGATACATGACTTAATGCAGCGTATACTTGCAGCCTGAAAACTAAGTAATGACAAAATAGACATTCTTGTCAGTGTGAGCCATTCTCTGAGTCCAAGGGGAGTACATAATTCAAACCAGAATTGGTCATTTTGGAGTTTGCACTCTTAGCAGTATACAGTGGAGTGAAATTTAAGAATCAATTTAATTTCTTTTCAGTTTTTATGTACATAAAACCTGCTTACTACAAGAGACCCAGTTTATTATTTTGTGTTGGTTAACATTCATAAGTATATTTCATCATAATAAGGCTCCGTGAAATTAGTCATTTTATCATTTGCCAATAAAGACATATATCTGAAAATAAATGTTCCTGAACCTGAGCTTGTGCTTTTTTATTCCTCTTAAAGTGGTGTCAATATCAAAATGCCAGTCAACTCCAGTGGACCTGATTGGGTAACTGTGATTCCCAGGAGAATAAAAGGTAAAAAAAAGAATAAGCTTGATGATTTGTTGTTTTTCTTACTAACTGGGTTGAGGCTCTGTCGTTTCATTTATGTTGCAAAAACTTATATGCCATAGTTACTTCTGGGCACAATTGAAAATATTAAAAGTACTGTTTGATTAAAAAAATCAGATCTTATGTGCATAATTCTGAGTTTTGCTATTTATTGTTATTTTATTTTTATTTTTTTGAGACAGGGTCTTGCTCTGTTACCTAGGCTGGAGTGCAGTGGCGCAATCTTTACTCACTGCAGCCTTGATCTCCTAGGCTCAATTGATCCTCCCATCTCAGCCTCCCGAGTAGCTGGGACTACAGGCACACACCACCACACCTGGCTGATTTTTGCATTTTTTTTTTGCAGAGACAAATTTTTGCCATGTTGCCCAGGATGGTCTTGAATTCTTGAGCTCAAGCAATCCTCCCACCTTGGCCTCCCAAAGTGCTGGGATTACAGACATGTGCACGGCCGAGTTTTGCTATTTAAGCTCATGTAAAAGTTTTCTTCTCTTGCCAGCCCTCTTCTGTTTGGCTCCTCAAGAGTCTTTTGAACAACCTTGTCCAATATGATAGCAACTAGTCACTTGTAGTGATTCAAATTTAAATCAATTAAGATTAAATAAAATTCAAAATCTAGTTATTTAATCACACATGCCCAATAACTATATGTAGACAGCATTTTATGTAGAATTTATCCATCATCTCAAAAAGTTGTGTTGGACATTGCTGCTCTAGAGATATGGGTAAAATTATCATGGAAATGTTTAAATCATCACAAAAAGTTGTGTTGGACATTGCTGCTCTAGAGATATGGGTAAAATTATCATGGAAATGTTTAAAATAACATTGGGTTGGAGAATAGCAGCTCTTCTCAAAGTGTGGTCTGTGGATCAGTGGCATCAGCATTACCAGGCAACCTGATAGAATTGCAAATTCTCAGGTCCTATCTCAGATGACTGAAACAGAAACCCTGGCTGGTGGGGCTGAGCAAGAAAGTTTTAACAAACTTTTCGGGTGACTCTGATTTATTGGTGTAGAATATTAATAGTAAAAGAACAAAATTCAGAGCAGTAAATGTAAATTTTGCAGAATAGATATAATTAGCTATCGTGATTTTTAGAAAGAAGGGATGAATGTTACTAGTGAGGCTTATGCAGATGGCGGGCAAGGTCCTTCTAGCTTTTAAAAGTATATTAACTAATAGTACTGCACTCTGCAGATGTTGGCAAACCCTTTTGCTGCAGGGGCTTGATATTTAATACCTGTGGATCAAGCAGAGTGGATATTAGCCACAAGCCTTGTATGAGTGGTGGGGAAGGAACTGAAGAGCAAGGACCATCTCAAGGGGCAGCCTCTTTTCAGTTTCTGCTGCTTTGTTACCATGTAGAAACAAACCCTGTATGCCCAGCTCCGTAGATTTGTTTTTCCAAGAGAAACCAGAAACTTTGATTTTTTAACTGTGATATCTCCATATTTTAGAACATTGACATCCAATTCAAGACTTTGAAAATATTGTATGGGCTAAATAAAATCTGTTTGGCCCATATGCAGCCAGGGCACTGCCAGTTTATATCTCTTGTCTCTAGTATCATATGCCACAAGAATTCCCAGTCTTTTCCTGATGAAGAGCTGTTTTTGATTTACTTGAACCAAATGAATTACTAATTTTAGAGGATATATATATATATATATATATATATATATATATATATGAGACATTTATCTTTTATCTGTTTGGGCCTCAACCCTGAGGTCAAGATGTCAGTAGACAAGGTGTCCTTCAGTAGTACTGCGCTCTAAACACTCTCCATGTCCGACATCTTCAGGAGGCCCTGTCTCCCACTACTGGATCTGTCCTTCTTCTCACAGACTCGACTGGCTTGCCCTTATTGTGATGTCCCTAGGTGTCCCAGGGATGGTCAGTGGGAGGAACTTTGGAAAGTTTACCTGTACCTGACAAGTCTTGAGGATTAGCCAGGAAGTGGCTGTGGGTTTATGATGTACTCTTCTGGTTAGAGGGAAGATAGATTTGGTAATTAGTGAGCCTTTTGATATATTTTTAGAGGAAGAAAGTAACTATGAATTAGTAGGAGCAGAATATCCTGGTTTTGAATAGGAAAACCATCTTGTTGTAACAGGTATATAACTGGAAAGAAAAGAGAAGGGCAATTGATTTATGGACTATGGAAGGAACCCAGCTTGGCAGAACTTCATTGAATTTCACTCTGTGGACCAGCAGGGGGCATTCAAAGACCCTAAATCAAGGGCTCATAATTTTTTTTCCTTCTTTTGCTTCATTCTATGCAAACATTCTGTTTCTGCTTAAACTTTCACCAACTAATTTTAGCATTCATCAAGGTTCATCAGATCTTGCCTGTGGCAATGATTTCTGTGGAATTCTAATTGTGACTTTTAATGTCTCTCATTCTTTCAACATTTATTAGTTGGAATTCTTTTGCAAAGAAGAGTTGTCCCTTCTTCATTTTAAGTATTTATATCAGTGTAGACTCATGAAAATTTCATTCCTTGGAATGAAGGAAAAAAAATTATAATCCAATCCAATTCAATCATTATTTTATTTGCTTTTATTTTTGCTCAAATTGTTCCAGTTTTGGCAGTTGGGGAACACTTTCAGTTTGGCTTCTTTGTGCCCTTTTGTCATCCTGTGTGCTGTCATCCTTTTGTTTGTTTTGAGCACTTCCTTAGTTTCTGGCACCACAAGATATTTGAGGCTTGTCTTGTATTTTCTTTGCCTTAGCCTTAGAAGGGGTTTACAGTATTTCTACTTTTATTTCACTTATGAATCCTATATTTTGAAGTTTTTTCCCTGTGAAATTGTATTTATGTATTAGCTAATTAATATTCTTACAAGGTAAAACTATTGTTAAGATTCATATTTAGATTGCCTGAGATTGGCAGTGCTACTGCTACTTGTGGGCATAATTCCAGTCAAAAGCAAGGAAAAACAGTTTTTAGTTCTAGCTGACTACCTTTTTAAGAGCAAGCATCTGGTTTATGTCAGGTTTTCCCAGTGCCAGAATTACTGCTGAGTTTTCATTAGTACCTGTAATGTAGTCCCCAGATTATCACAGCTGAGTGGCTCAGGGACCTTGACAGATTCTGACCTCATCAACAACTTGAGGTTATATTTTTTGGGGGAACTTACTGAGAGTTTAGAATAAGACTTGATCTAATAGCAACAGTATAGATAAGAACAATGAAGTTTTACATTTGTGTGTATCTTTGTAGCTATGGCAGGTTGAATACTAAGATGACTTCCAGTGATCTATGCTCTTACATAATCTCCTTCCCCTTGAGTTGTGGCAGCGACATGTAAATATGATGGTATATAATTCCTATGATTTGATTATGTTATATGACAAAGTTGACTTTAAGAGAGTGGCATTATCCTAGGTAGACCTGACCTTAGATCAGATAAGCCCTTAACAGGGGCCATGTTCTTCCTGAAGAAATTCAAAGTGTAAGAAGGATTCCATGTGAGGGAGATTCTTTGTTGTTGGTTTTAAAGATGAAGGGGGCCACATGGCTAGGAATATAGGCAACTTCTAGTAGCTGGAGAGCATCTCCTGGCTGATAACCATCAAGGAAATGGGAAACTCAGTCTTACAACCACAAGTAACTGAATTCTGGCAGCAACTTGAATGAACTTTTTTTGTTGTTTTTTTTTGTTTGTTTGTTTTTGAGACAGAGTCTTGCTCTGTTGCCCAGGCTGGAGTGCAGTGGTGCGATCCTGGCTCACTGCAAACCTCTGCCTCCTGTGTTCAAGCGATTCTCGTGCCTCAGCCTCCCAAGTACCTGGGATTACAGCCACACCTGGCTAATTTTTCTGTTTTTAGTAGAGACGGGGTTTTCACTGTGTTGGCCAGGCTGGTCTCGAACTCCTGAGCTCAAGCGATCTACCCACCTTGCCCTCCCAAAGTGCTGGGATTACATGCGTGAGCCACGCGCCCGGCCTTGAATGACCTTTTTGAAGGCTTTTCTCCAGAGAACACAGCCCTGATAATAGCCTGATTCAACTTGTGAGACTCTGAGGAGAGAACAGAGTTATGCGATGTCCCAAACTCCTGACCTGCAGGTCTGTGGGTTAATAAATGTCTCTTGTTTTTAAGCTACTAAGTTTGTGGTGATGTGTTACACAGCAATAGAAAACTAATAAAATAACTACCATCTAGATCAAGTTATTGAACATTTAGAACATATAGGATGTTTCCAGGACCCTAGCATGCGCTTTACTATTCACACTATTACAGTATTGAATTTTCACAATAACCCTTCAAAATAACTAGTAGTTGACCCATTTTATAGATGATGTGACCAAAGTCCAGAGATTTCACTTATTGTGTCATCGTTTTGAGTCCTTCTTTGTTAGACTCTGAGGGTATAGTTAGGGAATAAGATGAAAATTTAAATGATTTCTGAAGTCTCAAGAGTTGGAAATGTGGAGTCAGACTTAGAGTAGGTCCCGTGACTCTTCATCTAGCATTTTCCCTACTGCCCCTTAACCATGTTTAGGAGGTATGGCCAATGATGTCTTGATGCTTTGGTTTGCCTGCAGTAGTTAATTTTTTTTTTTTTTTTTTTTTTTTGAGAAGGTGTCTCGCTCTGTCGCCCAGGCTGGAGTGCAGTAGTGTGATCTCGGCTCATTAAAACTTCTGCCTCCTGGGTTCAAGCAATTCTTCTGCCTCAGCTTCCCAAGTAGCTACCATTGCAGGCACAATGCCACCATGCCTGGCTAATTTTTGTATTTTTAGTAAAGATGTGGTTTTGTATGTTGGCCAGCCTGGTCTGAAACTCCTGACCTCAAGTGATCCGCCTGCCTTGGCTTCCTAAAGTGTTGGGATTACAGGTGTGAGCCACCACTGTACCTGGCCTGCAGTAGTGAAATTTATCAACCTTCTAGTATACAAATGATGAAGTGAATGATAGTGTTTCATGTTATGCAGTAAAAACGAAACTAGTCATTTTGTGGATGAGACCTCATCTGATGTTGATTTCTAGAAAATGGCAGATAAATGTTATAACAAATGGGACAAAGCTATTTTATTTTTAAAAAATTTAATTATCTGGATGCAGATGTCAAAGGGACAAAGCTATTTTAAAGACAACTACTTTCCAATTACTGGAAAGAATAATTTGATACAGAATATCTTTAATTTCGTTAACCGGGAAAATCAAAGGGCCCATGTTCTGCATATAAAACTACTAACTGATAGCATTTGAGGGAAGGAAGCCTCCTCAATATATCAGCAAAATGTATTTCTTTGTAAGTGGTACCACCTCTACCACTACCTGCCTCTACGCTTATTGAGAAACTTTGCCAAGTCACTCTGTGACTTGCTTTCTTCATCTTTAAAAGGTATTTCGACGGCCGGGCGCAGTGGCTCATGCCTGTAATCCCAGGACTTTGGGAGGCCGAGGCGGGTGGGTCATGAGGTCAGGAGATGAGACCATTCTGGCTAACACGGTGAAACCCCATCTCTACTAAAAATGCAAAAAACTAGCCGGGCGTGGTGGCAGGCGCCTGTAGTCCCAGCTACTCAGGAGGCTGAGGCAGGAGAATGGCGTGAACCCGGGAGGCGGAGGTTGCAGTGAGCCGAGATTGCGCCACTGCACTCCAGTCTGGGTGACAGAGTGAGACTCCGTCTCAAAAAAAAAAAAAAAAAAAAAAAAAAAAAAAGATATTTGGACTAGCTACTCTCTAAGGTCCCATTCAACAGTCTATGAATTTATAGAATTTCTATCTATATAGCATTCTTAGCTTACCTCTGTAAACTGCAGAGGTTTTAGGGGACTAAAATATATAGGAAAGAAAATTAAATTTCCAAGGTTTCATAGGGGGAATTCAAGGAGTAAACTCAAACTCAAGCCATTACAATTACTGTGTAGCTGGGCCCTTCTCATATTCCCAGCACTTGACAGAGTGTTCCTAACCAGCTCAATATACACTATCCTCATTCCTCATCCTGCTGAGGGCTGTCCCTCCCTACTGACCTTATCCCAAGCTTCCTATGCTCATGGCAGTCTCTGGTGCAGGGAATTGGTTGATCCCATTTCTTCTGTCTTGTTTTCCCCCTTATAAACTGTGTACTCCCCTTTGTCCTGCCTTTTACTGTTCTTAATTCTGCAGACAATTCCATACCATAAAATTAATGGACAGGTTTGCTGCACATCTCACCCCGCAGCCCTCCCTGCCCCGCCCCACCTCAATTCACGTTGTGTCCTTTTCGTCCAACTCTTTCTGGATGATTTAGGGAAATTTATCTCTCTGCCTTTTTCTCTTTCGTTTTGTTCCATCTTTGGCCCAGACAGCCCTCATTATGGCTAATGGATTACATGGCGTGACACCCTTTGGAGGAAAATGCAAACCATGGGCTTTAAAGAGAAGCCAAGAAATTTTAGAGATGCAGGGACATTACTTTCAAATAATAAAAAATATCCCTTCTGGTTTTGCCCAAATCTTCATATCTGCTTTTACAACCACCTCTGTTTAAACTTCTTCCTTCACCAGCAATTTTCAAGATAACCATAAAGTTGAGTAATAACTCATTTTTATTTTTTGTTTTAATTATTTTTATTCCATGTGAATAGTACATTAGGGGTTATATTATCTATTTAGGAGACTTTCATATCTCAGTTATCTTACATGAACTGCATTGTGAGTTCCAAGAAACACCATTTAAACAGCCACAGACTTCTTAAAAATCATATTAAAATTGTCAGGAAATGTTTTTGTCCCAGTTGACCATAAGGGGGCAACATAGGTATGTGCATTTCATTTAAAAAATATGATTTTTTTCTCATGTAGCATGCAGCATGTTTAAAGAATTAATGTCAGATTTAGTAATTGATTTGCTTTCCTTAGCTCTGGTAGTAAATATAATTAACATTTGAATGGAAATGGTAATTGTTTCCTGTGTGACATATACTTTTCTTTATAACACATATTTGACACAGAATAACCGAGTCTACCGAATTAACAGTGGTAAAAAATTGTAACATCAAAATAACTTTTAATTCTCATTCTAGTAAATGTTTTCTGTGGGCCCTAGGTGTCGTCTCTGGAGCTCTCTAACTATGCAGCCTCGATGTACTGATATAATGAGGGAGCTTTGCACAAGGTGCAGTAACATATTAAAGCTACACTTGATAACATGTTGAGAAATTATTTTTGAACAAGCCTAGGAAATGTTTACCCTACATGCCCCCGACAATTTTTCTTTGATAATCGCATTTGCCAAATAAAGCTTTTAAAATCAGCGTTCAGTTTCCTTTTCTACTTGGGCTCTGAACCTGCAAAGAATTAGCAGATGCCGAAGAAAAAAAGATTAGATATGCACTCTGTGTCAAATAGAACATCATCTTTGGAGGGATAAAAACCAAAATAATTTGGAGTAACACAGATAATGTCAAGTCAAATAAGCTAAAAGTAGTCACAAATAGGGGAGTCACTTAAATTTAAATTTCTGAGTTGTGTAAGCATTTAGAGTCCAAATTGTGGCTTAATAGGTGACTATAGAATGACTGGACTTTGATAAAGGTTGTGTAAGAAAATGATATAACCTGGTGGTTTCTTGAAGATTGTAGGTTTGAATAATTGTTAGAAATGAATAAATATATACCTTCAAGAAAAAAAAAAAGAAATGGTTAACATCTATAAACATCTGTTTTTGAGAAGTGATCTAGCACACAGTGGTTAAGATCATGGGCTTTGGGCTCACTTGCTTGGGCCAGGTGCTGGCTTTGCTCCTTACTAGCTCAGCTCTGGGACCTTGGTCAAGTTGTTTAGCTGTTCTGAAAGGTAGGGATAGTGATAGGACCTACTTCAAAGAGTTACTGTGAGCATATGAGATAATACGTTTGCTCAGAATAGTGTCTGAGGCAGAGTAAACTTGCAAGAAATATTAGCCATCACAGTCTGTTTTGAAGCATGTAACGTGTGGCATTTTCTACAGGAGGTGTTAGGGCAGAAGGATGTTGACTTTCCCTCTGAAAGGTCGTTTTGCTTGTGTTATCAAGTGTAACTAGGTTACAACCAGGAGGTACACATTGGTGATGTATTTTTAGCATTGTTCATTATATATAAAGACTTTCTGAACCTTTTGTATAATGGAGAATAATCCGTTAGATTGTCTGCCATTAGTTTGTTCTCCATATTAAGTGGTGTTTTTTTGGAATTAAAATTAAAATTTGAAGATGGGATTCATGGATTCTAACTTTGCTTTTAATGGGCTGAAAACAGTGAACTAATACTACTCTGTATGTGTAAAGTATTAGTCTAAGTTGTTACTTGCCTCGCAGGCATGTGGGTGAGAAACTGTTCTCTTCTGGGAGAATGCTGGATAAATGCTTATGTCCACACATTTCCTTTGGTTTTGTCTTCCTTTATATTTGGCTTTGATAAAAACATATGTAATCAGGCTGGGCATGGTGGCTCACGCCTGTAATTCTAGCACTTTGGGAGGTCGAGGCGGGCGGATCACTTGAGATCAGAAGTTTGAGATCAGCCTGGCCAACATAGTGAAACCCCATCTGTACTAAAAGTGCAAAAATTGGCCAGGCGTGGTGGCTCACGCCTGTAATCCCAGCACTTTGGGAGGCCGAGGTGGGTGATCACAACGTCAAGAGATTGAGACCATCTTGGCCAACGTGATGAAACCCTATCTCTACTAAAAATACAAAAATTAACTGGGTGTGGTGGTACACGCCTGTACTCCCAGCTACTCGGGAGGCTGAGGCAGGAGAATCGCTTGAACCCAGGAGGCAGAGGTTGCAGTGAGCTGAGATCATGCCACTGCACTCCAGCCTGGCGACAGAGCGAGACTCTGTCTCGGAAAAAAAAAAAGCAAAACTTAGCCAGGCATGGTAATGCGTGCCTGTAATCCCAGTTACTTGGGAGGCTGAGGCAGGAGAATCACTTGAACCCAGGAGGCGGAGGTTGCAGTGAGCCGAGATTGTGCCACTGCACTCCAGCCTGGGCAAAAAGAGTGAGACTCCATCTCAAAAAAAATGTAAGCAGAGGGAATGCTGAAAGTCCCTCCTTTCCTTTCTGTCCACCAATACCTTCATGCCCATTTCAGATCTTCCCATTTTTGTACAAAGGAAAACCTTTTTTTTTTTTAATTTTACTTTTAAGTTCTGGGATACATGTGCAGAATGTGCAGGTTTATTACATAGGTATACATGTAGTTTGCTGCACCTGTCAACCCATCATCTAGGTTTTAAGCCTTGTATTTGTCCTAATGCTCTCCCTCCCCTTCCCCCCAACCCCCCGACAGGCCACGGTGTGTGATGTTCCTCTCCCTGTGTCCATGTGTTCTCATTGTTCAACTCCTACTTATGAGTGAGAACATGTGGTGTTTGGTTTTCTGTTCCTGTGTTAGTTTGCTGAGAATGATGACTTCCAGCTTCATCCATGTCCCTGCAAAGGACATGAACTCATTCTTTTTTATGGCTGTGGAAAACCTTTTTTTAATCAGGAGAAAAGTCTGGGATTTGAGGTCTGACAGCAGGAAATGTTTCCCACATGCTATCAGGCTAACAAATACATGGGCATAATTGTTTCTTGGGACATTTTTCATCTATTGTTGGAGGAGAATATTAAAATATTTGTTTTTCTTTTTTCTTTGCAGAAACTAACAGTCTAGAACTATCTCAAGGCTCAGGAACTTTTCCTTCTGGGTATTATTATAAAGACCAGTGGAGGCCCAGAAAGTTTAAGATGCGTCAGTTTAATGACCCTGACAACATTACAGAGTGCTTACAAAGAAAAGTGGTGCATTTATTTGGTGACTCAACAATCAGGCAATGGTTTGAATACCTTACTACATTTGTTCCAGGTTGGTACTGTGCCTTTTGTTTCGTAACTCTTTCCCACATCAGCTTTGAAATAAGCAGACTCACTCAGGTGCCTGAAGAAAGGTTATCAGGTGAGGAAACATATATTTCTGTGTAGGACTAAAGAGGTACCCAAACCCTGGAGAGATGTGTGACAGTTTCTGATCAATAGCTGTGTTGTGTTGTACTCATGGAAGCACTGGGTTCTCATTGAGGTTTATGTCACTGATGAGCTGTATGACTTTGGACAAGTCATTTACTTTTTAGGGCTTCATTTCTCCATGTGTGAGATGAGACAGCTGGACCATGTCACTTCACAGGTGTCTTTCCCTTCTAATATTCTGGGTTGTAAAATAGAGGTGGGCATTTCCAGTTGTTTCTCCCCTAGTTCTGTCTCATCCAACTCCAAGTTTATAGTAGCTTTGAGTAGAAGGAAGCAGCCAGACCTATGGTAGTCCATATTGCATCCTTGCAGCAAAGCCATCCCTGTGTCATCCATTGGGCCTACCATTGGTGTGACTCTGAGATGGAGTTGGCTCCTCCTGAGGGAGTCTGGGTAAGTTCCAGCATTCTTAGCTTCTTGATTTCTCTGCTTGGCTCTGGGGCTGTTCTCCAGACTCAGAACAAAACCCCAGTGGTTGGAGGCCCACCCCTTCTTCACAAGGGCATTCTTTTCTTTCTGGAAGGGGTATGGATGAGGTAAGGAAGGAGGGATCCTGAAGGAGCAGAAATAAAGACCCTGCTTACAATTTAGAGAGCTGATAGTTTTGTGGGAACTGTTTTTAATGGCCATGTGTGGGCAAGGCTTTTAATAAAGTAAAGCCTGATGGTTTGTTGTGAGTTGTTTGTGATTGTTTTTATCAGCCTTTTTATTTATTATGTCAACTTAGTTTTATTGATTGATTGATTGAGATGAGGTCTCACTCTCTCACCCAGGCTGGAGTGCAATGGTGTGATCATGGCTCACTGCAGCCTCAACCTCCTGGGCTCAAGCGATCCTCCCACCTCAGCCTCCCAAGCATTTGGGACCACAGGCGTGAGCCACTGCACTCAGCTAATTTTTTTGTATTTTTTGTAGAGACATGGTCTCACTGTGTTGCTCAGGCTAGTCTCGAATTCTCATGCTCAAGCAGTCCGCCCGCCTCAACCTCCCAAAGTGCTGATGGCTCACACCTGGCCTCAACTTAGTTTTAAATTTAATTTTTAGAAGGAAAGGGGAAGTAGATATTGTCCCCAAAAGTGTAAAGTCAGTTCCACTTTTTGTTTTGCTTGTTTTTTAAATTGAAACAGATATAACTAAGCTTTGTTTGATAAAGTATAATTTGTACATTAGGAGAAGGGAAATACTTTGTATGGCTTGATGCTAGACAAGGTTTGATGTGATGCTGACCAGTGAGGGCCTTCCTAGGTGTCTGTAGTTGCTTGCTTCTTAAATTCTAATGATGTAGCTTGGTATTTCCTTTGATGACAAGGATCACACTGACTGTTTTCATCACGTCCCACCATATACTTTACAGACATATCTTCACCTGATAAAAATAAAGCCTGTGTCAGTGCTTGATCTAATCAAAAGAAAGTGGTAGCTTGAGATTTTATTCAGTTAAAATGGGGCTAAATGCTAAGTAGTAGTTAGGTAGGAAAATCTAGAAGAGAAACCTGGAAATGCAAGGAGAAAAAAATGAAACCTACTTTAACCCTTAAGAATATATGACAATTTATATATATATATATATATATATATATATATATATATATTTTTTTTTTTTTTTTTTTTTTTTTTTTTTGAGATGGTGTCTCACTCTGTCACCCAGGCTGGAGTGCAGTGGTGTGATCTCTACTCACTAAAACCTCTGCCTCGCAGGTTCATGTGATTCTCCTGCCTCAGCCTCCCAAGTAGCTGAGATTACAGGCACCTGACACCATGCCTGGCTAATTTTTGTATTTTTAGTAGAGACGGGTTTCACCGTGTTGGCCAGGCTGGTCTCAAACTTCTGACCTCAAGTGAGCTGCTTGCTTTGCCCTCCCAAAGTGCTGGGATTATGGGCATGAGCCACCTTGCCCATCCTATAGGACAATTATATTCTGATGTTACTTTTTCAAAATTGACCGTGAACTCACTGAGGGCAAGGACTATATAGCTTATCCATCTGAGCATTGCTGGCTTGTAGCACCTATAGTAGTGGGCACTAAGTAGGTGCTAAGGAAATATTAGTTAAATTGGATTGTCAACATTTACTTAAGGCACTTAAGGGAATATTTAGGGATATGAGACACATCTTCTTTCCTCATGGGTGCACGTACTAAGTGATGAATTATACAGAGTTTTTTAGGAATAACAAGGACTGCCACTGATTCCTGGGACCTTCAGAATGTCTCCAGGCAACTGGACCTTGAAATACAACTTAGAGGGAGAAAAGGGAATTTTTAATTTGCGATGCTATCTGTGTTATTCTCATGATAGAGATGGAAGTTTTTCTGTAGGACATTAACATGATTTTTCATCTACAGGGTAAAATTGAAAGTCAAAAGAAACAGGGTTGCTTCTTTCTTTTGCTTATTGCAAAAAGAGGTGTTTGTTTTCATTTTTCAAAATTACATTTGAACTTGCCTTAATTTTATTTTTAAAAACATTCATTTTTAATCAACAGATAAGTATATTTATGGGGTACAATGTGATATTTTATATATATACATTGTGGAATTAGTACATCAAGTAAATTAACATATCCATCACCTCACATACTTACTTTTTTATAGTGAGAATATTTAAAATCTCTTCTTTTAGCAGTTTTGAAATATATGATACATGATTATTTACTATGGTTACCATGTTGTGCAATAGATGTCTAAAACATTTTCCTTCTGAGACCTTGATTAATATTTCCCCATTGCACCTACCCGTCTAGCAGCCCTCTGGTAACCACTATTCTACTCTCTACTTCAACTTTTTTAAGTTCCACATATAAGTCAGTATAAGGCAAATATTGCATGAGGTTCCACATCAAAGACATCTGTGTGTGGCTTATTTCACTTAGCATAATGTCCTCTAGTTTCATCCATGTTGTTACAAATGACGGAATTTCCCCAAAGAAGTATTTGGTTGCTGATATGTGCTCATAAAACAGAAGTTAAAGCCCATGTCTTGAGAGAAATAATATTTATCTGTTAGGAGAATAAAATGTAAATGCCAATTTGATTTTTATAATTTAAATTATCATAAACAGACACTTCTCAAAAGAAGACATACATACAGCCAACAAACATATGAAGAAAAAGCTCAATATCACTGATCATTAGAGCAATGCAAATCAAAACCACAATGAAATTGTGGTTCTCACACCAATCAGAATGGCTATTATTAAAAAGCCAAAAAACAACAGATACTGGCAAGGTTGCAGAGAAAAGGTAACAATTATACACTGTTGGTGGAAGTGTAAATTAATTCGATCATTGTGGAAAGCAGTATGGTGATTCCTCAAAGAGCTAAAAGCAGAACTACCATTCGACCCAGCAATCCCATTACTGGGTATATACCCAGAGGAATATAAATCATTCTGCCATAAAGACACATGCAAGGAAATGTTCATTGCAGCGCTGTTCACGACAGCAAAGACGTGGAATCAACCTAAATGCCCATCAGTGACAGACTGGATAAAGAAAATGTGGTACATATGTACCATGGAATACTATGCAGCCATAAAATTGAGATAATATCTTTTGTGGGAGCATGGATGGAGCTGGAGGCTATTATCTTTAGCAAACTAACACAGGAACAGAAAACCAAATATTGCATGTTCTCACTTATAAGCGGGAGCTAAATGATAAGAACTTATGAACACACAGAAGGAAACAGTAGACACTGGGGTCTACTTGAGTGGGGGAGTTGGGAGGAAGGAGAGGAGCAGACAAGGTAACTATTGGGTACTGGGCTTAAAACCTGGGTGATGAAATAATATGTGACACATTTTCCTATGTAACAAACCTTTACGTGCACTCCCAAACCTAAAATAAAAGTAAAAAAACCCAAACTTTTTAGACATAGATAAAAAAGATTGCAATGATCAGTGCAAATAGCAACATTTCTTGGCCTAATAATTAGAGAAAAATGGGTTATTTTGTTTTTCAGGCATAGACAGGTGTAGTGTAGAGTCTATCACTGATGGTGTTATTTATAATGAATGTTATGTTTATGTAATAATTTAAATAATAAACATGTTAGAATAAAGGCCCATTGATACAAAAGGGGGCAGAGTTCAGTGAAATAGGTATTCCCTTTACATTTATATTGTACCTTTTTGTTGTACTTAAAAAAAAATTGTTATTTGAAGCCACTTAATAAGGTATAATCAAAATATATGTGCTTGGTTTGAAGGTTTTTATGAACTTGAGTTTTCCTTGTTTCAGATTTAGTGGAGTTTAACTTGGGTAGTCCCAAGAATGTGGGTCCCTTCCTTGCAGTGGACCAGAAGCACAACATCCTGCTCAAATACCGCTGCCATGGTCCACCCATCCGCTTCACGACTGTCTTTAGCAATGAGCTCCATTATGTGGCGAATGAGCTGAATGGCATTGTGGGAGGGAAGAACACAGTGGTTGCCATAGCTGTATGGTCTCACTTCAGCACCTTCCCTTTGGAAGTGTACATCCGGCGGCTCAGGAACATCCGTCGAGCAGTGGTTCGGCTCCTCGATCGAAGCCCAAAGACCGTGGTGGTCATCCGGACGGCCAACGCCCAAGAGCTGGGACCTGAGGTGAGCCTTTTCAACAGCGACTGGTACAACTTTCAGCTGGACACCATCCTTCGGAGGATGTTCTCAGGGGTTGGAGTATATCTCGTCGATGCCTGGGAGATGACCCTGGCCCATTATCTACCGCACAAGCTGCATCCAGATGAAGTTATTGTGAAGAACCAGCTGGACATGTTCTTGTCCTTTGTGTGCCCCTTGGAAACCTAGCCTGTCTTGGAAGGGACTGGAGGAATCATATTCAATGACCTTCTCAATTGACCTGAGTTACAGAAAGTGGCCCCAGTGAGAGATGACTGCCCTTAATAAGTATAAAATTTCAAAAAGATCTGGACTTAATATGATGACTTATAAGGAGCTTAGAAAATGCAGGTTACATTTATATCTACCTATAGGATTTTATCCAATGTTGACTTAGCCATGGTAGAACTCTTAACTGCATCTACACACTATATTGCTCTTGTAACCAAAGATGCTAATGAGTGTATTTGAATTAGCTTCTCCTAGGAGGGGTGACTACTTTGCTAAAGAGTATGAAAAATGTTTTGATGGAAGGGACAAGTTTGGTTGGTAGTAGAGTGTTTGTAGCTTATCTGGTAAAGGAAATTGAGTGCATCTGCATGCATAGCACAAGTAATCCATCTTCTGGCGGTTAACTAGAGAAAGCTTATAGTCAGAGGCTCTTGTGAATGCACTGAAGACTGCTGTGTCTCAGGAGTTTCTCTTGATGATCTACCTTTTCTGAATTACTTGAAAAGGCCAATGTGCTTGGTTCGAGTTTTTTAGTGAATATTTACAATTTCCTGCTTTTATCTAGAAAAGAAGCAAAAGGGAAATATGAAAGCAGTATATATAAAATCTGTGCTTTGGAATTGATATTTGCATTTGGTGATTGTTTTTTATTTGATTCAGCTAAATTTTATGTGTTGAATACTTACTCTAGAATAACTACTTTTGGAACTGGAAGGGGGAAATCTGTAAATGGAAATTTATTTTTATGTTCTGAAATTTGAGGGTTTAGGAATTGACTTTTGTGTAAAGAATGCTACGATATTATAAAGCTGTGGAAGTTTTTTCCACTAGTTTCAGGTGTTTTTTTTTTTGTTGTTGTTGTTGTTATTTTGAACTACTTACCAAAATTAGAAGTTAAAATCTAATTAGAAATTAATAAGATACTAAAATTCATGACAGTTTTTTGTTTGTTTGTTTGTTTGTTTTTTGGTATTTCTTGATTTGGGCATAAAAGGCACACCCATTCTCTCATGCTTGGAAGAAGCTGCTATTCCTACTGGCTATCTAAGAAGAATGGAATTATTAATTTTATTTGACTTATTAATTTTAAACGAGTTTAATTTGGGATCATTTAGTAAGTACTCTTTTCTTTTTGAGCTGTGATAGATTATAGTCTAGTTTAAGTTGCTCCTAAGTAGACAGATGAAGAAACTAGGGAGGCTTTAGAGAGGAAGACAGATGCTTGAAGTATGAACAATATATACCCTTAGAAGAATGGGTCAAATAATTTGGGTTTTTAATTTAAAATAGGAGGGCCCCAGATCTTACTTTCCTGTCCTTGAGGAACACCTTCAAGTTTTTAAAGTATTTTAGGGGGAAAGAAGATTTTTAATTGTTTCTGAGCCTAATGAGGTAATAAAATATATTAAAATAGTTTAATTTTAATGGTCCTTACGCTTTACAGTACCTAAGGATCACTTGTAGTATCTGACAAAAATGCAGAATTAAAGAGTCATGGCAGGGTGTGGTAGCTCAAGCCTGTAATCCCAGCACTTTGGGAGGCCAGGCAGGAGGATTGCTTGAGGCCAGGAGTTTGAGACCAGCCTGGGCAACATAGTAAGACCTCATCTCTACAAAAAATAAAAAATTATCCAGGTGTGGGCCGACAGTCCCAGCTACTAGGGAGGCTAAGGCAGGGTGATTGATTGAGCCCAGTAGTTTGAGGCTGCAGTGAGTTATGATTGCGCCACTACACTCCCACTTGGGCAACAGACAAGAGATCTTATCTCTAAAAAATTTTTGTTAAATAATAAAAGAATTAAGGCCAGGGATGTTGGCTCACATCTGTAATCCCAGCAGGGATTATAGTCTCGGGAGGCTGAGGTGGGCGGATTGCTTGAGCCCGGAAGGTCAAGACCAGCCTGGGTGCCATGGTGAAACCCCATCTCTACAAAAAAATACAAAAACTAGCTGGGTGTGGTGGCACCACCTGTAGTCCCCGCTACTTAGGAGGCTGAGGTGGGAGGATTGCTTGAGCCCAGGAGGCAGAAGGTTGCAGAGGTTGCAGTGAGCCTTGATTGTGCCACTGTACTCCAGTCTGGGCAACAGGGCAAGACCCTGTCTCTAAAAAAAAAAAAAAAAAAAAAAGAGGGACCATGATGCCTCTGGGATTTATGAAACCAACCTTTGTGGCGAGTGCTCAGTGATTCTGATGCAATGGTGGTATTCCACACTGTGAGAAACACTAAGAGAAGAGGTAAGATAGAATGAGGGAATAAACATGGCTTGTTTATTATTTTGGGGGATTTACCAATAACTGGTTTAATTCTGTTCATGATCCAATAGTATTGGTGATATTAGCTCCATTTTATAGATGAGGAACTCATGTTTAGATCTGAAATAAGGTATGTGAGAGTCCATATCTCTTTTCAGCTAAACTTGTGAGACTTTCGTAAAGAAGCGTTTGTATTTATTTATTTGTTTTTGAGACAGGGTCTTGCTCTTTTGCCCAGGCTGGAGTGCAGTGGCATGATATGGCTCACTGCAGCCTTGACTTCCTGGGCTCAAGGGATCCTTCTGCCTCAGCCTCCTGAGTAGCTGGGACTACAGGTATGTACCACCATGCCCAGCTAATTTTTGTATCTTTTTGTAGAGACTACATTTTGCCATGTTGTCCAGGCTGGTCTTAAACTCCTGAGCTCAAGCATCTGCCCACCTCAGCTTCCCAAAGTGCTGGGATTACAGGTGTGAGCCACTGTGCCCAGCTGAGAGTTTTTCTTGTCGTGAAAGAACTTGACATTTCCTCAAGGATTTATAAAGGAGGCTGAGGAGTAATTTTCCCAGGAGAATTTTAAAAAGAAAGCGGGCATTGCTCCTCCAGTGGTTTGGAATGATGCCACTTGATTGTGCAAATGATTTCTTATGATCTTGTCTGGTTTTCTGTTATTTTTTGATTTGGTGACATAGCTCTCAAAGATTTGGTGACACAGCTTCTTGAGTCACTTTCATCTCTCTTAAAAAAATTTTTTTTTTAACAACTTTTAAGTTCAGGGGTACATGTGCCAGTTTGTTTCATAGGTAAACTTACGTCATGGGGGTTTGTTGTATAGATGATTTCATCACCCAGGTGTTAAGCCTAGTACCCATTAGTAATTTTTCCTGATCCTCTCCCTCCTCCTACCCTCCACCCTCCAATAGACCCCAGTGTGTGTTGTTGCCCTTTATGTGTCCATGTGTTCTCATCATTTAGCTCTCACTTATCAGTGAGAACAACTTTCATCCCACATCTAATTTGTCTTTCTTCACTCTGGTGTGGAAATTTTGATAGAGATTCCAATATCACTTAAACGTTTCCCAGAATATTTAGATAGAATAATTTAGTTTCTTCTGAAAAGTTTATTTTAGGCTAGTGCCACATGGTTGTGAATATTAGCATGGTAGCCAAATAATAGTTTGTTTAAATGTATATTTCCCAATATAAATATAAGGGGCATCATAATTTTTAAAAACTATAAAATCTAGAAGAAAAATCTATGGATAAAATCCATAATTCTATCATCTGAATGCAATGAACATTAGCATTTAGGTATATTTTCTTGCAGGTTTTTTAACCATATACTTATAGAGAATATGTAATTTGGGTCTGTGTTTTTTACATATAAATATTTTTCTATGTTAAATAGTCTTCATAAGTTAATTATAAAGATCTGCTTAATAGTTCTGCTACTGCAGTTTTCATTATTAGATAAGTTGGTCATTATAGTTGGACATTTAGGTTTACAATATTAAAGCAGTGGTTTATATCAATTTCAGTGGTTTAAAATATGAATTTCTATTTTGGAATGAAAGTATTAATTTAATGTAGTGAATCTCATATTCCAGAACTGAGATGATTGATTTGATGCTATTTGTGACAGACAGAACCCATAATAAAGCCTTTCTATGCAAGTTACATTTTATAGAATTATCCTACTAAAAGTAACCTTTCTTCAGCGAATGCAAAACAGACCTTTGGTGTTCCAGTATGATTCATTTTGCCATTCTGAACAACTATCATTTTAATTAAGACCATTTAACTGACACTTCCTGGATTCAGTTATTAAGTTTCAGATTGAAACTTGATCCAGTTTAATAACTGAATCCAGTTTCACATTTATCAATCTGAAAACTTAGTTTGCAGATTGGTAAATCAGGGTACTTGACAAGAATAAATATGGTACGCCTTTATATATTCATGTGTTACATGCCAGAAATGAGTCTGTTTCTGGACCCTGTTCAAGGAAATAGTGATGACTGAGAGAGGTACAGGGAAATAAACACCCAAGGGAAACAACAGAAATAAGCCTCCCCAACTTTCTAAAAAACTGCTCAGCATTATCTCTGTGGATTCTGGGTAAATTCAGCTTTTTAACATCAGCTAGTCACTAATGCCAGAAATTCCACTTCAAGTGTATTTATTTTCTTGTGTTAAGCATTATTCTACCTGGTTTATGTCTACAATGTAGTATTAGTGTACTTAGGATTCTTGACACCTCAGTGTGCAATAAATAAAATTTTGAAGTTGTTGTTTTTCATTTGAAGGTGAGACCACAGCCCCTGAGTGCTAAGGGGACCTGGGAATCCTAGGGGAATGGAGGTGGTGGACGATAAGAGGATGGTTGAGGGCAGGAGTTTAAAGGACACAGAAGCTAGGAGAGCAGAAAATGTACTCCACCACCTTCTGTCTAACTTGTCTCTTAAAAGTGCTTTTACATTTTAACTTTTTAAAAAAATGTGGGCCGGGCATAGTGGCTCATGCCTGTAATCCCAGCACTTTGGGAGGCCGAGGTGGGCGGATCACCTGAGGTCAAGAGTTCAAGACCAGCCTGACCAATATGATGAAACCCCATCTCTACTAAAAATACAAAAATAGCCAGGTGTGGTGGCACATGCCTGTCATCCCAGCTACTCAGGAGGCTGAGGTGGGAGAATCGCTTGAACCCGGGAGGTGGAGGTTGCAGTGAGCCGAGATCATGCCATTGCACTCTAGCCTGGGCAACGAGAGTGAAACTCTGTCTCAATAAATAAATAAATAAATAAAAAATAAAAAAGTGTGAACTTAAATATATTTATATGTGTGTACATATATTTTCTTTTTTAATATTCTGGTTAAATGAGAGGCCATCGGGCCTCTTTTTAAGAGTCTAATGATGTGTATATCTAATGCCCATTCCAGCTGGATTGTAACACTGCTTGGGGAAGATAACTTAAAAAAAAGTAGTACCGAGATTACAGCAGCTAGTGTCCTAAATGGAAAAGAAGTGAAACTAAATGTCATAGGAGAAATCCTTTCAGTTTTGTGCAGTGGTTCATTTGCTGTTAAATCTACCCCATTACCATTCCCCTTACTCCTTGAAAATAAAGTGATCTTCATGTTACAGGACCATTGCTTTATTTATGTCACAGATTTCTTGTCCTTTAATTAGTCAGTGAAGGCACATGATTGCGATACTACTTTTTGATTGCCGTATTGTAAAAGCTATATGGTAAAAGGTAACTCCCTCCACCCGCCCACTGCACCCTCACGTTTAGGGGCCACACAGAAAAAGCGAAATAAGATGAGGTGAATCTAATGAGAAGGCAACTCTAATGCCCATCAGGAGATTCACTAGGACATTTTAAAAGGACGTCTTTAAGGAAAAAGTTTTGTTTGTAGATGTTGCCTCTGATTCCTCCCTGCGGCTCCAGTCCAGGTCTTGGAGCCGGCCCTCGAGGGGAATGTCCGGGACTCGGGTCGGTACCTTTTTGGTCTGGGAATTTCCAGTGTGCAGAAAAAAAATCCACAAATCTAGGCCTCGCTGCCCCCTCCCTGCCTCCTCTGGCCCTCCTCAGTGCCCACGCAACCCGGTTCGAAAGAGAGGATGACCGTATTCTGCATTTTAGAAAACAGGCTCTTAGCTTCCCCCGCCCCCGTCCTCACTAGAGTGGAGAACTGAAAGCGAACGCTATAAAGGGCGCCAGTGAGAGGGGCTGGCCTCCTCTTGCCACGAGGTCAGACGGCGAGTTCTTAGAGAAAAAGGCTGCTTAGCTGCTGCTTATCATGTAACCTCAAAAGGAAACTGATCGTCTTTCTCATGCTGTCACGTACTTGGGTTATTATCGCTGATTACAGCTGGAAACAATTGATTTGCTCTTACGTATTTGTGTGACTTGACTCTTCAAACACAAAGGTATATTTTTATTATCTGATATTTTATTAAAATATCTTAAATGGTAAGATTTTTTTTTTCTTTTTCTTTCCTATTCCCATAGTCAGATTCTTAACTTTGGAGTCACTCTCCTATGTTTGAGTAGCCATACTTGCTTTGGGGCAAAATATTGGGGGATAGTTTTTTGGAGAAAGAAAATCTGGGATGTTTTTGTAGTTTAGTAATAGCAAGAATCATGTCTGTTTGCTTTAAAGGCCCAGGAAGGACTGAGATACTAATGGAGGAGATCGATAGAATGGGTGATGAAGTATCATAAATCTAATGTAACACTATCTTCTGTCAGTGACCTAGAACTATGATATCCCGAGGCAGAAGTCTCCCAGGAGATTTGATGTGTGGGTTTAGAGGAGTACTTTCCCACCAACCGTAGGCATGAAACTATATGGGAAAATATATCAGAGTAAATTGAAATACTTTATAGCATGCCCTCATTCATTCTTACAGCTGTAAAATTAAAATGTATGAATGGCCATTTTATGAATGAGGAAAACCTGAAATTTGATGATTTGGCTGGACCCCCAGATTCATGATAATCTGTATATGTTAAGGGGTTTTGTTTGAATAAAAGCACATTTCTAAATAGAATGGATTAGAGATTCTCTTCATTGGGATTAGTGAATTCGCTGCAGTGGCTGAAGGTGCTGTCCCAAAGAGGATGACAGTTACGTAAATTTTAAGCATTTGGTAATATATATTTCCTCTATTTAAATCTGACATCTAAAGAAATATCTGGCTGGGTGGAATATTTTTTTGCTTCTGTTAGACAGTAGGTTGTTTAGACAATAAAAGGAGAGAAAAGTTTATCCTAGTCTCATTCACCACCCCGCATAATCCCTGATGGAGCAGGGCATCAGCCACACAGATCATCTAAACAGGCAGATAACCCTGCCTGTTTATTTATTTGGCCTCAGAATACGGTGTATGGTCCACCACCCCTCTCCACCGTCTTTCTAACATCATCCTGCTGAGGCCAAAGACACAGTTGGGCAGGGTACAGGCGTGGAGCACTGCGGTGGCAGAGTCAGTCTGAGAGGAGTTAGCACATGACATCAGTGCACAGTGCAGATGACGGAAACATTTGGCAGCATCCTCTCCAGTGTGGAGGTGATGACCGAGGTCAGCATAATCCAGCTGTTCAGATACAGACTTTTCCTCACTGAGGAAGAGGAGGCAAACCCTTCTCTTTCTTGTCCTGTAACAGACAAGACAAGAAAGCTCTCAGAGAGCAAAACAAACCCTTTCAGAAGCTACAGAGCCATGGAAAGCATTACTGAGGGGAAAGATTTTCTAATTGTTCTGAGACCAATAATGAATTGCTCCTGAAAACACCATTTTCTTTTGGCTCATAGCTGACACTGATCTGGAGGCCTCTTGATTTTTTTCTCCCAGGTTAACAGGAAGATCTCGAGGGCCCTGGCTGAACTTCACCTTTTGGCTTTCTTGGCCTGATGCTGAACTCTCGAGGGTGAGAAGGGCTGATATTTCTAAACAAGTAGCATCCAGGTGTTACCTAGCTTCTGGCTGATGTCAAAAAGGGCAGTGGGATTTTTCTAAGATTTTTCTCTTAAATTAGACATTTTTTTGAAGTTGCTACAAAATTACTATGAATTTTATTTATAGGCATTTTACTGTGATTTCATGAGAACTAAGATTTTTTGTGTGTGTGTGTGTGTGTGTGGTTTAGTAGTATTTTTTTAAACCAATTTGTTGAATTTCTGCTATTTTCCATAGCAAGAGGACATATGAATACATCTAAGAGGGGAATTCAGCTCTCTGCTTACTGACAGTTTCAGGGTTATGTAATCTTTAACAGGCTTGGAGAGCATCATGCCCCCTCTCAGTTTTGGTGAAGAGGCTCCTTAAAACTAGCATATGTGGTTTCTGATTAAAGCACTTTCTGTTCCTTTAATTTGGGATTGTCTGTGAAGTAAAATACCTTCCTTTCAACCGTAGGGAATGAAAATATTTACTGCCGCTGATGGAGTTAGTGGATTGGGAATTAACACTTATTAAACACTTGTTTTGGGAGCTTACCAGCAAGATCTCATTTAGCCCTACAGCATTTTTTAGGTAGCTGTAATTAGCTTTATTTTATTTATTTATTTTTGTAACTTCAACTTTTATTTTAGATTCAGGGGGTGCATGTATAGGTTTGTTACCTGGGTGTATTGCGTGATGTTGAGGTTTGGGGTACAACTGATCCCATCACCCAGGTACTGATCATAGTTATTTTTCAGCCCTTGCTTTCCTCCCTCTCTCCCCCATCTAGCAGTCCTCAGTGTCTTTGTTGCCATCTTTATGTCCTTGAGTATCCAATGTTTAGCTCCCACTTAAAAATGAGAACATGTGGTATTTGGTTTTCTGTTCCTGTGTTAATTCACTTGGGATAATGGCCTCCAGCTGCATCCATGTTGCTGCAAAGGACATGATTCTATTCTTTTTTATGGCTGTGTAGATTTCCACAGTGTATACGTACCACATTTCCTTTATCTAGTCCACTGTTGATGGGCATCTAGGTTGATTCCATGTCTTTGCTATTGTAAGTAAGTGCTGCAGTGAACATACAGGTGCATGTGTCTTTTTGATAGAATGGGAAATATAACCACGACAAATGGTGAATTCTGTCATGGTTATATTAAACAATAATCACAATGCTACATTCTCTATACATGATACCAAATATCTGAATTAAACTTATCAAAATACTGTTAATTACCTAGATGTTATATCTATAAAATGCCAACCTCCAGATATTTGGAGACATTAAAAATGATTTTTTCACTGTTTGTTCAGATATTTAGCAACATGCAGGCACTTTTAATATTGGTAGAAGACTTTTGGATATGTTTTAGCATTGAGTAGTTTATGTGCATCCCCATTCCTCTGATTGTTTCAGTCAAGTTTGCTAGACAGCCTAGTACTGTGAATCTGTAGAGGGTCTAATACTGTAAATCATGCGTTCTTAGAGAGGGTGATATTATCTCCAAGAGGGCAAAAATAGGTTCTTCAGGGAAAAATCTTAGCTATTACAATAGTTTGTGGCCCCCAAAGGGCCATAGTACATAATAGATATACAGTATATCTGTGATATTAAACTTTCATCAGGGGATGATTAGGAAAAAGATGTCTAAAAAGACCCTGTAGTGGGGTCTAATACTGAAAGAAAGGTTGAGACATGTCATTGTAAATGCTCTGGATGTACTTATTCAACTGAGGTCAAAAGATTTTTCTGTGGTTTGTTGTCTTTTTGTGTCTTGCTTTGTGTCTACATCCTCATTTTTCATGGATTTTAAAAGTACTGGTTTCCAGAGGGGGAACAACGTTTTTAGTTTCTTTTCTTTTCTCTTTTCTCCTCCTCCTCCTTTTTCTCCTTCTCCTTCTTCTCCTCCTTCTCCTCTTTTTCTTTTTCCTCTCTCTCTCCTTTCTTTTTTTTTGATACAGAATCTCCCTCTGTCGCCCATGGTTGGAGTGCAGTAGCCCCTTCTTGGCTCACTGCAAACTCCGCCTTCCGAGTTTAAGTGATTCTCATGCCTCAACCTCCTGAGTAGCTGGGACTACAGGCACATGCCACCACGCCCAACTAATTTTTGTATTTTTAGTAGAGTGGAGTTTCACCATGTTTGCCAGGCTAGTCTTGAACTCCTGACCTCAAGTGATCCATCTGCCTCAGCCTCCCAAAGTTTTGCTTTTTTTTTGAGACAGAGTTTTGCTCTCCCACCCAAGCTGGAGTGCAGTGGCATGGTGGCATGATCATAGCTCACTGTGTCCTCTACCTTCTGGGCTCAAGTGATCCTCCTGCCTTAGCCTCATCAGTAGCTGGGACTACTACAGGTGCATGCCAGCATGCCAAGCTTCTTTGTTCTTTTTTGTTTCTTTCTTTCTTTTTTATTTTTTATTGTAGAGATGGGGCTTGCTATGTTACCCAGACTGGTCTCAAACTCCTGGCCTCAAGGGATCTTCCCACCTTGGACCCCAAAGTGCTGGGATACAGGTGTGAGCCACCATGCCTGGCTTCATATTTATTTCAGGAAAGCTTTATTGATTATATCCTTAAATACTTTAAATATATATTTTTAAATTGTGATAAAAGATACATAAAAGTTGCCATCTTATCCATTTTTAAGTGTACAGTTCAGTGCCACTAAGTACTTTTCATATTACAACTTTTGCCACCACCCATTTCTAGAACTTTTTCATCTTCCCTTTGACTGAAACTGCATATCCATTAAACAATAATTCTACATTTCTCCCTCCCCCAAGTCCCTGGCAACCACCCCTCTACTTTTTGTCTCTATGAATTTGATGACTCTACATACCTTATGTAAGTGGAATCATATAATACCTATCTTCTTATGACTGGTTTATTTCATGTAGCGTAATATTTTCAAGGTTCATTCATGTTGTATAAATGTCAGAATTTCCTTCCTTTTTAAGGCCGAATAATATTCCAGCGTGTGTGTAGGTGTGCATACCACACTTTGTTTATCCATTCATCTGTCCATGGACACTTGGATTGTTTCTTTTGGCTATCATGAATAATGCTGCTGTGAACATGGGTGTACAAGTATCTGTTTAAATCCTTGCTTTCTTTACTTTTGGGGATATATCAAGTCATTCTATGTTTAATTGTTTTAGGAACTGCCATACTATTCTACACAGTGGATGCACCATGATGAATTTGTTTTTAATTCATTTTGTGCAGTATTTGGCACAGTGCAGTGAATAAGTGCGTACACCATGAATATGTGATAGAAAATGACACGAAGTTCTGAGTAAATCTGCGCAGTGATTCGGCACCACTATTAAAACACTGTCTCCTATTTATTCACCCTTGCATGTCCACATACTACAGTGCACACACTTATGAAGATGTGCATGGTTGAGAATAACTCCTATGAGAATCATTGAGGTAATGCACTTAGATTCCATGTGGGTCAGATCTTTTTGGAAATTTGGACCGCTGGCAATGCAGTTCCACATCTTAAACCTAGGGAGGCTTGCTGGAGGTTTAAAAGGGCCAGAGCTACAAAGGTGATCCATAGATGTGGGGATTAGGTCTTGTGAATGAAGATGAACTGAGGACACTTTGAAGATAGGAATTGTGTGAGTTCTGATTTTTACCCTTCTCCTCCCCTTCCACACCCATTCCCTCACCTCTGTAGCATAGCACAGGGTGACTTCATAAATTTTGGTTGAACAAATAACCCAGGGTGGAAAAAAAATGAAATGATGATTTATTTTTTAATCATAACAGCTGTGAAAAGTTGTTCTGAAGGCCATAAGAACTTTCTATGTTGTATCTTTGCTATGGGAAAAGGAGGTGCGTTTAATTTGAGGTGGAAGATAAGAGTTTGGAAACTGAAAGTGATCACTGGGCAAGGCTGCCAAATTTACCCTTGGCATTTCTAGTGTCTTGAGAGATGAGCTGTCTGAAAGATGGCAGAGGCTGATATATCATGGACCTTCCCAACCCTGCTCTTCTGTGGTAAGGTTTCGTATCTTGTAAACAGCCAATGAAAACAGTTCTGTGTGTTTACCTCTAGTATTGAACAGTATCCAGCATTTAGATAAGAAAGGGATTGTTAAACCCAACAGTAATGTCAAAATCTAGGGCAGAGTGACAGATTGCAGCCAAATTGAAGCAGGCAGGAGGTGGACTGGGTGGTGATAATAATGTTAAAGGACATGCTTTCTCCACCCCATACCTCACTTAGGTTTGTTGGCTCTCCAAACTTCATGGTTGTTCATTTTTGGGAGCCTCTCTTAAAATGCAAATAACCTTTAAGAAGGGTTACTGTTGATGCCTTGGTGGGAATTAATTTTTAGATTCTTTCTTGAAATTTTACTGGATAAGTAGGGCACAGAGACTGCCCCAATCAGAGTGCAGATAAGGGGTGAGGTAGAGTGGCAGGAGCAGTGCAGGGAACAGAATGTGAAGGTTAAAATCAGACTTGGTACCTCCCCAACTCTCCTTCAGCTGGCTTTCTTGTTTCTGTTCTTTGTGCCACCACTATTATCCTCAAGGCCTTGGAGTTACCTCTGACCCTCATCTCTCTTTTCCCTGCCCTGCCCTGCCCTTCCCTTACCTCCTTCTCTCTCTCTCTCCTTCTCTTTCCTTCCTTCCTTCCTTTCCCTTTTCCTTTCCCTTTCGCTTTCCTTTCCTGTCTCACTCTGTTACCCAGGCTGGAGTGCAGTGGCTCTATCTTGGCTCACTACAATCTCTGCCTCCGGGGTTCAAGCAATTCTCCTGCCTCAGCCTCCAGAGTAGCTGGGACTACAGGCACCCGCCACCACGCCCGGCTAATTTTTGTATTTTTAGAAGAGATGGGGTTTCACTGTGTTGGCCAGGCTGGCCTCGAACTCCTGACCTCAGGTGATCCACCCGCCTCAGCCTCCCAAAGTGCTGGGATCACAGGCGTGAGCCACCACACCCGGCCCCTCCCCTGTCTTTCTGTGTTCAGTCTCTTGCCTATAGATTAAATGTGTGAAATCTCTAAACAGTTCCCCTCTTTCCATGCCCAGGAGCACCACTTCAGTTCAGACCTCCATGACCTGTCACATTGACTGTTGCAGAGTCTTTCCTGATCACTTCCACACAGCTGCCACTGTGATCGTGTTTTTATCTTGTTCGAAACCCCTGAATGGCTCCCCATCACATCTGCTGTCCATTGTTTGCAGGCAGCATCAGGGCCCTGAAGGGTTCCAGACTTGACTCTGTGGTCCTCCTCTTCTCCTATGTTCTCTTCAAGTTGGGCCGATGGTCCAAAGAGGCCAAAATGCTTAACAATGAAGTATTAATTAGAACTTTGAAAAATGAGTAATAATTATAACTACCATCATTGAGTGTATATTATGTGCCAGGAGTTGTGCTAGGCATCTCATGACACTACCACGTTTAACCTACCTACTAGCTGAATGCAGTTAATATACCCATTTTATGGATGAGAAAAGAGTCTTAGAGAAATTAATTAAAGCTGGATGGTTATTAAGTGAATGGAGCTTGGATTTGAACCCAGGTTTGTTTAACTTCAGAACCCCATGCTTTTAATCAAGGGAAGAAGAATATTACAGGCAAGAATTCTAGCTTGGGTAAAAATTTGGAGGCAAGAATTAGTGTGCTATTTTAGAAGATATTCATAAGGACTGCATGCTGAAGAATAGAGATAGAAGTATGATGGGATAATGTTTTAGTTTGCTAGGGCTGCCGTAACACAATACCACAGGCTGCGTGGCTTAAACAACGGAAATCTGTTTCTCACTGTTCTGGGAGATTGGAAGTTCAAGATAAGGTGTTGGCAGGTTTGGTTTCTCCGAGGCCTCTCTCCTGACTTGTACATGGCCGCCTTCTCACTACGTCCTCACATGTGGCGTTTTCTCTGTGCATGGGCATCCCTGGTGTCTCTACCCTCTTATAAAGATACCAGTCAGATTAGATGAGGACTCACCCCGACAGCCCATTTTTAACTTACACTCTTTAAAGGCCCCATCTCCAAACATAGCCACATTCTGCGGTACTGGGGGTTAGGACTTCAACATGTGAATTTTGGGGGGACACCATTCAGTCCATAACAGATAGGTTTGATGTAGCTTGATTTTAGAGGATGTGAAAACCAGGCACAGACATTTAGCTTTGATATGGAAGGTCATAAGGTCCAATTGTGGTTCAGCAGGGGAAAACATGAATATCATTGCTTCCTCAAGCAAACTTCTAGCTACTCTTAAACATAAAGGTAGTTAGAATTAGTAGAGTACTAAGGGGTGAATGGGGACCATTTCGGAGAGGGAACTATTAACACTTTTCTATAGTGGAATGAAAGAGTAGAAACAGTCAAATCTTTAATTCCTCTAGAGGTTTCTGGAAAAATGAAGATAATCCTTTGGTGAGGGTAGAGGGACAGAGTGGGGAATATGGCAAGTTTCATTTTAGACTTGATTATACTCTTGGCAACATGGAATTAGAACTCAGAGAAAAGGTCAGAGCTAGTAATAGGAATCAACTCTAGACAGGTCAGAACTGAACCTGTGGAAGTGGGTAAGATTGCTCAGACTTCAAAAAGGACAAGAGACAAGAATTCTCACATCTGAAACTGCTTTGTTGTCACACTGGTTTGGAGGATAGTAGGGAGGCTCTCCGGGAACTCTCTACGTAAAATAACACCTCTGGCTTTCTTCCTTGACCTTGCTTTGCTTTTCTTAGCACATCATGGCCACCTGGCATTATCTTATATAGCTTTTTGATTATTGTCTGTCTTTCCCAGTAGAATGTAAGCTCTGTAAGGGCATCGATGGCCTTTCTGTTCAGTACTGTATTCGCAGTATCTGGAAGCGTGTCCGGAACATTGTAGGTGGTCAATAAATATTTACTGAGTGAATCCATGAATAGGTGAATTTCTATAATCAATATAATTTAATTTGATAATTAGATTGCTGGATATTTCCCTTTTATCTTTTCTTAAAGTAAAAATTTGTTCTTTAACAAATGTCTTTTAATAAATGAACGTACAGACACATATGTTTGAGAATCTCTAAATATCCAACCTAAAAACTTGGGTTTGTTTCTGTGTTTTCCCTTAACTTGTACTTTCCCCAAACCAAGATCACCTGGTCTCTTCTCTGCTACATCATTTCTTTATGACAAAGTAGTTATGACTCTCTTTAAAAAGCCAGGCATTTCAGCACTCTGGTTACTTTGATCAGATTATCTATTCGTATCTACTTTTATATTTTTTGTAACTTTCATAGGTTATTTGTGGAGTCCTTGGTTTCTGTGAGGTCTCTTTTCCCTGTATTTAAAGATTCCCATCTCATTGTACCGATGTGGGTGCCAGATCATATGAACATAAGAAATCTGTTTACACCATTCTCCATTCTTTTCTCTGGGAGTACTGCCAATTATGGGATGGTGTGATGAAGTCATAAAATACAACCTTAGGTAGGATAGGCATTTAAACCAAGTCCACTCTCTTTCCTTTTTCTAAGGGATCATAATCAAAGGTAAATGTGAATCTACTTGTATTTTATACAGGTGAAGACTCAGTAAATCTAGCTTTTCTTTCTCACTAGTCTGAGTGGTATACCTGGCACTAGAATTATTGTGTTAAGTCATTTAAAGCAGTGACTCTTCAGCAGATGGGGAATTCCTCCTTAAAGGACTATTAAAAAATCATTGAGGAAGTGTTTTCAAGGGCCACACATCCCCTTTTTGAAAATCATAGTGGGTGATTGAGCCACAGCACTTAGCTTGAGCAACAGAGTGAGATCCTGTCTCAAAAAAAAAAAAAAAAAGAAAAGAAAAAAGAAAAAAAAAGAAAAATCATACAGGCCACAGAGCACCTTTCTGATGGGGCATGCCATACCTGTCAGGTGGAAAACACAGGGTTGAGAATCACAGAAGAAAGAATCTGAGAGTTAAACTGAACAGAGAACATGTAAAACGAAAGGGTGTCTTTGTTGGTTTCCATCCTCTCCTCTTTACTGCCGAATTAACTTTTGGTCCCCCAGACCCCTTGTTTACTAGAATTTTATGGACGTTTAACACTGTATGGAATGATGTAGGCTGATGGGAAGAGGACACTCTGCAGGGCAACAGGACAAGTCTATAAAATCCAGAATCAGATTAGGAGATGAAATTCTGAGCATGATTGTTGGAAAACAGAGAAAAAGAGAAGGACATCGACAAGAGAACCTGTTTACTGAACCTATGGCCAGTTTAGTACATCTTTAAGAACTGTTCACTGTAATAGTTGTCTGACTTACAAATTCTACAGTTATGATATTTTTATAATTATGCTCTTTTGTAATCAGTTTGATTGCATACGTGTGAAAGTGCTCTGGGAGAAAAATTCAATATAGATGCAAGGTATGACTAACAGCTTTTGTCCAACCTGTAATCTATCATTTTCCACTCCCTGTAGCCATATGCACACAAATAAGAGGGAGATTTACTCAATGGTCATAATAATTTATGGGAACAGGAATGGAACTAACACTTATTAAGCATCTAGGATGTGTCAAGTACTTGACATACATTGTACATTATCTCATGCCATATTAGAAATTTGATTTAGATACTAGTATCTCAATTTATAGGCAAGTAAACTGAGGCTCAGAGATTAAGAGATTTGCCCAAGGTCACGTAGCTGGTAAATGCTACAGATAGGTATGCAGGCTTCAAAGCCATGACACTGCAGTGCCTCTAAGCACTTTTGCTTAAAGCAAGGGTTGGCAGACTTTTTCTGTAATGGGCCAAATAGTAAAAATTTTAGGTTTTGTGGGCCAAGAGACAAGATGGAGGATATTATGCAGGCACTTATATAAACATTTAAAATGTAATCATTTTAAAATGTAAAAACCATTTTTAGGTGACAGCTGTGCAATAGGTTGGATTTGGCCTGCAGGCCGTAGTTGCCAACTCCTGGCCTAAAGTATCCAGAAAATGTAAGCAAAAGCAATTTTGGGGAGGTAAGGTGATTGTTTGAATAAATAATTGTCATCAACTTTGTATTAAATTTGCATAGTCTTTTAGTAACTGAGAATTCAGTTTTCCTCACTAATTCCAGTATTAAATTATCCCTTCATAAAATTCTTCCTGTTGATAGCTATGCATGTTTGATGTATTTTGTCTGTTAGTATGCATTGTGTTTGGCAAGATTTCATAACTGCATATTTTACCTCGCTCTTTGACCATTCTCCCAGCTGTTACATACATTAGAGATAATGTGTGTATATAAAGTACATAGTATTCCGCATATGGCAGATATTAAATAGTGGTAGCTATTATAAACATTATCAGTGTTCCAAAGTATTATTATATTATGGATCTATAATTTATTATTTTGTTGGTATTAATATATGTTACATATGATATAAGCTGATTTCTCCTCAGATCTTAAATATTTTTATAACTAGTCTTTCTGTGTGGCACACACTACTGTCCTTGTTTACAGAAATTCAATATAAATCCCTAGAGACTTATAAAAACAAACAAAAATTTCTTAAAATCCCCCAAAACAAAAAAACCTCAAGTTTTAAATTCTGAATTAAAAGTTCCAGAATTAAAATTCTTCTTGAAAAAATGTGGCATATAAGGCATTCATGCCTTTAAATAAGACATAAAATTATATTCTTATCCCTCATTCAGTTTGACAAATATGTGTTACCTGTATTAAAAAGGGAAGGGGGAAGAAGATTTTGGATATGAAAGTTTTGCAAAACATAAATTCTAATCAACATGTTTATGAAGCAACTATGTACTGAACATTTACAAGTACTGTACTTCATTTCTAGATTAGTGAGCTCAATTTAAGCTCAATTTAACTCACCTTCCAAATTTAGCCTTTTCTTTGGGGGAAAAGAGGTTTAAGTCAAAATATAAAGGAAAAGTATAATGGTTAGAAGTTTCTTAGCTTTAGGCCTTTGCAGATCCATGTAGGCCAAACCTCATACAAAGGAATGGTGAAGGGTCTTTCGTCAAAAATTTTCTTAATTTCTGTGGATCCTAAAATTCAACTATAAAATATTCAGTTCTTTGGGGTTAATTGCCTTCAAAATTTTTTTTCTCCTTAAAAAGTAAATATTACCAGGAAAAGTAACAGTTATCATTTATTTGTAGTACAATGTAAATTAGCTTATTAGTTTTCTTCCTGAAAACTGAGATCCTTTCCCAGAGCATGTACATTTTTTACAGTAGAAGGGTACAGGGATGGGTAATTTTGAACTATGTATTACTGTCTAGAATCTGCGGATTTGTGTAGGAAAGAGTGTCACAAAGAAGAATGGAGAGGAAAAAAGGAGGGAGAAAGGGGAGTTGGGATTAGAAGATACTTTTTGGTCCTTCACCATTCTGTTTTAAGGCAGTTCAGATTTTAGTGTCCTTTAAAGCAGGCAAGAGTTGACAGTATTCCCACATTCAGTGTTTAGGAGGATGCTTTCATTCATATGTGTGGAAATGAAACTTTTGGAGTTGTCAACAAGTCAGAGAAAGCAGAAGAAGCCATGGAACTTGTAATGCTCTCTGCCTTTTTGGACAAAGCTCACCTACTTCATTTTTACCTCTTGGTGTCTATAGTGGGTAAAGTTCATCATTATAAATAGAAACCAGAAAACACTCTCATGAGCTAAGAACCATTTACAGGGTGAAAGTTAGGAAAGTGCACTTGTTTCATGTGGATGTTTTGTGTGAGTTTTGATTATTACTATTAGAAAGTGTGGTACACAGGTAGCCCTTCAGACTAACACCAAACATCACTCCTTCATATATATGATTTTGTATGAACCATATGCATTTTATAGTATGTGGATATTTTCTGAAATCAAATGGAAGAACTTTTCATTTCTTTAGAAATGAAATGTTAAAGGGGAAGAAAAATTTGTTTTGTTTTCAGTTTAAACACTTGGATTTCTGCTGGGCTAGAAAGATGGGATGCTGCAAAGGTATTTCAGGGTACTGTAGCATTGCTGTGATTCAGGGTCTGTTTATAAGGCATCTGTTTATTGGGATGTTCAACTGTGTGACCTGACTTTGTGCAAGGTGCCTCTCTGGCTGCCCATCAGGGGACAGACCTTGTGTACCTGCTGGAAAGCAGTGGAGTTACTTTACATAGTGGACGACTCACTCACACCTAGTGGGTGCTCAGAAAATATTTGTGAAGAGGACAAAGTGGTATATGGCATCTCCTTTGATGCTTTCATATAAAAGGAAGTTGCAGAGAGATGACTCCGGGGACACTATTAATTTTGTCTTCACACAATCAGTCCATAATATGCAAAGTTGTACATACTATACATACAGTACTTAACGGGGTATCAAGTTTATTCTCTTAGCACTGAGCAGGATGTTCTGAGATGTGCAAACCTTTTGCTAATTCATCTGTATGATGATTAGGTTACTGGTTGGAGAAATTTCCTCAATATGGTATACTGTGCTTTGATATCAGGTGCTAATAATTTGCTGCAAACAGGACCTAGAGAATTACTTTTAAAGACAACCTTTTGATCTTTCCAGATTAAAACATACAAAAGAATAGGTTACACTCTTGTAAGGAAAAAGCTTACAGAACTTACTAACTACAGCTGTCTGTGCCATAGCCTGGTTGGTCAGGTGGCCTATTGGGAAGTATATAAGTGCCAGTAGAACTGAGTTCATATGTCTCAGAAGTAGTAATTGTTTCTATTACATGGATACCATATGGACCAGAATGTTCATACAGCCAGGTATAAGCTCCACAAAGACAGAGATTAGTGTTTGTCTGAGGTACCGCTGTGCCCCAGTACTTAGAAAAGTACCTGACATTTATAAAGCACTACCATATTGAAGAATAACTAGAATTTGAAAATATGTGGTCTGATTTACTCATCTGCATTAGAAAAATCTGTTAGAATACCCTGAAGTTTAAATGTTTCTTGAGATGTTGAAGTATGTTTTACATTGCTATGGGGATAATAAATTATTATTTTTAAGGAAAAGCATTCAACAAATCAACATATAAGATGATATCTGTTTTGAAAGCTCCTGAAAGATTTTATGTTCTTTACAAAGAATTCTGGGCAAAAGGCAGCTGGGTTTTTATATTTACAAGATAGATGAAAATAGTTTTATAATAATCCAAGTGCAGAGAATGAGGAGATTCTAATTCAAGGGGCCAAAGTATTTGTTTTGATGTCTGTACGGTATTGACATAAAATAATTTTGGAAGCATTTCCACTTGTTTCTACCATCCAGTTAAATATGTACCAAGTAACTACCTACTAAGTAACAGGTACTTGGCTATTGACAAGGGATACATGTCTTGGGAGCTTATAGTGGAATAGAGGAGACAGACTCATAAATGGTTAATTTTAGCACATCCTAAGAGCTATGATAGAAGTCTGTGTGGGGACTGAGAGGAAAGGCCCTTAGTCCAGAAGTGGGGTTGAGAGTTGGGGTCAGGGGAGGAAGGGAGGGTCAGGAAAGGCTCCAGAAGTGTTGGATATTAAGTGAGTCTTGAGTGAGTGTTGGGTATTAAGTGAGCATGAGATTTTGGTTGAGGAAGAGGAGAGAAGAACAGCAAGAGCAAAGTCTCAGAGCTGTGGGAAACTATACTCAGTTTCGTGTTACTGAAGGTAATGAGGAAGATGAAGCTTGTGAGGAAGGCAGGACTTGGACATCTGTCATTCTAAGAAGACTGGACTCCATGCTAAAAGCAGTAGAGAGCCACTGAAGGATTTTTAAATAGTGTAGAGCAAGCTTGTCCAACCTGTGGCCCATGGGCTGCATGTGGCCCAGGATGGCTTTGAATGTGGCCCAACACAAATTCATAAACTCTCTTAAAACATTATGAGATTCTTTTGTGATGTTTTTTCTTTTTCTTTTTTCATTTTCTTTTCTTTTCTTTTTTTTTTTTTTTTAGCTCTTCAGCTGCCATTAGTGTTAGTGTATTTTATGTGTGGCCCAAGACAATTCTTCTTCCAGTGTGGCCCAGGGAAGCCAAAAGATTGAACACCCCTGGTGTGGAGGAATTCTTAGAAGAATTCCTGGCATTCCAGCATTCCATTGGTATGCCGATGGCAGTCTGGAGGATGGGTTTTAAGTGGGCAAGGCTGGATGGGTGATCATTTGCATCAAGTAAGAGATAAAGGCCTGTCTTGGATAGTGGAAATTAGAGATGGAGAAGAGAGGAGGGTTTCAGAACCAGGTGTTCAACAATTATGAGTCCAATCTGGAACTTTTGAGTTGACTGATAGGACATTGCCTACATTCGATCCCTAAAAATTATTTAAATCTGTACTTACTAATTTATTTTTAAAAACTGTATTTTCTAAAAAAAAAAAAAAAAAAAAAAAAAAAACTTCATGCAAACAGTATTGTTTCACATCTTTGCAAATTTCTTAACATCCGGTTTTACAGAAGACAGATTTTCATATTTGCTTCTGCATTTAATTTGTTGCAGTTGACCAGGTGCAGGGGTTTACGCCTGTAATCCTAGTGACTTGGGAGGCTGAGGTGGGAGGATCACTTGAAGCCAGGAGTTCCAGACAAGCCTAGGCAACACAGCCAGACCCCATCTCTACAAAACATGAAAAATAAAAAAAATTAGCCAGGCCTGGTGGGGCATGCCTGTAGTCCTAGCTACTGGGGAGACTGAGGTGGGAGGAGAGACTGAGCCCAGGAGTTAGAGGTTACAATGAGCTATAATCATGCCATTGCACTCCAGCCTGAGTGACAGAGTGAAACCCTGTCTCTTAAAAAAGAAACATGTGTCACAATATCTTATGTTGGTGAAAGTATAAAGAAAATCTGGTCTCATACACAAATGTAGTTGGTAAAGGAAGAAATAGCTTAATAGTCTTTTCAGGTAATTTGGATATTCTAATTTAATATTATACCAAAACAAGTGGTAGTTCCTTAAAGGAGAGATGCAAGATGGAACCTGAAACCATATCAATGAACTTTTTATCTTCTGATGCATTAAAATCCATTGGCCACATCTTCTGATACATTAAAATCCATTGGCCACTTTGAATGGCTCTTTCACCCATGTGTGATTTTATAATGTCTTGCATTGTTCATTTGGAAATTATTAGTTAATTGAGTTATGCAAATTTTCTAAATGTTGCCACATTTCATTATATAATATAAAAAAATCACATTTGTTAATAGCGCATCATCACTGGGCTCATCAAAAAAGTCTTCTAGAACTAGGAAGCTATCAAGCTCAAGGTGTCCAACAGAAGTTTCCCAAAATTGTAATTTTTATTGAAAAACTTGAATTTTATTATTGGCAACAAATACTGTTATTTTCCTTAACATGACAGGCTCACTTTGTTCATTAAAACACAAAACCAAACCAAACCAAAAACTGACAAATACCTGAGTCTGAAACAGTTTGTCAGTCAAGTATAATTGGTGTTCCATGAAAAACAGAGGGCAGTTCAGCTCACAACTCAAACAGTATTTGATTAGAACAAATGGCAATGACATACTGTTCAAGCTAATAGACAAGTGCATTTCCTTGAGACAATTGTCATATTTCAGGATGCAGCACAAACTTCTATGCATATTTCCCATCTTGCCACATAAAATATTAAAATGATGTATACAAGAGTCAATTAATATTGTTACTGCTTCATCCAGGACTTTTTAGGTGAAACTGGCTTTTATTCTTTTTCTTTCTGCAAGTAGACAGTGGTGAAGAATACAATGATTACTAGTTCATTTTGTTGCTGCTGCCTTGATTTGTTTTAAGGCACCATTAGTTATACCCATTGCTTTTGTACCATCATTTCAAATGTAAACACAATTGTTTCAGGATAAATGATGAGATTCGAAAAGTTATTGTACATTTTGAATGTTTCAGCATTCCTTGTGTTTGTTGTCATGCATTAAAATAAAACACCTTTGATGACTGGCCGGTGCTGGAAATGAATATAACCGAAATAGCAAGTCCAGACAGTCCATAGATCTATCCATTTCTAAGGCAAAAGTGCAATTTTGCAGACAAAACCAGTTTGCAGTTAAGTCTTTAATTCAGTGAGCTGCTGCATTGTTGCAAAGTGGCAGTGCTGTGATTTCTTTTGCTGACTTTTCATCTAGAAAATATTCAGCAAAATAAACTCTACCAGGCTTTATTGGTCTTTCACCTATGATGTTCATTTCTTCAGCCAAAGCAGTACAATAACTTATCCTGTAAGATACTGGCTTTTTCATCTCAAGTTTGAAAAGCTGTTCCAAATTGTCTTTGGCTTTTCAAAAGTTCATTACATCTACACTTAAAAATCCAATTCTGGCCGGGCACGGTGGCTCACGCCTGTAATCTCAGCACTTTGGGAGGCTGAGGAGTGGGGGATCATGAGATCAGGAGATTGAGACCATCCTGGCTGACACGGTGAAACCCCGTCTCTATTAAAAATACAAAAAATTAGCCGGGCGTGGTGGCGGGCACCTGTAGTCCCAGCTACTCGGGAGGCTAAGGCAGGAGAATGGCGTGAACCCGGGAGGCGGAGCTTGTGGTGATCCAAGATCGTGCCACTGCAGTCCAGCCTGGGTGACAGAGCGAGACTCTGTCTCAAAAAAAGAAAAAAAAAATCCAATTCCTTTTTTTTTTTTTTTTTGAGACAAGGTCTTGCTCTGTCACCCAGGCTGGAGTGCAGTTGTATGATCATAGCCTACTGCAGCCTTGACTTCTTGGGCTCAAGTGATCCTCCCACTTCGGCCTCCCAAGTAGCTGGGACCACAGGCATGTGCCACCATGCCCAGCTAATTTTTAAATTTTTTATTTTATGTAGAGATGGGGTCTCATTATATTGCCCAGACTGGTCTTGAACTTCTGGGCTCAAGCAATACTTCCTGCCATGGCCTCCCAAATTGCTGGGATTACAGGCGTGAGCCACTGCACCCAGCCCAGCCCTCAATTCCTTTTTTGAAACTCTGGATTATTGGTCTCAAGATAGTGTTACAATGTTAATTGACACCATAAAACTAAAAAATGTTCTATTGCATAAGATACAATAAGGTAAATTATTAACATTTATAAAGCCTGGGGAAAGATAGCGTTCTCATATTTTTATTTCTTCTTTACAGTTTCTTCCAGTAGCTTTGGATTAGATTTCTCCCCTCTATGAGTTGTCACAGAACTCTCTGATGTATCATTTCATCTTTTTCAGTATCTTTAGATGTAGACAGTACCTCTGAGCCTGGAGTAAATGAATCCTCTAATCTCGTTTTTTAAAGCAAAAGATGAGGCTTCAGAGTCAGTTAGATGAAGATTTCAATCTCTTCTTTGCTTTCGATGGAGCAGTGTAACTGGACAAATTCTCAAGGCCCCATATTTCGTATACAGTTTTTGTGCATCAGAAATCTCTTGAGTGTTTTTGAGGGTTCTGGTTCAAAGTGTCTCGTAAGACTATAGTCAAGATGTTGGCCAGAGCTGCAGTCATCTGAAGGCCCGATGTGCAGCTGGAGAATCTACTTTCAAAGTAGCTCACTCACATGGCGGGCATATTGGTGCTGGCTGTTGGCCTCAGTTGACTTTTCCAGACAGTGTCCTCGTAACATGGTGGCTGTCTCCCACAGCATGAGTGTTCAACCATATTTGATTAGAACAATGGCAGCATCCTATCATTCGACTTAATAGATCAAACTGAATTTGTATTTCAACATTTACATAAAGCAAAGTACATTTAAATTTTTTTGTAGCGATATTAACTGTTTTTGATGTGTATGGGAGGGCTTCTGGGCATTGGGGGTTGTGGTCTTGTCAAACAGTACTATTGCTTTGGCATTGCACAGAAAACTTCGTTTTGAAACATTAGTCTTTTGTTGACCATCTTGGTCTAGATTAAGTTCTCCAGAGGCCATGAATTTGTGGCTTGAATTTTCATATCTCATGTAAAATGGGAAGATAATTAATTAAAACAGGAGGATAATTAATTTTGTAAAAAATTACTTTCTACGGATTTATTTGAATGGGCATTTAAATCCTTTATTATACATAAAATATTGGTGGGTAGAAAACAAAATTCAAATAGATTTTATTGAGAAACTCTAATGTATTAGGGTTCTCCAGAGAAACAGAACCAATAGGGTACATATAAATATGTAGAAAGAGATTTATTATGAAGGATTGGCTCACACAATTATGCAGGCCAACAAGTCCCACCATCTGCCATCCATAAGCTGAAGAACCAGAAGAGCTGGTGATGCAGTTCTAGGTCAAGCCTGAAGGCCTGAGAACCAGGTGAGCTGGTGGTGTAAGTCCTAGTCAGAGTCTGAAGGCCCAAGAACCAGGAGTGCTGATGTCTAAGGGTAGGAAAGGATGGATGTCCCAGCTCAAGAAGATAGCTTCAGGCTTTTTGTTCTATTCTGGCCCTCAGTGGATTGCAGAATGCCTGCCCGCATTGGCGAAGGGGGATCTTACTTTACTCTGTCTACTGATTCAAATGCAAATATCTGCCAGAAACACTCTCACAGACATACCCCAAAATGATGTTGTACCAGCTGCCTGGGCATGCCTTAATCCAGTCGAATTGACACATCAAATTAACCATCACACTCAACATCTTATTTGGAGCATCTTTTAAATGATTTTGGTTTCCAAGGAATTGCAATTACTGAAGTCTTGTGTTTTCCACAGATAAACCAAGGGATTTGTTTTCTTTTTTATTTTTTAAAGTTATCAAAAAGTTGGAGGGAGAGGCAGCAAGAAGTTTTAGGGAAATACACTTGTGAGAAACAAGGAAATACAGTCATGCATTGCTTAACGATGCTACATTCTGAGAAATGTGTCGTTAAGTGATTTTGTCGTTGTTTGAACATTATGGAATGCACTTGCACAAACCTAGATAGTCTAGCCTGCTAGTCACCTAGGCTCTGTGGTATAGTCTATTGCTCCTGGTCTATAAACCTGCACAGCATGTTACTGTACTGAATACTGTAGGCAACTGTAACACAGAGGTATTTGTCTATCTAAACATATGGAAACATAGAAAAGAAACAGTAAAAATATGGTATTACAGTCTTACAGGACCACCATTGTACATGGAGTTCATTATTGACTTAAACATCATTTTGTGGGGTATGGCTGTATTTACTTTGGACCTACCCCCACCAGGGTCTTATGCCACCTACTAATACTGAGTAACAATCCAAACTCATCGTGTCCCCCCCTTCGTCCTAAAACCCAAACATTCTGCTCTGTGATCCCTTGTGATCTGGAGCTGGTGGCCCTGTTCACCTGGTCGTGGCTCCAAGCCATGGCCTGACTGGGGACCCTTTCATTTCTCCCCCCCTCCAAAAGAGCGAGACCTGTGGGTTCTGCCCTAGCAATGCTGCCCAGCTCTGCTTTCTGTCAATTTACTTTCTCCTTTCCCACTGTATCTGCCCCAGTGCCCAGTCATTTCTCTCCTGGGCTACTGCAGTGGATCCTAATGGCCTCTGGGCTCCTCATCTTCTCTCAACTGCTTGCAGATTAATTTTGCCTACCTAAAATTCATGTTTTCTCAATGTTTATTAAATAAAATTCCAGTGTCTCAGCTGCTGGAGGTGCTCCACCCAAAGGCACCAAGTTATCTTTTATATTTAATGCCATCTTCTCCTCTTGACAATCGTAAAAGGGGACTATACACTCTAATATGAACCCTCTCCTTAATTCTTTGCTCTTGTTCTTTCTGTAAATGCTGTGGGCCCCAATCCCACCCATCCTTTAGGACCTATCTTAAATGCCACCACCCCTGCAAAGATTTTCCTCCTGACCTCCTTTTTCCTCTACCAGACCTGTTGTTTCTCCTTTTAGGTGGCTCACTGAACTTTGTATCCCTCGTGTTATTTAATCATAATCGGTTTATTTAAACATAGCATGTGTGTACTTAACCTTATCATTCCCGCATTTTTTGCTAGTTGGACTTGAACAAATAGTTGTATAAATCCATTGGAAAAAAGTATTCAAGATAGGAAAGGCCAAAATTACTGTGTTAGTTTATCAGATAGTGTAAAGCTATGCAGAATTTTAAAAGTTATATCTACATATACTACAGCACCTACATGTTTGTGTATTATTTTGCTAAGATGGCTTTGTTCTAGTATTGAAGGATACAGAAGTGTGGCATTACTTTTTATTCATGGCTGCACCTAAAACATTATTTGCGTCCCAGCAGATAATTTGAGAACATAAAAATGCTCCAACATCTCTTTCAGTTCGGGATGTTGCCTAAAACCGTCGACAAACGCTATGTTTGAGAAGGGAGGCTACGCTGGGGCGCCGGAGGAGACAGGCCCTTAAGAACCTTCCAGAGATGCCTTAACTGGGCTAACAGCTCGCCGCGCCGGGGCAGGCAGAGGGGTGCGGGGCGCGCTCCTTCCAGGACTTGCCAGTCCCCAAGAACCAGGCCAACCGGTTCCCTCCACTGACTCCCGCCTCCCTCTGCAGGCCCAGCCCTGCGCCGCGCGCCCTCTCCCCGGGCGCCCAGGCCCGGCGGGGGCCTAGAGGGCAGGGATGGCCCGGGCGAGGGACGGGGTCCCGGAGGCGGGAGGCGGGAGGCGGGAGGCGGGAAGCGGGAGGCTGGAAGCCGCGCGCTGTCGGGGTTTCCCGGTGAAGGGCAGGCAAACAACCGGTCGGTCTGGGCGGAGCCGGGCGGGCGGGGCGAGGGCGGAGGGCGGAGGGCGCATTGCCTCATCCTGTACATTTTACTGGAAATCGGACGCATCCGGAGGAGGGGCTGGGAGGCGGCCCGGGCACCGCCAATGGCCGGGCCGGGCGCCGGGGAGGTCGGCGAGCGCTGCGGCCCGTTAAATACCCTGGCAGTCCCGCGCCGCGCCCGTACTGGCCCGCGCCGTCCGCCCGCCGACAGCTCCCTGAGCCAGCCCGGGAGGCAGCCGCGCGCAGCGAGCCGGTGGCGCAGGTGTCGGGGTCCTCGAGCGCCCAGCCTGGGAGCATGATTGTGGACAAGCTGCTGGACGACAGCCGCGGCGGAGAGGGGCTGCGGGACGCGGCGGGCGGCTGCGGCCTCATGACCAGCCCGCTCAACCTGAGCTACTTCTACGGCGCGTCGCCGCCCGCCGCCGCCCCGGGCGCCTGCGACGCCAGCTGCTCGGTCTTGGGCCCCTCGGCGCCCGGCTCGCCCGGCTCCGACTCCTCCGACTTCTCCTCTGCCTCGTCGGTGTCCTCCTGCGGCGCCGTGGAGTCCCGGTCGAGAGGCGGCGCCCGCGCCGAGCGCCAGCCAGGTACCCGCCGGCCCCGCACCGCTGCGTACTCGGGGCGCGCACGCCTAGGAGGTTGGGAGCGGGACTCCCCAGATGGAGGGTGGCCCCTGCGCCCTCCTTAGAGCTAGGACGTACGCACCTTAGCCATCAATTACCACTCCCCGCCTTGCCCGGGCCGGGCGCCTGCCTGACCTACACGCCCTTCGCCGGCCCGCGGAACCGGCTCCCTCCCGCGGGCCTCGGGGGGGCTTCAGAAACCGCTCGGCCGAGCTCTGACTGCCGGGCGAGTGACCAGGAGATCGCTCGCTCTCTAAGAAGCAGCTTTGTTGAGTCATAATTAATAAACTATGATGAGATTTGGGGTCTGATGTAGGTGTAATTTTCTTCTTGTGAATATTTTAGTGGAAAGCTGTAGCAGAGGATAAGGGTTTGGGAATAGCGTTAAAGGTCATGACTTATTTCTCAGTTTTTATGGAATTTTTCAGTAAAAAGACTTGACCGTCAAAGAAAAGGAAACTGCTGTTATCAAGGTGAAGCCGGGCTGAAAACCAACTCAAGTTATGCCTTTAGTTTGGCGAGTTTCGGAAGTCTGCCCGGAATTTTTGCGGTCTTGTTTTTGTTGTGTGTGCCTTAAAAAAAATGGATAAGCCATATCTAGCAGAGAAAGACGTAATGTTATCTTTCATGGGCTGCGAATTGGTTTCCTTTCTTAGTGAACCGAGTTGCATAATTTGGGGGAAAACAGGATGCCCCTGTGGGTAGGCTAGAAAAACGCCTCGATAATTGAACGTTGAGAGTAATTAGCATGATTTTAAAGAACGTCTCTTTCCGGTGTTTCCCACTCTTAGCCACTCCTGTTTTGGTTGTCATTTATTTTAAAAAGTGATATCTCATTTTCATTTTAAGTCATTTAAAATCATGCGAAAAGCGATTTAAACCACTGCGTAGCAGATCCAGAAAGAATATGTGTTTAGGACCTTTTCTTACCCACTTGGCCTTCATCTGGCTGAAACTGTTCTGCTGGTCCCTTGGTTTACCACACAGCCACAGGGGATTTCTGAAACTGCATTTTTTTCTTTCTGTGACGTTGGATTATGAACTGCTGTCATTCCAGAAAAATGCTGTGTTAGATTCTGGCAATTCTGGTATCTCTTGAAATCCCTAAACTTAAAAATAAAGCCAACTAATGTTTCACTTACCCTATCATTGAACTGTTTATCTCATGTATTTATGATAGATACAGATGTTCAAATTATGCGTTGTTTCTTGCCCCATCTTATTTTTGTACACTTGATGGAGCGGCTGAATTATTCATTTCCTGACTTTGTGAATTTGTGTTCAACACACATACTAAGAGGTTGTGACATAATAGTGATCAGAAGTGGAGTACTGTACTTGTATACCAAATGCTAAAGTGTATTTCAAAGTTTAAAAGTGAAACAAGCATATTTCCTTTTTACTTAGAAGACCTGTGTAAGTAATTCCAAAAACAGTCAATGAGGGGAAATCCTGTGTGCATATGTAGAAATGTGTTTAAGCTCAGTGAATTTAAGCAGCTTTTTTGGCACAGTTGAATTGAAGGAAATAATAAGACATAAATCTAAGACGTTGTTAATTGTCAGGTTTTCGTACATAGAGATCTTTGAAAGAAGTTGTTTTGTGCCTTCTTAGGTAAGCGGAATTGATAGACTTTAAAATTTCTATGTGAACATAAAACCATTGGTTTAAAAAGCTAAAAGTGCATCATTTATCACTTGCTCCCCAAAGTTTTTCCAAAGTCAAGAATAATTATAGAACTATGAGAGTCAGGATGGCAAAATCTGTCATCCATTCTCATGGGTGGTTAGGGCTGAGAAAAAAATGTGATCCACTCTCATGGGTGGTTAGAGCTGAGAGATAGAGAGGCTTAATTTGGGTTTACCTATTGGCTCTGAGGATCCTTGACCAAATTTTTATGAACTTTAATTTCTTAGGGTACCCAGTGGAGAAAGGTATCAGGCAACTTAGGACCTTTGAGCAGAGCTCGGGACTCACAAGGCCATTGATTGACCAGAGCAAGTTGGAAAGGTTTTGCAATGTGCTGCTTGGGGACTTTATACATTAGGCAACAGCTATACTTTTGGGATTATTAACGTTTATGTCTGTGAAGATATTTAACCAGGAATATGTTTTGTTTTCTTTTGAACAGTTGAGCCCCATATGGGGGTTGGCAGGCAGCAGAGAGGCCCCTTTCAAGGTGTTCGGGTAAAGAACTCAGTGAAGGAACTCCTGTTGCACATCCGAAGTCATAAACAGAAGGCTTCTGGCCAAGCTGTGGATGATTTTAAGGTGACATCTATTTTTCTGTTTTGAGTATAGAGTTGGGGAGAGGGGTTAGTCTGTCAGGGTTATTATGATGACCTAGGTCCAGTCATCAAGTAAGTCACTTGAAATTTTTCATAAGATGACAAAGTCCATAGGACAGAGACCATATTTGTCTGGTCTGTTGTATCCTCCTTAGCCCAGTGCCAGACACCTGGTAGGTGGGCAAGAGAAACTCAATGAATAAATAAATGAAGGCAAGTTCAGAGGCTCAACTGAAATGGAACATTTTAACTAGAAAGGGAAAAATCAAATGGTCTTATTAATTTCATCTTGACCTGCGTTGAGCTAAGGTGAAAGTGAAAATGAGGAAGTCGCAAGATAGAATAAAAATTGATATAGAAAATCAATATTGATAGAAAAACCATATCAGAGATTTATGGTAAGCTATAAAGGGTGGTAGAGATAAGCCTACTTACTGATGTATATTAAGAGGAAGTCATTTTGTATACACTAAATTGGAAACTTTTTTCTTTATAGACACAAGGTGTGAACATAGAACAGTTCAGAGGTAAGAGTTACTTGTATTTGTAATTTTTTCAGGGCTTTGGAGTAAATAATAGAGTGTAATTATGGGTAACATTTATAAAATAAAATGATGACAGAGGCTGTATTCCTTTGGGTACAGAATTGAAGAACACAGTATCATACAGTGGGAAAAGGAAAGGGCCCGATTCGTTGTCTGATGGACCTGCTTGCAAAAGGCCAGCTCTGTTGCATTCCCAATTTTTGGTAAGTATCTCACCATTTTCCTCTGACTATCCTTTGGAAATTATTCCTGGGATAATTTTAGAAGGAAGTGAGTGTGCAAGTTGCATTTTCCTTCTTTCCAGACACCACCTCAAACACCAACGCCCGGGGAGAGCATGGAAGATGTTCATCTCAATGAACCCAAACAGGAGAGCAGTGCTGATCTGCTTCAGAACATTATCAACATTAAGAATGAATGCAGCCCCGTTTCCCTGAACACAGTTCAAGTTAGCTGGCTGAACCCCGTGGTGGTCCCTCAGAGCTCCCCCGCAGAGCAGTGTCAGGACTTCCATGGAGGGCAGGTCTTTTCTCCACCTCAGAAATGCCAACCATTCCAAGTCAGGGGCTCCCAACAAATGATAGACCAGGCTTCCCTGTACCAGTATTCTCCACAGAACCAGCATGTAGAGCAGCAGCCACACTACACCCACAAACCAACTCTGGAATACAGTCCTTTTCCCATACCTCCCCAGTCCCCCGCTTATGAACCAAACCTCTTTGATGGTCCAGAATCACAGTTTTGCCCAAACCAAAGCTTAGTTTCCCTTCTTGGTGATCAAAGGGAATCTGAGAATATTGCTAATCCCATGCAGACTTCCTCCAGTGTTCAGCAGCAAAATGATGCTCACTTGCACAGCTTCAGCATGATGCCCAGCAGCGCCTGTGAGGCCATGGTGGGGCACGAGATGGCCTCTGACTCTTCAAACACTTCACTGCCATTCTCAAACATGGGAAATCCAATGAACACCACACAGTTAGGGAAATCACTTTTTCAGTGGCAGGTGGAGCAGGAAGAAAGCAAATTGGCAAATATTTCCCAAGACCAGTTTCTTTCAAAGGATGCAGATGGTGACACGTGAGTATTCTTTTATCTCATGTTCTTAATTAGGTAAGCCACACTTGTTGGACTAGTGAGCATATAATTTTTCTAGGGTATAACAAGGTATACCTTAGTTAGTGGTTGGCTAACCAAGATGACTGGTGTAGATAGAAACCGCCACTCAGTGATAGCTAGTATGTCAAGAAAGGGTTTTCCTTCAAAAAATTTTTTGGCTGAACAGATAATCTGTTCTAAATTGATAAAAATATCTGTATCTTCTTGATTAATTGAGTTTGGAAGACCAGCGTAGACTATGTCTATAGAACAGAAACAGTTAGATCATGATTAGGGATAAACTGTGAGTTGGTTTGTAGATTGATCTTAATCTGTCCTGATGTCTTTGTGGCCTTGGGCAAGTTATTTAACCTCCTTAGGTCTCAGTTCCTTGACGTGTAAAATGATAATACCTCTTGTATAGGGGTTTTATGAGTATTAAAAATAATAGATTTAAGTTGATCAGTATGGTGCTTGACATTCTTCTTTTTCTTATTTCTGATAGCCTAACCCATCCTGTTCCAACTGGGGTGTATTATCAATGTAGCAGAAAAGACAAATTATGCTTTGTAATGTTTCATTTGAGTGTACCAATATATAAAAAGGGGGCTAAAGGAAGATTTTTTTTTTTTTTTCAAAAGAACAACTTAGTGAAATCAGAAGTGATTCACCCGCTTTCCTTTCCATGTTCCCCAGGTTCCTTCATATTGCTGTTGCCCAAGGGAGAAGGGCACTTTCCTATGTTCTTGCAAGAAAGATGAATGCACTTCACATGCTGGATATTAAAGAGCACAATGGACAGGTGAGGACCTTGACAGAGTCTGAAATGGCAAAGAGGGGGTCATGGTGAAGTGAATGATGACCAGCCTTATGTGTAGATCATCTTAGAGCTCAAGATCAAGAGAGTTTAGTTAATATTAACTTTGAGATGTTGACTTTTTGCTACCATCAACCTTGAAGTTATTAATGTTAACTTTGTAGCTGTTTGACCAAACACTGAGAGTAATAAAGCCACACCCTAGGCTTACTTTAGTTTCCTTGTCTTACAGTATCTGATTGCTTATTCAAAGGATTTATTTTCTCTCTGTGGGTTTTTCCCTCAGTCATAGTTTAGTTTCATATTCCTTGTTATGATAACATTGTATGTTTAAAATATCTTTTTTCCTCTGGATATCCACAGAGTGCCTTTCAGGTGGCAGTGGCTGCCAATCAGCATCTCATTGTGCAGGATCTGGTGAACATCGGGGCACAGGTGAACACCACAGACTGCTGGGGAAGAACACCTCTGCATGTGTGTGCTGAGAAGGGCCACTCCCAGGTGCTTCAGGTAAGAGGCAGCAAACCAGGCTTCCATCATTGCAAGGCCAGAGAGATAGAGTTGGATATTAGAAGTCGGATATAGGTTGCCTGTTGCAATGATCTATTTTGAGTTAACTTATTCATTTCTTGGGGATTCTAATAGGTATATGCGCAGCTTATGTAGCTAACAGATGTCTGTTTTTAAAATCTGCAGGCGATTCAGAAGGGAGCAGTGGGAAGTAATCAGTTTGTGGATCTTGAGGCAACTAACTATGATGGTAAGCAACTGAAACTTTATTAGATTCAGAGCCACTTAGGGGGAACCATAAGGTCTAAGGGTGCTAAGTATACTAAGAAGGAAGGTAATTAAAGCTAAAATATTCTGTAGGTAAAATTAGACCCAAAAAGAGACAATATTCAGATTGCCTTACTAGTTCTTGTGGAGCCCATTTATAGGTTAAGTTAGAGGCCATCCTCAGCATTTGTCATTATAGAAGGACCAAAAGACCTGATGGGATGCTTGACCACTGCTTGATTATACTTTTCTTCTAGGCCTGACTCCCCTTCACTGTGCAGTCATAGCCCACAATGCTGTGGTCCATGAACTCCAGAGAAATCAACAGCCTCATTCACCTGAAGTTCAGGAGCTTTTACTGAAGAATAAGAGTCTGGTTGATACCATTAAGTGCCTAATTCAAATGGGAGCAGCGGTGGAAGCGAAGGTAAATTCACAGAAAAGGTTTAAGATGGGGTAGGGGAGAAACTGGTTATATAGCAAAAGACCTTGCTTCCAAGTACAGATTCAAACTTCTTTCTTTTTTTTCTGAAATTAATGGTGTGAGTAGCAATGTATGGGTGGTTAAGAAGCCCAGAATTTTTTTTTTTTTTGAGACAGAGTCTCACTGTGTCGCCCAGGCTGGAATGCAGTGGTGCGATCTTGGCTCACTGCAACCTCCGACTCCCTGGTTCAAGCGATTCTCCTGCCTCAGCCTGCCCAGTAGCTGGGACTACAGGTGCCTACCACCACACCCAGCTAATTTTTTGTATTTTTAGTAGAGACGGGGTTTCACCATGTTAGCCAGGATGGTCTCGATCTCCTGACCTCGTGATCTGCCCGCCTCGGCCTCCCGAAGTGCTGGGATTACAGGCGTGAGCCACCGCGCCCGGCCAAGAAGCCCAGATTTTAACAGATCATTTCATGTGTTTTCTTGATTTGCTTTAAATCCATGAATTATTATCCAAAAGGTCATTTAGGTATAAAATAAATAGTCTTTGAAAGGTAAAGAAAATGCTTGAAATTGATATTGTCATTTTGGCTTCCATTTTCATACACTGAGAATAAAGGTGCTTTTTGTAAGGATTTCTTCATTGTTGTAGGATGTGGAATTCATCTTCTGGTTTTTAAGCTGGAAAATAGTTTATTCTTTTAAAATTTTGGTTTTATTCACTGAGTATATGGGGGAAAAATGCCTAAGTCATAAACCATTTGGACCCTTGAGGCTTACTGACTAGTAAAATAGGTGAGAGATATAGCTAAATATAACTCTACAGGGAGGCTACCAAATCTGGAAATGTAGGTGAATACATAATAAATGGTTTACTGATAGGTTATGACATAGGATTTAAAAATATTTATTTTTCTACATTTTATGGCCACCCTGTATAAAAAGGTACATTGTGACAAGAGGCATATAGACAAATTAATAGGAAATTTAAGAGGAATAAAAGATTCCATTTAGCTTGGGATTAAGCAAGGCATTTTGGAGAAGGGAGCATTCAAAGTGAGTCTCTGAAGCTGAATCAGACATTCAGGAGACTGGGTGAAAAGTGTATTCTGAGGCATAGTATCTGGATTTTTTTTTTTTTTTTTCCTCCCTCTTGCCTTTGACAAGGATCGCAAAAGTGGCCGCACAGCCCTGCATTTGGCAGCTGAAGAAGCAAATCTGGAACTCATTCGCCTCTTTTTGGAGCTGCCCAGTTGCCTGTCTTTTGTGAATGCAAAGGTACACCAGAGTTGGAATGGCCTTCTGTACACCCTCTCAAAGTTTTTGAGCTCCTTTCATGAAATTTCCCCCTTCCTGATGTCTGATAATTCATTTCTTTGTCTTCAGGCTTACAATGGCAACACTGCCCTCCATGTTGCTGCCAGCTTGCAGTATCGGTTGACACAATTAGATGCTGTCCGCCTGTTGATGAGGAAGGGAGCAGACCCAAGTACTCGGAACTTGGAGAACGAACAGCCAGTGCATTTGGTTCCCGATGGCCCTGTGGGAGAACAGGTGAGAGGCACAGGAGGGAGAGGAAGTATTTTTTGGCACTGCAGTCTGAAACAGAAAGGGAGATGAGGCTGTGCAGGGCGAAGGCCAGCTGTTGCTCTTCAGGTGGACTCTATCAGTGTCTGTGTCTCACGGTAGCTGTCATAGCATTGTGGAGTTACTCTTCGTTTGGAAACAGCAATTAAGAAATTTGAGGGATTATCCATAGACTCAAAATGGTTAGAGGTCAGGTAGTATTCTGTGACACACACTTAGGGTTAGAGTAAGTCAGAATGGTTTAAGGTTCGGAAAGAGAAGATACCAAGGTTCCTGCAGATACCAAGGAAAGAGAATCTTAGTCTTGTAATGTATGAGCCTTCAAATATTGTGGATATTAAATGAGTTGTTACATGTGGAGTGCTCACAATAGTCCCGGGTACAGAGTAAGAGATCAGTGAACATCAATAGTTAGAATTATTTCTGTCTATGAAGTGATACTGAACAAAAAATGGAAAAATTACTTATGTAATTTCAAACCTAGAAATATTTTGTTTTAAACAGCATATTTAATGCTTTACTCATCAAATATGGTTATATATTATCATTGAGTATTGAATAGTTTCATGAGTAAACTTTTTAGATAACAAGAACTTATTCTTTCAAGAACTTAAAATGTTTTTGATGGAACTCTTTTCCTGGGAGGAATGAGGGGGATTGTGGCTGTGGGTAGGTCATTACATACTTTACTAATCACAAAATAAAATACGTGGAATGCAGTTTAGCTTTTTCTTTGATTCTGAGCTGTCATTATGACCATAATGTTATAGTAGCCCCTATTTATAGAGCTCTTTGTAATTTAGAAAGAATATTTCTATAGTTTGTAAAAAGTTTTCATGTATATCATTTAATAGTTAGAAGAACTTTACAAGTTTCAAGTTTCAACTGAGAAAATTGATATTCAGAGAGGTTCCAAGGACCAGAACCATCATTAACTTGTAAAAGGCAGAGTCCTAAGCCCAGTATTTGCTTCTACTTCACTGTTTGTGGTGTGCAGTCATATAACTATGCTCTCAGGGATCATTGAGATATTAAGCCATTTAACTCTTCATTAAATGTTCCCAGATTATCTCCTTTTTGCTTTGGTATTTTGTGTGTGTTGGGCAGGTAGAGGCTCTTTTCCCTGGCTTTTATTGTCATACTGTGGTCGTGTGTTTCCTTCTAGCAGCTATCAGTTGTATCCCCTACCCCAATCGCCTTTCATCTAAATTGTTGCTTCTAATCTGCTGGAGGCTGAGAGATAGAAAATAAAATTTGTCAGACTGGGATGTAAAATGAATCACTCTGAATGAGCCGGGATCTTTTCTGTGATCCATGAAGTTACGTGTAGATGCTTTAATACTTGGATATCATGACAGCTGTTTTGACTTGAATGGTATTAAGGATTTACTTGTGTGTGTATCATAAAATGTGGGTTTTCTGTTCCTGTTAGTTGAGGCTGACTTCAAGATAAGTGAGATATTATAATATGCCTTAATTACTGTCTTATGTTAAATGTTCTCACAAATAGCAAGAGTAAAGATTAGGAAAAGAATATAGGTGTTAAGTTTATGGAGATTTTCAACTTCAGATAATTTTTAGTGGAGATGTTTTACTTTCTTGAACTCAAAGATTATTATAAGAGATCTGAAATAAGTTTAAAAGGAGTTTAGTATTTTTAAAAGTCACCTCAAAATCTTGAGAAATATTGTGTGTATTTCTTCGTATACTTACAAGTTAATAGGAGTAGTGTAGATGGTATAAGAAAGGAATGAAACTCAGAAGGAAATACACCACATTGGCCATAAGAAATAAACCTCACAAATTTTATTTGTTTCTCTTCCAGATCCGACGTATCCTGAAGGGAAAGTCCATTCAGCAGAGAGCTCCACCGTATTAGCTCCATTAGCTTGGAGCCTGGCTAGCAACACTCACTGTCAGTTAGGCAGTCCTGATGTATCTGTACATAGACCATTTGCCTTATATTGGCAAATGTAAGTTGTTTCTATGAAACAAACATATTTAGTTCACTATTATATAGTGGGTTATATTAAAAGAAAAGAAGAAAAATATCTAATTTCTCTTGGCAGATTTGCATATTTCATACCCAGGTATCTGGGATCTAGACATCTGAATTTGATCTCAATGGTAACATTGCCTTCAATTAACAGTAGCTTTTGAGTAGGAAAGGACTTTGATTTGTGGCACAAAACATTATTAATATAGCTATTGACAGTTTCAAAGCAGGTAAATTGTAAATGTTTCTTTAAGAAAAAGCATGTGAAAGGAAAAAGGTAAATACAGCATTGAGGCTTCATTTGGCCTTAGTCCCTGGGAGTTACTGGCGTTGGACAGGCTTCAGTCATTGGACTAGATGAAAGGTGTCCATGGTTAGAATTTGATCTTTGCAAACTGTATATAATTGTTATTTTTGTCCTTAAAAATATTGTACATACTTGGTTGTTAACATGGTCATATTTGAAATGTATAAGTCCATAAAATAGAAAAGAACAAGTGAATTGTTGCTATTTAAAAAAATTTTACAATTCTTACTAAGGAGTTTTTATTGTGTAATCACTAAGTCTTTGTAGATAAAGCAGATGGGGAGTTACGGAGTTGTTCCTTTACTGGCTGAAAGATATATTCGAATTGTAAAGATGCTTTTTCTCATGCATTGAAATTATACATTATTTGTAGGGAATTGCATGCTTTTTTTTTTTTTTCTCCCGAGACAGGGTCTTGCTCTGGCGCCCAGGCTGGAGTACAGTGGCATGATCTTGGCTCACTTCAGCCTTGACTTGGGCTCAAGTGATCCTCCTACCTGAGCCTTCTGAGTAACTGGAACTACAGGTGTGCACTCCTCGCCTGGCTAATTTTTTATTTTTTGTACAGGCAGGATCTTGCCACCTTGCCCAGGCTGGTCTTGAACTCCTGAGCTCATGCCATCTGCCTGCCTTAGTCTCCCAAAATGCTGGGATTACAGGAGTGAGCCACCATGCCCGGCTGGCAGTTGCATGGAAGAGAACACCTCTTTATGGCTTACCCTCTAGAATTTCTAATTTATGTGTTCTGTTGAAATTTTTGTTTTTTTACCTTTATTGAAACAACAAAAAGTCAGTATTGAAACATATCTTCCTGTTTTCTGTTGTCAAATGATGATAATGTGCCATGATGTTTTATATATATCATTCAGAAAAAGTTTTATTTTTTAATAACATTCTATTAACATTATTTTGCTTGCCGCTGGCATGCCTGAGGAATGTATTTGGCTTTGATTACACACTAAGTTTTTGTAATAAATTTGACTCATTAAAAACCTTTTTTTTTTAAAAAAAAAAAAAAAGAAAATCTCATTAGTGAACTTATCTTTGCAGCTGAGTACTTAAATTCTTTTTAAAAAGATACCCTTTGGATTGATCACATTGTTTGACCCAGTATGTCTTGTAGACACGTTAGTTATAATCACCTTGTATCTCTAAATATGGTGTGATATGAACCAGTCCATTCACATTGGAAAAACTGATGGTTTTAAATAAACTAATTCACTAATATTATTTGTCTTACATGCATTTTCTTTTCCTAGTGCCTTATTTCCCTAGATAGAAAAAGTACTATTGATGATTTTAAATACCTTTGAGTTAGTTAATTTATGTTAATTTGGGTTTTTTGGAGAACATGTTTCCTGAAAGTATACAAGATTTAACATCAAAATCTATTTGCTAAGTTTACTAGGAGAAGTCTGTTAGGTTTTGAAATTATCATGGAAGTTTAATAGATGCTGTCGATCATTCACATGTTTAGATGCTTAAAAAAAAAAAAAAAAGCTAAGTGGGAGCAGTGAATCATAGGAATAACAGTTTGGAGATTACCAGGATCATCCTTAGAGAGATGTAAACCTGGGAAAGGTTCTTCCCTTTGCCAGCAAGCCATTTTGACGTGTGAGAACAAACACATCAATATCTGTCAGTATGTTGTTACAATTATTGCACATATATTCTAGTTCTTACAGCTGTTTTGAGAATCTGGTGAAAGCTATGAATCCTTTCCCTGGAAAATGCAAATATATGTATACACACAAATGCTGTGTGCAATATTTGGGGCTTCACAACCTTTAGAAGACCATGACTCACAAGAATCCACTTTAGTTTCATTTCTGCACATACTTTTCTTCTTTCGTATAACAAAATCTTGGGTAATTTGCTTTGCAAATGCAACTTGTTAACCAGAACAGCAGAAATGATGTACTCCCACTGAACATAGCCCTACAGTGAGCTTTACCCAAGTGAGCTTCTATGTTCTCTCTTAATCCCAAATTCTCTCATAGTTGAACCAGTATCTAGCAAGTATGTTTGTGTGTGCGTGTGTGTGTGTGCAAAGATGTAAATAATTTGAGGCTAAGACATATAAGACATTTCTTAGCCTTAAGATGTTTACGTGAGAGACATGGCATGTACTTTATTAGGTAAACTATGTTAAATAGCATTTAAAAAGAGATTCAGAAGGGACATTTCTTTCTGACTGGGGAGGATTCAAGGTAGAGCATTTGAACTGTATCTTCTGAATAGTTGATTTGGATGTTCATATAAAGGGAGGAGAGGCAGATGAAAGAAACAAACAGCATGAACCAAAGCATAGGCGTCTGTGGGAATAGCAGGTGATTTTAATATAGTTAGTTAGACTCTGGAAGTGGCCAATAAGGTTCATCTTGTGTTCCACCTCTGACTGGTAATATTTTTGAGTATCAAGTTGAGAAAGATCCTCAGGCTCGTAGGGGCTTCAGGAGAAGGTTGCTGGATTGAACCTTCAGGAGAGGTTGCTGTGATTGGTGCGTGATATCTGCCACAGGAATATGGGAAATGGCTCTTGATTGAATACATCTTAAAGCCTCACAGAAGCCAAGACTGTGTGCTCATTGCTGCAACTTCAGTGCCTAGCACAGTGCCTGGCACATGGAAATAGTTCATAAAATATTGGTTGAATGAACGAATATATGCCAATCCTGGTTAGAGTCACTGGTTTTGTTGGGGGAGGTGATGTTTTGAGCCAGAGTTATACTATTAATTACTAATGAATTATTGGCTATCATGGTTCTGAATTTAATTCTGCCACATGATTTCACAGTGACATGGATGATATGTTAATGAAAATGGGCATGGGCATAGTTGGACTCATTAAGGAAAAAAATCAGGCAGTCTGTCTTTGCAAAGGACTGTTAGTGCTGTAGTTTGATATTGACTAAGGAATCCCTACAAGAGTCAGAGACCAAATCTTCCAGCTCAATTTGTTAGTCAAATCAGTAACATTTAATATCCTTTCTATATTTTTACTTAATCAGGACAGGAAAATTTCCTCAAATGTCTCTGACTTTTAACAAATGTCAACTTAAACATACGACCACTAACTTCCATTTTCTGATAACCTCAGTTGTTCTGTATTGAATACGACCTCAGAGAGAAATCAGCTTCAGTCACTGGCTAAGTTTGTGATGGTTCCTCTGAGATCAGGCCTGGGTACAAGGTTTGAGATTACTTGTAACCATGCTACTAGGTTTTGGCTATACCTGCTGGTGCCCTGGATTAATCCTTGAGAGAAGGGGAGACACTGCCTTATTAGTCATCAGAGGCCCTGCACCTAGCACAGTATCTGACACATTGTAGACATTCAATAAATAGTTCCTAAGTTGAATTTAATTTCAACACTTTGTAAAAATTTTTTTTCTTGGCATATTTTATTCTTCAGTGTATAAATATTTTTATTATCTACATACAGTTTATGACTTAATCCAGTACTTTTATGCTTCAAGCCTTTGGAGTCTGTGCAGACCCAGAAACATTGCATGGGTGGCACATTTCTAGGAGGGGTAAGATTGGTTGTTTTTGTTTGTGTGTGTGTTTGTTTTTTTTGAGACGGAGTCTCGCTCTGTCGCCCAGGCTGGAGTCAGTGGCAAGATCTTGGCCCACTGCGGCCTCCACCTCCCAGGTTCAAGCAATTCTTGTGCCTCAGCCTCCTGAGTAGCTGAAATTACAGGCACGCACCACCACACCTGGCTAATGTTTTTGTATTTTTAATAGAGATGGGGTTTCACCATGTTGGCCAGGCTGGTCTCGAACTTCTGGTCTCAACTGATCTGCCCACCTCAGCCTCCCAAAGTGCTGGGATTACAGGCATGAGCCATCACGCCCAGCTGATTGTAGATTCCTCTCAAAATGTGTCTTGCTTTTTCCTTTGTACTCCTTGTCCTCTGGCCTGTTGTCCCTGCTCTCTCCATCACACCATTCCCCTTGCCTGTCAGCTCAAGAGGGTTTGGGGGTGAGATAGTGCAGCTGCTGAGTGCCCTAGGTTCAAAGTTTCAGTCTTTGGTCGACATTAGTATCTTATGTGAAGCTTGTTAAACATGCAAATACTTAGGCCCCACCCCAGGTTTCCTGAATCAGAATCTCCAGGATTTTCAGGGCTTCTGGCAGATTATATGTGGTGATTCTAATGCAGTTTTAGTCTAAATTAATTAGGAAATGCAGACTTTGGAGAGTAGCTGTGGTTGGGCAGTAGCCATATGGTGGTAACAGAATGGGTTTCTGGAATGCGTATGGGGATGAAGTGGCAACTGATGAAGATGTGCAGTGTGCCAGGCACGTTGGATCCTATGGTATAGAAACTAGCTTTGAAGATACAATCATGAGTCACCTTATTTTTTTTTCCTGCTTTCAGAAATCACTTTTCTAAGGTGATTCTGGTGTTTAAGTTTCTCAAGTATATTAGTTTCCTAGGACTGTCTAACAAATAACCACAAACTTGGTGGCTTAACTCGGAGAAATTCATTTTGTCATAGTTCTGGAGGCCAGAATTCTGAAACCAAGGTGTTGGCAGAACCATGTGCCCTCCAAAGGCTCTAGGTGGAATTCATGCCTTCTATTCCAGCTTCTAGTGACTCCAGGTGTTCCCTGCCTTGTGGCAATATAACTCCAGTGTCTGCTCCATCTCCACATGGCCTTCTCCTCCCTGTGCCTCCTCTCTGTATATCTCTTACAAGGACTCTTACCACTGAATTTAGGGGCCACCTGAGTAATCCAGGATGACCTCATCTCAATTTTATTTATTTATTTATTTTTGAGGGGGAGTGTGCAATGGTGCCATCTTGGCTCACTACAACCTCCACCTCCTGGATTCAAGTAGCCTCCCGAGTAGCTGGGATTACAGGCATGCACCACCACACCTGGCTACACACCTGGCTAATTTTGTATTTTTAATAGGGACGGGGTTTCACCATGTTGGTCAGGCTGGTCTCGAACTCCTGGCCTCAGATTATCCGCCCACTTTGGCCTCCCAAAGTGCTGGGATTACAGGTGTAAGCCACGGCACCTGACCTTTTTTTTTTTTTTTTTTTTTTGAGACGGAGTCTAACTCTGTCACCGAGGCTGGAGTACAGTGGCACGATCTCAGTTCACTGCAACCTCTGCCTCCCAGGTTCAAGCAATCCTCCTGCCTCAGCCTCCCAAGTTGCTGGGATTACAAGCGTGCTCCACCATGTCCAGCTAATTTTTGTATTTTTAGTAAAGACGAGGTTTCATCATTTTGGCCATGACGGTCTCGAACTCCTGACCTCAAGTGATCTGTCTGCCTCGGCCTCCCAAAGTTCTGGGATTATAGGCATGAGCCACCACGCCCGGCCTCAGTATTCTAAATTGTACAAAGACTTTTTTTCCAAATGAGGTCACATTCACAGGTTCTGAGGATTAGGATGTGGACATATCTTTGGGCAGCCTTAACTTAAAACTTACTACACCAGGAAAGAGGATTTATAATAATTTCTGTTATCATTATTTCTCTTAAAAAATGAGTAAGATTAATATTTCCTTTTTTAAAAAATCATTTTATCATGGTAAGAACATTCTATTTTCTTACGAAATTGTAAAGTGTACAATAATAGGGACAATGTTGTACAATAGATCTCTAGAACTTATGAATATTTCTTTCTGAGCAATCCTATAGCCTGTCTTCAGAATCTATGGTATCTTTTACATATTATTATTGATCTAATGTATGGTAAAATATCTCTATTTCATTTATTAGCTATAATACTAAACATTGACCAGGCAACTCATTTACCATTGATAAACTTTAAGAGAAACAAAAATATTTATTGAGCTGTAACTCAAAAATTATGATAATGATTAAAAGAGCTTTAAGTATCCTAAACTTCCAACAAAGCTTTTATAATTGTCTCTTGTCATTTTGCTCCCTGGTACACATGTGAATGAATCTGCTGCTCTTCACCTTGGATCACACTACCTAGAGCTGTGTGAGAAGCAACATGATCCCAAATCAAATTAAAATCCTATGCTTTACGGCATCTGATCTTGGAATGATAACAGTAGAGGAGTTAGTCACTGAAAACTGCAAATGTTTAAAAGTCAAGGGTCAAATCCAGTTTCATACAATAACAATTGATTCCACTTTGCTAAAACTCAATTGAAATAGACTGTTTTAACTCTAGATATTATCTTTTTAAGTGATAGGATTCTGGCTTTTGCTCCAGAAATAAAGATTTCAGCAGCTCTGGGAACTTGGTAGTTGGATCCAGCATGTGTTTACCTGTTGGATCAGCATAGTTCCTGTAGGCTTGACAATCGGGACAAATTTCAGATTGTGAAACAACACTAGATTCCTTAGCTTAATTGATCTGGGGTTTAAGTTTCAAATTACTATTTATTTTTATTAACTCAATTCATGGTATCTTAATTCACATGGCCTGCTCTCCCTATTTGCAGCCAAACATCTCTCAGGTAGTACTTTAATTTCAAGTGATTGTGTAAGACTGTAGGGTACTTCCTGATTGGCCTTCGTGGAAGCCCCAGGTGTCGACTGGTCTGGAGGCGAACTGCTATTTTCTTCCAGCACTCTAGGGTTAGTTTTGGTGTTTGCCTCAGTGGGAGTGTGTCCAGTGAGAGTCTGCTTTTCTGAATTGGTGCCAGAGGTGTTTTTTTTTTTACATTAGATATCATTTTTCTTTTGTCTTTAAAAAAGGTATCCTTTTCTTTTTGCTCCCAAGAAGTATTCCTTCCAGAATATTTTAAAATTTTCAAAAAATTCTCCTTTTTAGGCTCTCACAGATATGGAAGAATTGGTCGTCTTCAGGATAGCAATTTTGTCTGGTGTAACTTCTTACACCAGGAAATTCAAAATATATCATTTGGGATATATTTGAATATATCCCAATATATATTTTGAAAAATATATCAAAGGAAAATTCAAAATATATCATTTGGGAAAACAAGTAAGCATTTGGATGGTGCCTCTACTCAAAATATTCCTGGAAAATTTTTTTAAAGATAAATTTTTAGCCAGGTGTGGTGGCACATGCCTGTAGTGTCTGCTACTTGGAGGCTGAGGTGGGAGGACTGTTTGGGCCTCCAGTGTTCCGGGCTGCAGTGAGCCATCCATGATCCTGCCAATGTGGTGTAATAAGAAGATGTATAGACAGAAGTTTAATTTACACAGGTTATTAATTTCTATACACATTCTAATCATACAGGCTAATGAGGTACGTCATTTAAAGTGCAGGATTTATAGACAGCTGACAAGTTTTTCTTTTATGACATTATTCTATTTCCCTATCTATATAAATCAATCAGTTTTGTTTCTTCCCTCAGCTAAAGTTATATCAAATTTGTTATCAAGGTCAAAATGTCTATTAATCAGTTAATAGGGTAGCTAAAAAAAGTCTGTTAATTTTTTTTTTTTCTATTTTCTCCGCCACCACCCACATCTAGGTTTTCAAGGCTTTATTCTTGGATTACCACAATAGACAGGAACCTGACTTTTTATTACGGAAACATTCAAACACACATACAAGTAGGCAGAATAGTATATTGAACACATACATCTATCATGAAACTTCATCAATTATAAACATTTTGCCATTTTTGTTTCCTCTTGCCCCCATATTTTGTTCTAGAATAAGTTAAAGCCCACTCCAAGCATTATAGATTGTCAGTAAGAGTCGCTAACAGATAAGTAACTTGTGTCCCCAGTAAATAGCTTTCTAATTATTCTTCCTCCAATCTTCCTGCTTTTCTTACCAATCCCAAAATTTCCACTACTTGGCATACTGTTAAAGAAACAGAGAAAGTTTTTCAAAGGCTCAATGCTGCCTGTTGAATCAGATGCAAACTCTTGTCCTGGTTTACAAAGCTATGTTGACCTTAGCTTGACCCTGCCTGTCTAATCTCATCTCATTTTTCCCCAGTGGGCTATCAGGTGGGTCTCTTCACTGTATCAGCTGATGCTCTGTTTATTCCTGTCTCTTGTCAAGTCCTCACCTCCCCAAATTCTGTGCATCCTAGAAAGCCCTGCTTGGGTGCCACTTTCTCTATTAAGCTTTTTCCAGCTCTTACTGACTGCTCCTTTCCCTGACCTCCTGGGATTAAAACACAATTCCTCTAACTTTCATATCTGGTATTTTCTGTCATATTCCAGACTTAATTATTGCAATCAGGAAAGTGAGCTCTGAATCTGAATTTTCTCTTCCTTGCTTCCTTTTTTCCTTTCTTCCAACCCTTCTCTCTCCTCTCTCCTTCCTTCCTTCCTTCTCTTTCTTTCCTTTCTTTCTGCTCCCCTGTCCCCCTCCCCCTCCCCTTCTTCCCTCCCTCTCCCCTCCCCTCTCTTTGTCACACTCTATCATCCAGGCTGGAGTGCAGTGCATGATCATAGCTCACTGCAGCTTTGACCTCCCGGGGTCAAGTGATTCTCCCTCCTCAGCCTCCTGAGTAGCTGGGACTACAGGTGCACACTACCATGCCCGGCTAATTTATTCTTGTTGTAAAGATGGGGGTCTCACTATATTGCCCAGGCCAGACTCCTGGCCTCAACCAATGCTCCCTTTTCAGCCTCCCAAAGTGCTGAGATTACAGGTGTGTGCCACTGCAGCATTTACTTTTTAAATACAACTTTAAAATGTCTGGGTGAGTGGTATTTTTGAGGACACGAAGAAGGTGAGTGGTGCTGGATAGAATCTAGCATTGGAATCGTAGGCAGAATTCTAAGATGGTCCTAGGGCTATCTTTGCCTCAGATGTTACTCCTGTGATTCTGTTAGGTTACATTGCAAAAGTGATTTTGCAAAGGTAAATAAAGTAATTATTAACCAGCTGACCTTAAGATAGGGAAACTACTCATCTAATCACACGGGCCCTTTAAAAGCGGAGTGTTTTCTTTGGCTGGAGGCAGAAGAGGAAATCTTAGAGATTCCAAGCCTGAGAAGGACTCAACCCACAATTACTGGCTTTGAGGATGGAGCAAGGGGGCAATGAGCCAAGGAATACAGGTATTTTGTAAATATCCAAACAGAAAATGGAATCTCAGGCCTACATCCACAGGGAATTGACTTCTGCCAACAACCTGATTAAGCTTAGAAGCAGATTCTTGCTCAGAGCCTCCAGATAAGAGCCCAGCCCTGCTGACACCTTGAGTTTGGCGTTGTGTTACTTCATGCAGAGTCAAGCCAACCCCGCCCAGACTCTGACCTGCTGAACTGTGAGATAACACATGGGTGGTGTTCTGAGCTGCTAAATTTAGGGGTAATTTGTTACACAGCAATAGAAAGTTAATACAATATATAACACAGGGTTTGAGCTTATAGTGCAATTTTATGCATTTCCTGCTATTTTAATTAAGGCTCCAAATCAGCAAGAGAGGTTTTCCAATAAATGGGGGCACTGGTCTTAGGATGTGTGGTCATTACACAGGCTAGCAGTGTCTTTAGTTTATGATATCTCACTTTTGTCCAGCACTTCCCCATTCCAGATGGGAAAATTTCTTTTTTTCTTTTTCTTTTTTTTTTTTTTTTTGAGACGGCGTCTCGCCCTGTCACTCAGGCTGGAGTGCAGTGACATGATCGCGGCTCACTGCAACCTCCACATCCTGGGTTCAAGCAATTCTTCTGCCTCAGCCTCCCTAGTAGCCGGAACCACACGTGCATGCCACCATGCCCGGCTAATTTTTGTAGTTTTTAGTAGAGATGGTGTTTCATCAAGTTGGCCAGGCTGATCTTGAACTCCTGACCTCGTGATCCACCTGCCTTGGCCTCCCAAAGTGCTGGGATTACAGGCATGAGCCACCGTGCCCGGCCTGGAAAATTTCAAGGAAAGGAAAGTGTAGCTTCCCTATTGCCAGTGTTTTCAAAAGAATCTATAAAAGGGTCCTGGAGCAGGAGAAGGTGATTAGGACAGCATATCTGACCAGTAGTAGCATCAGCTTACTGTGTTGCCAGACTCTAGCCATTTACCTCTACTGTGAGAGGGGGGCATATTTTGTAGGGCAGCGGTCTCCAACCTTTTTGGCCCAGGGACCAGTTTCATGGAAGACAGTTTTTCCATGGATGGGCTGTGGGTGGGTGGATGATTTCAGGATGAAACTGTTCCACCTCAGATCATCAGGCATTAGATTCACATAAGGAGGACACAACCTAGATTCCTTGCATGCACAGTTCACAATAGGGTTCACGGTTCTGTGAGAATCTAATGCCAGAGGCTGATCTGACAGGAGGCAGAGGTCAGGCGGTAATGCTGGCTCGCCCATCGCTGGTACCGGTTCATGGCGCTGGAGTTGGGGAACCCTGCTGTAGGGAAAGAACCCCTTAGCTCTGCAGCAGCCACGATTTCAGATGGTACAACTTGTTTAAAATAAATAGACACACTCACTTCAGAGACTGGTCAAGAAATAGTTGCCGAGAGCTCTTGGAACCAAGATGAGAACTTACATTACAGTTTCTTCTGCAGCCTAGGATCACAGATGACGGGCAGGGGCTTTATTAGTTTAACCGGCATCTATTTCTCCAGTCGTGCACACAGAAATGAATGAATGATTAGACATTCATTTGGGGTGCCTTTGTGTGATTCATAAATAACTTGTTCCTTATAAAATTTATTGCTGAATGACTCATTAAAGAATTATGATGAAGATAATAAGGCTCCTAATTTAAAGGGTTATGCAAGTGTTCTTTTAAAAATCAACTTTGCGAGGTGTAATTAATGCATAAATTTTAAGTGTACAGTTTAACAAATGTATACACCTATGTAACCACCACCCAGTCAAGATACAGAACATTTTTGACATCCCAGAAATTTCCTTCATGCCCCTTTGCAGTCAATCTCTCCTTCCACACAGCTATTGATCTGATTTCTATTATATTATTGTAGATTAGTTTTTGCCTCTTCAAAAACGTCGTATAAATAGAATCATACAGTCTGTACTATTTTCTTATTTTCTGGGTTTCTTTCACTCAGCATGATTTTTTTTTTTTTTTTTTTTTTTGAGACGGAGTCTCGCTCTGTCGCCCAGGCTGGAGTTCAGTGGCGCGATCTCGGCTCACAGCAAGCTCCGCGTCCCGGGTTCACGCCATTTTTCTGCCTCAGCCTCCCGAGTAGCTGGGACTGCAGGCGCCGGCCACCATGCCTGCCTAATTTTTTTTTTTTTTTGTATTTTTAGTAGAGACGGGTTTCACCCTGTTAGCTAGGATGGTCTCTATCTCCTGACCTCGTGATCCACCTGCCTTGGCCTCCCAAAGTGCTGGGATTACAGGCATGAGCTACCGCGCCCGGCCTCTGCATGATATTTTTGAGATTAATCCACATTGGTGCATTGATCACTAAAGTATATTTCTATTGCTGAGTAGAATTCCATTGCACTAATAACACAATTTGTTAACCATTCACATATTAGTGGGCATTTCGATTGTTTCCAGTTTGGGACTATTATTGAATAAAGTTGATATGAACAGTATTTGTGTGGACATATGTTCTCATTTAATTTTAAATTCTTAGGAGTGAAGTACCTGGTTCATATAAGTGTATGTTTAGCCTTAAAAGAAATGGCCAAACTCTGTTTTAAAGTGGTTGTGTCATTTTTCTCTTCTAATAGCAATGCGGGAGAGATTTCTCAATCTTCCCTCAAACTTGGTATTGCCAGTCTTTTTAATAGTAGCCCTTCTAATGCATGTGTAGTATTATCTTATAGATTTAATTTCCGGGGTGACTAATGACGTTGAGCATCTCTTCTTGTGCTTACTTACCATTCATATATCTTGTTAGTGAAGCATCTGTTCAAGCTTTTGTCTGTTAAAATAATTAGCCCCTTATTGAGTTGTAACAGTTTTTTAAAATATATATTCTAGATATAAATGTATTTCAGATATATGTATTATAAGAATTTCTCCCAGTCAGTGGCTTGCCTTTTTATCACTTCTTAAAAAATTATTTTGCCCCATTTTCATTTTCTTCTTCTGGGTCTCTAATTATACTTATTTATACCATTGTCTATTGTCCTGAAGGTCTCTGAGGATCTGTTTATTTTTCTTGAATCTATTTTCTCTCCATCCATTAGCCTGAATATTTTCTATTGGCCTGTTTTCCTGTGTTCAACTTCACTGCCTTTCTTCTACCATCTCTGATCTACTGTGATTTCTTTTTGTCATTGAACTTTTCAGTTTCAGTATTTCTATACAGCTCTTTTTTATAGATTTCATTTCTGTGCTGAGATTTTCTATCTTTTCACTCATTAAACCAGTACTTTGATTCTTTGAACATATATCATTTAATTCTTTGAGCCACATTTATAGGTGCTGCTTTTGAAGTCCTTCCTTATGTCTCAGGCCTGTAATCCCAGCACTTTGGGAGGCTGAGGCAGGCAGATCACCTGAGGTCAGGAGTTCAAGACCAGCCTGAGCAACATAGAGAAACCCTGTCTCTACTAAAAATACAAAATTAGCCTGGCGTGGTGGCAAATGCCTGTAATCCCAGCTACTCGGGAAGCTGAGGCAGGAGAATCACTTGAACCTGGGAGGCGGAGGTTGTGGTGAGCCAAGATTGCGCCATTGTACTCCAGCCTAGGCAATAAGAGCGAAACTTGGTCTCAAAAAAAAAAAAAAATAAAATAAATAAAATAAAATAAAAAAATCAAAGTCCTTTCTTGTCTTCTAAACCCAAGATCTCAGTAATGTTGAGACTGGTATTTTCTCTTTGACTGTGGGTCATGTGGATCATGTTTGCCTGGTTTTTGTTTAATTTCTACCAATTTTTAAATTGTATGCTGGACATTGTTGGTAATACATTGTGTAGACTTTAGGCTCTGGATTTTGTTTTCTTCTTTTGAGAAGTGTTACCCTGTCTTCTATTAGGCAGTTTCATTACCTGCAAATTACCTTGCATTTCTGTAGGCTAGTTTTCGTGCTTTGCTAGGGTACATCTCCGGAAAACTCAATATATTTCCCAAGTTCTTCTATCTTGGCACATTTCGACCTCCAATTCTGCAGATATTTTAAAGGCTTGGTTTTGGCCGGGCACAGTGGCTCATGCCTGTAATCCTAGCACTTTGGGAGGCTGAGGTGGGCGGATCACCTGAGGTCCATGACCAGCCTGGCCAACATGGTGAAATCCTGTCTCTACTAAAAATACAAAAATTAGCCAGGTGTGGTGGTGGGCGCCTGTAATCCCAGCTACTTGGCAGGCTGAGGCAGGATAATTGCCTGAACCTGGGTGGCAGGGGTTGTAGTGAGCCGAGATACCACCATTGCACTCCAGCCTGGGCAAAAGAGTGAGACTCCATCACATAAAAAAAAAAAAAAAAAAAAAAAAAAGACTTGTTTTTTAATTTTGTTAGTGTGGGCCTGGAGTGGACCTTACTCTAAAGCATGGTTCTAATCTCTTCTGGTATCTCAGATGCTTGGTGTGTTAATAAATTAATAATAAGATCTTGTCACTTTGGATTGGCCAAAACTTCAATGTTCTTCAGCACTGTTTAATGTCTACAATTGCTGTTCTGTACTTGTCTCTGCACTAACACTTCTCTATACTTACTATAAGACCCGGGTAGTCTTGACATGGGCACGTGCACCTTAGCCCTGAGTCAAGAATTCATAGAGAATCTTCCATACAACTTCTGGGACCCACCTTCTCACCACCCCCAAAACACCTTTCGTTTTGGTGCCTTGCTCTACAGATTCTTCTGAACTCTTATCTCTGCCTTGTCAGCTCAGCAGAACTACTGTGCTCAGATTGGATTCTAGCTTGCTATGCTGTGGTTGGAAAATTGTACCCTTGCAGAGATCCAGGATAATCATGGGCCTCACCTAATGAATTTCTCCTCTCTCAGAGATCACAGTGTTTAATTTCCTGTTGTCCAATGCTGAAAAACAATTGCCTCATATATTATTTTCCATTTCATTGTTTATGGGTGGAGAGCTAGTCCTATACCAGTTGTTTCATCATAGTTGGAAGTGAAAGTTTGCAAGATGTGTTCTTAAAGATTAAATTATGTAAACAGAAACGGATTTACCAAAGAGGGGGCCCAAAGATTCTGTTTGGGCTGAAAAAGCATTTATAATAGTCATGAGTCCCATCCTATGACTCAGACACTGACTCCATTCATAGGAAGTTAGTATAGTGGAGTAGAGTGTAGTTTCTCTGCGTTATTTCTAAAAATTGAGTCTAACAGCCATCTCCCCTCTCTAGGAAACAAAAAGAAGGTTTCTAAAAATAATAGTAGTAATAATAACTTACTATTATTATATACTTAATGTTCTAGGTTCTGTCTCTAAGGCTTTATATTTATTAACCAATTCTTTATAATAAATCAATTACCAATTAACTACTAGTTAGTACCTGAACATGATTAATTACTAATTAAAAATTCTATTTACAGACCAGCCTGGGCAACGTAGCGAGATCCTGTTTTTACAAAAAATAAGCACATTAACCAGGCATGGTTGTGCATGCCTGTAGTCCCAGCTACTTGGAAGGCTGAGGTGGGATGATTGCTTGAGCCCAAAAGTTTGAGGCTGCAATGAACTATGATTGTGCCACTGTGCCCCAGCCTGGGTGACAGAGTGAAACCCTGTCTCTAAAAAAGAAAAGAAATGTTATATAGCATAAAGGATTCTAGAAACTCAAATTATATTAACCTGCATCGTAAATTTGTGAGGGAATTTGTGAGCACATGTGGGTATGTGAGAACTCCTACCTCGGGGTCTTTCCGAATGTTCTTTCCCTTGAGCACAACCTCTTCCCTGTCAATCAACTGAAATGTATAATTCAGAATTTAGCTTCAATATTACTACTTCCAGGAAGTTTGTTACATGCTTTCATAACATGTATTTTTTTAAATCACAATTGTAATTGAATTTACATAAATATTTATTTAATGGATGTCTTTTCCACTAGACTGTAGGCTCCATGAAACCCATTTCCTACCATGTATCCAGCACCTAGCACAGTTTTTGACATGGCGTATGTGTTCAGTAAGTATTTGTTAAATAAATGAAGGAATGTCAAAGAGTGAGTAGGCCTCCTGTCTCAGATTCCTATGAACTTGATTTATTATTGAGGATTGTCTATTTTTTGCCTTTCTCTCCTATTTAAAAAAATTACATACAGTAAAATGTATTCTTTTTGGTGTATAGGTCTATGAGTTTTTACAAAAATCTAGAGTCATGTCACCACAATCAAGATATAGAACAGTTTCATGTCCCTCCGCTCCCCACCAAAAAATTCCCTCTCGATAACTTTTGTAGTCAAACCCCCAACCTTCAACTGCCGGCAACCATAGAGAATTGTTTATTTTACATTACCTTGGACTCTTCTTTTCTTTTCCATCCTGCTTGGCCTGTATTTCAGCTATCTTACTGCTCAGTAACACTTCTAAATATCAGAGATGTGAAATCGAATTTAGACTGCTGTCTTAGCATTTATGCCCTACGTGGAATCATTTGAACAAATAATTTGACTACTTGGAAGAATCAGAAGAGGGACACTAGGTCAGCTGAGCTTTGGTGAATGGCCTGTTATTTCTACTCTGAATTATATCTACTCGGAACAGCTCTAACATCTGTACACATCTCTATTTCAGTATTCCTGCCTTAATTCAGGCTTTATGATCCTGTCCAGATCATTGCAATGGTCTCTATCCTGGTTTTTCCGTGCCTCTAATATCTCTTTTCTTATATTCAGTATCAGCTCTAAGACTTTTAAAGTTCTTCACTGGTGTCCCATTGAGCCTTACTTAGCACCTAGCATATCATTTACAGCTTCTCATGAGGAGTTGCTTTTTTAGAATCATCCTCATTAGGTCTTATCGCTTGCAGTCTGTGATGTTCCAGTTGTCCCAAATTATTTCATTTTTCCAAAGGTGCCATGTATTTCACGACTGAGGCTTTTGTTCATGCTTCCCTGAAAGTTTCTATTCACTTTATCCGCCAGTGAACACCTACTCATTATTGAAGACTTGACACAGGCTATCTCCTGCTTTCTTTCCAAAGACCACTTGAATATTCCCTCTTTTGTTCCCACAGTTACCTGTCCATCCACCTGCTATAACACCCATAATTCCTTATTGCTAACCTATGTTCACATATTTGTCTCCTACCTACAAGAATCAAAGCTCTTTGGGGTAAGTCTGTCTATTCATCTTTGAATCCCCAGTGCCTAGAACAGTAACTGCTGTATAGTAAGTATGTGATCAATAAACATTTGCTGAATGCATCAATGAATACAGTTCTTACTGCATTTTTAGCTGAACACTTTAATAATTTTCATAAGCTTATTTTAAATGTGTATCTTTTTGGTGTTTTAGAAAATATTTGATCAAGGACTCTCCCATTTTCATGAGACACTGACGATCCTATTTTTCATGGCCACATGAAGTTCTCTCCAGCTTTCGGTCAGACACTATGCATTTACCTTTGTGTGACCTGGTCAGCTGGCACTACTTCAACTGGGCTTACCCGTGGCTGTCTGCTTGCGTATAGAAACTCAACTTGCAACTGTGGAAGTGAAAAAGGGAAAAACATGCGATGCTGAAAATGAATATGAATTTCCCATTAGTTGCTAACTGTCTTTGAACTTCCTCTCCATCGAGGCTCAGAGTATAAAGAGTAAACTCGGGCCTCGCCTGGCTACAGGACACACTGTGATTCAGATCTTTATCTGTTGTGGTCAGTGCCATTTTGAACTCTCACCCTAGGGATCTTAGTCCCAAGCTTTTTGTGTTCATCGTATTTACCATGGAAATGGAGATTTAGTTCTTCCTTGTGAAAGTGAAGATATTACATTCTGTAAATATATTCTGCCTTTAATCTTTTTTGTTGACATAAAAAAGAGTATTCTGCCCAACTAGTTTTGTCATTTTATTGCAAGCCCCCCCCCCGCACCAACCCCGAAAACAAACTAATGCTGACATAGGATATGATTCTTATTGATGAAGTAACCACATTTGTGACCAGCCGGCTCTTGGTTGGCCAGGAGTGAGGGCAGGTGGGGAAGGGAGGAAATTGTCTATATCTTCATCTCATCTGGCCAGGCATAGGGTCTGAGTTGGAATCTGCCCCTTGTTGAATGCTCACAAGTATGAGCTTGGAGCTCTCTGGAAAGGAAACTGCCATCTCTTAGGGCAATTAGATAGTCTGGGAGAGATCCAAGTTGTGAAGAAAATGTTTAGTGCCTTAGCACCATGAATTACACCATGATTTTGAATGATTGTACCACCAATTTAGGCTGAAGCAATATTTCTCTAATTTGCATTTTTATTAGGATCAACTAGGAAGCTTGTTAAAACAGATATCCCTGGTTTCTACAGGAAATTCTGTAGATTCTGGTTCAGCAGACTTGGAGTGAACTCTGGGAAAGTATGTTTTTAACAATTTCCCGAGGTGATCCTGTTGCACGAAGACAGAAAACTGTCTTTTTTTCTAGGATTGTTGGAGATGAGCAGGGCAATGTGATCATTATGAAAGGAGCCCTTAGTGTTCTGAATTTATTGATATCCCAATGTACTTTTGTAAAAACAGGTTCTACAAACTGGGGCTTTCTGATCCAAACCTCATCTATTTTCAATATCTGAAAGTCCAGTTGATCTTGTGGAAAATACCCATGAGCAGAAAGCAAAGGTGGCACCCGAGAAGGAGTTGCAGTCTTGTTCAGTGAAATTTAAGGGTAGATTTTTCAACTTATTCCTGACGTTTCTCCTCAGGCTGTAGACTATGGAGTGAGTTGAGTTAGCATCATGGCACCCTCCTGCTATGACTCATATAATTGTTATAAGGGTAGTGCCAACCTAAAGTTTGGGCATATTTGACATGGTGGTAGTACAAATAGAGTGGAGGCAGAGCCGGGATAAAAGATGCACAGCTACTTGAAGAAATGAGTGGATATATTGATATGCTGTCTCTGACCCTGCTTTCTGCTGTGAGTTGAATTCCAAAAAGTTGGTTCAGTCCTCCAGGTTTGGTGCAGGTCTCCAAAAGGTAGATTTGGTCTCAATGTTTGTAGCATTTTTCTGTTGTATAAGCTCTGGAATTAGGGGTGTCCAGGGAAAGGGCAAGGGAATGGAATGGTGAAACTTGAGGATTTTTCCTTAAATTTAATTAAATAAAATCTTATATAACATTCCTGAGAAGCATGACATTTTCAGAGAACTTTTAACCAGCCATTTCTTGGATGCTATTTTGATCTTGGGAAACTTGGGCTAGGAGGGTACACCCAAACCTTGTGGCAGACTCCAGAAATGCTTTAGGATGTCTCAGTAACCCAGATGTTATATCTATAGAAGGACTGGGTATTGCTGTGGTTTCTTTTTGAAGGAAGGATTTCATGAAACCATCAAGAGCGATTTTCTACATACTATATCCTCATTCCTGGGGCTGAATAAGTTATTAGAAATAGTACTGTTCTTAAAATAATGTGATATAATTACTTTTAGGTTTGGAAACCTAGAAAAGGGTACCAAAAATCAGGGAGTTATGAAATACAAGAGGGGAGGAACTTTATTTTATTTATTTATTGAGACAGAGTCTCACTCCGTCATCCAGGCTGGAGTGCAGTGGCTCTATCTCAGCTCATTGCAACCTCTGCCTCCCAAGTTCAAGTGATTCTTCTGCCTCAGCCTCCCGAGTAGCTGGGATTACACGACCACCATGCCCAGGTAATTTTTGTATTTTTAGCAGTGATAGGGCTTCACCATATTGGCCAGGCTGGTCTCAAATTCCTGGCCTCAAGTCATCTGCCTGCCTCAGCCTCCCAAAGTGTTGGGATTACAGGCGTTAGCCACCATGCCCGGCTGGAACTTTAGAGGTCTTGGGTTCAACCTCCTGAAATCACCTTTGTCTTTCTCTTTCAAGTCTTTGCCTGGTTTCATACTGATAGACAATATAAGCCAATGCTACACTTCTCTACTAAGTCACTAAAATTTACAGGGGATGGGCAAGGACCTTTGATCCGCCCTTTGTCTCTCTGGAGTGCAATGCTCCAACACTTACCATCACCGACATCAGAGTTTGACTCAAGTTTTGTTTGTTTTTTTGTTTTGCCAAGAATCACTTGGGTAGAACTCCTGACACAGTCTCTTTTGTCTGAGAAACAGTGTTGGCATTGAAGCCAGACACAGCAGTAAAAATTTCCTAGTTGTTTGACTTTAAGTATGTAATTCAATCTGTCAAGCCTTTGTGTTCTCACCTGTGAAATGTTATCACTGATAACTTGCACGAATTGAATAATAATATATATGTAAAATATCTGGTATACAATAAAGACAATAAGTTATATCCCTGGTATACAATAAAGACAATAAGTTATATACTTTGCTTGGGTAAATAACATTTTTATGATAATATTAAAATTATTCTCTGTCACTGATTGTAACCTTTCAAAGTAGGACACCCATGAGACTAGATTAAACAGAGAATGCTGAGAAGGAAAAACAAATGTAATTTAGACAGGCAGTTAAAGGTGAGCCCATTGAAAGACAGCAACCAGAGTCACTCTCTTTATAGGGAGTGTCCTGTTGGCACTCTGGCAAAAGCATGTGTGGGCAAACAACTACCTTATTTGGCACTGTCTTCAACAGGCCAAACTCTAATGACAAGGTTTGCATCTCTGGCAAACATTTTCAAAAAGATAAGTTCTTTAAAATATGCAGACACAAATTGTTGTGTTTTACGCAAAATAATTTTTAGTAAAAGTACATTTTTACTTCTTTCGTTTTTTTCACATGACTCTGCATAGGTCCGTATTATTGTCTCCCTAGCACTCTTTTCTCAAGCCTAACTTTAACCTTTCCTCCCCTGCCCTCGAATCCTTTCCATAACTTGTCCAGTGCCTTCTTTGTTCTCCCCAAATCCCAACTTCCCACCGTATGCATATTTTAATGGAAGGGTATCCAGAGTTGGTAACTTTACACCATCATGATAACAATGTAACTTATATAAACCTCCTTGCTTTACAAACTGATTTCATAGGCAAGATTTGGTTTTCTCCTCCTACTAACCCTGTGTGGTAGGTTATCTCACTTCTGAGAGTGAAAAGGTTGAGGTCAGGAGAGGTGGCAAAGCAAATAATATCAGGTCATGGCACGGTTCATCTTACCTTTTATTATGCATCTGCTTTATCTATCATACAACATTGTCTCCTTTGCAGAGAAAAATCTTGTATTGACCAGTGGATATTTTAATCTGCATTTAAAAATTATGATTCTAGGTATTGCTTTACTTAGGGCAGTACTTTGTAGAGACTCCAATGTTGTTGTATATATGACTATATTTGGATGGCCAGAAAAGGGAAATTGTCTTGGTCGTTAAGAAACTGCTGAGTATCAAAAAAAGGAGAAGGAAATATATTATTTCATACAGAAAGAGAACGTTTAAGTTACCAAAACAAAACATGATTTGAATAATTAGGAGTTCATAATCCACATGGGTTTACAATCTTGCTAGTGAGATTTCCCGAAAGGCTATTATTCTAGAACCTTGCTCAGCAACTAGTGAAAAAAAAAAAATGATTGAAAAAACAAAGATGATTCTGCCAGTTCCCTGTTGTGGTTATATACTTTTGCTTGGATAAAATTTTATATAATAAATTTGCTTGAGACAAATTTTATGTAATAAAGTGCTATGTAGAGTATGAGCTATAGTTTTATACAGCTGACTTAATTGTAGAGAAAGCACATTGAACACTTTGGTTGAAACTTATGGTACCACATAAATGATTTAAATCTCACAATGTCCCTGAAAGATTGGTAAATATATATGTATTTTTTGTCACAGAAGCCCAGACGTGAATAATGTTAACTAAAATGCTACTCCATTTATAAAATCTTTACTTCTCTTCTGCATAATTTGCTACGATTGAAACTCATCCTTTATATTAGTAGAATTGCGCTAAGGAGGCAACAAAGGAGCAGGCAGACCCTGTGGTGCTTGATGATTATTTTGAAAGTTAAGTTGTTACTCTGGTTTTGGTTGGTGGTTGAATGATGGACACCCCCATCTCTTTTTTTTGAGACAGGGTGTCACTTTGTCACCCAGGCTGGAGTGCAGTGGCGTGATCACTGTTCACTGCAGCCTTGACATTCTGGGTTCAGGCTCAAGTGATCCTCCCATCTCAGCCTCCTGAATAGCCAAGGCTACGGGCATGCACTACCATGCCCAGCTAATTTTTTTGTTTGTAGAGAGGAGGGCTTGCTATGTTGCCCAGGCTGGCTTGTACTCCTGGGCTTAAGCAATCCTCCTACCTTGGCCTCCCAAAGTGCTGTGATACCAGGCGTGAGTCACTGTGCCTGGCAAATGACAGATATTCTTTTTATCTGAAGTGTGAGAGGCCATGGTTACCAGGGAAGAACTCCAAAAGCTGCAGCACTTAACGCAGTGTCCTCATACTCTTTTATTTCTTCTTGGCACGTTGATACCTGTACACACAGATTCATACGCACTTTATACATACCCACTATCGATTCTAAAGTAATATGACTGTTTGACAAACACACCTGAACTTATATATCCAAATGTAGCCTACCCCTTTCCACATGAAAGCATATTTCTACATTCTGATTTTCCAGCTTCGGGGATTTCACTTTTTGGGAATGTTTTATTTGTTTGTTTGTTTTGTTTTGTTTTGTTTTTTTTAGACGGAGTCTTGCTTTGTGGCCCAGGCTGGAGTGCAGTGGTGCGATCTTGGCTCACTGTAAGCTCCGCCTCCTAGGTTCACGCTGTTCCCCTGCCTCAGCCTCCCGAGTAGCTGGACTACGCCTGCCACCATGCCCGGCTAATTTTTTTGTATTTTTAGTAGAGATGGGGTTTCACTGTGTTAGCCAGGATGGTCTTGATCTCCTGACCTTGTGATCCGCCCCCTTCGGCCTGCCAAAGTGCTGGGATTACAGGCGTGAGCCACCGCGCCCAGCCGAATGTTTTGTTTTTTTAAAACCTTCCAGGGTAGTAAGTTTTGCTCCTTAGAGTGGGTTTGGTTTTTTGAGAACAGCTTAACATCATTTGAAACCAAGTGAAGTAGACGAGCAGTCTGAGTAACATAAATAGTGGTAGAACATGAGCAGAGGGCCTGAGCAATTCTGCCTGAGGAGTTCCCATTTCTTGTTGTTCTAATCTCTTTTATAAAGAGCTGCCAGAGTCCACTTTTAAAATCTGAACTCTGGGGATGAAGTTTTTTGATTCCAAGGCCTCCTCTTTGCAGAATAAAAGTATCAAGACCTTCCCTAATTAAGCTCAACCTAACTTTACAGACTTACTTCCTATGCTAGTGCCATTAACTCTGGTTGCTTACATTGAACTACTTGACTTTCAATATGTACCAACCTGATGCCTTTGCCCACGTTGTTCCTTATGGAATAGCCTTTCCTTATTCCCATTGATTTATATTTATTACCCCCTTTTTGCAGAAGTTTTAATGTGGCCTTCATCATTCCTGCTGAATTCCTACTTATCTTTAGAGATCTATATAATGACAGTTTCTCTGTTTTCCAAATTGTAAGTTAATCTCTCTGAGCTCTAATAGTACTTTGTGTTGACTTCTATCTTTTAGTATAGCTACTAGAACTACTAAGTTTTTGGTTTAAGTGCCTTCAGTTTTGTATGACTAGCCTTTAGCAGTGACTTATATTAGTATATAGTAAGTGTTCAATGTTTTTAGCATTGATCCTGAAGACAATTTCTTTCTTTTTTTTACTAGAGACAAGGTCTCACTATGTTGCCCAGGCTGGTCTTGAACTCCTGGGCTCAAGTGATCCACCTGCCTTGGCTTCCCAAAGTGCTGAAATTGTAAGCATGAGCCACCATGCCAAGCCCTGAAGACAATTTCAGAGGGGACCCCCCAAGACATTTTGAGTAATGAATGTAGCTTTTCAAGGATATTTTAAAGATAATACTTGTTTGGCATATATATTCTATATTCAAATTTCTTTTTTTTTTCTTGATTCCATACCATTAGAGAGATCCATAATGGCAGATTGCTTGTTCACTAGCTCTTCCTACAAAGTGACTTTGAAAATCTTCCCATAAAGAGGCAGGATCCATATTTCCTACCCTCAAATCTGGATTCAGAAGTGATGCTACATTACTCCTGAAGCTAAGTCATAAAAGCAATATGGCTTCTGCCTGTTTCTCTTGAGGCACTTGGGACCAGCCACCATGCTGTAAAGAAGCTTAAGTAGCCTGCAAAAAGGACTGTGTGGAGGGGAATCTGGCCCACAGTCCTGACTGAAGTCTTAATTGACAGCCAGCACCAGCATACCGGCCATACAAGGGAGCCATTTTGAAAATGTATCCTTAAGTCTCCCAGTGAGCTGCCCCATCTGAGGAACCATGGAGCTGAGATAAGCTGTTCCCACTGAGTCCTGTCCAAGCTATAGATTTATGAGCAAAATAAGTGATTTTTGTTTTAAGCTACTAAATTTTGGAGTTTTTTGTTATGCAGCAATAGGCAACTGATCTATCTTGTATATAGGTCATAGATCACAAAATTTTGATTTGTAAGTCCTAGGCATGATCTTATTTCCCTGTTTCAGAGATAGGAAATGAATAATCCAGAGTGCAAGTAGATTTCAGGTATACTATTATTGTGTTCATCTGGCTGGAGGAAGATGGTTTGAAGAAAAGACTCCCGGATCTGAAGTCAGGAGCCATGGGCTTGAGGTGGAATTTGGGCAAGAGGCCTAATCTCCCTGAGCCCAGTTTATTTTCCTGTTAAATGGGAATAATAATAACAGACCTGTATTCATCTTTCTTCTTCCCCCATTCATTCACTTACTTAACAATGATTTATAGATTAACTGCAATGAGCTGTGCAAGCAATAAACATATAAAGATAAATATTACAAATTTCTTGTTTTCATGGAGTTCATAGCTTACTGGGAGACAGTAACATAATGAAGCTATTATTTCAAAACAGTGCAATAAGTACCATTATAGAAATAAGTATAGGGTTAAATTGTGACTAGAGGGGAGAGTAGTAAGTTCTGCCTTTGAGTGGTGGGGGCAGTTTCATAGAACAGGAGACACTAGATTACTCTGTCAAAGGATGAGTATGTGTCACCAAATAGGCAAAGATCAAAAGGGCATTCCAGAGAGGAAAGATATATAAAGGCATAAATGCATAAGAAAGCATTATGTCTTCAGTCAACTCTAAAAATTTGAGGCCTAGAGGGTAAGAAACAAGATTAGAGCCAGGCAAGGAACAGATATTGGAGAGCCTTGTGTACCATGGAAAAGAGTTTGGGTTTTGTGTAGGTGAAAGGGAACCTCCAAAATAATTAAACTACAGAGGTAACAGGATTGGGCTGTAATTTAGAAAGGTATGTAGTAGTGGAGAATGGACTTTGAGGGAGGCAGTGGAGACAGAGGAAAAAGAAAAACGAGATGCCAGCTGGTCTGGCTGGCTGTTTAGGATGCTAATATAAAAATCCAGGTGAGAATTGATCAAGGCCTAAGGTAAGGCAGAGGCAAAAAGAAAAAGGGAGGATGAGTCAGGTCTGAGAGAGATTTAATAGGCAGAATAGACAGAATTTCTGATGAGGCTTTAAACTGATACAAGGATCAAATGTAATAATATATGCTCAAGTATAAAGTATGTACTCTACAAATATGAGAAACAATTAATTAGTGATAGAATTTGTAATATAAAACATTTTACGTATGACTCCAAAGAAAACATATCAGCACTGTGTGCCTGATCAGGACATATATTTTCTCCAGTGTATCAAAAAACTATATGTAACCTTAGTAGGAAGGGTTGAAGCAATTAATATTTAAATTAACAATTACTTTCTGCTAAATCTTTAATCCAACTCCAGTGACTGTAAAACACTAAACTTGGTGGAAATGGTGGACGCGAGATGGAGAGAAGTAGGAAGAAGGATGGAGAGGAAGGGGGTAATTAGTGTAGAACTCTAACAGATCCATGTCCCACACTCTATAAGGGTCTACAATAGTGTGGACCTTTGCTACCTAGAATCTTCAAAGAAGAAAGTAATCTTTACTGTCCTCCTCAATGGCATTAAGGAAAAGCACCTTCTTAAGTCTCCCTCCATCATATTCCCTCTAGGCAAAAGAGGGCTAACCACATTGGCTGAGACGTGTTGCTTTGTTCATTCCCTACAAAAAAATAAGATCTGGAGGAGTTGATTACACATGTGAGTTGATTGCTCATGGCAATATAAAAATGAGCAAGAACTTGCCTGTTCCTCATGGCTTCATTTACATATTGCCCCAGGGTCTAACTCAGGAAAATCCCAGGATTGACCACACCTTCAGGTAGTATGGGTTTGTCAGGTACATCCAACATAGGAAAGAGGAAAGATATGTACAAAAGGCACAGAGATATGAAACAGAATTTTGTGTTGACTTATTTGCAAGAGTCTGAGACCTGGCATGGTGGGAAATGAGACGGGAGAGAGAGAGAACAAGGGCTAGATCTTGGAGGGCCTCATTGACTTTGAAGGAAATTGGGATGTAGGAGAGAAGAATCCCCAGAAATAACTCAGCCAAGGAAGAACCAGGATCAGGTCATAATTTAGAAAGACCTGAAGTCTGTGTGGAGGATGTTGTGGTCCACAGAAGCCTGGGAAGATCAAGATTTCAAGTCCCTGTTTCCCCAGGAAAAACACATGGGACCTGATCAGGGTGTTTGCATTATAATGCTGTCCAGGTCTGGGTGTTCTTTTTTTTTTTTTTAAATTATACTTTAAGTTCTAGGGTACATATGCACAATGTGCAGGTTTGTTACATAGGTATACATGTGCTATGTTGGTTTGCTTCACCCATCAACTCATCATTTACATTAGGTATTTCTCCTAATGCTATCCCTCCTCCAGCCCCCTACCCCGCAACAGGCCCTGGTGTGTGATGTTCCCTGCCCTGTATCCATGTGTTCTCATTGCTCAACTCCCACTTATGAGTGAGAACATGTGGTGTTTGGTTTTCTGTCCTTGTGATATTTTGCTGAGAATAATGGTTTCCAGCTTCATCCATGTCCCTGCAAAGGATATGAACGCATCCTTTTTTATGGCTGCATAGTATTCCATGGTGTATATGTGCCACATTTTCTTTATCCAGTCGATCATTGATGGGCATTTGGGTTGGTTCCAAGTCTTTGCTATTGTGAATAGTGCCACAACAAACATATGTGTCATGTGTCTTTATAGTAGCATGATTTATAATCCTTTGAGTATATACCCAGTAATGGGATTGCTGGGTCAAATGGTATTTCTAGTTATAGATCCCTGAGGAATCACCACCCTGTCTTCCACAATGGTTGAACTAATTTACACTCCCACCAACAGTGTAAAAGTGTTCCAATTTCTCCACATCCTCTCCAGCACCTGTTGTTTCCTGACTTTTTAATGATCGCCATGCTAACCGGCATGAGATGGTATCTCATTGTGGTTTTGATTTGCATTTCTCTGATGACCAGCGATGATGAGCATTTTTTCATATGTCCATTGGCTGCATAAATGTCTTCTTTTGAGAAGTGTCTGTTCATATCATTTGCCCACTTTTTGATGGGGTTGTTTTTTTCTTGTAAATTTGTTTAAGTTCTTTGTAGAGTCTGGATATTAGCCCTTTGTCATATGGGTAGATTGCAAAAATTTTCTCCCATTCTGTGGGTTGCCTGTTCACTCTGATGATAGTTTCTTTTGCTGTGCAGAAGCTCTTTAGTTTAATTAGATCCCATTTGTCAATTTTGGTTTGTGTTGCCATTGCTTTTGGTGTTTTAGATATGAAGTCTTTGCCCATGCCTATGTCCTGAATGGTATTGCAGGTCTGGGCATTCTTAACTCAAGGGATCCTTGAGTAAAAGTGATAGTGGGATCTTTACACTGATCCCACTAACAGCAAGTTACCAGGTCTTCATTTTCTTGCCATCCTTTTAATCACAGATAAGTGTTCTTCATACTGGCCTTCCCTCTCATCTCTAGCCGGAAAACCATTGGTACTTGCCCCAGGTAGGAGGAGGAGCAGAGAACAGAAGGTTTCTGTGGAGCTGCGTTAATCACCAAGGAGAGGCAGATGGCTCCAAGCCCACAGAGTGTGACCCAGGTAAGTTTAAAAGTGTGGCCGAAACCCAACAAACACCTCCCTGTAATTTTGCCCTCTCTACCCTTAGGTGAAAATGAGTCAAGCAAGGGAGTAGCCAAGCAGAATGCTGGGACAGTCATGGTTCTTTACAGACAAGGAGGCCCCATGGTCTTCATTAGGGAGAGAGGAAGATTTTCAAGGGGTTCTGGAATTTTCTGATTTTTCAATTGTTTTCCTGTTTCTTCTTTTTTTAAATTTAATTTAATGTAATTTTTTTTTTTTTTTTTTTTTTTTTTTTTGGTGACAGGGTCTTGCTCTGTTGCCTAGGCTGGAGAGCAGCGGTTCAATCATAGCTCACTGTAACCTCAAACTCCTGGGCTCGAGCAATCCTTCTGCCTCAGCCTCCTGAGTAGCTGGGAATGCAGGTGCGTGCACCCACCCCTGGCTAATTATTATTATTTTTTTGTAGAGATGGAGTCTTACTATGTTGCCTAGGGTCTTGAACTCCTGGCCTCAAGGGATCCTCTCACCTCGGCCTCCCAAAGTGTTGGGATTACATGTGTGAACCATTGCGCCCAGCCTACTTTTCTATTTCTTTAGCTTTCTTTCTCATTTTGCTCTCTAGCACAGTAAATTTTCCTCTATTATTTAGAAAACCTATCCCTGTGCTGAGTATTTAATAGATTATTAAAATTTGCCATGAACTTATTTTATTTTAAAAGGTTAAATAGGAATGAGGAAGCAAAATTTAGATGAAGTAGATTTGTTAATCACTGGAGGTAGAAAGAGAGTTTCAGTAATCTGTTGCTGCAATCATTGACTCTCTAGTCCAAGAGGCATCTTGAAGACCAGTGCCTCTGATTTGATTTTCCCCTACAATCCTAAGCAGTGGTTTCCCTGATGACCATGAATATATATAGCATAGGCATCTCATTGCCTTTCCAAGCAGCCCCTCTGACAGCCAGAACTGAAATCTGCTTCTCATAATGGTCACCCACCACTCAGAATTCTACTCTCCTACATGAAATAACTTTTACCATTTCCTTGTAGTAGAGTAGCGGAACAAACAATGACACTAAAATCACAAGCACAGCAACCAATGCAGCAAAAGCTAGGACCAGTGCCACATGTTTTGCCATCATCACTTTTTTGATTGACTGCATTTGCTGTCCTTTGCAAACTGTTGCTCTGTCCCTCCTTCCCTTTAGCCTGCTCTTCCAATAAGTAAAATATGGAGAATCTGGTCTTTACTAAGAGTAGCATAAATGTAGTTCTTAAGTCATTCCCAATTTGGAGCACTCTACACTATACTATCCTGAGCTTCGGATTAAGGCCTGAGTTTTCCTGACTTGAAATTTGAAGGGAATTCTTTTTGTTGTTGTTTTTCCTGGTAAGACTCTGCAGCTTTGCTGAGAAGAACCTAGTGGATAGGGAATATCCAATTTCTTATCTCCTGGCAACATGAGATTTCCAGAATCTTCCACAATCACTAAAGGGTCAGATCTTTGAGACTTCATCCCTTTGTTATAAGGTGACTTAGCAACAACAGTTTGGTTGCAATTGAAGATGCAGTTTTGAAGTATTGTCTCTTTTTGTGGCCTTTCTTCCTCCCTCTCTAAAATGAGTGAGTAGGTGGGTGAATGTGTATGGCAAAAGATGGGAGGAAAAGGTGGGCCAGGCAGTTGGAATTGTTTCTTAGTGTGGTTGGGTCTCACAGCTTTTTATGGTTGTTTTGCTCCTATCCTCCAGGCCCCTTTGGCCAACTCCTTCCCCACCCTTTCATCCTAAAGCCCCCAAAACCACAACCACAGTCAAATAATTAAACACACGAAACAAATAAAACTGCTTCTGTGTGAATATGTTTCTCTGGTCATGCCATCCCTGTGAGAGACGCCTCCCTCGTAAACAGTAACAGGCAGAATTTCTCTAGCAAGGCAGGCACACAACAGACTCTGCACCTTCAAGGCAGAAGCAGAAGGGAAGGCCAGTGCCTCTGGGTTAGGGCCTGTTGGTTCTTGGAAGGCACTCCCAAGAATCCTGGCAAACTCTGCAGGGAGAGGAAGACAAAAATTTCCAGTGTTTGCAGCCAACAGGGCCACGTGTTCATTCAATAAAATTTATGACTTGGTTGGTCTCTATGGGCTTCTGGCTGAGTGAAGGTGAGAGAAATCTGTGGTAATTGCAGATCTGGCATGACCAAAGATGAGCCAATTTTAAACAACCTTCTAATGTAAACTTTTAAGGAGACATTTAAAACTTCGAGCTTGAGGCTCATGTCTGTAATCCCAGCACTCTGCGAGGCCGAGGTGGGAGCATTGCGTGAGGCCAAGAGAGTTTGAGACCAATATGAACTACATAGTGAGACAGTCTCTATAAAACATAAAATTATGCCTTAGTCCTAGCATCTTGGAAACCTGAGGTGGGATGATTGCTTGAGCCCGGGAGTTTGAGTCTGCAGTGAGCCATTACTGTACCATTGCACTCCAGCCTGAGCCACAGAGTGAGGCTCTGTTTCTAAAAGACAAAATAAAAAAGATAAGAAAAAACCCTGTCTCAGAATCCTAAAATCCAACTAAAGGGTTAAGTTCTAAAAATGATAATTATGAATTTTGCAAATTTCCTGTCCTTATAGTCCCAGCATGGAGTGACAAGGTTATTGGTGAGCACTAACACTCAACTGAGAAGCTTTCAGAAAATACTGTTATCTGGGGCTTACCAAAGACCAGTTAAATCAGAAATACTACCAAGTGGGGTATTTATATCCCTGTAAAAGTTCTCCGTGAACTTAATGGGCAGTCAGGGTTCAGCATCACTGCATTGAATAAACCAGTCTATGAAAGTCTTGCTAGAGGTTTTCTCAGGCTTTTTTTTTTTTTTTTGAGACAAAGTCTCACTCTGTTGCCCAGGGTGGAGTGCAATGGCGTAATCTCAGCTCACTACAACCACCGTCTCTCAGGTTCAAGCAATTCTCCTGCCTCGGCCTCCTGAGTAGCTGGGACTATAGGCGCATGCCACCACACCTGGCTAATTTTTTATTTTTAGTAGAGACAGGGTTTCACCATGTTGGCCAGGCTGGTCTCAAACTCCTGACCTCAGGTGATCCACCCACCTCTGCCTCCCAAAGAGCTGGGATTACAGGCGTGAGCCACTGCGCCCGGGGGTTTACTCAGTTTTAACATTGTGCCACATTGCTATATTTTGTGACTAGAGATGATATGGGCCCTCAGGGAGAGGAACTGATGATAGCTGCTGGAGTCTGAACAGGGCTTAGTCTGAGGAAGGAGGAAAACCAACAGAGAACAGAGTCAAGGACAGCAAAGGAGGAAGAAGACGTTTTAAGGAGTATGGCCTGGTCAAAGTGGTCTGGTCCTACAATGCAATAACTTGAAATGTCTCCATATTGTACAACAGGTGGATTATTGGTGACCTTAGTGAGATCAGCTGCAGTGAGATTTCACTTGGCTGAGGAGATAAGGAAACAGAGATAAGTGTGGACTAAAATTTTCAGAATTCTGGCCAGGCGCAGTGGCTCACGCCTATAATCCCAGCACTTTGGGAGACTGAGGCGGTCGAATCACGAGGTCAGGAGTTCGACACCAGCCTGACCATTGTGGTGAAACCAAGTCTCTACTAAAATTACAAAAATTAGTCAGGCATGGTGGTGCCTGCCTGTAATCCCAGCTACTCAGGAGGTTGAGGCAGGAGAATCACTTGAACCCAGGAGGCAGAGGTTGCAATGAGCTAAGATCGTGCCACTGCACTCCAGCCTGGGTGACAGAGTGGGACTTTGTCTCAAAAAAGGAAAAAAAAAAAAGTAATTTTAGAATTCTAGCTGAGAAGCAACAGAAAGTCTTAAAAGATGTCAAAAGACAGAATTACAATAAATTTAGTTTAAAAATTGAATTGGCTTTATTTGCAATTCTAGAATCAGCAACACCTCATTCTGAGGGTTCCAATTTGCTGAGCAGAGGAGGTTGGCTTTATGGGCAGAAAATGGCTGAAGAAAGTGGAAATGAACAACAAAAAATAGATTGGTTGTTTCAAAGTGACTTTCCTTATAGGGTTAAAACAGAGGGGACTTCCTTATTACACTGACTCAGGTTGACTGGAATCTCCTAATTTTTAGAAAATGAGCTCATTTCAAAGTTCACTTTGATTATGTGGCACTTAGTACAAGTGACCTCATTCTGGTTTGGTCTGGCCTGCCAGGGCCTAGTGCAGGAGGCTAGCCCAAAACAATAGCCTCCCATAAACTTTAACAAAAGGGATACAGGATTCAGGAATTTTAATTTTTTTATTTTGTATTTATTCAATAATGGGTTAGATCTGAGTGTGTGTGTGTGTGTGTGTATATATATAAATAATATACGTATACGTATACGTATAACATATGTATATGTATACATATATGTATAACATATGTATATGTATACGTATATGTATAATATATGTATAACATATGTATATGTATACATATATGCATAATATATGTATAACATATGTATATGCACACATATATGTATAACATATGTACATGCACACATATATGTATAACATGTATATGCACACATATATGTATAACGTATACGCACACATATATGTATAACACATGTATATGCACACATATATGTATAACATATGTATATACACACATGTATAACATGTATATGCACACACATGCATAACATGTATATGCACACACATATGTATAACATGTATATGCACACAATATGTATAACATATGTATACACACACATATATGTATAACATATGTATATGCACACATATGTATAACATATGTATACGCACACATATATGTATAATATATGTATAACATGTATATGCACACATATATGTATACTATATGTATAACACATGTATATGCATACATATGTATAATATATGTATAACACATGTATATGCATACATATGTATATGTATAACACATGTATATGTATACATATGTATAATATATGTATAACACATGTATATGTATACATATATGTATAATATATGTATAACACATGTATATGTATACATATATGTATAATATATGTATATGCTAAGGAGAGGGAATGGATGAAAATATAGGAGGCTAGAGGGAGTAACATGGCTCCTGAAAATGTACAGGAATGGAAGTAGTAGCCTTGGACAGGAAGAAAGAAGAGACTTCACTGTCATTGTAACAGAGAGGAAGAAGCAGTCCCTGGTGTGGATGCAAAATGTTTAGGCAGGGGCATGGGTAGGAATGTGAGGACCTGTTTGCCTCATGGCCTCTAATTCACTGTAAAGTGGAGGTAAGATCATTTGCAGGGTTTCTTAGTAAAGCCATTGCCCTCTGAGGTCTCTGGAACCATTGAGATAGAATGAGGCCACAGCTGAGCACACCCTCATTTCTCACTCCCTCCTGACACACAGAAGAGGGGACAGGTGCTATGTCTGCTGGGAACTGAGGTGCGGGCAGTATGGGAGACAGTTGGTTCCCTCTGTGTGGCTTTCTCCATCTCACATCACTCCTTACCTCCACTCATGCATTCGCCTGCCTCCTGCAGACTGCAGAGCCCTTCTGTTTTCTGTCTGTTCATTGTTCCTTCTTTCCTTCCATTGTGTCAGAATCTCCGCCTTTGATTGGCCACCACTGCTGCTGTCCTTAAGTGTCTTTGCCTTTTGTTATAAATGCTGAAAGTCTGATAATGTATCACTATTGATAGGTAATCAGAGGGCTCTTTTCCTTCCACAAGACTTGCTGATAAATAAAGGGTATTGGAAGTCATTATATACCATTCGAAACATTTCTAGCCTTCTCAAAAATAAAAGACCAAATTCAATGGTGAGTATGAATAAATAATGAAGGGCCGGGTTTCTGGGCCAGTGATCTTTCATCTTCATCTTGCTGTTTCTGTTCTTCACTTCTCCAAGCTCAAGCCTGGGAAAGGTGTGATGAAGGCTATCAAAGATGAATTCAAAATATAGTATGCAACAGCTACCAAAGGGCAACTTCATATTGATTTTCCTTTCAATGAGCCACAGGTCTGGCTTACTTGGTTTAACATCCTGCTAGAATCAGGCAGTCTTTGGACTCAGTTCAGCAGTTTCTGGTTGGCATGAAGATTCATCTAATGGAGAAATTGAGAACACTAAAGAATCTTTAATTGTGGTAAAATGCACATAAAATTTACCATCCTAACCACTTTTCAGTGTACAGTTCAGAAGTGTTAAGTATATTCACTTTTTTCCTTACATGAATACATAAGTAGCACACTTTGTGTGTGTGTATGCAACCAATCTCCAGAATTCTTTTCATCTGTAAAACCGAAACTTTGTATCCATTAGACAACTCCCAATTTCTCCCTCCCCCTAGCTCCTGGCAGCCACCATGTACTTTCTGTCTGTATTAATTTGATGATTCTTGGTGCCATATATGAGTGGAATTATACAGTATTTGTCTTTTTGTGACTGGATGATTTCACTTAGCATAATGTCCTTAAGGTTCTTCCATGTTGTAGCATGTGTCAGAATCTTCTTCCTTTTTAAAGGTGAATAATATTCCATTGGATGTATATGCCATATTTTGTTTATCCATTCATCTGTTGATGAACACTTGGGTTGCTTCCTACCTTTTGGCTATTATGAATAATGCTGCTATGAACGTGGATGTATAAGTATCTGTATGAGTTTCTGCTAATTCTTTTGGGTGTCTACCCAGAGCTGGAATTGCTGGATCGTATGGTAATATTTTTTAATATTTTTTTTTTTTTTTTGAGACGGAGTCTCACTCTCGCCCAGGCTGGAGTGCAGTGATGCTATCTCGGCTCACTGCAAGCTCCGCCTCCCGGGTTCATGCCATTCTCCTGCCTCAGCCTCCCAAGTAGCTGGGACTACAGGCGCCTGCCACCACGCCCGGCTAATTTTTTGTGTTTTTAGTAGAGATGGGGTTTCACCGTGTTAGCCAGGATGGTCTCGATCTCCTGACCTCGTGAGCCGCCCACCTTGGCCTCCCATAGTGCTGGGATTACAGGCGTGAGCCACTGCGCCTGGCCTAACACTTTTTAATTTTTTAAGGAACTGCCATACTGTTTTCTACAGTGGTTGCACCATTTTACATTCCTACCAGCAGTACACAAGGGTTTCAATTTCTTCACAGCCACACCAACACTTTTCTATTTTTTGATAGTAGCCATCCTAATGGGCAGCATCTTGGGGTTTTGATGAACATTTGTCTGATGCTTAGTGATATTAAACTTCTTTTCCTGCGCTTATTGGCTATTAGTATATCTTCTTTGAAGAAATGTCTATTCAAGTCATTTGCTTATTTTTAAAGTCAGGTTTTTTGTTGTTGAGATTAAGAGCGTTTTAAGATTTTTGCAGTAAGTATTTAGAGCAATATTGTAGGGTCTTATTAAGTCCAAGGCTTTTTATTTTTCTCCCGTGACTCCGCCACTGTCCCTGCTGTAAAATACAGTGGCTCTTCATGGTAAATTCCAATTTTAAGTAGCATTAAATGTGGCTGTACTCAGTTCTTTATTTTTAACTCATAATATTTGGGTCAGCATTTTTAGATAAAACGGATGCTATGTCTTTTGCCATAGCAAACAGGAAGGTATCTATTATTCTCTTTGCTGATGACATGGTCCTTCACTGAATGGTTGGTTTCTATCAGGAGAAACAGCTTGGTGTCAAGCATGCCATTTTTAGAATGTACTCTTGTTTAATAGAGCTTTATTAAACAGATAGATAAGTATAGTTATATTTCAGGGGTGGTGCTGTGTATTTTGGGACCAGCATCACCCATCGGAGCCATGGAGATTCAATTCTGCTTCAAATTAATAGCTCCACAGGATCCACATGAAAGTTCTTAACTGGCAGGTACAGATGGAAACTAACTTCTATCCTAAAAATCCTTCAGGCCAGGTGTATCTCTTAACGCTGTAGGTGCAGAAATTTAGAGCTTCACCATACTTGTTAGTGTCTTGGAGACATATCCAAAGTTGCTTTGTAGAGAAAAGTCTTATTTACCTGTAGATTTTCTTAGCCTATTCTATGTTTAAGGCCATACTCCTGGGTAAGAGCATAAACTGGACTCTACTTTCCTTAACTGTCTACATGACAGGTGTTTCAGCCCAATACTTTCAATCAGGTATGAACATTATGAACTCATTAGTAAACATAGTTTTGGATTGTCTTCTATGGAAAACTTATTAAAGCCCATATGGGAAAAATGTTATGTGAGAAATACAGCCAAAAAGAGATGCTAAACACTCATTCTTTAGCTTCTCTGAGCTCCTTCCTGGTATTGAGTTGCTATACCCTAAACTCAGTTCTGCAGTGTATTATTGCTCTGTCTCAACAGAAAATTCTGTGCCCAAATTAAGACCTAACAACATGCCCTCAAATTTTACAGACTCTCTCTCTAATATTTGGAACACGAGATTTTTTTTCTTTATTCGGTGGAAGTCAGAAGCAGAGAAAAAGTTGTTTCTGAAAAAAGTTGCTATAGTTTGAAGTTTCCCTCAAAAGTTCATGTGTTGGAAACTTAATACCCAATGCAACAGTGTTGAGAGGGAGGTAGGGCTTAATGAGAGGGCTCCAACCAATGGATTAATGTCATTATTAAAAGAGAGAGTTAGTTATCACAAAGCAGGTTGTTATAAAGTGAGTCCAGCCTTTGATGCCTCTCTGTCTAATGTAATTACTTCTGTCTTCTTCCCTTTCACCATGAGATGACCCTTACCAGACACCATGTTTTTGGACTTACCAGCCTTCAGAACCATGAGTTAAATAAACTTTTGTTCTTTATAAATTACCCAGTCTGTGATATTCTGTTATAGCAGCAGGAAACAGATAAAGAAAAAATTTGTTTTTTAATTTTTATTTTAATTTTTTTTTAGACAGGGTCTCACTTTTTCACATAAGCCAGAGTGAAGTGGCATGAACAGAGCTCACTGCAGCCTCAACCACCTGGGCCCAAGCAACCCTCCTGTCTCAGCCCCCAAGTAGCTGGGATCACAGGCGCATGCCACCATGCCCAGATAATTTTTGTATTTTTTGTAGAGATGGGGTTTTGCCATGTTGCCCAGGCTTGTCTCAAACTCCTAAGCTTAGGCAATCTGCCTTCCTCAGCCTCCCAAAGTGCTGTGATTACAGGCCTGAGCCACTGCACCCAACCAAAGACAAAAATTAAGCTTTTTTTAAAAAATTTTTATTTCCATAGGTTTTTGGGGAACAGGTGATATTTGGTTAGATGAGTAAGTTCTTTAGTGGAGATTTGTGAGATTTTGGTGCACCCATCTCCAGAGCAATATACACTAAACTTAACTTGTAGTCTTTTATCCCCTACCCCCTTCCCACTCTTACTTCTGAGTCCCCGAAGTCCACTGTGTCATTCTTATGCCTTTGCATCCTCATGGCTTGGCTCCCATTTATGAGTGAGAACATAAACATTTAGCCTTTTTTTAAAAAAAAAATTGAGATGGAGTCTCACTATGTTGCCTAGGCTGGTCTCAAATTTCTGAGCTCAAATTATCCTGGTCTTGGATTCCTGAGCTCAAATTGTCCTACTGCCTCAGCCTCCTAAGTAGCTGGGATTACAGGAATGCTTTTTTCTTTCTTTCTTTTTAATTTTTTAAAACAAAAACAATGTTATATAGCCTCATGAATGTCTTTGCCTTTTGCCTTGACTGTCAGAAAATTAGTTTTAAATTCAAGCATTCTCTCAAATCTAATTTTGTTTGATGTTAGTATTTGCTGACTTTGCTTTTTATTTGATGTATGTATTCTTTTTAATAGCTTTATTGAGGTATAATTTACACACCATAAAAATCTGCCATTTGAACTGTACGATTCAATCATTTTTAGTAAATTTACAGAGTTGTGCTGCTATCATCACAACCCAATTTTAGAATAGTTTCATCATCCTGAAAAGACCCTTTTTCCCAACCCCAGGCAACCATTAATCTACTACTTTCTGTCTCTATAGATTTGCCTAATCTGGTTATTTCATGTAAACAAAATCACACCAGAGTCAAACCATTTGTGGCTGGCTTCCACTGCTGAGCATAACAATTTCAAGGAAAATCTATGTAATAACATGTATCATTTACATGGTATCTTTTAAAGTGCAAAACTTAAAAATTTTGATAAATTCCAATGAATTTTGATTCATTTTGAGTTGTTTTGTGTGTATGATGTGAGATAAGGGTTTGAATTCATCCTCGTCCGTCAGTATAGGTGCTCCTTGATTTATGATGGGGTTACATTTTGATAAACTCATTGTAAGTCAAAAATATTTTAAATGGAAAATGCATTTAATACTGTGATAAACCGGTTGTAAAGTCAAAACTTGTAAACCAGGGGTTATCTGTACTTCATTCTTTTTGTTGCTGAATAATATTCCCTCGTATGGATATACCACACTTTATTTATCCATTCACCAGTTGATGGACATTTGGATTTTTTTCAGGTTTTGGCTATAGTATTAGTCCATTTTCACACTGCTAAAAATAACCACCTGAGACTGGGTAATTTATAAAGAAAAGAGGTTTAATTGACTCACAGTACCACATGGCTGGGGAGGCCTCAGGAAACTTACAATCATGGCGGAAAGCAAAAGGGAAGTAAGGCATGTCTTACATGGTGGCAGGAAAAAGTTAAGGTGGGGAGTGCCACACTTTTAAACCATCAGCTCTCATGAGAACTCACTCACTATCATGAGAACAGCATGGGGAAAATCTGCTCCCATGATCTAATTACCTCCCACCAGGTCCCTCTCCTGACCTGTGGGATTACAATTCGACATGAGATTTGAGAAGGGACACAGAGCCAAACCATATCAGCTATTATGAGTAATCTTCTATGAGCATTCACATACAAGTTTTTGTGTGGATGCACATTTTTATTTCTCTTGAGTAGATACCTAGAAGAAGAATTGCTGGATCTTATGGTTAATTTATGTTTAACTTTTAAACTGTTTTCCAAAGTAGCTGTACCATTTTACATATCCTGCAACGATGTATGAAGGTTCCAGTTTCTCTATGTCTGTACCAACACTTGCTATTGCCTGCCTTTTGGATTATAGCCATTTTAATGGGTGTGCAGTGGTATCTTACCTTGGCTTTAACTTGCATTTCCCAGCTGGGTACAGTAGCTCATGCATGTAATCCTAGCATCTTGGGTGGCTGAGGCAGGCAGATCATTTGAGCTCAGGAGCTTGAGACCAGCCTGGGCAATGTGGTGAAACCCTGTCTCTACAAAAAATACAAAAATTAGCCAGGCAAGGTGGCACACACCTGTGGTTCCAGCTACTCAGGAGGCTGAGGTGGCAGGATCGTTTGACTCCAGTTGAGGCTGGAGTGAGCCGTGATTGTGTCACTGCACTACAGTCTGGGTGACAGAGTAAGACCCTGTCTCAAAAAAAAGAAAAAAAAAAGAATTTGCATTTCCCTAGTAACAAATGATGTTAAGCATCTTTTCTTGTGCTTATTGGTCATTCAGATATCTTCTTTAGTAAAATGTTTATTCAAATGTTTTGCCCACTTTAAAAATTGAGTTTTCTTCTTACTATTAAATTGTAAGAGTTCTTTATATATTCTGGATACAAGTCCCTTACCAGATACATGACTTACAAGTATTTTTCTCCCAGTATGTGATTTACCTTTTTATTTTGTTAATGGTATCTTTTGAAGTGCAAAACTTAAAAAAATTTGATAAATTCCAATGAATGTTGATTCGTTTTGAATTAATTTTTTGTGTATGATGTGAGATAAGGGTTTGGATTCATCTTTGTCTTTCTGTATATCTAATTATTGCAGCACCATGTGTTGAAAAGATGGCTTGTCTTTTGCTGGCTTCACTTTTATTTTATTTTATTTGTGCCTTTAAAGAAAAGGTGAAGTAGGCATAAATAATTTATGAACAAAAATGAAGATGGTCTCTGTGTTGAATTTCTAAATGCTTACATGAGAGAATGAGCATCATCAGACTGACGTGTTAACAATAATTTGAACCACAATTTTATTTTGTTCTCTTCTTCTTCCCCATTCCCTCCCCAACCCTGTAGTTAACATCTGCTTCTCTCCTGTAAGAGGAAGTGAAAGATTTAGGTCAGGCCCCAAACCAAACTATCTTTACTGCACTCTTCCCTTTTAAGAAAAAAAAAACCCACCCTGCTGGGTCCGTTTAGCACTAAATTACCCTACATCAACGGTTCTATTGTGATTTTTGGAAGTTGGCCTTCCCCCGGAAGCAGAACTGCTGTTGCTGGGACTGGGTGTTATGAAATCAATCTAGCTGGTCACTTTGAAGGATGCTGACAGGAGTCAAGAGAGACGATCCTTCAAGTATCACAGGACTTTCCCTTATATTTGCTTTACAGATGAATTTCTTACAAGAAATATCTCAGAGGAATATTACCAGAGCTGGAGATCTTCCACATTCAGATCCTACATGTATCTGTGGTGCTGGGCAGAGGTAACCCCAAGTAAGAATAGGTTCAGTTGACTGATACAAGGCAGCAAGACTGGCATCCTTGGGGAAGTCTGTCTCTGGAAAGATATTATCCATCCTGCTATCTTAAGTCATTATAAAGAACAGGATGATTGCATCTTCCTTTATGGATATGTACTGGGTTCCTCTCTTTTATGGTGCTGACCTAGCAGCTATAACTGGGGTATCTTTCTACTCTGGCTTTGACAAATATCCCTCACAATCAGGGCTGTGGCATAATAATGATAAAAATCATAGCTAATATGCATATAGCATATACCTTATTATATACCAGCAACCCTTTTCCTGTCTTACATATATTAACTCATATAACTGTGTCTTGGCTATACGTATTAAAATGAATTATTGAGAGGAGTAGTGATATAGAAGCAATTGACATATTATTTGGACTGTATGGGGAACTCCATCTCCTAAAAGAGCTTTGAGACCAGAAGGAAAGGCCTGAGACAGTACTTGAGGGGTAAAGGTGAACAGAAGGGTTGTTTTTTAGGGTCTCATATTCTTTCATCTCTAGAACTCATTCAAGACAAAAGTTACAGGGAGAAGACACTGATCTTCATTTCCCAGCTTTGGTTAGACATATTCTTTTAGAATCCTTCTTCAAGGGCCTCCAGAATCCCTGTCATCCCTCATTTCCAGGCATTCACCTTAGTGCCTGCTTTCCCTGCTGTGGCATGGGGCCATTCCCCAGCTATCCAGGTTTGTCCTTGGCAGGTTGGGGTCTCCCTCGATGCTTTCCTGTCCTGTCTTTCAATGTGACAACTGTTTGCTAGAAGGGGGCAGTTTCAGCATTAAGGGTGAGGTCCTGTAACATTTTAACTCACTGCTGGCCCAAACAAAAGATTTCACCAAGTTTAAGATTTTAGTAATATACAAACATTTTGGCTTATTTTAGGCTATTAGCCAGTTTGTTCCATTTTAGTATAAGATTCAGAAGCTAGTTTCTGGGAGAAAACGAAAGGAGAGGGGAGAGGCTGAGGGCATACGGTGTCTGAAACAAGAAGAGCTGAAAAGGAAGGAAAGATTGGAAAGCCTTTGTCTACATCAAAATTTTGCTGAGGTCTTTCCCTGACAGAAAGGCTAATAAGAGATGCAGGTAGGTCCTTCATTCCTGCCCCCAGATCACACCAATGTTATTAACTATGGTCTCCTACAAACCGTGCACTCAACTTTGTTGTCTAACACAGGAGAATGACTCAAATGAGGGGAATGTCCAGACCCATGAAAGTCAGGTTATTGCAAATGGAGGTAGGCAACTAGTTTTAGACAGGTGCTTCCAGAGAAGACATGCTTTAGATGGCAATCTCCTCACTGATACATGAAGGCAGACCCTGCCAAGCTGGGTATATGATCAAGATGGTCTTAAAGTTCCCCTCAGCTTGACTAAATTTTAGACAGGCTTCTTCCCGAGTATAGGCCCTTGAGCTCTCTTTTTCTTAGAGCATGTACTTCATTTTTCCTTTCTTTTTTCCCCCCTTTTTCATAGAACTGTAGTTCAGAAGGAAGAATATTTACTGTAGAAAGCTTGTAATTGTAAATTCTTTGGCCCTCTGAGAGGTCAATCTTCTCCCAACCTCTTGCAAGTTTTATAACCCAGGAATGTCTTTCACAAGGACCTGGGAGCCGCCACTTTGCAATGTAATTATCAAGAAAGACAGCTCCCCTATTTCCCAGTCTCTGTGGGACCATAGGAGCCTAGCTTTAATACATGAACAAGCACCAGCTAGCAAACACAGATGGCCTACTCCCACTGGCCAGCGCTAATGTCCTCTAGTACTTTTCTATTTGCTCACTCCAGTGCTTAAAAATTCTCCCTCTTTTTGTTTTCAAGTTTAACCATTCTCCCCTATTGCAATAGACTTGACTCCTATGGCAATAAGTATTGAATACAGTCTTTCTTGCCTGTTTAGCTCTATGCTGTGCAATTTTTCTTTGATATATAGAAACTTGCACAGTATTTTACCTAAACCGACTCCAAATGAGTTTGAAAAGCCATTAACCCAGAACACAGGATAACTTTGTCATGGTACACTGTTATTTGGACTAATTTTTTGGGGGGATTCTGACATATAAAACATTTTGCATAATATCTCCTTTAATAAGTCCAAAACCAAAACCAGAATGCTTCTCATCTTTCTTTGTCATGAGATATACCAGGTATTCAAAAATACACAATTCTATACACAAACACACACACACACACACACACACATACACTTAGTAGCTATTTTTTTTGTAGGCCTACTTTATGCTAGGCACTGTGTACTTTCTATACATAGTACTTTATAAACATTTCTTCATTTAATTCTTATGGCATCTCTATGATTAGGGCTCATTATTTATTTTACAGATGAGGAAGCTGGGGCTCAGAGAGGTTAAGTAATCACCTTAAATCACAGCTGGTACACGTCAGAAGTGTGATATTAATTCAGTCACTGAGTCTATAAATCATAAAATCGTGCTTTTAATGGTTGTTTTCCAAGGATTCACTGGGCTACCTTGTTAGGATTCTGGCCCAGAGAGAAATCTGTATTTCCAAAGGGATTAAGGATGAGCTTCTGTCAAGTTTTGCTTCTGTCTTACCTCCTGGAGGCATTGTACTATTTCCCTGAGTAAAGATTTTACTATTTCTTGGAGGACTTCTTCCCAAAGTATGTCCCCCATACCCCTTCCCGCCCCTGTTTTCTCTGTATCCATGTATCCCACCCTTGTTTTCTCTGTATGCTTTGTGGCCTGGTCCAGTCTCTTGGAGCAGCCATTCTGATCTTGCTTTCAGGGTTGCTCTGACAAGAACAGCTGGGGATCTCCCCTGGTGCTTCCAGCATTCAGTATGTGCTTCCTCAGTAGACCTTGAAGATGGTAGCAATTTCCTCTCTGACTCATGCATAGGAGGAGATTCCAACATTTTCTCTGTCATTCTCTCAATCATCTGTCCTCTCAGCAGCACTTGGGTGATGACTAGGGCTCAAATAATGCACTATGATATCACCAGCTCACAACTGATGACATCACAAGGCACAATAATAACAAAAGCATCAGGAAGCAGGCAGAGCAAGGGTTTCGATGTATTTCAACATATCTGCAATGCCAGAGAAACCAATCCCTGTTTAAAAACCTAAGTCTTTCTAGCTTCCAAGTTTTTTCTCTGAGATGGAAGGAATCTTTCTAGTATTGACTACCTTCATTAAATACTTGTTATTTCTGAGTCTATGCTTAAAAGTATCCTAGACAGAATCTCAGAACCACTTCACTGCCTAGAAAAACCATCTCTGGGACTGTGAATGGCTCTGTGCTCCAGGCAGGTGACAAGTCACATTTCTGCTATAGAGCCCACCTGTCATATAGGGTGCTGTAAGGTTTTATTTTGTGGACCTGTAGAAAGCACTCTGTGGGTTTATGAACCTGGGCCGCTTGAATTCAGGGGAGCAATGATGAGGGCACTAAAATTCTCTGCTTCCAACTTTTCTCCTTTCTTCTGTTGGAGTGGCTCCCTCTCACTAGGCCTCCAGCACATGCAGCCCTTGCCTTGGATGAATCTAAGAATTTTACTTCTATTTATTACTGATACCAGGGTTTAGATTATTTTCAGTGTTAATGAGGCATTTTATGGAAATCAACATATATTGTCATAGACAAGAGAAGTTAAAATTATTTAAAATAATACTTTTCTCTAGCTATAAGAACTTCGTGGAAAATTTGGAAATTGGAAAATACAGAAATAAAAAAGTTATGCACAATCCCATTAACCCAGAAGCATTCATTGCTAACAGTTTTTTTTAATCTTTCAATCTTTTATTCTGAAGCTCTTTTGTTTTCAAACAAAAAGACATGGCCCCTAAGCCCTAAAACTTACAACTTCAAGGGCAACACAAATGAGAAAAATTAAGACAAAATGAGATTGAAAACCCAATAACATATGAAATATTGGTGATAATAGAACTTCAATCCTTCTGTGAGCATATCTACTCAATTTTTATTTTAAAATGAGAAAATTCTAAAAATCCATATACAGTCAATTTGGAAAACAGATGAGTCTGTCAAGCTCTCAGTGGACAAGCTACAGCTAATTAGTGGCTACAAAACAATTAATGGATAAGCATAATGAATAAGTTTGGGGTTGATTCAGAAAAGAAATATGAGGTGACTTAGTAAACACTGCATTTTTGATATGCTCCCTGGCTTGTAAAAATGCCATTGAGACACATATTGCCTGGAATCAGTCACATCCTGTCTTGTTTACCACTTATTAAGTATCCGTAGGCAAGTTACTTAACCTCTCTAATGTTTTCTCGTCTATAAAGTAGGGAAAACAGGTTGTTGTGACTATTAATTGAGATAATTCCTCTAACATGTTTAATGTAGTCCCTGATGTGTGACAAGTGCTCAAGAAATGCTGAGTATGATTAGAGGTAGTGGAAGGTAGCGGGTAGGACAAGCTCTGGTCAGACTGCCTTGCCACTCTTGTGGCATTTTTTCTACTGGGTTGTAAGACTGGATCATCAACAATGATGTGAATTTGAAAATGAACCAGTTTTGTCTTTGAATTGCTTTAAGGTAAATTATTAATCAAAGAAAGCACTCACAAAATGCTTCTGGGAAGTCCAGATTTTTCTTTTCTTTCTTTCTTTTTTCTTTTTTTTTTTTGAGATGGAATCTGTGTTGCTCAGACTGGAGTACAGTGGTGTGATCTCGGCTCACTGCAGCCTCTGCTTCCCGGGTTCAAGTGATTCTCCTGCCTCAGCCTCTGAAGTAGCTGGGATTGCAGGTGTGCGTGCTACCACACCTGTCTAATTTTTGTATTTTTAGTAGAGATGGGGTTTCACTATGTTGGCCAGGCTGGTCTTGAACTACTGACATCTGGTGATCTGCCCACCTCAGCCTCCCGAAGTGCTGGGATTACAAGTGTGAGCCGCTGTGTCTGGCCAGTCAATTTTTTCTAATGAAGACTTTTTTCATCATTATAGACTCTTAGAGAGTAGCAGTTATTTACTTTTAATGAATCCACATACAGTTTCACCATTAAGATGGTAAAACCAAAAGCCAAAAAAGCAGTTCTTTACTTTGGAAAATGTACTGTTGAATACATTTGGAGCCCATTATAACTTGACCTCTTGTAGTGCTCAGAGCTGCCCACTATGAACCAGTTATTGGTGGAAGGATGGACAGAGAGAAAGAGTCAGAGAGAACCTGAATATATGTTACACTGTGATATTTGTGGAGAAACCAAAACCTTTTTTTTTTTTTTTTTTTTAATTATACTTTAAGTTCTGGGATACGTGTACAGGACATGCAGGTTTGTTACATAGGTATACACGTGCCATGGTGGTTTGCTGCACCCATCAACCTGTCATCTACATCAGGTATTTCTCCTAATGCTATACCTCCCCTAACCCCCCCACCCCCAGACAGGCCCCAGTGTATGATGTTCCACTCCCTGTGTCTGTGTGTTCTCATTGTTCAACTTGCACTTAAGAGTGAGAACATGTGGTTTTTGTGTTAGTTTGCTGAGAATGATGGTTTCCAGCTTCATCCATGTCCCTGCAAAGGACATGAACTCATCCTTTTTTATGGCTGCATATTATTCCATGGTGTATATGTACCACGTTTTCTTTATCTAGTCTATGACTGATGAACATTTGGGTTGGTTCCAAGTCTTTGCTATTGTGAACAGTGCTTCAATAAACATACGTGTGCATGTGTCTTTATAGTAGCATTATTTATAATCCTCCAAAGGATTACCCAAGTACATACCCAGTAATGGGATTGCTGGGTTAAATGGTATTTCTGGTTCTAGATCCTTGAAGAATAGCCACACTTTCTTCCAAAAAAAAATTTTTTTTTTTTGAGACAGAGTCTTGCTCTTTCGCCCAGGCTGGAGTGCAGTGGCATGATCTCGGTTCACTACAAGCTCCGCCTCCTGGGTTCTCGCCATTCTCCTGCCTCAGCCTCCCAAGTAGCTGGGACTACAGGCGTCGGCCACCGTGCCCGGCTAATTTTTTGTATTTTTAGTAGAGACGGGGTTTCACCGTGTTAGCCAGGATGGTCTCGATCTCCTGACCTCGTGATCTGCCCGCCTCGGCCTCCCAAAGTGCTGGAATTACAGGCGTGAGCCACCGTGCCCGGCCAACTTTTTTTTTTTTAAATTATACTTTAAGTTCTGGGGCACATGTGCAGAACGTGCAGTTTTGTTACATAGGTATACACATGCCATGGTGGTTTGCTGCACCCATCAACCCATCATCTACATTAGGTATTTCTCCTAATGCTATCCCTCCCCTAACCACCAACCCCCCTGACAGGCCTTAGTGTGTGATGTTCCCCTCTCTGTGTCCATGTGTTCTTGTTGTTCAACTCCCACTTATGAGTGAGAATGTGCAGTGTTTGGTTTTCTGTTCTTGTGGTAGTTTGCTGAGAATAATGGTTTCCAGCTTCATCCATGTCCCTGCAAAGGACACAAACTCATCATTTTTAACGGCTGTATAGTATTCCATAGTGTATATGTGCCACATTTTCTTTATCCAGTCTATCATTGATGGGCATTTGGGTTGGTTTCAAGGCTTTGCTATTGTGAATAGTGCCACATTAAACATGTGTGCATGTGTCTTCATAGTAAAATGATTTATAATCCTTTGGGTATATACCCAGTAATGGGATTGCTGGGTCAAATGGTATTTCTAGTTATCAATCATTGAGAAATCGCCACACTGTCTTCTACAATGGTTGAACTAATTTATACTCCCACCAACAATGTAAAAGCATTCCATTTCTCCATATCATCTCCAGCATCTGTTGTTTCCCGACTTTTTAATGATTGCCATTCTAACTGGCATGGATGGTATCTCATTGTGGTTTTGATTTGCATTTCTCTAATGACCAGTGATGATGAGGTTTTTTTCATATGTTTGTTGGCTGCATAAATGTCTTCTTTTGAGAAGTGTCTGTTCATATCCTTCACACACTTTTTGAGGGGTTTTTCTTTTCTTGTAAATTTGTTTAAGTTCTTTGTAGATTCTGGATATTAACTCTTTGTCAGATGACGGATAGATTGCAAAAATATTTTCCCATTCTGTAGGTTGCCTGTTCACTCTGATGATAGTTTCTTTGGCTGTGCAGAAACTCTTTAGTTTAATTAGATCCCCTTTGTCAATTTTGGTTTGTGCTGCCATTGCTTTTGGTGTTTTAGACATGAAGTCTTTGAATATGCCTATGTCCTGAATAGTATTCCCTAAGTTTTCTTCTAGGGTTTTTATGGTTTTAGGCCTTACTTTCAAGTCTTTAATCCATCTTAAGTTAGTTTTTGTATAAGGTGTAAGGAAGGGGTCCAGTTTCAGTTTTCTGCATATGGTTAACTAGTTTTCCCAACACCATTTATTAAATAGGGAATCCTTTCCCCATTGCTTGTTTTTGTCAGGTTTTTCAAAGATCAGATGGTTGTAAATGTGTGGTATTATTTCTGAGGCTTCTATTCTGTTTTGGTACCAGTACGATGCTGTCTTGGTTACTGTAGCATTGTAGTATAGCTTGAAGTCAGGTAACGTGATGCCTCCAGCTTTGTTCTTTTTGCTTAGGATTGTCTTGGCTATATGCGCTGTTTTTTGGTTCCATATGAACTTTAAAGTAGTTTTTTCCAATTCTGTGAAGAAAGTCAATGGTAGCTTGATGGGGATAGCATTGAATCTATACAATACTTTGGGCAGTATGGCCATTTTCACAATACTGATTCTTTCTATCCATAAGCATGGAATGCTTTTCCATTTATTTGTGTCCTCTCTTATTTCCTTGAGCAGTGGTTTGTAGTTCTCCATGAAGAGGTCCTTTACATCCATTGTAAGTTGTATTCCTAGGTATTTTATTCTCTTTGTACCAATTTTGAATGGGAGTTCACTCATGATTTGGCTCTCTGTTTGTCTGTTATTGGTGTATAGGAATGCTTGTGATATTTGCACATTGATTTTGTATCCTGAGACTTTGCTGAAGTTGCTTATCAACTTAAGGAGATTTTGGGCTGAGATGATGGGATTTTCTAAATATACAATCATGTTATCTGCAAACAGAGACAATATGACTTCCTCTCTTCCTATTTGAATACGCTTTATTTCTTTCTCTTGCCTGATTGCGCTGGTCAGAACTTCCAATACTATGTTGAATAGGAGTGGTGAGAGAGGGCATCCTTGTCTTGTGCTGGTTTTCAAAGGGAATGCTTCCAGTTTTTGCCCATTCAGTATGATATTGGCTGTGGGTCCGTCATAAATAGCTCTTATTATTTTGAGATATGTTCCATCAATACCTAGTTTATTGAGAGTTTTTAGCATGAAGGGTGTTGAATTTGATTGAAGGCCTTTTCTGCATCTATTAAGTTAATCATGCTGTTTTTGTCATCGATTCTTTTTATGTGATGGATTATGTTTATTGATTTGCGTATGTTGAACCAGACTTGCATCCCAGGTATGCAGCCAACTTGATTGTGGTGGATAAGCTTTTTGATGTGCTGCTAGATTTTGTTTGCCAGTATTTTATTGAGGATTTTTGCACTGATGTTCATCAGGGATATTGGCCTGAAATTTTCTTTTTTGTGTGTGTGTCTCTTCCAGGTTTTGGTATCAGAATGATGCTGGCCTCATAAAATGAGTTAGGGAGAATTCCCTCTTTTTCTATTGATTGGAATTGTTTCAGAAGGAATGGTACCAGCTCCTTTTTGTACCTCTGGTAGAATTTGGCTGTGAATCCATCTGCTCCTGGACTTTTTTGATTGGTAGGCTATTAATTACTGCCTCAATTACTGCAGTAATTATTAATTACTGCCTCAATTTCAGAACTTGTTATTGGTCTATTCAGGGATTCAACTTCTTTCTGGTTTAGACTTGGGAGGGTGTTATGTGTCCAGAAACTTACCCATTTCTTTGATTTTCTAGTTTATTTGCATAGAGGTGTTTATAGTGTTCTCTACTGGTAGTTTGTATTTCTCTGAGATCAGTGGTGATATCCCCTTTATCATTTTTAATTGCATCTGTTTGACTCTTCTCTCTTTTCTTCTTTATTAGTCTGGCTAGTGGTCTGTCTATTTTGTCGATCTTTTCAAAAAGCCAGCTCCTGGATTCGTTGATTTTTTTGAAGGGGTTTTTGTGTCTCTATCTCCTTCAGTTCTGCTCTGGTCCTAGTTATTTCTTGTCTTCTGCTAGTTTTTGAATTTTTTTGCTGTTGCTTCTTTAGTTCTTTTAATTGTGATGTTAGGTTGTTGATTTTAGATCTTTCTAGCTTTCTTCTGTGGGCATTTAGTGCTATAAATTTCCCTCTAAACACTGCTTTAAATGTATACCAGAGATTCTGGTACATTGTGTCTTTGCTCTCATTGGTTTCAAACAGCATCTTTATTTCTGCCTTAATTTCATTATTTACCCAGTAGTCATTCAGGAGCAGGTTGTTCAGTTTCCACGTAGTTGTGCAGTTTTGAGTCAGTTTCTTAATTCTGAGCTCTAATTTAATTGCATTGTGGTCTGAGAGCATGTTATGATTTCCATTCTTTAGCATTTGCCAGGAGTGTTTTAGTTCTAATTATATGGTCAATTTTAGAACAAGTGCGATGAGGTGCTGAGAAGAATGTATATTCTGTTGATTTGGGGTGGAGAGTTCTGTAGATGTCTATTAGGTCTTCTTGGTCCAGAGGTGAGTTCAAGTCCTGAATATCCTTGTTAATTTTCTGTCTTGTTGATCTGTCTAATATTGACAATGGGGTGTCAAAGTCTCCAACTATTACTGTGTAGGACTCTAAGTCTTTTTGTAGGTCTCTTAGAACTTGCTTTATGAATTTGGGTGTTCCTGTAGTGGGTGCATATATACTTGGGATAGTTAGCTCTTCTTGTTGAATTGATCCCTTTACCATTATGTAATGCCCTTCTTTGTCTTTTTTGATCTTTGTTGGTTTAAAGTCTGTTTTATCAGAGACTAGGATTGCAAACCCTGCTTTTTTTTTGTTATCCATTTGCATCGTAAATATTCTTCCATCCCTTATTCTGAAACTATGTGTGTCTTTGTACATGAGATGAGTGTCCTGAATACAGCACACTGATGGGTCTTGACTCTTTATCCAATTTGCCAGTCTGTGTCTTTTAACTGGGGCATTTAGCACATTTACATCTAAGGTTAATATCGTTATGTGTGAATTTGATCCTGTCATTATGATCCTAGCTGGTTATTTTGTCCATTAGTTGATGAAGTTTCTTCATAGCATCAATGGTCTTTACAATTTGGTATGTTTTTGCAGTGGCTGGTACCAGTTGTTCCTTTCCATGTTTAGTGCTTCCTTCAGGAGCTCTTGTGAGGCAGGCCTGGTGGTGACAAAATCTCTCAGCATTTGCTTCTCTATAAAGGATTTTATTTCTCCTTCGCTTCTTATGAAACTTAGTTTGGATGGATATGAAATTCTGGGTTCAAAATTCTTTTCTTTAAGAATGTTGAATATCGGCCCCCACTCTCTTCTAGCTTGTAGGGTTTCTGCAGAGAGATCTGCTGTTAGTCTGATGAGCTTCCCTTTGTGGATAACCCGACCTTTCTCTCTGGCTGCCCTTAACATTTTTTCCTTCATTTCAACCTTAGCGAATCTGATGATTATGTGTCTTGGGGTTGCTCTTCTGAGAGTATCTTTGTGGTGTTCTCTGTATTTCCTGAACTTGAATGTTGGCCTGCTTTGCTAGATTGGGGACATTCTCCTGGATAATATCCTGAAGAATGTTTTCTAACTTGGTTCCCTGTCACTTTCAGGTTCACCAATCAAATGGAGACTTGGTCTTTCCACATAGTCCCATATTTCTTGGAGGCTTTGTTCATTCCTTGTCATTCTTTTTTCTCTGATCTTGTCTTCTCACTTAATTTCATTAAGTTGATCTTCAACCTCTGATATCCTTTCTTCCACTTGATTTATTCAGTTATTGATAGTTGTGTATGCTTCAAGAAGTTCTCATGCTGTGTTTTTCAGCTCCATCAGGTAATTTACGTTCTTCTCTAAACTAGTTATTCTAGTTAGCAATTCCTCTAACCTTTTTTTCAAGGTTCTTAGCTTTCTTGCGTTTGGTTAGAACATGCTCCTTTAGCTCAGAGGAATTTGTTATTTCCCACCTTCTGAAGCCTACTTCTTTCAATTCGTCAAACTCATTCTCTGTCCATTTTGTTCCCTGCTGGCGAGGAGTTGTGATCCTTTGGAGGAGAAGAGGTGTTCTGGTTTTTGGAATTTTCAGTCTTTTTGCGCTGGTTTCTCCCCATCTTCATGGATTTATCTACCTTTGGTCTTTGATGTTGGTGACCTTCAGATGGGGTCTTTTGAGTGAACGTTTTTTTTTTGTTGTTGTTTTTGTTGTTGTTGTTGATGTTGATGCTATTTCTTTCTGTTTGTTAATTTTCTTTCAACAATCAGGCCCCTCTGCTGCAGGTCTGCTAGAGTTTGCTGGAGGTCCACTCCAGACCCTGTTTGCCAGGGCATCACCAGCGGAGGCTGCAGAACAAATATTGCTGCCTATTTCTTCCTCTGGAAGCTTCATCCCAGAGGGGCACCTGCCAGATGCCAGCTAGAGCTCTCCTGCATGAGGTGTCTGTGGGCACCTACTGGGAGGTGTCTCCCAGTCAGGATACACGGGGGTCAGGGACCCACTTGAGGAGGCAGTCTGTCCCTTAGTAGAGCTCAAGCGCTATGCTGGGAGATCTGCTGCTCTCTTCAGGGTCATCAGGCAGGGACGTTTAAGTCTGTTGAAGCTGTGCCCACAGCTGCCCTTTCTCCCAGGTGCTTTGTCCCAGGGAGATGGGGGCTTTCCTGACAGGGGCTGCTGCCTTTTTTTCAGAGATACCCTGCCCAGAGAGGAGGAATCTAGAGAGGCAGTCTGGCCACAGTGGCCTTGCTGAGCTGGGGTGGGCTCTACCAAGTTCGAACTTCCTGGTGGTTTTGTCTACACTGTGAGGGTAAAATCGCCTACTCAAGCCTCGGCATTGGCGGATGCCCCTCCCCTCACCAAGCTTGAGCCTCCCATGTCAACCTCAGACTGCTGTGCTGGTAGCAAGAATTTCAAGCCAGTGGATCTTACCTTGTTGGGCTCCATGTGGGTGGGACCAGTCAAGCCAGATCACCTGGCTCTCTGGCTTCAGCCCCTGCAGCTGGCTTGGTGTCTGCCCAAACGGCTGCCCAGTTTTGTGCTTGAAACCCAGGGCCCTGGTGGCATAGGCACTGGAGGGAATCTCCTGGTCTGTGGATTGCGAAGACTGTGGGAAAAGCATAGTATCGGGGCCGGAGTGCACCATTCCTTAGGGCACAGTCCCTCAAGGCTTCCCTTGGGTAGGAGAGAGAATTCCCTGACCCCTTGTGCTTCCAGGATAAGGCAACACCCCACTCTGCTTTGGCTCATCCTTTGTGGGCTGCACCCACTGTCCAACGAGTCCCAGTAAGATGAACAGGGTACCTCAGTTGGAAATGCAGAAATCATCTGCCTTCTGCATTGATCTCGCTGGGATCTGCAGACTGGAGCTGTTCCTATTTGGCCATCTTGCCAGCTGCCCCTCCAATAACTGTTTATTAAACCTAGTCTTCAATGTGTATAGTGTGGGATAAGGTTAATTTGTAAAAAAAAAAAAAAAAAAAAATTTTTTTAAACTAATATTTATTGTTTTTATTGCAAAATTTAATTATATTTTTTAGAAAATCTAGAATGCAGAAATAAGAAGAAAACACAATTTTAACATTTTAGTGCACTTCCAGTTTTTATATAGTTATTTCTAAATATGTGGCTCTTTTAATTTCAAAATTTCTAAAGAACCAGTAAGTTGGCTGGGTGTGGTGTCTCACATCTGTAATACCAGCACTTTGGAAGGCTGAAGTGGATGGATTGCTTGAGCTTAAGAGTTTGAGACCAGCCTGAGCAACATGGGGAAACCTTGTCTCTATAAAAAAAATATAAAAATTAGCTGGGCATGTGGTGGTGCACACCTGTGGTCCCAGGTACTTGTGAGGCTGAGGTGGAAGTATTGCTCGGGTCCAGGAGGTCAAGGCTGCAGTGAGCCATGATCACGCCATTGCACTCCAGCCTGGGTGACAGAGCAAAACCCTGTCTCAAAAACAAAACAAAACAAAAACAAAAACAAAAACAGTAAGTTAACTTACACAGGTTTGCTAGACATTGGTTTTCAGAAGACATTTCTGTGTATGTTAGAGGAGCCTTGTGGTTCAAAATTACTGTTTGTTTTTCTTTAGTTCCTGAAGGATAAGACCTTGCTACTCAAAGTATGGTCTGGGAATTAGTAACATCGGTATTAAGTAAGAGCATATTCAAAATGAAGAATTTTGAGCCCCACCCCACTCCTAGTGAATCCAAAACTGTATTTTAATATGATTTCTAGGTGATTTACCTACACATTAAGTTTTGAGTAACACTACCATAGGGACAATTTGACAAAATATCTTTTCTTATCTAAGATAGTTGTTGAAGGCCTGATGAGTCCTAAATTTCCAGGACAATAGTTCTCACTTCCACAAAAGTGCTGTTGGAACAAGGCTAATTAGAGATCCACCAAACAGCCTGCAGGAAAACACTGAGCTAGCTCTGCGTGTCAGGAGATGAAGGATGTAAAATAAATCTGGGATACACTAACATGCCAATAAAACTCTGTAAATCTGAAGTCTGTATTGTTCAACATTTTATTACTTTATCAAAGTGCTCTTCCTAGGTTCACTGTTAGATTACCAAGAAATGGTGTTGTACCCATTGAAAAACCCAGCAATTAGGTTCACCAATAGCATTTTCGTTATGAGGGCTTTTGATAGAGGGGTCCATTGACTTGGAGAATTGAGACTGACTTAAAAAACAAACAACAGAAAGAAAACACTCCTGGAACATGTCCTGGAAATAGAACACCCTTTAGAATGGGAGTACACATGTGTTTTTTTTACCCTCATATCCCTTATTTGCTGGAATAGAAATGTAACTACCCAGCAGGTTTGAGCCAGTTTCACGGTGAGCATGACTAATAATAATAATAACCTACATTTGACAGCATTTTATGATTCACAAGGTATTATGGCAGTGCTTCTCAAACTTCAGTGTACACACTGATTGCCTGGGGATCTTGTTAAAGTGAGAATACTGTTTCATCAGGTCCAGAGTAGGCCTGCAGTTGCCTTTTTAACCAATTCCCAGATGGTGCTGATATTGCTGGTCCACAAACCACGCTTTGAGTAGCAAGTGCTTAGCATAATCTCTCTTGAGATTCACAGAAATTATGTTAGGTAGGTAGAACAGTCATTTTTTTCTTTCCCTTCAGAATATTTGTTCTATGAGGGTAAGGATTTGGTTGTTTTGTGTTCATTGCTATATCCCAAGTGCATATAATAGGAGGCACTCAATACACTTTTGTTGGATGAACGAATGACTGAATATTAATTTTATAGAAGAATTTATATGCCTTACTTAAAGTCACATTCTAATAAGTGGCAAATCTGACATTTGAATCTAATAAACTATTTGAATCAGAGAATTTGGTAACGAATGAATCACTTTAGTGGTTTGCCCTTTCTTCTGGTAATTTTTTTTGAAGGAACCTTTTTAATTGAAGCCTAACATAGAAAAATGAGCAAATCTGAAGTGTACAGTTGGTGCATTTATAGAAAGGGAACACATTGATGGAACCACCTCTCAGACCAGGGAATTACCAGCTCCCCAGAAGCCTCCTTCATATCTGCTCCCAGTCATTATTTTCTTTCTCCAAGGTGGATGCTTTTATAACCTCTATCACCATAGAATACTTTCGAACTTGACAGAAATAGAATTTTATAACATGTGCTTTGTAGTACATGCCTTTTTTCCTTCAACATTATGTTTGTGTTCTTAAATACAGCAATACTTTTATAGTATTCCCTTGTGTATATTTTGTGCATATTCCATGAATATACTGCAATTTATCATACGTTTCACTGTTGATGGGCATTGTGGTTGATCCCAGTATTTGGCTAATATAAATAGTGCTACTGTGGAAAATTTTGCATGTGATTTTTGATGCACATATGTACCTACTTGCATTGCATATACAGGTAGAAGTGGAATAGATTTTGGGTATAGTCAGTTATTGCAGATATTGGCGAATAATTTTCCTTTCCAGCTTTGTTGAAGTATAGTTCATAATAAAAATTGTAGATAGGTATACAATGTGATATTTTCACATATGTATACATTGTGAAATGATTACATATCAAGCTAATTAACATATTTATCACTTCCTGTAGTTAGCTTTCTTTGGTGATAAGAATACTTAAGATCTACTTACCTTAACCAATTTCAAGTATATATTATTTTAACCCTAGTCACCATGCTGTACACTAGGTCTACAGAAGTTATTCATCTTATACCCTTTAACCAACATTTTCCTGTTTCTCCTATCCCCCCAGTCGATAGTAACCATCCTTGTGCTCTGTTTCTATGTGTTTGACTTTTTAAAAGTCCACATGTAAGTGAGACCATGCAGTAATGTACATGGTAATGCATAGATAGTGATTTTATTTTCTTTGGATATATACCCAGAAGTGGGATTGCTGGATCATATGGTGGTTCTATTTCTAATATTTTGAGGAACCTCCATACTGTTTCCTGTAATGGATGTACCAATTTGCATTTCTCCCAACAATGTATAAGGGTTCTCTTTTCTCCACATCCCTTCCATTAGTTGTTACATTTTGTCTTTCTGATAATAACCATCCTAACAAGTGTCAGGTGATATCTCATTATGATTTTGATTAGCATTTCCCTGATAATTAATGATGTTGAGTATTTTGTCATGTATCATTGGCTATTTTTACATCTTCTTTGGAAAAGTGTCTATTTAGGTGTGTTGTCCATTTTTTAATTTGATCATTAGTGTTTTTTTGTTGTTGAAATGAGTTCTTTATATATTTTGGATATTAACTCTTTATCAGCTATATGGTTTGCAAATTTTTTTTATTCTGTAGGTTGCCTTTTCATATTGTTGATTGTTTCCTTTGTTGTGCAGAAACTTTTCCATTTGAGGTAGTCCCACTTGTTTATTTTTGCTTTTGTTGCTCATGCTTTTGGTGTAATATCCAAAATTTATTGCCAACAGTTTTTCAAACTAATTAAATTAATGATTTCTTCTGCCTTTTCTTTGACTTTTTACTTTTTAAAAAAAATATTTAATTTTAATTTTTTTACTCTGTTGATTATTTATTTTTAAAATTATTCATTTATTTATTTAGAGGTGGTTCTTGCTATGTTGCCCTGGCTGGTCTTCAACCCTTAGCCTCAAGTGATCCTCCTGCCTCAGCCTCCCGAGTAGCTGGGATTACAGGTATGAGCCACAGCACATGGCTTAAAAAATTTTTAATTAACATAATAATTATACATATTCATGGGCAACATAGTGATATTTTAAAACATATAATGTATAGTGATCAAATCAGAGTAATTAGCATATCCATCATCTCAATTACTTATGCCTTTTTTTTGGGAACATTCAGTATTCTCCTTCTAGCTATTTGAAACTATATAATATATTATTGTTAACTATAGTTATCCTACAGTGGTATAGAACACTAGAACTGATTTCTCCTACATTCTTGTAATTTTGTGTCTTTTAATAAATCTCTCCCTACACCCCCTTTCCTCCACCCTTCCCAGCCTCTAGTATTCTCTGTTCTACTTTTTACTTTTATGAGATCAACTTTTTTAGCTTCCACATATGCATGAGAACGGGCAGTGTTTAATTTTCTGTTCCTGGCTTTTTTCACTTACCATAATGTCTTCCCATTTCATCCATGGTGCCACAAATGACAGGATTTCATTCTTTTTAATGGCTAAATAATATTCCATTTTATATATATACCACATTTTAAAAATTCATCTATTGTTGGACACCAAGGTTGATTTAGTGTCTTAGTTATTGTGAATAGTGCTATAATAAATGTGGGGTACAGATTTCTCTTTGATATACTGATTTTCTTTCTGCTGGAAAAATGACCAGTAGTGGGATTGCTAGGTTATGTGGTAGTTCTATTTGTAGTTTTTTGATGAATCTTTGATGTTTTAATGTTGATTAAATTCTCTAGATAATCATTGAAATTCTTTTACCTTTTGATGCATGAAGAACTTTGGTGTGGATTTTATTTCTGGGAATTTTGGGTCAAGATGGTGAACTGGGCACACACTTTTACTTCCTTTTAACATCTCATAAAATGGTAATAAATGGATTTTTTTGAGGAGAAATATGTAAATATAAAATGACAAAAAATGAGCGACAATATCAGCACAATTTGAAATATTTGAGAAAGCTGTATCTTAAGCCAGCAGTGGAAAAGCCGAGAAGAAATCTGATTTACACCACGGGACTTCTAAAAGCTTGAGGAACTGGTACATGGGCTTTCCTGGAAGAGGGGAGGTAGTGCTAAATAAAATAGCATCAATTTAGAGTCTGTTGAAAAAGCAATTTGACCTCCTTTCCCAGTCCATACGCTTAACAATTGTTTTCCACCCAACTCACTTTGGAAGAAAGCTGAGGAAAATTGCCCACTGGAGACTGTAAAATAGAGGGTCTCTGCACTAGGATTTGTCAATAGAGTTGAAAACAGGAATTAAGCAAATATTTACATTCTGAATATAGGATTTGTCAATACAGTTGAGCTGAAAACAGAGGAATTAAGCGAATATTTACATCCTGAGTACTGAGACCACCCCAGACCTCTTGTACACTCACTTGTCAAAATTTTGACAGGCAGACCTATATCTTGTAGATAGGAGACTAGAAGATTCTTCTCTAGGAACTCAACCAGACCAAGAATAAGAAGTAATGGTACTGACAATAGAGGAGAGGGAGCTCCAAGGAGGAGAAGGAGCTCCAAGGCCCAGCTAGATTAATAGCTATAGTGAAACCCATAGTAGTCAAGTCCCAATCACAGGCTCAGAACTTCCAGTCAGCTCCTTTAGGGCTTCACTCTTAAAAATGAATAGGCAGACAAAGTCATCAACTAGCTGAGAAAAGATTTCATCATGAAACAGAGAGACAAAACAAACACACAGAAAAAAATCAACTTAGGAGAAAAGAAAATTTTTCAGAGGAAAGGGTACTTAAAACATCATCATTAGGGTCCGCAGAGAAACATAAGATAATATTGCATTCATGAAACACAAACAGGATTCTTTAAAAGGGGACAATTGGGAACTCTTAGAAATTAAAAATACGATAACAGAAATGAGAAGGTCAATGGAACAGTGGGAAGATAAAATTAAAGAAATCTCTATAAAAGTTGAACAAAAGGAAAATATGAAAAAGGGAAGAGAAAATATAATAAAATTAGAGGACCAGATCATGAGATTCAATGTCTTTATATCAAGAGTTTCAAAGGGAGAGGAAGAAAAGAAGGAAAATAGAACAGAGGAAATCACTGCCTGATATGGTTTAGCTGTGTCCCCACCCAAATCTCATTTTGAATTGTAATCCAAATTGTAATCCCCATAGGTTGGGGAAGGGACTTGGTGGGAGATGACTGGATCATGAGGGCGGTTTCCCCCATGCTGATTGGATCATGAGGGCAGTTTCCCCCATGCTGTTCTTGTGATAGTGAGTGAGTTCTCATGAACTGTGATGGTTTTATAAAGGGGTCTCCCCCCTTCACACTCTCTCTTTCCTGCCACCTTGTGAAGAAGGTACTTGCTTCTTCTTTGACTTCCGCCATGACTGTACATTTCCTGAGGCCTCTCCAGCCATGCAGAGCTGTGAGTCAATTAAACCTCTTTCCTTTATAAATTACCCAGTCTCAAGTATTTCTTTATAGCAGTTGAGAATGGACTAATACACCACCCATATAATTAAACACAAATTTCTAGAACTGAAGGTTAGAGTTTCCAGGTTGAAAGGATCCATAGGCTGCTCAGCAGAATGGATTAAAAGTAGATTGACTCCAATGTACATCATTTTATAATACTGGGGAAACAAAGAAGTTCTAAAAACTCCCGGAAATGGAAAACAAACAAACACAGTCACATGCAAAAGGTGAAAAATTAGGGTACTTATTGATTTTTCAGTAGTAACAACAGAGGCTAGAATAGACTGGAAAAATACCTTAAAAAGTTTTGAGGAAAATTAATTCTTAACCTAGAATTTTATACTTGGGGAAATTCATAAGCAAATATGAGAATAGAATTTTGAAATTCTGATATTCAAGGTATGAACATTTTTATCTTCTATGAGATTCTCATAGATTTACTGCTGAATATGATCTCAGAGATTTATTGTTGGATATGACCCATCGTAATGGAGTAAACTAAAAAAGGAGAAAAACATGGGAAATAAGAAACAGGAGATTTAGCTAAGTAGCGTGGCTCACACCTATAATCTAAGCACTTAGGGAGGCTGAAGAGGATGGATCACTTGAGCCCAGGAATTGGACACTGCCTGGGAAACATGGTGAAACTTCATCTCTACAAAAATACAAAAATTAGTTGGGCATAATGGCATGTGCCTGTAGTCCCAGATACTCAGGAGGCTGAGGTGGGAGGATGGGTTGAGCCCAGGAAGTCAAAGCTGCAGTGAATGACGAGACTCTCTTAAAAAAAAAAAAAAAAAAGAAGCAGGAGATTTAATGCAAGAGGTTGGGAAAGACTCTTCAGAATGAATGAAGGGAGATCTCAGGACAATAGCTCAATATTAGGCATAGAGGACAATGTCCAGAATTAAGCAAATCACAAAGATCCAGAAAATATTTTCTTTTTCTTTTTTTTTTTTTTTTTTTTAATTATACTCAAGTTCTGGGATACATGTGCAGACGCACATGTTTGTTACATAGGTATACACATGCCATGGTGGTTTGCTGTACCCATCAACCCGTCATTTACATTAGGTATTTCTCCTAATGCTATCCCTCCCCTAGCCCCTAACCCCGCAACAGGCTCCAGTGTGTGATATTCCCCTCCCTGTGTCCATGTGTTCTCATTGTACAACTCCCACTTACGAGTGAGAACATGCGGTGTTTGGTTTTCTGTTCCTGTGTTAGTGAGTTTGCTGAGAATGATGGTTTGCAGCTTCATTCATGCCCCTGCAAAGGACATGAACTCATTCTTTTTTATGGCTGCATAGTATTCCATGGTGTATATGTGCCACCTTTTCTTTATCCAGTCTATCATTGATGGGTACTTGGGTTGGTTCCACATCTTTGCTATCATGAATAGTGCTGCAATAAACATACATATGCATGTGTCTTTATAGTAGAATGATTTATAGTAGAATGATTTATAACCCTTTGGGTATATACCCAGTAATGGGATTGCTGGGTCAAATGGTATTTCTGGTTATAGATCCTTAAGATATTGCCACACTGTCTTCCACAATGTTGAACTAATTTATACTCCCACCAACAGTGTAAAAGCGTTCCTATTTCTCCACATCCTCTCCAGCATCTGTTGTTTCCTGACTTTTTAATTATCACCATACTAACTGGCATGAGATGATATCTCATTGTAGTTTTGATTTGCATTTCTCTAATGACCAGTGATGATGAGCTTTTAAAAAATATGTTTGTTGGCTGCATAAATGTCTTCTTTTGAGAAGTGTCTGTTCATATCCTTTGCCCACTTTTTGACAGGGTTGTTTGTTTTTTTCTTGTAAATTTGTTGAAGTTCCTTGTAGATTCTGAATATTAGCCCTTTGTCAGATGGATAGGTTGCCTGTTCACTCTGATGATAGTTTTTTTTGCTGTGCAGAAGCTCTTTAGTTTAATTAGATCCCATTTGTCAATTTTGGCATTTGTTGCCATTGCTTTGGTGTTTTAGATATGAAGTCTTTGCCCATGCCAATGTCCTGAATCATATTGCCTAGGTTTTCTTCTAGGATTTTTATGTTTTTAGGTCTCACATTTAAGTATTTAATCCATCTTAAGTTAGTTTTTGCATAAGGTGTAAGGAAGGGGTCTAGTTTCAGTTTTCTGCATATGGCTAGCCAGTTTTCCCAACCCCATTTATTAAATAGGGAATCCTTTCCCCACTTCTTGTTTTTGTCAGGTTTGTCAAAGATCAGATGGTTGTAGATGTGTGGTGTTATTTCTGAGGCCTCTGTTCTGTTTCATTGGTCTATATATCTGTTTTGGTACCAGTCCATGCTGTTTTGGTTACTGTAGCCTTGTAGTATAGTTTGAAGTCAGGTGGTGTGATGCCTCCTGCTTTGTTCTTTTGCTTAGGATTGTCTTGGCTATGCGGGCTCTTTTTTGGTTCCATATCAGGTTTAAAGTAGTTTTTTCCAACTCTGTGAAGAAAGTCAATGGTAGCTTGATGGGGATAGCATTGAATCTATACAATACTTTGGGCAGTATGGCCATTTTCACGATATTGATTCTTGCTATCCATGACCATGCAATGTTTTTCCATTTGTTTGTGTCCTCTCTTATTTTGTTGAGCAGTGGTTTGTAGTTCTCCTTGAAGAGGCCCTTCACATCCCTTGTAAGTTGTATTCCTAGGTATTTTATTCTCTTAATAGCAACTATGTATAGGAGTTCCCTCATGATTTGGCTCTCTTTTTGTCTGTTACTGTTGTATAGAAATGCTTGTGATTTTTGCACATTGAGTTTGTATCCTGAGACTTTGCCGAAGTTGCTTATCAGCTTAAGGAGATTTTGGGCTGAGATGGTAGGGTTTTCTAAATCTATAATCATGTCATCTGCAAACAGAAACAATTTGACTTCTTCTTTTCCTGTCTGAATACCCTTTATTTCTCTCTCTTGCCTGATTGCCCTGGCCACAACTTACAACACTATGTTGAATAGGAGTGGTGAGAGAGGGCATTCTTGTCTTGTGCCAGTTTTCAAAGGGAATGCTTCCAGTTTTTGCCCATTTAGTATGATATTGGCTGTGTGTTTGTCATAAATAGCTCTTAATATTTTGAGATACATTCCATCAATACTTAGTTTATTGAGAGTTTTTAGCATGAAAGGGTGTTGAATTTTATCGAAGGCCTTTTCTGCCTCTATTGAGTTAATCATGTGGTTTTTGTCATTGGTTCTGTTTATGTGATTGATTACTTTTATTGATTTGCATATGTTGAACCAGCCTTGCATCCCACGGATGAAGCCAACTTGATCGTAGTGGATAAGCTTTTTGATGTGCTGCTGGATTCGTTTTGCCAGTATTTTATTGAGGATTTTTGCATCGACGTTCGTCAGGGATATTGGCCTGAAATTTTCTTTTTTTTTTTTTTTTTGTATCTCTTCCAGATTTTGGTATCAGAATGATGCTGGCCTCATAAAATGAGTTAGGGAGGAGTCTCTCTTTTTCTATTGTTTGGAATAGTTTCAGAAGGAATAATACCAGTTCCTTTTTGTACCTCTGGTAGAATTCGGCTGTGAATCCATCTGGTCCTGGGCTTTTTTTGGTTGGTAGGCTATTAATTACTGCCTCAATTTCAGAACTTGTTATTGGTCTATTCAGACTTGGTTTAGCCTTGGGAGGGTGTATGTGTCCAGGAATTTATCAATTTCTTCTAAATTTTCTAGCTTATTTGTGTAGAGGTGTTTATAGTATTCTCTGATGGTAGTTTGTATTTCTGTGGGATCAGTGGTGATATTCCGTTTATCATTTTTTATTGTGTCTATTTGATTCTTCTCTCTTTTCTTCTTTATTAATCTGGCTAGCAGTCTATTTTTTAATCTTTACAAAAAACCAGCTCCTGGGTTCATTGATTTTTTTGAAGGGTTTTTCATGTCTCTATCTCTTTCAGTTCTACTCTGACCTTAGTTATTTCTTGTCTTCTGCTAGCTTTTGAATTTGTTTGCTGTTGCTTCTCTAGTTCTTTTAATTGGGATATTAGAGTGTTGATTTTAGATCTTTCCTACTTTCTCTTGTGGGTATTTAGTGCTATAAATTTCCCTCTACACACTGCTTTAAATGTGTCCCAGAGATTCTGGTACATTATGTCTTTGTTCTCATTGGTTTCAAAGAGCTTGTTTTTTTCTGCCTTCATTTCGTTATTTACCCAGTAGTCATTCAGGAGCGGGTTGTTCAGTTTCCAAGTAGTTGTGTGGTTTTGAGTCAGTTTCTTAATCCTGAGTTGTAATTTGATTGCACTGTGGTCTGAGAGACAGTTTGTTGTGATTTCTGTTCTTTTACATTTGCTGAGGAGTGTTTTACTTCCAATTATGTGGTCAATTTTAGGTTAAGTGCGATGTGGTGCTGAGAAGAATGTATATTCTGTTGATTTGGGGTGGAGAGTTCTGTAGATGTCTATTAGGTCTGCTTGGTCCAGAGCTGAGTTCAAGTCCTGAATATTCTTAATAATTTTCTGTCTCATTGGTCTGTGTAATATTGACAATGGGGCATTAAATTCTCCCTTTATTATTGTGTGGTGGCCTAAGTCTCTTTGTAGGTCTCTAAGAACTTGCTTTATGAATCTAGGTGCTCCTGTATTGGGTGCATATATATTTAGGATAGTTAGCTCTTCTTGTTGAATTGATCCCTTTACCATTGTGTAATGGACTTCTTTGTCTTTTTTGATCTTTGTTGGTTTAAAGTTTGTTTCATCAGAGACTAGTATTGCAACCCCTGCTTTTTTTTTCTTCTTTCCATTTGCTTGGTAATTATTCCTCCATCCCTTTATTTTGAGCCTATGTGTGTCTTTGTACATGAGATGGGTCTCCTGAATACAGCACACTGATGGGTCTTTACTCTTTATCCAATTTGCCAGTCTGTATCTCTTACTTGGAGCATTTAGCCCAGTTACATCTAAGGTTAATATTGTTATGTGTGAATTTGATGCTGTCATTATGATGCTAACTGGTTATTTTGCCTGTTAGTTCATGCAGTTTCTTCATAGTGTCAATGGTCTTGACAATTTGGTACATTTCTCCAGTTGCTGGTACTGGTTTTTCCTTTTCATATTTAATGCTTCCTTTAGGAACTTTTGTAAGGCAGGCCGGGTGGTGACAAAATCTTTCAGCATTTGCTTGTCTGTAAAGGATTTTATTTCTCCTTTGCTTATGAAGCTTAGTTTGGCTGGATATGAAATTTTGGGTTGAAAATTCTTTAAGAATGTTGGATATTCACCCCCACTCTCTTCTGGTGTGTAGGGTTTCTGCAGAGAGATCTGCTGTTAGTCTCATGGGCTTCCCTTTGTGGGTAACCTGATCTTTCTCTCTGGTTGCCCTTAACATTTTTTCCTTCATTTCAACCTTGGTGAATCTGACGATTATATGTCTTGGGGTTGCTCTTCTTGAGGAGTATCTCTGTGGTGTTCTCTGTATTTCCTGAATTTGAATGTTGGCCTTTCTTGGTAGGTTGGGGAATTCTCCTGGATAATATCCTGAAGAGTGTTTTCCAACTTGGTTCCATTCTCTCTGTCACTTTCAGGTACACCAATCAAACGTAGGTTTGGTCTTTTCACATAGTCCCATATTTCTTGGAGGCTTTGTTTGTTCCTTTTCATTCTTTTTTCTCTATCTTGTCTTTACACTTTATTTCATTAAGTTGATCTTCAATCTCTGATATCCTTTCTTCTGCTCCATCGATTTGGCTATTCATACTTGTGTATGCTTCATGAAGTTCTTGTGCTGTGTTTTTCAGCTCCATCAGGTCATTTATGTCCTTCTCTAAACTGGTTATTCTAGTTAGCAATTCATCTAACTCTTTTCAAGGTTTTTAGCTTCCTTGCTTTGGGTTAGAACATGCTTCTTTAGCTCAGAGGAGTTTGTTACTTCCCATCTTCTGAAGCCTACTTCTGTCAATTCATCAAACTTATTCTCTGTCCAGTTTTGTTCCATTGCTGATGAGGAGTTGTGATCCTTTGGAGGAGAAGAGGTGTTCTGGTTTTTGGAATTTTCAGCTTTTTTGTGCTGGTTTTTCCTTATGTTTGTGGATTTATCTACCTTTGGTCTTGATGTTGGTGACCTTCGGATAGGGTTTCTGTGTGGATGTCCTTTTTGTTGATGTTGATGCTATTTCTTTCTGTTTGTTAGTTTTCCTTCTAACAGTCAGGCCCCTCTGCTGCAGGTCTGCTGGAGTTTGCTCGAGGTCCACTCCAGACCCTGTTTGGGTATCACCAGTGGAGGCTGCAGAACAGGAAAGATTGCTGCCTGTTCCTTCCCCTGGAAGCTTCATCCCAGAGGGGCACCCGCCAGATGCCAGCCAGAGCTCTCCGGTATGAGGTGTCTGTCGACTCCTGCTGGGAGGTATCTCCCAGTCAGTAGGCATGGGGGTTAGGGACCCACTTGAGGAGGCTGTCTGTCCCTTAGCAGAGCTTGAGCACTGTGCTGGGAGATCCCCTGCTCTCTTCAGAGTCAGCAGGCAGGAATGTTTAAGTCTGCTAAAGCTGTACCCACAGCTGTCCCTTCCCCCAGGTGCTCTGTCCCAGGGAGATGGGAGTTTTATCTATAAGTCCCTGACTGGGGCTGCTGCCTTTCTTTCAGAGATGCCCTGCCCAGAGAGGAGGAATCTAGAGAGGCAGACTGGATACAGCAGCTTTGCTGAGCTGTGGTGGGCTCCGCCCAGTTTGAACTTCCTGGAGTCTTCATGTACACTGTGAAGGGAAAACTACCTACTGAAGCCTCAGTAATGGTGGACACCACTCCCCACACCAAGCTCAAGTGTCCCAAGTTGACTTCAGACTGCTGTGCTGGCAGTAACAATTTCAAGCCAGTGGATCTTAGCTTGCTGGTCTCCATTGGGGTGGGATCCCTGAGCTAGACCGCCTGGCTTCCTGACTTCAGACCCCTTTCCAGGGGAGCGAATGGTTCTGTCTCGCTGGCATTCCAAGCACCACCGGGGTATGAAAAAAACTGCAGCTAGCTTGGTGTCTGCCCAAACAGCTGCCCAGTTTTGTGCTTGAAACCCAGGGCCCTGGTGGTGTAGGCACCTGAGGGAATCTCCTGGTCTGCGGGTTGTGAAGACTATGGGAAAAGCATAGTATCTGGGCCAGAAGGTACTGTTCCTCATGGTGCAGTCCCTCATGGCTTCCCTTGGCTAGGGGAGGGAGTTCCCTGACCCCTTGTGCTTCCTGGGTGAGGTGATGCCCCACCCTGCTTCAGCTCACTCTCTGTGGGCTGCACCCACTCTTTAACCAGTCCCAATGAGATGAGCTGTGTACCTCAGTTGGAAATGCAGAAATCATCTGCCTTCTGTGTTGATCTTGCTGGGAGCTACAGACCAGAGCTGTTCCTATTCAGCCATCTTGCCAGCCAAATATTTTCTTAAGAAGATGAAGTTAACAGACTATCTGACACTGTGTTTCACAATGTTTATGGGAGTTTTAGATATGTGACAGAGTTTGGAATTGAATTGATGATAAGTAAATATACTACTCATCTTATGAGCAAATAAGAAAAAACAAGCAAACAGCAGTTCCTTCTCACCTGGGTCCTTCTTTCTCCCATTCCCAGTCAATAAAAGCTTGTGCAGGAAATGGAATTAATTGTAGTTGACTACATGTCTCAGCTGTGAATGACATTTACATAGTCATGATAATGTAAACAGTGAATGTTGATCTAGCTGAAATTTCAATGCAACTCTATTAAGTGAATGAGGGGGGTGGTGGTAGTAACGGAAAGAATGTGTTTACTGTGGGGTGAGGGGAGGGTTAAAGAAAGCTAAAGCTTTACCTTCCCTCCTAGAAAATCAGTAGACAATCACTAAAACCGAGACATCAAGAAATACAATATGCTCATATTATTTAGAGATATAGTGATAAATTCCAAAGAATCCTCTGAAGGAGTGGAAAATTGTTTCCTCTAGATCGGGGGCTACTGTTTTTCATATTTAAAAAAATGACATGTCGGGCCGGGCTTGGTGGCTCACGCTTGTAATCCCAGCACTTTGGAAGGCGGAGGCGGGCGGATCACGAGGTCAGGAGATTGAGAACATCCTGGCTAGCACGGTGAAACCCCGTCTCTACTAAAAATACAAAAAATTAGCCAGGCGTGGTTGCCGGCACCTGTAGTCCCAGCTACTCGGGAGGCTGAGGCAGGAGAATAGCGTGAACCCGGGAAGGCGGAGCTTGCAGTGAGCGGAGATAATGCCACTGCACTCCAGCCTGGGTGACAGAGCGAGACTCCGTCTCAAAAAAAAAAAAAAAAAAAAAAAAGATATGTCTTTTCAAATTATGTGAAAGTATACATCTGATAAAAATAAAAAGAAATGTTTTATTTTAATTCTATCACTGATGACTATTCAGCTTTCTTAAGGCTTAATTTAGCTATCTATAAAATGAGCATTTTAATCAATGATTAAAAGATGTCTTGTTCTGACCAACTGTTCTGGTCTCTAGTCCCACACAGTCATTTGCAGGTATCCGGAGGAACCTATTTGAAAGTAACTGTCTATTGTTTCTCCTTTATTTACAAGGGTTCTGGGGAGGAGTGAAAATGACAAAAGAGAGGTGGCAGGAAGGAGGAGGATGTTTGAGTATTCCCACAAACGGTTGATTAGTCAGTGAATTAAAGAGAGTTCTTGTTCCTGGATAATTTGGAATGAACACATTTCCTGTTCACTCAGAGATACAGCAGCGAGTTTATTCTGGGTGGCTTCCACAGTGACCATTGTGGAGAAGAAATCTTGTAATATAATTGAAGAACAATAGCCATATAATTAACACAGATGTTCAGGTATGAGTCATTGAAAAATTATCATCCTTACTGTGAAATAAGATTGGTCAAGGCGAGGCTGGTCCTTCAAAGAAGGAAAACCCAACATGGTGCAATGTGTGCTGCAGGTAAGGCCGTGGTGTGATTTTGAACGCAAAGTTGCCTCTGGCTCAAGTTCTCTTGGGCTCGAGTCCCAGGCTCTTGCTTGTAACTCCTCTATTGCTTGTCACTGTTATGTAGAGCAGTGTTTCTCAAGTTTGAGTGAATCTTCAAATAACCTGGTGGGCTTGTTGAAACACATATTCCTGAGTTGGATGTCCAGAAATTCGGATTTAGTAGGTCTGTGGTGGGGCCCAGAATATTCATTTTTAACAAGTTGCTATGTGATGTTGCTGCTGCTGCTGCTACTAGGTGTTGAATCACACTTTGTGTAGCACCAAGTGCAGACTTCTGAGAGGGTCAATGGACATCAAATAAGTTTAATGAGAGTGAATGAATGTGTCAGGTGTTTCTAGAGAATAGTGTTTTTTTTTTTTAATTATGAAATATGGCTGGGCGTGGTGGCTCACGCCTGTAATCCCAGCACTTTGGGAGGCCGCGGTGAGTGGATCACAAGGTCAGGAGTTCAAGACCAGCCTGGCCAACATGGTGAAACCCCGTCTCTACTAAAAATACAAAAATTAGTTTGGCATGGTGGTGGTTGCCTGTAACCCCAGCTACTCAGGAGGCTGAGACAGAGAATTGCTTGAACCCGGGAGGCAGAGGTTGCAGTGAGCCGAGATCGTGCCACTGCACTCCAGCCTGGGCGACAGAGTGAGATTCCGTCTCAAAAAAACAAAATTATGAAATATATCCTATAAATGGAAGGGTGCACAAAATATATTTGAACAAATATATGTTTGTTCAGCTTAAAAGATAATGGTTTACAAAACTCAATGTACCCACTCAGTGGGAACAATGACCTACCCAGTGGGTCAAGAAATTAGAACATTTCAGTACATTAGAGAATAGTTGGGGTGACTTGTTTAGCTTATACTATGTTTAATTTTTAGCATCTATGTTCATGATTGAAACTGGCCTATTATTTTCCTTCTTTGTACTGCTTTTGTCAGTTTTTAAAATAAAGGTTATACAAAGCTCGGAAACAGAATTGAGTATTTTTTCTGTTTTCTATAGATTGGAATAATTTCTGTTAAATTGTAATTATATTTAAAAAATCGAGTATATGCCTTCAATAACCAAATATGCACTATTTGAGTGGAAAATGTCATAGAAGCCAATACAAGTGGTTAGACTGCAGACCCAGTATCTTTAATGGTTAGAAAACTATTAACATGTTTTACTCGAAGGGATTTGTGTTAAGTGATATTTTTCAAGACATTTTAATGTATTATCTAAGTTTTCAAATGTTTTTTCTTTTTGAATTCCTGATTTTATTTATACTTTTCTTTTTTTAAATCCATTTTACCATAGATTGGTAAAAGTTGTATTAGTTTTTTAATTAAATAATTTTCAGCTTTGTTATGTGTCTCTATTATATAATGTTAATGTGTTTGTTTATTTAGTTTTTTTGAGACAGAGTCTTGCTCTGTTGCCCAGGCTGGAATGCAGTGGCATGATCTCGGCTTACTGCAGCCTCTGCCTCCTGGGTTCAAGTGATTTTCGTGCCTCAGCCTCCCAAGTAGCTGGGACTACAGGTGTGCACCACCACACCTGGCTAATTTTTTGTATTTTTAGTAGAGACGGGGTTTCACCATGCTGCTCAGGCTGATCTCAATCTCCCAACTTCAAGTGATCTAACCACCTCGGCCTCCCAGAGTGCTGGGAATACAGGTGTGAGCCACTGCGCCTGGCCTACTTTTTATTATTTGCCATTTCTCCTATTAGGAGGTGGGGTCTATTTCTCCTCCGCTTGAATCTGAGTGGGCTGGTAATTGCTTGGACCAGTTGGGTGCAGTAGAAGTAACACTAGGTGACCTCTGACACTGGGTCACAAGAGGCCATGAAGCATATTTCTTGTTCACTGGAAAGCTTGTTCTTGGCACCTGGAACCATCATGGAAGACAGCTGATTACCCTGAGACTGCTGTTGAGGCCACATGTAGGCACTCTGAGTGACAGCCTCAGCTGAAGTTGCCCTTCACCCACCCCAGGCCAAGTGCCAGCTGTGTGAGTAAGAAAAGTGAATATTGAGAGTGCATTCTTCTGTCCCTGCTATTCCAGACATACCCTTTGAGTCACTTCACAGCCTTCAGAGTCATCATAGCTGAGACCCCAGAGGTCACTGGGCAGAGACAAATTATCTCTGTCCTGTTAAAATTCCTGACCACTAGAATGAAGGAACATAATAGTATGTTTATTGTTTTATGCCACTATGCTTCAGGCGGCTTGTTATGCAGTTAGATAACCAAAATAATAATGCCTACACACAGGCAATTGAGACTTTACTGACTATCACCGTTTCTCCATGTAGTCACAGCCATATATATCTGCAAATTTCAATAAATTTGATGGGCATAGAAATGCGTACAGAGTCACCACTGCTCTCACTTGGACTTGAGCTTGGCTTAGGATCTTTGTAAACTAGATGCCAGACTTAGCAGATAAATTGTTTTAAAGAGCAAAGTGTCTCTAGGCTCTTCACTTGGAGGAAGATTATTGCCCCCCACAGATGGGTTCATCCTTCACAGTTAGATTTCCTCTTTCTGTGGCTGAACGTATCAGCCACCCATTTAACTGGAAAGACTTGCTCCAGCCTAATTCTATTCTATTCATTTACTTCTGAAAAGCAAACCAAATAGCCCTTCAAGACTTCTTTCCCTTGGCACGGACTATTTGTTTTAAAATGTGCTCTGAGGCAGTCTGTATGTTCTTATTAATTGTAATTAAATTAATTAATTATTTTAGAAACAAGGTCTTGCTCAGTTGCCCAGGCTGGAGTCCAGTAGTGACTGTGGCTCACTGCAGCTTCAAACACCTGGGCTCAAATGATCCTCCTGCCTCAGCCACCCAAGAAGCTGGGACTACAGGTGTGTGTACTGTACCTAGCTAATTTTATTTTATACATTTTTTGTAGATATGGGGTCTTACTGTGTTGCCCAGGCTGGTTTCAAACTCCTGGCTCAAGTGATCTTCCCACCTTTGCCTCCCAAAATGCTGGGATTACAGGTGTGAGCCACAGCCCCTAGCCTTGCATTTTCTTTTGAGAAGGTTCTAGGACAAAGGCAACCTTATAGAGTGGCCAAACATCATACCTGCCAGATTTCAGATTGTGCCAAAGTTTTAGCTTTGTCAGTTTCTATTGAAATACCAGCAAGTATTGTAACATTTTATAGAGAGTGATGAGTGGTATCTATTTAATGTGGACTTTAGTACTTATATTTTATCCTCGTGGCCTTTATAAAACAAAACTTTATTTTTCTTGCCTTTTCTGGAAGTGTTTCCTCTTTTTTTAAATTTTTTTTTTTTTCAGACAGAATTTCGCTCTTGTTGCTCAGGCTGGAGTGCAGTGGCATAATCTTGGTTCACCACAACCTCCGCCTCCCGGGTTCAAGCGATTCTCGTCTCAGCCTCCTGAGTAGCTGGGATTACAGGCATGCGCCGCCACACCTGGCTAATTTTTTTGTATTTTTAGTAGAGACGGGGTTTCTCCATGTTGGCCAGGCTGGTCTCGAACTTCCGACCTCAGGTGATCCACCTGCCTTGGCCTCCCAAAGTGCTGGGATTACAGGTGGGAGCCACTGCGCCTGGCCCATGTTTCCTCTTTTTTAGTACCATAACATCCAGGTACTCAAATCCTTAAGTAAACTCATCAATAATATGTATTCTATTTATTTATATGCAAACAAAGCAGGGCACTCTGTAGAGCTGTCTCTGAACTTGGATTACTCAGAGTTCTAAAGTGTTATAAACTTCTATAGGGAAAATTCTGGAGAGAATTAACTGAGATTTGGCAAAGAAAGAAACCTTGACAGTTAAATGGGTGACAAAATCCAGTTAATTCTGCCATGTCCCTGGGGTTTCTTTAGCTTTATGATATCTTCTTCTTTGACTATGACAAAGGCTCCTACAGTCTTTTTGCCTTGGGACTCGGCTACCTACAGCTTCCCTGTTTTCCATGTGGCAGGTACATTTCTCTATAAGGGCATAGGCGCTCTGTCTTATTTGTGGTTGTATCTCCATTGCTTAGCACAGTGCTAATGCATAGTTCATGCACAACATATGCTTGAATAAGTGAATATTGAAAAATTATATTCTTCTTCTTCTCTGAAACCTTCAATGGATCCAGATGACCTAAAGAATCACATCTACTTTTCTTGGCATGACCCCAGCAGGCAGTAGATGCACTCAGGCAGTTGAGCAGCACCAATTACTAGAATAGGGGTGTGGTGGCATTGAGTGGAGCTAAGCGATAGGGTTGCCAGAAGGTTTAAACAAAAATACTCTGGACATACTTGATAAAAAATTATATAAAAATGTGCATACATGTATATATACATGTACACACACATATACATATGTAAAAGAAATGAGGATTTTAGTGATGATAATTTGCACTATATATTTTACAAAAGGTACTTTTATCTTTTTTTTTTTATTAAAACAAATCTCATTATTTGGCTGGGCACAGTGGCTCACACCTCTAATTCCAACACTTTGGGAGACCGAGGCGGGAGGATTGCTTGAGGCTAGGAGTTTGACACCAGCTCAGACAACATGACAAAACCCTGTCTCTAGAAAAAATACTAAAATTAGTCAGGCATAGTGGCACATGCCTGTAATCTCAGCTACTCAGGAGGCTGAGGTGGGAGGATCGCTTGAGACCAGGAGCTCGAGGCTGCAGTGAGCTATGATCATGCCATTGCACTCCAGCCTAGGCGACACAGCAAGTCTGTATCTCAAAACAAAGCACAACAAAACAAAAACCCTCATTATTTGATTTTTAATAAGTTAAAGGTAAAGTTAAAAAATCACTTCTTACAGATTTGAAACTCAGTCTGTTACATTGACAGACTTTTCAGGGCACTAAAAATTCTATCTAGACTGGTGTTTAATAAAGGGATTAAAATGAAATATTGAACTAGTTTTTACAAATCTGAAGTAACAGGCCCTTTGTTGTAAATACATACCCACTTACAAAAAGTCATTGCTTCTCAAGAGAAGGAGGCTTGCTTCTCACCTTCCTCATTATGAGACTATGAAAGGAAGGTTGTGTGTGTGTGTGTGTATGTGTGTGCACACAGGTGTGTGTCATAGTGAAAACATTCAGATTCTTAAACATCAGTAGATTATTCAGAATTGATTTTTCTGAAGGTCTTCCAAGCTCAAGAAGTAAATTTTCAAAGGTAATATTTTTCTCTTGGTATTTGAGAATTATTGTATGCATATTCAATATATTTCAGTGGAAAACTTACTGTCCATTTTAAATACACATTACTTTATTAGAAACATTTAGCTCTTTTGGGGGGTCAAAGAACACATTGAAGCTTTGATTTTGAGCTATTGTTATTTTTTTCATAAAGCTTCCAGAAGCTCTGCCATGTAAAAAGAAAGGGAGCAGCTGGACTCCTCCACTGGAAAGAGGGCAGCATTCACTGCAGTCACGTGGGCCCAGGTGGCGTCTGGGCACCAGGGTGCCTCGCCTTCAGGACCAGCTTCAGAGCTGGTTTCCTGGTAGAGAATCAGACTTACAGAGAGGGAAGGAAGGACTCTGTGAAAGCTGTATGGCATGTTAACAAAATCACTTAACTAGAAATATTTTCTCAATTGCTTTCCCTGACAGAAAAGTGAAATTCTGGAAAACACTAATTTGAGACACTGGACAATGCTACAGGATTGGAGAAGGCTCCTCAGTCTCCCATCTTTCCTTCTCTACAGCACACTCCCACACTATTCCCCACACAACAGCTGGAGAAATCCTTCTAAAAATGCCACAGTTAGATCATGCAACCTCCCTATTCAAAAGAACCCAGATCCCAGGGCTTTGCTTAATGTTCACGAATAAAACCCAAAAGTCCTCCTGGACTCTGGCCAGCTCTCAAACCCATCTCATGTTATTCCCCTTTGGGCTCTCAGCTCATCGATACTGAAAGTTCCCTTGCTGTTTCTGGAATGCTCGAATCCCACTGTCTTGTGAAGGCCTCTACACTTGCTGCTCCCTCTGTCATGAACACTGCTCCCCAGATGTTTAACATAGCTCATCTCCTGGCTTACTTAGGTCTTTGCTCAAATGTCACTTTTTCAGAGGCCTGACCACCCTGTCCTCAATCCCCATCTTAACACTCACTCCTGTCTGACTGTTTATCTGACTGTTTACCAGGTGTATATCTCTTTACTGTCTACCCCACTGAAAATGAATACTGATATATCCCCAATGCCTGGAATGGTGTCTGGTATGTAGCTAGTGTCAACTATTTGTGGAATGGATGAATGAATGAATGAATAAGTGAGAGCAACAAAAAATGACAAATATGATGAAAGAAAATCAGGTAAATGGGTTTATAAATGCTTTTTGAGAATATTCCCTCTATACAGATAATTTTATGAGCAGTTTATGGGAATTGAGCTTTGCAGAAAAAAAGAGAAGGGAAGGAAAGAAATGAGGCAGGGACAGAGAGACAGTGGTAGAGATGGAAAGACAGAGATGGGCTCAGTGGTTAGGAGAAGTAGTGGTGTAATTATTTGTTCATTCTAGCAGGCAAAAGATTTAGTCAAGCCCCAAATGGTCATGTCTTAAGTAAAAATCTATGGAACGGGCTGGGCGTGGTGGCTCATGCCTGTAATCCCAGTACTTTGGGAGGCCGAGGAAGGCGGATCACTTGAGGTCAGGAGTTCGAGACCAGCCTGGCCAACATGGTGAAACCCCATCTCCACTAAAAACACAAGAATTAGCTGGGCATGGTGGTGGGCACCTGTAATCCCAGCCACTCGGGAGGCTGAGGCAGGAGAATCACCCAAACCCGGGAGGCAGACGTTGCAGTGAGCTGAGATTATGCCACTGCACTCCAGCCTGGGCGACAGAGCGAGACTCCAGCTCAAAAAAAAAAAAAAAAAAATTCCATGGAACGATTGTATGAATGATGTTAGGGGTTTTCCTGGTCAACAATAAAGATGTGAAACAGATTTTCAAGGGACTTGTTAAGTGGGTGGTGAAGGATTTGTTGACATGCTCAATGTAGGAATTGAAAATTAATCAAAAGCCTTAGAGAACTATTAGAGGAACTGATAAGATCACCAACAGAAGACATTGCACTCTATGGGGGACTTATGGGGTTTTCAGGGGTAATTTGAATTGCGTAAAATTTTCACTTTATGGGCTAACCCACCTAGTCCTGGAGTAAGACATGACTCCATTTCAAAGGGAGAAAGAAAGATTAAGATTTGTTCTAGTTGTACACTCAAATTGGTAGGGTCTCTCATTTTAGGTTAAGGAGGAAAAAAAAATTGGTAAGGTCGAGAGAAGATGATGTTCACCGGGCCAGGAGTGGTGGTTTATGCCTGTAATCCCAGCACTTCGGGAGGCCGAGGTGGGTGGATCACCTGAGGTCAGGAGTTCGAGACCAGCCTGACCAACATGGAAAAACCCTGTCTCTACTAAAAATACAAAATTAGCCAGGCGTGGCGACACATGCCTGTAATCCCAGCTAATCGGGAGGCCGAGGCAGGAGAATCGCTTGAACCTGGGAGGTGGAGGTTGTGGAGAGCCAAGATTGTGCCACTGCGTTCCAGCCTGGGCAACAAGAGTGAAACTCCGTCTCAAAAAAAAAAAAAAAGAAAATATGATGTTCACCCTAGAAGTAGTTATGTGTCCCACCCATCTTCCCAACTGATAAGTATTTAGGAAGGACCTTGATTTTGACCAAAACCAAACTATCGGAAGTTGTGAAATCTAAGCACTTCTTTTTTTTTTTTTTTTTTTTTTTTTTTTTGAGACGGAGTCTCGCTCTGTCGCCCAGGCTGGAGTGCAGTGGCGGGATCTCGGCTCACTGCAAGCTCCGCCTCCCGGGTTCACGCCATTCTCCTGCCTCAGCCTCCCAAGTAGCTGGGACTACAGGCGCCCGCCACTACGCCCGGCTAATTTTTTGTATTTTTAGTAGAGACGGGGTTTCACCGTTTTAGCCGGGATGGTCTCGATCTCCTGACCTCGTGATCCGCCCGCCTCGGCCTCCCAAAGTGCTGGGATTACAGGCGTGAGCCACCGCGCCCGGCCGAAATCTAAGCACTTCTATCTGGCTTATCGTCACTTCTGTGTTACAGAGAATAAAGAGGTTGAGTACAGGCTGTCAATTTCCTTGCTTGCCATATAGTTGGTGATTCATTAGGATTTTCCAGTGAGCACTACATGAACTAAATTTCTTGTCTTGATGCATGTTGGTGCCACTGGAAGCCATGACGTGGTTTGCATGTGATCTGCAGCCTCAGGGCTGGCCTCTGCGAAGGTTTTAAAAATTCAGACTCACTGGTCTGTGCATTATTTACACAACCTTAGCTTGGAAGGCCTGAAGTAGAAATGTGTCTTCACAACTTTGAGAAGTGACAATAGCAGTGAAGGGAAGGAGTATGGAAGCTGAGATAATGCAAGATCACATAAAAGATTTGGTGTGTTGGAACACACAGAAATGCTTTTAAAAAATTAGCTAAAAGTTGAGGTGACGGTGAATTTGTTTCTGCATTAGTGAGATATAATTTCTCTCTCTCCTTTTGTGCTATGTGTGTGTGCTTTGATGTGTCAGGGTGGGGCTGATGAAGTCTAATGGTGCTTACTGTGTGATTGGTTCACACTAACTTGTGTTCTAACCCAGAGAAATTACTGAAGCTTTTTTTTTTTCAAGAGAAGGACGGGAAACAGACAAGCAGCTATGGCATTACCCACATGGCAGAGGAAGCTACCTTTATGGCATCTTCACAAACACTGAAATGTGTTATTGGTCTGCATCTATGCTTCACTCCAAGATTTCCTAGCTCTATTTTTTTTTTGCATTCCAAAGTGAAAAGATGTAGCCCACATGGCAGAGGAAGCTACCTTTATGGCATCTTCACAAACACTGAAATGTGTTATTGGTCTGCATCTATGCTTCACTCCAAGATTTCCTAGCTCTATTTTTTTTTTGCATTCCAAAGTGAAAAGATGTAGCCTTTTGTTAACTTACAAAATTCTATAGCTCACACAATAGAGTAAAATAGTAATTAATACAGGTTAGGCTGTGAGGCTAATCACTGTGGAAAAATTGTGATCAAATCGCTTAATTTCCTCTGTTATCTAGGTCAGTGAGGAAAATAATTTCTCCACTTTCTTTGCCCTTTGTTCCAAACTGTTTTTAGTGACTGTGGAGAGTTGCAGGTTTTATCATTATAGTAAAAAGAGGAGCCATTCTGACAATTATCAGCTAAATTAAAATGAATGGTTAAAAACAGTTCAGCCCGAGAAATACATAATGCAGCTTAATGATAGAAAAGACCCAGCCAGGCTGGGCACGGTGGCTCACGCCTGTAATCCCAGCACTTTGGGAGGCCGAGTCGGGTGCATCACCTGAGGTCGGGAGTTTGAGACCAGCCTGACCAACACGGAAAAACCCTGTCTCTACTAAAAATACAAAATTAGCTGGGCGTGGTGGCACTTGCCTGTAATCCCATCTACTCAGGAGGCTGAGGCAGGAAAATTGCTTGAACCCAGGAGGTGGAGGTTGCGGTGAGCCAAGATCGTGTCATTGCACTCCAGCCTGGGCAACAAGAGCAAAACTCTGTCTCAAAAAAAAAAAAAAAAAAAAAGAAAGAAAGAAAAAGACCCAGCCAGTCTTTCAACCACTGGGATTGAAATTTCATGGTCTCTGAGGATGACTCACTTCTTAGCTGTGTCATGAGTTTCATTTTGAAATGAAATACACTGTGTGGTTTCATTTGAGGCTTCATGTTGATGCAAAAAGGAAATGAGTCCATATTGGGAAGTTAGGTTGAAATACATATATTAATGATGAAAAAGTGTCAGGCTGTCGTTCAGCCATCCTTACTACTTCTGTTCCGGCATTACCAGGCTCTTCTGTAATTGTATAACACCTGTTTGTCTCCCCTACTTGTCTGAGAACTCAGAAGGCAGGAACTGGGTGAGGCAAGTAGAAGACACTCAATGAACAGCTGTTGAGTGAACCAGGGAACATCATCTCTAAGGGGAAGGAATCAGGGAATTTTCAGCTCCAATCTTCCTGTGTAATTGTTGATGAGAAAAATCTATATTCATCTTCACTGCATTTACACAGTTGACAAGAACGGTCTTATTTATAGAAGCCACTTTATGGTGTTATTTTTCACGATATAGTTACATTCTCAAACTTGCATGTTCTCTTGAAACCAATGAGAGGGGTGGTGAGCATAGGAAGTGTAGTGGAAACAAAGTAGATGTGATGAAAAATGGCGCAAGATTCTGGGTTGATTTTACTCTTATTTCAATTTACATTTACATTTTTTGAGTATGTACAATATTCTAGACTGTTTCAAGGATACTAGACTTTGTATCTGATTTCAAAGAATTTATACTGTCATGGTGAGGAGGGGGACAGAAAGGAGACTTCTTAAGTAACCAAAGAAATTAGAGAACAAGAAAAAACTGTATGTAACAAAATATCCAACTGAATTGTGAGGTGGTACAGCTTAGTCTTTAGAGGCACAGGCTTTTAAATCAGACTAGGACTGGTACTGGTTCTACCATTACTAGCTCTGAGATCCTGGAGAAGTTATGTGACCTAATCTTATTTATTTATTTGCAAAGTGGGAATGACAATAATTATATTTACACTATAAGGTTATGAGATTAAATAATATTCATGTACACTGTATATCCCACAAGGAGTATCAGATCAATGAATGATAATGATAATTATATAATAATTATAATCTTAGTGATTAAAGGTGACAATGGAAAGGACTAGGAAAACAGCTCCAGTAACTGAGGCTATTTTAAAATTTCTGTTTCTAATCCACATGAAATAGAATGTTTTGCTAAAAGATGGTATTGGTTACTTGTAGACAAATTAAAATCATATAATCGATAGGCTTTGATAAAAAACATTGAGAACAGTGCTTGCTTTGGCAAACATTACTAAGTGAACATCTTGAACTTTCTTCTCAAAAGAACACAGTTAAGAGTCCAGAGAGTTGCTTTATTTCTGACAACCAAAAGGGCTATCTTCCTTGTCCAAATTATAACCATGCAGTCCAAGGGAAATACGTGTACTTTTAGAGAACAACAGCTTTGATTCTGGGAAAGGAAATACATGCTATAGAGAGTAGCCCTGAGAAATTGTTGAAGTTTGATAATGTTGCAAAACTGAATTTCTATTTGTGACCAACATAAACATTTTTCTTCCCTTTAGAATATGAGCTCCAGTCTTTTGGAGAAAATCTTTTTCTCTTCCTGATATTGGCTATTCATTTTATGTTTTACTGAGAATGAGGACAGTCCACGTGAATTCTCTCAATATCTCTTGAAGGGTTACCCTCTTTTCCTTTTTTCTACCTCAGCACAAGGTAACTTGCTTTTTTCCTTGCCAAGAACACTGCTCTTAATTCTATTACTGCTCACCTCCTCTCAGTTTTGCTCCATCCTTTAAGCCCTATCTTTCTTCCATCTTCAATCTCCAATCTCTCCTCCTCTGCCACAAATATGGCCAGCCCTCTGTATCCTAAAATAACCCCCCTCTGACCCTGCTGCTGTAGCAGGTTACTGCCTTATCTTTCTTCCGTTTATTACCACACTTCTTCTAAAAGAATACAAATTCTGCTTTCACTTCCTGCTTATACATTCACTTCTTAACCCCTTGTAATATGGTTTCTACCTTTACCCCTCTATGAAACCACCTTCTGGAAAATCACTGAGAGTTTAGTTTCATATCCAACAAATCTAATGGACTTGTCTCAGTCCTCATTCTCCCTGTTGTCTCTGCAGAAATTTCAGTTTGTTGAATGTTCTCCTTCTATAGCCTCTGTGATACCATAGCCTGCTGGTTCTTTTATCTTTCTGGAAACTTCTCTTCCACCTCCTTCACTAGCTGCTTTTTCTTTCTACTGCTCCATAAATAAAATAAAATCTTCTCCACATTCTTTGCCTCATGTGACTTCTTATCTACTCACATTGCTTTACACATGAATTTCTTCAATCTTTTTTCCCTTCATCTCAAAATCTTTCTCCTGATGATTCTAAAATCTAGCAATTTCCAATTGCTGTTAAGACTTTCTTACTTAGGTAACCAGCCAGGATTTTAAACTCAGTGTATCTAAAATGAAGCCCATTAACTTATGTTCATCAAACTCCAAACTCCAACTGATTGTCTCTATTTTGTTTTTATAAATGACACCACTATTAATGAATCATCTTTCACAACTCACAAGTAATTTTTTATTCGTCCTTACTTCTCACACCCTGTGCCTACTAAATTATGGAGTAAGGAAGATTCTATAGGCTTTGTGGTACACAGGGTGGGAAGAGCATCTATTTTGCTGTCAGATAAGTCTGAGTTCAGATCATGGTTTTGCTACTTACTACCCTTTTGGTCTTGAGCCAGTTAGTTAAGCTCACCAGAGTCTTGATATCCTTATGTATAAAGCAGGGAATATAACATTCCCTACCTAGCCAATTGAGAGGATTGGATGAGAGCTGCACATTTTATGTGGAGTCCTAAATAAATACTGATCTCATTCTTTTCCCTAATCGTGGTTATGCCTCTCATACTCACTTTTCTTTTCCATTAAATGGAATAATATGCATCAAGGACCTCATGCAGTTCCTGAAATGCAGATGCTCATTCCACGTTTTTTTTCTCCTTTCTTCCTTCCGTTGTGGCCTGCTCAGTTCAGGACTGTGTTGCTTCTTGTCTGGACAATTGTTGCGGCTCCCGACATGGCTCTTGCTCCTGCTTCAGACATTTGGATTCACCGCATTCACTGCTGGTTGGTTTTTCTTCCTCATGTGTGCTCTGATTAGGACACCCTTCTGCTCAGAAGACTTCACTTATTCATCATTTCCAAGAAAATGAAGTAGGAAAACATGTGGACCAAGTTATCTTAGAGACATATGTGCCATGACTTTCTTACATGTGAGGTCTATTTTGGCCAAGTGGTACCATTCACTGTTCCTTCAACATGTCCTTACTTTTCTATTCTATTAACTTTCCTCCTGGGTCTAGGATTGACAACGATGCAGTCTCAATCTTTGAAATCTATTTCTACCATGATGCTTTCCCTGATTCTTTAAACATATGGGATTTCTCTCTGCTTTGGCCCCCAAAAGACTTTGCACCTCTCATGTTCACCTTAGTTCTCATTTTAGTGGTTATTTATTTACTTGTTCACACTTACCCATTCCTCCCTTCATGATACAATAAGGTTTTGAGCCTGTGTCTAATTAATATATCTATATTTTTAAGTAGCTAGTCTTGCAGGCCCTGAAAACCTTTTGGTTCAATTAAAATAGTTTAACTTTGATATACAGACCTATGCTTGAAAGTGAAAGTCTTATAGACAACAGAACCACTGTTTATGAGAAGAGAAAGAGAAAAGATAAGAGGAATAATAAGAAAAAAGGGCAGCTTCCTTGGGTTATGAGGTAATTATTGGAATTCGGTCAGAAAAGTAAGAAATAGAAATAAGTACGTGTCCCAAGAGAAGCAGCAATACCTAGGATTATGCTGACAGAGTGAGGGGGATTTAAAAGCAGTCTCCATTCTAATGCTTTTTAAATTCTCGGCATAGTGTAATGATTACTATTCCAAAACAGAAGATATGTTGGCAAACTGCCCTGTATTTGAAAATAGAGGAAATGCCCTGGAAAGAATGAGATGTGGTAAAGAGAGGAAATGACAATGTACTGAAAAGACTGGGCTGTAAGTCATCACAGCGGCGCCCTGAAACCCGATATGTCAGGCAAGCTGGTGGGATCCTGGGATCCCTCATGTAACGGCACTCATTCTGACAGAAGCAGAGATAAAACAGACTAAGTACACAGAGGAGTTTAAGGTTTCGTGAATGTAAGTGCTGAGTACAGAATGGTGCTCAATAAAAGCTTGTTAATTGATGGACCACAGGTTTGTGACAAGACTTCTCAGAGTCTGATTCTTTCAAGGTGGGATATAAGAGTAAGGTAAGCACCTCAGAAAATGCCTGGGGCAGGTCACTCAGTGTTGCTGGGACTGATGGTGTTGGCTTGGCTTGACTAGGATTTAATAATACAGATGTGCCTCAACTTATGAAGGAGTTAAGTCCCGATAAACCCATAGCAAACTTGAAATACCATGAGTTCAAAATGCATTTAATACACCTAACTGACTGAACATTATCGATTAGCCTGGCCTACCTTACTCATGCTCTGAACACTTACATTAGCCTACAGTTGGGCAAAATAATCTAACACAAAGCCTATTTTATAATAAAGTATTGAATATTACATGTACTTTATTGACTACTGCACTGAAAGTGAAAAACAGAATGATTGCATAGGTATGCAATCATTGAAGTATGGTTTCTACTGAACGCATGTTGCTTTCACACCATTGTTAAGTCGAACTAACACAAATCTTGGACGGTTTGTAGTCATATCTTACCCTTACATAAGCCACTTATTTCACAAACTTAAATCATAAGTAAGAACTTGGATATCATCCAAGAAGGCCTTTGAGTAGCCAAATTAAGTCCGATTAAAAAAGTTCTTTAAGATGAAAAATAGCAGTTTAACCCTGACCAGTCGTTTCTTCTGGTTAAGACAGCACACATCTATATGGTTGACAAAGTTTCATTTCATTATAAACTTGTCTAAAAAGAATAGTATTCAAAACACATTTTTAAGCATAACATAGAGCATTTACTGCTCCATTAGACACACTTTGAAAATCAGAAGGCAATCTCTGAGATGGTGTGGTTTTGGTGAATTCTGCTTAAGTTGCTTGGCATTCAGGTTTTGTGAGGGCTTGGGCTGTGATCGTCATCCCTCCAACAGCTTTGTGTGTCTGAGATTGAATATATACCCATAACTCAGGGAAAATTTGTTTACTCATCATTTTATCATCAAATACACCATTATAAGTTTAGCAAGCAAAGACCAAGAAAAAGGTTAAATTAATATTGATGTTTTAATTTAAATGCAAGATAAAAAAAATCTGGTTAACTTTATTCTCCTAAACAGTTGTTGATGCTTTTTGAACTCTAAAAATGAATTATTTGAAATGATGCCTTTAAAGCTTTCCTTTCTCTATTTCACTTTAGTTTCTACAAGTATATAGGCTTCTCTTTCTAAGAAGATTCAGAAATTATCTTTGAGGAAAACTTCAAGAAATTTCTTTTTGGCCTCTTAAACTGGGCTTTTCATTGAATTCTGGTGCTCTTTGTTAAAATTTGCATGATTGGTTTTTAAATAATTCTGCTAGCATCGTGGTCTCATACAATTATTATTCCAGGATTAACGAGAGTCACAAAACTTTTATTAAATATCCAAAATACTAAGAAAATCACTTTCAATCAGCATGTGAGAACAGCCTATGATTGCCTTCTGCTGATTTACTGCTTGTTTGGCATGTTTGGCAGGATATTGCAATCTTGCTTTCCACTACCAGGTTCATGTGGGAAAACTTAGGAACTGCTCCATAACTGTCACATCTGTCGCCGATTTCAGATTTTTCTGAATTTCCCTCATTATCTTCTGTATTTTCACTGGTTTCAAGTTTGCTCATCAAACTTCCTGTTTTTAACCACTGATCCATGCTCCCAGTTGAAAATGTAATTTGAAACTATTCACATAAAAAAGTTAAATGCAGTATAACTTTACAACATTAAAAAAACCTCAGAATTTGGGCTTATTTTGTGTTATGGAAGAATTCACTGTGTTTAGAGAATTAAGCATAAGTATGTATTTGTAACAAAAAGTATCTGGTCTCATAAACTGCAGTGATAATTTAACTGATCTGTGGGAATTGGGTGTGTGTCCATGCAAAAGTTTAAAAAAAACTCACTGTTTTTTTTTTAAATTGTATTTTATTTTTACATTAACAGATAAAATCCCAACTTTTTTATTTTATTTATTTATTTATTTATTTATTTTAGATGTGGTCTGTCTCTGTTGCCCAGGCTGGCCTCGAACTCCTGGGCTTAAACAATCCTGCCTTTCTCCTGAGTAGCAGGGACTACAGGTGTGGCCATGGCCATGTTTTTATTAATAACTACACCATTGATCTTAATGAGACAGATGAGACAGACTCATTAAAAGAAACCCAACTGTAAAGTCTCTGTGGAATTGCCCAGAGATTATGTAACCTGATAGACTAGCACTCTTCCTGCCAGGTAGTGATATTACCATAACCTATTCTCGTAGATATGTTTTCAGGTTTTCTTACTGTAAGAGTCATGTTTATACTATATGATGTGGTCCACTGTGATTGGAGCAGAGGTGATAACTTGATTGGCCTGGATCAATCAGATACTCTTCTATAATTAGGGAATTGGAACTAAAACCTTCTAGTTTAGTCTAGTTACATTTTATGGTAGTCAGAATGCTAAGATGTCCCTAATCTCACTGTAGCTGGATATGATGCTAACCTGCAGCTACTTTAGAAAAGAAATATTGGTGGATAACACTCCTTTAATACCCTCTGAGACATGCAGAAAAATCTGCTCCTTTGCAAAATATGCACTGACTACTATGTCTTTTTGGGTTCTTGTATCTACTTTTTGTGCTTTTCTGACTTGGAACTTTTAGCTCTCACTTCTTGTTGCCATTTTGGTGTTTATCCAAGAGGTGAAGAATAGTCATGAGTCTCTCCAGTTCTGCCCATTCTGGGTCCATACTTTCTATACTGGACTTTCTGAGCTTTTTAATTGAAGGTATACCACAAAGACATCTGATTATTGACAGCATACTGCATACTGATTTTCCAACCTACCTTGGCAGAGTTGGAGCCTTGCTTACTTTTAGTTCAGTTGAGATAATACTGGAATCTTCCAAAAGAAACTTTGACAAAAACTAGGGATGGAGTTTGGTGGGAGTGGAGGGGTGGGATGGTGGAAAAGCATAGAAATCAATGAATTCCTGTAGGGCAGGGTTCTGATCTGTACTTTATGTCCAGTCAAGATTCAGTTTGGCTAGGACAGCTTTAGGGCAGGTAGCCTCTTGTTCCTGGACTAACTTTAAACTTCTCTGTATTGGGCATATATATTTGAATGAGCACAAAATTTTTTCTTCTACAGAAGAAAAAAAGGTAAGTGGGATGTCATCAAAATTTAAAGTTTTGTGCTTCAAATAACATCAAGAATGTAAAAAGACAACAAATGGAATGAGAGAAAATATTTAGAAAGCATATCTCTAATAAGGAATTTGTATTCAGAATATATAAAGAACTTTTACAATTAACAATAAAAGACAAATAATTCAATTTAAAATTGGGAGATAAATTGCATAGACGTTTCTCCAAAGAGTTACGAATGGTGACTCAGGACATGAAAAGACACTTAACATTGTTAGACATTAAGGAAATGCAAATCAAAACCACTATAACACTCTCATCCATTAGGATGGCTAAAACAGAAAAAAATCAAACACCAGACAATAACAATGTGTGTCAGCATGCATGTTTTTTTTTTTTTTTTCTGGACTGCTTTTTTTTTTCTTTTTCTTTAATAACACTCTGTGTAATTGAGCCACATGAAGCATTAGTTATGTTTGGGTTTCATTGCCATAGCACTTTTCAGCTTATTATGACTTTTACCATGTATTATGTGCCTCATTGATCTTTACAACCACGTAAGGTTGGTGAAATAGTACATTATTTTCTCTTTTTTGAAGATAAAGACACTCAGGCTCAGAGATATTTTGTGACTTGGCCAAGTCATCCTATACGTGGTTAAACTAGGACTTAAATTCAGGTTTTCTTTACAATATACCATACTGCTTCCTAAATAATACTGGCTTATGTTTAATTGCAATGTTTAGATGGCTTTAAAATATTATATTCATGGATATCACTTCATTTTAAACTTCACAACCACCCTATGAGATGAGTAGGCCAAGGAATGTTATATTAATTTTACAGTTGAATATGTTGCTCAGAATAATCAAGTTTTATTTCAAGCTCTGCCACCCACTTACCTTGGACAGATTATATAATTTCTGAAATTCTAAGCTTTTTTTTATGTGTAAACTGAAGTCTCCTACTAGATGATCTCAAAGATCCCTCCTAAGCCTACTATTTTGTGATCTTATCCTTTAGTATGTCCTTCCATTAGCAGCATATGTACTTTGAGGTGATTTTCTGGCTGTGGTGAATGAGTTTCTGTAGGATGACCTGTACTTTCTTACTGGATTATTTCTGTAACCCTTATATACATCTTTAAAAAGCATGGTCAAGATCAGGGGAGCAGGCTTTAGCCATATAACAGAACAGGGCTCAAATAACGGAACAATATGGGGTTTAAATTTATGGAACCAAGGCTTTGGTTTCATTAACTTGGGCTCTGAAGTAATTAAACTACACATAGACATTCTAGAATGTCATAATTTCATTTAGTTGGATGACAACATCCTAACACATCAGAGTTAACTTCTTATGGTAAATAATGTGCCTCACATTTTTGTAACAATGAGTTTCTGCTGTACCAACACTTTGCAACCTGGCTGTAGAAAAAATATCCTTAATTTGTACGTTAGTATGAAGAGTGCATCAGAGGAGACTCTTTTTATTTCCCATTTACTTTCTGCGTTATATATCACTTGTTTTTATTTATTCACAATGATAATAAATAGATTTTAAAAGATATGTTTAAAGATAATTCTTATGTTTTCACATTTCCTAGGCATCTAAAAATAAAATAATGAACTAGATATTTAATAAATGTTTCTAGCTAAATAATTCTGTGATCTTTTCCCTTCATTGATTTTGAAGAGGTAAATTTCAGCTTTTTCCAGGATATTAGTTCAGGAAAATAGGTGGGTGTGAATGTTGCCTAACAGTTTTTGAGCCATCTGCACAATCTTTTGATAACAATCAATTAGGTTTCAGATTCTGTCAATATTTCCCCTACAACCCAAGAACCAATGATCTTATGGAAAATAAAAATTGCCCTTTTCCTTTTTAGCAGTTATCTTTGTCTCTCTCTGCCCTTTTCTCTCTCTCCTGTTGAAGAAAGCTATAAATGCACTGATAGTATTTTCAGTTCATCAACCATGTGGGAAATTATCATCCTTCTACTTTCTTAAGAACTGAAAGAAGTTCCCTCAAAGAAAAGAGCTCTCTCAGTGGTTGGCTGAGTTAAATACAGAAAGTCAAAACATATGGGAAAATATTGAAGCCTTTTCCTACAACTTCCTAGAGTTGTTCTCATGAGAAATGAGAGTCAGCTTCAGGACAACTTAATTTTGGCTGAATTTTTGCCATCTTCCCTTCCATGTCTCTATAAAGGCCACCAAGATTCAAGAGTAGTAGTATGCCTGCCTAAGATAGTTCAGAGATCAAGCTTATCAGAAGAGATAAGAGTATAAAGTTTTCTTTGAAAACTGTGAAGAACTAGTCAAATGTATAATACTAAATTTCCAACTAACTTCTTAAAACGGCAATGGCTGTTTCTGAGATGTGTTTAAAGATTAGTAGTTACACATTACTTAATAAGATAGTTAAAACCTATTTCATCATTTTTTTTTTTATATGAAGTCTTGCTCTGTCACCCAGGCTGGAGTGCAATGCAGCAATCTCAGCTCACTGCAACCTCCGCCTCCTGGGTTCAAGCGATTCTCCTGCCTCAGCCTCCCAAGTAGCTGGGATTACAGACACCCACCATCATGCCTGGCTAATTTTTTTTTGCATTTTTGTAGAGACGGGGTTTCACCATGTTGGCCAGGCTGGTCTTGAACTCCTTACCTCAGGTGATCTGCCCGCCTCAGCCTCCCACAGTGCTGGGATTACAGGTGTGAGCCACCGTGCCTGGCCTCATCAAATTATATTATGATGATTTATTCCCATTAGACCACATTCATTTCATGAAATGTATACATTCCTCTTTCCTAATAATAAGAAATAAAGTAAAAAATCCTATAATAAAAAAGTAACTTAAATATGCAAAGAGTTACATTGGTTTTTAAAAAATCTTTTAGAGGGATTATGGGCCAAAAGTTTAAAATCATGATACAAGAATATGCTGAACTAGAACAATTGAGCCTGACCATTGTTTCACAATACTATGGGGCCGTGGGAAGTTTTATAACTTAAACTTTCAAAAGATGGTTTTCTTATGGATCTCTTCCAAAAGAACATACTTCACTGAATATAGTTCCGAACTATCTTGCTTGAACTTTTTTTTTTTTTCAGAATTTACAATATTTTCGTATATATTCATTACTACTCTTTGGTATTTACTGGTTGCTTGTGTATATAAATATAGAAAACATTCTGCTAAGCACTTTCCATGTACAATCCTGTGTAATAGCAGCACAATCTGAATGAGGCTGGTACTATTACTAATTGCAAATGAGAAAACTGAGGCTCAGGAAAGTTAATTGACTTGTCCTAAGAGTGTACATAGCAAAAATGTGGTAGTGGGGTTTTTTTTTTTTTTTCTGGAGAGTCTGACTTAAGGGTTCCTGTTAACTACTTTTTTTTTTTTTATTATACTTTAAGTTTTAGGGTACATGTGCACATTGTGCAGGTTAGTTACATATGTATACATGTGCCATGCTGGTGCGCTGCACCCACTAACTCGTCATCTAGCATTAGGTGTATCTCCCGATGCTATCCCTCCCCCAACCCCACAACAGTTCCCAGAGTGTGATATTCCCCTTCCTGTGTCCATGTGATCTCATTGTTCAATTCCCACCTATGAGTGAGAATATGCGGTGTTTGGTTTTTTGTTCTTGCGATAGTTTACTGAGAATGATGATTTCCAGTTTCATCCATGTCCCTACAAAGGACATGAACTCATCATTTTTTATGGCTGCATAGTATTCCATGGTGTATATGTGCCACATTTTCTTAATCCAGTCTATCATTGTTGGACATTTGGGTTGGTTGCAAGTCTTTGCTATTGTGAATAATGCCGCAATAAACATACGTGTGCATGTGTCTTTATAGCAGCATATAGCGCCTCCGTGGTATTACTTCTGCCTAACTTCCGACTAATAGTATTTCCATTTGTAAGATAGTCTTCATATTATAGAACCATTATTTTTATCATCTTGGGACTTATGCTAACAGTTCTTATGGTGGGCCACTCTGACTTTTAGAATCATGGTTGCTACACGAACTTGAACTCATTCAAGCATGTTTGGGTATCTAATTTTGGGAAGTCCCACTAGTTTCTCATCAGTGCATTCAAACAAACTCATTCTTCATGGGATAAATATGTGAAATCTTTTGTGTAAGTAGTAACTCCATATCAGGCCCAGATAATGGCATTTTTTGAGGTATAGGCGTTTGTACTTAAGAACGGCTGTAAACCAATCAGTGTTACTGGGTCTTTATATTAATGTTAAAATTCCATACTGTCATTAAAGGGAATTTAGTGTGTGTCAGGCACAGCTAGGACCTGTTAACTATAATACTGTTAACTGTAGCACTATTTTACCTCATTCTAGTATTAGCAATACTAGAGAGGCAGCTAGTGTTATCATGAGGCTGAGTATGTTTCTATCAGCCTCCTAGGGGAAAGCAATGGATCCAAGCCTTCTTAGTTTTATTTAAATCAATATGTTGAGTGATTTATCCAATATAGCTAGGCAGAATAAATGATAGAAATTGTATTTTAGATACATAATTTTCCCAATAACTTCCCCAAGTAATTTAAAAAATATTCAAGACTTAGTGACTTGACTTTCTTGGTTAAATAGCATTGTTGACTTATTTATATATATATTCACTTCATTGGCCATATGTGTGGATTATTTACTTTTTAGATTAGATTGTGGAGGGGATACTATGGTGTGCCACCCAGGTCCTCCACTTCAATACTGAGGTACTCATTCTTTCAGCACCTTTAGAGTGTTACCTGTTGCCGATAGCTTTTACCCAAGTCCCACTCTAGGGATTGTCCTCAGCTTCCTTGCCCAAGACTATTGGTATGGTTTAGCTGTGTCCACACCCAAATCTCATCTTGAATTTTAGCTCCCACAATTCCCACCTGTTGTGGGAGGGACCCAGTGGGACGTAATTGAATCGTGTGGGCAGGTCTTTCCCGTGCTATTCTCGTGGTAGTGAATAAGTCTCATGAGATCTGATGGTTTTATAAAGGGGAGTTTCCCTACACAAGTACTCTTCTCTTGTCTGCCACCATGTGAGACATGCGTATCACCTTCAGCCATGATTGTGAGGCCTCCCCAGCCACGTGGAACTGTGAGTCCACTAAATCTCTTTCTTTTGTAAATTGCCTAGTCTCAGGTATGTCTTTATAAACAGTGTGAAAACAGATGAATACACCTATGCTCCTTGCTCAGAAGCAGCCTGCACCCATGACTATGTGATACGCAAAATGTTCCAGGCTCCTTTGCCTCCATTTGGAACAACTCTGAAGGGCTATTCCAGCCCACCCTGACATCAGCTGAGACCACTGTTGTTTCTACATAATGGTTCAGTCTCTCCTTCTGCTCAATCCTTTTTTTCTTCAGCCCCTTACAGATACTCCTGAGATCACTCTCCAATAAAATCCTCATGCAAATCCCCACCATAGTCTCTTTTCTGGGGAACATGACCTAATATAGCTAGGGAAGAGTTTTAATTCCAAAATTATTTATTCTTGCCACTCATGCAGCATTCTTCTGGTCTATCTTCCTCCTTTTGACAGTTGTATACTCTGGGAAATCATTTTTTTTTTTTAACCTGAGACAGAGTCTTGCTCTGTCACCCAGGCTGGAGTGTAGTGGTGCCACCAGGGCCCACTGCAGCCTCAACCTCCTGGACTCAACAGATCCTCCCACCTCAGCCTCGGGAGTAGCTGGGACTACAGGCCTGTGCCATAAAGCCTGGCTAATTTTTGTACTTTTTGTAGAGACAGTGTTTTGCCATGTTGCCCAGGCTGGTCTCAAACTCCTAGGTTCAAGTGATCCACCTACCTCAGCCTCCTAAAGTGTTAGGATTACAGGTCTGAGCCATCCTGCCCTGTTGAAATCAAGCTTTTGATAATTAGCCTAATTACAATGTAAGTGGGAATGCAAATGCACTAAAAATAAAATTTAAGAGAAATTTGGATTCTTGCCAATACTTCCTCAGCATTAAAAATGATTAGAGATCTTTCAATATAATAGGACATGACAGGAAAATTAAAGCCATTCACTCAATATTTTGGGTGCCTACTCTACATAAAAATCTATGAAAAATTAAAGAAAAGTAAGATATGGCTCCTGCCCTCAAGGAAAAGAAACAAATAACTAGAAAATAAATAGATAAGAGAAACATTAGTTGTTTTAATAAAGTATTGTGAGTTCTGATTAGAAAGCAATTTAGCTGGGATAATCAGAGCGGGTATCCGGAAAACTTTATATTAAGAGGGCATTGCAGGAAGGCTCAGTGTGTCTGAGGACACCTTAGTCAACTTAGCATTTTAAACCCATTAACCAACTTTTTATAAATTCCTATATGATACAATTGTCAAATCTTCTTGGCCCAATCTGAGTCAGTTGGAGATGAGCTGATTTTGCCAATGGTAGCGTCAGCTACCATTGACGTGCCTCCACACTCCCAAGTCTTTCCTTTCATAAGCCACAAGATCAAATGACCTTCTCAGTAACTTACATTTTCAGTTTGACAAAAGTATTTTCACTGGTTCCTTGTAACTCTGCATGGGAGAAATCATGAGAAAATTTAACAAGGACTTAAGTGTGTCCACTTATGTCGATGAATCATCTGCTCCTAGCCCTGAACCACTTCTTCCTGCCTTGTTGGCTCTGACTGCTTCTACTCTGTTAATAAGTGGTTTTGTCTGAGTTGTGCTGAAGAAAAAGATCTGGTGAGGGTGGAATGCGTCATGGGTAAATGAAAGTGCCAATTGAAGTGAGAACACAGAGGTGAATGGAGAGATTGAACCCATATTCCTTTAAATTTAGACCTGAACTTATCATTTCAAGATGGGGCTTCAATATTTTAAGTTGGAAACAGTTCTGAGTTAATGCTCAGGGGATCCAATAATAATCTGTCAATAAAGTAGTAATCTTGGGAGATTTTCCCTAAGTGTAATTTCTGGACTTTGTACATATGTCTTATGGTAGATATGTACCCAAAGCAGCCTAACCAAACTGACCAAACTGGTGGATTTACCAATTATGTTTTCTTTGAAGCCACACATAGAAACCTCTGAATCTATTAGTGGACTCAATTCAGCTGTTGTAATTTGTCAACTGAAGGAACATATCAAGAACCAAGACCAACTTATCTAATCCACATGCTACTTTAGCTCTTTCTTTCATTTCACCTGGGATTTTATTAAAATTGTAGTTTTGGAAACCAGGGCAGGAGCAGGGCAGGGGTAGGGGAGCGGGGCAGGGTAGGGGAGTGGGGCAGGGGTAGGGGAGTGGAGCAGGGAGAAAGGAAGAAAAACCTAGGATTGAAGATAGAGCTTCCCTTCATTGCTCAATCCCTGATATCCTGTGGCATTGGCTCCCATTCCTTGCCATTTAATTCCAGACAATAGAACCAGTCAGACCTGCAGTGCTGTATTTCAGACATTGCATCCTATGACAAACATGTCAACAGATCATAACCATGTGGCTTCTCTATTCTTTCCTGAAGCAATATTTCTTTATTATTGGAGCTTGGGAATTAAATAAAGAGAAACTTTCCAAAGAATTAAGGCATTTAAGCTGTGTGTTTTCAAAGCTTATTTTTTGTTCTATTTGGCAGCAGGAGTGCTCCAAGGATTTCTGGATAATCAGCACCATAGAAAATGATTCCTCCTTTAAAGTTTCTACTAAAGAATTTACAGTAAATTTTTACATTTTCTATTATATAGCTCCAACCATCTAAAGCAAAACTGTGGTGTATTGCTTGTGTTTAAAACATGCAGTCACTGGACTGGAAGCAAGCTTTATGGAAGGTCATATTTCTCGAATGTTTTTAAATCTCTGGGGCTATCTTTTTTAAAAGAGAAAGTTAAACACTGATATGATAATATTAAAAGTTAATTTTTATTCAGCTCCTCTTAGGTACCAGATTTCATTCTAAGGGCTTCACAAGCATTAACTCATTTAATCCTCATTAAACACATTAGTTAAATATTTTTATTATCCTCATTTTTTAGCTTAGGAAACTAAGGCCTAGAAAGAGTAAGAAGGTTGATCAAGATCTCACAGCTGGTAGGTGGGAGAGCCAGGATTTGTATCTAGGCAGGCTGCTTCTAGGACTGTGCTACATGGCGCTACATGATGGCAAGCTGCCATTTTATAGATGATAAAATTGGTATCTAAAGGCATGAAATAACGGCCAGGCGCGGTGGCTTATGCCTGTAATCCCAGCACTTTGGGAGGCCAGTGCAGGCGGATCACAAGGTCAGGAGATCAAGACCATCCTGGCCAACATGGTGAAACGCCATCTCTACTGAAAGTCCAAAAATTAGCTTGTCATGGTGGCGCATGCCTGTAGTCCCAGCTACTCGAGAGGCTGAGGCAGGAGAATCGCTTGAACCAGGGAGTCAGAGGTTGCAGTGAGCAGAGATTGCGCCACTGCACTCCAGCCTGGTGACAGAGCGAGACTGTGTCTCAAAACAACAACAACAATAACAACAACAAAAAAAACCTTAAATAACTTGCTAAGATCATATACCTGGTAAGTCGTGGAGCTGGGATTTGACCCCAAGTCCTTTGGGCCTCTTTCCAATGCCTTTGTTTTCATTTCAAGTTGACTTATAGGTAAAAGTCACAGAAACTGGAATCATACAGTCAGAAGAACAGCCGAAAGGCAGTTTGGGTTTTTCCCATTATGCTAGACAAACAAAACCCAAAAAATGTGGGCATTTATTTTCATATTTCCAAATCTAATATAAATATAGGCTCAGCAGCAGTTTTTCCCAACCAAGCGTCTACCTTTGATAAGTCCTCATTGTTCCTTCTTCCCCCTAGACCCCAACCTCCAAAAGAAGGGCTGGAGGCCAGGGAGAAATCTTGACTATAAAAGTGAACAATTAAACGTACTTGGGGCTGCACTGATGAGGAATCTCCCCCATTGCTCACCTGTCTAGCGCCAGTAGGGCATCTTTGAAGAGAGTCCCAAGTCCAGTGTTGTAGAGCTGTCTCATGGGACCTCAGGGTCAACCCGGTGGTTGTAGTCACCAACGGGCTTCAGCTTGCCCTACAGAAGCTACCTGACATCTATCTGACCCACATCTACTCAAAATCATATCACATGTTGACTTCTTGATAAACATGAAGATGACACGACATGTAAAAATACTGACAGTAAGTGAACAAAGCAGGATACCCAGTTGAAGTCCTGATCATGATGTGAAGTTCTTTTTGAATTTTATGTCTTTAAGGATTAAGTGAATTAGAGTATCTTAAGCCTCTAACAGTGTTTGGGACATAGTAGATACTAATATTCTTTTCTTTGCTTGTCTTCCATTCCCTTCCCTGTTCATGTAAATAATGATCCTGGCAACCAAGAAACATACCAGCTGATCAATTATTGAGCAAATATATTTAAAATACCCACTGTGTGCCTGTCATTCCTAGGCTTTGTGTAGAATACTAGAGTTGTTGCTGGCTAGCCAAGTCCTTAAGAAATATACTTTTAAAAATTATTTTTTAAATCATGGTAAAATTTACATAACACAGAAATGATTATTTAAATGATTTAATTGTACAGTTCAGTGGCATTAAGTACATTTACAGTGTTGTGCAACCATCACTATCCATTTCCAGAAATTTTTTATTATCACAAACAGAAACTCTGTACCCATTACATAATGTCTTCATTCTTCTCTTAGCACCTGGTAACGCTTTCTGTCTCCATGAATTTGCCTGTTCTGGGTATTTCTTATTAGTGGAATAATACAATATTTGTTTCTTTGTGTATGGCTTATTTCACTTAGCATAATGTTTTTAAAGTTTATCCATGTTGCAGCATGTATCAGAATTTCCTTTTTGTTGAGATGGGGTCTTACTCTGTCACTCAGGCTGGAGTGCAGTGACATGATCTTGGCTCACTGCAGCCTCAACTTCCCAAGCTCAGGTGATCCTCCCACCTCAGCCTCCTGAGTAGCTGGGACTACAGGCATGTGCCACCATGCCTGGCTAATTTTTTGTATTTTTGGTAGAGATGGGGTTTCACCATCTTGCCCAGGCTGCTCGAACTCCTGAGCTCAAGCGATCTGCCCGCCTCGGCCTCCCAAATTGCTGGGATTTCACTGCACCAGGCCAGAATTTCCTTCCTTTTTAAGGCTAGTATACTATTGTATGTGTTTGCCACATTTGTTTATCCATTTATCTGATGATAGACACTTAGGTTTTTTCTAACTTTTGTCTATTGTGAATAGTGCTGCTATGAATATGGGTATACAAGTATCTGAGTCCCTGCTTTCAATTTTTTTGGGCATAAACCTGCAAGTGGAATTGCTGGATCATATGGTAATTTTATTTTTAACTTTTTGAGGAAACGTCGTACATTTTCCATAGTGGCTGTGCCATTTTACTTTCCCACCAGTGACGCGCATGAGTTCCAGTTTCTACACATCCTTGCCAACACAGCTTGTATTTTAGTAAACGCACTTCTTGCAGTATTTTCCATAAAAAATCACCATCCTAATGGATGTAAAGTAATATCTCATTGTGGTTTTGACTTGCATTTCCCTAATGACTACGGATATTGACATCTTTTTATGTGCTTGTTGGCCATTTGTGTGTCTTCTTTGGAGAAATGTTTATTCAAATCCTTTGTTCCTTCCTGAATTGGATTGTTTTTATTTTCATTGCAGAGTTGTAGGAGTTCTTTATATATTCTGGATATTAATCTGTAGTCAGATATATGACTTACGAATGTTTTCTCCCATCCTGTGGGTTGTCTTTTTAATCTCTTGATAGTATGCCTTGATGCATGAAAGTTTTTAATTTTGATGGAGTCCAATTTATCTATTTCTTCTTTTGTTGTCTGTATTTTTGGTATAGTATCCAAGAAATCATCGCCAAATTCAACATCCTTCAGAAACATACTTTTTGTTTGTTTATTTTGTAAAGAAAAGTCTTGGAGCTGGTCCAAAGGGAGTAAGTTATCTACACTGTTCACAGTCAGTTACAGATCAAACTCCTTGTTCTGCTATTTCCTGGCTTCTCACTGCTGCACTTGACTAGTCTTAAAAAAAAAATTGAAAAACGTCTTGGGGGAGTAAAGGAGGAGGGCAAGGGCTGAAAAACTGAGTATTGTGCTTGGTATTTGGGTGACTGAATCAATAGTACCCCAAACCTCAGCATGACACAATATACCCAGGTAACAAATATGCACGTGTACACCCTGAATCTAAAATAAAAGTTGAAATTATTTAAAAAAAGAGAAAAATCTCAAGGGAAATAGAGAATAATTGAGGTCAATGTATAATAATTTCTAGTTGAAAGTAGTAGATAATGAATATATAGTTGTTCAGAGAAGAGGGAAAACAATCCAAGTACCTTAATAAAATCTTAACTTTACATCAGTTTACTATGAGCAAGAAGAAATAAAGTGCAAGTACGGAAGACATAGTGCTTGCCCAACTAAAGAGGAGTTCTGGGAATAAGCCAAGCACTTGGAATAAGTGACAGTTGGATAATCCAAATAAACAATTTGGATGTACATAGGATCTTGTATATATATTTATTTATTGCATAAACTTTTATCTCCCAAATCCAATTATGCTTTTAAGAATAGGCAAAAGCTTGTTGTAAGGTGATGGATTGATGGTGAATGGGAGTGAGAAGTAAAGCAATTTTTGCAAGCAAGAAAATCAGTTTTGCAATCTGGGAGGCCCCTTACTTTATACTAAAATATCTATTTGTATAGTTTTGTTCCATTGATGAGAGGAAAATATTTGCGATGACATCCATGTGTCCTGAAGTTTCTATGGCACTTACCACTTGAGATATTATGTCCTGTTGTAAAAGAAGAGACCATGATGTTTGGTTTAGAAAAGAAGGTTTCCCTATATATCTAGATTATCTATCTGTCTGTCTGTCTATCTATCTTAATGCCATGCCAATCACCTAATCAATTATCTTTCAATTCAGAGTATGAATTTGCAATTAAATTCTGGGTAGTTCCTTGAAGTGGCTCTGGGAGTGTTAAGAACTGTAAACAGAGTTGCTATCCTATTATCCAAAGCCTGACTCCAAATTCCTATTTGTTATATAATTCTTCGTTGGACTGGTGTTTAAACACACATTCCTTTGTATTTATCTTCCATTTCCTGGAGCTTAATTTTCTTCTTGGAGCAAATCGATCTTCATCTTTGGGAGGGTCCAGATCACAAAGGGTCTTGTGTGTCTGGTCAAGATGTGCAGATATTATATGTCATAGATTGGGAAGCCAGTGAGAAGACAGGATTATATTGATTTCCCTTCATATTCCCTTCATATTCCAACCTCACTGGGGAAAGGAGCCTTATGTTGGATATTATAATCCCATAAAGAAACAGGGAGAAAGGGGTTTGAGAAAGAGAAACGTAATCAATACTCACATACAAACATGTTCCTATGGGGATCTATTGTCAAAACCCTGAGATTTCTTTTGCAATGTTTACCAAGCACTCAGCCCATCAGACATTAAACACATAGGCTCATCACTCCTCTTTGATTCTGGCAGGCAGGTTTCCTAACTTCCAATTTATCTTTCCTATAGAGCAACTGGTCAGATGCTGAGTGTTGGGGATTGGGACAGGCAATTTATATTCTAAAATGGAGGCTTTAATACTTTTAATTTTCCCTTGAAAAGTTTCAAATGTACAGAACAATAGAGATAAAAAATTATTAAAATAAAATCAATAATTTAAAATAATTAAATATTTAATTTAATATTAAAATAGCAGAGAAAGGAACTTTGCGATTCCTGTCACCCATGTTCAATAATTAGTAATATTTTGCCATACTTGCTTTATTACTAAATCTACATTTTTGCTGGTCTTTTTTATTCATATTATTTTGATTGACAAATCATAATTATAACTATTTATGAGGTACAATGTGGTATTTTGATATATGTATAAAATGTGAAATGATTAAATCAAGTAAATTAACATATCCATCACCTCAATTATGTATCATTTTTTATGGTGAGACATTTGAAGTTTACTCTGTTATTTTGAAATACATATTATTGTTGACTATAGTCACCCTGCTCTGCAATAGATCTTAAAACCTATTCCTCCTGTCTGTCTGACACTTTATACCCTTTGATCAACAGCTCCCTATTGCCTCTCCCAGCCACTCTCTGGTAACCACCATTCTACTCTCTACTTGTATGAGTTCAATACTTGTTAGATTCCACACAAAAATGAGATCACATAGTATTTGTCTTTCTGTGCCTGGTTTATTTCACTTTTTGCTGAAGTATTTTAAAGCAAATTTTCTCATGACCTCATGTCATTACACCTCTACATGCTTCATTATGCACCTCTTAAAAAGAAACATTTTCTTACATAACCATAGTTATCACATCTAACAATATTAACAGTGATTCTTGGGTAACCTCTAGTATATCCAGTCTACATTTAAATGTCCCTGCTTGTCTTAAAAATATATTTGTATAGTTGATTTGTTGAGCTAGGATTCAAACAAAATCAAAAATATTTTCTAAGCATTTCATTATACTCCAGATATTAGGTTTTCTCTGACAACTTCTTTAACCCCACCTTTTCAGTTTGTATTGGAGTGCTTTTATGCAGGTCATAATTTTGGAAGCCATTTCTATCCATTTCATTAAATCAGTTACCATGTATAGTAGGCTGAATAATGGCCTCTCCCCTCTCTTCCCCATGATATCCAGGTCCTAATCCCTGGAACCTGTGACTGTTAACCTACATGGCAAGAGAGATTTTGTAGATGTGATTAAGTCAAAAATCTTGAGATGGGGAGATTATCCTGGATTATATGAGTGAACATTAAATGCACTTACATGTGTCCTTATAAGAAGGAAGTGGAGGTTGGGTGTGGTGGCTCATGCCTGTAATCCCAGCATTTTGGGAGGTTGAGGTGGGCAGATCACCTGAGGTCAGGAGTTCGAGACCAGTCTGGCCAACATGATGAAAACCCGTCTCTACTAAAAATACACAAATTAGCCTGGTGTGGTGGTGGGTGTCTGTAATCTTAGCTACTTGGGAGGCTGAGGCAGGAGAATTGCTTGAACCCGGGAGGTGGAGGTTGCAGTGAGCTGAGATCATGCCACTGTATTCCAGCCAGCGAGACTCTGTCTCAAAATAAAATAAAATAAAATAAAATAAAATAAAATAAAATAAAATAAATAAAGAGAAGGAAGTGAAGAGAGATTTAATACAGAAGACAGAAGACAGAAGGCCATGTGACAGAAGCAGAAGGAAACAGAGTCACAGAGAGAACATGCTATGCTGCTGGCTTTGAGGATGGAGGAAAGGGCCAGAGCCAAAGAATGCAGGTGGCTACTAGAAACAGGAAAAGGCAATGCAAGGGATTCTTTCCTTGAGACTTCAGGGAGCTCTACCTACATCTTAATTTCACTCCAGTGAAACTGATTTTAGAGTTCTGGACTCCAGAACTATAAGAAAATATATTTGTGCTGTTTTAAGCCACCAATCTATTAGCAGTTTGTTAGAGCAGCCATAGGAATCTAATACACCATGGGTCAAAGATGTCTATTAAGTAGGAATTCTATTCTCTGTAGAAGATAATTCAGAGACCAGAGAGCTACTGGAGAGGCAACATGCAGTTGAGGAAATGGTAATGAACTTGGAACTGGATTCTAGACTACATTCTGTCAAAGACTTTGAGCCAAGTTGACCTTTCTGATATTCATTTCCCACATATATAAAAATCAAAGGAATGGGCCAGGCACAGTAGCTCACACCTGTAAGCCCAGCTGTTTGGGAAGTTGAGGCAGGAGGATTGCTTGGGCCTAGGGGTTTGAGGCTGCAGTGAGCCATGATCATGCCAGTGCACTCCAGCCTGGGTGACAGAGTAAGACTCCGACTCAAAAACAAACAAGACAAAACACAAAAGTCAAAGGAATGGGTGGGATAAATTATCCTTGAGGGCCCTTTAAACTCCCTACTCTTTCATCAGAAAAAATCAAGTAAGATGGACAAAGCAATAGAACAATGAGGGCAGAGGAAAGCAACATAGGACACCAAATTCTTATAAAAGGCCTCAAAGCTTAAGGGAATGTGTGGAAGGACATGGGGAAGGTCGGGGGGAGAGTAACATTGCAAAGTAACCAAAACAATCTTATTACTTTATGTTGGTGTTTGTGCTGGTATGGAGTGTGTTTAAGTGGTGTGGACGGAAATGCCTCGGGTCTTACTGAGAGGCATCCTCCTTTTCTTCCCTGTTTCTTCACTATGTCACAGCATACCCACAACAGCCTGATCTGCAAATCAACAGTGTAAAGAGCTCAAATCCAGAGGCTGAAGGCTTATTGTGTTGACTTTCTCATCCTAGAGGTCACTGAATGCAGAACTTGGGAACTTCTGGACTTCCTATGCAACAGCTTGCTTAAACCTGGAAGGGACCCCTGGCTGGGAATAGTCACATTTATCAAATGGTTAATAGATCTTCTACTGGGTTAAAAGCTTTACATTCGAAATCATCCTATCTTCACAAAAAAATCTCTCTGAAGTAGTTATTGGCACCTCTGCTGTGTTAGTAAGGAAACGAAGTTCAGCAGAAGATACGATTTTACTCAAGATGACACAGCTGGCAAGTAGTCAAGTCTGAATCCTTTTCTAATATTAATTTATGGTTATAAATTTCTCTTTAAGCACAACTTTAATTACACATAATAAATTTAATGTGTCATATTTTCATTATCATTAGTTCAAAATGCTTTCTAATTTCCATTATGTTTTTTTCACTAATCTGTAGGTTATTTTGAAGTATATTTTAAACTTCCAGGTGGGTGAGATTTTCACTTATCTGTTAGTTATTAATTCTACCTTACTTGAACTGTGGTTAGAAAACATTTTTATGAATACTATTAAACTTAGAAATGTGTAAGACTTGCTTATGGCTTTCAATTTTTGTAAATATCTGTTTATACTTGAAAAGAATGTGTATTCTGAAGTTCTTAGGTGTCCTCTGTGTGTCAGTTAAATCAAATTATTTGTTGTGCTGTTCAGATCTTCAATATCTTTAGTAAGATATTGCTAAGATTCTACTAAGATGGTGGATTTGTCCATTTTCTCTTTTAGTTTGGTCATTTTTTTGCCTTATATATTTTGATGCTATGTTACTAAGGGTATATGAATTATATTTGTTATATATGTCTATGGACTGAAACTTTTATGTTTTTAAAGTATCCCTCTTGCACCCTTTTCAGTAAATGGCATGGGGAAAATCTGATTGCCACAGACAGAAGAATGAAACTGGATGCCTATTTCTCACAATACACAAAAGCGATTCAAGATTAAAGACTTAACTGTAAGACTTGAAACTGTAAAAATACTAGAAGAAAATCTAGGGAAAACTGTTCTGGACATTGGCCTAGAAAAAGAATTTCTGACTAAGACTTCAAAAGCACAGTAAACAAAAATAGACAAACGGGACTTAATGAAACTAAAACTCTTCTGCAGAGCAAAGAAAATAAGAAACAGAGTGAACAGACAACCTGCAAAATGGGAGATAGACAATGGAGACTAAGAAGAGCAAAGGAATGACAGAGAGGTGGAGGATGAGAAATTACTTAATGGGTACAAAGTACATTATTTGAGTGATGGATGCCCTAAAAGCTCTGACTTGACCATTATGCAATCTCTGCATGCAATAAAATTGCACTTGCACCCCATACATTTATATAAATTAAAAAGTAAAATATCCCTCTTTACCACTAGTAATGATTTTCCCCTTAAAATCTATTTTAACTATGTAGCAGACCCTCTTAATATTCTGCTCATATTTTCCTGTCACTTGCCATTGCTGTGCACACTGATGGTTTTCCTACTGCCATCACCAGTACTCCATTTGAGAGCTTTCTCTGGTAAGCTTGGTTCGTGTGCAGGGAAGGGAGGCTAAAGGTTCTGGGAAGTTGAAACACCAGTAGCAGTCCTCATCCAGTGACAGATGGAAACTGGAGGATAAATAACTCAGCTTCGTCATCTATTGGGTGGGACCACTGTGAGGGATATTCTGTATTATCTCTCAGAGGTCCTCAGCAGGGCTGACTCCCAGGTGTCCTTTGTGGTAACCTGCTCACTAATACCTGGCATTGGCTTCTTTCTCTTCCTTTTATCACCCTTTCCCCTTCCCAGTTCTCCTATTAGAGCTTCTTGTGATCACTTTCCAAATGAACTATGTGCTATGGTTTGAATATTTGTCACCTCCAAAACTCATGCTCAATTTAATCCCTAATGTAGGAATATTGAGTGGTGCAGCCTTTAAGATGTGATTGGATCATGAGGACTCTCCCCTCATGAATGGATTAATTCATTCATGGATTAATTGATTAATGAATTAATGAGTTAATGGATTAATGGGTTATCATTGGAGGGGAACTTGTGGTTTATAAGAGAGAGACCTGAGCTAGCATCTTAGTATGCTCAGCCCCCTGTCTGTGTGATGCTCTGCACTACCTTGGGATTGTGTAGAAAGTCTTCACCAACAAGAAGGCTTTTACCAGATATGTCCCCTTGGCCTTGGGCTTCCCAGTCTCAAGAACTGCAAGAAATAAATTCCTTTTCTTGATAAATTATCAAGTTTCAAGTATTTCATTATAAGCAACAGAAAATGAATGAATACACTATGTGTTCCTAAATATTTGTCTGAGGTCTGTATCAGAGAGAATCACAGATAGTTTTATGTTTTAGTGTTTGCTTGACATATCTTTTTCTATCTTTTTATTTCCAACCTTTCTATATCCTCTTATTTTAGACATGTCTCTAGTAAGTATATAGCATGTTTTGTTTTTTTTTTAATAATACAATAATTTCTCTTTTAATTGAATCATTTATTTCATTTCTATTTGATGCAATCACTGATAATCTTTGTTTTCTTCGCTCCCCTTTTGTTCTTTCTTAACTTTTGGTTTTATATTCATCTAATGTTTTCATTATTCAACTTCTCCTCCTATCAGCTTGATACTTACACACCGTCTTACTATTTTAGTGATTAGAGATTACCATAGCTATCCTCAATTTATCAAAATCAACTTTCCTAGTTAAAGCTGTGAGTCATTGTTCATAGCTGACATCCACAGTGGTGTGGGTTTAATTCCTATCAGCAGCTCATGTCAACTCTTTCTTTGCTTTCACTACAGTTTTCTTTTTACTTGGGTATAACTGACCAACAATGTTATGGGATCCTTAAAAGAGAGAGTAGTGGTGAGAATGGTAAGGTTGGAGATAAGGGGAGGTGTCATCATGGAATCAAAGAAACAGTTTTTGGTTTTTGGGGTCTTGGTGACATCACCTTTTTCTTTGCTCCTGGCCTCCCTAAAACCTCCCTTCTGTCTCACCCTTCCTGCTCTGTCTCCTGCTCTTTTTTTCTCTAGCTCTATGGTAGTTTACTAGGGCTGCTGGAATGAAGTACCGTAAGCTTGGTGTCTTAAACAACAGAAATTTATTGTCTCACAGAGCTGGAGGCTAGAATTCTGAAATAAAGGTGGCAGGGCCATATTTCCTCCTAAGATTCAATGGCAGAATATTTTCTTGCCTCTTCCTATCTTCCTAGCTTCTTCTGGTGGTTGCCAGCAATCCTTGCCATATCTTGGCTTGTAGACATGTTATTCCAATCTTTGCCCTCATCTTTATAGGGCATTCTTCCCTGTGCGTCTCTATGTCTCCTCACATGGCATTCTCATTGTGTGTCTGTGTTCTCATTTTCTTCTTCTTATAAGAATACCAGTTACTGGATTGGGGCCCACCCTAATCCAGCATGACCTCATCCTAACTTGATTACATCTTCAAGATCTTATTACCAAACAAGGTCACATTCTGAGGTTCCATGTGGACATAAATTTTGGGGGATGCTCTTCAACCCAGTACAAGCTCACTTACTCTGTAGAGTGCAGTAAAAGTAGCACTGACTTAGAAATTAGACATTCTAAGTACTAATTGTGCTTGTGCTACTAATTATATAATACAGACTTTGGAGTTCACAAGCAGGGGTTCAAATCTCAGCTTTGTCATTTAACTACCTTGAGCCTCAGAGTAGTAAAATCAAATGATTTTATTTTTGAGATTCAGCTTTCAAATTCTAGTCACTCCTTTGGGCTATTTCTTTTTCTTACTCTGCCATGCCCATCTAATCCCTTTCCTCTTTAACAACTTGACCTCTTAATTCCAGTTTTCTTCCTCCTTAATTCTCCTCTTTATCCTTTTCTTCCCACTTTAGAAAAACATTATTTCTTTTAAATAATAGAGACAGGGTCTCACCGTGTTGCCCAGGCTAGTCTCAAACTCCTGGGCTCAAGCAGTCCCCCAACCCTGGCCTTCTAAAGTGCTGGGATTACAGGCATTAGCTACCATGCCTGGCCTCTCCCCAGTTTTTTTCCTTACAACTAGGATGATATTCATCCTGGTTTGTCCAGGAACAATCCCAGTTTATGCCCATTGTCACAGTATAATTATTGATAATGCCCCCTTCTACTTTCAAAGCATTCTGGTTTAATGATGAGTTAAATGATTGCCCTACTTAGAGTGTTTTCATAACACTTAGACCTGCCTCTATCACTGCATGATTCACAATGTACTATGTTATTGTATTTTAATTGTTTTTTGGATTTGTCTCCTTGGTGGGATTTAGGGTAGTCACTGGGAATGATTTTCTTCATTTCTGCAGACTCCACCATATATACCTGGCATTGGGAGGAGCTCAGTCATGCTGCTTGGACATGGGAATGTTTTTGAAACCTTGCTTCTTTCATTTTGTGCATAGCAGGTGTTCAATAAATCATTTTTAATTGAAGTAGATAGCTGTCTATTATGAAAATGAGAAATGAACTTGACAAGAACACTGCTTCTTCTCTCTGCCCTCCTTTATTTGTCATCATTAGCTCAGAGATCTCATTTTACCTCCAGATTTGTGAGTCATTTCTTCCTCTTGCCTCACCCATAGCTATTTTAATTCTTTGAAAACTGGAGTTAGTTATCCTTTTCAAGCCTCCAGTGAGTGCTGCGGTGACCTGATTTCCAGTTGCTGGGTGCTTGCTTTGGGCAAGTGTACCTCCACGATTGAAATCTTCCCTCCACCCCGAGCTCCTGAGGCTCTCTCCACTCTGTCATCTGTTTCAGAAGCAGTTTTTGTACCACCTTGCTTTTACCTTTGAGGCCATACCCACTGTTGGTTACTTCATCCTGTGGCTATGTCTATACAAGTGAAATTAAGTGCATAATGAAGTCAATGGTGGGTTTAATTCAGGCCACTTTTGCCTGACACTTCTTTCTTTTGCTGTCAGCTCATCACCTCAGCACCCCCAACCCACTTATTGTTTGGAGGCTGGGATCTGCTATGCCACAGGAGTATTTTCTGAGCCTTGTCATTTACTTCAAATGATGGAAGACATTTTCTTTCTTCAGGAATTATGAGACCTAATCCACCTGGATTTAGCAAATGGGTTGTTCTTCCTGCTGGTTGCTAAAAACCATCACGTATTCAGTTTTCGACAAACAATTGTTGAGAACTTACTAGGTACAAGCAATAATACCAACACAATTATTGTCTTCAGGGAGTTCTCTAGAGGCTGCGGGCGTGCACTGCTCAAATCCACTTGCGTGAGAAGCTCATGAGGAGGGTAGTTAGCTGACAGTTTCCAGCTGCGGCCCCTCTGGCTCTGCCCCTGCATTCACGCTGACAAGTCACAGACTTCTGGGGATTCTTCTAGCTAGTAACTGAATGTGGTAGTTGTATGGTACCATGGTCAGGCTATTTCTGGCTGGCATGGGACTCCTCTAATGAGGAGTCTTTGCTTGAGGCCTCCTGGTCGGCCTGGCTCAGACTCAGTGCTGCAATGCCGTCTGACTCCTACTACCCAGTCCTCCTCCTTCCCTCCTATTCTGAAGGCCCTCCCTGCCCATGCTGGTTGCCCCTCCCCAAATCCTTCACAGGCGTTTCTCCCAAGAAATCTCCTGCATGACTAATTTTGTCTTGGCATCTTGTTCGTAGAAGAGTTGAGCTGACACAAGTTTCCAGTCCAGTATTGTAGATTAAACATGTGCACAAAGAACACAGCATACTCTTCATTATATTCCTCTCCAACATTAAGTGGTGAGATTAAAGTACAACAGGGACAGGTAATCTTAGATTGCGAAAAGAGGTATATTTTATATTTACCATAGTCTGTCATTTCCGAGAAGGCAAAGACCATGACCAACATAATTATTTGTTCAGGTGAACAGTTCTTTGTTCACTTGTCATGGGTGATAAGTAAAAGCACTTAAGAGAAGAAGAATAATAATAGTTGTGTAATTGTAATAATAATAATAATAATAATAATAATTTATTGAGGGCCCTGTCTCTGCCAGGCATTAGGTACTTTGTGTATCTTTTTTTCCAGTCTTCATAACAACCAAGCAAAGAAGGTATTGCTGTCATCCTCATTTTGCAGAAGAGGAAAGTGAAAAATGAAAGAGGTTAAATAGATTGCTCAAGGTTGTCCGGACGCAGTGGCTCACACCTGTAATCCCAGCACTTTGGGAGGCCGAGGTGGGAGGATCACCTGAGGTCAGGAGTTCAAGACCAGCCTGGCCAACATGGTGAAACCCCATCTCTACTGAAAATACAAAAATTAGCCAGGCATGGTGGCGCATGCCTGTAATCTCAGCTACTCAAGAGGCTGAGGCAGGAGAATTGCTTGAACCCGGGAGGTGGACGTTGCAGTGAATTGAGATTGCACCACTGTACTCCAGCCTGTGCAACACCACGCCTGGCTTAATTTTTGTATTTTTAGTAAAGATGGGGTTTTGCCATGTCGGCCGGGCTGGTCTCACACTCCTGACCTCAGGTGATCTGCCCACCTCTGCCTCAGATTATTCTTTTTCCTGTCTTAGAAAAAAAAAAAAAAAGATTGCTCAAGGTCACCCTGAAGCTAGTGAGTGGCTGTGCCAGGGTTTGGGTTTGTGAAGCTCTGATGCTCTTGAATTTCCCATGATACCATGCTCTGTCTTTAGGGTGATCTTCAGACTTAGGCCACATGGTAATCAGTCTGGGGAATTTGAGGAATATCCCTCCCAATGGGCTAGGGAGTCTATAGCCTAGACCAGATCTTAGTCCATGAGTTCTACATTCTTAATATTTCACAGTGTATTTTTAGGAACTTCTGAAAAAGAAGAATGATGTCTTCAAGATGGGCTTCTCCTTTTTTATTAGATCCTGTTGTCCAGAGTTGTAGAGCTAGAAAGTACCCTAGAAAAAAAGCCAGATACAAAAAGCCAATATGGTATGATTCCATTTATATGAAATTTCCAGAATAGGGAAGTGACTTAATGAGGGTGGGGTTTCTTTTTCGGGTAATGAAAATGTTCTGAAATTAGATAGTAGTAATGATTGCACAACTCTTTGAATATACTAAAAACCACTGAGTAAGTATAGTTTAAAAGAGTAAATATAATAAATATATATACAGTGTATTAGGCTTCCAGGCTCTCTTTAAGAACTCAAAAACTTGAGTTAGATAAAACTTCTTACATTACAAATGTTTAAGCTAAACTAAATTATGATTCATCTCTAGGCTTTTACCTTACTTCTAGAGGTCGAATGGCTTTCTTACTCTAAAATGGGTGCACACAGCTCACACTTCCAGATTATTTCTTTTTTATTTTTTGGAGATGGAGTCTTGCTCTGTTGCCCAGGCTGGAGTGCAGTGGCGTGATCTTGGCTTACTGCAACCTCTGCCTCCTGGGTTCAAGTGATTCTCCTGCCTTAGCCCCCTGGGTAGCTGGGATTACAGGCACGTCCACCATGCCCGAGTAATTTGTTTTTATTTTTATTTTTTATTATACTTTAGGTTCTAGGGTACATGTGCACAATGTGCAGCTTTGTTACATAGGTATACATGTGCCAAGTTGGTTTGCTGCACCCATCAACTCGTCATTTACATTAGGTATTTCTCCTAATGCTATCCCTCCCCCAGCCCCCCACCCTACGACAGGCCCTGGTGTATGATGTTCCCCTCCTTGTGTCCATGTGTTCTCATTGCTCAGCTCCCACTTATGAGTGAAAACGTGGTGTTTGGTTTTCTGTCCTTGTGATATTTTGCTGAGAATGATGGTTTCCAGCTTCATCCATGTCTCTGCAAAGGACATGAACTCATCCTTTTTTATGGCTGCATAGTATTCCAGGGTGTATATGTGCCACATATTCTTTATCCAGCCTATCATTGATGGGCATTTTGGTTGGATCCCTTTATTTCTTTCTCTTGCTTGATTGCCCTGGCCAGAACTTCCAATACTATGTTGAATAGGAGTGATGAGAGAGGGCATCCTTGTCTTGTGCTGGTTTTCAAAGGGAATGCTTCCAGTTCTTGCCCATTCAGTATGATATTGGCTGTGGATTTGTCATAAATAGCTCTTATTATTTTGAGATACATTCCATGAATACCTAGTTTATTGAGAGTTTTTAGCATGAAAGGCTGTTGAATTTTGTCAAAGGCCTTTTCTGTATCTATTGAGATAATCATGCGGTTTTTGTCTTTGGTTCTGTTTATGTGATAGATTATGTTTATTGATTTACATATGTTGAACCAGCCTTGCATCCCAGGGATGAAGCCGACTTGTTTGTGGTGGATAAGCTTTTGGATGTGCTGCTGGGTTTGGTTTGCCTGTATTTTATTGAGGACTTTTACATCGATGTTCATCAGGGATATTGGCCTAAACTTCCCTTTTTTTTTGTTTTGCCTTTGCCAGGCTTTGGTATCATGATGATGCTGGCTTCATAAAATGAGTTAGGGAGGATTCCCTCTTTTTCTATTGATTGGAATAGTTTCAGAAGGAATGGTGCCAGCTCCTCTTTGTACCTCTGATAGAATTTGGCTGTGAATCCGTCTGGTCCTGGATTTTTTTGGTTGGTAGGCTATTAATTACTGCCTCAATTTCAGAACCTGTTATTGGTCTGTTCAGATATTCAACTTCTTCCTGGTTTAGTCTTGGGAGGGTGTATGTGTCGAGGAATTTATCCATTTCTTTTAGATTTTCTAGTTTATTTGCATAGAGATGTTTATAGTATTCTCTGATGGTAGTTTGTATTTCTGTGGGATCAGTGGTGATATCCTCTTATCATTTTGTATTGTGTCTATTTGATTCTTCTCTCTTTTCTTCTTTATTAGTCTTGCTAGCGGTCTATCAATTTTGTTGATCTTTTCAAAAAACCAGCTCCTGGATTCATTGATTTTTTGAAGGGTTTTTGTGTCTCTATCTCCTTCAGTTCTGCTCTGATCTTAGTTATTTCATGTCTTCTGCTAGCTTTTGAATTTGTTTGCTCTTGCTTCTCTAGTTCTTTTAATTGTGATGTTAGGGTGTCAATATTAGATCTTTCCTGCTTTCTCTTGTGGACATTTAGTGCTATAAATTTCCCACTACACACTGCTTTAAATGTATCCCAGAGATTCTGGTACATTGTGTCTTTGTTCTCATTGGTTTCAAAGAACATCTTTATTTCTGCCTTCATTTCGTTATTTACTCAGTAGTCATTCAGGAGCAGGTTGGTCTGTTTCCATGTAGTTGTGTGGTTTTGAGTGAGTTTCTTAATCCTGATTTCTAATTTGATTGCACTGCGGTCTGAGACACACTTTGTTATAATTTCTGTTCTTTTACATTTGCTGAGGAGTGTTTTACTTCCAATTATTTGGTCAATTTTAGAATAAGTGCAATGTGGTGCTGAGAAGAATGTATTTTCTGTTGATTTGGGGTGGAGAGTTCTGTAGATGTCTATTAGGTCTGCTTGGTCCAGAGCTGAGTTCAAGTCCTGGATATCCTTGTTAATTGTTTGTCTCATTGATCTGTTTATATTGACAGTGGGGTGTTAAAGTCTCCCATTATTATTGTGTAGGACTCTAAGTCTCTTTGTAGGTCTCTAAGAACTTGCTTTATGAATCTGGGTGCTCCTGTAATGGATGCATATATATTTAGGATAGTTAGCTCTTTTTGTTGAATTGACCCCTTTACCATTATGTAATACCCTTCTTTGTTTCTTTTGATCTTTGTTGGTTTAAAGTCTGTTTTATCAGAGACCAGGATTGCAACCTCTGCTTTTTTTTTTTTTTTTTTTTTTTGCTTTCCATTTGCTTGGTAGATCTTCCTCCACCCTTTTATTTTGAGCCTATGTGTGTCTTTGCATGTGAGATGGGTCTCCTGAATGCAACACACCAATGGGTCTTGACTCTTTATCCAATTTGCCAGTCTGTTTCTTTTAATTGGAGGCATTCAGCCCATTTACATTTAAGGTTAATATTGTTATGTGTGAATTTGATCCTGTCATTATGATGTTAGCTGGTTATTTTGCCTGTTAATTGATGCAGTTTCTTCATAGTGTCAATGGTCTTTACAATTTGGCATGTGTTTTCAGTGGCTGGTACTGCTTGTCCTTTCCATGTTCAGTACTTCCTTCAGGAGCTCTTGTAAGGCAGGCCTGGTGGTGACAAAATCTCTCAGCATTTGCTTGTCTGTAAAGGATTTTATTTCTCCTTCATTTATGAAACTTAGTTTGGATGGATATGAAATTTTGTGGTGAAAATCCTTTAAGAATGTTGGATGTTCGCCCCCACTCTTTTCTGGCTTTTAGGGTTTCTGCAGAGAGATCTGCTGTTAGTCTGATGGGCTTCCCTTTGTGGGTAACCCGACTTTTCTCTCTGGCTGCCCTTAACATTTTTTCCTTCATTTCAACCTTGGTGAATCTGACAATTATGTCTCTTGGGGTTGCTCTTCTTGAGGAGTATCTTTGTGGTGTTCTCTATATTTCCTGAATTTGAATGTTGGCCTGCCTGGCTAGGTTGGGGAAATTCTCCTGGATAATATCCTGAAGAGTGTCTTCTAACTTGGTTCCATTCTCCCCATCACTTTCAGGTACACCAATCAAACGTAGATTTGGTCTTTTCACAGAGTCCCATATTTCTTGGAGGCTTCGTTTGTTTCTTTTCACTCTTTTTTTCTCTAATCTTGTCTTCTCTGTTTATTTCAGTAACTTGACCTTCAACCACTGACATCCTTTCTTCCTCTTGTTGGAATTGGCTATTAAAGCTTGTGTGTGCTTCACAAAGTTCTCATACTGTGGTTTTTAGCTCTATCAGGTCATTTAAGCTTTTCTCAACATTGGTTATTCTAGTTAGCCATTCGTCTAACCATTTTTCAATGTTTTTAGCTTCCTGTGATAGGTGAGAACATGCTTCTTTAGCTTGACGAAGTTTGTTATTACCGACCTTCTGAAACCTATTTCTGTCAACTCATCAAACTCATTCTCAGTCCATGTTGTTCCCTTGCTGGCAAGGAGTTGTGTTTCTTTGGAGGAGAAGAGGCGTTCTGGTTTTTGAATTTTCAGCCTTTCTGCTCTGGTTTCTCCCCATCTTCATGGTTTTATCTACCTTTGGTCTTTGATGTTGGTGACCTATGGATGGGGTTTTGGTGTGGATGTCTTTTTTGCTGATGTTGATGCTATTCCTTTCTGTTTGTTAGTTTTCCTTCCAACAGGCAGGCACCTCAGCTGCAGATCTATTGGAGTTTGCTGGAGGTCCACTCCAGATCCTGTTTGCCTGTGTATCACCAGCGGACGCTGCAGAACAGCAAATATTGCTGCCTGATCCTTCCTCTGGAAGCTTTGTCCCAGAGGGGCACCCACCTGTATGAGGTGTCTGTTGGTCCCTACTGGGAGTTGTCTCCCAGTCAGGCTACACGGGGTTCAGGGACCCACTTGAGGAGGCAGTCTGTCTGTTATCAGAGCTCGAACACCATGCTGGGAGAACCACTTCTCTCTTCAGAGCTGTCAGGCAGGGACATTTAAGTCTGCAGAAGCTGTGCTGCCTTTTGTTCAGATATGCCCTGCCCCCAGAGGTGGAATCTAGAGAGGCAGTAGGCTTTGCTGAGCTGTGGTGGGCTCCACCCAGTTCAAGCTTCTCTGCCGCTTTGTGTACACTGTGAGCATAGAACCGCCTCAGGCCTCAGCAATAGTGGATGCCCCTCCCCCTGCCAAGCTCCAGCATCCCAGATTGATGTCAGACTGCTGTGCTAGCAGCGAACAAGGCTCTGTGGCCGTGGGACCCACTGAGCTAGGCATGGGAGGGAATCTCCTGGTCTACCAGTTGCGAAGACCATGGCAAAAGCGCAGTATTTGGGCAGGAGTGTACTGTTCCTCCAGGTACAGTCACTCACGGCTTCCCTTGGTTAGGAAAGGGAAAACCCCCAACCCCTTGTGCCTCCCGGGTGAAGTGACGCCCTGCCCTGCTTCATCTTGCCCTCTGTGAGCTGCACCCACTGTCCAACCAGTCCCAGTGAGATGAACCAGGTACCTCAGTTGGAAATGCAGAAATCACCAGTCTTCTGCGTCAATCTTGCTGGGAGCTGTAGACCAGAGGTGTTCCTATTCGGCTATTTTGCTATTTTTATTTATTTACTTTTTTGAGACAGAGTCTCGCTCTGTTGCCAGGCTGGAGTGCAGTGGTGGAATCTCGGCTCACTGCAACCTCTGCCTTGCAGGTCCCAGTTCAATCAATTCTCCTGCCTCAGCCTCCTGAGTAGCTGGCATTACAGGTGTGCACCACCATACCCAGCTAATTTTTGTATTTTTAGAGGAGATGGGGTTTCACCATGTTGGCCAAGCTGGTCTTGAATTCCTGACCTTGTCATCTGCCCACCTTGGCCTCCCGAAGTGCTGGGATTACAGGTGTGAACCACCACGCCTGGCCTAATTTTTGTATTTTTAGTAGAGATGGGGTTTTGCCATGTTGGCCAGGATGGTCTCACACTCCTGACCTCAGGTGATCCGCCCACCTCTGCCTCAGATTATTCTTTTTCAAGGTTTTCAAGTATTCTGTTTGAATGGGGTGTTTAAGTCAAGTGGCCAATCAGGTTCTCAACTTTGGACTTGGTCCTGGATCTAGTTGTCAGACACCAGTGAAGCTCCAGTGACTGGGGAAAATAGGAAGACCTAGACAAGACTCCTGTTTTGATAGGTGGGGCTTGAGCAATTTCTGCCAATTGCTTAACATTGATTAAGACATCCCTGCACAGGGACATTAATTAAGACATTCTTGCATGTCTACCAGGAATCCAGGAGCTGCGATTGTACTGAAAGCTGATACTATGCAATTAGTTGGCTCCCACAGATGTGGGAACTTCCTGTTCTTGGTGGAGGTCAGAGAAGCTTTGCTTTTTCCTATAACTCCCTTGTCCCACCAGGTGTAGGGTGACTCTGCAGGGCTGGGCTCCAGACAGGGAGTCTTTCCATCCATCTTCAATCACTAGCTATAGGTGCCAGTTGCTGTAAAATTCTTGAATGAGTTGGTTGTGGTCTTTGTGTCTCAATTGTCCTAGCTGTAGAATGAGGTTAATGGCAATGGATCCAGATATTGTGCTTGTGTGAAGAGAAGTTTGAAGAGACCTTAGGATCCATTATGTCTGACACAGACTTAGAGACAGGAAGTGACATTGGCAGTTGATAGCAGAGCTGGGACTAAACCCAGGTCTCTAAATTCATAGTCTAAGGTCGTTTCCACTTTGACTTATTCACAAGCAGACATGTGATCACAGAAGAGGAAACCAAAATAGAGCAGGGATTGATTTACAAACCCAGAATGTTCTACTTGCTATATTATATCTACACCAATCCCCCAATCTTGTTTCTGTACTTTTTTTCCTCTGGATTTCTCTGTAGGCTGTTTTCTAGCCATTTTGGGGATAATTTTTCCAGATATTTCTCGTATTGAACCTCAAAATTCAATTTATTTCTAATCTATTCCACAAACACTTTTAAAAGTGTGTTCTAGGCATTGTGGTAGTAGGAGATGAAAGATGAATCAGACCTAGAACCTGCCCCTGAGGCATGTACAATCTAGAAGAGGAAACAGGCATCAATATTTGACAACACACAATCCTACTTACTACAATGAAAACATGCCAAAGGTACAGAAAAGAGAAAATGAGTGAGTAACTTCAGGGCATGGGGCATGAAAGGCAGGGAGATGGAAGTAGGATTCACAGAAGAGAGTGGCATCTAAATTGGGCTTGAAAGAAAAACAGCAATTAGAATAAAAAATTTGCTGATATGCTTTTACTTATTATGCTTCTATTCAAGCACTATTTATTGCATTTGGTGTAACAAAAATTGTATGACAAATGCTTCTAGAAGATGACAGATAGATAGGTACAAGTTGGAACTTGGCTTTCATACTGAAAAGCTCACCAGAGAAAGTTTAGAACTTAACTCAGATACTGTTTCCATAACATGCCATTGCCGAGGAGGCTAATTGCAAGAAGTGCTTTGCCTGTAGCCAGAGAAAAGATGGATATGACCATTATGTTTATTTCAAGGGCAGCAACAATATTGGTAATTAAACTTTTTCAAGCATTTACCATGTGCTGTACTTTTTTTTTTTCTTTTTTTTTTTTTTGATACGGAGTCTCGCTTTGTAGCCCAGGTTGGAATGCGGTGGACGATCTTGGCTCACTGCAACCTCTGCCACCTGGGTTCAAGCAATTCTCCTGCCTCAGCCTCTTGAGTAGCTGGGATTACAGGTGTGTGCCACCACACCCAGCTAATTTTTGTATTTTTAGTAGAGATGTGGTTTCACCATGTTGGGCAGGCTGGTTTCGAACTCCTGACCTCAAGTGATCTGCCCACCTCGGCCTCCCAAAGTGCTGGGATTACAGGTGTGAGCCACCGGGCCCAGCCCATGTGCTGTATTTTGTATATGTTACAAGCATCGTGTTATTTAATTCTCATAATAACCATATACAAAGTAGGTACCAGTATTACTGGTGGCTCAGAGAGGGAAAGCAATAACTTGTCTAAGGTCAGAGAACTAAAAAATGACAAGCCAGAATTAGAACCCAGGGGTTTCTAACTCCAGGGACTGAATTTTAACTCCTATCCTGACCCATGGTAGGAACAGAGTTGGATTGTAACCCAGAATTCATCTGGATCTGTTAAATCTCTGCATAGAAGTCCTAGCCATGAGAATATGCTAGGTCCATGGGGTTAGACTCATGAGTGAATACTTGCTGAGTCCCTGCTTAATACTGTATGCCCTGTAAGGAGTGCAGAGAAATGTGAGCTGATATCCTGGAGGATGAAACAAAACAAAGCTGTGGCCGTAAGAGAATAAGTGCCTGGCCTAAGGTCACATGGCTAGTGAATGAGACCCAGAACTTGAATGGAGGACTTTTAACATTGAAACTAGTGCTCTTTTATCTACAATCCTTCTAGATAGGCTTCGACATTTATGCATAGGAGAGTCGGCTCCTGTAGGACCAGAACCTCAAAAAAATCTTACACAACTTTTAGGGTCAAGGTTTATTATAGTTTCTTTTCTGACCTAGAACAGGCATTCACAAAATTTATAATAGTGGTGATGCCAGAAAAAGATGTTTTGAGACTGTGAGCCAGAAAGATTTCTAAGTCTCCCTTTGATGTGACCCCTTCTTTTCTTTTCTACTCTTCAATTCTGACCCATGAACTACTTGATATTAAAAAAGTCCTGCTACATAAACAGACACTTCTCAAAAGAAGACATTCACATAGCCAACAAACATGAAAAAAAGCTCAACATCACTGATCATTAGAGAAATGCAAATCAAAATCACAATGAGATACCATCTCACGCCAGTCAGAATGGACATTATTAAAAAGTCAAGAAACAACAGATGCTGGTGAGGTTGTGGAGAAACAGGAACGCTTTTACACTGTTGGTGGGAATGTAAATTAGTTCAACCATTGCGGGAGACAGTGTGGTGATTCCTCAAAGATCTAGAACCAGAAACACCATTTGACCCAGCAATCCCATTACTGAGTATATACCCAAAGGAATATAAATCATTCTGTTACAAAGATACCTGCACACGTATGTTCATTGCAGCACTATTCACAATAGAAGAGACACGGGCTCAACTCAAATGCCCATCACTGATAGAGTGGATAAAGAAAATGTGGTGCATATATATACCATGGAACACTATACAGCCATAAAAAGGAATGAGTTCATGTCCTTTGCAGGGACATGGATGAAGCTGGAAGCCATTATCCCCGGCAAACTAACACAGGAACAGAAAACCAAACACTGCATGTTCTCCATGTTCTCACTTATAAGTGGGAGCTGAACAATAAGATCACATGGACCCAGGGAGGGGAACAACATACACTGTGGCCTGTTGGGGGTTGGGTGGGGGAGGGACAGTATTAGAAAAAATAGCTAATGCATGCTGGGCTTTACACCTAGGTGATGGGTTAACAGGTACAGTAAACCACTATGGTACATGTTTACCTATGTAACAAACCTGCACATCCTGCACATGTACCCTAGAACTAAAAATTAAGAAAAAATGGGGAAAGAACATAAACAGATACTTCTCAAACCAAGACATACATATGGCCAGCAAACATGAAAAAATGCTCAGCATCACTAATCATTAGAGAAATGCAAATTAAAACCACAGTGAGATACCATCTCACACCAGTCAGAATGGCTATTAATAAAAATTCAAAAAACAACAAATATTAGTTAAGCTGTGGAGAAATGAGAATGCTTATATACTGCCGGAGGGAATGTAAATTAGTTCAGCCACTGTAGAAAGCCATTTGGAGATTTCTCAAAGAACTTAGAACTACCATTCCACTTAGCAATCCCATGACTGGGTATATATCGAAAAGAAAATAAATTGTTCTACCAAAAAGACACATACACTTGCATGTTCATTGCAGCACCATTCACAATAGCAAAGACATGGAACCAACCAAAATATCCATCAATAGTGGACTGAATAAATAAAATGTGGTACATATACACTAGCCACAAAAAATAGAAATACTACACAGCCACAAAAAAGTGAAAATATGTCCTTTGCAGCAACATGCATGCAGCTGGAGGCCATTATCCTAAGTGAATTAATACAGAAACAGAAAACCAAATATCACATATTCTCACTTACAAATGGGAGGTAAACATTGGATGCTCATGGACATAAAAGTGGGAACAACAAACATGGGAGATTTCTAATAGTGGGGAGAGAGGGAATGGGGCAAGTGTTGAAAAACTAACTATTGGGTACTATGCTTACTACTTGGGTGATGGGATCAATCATGACCAAAACCTCAGCATCACGCAAAATGCCCTTTTAATAAACCTGTACATGTACCCCTGAATCTAAAATAAAACAACATTATAAATAAAATAAAACAAAACGAGAAAAGTCCTGCTTAGCTAACTTTTGAAATCATGCTGGTACATATTCTTTCCATATTTCAACAGCAATATAACTATAGGATGAGCTAAACTAGTTTTCATATAGGGCAGAGTTTAAAATCTGTGGTTGAAAGATCTAAAATTGTATTTATCTCCTGACTTTAGGGAGAAAAATGAGTAACAGCTCTGGTCAACAAAAAAGAGTAAAAATTAGTTGAAAGATAAGCTAGAAAAGGAGGTTAGTATTACACAATATTCTGGAAAGCTGATGGGACAATTTGATTAATGTGTTCAGAGCTGTGAAGGCCTTTGTGAAAGCCATGACCTTATGTGGTCATGTAACACTATCATGACTGGAGTGTAGCCAAGACCAGCTTTAAAATTAGGTGTCTGTGATGGAGGGACTTCAGAAAGGGTTTCTAAAGAAAACCTTCTCTACCCCTGAAACCCTACTATTAGTTTCATTCTCCTGATTCTAAAAAATTTTTCGAGAGTTTTCTACTAAAACATAGTTCCTCTTTAAATTGGTAGCACATCATGCTCTTGCTTAAAATTTCAAGGCTGGCTAATAATTCATTTACCATTGTATTGTGTTATGAATTAATAGATTCAATTCTTGGACTATCAAGCAGGAATGGCTTCAAGTATCACTTAGTCCAACTCTTTCACTTTATACATGAGGGAATTGAGGCTGCAGGGGGTTAAGTGATTTGCCCAAGGTCCATTCCTAGACCAGGAATGAGAACTAAGGATTTCTTATTCCCATTCATGTTTTTGGAAGTTTTTTTTTTAACTTCTTTTATGAGACTACATACATACATACATATATACATACATATATATGTGATATGTATATATATGTGTGTGTTTTCTTTACAAAAATTTTTACAATATTAAGCCATAAATGGTAAAAAGATTAAAATCCTCTTTCTGCCTTTCCACTCCCCCACAGGGATACTGTTGGAACCTTTTCTGTACACATATGTACATGAATACATACATAACAAAATAATAAAATATAGTTTTTAATATTACTAGAGCTCACATTGCATGTATTGTTCTGCAGCTTGCTTTATCTTAAAAATGTGTATTTTATATACATATCACATATTTAATACATGTAAATATTGCATATTAAATATTTTATACGCATATTTTATGTACACATTAAATAATTACATGCTATATATGTATAAATCCAAAAGATTGAAAAGAAGTGAAAAGTCTCTCACTTACTACTTCAGTGTCTCAATCATGTAGTTTTCCTTGGAGTCAACCAGTGTTACCAGTTTCTTGTGTGACTGCCTACAGTTATTCTTTGCATATACAAGTCTGTAAACCCCTGCTTTCAAAAAACAAACTGTAGCATACTCTACATATTTATTTGCACCTTGTTCTTTTTAAACTTAATGTGTCTTGATGATTATCCCATACTAGCAGATAAAAAGCTTCCTCTTTTTCTTTTAATAGCTGTAGTAGTATAGTATGTCAGACAGTTGATACTAAGGCATTTTATAAATAGCATTGTGTAGTATTGCATTTTGTGAATTTCTCATCCTTTATTTAACCTGTCACCTACTGATTTAGTTTGTTTTCAATATTTTCCTATTGAAAAATTGTGGCAATAAAGAGCTTTGTATATAGGGCATTTCATGCATACTAGAGAACATTTATAGAATAAATTTCTGGAAGTGGCATTTCTGGATCAATTGTGTGCATTTATAATCTTGACAGTGAAACAATTAAAAATATGTCACTCTGGTATATTGACTATTTAGGTTAAAGGCACTTGAAAAACAGTAGGGGCAAAAAGAATACTCTGCTGTTTCTTAAAAGCAACAGATGAAATTTCCCATGAAAAAGATCCTCAAAAGCTGAGAAGTTGAGACCAAGAGAATTCTGTACAACCTTTTTTTTTTTTTAACAAGGCTTAACTCATCTTTTAAGCCTACCAACACAATTTAATTCCTTCTTTACAAATTACTGTTTTTTGCCTAATTTAATATATAAGCAACTGACTAACTACTTCTTTGGGTCTTCATTTCCTTCTGAGGGAGGGCTCCCCATGCCATGTCAAACTTAAATAAATAAATCTGTGTGCTTTTCTTCTGTTAATCTATCTTATGTAAATTTAATTACCGGGCCCAGCAGGGACACTAAGAGGATGGAGGTTAAATTTTGCCATCCCTACAACAGATATTGCCAAATTGCCCTGCATGGAGGTATGGAGGCTGTATCAATTTACTTCCCTCCAGCAATGTATGGGAGCAACTTGTCTTCCCATGACAGTGCATAGAAATTGTGTTCTTCTTTTTCACACCTTCTTGGTCTTCCACAGAATGGCTACACCGTTGTTTATTTAAGCATTCTCCTTATTGATGGACATTTAACTTATTTCCAGTTTTTCAGTTTTACAAACAGAGCTGCACTGAACGTTCTTGTGCAAATTTTCAAACATCTCTTTAGGTATTTTTCCAAAGGGCATGTGTTTCCAAGAACTGAACAGTCTTGTGCAAGTTTGCAAACATCTTTTTAGAAAATGCACAAAAGTGGAAAACTTGTTTCAAAAGTTATGAGCACATTATACTTTGATAGATAATGTCAAATTGCTCCATGAATAGGCTGCAGCAGATCATGTCCCAGACAAAGCATAAAGGGTATCTGTTTCCAAAATTATCAGTTTACTTAATTTTTGCCACTCTGATAGTTAAAAACTTAACTCCTGTTTTAATTTTCATTTCCCTGATACTAGTGATGTCAAGTGTATTTTCATGTATTCATTTCTTGAAAAAGGTAGTCAGTAAGAGCAAAGCTTCTGGAGTAATAGTGTTTGGTTGCAGACTCCAACTGCCACTTGGCGACTTCCGTCAAAACAATTACTGGTGGGCAGGTTACTTAACCTCTCTGTGCCTCAAGGGATGTTATGAAGACTTTATGAGATAACAATTGCAAAGTTCTTAGAAAGGTTTCTGGTTTATATTAAGTGCTCACTAAATGTTACTCTTTTTGTTGATATAATTATTTGTATTTCCTCTTCTGTGAATCACCAATTTGTATCCTTTGATATAAGAATGGTCGGTGTCTTGTTAATTCACATACCCTGTTTTATATTCTGGTTATTAAGCGTTTTTTCTTTTGATTTATCTGTATCGCTAATATTTTCTTCCAGTTTGTTGGTTGGTTGCTTATCTTGTTTTTGTTTTTGGTGTTTTTTAAAAAAAATAATGCAGAAGGTTTAAATTTTTACATAGTTGTATAATTAGTCAATTAAAAATGAATTTTAGGTTTTATGAAGAACTTTACTACTCTAATATTGTAATTATATCCTCCCATAATTCTTTCTAATGTTTTTAATTTCTTTTAAATGCCTAACTCTTTAATGCCTCTTAGCAGGTAAGAATTTTACTTCTTTTATTTTGTTTTAAACAAACGAATAGCAAATTGTTCCATAGTATAGCTACACCAGAATTTATCTGATTTTCATTTAATTTCACTGGAGAAAATTTATATTAGTGTACTCTGTGTCCTCCTATCCGGTTATGTGGTGATTTTGCTCATCTTTAAGTTTCTTTTCTTTATTTAGGTCTTACACGTTTCTTATTAATTTTATTCCTAGGCATTTTATAGTTTCATTACTGCTGTGAAGAGAATCTTTCTTTGGATATTTTTCAACTCGCTATAGTTCATAGCAGAAAGGAACAGACTTTTCTATGCTCTATTTTAATTAAATTTTCTAAGATATGTACATTCTGAGAAAAGTGTAAAAAGTCTCCCATTGTTTACCGATTTGTAATTTTCTTATAATTCTTGTGAATTTTGATTGATATATTTCAAAACTATGTAAAGAACACAAAACTTTCTAAATAGATTTTTTTCCTTTGTCTTGATTAGACATTGGCTATTAACATTGCCACATTTGCTTTCTTTCGCTTAGGATTTGCACACTGTATCTTTTCACATCTGTATTTTTTAACATTTTGTCATTTTCTTTTACATCTAAAACTAGCATGGTTTCGTGCTTTCTTCCTAACTTGAGCACCTTAATAGGTAAATTTAGTGCCTTCAAATTTATTGTGATTTCTAACATATTTGAACTTATCTTGTCATCTTCTCTCTCTCTCCTTCCACGTCTCTCCCTTTCTCCTCCCTCTTTTCTTCCTTCGTCCTTTCTTTCCTTCTTCATTCTTTCTGTCCTTTTCTGGTTCTTCAGAGGGGGTGAGATGTGTGGGAACTTCTTTCTTATTGTGTCTTGGAGAGGATAGAAGTGTTGGTGGAAGCTCATAATTTGTGTCTGAAGGTTTTCCCTACACAGCTTCTATGCTGATCTGCAGAGTTGCACCTTGGAGCTTATATAAAAATAGATATTGGACTCTACATCAAGCCCACTGAATCTGCTGGACAGGATTGATGTGCCCGTGTTCTGAATCCTTTCTTTTGTATATAACCCTATATTTTAAGCTTTCCCAGTGCTATTACATTTTTAATAAGCATTTATTATATAATGTTTAATGCTTGTGTAATTTTTTATTCCACTATTATTCAGTATTAAATTGTTTCCTGCTTTTATGCTATTATAAATAATTCTGATATAAACCTCTAAATGAATTAAAGGTTTTTACATAATTAATAATATTTAATTTCCTAGGAAATCTTAAAAGTGTGATTATTTTATCAATTGAGACTGAATAGTTTGAAGACTATATACAAAAATTATATTAGGCTGGGTGAGGCAGCTCACGCCTGTAATCCCAGCACTTTGGAAGGCTGAGGTGGGTGGACCACGAGGTCAAGAGATTGAGACCATCCTGGCCAACATGTCAAAACCCCATCTCTACTAAAAGTACAAAAATTAGCTGGGTGTGGTTCTGCGTGCCTGTAGTCCCAGCTACTCAGGAGGCTGAGGCAGGAGAATCGCTTGAACCTGGGAGGCAGAGGTTGCAGTGAGCCGAGATTGTGCCACTGCACTCCAGCCTGGCAACAGGGTGAGACTCCGTCTCAAAAAAATATATATTAATATACAATATTACAAGTATTATGTATTTTATATTAATATAATTACTATAAATTAAATATAAATTAAATTTATAAATCATTATATTTGTATAAATATTTACACATTATATATTATTATAAACATATATTATATATATTTTAAATATATATTTATTATATATATTTTAATAGTCTAATGGTTTATTTTATTTTTAAAGGTAAAGTTTCACATTTATTGCAGTATTTATGTGTTTTATAATCATCCAATACATGTAAAAGTGTGCCACCTTTTTACTGGTTTTCTATCTTTATGTCCACTGATGCAGTTTTTTTATTAACTTTTATTTTGGGTTCAAGAGTACATATGTAGGTTTGTTATATAGGTAAACAGGGGTTTGTTGTACAGGTTATTTCATCGCCCAGGTATTAAACCTAGTACCCTACAGTTATTTATTCTGTTCCTCTCCCTCCTCCCACCCTCCACCCTCCACCCTCCACCCTCAAGTAGACCCCAGTGTCCATTGCTCCCTCCTTTGTGTTCATGAGTTCTCATCATTCAGCTCCCACTTATAAGTGAGAACATGCAGTATTTGGTTTTCTGTTCCTGTGTCAGTTTTCTAAGGATGATATCCTCCAGTCCATCCATGTTCCTGCAAAGACATGATCTCATTCTTTTTTTTGGCTGCATAGTATTCCATGGTGTATATATACCACATTTCCTTTATCCAATCTGTCACTGATGAGCATTTAGGTTGATTCCATGTCTTTGCTATTGTGAACAGTGCTGCAATGAACATTCACGTGCATGTGAAAGACTATGTATTACGAGAATGATTTCTACAAGCTATTATACAATAAGATCTAGAACTTTTATGTGTTAATAAAAGGACCATTTTCTCAAAAAGCAAAGGCAGGAACAATAAAAATAGAATATAAATTTAAGAGAATTTAAAACTGAAGATAACTTAAACTATATTTCTCATAATTGCCCACATGGCTTTACTTCAGAGTGATGCTTGATTAATAAAACATAGTCCAGCAAGCAAGAACTAATTCTAAAATACTTTAGAATTACTTAAATACAAATACTGAATTTGTATTTCTTAAGTTCTGGAAGAAGATACACCGCTCAGAGCCACCCCTCTTACTGTTCTCTTTCATTTCTCATCCTCTTCTTTTGCACCTTGTGGTGCTTCTCTTTTCCAACGCTGGAGAACTTTTCCTGCGTCCTTTGTGTTGAATCTCCCTCACCATTTCCTTCTGATTCTGTATTACAAAAGACAGGGTGAGTCTGGCTATGGCAGAGAGATTCTCCGAGCGCAGGGTTGGCAGAAGCCAGGACCCCATGTAAATGGGAAAAGGCAGGAAAAATGCCAGGAACATTCCCACTTAAACAACATGTCCCTTTATACCTGGGAATCTCATCTCTGTGGCTACCTATAATCATCCAATGTATGTAAAAGTATGCCAGCATTTTAATTGGTTTTCTATCTTTATGTGTCACTGATGCAGTTTAAAAAAATTCTTATTTTAGGTTCAGGAGTACACATGAAGGTTTGTTATATAGGTAAATTCGTGTCACAGGGGTTTGCTGTACAGGTTATTTCATCACCCAGGTATTAAACCTAGTTCCCAATAGTTATTTTTTGTGCTTCTCTCCCTCCTCCCACCTTCCACCCTCAAGTAAACCCCAGTGTCTATTGTTTCCTTCTTTATGTCGATGAGTTCTTATCATTTAGCTCCCCACTTATAAGGTTTGTTATATTGCCCAGGGAAGGCAAGATACAAACTCACCTCTTCTCTGTAGTATGATTAACCTTGTTATAAGTTTATAAAATGCAACTCATGGGAAGGAAAGAATAAACAAACTGTTAATTGTTCCTGTTAGCTCAGACACACCTGAGCCTTGTCTGATTGTCCAAAGAGTTTAACACACTAGAGTTACACAGAGAATAATTTGTAATAAAATAATAAACATTGTTGCTATTAAGCATTGATTGGTTGTGTTAATAGTTTATAAAATGTTATAATTTCTCAGGTTACTTTTATTACTATGTATCATTGCACTAGAACCCAGTGTCAATATAATTAGGAGGTCTGGATTCAAATCCTAAATTCTGATTTTAATGAGCTTTGTGACCATCTAATTTTACCTTTCTTGGTCATGTTTCCTTACTTTAAGTCCAAAAATTAGAATCCACCATCTTAAGGTCCCTCTAAAATTTTATTATATTTTATATTCTCAAAGGACCTAGTGGTCCAATTGCCTAACCTGTGCATTGAGGTTAAGTTATCACAAATATTTTAGCAGGAAATCCTACGGACACAGGGTATAGTGAACAAGAGAGTAGAAATTCATCTTCCCTAATCCCATGTTCTCTAGTAAGATGTGCACTTTGCTTTGAGAAAGTTGCTCATCATATTCTTCCAGAAAGTCATGATAAATGCATATCTCAGAGGCTTAGTTCAAAGCTCTTCTCTGGAAGACGTCCTCCTATTAGCTTCCTTTGATATAGCAAATATCACAGTGGATGAGAAAAGGTTTCCCTCTTCTTCCAACCCATGGTACAAATCCATACACAATAGAATGTTGAAACCCAGAACTCTAGAGAAGATACAGAATCTGATAGGATTTAAGTTCCAGGCAAACTTGGGGGTGGGTTTGAAATAAAATGCCTCTGTATGAAACATGGCACCATGATTTCTTTCTAAGGCTGATGTGGCCCAATGGCTACAGATATTAGGTCAACCCAAATGGAATTGAGTAAGTGATCTCTTTATAAAGGTGGTGTATTGAAACATCCTCATATTACATTTATAATTTTATATTTGGATCCTTAAGTGGTTAACTGGGTAGGGGTTGTGGTGATGAGGAATACCATGGAAGGAACTGCAGAAAGTAGTAATGGGGCCAGTATGTGACCCCCAAGGTACATCTCCTCCTTTGGAAGAGACACTTCCAGGTCTTTGGTTAGGGATAGCAAAATGTTAGTTGCAATAAAAGCTGGAACGTGTTTGGTTTGGGGTTTGCCCTGGGCCATTCTGTGATCTCTCTAGAGCAGCCGTAAAGCTAGGAAATAGAGCCAGGTGGTAAGGACCCAGTGAGGTGAGTTCTAAGAGACAGAGAGAAAGAAGCAGAGGTAACCGGGCAAATAGAACAGTCAAGATGAGTCCAGAATGATAAGCCACACCTGCTGTGGTGACAGAAGAATGGGGAAATAAAAAGATCAGCCTGTTGGGTGGGACGCACATATTTTTCAATGAGTCAATAAAATGCTTTTCTTGGAGTGCAGGCTAGATATTATCTAGTTAGTAACTTACTTTTTAAACTTAAGCTGAGCTTCTTAACTCCACCTCTTCATACCTTTTGCTTTATTTATTCACTAGAATTTCCACACTTATATATGATCAGGAATGTGCTATTTACTATTAGAGTCTCTGGTCTCAAAGAATTTGCAATCACATATTAAACCAACCAGAACAAGGAGATTTATATACAAGTCAAGTGCTGCAATATTGTAGGGGAAGGAATTAGTAATAATCCTTAAAGACAGAGAGATATCAAGTAAGGAATACAAAAGAAAGTTAGAATAGCTGCCTTCCAAAAACCCTTCTAGTTCTTAACAGTATATAATTTTGCTTGTTTCTGTCTTTCCTTTTCAAGTCCCATTACCTCGTTTATTTATTAAGCAAACATTTAATATACGGCTTGCCATGTTTCAGGCATTACATATGCCTATTCATTTTATGTTCATAATAACCCTTTGTGGTAGGTGCTGTTACCTTCATTTTATCTGTGAGTAAATGACAGCACAGAGAAGTTAAGTTACTCTTAACAGCTGGTAAGTGGCTGAGCTGAGATTTGAACCAGAGACTATCTCCAGAGTCTGTGGTCTTAACCGTTTTATCATGTTGCATGGTTTTGAATCGAAATATATATTTGTTTACAGAAAAAGGTAAAATTTGAATGATGAACAAACACCTAATTCTTATTAATTTCCTCTTGGATAGAAAAAGAGTTCATTTTCTCTCTTTTTAAAAAAACAAGAGCCAATTTATTCTGAGTAGTTTTGGAACCTATATCATTTTAATTTTTCACTGTTCAGGAAATGAAAACACAGGATGAGATGAGGGAATGATTTAGGTGTCCTTTAGGATTTTTTCCAAAGTGCAAACTATACTTTTGTGGAGCCAAAAGGGGCCATTCTTGTGTACACTTGGGCTAAAGTGACTCTTAGATCCACTGTTCTCTAGGATATTCCAGTCTTTCCCTCACCAAACAACTACTGATGGGATGACATTTATGCATTCATACTATGCTAGTTGAGAGATGGGTATACGTGGGAATGTAGGCTTGGTACCTGCTATTAATGAGCTTATAATTTAATTGGGGAGACAACACACACACACACACACACACACACACACACACACACACACATACTTAATTAACCTTCACAATCACAATATAATTCAAGAACCGAAAGCTCCAGTGGGCAAACATTATGGCTGGGCTGTTTGGCTAGAAGAGTAGAAGGCATATTGAACATATACAGTTCTGCAGATTCTCTTGGCTGATCTGTCTCTAGAACCTTAACCTCTTCCACCCATTTGCTCTGCCTTAGCTGCTGCTGCTGCGCCTCATGACACAACCTCATGACAGGTCCATGAGTGTCTAGCACCTGAGACAGACCAGTTTCTTGCCTGGAGTCTCCGGCTTCTTCCACCACTTTGAGATTTGTATATTGTATCACACAGGCTACGCATGAGCTGTGGCTTCCGAAGCAGCTTCCCAAAGAGTCCAGAGAATACAATCTAGAAGTGTGGGAAAGTTGACTTTTGACAGAGAAAAACAGGAGCTAGAAAAATTTGGGCAGATAAGTATTGTCATCCCTTGGTATCCATGGGGGATTTGTTCCTGGACCTCCCTTGGATACCAAAATCCATGAATGCTCAATGCCCCAGTATAAAATGGCATAATATTAGCATATAACCTGTACACATCTTCCCACATACTTTAAATCTCTCTGGTTGCTTACAGTACTTAATATGATATAAATGCTAAGTAAATAGTTGTCATACTGTGTTGTTTAGAGAATAATGACAAGAAAAAGTGTACATGTTCAGTACAGATGCAATTAAAAAATATTTTTGAGTGGGTGCAGCGCACCAGCATGGCACATGTATACATATGTAACTAACCTGCACAATGTGCACATGTACCCTAAAACTTAAAGTGTAATAAAACAAAAAAAAAAGAAAAAGAAAAAAAGAAAAAAAAATATTTTTGATCTACAGTTGGTTGAATTCACAGATGAAGAACTCAAGGATATGGAGGACCAACCACACTCTTTCCCTTCCTTCCTCTAATAGACTAATGTGAGACACAGCTTCTCTGATCAGTCTGTCTAGAGACATGCTGGGTAGCTGAGCAGGTGACCTCCAAGGGAGTGGCTGAGACTCTTCCAGCTCATTGTGAAGAAGAGGCCATTGTTATGCATTATCTCACATTGCTTGATGTCTTTCTCTGTCTCATTGTCCTTCTCCTCCACTCTTGTTGTCCCAGGATTGTACTTCCCCAAATAAAGGAATACCCTGTAATCTTTGCTCCAGTTTCCGTTTTCTAGAGGTCTTGGAATAAGGAGGAAGAAAGGACAGTCTATGCAGAGTGTAGAATATAGAAAGGAATGATCTGGGCTGAAAACATTTATGTTGGAGGTAGCCAGCGTCAAGTTTTGGAGGGCCATACTGAGGGCCATGTAGATTCTTTGAAGGCCTTTGAGCAGAGGAGTGACATGATGGAAAGTGGGATTTAGGAAGGTAGATCAGGTGGGAATAGAAAATTGGAGTGCTATGAAGTTGGGAGAACTGCAGGCAGAAAGACTAGTAGGATGAGTATAGGGCCAAGCTAGAGAAATGAAATGGCAGATGGAGAATCTTAACATGGCTTTAACTACCTTGGTGAACTAGGAATCAAGGTAATTCACTAGAGGTGAGTAAGAGGAAGATAAAGTTGAGGGGTGGATGGGGAGGAGAACTTCAGTGTACTCTCCTGAGGTCAGGTGGCATCATATTGTTTCTTGCTGGGCCTGGCTGTGTCTAGGTCTTCTGCTCTCCATCAGTACGAAATCTAGGGCAACTGCAGAATTTCTCGTTTCATGATTAGTTTGTGTATTATATGCAAATTGCCAAAAGACTGATCAGATATTTACATGGTCTATTCAATTTGGATTTTGTTAACTAAATGCTGTGAATTTTTTTAATTAATTTTTTTTTTGAGACAGAGTCTCGCTCTGTTGCCCAGGCTGGAGTGCAGTGGCACAACCTCGGTTCACTGCAAACTCCGCCTCTTGGGTTCAAGCAATTCTCTTGCCTCAGCCTCCCAAGTAGCTGGGATTACAAGCATGTGCCACCACGCCTGGCTAATTTTTGTATTTTTAGTAGGAACGAGGTTTCTCACCATGTTGGTCAGGCTGGTCTTGGACTCCTGACCTCAAGTGATCTGCTCACCTCAGCTTCCCAAAGTGCTGGGATTACAGGAGTGAGCCACAGCAAATTAAAATTAAAATTAATTTGTTAATTTTTGTTAATTAAAACTACTATCACAGAAACTGTTATTTACAGCACTTTTAATGAACAAACAGATAAGCCCTGTGGTTACATAGCAATTGACTTTTCTTCTGGCTGTGAAGCCAGAGTAACCACAGAAGAGTCATTTAGTCATGACTTTTGTCTAGATTTTGCTGTTCATGAGAAGGCAGAAGTGGGCTGAACAAGCCATATATTCATTCTGGACTTGAAATGCAGAAGTGTGTGCTCAGTTAGTTTAATTAAAAAATTTCTCAGTTAACATTTAAAAATATTTTTGAATATTTTAAAAATTTTAAGTACTTTATACACTGGCCAGTTATTGAATGCTTGAATGTTTGTTGAAGTTCCCTGTGTTCAAGACTGTTTGCTTCCCTAGAGGAGAAAATAATTAATGTTCTAAAACACAGCATGAACATATTTTATATGTTGAGATAGATAGGCAGCAATAAACTATAAACTAGATGAGATAGTATATCTACACAGCCTCTGAGTTGAGAAAAATTAAAGAATCCTTAAGTTAAACACACACACATGTGCACGCACACACACACACACACATACCCAGAAACACAGAAATGGGTCCCATAAGGAAAAAGGTAATTTATTGTACATGATGCTGTAGTTTCTAGAGACTTAGAGTGTTGTCTGGCTAGCGACTAAAGTAAGAGTCTGGTTTTGACTCCTAGTTGAGCACAGGTGCCAAGGTGGGTCATTTTTCAAAGGGTGGTGTTCTCATAGTGGTACCCTTTTTGTCTCTAGTGTTGAAGTGGTGATGTTGATGCTTCTGAGGAGATAGTATTTTCTCCCAGCCCCGACAACTGCGCTTGCAGAGATCAAGCCTGACCCAGAGATAGTGTCTCACAGCTTTTTGGCTGTATTCATTGGTAAAGAGTCAGTTGCTTGTCATCAGTAATAACAAGTTTCAGTTTCATCACAGGAAAATGTGAGCCAGGAAGGGCATTTAGAAATCAACCAAAGTTGGCTGGGTGTGGTCGCTCATGCCTGTAATCCCAGTGCTTTGGGAGGCCAAGGTGGGATGATTGCCTGAGCTTAGGAGTTTGAGACCATACTGGGTAACATAGTGAGACTGACTACAAAAAAAAAAAAAAAAAAAAAAGGTGAGAGAGAGAAATCAACCAAAGGCCTGTGGGAGACTGACCATTGTCATAGGTGGAAGGCTAAACAGGGTTGTGGGAGTTTCAGAAATGGGGGAGCATTGTAGTTTGAAGTGATGGAGGAGGGCCAAACAGAAAAATAAAAAATCACCTCAGCAGGGAAGCGTGAAGTACAATAAACATATGGATGAAAACAGAACAAGACATGAAAACTTATTTAGTTTTTAAATTTCTGCACACAGGAGAAAGTACGTGCTATGAGTTGGCTCCTTTCACCATACCAAGATGCCTATGCTAGAAGCTTTGAGTGCTGCTTAAAATATTGCTACAAGGTCATGCAGCCTCTGAAGGAGCTTCTTAAGCTGGCCCTAAGTATTATGTTACTATCTTTCTATGCTTTCTTTTTTCCCTGGAGAATAGGTTTAGTTTATGATCCCAACTCCTACTTCTCTGTAGATAATGCTTGCCTCTATTTCTCCAGCCCCCAATTTTCACCTGCGTTCAAACACTATTTTTAGCTGCCTTCTTAGATGCCTTCATTATTATGAACTCATTCAGAAATCATTGTGTCCAAGCCTGAATTTATCTTCCTTTAAAACCTCCCTAAGTTTCTCCCAGTTTTATCTGTGTAATACTGAAATAGTTTAAGTCCCTAAAAACATTCATTACCTCATCCTATACAATTTCCTTGAAATAGTTCTTTACTTACTTTGTTTTATCTTCCTTCCCCTTTTTACTGTCACCTTTAAAACCTCACATTCTCAAGTAATAACCTCTTACCTTATCTTCCTACTGCTAGATAGAGACTCTCCAAACATTATTTCTACTATGAAACCATTTATTGCTTTCCATAGCCTAAAGGGGAGACCATGGATCCTGAGTGGCCTACAGAGAGGTAGGCTCGATAAGAAGGAGATGGAGCGTGTTATAAAGGCGTCTGTCACCACACACATATGGATTTCTCAAGTTTCATATTGAGCTGGCTCAGTGCTCCATCAAAGTTGGAGGCAATGATTGAAGTCAGAGACCTGGTGCAAATTTAGAGACTTGGTGCAACCCAGTCAGAGACCTGGGTTAAGCAGCCTGGTACAAATTTCGGATAAATACGTGGTCTCTGTTGTACTTATCACACATGAAATGGGAAGGTGAGGAGTAAAAATGGGATTATGCCACTGCAGGGTGGATTTGAATTAGACAAAGGAGAGACAGCTGAAGAGATACAGGGCTGTGAGAACATGTATAAGTTAGTTTTTCCATTCCTTAAACCCACACTAAGGCCTTTCCTGACAGGCATTTCTCCCTTCCTTGATTTATTTTTCTCCATACCAGTTATTCCTACCTGACACATTCTATATTTTTCTTTTGTTTTGTCTCCCCCCAAGTAGAATGAAAGCTCCATCAAGGCAGGAATTTTGTCTGTTTTGTTCACTGCTGTCTCCCCAGTTCCCAGAACCATAACTGGCACAAGGCATATGCTCAATATTTATGTAAATATTTATAAATATTTGTTGAACAAATGAATGGATACACTCTCTAGCATGACATCTTATTTATTTATTGGTAAGTCTGATCACTTCTACCCTCAAACATGTTAAATTTATTTCTTTTCTAAAGAATTCCTTGTAGAATTTTCTACTTTCTCCTCAGCTATCCAAATTCCATCCTATTTTGGGTTCTGGTCAGGCTGCATTATTACTGGGAAGCTTTACCTGATGGAAAGCGGGAAACCTGAAAACATCCCAGGGCACAGTAATCACAAGTCTCTCAGCATCCTGGAGACTCTTGCTTTTTGTATCATTTGTCTTTGGAATTATCACATCCTCAGAGGCTGGTGTGCATTGCTTTTCACTGCCTTCTTCTGATGCTAATCACACCTTTTCTGAACTTGATCTTCTCTTACTTTCAGTGTTATACTCCCACAGGTGTTGGCTTTAGGCATGTGCATTTTTGCTCATTCATGCATTATTTAATTATTTAATACACACTCCTCTAAACACTGTGGGAGACAGAAATAAATTAGGCCCAATACAAGCCCTTAAGGAAATCATAGTCTAGTTTGATCCAGAGTATTAACTAATTAAGTTTTAAACTCCTTGAAGGTGGAGGCATTTAAAAATATATTTGTGTGTGTGTGTGTGTGTGTTTGTGTGTGTTTCCACCATGCCTCCAATAATGCTAGGTACTTAGAGAGCTCAATAAATGTACCAAATGATGGAAGAACCTTAGAATTAGCTGGAATTTAGACTATTCTAATCTAACCACCCCACTGTATGGGTGAAGATATAAAAGGAGTGGTTTGTTTATTACTTGCCTGCCAGATAGCTAACCAAATAACTATGGGAGGGTCTGGGTTGAGAGAAACCAGGGTCCTAAACTACCAGGTCAAATACATTATTGCTAAATCTCTATACCATTGTCAGAAACATGCTACAGAAAACCAGGCTGGTTTATGTAAAAATAATTGTGTTAGTACTGATTAAAATTCTAAAGGGCTAGTATTAATAAAATGAAATATCTTGGGTAAAAGTGCTTAATATTCCTTGGATGCTCTGTTTCTTTAGAATTAGAGAGTACAATGGGAGTAAATGCATCAAAACAATGTAAAATTCTTTGTGATCACCAGGGTGTGACCCTGCCTCTGGTAACGTACACAGCAGTTACTTCTGGAACCATTGCTTGAGATATCTAGAAACACTCTGGTGGCCCTACCTTGGCTATTCCTGGCTATGACTCTCTGCTCCAATCTCCTGCCTTATCCTCTTTACTTCTAATTAGTTAGTAGACATCCTTGGGAAGTAAGAAACTAGAGCTTCAGGGGACCCAGCTTCCTGGCTCCTCCTGTGCCGTCTTTAGAATACTGTGGCAGAAACCCCAATGATCTTGGAAATTTGGGTTTGCATATTTAATCTCTCTTCTGGATCTATGATCTTCATTCTCAGCAAGGATCAGCCCTCGCTCACTCTATGTATTTTTTCAAATTCCTGGTGGTGTGCCAGTTGGTACATGAAGAAGGGAAGGTTTGGTGACAGAGAGGGTGATACGGTTTGGCTATGTCCCCATACAAAATCTCATCTGGAATTATAATCCCCATAATCCCCACATGTCAAGGGTGGGATCAGGTGGAGGTAATTGGATCATGGGGGTGGTTTCCCCTGTGCTGTTCTTGTGACAGTGAGTGAGTCTCACAAGATCTGATGGTTTTATAAGTGTCTGGCATTTCCCCTGCTTGCACTCAGTGTATTCTCCAGCCATGTGAAGAAGGATGTGTTTGCTCCCCCTTCAGCCATGATTGTAAGTTTCCTGAGGTCTCCCCAGCCCTGCAGAACTATGAGGCAATTAAACCTCTTTCTTTTATAAATTACCCATTCTTGGGCAGTTCTTTATAGCAGTGTGAGAAAGGACTAATACAGAGGGCTTCTTCTGAAGTAGACTTTAAGAGAAGAGTTTAGAAGTAGATTTCCCCATTATTAAAAACTGACTAATTTTGAGCGGTAGGTAAGTTACAGTACCTCTTTGACTGCATTTATTTCTGAGAATCTTGTGTGTAGAAAATCAATGAAAGACAAAATATATCTGTAAATATAAGTTCATAAAGTAAGGCTGGGAGCTGTATGTTTGCCATTCAAGAGTGGGATTAAAAAACTATTAGCTGACCATAGAGACCTAGGAGTAGCAGGTGAAAGAGAATTTTGAGGGAGGCACTAGCAACCCAGAGGAATGTGGTCATTTTTTTTTTTTTTTTTTTTTTTTTTTACATTTTCCCTATGGTTATCACATACTGTGTGGCATGTAAAGACTGAGTTCTGCACAGAGATGGAGCATTTCCCAGAGCTGTTAGGGAGATGAATTGCATTTATCTAGGAGAGGCTGTTACTTTTCCTCAATTTATTCAGTGATTAGAAAATAGCTTGTGGTTTTTGTCTTCAGAGACGCATAGTTGTTTTCCATGAACAATAACCCACTGGCCAGATTTGGTCTAATGTTCTGAGAGGCTCTGGCTGTGGCAGAGACAGAAAAACTCTACCACCCACAGGCATAGGAGGCTGCACCAGATTTGAAGGATAGAAGTCAGGAACAATTAAAGGGCATGCAGGCACTGGAGTGAAATGCTGATTTGGAAGCATGATTTACATGTGGGTGTTCCCAGCCTGGCATGTGGATAGGCGTCCTAAGGCTAAGTTTATCCTTTCATTTTTGAAGTACACTGAGTGCTAGTCTCTGTGGATAGTTCCTTTGCAGAAGAGAACATGGCAGCAGTTGGGCTGGTGGCTTGCTCATAGCCACAGAGGCCAACCCATAATCCTGGGTATGTTAGTGATGGTGGTGAGATGAGGGGAGAGGCAAGTGCTTTGTACATTGAGTACCTCACCTTCCAGCATGGGATCCATAGCAGCTTTTGAACATTGGTCCCTTTAGAATCAAACACTGGCAATGTAACTTTAATCATAGGGCTATTTACTTTTTTTCCGCTACAATCTTGCAAATTTTCAAAAAGATTATGTGAAACTGCAGTTAACAATCTGTAAATTGTGTCTCTTCAGACTAAATTGTTCTTTGCTGTTGATGAAAGGCTGTAAAAGCATTCTGGTTTTTAGTCCTTAGATGAGTTAAAACTGATGGTGACTCTAGCTAAACTGAAACAAACTGTCTTTATCTCATCTGACCTTTTTTAGGAGATGTTTATGTATCTTTCTTACATTATTAGAGTACATAGTTTAGTTGGAGGACAGGACAGGGGCATTCTTGTTGCATGTTGTTGATTGAGAAAGAAGCAAGCAAGTGGCCTTATCCTTATGATGCTTGGTGAAGCAATTAGCATTGTGGAATCAATGTTATAAAAACCGGCTCCGCATAACCTATTGCAGGCATCTAAAAATCTAGATTAGGTCTAACCCAGACACAGTTTCAAGTAAGGAGGGGGGTCATATAATATGATATTGTCACTCATCCCTATCATTTCTTATTACTGTTATAAACAGGAAGATTTCGAATCTAAAAGTAAGACTTACTTGTTTGAACCTGGGATTCTGGCCCAAACTATACCCACCACATTTCCACAGAGAAGGTTCAAGTCCCTGGATGCCTATGCCAAATGGATTCCCCCATTCTCCCAAGAATGCAAATGATGACAAATTGACCAAAGCTTCTGGACTTTCCTCTCTAAAACAGGGTCAATACCTGAGTTAAGACAGAGAATTTCAAGTCTGTGAATCTCAGCTTTGGTTCTGCTTCTTCTCTGCAGTTGAGAGAATTTATGAAGCCAAAAAAAGTACGATGCCACCCCATACAGAATCAGAGCTGTATTTATTTTGCCCTTTGGTATTCCATTCAACATTGAGATTTGTATTTCTCCAAATCAGGGTGGGAAAAGATTTTCTAAGGCACAGTGGGAGAGGTGCTGATTGGTAAAGAGTTTGCGGAGGTGAAAGTAGAAAGATTGACTTGTGAGCTGTCTCCAAGAGGAATGAATGCAAAACATTTGATTTCCCTGTTTGTTTTTTGTTGCAGATACCTTGACTATGAATAATAGTTTCAATAAGGAAGACAGAATGAGTTCTGACACGATGGTTGGGAGCTGTGACAGGCAGACGAAAAATGGAGCCAAATGGCATGGAGGTGTGTCATCACTGCTGGATTTTACCTTGATCTACATTCAGTTATCTACTTCTTTTCAAAATGCTGGGCATTCATTCAAGAAACAGCATATATGTTCTGACTTTGAAGTAATGGATGAACTGTCATGTGCAGTATATGGAAATAAGTTTTATTACCTTCTTCCCACATTAACTCATCCATCCATTCAATAGCCATTTATTGAGAAGCTCACTCTGTGTTAGGCACAGTGGTAAGTACTATAGGTTATCAATCACGTATTTCCTAGAAATTATATAGTAATGAACAACGTGCTTTTATTTTTAAATTGGCTTTGGTTTTATGACACATGATAAAGCCTTCAAACAAGGAATCGCTGCATGAATAGAAAAGGTGAAGATAATTGTGATTAATTAATGAGCTTTATAGCTTTTTAGATCCATATTTCAGTGGACCTAAAAAGGAGCTGCCTTATTCACTATTTGAAATATTGTCTTGTTATTGCAAGCCAGTTAAGAGTAAGATAAGACATTGATTGACTCTAGAGATGCTCTAGTTGTTGCTTAGAAGTAAAGGTAAATAGTCTTCTGTGTGCCTACCCTTCTGCATAACCAGCAGCAATTACAGCAACTAAAACTTTCTATTTTTCAGCATGGATTTTGTGCCTATCATTATTTGCTATGTGATGCTACCATAATACCTGCGTAAGCTCACAGCCATGAATGTAGGAGGTGTAATAGGAAAATGAGACTGTGGATCAAAAAAATATTGAAACAGGATAGAAAGTCACTGATGAAAGCATAGAATTACATATTATTGGGCAGGATGGTGGAGGAGGAGAAACAAAACTGTGACCACCAGTGAAAGAAATTATGAATAAATTGCCTTTCTGATGGTTACAATGAAAGGAATGTAGGTGATGAGGGCCTCCAGTGGAAAGGAAGCATGGTAAGCAAAAATCAGTAGGTGACCCATGCCCTTCTAGTATCTGGGAAGGGAAAAGATCAAAACCTATGCAACTGAAGCCAGAGTCACTGTTAGTGGAGAGGAAAGTTAGTGTGCAGCTGAGGGGCTCGAGGGAGGTTTTCCTGGCCACTTCCAAGGTCTAGTATATGGAGTGCCAGAGGGTGTTCTATGGAAAGAATGGGACAGCTACCCAGTGAAGAATGTGGCTGAGTGTGGGAGAGGACCGAATATATAATTTGCAGCAATGTCTCGGGAAAGCTGAGAGGACCCAGATCTTGTGTGTCTGTCAGAGAAAGGAAGAATGAGTCACTAGTTTTAGCACTAAGGTTACCCAGGAAATTTTAACATCTACTTGTAAACCGTCACTTAATGTTTGACTTATGTGATAATTTGGAATTTTATTTAAACATCTTAATAAAACTTTGTTAATAAACTTCCTAGTAGGAGGATTTCTCCCATATTTTGAATGTTTCTCAATGCTGGGAAATGAAAATTTCCAACTGGCAGTATTTCATAATACTGTTTACCTGGGAAAATTAGTATAACAAATAGAGTGATTTAAGTTTTATTCTGGAATTACACATCCCCCTTCTCCCTGGAAATGTCCCCTTAATTGTTTACAGCTGCTCAAAACTCAGTTTCATAGAAGGTTGAGCAGCAGCATATCCTAGATAAGAACAATGTGTCATGGAGCAATCTAACGTGAGCTCTAACATGATCTCTCAAACCTTGAAGAATCAAAGAAAGAACCTTAGTTTGGAATAAACAGTCAATTCTCAAGTAAAGCTTATAGGCATTTGAAAAACACTCTGGTGCTATTTCTTCAGAGGTGCACATTAATAAATGTCTTGGGCCCTCTTTTGACTGCAGGTGTCATGATGTTGGAACAGTAACAATAACTCAACCAACCAGGGCTTGTCTGAATACAATCCTACAGCAGCAGGAGCTGTGGAGATATAGAAGGCAAGGAAGACCAGGTTGTGAGGGAAGACGAATTTACTCCCAGGAATGTTGGGATTGAGAGTAATATTCTCCAATAATGGTGGAAGACAGAACAATAAAAGCCCACCAGCTCCTTCTGCATGGTGGGATAAGAGAAAAGCCAAGGGCAGAAGTGAGAAAAATAACCATCACCAAACTGAAAAGAAAACCTTTATAAAAAAACTGGATTGATAAATGACCTTTAGTAGTGGAAAGATACCATTCCAATGAAGCATGAATTGAAAGGATTTCTTCTGAAAGCTAATTTACATTTTTCTTTTTTTTTTTTTCATTTTCAGTGTGTTTTAGCAGGTGTATTGTTCTACATGGTTAGTTTCTTTACCTCTTTGAGAAAAATGGGTCAGCTTGACACATCTGGATGAAAGAATCCGTTAGGTGATTATGATTGAAGACAGATTAAGCCTTGTTATGAGGGGAATATTTGGGGGCTTACCCTGAGGTGATATTTGATGATTTAGCTGTGGGAGAATTTCCCTCCCAAGATCAGCGTGACTGACACTGAAATTGCTACAGGGGAACCGGACCTTTCCAAGAGGTGACAAGGACATTTACCTGGTACAACACAATGGTTCTGGACTGGAAGTCTAGTCCCATTGATGAAGTTCCCAAAAGATGTCCAGGTCCTAATCCCTGGAATCTGTGAATATGTCATCTTACACATCAAAAGAACTTTGAAAATGTGATTGAGGTTAAGGACCTTGGAATGAGGAGATTACCTTGGATTATCTGGTTGGGTCCAAGCTAATCACATGAGTCCTTAAAGGAGAAGAACCTTTTTTAGCTGGGTCAGAGAGAGATGTGATGATGAAAACAGGCTCAGGGAGATGCACTGTAAGAAGGGCTTGACCAGTTGTTTTTGACTTTGAAGATGGAGGGAAGGGCCAGGAGCCAAGGAAGGTGGGTGGCTTTTGGAAGGTGGAAAAAGCAAGGGAACATTCTCTCCAGAGCCTCCAGAAAGGAGCTCAGCCCTGTTGACATCTTTGTTTTTATTTTTTATTTTTAGTAGCATTGAGGTCTCACTATGTTGCACAGGCTGGTCTTGAACTCTTGAGCTCAAGCACTCCTCCCGCCTTGGCTTCCCAAAGTGCTGGGATTATAGGCATGTGCCACCACATCTGGCTTCCTACTGACATCTTAACTTTAGTGCAGTGAGACTCATATTTGAATTTCTGACCTTATATTATAGAACCATAAGACATTATAGAATTATATAGAATTATAGAACCATAAGACAATAACTTTGTGTTGTTTTAAGATACTAAATTTTTGGTAATTTGTTATGGCAGCACAATAAAACCAATATAGCATTATATTATGCCAATATCATCTCTTTGTTGACTATTGCTATTATAGTTTGTTTTATGGGTCTTGTGTAAACAATCAAGCTATAATATTGGGTTAACTCCCTAAGGAAAACTTGGAATATAGAACATTATTTTAAAGACTGAATTAGGTAAATACACCTGCCAGTGAATACATTAACAAATTAATTAATATATTCACTCTTTTCACTCACAAATACTTTTTGAGCCCCTATTACTAGCCAAACATTTTGTTAGATTCTGAGAAGGGTCTGCTAGACAACATTGTGACTATAGTTAATAACAATATATTGTACTCTTGAAAATTACTAAGAGAGTAGATTTTAAGTGTTCTCACCACAAAAAATAAGTATGTGAGGTAATGCAGATGTTAGTTAGCTTGATTTAGCCATTCCCCAGTGTATACATATTTCAAACCTTCATATTATACATGGATAAATATATACAATTTTTATTTGTCAATTAAAAGCCCCTCGATGAATACAGTTTCCATTCTGTCCTTGAGGTGGAGCTTGTAGACTTGGTGGGGTCCGGGGATCAACTTTTAAACAGGCAGTTCCAAAGTGTGGAGTGGATAGGCTTATTCTCTTTGTTGCTTTTATGATAGGTATTTAGAATGCACTTTCCTCTGTTAAGTTAAGCCAGCCACCATTCCCTCATTCAGTTTCCATCCTCCATGAATTTGCTCACATCTGCGGTCTACTGTCACTCATTCTTTCCTTCTCTTCCTGAGGGCTTGTGTGACTTATGTTCTTGGCTTTCTCTTAGGAACATGGTGCAGCTTGGCCCTGCATTATCCATCTGGAAAAACAGATCATAAAACAGTCCTTCTCTGTACTAAGTGCTAAAGTAGGAGGAAGGGCATAAGTCAGCTCCCTGAGCTATATATCCTTGTTTTCAGGAGCTGAGCTAGACACAAGCAGAACTTGCAAATAATTTACATTTCTTTCTGCTGAGGTGGTTCAGAATAAGTTGCAACAAACATGAACAGGAATGGTGCAGTAAATAAAATAATAATTTAGGTCATTTAAAAATTACTACCCATTATTTTCTAGATTGTAAATCCTAAGGGTGTTAGCTGATTAAATTGGCGAAGGCACATCTCACCAAGTCATCAGCTTCCTAATTATGAGAGATACATCTACTCAGGCAGGTACCTAGACAAAGAATAACTAGATTAATTACTCAAGAGTCTTTTTATTTCTTCCTGCCTTCACTTGTTAACTATACTAATAGAGAGATGGTATTAGGCATAGGGAAAAATACATCTGTTACCAAGAAAAAATGTCTGGGAGTCTTAAACCTGTGGAATCCTCTGCCTGTAAACATCTAGTTGAATATTTTTGTCTGGAGGGTTGGCCTTTAATTTTTTTCCCTGTGTTTTAAGATGATATACTTTACAAAATGTGGTCCTGATTTATAGATCCAGCAGTGTTTAAATTGGCCAGAAAGAGAGTGTGAGAAATGGATGTACTATAGCTCATTTGTTTTCTGTTGGTCTTCCTTTTTCATTGCTGTCATGGTACATCACAGAGGCAAGTCTGGTTTCTTTGGCTAACCTCTGAATAAAGGGCACTGTGGCTACTGCAGGGGAGCATGCAGAAGTGGTGAATGAATGACAGAAAAAATGCGAGTTGAGTCCATTCAGGGAGGTGATTTGTGGCCATATGATAAAATGTGCAGATGTTAATTGCGCTTCTGTTTCTCACGCATGATTACCTTGTTGCTGTACACTGCCTGTGTGTGCCTGCAGAAAGTACATAATAGATTTTGCAGATAGGAGGTACAAAGAGGGTGTAGTGTGAGAACAAAGGCACTGGGAGTGGGCAAGTGACAGATCAGAGGAAGACTAGGTGGCAAGACTGGGCAGAGAAAAAGTACAATATTCAGGCTAGGAGGGCAGGCAACTACAGCTTGAGAATATCACAAAGCCCCTAAGGCAAGACTATGAACTTGATATGGGGTTTCCCAGTATTCCACCTTGCACATGAATAAATCATTTCATCTATTCTGAAGTCTCAAGTATCTAACCAGAAATTTCATTTGAAATGGAAAAGTCAGAAATCGTCCCCACCCTCTAACTGATTTGTTCATGGCAGTTTCTATACTGAAGCAACATGTCAAGCCTGGCATAGATTGCATGGGTTGCCTAAGGAGAGTGAATGCCCAGGATCCATCTCTGGGCCACTCAAAATGTAATCATATCGAGACAATGAGGAGCCTATAAAGAGTATCTAATAAAAGAAAACACAGTGGAACCAGGGAAAAATCTGGAAAGAGTGGTCTCATGAAAGCCAAAAGAGGAGAGTTTCAAAGAGTGAATTGTGGACTAATTGGGAAATGGAATAACATGTATAGAGAAATGTGTCTATTGGATTTGGAAACATGCAACAGTTTCATGTGCATGATTTGGAAGGAAGCCAGATTAGAGTGGGTTTGTCCATTAACTGATTCATGATGTTCACACATATTTCTTTGAGTACCGAACATGCATCAGATATTACTTCGGTTGTTGGGGGAATCATTGGTGCAAAAGCAAGCATGATTCTTTACGGGATCATGGTAGCTTATGTGGGAAGACAATTTTCCAATCACATTACTTCTAGGTTCCTGGCCATCTAGCCAAACCATAGGTCACAGCCCTTGAACTGGTATATAATCAACTATTTGGCTATTTCTCCTTCCAAGCAATGAACAGTCAGGTGCACTGCTCAGATTTCTGCCCCCTGGGAAAATTTCCTTTCACTACTTTCCTCCAGGAATGTTCCAAAGAGGGCCTGTTGTACTGTAGCCATCCACTTTCGAGTAGTGCCTGCATGTCATGTAGAACCATCTGCAAACCAGGCCCAAGTCTTCTGGTCTTCTGTCAGTTGATCATAGGGAACTCCCCATGAGGCCCTAGGTGCAGTCTGGGAGAGAGAAGTTAGCATAGCAGAAGTGGGAGCCACGGGCATTTGGGTCACTTCTTTATGTAATTTACTTATGCCTTCAGGGTCTTCTTGGGCTCCATCACTTATATTACTTCCATTTGATGATGGAGTACTGCTGTGCACACCCAACTTTATGGCTTGGTAGGCGAGATAATATCTAGTTTGTAATGGGGAGCTCAGATTGCATGGTAAGTTGGTGGCTCATAAGCATCCTGTCTCCACCAAGGCCCAGTAGCAGGCTAGGAGCTGTTTCTCAAAAGAGGAGTAGTCATCCACAGGGGATGGGCAGGTCTTTGCTCCAAAATCCTAAGGGCTTGTGCTGCAGGTGCTTGCAAAAGGCTTTAAACAGCATTCCTATCTGTCACTGACACTTCAAGCACAATTTGATCTGCTGGATCTTATGGTTAAAGTGCCAGAGCAGCTTGCATGGCAGCCTGGACCTGTTGTAGAGCTTTCTCTTGTTCTGAGCCCTTTTCAAACTGGCTGCTTTTTTGGGTCACTCAGCAAATGAGCCAGAGTAACACAGTCAAAAGAAAAATATGTTGCCTTCGAATTCAAAGAGGCTCACTAGTTGTTTTGTCACCTTTCCGGTCATACAAGGGTCCAGTTGCAACAACATACCCTTCACCTTAGAAGGGCTATCTCAACTTGCCACACACCACTGGAACCCTAGAAACTTCACTGAGGTAGATACCTGAATTTTTCTTGGATTTATTTCCCTCCCTCTGACACTCAAATGTCTTACCAAGATATCTAGAGTTGTAGCTACTTCTTGGTCGCTAGACCCCATTAGCATAAAGTCATCAATGTGTTTGGTCAGTGAAATAAAAGGGAAGGGAAGAGTGGAAGAGAAGAGTGATTAAGAATCTTGCAAACAGCTGGGCATGGTCATTCATGCCTGTAATCACAGCATTTTGGGAGGCCAAGGCGGGCTGATCACTTGAGGCCAGGAGTTCAAGATCAGCCTGGCCAATACAGTGAAAACCTGCCTCTACTAAAAATACAGGAAATTAGCTGGGTGTGGTGGTGCACATCTGTAATCCCAGCTACTTGGGAGGCTGAGGCACAACAATTGCTTGAACCTGGGAAGTGGAGGTTGCAGTGAGCCAAGGTTGCACCACTGTACTCCAGCCTGGGTGACAGGGTGAGACTCTGGTCTGAAAAGGAAAAAAAAAAAAAGATTCCTGCAAATGAAATTATGATATAGGGAAGAAGAGTTGATATATCCGTGAGGTGGGACAGTGAAGATGTACTGCAGGCTCTGCCAGCTGAAAGCATACTGCTTCTGGTGGTCTTTACTAATGGGTATCAAGAAATACCAGGAAAATACAAGGTGTCAGGGGATGTGTTGGTGTGTTCAAGTTATGAAACCACACCTGGTATAGCAGCTGTAGTTAGAGTCACTGTACTAATCTCACAATGATCTGTCATTCATCTGTCTTTTACAAAGGCCAAATAGGTGAGTTGAATGAGGATATGGTGGGAATCACCACCCCTGAATCTTTCAAGTCCTTAATGGTGGACTGATCTCTGCAATCCCTCCAGGAATGTGGTATTGCTTTTGGTTACTATTTTCTTAGATAGAGGCAGTTTTAGTTGCTTCCATCTGTCCCTTTCTACTGTAGTAGCCCTTACACCATAGGTCAATGAACCAATGTGGGGAGGCTGTCACCTGATGAGTATATCTACTCCAATTATACATTCTGGAACTGGGAAAATAACTACAGGATAGGTTCAGGGGCATACCAGGCCACTGTGATATAGACATGAGTTAAAACTCCATTGATTAGCAGACCGCCATAAGCCCCTTCTCTGACTGATGAAACACAGTGATGTTTGAAGTGTCCTGGAATTAGTGTCAGTTCAGAGCCAGTGTCCAGTAGTCCCTGAAAGGTCTGATTTCCCCCTCCCCTCAGTACATACTTACCTTTGTAAAAGACTATAGATCTCTTTGGGAGAAAGATTAACAGTCTAAATATTTGGCAGTGTGCTATGTCCTTCCTCAAGGGGAACCAGCTTCCCCTTTATTCAAGGGGGCCTTGATCTGTAAATTGGCTCATCAGAAGGTTAATTGAGGGCCTGTGCCTCCTTTGTTTTTTTGATTCACTTTAGAATTCGGTTCACTTGACCTAGATCTTTTCTGCTTACATAGATGAAGTAAGAATTTAGTAGGCTTCTTATCTCTTTAGCTTGTAGGAACACCATGATCATTTAGTCAATCACACAGGATGATTACTGCTTTGACTCTGCTCTTCATCATGGTGACCACACTCACCTTGCCTTTGGTGGTTACTGAGGGCTGCCGCTTGGCTTCTGCCACCCTGGGATCCAATTACTACTGTTGTATTTAGATTTCCCAATTCAGGGGCTGCAGTTCCCATTGCAGGATCTGGTCTACAGAGAAGAGTGATTGTACAGCTCTTCAAATGTTAGAGCTCCTCTCAAAAATGTATTTCTCACAGTTGTGGTGAAAGTTATGTCTTCTGGACCCTGCCAGGGTGGGTGAGTAGACCTTAAATGACAAATTTACTCCAAAATTCCAATCTTTCTGGGCCTTTGAATCCCTTTCTCTACATTAAACCAAGGCAAGTCCAGCATTTCTAACACACTGTGGGCCACCTTTTGGTCCATGTTTTAGCCAACCACACAAACTGTTAGAGCCCTTTCTATTTCCCTGAGCTGCAACATTAAGTGCAGAATCTCTGCTTAGTGGGCTCATATCAATAAATTTAGCCTCATCCAACTTTATGTTCCTTCCACCATTATACCACACCCTTAATATCCATTCCCACATATATTCCCCAGATTTCTGTTTGTACAAATTAGAAAACTCAAGTAGTTATTTTGGAGTGTAGCACACCTCAAGGGTCACACTTTGTACCTCACCATTAGGGTCCTGCTGAGACTTGAGTCTAGGTGTAAGTCTAAAATTCAAAGGGGTTTTGGGGATAAGTCCTGAGGAGAATCGGCATTGCCTTGTTAGGCAATGGACTCAGAGGAGGCCATTACCTTTTCCTCAGACAATGCAGGGTTAATCCCTATAGATGAGGGTGGAGAGGATGCTTCTACTGGCAAAGAAGACTCATCAGAATTTGGAGGATTTTTGTCCCTCGCTCCATTAGGTTCTTCCCACATATTCCCATTGCAAATTCAGGATCCCGTTCTTTCCTAATCGATACCTTCATTCTATCAGTGGACAGAATAACCAAATAAACTTTTTAAAAAAGAGATATATAAATGGTGTTGACAAATATGGCTTACCAGGTATCAAAGCATAAAATAATGTTACAGGAATTAAAGAAGTATGTCTCAGGCTGAGTGCGGTGATTCATGTCTGTAATCTCAACACTTTAGGAGGCCAAAGCAGGAGGATCACTTGAGGCCAGATGTTTGAGTCCAGTCTGGTTAACATAAAAAGAACATGTCTCTTAAAAAACAAAACAAAAAAACCAAAAAAAACAAAACACCCAAAACAAGTATGTCTATGGCTTCCAGATAAGCAAATAGATGAGTGGACCAAAATAGAGATTCCACATCAGACTCATGCATATATGAATGAGTAATACTTTTAATGAGTAGCAAAATGAAGAATCACAAATACTTCATCTTTACCTAGAATGGATAACAGTGGATATTGATTATATATATTTACCTTCATCACCTGGACATTCCTCAGAACATCAGAGAATAGGAGACAAATCCTACAAATATTCAGCGTCCTATCACATCAATAAAATGTTTAGGAGTTTAGTGGCCTGGAGCATGCCAGGACATTACTTCCAAAATAAAGGGCAGATTATTGTACTATGTACTTCCTATCAAGAAGGAAAACAATACATGATAGGCTGGGAAAGTAATTTGCATTGTAATTCAGTCACAGGATACAGAGCTTGGGTATGGTTTCAGTTACGTCAGTTCTGCAGCTACAGGAGATAAATGTCTTAGGGCAGATATAGAAGTTTTCATGTCATTTTTATGCAAAAAACTTTAATGCTTGAGCTCATCCTTTTCTTTCTCCATTTTGTTCAGTGACAAGGAACAACCAGGCAATCTCATTATACTTGTTAGTTTGACAACAATGCTCAAAAATATTATATACATGGTCACTAGATGCTTGCTTCTTATAAGTGTTTGGTTGGGAGTATTCAGTGGTAATATTTTGTGTACCTCTATTATTCGTGATAGTCCAGATCACGCTAGGGACTACCAATGCTATTTTTACTACTGGAAATAGAGTCACTCGTATCTTTAAAACTAGCCAGATTAGAGAGCCAATTTCAGAAACTCTAGAACCAATTCAGAAAATTCATCCTGCAGATTCTGTTCCTCTGGAACCACTTTCAGAACCAAAATCTGTTACTAGTCAGCATTCTGCAGAGAAGCTGAATTAATTATCTCTATCTATCTATTATCTATTTTCTATCTATCTATCTATCTATCTATCTATCTATCTATCTATCTATCATCTATCTATCTATCTACCTATCTAATCTATTTACCTATTTCCTAAAAGATTTATATTTATCTTAAGATATTGGTTATAAGGAATCAACTGACGATTTTGAAGACTGGCAAGTCCAAAATCTGCAGAGCTCATGTCTCAGTTAGAAGGCTGTCAGGCAGGAGAATTCTTTCTTGGAAGAGGTCAGTCTTTTTCTACTGAGGCTGTCAGCTGATTGGATGAGGCTCACTTACATTGTGGAGGATCATCTGCTTTACTTAATCTATTGATTTAAATATCAATCTCATCCCAAAACATCCTTATGAAAAGACTCAGAATGCTCTTTGACCAAATATCTGTGCATCCCATGGCCCAGTCAAGTTGACACATAAAATGATCATAGTGAGCTAGTCACATGGTAATTGCTATGTGACCACATATATGAGTTGGTGCAGTAGTGGTGGATGACAATGACATGCAGATCTAGGCTAGCTGCTCATGTGTCCTTTTTGAACTCTCTGGCTTTGTTCATGCTAAATCCCAGATGTGGCACTTGCACATTTTAATGGCCTGCTTCTGGTTCCATCTGACCTTATGATTTTGTGGATCTGACAGCTCATGATCAGTAGTTCTGGCCACTTGTCCACTTAATGTCCCACGAACAAGCTATTCATCTCTACTAGAGTTCAGTGGAACAGCAGAATCTGTCATTTGTAAGCTGAGTAATTCTCCACTGCAGGGAGCATAATCTTGCTCTCTCATTAGTGTTTGTCATAAACTTTGCACAACATCTTTCCCCACTAATGATGTCTCTAATGCAATAATGACTACTGGTTATATAATTTAAAAAGCAGGGCCACTTGTACCAGAATCTAGTCCTATTTCATAGCTTTTCTCTGCTCGAGGTCCTACTCAAAGCTGGAAGCCTTTCATGTATCCTAGTGAATGGGTAGAACCAATATCTTAGATATGCAATACACTATCTCCAGAACTTGAACAAGTCTATTAAGGGTTGTATTCCTTCTTGGTGGGAGGTGCAAAGTACAAGAATCTGTCCTCTACTTCGGAGGTAACATCATGGCATACTTCAGGCCACTAGCCCCCTAAAAAATTTATTGATGTGACAGGCCCCTGAATATTTGTAGGATTTATCCTCTACCCTCTGTTGCTCTGATGGATGCCTAGGTGATCCGGTAAATGTATATAGTCAATATCCACTGTTATCCATTCTAGGTAAATGTGAAGTGTTTGTGAACTTTTAATTTTGATAGAGTCGGAAAATAATGCATTTATTAGATATATTTTAGTAACATTTATGGAACATTCCTTCATTTTACTACTTGTCAAAAATGTTAATTCTTATATTCATAAGTCTTATTTGTAATTTCTATATTGGTCCACTCATCTTTTTGCTAAATTTAGGGCAGATATATACTTCTTGAATTCCTGTAACATTATTTTATGCTTTGATACCTGGTAAGGCATGTTTCCCCACACCATTTATATATTTCTTTCTAAAAAAGGTTTTTGGTTATTTTTGCAAATTTTTTATTCCACAAACACTTTGAGATTAGTTTGAAAAGTTCCAAAAAAGAAAGCTGTGGTGGAAATTTTGCTGGGATTAGACTAACTTTATAGATGATTTTACTGTTGAACAAATGACTCAAAGAATATGAATATATGAACATAAAAACTTAGAGGAAGTTTGAGTCATAGACACACTGATAATTTCTGATAGAAGTAAATAGACAAAACTCTATCTTTAAATAAATGTTCTAAAACTCAGCAGCCATATTTTTTTCCCTCTGATGGGGACAACCTTCTTCATGAGCTACAAAGGACATTTGCCCACAGTTTCTATTGAGGGGCTTTCTTAGCACTGTTTCTGGGTATTTTTTTCATTTTATAATTGTGTTTAACAGGTCATGTAGAGGATTCAGAAACAAAATATGTAATGGACACAGTAATGAGGCACTTAAATTCTCCCTCAGGAGTGAAGCTCTTACCAAGTTCTGGGAGTACTGCCAGCAAATAACCCTCAGCTTTCAGTCCACACTGCGGGAAATGCCTCAGCTGAAGTCACTTCTCTCAAGAGCAAGCTCCCTGCTCAAGGAAGCTGAAACCCAAACATAATGTTGAATAAAAACAATAAAAGCAGACATTTTTACCCTGTTCCCAATTTTAGGGAGAAAACATTTAATATTTTGCCATTAAGAAAACACAAGCTTTTTGTTTTCTTAATGCCTAATTATGCATTATGCCTAATAAAGGCATAGATGTCTTTATTAGATTGTAGAATGTCCATTCTATTCCTAGTTTGTGGAAAGGTTTTTTCCTTCTTTTCAATCATGAACAGATTTTTGTGTTTGGTTAATATTTTGCTTTTTCTTGATAATATAATTTTTCTCCTTTAATCTATAATTTAGTGCGATACATTGGACATTCTTTTTTTTTTTTGAGACAGAGTCTCACTCTGTCGCCCAGGCTGGAATGCAGTGGTGTGATCACTGCTCACTGCAACCTCCACCTCCCAGGTTCAAGCGATTCTCCTGCCTCAGCCTCCTGAGTAGCTGGGATTACAGGCGCATGCCATCACACCTGGCTAATTTTTGTATTTTTAGTAGAGACAGGGTTTCAAGACCAGGCTGGTCTTGAACCCCTGACCTCGTGATCCGCCTGCCTCAGCCTCCCAAAGTGCTGAGATTACAGCCGTGAGCCACCGTGCCCTGTCTGGACATTCTGATAATGTTAAGCCAAACTTGATTTTTTGGAATAAATCCTTTAATCATGATGCATTTTAAAAAATGTAATGCTTTAATTGATTTACTAATGTTTAAGTTTTTTAAAATCTAGATAAGTTAGCCAGTGTCTTTTTCCTCTTTAAAAAGTCTTTGTTGCTGGGAGGAGCCAAGATGGCTGAATAGGAACAGCTCTGGTCTACAGCTCCCAACGTGAGCGACACAGAAGACGGGTGATTTCTGCATTTCCAACTGAGGTGCCAGGTTCATCTCACTGGGGTGTGCCAGACAGTGGGTGCAGGACAGTGGGTGCAGCGCACTGTGCATGAGCTGAAGCAGGGTGAGGCATCGCCTCACCCAGAAAGCGCAAGGGGTCAGGGAATTCCCTTTCCTAGTCAAAGAAAGGGGTGACAGATGGCACCTGGAAAATCGGGTCACTCCCACCCTAATACTGCGCTTTCCCAATGGGCTTAAAAAACAGCACACCGGGAGATTATATCCCGCACATGGCTCAGAGGGTCCTCCGCCCACGGAGTCTCGCTCATTGCTAGCACAGCAGTCTGAGATCAAACTGCAAGGCAGCAGCGAGGCTGGGGCAGGGGCGCCTGCCATTGCCGAGACTTGATTAGGTAAACAAAGTGGCCTGGAAACTCGAACTGGGTGGAGCCCACCACAGCTCAAGAAGGTCTGCCTGCCTTTGTAGGCTCCACTTCTGGGGGCAGGGCACAGACAAACAAAAAGACAGCAGTAACCTCTGCAGACTTAAGTGTCCCTATCTGACAGCTTTGAAGAGAGTAGTGGTTCTCCCAGAACACAGCTTGAGATCTGAGAACGGGTAGACTGCCTCCTCAAGCAGGTCCCTGACCCCCAAGTAGCCTAACTGGGAGGCACCCCCCAGTAGGGGCGGACTGACACCTCACACGGCCAGGTACTCCTCTGAGACAAAACTTCCAGAGGAACGATCAGGCAGCAGCATTTGTGGTTCACCAATATCTGCTGTTCTGCAGCCACTGCTGCTGATACCCAGGCAAACAGGGTCTGGAGTGGACCTCTAGCAAACTCCAACAGACTTGCAGCTGAGGGTCCTGTCTGTTAGAAGGAAAACTAACAAACAGGAAGGACATCCACACCAAAAACCCTTCTGCACATCACCATTGTCAAAGACCAAAGGTAGATAAAACCACAAAGATGGGGAAAAAATAGAGCAGAAAAGCTGGAAACTCTAAAAATCAGAGTGCCTCTCCTCCTTCAAAGGAACGCAGCTCCTCACCAGCAATGGAACAAAGCTGGATGGAGAATGACTTTGACGAGTTGAGAGAAGACTTCAGACGATCAAACTACTACGAGCTACAGGAGGAAGTTTGAATCAATGGCAAAGAAATTAAAAACTTTAAAAAAAATAGATGAATGGATAACTAGAATAACCAATGCAGAGAAGTCCTTAAGGACCTGATGGAGCTGAAAACCAAGGCATGAGAGCTACGTGACAAATGCAGAAGCCTCAGTAGCTGATGCGATCAACTGGAAGAAAGGGTATCCGTGATGGAAGAGGAAATGAATGAAATGAAGCGAGAAGAGAAGTTTAGAGAAAAAAGAATAAAAAGAAACGAACAAAGCCTCCAAGAAATATGGGACTATGTGAAAAGACCAAATCTGTGTCTGATTGGTGTACCTGAAAGTGACGGGGAGAATGGAACCAAGTTGGAAAACAGTCTGCAGGATATTATCCAGGAGAACTTCCCCAATCTAGCAAGGCAGGCCAACATTCAAATTCAGGAAATACAGAGAACACCGCAAAGATACTCCTCGAGGAGAGCAACTCCAAGACACATAATTGTCAGATTCACCAAAGTTGAAATGAAGGAAAAAATGTTAAGGACAGCCAGAGAGAAAGGTCAGGTTACCCACCAAGGGAAGCCCATCAGACTAACAGTGGATCTCTTGGCAGAAACTCTACAAGCCAGAAGAGAGTGGGGGCCAATATTCAACATTCTTAAAGAAAAGAATTTTCAACCCAGAATTTCATATCCAGCCAAACTAAGCTTCATAAGTGAAGGGGAAATAAAATCCTCTACAGACAAGCAAATGCTGAGAGATTTTGTCACCACCAGGCCTGCCCTAAAAGAGCTCCTGAAGGAAGCACTAAACATGGAGAGGAACAACCGGTACCAGCCACTGCAAAAACATGTCAAATTGTAAAGACCATCAAGGCTAGGAAGAAACTACATGAACTAATGAGCAAAATAACCAGCTAACATCATAATGACAGGATCAAATTCACACATAACAATATTAACTTTAAATGTAAATGGACTAAATGCTCCAATTAAAAGACACAGACTGGCAAATTGGTTAAAAAGTCAAGACCCATCAGTGTGCTGTATCCAGGAAACCCATCTCACATGCAGAGACCCACGTAGGCTCAAAATAAAGGGATGGAGGAAGATCTACCAAGCAAATGGAAAACAAAAAAAGGCAGGGGTTGCAATCCTAGTCTCTGAGAAAACAGATTTTAAACCAACAAAGATCAAAAGAGACAAAGAAGGCCATTACATAATGGTAAAGGGATCAATTCAACAAAAAGAGCTAACTATCCTAAATATATACGTACCCAATACAGGAGGACCCAGATTCATAAAGCAAGTCCTGACTGACCTACAAAGAGACTTAGACTCCCACAAAATAATAATGGGAGACTTTAACACCCCACTGTCAACATTAGACAGATCAACAAGACAGAAAGTTAGCAAGGATATCCAGGAATTGAACTTGGTTCTGCACCAAGTGGACCTAATAGACATCTGCAGAACTCTCCACCCCAAATCAACAGAATATACATTCTTTTCAGCACCACACCACACCTATTCCAAAATTGACCACATAGTTGGAAGTAAAGCACTCCTCAGCAAATGTAAAAAACAGAAATTATAACAAACTGTTTCTCAGACCACAGTGCAATCAAACTAGAACTCGGGATTAAGAAACTCACTCAAAACCGCTCAACTACATGGAAACTGAACAACCTGCTCCTGAATGAGCAATCTTGACTACTGGGTACATAATGAAATGAAGGCAGAAATAAAGATGTTCTTTGAAACCAACAAGGAGAAAGACAAAACATACCAGAATCTCTGGGACATATTCAAAGCAGTGTGTAGAGGGAAATTTATAGCACTAAATGCCCACAAGAGAAAGCAGGAAAGATCTAAAATTGACACCCTAACATCACAATTAAAAGAACTAGAAAAGCAAGAGCAAACACATTCAAAAGCTAGCAGAAGGCAAGAAATAACCAAGATCAGAGCAGAACTGAAGGAAATAGAGACACAAAAAACCCTTCAAAAAATCATTGAATCCAGGAGCTGGATCAACAAAATTGATAGACCACTAGTAAGACTAATAAAGAAAAAAAGAGAGAAGAATCAAATAGACGCAATAAAAAATGATAAAGGGGATATCACCACCGATCCCACAGAAATACAAACTACCACCAGAGAATACTATAAACACCTCTATGCAAATAAACTAGAAAATCTAGAAGAAATGGATAAATTCCTCGACACATACACCCTCCCAAGACTAAATCAGGAAGAAGCTGAATCTCTGAATAGACCAATAACAGGCTCTGAAGTTGAGGCAATAATCAATAGCTTGCCAATCAAAAAAAGTCCAGGACCAGACGGATTCACAGCCGAATTCTACCGGAGGTACAAAGAGGAGCTGGTACCATTCCTTCTGAAACTATTCCTATCAATAGAAAAAGAGGGAATCCTCCCTAACTCATTTTATGAGGCCAGCATCATCCTGATACCAAAGCCTGGCAGAGACAAAACCAAAAAAGAGAATTTAAGACCAATATCCTTGATGAACATCGATGCAAAAATCCTCAATAAAATACTGGCAGACTGAATCCGGGAGCACATCAAAAACTTATCCACCATGGGTAAGTGGGTTTCATCCTTGGGATGCAAGGCTGGTTCAACATACACAAATCAATAAATGTAATCCAGCATATAAACAGAACCAGAGACAAAAAACACATGATTATCTCAATACATGCAGAAAAGGCCATTGACCAAATTCAACAACCCTTCATGCTAAAAACTCTCAATAAATTAGGTATTGATGGGACATATCTCAAAATAATAAGAACTGTCTATGACAAACCCACAGCCAATATCATACTGAACGGGCAAAAACCGGAAGCATTCCCTTTGAAAACTGGCACAAGACAGGGATGCCTCTCTCACCACTGCTATTCAACATAGTGTTAGAAGTTCTGGCCAGGGCAATCAGGCAGCAGAAGGAAATAAAAGGTATTCAATTAGGAAAAGAGGAAGTCAAATTGTCCCTGTTTGCAGATGACATGATTGTGTATCTAGAAAACCCCATCATCTCAGCCCAAAATCTCCTTAAGCTGATAAGCAACTTCAGCAAAGTCTCAGGATACAAAATCAATGTACAAAAATCACAAGCATTCTTATACACCAATAACAGACAAACAGAGAGCCAAATCATGAGTGAACTCCCATTCACAATTGTTTCAAAGAGAATAAAATATCTAGGAGTCCAACTTACAAAGGATGTGAAGGACCTCTTCAAGGAGAACTACAAACCACTGCTCAATGAAATAAAAGAGGATACAAAGAAATGGAAGGACATTCCATGCTCATGGGTAGGAAGAGTCAATAGTGTGAAAATGGCCATACTGCCCAAGGTAATTTATAGATTCAATGCCATCCCCATCAGGCTACCAATGACTTTCTTCACAGAAGTGGAAAAAACTACTTTAAAGTTCATATGGAACCAAAAAAGAGCCCGCATCATCAAGTCAATCCTAAGCCAAAAGAACAAAGCTGGAGGCATCACGCTACCTGACTTTAAACTATACTACAAGGCTACAGTAAGCAAAACAGCATGGTACTTGTACCAAAACAGAGATATAGACCAATGGAGCAGAATAGAGCCCTCAGAAATAGTGCCACACATCTACAATTATCTGATCTTTGACAAACCTGAGAAAAACAAGCAATGGGGAAAGGATTCCCTATTTAATAAATGGTGCTGGGAAAACTGGCTAGCCATATGTAGAAAGCTGAAACTGGATCCCTTCCTTACACCTTATACAAAAATCAATTCAAGATGGATTAAAGACTTACATGTTAGACCGAAAACCATAAAAACCCTAGAAGAAAACCTAGGCAATACCATTCAGGATGTAGGCATGGGCAAGGACTTCATGTCTAAAACACCAAAAGCAATGGCAACAAAAGATAAAATTGACAAATGAGATCTCATTAAACTACAGAGCTTCTGCACAGCAAAAGAAACTACCATCAGAGTGAACAGGCAACCTACAGAGTGGGAGAAAATTTTTGCAATCTACTCCTCTGACAAAGGGCTAATATCCAGAATCTACAATGAACTCCAACAAATTCTTGTTTTTTCCAACAAGAAAAAAACAAACAACCCCATCAAAAAGTGGGAAAAGGATATGAACAGACACTTCTCAAAAGAAGACATTTATGCAGCCAAAAGACACATGAAAAAATGCTTATCATCACTGACCATGAGAGAAATGCAAATCGAAACCACAATGAGATACCATCTCACACCAGTTAGAATGGCAATCATTAAAAAGTCAGGAAACAACAGGTGCTGGAGAGGATGTGGAAAAACAGGAACACTTTTACACTGTTGGTGGGACTGTAAACTAGTTCAACCATTGTGGAAGTCAGTGTGGCGATTCCTCAGGGATCTAGAACTAGAAATACCATTTGACCCAGCCATCCCATTACTGGGTATATACCCAAAGGACTATAAATCATGCTGCTATAAAGACACATGCACACGTATGTTTATTGCAGCAATATTCACAATAGCAAAGACTTGGAACCAACCCAAATGTCCAACAATGATAGACTGGATTAAGAAAATGTGGCACATATACACCATGGAATACTATGCAGCCACAAAAAATGATGAGTTCATGTCCTTTGTAGGGACATGGATGAAACTGGAAACCATCATTCTCAGCAAACTATCGCAAGGACAAAAAACCAAACACCGCATGTTCCCACTCACAGGTGGGAATTGAACAATGAGAACACATGGACACAGGAAGGGGAACATCACACTCTGGGGACTGTTGTGGGGTGGGGGGAGAGGGGAGGGATAGCATTAGGAGATATACCTAATGCTAAATGATGAGTTAATGGGTGCAGCACACCAACATTGCACATGTATACATATGTAACAAACCTGCACATTGTGCACATGTACCCTTAAACTTAAAGTATAATAATAATAAAATAAAAAATAAAAAAAATAAAAAGTCTTTGTCTTGTTTTATTATTTGTTTTGTCAGTTTTGTAGTTATGTTTTTCAAGAAATTTGTGCATTCATCTTAGTTGTCAAATTTATTGTTAAAAGTTGGTCAAAACATCCCATTATTATTATTTTTAATATCTATAGACTCTGTAGTAATGTGCTTTCTTTTTTTTGATTTTTGGAGATTCTTCTTTATTTTTTGTTAATCTCTTGCTAAAGATTTATCAATTTTATTACTCTTAAAAACAGAAACCCTTGACTTTTTCATTATTTTGAAAATTTTAACTTTATTGATTTGTATTTCTATTTTTATTTCTTCTATTCACTTTGAGTTTTATTTGCTCTTTTAAAAAACTAATTTCTTATGGTGGAAACAGACTTTATATATTCCTTTTTTTCTAAATAGGTGCTGAAAGCAATATGTTTCACCATACGGACTATTTACATCCCACGTATGTTGTTTTTTTATTATTTAATTCAAATGTTTTAAAATTTCTCTTAGCGTTTCTTATTTTACTCATTATTTATTTAGAAGCATTTTCTTAATTTTCAACAGATTTAGATTTTAAAGCATTTATTATATTTGATTTCTTATTTAACACTGATGTGGGCAGAGAACATACTGTTAGATTTTAATCTCTTCACGTTTATTGAGACTTTGCTTTACTGTCTAGCATATGGTCAAGCTTAGTGAGTGTTCCATGAGCACTTGAGAAGAATATGTAGTCTGCTGTTGTTAAGTAGACTGTTCTTTCAATGTCAGTTACATAAAGGTGGTTGATACTGTCTTTAAAATTCTCCAGTATCTTTGCTGATTTTTTGATTACTTGTTCTTTCAATTATTGAGAGAAAATTTGTATTGATTAGGATTCAGTCTGAAAAGTAGAAACAGTAAGTGATATGGAAAAAGAAAACTAGACCTTATGCAATTATAAAACAGACCTTATTTTTTAGAGCAGTTTTGAGACTTTATGCAATTTTAAGAGCTGGTGAAGAAACCTATGAACTGTTGTTTCCTCTCTTCCTGGTGCTAGCTCTAAACTTGATATGGATTAGTGGAGCTGGTAGTAAGAAATAAAAATTAGATTGAAGCAGAGAAAGGAAATTACAAATTGAAATTTGTAAGGAAAAAGTGGACTCCATCAGGATAGACCAGAACATGAATCTTTAATTCCTTTTAATTAACATAAAGAAGCATAACTAAAAAGTAAATCCAGAGGTAAAATGGAATACTAAAAATACTAAATTTAAGAAAAGAGGCAGAGAAGGAGGTGAAGAAAAAAGCCTTTTAATTCTTTTCATGAAACGAGTGACCTACAGAAGGAATGGTCACCCTTCACCATAGACGTGCATATGTGCATTGCTCAGGACTCAAGAGAAGTTAAGAGAGCAGATCCAATGGGAGATTGAGTTGCTGTAGGATCCATGTGTGCCAGATGAAGCAACAGCTCAGTAACAATATGTGTGAGTTACAACAGCACTTGGTGTTCTACATCAACATTCAGAGTGTAATGGCTGCTGCTTCACTTTTGCTCTCTAAATCTTACTTCAGTTTTTCTTGTGACCAAAAGTGAGTTAAAACCACACAAAAGGGCATTCTATGAAACATATCTAGCTTTGCTATGTCAACACAAGGATGTTAAATTCTCTAATTATATTTGTAGATTTGCCCAATTTTTCTCTTTAGTTCTGCCAAGTTTTGTTTCTTTTATTCAGTAGCTTTGCTTCTTTTATTCAGTAGCTTTGTTGTTTGGTACATATATATTTATCTGCTACCTACATGCTAATGGGGCTTTTAATTTCTAGCATTTTCATTAACCTTTAAAAATATAGTTTCCATCTCCATATTGAAATTTCCCATCTTTCATACATGTTGTTCATCATTTACATTAGCTCCTTTAATACAGTTTTTTATTACAGGTATTTAAAAATCCCTGTTTAATTGTAACCTCTGGATTATAATTATAATTATAATTATATCAGTCTGATTTTATTGGATGTTTCATCTTCTGTATTAGTTATGTTGGCTGCTATAACAAGATACTACAGATTGGGTGGCTTGAACAACAGTCATTAATTTTCTCACAGTTCTGGAGGCTGGAAGTCTAAGATCAAGGTACTAGCAGGGTTGGGTTTTGGTGAAGCATCTCTTCCTGGCTTGCAGATGGCCACCTTCTTGCTGTGCCCTCACATGGCACTTTTTCGGTGCAAGTGCAGAGAGAGAGAGGAAGAAAGAGAGAGAAAGAGAAAGGTCTCTGGTATCTCTTCCTCTTCTTAGAGGGACACAAATCCTATCAGATTAGGGCCCCATTCTCATGACCTCATTTAATCTTAATTACATTCTTAAAAATCCTATCTTCAAGTGCAGTCACACTGGTGGTTAGGGCCTCAACATATGAGTTTTGGGAGACACAATTAAGTCCATAACATTCTCCCAAGGAGAGGTCACATTACCTTGCTTCTTTGTGTATCTCATAATTTTTTATTAAATACTGCACTGTGTGTGTAAAAGAATAGTAAATCTTGAAGTGCATAACATTTTTGCCCATAAAATGCATTTCTCTTATTTTGTTTCACTAGGGGACTGTGTTAATCTAGTTTGTAGTTGAGCTGGGTTTGGACTTAGTGGTTGTGTTAGTTGTATTCGGTTTACCTCTGGGTTCAAATTAATTGAAGATGGTATAAGGCTCTTCCCTCTAGCAGACTTGTGTTCTAAATGCCTGGATATTACCTTGCCCTAAGCATTCAGCAGGCCCCACATGCCCATGCCTCACGGAGCCTCTCTCAGGTATCCTGCTTTCCTCAACCACAGTTGGCTGCTGCCTTTGTACTCAGTGTAAGGCTCAGAGTGCCCAGAGTGTCTCTCCCAGATCTCCAGCCCTGGCATCAGACTCTATCAGACCCCTCATATCAGAACTTTCAAGGGGGTTTGTCTCAGCTCTCCTCTCCTTCCTCAGCTATAGACTGCTACCTCCTTGTGCTCAGGGTAGGGTTTAGAGTTTCTGGAATGTTTCCTTCAGTCTTTCCATTCTGTCCTCAGACTTCAGTGGGCCTCACATGCTTGCATCTCATGGGGGTCTCTGTCACCTCTTTTGCTCCTATTCCAGCTACAGGTGACCACTTCTTCATACTTCCTGAGGGCCTAGGGTGCCTGGAGGATTTCTCGTAGATTTTCCATTCTTCCTTCAGATACCAGTGGGTCCATTATGCCTGGGTCTCAGGGGATTTTATCTCAGAAACTGTGGTCTGTCCCCAGTCTTCTTGTAAGCACATGGGGAAGGCCTATGGATAAAAGCTGGGAGGTGGGTGTAGACTCTGTTTTTGAGAAGCTTAGGGATGCTGAACCATCAGCCTTAAAAGTTTATTAAAAGTTGTTAAATAAACTATTGTGTTTTACCCATGTCAATGGTAGCTTCTTGCTTCTCCTTCTGCTCAAGCAAGGATGAAAGCAGCCACAGGTTTCTTTCTTTTCTTTTTTTTTTCCCAGGAGGGTGAGATAAAGCAAATTGTCTAATCAGGTTCTGAAGAATCGGAGACAGTAACCACTATTGAGTTTTACTTCTAATTTCAAGTATGCAGGTCAGGTAATAAAGAGGCTCAGACAAAGCACAAGAGATCAGAGATGCTGAGGGTAGCTCTCAGATCCTCTCTACATCAGAGACATGTGCTTGGTTCAGAGTAGACAGGATCTCTAAGTAAAATATTGAGTTATTATCTCATATAGTGAGAGTGTTTAATCATGATACATCTCCATTTTATACCGTGGTTTATGTGCCATTTTCTAAGGAGCTATGACTCATAAATCCATATATTATGGGTCAGTAATAATCCTTAACTAGTGATAAGAATATTCTTATGTCAAGAATATTCCACAGAGAAGGACCCTTCTCCTATAAAATATAATTAGCCTATTCACTTGGAATTCTAGTTACTTTGTCAACCAGGATTAGACTAGATTACCCACCTTCTTTAATGTTTTCTATTATAGCAGCATCTCCCTGGTAAAGGAAGTAAATGAATCACAGTTCAGCTGCTTTAATTTCCAGAGGGGCTTGTTCTGGAGTCCTTAGTTCATTGTGGTGATGGTGGTGGTTCTTCCTTTTCATTCTCAGCTGTTTGATGGCTTAAAAAATACTATCATTTATGTTAAAGCAAACTAAATATTGCCTGAGATAGACTCCATACTTCTATATTTGAGTCCTTGTGGATGAACTGTAACCTAGCTTAATAGCCAGACAAGATTGAAAACCTAACTCAGGAGTATGCGCCTGTAACAATAACTGAGTCTTGGCCAATCTCAGCGGCCAGACTTCAGCCACTCACAGAATGCTAAGTGTTCACACTGTGTTCAAATAAGGGAAATGCCAACCTGTAACCTATCCAGCTGTTTCCGTACCTCACTGCCGACTTCTGTATGTCATTTCCCTTTTTATGTCTAAAAATCTTCTTCCATCACATGGCTATGCTGGAGTCTCTGTGAATCGGCTGTGATTCTGGGGGCTGCCCGATTTGCGAATCATTCATTGCTCAATTAAACTCCTTTAAATTTAATTTGGTTGAAGTTTTTCTTTTATCATTTGTAAGTTATCCATTTCTTATTGTTAGAATGAGAGTGACATCATTTTGGATTTTCTACATTCTAAGCTGAAGTGTCTACATTTTAAGCTGAAGTGGTGCTTTAATATGGCATTTGATGTCATTGAATTTGGAGAAAATTTCCTGTATTACTTATTTTAAAATATTGTCTTCTCCTTCTAGATTTCTTTTCATTGGATATTACTTTTTGTAGATTAATTCTCTAATTTTCTTATGTTTTCTTTTTTATTGTTCATCTCTTTTTTGTTCCTTCAAGAGCTTCTTGATTGACTTGTTCAATTATTCTACTGAATTTATATCAATTTAAAATGTGTAATTTCAGAAAGTTCTTTCTTGTTTCCTGACTGTTCCTTTTATAGTATACTTTTCATATATCATGAGTTCATTTCTTTTATATCTCTCTGAGAAATTAATATGCTTATTCTAAAATCTTTTTCTGCCTTCTGTATTGTCTGTCTTACCTATGTTTCTTTCTTTTCTGCTTGTTTTAGTTTCTTCATAATGAAGGTTTTGCTTAAGTGTCTAGTGATCCTTGTTGCCCACTCGTATTTAAGTCAAGCAATAAAAAGCTCATTGGAATATTTTCCATTGGAGAAGGGAACTCTGGTGACTCCCTCTGAAGGGTGATCAGGTATGAACAGCTTTTCTTTTGGGAGATTCCAAGATCCAGTGTCTGTAAGATCCTCTTGTAAGTGGTCAGTCTCTCTAGAGAAGAATTATCAACTCTTTGGTCTGAGAGGTGAGACCTGGCTCTTGGCATAAAGGTGAAATGGGAGCTGGTTACCCCCACTGTTTACTATGCATATTTTTGTTAGCTCTTGATCTTCTTATCTTCTGTGTTATAAGTCTAGATCTCTCAGGTTAAAATTTTCAGCAAAAATTCCTCAACTCTGTGAGATGAAGAGGAGGTAATTGCCTAGATTCTTCAGTTTGATAAAAGAATATGGCATTTAAATAGTCTATATACTTTAAACCAACTCTTTCATTCATGCCCGAGCTTTACACTTCTATTTTTTATGTCTGCTACCTCTGTGTCTCTTTGCTCAACTCACTAGAGGAAGATGCAATCTAAATACCTTTAGCATACACTAAGTTAGTTACTGCATCTTTATCCACTTTCCATCTTTTACAGCTCCATTGATATCAGGGATGATGTTGTCCTTTCCTTGTTCTTTTTTATTGTCCTATGGAACTATAGTATTTATGTTCTATACCTAACTGATCCTAGTTTTCTTTTAAGAACTTGAAATAGCATGACCGACACTATCTTCATTAGAACAGAATGAACTACAATATCAATTTTTCACTGTTTTGGTTCATTTTGTTCAGAGATCACCATGTAATTTCAAGTTCTGGCAATGTGGTACCTTGGAGAAAATCTAATATTGGCACTTGTAGGTTACTATAGGCATTTGTGTCTCAGTGGGCAGTGAGCTTGGTATCAGTGGCCAAAAGCTTATTACTTGGGGACTCTGGAAGAGCAACCATTGTTTGGCATGACCCAAACTAGGCATATCCATTGTGATCTTTTCCCAAATACAAGGTTCTCACTATGGGCTCAGATGAGGAAGAGGCAGGATTTCCAGTTCTTAGCACCACAGTGCTCTAGAAATACTCTAGGAGTGTGTGCCAAATTGAAAGAAATCTTACTCCAGTAATTCCTGGATTTTTGCTGGCTCTATTTCTCAAAGAATCACCTTGTCCTATCTGAACCATCCAATAGGATCCAGATGGCATTGCCTTACCCTCTCTCTGTATAATTCCCCTATTACACACCTCCCTTTCAGTAGTCATTAAAACCAATGAAGTTGTTTTTCAAAGATTCTTCATCAGTTCTTTTAAGGAGAAAGAGGATATTGAATACGGAACTTGCTATTGCTACATTGCTGCTACATTTGATTTTCCACTTGATATCTATGTCAGCTCTTTGGGCAGCCTCATCTGCTGCCTTTTAAAAATATAACTATTATATAAAAGAAAGTATGATATTAGTAGAAAACAACATTTAAAGAGGAAATGATGAAGAGAGAGAGGAAGTTGATGGGCATCAAAAGAATGGTGTCAGCAGTTTCATTTGAGAGTAGTATAATTAATGTTTTAAGCCCTTGAGATCACACAAAGAATCCAAAAGAGAAAAATCCCTTATCCATTTTTCTTCCTCTTCCTCGGATGGACACAAAATAATTCAGGAAGATTACTTCATAGTTTCTGGGTTAGGTTAGGATATAGGGGAAGAAATTTCAGTTATCATTTACTGTAACTGCGTTCAGGAAAAAAATTCTTAACAGCGTTGCTGTCTCCAAAACTGCTAGAATTTCTAGGTTAAACAAGGCCTAAATATTTCAGGGCATTTCACCAGTGACAAATTGAAGAATATACCTATAGGTAAAACAATTCTGGTATTTTCTTTCAGAGAGAAGATAGTAACTAAATATCTGAATCACAAAGATCTGTTACTGTTTCTGTGGGGAGAAAGTTTTCTTGATGTACTTTTGTTAAAGTAAAAATAGAAGTGCCTAGCTTCCTTCTCTTTTATAAAACAATATATTTAGCTGACAAATCCAACAAGCAACTAAAGCAAAACCAAACATAGAAGAATCATAAGAAGTATTTAGATTGTACTCCAAATAAAATTTCATGTCATCTCCATAAGAGTTTAGTCAGGAAAAAACTAAAAGCTGGCAATTTTACTGACATGTGCATCTCCAGGGGTCAGAAGCATAGCTATTCATTTTGAAATCATCAGGGTCTTGCACCATGTTTGGAATACAGTAGGTGTTAATGAATGTTTGAATAAATAAATGGATAAATAAACTGGAAACAAAAATACCTGGAACGGACCATTATAAGATAGTGTGCTTCCCCACAGTGACAGTAGGAAAGCTCTCATAGTCCTCATGGCCAAGTGAGAGCCTGATCATGCTGATGATCAGGGCCCAGGGTTCATTGTTTCCTGGCAGTTGCCACTAGCTCCATCCATCAATGGGCTAGAGAGCACATGATCTCCCTCCAACTAGCCCTTCCAGCTTTATCCTTCGGTATCCCCGACATGAACCCTCTCCTTTGGTCCAACTGTTCTACTCATTGTTTTCTGTACACCTTAACTCGCGTTCCTCTCTGTGCCTCTGTTCACATTGAACTTGGAATGTAGTCCTTTGCATTTCTGCTTATAATATTCTACCTATGTTAAATACCAAAATTCTTCTAGAAGACCTCTTACCCCCAGTCATCCTTATTTTAAGTAAGGCTGTCTTAGAGTACTTGTTATCTCTTCTACCACATAGCATTGATTATGGGCTCCCTTGTACTGTAGTTATTTCAGAAACTAAGGAATCTATCTCACATATCATTTTTCCCCTTCAGAAGCATTTAAATTTGATGAATTAACTGATTGATAAATTCGGCATCAAGTATTTATTATTTTTACCATGTAACATGCAGGCATCATGAAGAATGCAAAAGTAATTTGAATAATGATTATAGTCTACCAAGGGAGACAGGACACATAAAAGTTGCTGCAGTACAAAGTAAATCGTTAAAAAAATAATGACCCATATAAAACATTACAGGGTTAAGAGTGCTGATTCCAGGTTTGGGGATAACAGGAAAGTTTAATTAAAGAGGTGTTATTTTTGCTGGTTTTCAATGAAGAACAGGATAAAGACATGGAGAAGAGCATTCCAGGAAAAAGAAACACTTAAACCAACCGTGGGTCTGGAGTACGGAAGTGCTAGAATTTCTGGGAACAGAGAGCGAGAGAGTGGTTCAATTTGGTTTAGGTCTTGGATATTTGATGGAGTGTTTTAGGAAATAAAGGTAGAAAAAAGATCTGGGATATATTATACAATAAGAAGTTGTGACTTTTTTCTGCAGTCAAAGGCATTTGAGAAGGAAGTTATGAAGTCATGTTTGATCAGAGCTGTACCTTCAGATTAGATTAGCGTAAGTGAGAATATGCTTTAGAGAAAGAGAGGTACCAAAGGAGGAGTGGATTGCTCCAGTCTATACAGAAGTAATGAGAACAGGATAGTGGGAGTGGGAATTAAGAGGAGAGGATAGTTTTAAATAGAAAATCCAGATCTGATCAGCTGAATTGGGCATCAGAGTCAGACTTTAATCCTGAGCGACTGTATATGATTTGTTATAAAATAAACTGCAGAATACAGAATAAAATACATTTGTAAGGCAAAGTCTTACATTCAGTCATTGACAGAGTGAGGGTGAAGCATTATAGGGAAACCTAGGTGAACATGTCTCCCATAGCAATAAAAAATGTGGCAGAGACTGGAGGGCTGGAGATAGAGGGGTTGGGAACCATGTTTCTAAAAGTCATAGTTGAAGTCTTGATATTGAATGAGAGTGTCAAGGGAGAGAGTATAAACAAGAATAGGGAAGGGTTCCAAAGGCTTATCCCCTAGGAAAGCCTGAACTTAGGGGGTCAGGAGCAGAAAGGGGAGCCTGATAAGTAGGCAGCAATCAGGTTGTAGATGGAGGAGGAACACCAAGAGAGTGTTGTGTTATAAATGTCAACAGAAGAGGAGATTTTCAAGAAAGGGTCATCTGTTACATTAAATGTTGCAGAGCTGTAAAGGTGAAAGGGAATTTGGCTTGTTACTACATAATCCGATAATGACTTCTGATAGTCTAGCTTCAGTAAATTAGTAGAAGGCAAACACCAGATTACAAGGATTTAAGAATGTGTGGGGAATAAAGGAGTGGAGGCTGCAAAGTATTTGGAAAATTTGATGGTAAGGGGAGACTCAGTAAGGTAGTGATAAGGGTAAAGAGACCCAGGACAACATTTCAAGAAAGGAGGAAGATCCCCTCACCTTTTTGTGTGTGTTTGTTTTGTTTTGAGAAGGAAGAGACTATTGACAGGCTTAGCTGAAGGTGAAGATGCAAGAGACAAGAGTCAGCTGAAGACTGATCTTCAGAGGGCTCTCTCATAAAGATTTCTAAGGCTGTCTACACCAGAACACACAAAAAATAATCATCACAGCAAGTCTTTCCCTTTTACATTATTAAACAAAACACTTAATAGTAGTATTTTGAGATATTAATTGTAAACAGATAAATTAGAAGATGAAATAACTCACCATATTAAGGATTACAAAAGAATTGTTCAGATAAAGGTTAATTTCTCAAGGGTTTCTTCACAGATCATTAAATGCTCAATAGTGTGAAGAACTAAAAGCTGTAGTATTCCAATCCAATGCTGATAAAATATCACCAGAAATTAAGATAAAACAAACCAAAACTACAGAGCTAAAAGGGACATTTATATTTTGTGATTTAAAGTTCACATTTAAAATATGAATTTTTTATTCATATTTACCACTTTACCAAAATTTTTAATTCATATTTATTTACTTTACCAAAAAGGAAGCTAAATCACCCTTCTGTTCTATTTAATATAAAATACCTGGGACCCTGAATGTGCCCAGCTACTCATTTTGTGCCTGCTGGGAAAGCCCCATCAGAAAAGTCATTTGGATCACCTGAGTGGGCTAGAAGGCAGCATGAAGATGAATCATCACTGTAGAAAGTTCTGAATGCATGCTGTCTTCAAGAAAATTAATTATGCATCTGTAGTGTTCATTTTTACTGTATAATGCTATATGAAAATGTTGTATAAGATTAAAAAAAACCCTTAAGTTCTATAACCATTTTTAGCACAGCAAAGGTGATATAGCACCTATTTAGAGAGAGCACTCTAGTGTTTCAATTATTGTACACACTGCTGTAGGTGCTTTCAGGGCTTAGTAACTATATAGGGCTAAAGTATTAGACAGGGGCAAGAAAATTCTTAGAATGAAAGTCATATATTTGAACTCTGAAGAGTTGCAGAGGGACCCAGTCAAGTATTCATTTCAGTTTTGACCAGCACTTACATTTGAGGAAATTATCCAGAGCTGGAAAAATAACCACTCAAAAGGAACAGATGGAATAATGCACAGCATTCACACAGGGCCAGGATTAGTATCTGATCCCACTAGCTAGACTGGAAAATGTTATAATTTACAGGACGCTGGGTAGACTATTTAAAGGTTCTTGCCTTTACAGTGAACAATAATGCCCTAAATGAAACATGGCTCTGATCCTGCCTAACAAATTTTAAAAGCAAGACCTAAAAGGATCGAACTGTTTTGAAGTATTTTAATTGCATCTGAGAACAAAGCTCAAGAATCTTTTTGAGGTTCAAAAATATTCTGCATTCAACAGGTAAAATCACAACATCTGACATCCCATCAAAAATTATCAGGTATGCAAAGAAGTAGGAACTTATGACCTGTAATGAAAAAAAAAATCAATCAATTGAAACCAATCCAGAACTGGTATAGATGTGAGAATTAGCACTTATGTCATTTAAACAGTTATTATAACTATGTTGTATGTTCAATAAGATAAGTAGGGACATGGAAGACATAAAAAGACCCAAACCAACTTATAGAGATGGAAACTGGCCAGGTGCCGTGGCTCATGCCTGTAATCCCAGTGCTTTGGGAGGTTGAGGCGGGAGGGTCCCTTGAGCTCAGGAGTTTGAGGCAGTGGAGAGCGATGATTGTGCCACGGCACTCCAGCCTGGGTGACAAAGCAAGATTCCATCTCTAAAACAAAAACCAATGCAGATGAAAATCACAATGTCTGAGACGACACTGGGTGGGATTAATGGCAGATTGGACATTGCAGAAAAAAATAATGAACTTGAAGATATAGCAATAGAAACAATTCAAAAGTAAACACAGAGAAAAAGGAACAAAAAAATAAATAGTGTAATCAGTGAGCTGTGGAACAACTTCAAGTAGCTTAATATAGCTGTAACTGTAGTTCCTTAAAAAATACAGAAAAGTATTTTTAAAAAGATGTTGTAAGCTTCCCAAATTTAGTGAATTATAAACCCACAGATCCAAGAAGTACAATGAAACCCCAAACCAAGCAATTTGAAGAAAACTGCATAAAGCAGATTATTAAACTGTATAAAAATATTGATGAAGAGAAAGTCTTACAGGCATGAAGAGAAAGAAGACACATTATGTACAGAGGAACAAATATAAAGATGAGAGGAGACTTTTCACCAGAAACAACGCAAGTGAGGAGACAGTGACTCAACATCTTCAAGTGCCAAAAAGAAAAACTGTCACATAGAATTATATACCCAGTGAAAATATCCTTGAGAAACAGGATAAAATAAGGACATTTTTAGACATACAAAAGTCTGAATTATTCATCATTAGCAGAGTCACACTACAAGAAATGTGAAAGGAATTTGTGCAATCAGAAGGAAAAAGACATCAGATAGAAATATTGATCTACACAAGAAATGAAGAACATGAAATGGTAACTACATGAGTAAATACATAAGATATTTTTCTTATTATTTAAATATTTTAAAAGAAAATTAAATATTAAAAGAAAACAATGACAATGTAGTGTATGGTTTGTATTAAACATATGGTGGTAGGCAGAATTCTAGAAATGTTTCCCAAGATTCCATTCCCTAATCCCCAGAACCATTGAATCTGATGATAATATCATTCCTGTGATTATGTTGTATTCTACAGCACAGCTGAGTTTAAGATAGGGAGGTTACCCAGGTGGACCTGACTAACTATATGAGTCCATTTAAACAGAGTTTCCTCCATTTGTTATCAGAAGGGGAAGGCAGAGGTATTGAATACCTCAATATTGAATACCGCAAGAAAGACTGGGTGCATTGATTTGTTTGTAGATAAAAAGGTTCAAGTGCAAGGACCAGAGAGTGGCTGCAATGACCTGAAAGTAAACCCTGGTCAACAGTCAGCTAGGAAATGGGAACTTGATTTCTAAAACCATAAGGAACTATAGTCTGTTAATAACAGAAATGAGCTTGCAGCAAGACCCACACTCGAGATGAGAATACAGCTGGCTGATATCTTGATTTCGACATTGTGAGAACCTGAACAGAAAATCCAGCGAGGTCATTCCAGACTTACAGAAGTCTGAGATAATAAATGGGTGTTATATTAAGTCTCTAAGTTTATGGTAATTTATTATGCAGAAAACCAAAGAGAAAACTGACATAAATAGACAAATAATAGACATATGTAGAAGTAAAATGTATGACAAAAATAACACAGAGGCTGAAATGGGCAAAATAAAACTACACTGTTTAAGCAATCTTACGGTATATGTAAGTTGTATATTATCACTTGAAGGTAATCTGTGATATGTTAAAGACGTACACTATAAACTGTAAAGCAAATACTAAAATAATAAATTATTATTGTTAATACTGCCAATAAAGGAGACAAGATGGAATCATAAAAATATTCAGTTAATTCAGAATAAGGCAGAAAATAAACAAGAGAGCATAGATCATATGTGAAAAATAGAAAAAAGTATCAAGATAAGTTTAAATCTAACCATATCCATAGTTAACACTAGTTGTAAATGGACTAAACACCCCAATTAAAAGGCAGATATTTTCACATTATATATATATGCTGGTTAAGAGAAATGCACCTTAAGTGTAAAGACACAAGAAGGTCAAAACTAAAAGGATAGAAAAAAATATATTGACAATAGTCAAAAGGAAGCTAGGGTGGCTATATTAATAATAGACAAAGTAGATTTCAGATTTTATCCTGAGATAAAGTAAGGTACTTTATACTGATAATGATGTCAATTTACCAGAAGAAAAGAACATTCCTGAATGTTCATACGCTCAATAACAGAGCATCAAAATACTGGAATCAAAAACCGATAGAACTGCAAGAACAAATAGACATATCCACAGTTATAATCAGATATTTCAGGATCATTCTCTCCACAATTGATAGAACAAAGAGACAGAAAATCAGTAAAAATATAAGAAACTTGGACAAAACAATCAAATGACTTAATTCATATTAAGAAGTATTTATACAGAACTTCACCCGAAAAAGCAGCATAGATATTTACTTTCAAGTGTATATAGAATATTTACAAAGATCATATTCTGGGCCACAAAACGTATCTCAATAAATTTAAAAAGAATTAAAGTTTTACAAAGTCTGTTCTCTGGCTACAATGAAATTAAATTAGAAATCAATAACAGAATGATTTTCTGGCAAATCCTCAAATATTTGGAAACTAAATAAGACACTTCTAAATTGCCCATTGGGTCAAAGAAACGATCAAAAGGGATCAAGCTTGATGAGTCAGTAGGAAAAAATGTAAAAAAAGAGAGCTCAAAAGGGAAATAAGAAAGTACTATGAACTGAATGAAAATGAAATTACAACATATGAAATCGGTGGGATGCTGATAAATCAGAAATTATAAAAAATTTAAAGCACTAAGCAAAGAAATTAAAAACATTCAGTTTGGAAAGGAAGAAAGGAAACCATCTTTATTCATAGACAATATAATCTTCCATGCAGAGAATCCAATGGAATCTACAAAAAGCTATAAGAACTGAGTTAGCCAGATGGCAGGATACATTAGTATGCAAACATCAGTTGTATTTGTACATACTAACAATGAACATGAGAAATTGAAAAAAATCATTTAAAATAGCTTCAAAAGTATGAAAATACCGCTGTATTTGATAAAAGGTGAGCAAGATCTGTTTACTGAAATCTAAAAAATATTACTGGGAAAAACTCAACAATGGAGAGATATACAATGTTCATATGTCAGAAGAATCAATGTTGCTATAAGGTCATTTCTCCCCAAATTGATCTAAAGATTTAATGCAATCCCAATAAAAATTCTCACAGGCTTTTATATGTGAATTGCCAGCTAATTTTAAAATTCAAATAGAAAATGCAAAAGATCTAAAATAACCAAGACAGCTTTATAAATTACATATAGACATTATAAATGACATTAACTAAGACAGTGTGATATTGGTATGGACAAATGAATGGACAAATGGACAAATGGATGAATATAATAAAGAGTCCAAAATTAGACATATTTAGAGATAACTGATTTTTTTTTTTAAAAGATGCCAAAGCAATTCAGTGGAGAAAGGATGGACTTCTCAACAAATGGTGGTGGAACAGTTGGATATTCATAAGCAAAACAAGAGCTTTGATTTATATCTTACACTATATGTAAAACTTGATTCAAAATGGGCTATAGATCTAAATGAAAGAACTGAAATTATAAAACTTTTAGAAAAACATAGAGAAAATCTTTTTAAACCTAGATTAGGCAGAGATTTTTAAGATATGGCACTCAAAGCTCAATCTATAAAAATACATTTATATATCAGACAATCAAAATTATAAGCCTTTCTTGAAAGACACTGGTAAGAGAACAAATAAACAAGCCACAGCCTGGCAGAAAATATTTGCAAGTCATAGCTGATAACAGACTTGTATCAAGAATAGTTAAAGATCTCTAAAAATCCAACAATCAAAAAACACCCAATGAAAATTGGAAAGAAGATTTCAAATGACACTTCACCTAAGAAGATCTATAGAGAGCAAATAAGTATATGAAAAGATGTTCAACATCATTTGTTATTGAGAAATGCAAATTAAAGTAACTGACCATAACAAATGTTGGTGAGGATATGGAGGAACTATAACTCTCTTATGCTGCTGATGGGTATGTAAAATGATGTAACCTCTATGGAAGACAGTGTGGGCTAAGCTGAATAGTGGCCCTCAAAGAGGCTTATATCCTAATCCCTGGAGTCTGTGAATCTGTTATGTGGTAAAAGGAAATTTGCAGATGTGATTACATGAAAAATTTTGAAAATTAAAGAGATTATCGTGAATTACTCAGGTGACATCAATGCAATCACAAGGGTCCTTAGAAGAGGGAGATAGGAGAATCAGAGCCAGTAGCTGGAGATGTGAACACAGAAGTATGAGGTTAGAATGTCCTGAGGAATGGGCCATGATCTAAGGAATGCAGGCAGGTTGGAAGTTAAGGAAAGCAAAAGAATTTGCCCCTGAAGCCTCCAGAAAGAACATAGCCTGGGTGACATCTTGATTTTAGACTTTTGACCTCTAGAGCTGTAAGAGACAAATTGGTGTTGTTTAAAGCTGCTCAGTTTGTGGCAATTTGTCACAGCAATATTAGGACTGGCAGATTCTTAAACTGTTCAATATACATCTACAAGTATCCTAGTGCCTCTACTCCCAGATATTTAGGTTAGAAAAATGAAAGCATATGCCTATTCAAAGCTTATATGTGAATGTTTGCAGCAGCTTCATTGGTGTAACTGCCAAAACCTGGAAACTAGCCAAATGTCACAGGTGAGTGGTTAAAGAAATCATGATATATTCATACAATGGGATATTACCAAGCAATAAAAAGAATGAATTATTGATAGACACAACAACGTGGATTACTCAGAATTATTACACTGTTTAAAGAAGCTGGAGAAAAGAGTACAGTATAATTCCACTTTTAAAAATTCTGGAAAATGTAAACTGCAGTGACAGATCAGTATTTGCTTAGAAATGGGGAAGGGTGAGAGAACAGGAAAGAGTGGAAGGGAAGGATTACAGAAGATCATGAGGAAACATTTTGGGGGTGATGGATATGCTCATTGTCTTGATTGTGTGATGGTTTTATAGGAATATACATCATCAAAACTTATCAAATTGTATACTTAAAATATGTGAATTTATTTTATGTGAATTATACCTAAAACAAAAACAATGACAAAGCATACATACCTTTACAACAAAGGTTGTTATGAAGCTTAAATGAGCTATTATGCATATAACACTTGCTAAAATTCCTGACACAGAGTAAGCATTAAATAAAGTCCAGCTGTTATTATTTTTTAGTTCAGAGGGGGAAGTGCTAGAGCAGTAATTGTGAATTACCAATAGTCTTTTGAAAGAAATGTCAAGTCGAATTTCCTCACAGTAGATATGGGAAAAAAATGAGGAACAGATATCAAATTTAGAATTTTATTAAATATATTGCACAAAAATATGTTGCAATAAGAGTGTGGCTTGATAATACTCTTTCTATTTTAGGGTAGGAGCTGTGAAATTCTTTCTTGTTCTTGGTATATAAAGTTTGCTTACTGAGTGGCAAGGGTTCTATCATATTCTTCTTGGACACAGTAGCTGCTTAGCAAATATCGGTCAGATTGAACAGAATTAATAGTCATCTCTGTCTTTCTAATCCAGGAACCTGAAATTCATGGCCACATGTGCTATGCAGTTAATTAACCTCAAAACAATTTTGGAGATTCCTTGCCTCAAGACACTTATTCTTCCCTGATGTAAAATATTTAGGTAATGATAGACATGAAACAGTGACTTATGCAAAGAACATACCTGGGAAACTCCAGAAACTGTAGGGGGAAGTGTCTAGGAGAGGTGAGGTTGGATTTGGCTGGGTTTGGCGGGGTACTTTCATTTCTCATGGTTTCCACATGTTCTTTCCTGAGTGGAGTAGACTCTTCATCAGCCAATAGATATTTGTATCTTCTTCTCTAGTTTTCGTTCTTGCTGGGGGTAGGAGTTGGGTACTGCTGTGTGGAATGAAAATTATTTCTTCCACATTGTGCCTACTCTGAAATTTGTCTCTCACATGGCACTAAGTAACTCCATGCTGGTTGCATGATAGGCCATAGAAAGGTTTAACAGCCACACTTGGTTTCTCCTCCACAGCTAGTTTTATCACACAACATTATCACTTTGAGAGCATATTACTTAATCAATAAAATCCCAAAGTATAATTGTTTGTAACTGGTCAAGTTTACCATCTCAGTGAGGGTAGGACTGTAAATCTTTAGTGTTCTTCAGGATTGACTGAAAAACTTGCCCATCACAACATAGATCTTAATCTGTGGTATAGATCTTAATTAAAAAAATGTTTTCTCATTATAAAGGCACTACATGAAGAAGACACTTTTTATATATAATTAACATATGAAAGATGCTCATTCTCCTTAATAATCAAGGGAATGTGGATCAAAATCATAATGAGACATGACGAAGTTGACAAAGATTTTACTCAAGTGTTGGTGAGGATATGGAGTAAAAACAACTTTAATATACTGCAAGTGGGAGTATGAACTGACACAGTCACTTTGAAAACAGTTTGGTATGCCTGGTAAAACTGAACTTGTGTGTGCTCTTTGATATAGCAATTTCACTGGAAACTCTTCTTGCATGTGTGTACTCAGACATAAAAAATTACAAAAACCCATACATGGATAAGTCGATTGAAGTATATTCATATAAGGAAATACTACAGAGCAGCAAAAATACATGAATTACAGCTACATGCATCAACATGAATAAATCTCCAAAATATAAAGTTGAGAGAAAGAAGGAGGACATGGAAGAATACATAAGCAGATGCTAAATTCCATTTCGAACATGTTAAATGTGAAGTGCTTACTGAACATCTTTGTGGAAATATCCAGGTTATGGGTGGAAATGCGGATCTGAAGCTCAAGATTCAGGTAATAGATATGGGCAGTATTTAATGAAGTGAGAACTGAAGCCATGAGTGAGATGGCAAAGGAGATAGAGGTAAGGTGGGTGATGGTAACCACTCTAATGAACTTCTGAGTTTAGTGAGTGGAATGATGAAATAGAAAAGGAGAGGTTAGGTAGGAAAAAGACATTGTGGTGTCAGAGGCTGAGGGCAGAGTTAGGACAAACTATATAATGTGCAGGGCCTCGAGCAAAATAACATTGTGGGGCTTGTTAAAAATTTATTAGGAATTTCAAAATGGAAACAGGAGAGGCTTAAACCAAACACAAAGTTTTTCTAAGCCTGGGGCCCTGGGTTATTGCATAGATTGCACATCTGTGAAGCTGGTCCTGGGAAGAATTTTGGGAAGCAGCAATCAATGGGGTGAAATATGTCAGAGGGATTGAGAAAAAAGAAGAAGGAAAAAAATGTAAACACTTAAATCCTTTTTGCTCCTCTGATTATGGATGTAATATTCATTATAGAAAATGTAGAAAATATAAAAATGTATTAAAATATCTGTAATTTTATACTCTTAATAACCCTTAATCTTTACTGTCTAACCTTTACTGTTTTTGTGATTTTTTCCCCCACTCACTTCCTGAACAGACACACACCGGCATATCAACATTTTAATTGGCACTGTACTCTATACTTTTTGTTACTTTTTAAAATTTAACAGTGCATCATAGGGATTTCCCCATGTCCTTAAATGTTCTTGGTGAAAATGATTGTTAATTAAAAAAGCTAGATGACTAATTGGTCATTGGTGACTTTGGAGAGGCTGACTTTGTTAGTCAAATGCCACATAAGTGAGGAATAAATGAAAGTTGAAGTGGAGGCATCAAGTATAGACACTTTCAAGAAGTTTGATGGTTGCAAAAGATACAGGAAAGGTGGTACCTCATGGAAGTAGAATGGTTAAGGAAACTTGGTATGAGTGTAGGAAATCTGAATGTAATTGCAGGCTGAGAAATAATTCCAGAGAGGAAGAGATGAATGTGATGACTGATGGAACACATTCTTGGAAGAGTTGGGACGACAGTGGACAATGTAGTAGCAGGACAGAAATGCCCTCTTCTGAAAAGTAGTAAAGTAAAGAATGGACTGCATGTGCTAAAAGTACAGAAAAGAAAAGATAATTAAATTTGCATCATGTAGAACATTATTAGGAAACTGGAAGACAACGGAGAGGGTAGACTTTGAGGTTACTGATAACACTTTGCTATGGCAAAAGTGATAGAGGCTCATCCAGAGATAAGTTCTAAAATTGTGAACAGCAGTGAGAGCCCTCCTGAGGCTAGAGAAGGATGATTTTGGAATGAAAATAAGTGACCCAGGTTCAAGATTTTCTTTGGTAATATTCAGCAGCATATTCTGGGTACTAATGGGAATAATCTTCAAGTTGTTCACTGTTAGAACCAAGAGTGGGTAAGGAAGCATGTCAAGGAGGAAGTGAGGTAATTAAGGAAATCGAGGGATGAACAGGTTGAAGGCTATGACTTAGCAGCAATTCCAGTAGATGTGAGAGAAGAAGGATACGTTATGGTCAAAGAAGGAAAATTTAGAGTTAAAAATCTCATAAGGAAGTAATTCTGCAGTGTCAGATGCAAGGGCAAATTTTGGATGGGTACATAAGTGAGGGGTGCAGAGGTGGTGTAAGAAAGTTGAGTTGGAGCATGAAGGGGCCATCTGTATGGATATTGAGATTAACAAGATGTTGCCATGGAATGAGTTGGGAGATTTTAAGCCAAAGGCAAAACTATCAAAGAAGACACTGAAGGGCCCAGACATGGATTGAAAACAGCAACAAGGAGGGAGCAAGGGCCTAGGGAAGTATGTTTCAAAAGGCCAGGCATTGCTGAGAGCTCATGGTAGAATGGTGGTATGGAAGTGGCTGGGAAGAGATAAGAGTATATTGCCTCCTAAGTAATAATAATTCTTAGGAGTGGCAGGAGTAGACAACACTGGGGAGTTTTGACCTACTGTCAAGTCAATGTGAGGGGAAGAATAATCCAAGAGGAGCTTGAGGATGTAGGTAAGCTTGTTCACAGTCAGTTGGATTCTACAGGCCACAATGTTGGGTTTTGGCCTACACATCTGGTGTCTACTGGGAGTCCATGTACTCATATCTATCTCTGACCTCTGGTTTACAGCACCCCTACTATGTCACCATTAAATACCCTCTTCAATTAATATTCCTCAAGTCTTCAAAGTCTCCCATTTTTTACAGCATACCTGTTAGTTTGAGGAGTGACAGGAAAGATTCTACAGAGACTGCCAGACGTGTTAAATGGGTTGGCAAGAATAACAGAGTAAGTCACTGTTGAATCCAGAAGAGGAAAAGATAGTAACAAGCGACAACAGCAATAACAATGAGGAACTCAAAACAAGTGTCTGGTTGGTGAAGAGCATAGATGAGTCCAGCACTCTCATATTTTGTCTTTGCTTCTCCCTTTAAAGTATCTGTGCAGTATAGACAAGAGTCAAACTGAAAACAAGGTTTTCTTAAGCGCTTTGTGGAGTGTGGCTACTGTCTTTGATGTTCATGAGAAATCAGAACTTTTAGTAATAGCAACTGAAACCCAGACATACCAAAGTAAGGAGAATGAAATTTTTGAATAGATATTAATGTTGATGTTGGCTTTACCTTTAAGCACATATGTTACCCATCAATGTTTGAATTGTAGGCTGTCACTCTTTATATATGTATGTCCTTTGTTCTCTTATTCCAGGGTGCTTTGAGCACATTCTATAATTTTTTTTCCAGCAACTCTATGCAGCCTAGGAACAAGGATGGAGAAATTAGATGCAGAAATGTAATAAGTCTTGAGGATTAGTAAAGGCACTACCCCTTTCTATTTAAAAGAGGCTTAGATTTATGGTTTGAGTAATTTTTAAAGTATGACATTTTAAACTCCATACATTTTTATTAGGTTGTAAAGTCTACTTTATGTCACCAGATAACAATGTCTTGAAACATGGAACCATTAAAAGATTATGTGGTGTATGATGCACAAACAAACTGTGGAATTCACAGGTACATGTGATTTGGCATAGGTGCTATAAAAAGATAAAGTTATTTGATAGCTTTTCCAATGAAATAGTAAACAATGAACACTATCCCTCCATATAGCAAATAAAATTCTAACTGATTAATGCATTTCATATATATTTTTTACAGTGCAGACAAATAGGATTTATATAATTTTGTCAATAAAAGATTTAAGCCAGTTATCAGTCTTCAAGTGTTTGTGATGGATTATTATGTGATAGACATTGAGATGGAAAAGAATCTATTCTTGTTTCTAGAGGAACTCTAACTAGAGGGACAGTGCACACAGACACACACACCAATCAAACATTGACTTGAGAGAGGAAAAGTGATTCATTAAAGACCCCCTACAAGATGATCTATTTACTCACTGGGTTCTAAGAAACTGAAGCAATTGAATCTTTCAGGGATTTCTGTTGCATTTTGATTGTCTGTCTAAGAGGCCTAGTTTTACTGAATTTATTTTCTCATACTATTATTATTATTAATTTTAAAGTTGACCATTTTTACCTTCATTTATAAATGATACTTGTTATGGTAAGGAATCATGACGTCAAAGATTCTGAGAGCAAACAGACTCTGGAGGCCACATAGTTCTAGAGATGAGGGCATTGAATCCCAGAGAGGTGATGGGTCTGGGCCAAGGCCTCATAGCTCTGCTAGTTGACAGTAGAGGCAGAACTTCTGTAGGGATCCTTAGCAGTACCGAAGGTGTTGGTCACTAAGCTGTACCTAGTGCACGGATGTGGGGAGTTGTGCTTCTGTGACTGTAGAAGAAAGAGTGGGGGAAAAAGGGAAGTTAAACCCTATCCTTCAGTTAACTAGAGAAGGGAAACTAGAAATTGATGAGAAGAGCAAGTATCAAAAAGATGCTAAGAGAGCCTGAATCTCTAGATCCTTGATTTGGTCATAATTCCAAAGAAAGGACTTAAATGTGTTGAATTTGAGAAGTTATTAAGATTTGGTGTTGACACTATAAGTTAAGTATTAATGAAAAAGTTACCAAGTATTGCATTTTAATATTCTTTTTTTCTTTTAAATTGCTAGCCAGAAATCACCTTTGAAATATGTGTTCTGTATAATAATTAAGCATTTATTTTAAAATAGAGCTCTGTTTTATTGTACCAGATAAGGAAGCACACTTATTTCCATCTCAGTAAACTGTACCTGAAACGTGGTTAGTGAACTGAAAATCAAGACCATTACTTCATCTTGCTGAGATATTTTTGGAGCTAATTATCAACAAGTCTTATAATTTTAGGTTATCACATTTGATATCCATGATATCTAGGTCCCTATGGAAGCTATGGAAGTTCTTGATAAATGGGTTAAGTAGCAAAGAGATAAGAATGAGCCCTGTGTCAAGCCACTGGGCAACTAACTCAGGTGGGCACAGATTCTGAGCCTGGGGAGTTTAGTCATTCAACTCTACGTTAAACCACTGAACGCCACTAGCATTTAGCCTCTACTTCTTCACTGGTATTCATGGAGATTATGAAAGATGAAATGTATTATAAACTCTAAATACACAATAGTTATGGAGTTCTGCTCTTATACTTAGTTGAATTCTCAAAAATGGAAATGAACTCAGCCTCATATAATGTGTTCTTAGTGCATCCACGATGTCTTCTAGTGACCTATCATTTCCCCTTCTTAAGTTCACAAGCTATCTGTTTATTAATGTCGTGGATAATATTTTATTTCTTTTTCTTTTTTTCTAGACACAAGGTCTCACTGTGTTGTTCAGGCTGGTCTTGAACTCCTGGACTCAACTGATCTGCCCACCATGGCCTCTCAAAGTGGTGGGATTACAGGCATGAGACATTGTGCTCAGCCTGCCTTTGATAATATTTTCATTATTTGAGTTTGTGAAATCTAACTTCATTCTTCTTTTGAAAACGGAGACCTTAATTTGCTTTTCGTCAGTTACCTGGCACAGCTAGCCTTCTCTGCATTTCTTTAAAGATTCTTGAGATTCTTTCCTGTCTCACTCTCTCAAAGAAAATAAGTATAAGTGAATTACCACTAAGTACAAAGAACATTAAATTTAAACTTGCATGTTTCTAATGGGAATTACCATTTCCAAAGCAATGAGTGTGTGTGACTGTGTGTTTATGTTCATGTCAACATAAATATGTGTTTATGTTGGAGAAAAGTTTACGGCAGAAGAAGGTACCAGTGGCTTACTTTTATTCTCCCATGGTGTCTGAGGACCAGGAAAGAGTTAGAGAAACAAGCCTCCATAAACGCAACATATGGAGTTAGAACCTCACTATGTTGAGCTTGCTTTTAACTTTATTTTCTACTTCTAGTTCTTATTGGCCAGAGTATAGGCTTTTAATGGGGAAGACTTATAGACCGAAAGAAATCAAGAATCTGCTGCCTTCATAGAACTCATTTCTACATTGCAAATCCTGAGTATGTTGACTTCAAGACCAATTAAAACAAAACCAAATTAAATAAACAAAAACAGCTCCAAACGCCAATGGTTATTTCAGACCACAGAGGGGTAAATAAAAGCTTGAATGCTTAAAACCATTGGTTTTGATAAAAGTTATTAGAATTGATGATGCCTCTGCCAAAAATTCACAGTGCCATTGGCTGATATGGCTTTCCCCCCAATTAAAGCTTTCATCTTTAAATGATCTGTGAATAGACAAGACCACATAGTTTATACTTGTTGAAAATGCTACCACATTCCCTTTTTTTTTGGACAAGGTCCTGCTCTGTGGCCCAGACTGGAGTGCAGTGGTATGACCATAGCTCACTGCAGCCTTGAACTCCTAGGCTCATGAGATTTCTTCATCGGCCTCCAGAGTAGCTAGGACTACAGGCCCAAACTAGCACACTGGGCTAATTTTTAAGTTTTTTTTTTTTCTAGAGAGAGTGTCTCACTATGGTGCCCAGACTGGTCTTAAACTCTTGGCCCCAAGATATCCTCACCTCAGCCCTCAGCCTCCCAAAGTGTTGGGATTACAGGCATGAACCACCATGCTTAGCCCCACATTTCTTTTTTCTTTCTTTGTTTCTTTTTTTTTTTTTTTTTTTAACCTTTGTAAGCTTGACATTGTAAAGATTCTTCTAAATTAAGCTATGAGGTTTGCTATTTTGGGCACCCTTCTCGGCAAGCCCATGCCTTGTGACATTACTTCTGCTTTGTTTACCAATAGTGTGTGTCAGGGCTGCTGGTTGTGGCAAACTCAGCCACAAGAGAAGAAGCTGAGAGAACTTTATCTCTCTCACTTGAAGGCACCAACATACTGGAAGGGGAATCTGGAAGATCCGGTGGTCATAAGACATATCATTTATGCATGGTAACTTCTCTCCTAATGAAGTTTAGCAACTAAGATTGTTTCTGGTTTCAGTCTGAAAGAAGGTTCCTATTCATGAAGTACTTCTTGTGTGAAACGGCACACAGTCATCATTTACTTCACAGCTGAACTTTGGTATGAGCTGCTTAACTGCTTTCTTTGACAATAGTTTTTAACCTATTTGCATATTTCCATCAGATTAATCTTTCCAAATCATGGTTCTGATTGTCAGGATAATGATGTATCTACAACTCCTGCCCAAGATAGAATTTCCTTCCTTCCTTCCTTCTTTCCTTCTTTCCTTCCTTCCTTCCTTCCTTCCTTCCTCCCTTCCTCCCTGTCTTTTCTTTCTTTCTTGGAGTCTTGCTTCTTTGCCTAGGCTGGAGTGCAGTGGTGTGATCTCAGCTCACTGCAACCTCTGCCTGCCAGGTTCAAGTGATTCTCCCACCTCAGCCTCTCAAGTAGCTGGGACTACAGGTGCATGCCACCATGCCTGGCTAATTTTTGTATTTTTAATAGAGATGGGGGTTTCACCATGTTGGCTAGATTGGTCCTGAACTCTTGACTTCAAGTGATCTGTCTGCCTTGGCCTCTCAAAGTGCTGAGATTATAGTCTTGAGCCACCACACCAGGCAGAATTTGCTTTCTATCTGGAAGAGTGAAGGAAAAAAAATCATATTTCTACTTTATCATCATTGAATATTTTCTTAATTGGAAAAAGCCTTACAGATAAATATTACTCCTTGGCAAAGAAAGCAATTGCCATTATAATACATCTTCGGGAGAGGGATATCCAAACTAATACTCAATTTACCAGGTAATCTCAAATTTTGTTCAGTTGACATTTGTTGAAATTATTTTACTATTGTCTACTTCATGTTTTCAGTCTGGCACAGAGGAATCACAGTATAAACACAATGTAGATTATATGTACAACTGAACAACAGATGTTAGGTAAACTTGTATTTTCAACATTCCATAAAGTTATCCTGAGATAACCATTTTTTAAAAATTAAAATTATTATAGTATGTAGTCTATTCACTTGTGACATAAAGAGCTAGTGCTCACCAAACATTGTATGTGTTTCCATTTATTTTCTAGCCTCTTTTGCCTTTCAGTTGGGGCCACATGCCTAGTTCTGGCCAGTGAATAATAAGTGGAAGAGGGGGCGGTTCCAAGATGGCCAAGTAGGAACAGTTCCAGTCTACAGCTCCCAGCACGAGCAATGCAGAAGACAGATGATTTCTGCATTTCCAACTGAGGTACCAGGTTCATCTCACTGGGGATTGTCAGACAGTGGGTGCAGGACAGTGGGTGCAGTGCACCAAGTGTGAGCCGAAGCAGTGTGAGGCATTGCCTCACCCGGGAAGCACAAGGGGTCAGGGAATTCCCTTTCCTAGCCAAGAAAAGGGGTGACAGACGGCACCTGGAAAATCAGGTCACTCCCACCCATATACTGCACTTTTCCGATGGTCTTAGCAAATGGCACACCAGGAGATTATATCCCGCACCTAGCTTGGAGGGTCCTATGGCCACGAAGCCTCGCTTGTTGCTAGCACAGCAGTCTGAGATCAAACTACAAGGCGGCAGTGAGGCTGGGGGAGGGGAACACGCCATTGCTGAGGCTTGAGCAGGTAAACAAAGTGGCCAGGAAGCTTGAACTGGGTGGAGCCCACCGCAGCTCAAGGAGGCCTGCTTGCCTCTGCAGACTCCACCTCTGGGGGCAGGGCATAGCCAAACAAAAGGCAGCAGAAACCTCTGCAGACTTAAATGTCCCTGTCTGACAGCTTGGAAGACAGTAGTGGTTCTCCCAGCATGCAGCTTGAGATCTGAGAATGGACAGACTGCCTCCTCAAGTGGGTCCCTGACTCCTGAGTAGCCTAACTGGGAGGCACTCCCCAGTAGGGGCAGACTGACACCTCACATGGCTGGGTACCTCTCTGAGACAAAACTTCCAGAGGAACGATCAGCCAGCAACATTTGCTGTTCACCAATATTCACTGATCTGCAGCCTCCACTGCTGATACCCAGGCAAACAGGGTCTGGAGTGGACCTCTAGCAAACTCCAATGGACCTGCAACTGAGGTTTCTGACTGTTAGAAGGAAAACTAACCAACAGAGAGGACATCCACACCAAAACCCCATCTGTACATCACCATCATCAAAGACCAAAGGTAGATAAAACCACAAAGATGGGGAAAAAACAGAGCAGAAAAACTGAAAATTGTAAAAATCAGAGCACCTCTCCTCCTCCAAAGGAACGCAGCTCCTCACCAGCAATGGAACAAAGCTGGATGGAGAGTGACTTTGACGAGTTGAGAGAAGAAGGCTTTAGATGATCAAACTACTCTGAGCTAAAGGAGGAAGTTCGAACTCATTGCAAAGAAGTTAAAAACCTTGAAAAAAAATTAGACGAATGGCTAACTAGAATAACCAATGCAGATAATTCCTTAAAGGTCCTGATGGAGCTGAAAACCATGGCACGAGAAATACATGATGAATGCACAAGCCTCAGTAGCCGATTCGATCAACTGGAAGAAAGGATATCAGTGATGGAAGATGAAATGAATGAAATGAAGCAAGAAGAGAAGTTTAGAGAAAAAAGAATAAAAAGAAATCAACAAAGCCTCCAAGAAATATGGGACTATGTGAAAAGAGCAAATCTACGTCAGATTGGTGTACGTGAAAGTGACAGGGAGAATGGAACAAAGTTGGAAAACAGTCTGCAGGATATTATCCAGGAGAACTTCCCCAATCTAGCAAGGCAGGCCAACATTCAAATTTAGGAAATACAGAGAATGCCACAAAGATACTCCTTGAGAAGAGCAACTCCAAGACACATAATTGTCAGATTCACCAAGGTTGAAATGAAGGAAAAAATGTTAAGTGCAGCCAGAGAGAAAGGTCAGGTTACCCACAAAGGGAAGCCCATCAGACTAACAGCTGATCTCTTAGCAGAAACTCTACAAGCCAGAAGAGAGTGGGGGCCAATATTCAACATTCTTAAAGGAAAGAATTTTGAAGCCAGAATTTCATATCCAGCCAAACTAAGCTTCATAAGTGAAGGAGAAATAAAATCCTTTACAGACAAGCAAATGCTGAGAGATTTTGTCACCACCAGGCTTGCCCTAAAAGAGCTCCTGAAGGAAGCACTAAACATGGAAAGGAACAACCAGCAAAAGCCACTGCAAAAACATGCCAAATTGTAAAGACCATCAAGGCTAGGAAGAAACTGCATCAACTAATGAGCAAAATAACCAGCTAACATCATAATGACAGGATCAAATTCACACATAACAATATTAACCTTAAATGTAAATGGGCTAAATGCTCCAATTAAAAGACACAGACTGGCAAATTGGTTAAAAAGTCAAGACCCATCAGTGCGCTGTATCCAGGAAACCCATCTCACATGCAGAGACCCACGTAGGCTCAAAATAAAGGGATGGAGGAAGATCTACCAAGCAAATGGAAAACAAAAAAAGGCAGGTGTTGCAATCCTAGTCTCTGATAAAACAGACTTTAAACCAACAAAGATCAAAAGAGACAAAGAAGGCCATTACATAATGGAAAAGGGATCAATTCAACAAGAAGAGCTAACTATCCTAAATATGTATGCACCCAATATAGGAGCACCCAGATTCATAAAGCAAGTCCTTAGTGACCTACAAAGAGACTTAGACTCCCACACAATAATAATGGGAGACTTTAACACCCCGCTGTCAACATTAGACAGATCAAAGAGACAGAAAGTTAACAAGGATATCCAGGAATTGAACTCAGCTCTGCACCAAGCGGACCTAATAGACATCTACAGAACTCTCTACCCCAAATCAAAAGAATACACATTCTTCTCAGCACCACACCGCACTTATTCCAAAATTGACCACATAGTTGGAAGTAAAGCTCTCCTCAGCAAATGTAAAAGAACAGAAATTATAACAAACTATCTCTCAGACCACAGTGCAATCAAACTAGAACTCAGGATTAAGAATCTCACTCAAAACCACTCGACTACATGGAAACTGAACAACCTGCTCCGGAATGACCACTGGGTACATAATGAAATGAAGGCAGAAATAAAGATGTTCTTTGAAACCAATGAGAACAAAGACACAACATACCAGAATCTCTGGGACGCATTCAAAGCAGTGTGTAGAGGGAAATTTATAGCACTAAATGCCCACAAGAGAAAGCAGGAAAGATCTAAAATTGACACCCTAACATCACAATTAAAAGAACTAGAGAAGCAAGAGCAAACACATTCAAAAGCTAGCAGAAGGCAAGAAATTACCAAGATCAGAGCAGAACTGAAGGACACAGAGACACAAAAAACCCTTCAAAAAATCAATGAATCCAGGAGCTGGTTTTTTGAAAAGATGAGCAAAATTGATAGACCGCTAGCAAGACTAATAAAGAAGAAAAGGGAGAAGAATCAAATAGATGCAATAAAAAACGATAAAGGGTGTATCACCACCGATCCCACAGAAATACAAACTACCATCAGAGAATACTATAAACCCCTCTATGCAAATAAACTAGAAAATCTAGAAGAAATGGATAAATTCCTCGACACATACAACCTCCCAAGACTAAACCAGGAAGAAGTTGAATCTCTGAATAGACCAATAAGAGGCTCTGAAATTGAGGCAATAATTAATAGCTTACCAACCAAAAAAAGTCCAGGACCAGACGGATTCACAGTCAAATTCTACCAGAGGTACAAGAAGGAGCTGGTACCATTCCTTCTGAAACTATTCCAATCAATAGAAAAAGAGGGAATCCTCCCTAACTCATTTTATGAGGCCAGCATCATCCTGATAACAAAGCCTGGCAGAGACACAACAAAAAAAGAGAATTGTAGACCAATATCCCTGATGAACATTGATGCAAAAATCCTCAATAAAATACTGGCAAACCGAATCCAGCAACACATCAAAAAGCTTATCCACCATGATCAAGTGGGCTTCATCCCTGGGATGCAAGGCTGGTTCAACATACGCAAATCAATAAATGTAATCCAGCATATAAATGAACCAAAGACCAAAACCACATGATTATCTCAATAGTTGCCGAAAAGGCCTTTGACAAAATTCAACAGCCCTTCATGCTAAAAACTCTCAAAAAATTAGGTATTGATGGGATGTATCTCAAAATAATAAGAGCTATTTATGACAAACCCACAGCCAATATCATACTGAACGGGCAAAAACCGGAAGCATTCCCTTTGAAAACTGGCACAAGACAGGGATGCCCTCTCTCACCACTCCTATTCAACATAGTGTTGGAAGTTCTGGCCAGAGCAATCAGGCAGGAGAAAGAAATAAAGTGTATTCAGTTAGGAAAAGAGGAAGTCAAATTGTCCCTGTTTGCAGATGACATGATTGTATATCTAGAAAACCCTATTGTCTCAGCCCAAAATCTCCTTAAGCTGATAAGCAACTTCAGCAAAGTCTCAGGATACAAAATCAATGTGCAAAAATCACAAGCATTCTTATACACCAATAACAGACAGAGAGCCAAATCATGAGTGAACTCCCATTCACAGTTGCTTCAAAGAGAATAAAATACCTAGGAATCCAACTTACAAGGGATGTGTAGTTCAAGGAGAACTACAAACCACTGCTCAATGAAATAAAAGAGGATACAAACAAATGAAGAATATTCCATGCTCGTGGGTAGGAAGAATCAATATCGTGAAAATGGCCATACTGCCCAAGGTAATTTATAGATTCAATGCCATCACCATCAAGCTACCAATGACTTTCTTCACAGAATTGGAAAAAACTACTTTAAAGTTCATATGGAATCAAAAAAGAGCCCACATTGCCAAGTCAATTCTTAGCCAAAAGAACAAAGCTGGAGGCATCATGCTACCTGACTTTAAACTATACTACAACGCTACAGTAAGCAAAACAGCATGGTACTTGTACCAAAACAGAGACATAGACCAATGGAGCAGAATAGAGCCCTCAGAAATAGTGCCACACATCTACAATTATCTGATCTTTGACAAACCTGAGAAAAACAAGCAATGGGGAAAGGATTCCCTATTTAATAAATGGTGCTGGGAAAACTGCCTAGCCAAAGTAGAAAGCTGAAATTGGATCCCTTCCTTACACCTTATACAAAAATTAATTCAAGATGGATTAAAGAATTAAATGTTAGACCTAAATCCATAAAAACCCTAGAAGAAAACCTAGGCAATACCATTCAGGACATAGGCATGGGCAAGGACTTCATGTCTAAAACACCAAAAGCAATGACAACAAAAGACAAAATTGACAAATGGGATCTAATTAAAGAACTTCTGCACAGCAAAAGAAACTACCGTCAGAATGAACAGGCAACCTACAGAGTGGGAGAAAATTTTTGCAATCTACTCATCTGACAAAGGGCTAATATCCAGAATCTACAAAGAACTCAAACAAATTTACAAGAAAAAAACAAACAACCCCATCAATAAGTGGGTGAAGGATATGAACAGACACTTCTCAAAAGAAGACATTTATGCAGCCAAAGGACACATGAAAAAATGCTCATCATCACTGGCCATCAGAGAAATGTAAATCAAAACCACAATGAGATACCATCTCACACCAGTTAGAATGGCAATCATTAAAAAGTCAGGAAACAACAGGTGCTGGAGAGGATGTGGAGAAACAGGAACACTTTTACATTGTTGGTGGGACTGTAAACTAGTTCAACCATTGTGGAAGTCAGTGTGGCGATTCCTCAAGTATCTAGAACTAGAAATACCATTTGACCTAGCCATCCTATTACTGGGTATATGCCCAAAATATTATAAATCATGCTGCTATAAAGACACATGCACAGGTATGTTTATTGTGGCACTATTCACAATAGCAAAGACTTGGAACCAACCCAAATGTCCAACAATGATAGACTGGATTAAGCAAATGTGGCACATATACACCATGGAATACTACGCAGCCATAAAAAATGACGAGTTCATGTCCTTTGTAGGGACATGGATGAAGCTGGAAACCATCATTCTCTGCAAACTATCGCAAGGACAAAAAACCAAATACCACATGTTCTCACTCATAGGTGGGAATTGAACAATGAGAACACTTGGACACAGGAAGGGGAACATCACACACTGGGGCCTGTTGTGGTGTGGGAGGAGGGGGAAGGATAGCATTAGGAGATATACCTAATGTAAATGACGAGTTAATGGGTGCAGCACACCAACATGGCACATGTATACATATGTAACAAAGCTGCACATTGTGCACATGTACCCTAAAACTTAAAGTATAATAAAAAAAAATAAGTGGAAGAAATGTTTGTTTCTTTTGGGCCAAGGCAAACTGGGAGGGGACATATTCTAGATGGCGCAAGCACAAGATGGTGGGACTCTGTCAGCCTGGGTTCCTGGGACACTATGTGCAAGATAGTGTTCTACTGACCAGGGCTGGATGAGGAACTTGAGTAAGAAACGAACTTTTCAAGATTTGAGAATTAATGTGTTCTCCACCCAACCCACCTTCTCTTAACTAATATAGCAGTTAAACAACACATACCAAGGGTTAGGTAACTTGTAAATGTATTAAACTAATCAAATCTGAATTTCCTTCTCCTCCTCCAGTGGTATTTTGTGTTGGAGAGGACACCTGGTTCCTTGTTAAATGGCAGTGGAGATATCCTGCTATTTTATCTTGAAGTCCTGACCCTGAGTGTGTGTCTGAACTGAGGCTGGAGATGACCAAACTCTTTAATACTGTACCTGTCCTGTCTGTCAGAATCTTAGTGGGTACTGTTCCAAATGGCAGGACCAGTGCTGGTGTCCTGTTCTTCCCCTTGCCTCCCTTTCTTGTCCTGAATAAGTGCCAACTCTTGGCTACTCAATCATGTACACCAATGATCATGAAAAATGGGGTGCGTTTGGCATTCGATCATCAATTGTTGGTGTACATGATTGAGTACTGAGAGCTGACACTTATTCTTTTTATTAAAGTCACCTGCAATCTCTGGGTACTTTCAACAGAAGTTGTGAAATTTTAGCTTGACCTTCCAAAATCTTATCCCATCCTACCTTTTAAATCTTGGGTCTTACCACAATCCTCCCAAATTGATTTACTTGCCACTTCCTAGACCTATATTTTTGGACATCTTTTAGTCATATCATGGCTTCCGTCTAAATGTCTTTCTTCCCTGCCATTCAAGTCCTACCCCGACTTCAAGGTGCAACTCAAGTTTCACATTTTTTGGTACCTTCTCTGAACCATGTTAAGCTTCTGAAAGATTCACAATCCTTATCTTCATTTCTGAAACCCAGAAAGTTCTGAAAATGGAAAGCTTTTATTATTCATTAGAAAAACCTGGTCTGACTTGAACAAATTTGGAGAAAAAACCTGAACTGATTTGGCTTTATTTATCATTTTTGTCTGTGATTTTTATCCCATGTAGTGTGTATATTCATGTTATATTTGATTGTGGGTGATACCCTAGACCCTTCCGGGCTATAACATACAGTTTTATCTGTCTAAAATCTGAAACATTCTGAGTTCAGAAGCTCATCTACTCCCAGGGATTTTAGAAACTCATCTACCTTCAGGGATTTTGGTAATGAGATTGGTGCTTTGTTACTGTCCTTATGGAGAAATCACAGTATATCTCTGTTTTGATGTGCACATGTACCCTAGAACTTAAAGTATAATTAAAAAAAAGAAATGTTATGATCTACTTGAATCTGCTTTAATAAACTGACTTCTGGCATTAGATTGAATTTTTTGATGATGAAAATATTTCTTATCAGTGATTTGGGTATAAGTTTTTACAAGTCATAAACTCACATGCACAAAAATGCTTTATTTGTCTTTAACTGAACTTAGCTTTTACCTCAAACCCCATCTTCATCTGATGGCAGAAAAGTTCAGGTAAAATCAGCTACATTAGTGATTACTCAGTCATTTAATGTTTTAACTAAGTCAGTTCAGGGAAATAAGCTTGAAGTTCCTGCTCCAATTTTATGGCCCTTGTTCTGCCTCTTCTGTTGGAGAAACAGAAGCTTTCAGATGCTTCTCTACAGTGCTTTGGGACCCAAAGTCCTGCCATTTTTTTTTTCTGCCTACACAGTTTTAACTCTACTGTTGTTAGACCATACTGTTGTAGGGTAAGGTGTCAAACCTACACTTGGCTCTTTGTCTCCTTGATCTGTGCCTCAGGAAATGAGGCCCAACTTTCAGAATCTCCCAGAGCTGAAACCGTGATCATTCTTCCCTACCCACACCCAAGGGGTAGGAGTGGAGCCAAGGGCTTGGAATGCCCATTTCTCTCTGATTCCAGAAAAATCCTTAATTAATCAACTAGCTTTTATTCTCCTCTTCAAGTGACTAGGCAAGGGTTCTTCTAAACTTTTTTTAATGCTGATAACTTTGTTTTTTTTGATATTTTAAAAGTCACATTTCACATGTCATTCTGTATATAGCATAGATTTATTTATTTATTTATTTTTTAACTTTTGTTTTAGGTTCAGGAATACATGTGCAGGTTTGTTACATAGGTACACTTGTGTCATGGGGGTCTGTGGTACAGATTATTTCATCACCCAGGTATTAAGCCTAGTACCCATTAGTTATTTTTCCTGCTCCTCTGCCTCCTCCCACTCTTCACCCTCACATAGGCCCTAGTGTCTGTTGTTCGCTTCTTTTTGTTCATGAGTTCTCATCATTTAGCTCCCACTTATAAGTAAGAACATGTGGTATTTGGTTTTCTGTTCCTGCGTTAGTTTACTAAGGTTAATAGCCTCCAGGTCCTTCCACATTTCTTCAAAAGACATGATCTCATTCTTTTGTATGGCTGAATAGTATTCCATGGTGTGTATATACCACATTTTCTTTTTTAAAAAAACTTTTATTTTAGGTTCAGAGGTACATGTGAAGGTTTGTTACCTAAGTAAACTCATGTTACTGGGGTTTGTTGTACAGATTATTTTATCACCTAGGAATTAAGCCCAGTACCCAATAGTTATCTTCTCTTTTCCTCTCCCTTCTCTGACGCCCTTCACCCTCAAGTGGACCCCAGTGTTTGTTGTTTCCTACTTTGTGTTCATGAGTTCTCATCATTTAGCCCTCACTTATAAGTGAGAACATACGGTATTTGGCTTTCTGTTCCTGAATCAGTTTGCTGAGGATAATAGCCTCCAGCTCCATGCATGTTTCTGCAAAAGATGTGATCTTGTTCTTTTTTATGGCTGCATAGTATTCCATGGTGTATATATACCACATTTGCTTTATTCACTCTGTCACTGATGGGCATTTAGGTTGATTCCTGTCTTTGCTATTGTGAATAGTGCTGCAATGAACGTTCAAGTGCATGTGTCTTTATGGTAGAATAATTTTTATTCCTCTGGGTATATACTCAGTAATGGGATTGCTGAGTTGAATGGTAGTTCAACTTTTAGCTCTTTGAGAAATTGCTGTACTGCTTCCACGATGGTTGAACTATTAATAATTTACATTCCCACCAACATTGTGTAAGTGTTCCCTTTTCTCTGCAACCTTTCTGGCATCTATTTTTTGACTTTTTAATAATCGCCACTCTGACTGGTATGAGATGGTATCTCAATGTGGTTTTTGATTTGCATTTCTCTAATGATCAGTGATACTGAGCTTTTTTTCATATGCTTGTTGGCTGCATGCATGTCTTTGATATGGTTTGGCTGTTTCCCCACCCAAATCTCATCTTGAATTGTAGTTCCCATAATCTGCACATGTCATAGGAGGGACCCAGTGGGAGGTAATTGAATAATGGGGGCAGTTACTTTCATGCTGTTCTTGTGATAGTAAGTTCTCACGAGATCTGATGGTTTTATAAGGGTATATTTTCCCCTTCTGCTTAGCACTTCTCCTTCTGCTGCCATGTGAAGAAGGACATGTTTGCTTCCCCTTTCACCAGGATTGTAAGTTTCCTGAGGCCTCCCCAGCCACGTGAACTGTGAGTGAACTAAATCTTTTTCCTTTATAAATTACTGAGTCTCAGGTATGTCTTTATTGGCAGTGTGAGAATTGTCTAATGCAGTCTTTTTTTGAAAAGTGTCTGTTCATATCCTTTGCCCACTTTATAATGTTTGTTTTTCTCTTGTAAATTTGTTTAAGTTCTTTATAGATGCTGGATATTAATTAGACCCTTGTCAGATGCATAGTTTGCAAATATTTTCTCCCATTCTGTAAGTTGTCTGTTTATTCTGATGACAGTTTCTTTTACTGTGCAGAAGCTCTTTAGTTTAATTAGATCTCATTTGTCAATTTTTGCTTTTGTTGCAATTGCTTTTGGTGTCTTTGTCATTAAATCTTTGCCCATTCCTATTCCAGGATGGTATTGGCTAGGTTGTCTTCCAGGGTCTTTATAGCTTTGGGTTTTACATTTAAGTCTTTAATCCATCTTGAGTTAATTTTTGTATATGGTGTGAACAAGGGGTCCAGTTTTAATCTTCTGCATATGGTTAGCCAGTTATCCCAGCACCATTTATTGAATAGGGAGTCATTTCCCCATTGTTTGTTTTTGTCAGCTTTGCTGAAGATGAGATGGTCATAGGTATGTGGCCTTATTTCTGCACTGTCTATTCTGCTCCATTAACCTGTGTGTTTTTGTACCAGTACCATGCTGTTTTGGTTACTGTTGCCCTGTAGTATAGGTTGAAGTCGGGTAACGTGATGCCTCTAACTTTGTTCTTTTTGCTTAGGATTGCCTGGGCTATTTGGGCTTTTTTTTTGTTCCATATGAATACAAACTAATATGGTTTGGCCCTGTGTCCCCACCCAAATCTCATCTTGAATTATATTCCCATAATTCCCATGTGTTGTGGGAAGGACCTGGTGGGAGATAATTGAATCGTGGGGGCGGTTTCTCCCATACTGTTCTCATGGTAGTGAATAAGCCTCACGAGATCTGATGGTTTTATAAGGTGAAACCCCTTTCACTTGGCTCTCATTCTCTCTCTTGCTGCTGCCATGTAAGAAGTGCCTTTCCCCTTTCACCATGATTGTGAGGCCTCCCTAGCCACATGGAACTGTAAGTCCATTAAGCCTCTTTCTTTTGTAAATTGCCCAGTCTCAGGTACGTCTTTATCAGCAGCATGAAAACAGACTAATGCAGTAAATGAGTACCAGTGGAGTGGGGCGCAGCTGAAAAGATACCCGAAAATGTGGAAGTGACTTTGGAACTGAGTAACAGGCAGAGATTTGAAAAATTTGAAGGGCTCAGAAGAAGACAGAAAAATGTGGGAAAATTTGGAACTTCTTAGAGACTTGTTGTATGTCTTTGACCAAAATGCTGATAATAATATAGACAATGAAATCCACGCTGAGGTGGTCTCAGATGGAGATGAGGAACTTGTTGGGAACTGGAGAAAAGCTGACTCTTACTATGTTTTAGCAAAGAGACTGGTGATATTTTGCCCCTGCCCTAGAGACTTGTGGAACTTTGAACTTGAGAGAGATGATTTAGGGTATCTGGTGGAAGACATTTTTAAGCAGCAAAGCACTTAAGAGGTGACTTGGGTGTTGTTAAAGGCATCCAGTTTTAAAAGGGAAACAGAGCATACAAGTTTGGAAAATTTGCAGCCTGACAATGAGATAGAAAAGAAAATCCTATTTTCTGAGGAGAAATTCAAGCTGGATGCAGAAATTTGCATAAGTAATGAGGAGCCAAATGTTAATCCCCAAGACAATGGGGAAAATGTCTCTAGGGAATGTCAGAAGTCTTCATGGCAGCCCCTCCCATCACAGGTCCAGAGGCCTAGGAGGAAAAAGTTGTTTTGTGGGCTGGGCCCAGGGTCTGCGTGCTGTGTACTCCCTAGGGACTTGGTACCGTGCATCCCAGCTGCTCCAGCAGTGGCTGAAAGGGGCCAACATAGAGCTCAGGCCGTGGCTTCAGAGGGTGCAAGCCTCAAGCCTTGGCAGCTTCTACGTGGTGTTGAGCCTGCCAGTGCACAGCAGCCAAAAATTGGGGTTTGGGAACCTCTGCCTAGATTTCAGAGGATGTATGGAAATGCCTGAATGTCCAGGAAGAAGTTTGCTGCAGGGGTAGTGCTTTCATGGAGAACCTTTGCTAGGGCAGCGTGGAAGGGAAATGTGAGGTTGAAACCCCCACACAGAGTCTGGGGCATGGCCTAGTGGAGCTGTGAGAACAGGGCCACCTTCCTCCAGACCCCAGAATGGTAGATCCACTGACAGCTTGCACCGTGTACCTGGAAAAGCCACAGACACTCAACACCAGCCCATTAAAGCAGCTGGCAGGGAGGCTATACCCTGCAGAGCCGCAGGGGCGGAGCTGCCAAAGACCATGGGAACCCACCTCTTGTATCAGCATGACCCAGATGTGAGACATGGATTAAAAGGAGATCATTTTGGAGCTTTAAGATTTGACTGCCCAGCTGGATTTTGGACTTGCATGGGTCCTGTAGCCCCTTCATTTTGGCCACTTTCTCCCATTTGGAATGGCTGTATTTACCCAATGCCTGTACCCCCATTGTATCTAGGAAATATTTAACTTGATTTTGATTATATAGGCTTCTATGCAGAAGGGACTTGCCTTGTCTCAGATGAGACTTTGGACTGTGGACTTTTAAGTTAATGCTGAAATAAGTTAAGACTTTGGGGGACTGTTGAGAAGTCATGATTGGTTTTGAAATGTGAGGACATGAGATTTGGGAGGGGCCAGGGGCAGAATGATATGGTTTGGCTGTGTCCCCACCCAAATATCATCTTGAATTCCCACATGTTGTGGGAGGGACCTGTTAGGAGGTAATTGAATCATTGGGGCAGGTCTTTCTCATGCTGTTCTCATGATAGTGAATAAGTCTTATGAGATCTGATGGTTTCGACAAGGGGAGTTTCCCTGGGTAAACTCTCTTTGAGTGCCGCTATCCATGTAAAGATGTGACTTGCTCCGCCTTGCCTTCCACCATGATTGTGAGGCCTCCCCAGACATGTGGAACTGTAAGTCCATTAAACCTCATTTTCTTCCCAATCTCAGGTATGTCTTTATCAGCAGTGTGAAAACAGACTAATACACAAACCCACAGCCAACATCATACTGAATGGGCAAAAGCTGGAAGTATTCCCCTTGAAAACCATGACAAGACAAGTATGCTGTCTTTCATCACTCCTATTCAACACAGTACTGGAAGTCCTGGCCAGAGCAATCAGGCAAGAGAAGGAAATAAAGGACATCTAAATAGGAAGAGAGGAATTCAAACTATCCCTGTTTGCAGGTGATATGATTCTTTATCTAGAAAACCCCATAGTCTTGGCCCAAAAGCTCCTTCAGTTGATAAACAATTTCAGCCAAATTTCAGGATATAAAATCAATGTACAAAAACACTAACATTTTATACACCGACAACAGCCAAGCCAAAGGCCAAATGAGGAATGCAATCCCATTCACAACTGTCACAAAAGATAAAACAAAATAAAGTAAAATAAAATAAAATAAAATAAAACACCTAGGAACACAGCTAACAAGGGAGGTGAAAGATCTCTACAATGAGAATTACAAAATAACTGCTCAGAGAAATCAGAGATGACACAAACAAATGAAAAAACATCCCATGCTCATGGGTAGAAAGAATTAATGTAATTAAAATGGCCACACTGCCCAAAGCAATTTACAGATTCAATGCTGTTTCTATCAAACCACCAATTACATTCTTCACAGATCTAGACATGGATTTATGAAAGTCTACTTTGAGCCTTAGTATATGTTTGAGCCTTAAAACTTATGCAACTAAAATTCTTTGTTCTCTGGCTGTGTAATGTTTTGGCGCTGACCCTGAGGCATGAATGTTATCTGACTCATCGGTAAAGGCCAGAAGACAAAGAATAGGTGGGAAGTACCTAGTTAATATATGCGAATTTCATTCTACTACATGTGTACTCTCATTTGGCATCATTCAAACCCCAAACTGCCTCCTATGCAAAGGGAGAAGTTGTATTTGTCCTTGTGTAAGTGCTTTTTGAACTGGCTTCCAGAAGGAGCATAGAGGATGCTGTTAGGCCAGGATTTCTCTCCTTCTCACTCATCTTACTCATGCCAGATTCATATATTCATCATGCGCATATTTAGTCAAAACAGCTCAGCCTTTTATGTTTTTTAAATATATTGTGGAGCTGTATATAATCTAATTTAAATAAAGAATATTGCTAAGAAAAATACTTTGAAAATTTGTTGTATCTAAATAGGATTACACAAATGATTTTTCAAACACCCAGATCCATTTGGGAATTGGTTTCACTTGTATGCTATCACTACTTAACTGCAATCAGCTCCTACTTTTAGCTATGAGTAAACAATTCATCCAGAATTTTCTAACTTTTGATGAAATCCTTCAAGTACAGTAAGTCCTCACTTGACCTTGTTGATAGGTTCTTGAAAATTGTGACTTTAAATGAAACAACACATCATGAAACAAATTTTATCAGAGGCTAATTGATTTAAACAAGAGTTAAGTTCCTATGGTATGTTTCTGGTAACAAAAACATTACCAAACTTCTGACCCAAAACACTTCTAATATCAAACATTGAAATAAGTGTGAGCTATATACATATATTTAAGAAAGATTAATAAGAACGAGTCAGATAATTATTTACCCAGTTTTTGGTGAATCAGTGAGTGATGGCAGTCTTCGTGGTGGTGGGTTAAATCAAAGAATAAGTGTCTGCAAAGTAAAAATGGTAGAGAGCACCTCCTCCCACCACGCAGTTCAAACACAATTACAAATATTCATACCACATCATTTATTGTCATGCATTTGGATGATTATCATAGATTTTATGAATTTTAAAAATTGTTTTATTTCATTACAAATTTGTATTTGGCAATAACTTGTGTTCATTTATTTATTTTGCAACCCACTTATTCCAGTTCAGAGTCGTAGGTGGCCTGGGAGACTATCATGGGGCAGCTCAGGAGGCAAGGTGGGAACCAGCCCTGGACCGCACGCCATCCCATCACGGGGCACACTCATACCCACACCCACACTCACTCAGTCTAGGACAATTTAGATATACCGATAAACCTAACATCTTTGGGATGTAGGAGGAAGCCGGAGAACCTGGAGAAAACCCAAGCAGGCCTGGCGAGAACATGCAAACTCCACACAGACAGTGATCCCTGCCAGGAATTGATTTTGCTTTTTCTCATAAATATTATAACAAAAGTGTGTTGAATAAAAACATGATTCGAGAACCTGGTATCGTACTCATTTACGATACCAGTATGTTCCAGCTCTGGGGAGTATAATATCAAAAGGCCTGGCAGAAAACTTCCTCTCTTCCTTATAATGCTTGCTCTCCCCATAACATTAAAAATCTTTGGTTGTTTGTAGGGCCCAGGGTAAAAAAGCTTTATTTATTATTTTCACTGTTACCTCTTTCCTTTTCGGAGACACAGAGAGAATGAAAATAAAAAGGCTTTTCCATGCTTACATGAACATTTCCATTTCTGTTGACTAAGAATAAACAGGGACTATTTGGTTGTTTTGGCTAATTGCAATGTAACTACTTACACACTCCTCTTTTGTCATCTGTAATCTTGCACTAACCTTGAAACTACTCTTCCTTCCTTTATTGCTCTCCAATCTTGTCTACTTCTAACATGTTATTACTGAATGTTCTTTTCTAAAATATACATGTGATCATATCACTCTTAAAAAACTTTAAAGATTAAAAAATATATTTTATAGGACTAATTCAAACTCTTTGCTTTAGATCATGAGATCTTTCATGATTTACAGCTAAGACTGGTAATGAACTATTACTATGTGTCTCTTTATGTGTGAGTCAATATGATAGGACATTTCAATGAACCCCATTTAACCTTCACAAGAATCCTGTGAAGTCAGTAGTTTTATCTCCATTTTTTACAATAAAAAAGCTGAGCTTAGAGAGATTAAATAATTTCCCCCCAAATAATGAATAGCATATTCTTATCTGCCACTGATCTCTCCTAAGCAGCCACATGCACCTAAAGCACTGAAGTCTTCATCGATGTCGGGATTGAACTGTATTTTCCTCATGCCTCTCTAACTTTCCTTATGCTGGATCTGCTGCCTGGAGTGAGAAGAAATCTTGTTCACTGGTCAATCTTAAAGAAAGCTTCAAGGTCCAGAAACCTGCCCTTTACTCTTGTTTAACCATTTTGTCTCCTGGAGAGATGGTTAGACGCACCCACCCTTGTGAGCCAGTAACCCTGGGTGGATATGTCAAATCACTAGAGGGTGAATCCCAGGTATGAAAAGTGTCCTGCCCTCACTCATCACCCAGGGACTGCTGATATCACCAAAAAACTTTTCAAGAAATTGAGGAAGAATAGAATATAGAGGAATTTTAAGTTACTGTAGTATTCCCATTATAGACGATCTAATGCCCATTGATTTTTCCTTCCTTTTTTATTAAAAAATCTTTTTGATATATTGAGACCAATGTGCTTACACAAAAGGAGTTAGTGCCCACATATTCAAATGTCCAATAGAGAGATTTCTCTTATATTATAGGTGTATTGTATTTTTTAATTGAAAGTGTTTATTGTGGTAAAATACACATAAAACTTATCTGAATTTTAAGTGTGCAGTTCAGTGGTGTTAAATATATTCACATTGTTGTGCAACTAATTTCCAGAACTTTTTCATCTTGCAAAACTGAATATACCCACTAAACAACAACCCACTATACCCACTAAACAACTCTCCATTCTTTCCTCCCCCTAGGCCCTGCCAACCATCATTCTTCTTTCTAGTTCTATGAGTCTGATGATTCTAGATACATTATACAAACAGAATCATACTTCAACATTCTCAACATGTATTCATGTTGTAGCATTTCCTTCCTTTTCAAGGCTGAATAATATTTGTGTGTGTGTGTGTGTGTGTACCACATTTTGTTTATCCATTCATCCCAATAGACACTTGGGTTGTTTCTTCCTTTTAGCTCTTGTGAACAATGTTGCTATGAACATGAGTGTACCAATATCTTTTCATGTCTATGCTTTCAATTCTTTTGAATATTGTATTCATCTCTTCTCACATTGCTATGAAGAAATACCTGATACTGGATAATTTATAAAGAAAAGGGGTTTAACTGATTCATGGTTCCGTAGGCTGTTCAGGAAGCATGGCAGCATCTGCTTCTGGGAAGACCTCAGGAAACTTACAGTTGTGATAGAAGGCAAAGCTGGAGCAGGCATCTTCAAATGGCCAGAGCAGGAGAAAGGGAGAATGGGGAAGGTGCCACACACTTTTAAACAACCAGATCTCATAAGAACTCTATCATGAGAATAGCACCAAAGGGAGGGTTCTAAACTATTCATGAGAACTCCACCCCCATGATCCTGTCACCTCCCACTAGGCCTCTCCTCCAACGCTGGAGGTTACAATTTGACATGAGATTTGGGAGGGACACAGATCCAAACCATAACAGATATATACCCAGAAGTGGAATGGCTGGATCATATGGTAATTCTATTTTTAATTATTTTTTTGAGATGGAGTTTTGCTCTTGTCACCCAGGCTGGAGTGCAATGGCTCAATCTTGGCTCACTGCAACCTCTGCCTCCCTGGTTCAAGCGAGTCTCCTGTCTCAGCCTCCCAAGTAGCTGGGATTACAGGGGCCCACCACCATGCCCAGTTAATTTTTGTATTTTTAGTTGAGATGGGGTTTCATCATGTTGGCCAAGCTTGTCTTGAACTTGTGACCTCAGGTGATCCACTTGCCTTAGCCTTCCAAAGTGCTGGGATTACAGGGATGAGCCACTGTGCCTGGCCTTATTTTTAATTTTTGAGAAATTATCTTAATGTTTTCCACAGTGGCAGCACCATTTTTACATTAGTACCAACAGTACACAAAGGTTCCATTTCCTCTACATCCTTTCCAACACTTGTTTTATTTATTTATTTATTTATTTATTTTTGATAGTAACCTTCCTAATGAATGTGCTAGAAGTGGTTTTGAGTCAAGAGAAACTCTGCCTAAAATATCAGATAGGTTTTTTTGTGTTTTGGACCTCTCTGCCTCAAGGGTTAAATATAATACAAGAGAGGCATTTATTATCCTTTGCTATTTTAATAAAAACATCAATGTTCATAGAGAAAGCACAGTTGATTAGAAAAAATAAGCTCAGATCTTTGTCCAAGTCAGCAATGCTTACTTGAAACCAGGAGGTTCCACCACAAAACCACAACCTATGAACTACCTTCCTCCTAAAGGCACCTTCCCTTAGGTGCAGTCACAGTATCTAAGAGGAACTAAGAAGGTGTTAGGGTGTTAACCTTAGAGATCTGACTTTATAAAGTATTAGCAATTGTCAAACTCCCCAACTACACTAAGAGTTTCTGGAGGACAGGGGTTGTTCCTGTAAATCTCTCCTGGCATTGTGCAGGGTTCAGAGAAACACATTCAATAAATACATGTTTGGTGCCTGCTATGTACAAGTCACTCATCCTGGGAGTCACTGGGGATATGGCAGTGAACAAAATAAACAAAAATCTCTGTTCTTAAGGACCTTAGAGTATAGTGGTAGAGACCTATTATAAATACAAGGTGTATATGAAATAGCTGATGAATACTATGAAAAAAAGCAGAAAAGAAGAGTAGTAAGTGGCAGGAGAGGGATGGTTGCAATTTCAAAAAGATTTAAGGAAGGCTCACTGAGTTGTGGCATTTGGCCAAAGACCCAAAGGAAGCAAGGGAGTGAGGCACACTGATGGCTTCTAGGGCAAAAGTGTTCTTGGTTGAGAGAACAGCAGTGCCAAAATCCTGAGGTGGGAGTGTGTCTGATGCATTGGAGAACAGAAAGAAGACAAGTGTGTTCAGTATAGAGTGGATGGGAGGGAGGAGAAAAGGTCAGGTACCTAACAGGGAGTCAGACTGCACAGGGTCTTTCAGCCATTGAAAGACCTTTGGTTTGGGAAGCCTTTAGGGAGGGGAGAGGGTAGAACAAAAGAAAGGCAGGATCTGGCCTACATTTATATGGGTCACTCTGGCCACTGTGTTGAGCATAGAGTTTGGGGGCAAAGTTCTGAAGGAAATCCTAAAAAGATATTTATTTGTTAATGGGAGTGGAGTTCATGATGTTTGGAGTTGAGAGTTGTATGAAGGGTGGGCAGGGTTGACAGCCTGCACAATATGGACTACACAGATTCCAAAGATGCCATGCCCATGGGCAAGCTGTTCATGGGTAACTCTGGTAATAAGGCCATGCTCTAGAAAGAGTACAACATGATGTCTGGTATGGGCTTGGGACCTGTGGGGCGGTACCTGCTGTCTGCTTTGGGGTTGAGGCAGTCAGTCCCTCAGAGGTCCTGTGCTACAGTTCGGATATTTGGCCCTCCAAGCTGCAGGTTGAAATCTGATCCCCAGTGTTGGAAGTGGGGCCTAATGAGACATGTTTGGGTCATGGAGGTGGATCCCTTACGAATGGTTTGGTGCTGTCCTCTCCGTAATGAGTGAGTTCCCTTCTCACTCTAGTAGTTCTCTGGAGAGCTGATTATTAAAAAGAGTCTGGCACCTCCTCTTCTCTCTCTCTTGCTTCCTCTTACCATGTATTCTGCCTGTGCCAGCTCCCTTTCCCTTTCTGCCATGAGTAGAGGCAGCTTGAGGCCCTCACCAGGTGCAGACGCTGGCTCCATGCTTCTTGTACAGTTTACAGAATTGTGAGCCAAGTAAACCGGTTTTCTTTATAAATTATCCAGCCTCAGGTATTCCTCTATAGCAAAACAAATGGACTAAGACCCCCCTGTGATTGGAGCAACTTGTTGAGGCTAGCTAGTAAAGGGGACAACTGCCCACGGAGGAGTTCTTTCTTCCTGAGTGAATGGGTCAGACTCGTTTTTAAAAAATTTCTGTGGTGCTCATGTCTGAGGGAATTTGAGCAAAATGTCATGGGCAGCAGACCACAGCTGGGTGGTTCCCACTAGAGAAATTCTACTTTATTCCTTCATTAGTACTAATGAAACTCACTCTGTGAAAGGAAATCACATGACGAGACCACAGCTGTTTCACCGAAAGTGCCACTAACTTGAGCTGTAAAGCTGTTCATAACCTTTAACCTGGAGCTGAGGCTTCAATAAAATAAGCCCCAAATAAACAACCAAAGAAGTAATTGCACAGACATGTTTCAAATTTAACACTGAGAATTTATAACCTAAAATGATCCAAGTGTTCAAGAAGAAAGTAATAGCTAAACAAATCACAAAAAAATATATATATAAAATAAGAAGATGGAATGCCACAGAGACATTAGAAATAAAATCTCTGGGGGTTCTTTTGGTGAAATGAAAAGTACCTAAGAGGGCCGGGCACGGTGACTCACGCCTGTAATCCCAGCACTTTGGGAGGCCGAGGCGAGTGGATCATGAGGTCAAGAGATCGAGACCATCCTGGCCAACACGGTGAAACCCGTCTCTACTAAAAATACAAAAATTAGCTGGACGTGGTGGCACATGCCTGTAGTCCCAGCTACTCAGGAGGCTGAGGCAGGAGAATCGCTTGAACTGGGAGGTGTAGGTTGCAGTGAGCGGAGATCACGCCACTGCACTCCACCCTGGTAACAGAGCCAGACTTCATCTCAAAAAAAAAAAAAAAAAAGTACATGAGATTATTTAGGTGAATAATGTAAAACAAAAAATTGAATGTTTGTATAATTATACCTATTATCTCAAATATGTGTACTCACTGGCAGATGGATTTAGAGAAATAGAGTTTATAAATGAATTTGGAGAAATAAAAATTGAGCTTAAACTCACGGGTTGTTTTATGTAAAGTGATTAGATTGTAAACATAAATATAAAAAATAAAGTCTTCAGAGGAGATGGGGGAGGTAGGCAGCTTCAGTGCAGAATAAGGCTGCTGACTCTCCGTCCTTATACACTACTTAGACTGTTAGTACTCTTCAGTAAAGTGTATTTATCTTTATTACTTTTCAAATAGAACAAGTTTACCTTTTATTATGAAAATAATGTATTATTATTATTTTAATTCAAAGAGTACAGGAACACTTAAAAGAGAAAGTACAACTAACCATGAATCTTACCATCTATGGTGATTCATATTTTAAATATCAGAAAAAAGGCACCTATGCCTCATCTTCCTCATTAATATGGCCTATTCACTATGTGCTGAGAAGACTAAGGAAGAAGCAGATAAGGCGAGAGCCCTTGATTATTAGCCTTGAAAGCCCACCAGAATAGGAGGGAATATTCCCAGGTTGCTGTGTACTTGGTCACTGATGACTCATCTCTGTCCCAAAGGCCATGTGCAGCTCTGTCAGCTCTATGAACAGCCCTACCACTGGATTTCAGAATGAAAGATTAGAAAGCCACCTTTGTGTGCCTTCTTTGTAAGCAAACTTATATATTTACATTGTGGAAAAGTGGTGCCAAGTTTAATGAGTTAAATTCCTCTGTTTAGTAAAGATAGTGACATATAAGAATATACTTTTTTTCCTCCAAGGGGCTCAATGAATGTGTAAAGTAAGTTTTTTGGGGGGCAGGGGATAATATTTAAAATATAGACCATCACAGCTGGTAGAATTTTACTTTCTCCTTTAAATATTACTGTACTGTTTGATTTTTTAAAAATGAGTGCATTATTTTTACAATGAAAGGTAAATTTGTCCTGTTTGAAAAAAATGCACCGAGTCAATATTTTTATTTTTCCTAAATTGACCCTTATAAATATTAATAGATCAGATCACATAAAATTAAAAATCTCTGTGACAACCTTCCCCAACCCAATAAACAATGTTTAAAGATTGATGACAAACTGGGACTATCAATTATTATTTAAAATACATAAAATAATTTATAAATCACAAAGAATATAATGAAAAAAGGTCCAGAGATATTAATAGACACAAAAATTTGAATTGGCCATAGACATGAAAAAAAGCAAAACTTATTTGTGGTTACATAAATGCAAATTAAAAGCAATTAGCTACTAGTTTTTATCTTTTAGAGTGGGAAATATTAATTACTCTTAGTCATTGTTGGCTATAAAGACTATAGGCGTTCTCATACATGTTTGTGAGAATTTCAATTGGTGCAACTTATTTAAAGGAAATATCTATTTAAGTTTTAAATGGGAATATCCTTTGACCCTCATATTGTACTTCTAAGGTATTTCCAACAATGTAACTGTAAAATTTTACACAGGTTTTATGATTAGATGGCTTATGGTAGAATTGCTTTGTTACATGGCCATTGAACATGGCATTGGGAGTTAGAAAATTGAATGCCTCTGGGGTCCAGATTTAAGGAAGACTAGAAAGTGGTGGGGCATTATGAGAACTTGAAGCCCACAGGCTGTGCTATCTCAGCTCAGTGTATTGCCCTACACCCTTCAGTTTTCAAGATAAGGCCTTTTACATAATCTTTCCACATTTAAAAATGTGGGCCCTTTAGTCTAAACTTTTAAAATACCATCTAGACCACCACAGTATCTAGATTTTGGCCAACTTTTTCAATCCTTGGTGTATATCTATCTTCTCATATATTTTTACTTCTAAAATGTGTGCAAAAATGGGCACAGAAGGGTGAAAATAACATATATATATAATGTTTAAAAAATAATAAAAGAAATTCCAGTCATGTTACTACTACTCACCTTGACAAATAGAACATTAACCAAACTTTTGTGTCTTACTACAATTATATTTGATTTGTTTCTCTTAAGAGGTAATCACTCCCTTTAATTTTGCTTTTATGTCTTGTTTTTCTTTATATTGTTAGCAATGATATCTCTACATTGGATTTTGCTTAGTTTTTACTGGTATTAAACTTGTAAAAAGAAATCAGGCTGTAATGTATTCTGAGACTTTTTGAGATTCATCCATGTTTTTGTCTAAATAGTTTATACTTTTAGATTTAGTATAATGTGCTAAAGTTTAATATGCATGCCATATTAAATTATTTTAGAGCATTAAGAAAAAGGGTGTTTGTGGGGGCGCTGTCAGCCCAGCTGGTTTTCTGTCCCCTATACTGCTTTTGCCATGGTAGGGTCACTGGGCTAAGGTGAGGGCACAGGCCCTGTGCTGCGAGCCCTTCAGAAGCATGTTGGTGATTGGTCCTGGGATGAGTGGCATCCTTTCTGATGATCGGGCTATGAGGTACTGCTACTGTCTCTTCAGAGACCCCCATAATGCTGCTTGCCTGCCACCAAGGCCACCCATCCCTCCTTAACCCCAAACTCTGGGTTCTCTTCCCTGCAGCAGGGACACTGGGGCTTCCCTCCTGTTCCACTTAACTCCTTCATGTTTGGCCACAGCAGGAGATGTGACAATAGCGCAGGGAATTTCACTTCTAAATTCCTATCACGTCAAATCTAAATCCAAAAACGAGTACCCCAACCCAGACTGATTGAGTGGTCAGTCTCCATCTGCAGGAACATGTGGGTGCCTCATTGGAGGGGACTCAGAAGGCAGGCCCTCCTCCTGGGCTGTCTTTTTTCCCTCCACCCCTCAGATACCCCTTATCCCAGAGTATCAGTACCTCTGGCCCTGTCCAGGGGTGTCAAATAGGGCACACTTGACTCCGCTGGATGGAGCCAGAGGGACTGAGCAAGTGAAGGGTATCATCATCCACTGGCTAGAAAAATCATGTACAAAGATAAAACAGCAATGACTTGCAGACCAGGTCTGCACTGTCCATCCCGGATCACCAAGCTTCGTCCTGGATGCTTTCCTGTCTTTCCAAGCCCTGACGTCTAATCTATCTCCAAGTCATGTTTGTTCTTCCTTCAATATTGGCTTGGAACTATTCCCTTCCCTCTTCCTTGCCTCCATCATCTCATTCAGATACCATCTCAGGCTGAGAATACCTTTGTTTCTTCCACATATAACCATGGGGCCACGACTGCACAGTGGGGACACCTGAAACACAGAGGTGAGCAAACCCGGCAGGCCTTCTCCCTCTCAGTGCTGGATTTTACTGCAGCAGCCTCCTGCCTGGACTGGGGCCTCTACGCCCACACCACCGTCTCCCTGCCTTTGCCAGAAGGCTCTGACAGTGCCTCCCTGCCTGGACCTTTCACGGCCGCTGGGATGAAGCCTGGGCACCATAGACCGCCCATCCTCCATGTCCCCCACCTTCCTAGCCCCGGCCTACAAGCAGCCTTGCTCACCTCACTTGCCACCTGTCCCTTCCAGTGTGCCTATGTGCCTTGGTCCCTGCTGTTCTCTCTGCATGGCACTCTTCCACTCAGGTTTCAGCTGAAATGGCACCTCCTCAGAGATGCCTCCCTTTTTGCACCATGTCCTCTACCCTGCCTTGTCCTTATTTCTGGCCACACTGCTTGCCTGCCCCACCCTCCTACCCTCACCAAACACACCACCAGTGGTTCTGAGTTGCCTCCAGCCTGGATGTTCCTCCTCTGCATCCAACTGCCCTGGGCATGGAGACACCCATCCATGTTTTAAAGATTCATCCTTATTGATATGGATACCTGTAAATACTTCATTGTTTGAGCATACCATGCACTATTTATTCATACAGAGACCTGTGCTTTCTGACACAAAAAATGGCAAAGGAGACAACAAAGCAACATATGTAGAATTATTCCTCTTTCGTAAAAAGTGGATGTATATGCATACTTTTGTTTTGAGACAGGGATCTTTCTATGATGCCCAGGCTGGATTCAAACTCTTGGGCTCAAGCAATCCCCCTGTCTCAGCCTTCTCAGTAGTTGGAACTGCATCCAGGTGCTGCCTAACATACATGTTTTATATACATACCTACACACCCGCTTTGGAAGGCTGTGACACTGCAGATCTCCTGCTCCGCAATAGTGTGATTAAACCTAATCTGAAATCAAATATCTTGGCCTTGAAAGAGTCAGATGCTTTCTCAAAACATTTGCTAACTCTTGGGATTAATTTCCTTTTGCTCCTCCCTGCCTTCATATTTCTACCTTTTGATGTGCTACCTCACTCATGTTCAATGCCAAGAAATTCAAAATGCGCATCAATTCTTGTACCCAAACATTTCATGAATTTAGTAATTTTATTAAAGTGACCCGAGAGACTCATGGGGAAAAGGTCCCATTTTCAAACACACCCCCTCTACCACCGTTACTGGCTTCACACCCATCCTATTCTTAAAAACTTCACTCATTACTCTGGGCAACAGAAAATTTATTTTCACTGCCCCACACAGAATAAGTCTGCTCGGTTCAGGATCTCTCAGTGTTTTATCTTTTACCTTAAGATTTATCAAATATTTTACTTCCTCATGTATAATACTTTAGAGAAATTTTGATAGATAAAAGTATCTACCCTTTTTACACAACACAATGAATGATGGGACTATAGGTGATTAAAAAAATCTTTATTATACATTTCTGTAATGGAACAATAAAAAACGTGTTTCACATTTATAATTGTAATCTCTCACAACTTCTGTTTGTGAAAAAAATTTATAATTAGAAAAGATAACACATTTATATTTTAGAAAAAATGCTATGAAGGGGGTTTAAAAGAGGCCTAGAAATTGATGTCAGTGGCTTTCAAGCTGTTTTGAACATCATCCTCAATAAGAAATATATATATATAACTACCTAGTAAATTCAACCAAATGAAAGTTTCACGAAAGAGAATTCATTCTTATTATGTGACATCGTGACCCATGAAATCAATTTCACAGTCTACTAATGGATCTTTACCTGTATTCTGAAAACACTGGTCTATTGGTTTCACTTGTCAACCTGATCCTGAAAACTAAGAATAAATTAGTCCAACCATTTATTTCTTATTATTCATATAATAAAAATAAATGTATTTTTTATTCTCTTCTTTGGTTATTGTGATCTCATAGAGACACAACCTCATGAAGAAATGACGTCTAAGTGTCCCCCTGTACTCTTTTTTTTTGTTAGCAAGTAGTATTTTTAAGATGTTTTGTTCTGATTTCATCTGTGTGAAGTCACAATAACAGTGTCATTTAAGTTTTTTAGTTTCTGGGAGAGGCTTTTGTGTTTGGAAAGGACTATTTATCTGTGGTTACCTGGGTCTTAAGTTAGTATTTATTTTATTAAAGTTGACATTTACAAAACATTTTTCTTAAGCTATTAAGTTTAGCCTTCAAATTTGTATTCTATTTATAAATTAAATAAATTTTCTATAAATAAAATAATTATTTCTACATGTTCTTTGATTACAGATTAATTATACACTTGACCCCATTAAAATGTCAGTAAGTTGAATTCCTTTAAACATTAAAAAAGATACGTATAGAACATAAGTACCTTGATTTTCTCAAACACTTCAAATGTCTCTCATGGTATCATCTTTCTGAGTTCTTAAGCAACTGTTGTATATCTGATAAAAAGATTCATAACTCAAGGAAATCAGGTTCTCAACTTTCAAATGCATTCAGAAACAAATCAAATGATTTTATACTTTTAAAATTAAAACATCAAATCAGATATCAATCATACATTTCAAATTGAAATAAAAAGGAATCCTAGAATAGACTGCAATGCAAATTCAAGACTGGGTCACAGAATGATTCTTTAGTAATCACAGGTGAACAGGCTGAGTTGAATCAGGCAGTATCTGCTGTATCAATACCTTAAACTTTTTAACTGGCATTTGGTTTTGTAACCAATTACATTATGTGTGGCCTGTGTCTATCTCAAGTTTCTTTTTCATCTCCAAACTTTCATTGTAAATTCTTTCAATATTTTAAACTCCTTTTATTGGAAAATTTTAAACAAATACAAAAGGAGACAGAAAGGCATAATGAGCAGAATAGACTCATTAACTAGATTTTATAATTATTACTTCATAACCAATATTTTTAAAAACTGTACTTCCACCCATTTCCTTCTACCCTGTTTAATATTAAGAAGCAAATCCCAGACACTATGTCATTTTACAGCCCACTTAGGTCATTCACATGTCTTTAGAAGGAGGTAAGGCCTTAAAACTAAAAAGACTCACAATGCCGTTATCTCATCTAAGATTAATAACAATTTTTTTAATATCATGGACTATTTAGACAGGGTTCAGGTTTCAAATTGTCTTACATGAATCATTATTATTTCTTAGTTTGTCTAAGTCTGTATTTAAAGAAGATTTTTGTGATTGGTTGATATTCTTCTTAAGTCTCTTAACCTGTCAGTTTGCTTCTTAATTTCTTATTTTTTTCCTTGACATTTATTTGTTGAAGAAAGTGGGTCACTTGTTCTATAGAGTTTCCCAGTGTAGACTGTGCTGAATTGATCTCCATGGTGACATGATGTCATTTAATATATTTTTCTATAAATTGATTGTTTAATCCAGAGGCAAACTCAAATGTGATGTGTGTGAGTGTGTGTGTGCGTGTGTGTATGTGTTTGAGTGAGATTACAGCAAGCAAGACAAATTCCTTAGTGGAGTACCCCATCAAAAGTAATATCTGGTTGTCTCTTCAACCTTTTTGAAATCACTTTACTTGGGTAAATCAAATTGGGTACCCCCTGTCCAGGTTGCAGTTAATTTTTTTATTTTTTTTGCCGTGTGACTAGAGTTATTTGAATTCTGCTCTCCTCTTTCCTCTTTGTAACATTTTCCTTTCTGTGGGAGTAGCACTAATTGAATCCCTCTCCCCTGTTTTATATTTTATTTTATGTCTCATGGGCCACAGTTACAGTATTGATGAAAATCTACCAAGTAAGTTGAGCTTCTTTCTGTGTCAGCAGAGATGAGCCTAGTGCTCCAAGTAATCGTTGTACAGGCCATATATCTGAAGCAGGGGGGTAAATCCTCTTGAAAATAGGTAAGTTTTAACCTAATATGTAGAAAAAGTGGATGACTTTTAGGGTTCTTGGGAACTCCAACTCTCCAAACAACCCCCTCCTTGACTTAAAATTCCAAAAAGAATTTCTTCACTTCTTTGACCTAGGCTTGAGTCTCTTTTATAATATATTTAACTTATCAGTACTTTATTACATCTTAATGTGAATAAATCTTTCTGTTATTTCCTGGGATGTGACTTTGAAAGGGGAGGTTAGAGATCTTGCTAGGAGCTGGTCCTTATGGTGAAGGCTGAGAAGGAAAGTCCGATCTGGGCTTAAGGTATATACTCAGGAGTCACATGCTGGGGAGATTAAATTAAGTCTGGGGCAGGCCAAGAGGGGGAAGAAGGGAGGTGATGTGATGCTTTGGATTCACCTGGATCATGATCTAAAATTTTAGATTATTCTTGAACCCAACCAGTCTCTCCCAGGTTTATTATCTTTGGATCTTGAATGATAATTTTTTTTTGACTATCAACATAATACTCTACTCCGTTAGCAGTTAAGCAAAAACTCACCTGCCTTGGGTAAATTTATATCTCCATTATTGCTGAAAAATACTAATAGTTGAATGAAGTGTTCATTTTGGTTGGCAAAGCTGTAGAATAACAATAGCTGGAATGCACAGTGCCAAGATCAGCAACCCAGTACACTACTGACTTCAAAATCAAGGGCACTGTAATTGAATTCTAAAATGTAACAGTTGAAAGTAATTTTTTTTCTGTTTATTTGACAAAACCTGTTCCTAGAGAATAAATAGATACTGACATAAATACTTAAATGGCTGTTATTTGTGAAGGAAACTGTACTTAAAAGTAGTTTTTTCTTTAGCTTTCAGACAAGCCAAACCCAGTTTATCAAGATTTGTCATTGAGGTGGTAATAGAATATATCACCAGGGTTTTTATATTTCCATTGTTCCCCTTGCAGACAGCAACTTTGCAGAAAGCAATTATGTTGAAGTGACTCATATGCCATCAAAATTATTCCTGTTGAAGGTAATTTCAGCAATAAAACAGTTTGTACTTTCCCTCCTTAGACACTGTTAGCATGAGGCATTTAAAAAAAATCTGTAGAGACCCATCTCTCTAATCCAATACGACTAATGTCCTTATGGAAGAAATGGCATCTGAAGAGGCAGAGACACATACAGAGAAAAGGCAATGTGAGGACACAGAGAGAACATCATCTACCAGCCAAGGAGTGTCTGAGACCACCGGAGGCTAGGAAAGAGGCATGGAACAGATGATCCCTCACAGCCCTCAGAAAGAACCAAGCCTGCTGACACCTTGGTCTTGGACTTCTAGCCTTCAGAACTGCAAGGCAATAAATTTCTGTTGTTTAAGCCACCCACAACATTTCTGTTGTGGTACTTTGTTACGGCAGCCCTAGCAAAATGATACAGTTGGGAAATCCAGTGAAAAAGAAATGCATTCTTTGAAAACAGAGTGAGCAAGAGAGAGAGAGAGCAGTTGGGGTAAAACAATGGCAGATGGATGTCAAAGTTTTTCAATAAAAAAAGATGACTTTTCATTAATAAAGACTATAGTCTGAGACCCTCTTGAGTCTCCAGATCTTTTTCCCTTCAATTCTTCCTAATGTCTTCTCTAACTCTCTCCAACTTCCTTTCTTGGCGGCATGCATGTTTTATTCTTTAAAACACACTGAATTCCTACCATGAGCCAGTCACTGTGCTGGCCACGGAGGCATGAATGGCCCCAGCCCTCATGGAGTGCCCAGTCCAGAGTGAGTAACAGTCATGCAATCTGGATATCAAGGACAGAGTGGTAAGGGCTGTGGTGGAGTAACTACAAGGGAAGCTAAGACTACTCTTAGGAGGGACACCTAATCTGATTTTTGTTTGTCATATAGAGCTTCCTGGAGGAATTGACTCCTAGATTTGTGGAGACCTAAAATGAGTGGAGAAAAGTGTTCCACACAGGGTGAACAGCACATGAAGTCTGGAAATGAAATTCATGACTGTGTCTTAGACTGTGAGTTAGGAAACAGTGAGAGATGAGTCAGAAAAGGTGGGCAGAATCCAGGCTGTATGATCTTTGAAGCCATAAATACATCTTTTGACTTATTCAAAAGCATACTGGAGCAGTGAAGGGACTCATGCTGAAAAGAGCAGCGAGATTTGTGCTTGGACTGGTCATTCCATTTACCTGAAGATGGCAAGTTGAACACAGGCAGAAATCTCCCCTTCCACTCTATCATATGGAGTTGATATCAGTATATTAAAATTGTATTACTAAATACATCTTATGCTTGAAAATAAGAAAAGGGAAATACAAATCAGAAATCCAGAAGCTTGCCAAAAAGTGAGGGGAGAGGAAGTAGACAGGAATCCATGATAGTAATAAGGGCCTAAATCCATTGGGCTTTTAGGGGACTGGGATTGTGGAACTGGAGCCTTTCAATATTTGGAAGCAGGGCTGACACCATTCTATCTGCCCATGGCTGGGGGCTGAAAGGGGCTACCTGTTCTCAGCAGGGTCCAGAGTTCCTCTGCCACACAGAAACAAAGTACCACAACAGAAATTTTGTGGGTGGCTTAAACAACAGAAATTTATTGCCTTGCAGTTCTGAAGGCTAGAAGTCCAAGACCAAGGTGTCAGCAGGGTTAGTTCTTTCTGAGGACTGTGAGGGATCATCTATTCCATGCCTCTTTCCTAGCCTCTGGTGGTCTCAGACACTCCTTGGCTGGTAGATGATGTTCTTTCTGTGTCCTCACACTGCTTTTCCTCTGTGTGTGTCTCTGCCTCTTCAGATGCCATTTCTTCCATAAGGACACTAGTCATCTTGGATTAGAGAGACTGGTCTCTACCGATTTTTTTTAAATGCCTCATGCTAAGAGTGTCTAAGGAGGGAAAGTACAAACTGTCTGGAAATAAGGCAATCCTTTGTTTACCTGGTCTAAGCCTGGTCTGGAGCTCTCCCTGATACAGAGCTGGGGATGAGGCAACTGAAGGAACATATATCAGGAGACTGTCACAACCCAGAATGCATGTAGGAGAAACCTGTGAAAGATGAGTGTAAGATAATTAGAAAGTATTTGAGGAAGAGCAACATCATTAAAGATAGACAACAAACAGCATGAATGGGATAACTGATACTTGAGCAGTTATAGCTAATGCAGGAATAAAGAAAGAACTTTAAAATAAATATATGATTATCCAAGAGACAAAGTAGGAAATGGCAACTGTAAAATAAGCTGGAGAACAAATTACCAAACTTGAAGATCAACCTAAAGAAGTCTCTCAGAATGCAGCACGAAGAAATAGAGAAGACAAATAGCAAAGAAAGGTTAAGAGATCATGAGAATGGATTCAGAAGATTCAGTATACATTTGATGAAATACGTAGGAGAGAATTTTGAATGGCCAATATATGAATGAGAATTTTCCAGAAGGAAGTATAGATATGAATCTTTGAGTTGAAAAAAATCCCATGAAGTAATAAAGAGGCAAAAAATATGTATATAGATATTATGCTCAAACTTTGGAACATTAGATACAATAAGAGCACCCCTAAATTCTGTCAGAGATATGATATTGATCAGCAGTCCCCAACATTTTTGTCATCAGGGACAGGTTTCATGGAAGACAATTTTTCCATGGATGGGGGAGGGGTTGGTTTCGGGATGATTCAAGTGCATTAACATTTATTATACTTTATTTCTATTATTACATTGTAATATATAATGAAATAATTATACAACTCACTATAATTAGAATCAGTGGGAGCCCTGAGCTTGTTTTCCTGCAACTAGATGGTCCCATCTGGGGGTGATGGGAGACAGTGACAGATCTTCAGGCATTAGATTCTCATAAGGAGTGTGCAACTTGGATCACTCACATACACAGTTCACAATAGGATTTGTGCTCCTATGAGAATCTATTGACTCCACTGATTGGACAGGAGGCAGAGCTCAGGTGGTAAGGTAAGCACTGGGGAGCAGCTATAAATAAAGATGAGGCTTTGCTGGCTCACCTGCTACTCGCCTCCTGCTGTGTGCCCTGGTTCCTACAGGTCTGTGGCCTGGGGGTTGGGGACCCCAATACAAAGTAAAAGAATAAACATTAAAATAATGTCATGTTTTCTATTAACAATATTAGATGCCATAAACAACAGGACAATATCTAAAAAACTCAGAGAATAATATCCTTTAATACAGAAATATTTATTATTCTAAATTATGCATCAGAAATTAGGGTTAAAGATCTTTGGCTGGGCATGGTGGCTCATGCCTGTAATTCCAGCACTTCTGGAGGCTGAGGTGGGCAGATCAAGAGGTCAGTTGGAGACCAGCCTGGGCAACATGGTGAAACCTCATCTCTACTAAAAATACAAAAGTTAGCCGGGTGTGGTGGTGCATGCCTGTAATCCCAGCAAAGGGCTAATATCCAGAATCTACAATGAACTCAAACAAATTTACAAGAAAAAAACAAACAACCCCATCAAAAAGTGGGCGAAGGACATGAACAGATACTTCTCAGAAGAAGACATTTATGCAGCCAAAAAACACATGAAAAAAATGCTAACCATCACTGGCCATCAGAGAAATGCAAATCAAAACCACAATGAGATACCATCTCACACCAGTTAGAATGGCAATCATTAAAAAGTCAGGAAACAACAGGTGCTGGAGAGGATGTGGAGAAATAGGAACACTTTTACACTGTTGGTGGGACTGTAAACTAGTTCAACCATTGTGGAAGTCAGTGTGGCGATTCCTCAGGGATCTAGAACTAGAAATACCATTTGACCCAGCCATCCCATTACTGGGTATATACCCAAAGGACTATAAATCTTGCTGCTATAAAGACACATGCACACGTATGTTTATTGCAGCACTATTCACAATAGCAAAGACTTGGAACCAAGCCAAATGTCCAACAATGATAGACTGGATTAAGCAAATGTGGCACATATACACCATGGAATACTATGCAGCCATAAAAAATGATGAGTTCATGTCCTTTTGTGGGACATGGATGAAATTGGAAATCATCATTCTCAGTAAACTATCGCAAGAACAAAAAACCAGACACCGCATATTCTCACTCATAGGTGGGAATTGAACAATGAGAACACATGGACACAGGAAGGGGAACATCACACTCTGGGGACTGTTGTGGGGTGGGGGAAGGGGGGAGGGATAGCATTGGGAGATATACCTAATGCTAGATGACGAGTTAGCAGGTGCAGTGCACCAGCCTGGCACATGTATACATATGTAACTAACCTGCACCTTGTGCACATGTACCCTAAAACTTAGAGTATAATAATAATAAATAAATGAATTAAAAAAAAGAAAATAAAAAAAATCTTTTCAGATTATAAGAACAACTGGAATTTGTCATGCATACACCCTTGATGAAAGAACTTCTAAAGTATATACTCCAGCAAGAAATAATGATAAGCAAAGAAGTTGTTAAAACACATTCATGAATTAAAATATTTATTGATTTAAAAAAACAATAGGAGAAAGATGGATTTAGTAACAAGCTGGGACCAAAATTTCATTAAATATATAACCATCCTTTTCAAGATATTCAACAAAAATATATATAATAAAGTAACCTAGATTAATATAACAGAATTTATCAAAAGAGAAAGAAGAGAAAGAGAAAGCATAGTAAGGAGAAAATACAAAATAATTTATTAGAAACAAGCATACATGTGACAGTAATCACAGTAAATGTGGACAGGTTGATTGCCCCTGTGAGAGTAGGGACCTTCTTTCTTGGTCATATCTGTATGCTTGCCATCAAGTTTTTCGAATAAGATATTTGTTTTATGAGATCTTTTAAAAAAGATACTATGAGATCTTTTAGGCTGGGCATGGTGGCTCACACCTGTAATCCCAGCGCTTTGGGAGACTGAGGCCGGCGGATCACGAGGTCAGGAGATCGAGACCATCCTGGCTAACAGGGTGAAACCCCGTCTCTACTAAAGATACAAAAAATGAGCTGGGCATGGTGGCAGGTGCCTGTAGTCCCAGCCACTCAGGAGGCTGAGGCAGGAGAATGGCGTGAACCCCGGAAGCGGAGCTTGCAGTGAGACGAGATCGTGCCACTGCACTCCAGCCTGGGTGACAGAGCGAGACTCCGTCTCAAAAAAAAAAAAAAAACAAAAAACCATGAAATCTTTTAAAAAAGATCTTTAAAAAAATCTAGCTATATTATGGTGAAAAGAGAGTCACTTTAAAATATCCCCGAGAGTTTGAAAACCCAGGGAAGAAGAAAGATATATGCCAGGCAATTACTGACAGCAACAGCAAGTATCTAGCATAGCAAGATTAGAATTACGAGTAACAAAATTCAGGGCAAAATGCGTTAAAAGAAACAGGTTGACATTTCATACTGATAAAAGGAACAATGTGCTTTTATGCATTTTAAATATGGCCTTAACTTATAAAAAATCTGATAAAACTATATTTAGAAATAAAAAATCATGGTGGAAGACAAATGTGATACACTACCCTTAACATGAGAAAAACCCACAAACACCCAGTTTAAACCATGAGCACAGGACTTGCACAGACATTTCTCCAAAGAAGATAGACAAATGGCTGATGAAGCATATGAAAAGATACTCAACATCACCAATCATGAGGGAAGTGCAAATCAAAACCAAAATGAGAGCAACCTAAATATCTATAAATGGATCAATGGATAAAGAAAGTCTCACATATACATGCAATGGACTATTATTCAGCCTTTAAAAATGATGGAAATTCTGATACATGCTACAACATGGATGAATCTTGAGGACATTATGCTAAGTGAAATAAGCCAGTCACAAGTGGCATGGTTGTAGACTGAAACACACACTTAAAAATGGTTAAGATGTTACTTTTATGTTATGTGTATTTTATCACAATTGAAATACAAATAAGGATACTCCCCTTGATGTATTTTGGAGAATGGTTTAATGGGGACAAACACAGGTTGGATAGACACCAGCTGGAAAATTTTTCTGTGAATCAAGAAAGATATAACAGTGACTTTAATTCATGTAGTGTAAGTGGGACTGAAGTCAAAGGGAGGGATTGAGAAATAACTAGAAGGTAGGAACAAGAGTACTCAGTGAATGACTAGATGTGAGTGCAAAGGGAGAGAGAAGCCACTTTCAATGCTTGGTTTCAGGATTGGACAACTGTGTGAATGTTGGAGCCATTTTCTGAGACAATACACCCAGGAAGAGGAGCAAGATCTGGCGGACAAGATGAGGAGTTTAGCTTAGACTAAGACGAGTTTGAGATGTCTCTGAAATGTCTAAGGGTCCAAAATCTCTTTCTTCACCCTCTTCATTTTCTCTTTATTTCTTCCACTAAAATGCCCACTGGCTTTCTTTCTATGCACACTTTCACAGATAAACACAATTTTGTTGACTTTAGGAGTGTTCCCACATCACTGCAGCATAGATCTTAGTGGGTAGATCCTGGGATTACTCAAATATGTACTTGTCTTAAACAGGATTTATTTCCCTAAGTTCAAAGAATGCTTAATGCAGTGGAACAGATTGTGTTTCCAGTGGACACAAGAATCCCAGATGCAGAACACTAACAAGAAGCTTGCATAAGCACAAGGCCAAGTTCATTTCATTCTCATTTGCTATAATGCAACTCTTCTACAATTTCACTGATGGTGTAGATAAGACAATTCACAGCTGTCACTGAGACTGGGACCTGCCAGCTGTTGTCTTTTGCTCTGATTTCTTTCCTGCAGATAAAATGTTTTGTAGAAATAACATAATGGGTCCCCAAGTTTGGTTTGTTTATATTTTGTCATCTGTTGTGATGCCAACAGAGCATATTCAGGACATAATACTTAATGTAGAATGGTGGTGAATCAGTCATGTTCTGATGTTGTCCATTTGGTAGCAGTCATTGAGGAAGATGCTTTTCCCACACAAGTGTGAATATAATAATAAAAACAAAGACCCTACATTCAGGTGAACTAGGTGCAATCCTGGCTGGTTATGTGATTCTGAGTAGGTTTAACCAGCCTGAATCTCAGTTTCTTTATCTTTAATTAAAACGATGGGAAAAGCCCCTGGTTTATAGTTATTTTATAGATTAAAGGAGATATATGTGAAGGTATCTATTATAGTACTTAACATATTGCAGGCATTAACAAATATTAATTTCTTTTCCCTTGTAAACTGTTCTATGATTAATACCACATTTTCCCAGGCCATCCCAACCTGAAGGTAAAAAGGGGACCACAACAGCAGCATAAATGTCCGCAGCCTCTTGCATGGGGCCTTATAAGTTCCGTTCAAAGCAATTCTCCCAAATTTGTAGAGTGCCCAGGATTGTCTCACACACGCTGATAAGCACAGCATTCTTCGCTCACACACAGAGCTTGCCTTCTTTGTCTTTGCCTTGACTGTTCATGACCCTTTGCTGGGACTGGGATTGCTAATCCTGGTAAGGCCAATGCAAAGATGTCAAGAACCTTTTGATGACTTTGGGAAGTTGGGAAATTCCCTCCTACCACTGATAGCTTCCACCTCCTGCCACTTAGGCTAGATGTTTTATAGAGCCAGTGCCATTCTCTGGGCCAATCCACAGTGTGCCAAAACCACTTTGTTTCCTTCCCTGATGTGTCAAGATCTATTTTCTGTCTTTATATTAACATTAATTGTTTTAGTTTGTATTTTCAGCCACTTTCTTCTTGGGGACCTAATTATGAGTTCTTAGGGCCTGGGCCAGAGGAAAATTTGACTAACGGATATCACACCAAAAACCTGCTCTCCCTCCTAACACTGAAGCTTTATTAGAAGGCCAAGCTTTTATGTGAATGCCTGTCTTCTCTGAGGATAAGTGATTTTACAAGAGTTATTTTCAATTCCTCATGCCAGTCACCCTCCCTCCTCCCAGTCCCCTTAGGGCCACCTCAGCAGTCTTCCAGATGTTCTAAGGTAAATACTCCTGTGTTCTAGTTGAGAATCCTGCCACAGTTTCTCATGTAGGAGGATTTTTAGAGACTCTTTTTGTTTTTTTAAAGAAGACTTTTCCTCTAAAGAGTAGGAGGAAGACTGGGAAAAAAACATGAAATAATTATTACTTTTTTTTTTAAATTTTAGGGGCACAAATGGTTTTTGCTTAAATGGATGAATTGTATAGTGGCGAAGTCTGGGATTTTAGTGCACCTGTCACCTGAATAGTGTCCATTGTACCCAGTGTACCCAGTAGGTGGTTTTTCATCCCTCACCCCACCTCCCACTCTCCCCACTTCTAAGTCTTCAAGGTTCATCATACTACTCTGTATGCCTTTGCATACCCATAGCTTAGCTCCCACTTACAAATGAGAACATGTGGTATTTGGTTTTCTGTTCCTGAGTTACTTCCCTTAGGATAATGATCTCCTGTTTCATCCAAGTTGCTGCAAAAGACATTATTTATTTTTTATGGCTGAGTAGTATTCCATATGTATACCACGTTTTCTTTATCCACTTGGTTGGGGACTTAGGTTGATTCTACATCTTTGCAATTGTGCATTATGCTGTGATAAACATATGTGTGCAGGTGTCTTTTTTATATAATGGCTTTTCCTTTGGACAGATACCCAGTAGTGAGATTGCTGGATCGAATGGTAGACCTACTTTTAGTTCTTTAAGAAATCTCCATACTATTTTCCATAGAGGTTGTACTAATTTACATTCCCACCAACAGTGTATAAGTTTTCCCTTTTCATCACATCCACACCGACGTCTATTGCTTTTTGACTTTTTAATAATGGCCATTCTGGCTGGGGTATCTCATTATGGTTTAATTTGCATTCATTATGAAATGATTGTGATAATTCTGGATGTGAGAGAGTAGGGGGGATTTTAAGGAAGGGTCGGGGATGTGGGGACCTGAATATGGGCAGTGGTCATGGAAAGAAATGGGCAGATTCTAGAGGATTGATGAAAGAACAAACAAAGGTAATCAGTGACGACTGGAGAAACAGGACTTGAAGGTTGTCATGGATGATTCTGAGTTTTCTGGGAATTTGTGCCTCTAAAGTTGATTTGTCTGAATAGTAAAAATTGAAATCCCAAATCCTTAATGGAAGTTTTCAGAGTCCTGTACCCCTTGCCAGCCATCCTGCTTTAAAATGACTTGCTGTTCAAATTCTTCAGTGTCTCTTTCCTTTGCTTTCCTCTAAGCACCAGGCTTGTGCGTGAGAGGCTATAACTTGTCTTCTTTCCTTCATGTAGGTTGGTGATACAGACTTGCTGGTCCTCGTGAACGTGCTGGTGATTTGGACTCCAAGGGCAATCTGTCTGTCAGTTTTGACAGTATTGTCTAGTCTCAGTGAGAGATGGAAGGAAGACCACTGAGATTTCTCTGAGTCTGAAAATAGATACTCTTCTTAGCATTCAAATTTGCTTTGAAGGAGCATTCTTCACATGCCCATGGTCAGGAACAGTTTAAGTAGTGTTAGGATCCAAAAAGTTGATTGGATTTCCCCGCCTCTCTTCACAGTCTATATTTAGGCCCCAGCCTATCAAAAATATTTAAGAGGAGTATTTGGCATATTTCTGAAATGTTATTTTTGAAATATTATGCTGAGCATTTAAGCAAATGAACGACACAGGGACAGCTTTGGGCAATGCTATGAGTGGGTCTCCAGCACCCCTTTCTCTTCATTAGTGTTCTCAAGCTGATCTCTGGTTGCTTAGAGCTCTTCACAGAGGACTTCATCAGGACTGGCCTTCAAAATCCCTGCTGCTAAGCCTTTCCTTTCCCAGATCCCATATCAGATTGTCATGTTCCTAGAGGACTGAACATAGTCAGTGGTCTAATAAATAATAATGATAGATATGGTTTATTGAGTGCCTGGCATGGTGCTTTTCATACATTATCTCATTTTATTCTCACAACAGTTTTGGAAGTATTACTATCCCTCTTTACAAATGAGGAGAGACTGAAACACCAAGACTGTCATTAAGTTGGATAAACGTCATGCAGCTTGTAAGTGCCAGAGATAGAATAGGACCACAGGTCTCTCTCATAATGTACACGCCTGCTAATAATACTTTCAATCCCTTAATTCTGAGGAATGATTTCCAATGGGCATTTCAGGAATTAAGGCAAGCTCTCAGAGGCTCTATCGTTGATAAGGGCTTTATTTCAGTGGGGCCTTATTCTCTTAAACCTGCTTTTGAAGGAAGTAAGCTCTTTGCAAAGCTCTTGTTAGCAGAAAAAAACCACATGTCTTAATTCAAAATGTTATTTGAAATCTCACAATCTGTATTTTTAAAAATAATGGAAGGCAGGTGAACTGTTTGTCTTCAAAAGGTTTATTTTACACACCAACTCTTTACTGCCTCTCAATAAACGTTACTTAATTACAATGTGTTAAAAAGAATGAAGCAGAAGTATGGTCTGTAAAAATATTTGTTATCTTTTGCTTTTTTCGTTTCCTGATTCTGAGGAACTCTGAGCGGTTGTTTGTCAAACTGCTTTGTACCTGCCTGAGCACAAAGGCCCTTTTGCTGGGCTGGGCCCCATGCAGAATGGTGAAGTGGCTGAAGTTTGAAAAGCAGCACACTCCTCTCAGTGCTCCCAGCTTCCTCCTCTCCACTCATTTCCCTGCCTCTTTTATATTTTGTTCAAAATAAAATAAAATGCAAAGAAGACAAACTTTTCTCTTCCTCTCACTCAAGAAGGGATCTTCAGACACATTTTTATGTGATTGAAAGTAAATGTAATTTCCGGGTATTGACATTTTCAACTACATTTCGAATCACAAAACCGAAGATTATTTTTCCTGGTAGAAGGAATTCCAGGTTGAGAAACCTGAGGAGTGAGGTGTTGGGGAATGCCTGAAGAAAGAATTTGGCTAGGATGAGCAGAGTGTTCCTCCTCTTCTCCCCAAAGCAGACAGGCTTCATGAGAAAAGTCTTGAAGATAGCCATTGCTTTACTGATTTTTTTTCCTTGGTGGATTTTAGTAGTTCTGCTTTTTCAGATGATACTTCAGGCCATTTTTTTCACTGTGTGGCAGGAAAAAATAAAGAGGTTTCAAGGAAACAGAGCTGTCTTTTGCCCTGGGGCTTGTTGATCTGGGCAAGGTCTTTACCACCGAGTGCCCTTAAGGGAGGGAGGAATTAGTTCCTGCAACAGCGCTGATAAGGGTTTAGAGAGTGTTTCAAAGTTTACAAAACACATTCATGGAACAGTCAAGTGGAAAAGTTTTTTTAGACACATATAAAATATTATTAAAACTGAGTGCAAGTTATTTGGACTAGCCTTCATTTGGGACAGTCTCTCAAAAGCTGAATTATTCTTTTTTCTTCTGATGATAAAAATACTAATTGTAATGCAGAACAAGCTCTTTCCTCCATCTCCCCTTGTTGCCACTGCATGAGAGTAGCAGAGAGTAGTGCCTAAGTGGCAGTGATACATACATGATGGCTTGAATGGGGTGGCACAAAAAGCTTGTAGTATGATGCTGCCTGCCGTGTGGTGTTCCTGCCTAGTCAAGTCTTCCCCCTCCTACTTTCATTCTGGGCTGTGAGTTTTATACTAGTTTAAGCTAGCTCCTCATCTTTTGAAGCTCGTCATCTTTTTGAACCATGTGAGAAAGCCATCCCACACCATTGCTGTTGAACCTTTCTTCATGTGGAATTTGTTGAGACTTGAGGGCGCCCATCATACGGGGGACCATTATAAGCAAATCTCCCATGATTTTTCACCCTTGCGCTCCACGGTTACAGCCCACTTCTCATCACTCGTCATAATGTGATCCTCTCCCTTGATCCAACAAAATAAGCCAGTTTACAGCCTGAGCTTCCTACAATGAAGTTCACTGTCTAGTCTTACCTATTTTCACAGAACTTCTAATCAGCTTTTCAGGGTCTTAAATAAGTCACTCTATATGAATGAACAGCCAAAGCTGTCTAGATATTTGAGAAAACACTTTAATATGAAATGAACTCAGAGGAAGCAAAGACAATGTAGGAAAAAAAAACAAACTAAGATTCTCAGAGAGAGAAGATAATGAATCCATGGACATGAACAGGATACTATAAAAATGAAAAGAGAATAAAAAAGACCATCAAATATAAAAATGATGACAGTAGAAATTAAACATTAAACCAAAACATTGATACAGTTGTTGAGTAAATGTTACAGACTGACTTGTGTCCCCCCTCAAATTCATATATTGAAGTCTTTTTTTTTTTTTTTTTTTGAGGCGGAGTCTTGCTCTGTCACCAGGCTGGAGTGCAATGGTGCGATCTTGGCTCACTGCAAGCTCTGCCTGCCGGGTTCACGCCATTCTCCTGCCTCAGCCTCCCGAGTAGCTGGGACTACAGACGCCCGCCACCATGCCCAGCTAATTTTTTTTATTTTTGGTAGAGGCGGGGTTTCACCCTGTTAGCCAGGATGGTCTCGATCTCCTGACCTCGTGATCCACCTGCCTGGGCCTCCCAAAGTGCTGGAATTACAGGCGTGAGCCACCACACCTGGCCATATTGAAGTCTTAATCTCCAGTATTGGGAATGTGACTGTATTTGGGGATAGGGCTTTAAAGAGGTACTTAAGGTAAAATATGGCTCTTAAGGTAAGTCCTACTGGAATGTAACTGATATCCATTTAGGAAGAGGCGATTAATACTTATAGAGAGACATCAAGTATGTCCCTCACAGAAGGATGATCATGAAGAGGCAGCAAGAGGGCAGCTATCTGCAAGTGGAGAAAGGAGAACTTAGAGAAACCAGCTCTCCTGGCACCATGCTGTTGGACTTCTAGACTCCAGGACTCCCAGAATATACATTTCTCTTTTTAAAAATAGCCATTCTGTGGTATTTTGTTATGATACTCCTAGCACACCTATACAGTACATTTCCAAGACATCAAAATAACCACAAAAAAACAACAAGACAAACAAACCAAAATCAGAAGATGGAAAGTGAAGGACAAAAGAAGAAAGCAGGCAAACGGTCTAAGTGGATCAAGATCTTATAGAAACAGGCAAATAAAATAAAGAAAATTATAAAATATATAAGAAAATTTTATTAAATGTTTTGCCAAGTGCCTATTATAACAACAGAAAATAAAAAATGTATATCAAATCCTATTGTGAAATTTCCGAGCACTGGAAATGAAAAGCAGATCTTACAATTTTCCAGAAGGAATGACAAATAAAAAGAAGGAACAAAACATTGGTCATACCTACAAAGAATCAGAAACCAAAACGGTGTTTAATTTCTCAAGAAGGGGAAGTGTAAGTAATTGTAAGTGAGTAATTGTAAACTCATTTTATTAGTTGAATTTGTTTCTATGGCTATGTCTTAGGAAACTTCACACAACTTTTCTACTAATGTAAGAATGACTTGTTTTCTGTTTAATCCAAAATATTAAACATCATGGCACTTAGTATAGTACATTCTGCATCTGTGCTCAATAAAAGTTAAAGGGAAATGAGAGGATGGACTAAATATGATATTTGGCAGCAAAGTTTGCTGCCAGCAAAGATTTTTACCATCGTACTGGTCAGATGGCATTGTGATAACAAGATTCTGTTTTAAGCCACTGATCTAAAAGGGACTTTTTCAGAAGACAATGAATAGGAAAGTGAATCAAGTTGGAATCTAGCCATACAGGAAAAGGATGAAGGAATAAAGGATGCCTGGTGGGAGTGTAAATTAGTTCAACCATTGTGGAAGACAGTGTGGCAATTCCTCCAGGACCTAAAGACAGGAATATCATTTGACCCAGCAATCCAATTCCTGGATATATACCCAAAGGAATACAAATTATTATATTATAAAGACACATGCACACATATGTTCATTGCAGCACTATTCACAATAGCAAGACATGGAATCAACTTAAATGCCCATCAGTGATAGACTGGATAAAGAAAATGTGGTACATACACCATAGAATACTAGGCAGCCTTAAAAATAATGAGATCATGTCCTTTGCAGGGACATGAATGGAGTTGGAGGCAAATTAACACAGGAAAAGAAAATCAAATATTGCATATTCTCAGAAGTGGGAGCTAAATGATGAGAACACATGGACACATAGAGGGGAACAACCACTCGCTGGGGCCTATTGGAAGGTGGAGGGTGGGAGGAGGGAGAGGATGAGGAAAAATACCTGAGTGATGAAAGAATCTGTACAACAAATATGTCATAGTGTATATGTATTTATTCAATTTAATCTCATTACCATTGGTCCATTGTTCTGTACAATTGGTATATTTAAAAAACTCATTCATTAGGATTGTTGTTGTTTTTAGGTCTTATTATTTGCCTGATATTTTGCCAGACAAGGGTGAGCAAAACGTTGTTTTCATGACACTTTTAGTTGAGTAGAGATCTTTATTTGTTGTAGCAGAAATTCATTCCTGCACTGCAGGGTAAGTTTTACTAAATGATGCTTAAGATAACCTGTTCAGCAAACGTTATTGAGTGTTGCTGGGGTAAATCATTTTCTGAATTTATAAAGACACAGCCTCTGTTCTCCAGGAACAGCTCAGATATTCTGTGATACTGTGGTGCTTTGCCTACTTGGCAGGCTGATCATAGAACCAAACTAATTTGTTATCCATGATACACACAGGAGTTTGCTCTCCACTGATGAAACCCAAGAAAGCTGAACTCTGTTGGTTGGTTTATTCTTCCATTAATCAAAATAAAAGGATGATGAGGAAGTATCTCTGTCTATTCTAGAGAATTCTGACCCTTCAAAACTGAATATTTCCTTTATTATTATTTCTGAAACACGAGGGGTATCCAAAGGATCAAGATTAGACTAAGGCATAGGGAGACCAGACAGTCACCTGTGTGATGTCTACTCAACATATATTTCCCACATTACCTGCTCCTGGTAGTAGAAATTCTATTATTTATGATTCATTCTTTATGATTAGCCTTGCCCATGTCTGGTAATCTCCTTTAGAATTCAGTTATTTCCATCAAATCTGTCAGCTTGAATTGGTTTAATAAGGCAAGTTTCTTCTCTAAGGTTTAGAATCAAGCTACATTAGATGATTGAGAAATGTCTTGGGCAGAAACCTTAAAAGAGGGAGTTGAGGAAAAGTGAGCTGGAAACTCCCAACATCAATCTATTTTACATTTTGCCTACCACCTGCCCCATCTCGGAGGTTTTGGACTTTGAACTCCCTGCCCTGGGAGGTATCTGAGCTTGACAACTGGAGATGGCTGCTAAGTAAAGTTTTTTTGATAGTCCAGAAAAAGAAAATGAATTTGACATTTTGAATATCAAGAAACATTTAAGCATAAAAAGGTCTAAAAGTTAGTTAGCATTCGGGTCAACTTAAAAACATACACATATACAAAAACCTGAGGAAACGAACAGTGTACTGTAATTGAGTTATGGTAGACAATCTATACAGTTTAGATACAAATATTTACCTTTCTTCATTTTTTCCGGTTAATGTGGATAAAATAAAAGCCATGATCCCATATCATTGAGATAATCATTTTCCCATTAATTTGGTATTTTATGCAGAAGATAGGAATAACATGTCTGGTTTATTTCAGAAATAATAATTTTATAAACCTGTCAGGGTTTTAAAATGCAGCTGAACTCACCAGACTCCACAGGAATGTAATGAGTACTGCATAATTTTTTGTAGGTTTTACTAAAGATTTTGCAGGCTCTAGGAAGGGTTGCGTCACACATGGCAATCCATCATTTTATTTGCACTCTTTCCCCTTCTCTCTTTTCCATATCTTCTTCCGGATTCTCCCTTGAGTTTCCAATACTTTTTTCTCAGTTACACGGAGCAACTTCTCTCTTTCTACAAAGTTTTATCACCACCCAATGCCAAGGTCCATGAGGCTTAGCTCCCATGTGGGCTTATCAAAACATTTTTTTCAACAAAAGCAACTCTTCTCATAAGCAGAATTCTAGCTGCTACAGAATAATTACTTTATCGTTGCTATGACAAAACTTTAGCATTAGAAGGAAATACTAAATGGTTTCATATTTCATTCATGACCCTCTCCAGAAACCAGAAAAAAACTCTGAAATTTCAGATTTTTTAAGCTTTTAGTTTGTAAATTTATTATGTGTATTTTAAAGCTTATCTTTTAGTCTAAGTTTTTATTCAAGCCCACTACAAGGAACTGAGCAACATGGTCAGTTTGAACACTTGTATGCCGGTGGCATTGAACAATGAGTTTCATCAGGAAAAAGCCATAGATTAACTCATGAAGGAACCAATATATTCTTTTTTATGATGGTAAAAAACATATAACACGATAACTACCCTCATAAATTTTTACATGTGCAAATAGTACACTATTGTTAACTAGCACAATGTTTTACAGCAGATCTCTAGAACTTTTTCATACTGCATAACTGAAACTTTGTACCTACTGAACAGCAACAGCTCATTTCTCTCTCCCTACAGCTCCTGGCAACCGCCATTCTACTTTCTGCTTCTGTGAGCTTGACTACTTTAGACACCTCATATATGGAATCATGCAGTAGTTGTCCTTCTGTGACTGGCTTGTTTTGCTTAGCTTAATGTCCTCAGGGTTCATGCGTGCTGTCATTTATGACAGAATTTCCTTCTTTTTTTTAGATTGAATAATATTCCATTGTTTGTATACACCACATTTTTAAATACATTCACCCATAGATGGACACTTAGGTGTTCATTCTTCTGTTAATGGATATTTGGGTTGCTTCTATATCTTGGCTATTGTGAATCATGCTGTAATGAACAAGGGCATGCAGATATCTTGTTGAGATACTGATTTTATTTCCTTTGAGTAAATACCAAAAAGTGAAATTGCTGGATCATGTGGTGATTCTATTTTAATTTTTTGAAGGACCCGCATATTGTTTTCCATACAGTTGCACCATTTTACTTTCCCACCAAGTGCACAAAGGTTTCAATTTTCCTATATCCTTCCAACACTTGTTATTTTTTGTTTGTTTGCCTTACCTCTTCCTTGAGCTCTACCCATTGCTGACATACACCAGCTCGAATCAGGACTCTGTAAGTGCATCATGCCCCCTGGCTTGGGCAATGCATCACCCATACGACCATGAAAGGTGACCTCACATGAAAAATGTGTAAAGTTATTTGGTAGTTTCCATCTTCAGGCAAGCTCTTGCTAATTGTTGATGTCATCATGAACATTGTTTGGCTATTAAAAGCTCATTAAGAGAGAAAAAGCAGAGATGAATGGTTATAATGATGGAGTGAGGCTCAGAAATAGTATCTCTCCTTATAAAAATTCTTCTTAAGTCTTTATTTAAAAAAACTTTCTCTGGACCTCTTAAACTAACATTTCTGTGTCTCTTCCAACAAAGAGTTTAAGTTTACAGCCTCCACTTAATCACTACCCATTCATTTCAAAACCTCATGCAGTCTAATTTCTGTCCTGCATATTAATATGAAGAGCACGTTGCTTCCAAGAACACAAATGATCTCTTAATCACTAAGTCCTCTCTGAACATTCATCTCTGATGATAGCTCTTTCCTGGAAAGCACCTCCTCCTAGCTTCCAAAGCACTATTCAACTTACAATGGCACATCTTTATTGACTGCTTATTATGTGTTAGACACTTTCTGGGATAGGAAACAAGATAATAGCTAGTAAATGATTGAAGAAACTGCAGGTGTAACTGTGATAAGTAAAGACTACATTAATTGCCATGAAGAAAAAATAATGTTCTTCTAGAGTAGCACTGTCCAACAGAAATAAAATAAAAGCCACATATGTAATTTTAAACGTTCTAGCAGCCACATTTTAAAAGTAAAAGAAAATAAAGGAAATTAATCTTAACATTTTATTTAACTCAATGTATTCAAAATATTATCATTTCAACATATAACCAATATACAATTATGATGAGATTATTTATACCATTTTTAATCACTAAGTCTTCAAAACCTGTATGTGTAAAATTATGTATATATACTATATAATACATATACAATATATTAAGTCTTTAAAATCTGTCTATATCTATATAGTGCTGTGTATTTTACACATAAAAGCCATTTAAATTTGGACTAGCTGCATTTCAAATACTTAAGAGTCCATGTATCTGGAGGCCATATCAAACAGTGACAATCTAGAGAGCAGAAATAGAACAAACAAAAGAAAGACAGTTTTGGCTCAGAAATAGAACGGTTTTTACTAGCAGTTAACAATTATGACTGTCCAGCAATGAAATGAACTTCTTTCCGTAGAAAGCTCTCAAGTGGGAATGAGGCTGTAGATAGGGATAAGTTGGTTTACTTTTTTTTATTTTATTTTTTATTTTTATTTTTAGCTGACATGGGATAATCATATGTACTTATGAGATATAGAGTAAATTGGTTGAATTTTAATGTCCCTCAAGTAATTACCTTTTTAAAAAAGATAATTAAAATGTCCCAAAATAATGTATTAATATTTGGGGGCAACAATTTACACAATGCAGAGGTGTATAAAGAAATGTTTAATAATTTTCTCTTTCACTTTCCATCTCTGAGTAAACAAATGTTAACAATTTGGTATATATCCTTTCAGACATTCCTCTATATTCATATAAAGATATATAAGTACACACGTATATTTTTAATTTTAAAAAGGAAAATATGATAAAATATATACACCTACTATGTCCCCACAAAAATTAAAAAAGTTTTTAAAAAGGAAAACATGACAAAAAGGGTGTGCCATAGTTTACTTTGCTAATATATTATTACATCTTTCTAGGTCAATATATGTGTATCTCACTCATTTTTAAGTGGCTGCATAATTTTCTATATGACTGATATACCATAATTTATTCAAACGTTCACCTACCAGGAGCCTCATGACATGTCCAGTTGGGCCACCTCTGATGTCAGCCACACTTGAAGGGGACAGTTCCACGTGAATGTAGAATCAGCTTGTGCTGACAGCATCTTGACTCAAGTATGTGTCTTGAGTTGTTTTGCTTTTTTTCTCTAGAGTTTCTCTCTAATGGCTGTGCTCCCACCTCCTGACCGCCAGTGGGCAATTCTGTAAGTTATTCAGGAGGCAGAATCAAGTGCTGTTGCTTTCAGGAGTGATCAACTTCCATTTTTAATTGGGCTTTTCAATCTTCCCCGCCTCATTCTCCCTGGTCCCATGATCCCCTCTTGGAGTCACCTTCCAAATAAACTGGCTGTGCAGGAGTCTTTCTAATGACAGACATATGGATAATTTTTACTGTTTTTTTTTTTTTTTTTTGTGATGGGGTCTTGCTGTCACCCAGGCTGGAGTGCAATGGTGCAATCTCGGCTCACTGCAACCTCTGCCTCCTGAGTTCAAGCGATTCTCCTGCCTTAGCCTCTCAAGTAGCTGGGATTACAGGTAAGCACAACGAAGCCCGACTAATTTTTGTATTTTCAGTAGAGATGAGGGTTTTGCCATGTTGGCCAGGCTGGTCTTGAACTCCTGACTGTGGGCGATCCACCCACCTTGGTCTCCCAAAGTGCTGGGATTACAGGCATGAGCCACTGTGCCTGGCCGATTTTTACTGTTAATAAACAGAGATGCACTGAACTTCTTTTTTAAATATTATACATCAGTGCTTTTTTATTTTTAAGTATTAGATTATCAAATGAAATGTGTCATCAGATTACATTTCAAAAAGGCTATAGCAAATCACAGGCCAAGTGACAGTATGCAGGAATCCTTTTTATATACACACTACCCATCAAAGATTACTGTACAATTTTTGCCACTCTGATTTGAAAGTAGTGGTATGTCATATTGCTATATTTTCCTGTCAGATGTGATGCAAGGGGCATCTTTTCATGTTTTTGAAAATTTATTTATGTCAGCTCATGCAAAAAACCATCTGAGATTGATTAAAGACATAAATGAAAAAACATAGTGAAAATATTCAAAGAAATTTCAGAGAAAGTTTGTTTCACCATGTGTGAGGAAGACATTCTTAACTATAAATAAAGATGGATAAACTTGACTAGATTAAAATTTTGCTTTTTTTTTAAGTTCTGATTGAGCAAATGATACCATAAGCAAAGTTAAGACAAATGATGGACTGGCAAAAATATCTACAAAACATAAAATAGACATGATGAATTGATATAAAAATCAAGCTATCTTATAGAAAAGCAGGCAAAGGCCAAAAACAGAAGAAAATGTGTGGCATCTTCCTTCCTATTAGCAGTATAATTCTCCAGGTTATTTTTAGATGTACACACAAACAGAGGCCTGTAAGCTCAGGACCAATCTTTTCAAGAGAATTCGTTCAGACAGAGCTTACTTTGACTTGGGGACTACAGGTCAGCTGCTCTGGAATTCAGAGGCCACATCTCTGTAACACAATGGAAGTTACAAATAGTCTAATACATTTTGTCTACCTAGACCCAAGAATAATGTCCTTGTATTATGTGGGCTGGCATTCATACACCTAACTTCTCTTGGCCTGCATCATTTATCTGATTCTTCCCAATATATTGGATTAGGCAATTTCTAAACTTTATAAACCCTTTTATTGTGTGTGTAGTTCACCCCATCATATCAGCCACCAGGTAGAACCCCCAAGGTATCACAAGTCTGTGCAATTTATTTTGATATCTTAAAAGCATTAAAAAAATCTCATCTCACACAGAACATAAAACAGATATATTGCAATGCAGTGATGCCAGATGGGTTAACATTTATATTTCTTTTCTACTCAATGCTCCATGGTGAAAATAATAGTATTTCTTTATCCTTGTTTGTACTGTCTGAATGCCATAAATTACGGCTCTGCTCCAAAGCTGGTGCTTTATAAAGCCATAATCTGTTCACACACAAATAAAATGTCTTTCTGTATTTGGCCTTTGGACATAACTTCAGTGGGGGGAGAATTTATGAGCTATCAGATCCATGAGCTGCATCAGGTGTGCCAGAAGTTATGTTGATATGGCACATGAACTTAGATTCAAATCTAAGTTTAAGGTTTTAATGGGCCAGTTAAGTACAAACACTGGGGCCTGGTTTTCCTTCCCCATTGAACGAACCACTTTTTGCATAGGAATCTATTTATTTTAAATGTAAGTATAGAGAGGGAATAGCCTCAGAGGCAAGTGCTCACTGGGAGAGGAGAGAGGGGATCGATTCTTCTTTTGTAGTTGCTGCCGTTAAACTCCAGATGAAAAGATGCCTAGTGACATGAAGCTGTGAAAATGCCTTCAGACAATGTTTTAGAGCCTGAGATAAACAGTAATGGGACACAGCTAATTAGCTATTAAAACAATTGAATGGATTTCATTGAATTTTTACCAAATGGCAGAAACTGTTAGCTCTGAAGATTTTTTTCAGTAGCATAGGTTCAAACTTAAATGCATTAAAAACAGGTAATGCAGATTTAAAAAGACAAGTGATGCTCTCTTTACAGGATGTACTTTATGTTCAGGTCATGAGATTATATGAATTGTCCGTGGATAGTCTCATAACCCATAGTTTACAAGAATTTAGTGTATTGTGTAGTTAACGGCTGACTGCCTGTGCGGTCCAGTATTTTTATGGTCCTGAGAAAAGCATAGGTTTCTCTGTGAAGCAGTTGTGGAAAGGTTGTAAAGTGACCTCAACTGACTGCTGAGTCGTCTATTGACGTCAAGAACATTTTATAGTCTGGTGTTTGGTGTATTTTTAGACTCTAAAATCATGGCTGATATATTTAATAGCATCAGTCTTTGACTCATGGATTTATTGTTTAACTCTTACCATTTGCTTTTAACAGAGAAATAGCTATAGAATGACAAAACTCTTCCACTTTTTCAAGTGCATTTTTACCCATACAAGAGGCCATTAAGCATTCTGTTCACATGCTGTGAAAGTAAGGGGCTTTAGTACTTAATTTGGAGAGGAAATGTGATTGAGGACAAAGCGCAGGACCTGGACTCTTACTGTGCACGTGCAATTTGTTAGCTGTGTAACACTGAGGAAGAGACTTAGGATCTCTAGGCATCAATTTTCTCCTCTGTGAAATGGAGATAGTAATATCTGCATCATTTGGAATGCTATCTGTGTTAAGAAGCCTAGTCTCAGAAAACCCAGTTTCAAATGGGCTTAAGCAACGGGTAAGTTTATTATCTCATGTAATTAATTGGAAACCCAGAAATAGCGTGGGTTTCTGGTGCAGAACAATCAGTGGCTCAAATGTCATTGGTGACACAGGATATTTCCACGTCTTCCTTTGCCAGATATAGATGTCATCTCCAGCTGCTTCCCTTTGTAATTATAAGGTGGTTGCCAGTGACAATAGAGATGAATGCTTTCTAGTTCTGTCTAGCTGAAGACAGAAAGAAATTTCCAACCTTCCAGTCTGGAATATAAATCCTTCGCTTCATTGATTGGGTTAACTTAGGTCCTGTATTAACTCTTCATCCTACCCCAGACACAATCAGAGGAATTCATTGCTCCTATTGACTCATCATCTGAGAATGGAACACAGAAGTTCACAGTGTCCGTGGTGCTTTCCATAGCACTTTACAGAGTAGTTGTGAGGGCTAATTTAGACGCACAACATGTGGTACATACAGGGTATTCCGTTAATGGTAATTACTACCAATTCTATTATTATTACCACTCGGTGAGTGTTGGCTCACTCACTGGTGCATTGGGCTCCATAGTTTACCCTGTTTGACCTGAATATGGTGGTAAAGGCGACAAGCTCACAAATTTGCCTCCTATTTGAGTCACTGAATTTTGTACAGAGGAAACAATCTTTAAAAAGCCTATTTATGTCTTAGCTACAGTGCTAAGCCCCATAAGACGTCTTACACATTTTGCCCCTGTTTACAAGGAAACCCAAGCAAGAGGCCATGAACAAGTCAGGACAAACCCATCATCACTGTGGAAAAAAATTTAGGTAATTAATTTTTAAAAACTTTATAAGAAATACCACCAATTAAAGGACATAACTTTTAAAAAGTGAATTCTTAACTGATGTAAATGGGTAAATAAGTCAGTTTTGCATTTTAAGAACACATACTCCGGTGCCAACTAAGTAATGCTTCCTCCACGTGGAAGTACTACTAAACCATGTGCTTAGATTAGACTTAATGTTAAAAAGTTTTTTTTTTCCCCTCAAATCATTAGACTCTGAAAAAGCACAGAATTTCAAGTGTTGACCAAATTCTTCTAAACTCATATTTAAACTTGTTAGACCAAGCCAGGTATGTTTGAGCATGTAAACAATTCATATGAATCCCTTCTTTTTCTAAAGGGAGTGGTCTATATAATGAACAGGTCTAAGTGTCCAAATTGTTCTTGGAAAAAAACAGTGTACCAAGAGTCAGGAGTAGGGAACAGATGACACTGTTAAACAGGATAATTTGAAGATAAATTAATAAAGGGAGTACTAACAAAGTTGTGGGCAGGGGGGAGAAAAACCAAAAGAGATTGTGCAGTGCAGTAGTCTAGAGTCAGTAAAGGCCAGAGCAGAGGAGTTACGTCTGCAGGCCTATGTCCCTCTAGCTTGTACCCAGGTTCCTCATTGGCTGAGCTCATCTGAAGCCAGAGGACAGAGGATGATGAAGCCTGTGGATACAGCCAAGTGGGGAAGTCTCCGCAGCTCAGAGCAGGGTGCAGGGTGGGCTTTGGATTTGCAGAAGCCAACAGAGATTTTAAGCACACAGCCTTTTCCAACAATACTTTTATTTCAGTCATAAACCTAGGAAGATCCCATCACCATTTAGTTAAACTGTGGAACTTAAAGAACATGAGGCAATTTTGGGGACCAGTTAGGAAGCTTAGATCTGCTGTCTTTTCTGACTTCATATTGACTTGAGACTTGGTTCAAACTTCATAAGGTACAGTGAGTATAAAGTTTCCAGGACAGATTCTGAATGAAAGTGTTTCCCTGGAGACTTCCTGACCAAGGATGTTATGAATTTGGGATTATGTTCAATCTTAAAGGTTTCAAGTTTATAGATAAACAGTTTCTCGAGACACCTCTACGTCCCTGGAACTTCAGGTATGGAATATGACATTAACTGATAGCCTATTTTGTTTTTTTCCAGGGATTTAAATTTTTTTCTAAAATTTGGTTATTGTTTGGTTTTGTTCAGTTATATGTCACACGTTATGTTTTTTTTCCATATTGACTAAGCTTGCCCACTTAAATAGTTGCATCAATGCAGATTGATATCATCACTTTTCTAAGTGGATGATGATGAAGTGGCTTAAAAATCATAGACCTCAGTGTTTTCAGATACCTTAGGAATACTGTAATCACCGTGGCAAACCATAGTTCTGATGACTCAATCCGTTTCAGGTTGACTTACTGTGGATTTCCTCGTTTCCTTCAATGTAATATATAAACCACACCAACTCCCTAAAATCAACTTTCTTCACCTCTAAAGTGTGGTTAATTCTTTTAATCATCTGCTCTTTAAACTGATCTCTGTAGCCAAAGCAATGTGGTGGTTGGATGTGGTAGACAATAGGTTTAAAGTTGATGCAGATAATTCATTACATCAATCATTTGCATTGACTTAGTTACACAGATTGACAACTCTCTCTACATCTCTCTCTCACCTTCCCTCCATTCTTAATTTCCTTCCCTCCCCGACTCTTTTATTGCATTAGACTCTACTAGTATTACTTGTAGATCAAGTGTTTAGGTGCTGATGGCAGGATACAGAAGAAAAAATGTGTATGGGCAAAAACACTCAACAACTTCCAACCAAAAACCAAAAACCTTGATGTGTTTGCAAGTTTGCTGAGCTGTACAACTCTATGAGTTATAGAAAAAATACATGTGGCTGATTCACTGAGAGTCAAGAGGAAGTCTCAGAGCTCTTCACACACCAGATAAGAAAGTCCTTTCCTGGCATTCACAACACCACTTTCAGGAGTGCATAGGGTATTCTAGAACTGTGAATATTTCTGGCATAACCCTCATCTCTCCTTTTTCCTCAATACTCACAGCCTTAACATCGCCTTCTGCCTTGAAGCCAGTAGGATGAATTTCACCATGAGCTTTCCCTTTGGCCTGGTCTGTCCTGTCCCTACATGAAGCCCAGAGCCCTCCCCAGGCACAAGCACTCTGATCCTCACACAGCTGCATAGTATTGGAACACCCCTGATTTCTTTTCTATATATTACATTGGGGAGAATATAGTTTATGCTTCTACTTGTTTGTTTGCATGTTTCCTTCCCTAGAATGTAAAGTCTATGATGTTTGGGAACGTTATTGTTTTGCTCACTGTAATAGCCCCAGTGCCTAGCTCAGAGCCTGGCATACACTAGAGCTCAAAATATCTTTGTTGAATGAATGAACATGCCAGAATATACCCCCCACCCCGTCTGTATGTGTGTCTGTGTGTGTGTGTACATACCATATCCTATGAGGGCTATCTTTCAAAGCTGTCATCTTAAGAAGTTATATACTTACTCCTATGGTGGCACTTTAACAAATATTTAAATTAGAATATTAAAATGTCAAGTGTCCAATAATATTTCGTTTTAATTATGTCAGGCCAATTCTAATTTTATGCCTCCATGTCTCCCCAACTAGGATTTGAAGAGATTGAAGACTGTTCAGTGATAACTCAGCATACCCCCAATTCCACCCCATTTCACTCTGTGAAGAACTAGTTCAGGTATGTGATAAGGAGAACCATGGGGTGGAATCCAAAGAGGGCTCCTATTTCTGGCCCTGCAATTTGATTTGTATGATCTTGGGTATATCCTTTAGCTCCTGGGCCCAGATATACAAGAAAGAAAGAATGTTTGCTTCTGGGAAATGTTATCAATTTCTTTGATAATCACAGGGGAAAGGTTCCATGTAAAAAGAGGAGGGTACAGTATTTATCTTCTTAAGAATTTGACATGGCTAACCTCTTGTGAAATAGGTGGGTAGACAGTTATCAGCTGAAAATAATCTCCCTGAATTATTTTCACTTTGTTCATTTAAAAATTTCACAGCCATTTCTAAGACCCAAAATAACAAAGATTTAACACTGTTACCACTGAAAGAAGCTCTAGGCCTGGAGGTTGAAGGAAATCATAGAATGAGTAGGGACCTTGTTTTACAGGTATAAAGATGAGAAAAGTTACTTTACAGTTGTAATTACTTCTTTATTTACTTTAGGAGAGTCTAGATCTTCATGTGTCATATCCAATTGCTAGCACATACAGGTTAATCCCTGATTAACCCAGCACTGACTTCTGGTAACAAATAATGCTGACCATAAAACATGGGTTGTTAAAATAATCAGACATATGCACTAAATCTTTCATGGAGTCCAGCAAATTGTATATTTATCAAAACTGACAGGGTATATTAGTAAAAGACAACTCCAATTGATCATTTAATTTCTCTTAACTTTAGTTTTCCTATGAGAGAAATGACTTATGCAGTATTTTTCATATCTGGCTGTGTGTGTACATACACATACACACACACAAATCCAATAGCTTTTTAATAAATAAATAAATAATAGAAATGATAAAAAAACACAACTTTTATTGATAAAAATACAAATAGCTATTATTTAGCCACTGCTTACGACATGAGCCTCTGTGCTAAGCATTTTACACATTATTTCACTTAAACCCTTCAATAAATGTATGAAGTATGTATTATTGTTATCATCCTGAGATTGCCAGTGAAGAAATAGTCTTAGAAAAGTTAATTAAGTTACACAAGATCACAGAGCTTGTAAGTGACAGAACAGTATGGCTCTAGATCACTCCTTTATGTGGTGAGCACGTACTAAGAAATATACTATACAAAGTAATAGCTTATATGCAATAATTAAAGGACAAAATCTGTCACTGAATTTATAGTGAGCCAGATTTCCTCAGGGCCTTGACTGTCAATGGTCAGTAAGCTTAGCTGACAGCCAAGGCCAGTCCTGCCATGCCCTGGATCAGGGTGAGCTGACCAAGCCAGAAGCATTAGGTAGCCTTCAGGCCATTGCTGCTCTTTCTCACCTGTTGGCCAGAGAAATGCACAAACAACTAGGTCTGACTAGCCCTGGACTAGAATCCTCAGGTGTGTGACCAGAAGAAGCGCAGAATTGTTGTCTGCTCAGTCTAATGGTCTGTTATCCCAGGGGAGCCCAGGCTGCACTTTGCTCCTGAAATGACTCTCTGGAAAGGTCTTCTGCCATTAGCTATAATGGCTGCAGGCAGCTTAAAGGGCAAATCATCCATTTGTAATCCTAAACCCAGATGTCAAAGATGATAGGGAAGAGTGTGAACTGTGTGGTTTAAATGATTCTAAATTATGCTCCTGAGAACTCTTGTGAGAGTCAGGCTGTAAATGTCCCACTCCTGCCTCAACTCTATAACAACTCTTCCCTGTAAATGATGCCCACTTTGGGATTCTATGTGAGATTTCATATGTATAACATGTTCCCTGGTAAAATACATTTGTTGTCATTAGTGTGGCATGGAGGCAGATTCATTATTCCATTAGGGAGAAAATGTACTCTCAGATCCAAAGGACGTATTTATTGTTACATCCTTTCAAAGGTTCTTAAAAGAGTCAGATGAAGGATACAATTATTAAGATATTAAAAGATGGCACTTTGCAGCTGACAGAGCTTTATTTTATGCTTCTTTTTTCTTGTTAGGATAGTAGAGATAAGAAAGATTTGAAAATAAGGTATTTAAAATTATTTTGAAAATTTGTTTTTAGAGGAAAGGAAACCTTTCATAACTTGGTGTAAATGAAAAAACTTTGGCTCTTCTTCCGGAAAAAGGAATCATGTATGGAAAATCCCCATCTAAAAGGTCACTTTCAACCGAAACTGAAAGAATATAAACAGGTTCATAATGTAAAACCAGAGAGGGATAAACAAGTATTCTTCAAGCTGAAATGCAGTGTGATATTTCTCTAAAGTGTTATGTTGGAAATGTTATGAAGTCATTTGTCATTATTATTTGATCATCTGTGCAAAAAACACAGCTAAATATTGCTTGAGAATTTGGAGGGAATGAATTGAGCCTTACAAGGAGGAAATCCTCTTTTTTGATGCTACTATAAGGGTAACTTTTATTATTAAAGGAAATATTCCATTAGCGTTTACATGAAGTTCTCTTCATCATGGGTCTTAGTGGTGGGGACTATGTAATATTGGCTCTGGCTAGTTTCTCTGTAATTTGTTGGTAGAGATTAGTTCATCTTCTGGGGTCACAAAAGATCTGGGGTGATGACTTACATGTACTTAAAAGGCAATTTGTTATCTTTGTATTGTCTCAGTGACCAAAGAGGCATTTTCCTGGGTTCTCTTGTGATGAAGATGGGGTTTGGAAGTTTGCTTACTTACTGGGGTAATTCTGGCATCAGAATTATTTACTGACACTCGCACCTTTATACCCCTTTAAGCTCCCCATTGTATTGCTGTAGCTGGAAGCTTGGAAATTATGTTTCTTGGGCTCACTTGCTTAGCAAAGTTTCAAATTGGCAGGGCTATCCCTATGAGATGCTCTCACATGGGTTTGGAAAGTAGAAGAGAGGAATACCTTTTCTTTTTCGTCCCCTGGTGCTGTGGTTTGGATGCTTGTCCCCTCCAAAATACATGTTGCAATTTGATCTAGTGTTGGAGGTGGGGCCTTAATGGGTGAGGTTTGGGTCTTGGGGGCAGATCTCTCATAAATAGATGAATGCCTTCCCTGGGCTGGGGTGAGGGGGAGGGAGAGGTAGATGTTAAAAATGGCTTGGCATTTACCTCCCTTTCTCTCATGCTTCCTCTCTCACCTTGTGATCTCTGCATACCCTGGCTCCCCTTTGCCTTTCACCATGAGTGGAAACAGGCTGAAGTCCTCACCATATGCAGCTGCTCAGTGTTGAACATTCCAGTCATCAGAAACATGAGCCAAATAAACCCCTTTTCTTTATAAATTACCCACCCTCAGGTATTCCTTTACAGCAACACTAAACAAGTTGGAAATGGTGGTGGGCAATTGAGTAGGCTTTCCAGATGTGAATGGTTGCCATTTCACCCATTTTGGAACTGCAGGAAGCTGAGAAGTTGGTAGTAGCTACTTGCATGGTCCCGATTTTGGGTGGCAGCAGTTTTCTTTCTCTTTGAGGCCACAGACCTGAAACATGTGGCTTCTTCCTGGCTTTTGCTCCTCCAGTCGATGTAAGGAGGAGCTTACATTTTGCTCCTTACAAATTCAATGTAAGGAACTGTGTGCTTATAAAAATCCAAAAAATTTTGTTTATAAGCAACAATTGTGTGCTTATAAAATTCCAATTGAATTTGTTCCTGGTTGAAATAGTATGATTTCCATTCTCTGGCTGAATCTTGATTGACACAGGGGATTTTCTCCACGTTTATGCTTTTCCAGTGAAGAAGATATTCATTCCTGATTAGTGGAGCTCATTAAACTTTGGAAAAGAAATTTTCTATAGGCCCCAACTTTAGCAAGATCATGAGGTTTGGTTTTATCTTTTTAAAAGTCAATTAAGGAAACATCTCCTGTACCTCATAAATATATGCACCTGCTATGTACCTACAAAAATTAAAAATAAAAAAAGGAAAAATGAAAAAAAATCGATTGAGATAATATAATTTTTAATCAAAATAACACACAGTTAATGAAATCCCTTTCCAGCTGAATTTCTAATGCAATTTGTGTCTGTATTTTAAAGAGCTAATTAGGCTATAAATACAAATGAAGCTGTAAAACGTGTATTTCATAACCAAGAAACAGAGTTTTCAATTGTATGGTTATGATTAGCAATGAACACGGAGAATTGAATGCTAGGGCCATCACTAATTAGTAATCAGTGTCCATCTGAACTTGATTCAATGTTATGATAAGATCATTTATCCTCATTCATTGTCCATGCCTTCAGGGTAGAGAGTGCAGGGCTGGCAGTCATGAGGGATTCCTAGAGCTTTCACAGAGGTAGTATGGGGGCTTTCTCCAGAGGGGCCCTGGATCAGAGAAATTTCTCCTGCCTATAGTGCCAGACTCTCCTGAGCACTCCAGGGATATATCCTCCTAGGTCAATTGTCTTCCTCAGCCTTTTGACTCTGGTTCATGAAGTGTCTCTCTAAAGCTGTTGATAGCTACTATTGTTGTGGACAAAGAAACATTTTTGTAAATGTTTTTGTAACACTTCCTATGTTCCAGGCCCTATTCTAAGCACTATATATATAAACGCCAGCCTAGTCTTACTGGTTATTGCTGGGAAAGGCAGGGCCTTGTTTCTTCCTCCCTAGAGGAAATAGTAGAGAGGGTAATGGGATATGGTCCAGTTGAGCAATTTAAGTGATTTTCAGTTGCTGCATCATAACTTCCAGTTGAGTTCCTATGTAGTAGGAGAAAGAGAGAGAGAGGTGGAGTAAGGAAGTAGTGAGTACCTGTCATCAATAGGAGTGTCATTTATATAAATGTGGATATCCCCAGAGAATCACTAGTGTAGATGATCTTATATGTTTCGTTCAACTCTGAGAAACTATGAATCCATAAGGTGTGGTTGATTGCAGAAGGACAATGATCTCACTAACTAAGTGGCCAGAAACCCGAGACCTGGCTCCCACCGGGGCCATGGGAAGTCACACATCTCTCCTGGCTGTAGTGGCCTCATGTGTAAAGTACTTTTTACAGCAAGGGACTGGACAGAAAATCTCTGAGGTTTATTCTGGTTCAGAATCTATAGGTCTGTGACATCATAAACATTTTATTGTATTAAATATGTCCAAAGTCTTGAATTTCATTCCTAGTTTTGTTATCTTAAGCGAAATGCATTAGTATGTATAAAGTGCTTAGAAGAGGGCCTGGAACATAGTAAGTGTTACAAAAATGTTTACTAAATAGTCTCTGTCCTCATTCAGGCAAGTCAAATGATGAACTCCATCTCATTTCCATGTTGCCCAAATGAAACTCTGATAATTTCCAGTCTTTTGGTTAAAGGAGCCTCTCTTATCAGAAAGGAATACATTGGCATCTGCCATGGGTCAGGCACCAGTGACCCTGGGTGCCATCATGGTGTTCAGAGATTAGAAACTTTTAGTATGTTAATTTATCTGTGAATATATAGTTATTGTTATGTCTATCTTTCATCTGTTGATTTCTTTTCTATTGTGTTTTATTCATTAATTCCTCTCTTCCTACTTTTTTTACCTACAACTTCACCTTTCAGCTGATCTGCAACCACTGATAAATCACGTAACTTCTCTGAACTTCAGTTTTCACATGTATAAGATTCAGGGTCTGATCACTGGGTGGTCTCTACTGTCCTTTCCAGTTTTATAATTCTAAAAATTCTAAAAATTCTGATGACTGCTGCTGGGACGATCTGTCTAGAGCAACACTGTCCAGCAGAAACATAATGTGAGTAACATATATAATTTAAAATTTTTAGTAGCCATCTTACAAGAATATAAAAATATAGGTGAAAATCATTTAAACAGTACATTTTATTTAACCTGCCATATCCCAAATTTTATTATTTCAACAGGTAATTTCTTAAAATGAACAAACTAATGAAAAATATATTTATAAGATATTTTACATCTCTGCCCTCTTTTCTTTTGGTACCAACTCTTTGAAATCTGGTGTGTATTTTACTCTTACAGCACCCCTCAGTTTGGACCACACACATGTCACACACTCAGTAACACATGTGGCTGTTAACTTCTGTATTGGACAGTGTAGCTGTGGAACATTTTTGCTACGTTTCCTATTTCTGATGATAAACTGTCCAGTGTTAAAATTCCCCCATTAACAACCTTTTGCCATGCATTAGCTTCATTTATTTCCAGGTTTTGTCCCTAGTCAAGTGAATCTGTTTCTTGATTATTAAAATGACTTTTCTCTTTTAACCCTTTCACAAAGCCCTCATCGGCCAACCCTTCAACTTTACCTGGTTCGAGATCCCAACACATTTTCTCAGGAATCCTTCATTGGATCTTGCTGTATGCTTTCCTTTGTACTGAGGTTGGTAACCAGATTATCAGCTGATCCTCACATGTGGATTTGGTACCCAGTTCATATCACTTTTCTGTGTGTGGACATTCATCTCTTCAACCAGAACCTTTGATTCATTTATAGCCTTTCTTCACAAGAGGTCAAACTGAGTGCTCATTGATTGGCTGACCAAGATTTGGTATGCTACATTTTATAGAAACATAAATAAATTAAACTACTAAACTGTATTTCTTATACTGTGTCATTTTACTGGTTCATTCATTTACTTACCTACCAAATGTTAATTGAGCACTTAAAAGAAGTCAAAGACCTGCTAGGCAATAGCAATACAGCAGTCCCAATACCTCATGGACATCTTTCAATGTCAACACATAGTCTTCTGTGAGCTTGAAATTTATTTCACTGTGTTATTTATTTTCTTGCTTTTTAGAATTATGAAACTGGAAAGGACACTAGAGACCACCTAGTGATCAGACCCTGAATCTTATACATGTGAAAACTGAAGTTCAGAGAATTTACGTGATTTATCAGTGGTTGCAGAGCTTACTGGTGGTGGAGCTGGCATTAGAAATCAGGTCTTCTCACATCTCAAAAGATGACATTTATGCGGCCCACGAACACATGAAAAAAAGCTCATCATTACTGGTCATTAGAGAAATGCAAATCAAAACCACAATGAGATACCATCTCATGCCAGTTAGAGTGGTGATTATTAAAAAATGAGGAAACAACAGATGCTGGAGAGGCTGTGGAGAAACAGGAATGCTTTTACACTGTTGGAGTGTAAATTAGTTCAACCATTGTGGAAGACAGTGTGGCAATTCCTCAAGGATCTAGAACCAGAAATACCATTTGACCCAGCAATCCCATTACTGGGTATGTAACCAAAAGATTACAAATTATTCTACTATAAAGACACATGCACACGTATGTTTATTGCAGCGTTATTTACAATAGCAAAGACTTACTTGGAACCAACCTAAATGCCCATCAATGATAGACTGAATAAAGAAAATGTGGCACATATACACCATGGAATACTATGCAGCCATAAAAAAGAATGAATTCATGTCCTTTGCAGGGACATGGATGAAGCTGGAAACCATCATTCTCAGCAGACTAACACAGGAACAGAAAACCAAACACCGTATGTTCTTACTCATAAGTGGGAGCTGAACAATGAGAACAAATGGCCACAGGGAGGGGAACATCACACACCGGGACCTGTCGGGAGGTAGGGGTAAGGGGAGGGAGAGCATTAGGACAAATACCTAATGCATGCAGGGCTTAAAACCTAGATTATGGGTTGATAGGTGCAACAAACCACCATGGCACATGTATACATATGAAACAAACCTGCACATTCTGCACATGTATCCCAGAACTTAAAGTGAAATAAAAAATAAATAGGACCGGCCACGGTGGCTCATGCCTGTAATCCCAACATTTTGGGAGGCTGACGCGGGTGGATCACCAGGTCAGGAGATCAAGACCATCCTGGCTAACACGGTGAAACCCCGTCTCTACTGAAAATACAAACAATTAGCTGGGCGTGGTGGCACGCACCTGTGTCCAAGCTACTCGAGAGGCTGAGGCAGGAGGAATCGCTTGAACCAGGGAGGCAGAGGTTGCAGTGAGCCGAGTTCACGCCACTGCACTCCAGCCCGGGCGACAGAGCGAGACTCTTCTCAAAAAATAAAAAAATCAATAAATAACTCCACCCCCTGCCCCCACAAAAAGAAAAGAAATCAGTTCTTCTTAATTTTTCCTTGGTACATTATGCTTCCCCTGTGTTGTTATCACCAGAACAATTACATGAATTTAAAAATCTTGTGTAACAAACTAGATTTTATGACAACAACCCAGCTAATACTGTTGCATATTGAGACTGATTTTCCACTTGAAAAATTTCTTTTGTCTTAAGGATTTTTCCTTCTTTTTACTGTGGCAGATTTTCAAAAGTGCTGCAATTTTCACGTGTAAATCTTAACTTGTAGATTACAGGCAGCTAGAAGGAAGGCAACATGTTCCCAAAAGTTAATTACAAACTTCATTTTTTTCTTTCCCCCATAGCGTTCTGCTTTAGGATTCTGACTTATGATCAGTCAGTAAAACTTTAGATGTGCCTGTCACCAACTGAACGTCTGCAAGGAAATTTGATTCATGCCATGTTTAAAGATTAATTTCAGTTAAGCTTAGAGCTACAGCTCAGATAATAAAAATCCAATTTCACAATATTTTCTTTTGTCTTAACAAGTGACAGAGTAAACAGATTTTGTAATGTTGACAGATGTAAGTAGTAGATTCAATATTCTTTAATTAATAACTGAGTCTGTATATACAGTGATGATATTTCTTACACAGCATATATATTTAACTTTTTTCTACTTTGAGCATTTTGTAGAAGTGTTTTCCTTAATTAAGGTGCTATTTTTAAAGCTATTATTTTAGAATATTACCTGCACAAAATATATTTATTAAATTATTTAAAGTTATGAATTTTTAAGGCATCTTTATATTACTGCCTTCAAATAACCTCAGGTGCTTATTCTTGAGGCTCAGGTGTATTTGCATTTTTAATAAATCTTTCAGATCATTTTTATGCACATACAATTTTGAGAACCTCTGATTTGAAGGGAGAGAAGAGTTTAAGTTTAAAAATTCCTGTCTCTCAAGATGCGCTGATGTTTTCCTTGCCCGCTGTTGTTCCATGTTATGTTAATAGAAGTAAAGTCAATCGCTATCTATTAAGTTGATAATGTGACTAGATATTCTGAAGATTCTAGCTGAATCATTTGCTTAGTTAAATGAATGCATTAATTTGGTTTATCTAAATTTCCATCAATTAAATAATCAATAATTATTTTCTGAATAGTTCCTGAAGCAAGACTGCCAAAAATAACCAAACAGGTATAAAACAGAGCTGAAAATAACCAAATAGATGTATAACAGAGCTGAGCTTCCAGACCATCTTGTTAACACCTCTATGACACAGTCAACCCATTGTATTTACTATGTTGCTCTGTGCTCTGTGCAGCTCCTTGCTGGATTGTAAATTCCGTTAGTCATTTTGTGTCTTCAGCTCCCAGGACTATGCTTGGCACATAAAATTGTCACCTATTAGATATATCTGTATTTGAATTGATGAATGAGCTGGTTTGCCACTGGGATATGTTCCAAGACATAGGATAGAACCATCAAATGGTCGAATTTTAAAGCCAGAGTGTGTTCAGAGACCACGGTAACTCTAGGGAAACGTTTAAGGAAGGAACTACAGGTAGGCTTCAAGTTATGCTTATTATTTTAATTGAACTCAGTTGGCCCTTGGACAACATAGGCTTGAACTGCATGGATCCACTTATATGAGGGTTTTTTTCAACTGAACACAGTTTGAAAATACAGTATTTGTGGGATGTCAGATTAGGGTGTACAGAGGTGGACTTTTGTATAAGCAGGGCCAACTGTGGGACTTGAGTGTGTGTGGATTTTGGTATGCTAGGGGTGGTGAGGTAGTGGGGCTTGGGCTGTGGAGGGTGGGGTATGTGTATACGCATGTCCTGAAATCAATCTCCAATATATACCAAGTGCAAATATACTTAATATTTCACTGCAGTGAAAATATGCTTAATAAATTTCATATGACACTTTCCCACACATTATTGCATAAGCATTTCCCTGTGCTATTACAACTCCACAAGCAACATTGTTATACAACATTTAATTAAATACATTTACATGTTTTGTACTATTCCCTATTCCCTTCAGCCGTTTTCCTACTGTTTCATTTCCTTCCTTTTTTCTTTTCTTCTTGACAAGGTCTCCCTCTGTCATCTAGGCTGGAGTGCAGTCTTGTGATCATAACTCACTGCAGCCTCAAACTCCTGGGCTCAAGCCATCTGTTCCTCCTGTCTCAGCTTCCCGAGTAGCTGGGACTACAGTCATGGGCCACCATATCTGGCTTTTGAGACTATTTAGATATGAGATTAATTTTCTTAGTGAATCACTATATATATATATATACACACACACACTGTATATATACACTATATATACTATATATATAATTTCTTAAAGATATTTCTTAAATGCTTGAAATGAGGCATTTCTTAAAGATATTTTTAAATAAATGCTTGAAATTTAGAGATTTCTCATAGAAGTGACATCCTAAATTGCAGTTGCATCCGCAGGCTGCTTTCTGAATTTTATTTTATCCATAGAACTGATGGAAGTATCACTTATAGCCTCAAATCCCAACCCTCTAAGATACTCAAATATGGAAACTTGAACCTGATTGCAGACTTCTAGTCAAACTCATAGGCCTCATAATTTTGGTCATTTGGATCTTTACTTCCTTTAGGTCCTGAGCGAGGAAAGGGAGACTGGATGTGGTTTGTGGGCAAAGCATCCCAAGGCTGGGAGGTCTAGTCCATGGCAATGTTTGAAGAGGAACATGTGGGGTGTGTGTGTAACGTGTGTCTCTAGAGGTGGATGGATAGAATGGTCATGTCTGCAAAGAGGTCACTCATGTTGGCGGTGGCATATCCTCAAAAATAAGACTGATTATAGTGAACATTGACTGTGACTCCAACACATTTGGATTTTGCACTGTAGCGATGGATTGCTACTGAAAGTATAATCCTCTTACAATATTTATGTATGATTTAAACATACGGTTGAAATGAAGTCAGAAAAGGAAAATTCATGATATTCATTCTAGTAATACTCTGTCCAAATCCCCTTCAATTTTTTTTCTTTTCTGCTTTTGTGCACCCTGCTCCAGTTTCTGTGAGCTGTCGCTTCTGACACCTGCGCGTTGGGGTCACCCGAGGTCCACATGGTCACAGGCACTGGGAGTCTGGAGTTCTTGGGAGTTCTCCCCAGCCTCACACCTCAATATGCAGCTGTTGGCTGATGACCGGTGCCAGAATATGAAAGCTCAGCCCACTTTCCTTGAGTAGGAGAAACTGTGGAGTGTAATTTACATTTCAGAATTCCCCTGTGGAATCAGGCTGAAACTGCCCTGGGAGACTTTGAGTAAAGTGACACCTTGTTTGGCCCCTTCCCTAATCTTGGCTGCTTCCCCTGCTCTTCTACCAGTGTCTGCTGGGAGCACTTCCTCAATCAATTATTTGCATATAAATCCTTGCTCTACTCCAGGATCTGTTTTGGGGGAATCCAACCTAAGGTACTTTGTTTTTTATGACCTGTGAACCCTTAGGTTCAGGTTTTTATGCCCTCTCCGATTCATTTAATATCTATAAACATCTTCCTAGTCAAAATCACACCCCACACACAAACACCTACTGTTACCACATTCAATATTTTTTTCAACTATGTCATTAATTCCTTAATGGCTACTGGGTTCTGAGTTTAATAATTTTTTTTTTCTTTTTTAAGAAACAGGGCCTCACTCTGTTGTCCAGGCTGGAGTGTAGTGGCACAATCGTAGCTCTCCATAGCCTTGAACTCCTGGGTTGAAGCAACCTCTTGCCTCAGCCTTCCAAGTACCTGAGACTGCAGGTGCACACCACAACGCCTGGCTAACATTTTTGAATTGTTGAATATCTATGTTGTGGCAGAATCAGTCACGGTGGCTTGTACCTGTATTCCCAGTTACTTGGGAGGCTGAGGCTGGAGGATCACTTGAGCCCAGGAGTTCAAGTCCAGCTGGGCGACATAGCAAGACATCGTCTCTTAAAAATAATTATGTTATATGTTGTTGCTTTAATTTTATAAATAATCATATGATGAATAACTCAACCTTTTATTTTATTACTCTAGGATACATTCACAAAATATACATGAACTTTTTCCCTTATTCATTTATTTAAATGTACAAAATTGTATATATTTATTGTGTACAATATACTTTGTGAAATGGCCAGATCAAGTGATCAAGATATGTATTACCTCGCATTCTTATTAATTTTTGTAGTGAGAACACTTAAAATGTGCTCCGTTAGCAGTTTTCAAGAATAATACATTGTTATTAAATATAGTCGCTATGTTGTACAATATATGTCTTGAACTTATTCCTCCTATCTCACTGAAATTCTGTATCCTTTGATCAATGTCTCTCTAACACCTCATCCCGCCAACACTGCCCCAGCCCCTGGTAATCACCATTCTACTCTCTGTTTTTATGAGTTTGACCTTTTTAGATTCCACATGCAAGTGAGATCATGTGGTACAGGCATACTTTGAAGATATTGCAATTTCTGTTCCAGACTACCACAATAAAGTGAGTCATATGAATTTTCTGGCTTCCTGTGCATATGAAAGTTATGTTTATACTATAGTGTAGCTTATTCAGTGTACGTATTATATTTAAAACAAATGTACTTATCTTGAATAAAAATACTTTATTATATTATTGCTAAAATTGCCAACAATCATTTAAGCCTTTAGTGGGTTGTCATCTTTTTGCTGGTGGAGGTTCTTTCCTCGTTGATGATGGCTGCTGACTGATCAGATGGTGGCTGCTAAAGGTTGGGGTGGCTGTGGCGATTTCTTAAAGTAAGTCAGTAATGAATTTGCCACATCGATTGACTCCTCTTTTCCCTAAAGATTTCTCTATAGCATGCAATGTTGTTTGATAACATTTTATCCACAGCGGAACTTTCAAAATAGGAGTCAATCATATCGAACTTTATCAACGACATTTATGTCTTATCTAAATCCTTTGCTGTCATTTCAACAATGTTCATAGGATCTTCATCAGGAGTAGATACCATTTAAAGAAACTACTTTCTTTGCTCATCCATAAGAAGGAACTCTTCACCCAGTCAAGTTTTATCATAAAATTGCAGCAATTAAATCACATCTTCAGGCTTCACTTCTAATTCTAGTTCTCTTACTATTTCTACCAACTCTGCAGTTACTTCCTCCACTGAATTTTTGGACCCCTTCAAAGTCATCCAGGAGGGCTAGAATGAACTTCTTCTAAACTCCCATTAATGTTGTTATTTTGACTTCTTCCCATGAATCATAAGTGTTGTTAATGGCATCTAGAATAGTGAATCCTTCCCAGAAGGTTTTCAGTTGACTTTGCCCAGGTCCATTAACAGAATCATCTATAGCAGCTATAGCCCTGTGAAATGTATTTCTAAAATAATATTACTTGAAAGTTGAAATTACTCCTTGATCCATGGGCTGCAGAATGGTTAGCAGGCATAAAAACATTAGTCTTGCACACTTTCATCAAGCTCTTGAGTGACTAGAAGAGCCTTGTCAATAAGCAATTATATTTTAAAATGAATCTTTTTTTTCTGAGCAGTAGGTCTCAACAGTGGGCTTAAAATATTCAGTAAACCCTGCTGTAAACAGTTGTGCTGTCATCCACGCTTTGTTGCTTCATTGATAGAGCACAGGCAGAGAAAATTAGCATAATTCTTAAAGGCCCTAGGATATTTCGGAATAGTAAATGAATCTTGGCTTCAAATTAAAGTCACCAGCTGCATTAGCTCCTAACAAGAGAGTCAGATTATTATTCTTTGAAACTTTGAAGCCAGGCATTTACTTCTGTTTAGCTATTAACAGCCTAGATGACATCTTCTTCCAATAGAAGGCTGTTTCATCTGCATTGAAAATCTGTTGTTTAGTGTAGCTACCTTTAGCAATGATTTTAGCTAGGTCTTCTGGATAACATGCTGCAGTTTTTCCACCAGCACTTGCTGCTTTACCTTGCACTTTTAAGTTAAGGAGACAACTTCTTTCCTTAAACCTCATGAACCAACCTCTGCTAGGTTCCAACTTTTCTTTTGTAGCTTCCTCACCTCTTTCTCAGCCTTCTTATAATTGAAGACAGTTAAGGCCTTACCCTGGATTAGGCTTTAGTTTAAGAGAATGTGGTGGCTGGTTTGATCTTGTATCCAGACCTCTAAAACTTTCTCCATATCAGCAATAGCACTCTTTTGCTTTCTTATCATTTGTGTGTTCATTAGAGTAGCATTATACATTTCCTTCAAGAACTTTTTATTTGCATTCACAACTTGGTTAACTGTTTGGCATAGGAGGCCTAGCTTTTGGCCAATCTCAGCTTTTGACACGCCTTTCTAACTAAGCTTAATCATTTCTATTAATAGCTTTTGATTTAAGTGAGGGATGTGAGACTCTTCCTTTCATTTGAATAGCTTAGAGGTCATTGCAGGGTTAATAATTGGCCTAATTTCCATATTATTGTATCTTAGGGTATAGGGAGGCCTGAGAAGATGGAAAGAAACAGAGAATCAGCTGGTTGGTGGACCAGTCAGAGCACACACATTTAATGAGTTCACCGTTTTATACAGGTGCAGTTTGTGGCACCCCAAAACAATAACAATAACAATTGTAAAATCAAAGATCACTGATCACAGATCACCATAAAAGATATAATAATAATAAAAACATTTGAAATATTGAGAGAATTACCAAAATGTGACACACAGACACAAAGTGAGCACATGCTGTTGGAAAGATGGTGCCAATAGACTTGCTCCACACTGGGTTGCCACAAACCTTCAATTTATAAAAAAACCCGCTATCTGCAGAGTAGAAAAAAGCAAAGTATAATAAATTAAGATATACCTGTATTTGTCTTTCTGTGCCTGGCTTATTTCACTTAATATAATGTCCTCTGATTTCATTCATGTTGTCACAAATGACAGGATTTTCTTCTGTTTTAAGGTTGACTAGTATTCCATTGTTTGTACCTCATTTTCTTCATCCATTCATCCCTTGATGGACACCTAGGTTGACTTCATGTCTTGGCTATTGTGAATAATGCTGCAATAAACATGGAAGTATGGCTGTCTCTTTGACATACTGATTTTATTTCCTTTACATATATACCTAGAAGTGGGATTGCTGGATCACAGGATAATTCTCTATTTAACTTTTTGAGGACGCTTCATACTGTTTTCCGTAGTGGCTGTACTAATTTACATTACCACTACAGCGTGCAAGTGTTCCCTTTCCTCCACATCCTCATCAACACTTATCTTTTGTCTTTTTGATAATAGCCATTCTAACAGGTATGAAGTGATATCTTATTGTGGTTTTAATTTGCATTTGTCTGATGGTTAGTGATGCTGAGCATTTTTTTCATATGCCTATTGGCCATTTGTGTGCCTTGTTTTGAGAAATATCTATTCAGATTCTTTTCTCATTTATTAAATGGTTTGTTTTCTTACTATTGAGTTTGTCTGAGTTTCTTATATATTTTGCATATTAACTCCCTATCGGATATATGGTTTGCAAGTAGCTTTTCCCATGACATAAATATTTTTGTACTTGAACTTAGCAAAAGTTAGACCAATATAAAAAGGCATTATTATTAAATGGGTACACAAATTTTACCACCACCATCTTGAGAAATATATAATGAGAAGATTTTAAGTGTTAATTTAAAATGTTTGTTTCTTAAGAATTACATGGTAATAATAATAGTAAGAATAATAGTAAGAATAGTAAGAATTACATGGCAATAATCATGATAATAACAACCATTTATTAAGTAATTGTAATTACTTTGCATTAGGTATTATATTAGGTACTTCATCAAGATTATTATTATTTTTTAAAGCTGGTATGAATATATTAATACCAAACAAAGTAGACTTTTAGGCAACAAGCATCCCTAGAGATAAAGAATAACACTTCATAATAATAACAGTTTCAATTTTCCAGGAAGATTTAACAATTCCAAATTTGCATTTATCAATTATACATCCTGATATGATATAAGAACAAATGGAGACAACTGCATGAAAAAATGGTTAAAGCCAAAACATAGTAAAAAAGTTCTAACATTCTTTTAAATAAAATAAGCTGGCAAAAAAATAAAAAATATATGGAAAATTTGAACTATAAAATTAACCAAGTGACCTGATGAACATATATAGAATACTATATTCAAAAACTGTAAAGTATACTTAATTTTAAAGACACGAATGATAAACATAAAATATAGAAAGAAAGCTAGAAATCAATATGAATATAACCTTACATTTTAAATCTTACAAGATTATTTTATTAATCCTCCAAACAATCATGTGAGGTTAATATGTTCATTAGGAGGGGACTAACATTTGGAGTGGTAAACACTTTGCAAGGATCTTATGGCTGGTAAGGTGATTAAGCTAGGATCTGAGGCGAAGTCTGACTCCAAACTGTGTTCTTCAGTTTTTTATCTGTTTCATTGTTTAATTTGTATTTTTGTTATTGCTAGCTACATTAAGCATTTTTCATTTATTTATTTCCTCTTGTAGAATTAACTGTTTGTGTTTTGCTAGTTTATTTATTGGAATATTGATGATTTTTCTCATCAGTTTGTATGATCTTATGTACTATAGATGGATACCCTCTGTGAATAATATTTGTTGAAAATATTGGTCTATTTCTCTTTTAGATTGTTTTTGTTATAAATATCGAATTCTTATATTACTATTTTTTCCTTCATAACTTTTTCTAATTAACTGAAGCCTCATTATTATTCTTCAAAAGAGCTGATATGCTTTTCTATCTAATCAAATTGAATACAATTATGCCTTGGTATCTGTGGGGGATTGGTTCCAGAACCCCATCTCCCTGCATATAGCAGAATCCCTGCATACTCAAGTCCCACAAGTCCCGCAGTTGACCTGAGAAATCTGCTTATAGGAAAAGCTGGTCTTCCATATCCATGAGTTTCCCATTCCGTGAATACCGTATTTTTGATCTGCCTTTGGTTGTGGATGTGGAACCCGTGGATACGCAGGGCTGACTTTATTTATTTATTTACTTAGTTAGTTAGTTAGTTAGTTAGTTATTTAGTTTTTGAGACAGAGTCTTGCTCTGTCACCCAGGCTGGAGTGCAGTGGCGTGATCTTGGCTCACTGCAACCTCTGCCTCCCAGGTTTAAGCAATTCTCTGCCTCAGCCTCCCGAGTAGCTGGGATTACAGACATGTGCCACCACACCCGGCTAATTTTTGTATTTTTAGTAGAGACGGGGTTTCACCATCTTGACCAGGTTGGTCTTGAACCCCTGACCTCGTGATCCACCCAGCTCGGTGTCCCAAAGTGCTGGGATTATAGGTGTGAGCCACTGGGCCCGGCCAAGGCTGACTATATTTATTTTAAAAGTTCTGTGGATTTTCTTCTTTCTCTGCTACCCTTGATATGGTAAGATCAAGCCCTCCTCTTCCTCCTCCTCAGCCTACTCAATATGAAGATCATGATGACGAAGATCTTCATGAGGATCCACTTCCACCTAATACCTAATAAACATATTTTCTCTTCCTCATGATTTTCTTCATATCTTTTTAAAAGAGATGGGGGTTCCCACTATGTTGCCCAGGCTGGTCTTGAACTCCTAGGCTCAAGTGATCCTCCCATCTTGGCCTCCTAAAGTGCTGGGATTACAGGTGTGAGCTACCACACCCTGCATCTGATTTTCTTTTTCTTTTTTAAAAATTAAAAATAAGAATCATGATTTTCTTAATAACATTTTTTTCTAGCTTACTTTATTGTAAGAGTCCAGTATATAATACACATTACATACAAAATATGTGTTAATCAACTGTTTATAGTATTAATAAGGCTTCTGGTCAACAGTAGGTTATTAGTAGTTAAGTTTTCAGGGAGTCAAAAGTCATATGTGAATTTTCAACTGTGGGGGTGGGGTGGGGAGTGGGGTAGGATTGGTGCCCCAACCCCTGCATTATTCAAAGGTCAACTCTGTGTTGTATATACACACTATATATATATAATATATATATTCAATATATTCACTATACACACACACACACATCTTTTGCTATACTGGCTCTTTTGGAGGTAAAAAGAGAAAACCGATATAGTAGTATTCTAGCAAATGAATGCAGAAGTTGGGGTTGTGTGAGGGAAGAAATGAACATGTATAGAGTGTATGCTGTGTGTTTGGCATTTTACATATAAAGCATGACGTCTGTTTAGGAACCTTTCCTATTAACCCCCTCTTGTTACGGGAAGGGCCTAAAGTTAGGTGGTTGCAATTGAAGAAGGAAAAAATGGAAGCAGTAATACAAGCTCAGGTAACCTCTACATCTTTCCTTTTCTCTTTATGCCACATGTTAAGTGTTAAACCCTATATCAGATGCAAAATTTTGAAGAATCCCTAGTGATTTTGGATTTTACATAAAAACCATTATTTTCTGGCAAAAAAGTGCTACTTGAATAAATAATTCAGGTAAAAGCAGATTTATACTTTTGGAATAAATTGTGGACTTTTAGAATTAATTTTAGCTGAATATGCTACTTATGAGATTATTGTCTACTGAACCAGAGGAGCCATACTGACATTTATCTATGGTGATCTTAAGCATTTTTATGAATTTATGTTTTGGGGAAGACATCATTGGAGTAAATTATGCACCTCTGCTCTTTAGCTGTCATCTATAGCTGATTGCTTCTCTTCTGGTTTGTATGACCTGTTCCAAAGGCAGTTCATGTTGGAGATGGAAGAACAGAGTAAAACCCACAATTGGCCTCCCTTTAACTAGTCAAACTAGTTAACCCAGTTACCTTTACAGTGTGGGTGACAATGTTTTATGATATTTGAAGGATCTAAGGAAACAATAAATATGATAATGGGTGACATTTTAATGGAAACCTATTGTTTACACACACTTTCACCATACATTATTTAATTTTTATAAAGAATAAAAGAATTATCTTGAAAGTAGAATCTGACTTCAGTTGTGTTATGCAATGCTGGAATTAGCAGAAAAGAAGGCTTAGAGTTGTCCAGTTACAAACTTCAGATACAAAGGGTTTCTGACATAGTAGAAATTCTCCATCTCAACTTAGGAAAGGAAAAAACAAACACATGGACAAACAAATAGGGACAAAAACTGAAAAATGAGGAAGAAATTCCTTATGCTGAAGACTGAATGTCAGGAGGAAGTTTCAGCATTTCTTCCCCCATTTGAATTTACTCTTTGGAATGATTCTTAAATATTTAAGCCTGATAGCTAGAAACTGAAAAATCGACACTCCCAAGTCATGTGTAGATTTTTAAGTAGTGACTCTTCTCCTTTCAAGGTTGATGATGATGATGATGAAGTTAATGTTTACTGAGACTTACCATGGATCACATACTGTGCTGACAGGTTTACAGGAAATATGCCATAATCTTTCCAATAACCTGATTAAACAAACCCTACTATCTCCATTTTCAAACAAGGGAAAATGAAGCGTAGAGAGGTTAATCGACAGCTAGTGAGTGGGTGAACTGACTGGATATCAGATTAACTGACTCCAAAGTCTGCATATTTAATGATTATACTTTACTACAGGGCAGACATTAAGGATATTGTAGCAGAGTTGTCTGAACAAAAATGTCGCTATTTTGCAATACATTCTAATCAGGTGAGCTGCTCGGTCAAATTTCCGACAGATCACTATTCATGTTAGTGGCCTTTGTGAAGCAGCCTGCAACACCTCGTGTCATGCAAGCCATTCGGCTGAGTTCACTTCTCCACTAGACCGCTGAGAAAGCTCACGGTGCCTCCACGAGGCAGTCAACATGGCTCGAAGTGAGGAGGCTGAGCCCACTCAGCAGCAGCCCTGTCATCTCAATGTTTGGCTTTGTTGCTATTACTGGTCATGTCTATTTTATGGATGAAAAACCTGAGGTTCACAGAGATTTTATCAAATGTTTTTATTAAGTTGTTATTTTTGTTAGAGACCAGATGACAACATTTTGGATTTGAAGAAATTTTTGTTAAACATAAACAGCATGAAAAATAAAGGTCTCAAGACCTCCCTTGACCTTCCAGCTACTCTGGAAACTCAATAAACACTAGAACATTAATCAATCTAGATAATTTCTTTAAGAGTAAGAAGCTTTCTATATGTGGCTCTATTCTAGAAACACTGGGTTCTAATAGAGAAGAGATATTCCTCTGGAGAGTTTTTTTTTTTTCTCTTCTCAGAATGGTGGCTTCCTTTTTCTTGCCTTTTGAGAAAATGTGTGTTCTGTCAGCAGCTATGAGCACAGATCTGGGTGCCGATCAAGACTTTGACGTGAGGCCTGAGAAAACGCAGAACTGAGGTAAATAGTTCCAGGAAACACTATACAGCCTGTCACGATGTTCTGCGGTATTTCAAATGTTTTAGAAAAAGGTGAACTTGAGGTGAATATGAAAAAGATAAAGGTTCATTTTAGTCTGGGAAACAGAAAATTCTGGAAAGCAAAAACTGAATTTTTATTTTCAGTGTTATATAAGCATAGCTTTTTGCTTTCATTAAAAAGAGGAAACATTAGTGAACTTGAGTTTGGGGCACACGTCGAATAAAAGCTAAGTCTGTTATCATGAACCTCAAAGTTCTTCATCATTTGGCTTCACTGATTGCATTGACTACCACTCTCCCCCTCCCTCACAGCTCTCTTGTCAAACAGGCCTTCATTAATTTCCTTGTACACTTGCTTTAACCTAAGGAACTTTTGCATTTGCTGTTCCCTCTGCCTGAAGTGCCCTTCCTGCCCTTCACATAGTGGATTTATTCTCACCCTTCAGGTCACAGCTTAAATGTTGTCTCCTTGGAACACCATTGCTAGACCACCCTAGTCAGCCGCTGTGCCTCCCCTGCCCCTCCATCTTGTGTGCTCATCTGTGGCTCTCCTCTCCTTTGGGACACATGGGAAAAGTGTACTTTCTTGACACCCTTACAGGTGGGTAGGACTCTGGGACAAGTGTTGACCAACAGGACATAAAAGTGATGTGATGGTGCAGTCTCATTACCCTTGGTGTTGTCCAGGCATGAGAGCAACATGGACCAGATCCCCTGGCAATGTGTGGCGTATAAATGCATGAGTAAGAAAGCAAAACACAGAAAACACAACTTTGTTAAGACACGATATTTTTGGGATTGTTTGTTATTAAAACGTAACTGCTCCCATCCTATCTAAAACATTACCATATTTTATTTTCTTCAGAGCACTTTCTCCTTTTTGAAATCATTTCTCATTTATTTATTTATCATTAATCTATCCCCCGCCCCTACATTGTCAGGTACATTTGTAGATACACAATACACTAAATGATTAACTTTTCATGGGGTCTGTGGATCCTCATCAATCTCAAACAATCTTTAAAAAGCCTTTCAGAATAGCCCTTAGGCCGTCTGCTAACTACTTAGTCCTGAATCTGGTAAATAAAGAGATGTCCATTGATGGCCCTTGTTGAAATAGGCGAGGTGCCCATTACCTCAGTGCTCTCCCTGCCTCATCCATTTATCCTGATAGAGGAAAGCTGCCTAACTAATTCTGGAAAGTCTATAAACTGAGCAGGACCAGACAGAATGAATATTGTTTCCAGTTCCTAATGAGGGTCTCCTCCAAATACGTACTCTAGGAAGGAAGAAGGCATGTGTTTCCAGAGTCTACACAGGTTATGTTCTCTACCATATGTTCTCCCCCTGCCTTGACCTACTCATTCAGATAGACTGAATCAACTGACTCCTTCCAAATGGCACATACAAGGAAAGTTTGTGTTTTCTACCACGCTAAGAATTGAACTAATCAACACCTTTGTGATTTTCCTTTTTACTTGGAGTCCTTAGAGGCTTTGTTCCATGCCAGTCTCTCCTGGCTGCTATGGCCCCGGTGCTCTGGCTTCAAGGCTCAAGACTGGGTGGACTTTCTGGGCTCACTGGCTTCTGGCTCTGCTCTCCCACTGCCACTTCCCAAGCACCCCACTAGGCTCAGCTACCTGTACGGTTGGAGGTGATCTCTGAGCAAGTATGGGTATTGGTCATGCACTGCCTTCCAAAGATGGAAGAACCTCACATATGGGCGACACTACTCTACTCCTCTTTGCTCCCTAAAATTACCTTTGTCTCCTGCTAGGAACTGGGATAAACCATGTTATATATTACTTTCAAGTTTTCCTTTACTTACGCTGTTCCTTCTTACCTTTCATTGATCGGTTAATTCCTAATTATTTTCTAAGACTTGGCTCAGGCATTGTATTCTAAGCATGTGTCCTATTGGGTTAAAAACCCCTCCTCTGTGGCCCAAACAGCACCCCAGAAGTACTTCTGTTTAATTACCTATCATAAAGTACTAAATGATGTGTTTACTTCTCTCTTACTGGACAGTGAGTTCTCCAGTGGCAGGGATTTTATCTTATTTATCTTTTTACTTTCCATGCTTGATGCATATGAGAAAGTCTATGAAAGTCTGATGAGAGACTCCTATTCAATTCAACATTTCAACCTATTGATTCATTAAAAATTTACTGAGGGCCTGCTGTACACCTGAGGGCCTGCATAATCATTAGGACCAGCCTTAATTCAATTCAAATCTGTTCTAGGTCTTGGCTGAATCCGCATTTTTAAGCAAGCACTTCAGGTAATAGGCAAGAGAAACACGATGACCCGAACCATTGCAGCTCACCAGCCTTGCCTTGGATATGTTAACTCTGTAAAAACACCTTTAAGGAATGTCTCCATCTAGAAAATAAAGGGGTTGCATGGCATCAGACATTTCTAAATTGTGTTCCCTGAAGTGTTGCAGGGGTTGGTGAGAGGAATGAGGATGAGAAATTATTGAGTTGACCTTTGTCTGTTTCCCCCTTCCCCTGCTCCCGCTTCTACCAGAGCATCTCCTCTTTTATCTGTTTTATATATTGAAGGTTCTAGATAATATTTCATTTGAAGAGGGATTTGTTGCTTTTAAATAAGTTTTTAAAATTTTGATAAAAATTACGTATTTTCCAAAGGCCTTTCTGCTTCTAGTGTTCTAAGAATTTAAGGGCTTTTTGTGTTCAAAGTACTGTGTGGGGCACAGGGCACAATAGGGCATGTGAAGATGAAGACATTGCCTTTGACCTCCCTGGAACTGACAATTTAGCAGAAGAAACAGACTTGCGTTAATGATATCAGGAAATCTGAATAAAGGTAGTGGAAATAAGGGCGGGGAAGAGAGTACTAAGTGTGAGCTGCCTGTGGGAATCACCCATAAATGCAAGCCTGGTTGTATGGTCCCTATCCAACCCCATCCTAATAGCCTGATTGGTGACTGGGACCTTTCCCAGGTCTTGACACAAGGCCCTTTCTGCTTCCCAATTGACTTTGACACCCCAGTTCTTAGCTTCTTGCTTTGATTTTTATTCCTCCATGGGATGTTTAGTCAGATATATTCCATGTTCTTAGCATGTTCTTTATTAAAAATGTAGATGCCACATGTCTTGGCAATTTTAATTAGAAGTTGGGTACTATAAAGACATAGAATTTGCTCCAATGTCAAGAGCTTCAGAGATGAGAAATAATGACAGCTAAAGAATACCAGATTTATAGATTTTGGTATCCCTGGCCACCCTGCTACCTTAGATGGCTTGATTACTCTGTCTCACCCAGCAGAATTGATTCTCCATGGTTTCAATGTAGGCTCTGCCATTAATCATCTTTGGTCTTTGGGTTGACATTTCACTTCTCTTGGCTTCAGCTTCTTCTATGTACAAATAGGTTATATGTTATTCTATTATATGTTTTCTTTTTGTCATGCATTTATTTAATCTAAATTTCCAATTTTTAAAATATGCAACATAGTCATACACTTTAAAAATCACATTGTTAACATATTTACCATAAGTAACATAGTTACTTGTCTTGTTCTGTTTAAGCTGCTATAACAAATTACCTCAGACTGGGTAATTTATCAACAACAGAAATTTGTTTTCATAGATCTAGAGACTGAGGAATCCAAGATTAAGGGACCAGTAGATGCAGTGTCTGATGTGGGCCCATTCTTCATACATGGTGCCTAACATAGCAGGAGGGACAAACAAGCTCTCCTGGGCCTCTTTTATAAGGGCACTAATCCCATTCATGAGGGAAGAGCCCTCATAACCTAATCACCTGCCAGATACCATACCTGCCAACAACACTGCACTGGAGATTATGTTTTAACATATTAATTCTGGGGACACACAAACATTCAGACCATAACTTTACCTTTTGTATGTCTTTGAGCAGTGAGAACATTTGAGATGTAATCTCTTAGCAGATTTCAAGTATATAATACACTATTATTAACTATTGTCAATATTCTACATTGATCTCCAGAACTTATTATTTATCCTGCATAACTGAAACTTTGTACCCTTTGACCATCTTCCCATTCCCTCCTCACCACCCCAGCCCCTGACAGTCACCATTCTACTCTCTGCTTCTATGAGTTTGACTTTTTTGGATTTCCCATAAAAGTGAGATCATGCAGTATTTGTCTTTCTTTGTCTGGCTTATTTCACTTAGCATAATGTCATCCCGGTTCACCCATGTTGTCCTAAATGACAGGATGTCCTTCTTTTTAAGGCAGAATAATATTCCATTGTATATATATTTACCACATTTTCTTTATTCATTTGTCCATTGATGAACACTTAGGCTGATTTCATATCTTGACTATTGTGAATAATGCTGCAGTGAACATGGGAGTGCAAATATCTCTTCAACATGCTGATTTAATGTCCTCCAGATATATACTTAGAAATAGGATCCATGAATAATATGGTAGTTTATTTTTAACATTTTGAGGAACCTGGATACTGTTTCCCACAATGGCTGTTCCAATGTATATTCCTACTAACAGCATACAAGTGTTTTCTTTTCTCCACATCCTTGCCATCACTTCTTATCTTTTGTCTTTTTGATAACAGTCATTCTAACAGGTATGAGATAATATCTCATTGTGGTTTTGATTTGCATTTACCTGATGATTAGTTATATTTAGCATTTTTCATGCACCCATTGGCTATTTGTATATGTCTTCTTTTGAGAAATGTCTATTCAAGTCCTTTGCTCATTTTTTAATTGGATTATTTGTTTTCTTGCTATTGGGTTGTCTTGATTTTGTTTTACTACTTTGTTTTACCACCTGAGACTGGGTAACTTATAAAGAAGTTGATTTTTTCACAGTTCTGAAGGATAGGAAGTCCATGATCGAGGTGCGAGCGGATTCAGTATCTGGTGAAGCCTATCCTTCTGCTTCCAAGATGGTGTCTTGTTGCTGTCCTCACATGGTGGAAGGGAAAAAAAGGGACTATAGCACTCCCTTCCATCTCTTTTACAAGAGCACCAATCCCATTCATGAAGATGGAGTGCTTATGACTTAACTACTTCCCAAAATGTTCTGCCTCTTAATACCATCACATTGGGTATCAGCTTCCAACATATGAATTTTAAAGACATATATACATTGGAACTACAGCAAAAGTTGAGTTCCTTATATATTTTGAATATCAACCCTTCATCAGATGTATGGTTTGCAAATATTTTCTCCCATTGCATAGGTTGTCTCTTCACTCTATTGATTCCTTTGCTGTGTGGAAGCTTTTTAGTTTGAGCCAATCTTATTTGTCTATTTTTGCTTTTGTTGCCTGAACTTTTAGAGTTACATCAAAACAAACAAACCAATAAACAAACTAACAAGCACCAACCCCTGTCCCCCCCAACACACGCTAAAATTGCCCAGACCTATATAAAAAAAAAGTTTTCTGTGTTTTCTTCTAGAAATTTTATAATTTCAGTCTAATGTTTAAGTTATTAATCCAGTTTGAGTAGATTTTTGTATATAGTGTGAGGTGAGGGTTTATTTTTATTCTTCTACACGTATGGATATCCAGTTTGCCCAACCCTGTTTATTGAAGAGACTATCCTTTCACCATTGTGTGTTCCTGACAACTTTATTAGAAATCAATTGACCATAAATGCTTGAATTTCTTTCTGGGCTCTCATTCTGTTCTATTGGTCTGTATTTTTATGTCTGTTTTTGTGCTAGCACCATACTAGCTTTGTAGTGTGTTTTGAAATCAGGTAGTGTGTTGACTTCAGCTTGCTCAAGATTTCTATGATTATTTTGAGTCTTTTGTGGTTCCATATAAATTTAGCAATTTTTTAAAAAAATCTTCTCTTTTGATTTATTCTTTGACCCATTGGTTGTTCAGGAGTGTGTGGTTTAATTTCCATGTATTTGTGAATTTTTCCATTTTCCTTCAGCTTTTGATGTCTAATTTGTTTACCATTATGGTTAGAAATGATACTTGATATGTTTTCAGTGTTCTTGATTTGTTATGACTTATTTTATGGCTTAACCTATAATCTATCCTGGACAATGTTTTATGCACACTTGAAAAGATGTGTTTTTTTTTTCAGCTGTAGATGAACCACTACACATGCACCACTACACCCAGCTAATTTTTTTTGTTTTTGTATTTTTAATAGAGACAGGGTTTCACCATGTTGGCCAGGCTGGTCTCAAACTACTGACCTCAAGTGATCTGCCTGCCTTGGCCTTCCAAAGTGCTAGTTGTGCATATATGTGTTGTGTCCATACAGCCTACAGTGTTGTTGAAGTTCACTATTTCCATATTGAGTTTTTGTCTGGGTGATATATCCATTGTTGAAAGTAGGGTATTGAAATCTCCTGCTGTTATTGTAGTACTATCTGTTTTTCCCTTTGTTTTTCCTAGCATTTACTTTATATATTTAGGTGCTCTGATGTTGGGTACATATATATTTATAATTGTTGTAGCCATTTGATGAATTGACTTCTTAATCATTGTTATACTAATCTTCTTTGTCTGTTTTTACAGTTTCTGACTTAAATGTGTTTTGTCTAATATAAGTATAGCTACTCTGTTCTCTTTTGTGTACCGTTTGCATGGAATATATTTTTCTGTTCTTTTACTTTCAGGATACAGGTCTTTAAAGCTAAAGTGAGTCACTTGTAGGCAGCACATAGTTGGATTTTGTTTTTTGTTTAAATACATTCAGCCACTGTGTGTTTTTGATTGGAGACCTAAATTCATTTACATTTAAAGTAATTATTGATATGGAAGGACTCACTATTGCCATTTTAAAAATTGTTTACTGACTTTTTCTTTTTTTGAGATGGAGTCTCACTCTGTCACCCAGATTGGAGTATGGTGGTGTGATTTCAGCTCACTGCAACCTCCATCTCCCAGGTTCAAGTGATTCTTTGCCTCAGCCTCCTGAGTAGCTAGGATTACAGGCATGTACCACTACACCCAGCCAATTTTTTATTTTTGTATTTTTAGTAGAGACAGGGTTTCACCACATTGGCCAGGCTGGTCTCAAACTCCTGACCTCAAGTGATCTGCCTACCTTGCCTTTCCAAAGTGCTAGGATTACAGGTGTGTGCCACCATGCCTGGCCTATTTACAGACTTTTATGCTTCCCTTATTTCTTCCTTGCTTGGTATCTTTTTTTGTGATTTGATAATTTTTTTGTGGTGGCATTCTGTGATTTCTCTGTCTTTATCTTTTATGTATCTATGATAGGTTTTTTCTTTGTGGTTACCATAAAGCTTACATAAGACATTTAATAGTTAGAACAATCTATTTTAAGCTGATAACAACTTGAATTCAACCACATAAAAACTCTACATTTTTACTTCTCTTTTCTTGGTATTTTATGTTATTGATGTCACAATTTACATCATTTTATGTGTGTACCCATTAACAAGTTATTGTGACTATTTGTATTTTTAGTACTTTGGTCTTTTAACTTCTATACTAGACTTAAAAGTTATTTATGCACCACCATTATAGTATCAATGCATTCTAAATTTGACTATATTCTTACTTTATAGTGAGCTCTATACTTTCTTATGTTTTCATGTTATTAATTAGCATTCTTTCATTTCAACTTGAATAACTCCCTTTAGCATTTCTTGTAAGACAGACTAGTGGTGATGAACTCCCACAGCTTTTGTTTGTTTGGCAAAGTGTTTATCTCCTCTTCATTACTGAAGGACAAATTTTCCAGGTGTAGTATTCTTGGTTGGCAGCTTTTTCTTTTTCTTTAAGCACTTTGAATATGTTATCTTGCTCTCTCCTGGCCTGCAAGGCTTCTGCTCAGAAAAGTGTTGTTAGTTTTTTGGGGTAGTTCCTTCCTATGTAATAAGTCATTTTTCTCTTGCTACTTTTAAAATTCTTTCTTTGTCTTCGAATTTTTGAGAATTTGATTACAATGTGTTTTGGTGAAGATCTCTTTATATTTAATATATTTGAAACTTTTAGGGCTTCATGGATATAGATGTTCATTTTCTTCCCCAGATTTTGAAAGTTTTCTATAGTTATTTATTTTAATAGGCTTTCTTTCCCCTCTTTTTTTCTTTTTTTTTTTTTGAACTTCATATGCATATATGGTTTCCTTGATGGTGTCCCATAAGTTTCATAGGCATTTTTTCACTTTATTTATTTTCTTATTTTTCCTCACACTGGGTAATTTCAAATGATGTGTCTTCATGCTTCTTGATTCTTTTTCCTCCTGAATAGGGTGGCTATTGAAGCTCTTTAAGGAGTTTTTCAGTTCAGTTATTGTGTTTTTCAGTTCCAGAATTCCTGTTTTGTTCTTTTTTATAGTTTTAGCCACTTTGTTGAATGTCTCACTTAGTTCATGTATTATTTTTATGATTTTGTTTACTTGTCTGTCTATGTTCTCTTGTAGCTCACTGAGCTACTTTAAGACAATTATTTTTAATTATATTTCAGGCAGTTTGTAGATCTTCATTTTTCTAGGGTTCATTACTGGTGCTTTTCTTGTTTTTTTCTTTTTTATGGTGTCATCATTCCCTGATTATTCACGATTCTTGTAACCTACATTAGTGTCTGCACATTTGAAGAAGTCGGCACCATTTCAAGTCTTTACAAACTGGTTTTGGCAGAGAAAATGCTTCACTAGTCAGCCTGTTCAGAGATTCTGGGCAGGAAAGCTGATGAGGCCCATGAACTAGCTTGCTGCTGGAGTCCTTGGGTAGGGTAGCCTAGTGCTTGGGTCATTGAGTAGGCAGGTCTGATACCTGTGTCCACAGAGTGTAGCCTTGTGCCTGGGTCCATAGGGGTGGGCCTGGAACCTTGGTCCACTTGGGCATGCCTGGAGCTTGTGTTTACATGGCTGGGCCTGGATCCTGTGTCCTTGGGGGCCAGCATGAAGCCTGAGTCTATGGGGGCTGAACTGGCACTGGGGCAGGCTTTGAGCCTAATCCTGTGGGTGGTTGGTCTGGCACTAGGGTGGTCCAAGAATGTGGATACACAGGGGTAAACCTGGAGATTGAGGCCACTGGGGCTGGCTTGATACTGGAGTAGGCCTGGAGCCTGGGTATGTAGGGGTTAGCTTAGAAGCTGAATCTATGGGGGCTGGCCTGGCACTTGATTAGACCTAGTGTGTGGGTCTGCAAGGGTTTGCCTGGAGCCTTTGGCCAGGTGGGTTGTTATGATGCTAGGGTGGGCCTGGAATCTGGTACAAGGGCTGGCATGGAACCTAGGCTTGCAGTAGTCAGTCTGAGGTTGAGGTGAGCCTAGAGCCTGGGTTCCTGGGGATGGGCCTGATGCTGTGGTAGGCCTAGAGCCTGGGTCTGTTGGGGCTGGCCTGGTGCTTGGGTCCATGGGGGCGGATATGGCATCAGGGTTCACTAGAGCAGGTCTGGTTCATGACAAAGTTGGATATTCACCTCACTCCCCTTCCCCCAAGCAGAGGGTATCTTTCTCAGCACCACATTGCATGGGCTTGGGAGAAGGGTGACTCAGGTTATGAAACTGTACTCTTCAATGTATCTTTTATTATTTCTGTGCTCCACCCAGTGCTATAATCTGTCTCCTGAATTCCTTAGTTCTTGTGAAGCTATTTTCGTTCAAGTTGTTATTCAAATTAACATTATGTGAGGGGATAAATGCTGGAGATTACTATTTTGTCATCTTGCTGATGTCCAAGCCTCCAAATTTGCCTTCTTTTGCCTAAAGTATTAACTTTAATTTGCTAAGTGGTTACAAAACAATCCTATGTTAAAATAATTTTCTAAATTAAGATACTCAAAAGTGTAACCTGAAAGTATTGTAGATGATAAGATAAGCCTACATATTTAAGAAGAAAGTGAGTGCTCCACATTTAGTGGTAAAACTCAAGGAAAACATACACAATCCTGGGTTGAAATGAAAAAAACAAACACACCCCTTAGAAACCAAAACAAAGTTAGGCTGACTTCAATGTTTGGGATGTGATTACACAATCAATTCACTGTGTCATAATTGGAAGTGCGAAAACCTGTTTAATAAAAGGAACCCTCACCTCCCTAGGAACCCTGGGGAGGGAGAGAACATGCAAAGTCATTTCTGTTTTTACTAGATAGGACTTGTGTGATTTGGGGATAGCCACTTTGCGTCTGTATATCACAGAAGGCCTTGATTTATTATTTTATCTGTGTGCTTTTTTTAGTCTGTGGTATTAAAAATGATAACCTCTTAAACATAGGGCCATAGTTCAATTTTCTAATCAGTGCTTCTAGCTCAGAAGTAATATTACTTTAGAAAACTCCTCAAATAAACATTGCCAGAGATCCACAGTGCTCCCTTTATGCTGCTGAACTGAAGACATAGGTCACTCATCTGCAAAAGCAACATGGGAAATGTCATTGAGGTATTATCTCTAGAATCTAGGCTTTTTTATTCATCTAAATGACGTTGAATTGAATTCATTTTTCAATTTGGATGATTCATCTTGTTAATTTTCACTACATTTTCAATTGGTAGTTTTTTGGTTGGCTTTTATGAACTCGACAAGGGTATTGCTTTTTCAATTTCCTGTAATTTTTAGACATATCTAAGCAAGCAGTAAATTTGGTGACTCAACTTGATTCCACTATGTTATAAATATTCCTTGAGTGTTCATAATAATAATAAAGAATCTATTGCTTCTCTCTTCAAAGCTTGATTACTCTAAAAGGAGAAGTTAGCTTAATTTTAGGTACTCTGGGTCTTTTTGTATTAAGAACCTGTCTTTGAATAAAATTACTGTTGCTAGATTATTTCAGTGAGGCTACTCTTGGGGAACTCAACCAAAGGATCAATGTTTTTCACCAACCTGAGCTAAAATTGTATTAACAGTTAGAGGAAGATCGATAGTGGGAAGCTCTGTAATATAGAGTGTTGAAGTTGAACTTTGAACCTAGGTCTGATTCCAAAAATCCAGGCTTTATACTACTGTCTCTTACATAAAATTTCTGATGTGGAAAACAAAATAATTTTTATCATTGAGTCCTATTAGGGTGCAATAATTCCCGTCAAGCCCCTGGGCAAGTAAATAAATAAGAACTCCTTATTATAGTTAAGTGAAATTTTCACAGGGCCTGTAGCCCGTTTGTTTTGGCTGATTTCTCCCTTTTGGAATGGGTGTATTACCCAATGCCTTTTTATCTTGGAAGTAACTAACTTGTTTTTGATTTTACAGGCTCGTAGGCAGAAGGGACTTGACTTGTCTCAGATGAGACTTTGGACTGTGGACTTCTTTTTTTTTTTTTCAAAGACCCTTTCAAAGCCTTGAGGTCTTAGGTTGTCACTAATGGATTGACATATTTGAATGTTGACAATAATTTCAAGGTAGGAGAGTTCCAGGTGACAAGGCTTGTTATCACAGTAAATATTTTGAAGTTGGGAAAGATATACAGCCATACCGGTTTTATTGTGCTTCACTTTATTGTGTATTTTTACAAATTGAAAATTGATGCCATTTTTTTGAAAGCATATGCTCACTTTGTGTCTGTGTGTCTACAATTTTTTAAAGCAATAACTTATTTTAAATTACGTACATTAAAATGTACATAAATTAACTTATGTACATTTTTTAGACATAATGCTATTGAATGCTTAATAGACTACAGTATAGTGTACACATAACTTTTATATGCACTCCAAAATAAAAAAAAGTGTGTGACTCACTTCATTGTGATATTTGCTTTACTTTGATGACCTGGAACAGAACCTGCAATATCTGTGAGGTAGGCCCATTGTACCTTAAGAATTTATTAAATAGATGACAATCATTAAGTGTATCTAGCATATGAGATACAAATGGGTAGTTCATATAAAAATAAATCTAAAAATATAAAATAATTTGCTTAATCAGAAAACTATTAAGATGCTGGGGTTTCATAGCCTGTCTCCTCCTCTTTACTTATGGGACACATATGGGCATTATTTGTTTAGCTAACTGACTCCACCTCAATCTTTGAAGACAAAAAGGGCAAAAGTGGCATAAGTGGGCTTTCTCAAGAAAATTAATTAGAGAAATAAGAAAGTTCATTCTCCTAAGGCCTGTATTCAGTGAGAGAATGTGATCCTAGAGGTGTTGAATATAATCAATAAAAACATTTTGAAGTATAATGTGTTTTTTGACACTGTTGGTCCTACTGATATCTATATATTGGCATAAAAATGACTCAGAAGGACAAGTTAATTATGCTAAAGTTGATATTGTTGCTATGTAGAGATGGGGCCACAGAAATACTAACTGATCCTCTTTGGGAGTCAGAAATAATCTGTCTTAGTCAGCTAGGACTGCCACAACAAAATACACAGACTGGTGGTTTAAACAACAAAAATATATTTCTCATAGACCAATGGATGGGAAGTCCAGGTGTTGGCAAGGTAGGTTTTATCTTGAGGCCTCTTCTCTTGGTTTCTAGGTGGCTGCCATCTTGCTGTATGCTGACATGACCTCTTCTTCACACATGTGCATGCATGGAGAGACAGAGAGAGCTTTCTGATATCTCTTCTTATAAAAGCACTAGTCCCATCATGAGGGCTGAAACCTCATGACCTCATCTTACCCTAATTATCTTCCAAAGACATCTCTAAACACCATCACATGGTGGGGGTGGGGGCAGTTAGTGCTTCAACATACACATTTTGGAGGGACACAAACATTCAGTACATAACATCATCTGAGTGTTAACGTATTATACCTATGGATGTGCATGCATACACACACATCACATGCACAAAAGAAAGGATACATCATAGATCATGGATAGTATATTAGTTACTTCTGTTATTTCCCATTTAAGCTACTTTATCAGTCCCTTTTAAAATCAGGTACAAAAAACCACATGATTATCTCAATAGATGCAGAAAAGGCCTTTGACAAAATCAACAACCCTTCAGGCTAAAAACTCTCAATAAATTAGGTATTGATGGAATGTATCTCAAAATAATAAGAGCTACCTATGACAAACCCACAGCCAATATCATACTGAATGGGCAAAAACTGGAAGCATTCCCTTTGAAAACTGGCACAAGACAGGGATGCCCTCTCTCACCACTCCTATTCAACAAAGTGTTGGAAGTTCTGGCCAGGGCAATTAGGTAGGAGAAGGAAATAAAGGGTATTCAATTAGGAAAAGAGGAAGTCAAATTCTCCCTGTTTGTAGATGACATGATTGTATATCTAGAAAACCCCATTGTCTCAGTCCAAAATCTCCTTAAGCTGATAAGCAACTTCAGCAAAGTCTCAGGATACAAAATCAATGTACAAAAATCACAAACATTCTTATACACCAATAACAGACAAACAGAGAGCCAAATCATGAGTGAACTCCCATGCACAATCGCTTCAAAGAGAACAAAATACCTAGGAATCCAACTTACAAGGGATGTGAAGGACCTCTTCAAGGAGAACTACAAACCACTGCTCAATGAAATAAAAGAGGATACAAACAAATGGAAGAACATTCCATGCTCATGGGTAGGAAGAATCAATATCGTGAAAATGGCCATACTTCCCAAGGTAATTTATAGATTCAATGCCATCCCCATCAAGCTACCAATGACTTTCTTCACAGAATTGGAAAAAACTACTTTAAAGTTCATATGGAACAAAAAAAGAGCCTGCACCGCCAAGTCAATCCTAAGCCAAAAGAACAAAGCTGGAGGCATCACGCTACCTGACTTCAAACTCTACTACAAGGCTACAATAACCAAAACAGCATGGTACTGTTACCAAAACAGAGATATAGATCAATGGAACAGAACAGAGCCCTCAGAAATAACACCGCATATCTACAACTATCTGATCTTTGACAAACCTGAGAAAAACAAGCAATGGAGAAAGGATTCCCTATTTGATAAATGGTGCTGGGAAAACTGGCTAGCCATATGTAGAAAGCTGAAACTGGATCCCTTTCTTACATCTTATACAAAAATTAATTCAAGATGGATTAAAGACTTAAACGTTAGACCTAAAACCATAAAAACCCTAGAAGAAAACCTAGGCATTACCATTCAGGACATAGGCATAGGAAAGGACTTCATGTCTAAAACACCAAAAGCAATGGCAACAAAAGCCAAAATTGACAAATGGGATCTAATTAAACTAAACTTTTGCACAGCAAAAGAAACTACCATCAGAGTGAACAGGTAACCTACAAAATGGGAGAAAATTTTCGCAGCCTACTCATCTGACAAAGGGCTAATATCCAGAATCTACAATGAACTCAAACAAATTTACAAGAAAAAAACAAACAACCCCATCAAAAAGTGGGCAAAGGACAAGAACAGACACTTCTCAAAAGAAGACATTTATGCAGCCAAAAAACACATGAAAAAAATGCTAACCATCACTGGCCATCAGAGAAATGTAAATCAAAACCACAATGAGATACCATCTCACACCAGTTAGAATGGCAATCATTAAAAAGTCAGGAAACAACAGGTGCTGGAGAGGATGTGGAGAAATAGGAACACTTTTACATTGTTGGTGGGACTGTAAACTAGTTCAACCATTGTGGAAGTCAGTGTGGCGATTCCTCAGGGATCTAGAACTAGAAATACCATTTGACCCAGCCATCCCATTACTGAGTGTATACCCAAAGGACTATAAATCATGCTGCTATAAAGACACATGCACATGTATGTTTATTGCAGCAATATTCACAATAGCAAAGACTTGGAACCAACCCAAATGTCCAACAATGATAGACTGGATTAAGAAAATGTGGCACCTATACACCATGGAATACTATGCAGCCATAAAAAATGATGAGTTCATGTCCTTTGTAGGGACATGGATGAAATTAGAAATCATCATTCTCAGTAAACTATCGCAAGGACAAAAAACCAAACACCGCATACTCTCACTCATAGATGGGAATTGAACAATGAGAACATATGGATACAGGAAGGGGAACATCACACTCTGGGGACTGTTGTGGGGTGGGGGGAGTGGGGAGGGATAGCATTCGGAGATATACCTAGTGCTAAATGACGAGTTAATGGGTGCAGCATACCAGCATGGCACATGTATACATATGTAACTAACCTGCACATTGTGCACATGTACCCTAAAACTTAAAGTATAATAATAATAAAAAAATAAAATAAAATAAAATCAGGTACATGTTATAGCAGACACAAATATTAGTAATTAATCAAATTTTGATTTATTTTCTATTATAACAAGAAGTCTAGAGGTAAGTCTTTGCTGGCATTAGTTCAGCAGCTTGATGCTCTTTGGGCCAAGGTCTTTATGATTCTCTTGCCTTTATGTTTGCAAGATGATGGCTACAGCTACATTTCTAGCCCTTCTACCTGTATCTCAGACAGGATAAAGGAAAAAGGAGAAAAAAAAGGTGTGTGCTAGCTGAGTCTTTTAAGAATTTTTCCAGAAGCCCTACTCAATGACTTCTGCTCATATTTTCTGAACCGGAACTCTATGTCATGTGGCTACTGCTATATGTAAGGAAACCTGGGTAACATAAGTTTTATCTGTAAACATTACTGTGCCCTCTGAAATGTGGACTCTGTTAATAAAATAAAAAGAAAAGAAGGATATTGGTTTGGAAGCTAGCAGTATATACCACAACTACATCCCAAGAGCTAAAAATAAAAAGTGAATTGACAGATCCTTCCTCAGTGGGTAGATTCTATTTTGCTTCATACAGCAAAATAGAAGCTTGGGAACTTCCTGTTCCAAAGAGATGTTTAAAGAGCATGCCTCAAAAGGTAACCTTACTTAAGGAGACTGGGGAAGACAACATATTTTAGACACTGGAGTTTACCCAGAGCACAGTTACTATTTTAATTCGTTTGCAACCTGAGGAAATTTTTAGCAGTTGGCAGCTGTGCTGCTTCAAGACTGCGTTTTGGCTCTCCTGTTGATTACTGCTCCTGGTTTCCTGCTGTTGGAGCACACTGTTTTCTTTCACTCAGAGACATCTTGTTCTTTTCTGAGTCACTACACCATTACTCATCTTGAGTTGGTTCCTTGTTGGGTTTCATAAGGTTATCCAGAGAGATGCAGGGACATGAAAAACACTGAACTTGGGAAGATCAAGTGTAGGGTGTTAAGAGATATGAGCTGTTTGTGCTTTTTTCCAGGGTCACACTGAGCAAGTCAGGACTTTTAAATTTGTAAATCAATGAGTAGCCCCTCCACTTTCTGCTATAAGATGAAAAGGAAATTCACCTGTTCCTTGAGAAAACTAGGGCTCTAGATAACTGTGGTTGTAATTTATACCAAGAGTAACATGGAGGGTGGAATTGAAGCCAGGTGCACTCAGGTGGGCATTATAGTAATCCAAGTGAAAGATTATGAGAGAAAATAGGAGATTCATTGGTGGGAGCTCAACCATGGCGGCAAGCAGCATATTGATTCTTCAGAGAGCTAAAAACAGAACTACCATTTCACCCAGCAATCCCATTTCTGGGTATATACCCAGAGGAATATAAATTATTCTACCGTAAAGACACATGCATGCAAATGTTCACTGCAGCACTATTCACAATAGCAGAGACATGGAATCAATCTAAATGTCCATCAGTGACAGACTGGATAAATAAAATGTGGTACATGTACACCATGAAATACTATTCAGCCATAAAAAAAGAATGAGATCATGTCTGTTGCAGGAACATGGATGGAGCTGGAGTCTATCGTCCTTAGCAAACCAATGCAGGAACAGAAAACCAAATGTTCTCACTTATAAGTGGGAGCTGAATGATAAGAACTCAGGGACACAAAGAAGAGAACAATAGGCGTTGAGGTCTCCTTGAGGGTAAAGGGTGGGAGGAGGGAGAGGAGCAGAAAAAAAATGACTATTGTGTCATAAAATAATCTGTACAACAAACCCGTGTGACGTAAGTTTACCTATATAACAAACCTGCACATGTACCTCTAAAACTAAAAAGTTAAAAGAAAAATAAATCAATGAGCCCAGTAGAAGTCCCTCAAGTCTTATTGTTGGTGGTAAAAAGTTCTTTTGTTGTCGATGAAGAAATTATTTCTTTCACATATTTTCTTAGGTATCACCTGTCAGTAGGTACACATAGGTACCCATATTAGTAAACGAAACAAAGCAAAACAAACAATAACAAATATCGAACACTTGTTGAGCATTTCTTATATGCCAGGAACTCTTTCAAGCTCTTTACTTATTTAATCCTCACAACAGCTCTAAATTAGGTCTCGTGATTATCCCTATTTTGCAGATGAGAAAACAGATCCGGAGATGTTAGTAAATCATTTGCACAAGGTCACATAACCAGTTAGTGTGGAACCTGAATTTGAATCCAGGTTTAATTATCAAGTTCACATGATCAACAACAACATGATATTGTCTCATTACAGTGTGAACAACACCAGTTACACTGACTCTGGCCTCTCCTGTTTTCACAGAACCTCAATTTCTTGTAATGTGCCCCTGAAGAATTTTTGCCAACAGAGATGGTCTCACATGCCATCACAAACCACTTAACTATTGTGGGGCACCACTGCTCGATCCTTCTATGTCCTTAGGCACTGATGGATCCTGGAAACCTTGTAAAGCCCTGCTGTGGGGTGGGTTGTAGCAAAAAGGAGGACTCCATTTTTCTGCTGTGCTACACTCTGGGAGCAAGACCTCAAAGCTGTACTAAGGTCTTGCTGAGTTTTAAGCCTCCTTTTCAGATTTTTACTTACAGCCTTTCTCTTCTCTCTAGGACCCAATTATGAGTACAACTGGAGATATATCAGAGTAACAGCCCCCATTTTGGGCTCATACTTCCCTGTCCATCTCCCACTAAAACTTAATCTTTTGTTATTAGCCAAACTCAGTATGCATGGCTCCTTCTCAGACCTGAGTTTTCTCCTTAGAGGCTGCTCAGGCACACAAGAAATGGGCTTCTATGCAACCTATTCTTCAGTTTCCTAAACAATAAGGCATGTCTGAATCCCACAGCAGGCCCATTCCAGAACTCCCAGTACCATCCCATGAGACACCACCAGTTCCACAAATCATAGCCTTCCCTCTATCTACACTCCCACAGCTGCTGTGAACTCCATCAAGCCCAGAGTAGAAAAAAAAGGCTGCTTTTCTGACTTGCACCTACTCAAGCCAGGGTGTAACACTCTTGAGTAACAAACTTAAGTAACACTCCAGACATTACAGTTTTCTTGCTTTCCTCTGACAAGTCATAATGAACAGTCTGTTCTGCTTATCTTCCTTAACCTGGTGGTAAAAACTTATGTACATGAGGCTCACTGGGCAAAGAGGCTTTGTCTCAGGGAAGAGCAGAACTACCTTCATCCCCAAATCTTTCGCTTCTGTGCACAGGGATTTACATTTCTGGACCACATTCTCATCTGTATGTTTTACAAAGGCATGAGTGATGGCTTTGCTGTGATTCACGCAATTTGCACTTTTAGTATAAAAATGGAAAATGGCTATTGTCTCTTCACCTCCCTGTCACTGAGTAGCCTCACCTGGCAATTCTTCCTGCCTCCCTGGAAGCCTGAGCTTTCTCAAAAGCATCTCACTGTGAACACCCTCTGCGACCCTTTCATTCAAGTAGCTTTCACCTACCTGCCTTTTCGCCTCCTCCTTACATCTTTGTCCTCCATTTTATCCTCAACAGAACTAAAATCCCCCCCTCTGTCTTTTGGTGTGTGTTTAGAAGGTAACTTGCTCTCCTCTATGTTTCCCTACAAGCATATAAGAAAACTTTGGTATTGGGGGTAGTGACAGAGGCATCTGGGGAAGCCTCCTAGGTCCTGGATACCCTCAAATACCAACGCCTTGGTAAACTTTGCTTTATCCTTCTTGTCTTTTTGTTCACTTTCCACATCTACACATCTAGCTGTGTAGCCAATACGAGATTAATTCCTCCACCCCACTCCACGCCAGACGACCTATGCAGTATGAGGAGCTGTTCGTCCATGGCAAACCTTGGGTTCTGGCTGATCATCAGAGGAGTCTTTAGTGGGCAACTGGTTTTGGCACTTTTAGGTTAACCCCAGCTGTGATGGTTAATTTGAAGTATCAACTTGACTGGATTGAAGGATGCCTACATGGCTGTTGAAGTATTGTTTCTGGATATGTCTGTGCAGGTGTTTTTGGAGGAGATTGGCACATAAGTCAGCAGACTGAGTGGGGAAGACCTTCCCTCAGTGTGGGCAAGTACCATCCAATCAGCTGGGGGCCTGACTAGGACAAAGCAGGCAGAAACAGAGGAATATTCAGGTCATGCTGCTTCCTTTCTTTTTTTCCCCACTAGAGTGGAACACTCTTCTCCTCCTGCCCTTGGACATCAGAACACCAGGTTCTTTGGCCTTTGGACCCTGGGACTGGCACCAGTGGCCTTCTGGGGGCTCTTGGGCCTTTGGCCTCAGGTATCATCAGTTTCCTTGGTTCTTAGACCTTCCAACTTGGGGTGAGCTATACAACCAACTTGTCTGGTTTTCCAGCTTGCAGACAGTCTATAGTGGGACTTCTCAGCCTCCATACTGGGTGAGCCAATTCCTCTAATAAAGCTCCTCTCATATATCTCTATATCTAATTATCTATCTATCTATCTATCTATCTATCTATCTATCTATCTATCTATCTATCATCTAATCTATCTCCTATTGGTTCTGTCTCCTTAAAGAACAACCATAGCTTCCAAGAATCTTATGCCACTTTGAGGAGGCATATAATATTTTAACAAATTCGGTGTCCATAGGGGAGGGCTTAACAACTAAACTTCCAGGGCTAACTTCTCAGTCAATTTGGGAAGGAGTTTGCAATATTTTATAACATTGGGCAGTCAATAAAATTTATATAAGACTTCTGTGGGTATAACTGAGTACACCCAGCCACATGGATTCTGAAGGCCCCTGCAGGGTGGTTTTCATAACTCCTCACTTCCCTGGGGCTAGCACAGCCATACATTCATCTCTTGGTATTGTTTGGCAAGGAATTTGGCAAGTTGTTAAGGAGGAAATGACAACTCCTATAATAATAATAATAATAATAATAGGTATATGTCAAAAGCACTTGCCATGTGCCAGACACTCTAGTAGAGACCTTCTGTACATCATTTCATTTTATAATCAGATAATGAGTTAGGTATTTTCCACATTTTACATATGACTAAACTTAGACTAAGTAACGTATTCAGGGTCACCTAATTTCCAACTTCCTCAGTGGGTGTGGCTCTAAAGCTCGTACAATTTCCGCTATGTTCACTGCTACTCATAGGAACCTGGGAAATGGAGATGAGTAGAAAGACAACCCTGCAAGCTCAGAAATTAATATTGACGTTCCATAGAAGTGCTCCTAAATGGTAATCCGAATTCTGGGCTGCTGCTGGAAAATAGCCTTTTGTCTCGAAAACCCAGTTAGAGCCTTCCACCAATTACATAGGCTTTACGAGATAGGGAGGATGGAGGATAGTAGGATGCTGGACTGAAAAGCACTTTGTGGTGGTCTACCTTGGGACCTCTGGTCAGCAGCTACTGGTTGTTCCTTCTTTTTCCTTCTCCTCCCTCATTTTCCCCATTAGAATGTAAGCTTCTTGAAGGAAAAGGGCTTGTTTATTGCTGTATAACTAGAAAGGATAGTGCCAGGCACATTCAACAATATTTGTTGAAAGAATGAAAAACTGAATGAAAAAGTATTTGGCAGCTCTCTGAAAACCAGCTACTTCTGACACCTAGAAACCCAGGTAATCTATTGTGTATCTGATGTTTATTGATTGCCCTGATCTTACCACTGCCATGTAACAGGAAAATCCTGCCTTCTACTAGGGAGTTGCTGAGACCCCCTAAACAGGCAAAGAACCAAAGACACCATCAGTTTCCTTGCTTCTTAGATTTACAGGGATTACAGGTATTGAGCTCGAGGGCTTGGTCCCCTGTGTGTGTCTAATCTTCAAGACTCGAGCGCCTCCTGATTTCTCAGTGAAAGAGGAAGCACCCCGATGACATCCATCACATCTTTTCCAGGAGCCCTTTTTGTATGATAAGCATTTTGTTCTTGCAGTAAATCTCAAGTTTGTTTCCTCGCTGTGTCTGGCCAATCTCTAGACAAACCTTACTTCTAGCCTTACTTTTCCTGATTGAAACTTCCCCATTCTAAAAACCAAAACCCCAAAACCAAAATCAAACCCATCAACAACAAAATATTGGTGCAGTCATAGTTCTGCACCATTATTAGAAGCATAGAAGCAAAAGTCCTATGGTAGAAGTTTCCTTGACATCTGGTTTTTATTCATTAGGCAGGAGTCCTGACCTGACTTTTGTAAGATTTCTTGTAGATAAACTATTTTTATGGCACTGAGAGAAAACAAATACATATCCTCCATAACTTAAATAAAATAAAAATGTAAACTTCAAATATTCACAGGAAGGAGACGCCCAGTGCATTCTCTAGATCTTGTGTACTTACCTTTCTATAGAATCTTGTAAATACGGAGTCCGGTTTTTGATGTGCCAGGTTTTCTTTCACTATTAAATTGCTTTAGGAGAATTTTGTAAATGGACATAAACAACAGGTATACATACACCTGTTGGTGTAAATGAACAGCGCCTTCTGGAAGGAGGGCTCCTAATGAGTTAGTCCTTGAGCCCTGGGCTGGGATACCCTCTTCCCTGAGGCCAGTCTCCCAGCCAGGGTTGTAAACCAGACCCCAGCACCAAAACCACTGGCTTTGTAAGCAGAGTAGTAAGTTTCCTAATTCCTTCCCAAGAAAAATGTGATGGTCCTCTGGGAGTGGTTTGAAAAGCATTTCTCAGAGTAATTTAGTGGGTGGGAGCTTAGAAGGGAGAGCAATTACTTTGTTGATTGAATGAGGATGTTTGAGGCAACATATACCTGTAACAGTGTAAAGACACGTCAAGGATGTTGATTTTTCTAGGTTGTCAGTGAGTTTGTCTTCATGCTTGAATGAAGTGCGCTGACATGCAGAGAACAGAGTTATATGACTAATTTCAGTTTATTGGTAATGTGAAGGTAGCAATAGGAATGCTTTTATGACATTGCATGATTTCAAGTTGTATTCAATTATCTTTACATATTTAACATTTCTCTCATTAACATGCTCATTCTGTCTGGCTTCTCTCTTTTTCTTTCTTTAGTTTTGCTGTTCATATCAGCACAAAAAATGTATTAATTTTTTTCTACAATAGAAGTAAATTGTTTTACTTTCTCTCTGCACATACTGTGTGACCATAATGTACTTCAAAGAGGGAAACAGAAAAAGGAAATTAATCATAACATCTGTTTGTTTCTAAGGTGCTTATAAATAATGGAATTTCTGTGAATAAAATAAGCTTTAGCTTAAAAATCTAAAAAAATCAATGCTCTTGGAAGATACACCCTGCATACTCTGTGGCTTTGGGTATCTACTGGTCTACCATCACATATTCCCAGAGGTACAAATATCTCACGCTTAAAAATAACTAGAAAGTGTATTTGTTGAATGAATAAATGATAGGAACTTAAGAGGTGGGAGAAAATGTAGAGGTTAGACATACAATTTCTCTATAATTCAGGTATTCCTTCTGTAGTATTCTTGACAGCCATTCTCTCAGCCTTTATTTACAGTGATGGGCAGATTGCTACCTCACAAAGGAGTTCAATGTCTTTTTTGTTATTTATTTATTTATTTTTAACTAGTAGACTATTATTTTTAGAGAAGTTTTGGGTCACAGCAAATCTGAGTGGAAAATACAGAGATCTCCCATGTACTCTTCCCCTAACACACACATAGCTACCCCCAATATCATCATCCCACACCAGAGTGGTACATATGGTACAGTCAATGAACCAACATCAACATATCATTATCAACCAAAGGCCATAATTTCCTTTAGGCTTCACTCTTTGTGCTGTATATCTTAAGAGTTTTGACAAATGTATATATATAGTGACATGAATCTACCTTTATGGTATTATACAGAACAGTTTCACTGCCCTCAAAATCCTCTATGCTACACCTATTCATTCCTCCCTCTCCCGAAACTCCTGGCAACCACCGATCCTTTTACTGTCTCTATTGTTTTGTCTTTTCCAGAAATCCATACATATAGTTGGGATTATGCAGTACATAACCTTTTCAGATTGAGTTCTTTCAGTTAAAAATATGGATTTAAGTTTTCTCCATGGCTTTTTATGACTTGATAAATATATATATATATATTTTTAGATGGAGTTTTGCTCTGTCGCCCCGGCTGGAGTGCAGTGGCATGATCTCAGCTCACTGTAACCTTCGCCTCACAGGTTCAAGCAATTCTCCTGCCTCAGCCTCCTGGGTAGCTGAGATTACAGGCATGTACCACCACACCCAGCTAATTTTTGTATTTTTAGTAGAGACAGGGTTTTCACCAGGTTGGCCAGGCTGGTCTCAAATTCCTGACTTCAAATGATCTGCCCCCATCAGCCTCCCAAAGAGCTGGGATTACAGGTGTGAGCCACCGCATGCGACCGATAAATATTTCTTTATGGCATGAAATAATATTCCATTGTTTGGATGTACCACAATTTATTTACGCATTTGTCTACTGAAGGGCATTTTGGTTGCTTTCAAGTTTTAGCAATTATGAATAAAGCTGCTATAAACATTCATATGCAGGTTTTTATGAATTCAATTTATTTTTTCCTTGTTTTGTTTTCTCTTACACCAAGTGGAAATCTGATCTCCTGTAAGTTCTCTGCATTGCTGACCTGATCTTCTGTTCCATGTGATAACTCTTTTCCATGTGATAACTATTCAAGTACCTATTGAAGACAAGGTATCAAGGAATTCCTATGGTTTCTCTATTTTAGGCTAAAAATCACCAATTCTGCCAATTTTCCTCATGTTGTAGGATTCTTAGTACATTCGGTTTTCTGGTTCTCAACCTTTTGGTAAGCTCTACTTTATAAAACAAAGTGACCGAGTACAGAGGAACCATCACTCTCCCTGTTCTGGGCAAGTTAAATCCTGTAAATGTCTTCTGAGTCCATTGTCACTCTTGGAAATTTTGGTACTCAATTTATTTAAAAATTTTATGTTTATTTTACCAAAATAGTTGTTAGGCTAGTCTCCTCCAAACTGTACTTTTCCAGAGGATTTTCAGAATTTAAAACCTAGATTTTCTTACATATACTTTTTAAGCTTCCTCTTGTACATTATGGGCTATTGTTCTAGCATGTTGAAATAGGCTTTTTTTCTTTTGAATATTGGTTTTTTAAATCAAATATACAGTATTTGCCATTGCTCCTTGTTTAAAATGTTGTTCTTAGGCTAAAGAGCCATCCGTTTATAACAGAACTTTTAGAAAGTACAGACGAGCTAAAATAAGAAAACAAAGATGATTCCTAACTCATTGTCAGGGAGATAAATATTATTACCAGAGATACATATTATTAACATTTTAGTGTATGTCTGCACAGTGTTCTTCTCTATGCACATATGTATATTATATTATTACATTTGCAATATAGTACATGTGCATTTATTTCAAATTATTATTATATTACATAGTTTTTTTATAATTTGCTTTTTTCCTCACTTTATTCAAATTTTATTTGACTTTTTTTTTTTTTTTGTGACGGAGTCTTGCACTGTCACCCAGGCTGGAGTGCAATGGTGTGATCTCAGTTTGCTGTGACCTCCGCCTCCCAGGTTCAAGCGATTCTCCTGCCTCAGCCTCTGAGTAGCCAGGGTTACTGGCGCACGTCACCACACCCAGCTAATTTTTTTGTATCTTTAGTAGAAATGGGGTTTCACCATGTTGGCCAGGCTGGTCTCGAACTCCTGACCTCGTGATCCACCCTGCCTCAGCCTCCCGAAGTGCTGGGATTACACCTGTGAACCACTGCTCCCGGCCCAACATATTTTTTAAAAAATCCACAATGTGCATAACATTGTGCTGGCTGCTGGAAATACAGTGGTGACCAATTTTGATATATTTTAGCAAACTGATCTCCAGAAGGTTATAAAATAAGCTCAAAATTACTTTGTAATTTGAAAACTTCATAACCATTCTTTTTGTCAGACAAATTACTGATAAAAATATTTAGCAAGAGAAGGTCAATGACAAGATTTTGGGATAAACTAGTAGATCATTCTTTCCCAAATTATATTAGTTCATCAATCAGCACTCTGTGGGGACTGTTGTTTGTTCAATTACATTATGTCATGTTCCTATTTCTTCATTTTTATCAACTAGGGTTTCATAAGGAATTTTGTTGGATATTTTGCCGAAATCAAGAGAGTCTGTTGACAGCAATTCCCGTCTCCAACAGTGTAACAGTTCTATCAAATGATAGAGATTTTATTAGTTCAGTGTAACATTCTCAATTAATTATATGGCTTATGGTGATTACTATTTTCTTGAACAGCACTGTCCAAGGGAACTTTCTGCAATGATGGAAATGTTCTGTGACCTGTGCTGCCCCATATGGTACCCTGCTAGCTATTTGTGACTACTAAATGCTGGAAATGTGGCTAGTACAACTCAGTAGACAGTTTGTAAATTTTTTAAAATTTTAAATAATTTAAATTTAGTCAGATGTGACTAGTGGTTATGATATTGGATAGCACAGCTTGACAATATCTAACAAATCATTTCTCAAATAACTTGTATAATTTAACTTGAGTTCAATATTAAACTGAGAGACTCGTGGTTCCTAAAATGTGTGATGAGTCTCTCTCCTCCCTCCCTCTCTCTTTTCTTTCTCTTTCTTTCTTTCTTTCTTTCTCTTTCTTTCTTCCTTTCTTTCCTTCTTTCTTTTCTTTGTTTCCTTCCTTCCTTCCTTCCTCCCCTCTCTCTATCCCTCCCTCCCTCTCTTTCTCCTTTCTCTCTTTCTTTCTTTTTCTTTTCTTTCTTTCTCTCTCTTTCTTTCCTTCCTTCCTTCCTTCCTCCCTTCTCTCTCTTCCTTCCTTCCTTCGTTCCTTCCTTCCTTCCTTTCTTTTTTCTCTCTTCTTTCTTTCCTTTTGTTTTCTTTTCTTTTTCTTCACTTGCTGTCTCTATCACCCAGGCTGGAGTGTAGCGGCATGTTTACTCTGTGTTTAATTACAACTTTGTTTTTCATCTTCAGGCCCTTGCACAATTCTATCCTTCATAATTTCTTACAAATTGCTGACAGTAATTTTGTGTAAATGGTTCATATCAGCAAGTTGTTTTTACCCTTGGATATAATTGAATCTACCAATATAATTTCTTTCAAATCAAACTGGTTTTATTTCTGTGCCTTATAATCTGAATATCTCCTTGAGGGAAAAAGAGGTAAGCAAAATGAAGTTAAAGAATTCTGGTTTCTGCTTTTAATCCTTGACATTATTTTCATCTTCCCAAAGAGTGGGCTTTCTCCTTACTTATTCTTCTTGAAGTTAATGTAGCTACTAGGGCCCTTTCTGTTGTCAATAACGTTTTTTGTTTTTCAAGCCTAGATCATTCTGGTTATTAGCCTTTCTAGTAGTAAACTTGTAGCTCTATACCACCCTTTTATGTTCATCCATAATCATATACGTATTATTTTCTCCCCAGTTTTTTTGTGCCATTGTAAAATTTGAGTTCAATAGAAACATACGTAGCTGTATCGATTTCTTTAACACCTGCTCCCTTTGCATGCGATGGAATCAGATTTGATTATATTTTAATTCGGTTCAATCTAATCAATGGTGTTGACTGGCCCTTAAGAGCCAGATCGTGAGCCAGTGCTGGGGATTCAAAACTGAAGCACACATGAACTTTGACATCAAAGGAGTCACACTTTACTAAGAGAATCAAGCTCATAGCTCATATACCACAAGCCATGTGCAATGTGGTATGTGTTTGTTAACAGTATTCAAAATGCCCTGGGGGAGTGTAGCAGAGGGATAGGGTTAATTCTGCTAGCAGGGCATGAAGAATAGGGTAGAGAGATTGTGAAGAATCAAAGTCTGTCTGAAACAGAAGTGCTGTTTGAGTAAAAATAAATAAGAGCTTGCAGGACAGAGAAGCAGGCTAACATGGTATCCTCTGAAGAATGAATAACTTGAACAGAGGCCAGAGTAGATGATATAATCCAGGCTTTATAACTAATCCTGCAGCTGGAGTGCAATCTACTTTTTGGGAGAGTAAAGAGAGATAAGGCTGAAGTTAAGGACTGACTAAATAGTGAAAGATTTTGTATGTTATAGTAAGGAAATTGGATTTATCCTAAATGGAATAAGCTTGAAAGTTTTTGAACAGAGGAGAAAAATGGTTAGATTCCTGTTTTTAAAAAATATTCTGGTGACATCAACTTAGGATGTGTTAGACTTAGAAAGCTTGTGGAAGGGAAATCATTAGTCAAGAGGAAGAAGAAAATACCGACTAGTTCAGCACAGAGTAACGGAGGGCAGGGGTTAGAAATGAGCTGCATTTAGGAGGTAGAACTGATAGGATTAGACGATTGATTGGTTATGAGGGAAAGAGAGAGGCAGAAAGATGATTCAGAAATCCCTCTGTTTTGCTGTTTATATTGGAGTCCACTGTTTTTCTTAAATCACCTTCTCTTTAGGATCTCTGGATGTGAGATCATGACTGTCATTTCCCTGAATTTTTTGAAACTGTTCTCCTTTGAAACTGTTTCCTAACACTAGTGAGTGTGTACTGATTTTACCCAGTGTTCTACTCCTGATGTCCTAGAAATTCCGAGGTGTGCTCATCACATTTTTAAAAACTTCTTTATTTTGAGATCATGTTAGACTTACAGAAGAGTTGCAAAAACATTTCAGTGAGTTCTCATATCCCCTTCACTTTCCTTCCCTTTGTTAAGATCTTATGTGGCCATGGAACAATTATGAAACCAAGAAATTTACCTTAGAACTCAATTACTATTAACTAAATTACAGGATTTATTTGGATTTTGCTAGTTTTCCCACTAATGTATTTTTTTTCTGTTCCAGGATAATGCATTGCATTTAGCTGTGAAATAATAGAAAATATAAGAGGAAGTTTAGGAGCCCCTAAACTCTTTGCAGACAAAGATGCTATGATAATCATTTTTCTACTATTTGGTGTTTGACTCCAGTTTCTGACAGAGAGTCCCTAAGAGTTTTGTAATTTCCTGAATGATAGAAACAACAAAAGAGTGATTACTGTGGACTCCTGGATAGCCTCAAGATGGGGGTTGATTGCCAGGGAAACAGTCGTGTGATTAGAGAGTTGGAAGTTTCAGCCCCTTCCCCTGACCTCCAGGGAAGGGAGAGTGGAGAGGGGCCGAAGAGGAGTTGATCACCCATAACCAATGATTTACTCAATCATGCCTATATAATGAAGCCTTCATAAAACTCCAAAGAACAGGATTTTTTTTCTTTCCCTTAAAACAACACAGCTTTATTATCTTACACTTCCAGAAGTCAGAAGCCTGAAATGAGTCCCATGGGGCTCAAGGCAGGGCTGATGCCTTCTGGGACTTCTAGAGGAGAAGCCAATTCCTTGCCTTTTTCAGTTTCTAGAAGCTGCCTGCATTCCTCAGCTGTGACCCCTTCCTCTATCTGCAAAGCCAGAAGCTTAGCATCTTCAAATCTCTTGCTCTCTGACTGATGCTCATGCTTCTACTATCCTCTTCCATCTTTTAACTCTTGTGGTTATAGAGGGCTCACCTGGATAATCCAGAATAGTCTTCCTATTTTCAATTGATTAGTCACCTTAATTCCATCTGCAACTTTAATTCCCCTTTTCCATGAAAACTTTTCACAGGTTCTGGGGATTAAGATGTGGACATTTTGTGGGAGACTATTATTACACCTATCACAAGCCTCATAACAACACTATGAGGAGCTGACTGCAATTATCTTCAGTTCACAAATAAAGAAACCGAGGTAGAGAAAGATTGAAGACTGATCCAGTCTCACAGCTTGTTGACAGCAAAGGCAGGATCTGAACCTAGGCAGTCTGACTGTTAATGACCACCCTATACCACTGCCTCTCCAACTTTAATGGATGGGAATCACTGGGGTCTTTGGGTCTTTCCATAATGCAAATTCTGATTTGCTAGATCTGGAGTAAGACCTAAGATCCTACATTCATATATATACATGTATGCATATATATATATATATATATATATATATATATTTTTTTTTTCTTTTTAGAGACAGGGTCTTGCTCTGTTGCCCAGGCTGGATTGCAATGGTGCAATCACACCACAACCTTAAAACCCTGGGCTCAATGATCCTCTTGCCTTAGCATGCTAAGTAGCTGGGGTTGCAGGCATGTGTCACCACACAGGCCAATCAAAAAATTTTTTCTTTAGAGATGGAATCTTGCCATGCTGCCCAGGCTAGTTCTGTACTCCCAGGCCCAAGCTATCCTCCCGCCTCTGTCTCCTCAGTTGCTGGGATTACAGGCATGAACCACAGTGCCTGCTGATTCTGTATTTCTAACCAGTTCTCAAGTAATGCCAAAGCCACTGGTCCACAGACTGCATTTTGAATAGCAGGTCATCTCTTCCTCTAAAATGATACCTCACACTTCGTGAGAACCTACTTTATGGCAGGTACTGAAATTAAGGGAATAAAGTCATTTAAATATCACTTAAATACTTAATGCAAAGGAAGTAGTAATCTTGTTTATTTTTTATGTGAAAACGGAAGCCCAGAGAGTTGAGATGATTTATTCAAGAGCACACAGCAAGTAAATGGTAGGCTTTCAATTGTCAACTACAAAATCTACACTAGCTAGTTTAATCAGACAAAGATTTCTTACACAATAGACGATAGTTTACAAAATCTTAAGAGGGCCGAAAATCCAGGCTTGGAAGCAGGACAGTCAAGAGCCTCACAGTCAGGAACAGCTCCCAACCACAACTCAGACAGTTCTAGGGAAAACACCGTTGCTATCATCCACTTCTTGGAATGAATAATGTTAGGATGTTAGGACTGGCTGACAGAATTTCTTTGCAGAAGAACAATCCTCCTCCACCACTGTGACTGCAAAAGGTTAGGGTTTGGGGAGCTTCCAGATTGCTGAACTCATGGAGGTACCTGGAGGGTGGTGTACCTGTAGAGGGTATGGAAGGTCCAAGCCCCTTCTCACATACGTTGTCCTAGGCATCTCTTCCATCGGCTGTTCACCTATATCCTTTATCATATCCTTTATTAATATAATAAACTGGTAAATGGAAGTGTTTTCTTGAGTTCTGTGGGCCATCCTGGTAAAGCAATTGAACCTAAGAAGGGGATCATAGATACCCTGATTTATAGCCAGTCAGGAAGAAGTATAGGTGACAACCCTGTTACTGGCATCTGAAGTTGGGGGGCAGTATTGTGTGTGGTATCTGACTCTAACTCCAGGCAGATAATGTCAGAATTGAATTGAATTTTACAACACTTAGTTGTTGTTCACTGGAGAATTGCTTGGAGTATGGAGAACCTCCTGTTCCCAATCCATCAGAAGTATTCTGTGTTATGTTGTGTGGTGTGGTGACTGTTAAGTGTGTAAGAGTAGGAAAAACAATTTGTTTTGAAATTGAAACTTGAAAAACAAGTTGTCGTGTCTTCCTTATTTTTTCCAATCTGTGACAGTTCCTCAGTTTTTCCTTATCTTTCATGATCTTGAAACTTAAAAAATATATAAAAATTATTTAAATTATTTTTATTTTTAATTTTTTGTGGGTACATAGTAGTTGTATGTATTTATAAGGTACATGAGATTTTATGATACAGAATGCAATGTATAATAATCACATTATGGAAAACGGGGTATCTATCCCCTCAAGCATTTATCCTTTGTGTTACAAATAATCTAATTATACTCTTTTAGTTATTTTAAGTGTACAATTAAATTATGATAGACTGTAGTCACCCTATTGTGCTATCAAATACTAGGTCTTATTTATTCTTCTTTTTTTTAAAAAAACTTTTATTTTAGATTCAGTGGTACGTGTGCAGTTTGCCAACATAGGTAAACTTGTGTCATTGGGGTTTGTTGTACAGATTACTTTGTGACCCAGGTACTATATAGATTTTTTTTTTTTTGAGACGAGTCTTGCTCTGTCACCCAGGTGGGGTGCAGTGGTGTGATCTCGGCCCACTGCAAGCTCCACCTCTCGGGTTCAGGACATTCTCCTGCCTCAGCCTCCCGAGTAGCTGGAACTACAGGCGCCTGCCACCATGCCTGGCTAATTTTTTTGTATTTTTAGTAGAAACGGGGTTTCACCCTGTTAGCCAGGATGGTCTGGATCTCCTGACCTTGTGATCCGCCCGTCTCAGCCTCCCAAAGTGCTGGGATTACAGGTGTGAGCCACTGCGCCCGGCCTAGATAGATATTTTTATGATCCTCTCCCTCCTCCCACTCTCCACCCTCAAGTAGGCCCAAAACTCTCTTGTTCCCCTCTTTATATCCGTGTGTTCTCATCATTTAGCTCCCACTTATAAGTGAGAACATGTGGTATTTGGCTTTCTCTTCCTACATTAGTTTGCTAAGGATGGTGGCCTCAGGTTCCATCCATGTTCCCGCAACAGACATGATCTCATTCTTTTTTATGGCTACATAGTAGTATTCCATGGTGTGTATGTACCATATTTTCTTTGTCCAGTCTGCCATTGATGGACATTTAGGTTGATTCCATGTCTCTGCTATTGTGAAGGGTGCTGCAGTGAACATACGTGTGCATGTGTCTTTATGGTAGAATGATTTATATTCCTTTGGGTATATACCCAGTAATGGGATTGCTGTGTCAAAGGGTAGTTCTGTTTTTAGCTCTTTGAGGAATCATCACACTGCTTTCCACAATGGTTGAACAAATTTACACCCCCACCAAAAATGTCAAAGCATTCCTTTTTCTGCCCAACCTTACCAGCATCTGCTATTTTTTGACTTTAATAATAGCCATTCTGACTGGTATGAGATGGTATCTCATGGTGGTTTGATTTGCATTTCTCTATTGATCAGTGATATTGAGTTTTTTTTCGATATGCTTGTTGACCACATATAAGTCTTCATTAGAAAAGTGTCTGTTCATGTCCTTTGCTCACTTTTTAATGGGGTTGTGTATTTTTTTTCTTGTAAATTTAAGTTTCTTACAGATGCTGGATATTAGTTCTTTGTCAGATGCATAGGTTACAAAATTTTTTCCCATTCTGTAGATTGTCTGTCTGCTCTGTTGATAGTTTTGCTTGCAGAAACTCTTAAGTTTAATTAGATCCCACTTGTCAATTTTTGCCTTTGTAGTGATTGCTTTTGGCATCCTTGTCATGAAATCTTTGCCAGTTCCTATGTCTGGAATGGTATTGCCTAGGTTGTCTTCCAAGGTTTTTATAGTTTTGGGTTTTACATTTAAGTCTTTTATCCATCGTGAATGGTGTAAGAAGGGGTCCAGTTTCTATCATCTGCATATGGCTAGCCAGTCGTCCCAGCACTGCTTATTGAATAAGTCCTTTCTGTAAACCCAGCACTTTGGGAAACCAAGGCAGGTGGATTTCTTGAGGCCAGAAGTTCGAGACCAGCGTGGCCAACATAGCAAAACCCTGTCTCTACTAAAAATACAAAAATTAGCTGGGTGTGGTGGCACATCCCTGTAATCCCAGCTTCTTGGGAGGCTGAGGCATGAGAATTGCTTGGACATGGGAGGCGGAGGTTGCAGAAAGCCAAGATTGTGCCACTGCACTCCAGCCTGGGTAACAGAGCAAGATTCTGTCTAAAAACAAACAAAAACAAAAAACAAAGACGTTTTTCCCCAATGCTTGTCTTTGTCAGCTTTGTTAAAGATCAAATAGTTGTAGATGTGTGACTTTTTTTTCCTGGGCGCTCTATTTTGTTCCACTGGTTTATGTGTCTGTTTTTGTACAAGTATCATGCTGTTTTGGTTACTGTAGCCCTGTAATATAGTTTGAAGTTGGGTAATGTAATGCCCCCAGCTTTGTTCTTTTTGCTTAGGATTGCCTTGGCTACTTGAACTCTTTTTTTGCCTCCATATAAATTTTAAAATAGTTTTTTCTAATTCTGTGAAGAATGTCATTGGTAGATTGATAGGAATAACATTGAATCTGTAAATTGCTTTGAGCACTTACAGATTGCCCTAAGTATGGCCATTTTAGCAGTATTGATTCTACGTATCTATGAACATGAATGTTTTTCTTTTTGTTTGTGTCATCTCTGATTTCTTTGAGCAGTGTTTTATAATTTTCATTGTAGAGATCTTTTACCTCCCCAGTTAGCTGTATTCCTAGGTATTTTATACTGTTTGTGGCAATTGTGAATGAGATTGAATTCCTGATTTGGCTCTCAACTTGGCTGTTGTTGGTGTATAGGAATGTTAGTAATTTTTATACATTGATTTTGTATCCTAAAACTTTGCCGAAGTTGTTTATAGGTTGAAGGAGCTTTTGGGATGAGACTATGGGGTTTTATAGATATAGGATCATGTCATCTGCAAACAGAGATAGTTTGACTTTCTCTCTTCCAATCACTTGCCTGATTGCTCTGGCCAGGACTTCCAATATTATGTTGAATAGGAGTGGTGAGAGAGGGCATTCTTGTCTTGAGATGGATTTCAAGGATAATGCTTCCAGCTTTTGCCCAATCTATATGATGTTGGCTTTGGGTTTGTCATAGATGGCTTTTGTTATTTTGAGGTTCCCTCAATACCTAGTTTATTGAGAGTTTTTAACATAAAGCGATGTTGAATTTTATCAAAAGCTTTTTCTTCATCTGTTGAGATAATCATGTGGTTTTTGCCTTTAGTTCTGTTTATGTGATGAATTACATTTATTGATTTACATGTGTTGAACCAACCTTGCATCTCAGGAATAAAGCCTATTTGATAGTGGTGGATTAACTTTTCATTGTGTTGCTGGATTCAGTTTGCAAGTATTTTATTCAGGATTTTTGCATCGATGTTCATCAAAGGTATTGGCCTGAAATTCTCTTTTTTGCCAGATTTTTGTATCAAGTGTCTCTGCCAGATTTTGGTACCAAGATGATGCTGGCCTCATGGAATGAGTTGGGGAGGAGTATCTCCTCCTCAATTTTTTTTGAATAGTTTCAGTAGTAATGGTACTGGCTCTTCTTTGTACATCTGGTAGAATTCAGCTGTGAATCCATCTGATTCTGGGCTTTTTTGGTTGGTAGGCTATTTATTACTGATTCAGTTTCAGAGCTTATTATTGGTCTGCTCAGGGAATCAATTTTTTTTCTAGTTCAGTCTTAGGAGGGTGTGTGTGTCCAGAAATTTATCCATCTCTTCTAGGTTTTCTAGCTTGTGTGCATAGAGGTGCATATTAGTGTGTGCATATTAGTAGTCTCTGAGTTTGTATTTCTGTGTGGTCAGTGGTAACCTGCTTACTAAAGCATCCTTGGGCACCGAATAGTCAGCGGAAGTCAGGAAGTATTCGCTGCAGACCTTGGGTGAAACTCACAGATGTGCTGGCTTCAGATGTGACCCAGGGTGTTTTCCAGCTGTGATGGCTATGGGGAGAGACTCCTTTTACCTGAGAAAAGGAAAGGGAAAAGAGTAAAGAGGACTTTGTCTTGTTGCTTAGGTACCAGTTTAGCCACAGTGGGGTAGAGGACCAACTGGGCTCCTAGGGCTCCCAAATTCATACCTTGGCTCTTAGATGGCATTTCTAGACCTGCCCTAGGTCAGAGTGGAGCCCACTGCCCTGAAGGGGGAGTCCTAAGCCTGGCAGCATTCTCATAGGCTGACTGAAGAGCCCTTGGGCCCTGAGTGAACATCAACAGTAGCTTGGTAGTACTCACCACAGGCCTGAGGTGGTGGTTGCCATGGGGAAGGACTCTTATGCTTTTGGTATTAGGAGGAAATAATGGGAAGATCTTGTGGCCTGGGTGACAGCTCAGCCACAGTAGGCTAGAGCACTAGATAGATTATTATGGTTTTTGACTCTAGTCCCTGGCTCCCAGATGGTATCTCTGGACCCACCTGGGACCAAGGGGAACTCACCACCCTGAATGGAAGGACACAATCCTGACTGGCTCCCCCACCTACTGATTGTAGAGCCCAGGGCCTTGAGTAAACATAGGTGGTAGCTAGACAGTGGTTACTGTGGGCCTGGGGTGAGATCCAATGGTCTTCTGGCTTTGCGTCTGACCCAGCACAGTCCTAGTAGTGATGGCCTCAAAAGGGCAAATATAAGAGTAATTGGCCTTAAAGAGGAGACACAGAGAGATAGGAGTAGAAAGTTTATTCAAAGGGATGATAACAGAAAACTTCCCAAACCTAGAGAAATAAATGAATATTCAAGTACAAGAAGGTTATAGAACATCAAGCAGATTTAACCCAAATTAGATTTCCTCAAGATATTTAATAATCAAACTTCAAAAGATCAAGGAAAGGATACTAGAAACAACAATAGAAAAGAAAGAAGTAACCTACAATGGAGCTCTAATATGTCTGGCAGCGGACTTCTCAGTGGAAACCTCAAAGGCGAAGAAAGAGAGGCATGACATATTTAAAGTGCTGAAGGAAAAAAAATACTTGTTTCTTAGAATAGTATATCCACTAAAGGTATCCTTCAAAGATAAAGAAGAAATAAAGACTTTCTCAGACAAACAGAAGCTGAGGGATTTCATCAACAATAGACCTGTCCTACGAGAAATGTTAAGGAGAGTTATTTGATCTGAAAGAAAAGGACTTTAATAAGCAATAAGAAAGCATCTGAAGGTACAAAACTCACTGGTAATAGTAAGTACACAGAAAAACACAGAATATTATAACACTGTAAATGTGGTGTGTAAACTACTCATATCTTGAGTAGAAGGATTAAAAGATAAGCCAACCAGAAAGAATAACTACAACTTTTCAAAACATAGATAGTACAATAAGATATAAATAGAAACAACAGAAAGTTAAAAAGTGGGGGGATAAAGTTAAATTGTAGAGTTTTTTTTGGTTTTCTCTTTTCTTTTTTGTTTCTTTAGCAATCAGTATTAAGTTGTATTAGGTTTAAAGTAATGGGTTGTAAGATATTATCAACAAGCCTCATGGTAACCTCAAATCAAAAAACATACAACAGATAAAGAAAAATTACAAAGCAAGAAATTAAAACATACCACCAGAGAAAATCACCATCACTAACAGGAAGACAGGAAGGAAGAAAAGAAGGAACATAAGATCATAGAACAACCATAAAAAAATAACAAAATGGCAAGAGTAAGTCCTTACTTATCAATAATAACATTACATATAAATGGACTAAGCTCTCTAATCAAAATACATAAAGTGACTGAATGGATAACAAAACAAGATTCAATAAAGACACATATAAAATGAAAACAAGAGATGGAAAAAGATATTCCATGCAAATGGATACCTATAAAAGAGTAGGAGTAGCTATACTTAGATCAGACAAAATAGATTTCAGAACAAAAACTCTAACAAGAGACAAAGAAGATCATTATATAATAATAAAAGGGTCAATTCAGCAAGAGAATACAACAACTATAAATATATATGCACCTAACACTGGAAAACTCACATATATAAAGCAAATATTATTAGAGCTGAAGAGAGACAGACACTCAATACAATAATAGCTGGAAACTTCAACACTCCACTTACAATAAATTGGAAAATCTAGAAGAAATGGATAAATTTCTAGACACATATAGCCTACCAATCTTGAACTTGGAAAAAATCCAAAACCCAAACAGACCAATAACAAGTAATGAGATTGAAGTTGTAATAAAAAGTCCCCCAGTGTATTAGTCTGTTCTCATGCTGCTAATAAAGACATACCCAGGACTAGGTAATTTATAAAGGAAAGAGGCTTAGTGGACTCACAGCTCTACATGGCTGGAGAGGCCTCACAATCATGGTGAAAGATGAAGGAAGAGCAAAGGGATATCTTACATGGCAGCAGGCAAGACAGAATGAGAGCCAAGCAAAAGGGGAAACCCCTTATAAAACGATCAGATCTTATGAAACTTATTCACTACCATGAGAACAGTATGGGGGAAACTGCCACCATGATTCAATTCTCTCCCAACAGGTCCCTCCCACAACATGTGGAAATTATGGGAGGTACAATTCAAGATGAGATTTGGGTGGGAACACAGCCAAACCATATCATTCCACTCCTGGCCCTGTCCAAAATCTCAAGTCCTCACATTTCAAAACCAATCATGCATTCCCAACAGCCTCCCAAATCCTTAATTCATTTCAGCATTAACTCAAAAATCCACAGTTCAAAGTCTCATCTGAGACAAAGCAGGTCCCTTCCACCTATCAGCCTGTAAAATCAAAAGCAAGTTAGTTACTTCCTAGATACAATGGGGGTACAGGCACTGGATAAATATACCCATTCCAAATGGGATAAATTGGCCAAAACAAAGAAGCTAAAGGCCCCATGCAAGTCTGAAATGCAACAAGTCAGTCAAATCTTAAAGCTCCAAAATGATCTCCTTTGACTCCATGTCTAACAAGTAGGTCATGTTGATGATGCAAGAGATGGGTTCCCATGGTCTTGGGCAGCTCCATCCCTATGGCTTTGAAGGTACATCTTCCCTCCTGGCTGCTTTCATGGGCTGGCATTGAGTGAGGCTTTTCCAGGCACATGGTGCAGGCTGTGAGTAGATCTACCATTCTGGGGTCTTGTGGATGGTGATCCAAAGCTCCACTAGGCAGTGCCCCAGTGGGAACTATGTGTGGGGACTTCAACTCTACATTTCCCTTCAACACTCCCCTAGCAAAGGTTCTCCACGAGGGCTCTGCCCCTGCAGCAAACTTCTGCCTGGACATCCAGGCATTTCCATACATCCTCTGAAATCAAAGCTGAGGTTCTAAACCTCAGTTCTTATGTGCATCCTCAGGATCAACATCACATGAAAGCTGCCAAGGCTTGGGGCTTGCATCCTCTGAAGCCACTGCTCAAGCCATATCTTGGCCTCTTTCAGCCATGGCTAGAGTGGCTGGGATGCAGGACAGCAAGTTCCTAGGCTGAATACAGCAGAGAGGCTTGGGCCCAGCTCACGAAACCAGCTTGAATTTCTCTTTAGAAAATGGGTTTTTCTTTTCTATCACATCATCAGGCTGCATATTTTCTGAACTTTTATGCTCTGTTTTCCTTTTAAAATTGAATGCGTTTTAACAGCACTGAAATCACCTCTTGAATGCTTTGCTGCTTAGAAGTTTCTTCCATCAGATACCCTAAGTCATCTTTCTCAAGTTCAAAGTTCCACACATCTCTAGGGTAGGGGCAAAATGCCACCAGTCTCTTTGCTTAAACAGAGCAAGAGTCACATTTACTTCAATTCCCAACAAATTCCTTATCTGCAGGTGAGACCATCTCAGCCTAGATTTCATTGTCCATATCATTTTGGTCAAAGCCATTTAGCAAGTGGCTACGAAGTTTAAAACTTTCCCACATTTTCCTGTCTTCTTCCAAGCCCTCCAAAATGTTCCAACCTCTGCCTGTTATCCAGTTCCAAACTCGCTTCCACATTTACTTGGTACCATGTAAGATGCCCCTTTGCTTTTCCTTCATCTTCTGTCATGATTGTGAGGTCTCCCCAGCCATGTGGAACTGTGAATTCTTTAAACACCTTTCCTTTATAAATTACCCAATCTTGGGTATGTCTTTATTAGCAGCATGAGAACAGAATAATACAGTAAATTGGTACTGGTCATTTATAAAGGAAAAGCAAAGGGGCATCTTATATGGCACCAGGTAAGAGAGAATGAGAGCCAAGCAAAAGGGGAAACTCCTTATAAAATGATCAGATCTCATGATACTTGTTCACTACCATGAAAGCAGCATGTGGGAAACCACCCTTATGATGCAATTTTCCCCCACCAGGTCCCTCCAACAACACACAGCAATTATGGGAGCTACAATTCAAGATGAGATTTGGGTGAGGATACAGCCAAATCATATCACCTAGCAAAGTCTGGGACTGTATGGTTTTACTCTGGAAATTTAGCAAACATTAAAAGAACTAATACCAACCCTAATTAAACTATTCTGAAAAATAGAGGATGAGGGAATACTTCCAAACTCATTCTATGAGGTCAATATTACCCTGATACCAAAACCAGACAAAAACACGTCAAAAAGAGAAAACTACAGGCCACTATCCCTGATGAACATTGATGCAGAAATCCTCAATGAAATACTAGCAAATCAAATTAAACACCATATGAAAAAGATTATTCATCATGACCAAGTAGCATTTAAAGCAGGGATGCCAGGGTGGTTCAACATATGCAAATCAATCAATGTGATACACCATATCAACAGAATGAGGGACAAAAACCATATGATCATTTCAACTAATGCTGAAAAGCATTTGATAAAATTCAACATCCCTTCATAATAACAACTCTAAAAAAACTGGGTATAGAAGGAACATACCTCAACACAGAAAAGCCATATATGACGACTCACAGCTAGTATCACACTGAATGGGGAAAAACTTCATGTCCTTCCTCTAAGATCTGGAACACAACAAGAATGCCCACTTTTACCATTGTTATTCAACATAGTACTGTTAGTTCTAGCTAGAGCAATCAGATAAGAGAAAAAAACACAGGGCACCAGATTGGAAAGGAAGTCAAATTGCCCTTGTTTACAGATGATACGATCTTTTATTTGGAAAAATGTAAATACTCCACCAAAAAATTATCAGAACTGATAAACAAATTTAGTAACATTGCAGGATAAAAAATTAATGTACAAAATCAGTAGTACTTCTATATGCCAACAGTGAACATCTGAAAAAGAAATCAAGAAAGTAATCCCATTTACAATAGCTACAAATAAAATTAAATAGCTAGGAATTAACTAAAGAAGTAAAAAATCCTTACAATAAAAACTGTAAAACATTGATGCAAGAAATTGAAGAGGACACAAAAACGGAAAGATATTCCATGTTCATGGATTGGAAGAATCAACATTGTTAAAGTCGGTGCAATCTCTATCAAAATGCCAATGACATTCTTCATAGAAACAGAAACAAAAATCCCAAAATTTATATGGAATCACAAAAGACCCAGAACAGCCAACGCTCTCCTGAGTGAAAAGAACAAAACTGAAGAAATCACATTATCTGACCATTTATACAACAAAACTAGAGTAAACAAAACAGCATGGTATTGGCATAAAAACAGACACACAGACCAATAAAGCAGAACAGGGAACCCAGAAACAAATCCATACATCTACAATAAACAGTGCTGGGAAAACTAGACATATGCAGAAGAATGAAACTAAACCCCTATCTCTTGCTGCACACAAATATAAAATCAAAATGGATAAAGACTTAAATCTAAAATTTCAAACTAAGAAACTAGGAAAAGAAAACTTTGGGAAAACTCTCCAGGACATTGGACTGGGCACAGATTTCTTGAATGATACCCCACAAACACAGGCAACCAAAGCAAAAGTGGACAAATGGAATCACATCAAGTTAAAAAGCTTCTGAACAGCAAAGAAAATAATCGACAAAGTGAAGAGACAACACACAGAATGGGAGAAAATATTTGCAAACTATCCATCTGACAAGGAATTAATAACTAGAATATAGAAGGAGCGCAAACAACTCTATAGGAAAAAACTAATAATCCATTTTAAAAATAGGCTAAAGATTTTAATAGACATTTCTCAAAAGAAGACATACAAATGGCAAATAGGAATGTGAAAAGGCACTGATGAAAGGCACATCACTGATCATCAGAGAAATGCAAATGAAATCTGCAATGAGATATCATCTTATCCTTGTTAAAATGGCTTTTATACAAAAGACAGGCAATAACAAATACTGACGAAGATGCAGAGAAACAGGAACCCTGGTACACTATTAGTGAGAATGTAAATTAGTACAACCACTATGGAGAACAGTTTGGAGGTTTCTCAGAAAGCTAAAAATGGAGATAACATATTATTAGGCAATCCTACTGCTAGGTATACACCCAAAAGAAAGGAAATCAGTATACTAAAGTGACATCTCCACTGCTATATTTATTTCAGCATTATTCACAATAGCCAAGATTTGGAAGCAACCTAGGTGTCTATGAACAGAAAAATAGATAAAGGAAATGTGATACATTTACACAATGGAGTACTATTTAGCTTTAAAAAGAATGAGATTGGCTGGGTACGGTGGCTCATGCCTGTAATCCCAGCACTTTGGGAGGCTGAGACAGGCGAGGTCAGGAGATGGAGACCATCCTGGATAACACAGTGAAACCCCGTCTCTACTAAAAAAAATACAAAAAATTAGCCGGGCGTGATGGCGGGTGCCTGTAGTCCCAGCTACTCCAGAGGCTGAGGCAGGAGAACGGCATGAACCCAGGAGTGAGTCAAGATTGCACCACTGCACACTCCAGCCTGGGCAACAGAGTGAGACTCCGTCTCAAAAAAAAAAGAAAAGAAAAAGAATGAGATCCTGTCATTTGCATCAACATCAGTGGAACTGGAGATCATTATGTTGAATGAAATAAGTTGGGCACAGAAAGATAAATTTCACATGTTCCCACTCAGTTTTGGTTGCTGAAAATGAAAACAGTTACACTCATGGAGATAGAGAGTAGAATGATGGTTACCAGAGGCTGGGAAGGACAGTGTGAGGGTGGGGTGAAGGTAGGGGAGTAGGGAGGTGGTGGAGGGGGGACATTTTTTAATGGGTACAAAATTATATTTAGAATAAATAAGATCCAGTATTTGATCATAGACCGGGTGACTATAGACAACAATAATTTATTGTACATTTATAAATAACTGAAAGAGTACAGTTGGTTTGCTTGTAATACAAAGAAAGGATAAGTGCTTGAGTTGATACATATTCCATTTACCCTGATGTGATTATTACACGTTGTATGCCTGTATCAAAATAGTACATGTTTCCTGTAAATATATACAACTACTATGTACCCATAAAAATTAAAATAAAATATTTTAAAAAGAAAAGTTAAATTTCCATTCAGTAAATATTTATTAAGAGCCCACTGTATGGGAGTGCTGGGCTAGATATGAAGACATGTTCCTCCTAACCCCGAGAGTGTATTCTCTAGGTCGCTTATTTCATGTTTTGATACTTCACACTGGTGGATAAGTCTCTTTAAGTAACCTGAGTTTGGTTTTTTCATACCTCCCCTGATAATACCTAAAATGTCCTTCAACTCCCAGCTTGTTGAGGTGTATCCAGGGAATGTTTCACATGCGCTCAGTGAGTCATGTTCAGTTACCATGAAGCAGCCTCTGTTTGTTTCTTGTCCTGTTGCTCTTTTCCTGTGTTGTGAGTCAGTAGAAAAAAAAATTTTCCCTTTTAAATAACTTTTAGTCAGTATGGCTTCAACCCAGAGCCACTTTGCCCCAAAGTCTTGTAGACTTGCTAGTGAAAATGGTACTTTTGGTTATTATTTATGGCACTAAACCATCTACCTCCCCACCTCTCTTGCTGAACATGCAGTCATGAGTTCATCAAGAGGCTAAATCAGGAGACCTCACCGTGCATTTCTGAGTCCACTCTCCCTTAGCTAAAGAAGGCTTTGTGTTTGGGTTGACAGCTTTGTGCCCACTGACCTCTTTATTTACAATGAAATGACATCCAGGGAGTTCCTTAATTTTTCTTGCAAATGGGACTTGGACATGTCCCTTTAATTTACTAGATAGATCTGACTCCTGTGATGTTAGACTTGAGCTCAAACCATGCTTGTATTGAGCTAACAACAGTCACTTTTTATTTATTACCCAAAAGGTTCCTGTAATACTCACAATGGCCATATGGAACAAACATAACTACCTTCTAATGTGGCCACCTTTCAAGATTGAAGTCAACTCTCTTTTCCTGCTCCCCCTCAAAATTCTATCTTCCAGGTTAAGCACATGCAGAACTTTCTATTATTCTTTGTATGTTTTCTTGCCAGTTGGATCCCTTTCCTCTGAAAATGCTCTGGCTTTTCTGTGCCTTCTAAAAATGCGAGGTCACAAAGAATCTTTGGCTTGGCCAGGGAAGATTATATTAGGTTGGTGCAAAAGTAATTGTGATTTTTGCCATTGAAAGTAATGGAAAAAAATTCACAATTACATTTGCACCAACCCAATAGTATACTATTACCCCTTATTCTATCCACCATACATCTTGTGGTAGCAAAGCACTTGATCTTTAATATCTAATTTGGAGCTACACCATATCTCTAAAATTACAGAGAAGTTCAGAATTTAAAAGTAATTATCTAAGAATCAATGCTGTGATGAAAAACAACCAGGCTTATATTGATATGTTTTTTCTTTTTTTTCTTTTTTCTTTTTCTTTTTTTTGAGACAAGTTCTTGCTCTGTTACCTAAGCTGGAGTGCAGTGGCATGATCACTGGTCACTGCAGGCTCGACCTCCTGGGCTCAAATGATCCTCCTGCCTCAGCCCTCTGAGTAGCTGGGACCACAGTCGTGCACCACTATGTCTGGCTAATTTTTGTATTTTTTGTAGAGATAGGGTTTCACCATGTTGCCAGGGCTGGTCTCGAACTCCTGGGTTCAAGCGATCCACCCACCTTGGCCTCCCAAAGTGGTGGGATTACAACTGTGAGCCACCATACCCCACCTTGATATGTAGTTTTAAAAAAGAACATAATTTCATAACTATGCCTATCTACATTTCTGAAGATGTAAGTCTTAAAGAGGAGCAGTAATGAAAACCAGGAAAAAAATAGAACAGATGAGAAAGGTAGGTTATGTAGCTTTTGGACATACTACAAATTCAAGCTTGTCTTCTTGAATTTTTTCCTAAGCATAAAATACAGGTACAGTGGCTTGTGATATCTATCAGCTGAGCCCAATCAGAGTCAGAGAACATGGAAATCCATTGATGTTGTCTATACAAGCCAGGATTCCCAGTCACAAAGCAGTATAAGGAGTAGTTTTGCAAGAGCAAACAGCATAGCCTATACACCGTAGGAGAAGGTCACGAAGGAAAGAAATGAAAACAGAGGATGACAGACTTCTAATTGATATAACCTGACTTAAGAATTCAACAATTAAATTCCTTAATCATATTATTAATTTTTTAAATCCTATGGTTGTTAACCTAATAAGAGTATCTGTCTCATTGTTTATTGAGAGGATTAAATAAGATGATTCATGTAAAGTCCACAGCACAAAACCTCATGTATTAGCAAGCATTCAGTAATGCTAACTATTGTTATTTTGAATTATTGCTTGCTGAAATAATAACTAGCCGTTTTGCCTTGTATGTTGTAAAGAACATTCATATACTTTATCTCATCTGTTTCTTGTGATAACTTGTCAAATAGGTAAGTAGACATTATTACAATTGGAGGAAGAAGTTAAGTGACTTGACCAGTTTATTAGTAGAAGAACAGTGGTTATAACTCAGTCTTCAGACCCAAAATCCTATGAACTTTCAAAAAAAAAATCACAATACCAATGTAAACTCCATTCATGAAAAGACAACAAATCTCATGCAAAATTATAAATGGAAAAAGACCCTAAACAAATACATGCAAATCAGTTATAAAATAATATGCTATGGCCGGGCGCTGTGGCTCATGCCTGTAATCCCAGCATTTTGGGAGGCTGAGGTGGGCGGATCATTTGAGGTCAGGAGTTTGAGACCAGCTTGACCTACATAGTGAAACCCCACCTCTACCAAAATACAAAAATTAGCTGGGCGTGGTGGTGGGTACCTGTAATCCCAGCTACTTGGGAGGCTGAGGCAGGAGAATCGCTTGAACCCAGGAGGCAGAGGTTGCAGTGAGCTGAGATCGTGCCACTGCACTCCAGCCTGGGCAACAGAGCAAGGCTCCCTCTAAATAAAAATAAAAATAAAAATAAAAATAAAAATAAAAATAAAAATAAATATGCTACTAATAATTCCAGTGACCAAGTAAGATTTAGTCCAGGGACATAGCACAATGAAAAGTAATCTAATAATATATTAAAGGAGGAAAATCATATTAGTAGATGTAGAAGAGGAATTTGATTTAGTCCAATATCTACTGTTAAACCCTTAATGAAGTAAAAATAGAAGAAACATCCTTAAAGTAAACAGAAAAAAGAGCTGTTCATGGTCCAATAATGAGAATGGTATCATGACCCAAGAGTTTTGATTAATTGAATTTCATGTCCTTGGTTGGAAAAAAGAAGAAACCTATTAGGAGTCAATATTAAAAATTATATTAGCTATTTAAAACCTAAAGATATTCTTTCTAGTGTCTGAAATAAGATGAAACTATTTTCATTATCACCAGTTTTGGAGATTCTAGCCGATACAACAAGCAAGAAAATAAAACAAAAATGTTCGTTATAGATAGGAAGAAAAAACTATCATTATTTTCAAATGATAGGATTTTATGAATAGAATAGCCAAGAGACTATACATTAAAATATTCAAGGTAAAAAGAAGCTCAACTCATTGGTACATTTTAAGATTACTGTGTACAAATAAAAAACTTTCTCTTACATAGCAAATTATATATGTGATGGATAAATGTGGAATATTAAAGATAACCACAGATTCTTTTCAGCTCCTTTCATGAGCAGTGGCATTGATTTCTACACTCTCATAAATCTGGGCTGGCTTTGGACTTGCTTTGACTAACACAATGTGTGGGAATTGAGGCTATGTAGCTTTGAGTCTCAGTTTCAAGAGGTCCTGCAGCTTTCACTTTGGTTCTTTTGAAACACTATTCCATGATGTGAAGAACTGCAGTATCTAGTCTAGAGTCCTCTGGATGAGTCCAATACTATCCTCTAGTCTCTAGGATAAAAGGCCATGCGAAGCAGAAATGAGCTTAACCAGCTGATACCCACTAAACTAATCAGCTAATAGCCAGCATCAACACCAGACATATGAGTAAAGCCATGCTAGGAAATCTATTGCCAGTGAAACCACCAGATGACTACATCTGTATCAATGACCCTGGTTAGACCAGAAAAAGTGCCCTTTTCCTAGCTGAGCTTAGTTCAAATGTCCAATTAACAAAATGTTGAACAAATAAATGGGTATTGTTTTAAACCATTAAATTTTAGATTTTGTTATTCAGTTATGTATAATTGGTACAAAAATATTCAAGATTTACAATAGCAATAAAAACTAAAAAGTGTCTAGGAAGACATTTCTATAAAGAGCATTATGAAACATACATGAAAGATACAAAACAATATATGAAGAAACACATACAGTATTTTTTGGAGGAAAGATGATAAAGATATCAACTTTCTCCACAAATAATCTATATATTGAGTAAAATGCCAATCAGAATCCACCACTGACAAAATTGATAATAAATTTTATATGAAGAATGTTGAAAATAAAATTTGGAAAGAATAATAATGAGGAATGCAGTTATTTATTGCTGTCTAACAAAATGCTTCTGAATTTAGTGGCTTAAATCAACAACAAAAAATTTGCTCATGAATCCGTAAATTTGGTAGGACTTAGTTAGAACAATTGTCTTTTCTCCTGGTGGCATGAGCTGGAGTGGGCCTAGAGGACTCACTTTTGAGACAGACACTCACATAGTGGTGAGTTGGTGCTGCTGACTGTTATCATCCCCAAAGGAAACCTGTATTCATTAAGCAGCCATTTCTCTTCTGCTCCACTTCAGTCTTGGACAACCACTAATCTGATTTTGTCACGATGGATTTACCTATCTTGGGTATTTCTTATATATGGAATCTTATAATGTGGAAAAAAAGAGGAAGACAGTAGATATGCATGTAGTAGACATGAACATATTTTTCCTATATATTATTAAATAAAAATGAAAATGGCAAAATTGTCATATTACATGTATTATCTAATCACACTTCGCACATATGTATATATAACTAAAAAGTGTGGAAAAATATAAGCCAAAGTTTTAGAGCAGTTATTTCAGGGGCTGGTATTACCATCCCAAAAAAACTAAACATGTATTTATATTGTTAAATACAAATTTAAAAATTAAACATTAACTTCATAGTCAAAAAAGTAAAGATATTTTCATTAAATAATATTTCAATAGGAAGAAATGAACTATTTAAAACATTGGTGAGCAAATCCTAATGAAATAAAGGCTTTAGGCCAGGATCATCAATGGCTGCTAGCAAAAAAGACAACCCGATATTCCATGCCTTCTACTGCCAGTACACATCACCACTTACAAAATATTCTAGCCAAAAATATCAAACCTTAATCAGATTAAGACTTTATCTCTCAAAAAATAGAGCTATATCTCAAATTTCAAAGAGGCAGAGACTCAGGAAATTTGATTTTGAACTTAGCCAACTCCTGTTACCTCCCCAGGCCTCAATGTCCTTGTTCTTGCAAAAGCAAGAGGGATGAACTCTCAAAAAAAAAATAAAAATAAAAAACCCGTAGGCCCTCCTATGACTCAACCACTTGATTCACATTTTCACACGGAAATTTTGATGTTTCAATATTCTCTATTGGCTTAGTACTTTCATGTGTTCTGTCTTTATTCATAACTTACGGAAAGTATGGGGAATGAGAAACATGTTCCAAGGCAAAACGGGGAAGCCTTCAGCAAAATCCAGAATGTGATAAACTCTAGGGGTCAAATGACCTGGTTCCTTCAAGAAATAAGAGGAGGAGGCAGGGAATAGAATCCTGTTATATATATTGTGCCAGATGATTCTTTGTTGTTGGGGGCTGTCCTGGTGTTTTGGAGCTTTTAGCAGCATCCCGGCCCCTATGCACTACCTGCCATTGAAACTCTCCCCCTTTCTCCTCAACCAAGTTATGACAACGAAAAACATCTCCAGACATTGCTAAATGTCTTCTGGGAACAAAATTGCCCCAGTTGAGAACTAAGACTATAGATTTTTTTTTTTTAAAAAAGGAGATTTAAATGACGTAGCAAAAAATGCATCATGCCCACTAATTTGTATAAACCAACTGTAAGGAAGAATTATGAGATAATTGGAATTAGATGTATTTGAAAAGAGACCTATTCCTTTAGTGATATACAATGAATGGTATATTCTTGGTTAAAATGATATGCTGTCTTGTATTGCTTCAAAATAATACCTTTGAGGTTGGTGAGTAAATGGGTAGCTGTATAGATAACATGGGATTGACTATGTGTTGATAATAACTGAAACTAAGTGATGAGTACATAAGGTGGGTTCATCATGCTGCTCTCTAACTTTTGCATGTGTTTGAAATTTTCCATAACAAAATGTCTTAAAAATAATATTCAGTAAGTACCAGAATATTGTAATATTCAGTGACAACCAGAAGGAATAGCTAAAAAGAGATGAAAGTGTAGCTTCCGGGAGGGGTAGGGAGAGGAGAGGGGACTGCTTCTTTTTAAAACAAACCTTTTAGTACTACTTCACTATGAGGACTATGTGCATGGATTACTTCAAAGAACAACAAAAAAATAATTAAAATCCCCAAATAAGCAAACAAAACATTGGAGAGATGCCATTGATATGAATATTTTTCTTGTAAAAATGGAAGCTTAGTTATATAAAATTTCTACATATAGAAAGTAAGTTAAATGACACCATGAGGAAGCAACCAGCTGAGCCCAGATGTGGAACACTGGACACAGCACTTGACTTTCTTCTGAGGCTGGCCTGGCTATCTTCTTTTTCTTCTTTACCTTTTTTATTGAGCATGTTAAAGAGCCAGGGCCCTCTGAGGAAGAAGGATTATTTCTTGTCTTTCTTGTTGTATGTGGAAAGCAGGCAAGGGAGGGCTGTCCCCTGAGGCACAGCAGCCTCTTTCTAACCCAGTGAATGAACCACAGGGCAAACTAGAGTTTGTCTGCTTACCCAATCATCTCTTACTTAGGGAGTAAGAAGCCTTTTTGTTTGTTTTTCATATCTCTTGGTCTAAGCTGCATTTTCTAGTTCAGTTTTGATCAAAGCATTATACTGGGGGAGAAGGAAACATTTGTCAAGCTATTACTAAGGGGCTTATATTATCTCTTATTTTGCTATTAACTGTTGTTTGTGTGATACTTTGGCAGGGAGCCCAGAATGAACAGAGTAAATGGATTCTGATACCAAAACCCTATCCTGAACTCTAACAACTTTCACAGTTACAAGAAAAACAAACATATTTCTTTTGACCTACTATTCATAAACGTCATGTCAGATGCATAAATATTATGCCTCTGTGGTAACAATGAGGGGTATTCTGGCATTCCTAGGAGACAAATCAGCATAGTGGCCCAAGGCCAATGTGGGTGAACAGGCCACCAGGATAATGTAATTTGAAAGGTGCTCTAAAGGCACTTGCATTCTAAGGTTTGTTCACCAAGGTTCTAGGCTACCATGGTGCCTAAAGCCACCACTTTGAGAGTTAACCCTTTCTGTAAATGCATAATGTCTCCAGAAGCTTTCAGCTAAAATACCAATGTGTTATTTTGGAGAGAGAACACATGAACTCTGAGCATTCACAAATTGCCTAAGCATGAACCAGTTTATCAAGTCATTTAAGTTGAGAGAAAGGTCCTCAAGGAAGGAATTACAAAATTGTGCTTTTTATGGGACGTCGTGAGAAGGCTCAGGGAAGTTATGAGGGTAAGATTAGTGGAAGGAAGAAAAATCTGAAGACACTTGGGAAGGCGTGCCCAGGGTAGGTAGAATCCTGGCCAGAGACGGGATAGCAGAAGGACTCAGAGTCTGGAGCAACTCTGTCCATTAGCACTTCCTGCAATGATGAAAATGTTCTATAGCTGGGCTGTTCAATATAGTAGTTATTAGCCACATGTGACTATAGAGGACTTGAAATGTGGCTGGTGTGACTGAGGAACTGGAACTTTAAATTTTATTTAATTTTAATTAATATAAATTAAAATGTCAATAGCCAAATGTGGCTAATGGCTCCATTATTGGATAGTACAGGTCTAGATGAAGGATATGGGGATGGGGGGTGGGGGAAAATCATAGATAGGCAATGTGGAATAGAATTAAAGATACATTTTGCTTAATTCACACTTTATATGGTACCACTTTTCATTTCTAGGCAATAGATTTACAAATTACAGGTTATATTATATTTAGCAAATTAACCTATATTATGAAATAGCTGTACAGATTAAATAGACGGATGAGAGTATAGCCATATTAATTAGATTTGCCATGTCCTACATGATCTTATTTTACTCATATGCATGCTGTCCTATGAAGGAAAAGAAAACATTGACTCAAAAGTGTTAAAAAGGGTATCCTTTGTTTAATGTTCAAGAAAGGCTGCAATTACTTTTCATAATATACAATTGCAAGTTTTGTTATTTTTTCTTTCTGAATAATGATTATTTTTCTCCATTGCAGAGCAAGGCAAGGGTCACAGTCACATTCACAGAACCTCATTAGGGTGGATCCACAGGACATACTTCCCACTGCTCGCAGAAGTATTACCACCCTTTGGAATAATCAATCAATCAAACCAACTCAACAATCTTTCTTTTAATGCTAGTGGCACATATTGACATAAAAATAAAATTTTGCTTCCTGGTGGAACATGAATAATAAAAGTATTTTTAAAGTTGTTTTAATCAAGGCTTCACTATTTAGAAAGTATTAATAAACTGGCACCAGAAAATTTCCCAAAACCACTAGCTAGTTGTTAGTGGCCACAGAACCTAGAGGAGAATAAAAATAATCTCTAGGCCCGGCCCGGTGGCTCACGCCTGTAATCTCAGCACTTTGGAAGGCCAAGGCGGGCGGATCACAGGTCAGGATATCGAGACCATCCTGGCTAACACGGTGAAACCCCGTCTCTACTAAAAATACAAAAAATTAGCAGGCGTGGTGGCGGGCGCCTGTAGTCCCAGCTACTTGGGAGGCTGAGGCAGGAGAATGGCGTGAACCAGGGAGGCGGAGCTTGCAGTGAGCCGAGATCGCGCCACTGCCCTCCAGCCTGGATGACAGAGCGAGACTCCGTCTCAAAAAAAAAAAAAAAAAAAAAAAAAAAAAATCTCTAAACACAACTGAAGCCAGAGAAATCTTTTTGTTTTTGTTCTGGAGGAGACAGCATCCCCTTTGACATATTTGGAAGGTTCTCCTAATTAATGTGGCAGTACATAGGTGTCATTGCTGAGTCAGATGGTTACTCTAGATGTAGAATTTTGTCAAATCTTCATTTCATGCCATGTGAAAATCCAAATGCCACCACTTCAAGATTTTCTGTTACCAGAGTCCTTACATTCTTGTGGTCACCTATGACTCTAAAATGCTCTTTCCTCTGAATTAATTGGCTTGAATCATGAATCTATTGCCGTCTGTAGTTTGTGTTTTTGCTCTGCCAAACCAACTATGAACTTCCTTTCCACAGATTTCTGCCATCACCAAGTGTGTGCATCAGAATTGCATATTTTATTTATGTATAAAGTATAACCTAGGACTTGGCAGGGGTGGAGGATCCTGTTTCATGACGGTAAAATGGGGGGAGACCCACGACCTGATAATACCCATTAGGGAGGGGGGTAGAAAATACTTATATTTAAGTATTAGTTAAAATTTTTTGTTTGTTTTTTGGAGCTGCTCTATATGATATTTTTTAAAAATTTCACTTTCCAATATAGTTTATTATTAGTGTATGGAAATACCATTGATATTTAAATGTTGACCTTGTAGGTTGAGGTCTTGGTAAATTTACTTATTAGTTTTAAGACTGTACCCCCAGCTCCACTTTTTAAGAAAAGTTCCTTCAGATTTTCTATGTAATCATTTCATTTGCGAATAGAAACAGTTTTTTTTTTTTTTTTGGTTTCTAATTTGTATGCCTTTATTCTTTTTCCTTGCTTATTGCACTGGCTAGAACATACAGTACAGTACTAAATATGAGTGGTGAGAGTGGAAACCCTTGGCTTGTATCTGATCTTAGAAGAAAAGCATTCAGTCTCCACCATTAAGTATGATGTGAAAATTTTATAGATTCACTCTATCAGGTTAAGGAAGTTCCCTTCTATTCCTAGTTTGCTGAGACTTTTATCATGAATGACTTTTGAATTTTATCAAATGCATTGATATAATCATGTGTTTTTTTCTTCTTTAGCTTGTTAATATCGTGTATTACATTGGTTGATTTTCAAATATTCAATCAACCTTGCACTTTTGGGATAAACCCCACTTGGTAGTAGTGTACTACTCTTTTTGTATATTGCTGGTTTGATTTAGTAATATTTTATATATTGACCTATAATTTTCTTTTCTCATATTGTCTTTGCCTGGTTCGAGTATCAGGGTAAAGCAGGCCTTACAGGATGAGTGGAGAAGTGTTCTCTGAATTTTTTGGAAGATATTTATAGAATTAATGTTATTCTTCTTTAAATCTTTGGTTGCATTCATCTGTGAAATCATCTGGGTTTGGAGCTTCATTTTAGGGAAGTTTATAAAGTATAAAATAAATTTCTTTATTAGATATGGGAAAATCCAAATTATATATTTCATATTAGGTGAGTTGTGGTAGCTCATGTTATTTGAGAAATTGGCCCATTCCATTCAAGTTGTCAAATTTATGTTTGTAGTATTTTCTTATTATCCTTTTGGTATCTGCAGAGTCTTTAGTAATATCTGCTATTTTGTCCTTGTTATGGACAATTTGTATCTTCTTTCTTTTTTTGTGTCAACTTGGTTAGAGGTTTATCAATTTTATTGTTGTTTTCAACAAATCAATATTTGGTTTTGTTAATTTTCTATATTATTTTTCTGTTTTCAATTTTACTGGTTTCTACTCCTATTTTTATTATTTCCTTTATTCTGCTTGCTTTGGATATACTTTGGTCTTCATTTTCTAGTTTAACATAGATACTTAAATAGTTCATTTGAGAAATTTCTTTTCTTCTAGCATAAGTATTGAATGCTATCAATCTCTCTTTAATCACCACCTTAACTACATCTGACAAATTTTGATATGTTGAATTTTCATTGTCATTCAGTTCATAAGATTTTCCAATTTCCTTTATGACTTCCTTTTTGATCTATGAATTATTTAGTAAAAGGTAAAAGATTTATATGATTTGAAGAGAAACCAGAGCATATCTATGAATTATTTAGAATTGTGTTGTTTAATTACAAGGTATTTGGAGATTTCCTAGTTATCTTCCTGTTATTGAATTCTAGTTTAATTGCGCTGTGATCAGAGAACACATCTTGTATTGTTCTATTTTTTAAAAATAAATGAATAATAAATTTGTTAAGGTTTTTGTTGACTTAAGATATGGTCTGCCTTGGTATATATTTATGTGCACTTGAGTAGAATGTATATTTTATCTGTTGGTGGGATGTTTTATAAATGTTAACCAGCTCATTAGTTAATAGTGAGTTCTGTTTTTCCATATTGCTGTTAATTTTTATCTACTTGTTCTATCTACTACTGAGTGAGAGTGTTGAAATCTCCAATGGCAAATTTCATTCTATCAATTTTTGTCTCATGTATTTTGAGGCTCTGTTATTGGGTAATAATACATGGTTAAGATTGTCAAGTCTCTTGATGAGTTCATCCTTTTATCATTAAGTAGTGTCCCCTACTATCTCTGAAAATCTTTCTTAGCTCAAAGCTTTTTTCCTTCTGAAGATGAATTTGATATATAGCCAATCCTGATTTCTTTTGATTAGTATTTAGGTGTTACATTTTTTTCTATCCTTTTATTTCTACTTTACCTGTATCATTACATTTAAAGTATAGATTGATTGTAGCATATAGTTAGGTCTACTTTTGAACATTCTGAAACCTGCTTTTTAATTGGTGTATTTGCAGCATTTACACTTTTAATTTAATTATTTATATGTTTGGATTTAGGTCTACTACTTTATTTACTTTTTTTTTTTTTTTTTGAGACAGAGTCTCGCTCTGTCACTCAGGCTGGAGTGCAGTGGCGCGATCTCGGCTCACTGCAACCTCCGCCTCCCGGATTCAAGCAATTCTCCTGCCTCAGCCTCACGAATAGCTGGGACTACAGGCACGCGCCACCACGCCCGGCTAATTTTTGTATTTTTAGTAGAGACGGGGTTTCACCATGTTGGTCAGGCTGGTCTCAAACTCCTGATCTCGTGATCCACCCGCCTCGGCCTCCCAAAGTGCTAGGATTACAGGCGTGAGCCACCGCGCCCGGCCTACTTTATTTACTTTTTAAATCTTGGTTTCTTCTCATTTTTGTTCCACCATTTCTACCTTCTTGACTTCTGTTGTGATATTTGCATATGTTTGGATGATGGTGTGTCTAGGCATAAATTCCTTTTAGTTTATACTATTTTGAAGCGCAATGAACTTGAATTCATAAGTTCACATCTTCTTCCAAATTTAGGAAGTTTTTAGCCATTATTTATTCAAAAGTTTTTTCTGCTCTCATTCTTTGTCCTCCTCATTTGCTGTTAATATATCAATGACACGAATGTTAAATCTTTTAGTATGGCCCCACAAGTCTCTGAGACTTTGTTTATTTTTTTAACATCATTTTTCTTTTTGTGTGTATGGCTTAGATAATTTCTAGTAATCTATCTTCAAGTTCACTAAAGCTTTCCTCTGTCACTTTCATTTTGTTATTGAGCTCATCGAGTAGCTTTTTTATTTCGTTGTTATACTATTTTGCTCTAAAATTTTTATTTGCCTCTTTATTATATATTCTGTTTATATGCTGAGACTTTTTATCTTTCTGTTTGTTTCCTGAATGCTTACTTTATTTCTTAGAGCATGGTTATGAGAGCTGCTATTTATAGGCATTATCTAACAATATCAATATATCCAGGTAATTTTGAAATTAACATATACTAATTGCCTTTTACTTTGCAAGATGTTGAAATGTTTCTCACATTCTGTGTATCAAATAATTTTGGATTATATCCTGGATATTTTGAATATTTTGAATACTTCGTTATGTGACTGTAGGTCTTGTTTATTTTCTACTTTTTTTTAACTTTCATTTTAGGTTCAGGGATGCATGTGAAGGTTTGTTATACAGGTAAATTGCATGTCATGGGGGTTTGGTGTACAGATTATTTCATCACCCAGGTAATAAGCATAGTAACCTGTTATGTAGATTTTCTGTCCTCTCCCTCCTCCCACCCTCCACTTTCAAGTAGCCACAAAAAGAATAAAATACTGATGAATACAGCTAACCATGGAGTTGAATGGTCTCCACAGTGAGAATTATAGAACACTGCTAAAAAAAATTAGAGATGACACAAACAAATGGGAAATCATTCTGTACTCACGGATGGGAAGAATCAGTATTGTTAAAATGGACATACAGCCAAAGCAATTTATAGGCCTTGTTTAAATCTTATGGAAAATATTTTTTCTTTTAGTTGGACAATTAAACTGGTTATATCCAGGTTCTTAACCACCTTTCTGTAGATGGTGGTTCTATGCCTGTTCTGTTTTCAAAATCTATTAATATGTAGCACTTTTCTTATTTGTCCTATGTGTGCACCATCAGTGGCCAGTTTGGGATCCATTCAGTGATCTATGTTGTAGTTCAGTTCTCAACTGAATCTTGCTGTTTAGGATTAGATCCATTCATTCACAGTTTTAAAGTGAGACTAAAAGTTTGCAGGCAATTTATGAGATCATTTTCTTCAGCTCTGTCCTCTCTGTAATATTCCTGACATTTTCTGATTCCTGGTATCCATCACCCACTACTCTCCATTCCTGTGGCAAGGAACCTAGGGACTTAGTCTCCCCACTCTTAGAACTTGTACATTTCTTAGAACTGCCTCTGCATCTGGGCTAAGTCATGATAGGATAGAGAGAAAAAAAGCAGTGGATTGCCTTGCACATTCTTGGCACCACCAAGAATCAGACCATCTGGCCAGAGAGAAATTTTCCCCTTCTTCTGCTCATTGTTGTCATTACCATCACCACAGCTGTAAGAGTGCCTGGGAGTTGGGGTGATTTGCACAGGTATTAATCTAATTACCTGTTAGAAAAACAAATCAACACACTTCAGAGGAAGATAATAGAATCCAGATCTCTACAATGTGTCATTCTTCATATCTAGTATATAATAACATAGCAGGAAATTAAATTACTGGATGATTAATTGTAATTTGGTTTTAAGTTTGTTAGGCAAAAGGTTGATTTTCAGTTTTATTTGGATGAGTATGTAGAAAGCCCAAGATGTTAACCAAACCCCCGCTGCAGACTCTAGACTCTTCTCTGTAAAGCAGAGCAGCCAAATCTCTGCTAAGTTCTTTTAGCTTTCCAGTTGTTATTTTCCACTGGGACTCTTGGATCCAAACTCTGCCCTTTGACAACTGACACCAACAAACCTGCATCTTTCTGCTTGAATTGTAGGTGAGACATACAGACTGGAAAATATACAAAGTGGAAAAGCCTAATATACCTACATTACACAGTATAATTCCCTCCTGGTATCTATCTTCTTTTGGTCATGCTACAGTGACGTCAACGTGTTGTTTCTTAAATTTTGTCCAGACTTTATGATTGTTATCTATGGAATGGTTTATCTACCATAAGCTACTCTGCAAATATCAGAACCAGAACTGCTAAATATATTTATTCATTCACTTGTCTACCACCTGGATTTATAATATGTAAATATTTTGCCATTTTTTTCATTTTATTTTTGAAAATAAAATCTTATAGAATTGAAGTCTCATTTGTATTATTTTTCATAGCTCATTCTGTCTGCTTCCCCACGGACAACCAATATTTTAAGATTGGTGAAGAGCCTCCCTGCTCATGTTTCTGTACACTTACTGTCCATATGTATCTTTATATAAAATACATTTACAGAAATTATTTTATGCTATATTATTTTGCAACATTTTAATATTTTCCAGATCTTTTTATATTGTAGATCTAATTTATTCATTCAAACTACCAGATTATGATTTTAAAGCTCTTAGTAGTTTTCTCTGTTGCTCTAAGGGTAGAGCCATAATTTATCTTTGGGTCAAGATTGTATTTTTCTTTTGGGCAAAACTCTAATGTCCCCTTCCAGTTATCCATAGGTAAATCCAAAATGCCATTCTATATTGCAAAAGTTAGGAATAAAGAAAAATTCAACTGTTCTATTATAGGAACTCTTGACTCTTGTGGGCAGAGTGGCATCCCTACACATTTTATGATTTCATGTTGATTAAGTAGGGGGAGCAATGAAAGGTAATGGTCCCTTTAGGATGCTTCTGTCTATGGGAAGTAACGTGTTGGCAGTAAGCATCAACATTAAGGAGGATGGAGATCAGTTGAGAGACTTCCAGTGAAGAGATATGACCAATTGTCTTTAGGAGGAGAAATAATTAATTCCATTTTAAGCTTTCTGTCTCTGACTCCCCATTTCCCTTTATAATGCCCCAGTCTTCAGTAAAGTATTACTGGACACTGTGGCCTGGACTTTGGAGAGCTGCAGCAGCAGAGATCTGTGGAGCAGCTGCCTGAATTGACAATGGATATCCAACAACCTACACAGAGTTGTGGAACATGTACATGCAATCATTGAAAACCTTAAAAACACCTGGAGAAGGAGCCCTAAAAAGACTGGATATGAATGTTGTGCAAGTAGAATGGGAGATTTTGATTATTGTATTTGGGGAGTAATGGGAAGAACATTGTAGACTTGTAACATACTTAATAAAAGGACAGAAAAATTGATTCACCCCAAAAGTACAAAACAACCATCTCCAAAATTATTCTCATCATTTAATTTCATTTGACAACTTCAGAATGCTTGACGCAATGCTTCAGTTACAGCAGGCATTTCTACAGTGGAATTTTCTGTACAATTATGAAATTAACAATGCTTCCCTCCCTTAATGAGTTCAAGTTCTGGGTAGAGGAAACACATCCATACTCAATAGACATTCATGGCCAACTGAAGATCCCAAATTGTCTTAAAATATATAGTTCAGTGGGAAGAAAGAAATGCTTAATTTCCAAGTATCCTTTAAATTGGAAAATAACATTTTTTTTTTTACTTAAATGAACTATAAGCACTTTGTTCTGAATTCTACAGGAATTGTTTTCTACTAATTAATCTTTAATGTATATGTTTAGTGCCTGTGTTCACATTTTTCAGGATGCTTCTGAGAGTCCTAGAGCCCTGTGAATTTATTACTAAGAAATAACCAAAACAGCCCTCAAAATAGTGGTTTTTATTTTTATTTTAAATCAAATAAAGTGCTCTTTATTAAATGATTTTTAGAATCATTAGTCTCCTTTTTCTTCAAATGTCCATGGTATTCATGTTAATTGAACCAGGTCACTCTTTCTCAATGTTTCTAAAAATTTTCCTCTTAGAGATGAGATGCATGTTTTTCTCAAATGATAGTATGATTTATACTTACAATTACTCACAGAAAATCTGGCTATAGACTCCATTGCCAGATTGTTTATTAATGAGTAGATTTTGAGAAAAGATATTTTATTACCATTTTTATGTCTTAGGGACCTCATCATTGAAGCTAAACTTCTAATCTTCCTTACAACATAAAGATAATTTTACTTATTGGAAGCTTATGTAACCTAAAATTTAGATTTTGACAACTGTCTTGCAGTTTATAAATATTATAATAAAGAAATCTATACCAGGATGGTTTAAACTCTTTAACTTATAAACAATAACTGTGAGAATTCTTGGTATGCTCTAGATGACATTCCAGTTGTTCTTTTATGTTTGTAGATGTAAGTCAAGGATCCCTAAGTTATTCTAAAGTCATGCCCATTGTTCTTTGAGTCTTGGCTTCTGATAATGTCTTGATTTGCTTGAAGTACAGTTGGTTTGTTTATTAACCTCCTTATTGTTAAGATGATTCAATTAAAAATGTCCCAGTCATTTGACAACTTAATCAAATAACTTCAGACAGAGATAACATTATTATGAAAATAACTCAGGGTAATTAAATGTAGAGGGACTGAGTAGCCCCTTCAGATAAAGTCATCGTGGGAGATCTCTGAATAGAGGACATTTCAGCTGGGATCTAAACGTCAAGCATGAGGTGGTCTCTCAAAGAAAAAATGGAAAGAAAAGCATTCCAGGAGGAAGGAAGCAGAAATATAAAGGCCATCAGGTAGGAATAAGCTTTGTTTGCTTGAGGAATGACAAGGAGGCCAGTGAGATGACTAAGGTGGGAGAAGTCGCCAATGCTATATGAAAAGTGGACACGGCCAGATTACACTCAGCCTTGCAAGCTGCGAGGATTATATTATATTATATTATATTATATTATATTATATTATATTATATTATATTATAATTTTAGAGACGGAGTCTCACTCTGTCGCCCAGGCTGGAGTGCAGCGGCGTGATCTCGGCTCACTGCAACCTCCACCTTCCAGGTTCAAGTGATTCTCCTGCCTCAGTCTCCCAAGTAGCTGGGACTACAGGTGCCTGCCACGATGCCCAGCTAATTTTTGTATCTTTAGTAGAGATGGGATTTCACCATGTTGGCAAGGATGGCCTCGATCTCTTGACCTCGTGATTCGCCCACCTCAGCCTCCCAAAGTGCTAGGATTACAATGTGAGCCACTGCGCCTGGCTGGAGTTCTGATTTTATAAGCATGGAATCACATGTCCAAGATATGGTCGAGTGAAAAAACCATGCTTCAAACAGTCTGAATAGAAAGATCCCCTTAATATAAAATTGTATATTCATTTCCATATGTGTCTGTAGGCACGGAGATACATTGGGGCATATGTTCAGAGAAATGCTAACATTGGAAACATCTGAGGGCTGAACTTCAGGTGACAATTATGTTCCTTTTGTATTTTTCTGTACTGTTTGAATTGTTTACCAAAACAACAAAGCCATATCAAATATGCATACATAAAAAATGAGCCACGGTCCTCTTTGACTAAGATTTAATGTTAAGACAATATTGACATTATTGTGGCTTCCAGACTCACACAAGATAGAAAAAAAATGGATTTATAAAGAAAAGTTTGTTGGATTTTATTAATAAATGTAACAGTAAAATAACCTATGCTTTTTGGGGGAGTTTTCAATGATTATGGAAGATACAAAAAGCACCAAAAAACCTAGAGTGCACAGAACATGAACAATCAAGAAAATTCCCTTATTATGTACCAAAATAGAATTCCCCACATATGATTGGTATTTCCCTCAACTTCTGGAAAGCAAAAAATGAATGGGAGGACATTAAGCTGACAGAAGGCAGAAGGTGGAAAAAGGGTAAATAGTATTCACGTTACACATTAATTCAATTACTCATTCCTTTGACAGAGATTTTAAAATAATCTAAATAAACAAGGGTTGCGTGCAAGAAGTCTATTTGAATTAGATTCTCATGGATGTAAAAACAAAACACGACCACAAAGGGAAGCAGGCAGGGCTGAAAGACAGCACAGAGGCTACTAGCTTCATAACAGAATAGTCAGACTTAGGGTTTCCATATTCTACCAAAAAATAAATGAGAAATCTTCTTTTTGCATCTACTTCTCCCATCAAAACCTTTCCATTGCTTTGTTTTATGTCACCTTGTTTTTACTTGTATATATTCACCTTTTGTTACATCCTCATATTTCTGTGGTATCTATGGAGTCCTGTTTCAGAGGATTCACTTGAACCAGCTTTGATTTGCATGTAACTACCTATTGCCATAGTTCCATGGAAAACCACTAGGAGAGTGTTATTATTCCAAAGCTGGATTACTTCCATAAATAATCTAATGAGAGCTTCATTTTTTTCTGCCTATGAAAGCCAGTTGAGTTCCATTCCATTTATGGAAAAAAGGCTTTTCTATTTCTATTCAATTAAGCAAATGGCTGTCTTTTGGCAAGGAAAGAAGAAAAGCATTAATCATTTCCAGTTCACCATATCAGGATGTTTACTCACAAAAGACAAAGATTCAATTATATCTTTCTTATTATGACCTCCAGGTATTTTTCTCAATGTGACAGTTCTATAACTCTTCAGAAGAGGTTATTTATGGATATATCCTACTTAGAAGAATAGAATGTGGGCAATAGCATAAGAACACTTTGGCATCACTTCAGATAACCTGATGCCTGCATTGGTCCATCATGACTGGAGGCATTCGTTTGTAATAATAAATAAAGTCTGATGGTAGTCCTTGAGGATGCCAGTTGCTTTTTACCCTTTCCCCAGTCACCATCCCTCTAAATGTAGTAGACTGTTGCTAGGATTGGATCTTATCTCTGGCCATATTGAAATCTACCCCCCAACTCTTCAAACTTAGCTCTCTTCTTCTATCATGTAGGATTGCACCTGACCTTTTGCCCACCTGGGTTTCATGGGCTTAGACTTCACTATTAATTCTTGCCCGAGTAGCTGCTGGAGTTGGCTTGGCAACCATTGCCAACTGAGTTCCCTCTTAGGCTCTGTCTCAGCAACAGTGTAAGTAGAACTGAGGCTGGTACCTAGACTATGGTGGGCTGATTCGTAGAGGCTGGTTTGGACTGAATGGAGAAGAGGTAAAACTGTGAGAAAGAGAGTGAAAAACATGAAAATCCATGAGTCAATATGTGAGTATGAAGAAGACAAAAGCCCATGTTTGTGAAGAGCTACACTGCTCACCAGTGACTTTCCACAAATACCTGTCCACCTCAGCATTGAGATGAGATAGAATTTTCTCATCCAATGCTGCAGGTGTTAGCTGAGTATGCCTTTTTCTTAGCCAGCTCTGACTACTAGTTAAAAATACTAAAAGGGGCTGTGTTATTTGAAATTATTGTTTAGCATTTCTATTTGCAGAGCCTATTTTAAGGAGGTTAAATCACTTTTTAATTTAACTAGTTAGGCTCCTATTGGATAGTGATGAGGTACCTTGACTACATTCTGGAACTAGGCATAATCTTCAGTAAACTGATATTAATGTATTTTCTTACTTTTAAATTCTTTTCATAAAAAGTTTCTTTATTTAAACACAAACAATGTAACAAAGCTTTTTTAAAAGAAAATATTTAAAGTAATATATATACTTTTAAATATAAAATTGTATACCTTTGTCATTAATTCATAACTTCTGGTAAACACAGCTTAATTTAACCTTGGCTTTATTCTTAGATTTTGATTGAATGCTTCTTTTATCTTACCCCGGATCATTTCATAAAGTTGTTACATAGACTTCTGGGCTTATGCAAGTTATTTTAAAAGCCATTGTAGTCGCTCAGAACTGGCATCACACATTAACTTCCAAATAAGGGATTTTTTTTGATCTGTCTTCTTTCATAAGTTTCTGTTGAAATCTTTCCTTTATATAACAGAAGAACTGAAAAAGGGAGAAAAACATGAAGGTCATTTTATGCTGATAGCACAAAAACTGGGTTTTTATCTAATCATGTGGAAGTGCTTTTCTCTCTGGTGTTAAATAAATGAGAAATATAAAATTTCCATTGATTTATAATTGAAAGCTGGTAGCTATATATTATTCAAAATTCAAAATATACTACAAGTCGTTGCTTTTTTAAAATATTGTTCTTGAAAATGTATTCTCAAGTTGATGGTGTGAATTCAAACAACGCATATGTAAAAATAGAAAAAGAAACAAAAATGCCTAGACTTCCCATTTGGTGGTTAGAACATATCCTTGACCTCTACCACAAATGGGTGTGTCTATCCATACATCACTGGGCCGTTTCAAAGAGTTTCCAGATTAGTTGGGAAGCTTTGTCACTGAATGTAATAAATAAAGCTCATATTTAGAGTTTAGAGTTTTTCTCTTTGCAAATAGCAAAAAAAAAAAAAAAAAAATTAAAAAAATAAAAATAAAAATATAAATAAAAAAATAAATTAAAAAGAAAAAAAAACACCAAACGAACAACCAAACAACGACCCCCCCCCCTCTTTTTTTTATTCACAGGACGACAAAATCCTCATGTAAGAATCTCAGGAACATAAACATAAAGCTCTGCTCATAGGGGCATAGCCAGTTGTTCCTATTGCCCTTTTACTGAAGTGCTGTCATTGTCTGGGGTAAATACCTGAGGTTTATTGCCTCACGCCAAGGAAATCAAAGACGCAGGCACACGAAGTGAGGTTAAGAGTGGAAGATTAACAGGCGAAAGAAAGAATAGCTCTCTCTGCTGCAGAGAGAGGGGTCCCAGAGAAATGGGTTGCCAGTTCTGTGGTGGAATGCAATGGGTTTTATAGATGAGCTTGAGGAGGCGGTGTCTGTTTTACATAGGGCATAAAAAAATTGGCCAGACCAGGTGTGCTATTTGCATAAGGTGCAAAACACTGGTTAGTACAAGGTGTGCCATTTGTAAAGCATGTGATAAAACTGGCCGCCCCACCCTAACCTTTTATCATGCTGATGGGTTCTTTACCTGGCGGGTGCCATGTTGCCTGGTTCTTTACTGTACATGTGGTGACAGAGAAAATGGAAGATGGCACCTCCATGTTGAACATACGTGGCTTCCAGTTAGCCCTTTTCTATTGGCATGGCTGCCAGCATTTACCCATGCCAGCTTTCAGCTTGCTTATCTATGTCTGCAGCTCAATTTTTCAGGCTGCTCTTTGTTAGAAAAGAAATGATTTTGGGGCTGCTTTTTGTTAAAAGGGAAGCCTTGCCCAGGACTCCTTTACCCTCACTATCTGCCTAAATAATTTCTTTCTATCGGCCGGGTGTGGTGGCTCACGCCTGTAATCCCAGCACTTTGGGAGGCCAAGGCTGGCAGATCACGAGGTCAAGAGATCGAGACAATCCCGGCCAACATGGTAAAACCCCATCTCTACTAAAAATACAAAAATTAGCTGGATGTGGTGGCATGCAACTGTAGTCCCAGCTACTCGGGAGGCTGAGGCAGGAGAATCGCTTGAACCTGGGAGGCAGAGGTTGCAGTGAGCCAAGATCGTGCCACTGCACTCCAGCTTGGCGACAGAGAGAGACTCTGTCTCAAAAAAATAAAAATAAAAAAAATTCTATCTTCTGTGTCAGTTCCTTGTGTTGAATACCTAGCATACTGTATCCCTTTATCCAGTTCTAATTTATATATAACCATATACACTTAAAATTATAAAAAATAAATGTTCCAGCTTCTTTTGAGGAGTCCTCTGGATTTCCTTTTTGTCACACCTCTTAGTTACTAATCACCCTTTTCTCTGCTTTCTTCTCCTTTATCTCCAATCTAGAACCACAGCTGAGAAAAGTTGAGTTGCTTCTCCCCATAGAACCTAGCACTGACTGCTCTAGTATTCTGCATGGTGGAACCTTTGAGAATATCTGGAGACAGGATGCTTGGCATGAAGGGTTGGGATCACCAAAATAGTGGGGTCACTCCAATGGAGTTAATGTCTTATTTCCTTTTCCTGAAAGAAAATAAAAATGTATTTACTTAAAATATTAAAAAGATCATTTATGAGCATTTTTCTTATATGGAATCAGTGGATACAATCAAAATAAAATACAATCAAATCAAGAGGTAATGGTAGGCATGTATTATTCTACGAGTGTGCATATTTAATAAAAATATAAAAAGCAAGCAAACAAAACCCACTCCAAAACTTTAACGTATTTATAGATATTTAATTATTCTTCTCTGTATCATGCTCCTTCTTGTTCCTATTATAAATTACAACAAGGCAAATTGTTGGCTTATGTGTCAGGGTATTTTTACTCTTTGTACTGACAATTTGCATTTCTTTTTCAATACTATGGAGAGGAAATGAGCTCTTGGTATAGTGTCCCAAGGATATGAACAATTCAGGCTAACATGCAGTAATTTTCCTTTCTGACAAATAATAAATGGAAAAGGAAACTGGAGTTGTGACTAAATGTAATGCTTGAATAAACATGTCACTCAGTTCAGGGGTCAGCTCTAGTCATAGTCTTAATTATTATTATCAAAATTGAGTTGTGATTATTGGAGTGGAATTGTTTTAATTTTTATGTCAAGACAGCTAAAACATCACAATCATAGCATCAAATGTCCGTTTGGCAGTTTATGATTATTGTCATTTACCGTATAAATGTACTAAATTATTTTTGAATACATAGCCATGGCTTTTGAGATGGCTAAAGGATACTCACTTTATTCTAATGAGAAAAGGAAAGAATGAAAGTAATTTATCTACTGATTTCTTTCAAGGTTTACAGAAAGTCAGGGCCAGGTCTTAGTAAGTTCGCTGGAGCTTATGAGGAGCCTGCTTCTTTGCCACAGTAATAAATGTTCATTACCTAAAAGCAGAAAGGAAGGCATCTCCTTCTTTATCAGCTTCTTGGTTCCTGGATTTGCTAGCATTAGAGCAGGAAGGAAGCAGCTGCCCAGATTCTAGTCTGAAGGCGTGCTGGAAAAATAGGTCTTTCTTATTTCTTTAAATGAAAGAGAAAGATTCCCTGGTCAGTAGGCAAAAAATTGTAGCTGCCTTTAGACTTATTCACACCAGTAAAGAAAATGGTCCACAAATATCTTCCAGTTTGTTCATGTTTACTCTGTGCGTGTGTGTGTGTGTGTGTGTGTGTGCATGTATGTGTATCTGAGTTTATTTTCATATCATAGTCATCAATATATTTTTGGAAAACTAGTCTTGCAAGATGATTTCTGAAAACTCCTCTGGTCTTACAGCATTTCTCTTCTTGAAGAGTCATAATACCTACTAACATAATAAAGGTACTGGAGAGTCTCAAAGTAAAGAAACACTTGAACTTGATTTGACCCAGAATTTCCCTAGCTTCATTTGACCATGAAGCACTTTTTCTCATAATGATTAATAATATTTCAGTTCTGTAAACATATTTAAGAAATGCTGAATTAGATGATTTTTCCGAAGAAATTCGAATGAACATAATACTCTAATGACAGAGGAATGTAAAAATATAGGCACCTGCCAGTTTCAATGTCTCTGCCGGCTTCTTTAAGCTTAGCTTAGTCAATTCCACTTCCCAAAGCCTAGATCTGCTAAAGTATTATTAGGCCCACAAACCCCGTAAAATTCTTTCTATGCAAGTAGCAGCTGATAAAGGGGCTCGCTAAGGTTTTTTATTTTTATTTTTTAATCTTAACTAGAGTGTTCCTTTTCCTGTAATACGCTGCCAAGCCAGTTCTGTTAGGCGAGTCAATTAAATTACTTCCTGTCTCTTCTATCGTCTTCTACCATCTGATACTCAGTGACGTTGGGACCAAAAAATGTAGTTTTTTCTAAAAACATACGCTCATCCCAGGGAAAAAAATAGCAATGAAGAAAAAATGTTCCTCAGCTATCTGAGGATTCCAGTCCTTGGTGGTACTTGCAAACAGCAACAAGCTACATTTAACAGCACAGATCCGTTTGGTGTCTTACATTACTCTGTGAATAGAAATTTGGGCTATTTTCCTCTAAGACAACAGGAAAAGGTCTGAATTTCTTTGACCTTTGCTTGACGGTGAAAAAAAAAAAAGTAAAGAAAAGCACACAGTTATTAATTAACTTCTGTGAAAGATACTTTATTTGATTAATGGTTCACAGCTAAATTTAAATTAGGGGAGATATGCTGAATGACTACATGTTTACCCAGATTATTACCAGGTATGCTGCCAGGAATTTTATTAACCTGTAGGCTACTTATGATCTCTCTTCCCTCTACCCACTCCACAAACAAACACCAAAGAACTGGTCTACCAGAGTCAGACTGAAATCTTGACTGAGGACACAATGTAAATAACTATTAGTGTGTTTGAAATTAAGACAATGGATATCTTTTCCAGGTCATGGTGCACACATGGATTTTTAACTTTCTTAACAGAGCACATAACACAACAATGATTTGGAGTTGTCTGGATTAAATCAGATGGCAAAACCTGGTGATCAACATAATAAAAATTCCCTTTCCCCCTTCTTTGTCATTTCAGACAAAACTCTTGTGTGGATATCAGCTAGAAGAGGGTAACTACTGTCTTAAAAGAGTATTTCTTTTAAATCTTTTTAGCGTAGAAATGTCATAATACACAGAAGTAGAGAGACTAGTATGATGAGCTTTCATACACTAATCAATCTGTTAAAGAGCTAACAACATTTTGCGGATCTTGCTCTCTCTCTTCATTCCTCCTTTTTTTTCTCTTGAGTATTTCAAGCAAATCCCAGAAATCATGTCATTTTGCAGCATGCATCTCTAACTGGTGAGCCTTTTCTATTTCATAACAAGCATGCCATTGCTCAATCTGACCATTGAAAATAATTCCTGAATTTTGAGTCTATATAAATCTCCTCTATTTTCCCCCAACTTTTACCCTGACCCATCTCTTGATCACTTCTAGCCCCTCAAAGACTCTCGTTTCTAGGAATAAGTAGATCCACGAAGTGGAGGGCATTTTTGCCTTCAATCCAAAGCATCAACTTAAAGTCATCACATCACTTCCAAATTTCCCTAACTCTGAACTCTGCTGCTACTACTTTAGGGCATAGTTTCAATATCCATGGATTGAAAGCAAGGCCAAGTTATTTTGGTGACAAGCCAGAGATGAAATTCTAGAATGCATTCCACCTAGAGTCTGCTTCCCAAGCCCTTCAGGAGGCACACAGCAGGAAGTGGACTTAGCTATTGGTTACAAAGCAGGATTTCCTCATAGGGAGTAAAGTGTTTTCTTTTCATAAATATAACCTATTTATTTATATTTTCAAGTAATCTATTGCAGCCTTAGTTGTAGTAGGTCACTAGTTCATGCCTTCAATAAACTGTCATTTAGTGCTTACTGTGTGTGAGGCATTGCACTAGTAAAGAAAGAGGATATAAAACAAAAATCACTGCATAGAAAATAAAGTGCAGTGGGAATTTGGAAACAAGCTGTTTTTTACTTGAGTTCATGATGGTCAAAAGGCGCATTTGACTTGGGCCTTAAAAGACTTGTAGAATTTGAACAATTAGAGAGGAAGAAAAGCCATTGTGGGGGGAGGAAAGAGAGAGCAAGGCACAAAGGTGGCAAAAGTGAAGCGAGCTGAGCAAATAATAAGGAGATCAGTCTGGTGAAAATGACACTATCTTCAGGACAAACATCGTGGCTTATCGTGACCAGCTGTGCAGTTAGGTGTAGATATTATGTAATCACCCAGTAAGGAGAGATTCCAGTAACTGCTATCAGCCACTGCTGCCAGGAACTACTAATCAGGCAGCATGTCTAGAATGTTAAGACGATGATTATTAATCAGTGGCCAACCAAGAAAACTGATGCATGGCAGAGGCATCCAGTCCAATGTGATATAATAATTAATCCAACTGGATAATATTTTACCTCCGAATCCAATCTAGTGGTTGGGTCAACAGGCAAATACTCTGTTACTATGCATGTGAGAAGAAAAAGAACTTTTTAGCATTCTCAGGAGGCTTGCGAAGCTCAGGCCCCACTAAGTGAAGCCTCTTTTGTTGTGGGGCTGGATCCTCCTTAGATCTTCATAGAACAACCTCACATGCTTTTTTAATTTTCTTTCTAAGGGTCAAGACACTAAAACTATGTTGTTAATACAGATATAGCAAAATCTTCCTGACCCCAACCCCAAGCTTGTTATTGCTGTCATCCTTCAGCTAAAGAATGGACTCAAATTGGTGGTGACATTACTGATTTAGGTTTGCTCTGCTGTGCTCAACACTGAGATTAAATGTTCTGGATCAGAGTATAACTTTATATCAGACTAGTCCATACCTTAGTCCAGGCCATGTGCCTTATGAAGCCTGAGAAAAAGTGTGTTCTCACATGGACACAGGGAGGGGAACATCACACATGGAGGCCTCTCAGGGGGTTGGGGGCAAGGGGAGCGGGGGTATTATGTAACAAACCTGCATGTTCTGCACATGTATCCCAGAACTTAAAGAAAAATAAAAAACAAAACAATAAAAAAGTGTGCTCTCTTATTCTTCAACATGAACTAGAAATGCATTTTTTTTTTTTTTTGCTAATATCTTATCCTGTGTTTATTATGTGCTAGGCTCTGTGTCTGGTGCAACATAAGCATTAGCTAATTTAATCTTTATAACAACTCTATGATGGAAGTTAATATAATTATATCTTCATTTGAAAGTGGAGGAAACTGGGGTTGAGAGAGGATTAGTAATTTATGCCAGGCTACATAGCTAAGTGGCAGGGCTGGTTTTTGAGCCCTGCTGATTTTTCTGACAGAGCACAAAGCAGGGACGGAGGCCTGCATGTTGGGATGGGAAAGCAGGTGGGGAGAGTCCATTGATTCCCTCTGCCTCTGTACCTCTTCCTGTCTTCCTCATTTCTATTTCATTTCCCAACTCCTCCATCTCCCAGGTCCTTTTGTGTAATTGTTTAGTTCATTTATATAATTAACTGGTTTCCTCTTTCCTCAGGCCTTGCCTACTAGGAAATTGCAAGGAGAGCTAGCAAGTGAATGAATGAATACATACAGCACAATATAATGAATGCCAGATTAGGGTTGTTTTAGGGGCACAAAGAAATAAACAATGGAAATGTGAGGCCTGGGAAATGATACTTGAGCTCTGTCTTTGAGGAAGAGGTGCAGGCCAGTTGAAGTAGTAGGAAGGGCTCTCTAGGCAGACCTACTAGTTTTTGTATAGTCCCAAAGTTGGGACAATAGCCTGACACAGCTGGAGGCCTGCTCCTTGTTGGAGATAGCCATAGTGAATGCAGAGTGCTTTCTGGCAGTATTGGGAGATGAAGCCAGAGAGTATGGAATGTGCTACATTATGAAGCATTTGCGTGCTCAGTTAAGGAGTTTGACTGTCAGCCTGAAAGTTATAGGAAATTGCTAAAAGGCTTTAAGTTAGGGAAATGTCTAATTGTGTATTTTAGAAGTAGCATTCTGGCTGTAATCGCCACTTGCATAGCCAATTTCTATGCCTGGAGAAGGAGACCCTGAGTTTGCACCAAAATCATACACTACTTACCTCAAGAGATTTCAAATACCTCCATCACCCTGTGATCGTCCCTGTTGGAAGAGTTAAGTCTTTCACCTACTGTCTGATTTCAGAAGTCCTGCTCGGTTGGGTGCAAGGCAGCCTTTGCAAATTGGCCCTTAAGGAGGGGTTGTTGTGGCAACCACTCTAGCCTGCACACTAGGTGCAGGTTTTACATGGACATTCAGGTCCCTCTTTCTCTCAGCACTCTTCCCACCCACATTATCATGCGTCTCTATATTCTGGGCCCTTGCATTACCATAATCATTTTTTAGGTGGTGTTTTCTCTGCTGTCACTCCTGAGGGCCGGGGGGAGTTCAGGTGAGCAGCTCTGCAGAGGGTAAACTGAGGCAAGTGGGAGGGTAAACTGTGTAGCAGAAGCGGTAAATGGCATCAGATGAGCCACATCTAACAGACATTTAAGTGTCCTTAGCCAAGATAGACCTGCAGGCAGCTTAGAACAGTGATGCTCAAACTTTTTGCTCACATACCACTTAAATCCTACAGCAGAACTATGTACCTAATCATGCATTTTGAAGTTGGCACTTGTAATTATTCATTATATGTGTAAATAGCATTACTAGAAATTACGTTACTCTTTTTATTTATTTATTTATTTATTTTTTGAGACGGAGTCTTGCTCTGTTGCCCAGGCTGGAGTGCAGTGGCTTGATCTCCACTCACTGCAAGCTCCGCACCCCGGGTTCATGCCATTCTCCTGCCTCAGCCTCCCGAGTAGCTGGGACTACAGGTGCCCACCACCACATCCGGCTGATTTTTTTGTAATTTTAGTAGAGACGGGGTTTCACAGTGTTCTCCAGGATGGTCTTGATCTCCTGACCTGGTGATCCGCCCGCCTCGGCCTCCCAAACTGCTGAGATCACAGCAGTGAGCCACTGTGCCCAGCCACGTTACTCTTTTAAACGTGTACCATGGAATCCAGATACTCTAGCAGTTTGATACACTCTACCACCTATTTAGCCAACTGACCTATGACAAGGTGCTCTAACAGCATGATCAAATAGTAATGGGGTTGGTAAATGCAAAAATGATCGAGGGAGTGACAGCCATTCTTCCATGGACTTGCATCTCATGTCAAATTTTGCCACCATGCAGATACTGATGAACAAACATTAAGTAGCAAAGTTACTTCAAATCAGTTCTTGCTACTTTTTCTGTAAACTCAGTGACACACCAGCCCTCTGTTCTTTTATGTGCTTCAACTACTCTTTGTCTGAAAGAGTCACTTAAGGCCAAGAACAACATTCTATGGAAAGATTATGTTATATGAATAATTAGCACCAGCCATCTAGTATTCCTGTTAAGCCATTAGCTGGAGTCAGGACTTAGGGAATCAAGCCTAGCATATAGTCTGTTAAAACAAATATAGATAAGTGTCTAAAGTATGTTTAGCCAAGCCACATATCTGAATTCTCTTAATTATGTCAAAGAGCCAATTTCCAATATCCATCATGCTGATCAACAGGTCAGTATTTCTATTAATTAAAACCCATTTCTGACATTCACAATATTCATTTAGAAAGCCTCAGTTCTAATGGAGACGTGGATAATGGAAGACTTTTGTTAGCTGTATTTGGATTAGAAAGTTCCCTTTTAAATCCCCATCTGATCACTCCTGGACCGCATGTTTTTCATTAAGGCAACGGACTTCTCCTATAGTGAAAATTTAAACTAATTGGAACAAACAAAAAATACTATATATGTTGAAATATTTTAAGATTATTTATAGACATTGTAAAAATTCATTAAAAAAATACATGAACACATTTTCTTATCAGTCAGAAGTTTGAGATCGTTTTGTTAGCTTCTTGTAGTTATATTTCTATCCTACTTTTTCCTTTCTAATTTTATCTTATTCTTTAAAATCCTATCTTAATTACCCTATCTCATCTTTCTATAACAAAAATATTTACTGGAGCTTAAGTTATCTTGTAATTTTCTCTGACTATAAGGCTTTAAATGTAGAAAAAAATTATACACATAATCAAAACACAGACAATTTGAAACAATCATTAACTTAAAAGGAAAATTTTCTTGATGGGACACCTCTCATGGAATTGGTAGTGGCTTATGTTTTCCTCTGGTTGGTTCACATATCCATAGATGAACATGACCAATTTCTAGAGTGAATTAGGGTTCAGCTACAGCTGACTCCTATTTTTCATTTTCATAGATGTAAGTATGGATAAACTTTGTTTCTATAAAAATAAATGTTAATAGAAAGGATTTTGTTATGGCTGGTTTAGAGCAATGGAAACTGTACAGAGCTGAGAGTCATGGCCCCAACTTCTGTTTCAGACATAAAAATGACATGTCCTTGGGAACTTGCTAGGTCCTGGATTCCTCCTTTATAAAAATACAGGATAGCCTAGAGGAGTTTTATGCTCTTTATAGCTCCATCATTCTATAATAATATGAAAAAAGGTAGATTAGAACCACTTGGCCTTATTAGGTAGATAGTATATTTATATATACATATAAATAAAGGAAACTGATATAAATATGAGGTGAACACCTGCCTTTAAGGTGATTGTAACCAAACTGGCTAGCAAATAACATTAATTAAGTAGGGACCAAATCAAGATTGCATATAGTTAAATGTTAAGTATCATGATACAGACAAGGTAACAGTTACATTAAAGGTTCAAAGATGAGTCAATTAATCGGGGCTAAACTCTGCAGAGGAGACTTCATGGAGAAAGTGAGATCTAGAGAGGACCTTATGGTTAAACATGAAGGAAAGCAGACATGACAGAAGCCTGGTCTAGAGGGAGCAAGGTGACTGTGTGGATACTTACTGCTAAGGAGTAGAGGGGCTGAGGTAATAGGCACGGCCCTCAATAATCTGAGGGCCCCGGGATGCAATTAGAGACAATTTATAACAGATTCTAGTTATTCATGGCAGTTATGAGGTCACCACGAACACTGAATTAGCAAATACGGAATTTTTGATCCTAGGGGAAATTCAGGGTTAGGTTCCTGTGGGCCTCTGTTCGCATTTTCTACAACCAAGCAATACATAACTTTGTTTGATATGTGTTTCTGTTTAAAGACACTTTATATATGTTGCCAACTCATTAACATCGAACTCACTACCAACACATTGTAGCTTATGCTTTGACAGGGCTTATCTAATATACGTGTTTTCTCCCTGAGAAATATTCCAGGCTTCTTGCACTTAGGAGCACTATGTAGCACTTGAGCCCTACAATTGGGTGTCATTTTAAACAGCAAAATTATGAATGAATGGCACAAAAATATGAGACAACATGGCACTAAATAGACCATAGAAGGGACACTTGTTTAAAGTCTGAGAGCTGAAACAAGAAGGCAGAGTGTTGCCCTGTTCAACCTCAGCTGGGAACATGCACATTGGGTGACTCAAAATTTGTTGCTCTGCGCATGCCTATGAGTGACCCTGAAAGCACTTGAGTGTTGATTTTGGGATTACAGAAAAATTTTATCAAGTAGATGAATTCACAAATAGGAAATATGTAATAATGCGATCAACTATATTTTGATGAGGCAGGCTGTAGCCAGCCATTAACAAGATTTCAGCAGTGGAACAATGCAATGAGCTATATTTAGGAAGCCAGCTTGGTAATCCATTCACTCAATTATCAATCGTTTAAAGAAAACTCACTGTGTATTAGAAGTTGCACAGACTGCTTGGAATGCAAATGAATAAATATGGTGCCTGCCCTTAAGGAAATCACAGGTAAGAAGACTCAGTCTAAGGGAGAAGCCTGGGCTGGCAATGGGGAGGATGAGGGTATCAAAAGTCTTATTGCCAGAATAATTCTTAAGGTGATGAGGACCTGGTATTGCAAAGTGACTGTGGGAGTGAGGAGGGGGGGCAAACAAAAAGAGCATTAACTGGCTTATATTTTTGCTTGAATATTACAGTGAGGAAGAACAACTCCCATACATTTCATATTTAAGGCTGAGGAAGGGTATGCAAAAAAAAAAAAAGAAACTTAAAAAAAAAGAGAAAGGGATGAAGGTATGTGCTTCTGCTCCAGTGAAAGAACATGGCTTCCTCAAAGTGGGAGGCTTGTGAAGGGAAGTCATCAGGACTGCTGTTTGCTTCAACTGTCATTATTTTTAAATTGAGAATGATGAAAATTTCATTATGTAAAATTAAGAATGAAATAAATCAAAACCAAAAGACTAGATTTACTGCTGCCAGTGGAACACACAAGTTTTCCAGATTCCAGATATCTTATTGTTTCTATTTAAATCAGCTCTGAAAAATCTAGTAACAAAAATCTATTAACATCGTCCATCTACAATAACCCAAGTTCAGCAGCAAAGTGCTTAACTGTTAACCTTTTCTTGGTAGATGCATGTTGCTTTAATTGTTTTCTATTTTCTGATTTTTGGGAAAATATTTTCTCTTGTATTTAGAGAAATAAGTATATAATATCTGGATTTATTAATTAATAACATTCTCCTTATACTGCTTTGGGGCAGCTTTGGAAGAAGTTTATAGTTCTGGGGTAACAGATCCCAAACTGGGTTTCATTTTTTTCATCTAGAGTTTGATAACCAAGATCGGATAACATCTGCCCCAAAGAGCTTCTCCTTTTCCTAGGCAGGCTCATGAGTTGGCTGGGTTTTCATTTTGACTCAAGTAAATTCACCAAATAATAATCTGCTCTCTGAGTGCCAGGCACTGTGCTGGGCCTGGGGATGAGAAAGATAGAAACATTCTTATTGCCAAAGAATTAGCAATTATCAAAGGCTAAGGGAGTCTTCAGGCATTAAATTTTGCTTAGTGCTTTACCTTGCAGACATTAACCTCTCATTGCCAAAGTGAAAGGTGAAAGGAATAGAAATGTGAATGGTAGAGCAAGAAGAGACCATCTGCTTGGCCAAGGCTCTGCTTTCGGACGCTTCTAAGCACCTCTTAAACTCATTGGGTAACGAAGACTTTCAAAATCCAACCTTTATAATGAGAAAGAAAGCACATTCTGGAAGAAATGTGAATCAAGGCAAATACCTTCACTGAAAACATTTTCCCACTTCTCTCATTTGCTTTTTTTCTTCTCCAAAATGCCTATCCCATGAAAATACTCCTTCTCTACTCCATACCATGAACAGTTTCTTGTTAGGAAATAAACAGCAAACAAACTCAATGCATTGACAGGGTATTATTGGTAATACAGGTGCACATGCAGAAGCATAAAAATAATAAGACATTTCAGGCTGCCTTGAGGGTTGCTATTCAGGAAAGAGTTTGATAAGGGAGTGTTTCACACAGCATTCTACTTGCAGATGCATGCTGAGGGTTATCTTGTCCTTGTTAACCTGGAGAATAAATTCTCATACCCTCCCTTAGCTTTTATTACCAGAAAACATGGTCTTTGTTTTAATAAATGTCTGTGACTCTAAAGGATTATTCTAGTAAGGTCACAATACCAATGTGTTTTGAAGGCCACAACACCAAAATTCTATAAATGCAATATTGTGAGGGCTGTTGAGAAATGAGGATAATAGGCTGATTTAGTCATATGCCTCTTCATGTAATTGCTGAAAGCAATACGAAATCATTTGGTTGCATCTGTGGGATATGATGGGACCTGTTTGCTGCAGGAAAGGGAAGGCAGCTGCCTGTGGGTGTGGCATGAGGAAGGAAGGAGCTGCCCACTCTAATGATGAGTCTTTCTGGTCGCAAAGTCTCATCCTTCCAGTCCTAAGAGCAGAACACTAGAGAAAAGTAATTGCCTCTTGAAGGACTAGTTAAAACAGAAATTCCCTACTTTGTGGAACTGCTATAATTGTAAAAGATTGTTGCATGTATGAAATGAGATAATCCATGTAATGTGCATTGTTTAATTGTGTATATATTAGCTGCTGCTATTACTTTTATCATTGTTATCATTCAGAAGCTCTTGCACTGACTACCAGGGTCTAAAGAATTTGTTGGTCAAACCTCACCTCCTCTAAGTGATGATTCTTTGTTTTGACTGAGCCCAATGGCACTGGTACAAGTCACTTGCTAACACAGGGGTGCAGCTGTGTTCAAATGAGTCATGTGGATGTCCTGTATTTCACTTTTGATGATTAGATGGAGAAAAATTAACACGGAATAATATAAAGTCTAATAAGTCATACTCCACTTCTGAGAAATGTGTTTTGGTTAACAAACTCTTTTCTAAGGTATAAATAAACTGGGTTTCATTTTTCTCATCTAGAGTTTGATAACCAAGATCGGATAAGGCATGAAGATGTGTTGATGCCTAGAGTGTGTAGGAAGGGGAATCTTGCACTTGGGACCATTGATGAAAGGCCGACTTTGTTTGGAGGAATGGCCTGGTGGAGTGCCAGCCCCTGGGTGCCTGCAGGACCAGGCCGGTAAGAAGGAGGTAGGAAGGTGAGGGAGCGTACTTTGCCGAGGGCGGGTGAATGGCTGATGTGGCACTGAAATTCCCCAGCAGGCTGCCTGTAGCTGGCTATGGGATAGGTTGCCAGTGCCTGGGGTGAGATGTCAAGGCTAGTTTGGAAAGCTGCAATTTAAAAATGTATTGTATTTTTGGCCAGCTCAATGTCTTCTAATCCAGCTTCTGCAGTTTATTCCAGTTCAGCAGTCTCTCTCCTCTCAGTCTTGACTTCTTTTTCTGAAGTTAAAATAGAAAAGAAAAATAGAAACCATGAGAAAAGAGAAGAGCATTTTCCTCCTTTTCCTGGTGGAAAAGTGGATCAGGTTTCTAGGTCTCTTATCTCTCTACTTTTTTCATCTTTATTATGTACACAAGCCAGGGCTTTTAAAGCCTATGCCTAGAAATGCTTAGGGCCTTTTGTATTTTTTTTTTTCAAATTGATCTCTTATGAAGAAGTGCCACCCCTCCCCTAACTGCTAATAGAATTAGTATACTTAAAAATTAATATTCTAGCCTCTTCTAAATACAGAAGTGAAGATAGCAAATTATCTTCGTATTACGTTTTTATACTTACGTGAAAAATCGTAAGTTCCCTTTAGTTATGTAAACAAAGGAGTCTGTTATGTTGAGGAAAGGATCCCAGCAGTCTTTGAATTTTATAAAGACAGCCTTTCTCTGTATTTCCTTGGTATGCAGTTCTCTTAGGAGAACTAGTTGGGATTAATGGACAAATCAGGAAAATAAAATAGACATGATGTGTTTGTACCTCAGACTGGTGAAGTGTGTCAGACCAGTTATATTCCCAAGGGGATTATGAAAGTTTTTCTTAGGGCACCTGAATAGGTACTTGGATGAAAACCAAGGAAATGCAACAGATTGTTGATGCCAGGTTCTCAGTGGGCATTCCTGTAGACAACTGAGAAGTGTAACTGGTCAGGAGAGCATATCCAGAGTGTTTTTGTCAACTTGGAGAGAGAGATCAGGTTAATTCTTATTAAATATCTAACATATAGAAGGCATGCTCATCTCATGAGGGCATTCCTCACCTCACAATGCCCCCTTTCCCAGCCCTTCTCTTACCTGTACCCTAACACTTGTGATTTCCACATAAACAGGCGCTTTGTCTGTCTTGTTCACTGTTGAATCCCCAGTGCTTAGAACAATGTCCAGCCCCCAGGAAGTACTCAATAAATTACCCATTTTAAATTAATAAATGAATTAGCTTAAACTGGGAAAAATATTGAAGTTGTTGAATGACAGACTTAGGACCTTAAAGAGATCTACTAGAATTATAAGTTGAATCTACCATGATAAAATGTAATGGGGAAAAAATGAAAAACCCCACCCTTAGGTCAAAAATCAACTATACAATGTCCCAGATGAAGAGAAACAACTTGGCAATATCTTACGTGAAAATTTGTTCGACAGTAAACACAACATAAATCAGCAATGTGCTATGATTGGGATAAAAATTTAATATGATTGTAGGCCATGTTAATTTAGATATAATATCTAGAATAGAGAAGGTAATAGCACTTGTTTATGTTGATATCAGGTGGTACTTGGAGTAGTATATTCTATTCTTCTATAGTGGTTACTAAACTCAAAAAAAGATATAAGAAATTAAGAGTGTGTTTAATGGAGACTAGTCAAGGCTATGAGGGAACTCAGAAAGTGCAGGATAATTGGTAACATTGAGGACAGTTTTAGGCAGCCCAAGAGAAGGTTCAGTGAGCTTCAACCTCCATGTATCTGAGGAGGAGCTATTCTTTGGAAGAAGTATCATATTTGTTCTTTGTGTTTTCAGGGGCCAAACCTAGGGCAAATGTGTGGAGATTTCAGGAAGACACATGTTATCTCATCAAAAAGAAAGAGTTCTTGGTTGTCTGAGCTGCACTGAGCCTCATGGAGAGTAAGTCTTCTGCTTCTGGAAGTTTTCAAACAGGTTGCAAAAGACTGCAGGCTCAAGTATCCAGCTGAACTTGAGGATGTGTAAGATATATTCAGTAGAGATAAGTTGTGTCGGCAGATGGGGGCTGCTAGGAGAAAGCACATTTTCACTGATTTCAGGGCCAGCCCAACATTAGAATTCTTTCTCATGAACCGCACTGCTGGGATACAATTTAAGAGTATTCTCATTTACCTGGTCTGGCTCTGTGAAACCTGCGTAATGTAACTCAGATCACCTGGAATTTGTAAGGAGGTGCAATTATTCATTTAACAACTATTTATTGAGCACTGGCTCTGTGTACTGAAGTACTTGCTAGAGGTTGAGGTAGAATAATAAACAAGATTCATTTCCTGTCCTTAGGAACCTTAAAGGTATAGTGCCCACAGGACCTCTGCTCTAAAGACTAATATTTCAGCTTGGAGGCTCCATTCTCAGACTTGACTGAGCATTTGGTTCACTGCCTTGTATAATTTGTGTGCTTATTGGTTCTCCACATGGACTAGCATTTCCTTGAATTCAGGGATTATTTCTCATTGTTTAACTTTAGCACAATCTCAAAGCACAGTGGTTGGCATAATAGCTGGTATTCAATAAATGTTTGTATAAACAAAACAAACTATACAGATCACTGCCCTGCAAATGAGTTGAGAACAAGAATATATCCTAGGAAAGTTCGGTGGAGGGACAGTGTCTTAAAAAACTGAAGGAATCATTAAAAAGTCTTCTAGGCCTTGGGGATGGGGGCAAGAATGGGGTGGGGATTGGGTGGGAGTTGACAAATCCAGATTGGCTCCAAGGATGATGAAATCTGGGCCACAGAACCACTAGACAGGCCATGACAACAGCCTGGGTTATGGGAAATGGGTAATGTTGGTCTTTACTAAGGGGTCGCACCAGCCTTGGGAATCACTTAGTGTAACATATCATTCAGTACCAAATCACACATAGAAGAATGTGTTATGGAAATGTCAGAACTTCCAGTTGAGTCATTTAGAGAGAGGAAGAGGAGCAAGTAGTTTCAGAGAGGTCTGAAGCTTGGTTTTAAGTTAGGGAAGTGCTTTTCTTATTGCAGGGAATGTGGCTGGGCTCAGAGGGTCAATTCAGACCAAAAGGGGAGTCTACTAGCTCAAAGATGTGAGGTTAATTCTAATAAGCAGCATTTGGAAGAAGCTGAAGATCCTACAGGATCTGGAAGCCAGGTCTCCCTTGGACAAAGGGTCTGCTCAATGTAGTCTAGCATTCAAAATAGACAAGATTGTGGCAAGAAGAAACCAGAACTGACTGCCAAGCTGAGCCAGCCAGGTTGATCCAGGTGGACACTTACATTTGAATAAACAACATATGTTTTCATCTTAATCAATTTTTACATTTTGAATTTTATTTTATTTTCTCACATTTGTAAACATTCATTTTTCACAATTCCAGACTTAGTGAGTCTTTTTATGAGAGTGTGTGGGGCTAGGAGTGTGATCTCTGGGCTATGGAGACACATTTTTATGTCTGACATTTAGATCTGTCACTTATTTGCTGGGTGTCCCTGAGCAAGTTTCTTCACCTTCCTAAGCTTTAATTTCCTTGTTGTAAAGTAAGGGTGATGATAGTACTTACCTCATAGATTTCTTGAGAAAATTAAAAAATGTCTGTAAAGTCTTAACATAGCATTTGAGTTCCATAAATGTCAACTCTGTGGTTATTGATGTTACTACGGTGAAGAGGCAAGAGGGCACTGTGACGATTGCTGCCTCCAAGCTGAAAGAAAGACGATCCTCATATTTGAGAAGGAAGAAGAGATAAGAAATTCTGCTTTGGGCATGTTGAGTTTAACGAGTCAGTGGGAAATCCAGGTTGCATAAGGGTCCAGAAGTCAGGAACGGATAGGGCTAAATATTTGAATATATGCATCAAAATGCAGAGGTGGTGGGTAAAATAAAATAGAAAGGGAGAGGGGTCTGGCTTCTATATTCAAGGGTTATCAGAAGAGAGTGACTAACGAGGAGATCAGAAGGAACAGCTAGAAATAGATGAAAACCAGGATAAAGGCATGTTGAGAAAGTCAAAGGACGGATGTTTGATTATGGAAGAAGTGGCCAAGGAAGATAAAAGTAAGACAAGACTGGAGGTGGCCTTAGATTTAGCAATGATTGTACCACTTGTTTCTTTTATTAGGGCAGACAAGGGAGCAGTCATAGCAAAAATCAAACTGCTGTAGATTGAAAAATAAAGGAAAGGTAAAATATTCATAATATATGAAGAAAAAAGTCAAATTAAAAATCACATGTCTGGCTGGGTGCAGTGGCCCATGCCTGTAATTCCAGCACTTTGGGAGGTTAAAGTGGGAGGATTGCTTGGGCCCAGGAGTTTGAGACCAGCCTGAGCAACATGGTGAAACTCCACTTCTACAATAAAAATGAAAATGAAAATTAGCCAGATGTGGTGGTTCGCCCCTATAGTCCCACCTACTCTGGAGGCAGATGTGGGAGGATTGCTTGAGCCCCACTGTGATGAGCCATGATAGCAACACTGCCCTCTACCCTGGGCAACAGAGTGAGACCCCATCTCAGAAAAAATCATTTGCCTGTTATAACCCATTGTTATTAAACAATGAAGTTAAAAAAAGAAATATTTACATGGGGGATGGTATTTAAAGCATAATTATTTCTTTTCTAATATCACTTGCTGACTTCTTGTAAAGTCTGGAGGGCTAAGCTTCCCCTAGACTATTATTTTCACTTCTGTGCTGCTTCTACCTGCTTTGGACTTTCAGATCTTGCCTCTGGTGTCCTCTCTGCTCTATACTTGATGGCTGAACTCTGCTTCCGGAGTCTGCTTTTTGGTGCTCTCCAAAGACTGAACAATTACACAGCTCTTGCTCTTCCTGCTTCAGGCTGCTTCAGAAATGTACTCCACCCATCCCACTTGACCCCTGGGACACAGATTCCAGCATAAGAATGTGCCTGTGCCAGCCTGTCCCAGGAGGCAGGTGCACTGCTCTTAGGAGTTATATGATGAAAATATGTATGTTTCTGTGGAAGTATTGCTCATTAGCAAATCAAAGCCCCAGCAAAATTGGTTACTGTAGGAGATAATGTTCCCACAAAATCACTTCCCACTTTTCCATGCTGAGTCACGTCCTGGTTTCATTTTCTCAAGCAGGTAACAACTCCTGTCAATGACACAGAAAATTTTTTTCTTAAATCACTGATTGGAGAGTTTTATACACTTGAAGACAAGTTACGTTTTAAAGCTCAGTCATGGGAGAAGAAGGAAGCCAGGAGTTGATGGGAATAAACGTTTCCACTCACCTCAAACCTTCACAGCACTGCCACTGGTTCATGTGACTTTGGATGAATGCCCAGGCTTTCATTCTGTCATGTGTAAAAGGGAATTGTGATGCCAACCTTACCTGTTGTGAGAAACCCACGTGTTAATGGTTCAAAGGGCTATTAGAGCTGATTGTCCTTAGTAAACCTTCTTCAATTCGACCTCATTTTACTCCCAGAAAGTATCTCACCTTTTTCCTGACAGAGAAGCTCATCCTATGAAAGGGAAATGTTTAAGAAAATATAACCATTTAGTATGAATTGTAATCTCCAACTCAAAATGTTTCTTTACTGTTAGCCTTCCTCTGCTCTTGTGTGATGCTTAGGCCAGCCTGCTGCTACCTTGTCTCGGATTCTGGGAGGTATAATATTTTTGAAAGACTATCCTATGGTTTTTTTTTTTTCCCCATGGCACTTTCTCCTCTTTGTCTCTTACTTGCCTCCATATAAATAACTAGCCCATATGTATTGCCTCAGGAGAGGGAAAAAGCTTTGTTGGGGCTTTTGTTTCTTCATGAGGGCTTAGAACAGGAGTGAGACCAAGACAGAAGCGGCTTGGAAACTAGGGAGGAAAACTTTTCACCCATGGCCTCCCCCACCAGGAAGGATTCCTTGGGCTATCAGAATAAGAAATAAATGAGAAAAGGCAAGGAAGCTTGGGGGGGTTCCTGGAAAAGGTCCTGTGCCAAGCTGGAGGCTTTGACAATAGCTCTAGATAGCTTGGGGGATCTGAGAGGAGAGACAGCCTATACCTCATTTCTCTTCAGAGCAGCTGGTGAGAGAAGGGAAAACAGCTCTGCCATGTGGCTCTAACCAGATGGGATGTTAGACGGCTCCTAGAGTTTCTCACACCGTATTATCATGAGGGAGCAGCAAATGACATCTTTGCAACCAAGAATGGTGGAGAAGGAGTTCCTGAAGGGACCGTGCAGGTGGAAACCAAGGACATTTTTTCAGGTGCCCAGATGGACCAGCCACTGAGGAGGATGTGTGATCTGAGATGGGACAGTAGATGCCAGTGTGAGATGACTCTGAGGTTCAAATGCAAGTGTTCCTTCAATTGCCCACTCCCATCACACACATGTGCACACACACACTAGCCACACACAGGCATGTCAACCACACACACCTTAGTACTAAGTAAGATTGAAGAATTTAGATGAAAATAAAACTTGGAGAGAATTAGGTTACATTTCTACTACCTCAGTGGAATAGGGACTCGAGAAAGAGATTGGTTTCTGAAACAAATAAAGCTGTATTTCTCACATATCAGAATTTGTAGACTAAGATGCTTCCTACACTTGATTAACTGTTTTTTCTTCTTTTAATCTCTTCTCTTCTTTTTTTTTCTGCTGTTATCCATCTCTGTTACTTTCCATAGCCACTTCTTTCTTGACTTACATATGTGCGCAGGCCTTTTCTAACATTAATGCCAAAAAATAGTAAACCACATGTCCCCAGCCCTCCCTGATACCATCTGTTTGCAGCTCACTAGGACCAGCCTCATTATTTTCTTAACTCCTGTTTGTTTCAGTTGCTGTAAGAAGCCCCAGACTTCTTCTGGTCTCCCTTTATCTTCCGCACTTTTCATGTAATTCTGCACATGCTCGATTTTGTACCATGTCCAATCCCTCCCCAGCTCCTGAAATATTTCCATTGGACCCTCAGGAACTCATGGAACATCATAGCCAAACCTTTGTAGCATCAGCTGTTTGGATTCCTGTGCTGATCATTTGCCTGCTTGTTTTCAGGCCTGTTTCCCACTTTTCCTCTCCTCTGCTCTCTATTACAGGTGACAGAGCTTGGCAAAAGCTCTGTTGTCACCTGGCTGCCATCTAGGCTCAGAAAACAGAAAGCACTGGTGGGACATTAACGAGTGGTGGTAAAGGAGAAACAGGGTATTCCTCCCCATCCTCTCCACATCAGCCTCTCGCAGTGTCTTCTCTTTTGTTCTGGTTCCTTCTGGATGAACTTCCTCTTTGGTCCCAGCTTCCACCTGGTTCCAGGTCCTGCCAGGTGGCTGAGCTCCTGGGCATGGAACCATCTCCTCCTTCTCTGGGCTTTCCAGAAAAATCACTGACAGTGGCCTTCTACTCTTGTTAATCTCTGAGTTTCTTTACTGTACCTCATTGGGCTTCTCAGCTCTTCCAGTAACTTTTATTAACATAACCAACTCCTTGAGTAAAATAAACTATCTGATGTGGGTTCTTTTCTCCTGATTGGACCCTGACACAGTTTTGTTCACCTTCCTGCTCTGACCAAAACCAAGATCTTTTTTGAGGATCCTACTTCGCCTGTAGCCCTTTCCTTTGGTGACATTTTTTTTTCCTCTTGAAACTCTACTTCCACTGAGTCTAGATATGGGTTAGGTGTCCCTCCTTGTTTCTTACTACCATTTTCAGACTGTTCTTCTTCCATTCTACCCTAAGCTCTTCGAACTTTGAGTCTCACTTCATCATACTATACCTTCTACTGTCCTTCATCTCTGGTCCTTGGATTATTTGTTTCTGGATGAATTTAGCTACTGGCTCTTTGTTACACTCTTCAGTACTATTCCTGTCTCAATTCTTGGTGATTTCAACAAAAATCACAGCACAAATGATTCCTTCAACACTGCCTTTTCCATTTCTGGAACTCCCCTACAATGATGATATTGCTCTGTATTCTACCTCAACCACTCATTTCCCTGGTAATATCCTAGGCCTTATTATTCCCAATGACTGCAACCCCTTCATAATCTCAATTTTATATATGCTACTCTCTGATCTCTTTGTCTAGTGCCCTGCCCTACATTTCTAGCTCACTCTCTTTAGTACCTGAACTCCATCTATCCCTTAATCCCAGAATGGATTTCAGTGTGTTGGTTCTTCTACTTTTTCACTATTTATTATTCCTTATGTATTTATTTCTTTCTTTATCCAGATTAAATTCCATGTCAATTATTTCTCACTCCCATGCATACAGCCTCAAATACCTCAAGCCCCTCTCTTGCTTTATTATAACTTGACAGAACCTCAATCCTGATTAAAACCCATTTTCCATCTACTCTGCCCCTGAATCTGAGCAATTTCATACACCTGGGCAAAAACACAGCCACTGGGTCAGAAACCTGTCTATCAAGAGGCCGTTAGTGCTGACTGAGAAACAGACTACATTTTCTTAGTCATTCACTCGCCCTCTATTCCAGATGATTATTTTACGCCTTCTCCTCCAACCTCATGACAATCATGGAGGTGTGTCACTCAGATCTCCTGCTGAGAGTATCTGTGGGGCACAGGTGATGGACAGCCTCTAGCTGCTGCACAATCGGGTTCACTGTGGCATTCATAGTAAGACCATTCGTCCCCTGGACTTCTCCCAGCCAGTGACTGGTGGGAGTACTAGAACCAGGCCACTCCTATCAAACATGAGACTGCTTTAATGGGATTCTTTGCTTTGGGACACTTTATTGGCCTGGTGAGACATTCTCAGAATTGTACTTCAGTCTAAGTCTCTTTCTCCTTCCTCTCTTCTTTCAAAGCTGGAAGATTTGGATTGAAGTTTGAAGACTCTTTCCATGTCTCTTGCTTTCTCTCCCGTTATTATTCATGGATGTTTCCCCAATGAATCTCTTTTATATCTATTTGCATCTTGATACCTGCTTCTTGGAGGATCAGAACTAGTTTGGAACACTTGAATGCTGTCTCCTAATACTCCCTCTTCACTGAAGATTTTGTTTTTTAAATCAATAAGAAAATCGAAACCACAAAGTTCCCACACCTTATTTATTCAGCTATCAGGACATGTTTCCTTATATCGTGTCTTTTCACTTGTTACCATAGATGTCATATCCATTTTATTATCTACAGGACAACCTCTCCACTTGGGCACCAGATTCCATCCCAACTTTGATACTCAAGGAAATATTTCCAGTAATTTTTTTCTCTTGTGTACATCTCCTCTCTTTTCTATATCACTAATCCCCCCTCTCTGCTATGTCATTCCTGTCAGCAAAAAGCATGTTATTTTGTCACCCATCCTAAAAAATACTTTCTTGTTCCTACTTTTTCCTCTCCCTACTAGCACATTTTATCCTCCTTTTCACCTAAACTCCTGAAATGCATTTTTTTTGTAGTATTTCTATACTTACAGTTTCTCTCCTCCCAATCTTTTAAATACAACTCAATCTTGTTTTTACTTACTCTACCAAAACTGCTCTTGTTGAGGTTAGCAACAGCCTCTACATGCCTAAATTCAATGGCAATTTTAATGACCTATCCATAGTACTTGATACGGTTTATCACTCTTTCCTATTTCTTTCTTATTTATTAACATCTAGGATACTGTACTCTTTTGGTTTACCTTCTTTCTCATTACTTACTTCAGTCTCCTGCTGGTTTCTCATATGCTTCCTGGATTTTTTTTTTTTAGTGACAATGGAGTGCTCCAGAGCTCTCTGCATTCACTCACTTGGTGATCTCATTCAGACCCATGGATTATTTATCTAGCTACTGACAAATCACATCTCCAGCCTTGAACTTCCTTGAATTCCAGACTTATATATCCATCTGCCTACTTGTTATGTCTAGTTGAATACCTCATAGATATCAAACTTGGCATGTCCCAAGCCAAAACCCTCATCTTCTCCCACACCTATGCAAATGGACCACAAACAAAACTGGCTTCACTACAGTCCTTGACTTCTTAGTTAATGGCATTTCCATTTGTCCAGCTGTTTGGGTCAGAAACATTGGAGATTTTCTAGACACTTCTCTTTCTCTCACACTCAATATCCTATCTATCAGAAAATCCTTGTGGCTCTATCCTTAAAATACATCTAGAACCCAACAAACTTTTGCCACCTTCATTTCTACCATCCAGTCCTCCTATCATCAATCATCCCTAATCTGAATTATTGCAACATCCTCTAATTAATCTCCCTGCTTCAGCTCTTACTTGCCCACAGTATTTTAAGAGATTCTTTTAAAATGCAGGTTTGCCATACCACTCTCTGCTCAAAACTCTCTAATAATTTCCCATTTCCTCCAGAGTAAAATCAGAGTTTTACTGAGAAGCTGAGAAGTGCCACAGCTGGGGAGGTTCTGAGTCACCACAAAAAGTCTTTACAATGGCCTAAACACCCTCCATGACCTTGGCCTGCTCCACCTTGGTACATCACTGACTTTAGTCCTTGCTCCAGCTTTTCTGGCCTCCTAACTGATTCCTCTGAAAAATCAAGTGCATTTCTACTTTTTGGCCTTTGCACTACTTCTTCCCTCTGCTTGGAATTCTCTTCCAAATGAATCTCTCACCTTCTTTAAGTCCTTGCTCAAATCTCACCTTCACAAAGAGGCTCAATTGGACCATACTATTTTGAGTGCAGTGTCCTCAGCACTCTTGTCATTTATTTACCTGGTTCTTATTTTCCCAATTGAACTCATCACCTCTTGATGTATTTTACTTATGTCATATTTATTGTCTGCCTTGTCCAAATGGTATATAAGTTCCATGAGGGTGGACTTTTGTGTCTCCAGGAAAAACAATAGTGCTTGGAATGTGGTAGACATTCAATAAATAATTACTGAATGACTATTGATTACCTATTACAGTTGGTTAATTTTAGAAACAAAAACACCACCAAGTATTGAGTGGCAATATAGCATTGTGCCTGAGCACACTCACTCAGGAGTCAGGTTTTCTGGGGTCTGTGAGATTCTGAACAAGTTACTTGACCTCTGCAGACATGGCTTTCTTATCTATAAAGTAGAAATATTAATTATATGTACTTCATAGGCTCTTCATATGGACTAGGTGAAACAGTAGTGTAAAGCATTTAGTAAAGTGCTGGGTACAAAATGAGAGCTTGATACATATTAGATATTCTTAATAAAATAGCAACAACAAATTAGTAAAAACTGTTGGGGCTGGGATTGAAGTGGCAGACTATTCATTTTAGTTTCCAAGTTTGTCTTTCTTTCAGATCTACATTGACGAAATAATTGTTCAGAAGTGGAGGGAGTAAGGATGTCGTGTTCCAGATCTTAGAAGAAAGGCTTTCAGTTTTTCCTGATTCAATATGATACTAGCTATGGATCTGTTGCATATGGCCTTTATTATATCGAGGTATATTGCTTCTATATGTCTAGTTTTTGAGTTTTTGTTTCATAAAGGTATGTTGAATTTCATCAAATGATTTTTCAGTATTAATTGATATGATCACATGGTTTTGTCCTTCATTTCATTGATATGATGTATCGCATTGATTGATTTGTGTATGTTAAATCATCCTTGCATCCTTGGGATAAATCCCACTTGGTCATGATGGATGATCTTTTTAATGTTTTGTTGAAGTTGATTTGCTAGTATTTCATTGAGGATTTTTGCATTAATGTTCATCAGTGACAATAGCCTATAGTTTTCTTTTTTAAATGTGTCTTTTTCTGGTTTTGGTATCAGAGTAATATTGGCCTTGTAGAATGGGTTTGGAAGTATGCCCTCTTCCTGTATTTTTTTGAATATTTGGAGGGGGACTGGTATTAATTCTTCTTTAAATGTTTGGTAGAATTCAGCAGGGAAGCCATCAGATCCTGGGCTTTTCTTTACTGGGGGATTTTTTTTATGACTTTTATCTCATTACTTGCTACTGGTCTGTTCAGGTTTTGGAGATTGCCATGGTTCAATTTTGGTAGGTTGTGTATGTCTAAGAATTTATTCATTTCTTCAAGGTTTTCTGCATATAGTTGTCCGCAGTAGCCACTAATGATCTTTTGAATTTGTACAGTATCAGTTGTAATGTCTCAGTTTTAATCTCTGATTTTATTTATTTGGGTTGTCTTTCTTTTTTCTTAGTCTAGCTAAAGGTTTTTCAAAATCATTTATTTCTTCAAAAAACCAACTTTTATTTTCATTGATTTTTTGTATTGTTTTCTTCAAGCCAAGTTAATTTTTTTTTCTGATCTCTATCATTTCTTCTACTAATTTTGGGTTTGGTTTGCTCTTATTTTTCCAGTTCTTTAAGATCCATTGTTAAGTTATTTCTTTGAATTTTTCCTTTTTTTGATATAGTCACTTATAGCTATAAGCCTTCCACTTATTACTGCTTTCACTGTAACCCATAGGTTTTGGTGTGTTATGTTTCCATTTTCATTGGTTTTCAGAAATTTTAAAATTTCCTTTTTAATTTTTTCATTGATCCACTGGTTATTCAGAAGCATATTGTTTAATTTCCATGTGTTTGTATAGTATTCCAATTTCCTTATTATTAATTTCTAGTTTAACTTCATTGTGGTCTAAGAAGATACTTGATATTACTTTAATTTTTTGAATGTTTTAAGACTTGTTTTGTGACCTAATATATGGTCTATGCTTGAGAATAATCTATGTGCTGAGGAGAAGAATGTGTATTCTGCAGCCTATGGCTGAAATGTTCTGTAAATATCTATTAGATCCATTTGGTTTACAGTGTAGATTAAGTTCAATGTTTCTATGTTGATTTTCCATTGGGAGATCTGTCCAATGCTGCAAGTAGTGTCGAAGTCTCCAGCTCTTACTGTATTGGGATCTGTCTCTCTCTTTCTTTCTAATAATATTTACTTTATATATCGGAGTGCTTCAGTGTTGGATGCATATATATTTACAGTTGAATCCTCTTGCTGAATTGACCCCTTTATCATTATGTAATGACCATCTTCATCTTTTTTTTACAGCTTTTGTCTTGAAATCTATTTTATGTGGTTTAAGTATAGCTACTCTTGCTCTTTTTTGTTTCCATTGGCTTGAAATTTTTTCTATCCCTTTATTTTCAGTCTGTGTGTGTCTTTATGGGTAAAATGTGTTTCTTGTAGGTAACAAATCATTGGATCTTGTTTTTTATTCCATTCAACCATTCTATGTCTTTTGACTGAAGAGCTTAGCCCATTGAAATTCAATGTCATTATTAATAAGTGCTTACATCTTCCATTTTGTTATTTGTTTTCTGGTCTTCTTTTCCTTCTTTCCTTTTTTTCCTCTGTTCCTTTTAGTGAAGATTTTCTCTGCTGGTATTATTTAATTTCTTGTTTTCTATTTTTTGAATATCCATTGTATATTTTGATTTGACATTACCATGAGGCTTGCAGACACTATCTTGTTACTCATTATTTTAAGCTGGTGACAACTTAACACTGTTTGCATAAACAAATTAATAAAGAAGCACAAAGAAAGTTAATAAAAACTCTACACCTTAACTTCACCCCTGTACTTTTTAACCTTTTGTTGTTTCCATTTGCATCTTATTGTAGCATTGTACTATGTCTTGAAAAGTTGTTTTAGTTACTATTTTTCCTTGGTTCATTGTTTAGTCCTTCTATTTAAGATGAAGGGTTTACTCACCAATTACAATTTTGTAATATTCTGTTTTTCTGTGTGCATACTATTACCAGTGAGATTTGTATCTCCAAATAATTTCTTATTGCTTATTAACACCTTTTTCCTTCTGATTGCATTTCTTGCAAGACAGGTCTGAGTGATGTAATCTCTCAGCTTTTTTTTGTGCGTAGGAAATTCTTTATTTCTCCTTCATCTTTGAAGGATATTTTTGCCAGATACACTATTTTAGGGTAAGAGTATCTTCCTTCAACATCTTAAATATATCATGCCACTCTCTCCTGGCCTGTAAGGTTTCCACTGAAAAGTCTGCTGCCAGATGTGCTGGAGCTCTATTGTATGTTATTTGTATCTTTTCTCTTGCTGCTTTTAGGATCCCTTCTTTATCCTTGATCTTTGGGAGTTTATTAAATGCCTTGAGGTAGTCTTCTTTGGGTTAAATCTGCTTGGTGCTTAATAACTTTCCTTTGATTGATATCTTTCTCTATGTTTGAGAAGCTCTCTGTTATTATCCCTTTGGATAAACTTTCTACCCTTATCTCTTTCTCTACCTCCTCTTAATAACTCTTAGATTTGTCCCTTTGAGGCTATTTTCTAGACCCTGTAGGCATGCTTTATTTTTTTTTAATTCTTTTTTCTTTTGTCTACTCTGTGTATTTTCAAATAGCCTGCCTTCAGGCTCACTAATTCTTTTTTCTGTTTGATCAATTCTGCCATTGAAACACTCTGATGCATTCTTCAGTATGTCAATTGCATTTTTCAACTCCAAAATTTCTGCTTGATTCTTTTTAATTATTTCAATCTCTTTGTTAAATTTATTTGATAGAATTCTAAATTTCTTCTCTGTATGATCTTGAATTTCCTCAGAACTTATTTTGAGTTCTTTGCCTGAAGGGTAACATATTTTTGTTTCTCCAGGGTTGGTGCCTGGTGACTTATTTAGCTCATTTGGTGAGGCCATGTTTTCCTGGATGGTCTTGTTGCTTGTGGATATTCATCTGTGACTAGGCATTGAAAAATTATGTATGTATTACAGTCTTTGCAGTCTGGACTTGTTTGTAATCATCCTCCTTGGGAAGGCTTTGCAGGTATTTGAAAGGACTTGGGTGTTGTGGTTTCAGCCATATATGCATTGGGGGCCTGTGCCCACTAACACTGTGATTTTTGCAGACTCATAGATGTGCTGCCTTGATAGTCTTGGATAAGATCTGGAAGAGATCTCTGGATTACCAGGCAGAGACTGTTTTTCTCTTTTACTTTCTCCCAAACGAACAGAGTCTCTCTCTCTCTCTGTTCTGAGCTGCTTTGAGTGGGTGGTGGTGAGGTGATACAAGCATCCCTGTGACCTCCACCACTGGGATTGCAGTGGATCAGACCTGAAGCCAGCACAGCACTGGGTCTCACCCAAGGCCCACTGTAACCACTACCTGGCTACTGCCTATGTTCGCTCAATGTCCTAGGGCTCTATAATCAGCAGGTGATGAAGCCATCCAGCCTTGTGTACTTTCCTTCAGGGCAGAGAGTTCCCCTATGCCCCTTGTCAGGTCCAGAGGTGCCATCTGGGAGCCAGGGACTGGAGTTAAAAACCATGGAAGTCTACTTGGTGTTCTAGTGTACTGTAGCAGAGCTGGTACTCAAACCACAAGATGCAGTCCTTCCCACTCCTCCTTCCTCTTTCTACAAACAGAGAATCCTCACCCCATGGCCACTGCCGCCACAGACCCATGAGGAGTATTGCCAGGCTACTGCTGATGTTCCCTTGAGGCCCAAAGGCTCTTTAGTCAGCTTGTGCTGAATGCTGCTTTCCCTGGGACTCACCCTTCAAGGGATTGGCCTTCTCTGTGGCCCAGAGCAGGTCCAGAAATGCCATCCAAGAGCCACAGCCTAGAATTGTGGACCCCAAGAGCCCATTTGGTGCTCTACCCCCTGTGGCCAAGCTGGCACTTAAGGTATGAGACAAAGTAACCTTTACTTTTCTGTCTGCTTTTCTCAAGCAGGAGTCTCTTCCTGTAACCACCACAACTGGGAATGTGCGGAGTCTCACCTAAAGCCAGCGAGTCTCAGAGTCTTACCCAAGGCCCATCAGGTACTATCTGGGTATTACTTCTGGTTATTCAGGGCCCAGGGGCTCTTCAGTTAGCAGGTGATGGATTGTGCTGGGACTTGGTCTTTTTGTTTAATGCTGCTGGTTCCTTTATGGCCCTGGGTATGTCTAGAAATGCCATCTGAGAACTAGGGTCTGGAAAGGAGGCCTCATGACTCTGACTGGTTCTTTATCCTGTTGTGACTGAGCTGGTATCCAAGGTGCAAGACAAAGTTCTCTTTACTCTCTCCCCTCTCCTGAAGTGAAAGGAAGGGGTGTTTTTTGGAGCCATGAACTGTGCAGCCTGGGGTTGGGGAAGGAGTCACACAAGCACTACTTTAGCCAGCCCAGCTGATGTCTCACTAGGTCATGTGCTCGCCAAATTCACTGGCTCTGAGCCCAGTTTAGCACTAGAACTTGCCTAGGAGTTGTAGTACTTGTGTCCTAGACTGCCTTTCAAGTTTATTTAGAGCCCCAGAGTACTTTAGCCCGAAGTAGTGAGGCTTGCCAGAAGTCAAGTTCTAATTGCTGGGATGGGTAATTCCCTTCTGGCTAGGGCTGGTTTAAATGTTCCTTCCATGAGTGGGCATCAGCTGAGTTCAGCCTGGTTTTGCTTTCTGCTGTGACAGGGCACGATTGAGTTCAATGCAAAGTCTCACGATTGTTGTGCTTAAACTCTTCCAAATGCACAGATTCTTTCTTCACACCATGCAGATGTTGCTAGCAGATGGGGGAGGGGTGGCATCTGTGACTCAGGAGTCTTTCCTACCCTCTTCAGTGTCTCTTTCAGGGATATGAAGTTAAAACTAGGTGCTGTGAGGGCTCACCTGATTTTTGGTTCTTATAAAGGTGATTTGTGTGTGTGTGTGTGTGTGTGTGTGTGTGTGTACATAGTTGTTAACTTGGTGTCCTTACAGGACATAGGATCATTGGAGCTTTCCACCCCTCTCCCACAAGTGCAATTTTGTTACATGCATATATCGCACTGTGGTGAAGTCTTGGCTTTTAGTGTATTTCAGACATGTTTAAGTTTGCTTCATTCCCAGAAGGAGGTGGATAGGCTTTCCTGGGCAATTAGGGATGTCGGGGTGGGTGGGGAGCATCTGCTTAACTCCCAGTTTCCAGGCAGCTTGCTTCAAAATGTTTCCAGACAAATGCATTTCAAAAAGCAATAAATTCTCAGAATAAATTCAGTTCTGAGCATTCCATGGCTGGTTTTTAGCCCACAATTTCTTTTCCATCTTGCCAAAACAATTTCTGAGGAAAAACTGCGCAATTCAGAGTGATGGCTCAGTGACAGGAGACATTTTTGCCCATGTGAAGGATCTTCAGATCCTGATTCTAAGCCAGAAGGGCATAGATTTTTTTTCTTAGATTGGCCAGGATGTTTTTGCGGATTTTTCTTTCATTCCCTGTAAACTTCATCCCCAAATTCTGATACCCTATTGCTGATTTCTTCAGTTTACCAGCAAAAGTTGTATTTGACATTGCCTGCTCTATGTTTATACCATATCTTTAGTCATCTGTTTGACTTTGTTGTCTTAATTCTTTAACCTTATATTTTATTACTTATTTCTTATTTTTTAGAGGTATTGCTCTGTTGCTCAGGCTGGAGTGCAGTGGCATGATCATAGCTCACTGCAGCCTGAACCTTTGGGCTCATGCAATCCTCCTGTCTCAGCCTACTGAGTAACTATAACTAAAGGCGTGCATCACCACACCTAGCTAATGTTTGAATTTTTTTGTAGAGATGGGATCTCACTGTATTTCCCAGGCTTGTCTCAAACTCCTGGCCTCAAGCAATTCTCCTGCCTCAACCTCCCAAAGTGCTGGGATTGCAGACATGAACCACTGTGTCCTGTCCTTAACTTTAAGTTGAAGAAGAAAAATATGCAAATAATTTTTAACTATAATCTTATTTATATTTTACTTTATTTAATAGCATCCCAGAAGAACAGACTGATCTGGTCTTATCATCCATGAGCTTTCTTCATTGTGGATCTCCTCATTCTTCACTCTGTTTCCCCCACTCTTTCTCTTCTCACCTGTCCTACCTCCTTGGCTCTTTCTTGTTTAGACATCCTTTCTCTATTTTTAATATTCTCTCTTGATTTAATCTGCTATGTCTCCTGAGCTTGTTAGGCTCATAGTGTCGGGGAACCTGCCCCGATATTCAGGTAGGTTCTTTCCTATTTTCCCTAAGTGTTGGCCGGCTTGAGAAATAAAGGGACAGAGTACAAAAGAGATTTATTTTAAAGCTGGGCATCAGGGGGAGACATCACATGTCGGTAGGTTCCACGATGCCCCACAAGCTGCAAAAACCAGCAAGTTTTTATTAGGGATTTTCAAAAGGAGAGGGAGTGGGTGAATAGGTGTGGTCACAGACATCAAGTACTTTACAAGGTAATAGAATATCACAAGGCAAGTGGAGGCAGGGCAAGATCACAGGAACACAGGACTGGGGTGAAATTAAAATTGCTAATGAAGTTTCGGGCACCATTGTCATTGATAACATCTTATCAGGAGACAGAGTTTTGAGAGCAACCGGTCTGACCAAAATTATTAGGTGGGAATTTCCTCTTCCTAGTAAGCCTGGGAGCACTATGGGAGACTGGGGTCTATTTCACCCCTACAGCCTCAACCATAAAAGACGGCCACGCCCAGGGGGGGCTGTTTAGAGACCCACCCCCAGGCACGTATTCTCTTTCCCAGGGATGTTACTTGCTGAGAAAAAGAATTCAGCGATATTTCTCCCATTTGCTTTTGAAAGAAGAGAAATATGGCTCTGTTCCGCCCGGCTTACTGGCGGTCAGAGTTTAGGGTTATCTCTCTTATTCCCTGAACAATTGCTGTTATCCTGTTCCTTTTTAAAGGTGCCCAGATTTCATATTGCTCAAACACACATGCTGTACAATTTGTGCAGTTAATGCAATTATTACAGGGTCCTGAGGCGACATACATCTTACTCAGCTGACAGGATTAAGAGATTAAAGTAAAGACAGGCACAGGAAATCACAAGGGTATTGATTGGGGAAGTGATAAGTGTCCATGAAATCTTTATAATTTGTGTTTAGAGATTGCAGTAAAGACAGGCATAAGAAATTATTAAAGTATTAATTTGGGGAACTAATAAATGTCCATGAAATCTTCACAATCCACATTCTTCTGCCATGGCTTCAGCTGGTCCCTCTGTTTGGGGTCCCTGACTTCCTGCAACATCATAGAATGTTGGAGGTGGCATGTTTTAGAGATCATCTGCCTCAAGACTGTAATTTGGGGGTAGGGGTTTTGAAGCTCAGAGAAGTAACATGATTTACCCAAAGTCCACTGTAAGGCAGAGGCAGGAATGAGCCTCATCCTCTGCCTTCTGCTCTGGTGCTTCTCTCTGTTGGGTTCTCCTTTCTTTTCTGTTACTCTAAGGCAGAGCTTGCAGATTGCTAGCTCAGAGGCCATATTTAGCTCATGGGCAAGTTTTGGTTGACCTGCATATAAGTAAAAAAAAAATTTGTTAATATTTAAAAATGAGGGACTTCATATGAGGTCTCAAGATAGACAGTAGAGTGGTTAAGAGTATGATTCCTAGAGCCAGGAGTCCTAGTTCAAATCCCAAATTTACTAACAGGTTACTGTGAAAGAATTAACTGACCAAACCATCCCTTGTGTTCTTTATCTGTAAAATAAGATTGATAATAGTCCTTATCTCATTGAGTTGTTAGAGAAATAAACAAGGATACATGCAAAGTGCTTAGAACAGTGCCTGGTACATGGCAAGTGCTCTACATGTTTGTTAATCAGCTGCTTTTTATCATCATTTCATGCTGCTGTGTTTCTCACTCAGAATCAGGAGGCTTTGCCCATTGTGTCACCTTCCTGGCCCACTTGCCTGTGTATATACCCTCTGCCCTTGAGGGCCAAACCCTTGACTCCATCAAAACCTTTCAGGAACAGTGAAATTTTGTAAAGTTTGTAAGCTCACTCTTATTTGGAGAAATGATCTGTCTGGATCAAAAATCATGTGGAGTAATACACAGTTAAAAATGTATTGTTGTTACTTGCAGATATGTAGAATAATGCTGTGGTCAGGAGATACTGAGCCAAACTATAGGTTCTAGAGCAATGTCCTTCAAGTTGCAGATGTGGACTCATTGGTGGGAAGAAAAATCATTAAAAAAGTTATGAAAAGATTTAAAAAAGAACTTGAATAAAATATATCATGTTCTATGAAATAAGGGCAACATTTTTTCTATGAAACCCTTTTCAATTACATATTCATGTGTTTGGGATAGGCTGTAAAATGCATTTCTTACTGTGAGTCCTCATCAAAAAGTTAGAAAGCCATTGTGCTAGAGAATCCTGTATTTTAATAAGTACATTGAAATAATTCCTAACTGACATATTCTTTCAATAGTGTACTTCCTCTAAAGTCTTCTCTCTCAAGAAGTTTCTTCGTTGTATTATTTATTTGCTTAACAAACCACTTTTTCATAGACACAGGGAAAATTCCATTACCAGGAGACTGCATAAGAAAATTGTCATCTAGCAGATTTTCTGATGTGATCTAATTATAACACATTCTTAACAATTATAATATCCTTGTTCAATAAGTGCTTTTTCTGGTTCTTGTCCATGTGCGTAAGAAAAGTTTGAGACTATGCATGGCTTACATTGTTGGAACAGTGGAGAGGATTTGTCTGTTAACAATTCTTTATTCTACCCTCAGGAGCAATTTCCTCATCTTACCTCACTCAGTGTTTACTAAGGCCTATATTCTGGCTACCTGGTAATAAATACCTTAAACATTGTGCTGAACTTTCATGACATACCCTATTCTTCCTTGTCCTTTTAAGGCTACCCTTTAAATTCGTTGTATCTGATTTCATTTTTATAAACAGAAGGAAGGTGGTCCTGAGCTATTTAAGGTTGAATTAAGTGTCCATCCTCCAACTTGAATCCTGGAGGCATCCTATTAGATGAAAAAATTAGCCAATTATCCTAAAAATGTATACTTATTTTATAGTTGTACTACTATACTGATATGTTATATAAATTACAAAACACATATAAAAGTTGGAGTAAAAAAGGGTGAAATGTTATATTGGTTCATTATCACACTGCTATAAAGAAATACCCAAGACTAGGTAATTTATAAAGGAGAGAGGTTTAATTGACTCACAGTTCTACATGGCTGGGAAGGCCTCAGGAAACTTACAATCATGGTGGAAAGGGAAGCAAGCACCTTCTTCACAAGGTGGCAGGAGAGAGAAAGAGCAGAAACTGTCACTTATAAAACCATCAAATTTCATGAGAAGTCCCTCACTATCACTAGAAATATATAGGGGAAACTGCCCCCATGATCCGACGACCTCCCACTAGGTCCCTCCCTTGACACATGGGGATTACAATTAGAGATGAGATTTGGGTGGGGACACAGAACCAAACCATATCATTCTGTCCCGGCCCTTCCCAAATCTCATGTATTTCTTACATTTCAAAACACAGTCATGCCTTCCCAACAGTCCCGCAAGGTCTTAACTCATTCCAGCATTAACCAAAAAGTCCAAGTCCAAAATCTTAACTGAGAAGGCAAGTCCCTTCTGCCTAGGTGTCTGTAAAATCAAAAGCAAGTTAGTTCCTTCCAAGATACAATAGGGTTACAGGCATTGGATAAATGCTCCCATTCCAAATGGGATAAATTGGCCAAAACAAAGGGGCTATGGGACTCAGGCAAGTCTGAAATCCAACAGGGCAGTCATTAAATCTTAAGCTCCAAAATAATCTCCTTTGCCTACAAGTCTCACATCCAAGACACACTGATGCAAGGGGTGGGCTCCCATGACCTGGGGCAGCTGCTTCACAGGATGGGATTGAGTGTCTGTGGCTTTTCCAGGTGCATGGTGCAAGCTGTCAGTAGAGCTACCATTCTGGGGTGTGGAGGATAGTGTCTTTTTTTTCACAGCTCTGCTAGGCAATGCCCCAGTGGGAGTGCTGTGTGGGGGCTTCAACCCCACATTTCCCTTCCACACTACCATAGCAGAGGTTCTCCATGACAGCTGCTCTTCCCTTGCAGCAGACTTCTGCCTGGATATCCAGGAATTTCCATACATCCTCTGAAATCTAGGCAGAGGTTTCCAAACCTCAATTCTTGACTTCTGAGCACCTGCAGACCCAACACCAAATGGAAGCTGCAAACGACTGGGGCTTGCACCTTCTGAAGCAATGGCCTGAGCTGTACTTTGGCCCCTTCTAGCCATGCCTGTAGCTGAAGTGGCTGGGGCACAGGGTGCCATGTCCCAAGGCTGCACAGAGCAGCAGGGGCCCCTGGGTCTAACCCATGAAACCATTTTTCCCTTGTAGGCCTCCAGGCCTGTGATGAGAGGGACTGCTGTGAAGATCTCTGACATGCCCTAGAGACATTTTTCCCATTGTCTTGGCATAATATTTGGCTCCTCGTTACTTATGCAGATTTCTTCAGCAGGCTTGAATTTCTCCCCAGGAACTGAGTCTTTCTTTTCTATCTTATGGTCAGGCTGCAAATTTTCCAAATTTTTTGCTCTCCTTCCTCTTTTAAACATAAGTTCCAATTTGAGATCATCTCTTTCAAGTTCAAATTTCCACAGATCTCTAGGGCAGGGGCAAAATGTCTCCAGTCTGTTTGCTAAAACAGAGCATGAGTGACCTTTGCTCCAGTTCCCAAGAAGTTCCTTATCTCTATCTGAGACCATCTCATCCTGGCATTCACATCACTATCAGCATTTCATTAAAACCATTTAAGTCTCTAGGAAGTCCCAAACTTTCCCACATCTTCCTATCTTCCTCTGAGCCTTCCAAACTGTTCCAGCCTCTGCCTGTTACCCAGTTCCAAAGTTGCTTCCACGTTTGCAAGTATCTTTATGGTAGTACCTCACTCTGTGCAGTACCAATTTACTGTATTAGTCTGTTCTTACACTGCTATAAAGAAATACCCAAGACTGGGTAACTTATAAAGGAAAGAGGTTTAATTGACTTACAGTTCCACATGGCTGGGAAGACCTTAGGAAACTTACAATCATGGCAGAAAGGGAAGCAGACACCTTCTTCACAAGGTGGCAGGAGACAGAATGAGTGCTGAGCAAAGGGAAAAGCCCCTTATAAATCCAACAGATCTCATGAGAACTCACTCATTATCACGAGAACAGCATGGGGGGATCTGCCACCATGATCTAATCACCTCCCACTAGGTCCCTCCCTTGACATGTGGGGATTATAATTCGAGAGGAGATTTGGATGGGGACACAGAGTCAAACCACATCAGATGTCATAAATCATATTTAAAATAGGTTATAAATTATGAAAATATTTTTTTGCCAATAATAATGATAAATAATATTTTTGTGGTTTAATAGTTGTATTATTTTTAAAACAATGTGATATTGAGAATTAAAGTTCTAGTTCCAAGCACAATTCAATTCAATACTTAGTTTTAGTGGTATAATGTTATATGTGAAAAATATAACAGATATCAATAAACAGATCCAAATAAAGAAGTATATTATTCATTGTTATTGCTCTATAAAATGTTTATTCTTAACTCTCATACACCAATCATGCTAGAGTTTTGTTGAAATTCTGTTTGTAATATCCATCTTCCCTAAGGCAATTAGTCTTTTAAAAGTCATCAAAATCGGATTCAAAACATATTGAAATACTTCATTTGGAGGATATTTAGCTGGGTTAAGTAATTCTGTTTCCATGTTCTTAAGTGTGCAGATATGAAAGGTTTTAGAGGTGGTACACATGATTTATAGCAACACAAGCTTTTAATCATGAAAATATTTCTCAATACACATTTTCAGAATCATTTTTTCTAAAATTTTAGAAAAATCAGCCAATTCCTCACTTAACATTGAAGCATAACTTTTTAAAAATTGTGATAAGAACACAACGTGAAATCTTCTTAACAAATTTTTAAGTGCACAGTGCAGTATTGTTAATTATATGTGCAATGTGTACAGCAAATATCTAGAATTTATTCATCTTGCCTAACTGAAACTTTATACTTGAACACATAAGTGTGATCATGCAATATGTCTTCTTTTGTGACTGGCTAATTTAACTCAGCATAATGTCCCCAAGTTTCCTCTTTGTTACTGTATGTAACAGGGTTTTCCTCATTCAAAGAATTGAATGTGGTATGTATATGCCACATTTTCTTTATCTTTTCATCTGCTGGTGGACATTTAGGTTGTTTCCATATCTTGCCTATTTAAATACTACTGCAGTAAACATGGAAGTGTTGGTATCTCTTTGAGATCTTGAGTTTAATTCTTATATATCCAGAAATGGGATTGCTGGATCATACAGTAGTTCCATTGTTAATATTTTTTAGGAATGGCCATACTGTTTTCCATAGTGGTTGCACCATTTTGCATTCCCATCAAGAATGCTCAAAGGTTCCAATTTCTCCACATCTTCTCCAACATTTGCTATTTTTTAAATCTGTAAAATTCCTTTAAAAAAAGGGAAAAAGCTTCATGATATTGGTCTAGCCAATTTTTTAAAAATGTGATACCAAAAGCACAAACAACAAAAGTAAAAATCTACAAATGGGACTACATCAAACCAAAAGCTCTGCAGAGGAAATTAAGCAATCAACAAAATGAAAAGGCAACCTACAAAATGAAAGAAAATACTTGCAAATCATATATGTGATAAAAGAGTTAACATTGAAATATATAAGGAACTACTATGACTCGATGAAAAAAATCTTATTAAAAATGTACAAAGGATTTGAATAGACATTTCTCCAAAGAACACATACAAATGGCCAACAGGTATATGACAAAGTGTGTAATGTCACTAAACATCAGGGAAATGCAAGTTGAAATCACAATAACATCTAATACCTGTTATGATGGCTATTAGAAAACGAAAACAGAAACAAAAGATACAAAAGATAAGTGGAGCATCACTTTTAATTTGAAGAGACAGATTTTCCTTTCTTTCTTTATTTTAAAAATTATATGCAACAGTGTATTCTACTGATAGCCACATAGCATTAAAGAAAAGCTCAACAAATCTGGATCACATGACTTTTTGTAAAAGGAAAATGGGTATCTTATCAGTAAGCGTGACATCTTTTAAGTACTTTGTCATAGCGGAACTGGGGGAATTTCATGAGGTACAAAAGATTTTTATGGTTACTCTCCACCTCATTACAAAGTATTGTCAAGATCTTGTTTTTCAGAGCCAAAGACAAAAACCACATGATTATCTCAATAGATGCAGAAAAGGCCTTTGACAAAATTCAACAACCCTTCATGCTAAAAACTCTCAATAAATTAGGTATTGATGGGACGTATCTCAAAATAATAAGAGCTATCTATGACAAACCCACAGCCAATATCATACTCAATGGGCAAAAACTGGAAGCATTCCCTTTGAAAACTGGCACAAGACAGGGATGCCCTCTCTCACCACTCCTATTCAACATAGTGTTGGAAGTTCTGGCCAGGGCAATTAGGCAGGAGAAGGAAATACAGGGTATTCAATTAGGAAAAGAGGAAGTCAAATTGTCCCTGTTTGCAGATGACATGATTGTATATCTAGAAAACCCCATCATCTCAGCCCAAAATCTCCTTAAGCTGATAAGCAACTTCAGCAAAGTCTCAGGATACAAAATCAATGTACAAAAATCACAAGCATTCTTATACACAAACAACAGACAAACAGAGAGCCAAATCATGAGTGAACTCCCATTCACAATTGCTTCAAAGAGAATAAAATACCTAGGAATCCAACTTACAAGGGATGTGAAGGACCTCTTCAAGGAGAACTACAAACCACTGCTCAAGGAAATAAAAGAGGATGCAAACAAATGGAAGAACATTCCATGCTCATGGGTAGGAAGAATCAATATCATGAAAATGGCCATACTGCCCAAGGTAATTTACAGATTCAATGCCATCCCCATCAAGCTACCGATGCCTTTCTTCACAGAATTGGAAAAAACTACTTTAAAGTTCATATGGAACCAAAAAAGAGCCTGCATCACCAAGTCAATCCTAAGCCAAAAGAACAAAGCTGGAGGCATCACACTACCTGACTTCAAACTATACTACAAGGCTACAGTAACCAAAACAGTATGGTACTGGTACCAAAACAGAGATATAGATCAATGGAACAGAACAGAGCCCTCAGAAATAATGCCGCATATCTACAACTATCTGATCTTTGACAAACCTGAGAAAAACAAGCAATGGGGAAAGGATTCCCTGTTTAATAAATGGTGCTGGGAAAACTGGCTAGCCATATGTAGAAAGCTGAAACTGGATCCCTTCCTTACACCTTATACAAAAATCAATTCAAGATGGATTAAAGACTTAAACGTTAGACCTAAAACCATAAAAACCCTAGAAGAAAACCTAGGCTTTACCATTCAGGACATAGGCATGGGCAAGGACTTCATGTCTAAAACACCAAAAGCAATGGCAACAAAAGCCAAAATTGACAAATGGGATCTAATTAAACTAAAGACCTTCTGCACAGCAAAAGAAACTACCATCAGAGTCAACAGGCAACCTACAAAATGGGAGAAAATTTTGCAACCTACTCATCTGACAAAGGGCTAATATCCAGAATCTACAATGAACTCAAACAAATTTACAAGAAAAAAACAAACAACCTCATCAAAAAGTGGGCGAAGGACATGAACAGACACTTCTCAAAAGAAGACATTTATGCAGCCAAAAAACACATGAAAAAATGCTCATCATCACTGGCCATCAGAGAAATGCAAATCAAAACCACAATGAGATACCATCTCACACCAGTTGGAATAGCAATCATTAAAAAGTCAGGAAACAACAGGTGCTGGAGAGGATGTGGAGAAATAGGAACACTTTTACACTGTTGGTGGGACTGTAAACTAGTTCAACCCTTGTGGAAGTCAGTGTGGCGATTCCTCAGGGATCTAGAACTGGAAGTACCATTTGACCCAGCCATCCCATTACTGGGTATATACCCAAAGGACTATAAATCATGCTGCTATAAAGACACATGCACACGTATGTTTGTTGTGGCATTGTTCACAATAGCAAAGGCTTGGAACCAACCCAAATGTCCAACAATGATAGACTGGATGAAGAAGATGTGGCACATATACACCATGGAATACTATGCAGCCATAAAAAAGGATGAGTTCATGTCCTTTGTAGGGACATGGATGAAATTGGAAGTCATCATTCTCAGTAAACTATTGCAAGAACAAAAAACCAAACACTGCATATTCTCACTCATGGGTGGGAACTGAACAATGAAATCACATGGACACAGGAAGGGGAATATCACACTCTGGGGACTGTTGTGGGGTGGGGGGGAGGGGGGAGGGATAGTATTGGGAGATATACCTAATGCTGGATGACGAGTTGGTGGGAGCAGCGCACCAGCATGGCACATGTATACATATGTAACTAACCTGCACAATGTGCACATGTACCCTAAAACTTTAATAAAAAAAAAAAGATCTTGTTTTTGTAAAATCAGTTACATCAATGACATTTGGTAGCACTCTGTGCACTTCTTTTTCACCTGCTTTGCTGTATTTTCATCTGCTTTGTCTTTGAACAATGGAGTGCCAAAATTTCATGTGATTTGCTCTCTCTACAACTTACTCTGGAAATTATTATTCTTTCTTATTATAGTCAAAGCTGTTACTCCATCAACAAGTAGTTTAAAATTTTTATACATACATTAGAGAAATAATTTATAAGTAGAAAAGATCATTGAATATACTTTTTGTTATTCTCAATAAAGTTAGTGTTTTATATATATTTATTTATATTTATATATATATAAAATCATTGGAAAAAGTCTAGAATACTAGAATATATCATAAGCTGAAAAACAGATATACTTTTATCCAATTGTATAACAAACTTCCCACACCAGGTAATATTTATTTCTTTAAATCCTCAAGGTTTTTGTGTCTTCCAATAGTATTTTCTAACAAAAGAATGCATTATAATTTGTACCTGTTTTATTTCCCAGGTGTTTTATTTTCCAGATGCATTTACTGTAGAAAGAACAATGTTTCCCAATGGTATATAGTTTTTCTTTAATCCTTAGGTAGGAGATTAAATATTTATTACATATTTAATGAAATATTGTGAAGTCCTGGGTTAGTTATTGCATGATACTTTGAACCACTATTAAAAAAACCTGTTGATATTTGTCTTCATAATTCTGTATGGTGATTTATGCCTTAGTAATTTTGATGGCTTTAAAATGATCATTAATATTTTAAAGTACAAAATCTACTTAGAGAAAGACTAATCTTTAAAGATAGTGGATATAAACTATATTTCATAGAGTCTTCTTGATAATTTTGAATCATTTTATGCAATTAATGTCAGGGTAAATGGCCGTTGTTTTTACCACATCATATGGCTGACAAAGAACTTATTGAAATACATCTATAAAGTATAACATTATCTTGTTTCCTTACATTGTTTGAGGCAACCCATTTAAAAATTTATGTATAACTTTATTATGAAATTTTATACACATAGACAAAAATAGAACATAATGAACCTGATGTGCTTATCTTCCAGCTTCAATAATTATCACTGTATGGCATATCTTATTTCATCTATGCCTCCCTACTTACCTATACTTCAGATTATTTTAAATCAATTTCTAGACAACATATAATTTTATCTATATGGTTCAGTGCATATCTTTAAAAATGATTGTAATACTGACTACATACAAAATTAACAATAAATTTCCAATATTATTAAATATTTAATGTTCAATTTTTTTCTCATTGTTTATAATTTTATTTATATTTTTGAATATAGAAGCAATGGGCTCAAGATACATTTTGAGGATAGATTCTACACTAGTTTCTGTTTGATTGGTTTAATGGTGGAGAAAAGAGAGAGGAATTTGAAGGTGAAACAATTTTCTAGGGGGGTCGTATACTTAAATGAGGACGACTGTAGAGGTAGATTTGGGTGAGAAGATAAAGCATTCAGCTGTGGAAATATCAAGACGGAAACAACATGTTAACATTTGGATGAATAAGCCTGTAACTCAAAAAAGGGGTTGTGGTTTAGAGACATAGATTTGGAAATATATATATCATAGATAATATTTATTTTTTTTACTTCTTTGCCAGCTTCTTTTTTCTTTCTTTTTAAAATTATACTTTAAATTCTGGGATACATGTGCAGAACATGTAGGTTTGTTACATAGGTATACATGGGCCATGGTGGTTTGCCGCACCCATCAACTTGTCATCTAAGTTTTAAGCCCTGTCTGCATTAGGTATTTGTCCTAATGCTCTCCCTCCCCTTGCCCCCCAACCCCCGACAGGCCTCAGTGAATGATGTTCCCCTTCCTGTGTCCATGTGTTCTCATTGTTCAACTCCCACTTATGAATGAGAACATACAGTGTTTGTTTTTCTGTTTCTGTGCTGTTAGTTTGCTGAGAATGATGGTTTCCAGCTTCATCCATGTCCCTGCAAAGGACATGAAGTCATTCTTTTTTATGGCTGCATAGTATTCCATGGTGTATATGTGCCACATTTTCTTAATCCAGTCTATCGTTGATGGGCATTTGGGTTCGTTCAAAGTCTTTGCTATTGTGAATAGTGCTGCAATAAACATATGTATGCATGTGTCTTTATAGCAGAATGATTTATAATCCTTTGGGTATATACCCAGTAATGGTATTGCTGGGTCAAATGGTATTTCTGGTTCTAGATCCTTGAGGAATCATCACACTGTCTTCCATAATGGTTGAACTAATTTACACTCCCACCAACAGTGTAAAATCGTTCCTATTTCTCCACATCCTCTCCAGCATTTGTTGTTTCCTGACTTGTTAATAATCTCCATTCTAACTGGCGTGAGAAGGTATCTCATTGTGGTTTTGATTTGCATTTCTCTAATAACCAGTGATAATGAGTTTTTTTTCATGTTTGTTGGCTGCATAAATGTCTTCTTTTGAAAAGCGTCTGTTCATATCCTTTGCCCACTTTTTGATGAGATTGTTTGTTTTTTTCTTGTAAATTTGTTTAAGTTCCTTGAAGATTCTGGATGTTAGCCCTTTGTCAGATGGATAGATTGCAAAAATTTTCTCCCATTCTGTAGGTTGCCTGTTGACTCTGATGGTAGTTTCTTTTGCTGTGCAGAAGCTCTTTAGTTTAATTAGATCCCATTTGTCAATTTTGACATTTGTTGCCATTGCTTTTGGTGTTTTAGTCATGAAGTCTGTGGCTATGCCTATGTCCTGAATGGTATTGCCTAGGTTTTCTTCTAGGGTTTTTATGGTTTTAGGTTTTATGTTTAAGTCTTTAATGAATCTTGAGTTAATTTTTGTATAAGGTGTAAGGAGGGGATCCAGTTTCAGTTTTCTGCATATGACTAGCCAATTTTCCCAGCACCATTTATTAAATAGGGAATCCTTTCCCCGTTGCTTGTTTTGTCAGGTTTGTCAAAGATCAGGTGGTTGTAGATGTGTGGTGTTATTTCTGAGGCCTCTGTTCTGTTCCATTTATCTATATATCTGTTTCGATACAAGTAGAATGCTGTTTTGGTTACTGTAGCCTTGTAGTATAGTTTGAAATGAGGTAGCATGAGGCCTCTGGCTTTGTTCTTTTTGCTTAAGATTGTCTTGGCTATACGAGCTCTTTTTGGGTTCCATATGAAATTTTAAGTAAATTTTTTCTAATTCTGTGAAGAAAGTCAATGGTAGCTTGATGGGAATAGCTTTGAATCTATAAATTACTTTGGGTAGTATGGCCATTTTCACGATATTGATTCGTCCTATCATTGAGCATGGAATGTTTTTTCATTTGTTTGCGTCCTCTCTTATTTTCTTGAGCAGTGGTTTGTAGTTTTCCTTGAAGAGGTCCTTCACATCCCTTGTAAGTTGTATTCCTAAGTATTTTATTCTCTTTGAAGCAATTGTGAATGGCAGTTCGCTCATGATTTGGCTCTCTGCCTATTATTGGTTTTTCCTTTCCATATTTAGTGCTTCCTTAAGGAGCTCTTGTAAGGCAGGCCTGGTGGTGACAAAATCCCCCAGCATTTGCTTGTCTGTAAAGGATTTTATATTTCCTTCGTTTATGAAGCTTAGTTTGGCTGGATTATGAAATTCTGGGTTGAAAATTCTTTACTTTAAGAATGTTGAATGTTGGTTCCCACTCTCTTCTGGCTTGTAGGGTTACTGGAGAGAGATCTGCTGTTAGTCTGATGGGCTTCCGTTTGTAGGTAAACTGACCTTTCTCTCTAGCTACCATTAACATTTTTTCCTTCATTTCAGCTTGGAGAATCTGATGATTATGTGTCTTGGAGTTGCTCTTCTCAAGGAGTATCTTAGTAATGTTGTCTGTATTTCCTGAATTTGAATGTTGGCCTGTCTTTCTAGGTTGGGGAAGTTCTTTTGGATAATATCCTGAAGAGTGTTTTCCAACTTGGTTCCATTCTTCCCGTCACTTTCAGGTATACCAATCAATCATAGGTTTGGTCTTTTCACATAGTCCCCTATTTCTTGGAGAGTTTTTTCATTCCATTTTATTCTTTCTTCTCTAATCTTGTCTTCATGCCTTATTGCAGTAAGTTGATCTTCAATCTCTGATATCCTTTCTTCCATTTGATTGATTCGGCTACTGCTACTTGTGTGTGCTTCACAAGTTCTTGTGCTGTGTTTTTCAGCTCCATCAGGTCGTTTATATTCCTCTCTAAACTTGTGATTCTAGTTAGCAGTTTCCGTAACCTTTTATCAAGGTTCTTCGCTTCCTTGCTTTGGGTTAGAACATGCTCTTTTAGCTCAGAGGAGTTTGCTATTACCCACCTACTGAAGCCTACTTCTGTCAATTTGTCAAACTAATTCTCCATCCAGCTTTGTGCCCTTGCTGGAGAAGAGTTGTTATCATTTGGAGGAGAAGAGGCATTCTGATTTTTGGAATCTTCAGCATTTTTGTTCTGTTTTTTCGTCATCTTTGTGGATTTATCTACCTTTAATCTTTGATGCTGATGACCTTTTGATGAGGTTTTTGTGTGGGCATCTTTTTTGTTGATGTCAATGTTATTGCTTTCTCTTTGTTAGTTTTTCCTTTAACAATCAGGCCCCTCTTTTGCAGGTCTGCTGGAGTTTGCTGGAGGTCCACTCCAGACTCTGTTTGCCTGGGTATCACCAGCAGAGGCTGCAAAACTGCAAAGATTGCTGCCTGCTCCTTCCTCTGGAAGCTTCATCACAGAGGAGGACCTGCCTGATGCCAGCCAGAGCTCTCCTGTATGAGGTGTCTGTCCACTCCTGCTGGAAGGTGTCTCCCAGTCAGGAAGCATAGGGGTCAGTAACCCACTTGAGGAGGCAGTCTATCCCTTAGCAGAGCTTGAGGGCTGTGCTGGGAGATCTGCTGCTGTCTTCAGAGATGGCAAGTAGGAACATTTAAGTCTGCTGAAGCTGCGCCCACAGCCACCCTTCCCCCAGGTGCTCTGTCCCAGGGAGATGGGAGTTTTGTCTATAAGCCCCTGACTGGGGCTGCTGCCTTTCTTTCAGCGATGCTCTGCCCAGTGAGGAGGCATCTAGAGAGGCAGTCTGGCCCAAGCCACTTTGTTGTGCTGAGGTGAGCTCCCCCCAGTCCGAACTTCCTGGCTTCCTTAACACTGTGAGGGGAAAACCACCTACTCAAGCCTCAGTAATGGTGAATGCCTCGCCCCTGACCAAGCTGGATCACCCCAGGTCAACTTCACACTGCTGTGCTGGCAGTGAGAATTTCAAGCCAGTGATTCTTAGCTTGCTGGGCTCCATGGGAGTGGGACCTACCGAGCAAGACCACTTTGCTCCCTGGCTTCAGCCCCCTTTCCAAAGGGGTGAACGGTTCTGTCTCGCTGGAGTTCCAGGCAACACTGGGGTACAAAAAAAAGACTCCTGCAGCTAGCTTGGTGTCTGCCTGAACAGCTGCCCACTTTTGTGCTTGAAACCCAGGGCCCTGGTGGTGTAGTCACCCGAGGGAATCTCCTGGTCTGTTGGTTGCAAAAACCGTGGGAAAAGTGTAGTATCTGGGCCGGTTAGCACAGTCCCTCACAGCTTCCCTTGGCTGGGGAGGGAGGCCCCGGGCCCCTTGCACTTCCTGGGTGGGGCAACGCCCCACCCTGCTTTTGCTCAACCTCCGTGTGCTGTACCCACTGTCTAACCAGTCCCAATGAGATAAACCGGGTGCCTCAGTTGGAAATGCAGAAATCACCCAGTTTCTGCGTTGGTCCCGCTGGTATCTGCAGACCAGAGCTGTTCCTATTCAGCCGTTTTCCATAGATAATATTTAAAACTTGGAGAATAAAGGAGACAAATGAAAGAGAGACCACAGAGTAAGAAAAGAAGAGTTGCTCAGGACTAAGCCTGACCAACCTAATGTTCCTGAGGAGAATGAGAAGAAGGGATCATGGAAAAATGAGGGTGTAGTGCTACTGAAACTCAGAGACATGGCTCAAGAAAGCAGTAAGGTGTTGAATGCTGATGAGAGGTTTAATGCGATGAAAATTGAAAACTGCTTAACTAGTCTGAGACTGTGATCCTCCACTTGTATATGTTCTGCTTTAGGGAGAGTCACCTAATGTATTTGGATTTCAGTTTCATCATCTATAAAATAGTTGTGCTTGTGAAAGGCGGTGTTGAGTGCTGTGAAAGGAAGGGGTTTGCTTGGGAAGTGTCAGACATTGCATCGGACAATGCAAGATGGTTAAGTGTGGAGGTGAGGGTGGAGCAGATGATCTACCAACTCTAAAAATGTATGAAATATGAGCCAATGTATAGGATGATAGTATTTAACTTTACAGAGTAGATGAAAGGATTTTCTGTATCACTCGGTAAAGTACCAAGTACTAGGTAAATACAAAGTGTTATTTCTGTTTACTGAGAATATACTTATCAAAGGGAATTGAGGATTTGTGGCAGCTGTTTTAAGATAGACATAGGCTATAGCCATGATGGGTGATCTCATATAGAAGAAGCTGGAGGCAGAATTGTCAGGTCTGTGAACCCAAATATTAGTGCATCAGCACCTTAGAAATTAAGAGGTCCCTGAGGTTTTGAGATTGGCATCTGGTCTTCTTGAGTGACAGCCACTAGGAGATATTGCCTTGTTCTCATACCACAGAACTATCTGGATAATCTGAGGCCACCTGCTGGGTGGTCAGGCCAGAACATCCATCCTTTTGGTACCGCTCTCAGAATTGCTCACTCCTGCCCGCTACCACAAACATTTAATTTTATATAGGGGAGATAGTGGAAGGGGAGGAGGATCCCTGTTCCCCAGGGCCTTGCCACAGAAATAATGCCGAGGCTTCCACTGCTTCCTAGTATGTCATGCAGGGAGAAATCACTGGGTCCTCATGAAGCAACCCTATGCATTTGGGAACCTCATGTACAATGAATGCTCAATAAATACTTGTTTTTTAAAAAAGGGAATAACTAGCAATTCGTACTGTGTGTATTAGTGGGAGGCAAGGCTAACCTTTGCCGTTGGCCTATGGTGTCGGCTCTGTGGGATGATTTTGCAAATGTTCTGTTCCCACATTAGTAGCTTTCCAGATGATTACAATTCTGCTTCTAGAATTCCACCCTTTAATAGGCATTGTTCTCAGACAAAATGCAAGTGAGAGCAAAATCACATCATTAGTTTTTTATATCTTACTGCATTTGAATTATTTGGATGTCTCTTGAGAGCAGAGTTTGAAATGGATGCTGAGAAAGCCGGGGAGCTGAAGGAAGGTGGGAAACTACACAGAAAACGGCAGCTACAAATATCTAATTCTACAGGTTTCACAGTTGTGCCTAACACTGGTCCTGATCAGTAGCTTTGACAAGGCACGTACCTGAGGACAATGTGTGCCCCCTCTCCTTCTTTCTGTTTTTCATTAATTCCTTTATACTTCGCTTTGAATATGTATTGTGAGTCAGATGCCCCGCACATAATCACATGTTCTTAATACAGTTACACCCAGATGCACAAAGAGTTTGCAGGTAACGTTTTCAGTCTCTCTCAGCAGCTTCCAATTTTGTGCGACTGATTGATTAACACAGTAACATGAGCAAACACGAAGTACCAGAGCTTCAGGTGACACATTTAATTAACGACATTCAGGCAAGCAAAGAAAGATAAGCATTCTGGTAGCAGCCAATTACAAATTACAGATTAATGAATGTAATTTCGGGTTTCAGAGATTTTCCTATTTTATTCTAACACTGGGATCAACATTCATCAGCTCAGAAGGGGGAAGGTGCAGGCCTGCTAAGCAAGGTATCAACCTAAGGATAGCTTTTGCTTTTGCTCCAGCTCCATGTCTGATCAGATAGAATTACCAAACTTAATCTGACCTCTAGTGGCACTTTGCATTAACAAGCACATTTGAAATCCACTTAGGAATTTTGCTGTGAGAATTCTGCTATCATCCCATCTTACAGCTGGAAGGAACCTTAGAGATGATCTGCTTGGCAGGCTTCTGCCCACTCCCCTATTTTACAGATGAGGAGACTGAGGCCTGGAGATATTGATGGGTGATGATAAAAATTGAATAGCTAATTGATAGAAAAGTCAATGATGACAGAATCCAAGTTTCTAAAAAAATTTAATTGTAATTTTTGTGGTAGGTGTATACATTTATGGGATACATAAGATGTTTTGATACAGGCATGCAATGAGTAATAATGACATCATGTAAAATGAGTCAAGTATTTTATCCTTTGTATCACAAACAATCTAGTTATACTCTTTTAGTTACTTTAAGATGTACAATTAAATTATTAATGACTATAGTCACTCTGTTATGCTATCAAATACTAGGTATTATTCATTCTTTCTATTTTTTATACTCATTAAATCATCCCCATCTCCCCCATACCTTCCTACACTCCTTCCCAGCCTATGGTAACCATTCTTCTTCTATCTCCAGAATCCAGGTTTTTAGATTTCTACATTGTTATGAGTGTGTTAGCAGAGAAAAGTCAATATGCAAGTCTGTAAGATTCTTGATGAGAATAAGCTTAGGTGTATAAAATTAATGGCTGTCTGAATATAGGTGAAAAGCATCAAAACACTTTTGGTTCAATATCTGTATATTTTAGCCCAAAGTTCCAAAGTTTTATGGCATTATCTGAGTCAAAATAACTGACTTTAATTTAGCTACATTTAAATGGTGAATTTCTTTGATTCTTTTGAGTCAATGGTTTATAACTATCACTCTTAGTAAGTGAGATGATTGTAATGATTTAATCGGACCAACAATTCAGTGAACTAATCTAATATTCAGTTCTAAATCTCAGGAATATTCAAATTGGGACAAGGTATGAATCTTTTTGTACCCAATTCCAGGGTTTTTAATCAAACCACAGGCAGTGTTAAGCAGTTGAAAATAAATCAGACTTCAGGTTTGAGTAAACCTGGGTTAGAATTCTGGATTCTTGTCAGCATTCATTTCTATTGCTGCTGTAACCAATTACCACAAACTGAGTGACTTAAAGCAACACAAACTTATTTTCCTCTATTTCTGGAGATCAGAAGTCCAAAATACATTTTAAGGGGCAATAAGGTGTCAGCAGGGTTTGTTCCTCCTGGTGGCTTCAGGGGAGAATCCATTCCTTGACTCACCTACTTCTAAAGGTTGCTGACATCCCTTGGCTCCTGGCTACATCACCCCAACCTCTGCTTCCATGGTCGTATCGCCTTCTCTTCTGTAGTAAAATTTCCCCTTCATGAGGATAACATGATCACATTTATGGGCCACCTGGATTACTAGGGTAATCTTGCCATCTTTGAATCCTGATTTTAATCACATCTACAAAGTTCCTTTTGCCATGTAAGGTAACATTAACAGGTTCTAGGGATTATGATATGGATATCTTGAGTGGGTTTATTATTCAGCCTTCCCCAATCTCTTACCAGCTGTGTGATCTAGGTGTGATCATCTTAACCAGCCTTATCGAATTGGTTGGGAGGATTAAAATAGAGGATAGATAAAACATACCTAGCAAACTACCTGGTGCATGATAGGTGCTCAGCAATAGCAATGTTCTCTTCTTTTCCCTTGGCTTAATCAGTAGATGAAATCTTTAACAGTAGGTTATGCATATAGTGGAGGTTTATATTCAGCGTAGTCCAAGATCTGGTTTCTAGAAGCAGAATTACCATTTGGTGGATGAAGTAGAAACCAGAAATTCCTGAAATGCAGTATTTCTCAGTCCAGCCTTTCCCAAATGATGAATTCCTCTCTCCACCCTCCTGAATGGTGCATCTTGCATTTTGATTTTGGAAACTTGATTACTTTCTTCATCAGACTGTCTTTTCCTAGTTTGCATAGATAAAAACTTCATTGCTGGTAATCAAATTAATTGTCTTTTAAAATAGTTATGTCCTGTGGCAATCAATTATACAAGTCTACAGATGGCACATAAAGTGTGTGCTGAATGGAATGATAATGGAATATAAACTATATTCAGGTTTACCCTGTTTTATTGTTTCTACTCGGCCATGTACTTGGTCTACATGAGAGGGATACTTAAAAAAATGTACTGCTATGTTTGGCCTCTTATGTTTCGCTTTCCTCCTCTTTTTATCATCTTTTACAACACAGATTTAGAGAAAATGTATGTAGTAGAACTCAGTTTCCTTGATCATTGGTAATGATGTGCAACAACTTGATGTGAAATGATTCACTGATAGTCTGGAAGCCTTACTTTGAACATCTTTCTTAGTGACACCATTAATTACAGGCTACAGTCTGGCTATCACCAAGCTGAATGTGGCCTTCAGAAGTAGTCTGCTTGGGCAGCATGGGATTCAAAATGTTTCCTTTGCATGTGTTCAGATGGACAAACACTCTGTAGTTTTCCCCAGTGATAATACCTGCCATAATGGGCTATTGCATGCATTGATGCCAGCTCCCCGAAGGCATTTCTCCATGGTGGAAACTGACATGTAGAAAAAAAGTGAAGGAAAAAAAATGGCTGACATCTATTGCTCCTTAAAATGATTTTCTCCCGAATCAAGACATGGGTATGTCCTACGCACATGGCTACATATGGTTGCCTTTACCCTACAATGGCCCTTCCTTTTTTTTTTTTTTTTCAGAGTGTTCCAGATTTGCATTAAGCTGTCACCCGGTGGCTGTGTAACTAGCTGCTTTTGTGACTGTTACAGGCAAGTGATTGAAAATACCTAGATCCTGTTCATACAAAACTAGAATTAGAGGTTCTGAAAAATATTTTTCTCTAACATTCTGTGATTCCATGTTTTAATAAATTTCTTATTGGAGAAGGTAAATTTTGCCAATGAAAAAGACCACAGTAAATTTAGAGGAGAAAAGGGCCGGATAGGCAGGTGAAATGACCTTGAGAGAAAGGAGAGGAGATAGAGCGGCAGTATCAACTACACGTAATATGCACCGGTGCGTCTGGCCTGAAAATAAGTTCCTTCGACAATATATCCTGTAGGTACTTTGCTCTGCTTCATTTTTACCTTTATCAGATGGTCATTAAGATTTCCTAAGCTCAAAATTCTTTGATTCTCCATTGCCACATCTGTGTGCCATGTTTGACCTCCGTGCAAGTTAGAACGCACAGGGCATTAGGAGCCACACGAATTTTTTTTTTTTTTTTTTTTTTACCAGGAGCTTCTATTTTCTTGTGTCAATTATTTGTGCTCTATATTATATTGTGCTGCAATGCAGCAAAAATTACTGGCAAGATCAAAATATTCTAAAGGTAGACTTTTCAATAAGAAACATTATAAATACAAAACCAATGTTACCAGTTATCGCTAAACTAACCTGTTCAGAATGTGCAATTCTAGCCCTGGGCAGAATGGATACCTCAAGATATTGGTTTGCTGCAGCTAAATGGATACTTTGCCCCATATGTTTTTCAGCCGCAAAAGCCTTAACAGACCTGCAGTTACAGACTCAGGGAAAAGCTTGTACTGTTGTTTGTGGATCGCAGGGAAGCCAGAGTTGCAGCTGACTTTCTGTCCACGAGATGGCGGTAGAGGAGCACAGAAAAAAGAAACCATCTTGGGCTGTTAATCATGTTGACTGTTGAGAAGCTAAGAGGGAAGCCGATCTGTCATTAGGTAAGACCAAGCCAAAATTTATGGATTTCATACCTTAGTGGAAAACACTGGTTTGTGGCTCATGGCTGTTTCTAAGACCTTTTGATTTTATACAAAAATTCCATTCAACTATCATCATCAAATAGCTGTCCCTATTTTTCCTTGATTTTGGCATATTTTAGCTTTTTACAGCTGGATCAACTGATGGGCTTCATTTTCCGCCCAGGTCAGCCCCAAGTGCTGAGGCAGTCCTAACAGGAGCAGAAAGGATAACAGCTGCCTCTGTGCAGGTGTGTTTGATCAGCAGCGCTTAGGCCATATATTCCAGGGGCTGGCATTTCCAGCTTCTCAGGTGGGATTCATTTCTGCCTCCTATCAAGATTCATATGGTGAGAAATTCATTAAATAGGAAAAAGATTTAGATGCTGGTTTAGGCAACCAACGACAATGATATAGGAATATTGACCAAGACTAAATTCAGGTGGTCATCCACAATTGGTAAGACATTTAAACACTAACTAGTATCCCAAATAACTCCCTCTCCCTCCCCCACACTATCATTCTGCTTCTCTTTCCTTTCTCTTCTTTACTGCCCAGCAGATCCTGAATCTGGAACCTGAAGGGGAAGTTCTTGGTACCCTTCCAGCTTTGGATTCTCTAACTCTGTTTTCTATTGAGTTTTACCTTGCCTAGGATTCTTCTATGCAGTATTCAATTGTTCGTCTCCTGCTTGGGGAGAATAGTTCTAAGAACGTGAACAGCTTACCTAAGAAACCATGGCCATGTCTTGCCCATGCCCCTCTGCCCCTAAAATGTATCTCCTAATGTGGACAATTCTCTGGGTCACATCTGAGTATTCTGTCTTTCTTCTTTTTCTACTTCTTCTTTTTTTTTTTTTTTTTTGAGGCAGGATCTCACTCTGTCACTCAGGCTGTATTGCAGTGGTGTGATCCTAGCTGATGCAATCTTGACTAAAGTGAACTAAAGTGAGCCTCTTCTCTCAGCCTCCTGAGTAGCTGGGACTACAGGTGCATGGCACCTCACCCAGCTGATTTTTACAATTTTTATAGAGACAGGGTCTCACTACGTTGCTCAGGCTGATCTCAAAGTCCTGGCCTACAGTGATCCTCCCACCTCAGCCTACCAAAGTGCTGGAATTACAGGCATGAGCCACCATGCCTGGTGCATCCCAGCTTTTTAATAAAGTGCAGCACCAAATAAATACTCCTGGGAGTGAGAAGGGAAGGAAAGGAGCCAGGCAGGGTCTGAGACAAAGCCTGAATCAGTCCAGCCTCACAAAGAGAGAATTTTGTGGTGCCTTCTATTTTATTTCAAAAATGTTTGTGAGATTTGCATTCTACTAACATGTATTTATGCTTGTTTTAATATATTAAAACGCATTTAATTGCTTTGACATTGAGTAAAATTGCTCCAGGAAAATGCAACATGTTTATCCTGTGACTTTGAGTCCTTTTGGCCGCACTGACAATTACCCCTTGAATTTGAGTTTCTCAGTTAAGATTAGGTAGGAGTAGTGGTAAGGTGATGGGTTTAGAAATCAGACTGAACTGGTTGATTCTAGCTACCCTAGTTCACTAATTGTGTAACCTTGGACATGATATGGGGCCTCTCAGTCTCATCTTTTTAATACATAAATAGGAATACTTGTAACCATATAGGATTGTTGTGAGGTGTAAATGCTAGAATGTGCACAAAAGGACAGAAAGTGTATAAAGCAGTTAGTACCTGATACACAAGGGACACACTCAATAAATGTTCTATCATTGTTATGAATGAGCCGTTTGGATACTGCATTGAACAATCCATTCGATCCCATTTGTTGAATATGAACTTAGTCTGGTATTTTCAATAGTACCAAGTTAAAATATGGCTTCTTACAAGGCAAAGGCAACCTATAAAATATAAGAGTTGCTTTAATATTGTTCCCTATGGCTTGTGTCTCTTTCAGTAAGGCAACCTATATAAATAAAACATTTTCAGTTTAGAGAAAAGGAGTGGGAGTGGGGTGAGGACAGGGCTTATTTTTCACTCCATAGCTTAACTCTTTGGCTCTGAGATGATCTGATGACTTGGCAGTTGGCAGTTAGCTGATGGCATCAGCTTTTTAGAAGCCAGAGCAAGACAACATTTCAAAGAAGATAGGAGAGTAGTAGTTGGCTCTGGCTATAAAATTCAGTTTTTAACTTTGGTTTCTGATCGCCTACAATGACCATAGTCCCCTTTTCCCTCTTTGCTCCCAAACAAAGCAGAGATGGAAGTTCTGTAGGGTTCAGGGACTAGTTAATTCTTCATGTCGGCTCAATGCATTTTGGAAGAGGATCTGAGAAATAGCCACCTTATGTGACCTCCTGAATAAAACTTACTCATATAGGGTAAGTAAGGAAATGCGTAAGTAAGGAAATCTAGTAGATTTAAGGCATTGCCTCAAGTTCTCTCAGATATAAATACATTTGATGCCTTGGCCTGGCGCTCAAGTACTTTACACATGAACAGGGGAAACAGCATATTCTTATGCAACACTATATTTAATGCAATCACCAATGTAAGCTCAATTAGCACAAGGACTCTCTTAATCAATTAATTAATCTGACAAACAAAGTATACACAAGATCTGAAACTGTGTGGTGTGGATTTGATCGAACAAGGTATGAGGTTTGTACTTAAAGATCTTACCGTCTAGTTAGAGGGAGGCAAATAAACAGGTAATTATGATGCAGTCTCTAACAGAAGGTGCTAACTCTGCCTGAGGGAGTCAGGTGAGGCCTTAAATCTGAGTGTGTTGACAGACTTGTGTCTTTGTAAGGTCTACGTGGTTGTTGCAAGCAGATTGCATTGGAAGAATTCTGCTGGTGTTGAAAAGGAAAGGATGAATACTGAAGGCATTTTAAACTTTAGAAGGTAAAGGACGGCTTGCAGGTCTCTGTAACTTACGACGTAGAGAATCAGAGGAGAGGAAAAGTCTATGGTGATTCTAAGGCATAGAACTGACTGGGTGCCCAGTAGAATGGTGGTGTCATGACACAGAAGGAAAACATAATGATGACCAACTAATTTTGGCTTTCAGAGTAGGATAAGTTTACAGTTTACAGGTTAAACTTGAGATGTAATTTCTAAGTGTATATTAAGTAATTTATAGCTAAAGCTGTTGGGAATTTTTTACTGGGCCTTTACTCTCTGTATCCACTAACAATAGCTAACATGTTGAAATATATAAAATTAAAGTGTATTTTGTATAAACTTGGGAAGGATTATCAGAATATATTAGAAATATATTATCAGAATATGTTATGTCAGAATATGTTAAATTAAAGGTATTTGCTACTGATATTAATAGAGATGTAAATTAAGGGGATGTGGAAATGCTAATGAATGAGTAAAGTGAGAAAAGTTAAACTAAAAAATTAAAGTAATTCTCTCTCAGAAGTCCTTTGTGACAAAAATAATCAATTTCCCCAAATTCTCTTACCTTTACTTCTTGAAAGTCTTTCAAATCTGTCTCCTTGTCTTCAACCATATTTCCATTGGTTTAGCTAAAGCCTTCCCTCCCCATTCTGGGTTAATAAGAATCTATTAAGTTTCCATCTCGCTTCCAGTCTCATTACCCCCGTCCACTTTCCACACTGTTATTTGAATGATCATTAGAAAGGACACATTATTATATTACACCCTTTGTATAAATGCATCCACTGGCTCTCTCTCTTCTCTAGCATCTTAGCGCTCTCTTAGATTCCGATATTTTTACTTTTCACCCCACATAATTGTACACACACGGACTTTCCATATTAAGGTCTGTACTTTTTGAGTCTAGGGACAATGTCTTATTCATTTCTGCATTTCCTAGGTCTAGAACCATATCCTTCTCTTATTATATTCTTGATAAGTGTGGGTTTATTATGGGCTGAATTTGGCTCCTTGAATTCATATGGTGAAGCCCTAATCCCAATGTATGTGGAGATGGGACCCTTAAGAAGGTAATTAAGGTTAAATGAGGTCATAAACTTGAGGTCCTAATTCAATAGGACTGGTGTTCTCACAAGAAGTGGCAGAGACACCAGAAGTAGTGCCTGTGCCAAAAGGAAAGACCATGTGAACACACAGAGAAGGTGCTGTCTGCAAGACGAGAGGCCTCATCATATATGAACAATGTTGGTACCTTGCTCTTGGACTTCCAGAACTGTGAGAAGATAAATTTCTGTTGTTTAAGCCACTCAGTCTGTGGCACTTTGTTAAAGCAGCCCAGCCAGACTAATACAGGGTTGAATTGGGCAGATGTGATGGATCATGTCTAGTACATATTTGCCATGAGAGGTCAATATCAATCTCTCTAGGTTTCTTGGCATTGCAGGTCATCTCTAAGTTCATGTGACAAAAATAGATCAGTAAGAAATTGTTCTTAGCTGAGGACTCAAGGCTGATATTAGGTTTGTTTGAATACTAATAAACAGTCAAGTATTTTTTAAAGAAATGCACTCTAAGAGGGGCTTTTGAAATTTTTCCTGCACAAACTCCTGGGATGTGAAGATGACCTAAGGAAAGTTGATGCTGTTAGGGGAAAGAGCAAAAGAAGAATTACTGGGAATCCAAGAGTATGTCCATATATGTCAGGACCCATAGGGTTTTATAGGCTCATGAATCAAGCGTGTGGCATCCTGATTTTGATTTAAGATTATCCACTGGGGAGCAGATTTTCTTTGAACTTTGCTTAAGCCTTCATGAACAAAGAGATCCTTCAGATATGCACTGTGAACTTCCTGATATAGTAACATGGGTCTCTTGGGGATGGTTGTTTCACATAATTTACCACATGCACAGACTGGACACACACCACTGCTCACTGTAGCCCAAACAGTATTTAGAGAGGTGCTGCTAGCAATCTGGCCTTCTGCTTTCAGCTTGGTGGCTGCTCCAAAGTTATTCAGAGAGTTAAGATGGAAAGAAAACCAGAGAATTACAAAGAAAAAAACAAGGATAAGGGGCTTCATTAAGCTACCTCACAAATGATGAATCCCCAAACCAAAAATTAGTAGGAAGTATCAAAGCCGAGTCTTACCTTCACAGTTGCCATAACTTTTTAACTTCTGCTGTGCATTTCTTTATCTGATTTATTTCATCAACTTGGTCAAATTGTGCGTCTGTGTGTGTGTGTGAGAGAGAGAGAGTTGGAGCTCTCTTCTATAATGATGTTTGTGATGTTACTCTCTTTTATTATGAGCATAATGCTTATTTGCATGATTTATCATTTTCAGTATGCTTTCTCAGCTTCTCTATTATTTGCTTCATACATTGGCCACATTAGGTTACTGCAAGGACAGCAATTGTTTTATTTAGTACACTGCTTAATGCTACACAGCCCAGCACTCTCCAAGTTTATCCATCAATGATTCATCCAATGATTATGATAGGTTTAGAGAAATGAAAATTCTGGACATCTTTCAGATAAAAGACCAAACAATTCCATAGGGATGCTTTTATAACATTTGAACTGTAGGGAACTCAGATAATTAAGACAGCACATGGTTTTATACTGGTTCTTTGGTCTTATTTCATGATTTTGTCATTTGTTAAATTTTGCTTTGGTTTTTGACTTTGAGTTTCATCTCTTCTTAAAACAACTGAATGTTATCCATTAGGCCCAGGTGACAAAAGGATGTTTGATCTCTTGTCAATGAGAAATCTCAGAAAACCACAATCTATGTAATTATTTTGTGTGATATGCAGCTGGAAGTTTGAAAAAAAAAAGTTAGTGTCTAACCGTTTCTGTGGTTCCCTGACAATAAGTAGTGGTGATGCTATCAATTTCTTTACCTTAACCTATCTTAGTTCATTGCTTTGGTTGAAATTCAGCCCAAATAGAAAACTGTTTCATTAGGTAGGGTTGTATATCATAATATGTGTATAGGAGACACCACTGATGTGACATAGCCCATCCTTGAAAGTATGAAATAATTTTTCTATGCATTTACAATATATTTTCTGTAAGAAGAGAAGTATGGGAAGGAATAGAAAGTACACTATGAGTTAATTTAGTATTGTCTGTTAATATCGGGGCTATGCTTGAAAGCTTGCAGCTGACACTGAAACCATGAAGTAAAGCAACCATCTTGGTTTATTTTATCAGCAATTAAATACATTTTGTTGCCCAGAATTTGGCTTAATGTTGGAAAAAACCCCCCAAACTAGAGTTAATTGAATTCCATAAATCAATTAAAATGTGATATTAATATCAATGGTAGGAATGTCTATGGTGTTATAGCAATTTATGAGGACTTTTGCAGTCTATATTTTTTGTTGCCATTAACAAAGCCCACAGATTCTGATGTTTGCATAAAACAATATTTGAAGAAAGGAGGGAGAAAGTGATTGTTTTTACTTTCACTTGATCTTCCGGCTCAATTACACTTCAAGGTCAATGATGCTATAAAATAAGCTAAAAATAGCTTCGTAGGCATAGGAGATCATCCAAAAGGTGTGTGGATTTCAAACCAACCCAAAGAGAAGGTAAGATTTCTTCCGCTAAGTGATGGCCACCAGATGGCTGTGCATCTCAAGGAATGGAGGGAGGACGTCTCTTCTGGACCAGAACTGCCAAAGTCCACCATGAGCACTACCTCTCTGCTCTAAATCAAAGAGACAGGGATGAAGATCTGAAAGCGTTTAAATATTTCAAATCTTGCAGAAAACCTTGGAGAAACAATCTTGCCAACTGCAAATGTGTGATTGCTGAGATTGAATCCTGGGTGATTCTGAATGGAATATTTATTAGCTTTTAAATCTTGTGAAGCCAGGGCTGTCCTTCTCAGAACACAGGCTGTAGCCCTTTATGTGGCAAGGTGTGAGTCTCTATTGCAGGGGCTCTTCTTCTGAATTCATATTCTCTCCTTAGGTGATCATATTGACCCCTGTGATTTCAATCTACACCCATGATTATGACCTATAGCTCTATCTGCTACCTACTCAATATCTTCATTTTAACATGTTTCACAGAAGTCTTTAATTTCACAGACCTCACACTTCACTCTAATGCTTGGTCCCCTGCAACCCACAGTGTTTCCAGTGTTTGCCAGTTTATCATCCAGCCAATCCCTAAAACTAGAAATCTGGGAGTCATTTTTTAAACTCCTCTCTCTTCTTCACTCCTAATATCCTTTAAATCTTAGGGCTTGTTCATTCTCTAAGTTTTTTTTTGCTACCGTTACTGCTTTTACTCTGCCTTCTTCCCCAGCCCATGGTTTTGCACAGAACGTCTAAATAATATCTTTGATTTCATTCTTGCTCCATTCCTATGTATCTTCTGTAGTCAGTGACCCTTAAAAATGTAAATCAGATGGTGACACTTTTGATCTTACCTTGATCACTACCACTCTCTACTGAACCTCTATGAGGCAGTCACACTGATTCTCTTTCCATTTTTGTTTTGTTATTTGCAACCTCGATGCCTTGGACCATAATGTTACCACTGTTTGGGATGTCATTTCTCTCCTTTTTATTCCCCTCCTCTAAGTAGGATCTTGTCTTTCAAAACTCACCTCAAATATCACTTGCTCAGAAAGCTTTCCCTAACTCAGAAAACTAGGTTAAGGCCTCTGTTTTATTATGTGCTACTTCCCCGATGTTGTACTTATCACATCGGTAATCACTTGTTCATTGTTTCTTGCTAAACTTTTAGTGCCATGAAGAAAAATGACCACGTCTGTCTTGGCCATTGCTATATCTTCTGTGTGTAGCACAGTGCCTAGGATATAGTTGTCATTCAATATGTATTTGTAGAATGGATTACCTCATGAATGCAAATATTAGTGAGAATTGAAAGAATGAACTAATAGACATAATTTAATTCTTTTAAATGGTGGCCATTTGGGTAGAGCATTTTGGGTGGTGTAGGAACGGAGTGGGCATGCTTCAACACTCTACTATAAAGGAAGAATGTGGAGCCTGGTTAAAAGCACTCTAACCACATTTCTTCTGGAATATGCCCTGGGTCTGTGATCTTCCTGTAGTGGTCAGGGAAGTCTTACTAGTTCCTGATCCTGGCGCAGCGAGGAAGGAAGGAGCTTGAGAGTAAATGTGTGGTTGGCTCACTATTTTATTACTGGACTTAAGTCAGTTGTGTTAAAGGGCAGTAATATGACAAAAAGAGGCCCTTTGTCTCTTTTTCTGCAGGAACTTGGCAAAGGAACATAATGTATATGTAAAGTCTAAAGTAATGCCATTTAATAGAACTTTCTGTGATAATGGAAATGTTTTATATCTATACATCTGTTATAGAAGCCATTACTCATATATGCCTTTTGGGCAATTCAAATGTAGTAAATGCAAATTAGGAGCTGAATTTTTTATTTTGCTTAATTTCAATGAATATTGAAATTTAAATTTCAGCTAATTTATATTTAAATTTAAATAGCCATACATGGGTAGTGACTACTGTATTAGACTGTATTAGATAGGTCTAGAGGATATGAGTTTTGTTGAGATGAAGATGGCAGAGCACATAGAATGTTTTGTTCTGAAGTTGCCCTGCATTACAAAGAATCTGAGTTATGAATTTGACATGCTTTTATTTATAGTGATGCTCCCTTTCCAACAAGAATGTTAAAATAAAATCTTTCTGGATAAGAAGTAAGATGTGGATTTCTTTTGAAAAGAAAATGTAAGGGACTTGCTTCTAAGCCTAGCTTCTTCTCATTCTTGGAGTGTGCTATCATCTTCTAATTCAGTACAGTGGCTTTCACTTCCCATCAGATAAAAAGAGATGCCTCAAACCAATTCCGAAAGCTACTTTTGGAAAAGCATTGGTTGAGTTTTCATCCTGACTCCTAGGATAACAAATAGTAAGTCTTCAAACAAAGCAGCAGCTATGCGAATTCTAGAATTTTGATATGTATTGTTAATGTTGGTATCGTACCACTTGATGCTTTTATGACATGTATCATGACATCAAGTACTGCACAAAATTAAATTCACATTCTAACACTTGTTTAAGTTTAGTTGGTTAGGATAGTGCTGGCTTAACATTTTTAATGTATTTAGTACATGAAAAGTACATAACATTCTCCTTTGTGTACATAGTACACATATAAAATTCAAGCCTGTGTTTGCACAGCATATGAGGGTAAATGGATAAGCCAGGACATGGCTACAGGAGGCTGGCCCAATGGCTTTAAAGGATCTGGGCTCTGCCTAGCTCTGCTGAGGGCTGTGGAAATTGTTAATTCTGCCCAACTGTAACCCATTTGTCACACTGTAGTTGGTAAACTCTGTTGACTTGGTGCTCAGGTGTTGAGATAATGCTTCCTAAAGTTTAATGTGCATATGAATCACCTGGGCATTCTGTTAAAAGGCAAATTCTGACTCAGCAGCCCTGTGACTGGGCCTGAGATCCTGCATTGCTAACAAGTTCTCAAGTGATTCTAATGCTGCTGGACTTCACTGTGAGTAGCAACGTGCTAGGGCATAAATTTGATTTCATTTTGATTAGTTTTACACTGAAACATCTTCCTCCATCACTACAAAACTTATTCTTCAGTCCTGATGACTATGATGTTGTGGTATCAGTCCAGGTAAAAGTGAATAAAAATTTTTATTTAAACTTGTTTCTGGGATTAGAAAAATATAGCTCAATATACACTGAGAGGAAGTTGGTAGCTATGTATTTACATTTCTCTTTTTGAGGTAATCTTTAGCAGTAGAGGAGTTGCTTCATACCTACTGTGATCTCACACAATTTATATAGTGACATATACAACTTCCAGGCTTTCATATTCCGTTACATCTCTCAATACTTGTGAATTTTCTAAAATGCTTCCTTGAATTTGATGCCCTCGGGAGAAAGGTCTATATCCTCATAACCACACTTGTGACAAATTAGCCCAAGCTTCTGGATTATCAAACTTTTCTTCAGTTCTCATCATGCTCTTGTAAAATTATGACCTCAAGCTTTAACTTTTTGGTCTATTGCTTATACAGTAAAGCAAGCAAACAAACAAAATCAAGTGCCATGCACATGCACAGATAAATATAAACATATGGATCAGCACACACTTGTGGAAATTTAAACCAATATTAGTGGGAAAGAAATATAAACAAATATTATGATTATTAATACAAATTAGTAACCAATTAGGTATAAATATGCACTCTCCAGTGTCTTCTTAATTTCAGATTAAGGTGACCTCCAATCAATAGCCAGCAAAAAGCCAGGGCCCTAAGTATTATACCTACAAGGAAAAAATTTCTATCAACAACTTCAATGAATTTGGGTGCAGATTTTTAAACATAAATTTTAGGTAATTCCCACAAGGACCTCTTTTTGCTGCCTTACTTTTTTTCTCCTCCCCTTTCTTATATGAAATAAGATGGTTACTTTGGTAATTGATGAATAATTTATTACAAAATTTGTTTTAGCAGCTAAAATAATGGTGCATGTAAATATTGGTATCTACATTGATAAAAGCTTCTTAGAGTTGACATTGGGATGTGCTAGATTTGAAGTAGATTTTTATCATTCTCTGACAATTTTCTCAGATAATACAAAACCAATTAATGCATCCCTGATTAGTTTTTGACAGAGGTTTTCTTTGAAAGATAACACAGCTTAAATTCACAGAGCTTCTTCCCTTAAGGAATTTAGATTGCTCATTCTTTCCTTACCAATAATTTAGTTTCATTTTAATTTCTTAAAACCTGTTTCTTTACTTGCCCTGCCTAGCCCAGTTTACAGTAGTGCCCCACCTGAGACTCTGGGGTGGGCCAGCGTGTGTTTTAACCAGCCCCGCCAACCATCCTCGTGTTTGAGCAGCATGGATTTATACCACCACTCCACACTGGGCTGCCTCAGCAGAAACCTGGAGAAAATTCTTCTAAGTCCTTTCTTTTACCTCCTGTATTAAATTCATTTGCTCAAGCCTCAGACATAGCTCTCAAAAATCCTTTTTTCCCTCTCTGTTTCGATGTCCACTGTGTTAGGTCAAGTCCTTATAATTTTTCTCCTGGTCCATGGCAGAGGCCTCTATCAGGTATCTCTGCTTCCTTTGTCACCTCCCCCACTCCAGTCCATTCTCCATACTGTGATTAGAGTAACCCTTTAAAACACACTTAGGCTTATTATACCATTCCTGGCAAGATCCCTTATGTGAAACTGAGTTCTGTGTGAAAGAGTCCATGGTTGTGGGCATAGCCAGTAGACCTGTTCTCCACTGACTCCTCCTAACCTTGGGGGGTCTTACTTTGATATCCTATCTTTCCTTTCCTTCACTTGTATCCCAGGCTGTAATTACTCTGAGCCACTTTAGATTTCTCAAATGTGATCTATTCTCTTATTTTTTTCAGGCATTTCTTATGCTGCTCTCTCTACTTGACTTTCTTTCTGTACTTGGCATTCTCCTATTGACTCCTCAAGATCCATTTCACAAGTCACTTTATTTCTGGAACATTATATTACTCTCGTTCATCTTTCTCAGCATAATTAATTACTTCTTCTCTGTATTCCCAAAGGCCTATGTACATAGTTCTTTTATAGGACTTACCACTAAATAAAATTTATGAATGCATGTGTGTTTTCCCTAAGGATTTAAAACCTCTGAAGGCAAGGATCAGCTTTATTCATCTTTGTATCTCATGCTCCTGGCACTTAGTAAAATGCTCTGTAGTTGAGTGTTGAACTGGGTGTGCCAAGCCTTGTTTTTTTCATTAATATATAAGGCAGAACATGTCATCTTTGTTTTATAGAAGAAGGGAGAGCTCTTACTCCACAGCCATAAGCAGGTCAGTCAATGACCTCAGAAGGAGCTGGGTATATGTAATGCTGAAAAGTTGATCCTGGTTCATGGTGAACAGCAGCCCTATCCCCTTCCCTGAAGTTATCTGTCTGTCTTCTACCCCATTAGCCTATTAGCTTCCGAGGCAAGTACCATGTCCTTGTCTCTCTTATCTTCGTGTCCCTAGATCCTAGGAGTATTCATTTTTTACGAGTACTGTGACAAATTTCCACACTCTTGAACACATGGAAGTGGATTCACTGGGTGTCACCTTAGGATCGGTCTGCCAAGCTGCCCCCAACACCAAAATCAACCATCAGGCCATTAATGGCTTAATACTTCTGGAGGTCAGAAATTATAAATAGTGATAACTGGGCTTATATCAGGGTATTGGCAGGGCTGAACTCCACTTTGGAAGCTCTAGGGAAGAATTCAAATTCTTGTCTTTTCCCGGCTTTTAGAGCTTGCCCACATTCCTTGGCTTGTTGTATCATTCCATCTTCAAAGCCAGCAATGACCAACTGAATCCTTCTCACATCGTTTCATTCTGACACTGTCTCTTCTGCTCCCTTCTTTCATTCATAAGAACGCTTGTGATTGTATTGAACCTACCTGAATAAATCAGGATAATCTCTCTATCTCCAGACCAGCTGATTTGCAATCTTAATTTCATCTGCAACCTAAATTCCCCTTTGCGATTTATTTGATAATATTCACAGATTCTGGAAATCAGGAACTAGACATTATGTTTTTCTAGTGATGGTGGTTGGGGGATGACATTATTCTGTATTCTATACTAGCATAGGGCCTGGCTCATATCAAGAGATCAATAAGCTTTGCAGAATGAATGGACAGGGTCTGTAGGGAGTGTGGCTTGGCTATAGGCAGTCAGAATGACTTTGAAAGCAATGGTGATTGAAGAGGAATTGGAGGATGCTGAGGGAGAAATTTCTTGGTAAGAGTGGAGTGTTTCAGCCATAGGGCCTGATGGTTGATTTTGGTGTTAAGGGCAGCTTGGCAGGCTGACCCTCAGGTGACACACAATCAATCCACTTCCTAGTGTTCACAGCTGTGTGTAATACTCTCCCTTTGGCTTTGGGCAGGAACTATTAGTTGCTTCTAGGCAATAACATGAGACAATGAGATGGCACTTTCATGCTTAGGTATTTACATAGCAAAGGTGATGGATGTCATTTCTGTGACTGCTATAGATTATATGAGTTCTGGAACTGGAGACTCCTTGTGGGCCTGATGAAGTAAGCAGTCATGTTGGAGAAGCCAACACTGCAGGGAGCCTTTAGGAATAATGGGAAGCTTCCGGGACCTGGAGGTGACCTCCAATCAATAGCCAGCAAAAAGCCAGGGCCCTACGTATTATAGCTACAAGGAAGCAATTTCTATCAACAACTTCAATGAATTTGGGTGCAGATTTTTACTCATTTGAGCTTCCAGATGAAAATGCAGCCCAGCAGCTTTGTAAAACCCTGAGCAGGGGACCCAGTTAAGCCATGCCTTGACCTAAGGAAACTGTGAGATAATAAATGTTTTGTTTTAAGCTACTGAGATTGTGGTAATTTGGATTCGGCAATAGAAAACAAATGCCAGCAATTTGGGAATTACGGAATAGATGGCAGTAGGAGCTGCCCTGCTCAGGCTTATGGGGGAAAGAGTTCTTGACTGTATGTTTACCTCCATTTTACAGCTGGAACTAATGACGACGAGCAAGCCGAAACTCATTACTCTTGATTCAATGGTTAGTGAAAAAGATGGGAAGAGAATGTATTATTCTGACTTCTGCTGGAATTCCTTCCAACCCTTCCTGGGGCCATTGATTCTCTTGGAATTGAAGTTCATAGCAGGAGACTTTGCTTCATTAATCCTCACAGCAGAGCTCTAAAAGAAGTCTTCTGGAAGCCTTGTTGGGATTCTGTTTTCTTTCAAATAGAGTCACAGAGTCACAGAGAGATCCCACCTAGCTAAAAGTTACAGTAAAGATTTAGGTAAATAGCTGGGCATGGAATGAATAAGATTAATTATGCTTAGCAGTTATTATAATTACATGCAGGCTTTTGAATATACTGCTTAACATTCCTACACTACTTAAAAAATTATCTATAAAGATCAGTCAAAACTCAGCTTTAAAAAAATGTATTTGAAGGATCTATTTTAAATTTATCAATAATATTTAGGTGAAGATTTTAACACATGTAAATGATTTCAAAAATTCTTTGACCTAACCACTTTCCTCATTTCACAGGTAGAGTTATTGAGTGTGGAAAGATTAAGTGAATTTTCCCACATGGTTACACAGCTAATTCTTACTAATCCAGTTTCCAAGATTAGAGTTTCATATTGTTTTCACCTATAAACTCTACAATAGGGATTTATGGAAGATAGTAACAGTGCACTAAGTTCACACTCCTACCTTAAACAGAACCACATATATCTTAAGCATCTCAGACCCATAATTATCTGTTTTTCTAAATAATCCTAAAGGAGGTAATATTCCTTGGTGCTTTAGCTTCAACTTCAATTAATGTCTACTGGCATTTTAAATAATCATCATCCTTATATTCCTTGGTTAGGTATTGGTTATGGTCTGAGGTGTGGTACAGGCCTGTAAATTCTTTTGTTTTGGGTGGGACCAAGGACAAGGGGATTGAGGTTATATCATCTTTGCCTGAGTTGGGGCACCAGGTAGAAATCTGTTGCAGATGACTTGCCCAAGAGCATACAGCTAATTAGTGACAGGCTTAAAACTTGGAAGCTCTTAAATATCACAACTATTATTTGTTTGTTTGTTTTTCTTGATTTTGTATATTTGCTACTGCTACACTGTTTATCTACCACACTCGGTCATTGCCACAACACAATACACACACACATACACATCTTTGCTCTTCTACTAACTTCCTGGAGTTGGTGGTGGTGCTGATAGTCATGGCATACGTCCACAAAAATATTTTGAATGCTCATAATAGCGGCAGTGTGGTTAAGTAGAAGAATCAGGTTTTGACTTACTACAGGGAAACTGAATCTTCTGAGTCTCAGTGTCCTCATCTATAAGCTGAAAGCAAAGAGTTAATAGTGAGAATAGGTGTGGGAGCCTCCTGGGGCAAGGCTGGGATGGTGGGGTCCAGTGTTTATGTTGCTGGGAGTATGGCTACCTTGGAAGTCGCAAGTGCTTTGTATATTCCAAAGTGTTTCTCTCTCTCTCTCTCTCTCTCTATATATATATATATATATAGTGATATATATAGTGATATATAATGATATATATATTTAGTGATATATACAGTGCTATTGTTACTCCATATCAGGCATTATGATGAATGCAAGAGAAATATTGTCAGATATATAGTCCTTGCATTCAATAAAGGTATACTGTAGTTATAATCTCAGGATATAAAGGGTATAACAGGATGGAATATGCTGAGTGGCCAGTGCATGGCAAAGATAAATACCTAGAGAGAAGTGAGATGGCTATGAAATGGACAATTGAGATGACTATGAAGTGGACAATTGGGAAGACTTTGTGGAGAAGTGATGACTTGAGCTGGGTCATGAAGGACATGTAGCAGACAACAAGGCACCATCTTAGGCAGGTGGAATGCATCAAGCAAAGGCATGGAGGTTGCTCAAGGAGTGGCTAATATACAAAAGAGGAAATGTGACAAATATTTACGGAGTAGAATTAAGTCAGAGCAGATATTTACATCAAAGCTTAGAATTTTATTATGCTGGCAACAGGGAACCACAGGTGACTTTTGAGCAGACGTAGTCTGTCCAAAGTGAACAGCTTTGGACAGGTTTAGGAAGCTTACTTTTGCAGGAGTGTAGATTGGTTTCTAGTAGGGAATAAGGCAGGGAGAGCTGCTTATTCTTTTTTCTCCTCAGCAGTTGTGGGGCAATTGGATTGCTGCTTTCTAAATGATAATTAGAAAAGTGTTGAGATTATGTGAGGCTCTCCTTGTTTCTGGAGTACCAGATTTCTGGAGTACCCTCGTCTCCCATCCCTGCATAGGCCTCTAAGTCCTGCTCCTCACTAAACACACAAAACCTCAAGGCTGATTGCCTGGTGTTAGTTTTGAGTCAAATTATTTTAATGACCAGCAATTACATTACAGAGCCACTGATAACAAAAGCTCATTTTTTTTTCTCAAGGTACAAGGAAAGGAGAAAGAATCTTGAAGTCTCATAAGAGAAAAGATCTTTTTTTCCTGTTCCTCTCCCTCCTCCGAACTTCCACCCTCCAAAAGGCCCCAGTGTGTGTTGTAAATAACTAATGGGTACTAGGCTTAATACCTGGGGGTGATGAAACAATCTGTACAACAAACTCCCATGACACAATTCCACCTGTGTAACAAACCTACACTTGTACCCCTGACCTTAAAAGAGATCTATTAAGGAAAGGAGACCTATTGCATCCATTCCTGACCGAGCAAGATTTTTTTTTCTTCTCTATCTGTTGACCATGTTTTATGTATTTTCAGTTAACTGTCTGATCAATGACTATTTTACTTCTTCTAGTGGAAGTATTTTCAATAGGTTGTTTCACTTATTGCCATTGACATTTTTCTGCTTTTCAACCAGAATATGTATATAATAATTTGCTAATATTTTTGTGCCTGTTTATGTAAAAAGTAGTATTTGAGTGACTATAAAAATAATATTCTTATATTAAGTACTGTCCACTTAAAAGCTACAGCCAACAAGAATACGTTATTTGTATTTTGAACTTCCTTCTTTCATAGGCATACTAGTCATTAATTCAAAATCAAATTAGGAAAAAAGAAAAAAAAGGCCGGGCACGGTGGCTTACGCCTGTAATCCCAGCACTTTGGGAGGCTGAGGCGGGTGAATCACCTGAGGTCGGGGGTTCAAGACCAGCCTGACCAACATGGAGAAATCTCGTCTCTACTAAAAATACAAAATTAGCCTGGCGTAGTGGCACATGCCTGTAATCCCAGCTACTCGGGAGGCTGAGGCAGGAGAATTGCTAGAACCCAGGAGGCGGAGTTTGTGGTGAGCCAAGATCGTGCCATTGCACTCCAGCCTGGGCAACAAGAGTGAAACTCCATCTCAAACAACAACAACAGCAACAACAAAAACAGAATTAGTGTAATTCTAATCATTAAAGTGACAAATGAACATAAACATGATGGGGAAACAGTAGAATAATCCATGAGAATTTTATTTGTATTCAAATGAAAAAATAGAGAAAGAAAAAGTGCTTCATCTTCTGTATAATTAAAGAGGATTTTGAGTTGGAGAATATTGCTCTATGACTTATACAATATCTTCTCAACTCATTAGAATTCATCACATCTTTGGTTTGGATTTAAGTTAGTGACACTTTTACAAAAACAGCAAACTTTTAAAATCAGAAAAAACCCCAATATTCATTCAAATTCATGTAGGCTTCTCTTTATATGGCTTTAATTTTTTTCATCAGATTGATCATACTTTCTAGTCCTGTTTTGTTCATCAAAATGTAAACCTGTGTCTCAGTTGCTTCATCGAAACTACTGGTTCTCCCTTCAAGGATGTTGTTAGGGAAAAGTGGTTAAACGACAATGAATATCTTATAATGCACAAATGCTCTCCATATTTTTAATAGCAAAGAATAATTTGTTTTTCTTTTCCCTGACAAAATGTTTTATCAAGTAACACTTTTAAATACATGAATGAAGCCTATGAGAGGAGAGTTTATTATTATTAATTGTTATTATTATTTTCTGATGCTTGTATGACCTTGGGTAAGTTACTGGACCTCTGCCACATGTTGTACATCTGGACCACTCATGAAGATGTGTGCAGGTAGACAGCCCTCAATTCCAATGTGCTGACCTCCACAAATCCCAAATACCTACCTTGGCCCCACAACATTCCTTTACCAGTGACACATGAAAAAGAGAAAATTAAAAAATAGTTTTATTGCAAAATTTCTGCCTTGACCTCTCAAGTGGACACCCTATACCCATACTCATCTCAGATCTAGAGAGAGGAGCAGTCGTGTCATGCCTCTGCATGCTTACACGGTTCTGTTTAACTTGGCCTTGAGACTGGGGCTCTGAGCCCAGAGGGCCACTGATAGTACTACAGGCTGTCTACTGTGATGAATGCCTGATTCTCCACACTTGTGCTCTTTCCATAATGCTCCCATGGCCATCTGCATTTTTGGCTCTGGCATCAGGCAGTAGGGTTTGGTGGTGGCAGCAGTGGAGAGGAAATCCTGAGCACTCCAGATCCACTGAAAGGAGGGTACATCTTAGGGAGCTTTCTACTATGAGCCTCATGTTTAATACTTCCCATGTTTATTGACATTTTAGTGACAATCTGCTGAGTTTCCTTTGTAGTTTTCATTTATTAGATTTGTAATGAAGCAGAACTAACCTCTTTTACCCAGCAAACATTGGCGCCTTTCTCCCTTGCTTCCTTAGCACTCCAGAGGATGGCTTTGATATTATCATACAGGTGATTACGGGACAGTCTGGGGCAAAGCTCAGATATTTGGGAATGAAGAGAGTTAGAAAACATGCCAGGCCTATAAACCACCATAATGGAAATAAGAGAACAACCTGTTTGGATTCCAGAGAGAATTTCATTTTATGAAAATGAAAATTCAACCTTGGGGAAACCCAGTTTGAGGAGCTTTTTCTGACCTTCATAGTTTTTAGCTTGACTTCTTAGCAAAAGGAGAGAAATCAATATAGCATAAGCAATTTCTGAGCAGCAAAGAATATGAATAGAATTTCAAAGGTTTTTTGGGAGTGGGATACTTTTAGATACATTCTGAGAGAATCAAGTGGCTTGGAAAGAACTGGTTATTCCAAGGTTACTGTTTGGGGAGCAGAGACAGAAAGTGGGAAGGGGAGCCCTATAATGATAATGTTGGGGACCGAATAAGTTGAGAATAAACCAGAGCACAGCAGTTTTTCTAAGCCCCAAAATAATTTATTTCTTGTAAACTATTGGATTAAGTCAAAGAAGCAAAAGCATTAAGTACCATGAGATTTTAAACTCAAACTAACCCAAAGCATTCTCAAAGAATTTATTTTCTGTGATGGTACAAATGATGTATACTTAAACATTTTTTAAACGTTGTACTTAGTTTAGATTTTTCAGCCTTCCTGCAGCCTCTGGCTGCTGAGAATCTACTGAAAAATCTTCTTTGTAACCTATGTATACTAGTAAATCTCTGCTGCTTGCCTGTCATCTGTCTCATATAAATGAGGCAGTGCAGATGGCTGGAATGCTAGGGCTGGCTGTTGCCTGCCTTAAGAATGGTGTGGGAAACGAGGTCAGGAGGTCGAGACCATCCTGATCAACGTGGTGAAACCCTGTCTCTACTAAAAATACAAAAATTAGCTGGACGTAGTGGCGCGTGCCTGTAATCCCAGCTACTCGGCAGGCTGAGGCAGGAGAATAGCTTGAACCAGGGAGTCGGAGGTTGCAGTGAGCTAAGATCGCGCCACTGTACTCCAGCCTGAGCGACAGAGAGAGACTCCATCTCAAAAAAAAAAAAAAAAAAAAAAAATGGTGTGGGAAAGCAGGACACTAGACTTATGAAGCTGATTGTAAAGACTTAAACACCAACAAGAAAGACAGGGTGCTTGTCTTCATCAGCTGGTTATGGATATGCTTCTCTAGCATCTTCCCTGGACGTCTACCCTGCCTTCCACCACCAATTTCCTTCTTTTCCTGGCCCAAGATAATTCCTCAAATTCTGCATTATGGAAGAAGAGAAGACTATGATTTTCCAAAAAGTTTTCTCCAGCACATTTTTTCTTATTGAAGTCTCCTTTATCTAAAAAAATTAAATGTCTTTTAAATTTAAAACACAATTAGAAAATAAGCACAGCCAAAACTTAAGTAGCTGATGGGTTTTGTAAGGGGTTAGACAAGTACTCTTCTTTCCTACCTATCCCAACTTGAGCTGTGTCCTAGTCTGTTTTCTGCTGCTATAACTAAATACCTGGGACTGGGTAATTTACAAAGAAAAGAGGTATATTTCTTATGGCTCTGGAGGATGGGAAGTCCAGATTAGGTGACTACATCTGGTTGGCATTTGGTGAGGGCCTCGTGCTGTGTCATAGCATGGCAGAGGGCATCCCAGGGTGAGGGGGTGAGCTCAGAGCCATGTTGGCTTTTGTAACAGATTTACTCTCATGATAACTAACCCATTCCTGTGATAACCCATTAATCCATTAAACCATTAATCCATGAATGGACCTGATCACCTCTTAAAGGCCCCATCTCTTCATATGGCTACATTGCAGACTAATGTTCAACATAAGTTTCAGATGGGACAAAGGGAAACTTTCAAGGGCATCCTATTCACCAGTTTGCAGGAAGCCCTTCTGACCACTCAAGAGCCTCCTGAGTTTTCCTTCTCTGAATTCTTATCATATTAATAATCTATTCCACACCAGTAGGACTAGTTTGACTCATGTCCTTCCTAATCTCTTGTGAATGTAAATCAAGTAGTTATATATCTCAACTTGAAATTATAATCTTTTGAGCACGAGAGCATCTTACACTTCTATATCTGCACATTGTACACATGTAATAAGTGTAGTTGGATGTTGACAAGTATTGAAGAAGCAGATAAAGTCTTCAAAGATAAGAATTTGTATATTTTTTATATATCTCATTAAGTAATGGGGACATTTAATACATACTAAATATCATAGCACCACAAAAATGGAGGAAGCACTTCTTAGATTCTAACAGAATCCCTGTCTTTTCTGTCTTGATCTATATTTATTCTTCCTGTAAGTAACAAGCACATGGTTGAGCTATACATAATTCTTTCATTTAAAGGCAGTTGTTCCGAATCAAGAAAAACAAAATTAAATAAATTCTGAGAAGGGAATGAGCAATAGTAACAGGCTCAACACTCTTTTGTTAGGGGATTAAAGCATTAATCATCCTATTATCTGCTATTTTGAGCTTTGCCAAAGTTGCTAGAGGTCAATAGGAATTAGTTCCAATTAAAAAACTTTAGAACTTTCCTTCTTATATCACCTACTGTTTTGGATTGAAAGAAGATGGACGATGATAACATGGTCCCGATAGTCTAATTGCAGTTTCTTTCCATTTTTTGCTAAGAAGTTGTAGAAAAGGTCACTTTGGATTTTAAAAATTAAGAGCTTCATTGTCAGAGTTATCACTAATGCATATAATTACTATTTTAGATTATCAAGAAGGTCTAAAGACAGACATTTTATTTTAATATTCACTGTTAAACTGCATTAGTGACATTTGCTAATAACCTGAGGAAGTTACCTACTGTGGTGGTGAGTTTTGAATTGTAAAGTTTAGCGTTTTGACATGGCATGCCAACACTACGTATAATACACATAAAAAGTAAGAATTAATAAATATGTCAATTAAAACTGTTAAAAACCTGAACTAGTCCCCAATAACTTCATCAGGAAAGACAAAATGTAATAAACAGTAGCAGTTATTTCTTGACAAACTGCCGAATAGACTGGTTTGCAGAATTGCTACAGTTCACATTTAGAAAGTTAAGAGAGAGTCCTGGCAGATTGAGATTGGCAGGTAAACTAATTCTGAAGTGGTAAACATGGGTAGGTTAATTGTTGAAGCAGCAAGATAATATCCTTCAGAGAATGCTTCCTTACCTGATGCATTGATTAAAAAATAAAAATTCAATGTTTCCAGTCTTTAGATAACTAGTTTGTAATATTAAGAAAATATTGGATAATTATCCAGCTTTTGGTATTTTTCAATCATTCTTCAAACATCTTTCCTGGGCAGTGAGATGAAAGCTCAATGTCTCATTACCAGCTGTTAGGTTTATTTGTGCATATTATTAAAATACTTAGTGGCCAGTTTATTTAGTTATTTGGAGAAAGAAGAAAGATGACTCAGTTTAGATGTTTCTGTCTACTCAGCATAGGGCTTGGGGTCAAGAGAAAGTGATCTCAAACCTACTATAGAGATAAATCTATTTTATTGTTCACAGAGAGATTTTATTAGCACACATTTAAAAAGTTGCTTTATTTTTACAATTATGAAAGTAACAAATACTCATAATGGATAATTTGTGAATTGGAAAGGAAAAAATAAAATAGCATCATATAAAGAAAACTATTAACATTTTACTTATTTATTTACTTTTACTTTTTCTATGCAGAACCTTTTTATACACAGTTCTCCAGTTCATCTGTAGTTTAGTTTTGCATATATTTTTTTAGCTCAATGTTATGACCTAAGATTGTCCCCACCCATAACAATGCAAATTATTGTTGGATATGTGGGTTCTATTTAGTGAGGATTCCATAACTTATCTAGCCATTCTCATGTTGTTGAATATTTACATAGTTTTCAATTTTTCATTATTTTTGTAGAGATGCAGTGGAAATCTTTGTGAACTAGACTTTTTTTGGTACCCTGGGTTATTTTTTTGGTGTTAAATCATTGATGTAAAATTTTTAGTCTAAAGAGCATGATAATATAAGATGACAAAAATGGAAGTTTTGGTTGAGGTAACAAGATGTGAGAGATAACACATTCCGTAGGTGATGTCAGAAAACATGCCAAATTTTTAGATTATTAAAAGTCAGTTATATTGGTCTTAATTCTTTTGTAACATCGAGAATATTAAAGGGTCACAATTTGAATATCAAAGGGAATTTGGGGTACCAGTTGTTCATTTGCTGTGTCTCCCAGAATTGAATGGGGTTTGCCTGCTCCTTTCCTCACCCTAGATAATTTAATGTGTCCCTATAGGTTTGAATGACATGGTGGACCTGTTTCTGACTCGTGCTTGAGAGATCTGAGATGAGTGACTGTCTGGCTAGATGCTGTACTGAGGGTACAAAGGAGAAATTGATGAATGAGGAAACCCTGAACTCCTGGAGTTTGTCAGAGGAAAGAATGTGTGATAATTTCTCATGAGCCATATATTATCAGAGTTAACATAACTTCATCCTCGGTCCCATCCAACAAAGTTGTTTGACATGGCAGCAGATTCCTGGAGGCTGAATAGTGTCAAGCCTGGAAAAAAAATTCATTTGCTGTTGTTGAGGATACTGTAGGTCTCTGAAAACTTTTGAAAGATAAAGGAGGAAGAGGGGGAATAGAAATAATGGTGTAAGAAGAAACAGTTTAAATTTTGAACATGTTGAACTTAAGGTACTTGTAAAACATCAAGATGGAAGTGCCTAGCAGGGAAGTACGGTGCAAGGTTGGAGCTGAAAGAGTCCTTGACTAGAGATGTGGATACTGACATAATCACATGTAGATGAATGTTGGATGTTTGAGATAGTCTAAAGAGGATGCAGACTGAGGTGAGAAGAATGCTAAATGCAGAATCCTGGATTGTATCCCCTTGGAAGAGTTTGAGAGTCTAGCAAAAGAGACTAAGGAAGATCTAAGTAAATCCAAGTTGGGAAAGAATTCCAAATAGAATGTGGTTGATAAGGAGGTCAAGTAAGATGGGCATTAAAAGTAACTAGTTTTGGCAAGTAATGGGACATTGGTGATTATATCTGGCTAAGCCTTAGTGTAACTATGGAGACAGGAACCTGATTGTAGTGGATTGAATAATAAATGGGTAGAGACAGGTCATCTTTGAGTGAAGACCATTCTTTTTAGGATCTTGAGTGTAAAAGGAAGGAGAGATACATACTAGTGAGAAAAAGGCTTAAAAAATCAAGTGAAAAACTTGTGCATTTTGTATACACCATGGGGAAGGTCGCAGTGGAGTGGGGAAACAAAATATAGGAGAGAAAGATTAATGACCTAGATTGCATAGAAAACAAGGGAAAATTGGATTAAAAGTCTCCTGGCCTCCTGAATTGGAAATTTAAATAATTTAAGTGGTATAAAGCAAGGAATGCTATGAAACCATAAAAAGAATATTATTCTTTAGAATTGATATGGAAGAGTCTCCAACATATATTATGAATATGAAAAACAAGGCACATAGTGTATTTAGTATGCTACCAGGGTTATGATGAATGGCCAAGTGGATTGTGTACTCATATGTGAGTGATGCCCCTCTGGAATTGTGCTTTGTGTTGTACTATAGATGAGATCCCCTGATGTGAGTCAGCACCTCACATTACCTTTGTTGGAGGACACTTTTCATGATTCTCTGTCTTCCTTTGTTCTGGTCAATATTAACACGTATAATTTTTTGATCATTTAATTTCCCACTTCTCTTATTTAAGAATACCGTACCAATCAGACTAATGGATCAGATTCTCTGCTCTGCTTCATAGCTATGTTTTTTTTTTTTTGAGACGGAGTCTCGCTCTGTCGCCCAGGCCGGACTGCGGACTGCAGTGGCGCAATCTCGGCTCACTGCAAGCTCCGCTTCCCGGGTTCACGCCATTCTCCTGCCTCAGCCTCCCCAGTAGCTGGGACTACAGGCGCCCGCCACCGCGCCCGGCTAATTTTTCGTATTTTTAGTAGAGACGGGGTTTCACCTTGTTAGCCAGGATGGTCTCGATCTCCTAACCTCATGATCCACCCGCCTCGGCCTCCCAAAGTGCTGGGATTACAGGCGTGAGCCACCGCGCCCGGCCAGCTATGTTTTTAATTTAAACATCAGTAAAGTGACCTTCTGATCATAATTTCGGTCTTCATGTCACTTGTTCATGGAAAGAGAATGCATTGGCATACTGGTGTGAGTATTTCTGCCTGATGGTTGAGCCTCTTATAAAAGAATATATTGTCATTCTGGTATATAATATCATCTTTGAGAACTTGATTTATGAGAGCCCAGCCCTTAAAGTCAGTGTGCTAATAAAACCACATTTCTCACCCTGTCTCTGAAAGCTAAAAGCCAGTTCCTAAATTGTGGTGAATTCAGTGAGCACAATTTTACTTTGTGCATGCTCGGTGTAGGCAGTCATCTGGCCTTTTCCTGTTGATTTCCCTTTTCTATGTACCATTTCTATTTAAATGCAGTGGCTTGATGATCTCAGTCTTCTCTGTAAAGAAAGAGGAAAAGTCGTGTACATGAGAAAGTATGGGATAGCAGTGGGATGTGAATGTGTGGAATGGAGAAGAAATCTGAATTGGGGTATGAAAATGATTTTTGAGCCTCGTTACTGATGCAGTTAGGTTGTCCTGGTTTGCTAATGACTTCTGGTTTTTAAGTCTCACACTCCAGAAAATCCTTCAGTTTCAGGCAAACTGGGACCATTGGTCACCCTAGATGTGGCTGACATAGAAGACTAAACATTTATCGAAAAACAAATCTATAGGATTTGGCGATTTTTTTTTTTTTTTCTAGAGAGCTTCTGCAGCCACCGGGTGGAACCATGAAGATGAATATTTGGATTGATCCTAGATCACAAGGAGGTTGCTGAAGAAAGATAATGGGTTGGGGATGTACAGATAGTTGAAATAATCTAGATAGAGCAGGGCAGGAGGTGGGCCAGATGGTCACATGTCTGGGTGACACCCTGGTTCTGTGTCTCCTGTACTGTGACGGGAGACAACACTAGGTGGAAAGCAGCAGACTGTCCTGACCAGGCAATCTTATTTTCCAAACAACTACAGCATGGAAGAGGGCTCCAGTAAGAAAATATAGGCAGCAGGAGCAGGAGACTTTCAAGCAAGAACACCAAATAGCAACCCTCTTCACATCATCCTTTAAGGTTTTGCAGAATCGTAGACTATTGGAACTTGAAGGGACCTCAGCATTGTCCAGTTACTCCCTTGGACATTGAGGAAGGTAAAATACTTCCATTATAAGTGAGTATTTGAAGATTCATTAACATTTTCTCTGTAATTGTGAGAGTGATTAAAGCAATCACTGAATTAGAAGTTCAAGAAGAGAATAAAAATAACCACAACACAAACCGTTAGCCAGGCTATTGCCAGTGTCTCAACAATACGGCTCCAAAAACTTACCATTCCAACCCACTGCTAGAATATGACTGATCCTTGAACAACACAGGTTTGAACTGTGAAGTCCACTTATATGGAATTTCCTCAACCAACGGCAGATCGAACATACAGTATTCGCAGGATGTGGAAACTCACGAATACAGAGGGCATGCTTTTTGTTTATGCTGGTGAGGGTTTTGGCAGATGTGAGTGTTCTGGACTCAATCCCTCATGCATACAGAGGAACAAATGCACTGTCAAACTTAGGAAAAGTAAGACTAATTCTACACACTATATAAACTAAGATTCAGCATTGTCCAGTTACTCCCTTGGACACTGGGGGAGGTAAAATACTTCCATTATAAGTGAGGATGTAAAGATTCATTAACATTTTCTCTGTAATTGTGAGAGTGATTAAAGCAATCACTGAATGAGCAGTTCAATTTAGCTAAGAAGAGAACAAAAATAATCACAACACAAACTGTTAGCCAGGTTATTTCCAGTGTCTCAACAACATGGCTCAATCATATAACTACCGATAAAAGAGTGATGAGTGTTTCAAAGAATAAATTCACTGGTCAATACCGAATTATCTTGTGATCAATGTGTCTAAAATACTATCTGAGTTGCTATTAAATTCAATTCAGAGACAATTATTAAGTTTCTATAACTGTAGGCCAATACTTAGATGCCGTAGGACAGAATTAACACACCACTTGGCCTGCATGGGTTACCTAGTATAGTAGGCAGAATAACACCCTCCCAAAGATGTCCAGTCCTAATTGCCAGAATGTAGGAATATGTTATGTTACACAGCAATGTGAAATTTAGGTTACTAATCAGCTGACTTTAAAATAAGATTATCCTGGATTACATGGTGGATGCTGTGTAAACAAGGCTTCTTAAATGATGGACTGAAGAGGCAGAAGAGTCACTGCCAAAGTGATGCAATGTGAGAAAGCCATTGCTGGCTTTGAAGATGGAAGGAGGCCATGAGTCAAGAAAGGCAGTGAAACTCTAGAAGCTGGAAAAGGCAAGGAAATACATTCTTACCTGCAGTCTCCAGAAAGAATGCGGCCCTGCTGACACCTTGTTTAATGCAGTAAGACCCATTTTGGATTTCTGATCTCCAGAACTGTGAGATGATAAATTTGTGTTGTTTGGAGCCGCTGACTTTGTGCTAATTTGCTACAGCAGCAATAAGAAATTAATACAGAAAATAACATAAAGCAATAAAGGTGAGACATAGAGACAATATGGAATGGTGGGTACCGTGGCCATCTGGAGAGTGCCTGCACAACACGCAGTTCTGATTCAGCTCTAGCCAATATTTCTTTGAGGAAATAAGGGCTCAGAGTTACCAAATTCTATTTTTATTTTTCAAAATAAAATGAATATCCCGACTTATATAAAAGTGACTGTTTCTATTTAATTATTTGCACTATTTTAAGTTAAAAATCTCTTAAACATGTATGCAAATAGATGTGGATGAGAATGTTCATTTCAGTGCTGTCTGTGGTAGCAAAGAATTGGAAACAAATGAAATGTCTATAAAATATGAGTATAAATAAATATAAATATATGATACAAATGCATACTTTAGTCAAAAACAATGAATTGTATATTCTATATGTGTTAAGTAGAAGTGTAAACAGAATGAGATATACAGCATGACACTTCATTTGTTTGGATACAAATATACTCATAAATATATATATAGTTTGTGGGTGCTTATAATGTAAAAATAAAGTTAGGAAAGTGAATTAGAAAAAATTCACATTAATTACATTAAAATGGGTCTGTATGGGGGGATTAAAGAGAGGAATATGATCTGGGATGATAGCTGACAGAAAGCTAGGATGCAGGAGATGACAATAGAAGGTCTATGCACGGACTGATGATGATGATGAACTATGAGCTGGTGCCCCACCCAATTTTGATCACTGTATAGGCTGGAGCACAGAAGACAGTGGATCTAGTCGGAGTCATGCCCACTGGGGATTCAAAGAAAACCAAGATGTAGACCCTCCCTTCAAAATTTTGCAGAGAACTGAGGAAAAACAGGCTGGGTACAGTGGCTCACACTGTGGTGTAAGTACTAAGTACTCTTAGTACTTAGGGAGGCTAGGGAGGGAAAATTTCTTAAAGTCAGGAGTTCTGAGGTTATAGCAAGCTGTGATCGTGCCACTGCACTGCAGCCTGGGTGGCAGAGGGAAACCCTGTCTCTTAAAAGAAAGATATATAAACGAAGCAGAAAAAAAGTGGAATTATTGAAAAGTGAACAAGTTTCATTTATTCATTCATTTATTCAACATTCATTCAAATATTTATTAAGCTCCTTCTATGTTCCCAGCAGTTTGTTTAATCACAGTGTCTGTGTAGTATAGGATATGGTTGTAAAAGTAGTAAAAGCTGTGTTTAATTTTGTTTTTCTATTCCCTCTAGATTCCACCCCAAGAATAGGACCCATAATAGTGGCATGGCAGTTAGCCTTTCTGAGCCTCAGATTCCTCATTGGTATAAAGAATATCACTCCTGTTGTATCTTATCTATGTAGGATTGTTGTGAGAAAATAAATGGAAGAGTTCTTGTGAAGTGTTCTACAGATGGAAGACACTTAAACTGGGGTTCCTTTCCTCTTTTTGCATATTTCTCCCCCCTCACCTTCACTTTTCTTCTAACTTGCTGCTGCCACTATCTGGCCCAGTCCCTTATTGCTGGTGCCTAAATCACTGCAATGGACACTCGGTCTTCCCTTTTAATGTGGTTTATGATTAAAGCAAGACAGACAGTCCTAAAATACCTCCTTCATCAGCAAATCATAAACTTATAACCTATTAAGGTAGGAAGGGATTTAAATGCCTTCCTCAGTCTTGTGCACGTTGTAGGAAACCCAGGAGGTTCACCTTGGAGGCTTGCTCTTTGTATCTGTTTCCATCATTCCCATTAAATTTTTCTAAATTGCCTATTGTGGTAAGTGTGTGGCCATAGTTTCCCTTTGTTCTACAGAATTCCTTTATCCATGTTCCACCAACTGATAACAATATTCTCACGCATAGGCAGTTTCAAAGATTCATTTGTGGAAAAAGCTTTCCCAGAATAGAAGTATTCATGTTGTGATGTTTCTAAGAAAAAAAATGTTATTCCTGATAATAGGCCTCAGAATGTCTGCCTAATTCCCACTGATACACATCTGTTTCATAAAGAGACTTCTCTTTGGAATCAGTAGGGTTTTAGAGCAACTCATCAAAGGAAATATGAAAATCAAGTTGGGAGCAAACTTTCACTTTGGAGCCAAATACCTCCATCACAGTAATAAAACAATCCATATGTTGGGATTTATTAGCTCTTATTGATAATTTAACAACATTAAACTCCTGATGAAATGAAACATCTACCTAAAAGTTATGAAGAGATGGATCTGTTTCATAGTTGAATTTTTTGAGTATTTTTTGGTGTTAAAGCAATACATGATTATAGGAGGATGTTAGCTATAAACTGAAGCTGTTTCCTGGAGGGAATGAATTTTGCAATAACTCCCATTCAACTGAAGTTCTCTGCAAACCAAGAAAGAGTTGAATTTCTCATATTTACTTTTTATCATGTGAAAATTGCTACTGCATTGTGAGTGTTATAGATATTTGGGAAAGAAGAATGGGGCATTATTAGAACTATATCCTTGGGGTATAATTAAACATAACTAATAAGAGATGAACGAAATGGCTTCATACTGAAAAAGCAATGTCTGAGAATTATTATCAGTAACATGCCACTAAAACAAAAGGCTTGACTGATTAGAATCAGTGGGAGTTTGGCTACATAAAAATTCTTTTATTAGAAATTATGCAAAGAAGGGAGACAGGAAGTAACTGTGGTGTTAAGGTAAGCTGTGCTGATTGGTAAGGAACACATTCCAAGGAAATAATGAAAGGGTGAAAAAGCATTAACAGACCCCTTGGAGATTCATTACACATCAATTTATTTTTCTAAAGCACTCACTGTGCTTTGCAAAGTATATTACTCGTGGACCTCTGTGGCATTCGGTTAGGGGCAAATATTATAAAGAGAAGTAAAACTACTCAAGTTTTGACTCATCTGTGGATGCAGTAAGTTGAAAGTAAAGTTTGGACTTGAATCAATTGTCAAATGTGATTTTTGAAATACTTTTTGTACCAACTGAGAATTCACTTCACAAAACTTTTAAATTATAGTCCTTTTGGCTTCCCTGTATATTTGTTCTGACAATATAAATTATTTTTATCTCAAAATACTTAGAAGATAAAAGAAATTAACCCAAGTGATTAGGGCAATAAAACATAATTTAATTTTTGTGATCATATCTTTCAGAATCTGGGTTAATTAAAATATATTTTTGTTATTATAACAAAGTAAATCATGCACATAATAAAACATTTGAACAGTATGTAATTAGTTTAAAATGAAAAGTAAAAACATATCTTTCTCCGCCTCCTATTTCCACTTTCTAGAGGTTAACTATAACTTTTAATGTATTCTTTTGGAAAATTTTTATGCTCCTGTAAGGGCATTTTACTATGGTTACCCAGGCTTTTAAAATTCCGTATCCTTTTGATTATACAAGTCGAATGATTATATGCATGCTCTTTTGTACCTTGCCTTTTTCACTTGCCAGAATATGTTATTAGTTTTATCTTTCCAAATCAGTGCATTGAGACCAATCTCTTTTCAAATGGTGGCACGTTATTGCATTTGTGTTTTTACCATAATTATTTAACCAGTTCTGTATTGGTGAACAGGTTGTTCTTCCTGCTGTGTGTGTGTGTGTGTGTGTGTGTGTGTGTGCATGTTCATTCATGAACATGTGCCCTCACAATGCTGTGATGGATTATTTTGTATATGTCTTTACATGCTTATGTAAATATAACTGGAAGAAAAATTCTTACTTGCAGGATTGCCTCACCAAATGGAGCATGTGTATATTACATTTAACTAGATTATTTCCAAATTGTTCTTTACTGAACTGTATCAGCATCTTCTATCTAAAAAATGTGCAGGAAACTGTTTCCTAACACCCTCAATGAAATTGTGTATTATCAAACTATCTGAGAGCGAACAGTAGTATCCTATTGCTATATATTGTATATCTTTAATAAGGAGTGAGATTGGGGAATCTTTTCCTGTATTTATTTCTCATTTAACTTCTTTTTCTCTGAAATGTTAGTTCATGCCCTTGGACTACTTTTTTGAGAGATTGCTTAACTACTTTTATTGATTTGACAGACCTTTTTATATATTAAGAAAATTATTCATATTCTCTCAAAAGTTTTGGAAATACTTTTCTTAATAAGTTCTTTGTATTTTGACCTTGTAATAATTATTTTTTCACATAAAATTTGAAATTTTTGTAAACCAACATTGATGAAATCCTTCTTTTAGGGTTTCTGGGGTTTGTGTGATGTTTAGAAATGTTTTTCTCACTCCATATTTATAAATATATTCACTCATATTTTATTCAAGTTCTCCTGTATTTTAACTTTGTTTACATTTAAATTTTTATTCCATCTAGAATATATTTGTAGAAAGGAATAAAGTCAGAAGTTATTTTAATTATTTTTTTTCGAAGGACCAGTTAGTGGTCTTAACTTATTGAATAATTAATCATTTTCTTAATGAAGTAAAATTCTGTGTTTATTAAAAAAATGAAATTCCCTTGCATATTTAGCTTTATTTTGACTCTCCATTCTGTCCCTTTCATCTATGTATATTCCTGTGCTCACAACAAACAATTTCAATAATAGTAGCTTAAAGAATGGTAACTATGTAGTGGGGCTAGTTCCTTCTCATTATTCTTTCACAGTGTTTTCTTAGCTGGACAAGTATGTTCATGTTTCTTGATGACCTTGATCATCATTAAGGGACACTGCAAATTAATTCAATAGGATTACATTGATTTCATAGGTTAGCTTGGGGGAGAAGTGACATCTTTACAATGTGGAGATTTCTTCATATAAATCATATGGGTTTGTGTTATGTTTACTTTTAGTTCTCCCCCTTTTTTGGCTATTGTTAATAAGGTATTTTCTTCCACTATATTTTCAGTTTTTTTGTGTTTAAATATGAGATTGGCTTGCAGTATTGTATGTCTGTGTCTGAACTATTATCTATCCATCTAGGTTAATAATTTTTGTATTTTGCAGCTTATTCTTTGTAATAAGATTTTGAAATTTTGCCTTATTTTCCATGCTTTTGAAATCTTTAGCCTCAGAATGTTTCTTGAAGTTTTGATAAAATTTATATTACCTGGGCAATAATTACGTTCACATTTTCAAATGTGTTTGCACACTATAAAACAATGTATTGTCCTGTAATTCAATGTTTTTTGTGTGTTTAGGTCCTGTATTTATTTTATTTTATTGCTTCAATTTTATTTAATTTTATTATTTTTATTTACTTTATTGATACATATTAGATGTATATATTTTTTGGGTACATGTGATAATTTGATACATTCATATAATCAAGTTAGAATAATTGGGATATCCATCACCATAAACATTTACCTTTTATTTATGCTAGGAACACTCCAATTCACTTAGAAGAAATGATACCTGGTGTTCAATAGATCAGTAGGGTGACTATAGTTAGCATTATTCAATTGTACATTTCAAAATAGCTACAAGAGAATAATAAAAAATTAGCCAGGTATGGTGGCATATGCCTGTAAAAATTTAAAAACGTTAAATAGTAATAATAAGTTCCAGCTACTAAGGAGGCTGAGGTGGGAAGATCATTTGAGCCTAGCAGCTTGAGGTTGCCATGAACACACCACTGCACTCTAGCCTGCGTGAAAAGAGTGAGACCCTGTCTCAGAAAACCATATTTTTAAAAAAAGAATAATTCAAGTAAATTGAATATTCTGTATTTTAAATTGTCCATTTGTATGTTTTTTTAAAAATCTTGATTAGTTTAAGTACTTTTAAAATTTGCTTCATTTGATTTTTAAATGACTCAACCCCTGGATATATTCCCTTGCCTAATTTATCCTTTTTCTATTTAACTTTTTAAAATTTTTGTTCATTTTATAACTTTTTGGTTGTTATTAATTTTATTTTTCCTTGCTTAGTAATACATTTTAGACCATGATTGTTTATTAGAACTTTGCCATAGCTGTGTTCGTAGATTTCAATGTACACAGCATACACAATAGTTATTTATCAGATATGCTATAATCTACATTTTTTATCACAAAATTTTAACTGGTTGGAGTTTTCTTTTTGTTTCATTTTGCTTTCTGTTATATGTGTTTCTTTTATTGTGTTATAGCCAGAGAATATTCCTGTACAATTTACACTTTGTGTAAGTTATTGTGATTTTTCTTGATGGCTTAAATAAATCAGTTTTTGTAAATGTTCCATGGGCCCTGGGAAAAAAAAAAAAGAGGCATTCTCTTTTTGGTAGACATAGAATTCAGTGAAATCATTACTTCATTTGTTCAGCAAGTTATTTGTGAATGCATATTTATTCTTTTTAAATATAAGTATTTATATGTGCCAGATTCTACTTTAGGTACCAGGGATGGTGTAGTGAATAAGACAAAATACATGTCTGCCTTTATGGAGCTTTCATTCTAGCAAAGGAGACAGAAAATCAATCAGAAAGTCCAATCAAGCAGATAAATACATACACTTTTTTTTTTGTTTGAGATAGAGTCTTGCTCTGTCGCCCAGGCTGGAGTGCAGTGGCACGATCTGGGCTCACTGCAACCTCTGCCACCCGGGTTCAAGCGATTCTCCTGTCTCAGCCTCCAGAGTAGCTGTGATTACCTGCACCCACCACCATGCCTGGCTAACTTTTGTATTTTTAGTAGAGACGGGGTTTCACCATGTTGGCCAGGCTGGTCTTGAACTCTGATCCAACAACTTCGGCCTCCCAAATGCTGGGATTACAGGCGTGAGCCACTGCGCCCGGCCCATACACTTTTTCAGTACTAACAAATGCTTTGACAAAAAATTAAGCAGGTAAGGAGATGAGGAATGCTGGGTTGGGGAGGTGGATGAGTGATGGGGAGGTGTTAGAGGGATACTCAGCAAAGGCCTGCTTAAGCAGTGACATTTGAGCAGCCACTAAAAGGAAGCCAATGAGGAGGCATTGTCCTGAGAACAGCATGCCTGGCCAGAGGAGCAGCAACAACAAAGGCACTTGCAGGTGACAAAACCAGGGTATTTGAGAAGAGCAGCAACATCGACAGTGTGGCCAGAGTTGAGTGAGTGAGGAGGAACATGGCAGTGACCACAGTAATGAGTTTGGAAAGCCACTGGAAAATTTAGAACCAGAGAATGACATAATCTGATCTATGTTTTAAAAATATTACTGACAATTACCCATTAAACTTGTTTTATGGCCCAGCACGGTGGCTCACACCTGTAATCCCAGCACTTTGGGAGGCCGAGGCAGGCGGATCACAAGGTCAGGAGATCAAGACCATCCTGGCTAACACGGTGAAGCCCCGTCTCTGCTAAAATTACAAAAAAATTAGCAGGGCGTCGTGGCGGGCGCCTGCAGTCCCAGCTACTTGGGAGGCTGAGGCAGGAGAATGGCGTGAGCCCGGGAGGGGGAGCTTGCAGTGAGCCGAGATCGGGCCACTGCACTCCAACCTGGGCGACAGGGCGAGACTCCGTCTCAAAAATAAAACAAAACAAAAAAACAAAAAACAAACTTGTTTTATTATGATATTTTAATATTCTATGAACCTTTACTTATTAGACCTTTGTCTAATTGATTCGTCAAAGGTTCAGAGAGTTGGGGTAAAGACTCCTGTTACTGTACTTGCTTCTGTTAATTTCTGCTTTTCATGCAATGTTTTCTTTAGGTGCTTTGGTGCTAAGTTAACTAGGGCCAAAAGTTTCAAGCAATGAGCCCAGGAGTTTTAGGCTGCAGTATGATTGCGGCACTGCACTCCAGCCTGGGAAACAGTGAGATTCCGTCTCTTTAGGAAAAAAAAAAGTTTCAAGCAAATGAGATCTTCATTGTGGATTTTATTTTTACTGCTTTAAATCTCTCTTCTTTTTTCTGTGTAAGGAGATTTCCTTAAATTCGCCCATTATGTATTAATATTGCAATGCAATGCTTGCCTTATTTTCATTTAGATTAGTTTGATATGACTTTGCTTATCCCTTTTTAAAAATATGTTGAGTCATTTTTTTCCTCAATTTATCTGTCATACAGTCAAGCAGTTAGATTTTAAAATCCAATCTATTTTTTTTTCTCTTGCTAAATGGTCTGTTTTTGTTTTACATTTTACAATTAGGAAGACTTATAATACATGTTTAAGCCTTTAGTGGTTATAAATCTAAATTTGCATATGTACTTAAGTCAATTTCTTGACTTTAGATGGATTGTGTTGAATTCTCAGTCTGAAATTTTGTGGCAATTCACACATTCACACTTCTCTACCACTTTCCCTCTCAGTAATCTATCTCTTTAAAAAATATTTGCATTTTGTTCTACAATTGTAATTCCTTCAGTCTTGTGGACATTTCCAGTTTCTTCATTCCAAAGCTCCTTTCTTGAGCTTTTCCTTTTAATTATTTTTAGTTTTTACTCAAACTATGTTTGTCAGAAGTTTTTAAGAAATCCTCAGATATATTTTATATTTCTTGCTTCTCTGATAAGATCTGTCTGTTGCTTTTCTTAAATAAACTTTGGCTACATATGTAACTTTCGGGTTCAATTTTGATCCTGTAACAATTTACAAACATTGTTGCACAGAATTAAAAAAGGTTTTCATCTATTATATCTTCTTCAGCAATATTAATGTAAGTACCATGATCTTCCACCTGTCTCCTCCTGCTGTATTGTCTTCTCTCTAAGGACAAGCATCTTTTAATCTTTTTGTCCTCTTAATCCTGTTCTCGCTGATCATATTTTCAAAGCTCTTTTCTAATTTTAGCTTCTTCTAATGTGGCTTTCATTTCTCTAATAATTTTATTTTATTTTTTACTGCTGTTTATCATGTGTCAAATTATCTTATCCCTCATTTGGTTTCTTTGTCTTCTTTGAGCTTCATTTTCCCCCGGAGTCCAAGTTATTTATTTGTTTATTTTTTGGAATTTACTTTATTTGAAATTTTCTTCTGTAAATTTCTTTGCAGTACTTCTTTGGATGTTTAGTTTTCAATCAATTATTTTCACTCCTTATATTCTTCTCTTTTTTTCTTTCATAACACCTCAGTATAGACCTTGTGCTGCCTCCTTTTTAACTGTTGTTCACCTTTCAGTGAGGCTTCCTAAATCTTGGCCACCTATTTGCTCAACGATGGTATGGGGAGGTGTTATGAACTAAATGCTTGTGTCCTTCAACAAATGCGTATGTTGCAACCCTACCCCCAATGTGATAGTATTAGGAGGTGGGGTCTTTGGGTGGTTTTTAGGATTAAATGAGGTAATGACAGTGGAGCCCTCCTAGTGTCCTAAGAGAGCTTGCTTCCCATCTCTGCTATGTAAGGACACAGCAAGAAGGCATCATCTATGAACCAGGAAGTGGGCCCTCACTAGACACAGAATCTGCCAGAACCTTGGTGTTAGACTTCCCAGGCACCAGAACTATGAGAAATAAATGTTTGTTGTTCAAGCCATCCAGTCTATGAGTGATATTTTGTTATAGCAGTCCAAGCTAAGACAGGAGGGCAGGGGAATGATACAGTCTTGGATTGTAATCGCAAACAGATTCCTACCAAAATTTCTCCATCACCTTTCCTCTGAGGTAGATCTCCCTCTAGTTTGTAAGCTCTTCTTTTCTGGGGATGAGCAGGAGTTCCTTGAGGGTTGCAGGGAAGCTGGCATGTCATAAATCCTCCATGTGCTAGTCTAGCATGTATATTTAAAAATCTGCGCATATAACTTCAGCCAGCAGTAGAACTGCAGTTACCACTTCCCGTCTCTTCTATTCTCTGTCACTCCTCTGGCCTGCTTCCCCACTTGTGAGGCACTATTGTTTTTGGCAGATGTTCTTCCTAGTTCAAGGTTTGAATTTGTGGTGCGTTTTCAGTTTCATTAGAGATGATGTTGTCTTCACATTTTGTTGCTTTCAGTGTGCTTTGGGGAGAACTGGTAAACAAAAATCATTTATTCCTTTAACTTTAATTGAAAATCCCCACACAAGTGGTTTATTGTTTTTGCAGTCTAAAGCAATCTCATTAAGAGTGATTTGAAAGGATTCCCAGTGACTCTATTGTGTGATAAATTTATGAAAATACAAATCTACTAGGGCATCACCAAAGTCACTGAGAAGACTAGGAGTTTTCAGCTAGCAAGAGTCCATTCAAGGTCATATTCCCAAAACATTTGTTCCCGAATCATTAACTCATAAAATGGCAGGTTGGAATGTGTACCAGCAAAGTTGGGGATGAGACTAGCAAGCTGCAATTTCGGCCTAATTAGTTTTGACATTATTTAGTAGGAAATGAGGGAGCCATTGAAGTCTTTACCAGGGAAGTCATTTGATTACAACTCTGTTTGAGAAAGATGGATTGGAGAGACGAGAGAGAAAGGAGTAACAGAGAGGGCACTGGTTAAGAGGCTGCTGCCGTCAGTCAGCCAAGAGGTAATATCTTTTGTAGTTCGTGTTGTTTCTTACTCACTACTCTAGATCCTGTGTTAAATAGAGAATAAAAAGAGAAAACTGTTACTTATATCTTGGCCAGCTCTGTGTTGTTAATGGCATTTCTCTCAATGCCTCACTGCTTGTCCATTATTGAAATACAGTAATTCTTAGTCAGATATAGTTGATAACTACCTGAAATACATATAATGATACATTTATTTATGGTACATTCCTACTTTGGAAAATGCACTTTTGGACATTTGAGAAGAAATGAGGAGTACAACATTGTTTTACCCTCAAAAAGTTTGCATTTTATAATGTGATTGGCAGAATAATAGCCCCCAAAAGATTTCTATGTCTAATACTCCAGAATGTGTGAATATGTACCTTACTTGGCAAAGAAACTATCCAGATGTGATTAAGGTTAAGAACTTTGAGATGAGGATGACCAAATAAATGCCTTTAAGAGTTGAAAGCAAAACAGGCATTAAGAAGAACTTTAAGAAGGAGAGGACATGTAATCAGGCCCTTGAGGTTGACTAAAGTTTCCAGAAGTAGAGATGAGGTAAACAAATTTCAGACAGAAGGAATGGGATGAACAGAGGTAAGAAAGTGTGAAAATATGTACTGTGATTGAGAAAAAGTGGAGAAATCAGTTCTATAGTATATGGGATTAAATTAATATTCATAAAATAGTTCTTTTATTACTAAATATTTTTATTGAATTATAAATTTATAAGATATTTGGGTCGCAAAGATGTAGGGAAATGTAGAACCAAACTGTGAAAAGTTTTTAATACCAGGATTCAGAACCAGATTGTAAAAAGTTTTTAATACCAGGCAAATTATATTATTGTTATTTAACATATATTAAAAATAACATATATATGTTAATGTGTATATATATGTGTGTGTGTGTGTGTGTGTGTATATATATATATATATATATATATATATATATATATATACATACATACATCAGAAACTTGTTGCCTTGTAACATAATGTAGAGCCTTGGCCATGCACAGTGGCTCACACCTGTAATCCCATGCTTTGGGAAGCCAAGGCAAGAGGATTTCTTGAGGTCAGGAGTTTAAGACCAGCAAATATGGATGAAAGGAAGTGAAAGGAAGAAAGGGAGGATAAAAATGGTTAGGATATTTCCAGCCTGGGTGCCTGGGAGAATATGATTTATTAACAGATAAAGGAAAATAAGGAGGATCTGGTTTGGAGGGCCAGGTTGGGTTTTTGGACATGTGAAGTTTGAGGCTGTAAATGCTTCATCTAAGTGGAACTATATAGTTGACATCTAGAAATGGCAGTCTGGCAGAGTAAAGATCATAAGTTTGTGATAAAATTTGCTTGTAGAAATGGAAATAAAAACCACAATGAGATGCCATCTCACACCAATTAGAATGGCTATTACTAAAACCCCAAAAAATAACCATTGCTTTTGGGGTTGTGGAGAAAAGGGAACTCTTATACACTGTTGGTAGGAGTGTAAATTAGTTCAACCATTGTGGAAAGCAGTATGGTGATGCCTCAAAATGCTAAGAGCAGAACTACCATTCGACCCAGCTATCCCAGGAATATACCCAGGTATATACCCAAAGGAATTTAAAGTATTCTACCATAAGGGAACATACACTCAAATGTTCATTGCAGCACTATTCATAATAGCAAAGACATGGAATCAACCTAAATGCTCATCAGTGGCAGATTGGATAAAGAAAATGTGGTACACATACACTATGGAATATTATGCAGCCAAAAAGAAGAATGAGATTATGTCTTTTGCAGGAACATGGATGGAGCTGGAGGCATTTAATATCCTTAGTAAACTAACACAGGAACAGAGAACCAAATACTGCACGTTCTCACTTATAAGTGGGAGATAAATGATGAGAACTTGTGAACACAAAGAAGGAAACAACAGACACTGCAGTTTACTTTACAGGGAGGTTGGGAGGAGGTAAAGGAGCAGAAAAGTATGTATTGGGTACTGGGCTTAATACCTGGGTGATAAAAAGATACGTACAACAAACCCCCATGACACATGTTTATCTGTGTAACAAACCTTCACATGCACCTCCAAACCTAAAACAAAAGTTAAGAAAATAAAATTTGGTCATCAACATATAGGGAGGATAATTTTAGAGGTGAACATTGATGAGAGAGTAATTTGACTGGATACATGAAGAGGGAAAGAGAGCTAAAGAAATAAAAAGGTCATGGAGAGGTTGCTGTGTTCATTATCTTTGACAATCTTCCTTTGCTTCTGTTGGTGAGAAGACTAGTTGACTCACAGAGGCTCTGCCATACTGCAGCAACTGTAAGCTAATGTTTTCTTACTCTTGAACTCATTGACCTTCTCACTGGCCTGAGATATGAAGATTTGACAAACCTATTTTGTAATGGTCTAACACATCCAGATTTTGCCAAACTACTTGAGCCAGTTTAAAGAAATGAGAACTCTGGCGACAAAATAATACATGTTTCGGGGGAAGCAGATATTGTGGGAGTGGGGAAGATGGGCAATTGGGACCACTGGCCCAAGCATACAGTATTTGCTCTCCGCATGCTGCCACTTTGCCACTAGAATTAAAAGTCCTCAGCTTGAGCTGTGTATCCTAAGAAAAACAGAAAATTCAAGTACTCTTTTTCTCTTCTGAGTTTATGGGAATGGGTAGTAATGAAAGCATAATCTTTGTGAATGAAAAAGCTGATCTGCACCCATATTGGTGTAGTCTGGGGATACTTCAATACTTCTAAATAGCTTTTGCTCTCATATAGTTCTTCATAGTATTGGCTATCGCAGCTGTACCCAAAGTTTTTAATTTGCTTAAATTTATCCTGGGAATTTTTGGAAACTGGAGCTTTGTAGGGGTTCCTCTCATTCTCACATTGTAATTCTCATGAGAATTTCTCCCCTGCAAAGTTATGTGGCTCTCCATCTGGCTATATTCATAAGTCATCCTTCTCATATAACTTAGATCAAATGCATTAGTTTCCTTGGAATTAGATTAGCATCTTGATCTGAGAGCTTTCTTGGCTTTTCCTGCTGACAAGAGATGAAAGCCTCATAAATAAAAATGAGGCTTTGTTTGCCTTTATGTTGTGATGTACCCTGTGGAAGAGGAAGACAATTAGATCTAAACATCTTTTTATTCAATGTTACAGATATTTTTTTCTTTCATGGCTTGACCCTAGTTCCCTCTCTTCCAGTATTAACTACTGTGCAGATTGTATAATAGCACTGGAAAATTAAATAGCAACCTTCAAACTAGCATTTGCTTCTTTTGACTACTTCGGAAATCTTCTCAGTGGGGGATGTGAGTTTTTTGTGCTTCACTATCAGTGATTATCATTCTAAATCGAGTGATAGTGAATTATTTTTTCCTGAAAATTTTGTCAAAAATAGTCAATAATAATTGACAATCGAGTCTGAATAAAATACCATAATAAAGTCTGCATGCATTAGACTGGAAGTAGAGCATTGGTTAAACATTTATAGATGGCACTAAGTACTAAGGGAATTCTGGGACACAGATTCAGACATAGAATTCACCTGACTTGAGGTGTAACTGTATAAAGTTATGACATCAGATTTGACTTTATTAATATGATGTTATTTGAGATAGTTCTACTTTTATATTAAAATAACTTTGAAGTAGTAAGCTTTTTGTTATTATTAATATAATGCTGATAATGTTATTGGTCATAATAATCTATAGTATTTAAGGGTAAAGTAGTTAGGATCTGGAAGAGGGCTGTGGCTGTACAATTTCAATAAATAGTAGAAGTCAGTGTTTCTGAGACCAAAGTTAAAGAGTTATAGGGAGAGAAAGAGGTATGTGGTATCAAAAACAGAAGGCTGAACCTATCATTGAAAAATGAAGATGAAGACAGCCTTGCAATAATAAGACTGATTCAAGCCGAGAGACAGCTGATGGAAAACACCTGAAGATGGCAGTAGAAATAATTTTGTGTCATTGAAGCATATTCAGGTTTCTCAGCTTAGGTGTATTAGTCCATTTTCACACTCCTATAAAGACATACTCGAGACCGGGTAATTTATAAAGAAAAGACATTACTGGGTATATACCCAAAGGATTATAAATCATGCTACTATAAAGACATATGCACACGTATGTTTATTGCAGCACTATTCACAATAGCAAAGAGTTGGAACCAACCCAAATGTCCAACAATCATAGACTGGATTAAGAAAATGTGGCACATATACACCATGGAATACTATGCAGCCATAAAAAATGATGAGTTCGTGTCCTTTGTAGGGACATGGATGAAGCTGGAAACCATCATTCTCAGCAAACTATCGCAACGACAAAAAACCAAACGTGGCATGTTCTCACTCATAGGTGGGAATTGAACAATGAGAACACATGGACACAGGAAGTGGAACATCACACACCGGGGACTGTTGTGGGGTGGGGGGAGGGGGGAGGGATGGCATTAGGAGATATACCTAATGCTAAATGAGGAGTTAATGGGTGCAGCACACCAACATGGCACATGTATACGTATGTAACAAACCTGCACGTTGTGCACATGTACCCTAAAACTTAAAGTATAATAATAATAAAAAAATAAAATAAAATAAAGTAAAAAAAAGAAAAGACATTTAATTGACTCACAGCTCTGCATGGCTGGGGAGGCCCCAGGAAACTTACAATTATGGTGGAAGGAGAAGCAGACACCTTCTTCACAAAGTGGCAGGAGAGAGTGTGAGTGAAAAGCCCAGGGGAAACTGCCATTTATGAAACCATCAGATCTCATGTAAACTCACTCACTATCACAAGAAGAGCATGGGGGAAATCTGCCCCCATGATCTAATCACCTCCTACCAGGTCCCTCCCTCAACAACTGGGGATTACAATTCAAGATGAGATTTAGGTGGGGACAGAACCATATCATTAGGAGAATATGAAATTCCAAGGTTTTTTGGAATTAAAAAAATTATTTTTAACTTTTGTGGTATGTAGTAGGCATACATATTTATGGAGTATATGAGCTATTTTGATACAGGCATCCAATGCATAATAATTACATCAGGGTAAATGGAGTACCCATCACCTCAAGCATTTATTCTTTCTTTGTGTTACAAACAATCCAATTATATTTTTAGTTACTTGAAAATGTATAATAATTATTGTAGACTCTAGTCACCCTGTTATGCTATCAAATACTAGGTCTTATGCATTTTATCTAACTATATTTTTGTACCCATTAGCCATCTCCCCTTGGCCGCTCACCCAACTACCCTTTCCAGCCTCTAGTAACCATCATTCTACTCCCTATCTCTATGAAGTCAGTTGTTTTCATTTTTAGCTCCCACAAATAGGTGAAAACAAGTGAAATTTGTCTTTCTGTGCCTCGCTTATTTCATGTAACATAATGATCTCCAGTTCCATCCATGTTACATATGACAGAATCTCATTTTTTGTAGATTGAATAGTATTCCATTGTGTATATGTACTACATATTCTTTATACAATCATCTGTTGATGGACACTTAGGTTGCTTCCAAATCTTGGTTATGGTGAATAGTGCTGCAATAAACATGGGAGTGCAGCTATCTCTTCAATATACTGATTTCCATTCTTTTGGGTACATACTTAGCAGTGGGATTTCTGGATCACATAGTAGCTCTATTTTTAGTTTTGAGGAACCTCCAAACTCTTCTCCATAGTGGTTGTACTAATTTACATTCCCACCCAACAGTGTGTAAAGGTCCTTTTTCTCCTTATCCTTGCCAGCATTTGTTACTGCCTATCTTTTGGATAAAAGCCATTTTATTTTATTTTACTTTTTAAAATTATAATTACTTTTACTATTCCTTTTTAATTTATAATTTTTATTTTAGGTTTGGGGGTACACATGAAGGTTTGTTACATAGATAAACATGTGTCATGGGGGTTTGTTGTATATATTATTACATCACCCAGGTATTAAGCCCAGTATCCAATGAGTACCTTTTCTGTTCCTCTCCTCTTCCCAACCTTCCCCCCAAGTAGACCCCAACGTTTGTTGTTTCCTTCTTTGTGTGCCTAAGTTCTTATCATTTAGCTCCCATTTATAAGTGAGAACATGCACTATTTGGTTTTCTGTTTCTGAGTTAAAGGATGATAGCCTCCAGCTTCATCTATGTTCATGTAAAAGATATCTTATTCTTTATTATGACTGCATAATATTCCATGGTGTATATGTACCCTATTTTCTTTATCCAATCTGTCATTGATGGGTATTTTACTTGATTCCATCTCTTTGCTCTTGTGAATAGTGCTGCAATGAACATTTATTTGCATGTGTCTTTATGGTAGGATGCTTTATATTCCTTTGGGTATATACCCAGCAATGGGATTGCTGGGTCGAATGGTACTTCTGCTTCTAGCTCTTTGAGGAATCACCATACTGCTTTCCACAATGGTGGAATTAATTTACTCTCCCACCAACAGTGTATAAGAGTTCCCTTTTCTCTACAACCTCACCAGCATTGATTATTTTTTGACTTTTTAATAATCACCATTCTGACTGGTGTGAGATGGCATCTCATTGTGATTTTGATTTCCATTTCTCTAATGATCAGTGATATTGAGATTTTTTTTAAATATGCTCGTGGCTGCATGTATGTCTTCCTTTGAGAAGCGTCCATGTCCTTTGCCCAGTTTTTAATGGAGTTGTTTTTCTCTTGTAAATTTGTTTAAATTCCTTAAACATGCTGGATATTATATTAGACATTTGTCTGATGCATAGTTTGCAAGTATTTTCTCCCATTCTGTAGGTTGTCTGTTTACTATGTTGATAGCTTCTTTTGCTGTGCAGAAGCTCTTAAGTTTAATTAGATCACATTTGTCATTTTTTGCTCTTGTTGTGATTGCTTTTGGTGTCTTTGTCATAAAATCTTACCTGTTCCTATGTCAATACCTAGGATGGTATTGCCTAGGTTGCCTTCCAGGGTTTTTATAGTTTTGGGTTTTACATTTAGGTATTGAATCCATCTTGAATTGACTTTTGTATATGGTGTAAGGAAGGAGCCCAGCTTTAATCTTCGGCATATGGCTAGCCAGTTATCCCAGCACCATTTATTGAATAGGGAGTCTTTTCCCCATTGTTTGTTTGTGTCAGCTTTGTCAAATATCAGATGGTTATAGATGTGTGTGGCCTTATTTCTGGGCTCTTTATTCCGTTCCATTGGTCTATGTGTCTGTTGATAAAAGCCATTTTAACTGGGGTAAAATGATATCTCATTGTAGTTTTGTTTTTTATTTCTCTGATGATCAATGATGTTGAACACCTTTCATATACCTGATTTCCTTTTGTATGCCTTCTTTTGAGAAACGTCTATTCAGATTTTTTTGTTCATTTTAAAATCAGATTATTAGATTTTTTTTCCTGTAGAGTTGTTTAAGCTCCTTATATATTCTGGTTATTAATCCTTTATCAGAGGGATAGTTTGCAGATATTTTCTCCATATCTGTGAGTTGTTTCTTCACATTGTTGACTGTTTCCTTTGCTGTGTAGAAGCTTTTTAACTTGTTGTGTTCCTATTTATCCATTTTTGCTTTGGTTGCCTGTGCTTGTGGGATATTACTCAAGAAATCTTTGCTCAGTCCAATGTCCTAGAGAGTTCCCTCAATGTTTTCTTTTAGTAGTTTCACAGCTTGATGTTTTAAAGTCTTTAATCCATTTTGATTCAATTTTTGTATATCGTGAGAGATAAGAGTCTAGTTTCATTCTTCTGCATATGAATATGAATATTTCTCCAGCATTATTTATTGAATAAATTGTCCCTTTTCCAGGGTATGTTCTTGGCTACTTATCAAAATGACATCACCATAGATGTATGGATTTGTTTCTGCATTCTCTATTCTGTCCATTGGTCTATTTGTTTTTCTTTTTATGCTGATACCATGCTGTTTTGATTAATATACATTTGCAGCATGATGTGAAGTCAGGTAATGTGTTCCTCTAGTTTTGTTATTTTTGTTCAGGATAGCTTTGACTATTCTAGGTCTTTTGTGGTTCCATATAAATTTTAAAATTGTTTATTTTTTCAAAAGAATATCATTGGTATTTTGATAAGGACTGCACTGAATCTGTAGATTGATTTGGGTGGTATGAACAGTTAACAATATTGATTTTTCTAATCCATGAAAATGGAATATCATTCCATTTTTTGGTGTCCTCTTCAATTTCCTCCATCAGTGCTTCATAGTTTTCAGTGTAGAGATCTTTTACTTCTTTAAGTTAATTTCGAGGTATTTTATTTCATTTTATTTGTAGCTACTGTAAATAAGAGTACCTTCTTGATTTCTGTTTGAGATTGTTAGCTCTTGACATATGAAAGTTGTACTGATTTTTGTGTGTTGACTGTGTATTCTGCAACTTTACTAAATTTGTTTATCAATTCTAATAGTTTTTTGGTGGAGTCCTTACGTTTCTCCAAATATAAGATCATACCATATGAAAACAAGGATACTTGGTATTCTTCCTTTCCAATTTGTATGCCTTTTCTTTTATCCTCTCCTCTCCTTTCCTTTCGTTTCCTTTCCTTTCTCTTGTCTGATTGCTCTAGCTAGGACTTCCAGTACTCTGTTGAATAACAGTGGTAAAAGTGGGCATCCCTGTTATCTTCCAGATCTTAGAGGCAAGGCTTTCAGTTTTTCCCAATTCAGTATGATATTAGCTATGAGTCTGTTATAAATGGCTTTTATTGTGTATAGGTATGTTCCTTCTAACCCCAGTTTTTTTGAGGATTTTTTTTTTTTATCGTGAAGGGACATTGAATTTTATCAAATGCTTTTTCGGCATCAATTGAAATGGTCATATTGATTTCATCCTTTATTCAGTTGATATAATATATCACATAGACTGATTTGTGTATGTTAAACCGTCTTTGCATCCCTGGGATAAATCCCGCTTGGTCATGATAAGCAATGTTTTTAATGTGTTGTTGAATTTGGTTTACCAATATTTTGTTGAGGATTTTTCATCAGTGTTCACTGGGGATATGGGCCTATAGTTTTGTTTTTTTTTTTCTTGATGTGTTTTTGTCCGGTTTTGGTATCAGAGTAATACTGGCCTCATAGAATGAATTTAAAAGTATTCCCTTCTCATTTTTTTGAAATAGTTTATGTAGGATTTGTATTAGTTCTTCTTTAAATGTTTGGTAAGATTCAGCAGTAAATCCATCAGGTCCCAGGATTTTCTTTGCTGGGATAGTTTTCATTATGGCTGGCTTTGATCTCACTACTTGTTATTGATCTTTTCAGGTTTTGGATTTCTTCATGGTACAGTCTTGGTAGGCTATATGTGTCTAGGAATTTATGCATTTCTTCTAAGTTTTCCAATTTATTGGCATATAGTTGCTCAGAGTAGCTTCTGTTTATCCTTTTGTTTCTGTGGTATTGGTGGTAATGTGTCCTTTTCCACCTTGATTTTATTTACTTGAGTCTTCTTTCTTTTTTCCTCAGTTAGTCTGGATAAAGATTTGTTGATTTTTTTTATATTTTCAAAAAAACAACTTTTTGTTTGACCATTTGTATTGTTTTCTTCATCTCAATTTCATTTGTTTCTGCTTTGATCTTTATTATTTCTTTTCTTCTACTAATTTGGGATTTGGTTTGCTCTTCTCTTTCCAGTTCTTTAAGACATGTCATTAGGTTGTTCCTTTGTAGTTTTTCTGGTTCTTTGATGTAGGTGCTTATAGTTATAAACTTTCCTCTTATTACTGCTTTCTTTGTATCCCATAAGGTTTGATATGTTGTGTTTTCATTATTGTTTGTTTCAAGAAATTTTTAAATTTTCTTCTTACTTTCTTCATTGCCCCACTGGTCATTCAGGAGCATATTGTTTAATTTCCATGTGTTTGTATAGTTTCCAATATTTCTTTTGTTATTGATTTCTAGCTTTATTCCATTGTGGTCAGAGAAGTTACTTGATACAATTTCAATTTTTAAAAAATGTTTTAAGACTTGTTTTGTGGCCTAACATATGGCCTATCCTTGAGAATGATTCATATGCTGAGGAGAAGAATGCATATGATGCAGCATTAGAGGAAATATTCGTTAAATATATATTAGGTGCATTTGTTCTATAATGCAGATTAAATCTAATTTTTTTTGTTGATTTCCTGTCTGAATGATCTGTCCAATGCTGAACATGAGGTGTTAACATCTCTGGCTATTATTATATTGGGGGCTATCTCTCTCTTTAGCTCTAATGGTATTTGTTTTATATATCTGGGTGGTCCAATGTTGGACGCATATATATTTACAATTGTTATATCCTCCTGCTGAATTGACCCCTTTATCATTGTATAATGACTTCTTTTTTCTCTTCTTTATGGTTTTTATCTTGTAATCTTTTTTTGTCTAAGTATAGCTAGTCCTGTTCTTTATTTGTTTGCCTTTTATGGAATATCTTTTTCCATTTCTTTATTTTCAGTCTATGTATTAGAGGTGGTGTGTTTGTGTGTTTTTTATAGGCAACATATCGAGTCTTGGTTTTTTATCCATTCAGTGACTCTATGTCTTTTTTTTTTTTTTTTTTTTTTTTTTGAGTCACAGTCTTGCTCTGTTGCCCAGGCTGGAGTGCAATGGCGTGATCTTTGGGTCACTGCAATCTCCGCCTCCCAGGTTCAAGCAATTCTCCTGCCTCAGCCTTCCAAGTAGCTGGGATGACTGGCACCCACCACCAAGCCCGGTTAATTTTTGTATTTTCAGTAGAGACGGGGTTTCACCATATTGGCCAGGCTGGTCTCTTTGCTAGGCTGCTCTCGACTCCTGACCTCGTGATCTGCCTGCCTCAGCCTCCCAAAGTGCTGGGATTACAGGTGTGAGCCACCGTGCCTGGCTCACTCTATGTCTTTTGATTGGAGTGTTAGTTCATTTACATTCAATATTATTATTCATGAATAAGAATTTACTTCTGCCATTTTGTTATTTGTTTTTTGTTTGTTTTTGGTCTTCTCTTTCTTCTTTCCTTTATTCCTGTCTTCCTTTCATTGAAGGTGTTTTTCTCTGGTGATATTTAGTTTTTTGCTTTTGTGTGTGTGTATCTGTTGTATGTTTTGTTATTTGAGGTTTCCATGAGTCTTGCAAATAATATATTATAGCCCAGTATTTTAAATCGATGACTTAACACTGATTGCATAAACAAATAATCAAATTAACAAATAAAGAGAAAACTAATAAAAATTCAACCTTTTAACTTCCTTCCCCTGCTTTTTAAGTTTCTGTTGTTTTTACTTGTATCTTTTTGTAGATAAGATACAAGAGGTCCAAAATTAGATCTCTGTAGTCTCTGACTTAAAAAGTTGTTGTAGTTATTATTTCTCATTGGTTCATTTTTTAGTCTTTTTACTCAAGATATAAATAGTTTACACACCACAATGACAGTGTTGTAATATTCTTTGTTTTAGTGTGTACTTACTATTGCCAGTGAGATTTCTATTTTCAGATGATTTATTATTGCTCATTAACATCCTTTTCTTTCAGACTGAGGATCCCCCTTTAGCATTTCTTGTAGGACTGGTTTGGTGTTGATAAAATCCCTCAGGTTGTGGCTCACGCCTGTAATCCCAGCACTTTGGGAGGCCGAGGCGGGTGGATCATGAGGTCAGGAGATCGAGACCATCCTGGCTAACAAGGTGAAACCCCATCTCTACTAAAAATACAAAAAATTAGCCGGGCGCGGTGGCGGGCGCCTGTAGTCCCAGCTACTCGGGAGGCTGAGGCAGGAGAATGGCGTGAACCCGGGAAGCGGAGCTTGCAGTGAGCCGAGATTGCGCCACTGCAGTCCGCAGTCCGGCCTGGGCGACAGAGCGAGACTCCGTCTCAAAAAAAAAAAAAAAAAAAAAAAAAAAATCCCTCAGGTTTTGAAGGATAGTTTTGCTGGATATACCATTCTAGGGTAGAAGTGTTCTTCCCTGAGCATGTTATGCATGTCATGACACCCTCTCCTGACCTGTAAGGTTTCCACTGAGAAGTCTGCTGCCAGATGTATTGGAGCTCCATTGTATGTTATTTGTTTCTCTTCTCTTGTGACTTTTAGGATTCCTTCTTCATCCTTGACCTTTGGAAGTTTGATTATTAAATGTCTTGAGGTAGTTTTCTTTCAATTACATCTGCTTAGTATTCTATAACTGTCTTACACTTGATAACAGTATAATGTTGGCTATGGGTTTGTTGTAGATGGCTCTTATTATTTTGAAATATGTTCTTTTGTATTAGTTTGTTCTTGCATTGCTACAAAGAAATATGCGAGACTGGGTAATTTATAAGAAAAAGAGGTTTAATTGGCTTAGGGTTCTGCAGGCTGTACAAAATACATGATGCTGGCATCTGCTCAGCTTCCGGGGAGGCCTCAGGAAACTTACAATCATGGTGAAAGGCAAAGAGGGAGCAAGCACAGCATGTGGCCAGAGCAGGAGCAAGAGGAAGAAGTGGGGAAGGTGCCACAGACTATTTAATAACTAGATCTCATGAGAATTCACTCGCTATTGTGTGGACAGCATCAAGGGAATGATGCTAAGCCATTTGTGAGAAACCTGCCCCCATGATCCAATCACCGCCTACTAGACCCCACCTCCAACACTGGGGATTACATTTCCACATTAGATATGAGTAGGAACGCAGATTCAAACCGTATCATCTTTCAATGCCTAATCTGTTGAGGGCTTTTATCATGAAGGGATGTTGGATTTTATCAAAGGCTTTTTATGTGTCTATTGAGATAATCTTATGGTTTTTGCTTTTGATTCTGTTTATGTGGTGAATCGCATTTGTTGACTTGTGTATGTTGAACCAACATTGCATCCCAGAAATAAAACCTACTTGATCATGATAAATTACCTTTTTGATGTACTGCTGGGTTTGGTTTGCTAGTATTCTGTTGATATTTTTCTGTCTATGTTAATCAGGGATATTGGCCTTTTTCTATTGTGTCTCTGCCAGGTTTTGGTATTAGGATGATACTGGCTTCATAGAATGAGTTAGGGAAATGCTGCTACTCCTTCATTTTTTGAATAGTTTCAGTAAGAATTTTTATTACTGATTTAATTTCCAAATTTGTTATTGGTCTGTTCAGATTTTTGACTTTCCTCCTGATTAAATCTTGGGAGGTTGTGTGTTTTTAGGAATTTAATTATTTCCTCTAGTTTTCCTAATTTGTGTGCATAGCATGTTCATAATAGACCTGAGGATCTTTTGTATTTCTGTAAGATCAGTTGTGAGTTGTTTTTGTCATTTCTGATTGTGCTTATTTGGACCTTTTCTTTTTCTTTGTTAATATAGCTTATGGTCTATCAATCTTGTTTATTCTTTTGAAAAACCAATGCTCGCTCTCATTGATCTTTTGTATGGACTTTTGTTCTCAATTTCTTTCAGTTCTTCTTTGATTTTAGTTCATTTTTTTCTTCTATTAGCTTTGAAGTTGGATTGTTCTTTTTCATTCTAGTTCCTCCAGTTGCTCTTTTAAGTTGTTAATTTGAGAGCTTTGTAACCTCTTGATTAAGGCATTCAGTGCTATAAATTTTCCTTTTTACACATCTTTAGCTGCATCCCAAAGGTATTGGTATGTTGTATCACTATTTTCATTTATTTCAAAAAATTTTTTGATTTCTGTCTTAATTTTATTGTTTACCCAAGAGTTAATCAGAAGCAAGTTGTTTAGTTTCCATGTTGCTGTGTAGTTTTTGAGTGATCTTCTTGGTGTTAATTTGGTCAATCTTAGAATATGAGAAAAATGTATATTATGTGGTTTTTCAGTGGAGTACTCTGTAAATGTCTATTACGTTGAATTGGTCAAGTGTCAAGTTTAAGTTCAGAATTTCTCTGTTAGTTTTCTACCTTAATGGTCTGTCTAATGCTGTGAGGGTGGTGTTAAAATCCCCCATTATTATTGTGTGGCCATCCACAGTTTTTTTTATAAGTCAAGAAGAACTTGTTTATGAATCTGGATGGTCCTATGTTGGGTGCATGTATCTTTAGGATAATTACATCTTCTTGTTGAATGGACCCCTAAATCAGTGTTTACTGCCATTGTTTATCCTTCCTGATTGTTATTGGTTTAAAATCTGTTTTATTTGATATAAGAATAGAGGCTCCTGCTCTTTTTTGTTTCTGTTTGCTTGGTAGATCATCCTCCATCCCTTTACTTTGAGCCTGTGTGTGTCATCACATGTGCAGACTGTTGGGTCTTGTCTTTCTGTCCAGATTGCCAGTCTATGCCTTTTAAGTGGGGTATGTAGACCATTTATATTCTGGGTAATGTATTGATAGATAAGATTTTGATCCTGTCATCCTGTTGTTGGTTGTTTGTTTTGTAGATTTGATTATGTAGTTGTTTATATTGTCTGTGGGCTATCTGTTTAAGTGTATTTATGAGGTAGCAGGCTTTTGTCCTTTGTTTCTATGTTTACCACTTTGTTAAGAAGCTCCTGTAAAGGTGGTCTGGTGATAACAAATTCCCTTAGTGCTTACTTGACTGAGAAGGATTTTATTTCTCCTTTGCTTATGAAGCTTAGCTAGGTGGGGTATAATATTTTTGGTTATAATTTTTTTTGCCTTAAGAATGATAAAAACAGGTCCCCAAATTTTCTGTCTTTTAGGTTTTCTGCTGAGGGGTCTGCTGCTAGCCTGAAAAGGTTTTCTTTGGAGGTGACCCAACCTTTCTCTCTAGTTTTCTTGAAGATTTTTTTCTTTTGTTTTGACCTTGGTGAATCTGTTGACTATATACCTTGGGGATGGTTATCTTATATAGTCTCTTGCAGAGGTTCTCTGTATTTTTTGAATGTGTATGTCCTCTTCCCTACCAAGTTTGGGGAAACTTTCATGGGCTATATATTCAAATATATTTTCCAAGTTACTTACCCTCTATCCTTCTCTTTTTGGAATGCCAGTGAGTTACAAATTTTGTCTCTTTATGTAATCTCATATTTCTTGAAGCCTTTGTTCATTTTTATAATTTTTTTTAAATGTCTGTCTGAGTTGATTCAAAGAGCTGGCATTAAAGCTCTGAGATTTTTTCTTCAGCTTGATCTATTCTGCTTTTGATTCTTCTGATTGTGTTGTAGAATTATTGAAGTAAATTTTTTAGTTTCTGAAGTTCAATTTGGTTCTTTCTTTATATGACTATTTAATCTTTCAGCCCTTGGATTGTCTTATTGGATTCCTTGCATTCGATTTCAACTTTCTTTTTGATCCCATTGAGCCATTGAGCTATTTTGGCATACAGATTCTGAATTCTATGCCCATCATTTCAGTCATCTTACTCTGGCTAAGAACTGTATTTGGGAGACTAGTGTTTATATTTGTAGGTAAGGAGGCACACTGGCTTTTGGAGTTGTGAGTTGTTGTGCTGATTCTTTCTCATGTGTAAGAGCTATCATTCTTCTAACTATGATGTAGGTTGAATATAGTCAGTTGGCTTCATTTCTGGGTGTTTTCAGAGGGTCAGCACTGTACAAAATGTTTATTTGTGGCTGGATCTTTGCGTTAGTTTTCACAGGCAATGCATACTGGTAAAATATATTGTTGTATTTTGGGCTGCCCTCAGTAGGTGGTGCTTAAGAGTGTTAGCTGGCAGATAGGCTATGATATGGTTTGGATTTGTGTTCCCACCCAAATCTCATGTTAAATTGGAGGAGGGACCTGGTGGGAGGTGATTGGATCATGGGGTGGAATTCCCCCTTGCTGTTCTCGTGATAGTGAGTGAATTCTCTTGAGATCTGATGGGTTTAAAATATATGGTGCTTCCCCCTTATCTCTTTTTCTCTCCTGCCACCATGGTAAGATGTGCTTGCTTCCCCTTCATCCTTCCACCATTATTGTAAGTTTCCTGAGGCCTCCCAGCCATGCTTCCTGTTAAGTCTGCAGAACTGTGAGTCAATTAAACCTCTTTTCTTCATAAATTTCCCAGTCTCTGGTAGTTCTTTCTAGTAGTGTGAAAACAGACTAATATAGAGAACTGGTACCAGGATTGTGCAGCTATGAAGATACCTGAAAATGTGGAATCAACTTGGAATTGCATAATGGGCAGAGATTGGAACAGTTCCAAGGGCTCAGAAGAATAAAAGAAGATGTGAGAAAATTTAGAACTTCCTAGAAACTTGTTTAATTGTTTTGACCAAAATGCTGATAGTGATATGGACAATTAAGTCCAGGCTGAGGTAGTCTTAGATGGAGATGAGGAACTTTTCAAGAACTAAATTAAAGGTCACTTTTGTTATGCTTTAGTAAAGTGACTGGTGACGTTTTGCCCCTGCCTGAGAGATCTGTGGAACTTTGGACTTCAGAGAGATGACTTGGGGTATCTGGCAGAAGAAATTTCTAAGCAGCAAAGCATTCAAGAAGTGACCTGGCTGTTTCTAAAAGTGAACACTCATATGTATGAACAAAGAGGTTATCTGAAACTGGAACTTACATTTAAAAGGGAAGCAGAATTTAAAAGTTTGGAAAATTTGCAAGCTGACCATATGGTAAAAAAGAAAAACCCATTTTCTGAAGAGAAATACAAGCCAGTTGCAGAAACTTGCATAAGTAAAGAAGACCCAAATGTTAATAGCTGAGACAGTGGGGAAAATGTCTCCAGGGCATGTCAGAGACCTTCACAGCACTCCTCCATTCACAGGCCTGGAGACCTAGGAGGGAAAAATGGCTTTGTGGGCTGGGCCCAGAGTTCTGCTGCTCTGTGCAGCCTTGGGACTTGGCATGCTGCATCCCAGCTGCTCCAACTCCAGCTGTGGCTAAAAGGGGCCAACATACAGCTCAGGCTGTTGCTTCAGAGAATGCAAGCCCCAAGCTTTGGTGGCTTCCACATGGTGATGGGCCTGAGGGTGCACATTTTTCAACTTTAGAAATTCTGTTTTATTCCTTTTGATTATTTCCCTCTATTTGATAAATGTAGCTAATAGGATTCTGAATTCCTATTTACTGTTATCTATAATTTTGTTGAACTTCCTCAGAACAGCTATTTGAAATTTTCTGTCTGAAAGGTGACATATCTCTTTTCTTTCCATGATTGGTCCCTGGTGCCTTTTTTAGTTCATTTGGTGAGGTCATGTTTTCCTGGATAGTCCTGAGGCTTGTGGATATCTGTCAGCTTCTGGATATTGAAGACTTAAATATTTATTATAATATTCTTGGACTGGGCTTCTATGCACCTGTCCTTCTTGGGAAGACTTTCCAGATACTCGAAGGGATTTGGGTGTTATAATCTAAGTTTTTGCTCTCTCCAGCCATATCTGCATTAGGGAGCACTCCAAGCTCAGTAACACTGTGGCTCTTGCAGACTCACAGAGGTACTGCCTTGGTGGTCTTGGATGACATCTGGAAGAGTTTTCTGGATTATGAGTTAGAGACTCTTGTTCTGTTCCCTTACATTACCCCAAACAAACAGTCTCTCTTTTTGTGCTGAGCTGGCTGGAGTTGAGAAAGGGGTGACACAAACACCCCTGTGGTCACTACCATTGAGGCTGTACTGGGTCAGACTTGAAGCCAGCATAGCACTGGGTTTTGCCCAAGGCTTACAATGACCACTGTCTGGTCACTGCCTATGTTCACTCAAGGCCCTAGGCCTCTACAATCAGCAGATGGCAAAGCAAGCCAGGTCTGTGTCTTTCCTTTCTGGTTGGCAAGTTACCTGAGCCCCAGAGGGGGCCCAGAGTTGTTGTCTGGGAGCCAGGGGTGGAGTTGAAAACCCTAGGAATCTATCTACTGCTGTATTCTACTCTGGATGAGCTGGCACCAGAGCCACAAGATGAAGTCTTTCCCTCGCTTTTTTCCACTTTCCACAAGCAGAGGAGTCTCTCTCTGTGGCCACCACAGTTGGGAGTGTGCTGGATAACACCTGAAGCCAACATGTTCCTGAGTCTCACAAAAGGCCCATGATGAGTACTGCTTGTGTATCACTGCTGCTATTTAGAGCCCAAATGCTCTTTAGTCAGTAGGTGATGAATCTTTCCATGATTGAGTCTTTCTCTTCAGGTCAGTGGGTTTGTTTTATTTATTTATTTTATTTTTTAATAATTTTTTTTATTTCAATTGGTTTTTGAGGAACAGGTGGTGTTTGGTTACATGAATAAGTTCTTTAGCAGTGATTTCTGAGATTTTGGTGCACTCATCACTCAAGTAGTGTACACTGTACCCAATGTATAGTCTTTTATTCCTTGCCACCCCCCATCACCCCCTACCCTTTCCCTGGGATCCCCAAAGCCCAATGTATCAATCTTATACCTTTGCATCCTCATAGCTTAGCTCCCACATATGAGTAAGAACATATGATGTTTGTTTTTCCATTCCTGAGTTAATTCACTTAGAAAAATAGTCTCCAGTCAAGTAGCTGTGAATGCAATTATTTTGTTCCTTTTTTCTTTTGATATTTCATGGTATATACACACACACACACACACACACACACACATATATATAGCTCACATTTTCTTTATCCACTCATTGATTGATGGGCATTTGGCTGGTTCCATATTTTTGCAATTGCAAATTGTGCTGCTATAAACATGCCTGTGCAAGTATAATGATTTTTTTTCCTCTGGGCAGATACCTAGTAGTGAGATTGTTGATCAAATGGCATATTTACTTTTAGGTCTTTAAGGAATCTCCACACTGTTTTCCATAGTGGTTGTACTAGTGTACATTCCCACCAACAGTGTAAAAGTGTTCCCTTTTCACCACATCCATGACAACATCTATGATTTTTTTTATTATGACCTTTCTTGCAAGAGTGAGGTGATACTGCATTGTGATTTTGATTTGCATTTTCCTGATAATTAGTGATGGTGAGCGTTTTTTCATATGCTTGTTGACTATTTGTGTATCTTCTTTTAAGAATTGTCTATTCATGTCTTTGCCCATTTTTTGATGGGATTTTTTTTTTCTCATTTGTTCATTGTAGATTCTGGGTATTAGTCCTTTGTCAGATGTATAGACTAAAGATTTTCTCCCATTCTGTGGGTTGTCTGTTAGCTCTGCTAATTATTTCTTTTGCTGTGCAGAAGCTTTTTAGTTTAATTAAGTTATATCTATTTATCTTTTTTGTTTGCATTTGCTTTTGGGTGCGTGGTCATCTATTTATCTTTTGTTTGGTTGCATTTGTTTATGGGTTCTTGGTCATGAAGTCTTTGACTAAGCCAGTGTCTAGAAGGGTTTCTCTGACGTTTTCTCCTGGAATCTTTATGGTTTCACGCCTTAGATTTAAGTCTTTGATTCATCTTGAGTTGATTTTTGCCTAAGCTGAGAGATGAGGATCCAGTTTCATTCTTCTACATGTGGCTTGTCAGTTGTCCCATCACCATTGTTTGAATAGGGTGTCCTTTTGCTACTTTTATGTTTTTGTTTGTTTTGTGGAAGATCAGTTGACTGTAACTATTTGGCTTTATTTCTGGGTTCTCTATTCTGTTCCATTGGTGTATGTGCCGATTTTTATACCAGTACCATGCTATTTTGGTGACTATGGCTTTATAGTTGGAAGTTGGGTAATGTGATGCCTCCAGATTTGTTCTTTTTGCTTAGTCTTTCTCGGGGTATGTGGGCTGTCTTTTGGTTCCATATGAATTTTAAGATCATTTTTTCTACTTCTGTGAAGAGAGATGGTGGTATTTTGATGGGAATTGCATGGAATTTGTAGATTGCTTTTGGCAGTATGGTCATTTTCACAATATTGATTCTACCCATCCATGAGCATGGGATATGTTTCCATCTGTTTGTGTTGTCTATTATTTCTTTCAGCAGTGTTTTGTGGTTTTCCCTGTAGAGATCTTTCACGTTTTTTGTTAGGTATATTCCTAAGTATTTTATTTTATTTTTTTTGCAACTATTGTGAAAGGGGTTAAGTTCTTGATTTGATTCTCAGCTTGGTCACTGTTGGTGTATAGCAGAGCAACTGATTTGTGTACTTTAATTTTGTATCCTGAAAGTTTGATGAATTCATTTATCGGTTCTAGGAGCTTTTGGATGGGTCTTTAAGGTTTTCTAGGTACATGATCATATCCTCAGTAAACAGTGACAGTTTGACTTCCTCTTTACTGATTTGGATGCCCTTTACTTCTTCCTCTTGTCTGATTGCTCTGGCTAGGACTTCCAATGCTATGTTGAATAGAAGTGGTGAAAGTGGGCATCCTTGTCTTGTTCCAGTTTTCAGGGGACATGCTTTCAACGTTTACCAATTCAGTATAACGTTGGCTGTGGGTTTGTTGTAGATGGCTCTTATTACCTTAAGATATGTCCCTTCTATGCGGATCTTGCTGAGGGTTTTGATCATAAAGGGGTGCTGTATTCTGCCAAATGCTTTTTCTGCATCTATTGAGATGATCATGTGATTTTTGATTTAATTCTGTTTATGTGGTGTGTCACATTTATTGACTTACATATATAGTAAACCATCCCTGCATCCCCAGTATGAAACCCACTATATCATGGTGGATTATCTTTTTGATATGCTGTTGGATTAGGTTTGCTAGTATTTTATTGAAGATTTTTGCATCTATGTTCATCAGGTATATTGGTCTGTAGTTTTCTCTTTTAGATCTGTCCTTCCCTGGTTTTGGTATTAGGGTGATGCTGGCTTCATAGAATAATTTAGGAAGGAGTCTCTATCTTTCTCTATCTTGTGGAATAGTGTCAATAGGATTAGCCCCAATTTTTCTTTTAATGTCTGATAGGATTCAGCTGTGAATTGATCTGGTCCTGGACTTTTTCTTGTTGGCAATTTTTTTTATTACCATTTCAATCCTGCTGCTTGTTACTGGTCTGTTCAGAGATTCTATGTCTTCCTGGTTTAATCTAGAAGGGCTGTATATTTCCAGGAATTTAACCACCTCCTCTAGGTTTTCTAGTTTATGTATGTAAAAGTGTTCGTAGTAGCCTTGCATAATCTTTTATATTTCTGTGGTATCCATTGTAATATCTTCCATTTCATTTCTAATTGAGCTTATTTGGATCTTCTCTCTTTTTTTCTTGGTTAATCTTCCCAATGGTTAATCAACATTATTTTATTTTTAAAAATAACCAGCTTTTTGCTTCATTTATCTTTTGTGGTTTTTGTTTTTTTTGTTTGTTTGTTTGTTTGTTTCAGTTTCATTTAGTTCTGCTGTTATTTTTGATTTTTTTTTCTTCCACTGGGTTTGGGTTTGGATTGTTTTTGTTTCTCCAATTCTGTGAGGTGTGACCTTAGATTGTCTATTTGTGCTGTTTCAGACTTATTGATATAAGCATTCAATCATTCAATGCTATGAAATGTCCTCTTAGCACTGTTTTTGCTGTATCCCAGTTTTGACAGGTTGTGTCAGTATTATCATTCAGTTCAAATGATTTTTTAATTTCATCTTGATTTCATTGTTGACCCAATGATCATTCAAAAGCAGGTTTTTAAATTTCCATTTATTTGCATGGTTTTAAGGGTTTCTTTCAGAGTTGATTTCCAATTTTATTCCACTGTGGTCTGAGATAGTACTTAATATAATTTCATTTTCTTAAATTTACTGAGACTTGTTTTGTGGCCTATCATATGGTCTATCTTGGAGAATGTTCCATGTGCTGATGAATAGAATGTATATTTTGCAGTTGTGGGGTAGAATGTTCTGCAAATATCTGTTAAGTCCATTTGTTGTAGGGTATAGTTTAAGACCATTCTTTCTTTGTTGACTCTATCTTGATGACTTGTCTAGTGCTGTCAGTGCAGTATTAAAGTCCCACACTATTATTGTGTTACCATCTATCTCATTTCTTAGGTCTACTAGTAATTACTTTATAAATTTTGGAACTCCAGTGTTAGGTGCATATATGTTTAGTATTGTGATATTTTCCTGTTGGACTAGTCCTTTTATCATTATATAATGTCCCTGTTTGTCTTTTTTTACTGCTGTTGCTTCAAAGTTTGTTTTGTCTGATATAAAAATAGCTACTCCTGCTCATTTTTGGTGTCCATTTTCATGGAATATCTTTTCCACAACTTTACCTTAAGTCTATTTAAGTCCTTATGTGTTAGATGAGTCTCCTGAAGACAGCGGAATCTTGGTTGGAGAATTCTTATCCATTCTGCCGTTCTGTATGTTTTAAGTGGAGCATTTAGGCCATTGACATTCAATGTTATTATTGAGATGAGATGTGAGGTACTATTCTATTCATCATGCTATTTGTAACCTGAATAACTCATTTTTTTCAATGTGTTATTGTTATATAGGTCCTGTGAGATTTGTACTTTAAAGAGGATCTATTTTGGTATATTTCAAGGATTTGTTTCAAGATTTAGAGCTCCTTTTAGCAGTTCTTGTAGTGCTGGGTTGGTAGTGGTGAATTCTTTGTTAGTCTGAAAAAGATTTTATCTTTCCTTCATTTACGAAGCTTAGTTTTGCTGGATACAAGATTCTTGGCTGATAATTGTTTTGTTTAAGGAAGCTAGAAATAGGACCCCAATCCTTTCTAGCTTGTATGGTTTCTGTGAGAATTTTGCTGTTAATCCGATAGGTTTTCCTTTATAGGTTACCTGATGCTTTTGACTCACAGCTTTTAAGATTATTTCCTTCATCTTGACTTCAGATAACCTGATGACTATGTCCCTAGGGGATGATCTTTTAGTGATGAATTTCCCAGGTATTCTTTGAACTTCTTGTATTTGGATGTCTAGATCTCCGGCAAGGCCAGGGAAGTTTTCCTTGATTATTCCCTGAAATATATTTTCCAAACTTTTAGATTTCTCTTCTTCTTTGGGAACACCATTTATTGTTAGGTTTGGATGTTTAACATAGTCCTAAACTTTTTGGAAGCTTGGTTTATTTTTTAAAATTCTTTTTCTCTTTGTCTATGATGGATTGGGTTAATTCAACAGCCTTGCCTTCAAGCTCTAAGGTCTTTTCTTCCTCTTGTTTAATTCTATTGCTGAGACATTCCAGTGCATTTTGCATTTCTCTAAGTGTGTCCTTGATTTCCAGAAATTGTGATTGCTTTTTGTTTATGCTATTTATTTCACTGAAGAATTTTCCTTTCATATCCTGTATCGTGTTTTTGATTTCTTTAAGTTGGATTTCACCTTTCTCTGGTACCTCCTGATTAGCTTAATAATTGACTTCTGAATTCTTTTTCTGGCAATTCAGAGATTTTGTCTTGGTTTGGATCCATTACCAGTGAGCTGGTATGATCTTTTGAAGGGACTAAAGCAACTTTTTTTGTCATATTACCAGAATTGTTTTACTGGTTCCTTCACAGCTGGGTAGACTATGTCAGAGGGAAGGTATGGGATTCAAGCACTGCTGTTCAGATTTTTTTGTCCCATGGGGTGCTCCATTGATGTGGTGTTTTCCCCCTTCTCCTAGGAATGGGGCTTCCTGAGAGCCAAACTGTATAGATTGCTTTTGGTCTTCTGAATTGAGCCACCCAGAAGAGCTAGTGGGCTCTGGGCTGGTAGTGGGGAGTGTCTGCAGAGTCCTGTGATGTGATTCATCTTCAGGTCTTGCATCTGTGGATGCCAGCACTTGCTCCAGTGGAGGTAGCAGGGGAGTGAAGTTGACTCTGTGAGGGCCCTTGTTTGTATTTTTGTTTAGCACACTGGTTTTGTGTTCTTTGGCCTCCAGCAAGGTGGTGGCACTTTCAAGAGTGCATCGGCTTCAGTCCTACAGGGAGGAGGAAGCAAACTCACCCTAGGGACACCTGGGTAAGTATTCAGGTTTCTCAGGCAGTGGGCAGGGCCATAGACCTCCCAAGAGATTATGAACTTTGTTTTTAGCTACCAGGACAGATAGAGAAAGACCACCAGGTGGGGGCAGGGATAGGCATTTCTGAGCTCAGCCTTAGCTTGGGCAGGGCTTGCTGCAGCTGCTGTTGGGGTTGGGGGTGTGGTTCCCAGTCCAATGGAATTATATTCCCAGAGGGATTTATGGCTGCATCTGCTGGGTCATACAGGTCACCATGGAAATGGGGGAAAGCTGGCAGTCACAGGCCTCATCCCATTCCCACACAGCCTGCAGTCCTTAAGGCTGGTCTCACTCCTCTCATCTTCCCCAACAGTACCAATTCTATTTCCAGGAAGCTGGTGACCAGGGCTGAGAGCTTGCCCCAGACCACGAGCCTCCCCATTGTGAAAGCAAGCAGACTCCCAGTTTTCCAGCATCTCAGGGAGCTGCAGCAGTGATCCAGTTTCTTTAAAGGGTTTGTGGATTCTCTCGGCACTCCTGGTATGTTCCTGCAATAGTTCATGGAGCAAAAGTTCGTAATGTGAGTCTCCACATGCTGCCCTTTCTGTCCAAGTTGGGGAAGCAAGCTAGTCCCGCTTCCCATCCATCATCTTAATCCAAGTCAGTGGGTTTCTTTCTAGCCCAGGGTGTTTGTAGAAATGTCATCCAAGAACTAGGGCTTGGAATGTTAGAGTCTATCCCAGAGCTATGACCTATGCTCCCTGGGGTTGGGGTAAGAGTGATGCAGGCTCTCCCTTGGCCACTCCAGCTGATGTTTTACTAGGTCACATGCCCCTCAAGTCCACTAGCTCTGAGCCCAGCACCGCAACAGGTTTTGCCCAGGAAATTTTTGTCCTTGTGGACTGGACTGTCTTTCAAGTTTATTTAGAACCCCAGAGCACTTTAGCCTGTGGTGGCAAGGCTTGCCAGAACTCTGGTTCTGCCCACTGAGATGGGTGATTCTCTCTGGCTAGGAATGGTCTAAATGTTCCCTCTGTGGGCACCAGGTGAGTTTTGCCTGGTGTTGCTTTCACTGTGACAGGGCAGCACTGAGTTCCAATGCAAAGTCCCACAATCACTGTGCTCTCCTTCCCCTAAGTGCACAGATTCTCTCTCAGTAATATGTGGCCACTGCCACAGGAAGGGAGAGGGTTGGCTTTGGCAATTCAAGACTGTCTTTCCCATCCTCTGTAGTGCCTCTTTCTGTGATATAAAGTTAAAACTAGGTACTGTGATCATGAACCTGATTTTTTGTTCCTGTGAGGATGTCTTTTCGTGTGGATAGTTGTCCAGTTCGGTGTTCTTGCAGGGAAAATGATGGGTGAAGGCTTATATTTGGCCATTTTGGAAAACAGAGTTTTAAATGTGATATTTGACTCCTTCACCTTCTCAAGATTGATGTATCTTCCAATCTGCTTTGTACTTTTCAGATTTCCATTTATCTTTTTTTTAAAAAAAGTTAAAGCAAATTTTAACAGGAAATAGCTTATAAAAATGGAGAAATTTATAATGAGTTGCCATTGTATATGAGAACTTCCTAAAGTTGAACTGAATTTCAGGGAAATACAATTCCTTAAGAAGGTAGTTAAAATTTCAGGCCCTCTTTGATCAACAATTTGTGCCTCTGTTATGCTCTGTAGTTATTGAAAACCAAGAGCAAGTTTTCCTAATATACTAGCTACGATTTCAGAAAACTGTCAATCTCATCATGTTTTTATTATGGGAAGGGATCTTAATTGCAACAGAATTTTTAAAAGAAATAGACAGGAGCCATATGGAACTTTATCCATTTTCTGCCAAGAAATTGTCTTCTATTGCAAAAGCTATAGACATCTAAGATACATAGAGGAATTTAATCCTTTACATACAATGATGCATTTGCTTGAGTGACATTGATTGGAAGTATAGAATGAGATTTTTTAAAAATTTTATTTGCTTATTTATTTTTTATTTTTTTGTTTTTTTGAGAGTCTCGCTCTGTTGCCCAGGCTGGAGTGCAGTGACGTGATCTCGGCTCACTGCAAGCTCTGCCTCCCGGGTTTATGCCATTCTCCTGCCTCAGCCTCCTGAGTAGCTGCGACTACAGGCACCCACCCCCATGCCCAGCTAATTTTTTTTGTTTTTTTGTATTTTCAGTAGAGACGGGGTTTCACCATGTTAGCCAGGATGGTCTCGATCTCCTGACCTCGTGATTCACCTGTCTTGGCCTTCCAAAGTGCTGGGATTACAGGCATGAGCCGCTGCACCCTGCTGAGATTTTTATTTTTAAGAAATTATTTAAATGTTATGGTTGTGAATTGAGTTATCCCAAGTGGATTTTTCTGATCATTGGATTTCTAATTTACTTTTATCTAGCTTTAGATTTCCATTCATAAGCACACTTCAAGTTGGCCTCTTAATTGTCAACTTTTACAAGATTTTGTGTGCATCTGTGTGGGTGGGGTTGCTTAAACTGGAAAAAGTAGAAGATAATTTATACTTTGAAAGGTATTTGAAACATATATGGTTAAGAGTAATAACTTGGTTCCAGTAAGTTATGTTTTTCTGAAATCACAACATGAAACTGAATATTAGCATTAAATAAATCTAAGAATATTATTAAATTTCATATGCCAACTTGTGATATGCAAATTATAGATTGCAGAACAGAGGAACAAATGGGTAACAGCTCCATGTAAGATGGTAGTGTTCAATAGTGTAATAAGACCAGGGAGGAAGGAAACTCTGGGAAGGAGGCTAGGGTTTAGCTCTGAGGAAGACGCATCTTCTCTTGTTAAAAAATACCAGTTAGAATGGCGATCATTCAAAAGTCAGGAAACAACAGGTGCTGGAGAGGATGTGGAGAAATAGGAACACTTTTACACTGTTGGTGGGACTGTAAACTAGTTCAACCATTGTGGAAGACAGTGTAGTGATTCCTCAAGGATCTAGAAGTAGAAATACCATTTGACCCAACAATCCCATTACTGGGTATATACCCAAAGGATTATAAATCATGCTGCTATAAAGGCACATGTACACGTATGTTTATTGTGGCACTATTCACAATAGCAAAGACTTGGAACCAACCCAAATCAATGATAGACTGGATTAAGAAAATGTGGCACATATACACCATGGAATACTATGCAGCCATAAAAAAGGATGAGTTCATGTCCTTTATAGGGACATCGATGAGCTGGTAACCATCATTCTCAGCAAACTATTGCAAGAACAAAAAACCAAACACCGCATGTTCTTACTCAGGTGGGAATTGAACAATGAGAACACTTGGACACAGGAAGGGGAACATCACACACCAGGGCCTGTTGTGGGGTGGGGGAAGAGGGGAGGGAAAGCATTAGGAGATATACCTAATGTTAATGACGAGTTAATGGGTGCAGCACACCAACATAGCACATGTATACACATGTAACAAACCTGCACGTTGTGCACATGTATCCTAGAACTTAAAGTATAATCAAAAAAATAAATAAACCTAGAAAGGAATCTGAAAAAAAAAATTCAGGCTGCAAAGAATACACTGAACAATTCACCATCTTTCTCAGAAACAGAACTGACTAGGTGTGGTTTGACCTATTTTATATTTGTCTGTTAATTTGTAGTTGTGTCTTTATTTCATTGTGATATAATATACCTCCAGAAAAGTACACCTATCATAATTGCACACAATGGTAAGGTGTTGTGGGAAGTCAGGGACCCCAAATGGAGGGACTGGCTGAAGCCATGGTGGAAGAACATAAATTGTGAAGATTTCATGGACATTTATTAGATCCCCAAGTTAATACTTTTATAATTTCTTATGCCTGTCTTTACTGTAATGTCTGAACATAAATTGTGAAGATTTCATGGACACTTATCACTTCCCCATTCAATACCCTTGTGATTTCCTATGCCTGTCTTTACTTTAATCTCTTAATCCCATCATTTTCGTAAGGTGAGGAGGATGTATGTCGCCTCAGGACCCTGTGATGATTGTGTTAACTGCACAAATTGTTTGTAGAGCATGTGTGTTTGAACAATATGAAATCTGGGCACCTTGAAAAAAGAACAGGATAACAGCAATGTTCAGGGAACAAGAGAGATAACCTTAAACTCTGACCGCCGGTGAGCCGGGCAGAACAGAGCCATATTTCTCTTTCTTCAAAAGCAAATGGGAGAAATATTGCTGAATTCTTTTTCTCAGCAAGGAACATCCCTGAGAAAGGAATGCCTCCCTGAGGTTGGGCCTCTAAAATGGCCCCCTTGGGTGTGGCCGTCTTTTATGGTCAAGCTGTAGGGATGAAATAAGCCCCAGTCTCCCATAGCGCTCCCAGGCTTACTAGGACGAGGAAATTCCCACCTAATAAATTTTTGGTGAGACCGGTTGTCTGCTCTCAAACACTGTCTCCTAATAGGATGTTATCAATGACAATGCATGCCCGAAACTTCATTAGCAATTTTAATTTCGCCCCGGTCCTGTGGTCCTGTGATCTCACCCTGCCTCCATTTGCCTTGTGATATTCTATTACCTTGTGAAGCATGTGATCTCTGTGACCCACATCTTATTAGTATACTCCCTCCCATTTGAAAATCACTAATAAAAACTTGCGGTTTTGCGGCTTGTGAGGCATCACGGAACCTACTGACATGTGATGTCTCCCCCAGACACCCAGCTTTAAAATTTCTCTCTTTTGTACTCTGTCCCTTTGTTTCTCAAACTGGCCGATGCTTAGGGAAAATAGAAAAGAACCTACGTGAAATATCGGGGGTGAATTTTGCCCAATATCTGGCTGAATTTCCCCTGATAGTAAGGCTTGGAGGTTGTTGTATGGAGGGAGCAGGGGCCCATGGAGAAGTGACAGAAGGTCTTAACCTGGGTTGAAAAGTGTGGACTTTCAAGAAATAGAAGCAGATGACTTTCAAATGCATAGTAGAGGATAAAGAAACACAACTTTAATTTTTTAGAGTGGCCTATATATTTTGTTTGGAAGCTTAAATTCTCTGTTATCACCTGGTAGTGGCCATCCCTGCTGCTGTGGCCCCTCTTACTGTTACTCTGACCTTCACAGGTCTTTGGGAACTTATCACTCATTGTTGATGGCATTTTTCTTCTGTATAGCAGTCTTTGCTTTTCTTCCTATCATCAAACAGATTAAGAATGGACACTCTCCTCATCTGTCTTACAATTCTTTATTTAGAGACTAATAAAGCGTTTCATTCCTTGTTTCATATAAAGTCTTTGTGTTAAAACTCTTTTATTTATCTCTGTCTTTCAGTTTCTCACAGTCTTTATAGAGTGTGTAGTTTGACATGAGATAACTTGAACAATACGTACAAGTCAGCACCACAAATCATCTTTTGCAGCATTCAATTGCAAATGACCCTAAATGACACGGAACACCAAATGGTAGGCTCTCTTACCTTAGAATGAGTTCCTGGATCATTAATTAGAACTTTCAGGAATGAATATGGGATAGATTAGTTATCCATGTTGCCCTAGGATAGACATTCCAGTATACTGATAGAAAAACAAAATGGTAAAAGTAATTCAAAGACAGGTTTGCTGTGCTGCTTTTCTTTTTCAAAATAAAATTCTCCTTTTCTCTCTCTTTCCAAATTAGCAGATATGTGAATGAATGTGTGTGTTTGAATGGATGACTTATACATCCTGATGTAGAGCTTCATAGGAATGAATTTCAGTGAGGTTTTCTAATACACAAGACCACATCAAAGAAAAAGAAACACCCTTTAACTGTTGTCATTCACAGAGCCATGGTGAAATAATTGGTGAGGCAAAGGTAGTAAATAATCCAACTGTTGGGGTCATTCAGACCTAAATAGACTTTCTGTTGAAGTGACCTGAAGTTTCCCTAATTCTTTCTCTGTTCCAGGTGTATAGATCCTGTCTTAGAAATGTAGTGGGAGGTTAACATGTCAGGCTGTGACTTTATTCTGTCCCTGGAATAACCAAGAATCTTTTAGAAAGTCAATTTGCCCTCACCAGGAGGACTCCACTGAAGTACAGAATCATTGTCTACTGGGGAAAAGTTCCTCTGAAGATGGATATGGCTCATTTCTGTTTCGTTAGCAGTGCTTCATAGAAGATGATGGATAAACTTAGTTATTTGTTGCTTTTCTTATTAAAGGCTTTACCCATTTCTTTTCAATGTAGAAGAATATGGGAGCGTGAATGTGATTGCTGAGATTTCTCGTTTTCAGTAGCTCAGGGATCTCCACTAGAGAAACTGAAGGCATCTGCTTTCAATACTCATGTCTGTAAAACCATCACAGAGAGGGAAATGTGTGAACCTTCAGACTCCAGACACTGCTGCATTTAAAAAGAATTGTTGCTATGAATATTGGAATATTTTCCTTCTGGTCACTGCTTATGACTTATATGTACGGCAGAAGATTGGGGCTTGCTCAGGCATATTACACCCACTCACGAATTCTGAGTTCAAAAATTTTGTGTTTAAAAATTAGCCTCCTTGATTAGATTAATATGCAGAATTGTCAGGTGTTTTAAAACAACGTGCAAGTTATGTCCACATGATTAATGTGAAATGAAAAATCTAGCCAAACTTCTTGTTCTCACACACAGTTTCCCCAAATTAGAGCATATAGACTTCCATTTTTGTAAAATAATTTTGCCTCAAAACAATTTTAAGAAAAAATTGATCTGTTTCCCTACTTTGCCTTTCTAAATCTGCCTCATAAGTAATGGAATTTTAAAAGATGTGACAGTCTTATTTAAAATGAAATGAAACAAAATGGCATAAAATAAAAAAAAATACCCAAACTTTCCTTTCCTTTTAGTTAACAGTATTTGTGATGGAAGTTGCCTGGGAGTGAGTCTCCAGAGACCAGTTCTGTGGGGTGGAGGTGAAATCATTTAACCCTCCTTGGCCTTTGTTTCCTCACCTATAAAATTAGGGCACTAGAGAAATGATGTCTGTGGTTTCCATCAGTTCCCTCCCTCTAGCTTTAAACACTATAATTTGCTTTTCTCTGCTATGCACACGGCACTGTCTAACATTCCCTGGGGAATGATACTTTCAGCATCGTTTTCAAATAGTATTCAAGAGAGAGAAAACTCCAAGGCAGCAGATCCAGCATTTTCAAATTTTAAGGCTCAACTGAGAAGAAAAGAGTTCATCCAGAAAAGGGTATAAATTCCACTTGACTTACATCGTAGCACTTTCCACACACCTCCATTATGGAAGAGGTTGACATTAAAAAGATTTTCCCATCTTTAATGGCTGTGACTAAGAGTCTTGATTGTACAATATTTTGGCTTGCACTTCATAGTTCCCTCAATGTCCCCATCTATGTCCATGGGTAGCTCTCTAAATACAGCAGCTGTGCCATCTGTTTCAAATATTATTTCAGCCCTCACTGTTTTGGGATAAATTTCATAAAGTGTATTGCATACACACACATTTAATTGAACAAATGAGAAGCCTTTCCAGTTTAAAAAAGCTTCCTAAATGACAAGAAGTGTCCAATTTCCATTCAAATGGTTACTTCGGGGCTTTAAAATGTGTGAATTCATCTAACAGAGGCTGGTCGTGTGTTTTGAGGCAGATGGCTTGATTCTGTGAAGAAAAAAATTAAGTGGAATTTACTATCAATCTTATTTTTTTTGGCAAAAGACTGACATAATAAAGATGTGTGTATTACTGAGAATGGTTTTTAATAATGATTCTACCTTATGTTTTCCCCCAAGATTATGGTTAACTGACTAGGAAAATCTATTTAGAGATTTTATGTTTATCCATAATGATCAGCTTAGAGAAAAAAAAAAAGAAGAAGCCGCCTGCAAACAGAATTGCTGAAATACAAAAGGAAAATAATGCTCTACAACTTTCTAAAGGAGTCCAAGGCAAAGGGAATGCTAAAGTTTATTTTGTTTCTCCTGTTAAATAGTTGTGAAGCCAATTGGAGATTTTTGAGGAAAGGAGAAGGGATTTCACATCTTGTGAGAATGTTTTAGAGTAATATCTTCAGTGGGCATGATAGGTGTTGTGTCCAAGACACTTTTTATATTTAAGACCGGAAGTCTTAAAAGTGTGTCACTGGAATTATTCACAGTTACTAGTGGTGTGTATTCTCAAATTTAGACTCATATTAGCACATGTCAAAATTATGTCAAAAGTTCTATGCTCTAAGAATCCTTTCTTTTCTCATTTGTAGTTTGCAGAACTGACTGAGCTCCTCATTAGTTCTTGATTAGTTAAAACAAAGTATGTGTCTCATACTTCTTGAATATGGTGGTTCAGGAACCTAAGCCTAAGCCAATTGGCTCAGAGCTTCATGTGGCAGTAATTACAGATGATTCCCAACTTACGATGGTTCAACTTACAATTTTTCAACTTTACTATGGTGCTTTTAGCTGTGCACATTAATGATAAATACTCATACAACATTTTGTTTTCATTTTTAGTACAGTATTCAAAAATTACATGATATATTTAATATTTTATTAGAAAATAGGCTTTGTATTACATTATTTTGCCCAACTATAGGCTAATGTAAATGTTCTGAGCATGTTTAAGGTAGGTTAGGCTAAGCTATAATGTTCAGTAGGTCAGCTGTATTAAATGTATTTTTGACTTACAGTATTTTCAACGTGTAATTGGTTTATCTGGATATAGCATCATCATAAGTTCAGGAGCATCTGTATCGGTTTAGAGGTAAGCATATGACCTAAGTTGTCCCAAAAAGTATAAAAGAAAGAGCATTTATTTGAGTGCTGGAGAAAACTAGTTTTTTCTCTCCCAGTGGACATGAAGAGGAAAACATTTAGCCTTTTTTGTCACTGAGAACCTACTGGAAACATAAGGGGAGCCAACTTTAGAATAAAATAGAGTGTGGATAGCAGGATGAAAGTAGAAAGAACCTGTGGCTTTGACGACATAGTTGAGCCTTTAGGTCCCCTGCCCTGCAGTCCATTATGCTTCAGAGTCTCTCTTATGTAGTCAATACTTATTGTTAGAACATTTCTTATTGTTCCTACCATTTGAGTCAGGTATTTTGATACTTGCAGCTAAAAGCATTCCAACAGGTACACTTGAGGATGTGGTTTAGGGTGAGGATGTGACTCAGGGTGAGGCAGGCTCAGACATGTACAACATGAGACCTCTCAATCAAGGGTGTTGGGTCTTCTCCCTTTTCTGAGACACATATTATTTTTGACATGAAGGACATTGGCTGGAAGAAAATAATGCTACAAATGATTATTAAATTAATGTGGGTATTGGAGGCTATGCAGTGGAGCCTAAGGCTTTTATGTATTCTGAGATTGACTGAAGGTGGCTATTTTCTCGCTAAACCAGTGGTTCTTAAAGTGGTCCCCAAACAGTCCAGACTTCTGGTTTCTTCTTACACATGTAAATAACTTAGAAATGTCTCACCTGTCCTCACCACAAGAAACAATGTAGTTCAACAACTCTTCTTAGTCTATCAGGGAATTGAGGTGACAGGGTAAATTGCTATTTGGGAAGCTGAAGAGACAGGCAAATAGAATCACAGCTTGCCAGAAACACAAACACTGGAGCTAGTAATGGGTAGGAGCATTTGAGTGTTTCTTAAAGGTAACCGAAAAATTGCTGAAGCTGAGTGTGGACAAGCTTGAGAGTTAAAAACTCTTGGAACCCAGTCTTAGGAGGACCTGGACCTGTCATGCTTTTGTGAGATTTATCTGTGGGATCCTGTCTTAGTCTGTTCAGGCTGCTATGACAAAAATACCACACTGGGTAACTTATAAACAATATATATTTATTGCTCACAATTCTGGAGGCTGGGACATCCAAGATTAAGTCTCCAGCAGATTTGGCATTTGGCGAAGGCCCCATTTCTGATAGATAGTCTCTCTTGCAGAGTCCTCACATGGCAGGAGGGGCAAACAGTCTCCCTCAAATCTTATAATGTATTCATTCTCATGACCTAATCACCTCCCAAAGGCCCCAATTCTTAATATAATCAATTTAGGGGTTAGGTTTTAACACATGAATTTTGGGGGTACACACACGTTCATATGGTAGCAGATTCCTACCAGATTCTTTTAGTGAAGATTGGAGAAAAATCCCCTTGTGGTTTTGGCAGGGCAAAAGTAACCATTTTGAAATAAGCCCGGTGTGTTCTTCATATCAAAGTCCTGCCCTGAAGGAAAACTAGTTTACTAGACTCTTATCTTATGTGGAGGAAGGGCAATTAGACAACCGAGTCCTCTGTACCTTTTCTGCCTCACATAAGGGAGAAAAAAAGGCTAAGAAAGACTTCTGAAGGTCGCAGTCCGAGGACTCAGGCCCATAAGAAACAGCAATTTAATCATAATATTATAGAATGCTTCCCTCCTCAATACCATCACACTACACCAATAGGTCTCCTACGTAATAACAGTGAATTACAACTTGGATCACTGAAAGACAAAAACTGTATCTAAGAATGAGTTTCTAGGGAAACCCAAAGACAACATGGGAGACAAAAACAAGGTCGCCGGTGGTGATTGAAGCCTCTGACACCTATAGCTGTACCACACATTAAATTCAGCCTAACTGCTAGGCAGATAAACATATAAACTCACATTAAAGGCCTATTTACTTCAGTTCCTATTATTCAATAAATCATGTCCAGTTTTCAACAAAAAATTACAACACATGTCAAAAGGCAAGAAAAAAACAAGGTAAGCACCAAAACCAGACTCAGATATAGCAGACATTATGGAATTACTGAGTATAGTCCCAGGATAAGCAGTATCTCCATCACTTGGGAATGTGTTAGAAATGCAAATTTTTGGATCTCATCCTAAACCTACTGAAACAGAAACTGAGGGTGGGGACTGGCAGTCTGTGTTTTAACAAGCACTCCAGGTGACTGTGTTTGAAGATCACTATATTAAGCAGATGTAAAATTTGTAATTTCTTCCTTTTCCTTACTTAGATTTCTTAGAAATAGTATGGTAACAAGGTGATTCAAAATGTAAAAGACTCACTGAAAACATTGTTGTGATTTTGACTTTTAGTTTTGCTAAGCAATATCATTGCTAATGAAGAGTTTCGGATGACCACATGTGGTATAGAGTTACCCCAGCTGTGTTTGATTGTGTCAGACTTACCATTTGACTTGGGAACCTTATCATCATTGTCAACCTTGCAGACAGTGTTTAAGTTCAGATATACAGCTCATAGATCTCCCATCCAGGAGGTTAAAATAATTTCTCAGTGCTGGGTTTTCAGGCCCTAGGGCCCTAGAGACTTTTTTCTACATTGGTTTTTATGAAGGGAATTTGGGAAAAGGGAGAAGATCTTTACATGCGTCCTTTTAAAGGCAGACTGTGTTATTATCTTGCTCTTTTAGTTTACTCAGTCAGTGCTCACTTGCCCTCTGGCCTGATCACAGTTTTGTAGCCACCGGAGAGTCAATTGTTAAGCCTAATGATGGTTGCTTTGAACTCCTCTGAGACTCTGATGTCATAGGTTTCCTTTTAGGTTTTTGATCACAGTTTTCTGTCTTAGGTTGCTCTTGCTCACACACTGGCTGCCTCTCCCCTCTTGGTGCCTGATGTTCGGTGATGATAAATGTTTTCTTATCAAGCCCAAGAAGAGCCATAGCTTGCTATTACTTGCAGAGGCCTCCTAATTTCACATTGGAAAAGCTGAAGTCTGGGGTGGGGAGTGTGTGATAATTTGCTTCATGTATTCATTTGCTCGAAAATACTTAATGAGTACCTACTCTGTGTCAGGCAGGAATCACAGAAACATGATTAGAATAAAGGAATTGTTAATTCCTATGCCAGTACTGCTTTTATAAGTGTATTTGAATAAAAACAAAATGAAAGAAACTAAATCAGTGAAAGTAATACAATAAAAATAAATAGGGAACAAAAAAAGAAAAATAAAGAGAAAAGGCCACTTGGGAGCTAAGTGCCTTCTTGATTACTAAGCACATACGTTTACTTTTCTTTCCTTAATGTTCCACCAGGGCGAAAAATAAGCAAACACTAAAGCAGCACTAGGAAATGTGGAAGAGTGATACCAGCTGAAGCAAAACATTTCTGAATGATATAAAGCAGATAGGATTTGTTTGATGAAATAACCAAATAGAACTGGTAGGTACAGTTAATACAAATGAAAGAGAGTAGCAGTGGAAGAAGAAAGGAGTTTGTTCAATTTTAAACAGAACTTTGAAAAGTTTGGAGATTTTTGGAAAAGCCCGGGGATCGTAATTATGAAGAGGTAAGGAAGGTATTCAACTTTGTGGCATTTGATAGGAAGGCTAATGAAACTGGGGTGTTTCAAGCACCTGGAAAAAGCATTTCCACCCAGTTCCAACAGAACTGGCACGAACAGTTTGAAAGGTAATAAAGAAGCAGATGGATTCTGCCACTGGGGATAGGCAAGAGATATTTAAAGTGAGTACTGGAATTATAAAGAGAAGTGGAATGGTGCTCCTGGGTAATGTCAGCTGCCAACACGGCTAAACTTGCTCACCTTCTAATGAAAAACTCCCATCCACTACATGACTGCGTTTTTGTGTCTCCCAGAATTCATAGGTTGAAGCTCCAAATCCCAATGGGATAATATTATGAGATGGGGCCTCTGGTGGTAATTAGGTTATGAAGGTGGAATCCTAATGACAGGATTAGTGCCTCATAGGAAGAGACGTGAGAAAAACTTGCTTCCTCTATCTTTGCTCTCTGCCATGTGAGGACACCTCAAGAAGATGGCCTCCTGCGAACCAGGAAGCAGGCCCTCGCCAGACACTGGACCTGCCAGCACCTTAATCATGAACTTCCTAGCTGCCAGAACTATGAGAAATAAATGTTTGTTGTTTAAGCCTTGCATCTATGGTAATTTGTCATAGCAGCCTGAATGAACTAAGATACTGCCCAGCTCGCTAACTATAGTCATGGCTTCTATCATTTGTAATCATGTTCATTATCAAAGAAGCTGTAACTTTCACACTAGCAACCTGTAAATATAAATGAACTACTTATAAATATAAATGAACAACTCAGAATTTCCATATGTTGAAGAAAAAAGCGTAAAAATAAGCCACCAAACGAAACAAACTGAAGTAATTCTTGAAACAATTGAATTACTGGTGAAATATAGAAAAACTTACTGAAACAATTTAATTTGTATCTTAAGAGATATTTGAGGGACACTGCATTCACATAGTTAGAATAGGCCACTAAGAAAAAGTAAAAAAAAAAGAAAAGGGAGATTTCATAGAAATTAAAATAAACATATACTTATTGAAACAAATATAACAGAGCAATTGATGTGGAATGTAAAGTACTTAATTTCCAAAAGTGTTTTTCATCTAGATGGACAAGACTTGTCACGTTGGAGCTAATTTTTGTTCAGAAAAAGGCCACTTGAATGGGTACATTAACCCACTGTCCAGGTGAAAGAGGACAATAAGGAGGAACTTGGCTAATGAAAGCTGCCTTTAATCTGATTTTGAAATGCTGAGTTGGTTACTGGTGAGATGGGAATATTTGCATGGGATAGTATTATGAGATGGGGAAAGAGTTTTCCAAGAAGGTCAACGTTTTCCCTTTTAAGGTCCAATGTTGTTAGCACCTCTGTCACTGTTCAAGTTTATGAAATGTCCAGTGGCTTAGTAGACAAAACTGGAGCATATTCTTTGAATTCTTGTGAAATTAGGGAGAGAAAGGACTACCTCAAGAAGGAGATGCCAACCTAGTTATGTGTCAGCTAGAGAGCAATTGAAAAATACAAAAGATGTGACTAAAGTCATACTCCCTAACTGCTGAAGTATATTACACTAATTGCCTAAATATCAATAATAAAGATCAGAGCAGAAATAAACGAAATACAGGCTAGAAAAACAAAAGCTCAGTGAAACCAAGAGTTGGTTTTTTAAAAAGATAAACAAAATCTACAACCTGTTAGCCAGACTAAAGAAAAAAAGATAAGACTCAAATTTAATTATAAATGAAGGAGGAGACCTTACATAAATACAAAGTATCATAAGAGACTACTATGAGCAATTATAGGCCATCAAATTGGATATCTAAAAGAAATGGATAAATTTCTAGAAACATACACAATCTGCCAAAACTGAATCATAAAAAAATAGAAAATCTGAACAGACCAATAATGAGTAAAGAGATTGAAACTGTAATAAAAAACCTCCCAAAAAAACAAAAAACCCAGGATCTGATGGCTTCACTCATGAATTCTACTAAACACTGAAAGAATTAATGTCAATCCTTCTCAAACTTTTCCAGGAAATGAAAGAGGAGAAAACACTTCCAAACTCATTTTTTGAGGCCAGCATTACCCTGTTACCAAAGCCAAATAAGAAACTACAAGAAAAGAAAACTTCAGGACAATAAAAAATCCCGAATATTAGAATGGATGTGGTTGAACGCCAAATCGGTTTTATGGAAGATCAAGCCAAAAGGTTTTCTTGGAATGTAGTGCAATAAGACAGATGAAAATTGTCAAAGAAACTTGGAAGGAATGATGTCATTCAGTATATGAGGTTTAGATATTCACAAAGCATGTAAAATATTTAGAAATTCCAACATCTTCCTGATAAAACTTGTAAAAGGAGAAGCCAGACAGAATAGGAGGAATGACATAATCCAAGTAATAATAGAAGAATATCTTTTTTTCCAAACTGAGAGACAGTACTGTTTTTTTTTTTATTTAAAAGAATTAGAATACAAAACAGCAATATTGCATTAAGGGACCTATGAATATCGGGGAAGAATTTATGAAGTCGTAGGAGAAAGAAAAAGTCTTGCAATTTTCTAGAGAGTAAAAACAGATTATCTGAAAAGGAAGAAAAATCAGAATGACATTGGTGTTTTCTAACACCAAATGCCAGAAAATATGTAGCCATATCTATAAAATCCTGAGGGATTTGAATATTGGATTCTCCATTAGGCAATCTATTACTCAAGAGAGAAGGAAAAGTAAAGACAATTTGAAAGATAGAAAGTTGAACATCGTTGAAAAAATTAAAATTGCTCTAGTATGTTCTTTAGCAAAATGTAAGAGGAAACCAGAAAAGAAGACATGGGATATCGTGAATAAAATACCAAATATGACTTATCAATAAGTCTAAGTTGTCATGAACTATTTGCACAAACTATGTGTGAGTTTAATGCAGTCGTTAACTAAGAGTCCTAAAATAAGAGAGACACAGAAGCATAATAAAAGTGTTACTTGGAATACTAATGTAAGTCATTGAGAGGTTTCTTGTAATAAAAACTTACTAAGTATAAGCACACATCTAAAGGTGATATATCTTAGAAATAGAAGCCAAGAAAAAACTATTATGAATTCAAAATTAAGCTGAAAAGAGAAATTGATTGTATAGTAAATTAAAAACTTATTAACCAACACTCCAAGATTATATGATGAGACAGTACGTTATTATTAATAACCAATATTATTTGAGGACTTACTACATGACAGATATGCTGCTAGATGGATACTAACGTTGTCTCCACTTATAGATGAGAAAACTGAGGACAGAAAAATTAAGTAATTTGCTTAGAGCCATCAGATAGGAGGGAGCAAAGACAGACAATCTAACTTCAATCATGCTCTAAATCACTACTCTAATATTATCTCCTCAGCCTCTTATTGGAATATAGATTGTTCAAAAATGACTCCATAATAAAGAGAAACTAACACTCCTGTCTTATACAGTCTGCAGGTATTTGTCCAACATATGTCAGATATATTTATTTTAGCCTGTATACTCTGGAGTATCAGTAACCTAGTATCACAAAATTCTGTGTAATAAGTTGCCTCAAAACCTGGTGGTTTGAAACAACTATCATTTTTTCTCATGGATCTGTGGGTCACCTGAGAGGCCTTGTGCTAGGCTTGTCTTGCCTGGAATGGGTTGTCCCAGTTCCATGTGTCTCTCATCCTCATCTTGGGACAAACAGGCTAGCCAGGGCATAAGCTTTCATAGCATGACAAAGTCACAAAAGAGCAAACCCAAACATACAGGTGCTTTACAAGCCATGGTCTCATCACACCTGTTAACATTCCACTGGTCAATCCACATAGCTGGGGAGGAACTGGAAAGTCATATGGCAAATACTCTAAATGCAAGGGGGGATAATAAATTAAGGTCATTAAGGCTTTACAAAATAATCAGTCTGCTTCTTTTGTAGTTGTGTTGGATGAAATAACATATTGTTGCTCATGTGTTCAAAGAAAACTTTTCTTAACCAAAATGATCCTTTAAGGATAAGATGGTGAGATTTTCCTTCCAGCCAAGTATTGAGACAGCCGTGTGCAGCAACTGAGAAGGAAAGGTGAGGACAGTCAAAAAAGTTAAAAGATTTAAGGCAAATATATCTATACCTATATTTAGCAGGAAGGAAGGTGGTGCATGCACATAAGCATGCTTTTTCTGATTCTAGGTAGGGGTTTCAGAGTTTTACAAGCAGTGGGAAGAGCCCTTGCTAAAATAGTCTGGAGATTAGCTTTTTGCCCTAGGTCTGCCACTAGTAAAAGACAAAACTTTTCTGAGTGGCCATTTTCATATCATTAAAGTTGGCCCCAGACGATCTATGAGATTCTTTTAAGTCCTAAAACTTTAAGAAAGATATTTTTAAAAATGAAATATGATGATGGTATAAATTGGAAGTTACTGAAATGTGTTTTATAAAATTAGGAGCAGCAGTTGAATTGTAAGAAGCAATAACAGCAAAGGCAGAGCAAGATGGCTGAATAGACACCCCCAGCAGTTGACCCCTGACAGGAACACCAAATTGAAAAACTATCCACACAAAAAAGCACCTTCATGAGAACCAAAAATCAGGCGAGTGATCACTGGTTTTAACATCATATCAAGAAAAAAATGCACTGAAGAAGGTAGGAAATACAGCCTTGAATTACTGATGCTACCCCTCCCCATTCCCTGGATGCAGACATGTGGCATGAAGAGACAATCTGTGTGCTTCGGGAAAGAAGAGCACATAGACTGTGGAACTTTGCATTGGAACTCAGTGATGCCCTCTTATAGTGGGAAGCAATACAGGACAGAACTCAGTCAGCACCTACAGATGGAGAATTTAGACCAGCTCTAGCCAGAGTCAAATCGTCCACCCAGTAGTTGGAACATGAGTTCTGGCAATCCCTGCCACTGTGGGCTAAAAGGTAGTGAGGTCCTAAATAAAAGGCAATCTTGGAAGACAATCTAGACCATAAGGACTTGAAAGGCAAACTTGAAAGACAATCTAGATCATATGGACTGCAATTCTTGGGCAAGTCCTGGTGCTGTGCTGGGCCCAGAGTCAGTGGACTTGGAAGGTATGTGACATAGTGAGACACCAGCTGGTGCAGCCAAGGAAGTGCTTGTGTCAGCTCTCCCCCAATCCCAGGCTGCAGTGAAGCTCATAGCTTCAGGAGAGACTCCTTCCCTTAGCTTGAGGAGAGGAGAGGGAAGAGTAAAGAGGACTTTGTCTTGCAACTTGAATACCTGTTCAGTCACAGTAGGAGAGGGCACCAGGCAGATTCCTGAGGCCCGCATTCCAGGCCCTAGCTCCTGGATAACATTTCTAAACACACTTTGTGTCAGAAGGGAACCGATTGCCTTGAAGGGAAGGACACAGTTCTTGAAGTATTCATTCCCTGCTGCCTAGAGAGATCTTGGACTCATCAGTAGTGGTATCCAGGCAGTACTTGCAGTGGGACTTAGGAGTGACTCAGAGCTGTGCTGGTTTCAGGTGTGACCCCGTGAATTCCCAACTACGGTAACAATGTGAAGAGACCCCTTCTGCTTGCGAAAAGATAAGGAAGAATAATGGGGACAATGTCTTACAGCTTGGTTACCAGCTCAGCTGCAATGGAGCAGAGGACCAAGCAGGCTCCTCCAGTTCCCGATTCCAGACCTTGGCTCCTGGTTGACTTTTTTGGCCCTACCTTGGGCCAGGAGGTTCCATTGCCCTGAAGGGAGAGACCCCTGCCTGGCAGCATTCACCATAAGCCGATTGAAGAGCCTTTGGCCTTGAGTGAATATTGGCAGTAGCCAAGCAGTACTTGCTATGGGCCTGGGATAGTGGTGGCCAAAAGGAGAAACTCCTATGCTTGAATCTTAAAATATGTCAGTGGCATGACATTTAAAGTGGAAAGGGGAGGGAAGAGTGGGAAAGACTTTGTCTTAAGCTTGGGTACCAACTCAATTGTAATAGAATAGAGCACCAGGTAGATCCCAAAAGTTACCAAATCCGGGCCCTGTCTCCTGGACAGCATCTCCAAACCTTCTCAGGGCTAGGGGACCATGCTGCTCTGAAAGGAAGGACACAAGCCTGGCTGGATTTTTACCTACTGATTGTAGAGTTCTAGGACCTTGAATGAACATAGGAAATAGGCAGGGAGTGGACAGTGTGGGCCTTAAGTGAGACCCAGTGCTGTGTTGGCATTTAGTCTGACCAAAGACAGTTCCAGTGGTAATGGCCAAAGGAGTGCTCATGTCACCATCTTCCAGCTCCAGGCAGCTCAGCACAGACAGAGACTACATTTGTTTGAGAGAAAGTGAGGAAAGAACAAGAGTCTATGGTCATCCAGGGAATTCTCCTGGCTCTAACCCAAGACCGCACAGGTTGTACCTCTATAAGTTTGCAAGAGCCATTCAATTACTGGGCTTGGAGTGTCCTGTGAAGCTGGTATGACTGCAGTGAGAATACCTAAATCACAATGCCCAAGTCACTTTAAATACCTGGAAAACCTTCCCAAGAAGAAAAGGTTCAAACAAGCCCACACCGTGACAAATAAAATGAGTAGCTAACTCTTCAATGCCCAGACGCCAATGAACATCCACAAGCATCAAGAACATCCAGGAAAACATGACTTCACCAAACAAACTAAATAAGGTGCCAGGGACCAATTCTAAAGAGACAAAGATATATAACCTCAAACGGAGAATTCAAAATAACTGTTTTGTAGAAGCTCAATGAAATCCAACACAGAGGAGGAATTCTAATCCTGTCAGATAAATTTAACAAAGAGATTGAAATAATTAAAAGTAATCAAGCAGAAGTTCTAGACCTGAAAAATTCAATTGACATACTGAAGAATGCATAAGAGTCTCTTAACAGCAGAATTCATCAATCAGAAGAATCAGCGAGCTTGAAAATTATTTGAAAATACAGTAAAAAGAGACAAAACTGGAAAGAATAAAAAAGAAGAATACATCCTGCCTATGAGAGCTAGAAAATAGTCTCAAAAAGGAAAATCTAAGCGTTACTGGCCTAAAAGAAGAAGCAGGGAGAGCGATTTGGGTAGAAAGTTTATTCAAAGTAATAATAATAGAGAACATTCCAAACCTAGAGAAAGATATTAATATCCAAGTACAAGAACATTATAGACCACCAAGCAGATTTAACCCGAAGAAAATTACCTCGAGGTGTTTAATAATCAAACTCCCAAAGTCCAGGATAAAGAAAGAATCCTAAAAGCAGCATGAGAAAAGGAACCAATCACATGCAATGGAGCTCCAATACATCTTGCAGTAGACTTCTCAGTGAAAACGTTACAGAGCAGGAGACAGGTGAAGTTTACACTGAGAAACTTTAAATATGTCTCTGGCATGACATATTTAAAGTTCTGAAGAAAAAAAGATGTATCCTATAATAGTAAATGCAGTAGAAATATCCTTCAAACATGAAGGCTTAATAAAGACTTTCCCAGAAAAACAAAAAACAGAGGAATTTTATCAACACCAGGCCTGTTCTACAAGAAATGCTAAAATGAATTCCTCAGTGTGAAAGAAAAGTATGTTAATGAGCAATTAGAAATCATCTAAAGGTGCAAAACTCATTGGTAATAGTAAGTACACAGAAAAGCACAGAATATTGTAGTAATCTCATTGTGATGTGTCAATTATTCATTTCTTTAGTGGAAAGATTAAATGATGAAATAACCAAAAATAACAATGAAGACAACTTTTACATACATAGAGAGTACAATAAGATATAAATACAAACAACAAAAAGTTAAAAAGAGTGGGGAAGAAGTTTGTGTTGAGTCTTTATTAGTTTTCTGTTTGCTTTCTTATAAAATCAGTGTTGTTATCAGTTTAAAATAATGGGTTATAAGATATTATTTGCAAGTGTCACAGTAACTACAAGTTAAAAAATATACGATAGATATGAAAAAACATAAAAAGCAGGAAATTAAAACATACCACCAGAGAAATCACCATCACTAGAAGGAAGACAAAAAGGAAGAAAGAAGAGAAGACCATATAACAGCCAGAAAAAATAAGAAAATGGCAGAAGTATGTACTTACTTATAATTAATAATACTGAATGTAAATGAACTAAACTCTCCAATCAAAAGACACAGAGTAGCTGCATGGATAAAAAACAAGACCCAATGATCTGTTGCCTATAAGAAACACACTTCGCCTGTAAAGGCACCCATAGACTAAAAATAAAGGGATGGAAAAAGATATAATGGAAACCGAAGAAGAGTATAAGTAGCTATACTTATATCAGACAAAATAGATTTCAATACAAAAACTGTAAAAAGAGGCAAATAAAATTATTATTTAATGATAAAGGGGTCAATTCTGCAAGAGGATATAATAATTTTAAATATGTATACACCCAACACGGGAGTACTCGGAGATATAAAGCAAATATTATTAGAGCCAAGGACAGAGACAGACCCCAATACAGTAATAGCTGGAAACCATTAACACGCCATATTCAGCTTTAGGCAGATCATCAGGACATAAAATCAACAAAGAAACATTGGACTTAATCTGCACAATAGAACAAATGGACCTAATAGATATTTACATAACATTTTATCCAATGGCTTCAGAATACACATTCTTCTCAGCATATGGGTCATTCTCAAACATAGATCATAGTTAGGCCACAAAATAAATCTGAAAAAATTCAAAAAATTGAAATCATATCCAGTATCTTCTTTGACTACAGTGGAATAGAACTAGAAATCAATAACAGAGGAATATTGGAAATTGGACAAACAAATGGAATTAAACAATATGCTCCTGAATGACCAGTGGGTCAATGAAGAAAGAAGGAAGGAAACTAAAAAACTTCTTGAAACAAATGAAAATGAAAACACTGCATACCAAAACCTATGGAATAAAACAAACTCAGTACTAAGAGGAAAGTTTATAGTAGTAAGCACCTACATCAAAAAACATCAAATAAAAAACCTAATAATGCATCTTAAAAAGCTAGAGGAGTAAGAGCAAACCAAATGCAAAATTAGTAGAAGAAAAGGAATAGTAAAGATCAGAGCAGAAATAAATGAAATTGAAAGGAAGAAAACACTACAAAAGATCAATGAAAAAAGCTGTTTTTAAAAATATAGACAAAACTGACAAACTTCTAGCTCGATTAGCCAAGAAAAAAGAGAGAAGGCCCAAACAAATAAAATCAGAGATAAAGAGGGAGACATCACAGCCAATACCAAAGAAATATAAAGTATCATTAAAGGTTACATGAGCAAATTTATACCAATAAATTGGAAAACCTTCAAATGGCATATTCCCAGACACATACAACTTTCCAAGACTGAACCATGAAGAAATTCAAAACCAGAGCAGATTAGTAACAAGTAATACGATTGAAGCCATAATAAAAACTCTTCCAGCAACAAAAAAGTTCAGGACCTGATGGGTTCACTGCTGAATTTTACCAAAGATTTCAAGAAGAACTAATACAGATCTTACACGAACTATTCTGAAAAATTGAGGAGGAGGGAATACTTCCAAACTCATTTTATGAGGTCAATATTACTCTAATATCAAAACCAGAAAAAGACAAATCAAAAAATAAAACTACAGGTCAATATATCTGATGAACATTGATGCAAAAATCCTCAACAAAATGCTAGCAAACCAAATTCAACAACACATTAAAAAGGTCATTCATCATGACCATGTGCATCCCAGGGATGCAAGGATGGTTGAACATATGCAAATTAGTCAATATGATATATCAATAGAATGAAAGAGAAAAATCATATGATCATTTTAATCAAGGCTGAAAAAGCATTTGATAAAATTCAACAACCATTCATAATAAAAACTCTAAAAAAACTGGGTATGGAAGGAACATACCTCAACACGGTATAAACCATATACAACAGACTCAAAGCTTGTATCACACTAAATGGGGAAAAACTGAAAGCCTTTCCTTTAAGATCTGGAACGTGACAAGGATGCTCACTTTCATCACTGTTATTCAACATGGTACTGGAAGTCCTAGCTAGAGCAATCAGACAAGAGAAAGAAAGAGCATCCAAGTTGTAAAAGAAGAATTCAAATTATCCTTGTTTGCCGATGATATTATCTAGTGTTTGGAAAAACCTAAAGACTCCAACAAGAAACTTAGAACCAATAAACAAATTCAGTTATACTGTAGGATACCAATCAACATACAAAAATCAATACCTTTCCTATATGCCAATAGCAAACAATCTGAAAAAATTTAAGAAATTAATCTCATTCAAAGTAGTTACAAATAAAATGCAATATCAAAGAAATGAAAGATCTCTACAATAAAAGTATAAAACATTGATGCAAGAAATTGGAGAACACCCAAAAATTGGAAAGATATTTCAAGTTCATGGATTGGAAGAATCAATATTATTATAGTATCCGTTCTACCCAAAGCCATCTTGAAATTCAATGCAATCCCTATCAATATAGCAATGATATTCTTAATAGAAATAAAAAAATATCTTAAAATTTACATAGAATTACAAAAGACCCAGAAGAGTCAGTGTTATCCTGAGCAAAAAGAACAAAACCAGAGGAATCACATTACCTGACTTCACATTATACTACATAGTTATTGTATCCAAAACATCATGGTACTGGCATAAAAATAGACACATAGAACAATAAATCAGAATAGAGAACCCAGATATAAGTTTATACGTCTGCAGTGAATTCATTTTTGTCAAAGGTGGCAAGAACATACACTGAGGAAAGAACAGTCTCTTCAATAAGCAGTGATGGGAAAACTGGATATCCATATGCAGAAGAATAAAACTAGACTTTGATCACTTGCCATATGCAAAAATAAAATCAAAATGGATTAAAAACTTAAATATAAGACATCCAACTATGAAACTACTAAAATTCACTGGAGAAACTCTCCAGGACATTGGACTGGGCAAAGATTTCTTGAGTAATATCCCACAAGCACAAGCAACCAAAGCAAAAATGAACAGATGGGATCACATCAAGTTAAAAAGCTTCTGGACAGCAAAGGAAACAGTCAACAACATAAAGAGAAAGCTCATGTAATAGGAGAAAATATTTGGAAACTACTCATCTGACCAAAAATTAATAACCAGAATATATAAGGAGCTCAAACAACCCTACAGAAAAAAATCTAATAGTCTAATTTATAAAGGGAGAAAAGATATTAATAGCGATTTCTCAAAAGAAGATACACAAATGGCAATCAGGTATATGAAAAGGTGCTTGACATCACTGATTATCAGAGAAATGCAACTGAATACTACAATGAGATATTATCTTACCCCAGGTAATATAGCTTATATCCAAAAGATAGGCAACAACAAATGCTGACGAGGATGTGGAGAAAAGGGAACCTTCATACACTGTCGGTGGGAATGTTATTTAGTACAGCCACCATGGAGAACAGCATGCAGGTTCCTCAAAAGACTAAAAAAATACCATATAATCCCGCAATACCACTGTTAGATATATGTCCCAAATAAAGGAAATCAGTATATCAAAGAGATGGAACTGGACATCATTATGTTAAGTGAAATATGCCAGGCACAAAAAGACAAATATTCATATATTCTCACTTATCTGTGGGAGCTCAAGAAGGTAAAACAATTGACCTCATGGAGGTAGAGTGTAGAATGATGGTTACCAGAGGCTGGGAAGTGTATTGGATGAGGTGGGGTGGGGGGAGTGGGATGTGGGGATAATTAGTGGGTACAAAAATACAGTTAGATCAGTTAGATAGAATAAATAAGATTTAGTATTTGATTGCACAGCATGGTGACTGCAGTCAACAATAATTTATTGTACATTTAAAAATAACTAAAAGTATAATTGGATGGTTGTAACAGAAAGAATAAATGCTTGAGGTGATGGATACCCTATTTATCCTGATGTGATTATGATGTATTATATGCCTGTATCAAAACATCCCATGTACCCTATGTGTGTGTGTGTGTGTAGATATATATATATGTGTGTGTGTGTGTGTGTGTGTGTATATAACCCTCTCTATATATAGGGTACATGAGACACAAAAATTACATATATATACCTGCTATGTACCCACAAAAATTAACAATAAAAGAAAACATGTTCTCTAAAATGATTAATTATAATTGAGCAATTACTATTGATGTAAGGATGGGTAGATTTTTTTGCATGAAACTGGAAAGCTCAATTCAAACTGGTGTTCCTTTTTGAACAAAAGGCAACAGCAAGGTATTCTAAATTATTTTGGAAATCAGTACTAGGTGAATCATGAGTAGAAAAGCCTAAATATTATAGAACTAACATTGAGTTACAAGTCATTGACTAGTCTCTGATGCAAAGCGATATACTAAAGTAAGAAAATAATAAGTATAGAGGCTTTACCTTAAGATGTGTTCTTTTCAGTTGACACTGTGTCCCATGTACTTCCTTTATTGTATTATGGCAGCCTATCGTTACCATTTGTTGTATCAACTCAAAAGGCTAGGGCCATATTCCAAACATCTCCACCTTCCTCTAAAAAGCAGTTATAAATCCACAATCCACTAATGTACATGTATATACATTATAGATTAGGTTAACATACACAAAATGACTTGCTTCACTAACTAGGAGTAGCAATATATCATATCTCTTTTATTTTGCCAATTAATCATTCAAACAACAGTAGTTTCCTATTAGCAGGAAGTCTAACATTTCCTGATGGAGTGCTTCTTCTTCCTTGTCATTCCGGGTTGTTCAGCTGGCTTTCTCAGGCCAAAAGCTAGCAGTCATATTTCCAAGATAATTGCAAATTTGCATTAATCTTCTACGTATAGTTTCTTATTGCCATATGATGCCACTATTGAAGCTTAGTCCTGTCCAGTTCCATAAATGTTCACCAGTTTGTGGTGATACATTTCTGGTCTAAGTTCCTACATTGTTTTCCCTGCACTCTTGGGTTTAATGTAGAGGGTTCCTGGTTAAGATTCTGAGTTCTGTAGTCCTGTGAACTGAATTTGAATATTGCCTTTGCTTCTTTTTAGCTGTGTGACTAAAGTCAAGTTATTGAACTTTCTGAGCCTCAGTTTCCTCCTCTATAAAATGAAGATAATAATAGAACTTATCTGATAGTGGTGTTGTGAAAATTAAATGAGACAACACATATCAAGCAAACTGCCTGGCACCTCCAAGATTTGCAGGAAATGTGTGCCCTTACTATCACTATGACTGCTACTATTATTAGTGATGCAGTAATCCTTTCCAGGAGGATAGCAACATTTCAAGTTTGCTGTAGTGCAAAGCTTAGTGTCTTCAGTATTTTCCTATTGGAGAGAAACTGGGGTCTCTATGCAAATTAGTCTACCTTGAGCCCATGGCTCTCCGTACTGCAGCAATTGACCTCCTGTTTGTACATTTCTCCAAGAAAAATGGGAAAGTTTATGATAGGCAACTCATGGATAATTAAATTTGAATGGTCAGTACATATAATCTTACTAGTAACTCAGGAAAATACAAATTGGATAAAAACGAGATAATTTTCTATACCCAATTCATCTACAAAAATAAATTTCTGATAACATCAATCTGTAGAGTTGTGGCACAAGGGCAAACTTCATGTGTTGTAGGTGAGAGGGTAAGTCATTACAACCATTTCAGTTCACACTGTCTCGAAGTTTTAGGGAAAGGAAAAATAAATGTGATTTATTCATAAACTAGAACATTACATAGTATTAAAATGAAGTGTGTGTGTATCTGTCAACATGGATACATTTGAAAAGCATAATGTTGAGTAAAAAAATAAGCAAATTGCTAAAGGATGTATAGAGTATACCATTTGCATACACTCATAAAACACACAAATAAGTATACATACATATGTGATAAAAATATTAAAACATACAGGCTAATATTATATACCAATATGAGGATGTTAGTTACTTCTGGGAAATGAGGGCGGCAGAAAGGAGGAACAGAGTGTGGGCGCAGTGGCTCATGCCTGTAATCCCAGCACTTTGGGAGGCCATGGAGGTCTGATTGCTTGAGGTTAGGAGCTCAAGACCAGCCTGGCCAACATGGTGAAATCCCATCTCTACTAAAAATACAAAAATTAGCCAGGTGTGGTGACGGGTGCCAGTAATCCCAGCCACTCAGGAGGCTGAAGCAGGAAAATCTCTTGAACCAGGAGGCAGAGTTTGCAGTGAGGCAAGATCATACCCCTGCACCCCAGCCTGGACAACAGAGTGAAACTCCATCTCAGAAAAAATAGAAAGGAGGAACAGAGAACCGAGAGGGGTTATAGCTCTCTATATAACATTTTATTTCCTTTAAAAATTTATGGCTATATTGTAACATGTAGTTTGTTACATATGTGTGATGTAGGTAACATCTGTTACATATGTGTGATGGGTTCATAGGTATACATAAAATCAATTTTTCTTTCTGTAAACATCAATTATTTAATAACATGACATAAAATAAAGACAATTGGAAAAATAGCTCTTTTAGGCTTTGAGATAATTAGAAAACACTTGGGGAAGAATAAAATTAGATAGCTACTTCATATCATATATTAAAGAGAATTCCCTGTGGGGTTTAAATTTTAAATAAAAAGAAAGTAGAGCAGAAGATAATGTAGGCGATTATTTGTCTGATCTTAATAGGAAAACTTTAAGCATATAGACAAGAGAAATTTAGGCAAAAAAGTACATTATTTCTACATAAAATTCAAAGCTCTGCTATGTCCAAAATCTATAAACAAAATATAAATGATGAGCTATTTAAATTGGCATTGTTAACAGGTAAAGGATTTGTAGAAACAATAGATATAAAATTATCCCATGAGAAAAATATGATTATGACACCAACAGACAATTTTCAAAGGGATAAATAACAATGACCAAAGTGTGAATGTGTTCAGGAACATGGTTATTGACTCTATGCCTCTCAGCTCCAAATTAGCCCTTCAGCACCTGCTCCAATATAATGGACTGCAATCTTTTTTTTTCTTTTGAACTTTTAGGTTCAAGGGGTACATGTGAAAGTTTGTTCCATAGGAAAATTATATATAATGGGGCTCTGGTTTACAGATAGCTTCGTCATCTAGTTAATCAGCATAACACCGAATGGGTAGTTTTTCAATCCTCACCCTCCTCCCACCCTCCACTTTCAAGCAGGCCCTGGTATTTATTGTTCCTTTCCTTGTGTCCATGTGTACTCAGTGTTTAGCTCCCACTTATAAGTGGAACAGGTACTATTTGGTTTCCTGTTCCTGCATTAATTCAGTTAGGATAATAGCCTCCATCCATGTTGTTACAAAGGACAAACTATGCATTTGACAAAGGTCTAATATCCAGAATCTATAAGAAACATAATCAAATCAACAAGCAAAAAACAAACAATCCTATTAAAAAGTGGCCAAAGGACATGAACAGACACTTCCAAAAGGAGACATACATACAACCAATAAGCATATGAAAAAAAGCTCAATATCACTAATCATTAGGGAAATACAAATCAAAACCAAAATGAGATACAATCTCATACCAGTCAGCATAACTATTAATATTATTAAAAATCAAAAATAACAGATGCTGGCAAGGTTGCAGAGAAAAGGGAATGATTATATGCTGTTGGTGGGAATGTAAATTAGATTAGCCATGTTGCTCCAAAGGACATGCTCTCATTTTTTTTTATGGCTACATAGTAGTCCATGGTGTAGATGTATATTTTCTTTATTCAGTCCACCACTGATGGGCATTTAGATTGATTCAGTGTCTTCACTATTGTCAATAATGCTGCAATGAACAAAATGTGCATGTGTCTTTATAGTGGAACCATTTATATTCCCTTTGGTGTGTACCCAACAATGGGATTTCTAGGTCAAATGGCATTTCTATTTTAATTTCTTTCAGAAATCTCCAGACTGCCTTCCACAGTGGCTGATCTAATTTACACTCCCATCAGGAGTGTGTAAGTGTTCCCTTTTCTCTGTGATCTTACCATCATCTGTTATTTTTTGACTTTTTAATAATATCCATGCTGACTGTGTGAGATGGTAACTCATTGTGGTTTTGATTTGCATTGCTCTGATGATTAGTGATATTGAGCTTTATTTCATATGCTTTTTTGTTGCATGTATGTCTTCTTTTGAGAAGTATCTGTTCATATCCTTTGCCCATTTTTTAATAGGGTTGTTTGGTTTTTGCTTGTGATTTGTTTATGTTCCTTATAGATTCTGGATATTAGAACTTTGTCAGATGCATAGTTTGCAAATATTTTCTCCCGTTCTGCAGGTTGTCTGTTTATTAAGTTTCTTTTGCTGCTCAGAAACTCTTTAATTAGGTCTTACTTGTCAATTTTTATTTTTGAAATTGCTTTTGGAGCCTGCATCATGAAGTCTTTGCCAGGGTTTATGTCCAGAATGGTATATTCTAGGTTTTCTTCTAGGGTTTTTGTGGTTTTGGGTTTTTACATTAAAGTCTTTGATCCACCCTGAGTTGATTTTCATATATGGTCAAAAGTAAGGGGTCCAGCTAAAATCTTCTGCATATGGCTAACCAGTCATTCCTGAAGCATTTATTGAATAAGGTGTCCTTTCTCCATTGTTTGTTATTGTCAGCTTTTTCAAAGACAAGATGGTTGTACATGTATGGCTTTATTTCTGGGTTCTCTATCTTGTTTCAGTTGTCTATGTGTCTGTTTTTGTACCCAGAACTATGCTGTTTTGGTTGCTGTAGCCTTGTAGTATAGTTTGAAGTTGGGTAGTGTGATGCCTCCAGGTTTGTTTGTTTGTTTTTGATTTGGATTACCTTGGCTGTTAGCCAGGCTCTTTTTTGGTTCTAAATGAATTTCAGTCAACAGTTCTAATTCTATGAACCATGTAATTAGTTGTTTGATAGGAATAACATTGAATCTGTCAATTGCTTTTGGCTGTATGGTCATTTTAACAATATTAATTCTTCCTATCCATGAGCATGGGATGTTTTTTTCATTTGGCTATGTCATCTGTGGTTTCTTTGAGCAGTATTTTGTAATTCTCATTGTAGAGGCCTTTCACCTTCCTGGTTGGTTGTATTCCTAGGTATTTTATCCTTTCTGTGGCAATCATGAATGGGATTGCATTCTTGATTTGGCCCTCAGCTTGGCTGTTGGTGTATAGAAATGCTACTGATTTTTGTACATTGATTTTGTATCCTGCAACTTTGCTGAAGTTAGTTTATCAGTTCAAGGAGCATTTGGGCAGAGGTTATGGGGTATTCTAGATGTAAATCCATATTGTCTGTAAGCAGGGATGGTTTGATTTCCTCTCTCCCTACTTGGATGCCTTTTATTTCTTTCTCTTGCCTGATTGCTCTGACTGGGACTTCCTGTGCTTTGTTGAATAGAAATAGTGAGAGTGGGCATCCTTGTCTTGTTCCAGTTCTTAAGTAGAATGCTTTCAGCTTTTGCCTGTTTATATGATGTTGGCTCTGGGTTTGTCATAGGTAGCTCTTATTATTTTGAGGTATGTTCCTTCAATGCCTAGTTTGTTAGTGATTTTTAGCATGAAGGGATGTTGGATTTTGTGGAAAGCCTTTTCTGCATCTGTTGAGAGGTAATGTAGTTTTTTGTTTTTAGTTCTGTTTATGTGATGAATCACATTTATTAATTTGTATAGATTACACCAACCTTGCATCCCAGGAATAAAGCCTACTTGATTGTGGTGGGTTAACCTTTTGGTGTGCTGCCAGATTCAGTTTGCTAGTATTTGTTGAGGATTTTTAAATCTATATTCATTAGGGTTATTGGTCTGAAGTTTTCTTTTTTTCATTATGTCTCTGCCAGGTTTCAGTATGTGGATGATACTGGTCTCATAGAATGAGGTACGAAGGAGTCACTTCTCCTTGACTTTTAGTAATAGTTTCAGTAGGATTGGTACCAGCATTTCCTTATACATCTGGTGGAATTTGGCCGTGTATCTATCTGGTCCAGGGCTTTTACTGATTGGTAGCTTTTTTATTACTGATTCAATTTCAGAACTCCTTATTGGTTGTTCAGAGTTTCCATTTCTCCTTAGTTCAATATTGGGAGGTCTTGTGTTTCCAGGACTTTATCCATTTCCTCTAGGTTTTCTGTTTGTTTGCATAGAGGTGTTTGTAATAATCTCTGAGGGTTTTCTGTATTTCTGTGGCAACAGTGGTAACGTCTTCTTTGTCAATTTTGATTGTGTTTATTTCAATCTTCTCTCTTTTTTAAATTAGTCTAGCTAGTGGTCTGTCAATCGTATTTATTTATTAAGAATCAACCTTTGGTTTCATTGATCTTTTACATATTTTTTCTCATCTCCATTTCATTCAATTCAGCTCTAATTTTCATTATTTCTTTTCTTCTGCTAGATTTGGATTTGGCTTGCTCTTGTTTTTCTAATTCCTCTAGTTGTGATGTTAGGTTGTTAATTTGAGATCTTTGTAACTTTTTAATATGGATGTTTAGCACTATATATTTTCCTCTTGACACTGTGTTTGCTGTGTCTCAGAGATTCTAGTATGTCGTATCTCCGTTTCATTAATTTCAAAGAGTTTTTGGATTTCTGTTTTAATTTCATTGTTTGCCAAAAAGTCATTCAGGGGCCTATTGTTTAATTTAATTTTCATCTAATTGTATGGTTTTGAGAGATCTTTTTGGTATTAATTTCTATTTTTATTGCACTGTGATCCAAGAGTGTGGTTGGTATCATTTTTTTTGTAAATTTGTTGAGATTTGTCTTATAGCTCAGTGTGTGGTTGATTTTAGAGCATGTCCCATGTGCAGCTGAGAAGACTGTATGTTCTGTTTTTGTTAGGTGGAGTGTTCTGTAGATGTCTGTTAGGTCAGTTTGGTGAAGTGCTGAGTTTGGGTCCCAAATATCTTTGTTACTTTTCTGTCTTAATGATCTGTTTAGTACTGTCAGTGGGGAATTGAAATCTCCCACTATTATTGTGTGGTTATCTTACTCTCTTTGTAGGTCTCAAAGAACTTGTTTTATGAATCTGAGTGCTCAGTTTTGGGTACATAAATATTTAGAATAGTTGAGTCTTCTCATTGAATTGAACCCTTTGCCATTACGTAATGCCCTTCTTTGTCTGTTTTTTAAAATCATTGTTGGTTTAAAATCTGTTTTGTCTGAAATTAGAATAGCAACTCTAGCCCTTTTTGTTTTCCATTTGCTTGATAAATTTTTCTTCATCTCTTTACTTTGAGCCTATGGGCATCATTGTACATGAGATGGGTCTCTTGAAGACAGCATATAGTTAGATCATCCTTTGATATCCTACTTACCACTCTGTGCCTTTTAAGTGGGGCCTTTATCCCATTTACATTCAAGTCTATTACTGATACGTGCAGATTTGAACCTGTGATTGTGTTGTTAGCTGGTTGTTATGTAGACTTGATTGTGTAGTTGCTTTATAGTGTCAATGGTCTATAAACATAAGCACATATATAGACCATTTTTTTTTTTGGTGGCCAGTAATGGTCTGTAATTTCCATGTTTATCACTTTCTTAAAGACTTCTTGTTAGGCAAGTCTGGTGGGAATGAATTCCCTTAGCATTTACTTGTTTGGAAGTTATTTTACTTCTCCTACACTTAGAAAACTTAATTTGGCTGGGTATAAAATTTTTTGTTGGAATTTCTTTTCCTCTTTTAAAATGAGCATAATGTCAAGCTTTGTTAGTAGATTAGACTGGAGGGACATTAGTAGGGTAAGGGATGTTCTGCTGGGTCTGGTGCTATGTTTTGTTTATGCTGCTGAAGTTGCATCATGAGCCAGTTGTGCAGGAATGTCAGTACATACAGTGTGCTATGCCTCAGCTATATGCCCACAGTGCACACCCTCTCAGTGATCTCACAGCCTCATCATAGACTTGTTTTACACTTTCATGTGGTCCTCCTAATGCAGAAACTACATAGTGCAAAATGAGCCTGCAGAGGTACCCTGACAACCCCTGCATGCCCACCCAGCAACCTTGGTTACTTGTAACCTGAAGGGTTGTAACTCATGGCTTTTCCAGAGTGACACCATACACTCCAGGTCTGTGTCCACAGTGGCATTGCTGTATTTGCTCTCATACCTGCCCATCCACCAGCTTTGGCTCAGCTGCATACCAGAGGCCTGCTTCCTACTTGCTGGGTGACTGGGACCAACTCTTTGGATTTTCAATGCACTCAGGAAATTTCACATTTCATGGCAAATAATTTAATATGAGCATACTATTCTCTTTTTGACTTTTATAATCACTCCCAGATAGAATGTTCCATACCCATTATGCAACAGAAAGGACTTGATTCTCCAAAATTAAGTAATTTTGACTTAAGACATTTTTGATTTATTTGTAAATCTTTACCAAGATTTACAATACCTTAAGAAGAAAACACAAATACTGCTAGTGATATTCACTTAAAAAACTGCTTACTTATTTGTATTCCAACTGTAGTAAGCAGATATTGACTGAAGTTGGTATCAACAATCAAGATTTATTGACCCTAGGTAAATATTATAGAAAATAATATCAAGGTCAGTACTGGCTCAAGAGACCATTGATCTTGTGTGAAGGCTAAAATTTATCAATATTTCCATTATAGCACTACCTCATATTATAAAGATTTCTTTTATGAACTGTAGTCTTCAGGAAGTTTATGGTTCATTCTGAAGGAGGATGAGAAGACCATTTAGAAACTGTTAGAATTATGGGCATGAAGACTAAACAATAGTGTAGTTTAGTGGAACGTCACAAATTGTTTCCTAAAAGCACTTTTGCAGTTTATTTTTATTTTGGTGATTGCATTTTTATGTGGAGTGTGGCTGGTGCTAGGATGGTGCTGTTGTCAGCCATGTAGAGGCTCATGGAAGAAATGTACAGGGAATCAATAGATTTAAGAATAAAGATGGCAGAGCAGAACTGGGAGGATGAGCAGAGCTGAGAGGAGTCATTTAGATGTTCACTTGTAATAATACTTCCCTGTTCTGCATAACTCCTTTATGTACAGTTCTACTGTAGTTTGCAGGGTTATGTCACAAAGCGGAAATAAGAACCACAGGCAGCAGAGGGCACCACAAAAAAAAATATCCTTAGGAAATATATTCATATTTTTACTGCAGAGAGTAAACTGATACATATGTATTAAAATAAGATTTTGATAGCCAGTGCAAATTCTTATTTTTGAAATCATGGGCTTACATTAAAACAGGACTGACTGCTGCCAGAAATGAGCAAGAACCATCAGTACCAAATCATTAACAAAGAAAGACCTATGTAAATTTACAACAAAAATTTATTGAAACTTTCCTGTAATCCTCCTACTACAGAATCTAAGAACTCTCAATAGCAAATTGTATTGAAAAATATGCTTTATTTGATCAGCAGAGTGATCTTTCAAAAGTGGATTATTCTAATTGTAGTTTACCTAAAGAAATGGTAAAAAAAAATTTACAGTGGTATAGTCTTTCAGCAATAATTAGAAAATCAATCTTTCAGCAGATTATTATTAAGATAATTGTGGACATATATAGATAATATATATGTGGTGTTCACATATAATAAGGGAGAAGCCTATGAGGATTATTAAAGATATGTCAATTATGTATAATTCAAATATGTAATTTCAAGAAAAAAAGGCAAATACTATTACGGGTCAAACACAGAAGAAATACAAATTCTAATACACGTATTAAAAAGTTTACTTTAGTGATAACCAAAGAGATCTAATTATAATTAGCATTAATAATGTGATTTTTTAAAAAGACATTCCAAATTTTAATAATACAGAAAACTACCTAGTGTTGGTAAGAATTTGCAGAAAATGGGGTTTTTCACATAATCTCTTCAGTGAAGTATTAGTCAAAGCTGAGAGAAAGAGGCTTTTGACCATGCAATTTTATTTCCAGGAATGTATCCTAAGTAAATAACAAGAAATTAAGAATTTTAAGCACATGATGGTTTACTGTGGCATTATTGAAAATAATAAAAATTTTAAAATACTCAAAATGTCCAACAATTGTTGAGAGTGGTATCCCCCATGGGTCCTGAGTATTCATCCACATTCTTGGAAAGTGTTCCAGATTGCAAGGCTTATATGTTTTGTGTTCTGAGTAGCTTATGTAGCTAGTCACATAGTCAAATGAGTAGGTCAAGGTGACCACAACCTGACTACCATGTAATTTATAACAGCACATGCCTTGAGAGGAGAAGCCCTGGCTTATGTGTTGCTGGCTACAGTGATTGGCAGATTGTCAAAAAGCCTCAGACTTTTGGTCCTGGGTTCTTCTCTTGTAATGCAATCTTTTTTTGTATACAGGTGTCAGCTGAAAGCATGGTACACCTTCCTGGGACTTGACGGGAGGGGAAGACAATGCAAATATGCAGATGATTCTATTTCTTGCTGTTCTGTGAGTGATAAAATCTTTTTTCTCCTACTTACAGTCTTGTGTCTTCTGTCACCATCCATGAATCAGTAACAGGTTAACTTTTTGGCTTACAAGTAGGGTAAAAATCTCAGACTCTTCATGGTTCTTGACACAACAGGGACTTCACTAGTAAGTTAAGTGCATTTGAAAGAGGACTAAGCTGCTGTTGAAAGTTACGGTCTTGAAAAATACTATCAATATACAAAAATGTTCATGACACATTGATTAGAGAAAAAAATGACAAAACAGTACAGTTTGATATATATTTTTAAAAGTATGTACATGCGTGGAAAAATTCTAGAAGTGTACGAAAAGGTGAGTAAGAGCATCTTAAAAACAATTGCTTCATGTTTTTCATTCAGTGGTTCTCAAACTTTATTGTGCATCAGAAGTCTGTTAAGATACTGCATGCTCAGTGTCAGCCCCACAGATTCTGATTCAATAGGTCTGGGTGGTGCCCAATGACTTGTATTTCTAACAAATTATCAGGTGATGCTGCTGCTGCTGCTGCTCTTCAGGGAACCATACTTTCAGAACCATCATTTTAGTCTATGTGGTAGTTCAGTGTACTAGTTATAGACATGAACTCTGGAGCCAGCTTCCTTGCATGTCTGTCTGATCCTGCCATGTCACAGTTTGACTTTAAGTAAGTTTTAAAATTAGTCTTGCCTCATTTTCTTATCTGGAAAATGGGGATAAAATCTCCATTTTAGTAAGATAATAGCACTAAAGCCATAAAAATTGACCCACAATGTCTACCATATTACAAGTGCTCTTATTATGTTGTGTAGACATCATAAATATATTAAAACCAAGAATGTTACTACTGGTTTTTTGTGTTATAGCTATGGACCATTGTAGTGAACAGAGTATAAGATAATAGAATCAGGCACACTGTGTATACTGTCACCTATGGTATTTAATTTACTCATCTATAAAATGGGGCATCAACTTCTCTCCTGCAGTTTTTGGAAGGCTTCAATGCAATTACATATATGAAATACCTGGGAAGTAACTTACATCAGTTAATATTGATTCTCCTGCTTCTCACACCACTTCTGACCAAGCATCACCCATATATTTATCAAAAATTCATAATCACTTATTTGTTTGAATGTTCTGAATGTTTTTGACTTCAGAGATAAATAGCCCACCCTCTTGAAGCTTACATTATATGGGGAGAAAATTTTAGGTTTAAGACTAGAAGCTAGAAAGACTAGAGCATTGTAATGGAAAAGGAATATTAGGAGTGAGAAAGTTTGATTTATCTGCTATTCTGCTGGTAATTTAATGTTTAGTGTTGAGTAAATCTTTTATCTGTGTTTAACTAGTAAAGTGAGAAGGTTGGGTATATATTTCTAAGATCCTTTAAACTCCTAACAGTCTTTCAATTTAAAACTTCTAATGCTTTATAAATTAGGTGTGAAAAACTGAAATACCTTGTGGACCAGCCATAATAGAAATTTGTGAAATGGCTGGCTTGCTATAGAGAGTGGTGGAGATACAACCACTTGGAGAGTGCATGCCTGTCTAAAGACATTAACATTAAAATTGTTTAAAAAATATTTAGCCTGCTTTTAAAAACACTTAAAGAGCTTTGAGATAATCATCTTCTAAATACTTGTAGTTGGAATAGTGAGAAAGAATGGCATTCTGCCTTTAAGCATGAAGATGAGTTAATGCTGCAAAACAGAATATACTAGCTCTGTTACTGATTAACTCTTTGCATTTCTCATTTCAATGCAAACTGAAATCGTAGTAAATGTTGAGCAAGATAGATGGCTAAATAATTTTAAAAATCTGTCTACAAAGAGTCAGCTTGCGCCTGAGGTTAGAGGTGTGAGGTAGAGTGCTCTATATTTGCACTGCAGGTCGCTGATATTTGAAAGGCACATTAATCATGTTATTAATGGGTAATAATAAAGAATCAAAGTATTTTTATTATACATGTATAGAGATTATGACATTGAGTTCATTAAAGCAAAAATATCCTTTGGAAGACGACTTACAGCAAATGGCAGAGATCATGAAAAGAGATCGTAAAATAAAAGATCTTGCTTCTTACTAAAAAAATTTTGTCCTGAAAATTTTCGTATATACTACTTTGCTGGACTTATGATTTTGGAAAATGAGACAGGGATAAAATAATCTACTTGCATCCTTGCTTTGATTTAACTCAGAATGTTTCGGTTTTCACAAACTAGTGTAAATTAAAGAGTAAGAATGTCAAACGAATGTTGGTTGTATAAAATATGGGTTACTTAGGAGAAAAAAATTCACTTTGAAAACATCTACAAGGAAGAAGGCTTCAGACCTCAAAAACAATGCCATTTGGCATCACTTTTGGGTTTTTTAATAATATTAAGAATAAGTTTTTTCCACTAAGGTGTTAGAACTTCAGAAAATTATTAAAAACATTTTACATTTAAATATACATTTTACTTTTAAATTTATTTATTTATGTATGTATTTATTTATTTATTTATTATACGTTAAGTTCTAGGGTACATGTGCACACCGTGCAGGTTTGTTACATATGTATACATGCGCCATGTTGGTGTGCTGCACCCATTAACTCGTCATTTGCATTAGGTATATCTCCTAATGCCATCCCTCCCCCTGCCCCCACCCATGACAGTTTAATTTTACTGACAGTTTAATTTAATGACAGTTTAATTACGTTTAAATTTGACTAAGAGGCCAGGAAGAAATCTCTTAATGTTGAAATTTTGTAGTAAATATGTTTGATTATTTTTTAAAGGTATTGAAAACACTTCTAAATTTGAGAACTATAATTTTAGCGTAATTTAGAGCATACTTGTTATCACATCAGCATGTTGCGTGAGTAATATTTTACTTACTTATACCTTCATCAAGGTATATCGACATGAAATAAACTGCACATATTTAACATGTTAAATTTGATGTTATGACATATATGTATACACATTAAATTATCACAGTCGGTATAATGAACATTGCAGCACACCCTGAAGTTTCTTTTTGCCCTTTTGTAATTCTCCCCTCCAACTTCTCTGACTCTCCTTCTCTCCCCTGCCGTCCCTCTGGCACGTCTAATAGGATTTTGTCATGGGAGCTCTTTATAGTCCCAAAAGACACAATCCTGTATGACATAATCCCAAATGTTGAAATCCCCAAATCTCAAAATCCTAGAAATACAATTTTGGAAAAAATTTAAAAAATTTGTAAAAAGATATTTGTTTACATTTTTTAAATGGATTTATTTGAGAAACATATAAAAACATGACAACACTTCATAGGTCACTTTATGCAATAAAGTAGGCAACAATAACATACATATTTTTGCAAGCATAATACACTGAGGTATACTATTGACAGTCACATGGGTATAATAGTTATGAGCAGATGAACTACATCCATAAAGAAATAGGTGAAAAACCAAAATGTATACAACCTATTACTATGGGTGCTAATTGTGTGTACCTAGCTTTATAATTGCAGTCATCTGAAATACTGTGATGCACAACTGAAGTTTTTGACCAGCTCAACCAAAAGCCAGCATCACCACTGAGCCAGCCCTCCAAAGACCCAGGATCTCATGAATTTTATCTGTCACAAATGCAAATGTACAAAAAGGACATCTCTTCACTTACTGAGGAAGTTTCAATTTTTTAATGTATATGCATCATGTTTACATACAGTCAACATTATGATAATGCACTTCCATGAAGGCACTTTTGCAAAAAATGTATAAAATGAATTTGAACTCACTAATAGTCCAACACAATTTATGGCTCCAGTATTGGAAATGATGCAAAGATGGAATACACAGCATAGTGAATTGTAAAAAATAATGCTGACAATTTAAAATAGTGGGAAAAATGAAATAAAAGAAAAAAATAAAAAACTGAATAGAAAATTCAACATACGAAAAAGGGTATGACGAGGTGACAGGATAGATTATGGGCAATTGCATGCAGACAATGTATAAGAGGTTGCTGATCTTCATGATTATTAACTATATTTTAAGGCCTTACAACATGATAAATAGCTGCTTTTTTTTCTTTTTTGACATAGCCATTGGAGAATACATTCACACTCATTTTCTATGTGGTATTTCTCTTTTTGAAATTCTTCTGTGATTTGATATACACTGAAACTAGTATTTCTATCTTCTATGCTATGCTTGTATGTTGTTTTTGGTACTTGAAAACCCACTTTGCATGTACTCATACACAGACCACAAATTTGGTGGAAATAATACTGGTGATCAAATAGCAACACCATTGCATAAGTGCCTTCTTATCCTACCATGCACATAATTGTTTTAAAGCCAGTCAGTAACTTCACTGGCTTCTTCAGGCAAATGTGGTTTTAATTAATTAAAATCTCTTGGGAGGTCATCAGCTAGAAGGAATGTCAACGCAGGAAAATGGCACATTTTTAAACTGCAGTTTTTATCATTGCCATTATCTCATGGCCAATCCACTCATCTGAATTTTCTAACAAATGCATTGGGTTGAATGGAGCAAAACAAACTTTACTGGCAACACTTTGAAACTCACTTTTAGAAGCTTTGGTCACATCTAATTCCAAATCCATCATTATAGTTTGCGGACTCAATTGAATTTTTTTTCTGCATTTAGACAATAACGTGGTAATAAGTCAATCAAACATGATGCAACTATTTTGTGATTGTGATTCTGGGGGATTTTAGACATTAGGAAGTTTAGACAGTAGGAATTTGGACATTAGGCATTTTTGATCTTCTGTAATTTCAGCATTTGGCATTATGGTGTTCAGGATTGTACCGTTCAGAAAATGATCCAAATCCCTGTTTTATGGGCTAGTTTGCAAATTCTAGAATTTAATATAGATGACATCATATAGTATGCACTCTTTTTTGTCTAGCATCTTCAACTCAATGTATTTATTTTGACATTCATTCATGTTTTTACCCACCTCAACACTCCATTTCTTTTTATTTCTCAGTAGTAGTTTATTGTATGGGTATGCTAAATTTGTTCATCCATTTGCCATTTAGTTTGTTTACAGTTTTTTGGCTAATACAAATAAAGACAAATATTCTTTTACAAGTCTTGTTGTAGATACTGGCTTTCTTTTCTTGTGAGTAAATAATTAAGAGAGTTGAGTGGCTGATATGATAGGTGTAAGTTATATTTTTTATTAACTGACAAACCATTTAACAAAGTGGTTGTGCCATTTTAAGTTACAACAGCATTTCATGAGAATTTCAGTTGCTGTTCATTCTCACCAACTCTTAGTAGGGTCTTTTTAATTTTAGTCATTCTATTAGGTGTGTAGTGGTATCTTATTGTGGTCATAATTTGCATTTCCCTAGTGCATGTTGAACATCTTTTCATGTGCTTATATCTTCTTTGGTGAAGCATCTGTTTCAATCTTTTGCCCATTTTTAAATTGGGATGTTTATTTTCTTATTATTGCAATTTGTGTCTTTCAAGGAATTGGTCTGTTTCATCTAGCTTATCAAATCTGTGGGCAAAGACAGTTGTTCATAACATTATTTTCTTAATCCATTTAATGTCCATGAGATCTACAGTCTCTCTTTCATTTCTGATATCAGTAATTTGTGTTTTCTCTCTATTATTCTTAGTTAGCTTAGCTAATGGCTTATTGTTTTCTAAGTTCATTATTTTTAATAGATAAATAATAATTATATATATTTATGAGCTATAATAGGATGTTATGATATACATATACAATATAGAATGATTAAATCAGGCTAATTAACATAGTCATCACCTCACACACTAATCTTTTCTTTGTGGTGAGAATATTCAAAATCTATACTTTTAGCAATTTTGAAATATACAGTACATTATTAAAACTACAGTCACCATGCTGTGCAATACTTTACCAGAGTTTATTTCTCCCAATTGAAATGCTGTGGTCTTTGACTACTGTCTCTTCTTTCCCTGCTCTCCCCTAATCCCAGTCTTTGGGATTCCAGTCTCTAACCACCATTCTATTCTCTACTTCTATGAGTTGCGCTTTTTTAGATTCTACATATAAGTGAGATAAAGGGTTGTTAGTTTTTCCATCCCTGGATTATTTCACTTAGCATAATGTCTTCTAAATTTATTTACGCTCTTGAAAATGACAGAATTTTCTACCCTTTAAAGGATGAATAGTATTGCCTTGTATATATATACCACATTTAAAAATATTTATTTATTTTTGATACATAATAATTGTAAATATCTAAGGAGTACATATGCTATTTTCATATATGCATACAATGTGTAATGACCAAATCAGGGTCATCAGAATACCTGTCACCTCAAACATTCATAATTTCTTTGTTTAGGGAACATTTCAAGTCTTTCCTTTTAGCTACTTTGAAATATACAATAAATTATTGTTAACTATTGTCATCCTACTGTGCTATCAAACACTAGAATTTATTCCTTTTATCTTACTGTATTTTCATACCCAGTAAACAGCTTCCCTTCCTCCTGCCCTCCCCACTACTCTTCCCAGCTTTTTCTAACCACCACCTATTCTTCACCTCCATGAGATCAACTTTTTCTTTGCTCCCAACATTTCTTGCAAGGCAGATCTCTGGCAACAAATTCCCTGAATTTTTGTTTGTCTGAGAAAATCTTCATTTTGCCTTCACTTTTGAAGAATAATTTCATAAGGTACAGAATTCTAGGTTAGTGGGTTTTTCCTTTCAACATTTTAAATGCTTCACTTAATTATTTTCTTGCTTGCATAATTTCTGGAGAAATCAGATGTAATTCTTAGCTCTGCTCCTCTATGGGTAAGGTGTTTCTAACTGTGCCCCACCCCACACCCCACCCCTTTGGCTTTGGTCAAGATTTTTTTTTTTTATCTTTGATTTTCTGAAGTTTGGCTATGATATGCCTAGGTGTCGTTTTTTAAGCATGTATCCTGCTTGGTGATCTTCAATTCTCTGGTTTAATGTTTAACATTAATTTGGGAGAAATTCTCAGTGATTATTGCTTCAGTTATTTCTTCTGGGCATTTCTCTCTCTTTTTTTTTTCCTTCTGTTATTCTCATTACATGTACATTTCACCTTTCGGAGTTGTCCCACAGGTTTTTGATATTCTGTTTTGTATTGTTCTTTTATAGCTGGAATCCAGGTTGAGGACTATCTTTTTTATTAGCTTTAAGTAAAGTAACTAACACCTTTTCAGTTGGTAGTTGATGCTTTTTTCTATTCTGACACCAACTTATTGGGTACCTTTGGATAAGTTAAATTTTCTAATTTTCTTCAGTTGCCTAATGAAGGGTTAGAGTAACTGACATTCTTGTGGCACAGAAAAACAGTGCTTATATTTCGCCTTAACAAAACAGAGTTCTAATTTTGTTCTGATACTAATTTCCTTATATTGTTAGCTGACATATATATATATATATAACAAAAATATTTCTAAATAAAAAATAATAGTTAACATTTATTGAACAGTTACTCATTGTGAGGTGTTCATGCAAGCACTTCACATGCATTGACTCAGGCCTAGTGGGTGAGTATTGAAATGTCTCCCTTTTACAGGGGAATAGTGAGTAACAGGGAGGTGAAGTAACATGCCTAGGGTCACTAGCTGGTGGATGCTGGAATTTGGGTTCAAATATAGGCAATTGGGTAGAAAGCCCACAATTGTGTCAACTATTTTCTCCTGATGTATAAGACTATTTAAAATTTTCTTTATTGAGAAAAATATAATTCCATGAATTAATAAGATCTTATGCTTTAATTGTAAAAAGAAAGCTTTATGTTAAACATTTGGTTAGTTTAGTATCTTGGTATTTTTTTTTCAAAGAACTGTTAAAAAGTTTCTTAAAATCTTTTTACAGCATGTTTAAGTCTCTTGTAAATAAGGGTAGTGGGTAAAAAATATTAATTAAAATATCCACCAGTATTCTTTTCAATTATTTGGTAATCAAAAATTCTGATAATATTTCAGAATTTTCTTAAGTATTCTTCTTTTAAAATCAACTAATTTTATATTTGGCAATTCTCTTATAAGTTTAGGCAAATAGTGTAAATGAGGCAGAGTGCTTTGTCAACATGATCATCTAACTACAGATACTAATAATTAAAAAGGGAGAGGATAGGTGAAAGGAAAAGAAATCCTACACACAGACTCTGTTTTATTTATCTTGCCTATACTAATCCTATATTTCACAATAATCCCTAAATATTCCTAGAGAAGACTGAGGTGTAAACAGGTAAAATGATTGCACAATCTCAATGGGTAAAAAGTAGAAGAGAAAGGATTTTTATTCTTGTTCTGATGCCAAACCCCTTGCTTTTGGCACCAGACTGATGTGCTTCTTTATGAAGTGAAAATAGTGACATTGGCTGGCTGAACCTGTCTGTTTTGACAGAGCTAAGAGTGGCAGGTAGGTCAGGGGCATTGTAAGTGCCTCTCAAGAAGATACAAACTACTCCACAAAAAATAAAGACACCTTTGAAATCTAAGATATCCAGTCTGTCAAATAAGAACTTTCTGACCCTTCTTTCCTTTGCCTTCTCCTGTTCCAACATTAACCAGACCAGATTCAGTACAATGAGTGAGGAAATTGAAATCGAGGAGCAAGGTGGATAAATAAAGATGAAGATTCCAACTCAACTGTTCCCTTAAGTGCTCTTAGTTGGAGGAAGGGAGAAGTTTGGCTCAAATAGCTGCAAGTAATTTTGTTATATTAGACAGGACTCTTTGTTGCCTAAAAGTTGCTAGAAAAGCTGTATGTTTTTATCAGGGGTATCATCTAGGGCTGGAGAAGATCAAGTTTCCCCAGTCAGTAGTGAGAAAAATAATTTGTTTCTTATTTTATTTGAATGTAGCTATTTCAATAAACAGCTTCATTCATACATATTATTTTCTGTTACAGAAATCTGAAAATTAGGATATGCCTTCAAAAGATTTACAGAATGAATATACAAATTATTTCAAGATGAAGGAAAACCATCTAAGATTCCAGCCTCCGTGAATTCTAGAAATCCCTGCTAATTTCTAACCTTTACTCTTCTGTGTACCTGCAGCTACTCAGTGTTTCATTTTTGATGGTAGCTTCTTTGGACAATTGCTATTTGTGCAGTGCACTTTATTTTGTGTTCCTCATTGACTGCTTATTATTCAATGATTTTTTAAGGATCAAGTTATCTTAATAATTATTAAAAGTAGATTTAGAGAGGCAAGGCCAAATATTTCTCCTTTCCTTAACTAGTAGGACTTTATAAAAATCTATTTGATAATGTTCTCAACTTTTCTGCTTGTATTGCGTCCATAGCTCAAGTCTGGGTAACATATTGTTTTCTTTTCTTCAAAACGGCCATGTCCAACAGAGTTTCTGCTGCTACAGAAATGTTCTACATTTGTGCTGTCTGATATGGTCATCGTGTGCCACTATGGAGCACCACCTGGTATGCATCATTTGCTATGGAGCACTAAAATATGGTTCATGTGACTGGAGAACTGAGTGTTTAATTTGAACTTAATTTTAAATTAAACTAAATTTCATATAAATTTAAACAGCCATATGTGGCTAGTGGCTACCATGTTGGATAGTACAGCTATAGAAAATTCATTTCTAAAATTGAATAAACCTCTGTTTCCCACAAAACTCTCCTTGTGGACCTCTCATTTTGTTGCATGCATTCATTCCACTTTAAAGAATATTTCAGAGTAGACTTATTTCTTTTTCTCTTTTTCTTAGAAGTAAACAGATAAGCAAGCCTTAATTTAGGGAAGAAATGCTTTTGCAAAAGCTCAGTATTTCAGGCCAAAGTGTCCATTTGTCTTTAGTAATATTTGGCTTTGAAATGTTGTTGCTGTTGGCACTAAATGAAGGTTTAATTTCCATGCTTTGGTGATGGTATCGATGCACATTAGCAGTGTGTGCGGTACACACAGCGTCAAGCAAACAGCCACATGCATCAAGGTTTGTGCTTAACAGTCCTGCCTCAGGATCCCTGTGGATTCTTTGAGTATCCTTTTAAAGACTCTACTATCTGTTCTATGAGAGGAACAGATGCATCTTTCTATATAGTGCAGTCAGCAAAGTTCAGGAGAGGGGAGGCCAGATGCTATTCATATTTCTTTCAGAGTGTAGCGTATATCAGTGGTACTTAAAACCCGTCTTCTCAACAGCTAGCACCTCTTTTTTAAAAATTGGTTTCCATTTTGGCTGTTTGAGATCAGGAACAATGGAGCTTTCCTTTGAGTTAATTTCTTTCATTGATTATTGGCCTTTTAAAGGCAGTGCTTTAAGGTATACTCGTATTTTTATTTTAAAACCTGTTTTTCAGAAGTTTCTATCTTTATGAGGAAAACAGTTGTCTTATCTGTAGTCCTTTGAAAATGAGATGATGATTTTATATCAAAGTAGATACTTTTGCTCACAGTATTATCTTTCTTTCAGAAGTAATGTGTATTGTGTACCATGGATAAAGGGATGAGAAAAAAACTAAGTATACATCCATAACTTATTACATATATTGTGCATGCATGTGCACACACACACACAAACATACAAATCAGTTTGATCCTGCAAGTGGAAGCAACTTCATTAGAATACACCTGTATATTTGTATGTGTGTAAATATATAAGACAGAATTGCTTTTATTTCATACATGACATAATACTTGGCAAAACAATTATAGGGAATTGAACACCACTAAAATTTAGCTTTAGTGTATATTTTCTTAAGAAAATATGATTTCTTCATACAATGTCAAACTTTTCTTGGTAGCAGATATGATTAGTCCCTCTGGCTTTTTTTCCTCTTCTGATTGGCCCCTTAATTCTCTTGGGCTTTTCTAGTGATAGAGAGCTCACTACTCCACCAGGTAGCCTATCATATTGTTAGCTAGCAACTGCTTTAAGAAAACTGTAAATATTAGAGCTGAATTTCCCTCCTTATAACATCTATTCATTCATTCTATTTTTGACCATTTTGGTAAGTATATTTTGCTTAAAAGATCTGCATATAAAGGTCAGCATGCAAACCCCATTGTATTTATGTATATTAGCAACAAACAATTGGAAAATAAAAAAATTTTTAAAATATCATTTACAGTAACATCAAGTTACATAAAATACTTAGGAAAAATTTAACAAAATATACATAAGTCCATGAAAACCACTCTAAGACATTTATGAGAGAAATTAAAGATATAAATAATGAAGAATTATACTATATTAAAGTCACAGCAGATTTTTTTGTAGAAATAGATAGTATGCTGCAATTTAAATGTAAATGCAAAGGTCTTGGAAAGAATTTAAAAAGGAAAGAACAGTGACAACATAAACTGCTCTAGTATAGACGACAGAGTGAGACCTTGACTCTAAAAATCACAAAACCAAAACCAAAAAGAATGGCCAATAAACATATAAAAAGATGCTGCGCATCATTAGTCATTGGGTAATGCAAACTAAAACCACAATAAGCTACAACTATATACTTCCTGGCACGATGAGAGAATTTCTTTGGATTGGCAAAGATGTGGAGCAATTGGAAGTCTCATTCATTCCTTGAGGAAGCATTAAAATGTGCAACTATTTTGGAAAATATTTTGGCAGATTCTTTTAAAATGAAACATACACTTAACATATGATCAAGCAAACCTACTCTTACATATTTAATCAAGAGGAAAGAAAACATATGTCTGCACAAAAAGATCTGCACAAGAATATGACAGCTTGAATTATTATAGCCCTAAAATGAAAAACATCCAATTGTCAACAGGTAAATTGTTAAATAAATCATGGTATATGGATACAATTGAATAGCACTCAGCAACAAAAAGAACAAAGTAATGATACATGCAACAACATAAATGAATGTCATGCTGGGTATGAAGAACCCAAATGCAAAAGAGTATATATACTGCATAGTTCCATTTATATTAAATTCTAGAACAGGTAGAATTAATTTGCAGTGATAGTAGATCAGTGGTTGCCTGGGGACAGGGATTTGACTTAGCAAGGGTTGGTAGTAAATGTTTTGGAATGATGGAAATGTTCTAGATCTTTTTTTTGTGCTAGTAATCATCTAAGTGTCCACATTTGTAAAAATTATCAGTATACTTAAAATTGGTGAATTTTATTATATTAAAATTATAGTTCACTAAATTTTGTTTTAAAAATAAGGCTAAACATTCTTTTTTTTGACAGAAAGAACTTTTCAGAGCTTTATTTTGATTTCATGATTTGGATGAAATTGAGGTAGGAGGCAGTACTTGACTCTGGAGGCGGCGCTTGGACACCAGATCAAATTGAGGACTAGGTAAAATAGGGGTGAGGTAGAAGCAGAGTTCCATAAGACACACCCATCAGTGTGCCATGTCAGTTTACCATTGCCATGGCAATACCCAGAAGATACTGCCCCTTTCCATGGCAATGACCTAATGATCCAAAAGTCACTACTCCTTCCATAGAAATTTCTTCATAAATGACCTCTTAATGTACATGTAATTAAAAGTAGGTATAAATATGATAGCAAAACTGCCCTGAGCTGCTACCCTCTGCCTATGGGGTAGCCCTTTGGGAGCAGTCGCAGAGCTGTAACACCACTGGAGCTGTAACACTGATGCTTTAATAAAGCTATTTTCTTCTATCCCTGACTTGCTTTTTCAGTTCTTTCCTGGACAAAGCCAAGACTCAGCTTGCTTGCCTTATATCAAAATTGTTAAACCATTATTAGAATTGTTTTTCTGCTTGTAGCATATGATAACTCTAGTACATAACTGATATCATTCAACTATTTACAAAATTTTACAGTTAATGAAGCCACCCCACTAACAGCTGTCATTTCACCTTTCATAAGTTTGCAAAAGTAAGTGAAATTAATTTAGAAGAAGTCTTTTGATCATAATAAAAAGTTATGCTTCATAGAGTTGTACACGTTAAACTATTGTCTTTGATCACATTTTCCTGAAAACAGCTATTAACTTTTGAAGTGGATGCTGATGCTTCTTCAGCAGATTCTGATACTTTTTGTTTTTCAAAGACGAGTCAATGAAATCACTATAGGTCCATATGTAGATGATGAACTTGAGAACACATTGCAAATTACATGTCCATCACCAATTTTCTTGAGAAACAGGATTTGAATTCTTATTTTTTAAAACAAACATGCATTTATGACTTTTTAGTTTCTCATGAATGAAACAGTTAATTGAAAAATAAGCTAAAATGCATTACCAAACAATAAAGTAAATAGGTATTCAATAAACTTCAAAATCCCCGTGGTTACAGTGTTCAGACTACTCTTTATACAGCAGAACATCTCAGCCTGTATCCCTCACGTGTTTCACATACATCTAGCATAGGAATGCCCCAATTGTTCACAGACCCTGCTACATGGTAGTGTGGCAACTTCTTGTGTTTCTAAGAGGAAACCTAGGAATGGCTCTATAGGCGTGTGACAAGAACATTTTCTCAGGGCCCCACTTTCAGGAGGGCCTGACTTTTGGTTGAAAACTGTGCTGTCATCCTCTTGGAATTCTTCATAATTTTATTTTTGAAGTCGTGTTTTGTAAGTGAAGTCTGAGGGGATAGTAAAGCATGCGTGTGAGCAGAGTAGTAATAAACAACAAAATTAGATGGAAGAAAATAAAAGCAACGTGTTTTTAAATGTGGCAGAAAATTCTGATGTAGTTTTCTTGCTAATCAGGACCGCTAGCAGCTTTTATTTTCCTAGGCTGAAGCGTAGTTCAAAGGGTACATTTTGATTCTGGCTTTGCTGGTTTTTCGAGATTTTAAATGTCTTCTTGTTTTGGTGGGATAGCTGTTTTGTGGATTGTAAAGCTGTGTCATATTTCATATGTTCTGTGAAAGGATAGCCATGTTGGAAACAAACTGGGCATATTTTCAGAAAACATTTGTCTGTTGATTGACATTTATTTTTTTTCATCGAAATTGATGGTTTTGAATTATAAAAGTAGCCAAAGTTACTGTAAAAAAATACTGAAGTGCATGACACAAAAAAATTGAAAACCCAGACTCTTACCCCTCACTATCCCATAATTTGGCTTCCTAGAGGGAGCTAGAATTAATGGTTTTGTATCTCTTCTTTTGGAATATATCTCTCTGTGTGTATGTGTGATATACTGTAACTTGCTTTTTTATTCTCAACAACATATTGCAGCTATCCTTCCATGTCAATATGTAAGTATCTTCTGTAGTTTATGGATATACTATAAATTTTTAAACCAATCCCGAATTGGTTGTTTCTAAATTTTTAAAAGTAAATAACCGGTAATGAACAGATTTTTTTTAACATTTATCATTTGTAATACACTTTAAGGACATAAAATGACAGAAAGGACATAGGGGCATGAAATAGCTGCATTTTATTGTAAATTGTTAGCTATATTATGAAAATCAAGCACTCTACTTCTGCATAATACCAAGATAGCATCCCTCCCTACTTACTGGCTGAGAATCCTGCTTTAGGCTAATTCTCCAGATCTGAAAATAAAGATTCTACTGCAAGGTTCTGCTAAGGATGACAATCATGAATTTGCTTTGATAGTTGCAAATGCAAGTAATTAAAAGATAGGCCCCTGCTTCCCCTTCTTTCTTGAGTTAGTGCTTCAGGGCAAAGGATCAGAAACTCCCCTGCAGAGCTGCCCTAACAATGTTTAATGAGCACTAGGGAAAGCTTAGTTTTTTATGCCTAAGGCTTCACCACTTTTACTGAGTAGTAAGATCAGAAGGATTGCAGCCTAAAAGGTGTTCTTCCTTATGACTCCTGTACACCTTCAGATTCCACACACGTTGAGGCTCTCATTAAGGTTGCGGTTGTGATGCCTGCCTCAAAGGAGGGGATTGACAGTTATTATGATCAACAGGGCTGACAGTTTGGATTTTGGCTTTTTCAGTGGTGTTGCTTTAATATTCAGCACAAAGTCTTCCAGCTGCCACCTGTCCTCACTCATCTGTAGACTGGAGGTCTCTCCAGTAGGGCCTGGCCTTGCTCCTCCTTTGACCACTGCCTGGCCGTCCTCATTCCCATCCTGGGGTGAGTCATTATCTCTGGTCCTACTTTGTATCAAGGAGTTCAAGAAGGTTTTTGTTCTATTTGGACACTTGCTTTTTTCTGACATCAGCTGAAATCTCAATGACTTCACAACCTTCCCTCCCTCCCCTACTCATCAACCTGGGTGCCAATTGATTCCAAGTCCTCTGAAGAATTCTGTCGTCTTTCTTTGCCTTCTTTTAGATTTTTTTCCTTACCCTCTCTCTAATGTTTGTGTTTACTTTTTGAACTTTTAATCAATATCAAATAAAAACAAATCTAGACTTAAGTAAGGAGATACTTTATTGCAAGAGGGGGAAAGAGACCTTTGCAACAGTGGAAGGGACACTATTGCAATAGGGAGAATGCTTGGGCCATGAGATCGGCAAGCATCTGAAAGGTTGGTCAGATAAGCCTTGTCTTTTAGAGGGAGGAATAAACAAGGAATAACAAGAACTAGATGTGAGGAAATAGGATGAGTGAGTGGCTGTGAAAAGCCACAAGACAAGTGAATGTTTTACACCAAGGTCAATATGCTTTTGGGAAGGGCTCTATGCTGGCCCAGACTGAGGCTGGATCAATGGCCAGGGGCCTGGAAGAAGGAGAGAAGTTAACCAATGGGGACAAAACAGTCAACTAATCATTCATAAGGCCAAGAACAGGAAGAGGAATTTGGAGCTTCTGCGTCTGATCTTGTCATACGTAGACAAGAAGGGGCATCTATGAGTCTTGCATAAGTCATGTGGGGAAGGATATTTCTTTATAATAAGGTGGTTTCCATGGAGAGATTTAACAGTCGCTGTTTCCCAGGATCACAGTGTTCACGCAAAGTTCAGTGTTGCTGTTGGTCATCCTCATTCTTTGTCCCCAATGTGACTATTCTTTTCAGAAATGTGGTTTCTGACTCCCTCATGCCTGCACTTGAGATTCACTAGGCTTATCATTACCTCTCTCAGCTCTTGTCTTACCTAAATTTTTTTCTTTGGAATTTCTGTTGCTATTATTTTAAAAAATGTTCTTAACTTATAAAAGAGTGATGAAAGTATGTAAAAGAAAGTGGAGTCAATTCCACTGAAGCCACAGGAACTGAGAGCTTGATGGGTGGCTTTCCAAATGATAATTGGTGCCAAAGAAGTGGGAAAGGGTAGGGCAGGATAATAATCATTTTTCGTTTTTTTACATGATTAAGTGAAGGTTTAAAATACAAAGCCTTTGGGGAGAAAAAGGTAATTTTGTAATAAAAATGCAGCACATGCCGATGGCCTAAGAAGTATGTAAAAAATTACAGCAAAAAGTTACTGACTCTGCTTATTCACTCCCTTATTTTAGATCCATTATCCAGAAACAATACTTTTTATGTTTTCACTTATTTATTCTGTTAGATACTCCCATATCTTTTATTAATATGCCAATAAAATGTATCTTTCTTTATTAATCTAAATAGTGTCATTAATTCCCTGATAGGCCGGCACTACATAGTCCTATATCCTGCTCACTGCTACTTTTAGTCCAATTGATGAATGGTATAAATATATTGCTATGATTATAGAAATATTTTTATTGAAAAACAATATACTATTTTAATGTTTCTTTTCCTGTGTGGTTTTTGTTTTGTTTCCTGCAGCTCACCATTACCTTTTATTTCACTTACATTCTTTTTTCACAGTTTCAGTTTTCTCAAATTCTCATTATATCTGGTAGTTCACTTCCACATTTTACCATGATCCTGGAGTCCTCTTTTGCCCTTCTCCACTCTGTACCATGGAACTCTAGATAAGCTTCATGACTGCCATGTAGGTTTTTCTTCTCTATTTTTTTTTTTCCAAGTTAGATCCTCTATTTTCTTGTCTTCTTTCTTGGTTTACTTTCTCCTTTTGCAGAAGTCACATTTTAAGTAACTTTCTATGAAAAGGTGATAGGGAGGTACATTGTTTGAGTTTTAAAGTATCTCCATTCTGCTCTTTTATCTAACCAGTAATTTGGATAGGTGTAGGGGTCTAACTACAAATCATTTTTCCTTACAACTTTGAAGGCATTGCTTTGAAACAATGGCTTTCTAGCATTCAGCATGGCTGTTGAAAACGCTGCTGTAATTTCCTTGCTACTTCTTTGTTGATGGTCTGTTTTTCCTCTGGATTCCTTTAAATACTCTCTTTATACTTGGTGTTCTAATATTTCACTTAAATTTGTCTGGGTTTGGCTCCATTTTCATTCATTTTGCAGGGCCCTTGATAGGGCCTTCAGTTCTAAATATTGTTTCTGTAATAACTTTCTCTCCTTTTTTTCCCAATCTTTTCTCCCTGAAATTCTTTTAATTGGATATTATTCTTTCTGGATTAATCCTCTGTATTGCTCATCAGAAAAGATTATATCTTATATCTCATTTGCTTATTGTTTGATTTCAGGGAGATTTCTGTATTAAATAAAACTTTATTGTTACCTTATTGATGAATTTATAATTTGGGTGATTGCATTTTTTTATTTCTGAGAAATGATATACCTTTTTCATGTTATTTGTTTTTATAATTGTCTTCTCTTATCTGTCTGGAGATACTAATTAGTACTTTTTAGAATTATATATTGATTTTGTTTGTGCCTGTTCTCTGAATTAGCTCTCTTTTTCCTCTGGAGTAATTTTTTCCCTACTGGCTTATCTCTCTATCTCTGTTTTGTATTGTAAGTTTTCCTTAAAAGTTTGGTAACTTCTTCCTCTGGAGTAATTTTTTTCTTATTGGCTTATCTCTCTCTCTCTTTCTCTATCTTTTATATTGTAAGTTTGCCTTAAAAGTTTGGTAACTTTTGATTGTCTGTTTCTATTTATAAATGATACAATAAAAGATGGGTACTAGTCCATTGTAGGTGAATTAGATTTTTCCATTGGTGGCCTTATTTCAGAGGGTTGAATGGAGATCTGATCATTATGCTGTGGGATTTTGCATGTGCCAAGATATCTCTGAGGCATTTCGGTTTTTTCAGGAAGAACATTTTGATACATTGCTCAGGGCAAGACGCTTAGCTAGTGAGTTTTGATCCTCAGATGTCAAGTCAAACTTGCATATACTAAATTTCAGTTTATCTCGCAGTTTTCAGTCTTCCTAAGTACTTGACATTTCTGAGTGGTAAGCCTCTTGGGATTCTGCAGAGAAAGTGATTTTCCCTCACCTGTGTGCCCTTCTGTGAATGCTTTAGGTTACATTTTTTCTGTCCTCCTTCCTCAGTTATATACCTGTGTGCAGTCCTCATGTTCTAGATATTTCTTGGAATGCATTCTCTATTCTTTCCTCCCATAGCCCTAATCTATGGATGGGTATTTATACCTTTTTTATTCCTATGGCTTTATTTACTGGGGTCTTGGTAAAGAAAGGAGATAATAATAGTCAATCTGTTACTTCCAAACGTGAAATTTTGGGTTTTTCAAAGTTTTGTCCTTGCATCACTAATTTACTCAGCCTAGTCGAAAACTTGATCGTCACAAAAAATTTGCTCTCTAAATATATCCATTCAGGAATTCACAGCAAAAACTTGGAAATGAAAGTTGTGAAGGAGTTAAAAATATACCACCCCGAAATATGCTACCCTGGCATCTTGACTATTTTGAATTAAAAGCACTTAAAAAAAAAACCCAGCAGTTGCAAGATCATTCTGACCTTTATTCTGTTTCTTGAAAGCAGTAAATGAAGTTCCCATGTGAAAGATGCCTTCTTTAAAGCAAAGGAGAGTAGCATTCTTATAATCAAGGATGGAAAGTTGAAGCTGAGAGAAATCTGCACAGACAAATCTTATTAAACTGACCCTTATCTTCCTGGTCACTTCGTTACCCAGTTAACTACTCCAGCATAAGCCCTCTGCCTTATCACGTGTCACAACTTAATATTCTTTTTCCATTCAGTGTGCATGTGATTGACTTTAGCTGCTCCTGTGGATCTTCATTTCCTCATGAGTGCACCAGTCAAGTAAAACTTACACAAATAAATGTATATGCTTTTCTCCTATTTATCTATCTTATGTCAGTTTTATTCTTGGGCCCAGCAGGAACTCTAAGAAGTTGAAGGTAGAGTTTTACAGCCCCACAGTGGTTATTATGGATTTTACTTAGAATATATAAAAATTTATAATTTTTATTTAACATTGACATCATTTGACATTCCGTGTGGACATTCCCTAAACTCACAACAACATTCTGGAATCTGACATTTTCCTTCTTACAACCTCATTACAATGTTTGCATCTTGTAAGAGGCAATGTACTGGGAGTGAGATGCCTGTTTTTACTGCACTCTTGTTAAGTTAGGTGATTTGGACATATTGTTAAACATCTATTAGCTTAAATTTACTGGAGAGATTAGATTTTTAAAAATCATTTTTAAATTCTCTTCATCACTGGAATTTCACATTTCTCTAATTCTAAATAAGATGGGATATTTAGCCTGCATTCTAGAGGCCAGTCAAATGTCAAGAATTGTGACAATGTCTGGCACAAAATGGGTGTTCAATAAATTTGACTTAACAAAAACAATTAGAATTGGAATCTAAATTCACTCCTTCAACCAATCAATGAGCGAGAGCGAGTGCTTACAGAGCGCTTTTTTTTTTTTTTTGTGCCAGGCATAATTCTAAGTTGGGGAAGAAGCAGTGAATAGAGAAAGCATGAGGGTCTGCCCTCATGCAGCATACATTCTAGTTGAAAAACACAGGTAATAAAATAGTACAAAAATATGTATTCAAAACAATTATGGTAAGGGCTATACAGGAACTAAACAAAGTAAGCAAGGCTTAGAAGATGATTTGCAATTTAAGATCAGATGCCCAAAAAAGGCATCTCCGGGGATGTGGTATCTAAGCAAAGACCTAAATGACAAGAAGGAGCCTGGTAAGAGCAGAGCTAAGAGAGAGTGCTCCAGGTAGAGGAAAGATTTACCTCATGCAAAGGTGTTGAGGCACAAACATTTGGAGTGCTGAGAAGCTGCCATTTTCAGTCTAGTGATGAGGGTGAGGTTGAAAAGGTAGGCAGGAGACAGAGTATGAAAATTTTCTAAACCAAAGTGAGGAATTTGAATTTTATTCTCTTCAATGTGGCTTGTTAGGAGATTTTTAAGGTACATAGTTACACGAACTGATTTATATTAAAAAATTATAACCTTCTTAGCTATATCAGGAATGAACCCAATCACTCTATTTACATTACAAGCTACTCTCATCTGACATTTTTCATCTCTCGTTTGCTTAATTTTTCTCCTTAGTATTTGTCACCATCTCAAATGCTGTATATATTTACTTATTATTTATTGTCTGCTGTTCCAACTAGAGTGCAAGTTCTATAATGATTAGGATTTTTGTTGTTTTCACATTCCCAGCAGATGGAAAAGTCTCTAGCACATTGTGTGCTCATAGTAAATATGTATTATTGAATTAATCCATGGATTTTTAGGGGAGGACCAGGCTGAAGTAGAGCAAGAAGATCAGATACAAAGCTACAGTAAGAATATATATGAGATATATAGAGTTTTAGACAAGAATGGTAGGAATGAAAATAAAGACAAGTGGAAAAATTCAAACTTTATTTTGGAGGTATAATTGACGACATTTGATGATTGGTTGAATGAAGAAAAAGTGGGAAATATGAGGAATCAAGAATGGCTTGTAGGTTTTTATCTAGCAACTGATTGAGATTATGGAATAATTTTCTGAAATAGGACAGTTAGAGGAGAACTATATTTTTGGGAAGATGTTAGTAAGAATCAAGACTCTCATTTGATAGCCAAGTGGGAATGTCAAGTACACAACTGGTTAAATAATCTAGCACTCATATGAGAAGCCGTTGGGAGATAGAAATTTGGTACTTATCAGCATAAAGATGGGCTATATAAAGCTACTGATGCTAATGAGATTACTGAGGAAAGCACAAGGCTCAGGACCAAGAAATGCATGATTCTAACATTTAATTGTGAGGCCATCAAAGGAAATGGAGAAGGGCACTTGGATATTGTGAGCCTAGGGAGAGCTCTAGGGAAGAAAAGCAAAAATGGAAGTCAAGAAAGTCATGAATGGCCCTGTTGAACGCAGCTGAGAGGAAATAAGATAACTCAGAAGTGTGCATTCATGCTTGATAAGAGCAAGTGAATTGTACTGATTGGAATGAAACAAATTAGAAATGGTTGAAAGTTGTATTAGCCTGTTTTCATGCTGCTGATAAAGACATACCTGAGACTGGGCAATTTACAAAAGAAAGAGGTTTAATGGACTTACATTTCCACATGGCTGGGGAGGCTTCATAATCGTGGTGGAAGGCAAGGAGGAGCAAGTCACGTCTTAACATGGATGGCAGCAGGCAAAGAGAGTGCTTGTGCAAGGAAACTCCCATTTTTAAAACTATCAGATCTTGAGACTCATTCATAATCATAAGAACAGTGCAAAAAAGACTCACCCCCATAATTCAATCACCTTGCACTGGGTTCCTCCCATGACAAGTGGGAATTGTAGGAATTACAATTCAAGATGAGATTTGGATGGGGACACAGCCAAACCATATCAAAACTGAATCAGAAGTAAGGAAGAAAACAACTTTCATTGTGAATAGGAGGAATAAAGACAGCAATAGAAAAAGAGGGTATATTATTTAGGAAATAGGGGGCCAACTATGGGAATAAACTCTTCAACTGACAGTGGATAATTGGGAGGTGCTCTGTGGGCATGATATAAAAACATATTAAAATATAATATTTTATAGTATTTCATATCATATATTTTGCATCATATAATATTGTATGATATTTCATATCATATTTTTATCGTACATATTACATTATATATTTATATTTTTATATATTATACATCATATTTTATATTATATATCATATTTTATGATATTTTATGATATTTTAAATCATAAGAATATGATTTAAAAATATCATCTGAAGAGATATTTTTATATGCCTCAGTAATCAAGGCTACTTAATTTTATTATTTATTAAGATATCTTCAACTCTAATGACTGCAATATCAGATGGGTGGCATCTGAATTATCTGAATCTCTGACCCTGTGGTTACTGTCACAAGGGAGCTTTGTCTAGAATCTTGGCTCTTCTTGGTACTTGAAACATGACTCTGAGCTTATGTTTGTTCATCTACTGTTTGGGAATAAGACTAATGCCCACCACACAGGGATTTTTGTGACATTAAATGAAATAATGTCTCTATGAATTGACTTGAATTATTTATGTCTGTACAAAAGATAAAATGAGTATTTACTGAAATATGTATGACTGTACCCAATTGGTCATAGTGCAGCTTTTATTTTCTTCCCTAAAACAGTGTTAGATAAAACATGCCTTGAGGGAAGAAAACTACATTTTACCCCTATTTGTATCCTCAGTACTCAGTAGTGTGCTTAGCTCAGAACTGGTGCTCATATATGTCTGCTGAATTAAAAAAATGAAACACCAGGCAATTACCTGTAAATTGTAAAGCAAGAGAGAATTAGGTATAACTACATTAGTTCTGGTTTTGTAGTTCTGCCCCTGATATACTGGAATAGGGAATGGTTCCTTACAAAGGATCCATTTGGCGCTTGAATGAAAAAAGTTGCTTAGGAACACACATGTGTAGCTGTCTTTCGTATCTACCTGAAGTCACACAATGGTGTTTTTGCTTCCAATTTCCTTAACTGTTTCATTATTATTCACCCATAACTAGTCAGATAATTTGTTGTCATTTTACCTCTAATCATATTTTGAGACCAACATTTCATTTCAGTCTTGAAAGTTCATCAATAAAGGCTCTTGGATTTGATTCTGAACATTTTAGTCCTTTACCACATGTTCTAAATGAGTCCATTGTAGTTGTTGAAGATTCCTTGAAGACCAGGCATTAAACCTATCAGGAAGTCCTAAGAAACAAGACCCAAGAAAGTGCTTTCCATTGCCTCAACTTGTTAGAATTAGGGCAGAAAAAATGACTTAAGGTTTTGGTCTAGGTGTTTGTCTCTGTGTGTTCATCCATCTTATTTTGTCATTAACTTTCCTTCCTCATACCTGCTGAGCCCTCCTTATGGTCTCTCCTGTCTAAAGTCTTGTGTGGTTTAAGATACGAAATGGAAGTTTCAGCAATACATTTTTCTCAGTCTGTAGGAACAGGTCTGTAGTTTAATTGTATCCTGCACAGGGAGACACATGGACCTTTGTTAATAAATTAGATTTGGATTAGATTAGTTTAGATTTAACAGAAATAATCTTTTTCATTTGAGTGGAAACAATTTAAATTAATGAGATAAAATATTTAAGTTCAGCATTTATCTCTTGCCCATTGCAGGGTTTTTGCATCTAATAAGATCAAATATTTAAAAAATGCTATGTTCTCTAAGAACCAGAAAAAGGACACTGACTGGCATTTAGAGAATATTGATATATCTATAAAAATTATTACAGAGTTTAGTGGGGCCAGATTATGTATTTAAAATTGAATACATAAATCCTGGATCTATATCAAATGTTGGCATCATGTCACTATAGTCGATTAGGTGAAATTGGTTTTCAGAAATATATACATGGGGTAGGGTGTGGGTTATCTCTTCATGTATTAGATTTATGATGTTGTATAGTTTGGCAACATATAATAATACCTTAAAACATTCACATCATTTAATTTCACTCTTGAGGATAAATCTAGAGTAAAAAATAATAAATTCCCTGCCACACTTCTAAAAACCAACACAACCAACCAATTCCCCAAATTCCAGAAACATTTAATGTAGTAATAGTTTAAAATATTGAAAAATAAAAACAATGTCAATAGTCAAAATAGGGAGTTAGGTGAAATATGAAGCCATTAAGAGGATGTATAGTGAAGTATTTGTAGTTCTAGGGGAAAAGCTTATGTTGCAGTATTCGATATGAAAAGCTGTACACAATTTTAAAATGCAAAACAGCTCCACTAACTAAAACATACCGCAGAGAAAATAGATCAGAAGGAAATTCGCCATTTATCAGTGATTGTGTCTGGTGATTTTAATTTTTTTCTTTATAACTTTGTGTGCTTAGTTGTTGTTGTTGTTTTTTATAATGGACGAGTGTTACTATTATCATCAGAAAAAAGTGAAATAAACTTGTGTGTAAGCAGCTCAGTTTAGCGATGATGATTTATCCTCTGACATCCACTGGTCACTGGTGATAGCCTTTTGATGTGGTGTCTTCCTGTCTGAAAGTATTTCCCATGTTCTTTAAAACCTTTGATCCCATTCATTCTGAAAGCAGCACAACCTTGCAAGTCCTGAGTTTGCAGCTTTCTTAGGGGATTTTCAGATGTGATTTTTAAAAATTAGATGTATTTCATAAAATGTTATTTTTCTTTTATATCTTGAAATGTATTTATGCTAAAACTTTAATCACAAGCCTAGTATTGGTTTGGTGGTTATTAAGTTATTGATAAATGTCTGACAATATTAAGTTGAAATTTTTTTTTTTAGTTTTATTCTGAAAATGACCTAACCTTCCTTGGAAAAGTAAACTTCATCTTTAACTGAGATTGACACTGGGTACTACGCGACAAAATTGTTAGTATGCTCCACCTACCTCCAAAAAGGATTTGGTACAGAATTCCTGAATATATTACTGAGCTGTCTCATGGAAAATCCTAATTTATATACTCACCTAATAACTCTTTATTACATAATAATCACTATTGCACTTTTCAAACTTTGAGACATTTTTTCATTCATGTCAAATTGAGTCATTTTTTTCATTCAGCAAACATGCAATGAGCACCTGTTATGTAAGAGATGTGATAACAAGCAATAGATCCAATATTACAGTGTATTTAGGTATGTCAAGATTCTAATCCATTTGGTAAAATCACAATAAAAATGAAATATGCATTTCGATTATATAAGTGCAAATATACTTAACTATACAAGGGTAGGGATTTTTGTCTGCTTTGTTTTTCCTAGCTCCTAGTAAATAGTAAATGTTAAATAAGTATTTGTTAAATAGATGAACAAGTGAAGTGTACTGATTATGAACCTTTAAGAGGCATGTGGATAACAAGAAGGAGACATTTTGTCAAAAGTCCTGAAAATGGGAGTTAGGCAAAATGAATGTGAAGGGCAGTCCACTGACTCATGGCTAATTCCCAAGGAGAATGGAGGGCAAGCCCACTTCTGTCTATGCTGCCATAGTTTGTTCTGTCATTGCTTTCTCTCAGTGAACTGCTCCCACACATCTCCCAGTCCATGTTGCAGAGGTGCCTCTCTGCTAGTGCGGAGAATTTGCTCCACAACCTTATACACAAATCTTGCACAATGGGATGCTGCCTGTTTCTCTTGGTCCCTCCAGAAATTTAGTGTAAAAACCAGTCTTTCCATCTTTGCTTTGCTTCCATTCTCTTTGGGAGTTAGGCACAAGAAAATCTTTTTAAAATTAGCTCTTAAATTCATAAACAGACAATAGAAGACAAAGAAGCCCTTTGATTAATGATAAACAGTGGCATCCAGCAATCTTATTCTTTAGTATTTACCCAAGAGAGATAGAATCATATGTCCACAAAACATTTGTAAAAGACTGTTCCCGGCAACTTTATTCATAATAGCCCAAAATGGAATCAATCTAAATGTTCTGTAAGAGAAGAATGAATAAACAAATTGAGGCATATACATACGTACATTAGAATATTATACAGCAATAAAAAGAAATGAACTACTGATACATGCAACAATGACATGTTTCTCAAAAACATTATGTTAAATAAGAAAGGTCAGATACAGAAACATGTGGTTTTGGGCATAATGTTATTCCACTTACATGAAGTTCAAGAAGAGGTAAAACCAATCTAGGGTGATAGAAAGCAGAAAGTTATTGCTTGAGGGTGGAGGGGAAGGGAGGAAATGACTGGAAAGAGGCACATGAGAATTTTCAAAGGTGATGAAAATGTTCTTTGGTTTAGGGTGACATAGCCATATACAATTGTTAGAACCTATCAAAATGAACACTTGAGTTCTGTACATTTTACTCTATATATGTAATACCTTAATTTTTTAAAATGAGAAAATAAATATTTTGCGAATTAAAATATAAGATAAATCCATTTAAAGTAATACGTATTTACTAAGCATGAGTATCCTGGCTGCTGTTCAAGGCGCTGGAAGTATAAACATGAACAAGACATAGTACCTCCCCTGATGAATTCATAACCTAGAGGGGAAAACAGATGTGGAAAAACAGATATTAACCAGTATTTTATTCACACAAAACTTTTCAGAATATAATATGTTTCCAGAATATAATATGTTTCCAGAATATACCCAGGTATAAAATGGATTATGTTTTAGAACTGTATAATAGTCATCCTAGGTAAATAATTTTACTATTGTATGAAAAATCTTCAGTCTGCCAAATCTGATAGTTGTGTCGTGGTAGAAAGCCTGTAGCATGGCTCCTGAATGTGTTCCTATCCTTGTGGAGACCCCTTCCACAATGTACCAGGTTTGATATGGGTGACTGATAACATATGACAGAGGTGAGGGTAAGTCATTTCCAAGATTAAGGTATAATAAAAAATAATGGTCTCTGCATTATGGTCTTTCCTGTCTAAAGTCTTGTGTAGTTTAAGAATACGAAATGGAAGTTTCAGAAAATACGTTTTTCTCAGTCTGTAGGAACAGGTCTACAGTGTAATTGTGTTCTACACAGGGAGATACATAGGCCTTTGTTAATAAATTAGATTTGGATTAGATTAGTTTAGGTTTAACAGAGACGATCTTTTCATTTGAGTGGAAACAATTGACATTAATGAGATAAAATATTTAAGTTCAGCATTTATATTCTGTATTGGCTACTCTCATGCACACTCTGTCTCTCATATCTCATTTTGGGAGAAACCAGTTGACATGTTATGAATACTCAGGCAGCCTTAGAGTGACCCAAGGGAAAAGAAATACAGACCTCTGTCCAATCGTCAGTGAAGAAGCGGGACCTGCCAACAACCACATGAATAAAAGCACACCCTCCCCTGATTAGACATTCAGAGGAGACTGAATCCCTGCTGACTTCTTGACTACAACAACCTCCTGGAAGACCTTGAGCCAGACCAAGTTTAGCTACTCTTAAATTACTAACCGACAAAAATTATAAAATAATAAATATCTACTGCTTTAAACTTTGAGATAGTTTGTTGTATAACAATAAATAACCAATAAATATGATCTTTCCTAAATGTACAAGATATGAGTTCATGGGTTAGTGAATCATTCCTGCTTTTAAATTGAACATCTCAATTTTCTTGTTTTACTAAAATACTAGTCAATGACTAAGAACCAAAGATTTATAAAAATATGGTACACCTAATTCTTATAATAACTTATACTCAGTAAATCGTGTACTTACTCAAAAAAATTACCCCCGAATGAAAACTTATGGTATATGTCTATTAGATCAATGCAAAAGTAATTGTGGTTTTTGTCATTTAAAACTAATGGCGAAAACCGCAATTATTTTTGCACCAACCTAATATCTAGTTACCAAACTAAAACAATACAAAACTATAACTTAATAAAATTTAACTGCCTCTCCAATATGAAAGGTCAATTTTGTATTATTGAAATGACTAATGAAAAAGCAAATGAAAATTAGAGTGAATTTAAATTAATAATCATAACCTTCATTTTGACCTTCAAAATATATAATAGAGTTCCAATTCATTATAATTGAGACTGTGACTTCGTTTACAAAAAAACAAACTGCAGAAGTAATTGGACTGCTTTTTAAATTAAGGCAACAAAATATGAAGTTTTAGAATAGCTGAGATTATTGCTCTGCCACTTGAAGATGACCAGTCTTTACCCCCTTGAATCTTTAGATTTAAAATTATACCACTTATTAGAGGTATTAATTTAGTCTAAACTCATTTCTTCATTGAGAAAACAGATGTTGGTGGCTGTCACAGGAAGTATTTGATGTACCTGGAAGCATAAAGTGATCTTTCCTTCTCCAGCTAAACAGAAAGTAAAGAGGATGTAGATTCTTGCCTGAGAGTATTTACCAGGGCTTCCCCCTAGAGCTTGGTAGCTAAAGCCATAAACACTTGACTGGGTAATGGGATCAATTCTTATTTCTGGGAGTCTGAAAGGGGATTATGGAAAGCCACTAAGATGATAAGTTTCATGTTACTCCTTTTTTGGTTCCAGACCAGTGATTCTCGAATTTGGCATGCATTGAATCATATGGCAACCTGTGAAAACATAGATTGCTGGTGCCTATACCTAGAGGTTTGTGTATAGTAATTGCAAGATGTGGCCCAGGAATTAGTTACCCAGTGATGATGCTGTTTCTGCTGTCCAGGGACCACATTTTGAGAACAACTGGTCTAGAACGTATGATTTCTGTTTGTCTTTGGGAGAGCTGTGCTTGTGTTGGTGGTCAGTCTTCATCGAGGAAGTGGAGCCTGCCAACAACCACATGAGTTAGCGTAAAAGCACACCCTCCCTGATCAGACATCCCGAGGGACTGAATCCCTGGCTGACTTCTTGATTACAAGGTCTTCTTGGAAAACCTTGAGCCAGACCAAATTAAGCTATTCTTAAGTTAAGATACTCTTAAATTCCTAACTCATAGAAATTATGCAATAGTAAATATCTATTTATTTAGCAGTGAAGAGGAGGAAGCTAAACTACATTTCTTAGACACTTTGGTAGTTAGATGAGTTCTGGTCAATAGAATCCGCATATGGTCTTAAATGCCACTTGCAGGTCCCCCTGCCCTAAAACATCTCAGGTAATCTTCCATATTGTCACCCTGTCACTCTTTGGGCAGCTGAATGAAAAGGATTACGTGGAGGGAAGGCTTTGAGAAAAGCCTTTGCATGCTTGTTTCTTCTAATTATTCTTCTCTTAAGAAGACTATGGGACATAATCTTCCCATAATGAACTATGTGTTATATGACTACCAAAGTCATGAATTTGGCTTGGGCAATAGCATGCCTCAGCATGTAGAAGTGGGTATATAAAAATAGGCACAAGTATGTCCTGAAAAACACATGTGAGTGGCATGAACCAGTAGATCAGATGCTCCACACCTTACTCTTGCTACACGTCTGCCTATCTCTTTACCCATACCTATAGCCTTATGGGACATTCCCTATGACTAATTGACAGAGGAAGAAGGACTATTTAGCCTTATTTATAGATACTACTGCATCATATGGTGATGCAAGTAAAAGGTCAGCTGCTCTAGCACTAATGTGCCCTGAATACTGTGGGCAGAGCTCTGAATACTTTGTTTACTTGCCTGAAAAGAGAGGTAGCAAAGGTATGTATCTAAAGTAATCACAGGGCAGCAAGCTAACAGTTTGTTTAGAAGGAACTTAGAAATCACAAGCTTGATGGATTGCTGAAAAGCAATCTAGGGAAGACTTCTGTGGATAGGACTCTTGCAATGGGGACATAGAGAATATTTAAATCACAATATTCAAATACTCAATACTCAAAGGGAAGCCATTTGAGTAAGGTTTTTGATAATGAAGTAGACAAGATGACCTATTCCATGGATGTCAGTCAGCCATTCCTGTGCTTGCTTTAATGGGCTAATGAACACAGTGGCTATGGCTTCAGGGATGGAGGTGGATATGTATGGACTCAAAATTAGGGGCTTACTTTACCAAGACTGAACTGTCTGTCATCACCACTGAGTAACTAATCTACCAATAACAGTGTCTACTTTTGAGCCCCTGATAATACACCACTGTCTGGGGGACCAGCCAACCACCTGGTGGTGCATTGATCACATTGGATCTCTTCCATCATGGAGGGGGCAGCAATTTGTCTTCATAGGAAAAGGCACTCACTCTGCCTTTCTTGCCTTCAATGCTTCTTCTAATACTATCATCTATGATTAATTGAATGCCTCAAGGTATCACACAGAATCTTGCTTTTGACCAAGAAAGATATTGTACAATAAAATAGCAGAGGTAATGGGCTTAAATCCATGTGGGAGTCAGGAGAAGGAGATGCTGGTTTTATATGATATTCCTTCACTGCAAAACACAGATGGCCTGACAGAACAGTGGAATGGCCTATTAGATTCATAGTTACAAAGCTGCCCTGGATTACAACACTTAGGAATTTGAGGAGCTGTCATATGCAATGCAATATAAGCTGTGAACCAGTGACTAATATGATGTTATTTCTTCAATACAAAGAATGCTTGAGTCCAGGATCCAAGGGATTGAAATAGAGTGGATTTATTCACTCTTACCCAAAATAGTCCTCTCACAAAATTTATACTTTCTCCTTCTGCATGTTTTGGTTCTCTGGTTAAAAAACTATTATTTCTTAAAAAGAGAATAATCACACTGGGAGACTAAGCAGGGCTCCATTTAACTGGCAGTTGAGATTGCTACATGGTTACTTCAGCCTTCTCAGGCCATTGAATCAACAAGCAAATAAGAAAGTTGCTTTCCTGACTGTGATGACTCATCCTGGTTATCAGAGGGAAACAGGGTTTCTACTACAAAGTAAGAAAGAGTATGTAGAACTCAGGAGATTTTTAAAGGTATCTCTTGGTACTTCCATGACCAGTGGTAAAAGTTAATGGATGATAATAGCAATTGAAGTCAAGGCCACACATGGCTCAGACCATGCAGGAATCAAAACATGTGGCAGAGATAAGCACATGGAATGAGTTGTGGAAAAAATAAATGACCAGTTACAGAAATGAGGATGGTGATAACTGCATATTTTTTTCTTTGTTTATTATATACTAAAGAATGTGTTAATCATTTCTCCTACCCCATTTTTTTTGCTATTTTATGTAAGTTATGTGACTGGTGGCTAGCCCTTTGTCTAGTAGGGCTGCCATAGCAAAATAGCACAGACTGGTGGCTCAAACAACAGAAGATTTTATCTCACAGTTCTGAAGTCTAAGAGTTCAAAAGCAAGGTGCCATCAGGCTTGGATTTTCCCGAGGCCTCTCTCCTTGGCTTGCAGATGGGTATCTTCTCACTTCATCCTCACATGTGCTTTTCTCTGTGTGCATGCACCCCTGGTGTCTCTTCCTCTTCCTCTAAGGACATCAGTCCTATTGGATTAGGGCCCCACTCCTCTAACCTCATTTAACCCTAATTACTTCCTTAAAGGCCATATCTCCAAATTCAGTCACACTGGGGATAGGGTTTCAACACATCAATTTTGGGAGGACATAATTCAGTCCTTAATATCTTATAATTCAGTATGTACAATATTAAATAACAAAGGATACTTTGAGAATAGACATGAACATCAACAGAGTTGGATACAGTGAATTATGGGACTCGAGAGGCAAATGTCTTCTCCTTTAGGTGAAAGGATGAACCTGCTTTTATTTGTGTAAGGAATACATTCACCAAGTTAGGTGAAAGCATACTATTGTTTTTTAATTTTGTTGTTTCAAAACTTAGATATTGGTAAACAGGTATGTATGGATGGTGAGTATCCAAAGGTTAGGACTGAATGATACTGAGGATCATCCCAGTCTGTCTAAGCTATCTCTACAACTACTTTTCTAGGCTCTTCTCAGCAGGCCTCTGATTAAATTCTGCCAATAAGAGACATTTGTGTAATTCTTGGAAAGTGGAAGAAAAGAAGAAGCTATTATTCTTTAGTGGTGACTATGGACAGGTGTGTGGTTATCATCAGAGGTAGATATGATATAAATTTTGTCTCATTCTAGGCCACTTCTTGAGAATCGGCTACTTTAATGGTGTGGGCTGCTGAGATCCTTCACGGGGGCTTTCCTGTGATCCATGCATTCTGACTCCTGAAAGCTAGCAGTGGCCTTTCTTATCTTTACTCTCCAGCCATTCTGATGGTAATCTTCTTATTCATCTCAATGGCTTTCCTTTTCATGACCTACCCTGATTGATACAATTGAGAGCATATATAGTTATGCATGCAGCTGATGAGGAGATTGTAAAAAGAGTGGCCCATGAGGGCTCTATCTTATATAGATTTATGGTATAAAACTTTGAATGTTATGAGTCATCACTGATTGACCCTTTGAAGGCCCTCAGGATATTGTTCCAGAATTAATGACTCTTAAGGGAGAGACTTTCTTGCTGGAGGCACATAGGTGATTTTTGTTGAGAAGAATCCTTGGGGTAGTTAGTAGTATTTTCCTAAAGGCAAATGGGGGTAAAAGAAGGTGGGTTTTTATAAAATAGAGAAATCTGATGTCTGGGAAGCCAAAAAGAGGTGGCATTAAAGCAAACTTGTTTTGTGTTTCTCTCTTGATTATTGAAAATGTTTTATTTGTGACATAATTTAACTTTTCACATTCTATGTGCTATTTCCCTTGAATTACCCAAACTTTTCAGTAAAGTCTATTTGATGGTGTTGCCGAGAACCGTGGGACAAAGTGAGAAAGTAAAGTGTCATTTACTGTCTCTTACTATCATCGCATTCCGTTTGTAAAGTGTCATTTACTGTCTCTTACTATCATCGCATTCCGTTTGTAAAGTGTCATTTACTGTCTCTTACTATCATCGCATTCCGTTTGTAAAGTGTCATTTACTGTCTCTTACTATCATCGCATTCCGTTTGAGGGGAGTGTGCACCTAACTCCAGGTGGGGATCAGTGGGAAACAGTGGCCTGTGGAAGAGTGAGAAACAGCACAGAGAAGGGCGTGATGTTAATGAGATCATTTGGTAAGGGAGTGAGACTGACTTTCTGCTTTCTAAAAAGAAACCACAGGGAGCTGATCTTTGAGAGCATGGGGTTGGATACTTGGGCATATGAGTAAAATAAAAGAAATGGATTAGCTGCCTTCTAAATCCACTTTCACTTTTAAGACCCTACAGTTTTATAACCCCTGAGCAGAACCCTCCATACTTCTGATCTATTTCAGTGCCATTACTTAAGGCATCACGGTAGCTGGATGTATTTCTTTTGAAACTTGGTCCTTGAATACCGTGTCTTGATTTTCCGTCTCTTGAATCTAACAATCGGCTAGTGGAAATGGGAATCTCAGATGTAAAAATAAAAGATATATTTTATGGGTCAGGTTTTACAATGAATGAGGATCTTGAGTATAAAAATTTGAAGTAAATTACATGGTTAATCATGGCTGTAGTGTCTTGTTATTTGAATTGTCTTTCTTTAGTAACTGGTCTCTTAAGCAGCTTCTCTTCTAATAGATCCTCATGAGGTTAATTAGATCACTCATTTAACAGTCATATTTGGCTTACTCAATCTTTGCTTGCTTGTCCTCAGACTCATTTAGTAGTTCAAAGTCAAACTTGCTCTCTTGTTACCTAAATTCTGACTTCATGGTTTCTAAAAGTTTTCCAAGAGTAAAACTTGGAAATCACGTTTTACTTAAACCATGTTTAAACCAGTTTACTTTAACCAAGTAAAACCCCTTTTTGAGACTAATATGATCCACCTGGACAAAAAAAGCTATCTGCTTCCCTCTTATATGCCTTTTCTAGCTGATTAGCCTCTGAACAATAGACATACTCTTTTTTTTTGGTGGTTTCTGCATGACCTGCTCCAATCAGTCCCCTTACCTTTTGAGCTCTTTTTTCTCTAAGAGCTTTTCTAGTTCTCTTAATTCTTAATCTCAGTGTTTGTGTAGCTGAGCTTCCCCCTCACTTGTTTTATGTCATGTGACATAATCCAGGGAGTTTCAGTACAGCCCAATCTAGTAATGAAAATAACTGCTTCTACAATTAAATTGGTATTATGATTATGTGTCAGGGACCAAAGGTGAATTACATGATAGAGGCTTTACAATGAAATTGCATAATGTTATAGCTGCAAGGGACAAGAAGGGTCCAATCTAGTGTGATTCTCTCATTTTACAGATGAAAATTATGAGACCTTCACAATTGTTTAGTGCCCTATTAGTAACTAATGGGAAAACATCCTGATTTTGGCTCACTGCAAACTCTCTAATATCATACTGCTACTTTGATATTGTTTTTATGATATAAATATAGAGTTGGTAACTTTCAAATCTCAAACTATAATTTCCCTTTCCCTGAGCAACTGTTGTTAAGATTGTGTGTCAACAGACAAAAATGAAAGATTTTGTTGTTGTTGTTTGTAATTTTAGGTAGGCAAGTTAATTTCTGCCCTTAGTTTGATGCAGATTTTATTTTCTTCCCTGAGAATTTTCCTAGAATGTTCTAAAGGATTATATTATAATGACTTAAGGCAGGGATATTTTCTGAAAACGGCCCATTATTCTGTTACTCTCCTTTCAGGCAAGTTTCAATTTTACCAATTTAAATTACATGGAGGATAGTTATTGGAACTTCATATTTGGATTAGCTTTGTTTTTTGATACCTGAAGCAGCAACCTTACTAATGAATGGAGCTTGTCCGGCAATATATTGGCAACTACATATCAAGGTTGGTTAAACTTAGTTGTGAGGGCTTTCAATAATGGGCTACTCTAGGGCTATGCACAAAAGCCATATCTGAACATGTAAAGTGGAAAATTGAAACAATTTATGCATCTTGATAATTCAAATAAATGTTCTAACATTTACCTCAATTACTTTGAATCTGCAAGAAAATGCGTTCCTATGTTTGAATTAGTCTGAAAATGGCCTCAGAGTTTTATTCCAATTTACATGTCCAGATATAGCTTTTGGGAAATGATAATAGTGATGGCTTCCATTATGTTCCAGGCACTATTAGGTGATTTTAATATATTATTTCTACCCTCATACCAACTCCACAAGCTAGGCATTGTTATTCATTCCCATTTTACCCATGAGGAAACTAATCTCATAGAGGTTACAGGATTTATGAACAGCTTGAAATAGTAAATTTCTTTGAAGAAAATTGGCAAAGTGATGAAAAAAGCAATACATGTTGTTAAGTCTTGGCGAATAAATAAATGCTGCAACATTATTTATTGGTTTGAACAGACAAGAAGTTAAAGCCCAAAGACTTTGCACCTCCAGTAGTCTTCACTCCTCTTGCTTGGCCATAGTGTGATGGTGATTTTGGATTTTGCCTTCCTTTCTTTGTGACTTTAGATCATTATTTCCATGCTTTCTTTTTCTTTTTTTTTAAAAGTTTAATTTTATTTTCCAAATCTTTAAGTGAAGAAGTCGAAACCAAAAGATTAAAAAAAGTGTACCCTCTATAAAATAACGTATGTCAAAATACCAAGTTACATTCTTTTTCTAAGGTAATAATTTGCCTTAGAAAATTCCAAGCTATACTGGAATGCATTAACTTGCTACAATTTTGACAGAGGCAGTCTGTGTGCACAAATCCCTCGAATACTGATGGGACTGTGATTCTATCCTGAAAAAAGAAGAGTCTGAATACAAATTTTAGAGGGCTAGAAAGTGTTTAATGTCTCATTGTTTGTATCAAGATTCTAAATCACATTCAAGTCAATGACTCTGATCTTCATATCAATGCACAAATGGAACAGAAGATAAAAGCCAGGAAAGCTGTTCTCTGAGTAGAACACTGATTTTGTTCTCATGTTACCAGCAAGAGACCATTTGGGATATGTAAGCCCCAGGTTGAGTGCTTCGCATTTGTTAGAGCTCCTCAATGTTTGAAATGGGTTTTCCCTTTAGGGAGCCCATCCATTTGGACAAGTGCTACATCAGATCAAAAGACATGGGAAGAGGTATTTTGTGCACAGATTGAATTTTTTTTTGGCAACATAACATAGCCTTTTAGCACAACATTGTCTATTCTCTACTGATTGTTCTTTTCTTTCTTTTTTTTTAAAAAAATAGTTGGAGTCTGTTTTCCAATAGTGTCAGGCTTTTTTTCATGTGGCAAATTGGCTAGCAGCCACCTGGAGATCATTTGAAATGAAAGCTGGTGTTAAGGGATTTGGTTTTTCAGCTCCAGTTGCTATTATTTTCTAGATTATTAAATGTTAATCAAATTGCTCACTGTATTAAAATTATTATTCTAATTTTTGTGTTATTTACTATTTGGGAAACACAATATAAACCTTTAAAACTTTTAGTTACTATGATATTCTTTTTAAAATGTCATAGAAATACTAAAATAATTATGTCTGTAGTTTTTAGTCTCTTTAGGTTCAGTGGAAGTCAGTATCATCAGCATCTTAAGTGTATCATCACTTTAAAATTTTTTCACGGGAGGTAGTCTGAACCCAAATCGCTACTTTAATTATAAAGAAAGGTTAACCCAGCAATAGGAAGTAGTGACCACATTTTATTTCCAAAAGCTGATGCTGATCCATTTAAGGTGAACATTGTTTGCAAGAGCTTTGAACACACAAATTCCTGGCCATGCTGTGCAGTGAACAAATCCCAAGTGGTTGGAGACTGCACCAGGAAGAATGCCATTGTGGGGGAGCATTAAGAAATGAAGAAAGGGAGGGAAAAAGTGTTGTTCTGCTTTCCTCTATCATGCATTTAGGATAATTCCTGGCATGACTGATTCGGTTTTCCCCTGCTGTCATTAGCAATCGTTGCCAATCATGGTTAATCATCTACTTCCAAAATGAAAAGAGATTTGGCTGAGATGCAGTTGGAACTACTTCTGCTGCATCCCTGGGGATGTTACTGGAAATTTAACAAATTCCTGTTTCCAAACTACTGTCTTCTGATACGACATAATGGAAAATTGGAGCAATTATTCAGATAATATGTGCAAACAGTAAATTTTCAAGCTCAGTTCACTGAAGAAAAATCTCAATCTCTGGGTTAAAGTCTTCCCTGACTTTTAGTACTTCTTGCTAGAACCATTATTTTTTTTGGAATTCTACTTAATTTATGTTTGAATCTCTCTACATCTTGTATCCCACAGTGCCTGACATACTTTAGTTGCTAGATAACATTTTATTGTTTGTAGCTAATTATTTTCTTTGTAAATATGAAACTGTATAGCATAGTAGTTAAGAGCCCAGGATCTGGAGTCAGACTCCCTGGGTTCAAATATTACCTCCTCCACTCAATGGTTGTGTGACTTGGGATTCTCTGGAGCCTCATTTCTTTATCTGTGAAATGGGCATAGTAATATTACCATTTGTAATATTAGCGGTATTCAGTTGATATAAACCTGTGTGCCAGTTGTTAAAACACTGAAATTCTTCCATACTATTTGGTAAGTAGTTGCAGCCTCAAGATCCCTGAATGCTTCCCCTTCACCTCACTGCCTCAAAGCACCTTTGCCCACCACAGTGATTCAACAAGAAATTATTTGCTCAGGAGAGGGTCTACAGGATGCTGCTTCAGCATTATGTTTAGCATCTGTCCTCAGAGGTTAGTGCCCATGTTGCACGTGTTAATAAAGGTTTTTAATATTATTCTCTTTATAGGGTTCTTTTGGATTAAACGAGTTGATATATATTGATGTTTAGGATAGTACCAAGTGCCTATTAAGCACTGTCCATATTCCTCTTATTGTAAATAGATAGTAACTCTCTCTTATTATAAATAAATAGTAACTTATCGGCCACGCGTGTTGGCTCACACCTGTAATCCCAGCACTTTGGGAGGCCGAGGTGGGCGGATCACGAGGTCAGGAGATCGAGAACATCCTGGCTAAACCAGTGAAACCCCGTCTCTACTAAAAAAATACAAAAAACAAAAAAAATTAGCCGGGCGTGGTGGCGGGCACCTGTAGTTCCCAGGTACTCGGGAGGCTGAGGCAGGAGAATGGCGTGAACCCGGGAGGCGGAGCTTGCAGTCAGCCGAGATTGCGCCACTGCACTCCAGCCTGGGCGACAGAGCGAGACTCCGTCTCAAAAAAAAAAAAAAAAAGAAATCTCATATAAGTGGAGTCATTTAGTATTTGCCCGTTGACTGGCTTGTTTTACCTAGCATAATGTCCTCAAGTTTTATCATGTTATTATATGTTGCAAAATTTTCTTCTTTTTTAAAAATGGATAATATCATATATACATGTATATATGTATCACTAATCATCAGGAAAATTTATATCAATATGCATCATATGATCAAATTCATGTCATATGTATATACATGTATACATATAAAGAACACATTTTTATTTATCCATTTATTTATTGATGGACATTTAGATTACTTCTACATCTTGGCTATTGTGAATGGTGCTGCAACGAACATAAGAGTGCTAATCTCTTCCAGATCCTGACTTCAGTTCCTCTGGATATATACGCAGAAGTGGGATTGCTGGATCAAATGTGACACTGGTCCTGCACAGCAGGAAAACCAACTCACACCACTTGCACTTCCAGCTGGAGGAACAGTCTGGCTGTACTGCCCAAGGTGAACTTGCCCTTGAGCCAGTCAAACTGCTCGAAACATCTCCCAAGGGAGAGAAGTCCTTGAGCCACTGAGCAGGCCACATGCCCACAGGCTGGTGGAACAAACTGTGTGCTCACAGCCAAAACTTTAGAAACAGTGTTGTGTGGCTTACCACTAGCAGATATGCCTCTAGGCCAGCTAAGTAGCTGTGCACCTGCAATCAGGACCTAAGAAACAGACTCATGGTCACTCCTGGCAGACACACCCCCTCAGACCAACTGAGTAGTCTTGCATCCATGTTCTGGGCCTGAGAAACAGTCCCATGAACTGTTCCTGATAGGCATGCCACCAGGATACTTGAGCAGCCTTGCACTAACATCCCAGACCTAGGAAACATCTTTGGGGGCCACCCTCAGCAGATACACACCCAGGTGAACCAAGAAGCCTTGTAGCCATGTCCTAGGCCTGCAAGGCAGCAGGATGCCCACATCTTGGGTCTGAGAAACAGCCTAATGGGATGCCCCTGGTAAGCACAGCCCAGGTCAGCTAGCAACCATGTGCCCATGTCCTGGGCCTGAGAAACAGCATGATGGGCTACCCCAACAACAACTTTCCACCCATGCCCCTGGCTAGAGTAACAGCCTGTGGTTCCAGCCCCAGTGAGCCAGACCCCAAGTTGGCTGACCCACAATGTGCATGCATGCACCCCTGATCTAAGAAACATCCTGAGGAGTCTATCCCTGGCAAAGCCACACACCACCATTGCAAACTCTCTCAGCCTAGGCCATGAGACACTCGTGAATGTCACTAGTATGGATTATAGCTGGAGAAACTATATGGAGACTACATTACTGCATTCCCCTAGAAACAAAGCCAATGCAACCCACTCAACAGACATACCAAGACCCTGTTAAATTAGTGTGTTTTTTCTATGAAGCCTACTCCATAAAATTAGAAGAGGCAACTGTTCTACCAGATGCACAGAAGACAACATAGGGACACATCAAACATGAAAAAAAAAAAGGACACATTCAAAGGAATGTGATAATTCTTCAGTAACAGACACCAATTATAAGACTATATACAAAATGCCAGAAAAAGATTTCAAAACAATAATCTTAAGGAAATTCAATGAGCTACAGATAAGATAGATAGACAATCCAATGAAATTGGAAAGTATTAATGATTTAAACAATCAACAAAGAAGTATAAAAAAGAACCAAACAGGAATCATACAGTTGAAGAACTCAATGAATGAAATGAAAAATACAATCAAGAACTTCAACAACAGACAAGAAGTTGAAGAAAGAATGTCTGAATTTGAAGACAGAATTATTGAAATAACACCGGCAAGCGAAAAAAAAAAAAGAAAAAAAAAAAGAATGAAGAAAGCCTACAGGATATACAGGACAACATTAAGTCAACAAATACTTGCATTATGGATATTTCAGAAAGACAAGAGAAGGGTAGAGGTGTAGAAAACATATTTAATGAAGTAATAATTGAAAACTTCCCAAGTATTGGGAAAGAGAGAGAGGTGTAGATCCAGGAAGCTCAAAGAACCCCAAATAGATTCAATCCAAACAGGTCCTCTCCTAGATACATTATAGTCAAACTGTCAAAAGGAAAATAAAAATACAACATATCAAATCTATGGGATTCAACAAAAGCAGTACTGAGAGGGAAGTTTATAGCAATGAACACCTTTTTCAAAAAAGTAGAAAGACTTCAAATAACCTAACAATGCACTAGGTTCAAGGAATTAGGAAAGCAAGAGCAAACCAAACCCAAATTTAGTAGTAGAAAGAAATAAATAATGATCAGAGCATAAATAGGCAAAATTGAGCCTAAAAAATACAGAAGATCAATGAAAAGAAAAGTTGCTTTTTTGAAAAGATAAACAAAATTGAAAAACCATTAGCTAGACTAAGAAAAATAAAGATCCAAATAAATAAAATCAGAAATGAAAAAGGAGACATAACAACTGAGACCACAATGATATAAGGAAATATTAGAGATTGTTGCAAACATCTATACAATGCTTTGGGAGCTGAGGTGGGAGGATCTGTTGAGACTGGGAGTTTGAGACCAGCCTAAGCAATATAGTGAGACACATCATATTTAAATTTTTTTTATTTTAATTTTTAATTTTATTTTTCCACAAGTTATTGGGGTACAGGTGGTATTTGGTTACATGAATAAGTTCTTTAGTGGTGATTTGTGAGATTTTGGTGCACCCATCACCCGAGCAGTATACACTGCACAAAATTTGTAGTCTTTTATCCCTCACCCCCCTCCCACTCTTTCCTCCAAGTCCCTGAAGTTCATTATATCATTCTTATGCCTTTACATCCTCATAGCTTACCTCCCACATATCAGTGAGAACATATGATATTTGGTTTTCCATTCCTAAGTTACTTAACTTGGAATAATAGTCTCCAATCTCATCCAGGTCACTGCAAATATATATATATATATATATATATATATATATATATATATATATATATATATATATATAGTGTCTTATATATACTATATAGTGTCTTTTTCTACTCGTCGATTGATGGGCATTTGGATTGGTTCCACAATTTTGCAACTGTGAATTGTGCTGCTATAAACATGGGTGTGCAAGTATCTTTTTTTGAATAATGACTTCTTTTCCTCTGGGTAGATACCCAGTAGTGGGATTGCTGGATCAAATTGTGGTTCTACATTTGGTTCTTTAAGGAATCTCCACACTGTTTTCCATAGCAGCTGTCCTCATTTACATTCCCACCAGCAGTTTAGAAGTGTTCCCTCATAACAGCATCCATGCCAACATCTACTGTTTTTTAATTTTTTGATTATGGTCATTCTTGCAGGAGTAAGGTGGTATCTCATTGTGGTTTTGATTTGCATTTCCCTGATCATTAGTGATGTTGACCATTTTTTCATCTTTTTTTGGCCATTTGTATATCCTTTTTTGAGAATTGTCTATTCGTGTCCTTTGCCTGCTTTTTGATTTTTTTTTTCTGATTTGTTTGAGTTCGTTGTAAATTCTGGATATTAGTCTTTTGCCAGATGTATAGATTGTGAAGATTTTCTCCCACTCTGGGGTTGTCTGTTTACTCTGCTGACTGTTCCTTTTGCCATGCAAAAGCTTTTTAGTTTAATTAGATCCCAGCTATTTATCTTTGTTTTTATTACATTTGCTTTTGGGTTCTTGGTCATGAAATCCTTGCCTAAGTCAATGTCTAGAAGGGTTTTTCCAATGTTATCTTCTAGAATTTTTATAGTTTCAAGTCTTAGTTTTCAGTCCTTAATCCATCTTGAGTTGATTTGTTTATAAAGAGATGAGGATCCAGTTTCATTCTCCTACATGTGGCTTGCCAATTATCCCAGCACCATTTGTTGAAAAGGGTGTTATTTTCCCACTTTATGTTTTTGTTTGCTTTGTCGAAGATCAGTTGGCTGTAAGTATTTGGGTTTATTTCTGGGTTCTCTATTGTGTTCCATTGGTCTATATGCCTATTTTTATACCAGTACCAGGCTGTTTTGGTGACTATGGCCTTATAGTATAGTCTGAAATCAGGTAGTGTGATGCCTCCAGATTTGTTCTTTTTGCTTAGTCTTGCTTTGGCTATGCATGTTCTTTTTTGGTTTTGTATGAATTTTAGAATTTTTTTTTTCCAACTTTGTGAAGAATGATGGTGGTATTTTGATGGGGATTGCATCGAATTTGTAGATTGCTTTTGGGAGTATGGTCATTTTCACAATATTGATTCTACCCATCCATGAGCATGGGATATGTTTCCATTTGTTTGTTTCATCTATGATTTCTTTCAGTAGTGTTTTGTGGTTTTCCTTGTAGAGGTCTTTTGACTCCTTTGTTAGGTATATTCCTAAGTTTTTAATTTTTTTGTTTTGCAGCTATTGTAAAAGGGGTTTAGTTCTTGATTTGATTCTCAGCTTGGTCATTGTTGATGTGTAGAAGAGCTACTGATTTGTGTACATTAATCTTGCATCCAGAAACTTTGCTGAATTCTTCTATCAGTTCCAGGAGCTTTCTGGAATAGTCCTCAGAATTTTCAAGGTAAATGATTATATCGTCAGCAAACAGGGACAGTTTGACTTCCTCTTTACCAATTTGGATTCTCTTTATTTCTGATTGCTCTGGCTAGGACTTCCAGTACTATGTTGAAGAAGAGTGGTGAGTGGCCATCCTTGTCTTGTTCTCGTTCTCAGGAGGAATGCTTTCAACTTTCAGTATTATGTTGGCTGTGGGTTCGTCATAGATGGCTTTTATTACATTAAGCATTAAGGTATGTCCCTTGTATGGCGATTTTGCTGAGGATTTTAATCATAAAGGGATGTTAAACTTCGTCAAATGTTTTTTCTGCATCTATTGAGATGATCATGTGATTTTTGTTTCTGTTTGTGTGGTGTATCACATTTATTGACTTGCATATGTTAAACCATCCCTGAATCCCTGGTATAAACCCACTTGATCATGGTGGATTATCTTTTTGATATGTTGTTGGATTTGGTTAACTATTATTCTGTTAAGGATTTTAGCATCTATGTTCATCAAGGATATTGGTCTGAAGTTTTCTTTTTTGGTTGTGTCCTTTCCTGGTTTTAGTATTAGGATGATGCTGGCTTCATAGGATAAATTAGGGAGGGTTCCTTTGTTCTATATCTTGTGGAATAGTGTCAAAGGATTGGTACCAATTCTTTGAATGTCTGGTAGAATTCTGCTGTGAATCCGTCTGGTCCTAGACATTTTTTTGTTGGTAATTTTAAAATTACCATTTCAATTTCACTGCTTGTTATTGGGTCTGTTCAGGGTATCTAATTCTTCCTAATTTAAGCTAGAAGGGTTGTATTTTTCTAGGAATTTATCCATCTCTTCTAGGTTTTCAAGTTTATGTGCATAAAGGTGTTCATAGTAGCCTTGAATGATCTTTTGTATTTCAGCGGTGTCAGTTGTAATATCTCCTGTTTCATTTCCTAGTGAGATTATTTGGATTTTCTCTCTTCTTTTCTTGGTTAATCTTGCTAATGGTCTATCAATTTTTTAAAATCTTTTCAAAGAACCAACTTTTTGTTTCATTTATCTTTTGTATTTTTTTGTTTGTTTGTTTCAATTTCATTTAGTTCTGCTCTGATATTTGTTACTTCCTTTATTCTTCTGGGTTTGGGTTTGGTTTGTTCTTGTTTCTCTAGTTTGTTGAGGCATGACCTTAGATTGTCTGTTTATGCTCTTTTTATGCTCTTTCAGACTTTTTGATGTCAGTGTTTAAGGCTGTGAACTTTCCTCTTAGCACAGCCTTAGCTGTAACCAAAGGTTTTTTTTTTTTTTGACAGAGTCTCGCTTTATCACCCAGGCTGGAGTGCAGTGGTGCTATCAGGGCTTGCTGCAGGCTCCACCTCCCGGGTTCAAGCGATCCTCATGTCTCAGCCTCCCGAGTAGCTGATTACAGGTGCCCACCACCTGTAATCCACAAAAGCCAGAAAGTTAACTTGACTCAGCTCCAGGTAAAGTCAGAAACTTCTCCCACAAACAGATCTTCAGCTTCTTCCCTTTCCCACTTCCACAGCTGGGGCACTCACAGTATTTCAGGTGTCTCCCAGGTCCTGTAGGAGCAGTCTGCTTCCTTCAGAGAGTCTGTAGGTCCTCTTGGGATTGCTGGTTTGTTTTTGCAGTTGGTCTGGAGCTAAAATTCACAATGCAAGCCTCTGCATGCTGCTCTGTCTGGAGCTGCAATCTAGTCCTGCTTCCCATCTGCCATGATCCCCCATATTCAATAAATTTTGAAAAAAAAATCCACAGCCAAAAGAAGTCCATAAAAGGCTAGCAGATTGCTGAAGAGTGTTTCTGATGTTCGTAGCCTGGGATCAAGTGGCTTAAGATGTGTGTTTCAAGATGGGTAGTTGATTAGGATTGGCCAGATTTTGTGACATTATCTGATTGGTAGAGAAAGTCTTGCAAAGTGAATGCTTGCTTGATAAGTGTGAACAGTTGATTGCCTGCTAGGAGAGCTGATTGCTTAGATGAGTAGACTGTATGGATAAGTGAGTATTTCTGAAGCAAAGATTGATGTATTTTATTGGATTGCAGCATTATCTTCTGGGGCAAAAATGTCCTGTGTTACATTGATACTTGCACCTCCTGTATCTCAGTCCTGATAGATAAGGTTATGGAATCACATGGCCTCAATTCTCAAATACTATGGAAGAAAGAAAATGTAGAACATCAGGGTAAGGAGACTGGGATGCCACAGAGGGGGCAGGTTACAGTGTTTAATTGAATGTTCACCAGTGGTCTTGTGGTGAAAATGAGATTTTATTAAAGACTTGCAGGAGGTATGGATGATATCAAAGTGTAATATATGGCTTATTGTCTACTTGATTAAATTTCTCTAGATTTAGCCTGGGTCCAAGTTTAATGTAAGCTAATTACTCCTTAGAATGGTCAAGAAAATTCTACTTTGTCCTTAACTTTTTCCAAATATTTATAATAAAACATATGTTTGCAGTTTTAATTTTCTGTTAATTGCCTCAGCACAAAGCTTTATTCTAATTGAAGAAACTTGGTTGAAGTGTCGGAGAATAGGAAGCTTAAGGAAGGGTGAGGTGTGCATTTAAGTATTCATCATGGGGTCATTTTTGAGATTCTTCTTTTTATCTCTTCATTGCTTTTTAACTAACCTGAGGATGCTCTGAGTCTACAAAAGAGACAATGTCTCTTCTAACCTGCCTTTAATCAATCCTCTCTATTAACAATGTCCCACTGGAAACATCCATTTAATGACCAACTGTTAATTTTTGTTTTTGTTTAAGAACATACCATGTTCTTCAATTTTGCTTCAACTTTAGAATGTTTTTAGAAATTACGTTTAACTTTTGCATTTTGAGAACCATTATTTCATGCTATAGATGACTTTTCTTCTATTTAAAATCTTAGTGACCACTTAGCAGGCAGATTTGCATTGTTCCTAACTAGTATTATAGGAAAATCTATCCTGAAATGAACCTATTTGATTGATCAATAGCTAAAGTAAGCCAAGTGGACAACTTTAGTTCTTTTTTAGAAGCCACACAATTCAAAAACTAGATAACAGCAAATCAATTTTTCTAATTTATAATTCAGCAAGATAATTTTTTGAATTTTAATTTTATTTTCCGGATTAAGTGTTGTTATAGCAAAGCTAAAAAAAAAACACACTGAAGTCTAATGTTAGGTTTATTCTTGAATCATAAATAGATTTTTCTATATTGAATAAATGCACACTTTCCACTAACCATAAGGTAATTAAGGCACACTGTGTAATGTGGACTTTTAATTCAAAGAGACAACGCATATGCTAAATCCCATCAGATGTGGGCTGAAGAAAGAATGCAACTTCTGATTTCATTTTTTTCTGCAGATATCAGTATATAAATTCATTCAAAGCCAACAAAAAAAGAGTTTTATTTTCCTCTCAATAAAGTGTGAGTTATGTTTAAAGCAGGTACTGGAGTGGTAATTTGCACTGCTGAATGCACAGTGAGTATTTATTTAATATATGTTGAGTATTTAATTAATTGACCTCCATTATTGCAGTTCGAGAAACAGACAAATAATACATCATCCGGAGTTTCGTCCCTGGCTCTTTCACATAAGTTTATGCCACTCAGTTTTTCACTACCATGTATCTTCCAACCTAATGTATTCTTGTGAATCTGGGCTTGAGATCAGAAATAAAGAAAATTTAATTTAACATGAAAAACTGCATTTTCAGACTTTTTTAATTCTCTGTAACCACTAGTTCTATATTTTATTAATAATATTGTCTTTGAATTCATGCATTTTACATAATTTTTTCCTTTTTACTACTATTTGTGGTATATCTGTATAGGTTGCCACATGAATACCTACCATTGATTACAATCTTTCTAAGCCTCATAATAACTCTATCATTATTCCCATTTTCCAGATAAAAAAGCTGAGGATTAAAGATATAATGTAAGTTGTCCAGTTTCATAAATAATATTATTAATTTTTTCAAATACCCCTTATGTCAGAAGACTTGACTCAACTTGACATTACCATTAGGATTGCCCTGTTGTCCACATCCATTCACCAACCATACTGCCTCCCACTTCTTCAGGGAGAGTGGCACATTTCATCTGAGTGGGGACTTAGATCAACTGAAGGCCACTCTTCACTTCATTCTTCTTTGGTGGATAAACCTAATTTCTTCTTTTCAATCAAGAGGCATTTCTTAAATGAAAAAAACAAAATCAACGAGCTTGGGTAACAGAGTTTCTTAATGTCCTTAGGAGATGCAGAACCCATGCTCAGCAGAGAGCTAAGAATCTTTAATGCCTTCCAAGAGATTGTCTGTTGGAATTCAGTCTGTATACAGCTAAGCCAGATTCAGTGTGCTTGTAGTCAGAAATCAGAATAACTTTCTGAATCTCACACATGCTTTTTGTTGTGCAACTCTCAGAGGCTTTCTGTAGAGGGTACAGCAACCTAGCTAATTCCATGCAAACTTCTGCAGCAAAGAGGTTCAAGAGAAAGAATTATTCAGGGTAACATAAATAAATAAAGACTCCCTTTTTGTTGCTTATATATGCCAACAAAAAGAGGACTATTATAAAATTTCATGTAATTATAATTACTTTATCATTCTAACAAAATCTATTAGCTAACAAATTCCTTGGCCAATTATTCCAAGTGAAACAGTTACCATGCACTTTGGAAAACAAGATTAAGACTTTTATAAGTCATATATTCCATATTTACTTGCATTCTTATTTTTCAACTAATTACTTAGTTCAACCTAATTTATCTTCATGTTCCTGCCATGGGGCAACCATAAGGTATCTTGCTTTGAGAAACCATGATACATTTCTCTTAATGCCAAGATCACTTACAAAAATATGATTGCTACATATTCAAGTTCTATATTTCTACAAGTTCTAGCCTAATAATTACTCAAGCTTGAATTCCTTTTATAAACCTGAATAAGAAGTATTGACTGAAAAATAAAGTAAGCAAGTATATTTTCATGCCAGAAAGGGATCTTACACTTGTTCATGGTTAAGTGACAATGAATAATAAATATGTGGACAGAAACAGCACTACTCATTTGCATTTAAGAAATGCAGTTATTTCCAAATGTGTCTACACTTACTGCAATATGTTCCTCAAGGTCCCTGTGCTCCAGGTCATCTAGTCCAGCCCAGGGCAAAGTTATAGGGTGGGTGAAATTTGCCTTCATATACAATTTCAATTTGCCTATTTCTTAGTAGTGCTTTTCCTGTAATTATTCCTTTATTCTCTGCTCACGTTTTTATTGTCCTGATACTTTAGTGTAAATTAAGCTATACACTTTTTCTAGTGTATTTTCGTTTTTATTCTTCTCTTTGAAGGTGTTACAAGAGACTTTGCCTCCAATACCAGGAAATTTAGGGATCCTTATCTGGTGTGTAATTCCACTGCAGTATTTTAGTATTTATTAAAAAGTTTATTTAAAATAAATGTATAATATTGGCTCCTGTTTATTTCCTAAAATTCTCTTATTCCAGATTGCACTCTGACTAAATGCATGTTTATGTACTTTAAATTAAAGGATTATAATAGCTTCCTGTATGTCATCACCTCATTCATTAATTTTCCCATCTCCCTTTACTTTTTTTTTTTTTGAGACAGAGTCTTGCTCCGTCACCCAGGCTGGAGTGTAGTGGCATGATCTCTGCTCATTGTACCTCCGCCTCCCAAGTTCAAGCGATGCTCCTGCCTCAGCCTCTTGAGTAGCTGGGACGACAGGCATGCACCACCACACATGGCTAATTTTTGTGTTTTTAGTAGAGACGAGGTTTCACCATGTTGACCAGGCTTGTCTTGAACTCCTAATTTCAAATGATCTTCCCACCTTGGCCTCCCAAGATGTTGGGATTACAGCCACGAGCCACCGCACGTGGCCCCATCTCCTTTTACGTTTTACCATCCTTTCTAAACTTGACTTAATCTCTTTTTGTTACATTTGCACAAATCTGTTGTTAAAAAAAAACTTTTTAATGACACCCTGTATGTTCTAAAGAATGGCCTCTATAAGTACATGAACTTGAAGTAATTTCCTGATCTTAATGTGTTGATAACACATTAATAACATTAAGAATAATGATATTCTTTTATTTTAGATTCCAGAGGTACATGTGCAGGTTTGTTACAAAGGTAGAGTGTGTGATGCTGGGGTTTGGAGTACGATTGAACAGACACTTCTCAAAAGAGGACATACAAGTGGCTAACAAACACATTTAAAAATTTGGGATTTTTGAGGAAGGACATAAGATGTCAAAAATAAATATCAAAGTAGATAAAGAAGTCATTGGGCAAAATGGTACATTTAAGTTCGGAAACAAAAGCACTGAATTTTGAATGTTTTTCCATCTTTTAAAATAATGGTTAACATGGCATTGTTGTTTACAAGGATTTGGCAATCTGAATAAAAAAATTGCCCTTTTCTCTTAGTGCATTAATTAGAAGTGCCAAATAAGATAAACACTCCAGTGAAATACAATGAAGCTCTCTTCCTTCTGAAATGTTTCCATGGTGCCCGCTTTGATTTCATCTCAGTCTCTCAGTCTCCACCCAAAGGCATTGTTTTGTTGCTCTAATCATTAATATTGACATGCAATCATTAATACACAAGCTTACTTCTATAAATAGGATTTATGTATTGTCAAAAATTATGGAAGATAAAATGCTACATATAATGGCATTCTAATTCACTCAGACTTTCTTTGCTTCTCTCTCTAGCTTTACACACACACACACAACGTCATACTAAGGAAATCTTGAGAAGCTGGCAAACCTCTATGTTCATTGTATGAGGGGGAGGTGATAGCACTAGTGTATCCCAACAGAAGCAGTCTTTGGGCAGTTAGTAAGATGTTCCTATAAGGGAAGTGACAATAATATCTGCAATTCACAGCTCTTACACAAAACTCTGGGAATGTATTTATGCACATGTTATATACTCACATACTCATTTCAGCGATCTGAAGCTCTATTTCTCTTTCATGTACTCAGTTTCCTTTGAGTTTTCTTTTCCCAACTTATACCAAGACATTGTCCTATCCAGAATTTTCAGCCAATATAGCATATTCCCCACTGAATCTGCATACAGTGTCTCTAAACAGTTGAGTCAGTTCTATCTCTCCATCTACACTGACTCACATCTCAGTCCCCATGCCTCTTCCTGGCCCAGCTCCTCCATAGATGAACTTGTGGATCTCACCACTTACAGGATCTTGCCATTTCAGAGTGATTATTTACTTCAGTGCATCTCAGACTGCTCAGTCCCTTGATATCATGCCTTATTTCCCAGATAAGCCATATTTTGGTTCCTTGATAAATGCATGTTTTGACAGGAAATTTGATTTAATAGGACATTTAAGGAGCTCCAGTCTATACATCCCAGTATGGCCAAGTATTCACAGTGGGCCATCCTCCTTGCTGTTCTGATTGAGGATAGCGTCACTGAGCCACTCTTACTGCAAAACCCGTCTGGAACATACTGTCCTTCCTCTGATCACTGGAGCTCTCATATTGCTTTTACATTACAGTTTCCGGTAATAGAGAATAGGATAGGTCAATTGCATCTAATTTCCTGAGTTCAGCATCATTCTGTGTGCCTCAATTCATAGTATGGGCTTTTGGACTGATCATCATTTCATGTTTTGCACTGAAATCCTGCATTTTCTCCAGAGATTATTTATAACCTGGGAGGCTTGCTTCCTTATAGGGATGGAAACCAACTCCTAACATCCAGCAGCCCTCGCTGATGCCTATTGCCAATCTGGGTTTGCTTTCCCAGACTCTGTTGCCCCTTAAAGCTTGTTCCTGTGCCTGCCCAGCTCTGTGGGTTTTGTGTTAGGTTTCATCATCACCATTTCTCACTTGACTGTCTTACTGAGAGTAAAAGACTAACAAGCCACTTAGGCCCTAGACATGAGAATATACATCTTAGTTCATATGCTGGAAAGACTGATCCTATTTCCTAGAAATTTGAATGTATTATGAGGAAGAGACAAACTTCTTTTTTATGAAAGTCATCAAAGAATGGAATTATCAAGAAGGGCCACTTTGCCCTTTCCTGCCACTATTGTGTCTCCCTTGTCTTTTTAATCCAGCAGGTATTTGTTCCCAAAGCCCCCACCTCTGAAAATGTACAGTGCCTAAGTATCAGTAGCTACTGTCTTTAACCAAAGATGCTCAATTACTGGGTGGAGAAGACCTTGTACTCTTCCTCTAATGAAATGTAGTTCAGTAGAATGAAGTCATATGAAATAGAAGAACTGCCTGTCTTCCTGAGCATCATCTCAGGCTGTTTAGTTACTAAGCTGATATTCTTCACATCCAAGCCCACGGTCTTATCTTTCTTAGCTGCCTAAGTTGCTGCCTAGGTTGGAGGAAAACTGTCCCCCTTTCCAGAAAGATACTACAATCTACTGTTCAGAAAACCCTGAGACTATGCAGCAGAGGGAATTGGAATACCAATCTACTTACTCCTTTTTTTGTATGAGGGATATTATTTCTTGTAATTTTAAAAAGTAAATTCATGGAAATTACCTGGGATGCATTTATTAGACTGCATTTATTATTAGATGCATTTATTATATAAATATAAATATATATAAATGTATATATTTATATTATATATAATTATATATAAATCTATATATTTATGTTATATATAAAAATCTATATATTTATGTTATATATATAAATATATATATGTTATATAAATTTATATATTTATATATAAATTTATATATTTATATAAATTTATATATTTATATATAAATTTATATATTTATATAAGTTTATATATTTATATATTTATATGTAAATTCATATATTCATATTCATATTTATATTTATATTGAAACCCGATACCTGAAAATATAGTAGTATTTCTTAAAGTGACACAGAAATGAAATTTGATACCTGAAAACATAATGGTATTTAAGAAGTTACAGAAGTAAACATATTCTGAAATTAGAAGCTTGATCCCCTCTAGTCTGTATTGTCACTATAATGGGTTCTAAGCTATGGTTGATCTTTTATAAAATTGAAAATTTGTGGGATTAATGTGTTGATAACACTTAGACATATCTGTGACCTACATCTAATCTGAACTATTTCTATTCTCTTCTACATTATACTTATCACCAGCAATCTTCTAAAAGTACATTCAAGAATATGCAATCATATTTATGCATTATTTGAGCTAGATAAATGTTAAGGAATCATATAATAAATTCATATATCATATATATGTAATCAGGTAAAGAATAAAAGTTATAAGGTTTACTAATAAATCAATTGTTAGTAATTCTAAAATTAATTGTATAGAATTTGTCAACATTTTTATATCAATACTTGTAAAATTCAAATTAAAAATATTTAATGGTGGCTAGCATTTTTTAAGTGTTTAACAGGCATTAGGTGTTTTAGCTCCATAAACTTGTTTCATTTCTACGACCACACTATGAGACAATCAATTACTTTAAGTACTTTACATGGCTGTTATCAAAAAGACAAAAAAATGTTGTTGAGAATATGGAAAAAGGGGAATGATCATACACTGTTGGTGGGAATGTAAAGTTGTTCAGCCACTGTGAAAGACAGTATGGAGGGTCCTCAGAAATGTATGAATAGAACTACGATATGTTCCAGCGGTCTTATTGCTGTATATATATGAAAAGAAAGAAAAGCAACATATCAAAGAGATATCTGCACTCCTATGTTTACTGCAGCACTATTTACAATAGTCAAGATACAGAAGCAACGTAAGTGTCCATCAATGGAAGAATGAATAAAGAAAATGTGATATGTATACACAATGGACTACAATTCAGTTGTGAAAAAGAAAGAAATCATGTCATTTGCAGCAACATGGATGAAACTGGAGGTCATTATATTAAGTGAAATAAGCCAAGCACAGAAAGACAATGATTGCATGTTCTCACTCACAGGTGGGAGCTAAATAAGTGCATGTCATGGAAGTGAGGATTAGAATGGTGGTTATCACAGGAAGGGCAGGGAAAGGGGGAGGAGAGGATGAAGAGAGCTTGGTTTATGGATACAAAAATATAGTCAGATAGAAGGAATAAGTTCTAGTATTTAATCGTATGGGGGAGAATTCTAATTAACAATATATTGTTTATTATTATATGTTTCAAAATAGCTAGAAGAATTGCAATGTTCCCAACACAAAGATAAATGTTTGAGATAATGGATACCTTAATTACCCCAATTTGATTATTACACATTGTGTACATATATCAATATAGTCCATGTACCCCACAAATATGTACAAATATTACATATCAATATAAATATTAAAAGTAAGCCATTAATAAAATTAATAAAATAAGCCATTAATAAAATATTTTGCAGGTGAGGAAATTGAAACTTAGAGAGATTGAAGATCTTGAACGGATCCCCCAGATCTTTTCAGGGGTGCTGGACATTGACTCCTACGATTTTCACATCATGTGGACCTTGAACATTCTAAACACAGAGCCAAGAAGGAAGTGTTGCTGATAGCTCATTAACATTTAGGACACCTACACAACACCAGTTCATGTTAGAAATATGCAAACAGGATCCAATCCTGGTTAAGTATTCAATGGAAGTGATTTATCAATCAATACGAGTATCAAATAGGTAAAATGACAGCATATGAAGCTACATAAAGGTATGAGGAAGAATATCCAATAACACAGCACTAAATCTCATAAAATTTCACTCCAGATCAAAGCATCAGCCCACAAACATTACAGTTCACATGGGGCTGCTGTGTCAAAAGCAGCAGCAATTATGCACCTACCAGACATTGGAAGAAAACCCAGCGGGGAGCACAAAAAATGGGTCTATTTGCTAAATCACAATTCACCCCAACCCAGGGGAGTCTAAGATAAAACCCACTAAATGGAGGAAACACAATAACATTGAATGTCTTCACCATTATCAAGGCCATTAAAGGGATGTGAAAAGCACAACAGCAAACCACATTCATTAATAGTAAACTAGCCTTCGAGAAGGCCATAAGAACTCAGTCTCATAAGTAACTAGATGTACCTTAATTTAATTTAATTGGAAGGAGAAGTAGAAAGTATAAAACATTAATCACCATCTCAGGAATGATTTATTTTGCACGTATGCCTGCAGGGACAAGGAAAACTGTTTACTTTTGGTAGTCTTCCAATGCTTGCTTCCTTCCGTCTTGATCATCAAGAGGCTGCATTCATACATCTTCTGTATGTCAATAGTCGACAGGTCCTGACATGGCCATCCTCTGCTTTTGTTTTTGTTTGTGCAGCCAGAATCCACTAACATTCATGGGCAAATGGTGGTGAGTCTGGGATTTGCGATAATGCTATTATGCATCAGATCTCTGGGCCAAAAAAACTGATCTACAGACTGTACCAGATGCTCATGCTATTATTCCCTGCCCCCATTATATAGGAATGGGCGGGCCCCTTTCTAAGAAAACGTGCCTTTCATCAGAAATCTGGCATTCTGAATTTCCTGACTGACACAGGTCAGTACATATATTGTGTTCCAGGAGTTGAGGAAATCATTTTACCTTTAAGAGTGATTCAGTTGTTGATCTAAGATATTGAGAAAATATAACTTCCACAGTCAGCTTTTTAACCTACTTAGGTCGATTTGTGTCAAGGTTTTTGAAAGTAAACAAAAACTTTCAAACATAAAACTAAATCGAGCTATCCAGGAAATAACAACAATTTCATCCATACACAGACCACCATGTATACACCATACACTAGTAAAATACAGCATAGCAAACCTGAAGTCCTGGGGGAATGCAGAGATGAGCTTAGATGTAGTGGAATGGCACTGATTTAACCTGTTTAAAAAAAAATCAGAAAATACCCCAAAATAAAACTTAATCATAGAAAATAATTTATGAAGAACTGGTATTAGGTAATTGCTTGCTACTCAATTTTCAAAATGACCAACTCCAAAATACAATTTTTTGCTTCAGCCTTGCTGAAACTCATGTTTTGGGTGGAAGTATGCAAATTACATGTATTCCACAATGCACATTTTTAATTGTATACAAATAAAAATCTTTCCTCTTACAGCTTTTGAGGAGATTATAAACATATTGTAACTACCCTATTATTGCTCAAGATGCTGTTACAACTCTCATGAGATATAACCTTTAGAGAATTTCCTCCTGAAAAACTTCAGCAGAGGTTATTTTCATTTTGTTGGGTTTGATGCTTTGGAAGAGGACAGAAGGAATTCTGAACCAAACCTGATATTAAATTGAGGATCAGGATAGATGGGACCATATAATTTATACTGATAGATCTGGTGTTTTGTACAGTTTGTAAAGTAGCTCTGAAAAAAATTTCCAGAATGAATTCTAATCAAGTTTTGAGTAACAGCAACCTTCATTGGAATGAGTTGTTAGTTCTCAGATATATGAATTCATTTTTGAAGAACAGCACTCACTGAGAACCATTTTTCAGTATGTTTGCTAAAAACTCACTTACCTAAAAATTATTCAGTGTAGCAGGAAACCAAAAGTTAGACATTGAGCTGAGGCTGTCTGATACGAACTTTCAAACTTTCCCTAATCTAGAACTAGTGATGTTTTGCTCAGGGATGAAATCTGTTTCCTGAATTAATTCATATTACCCTGGAGCTATGTGTTAGAAAGCAACAACATCTTTTGTGCTTATAGTTAGTAAACTTCAACTCAAATTAAAAGTAGTATCAGTGTGCCAAAAATCATTGCAGGATGCAATGATTGCTCATGAGAGTAAACCTAATCTTTTATTAAAATGATACTGAGCACTTTTTACTTCCCAGGAAAGGAAGTCAGGTTTATTCTCTGTTGAAAATAAGAAAAATATTGCTGCTTCCAAACTACAGGTAGGATTAAACACTTTAACAACACATCTAAAAAATGTTTACCCATTAAAAAATTCTAAAGTGCTTTTTAGAGTAGCAGAACTAGAATACCCTAAAAAGCACAAATTGAGAGTTAACAACAGTGTCAAAGTAAGACACACAACCAGTATTTCTCTGGATAAGCTAATGCCCATTTTGCCAAAAATCTAAAAATTCTCACTTTCTTCACCCAAATGTATTCAATTTCCTAACAAGGATGTTTCATATAGCCTTTGTAAATTAGTGCTCTTGATCATCCTGTGGTACCTGTTATTGGTGTCCTGTCCAGCTCTGGCTTCTTGTGGGAAAGCTTCTATGCGTGCTAGAAGCAAAAGTGGCAGCTGGACCAGTCAAGTCTGTGGAGTGCCTGGCTACTGTCCCTAGTGCTCGCTCAAGTCTCACAGGGATTGCTGACATTGCCATTGCTGACACCTTAAACTTCTTAAGGAGATTCTGTTGGGAGGAAGAAAACTTACTTTGCATTCTTTCTTTGGTAATGCCCCATTCTAGGCCTGGAGCAAGAGCACAAGGACTAGGCTGAACATCAATTTGAGTGACATTTTCAATGCTCAGCCTCACCTTGCCATCCTCATCCTGGATTCATAGCTTTGATCTTTTACTGATGAGTTACTTCTTCTCCCTGAAAGGACTTCTCAACGCCCTGGACAAATGTCCTCAATCTGAACCTTGGCTGTTCTGTACCACCAGTAATCTGGAGCAGACATGCCTAATCCTGGACAAAACAACCTGACCCTTGATATAGTGGTTTCCATTAATAAGCTAGCTCTTTACTTACCATGGCTTTGTAACATCAACATTGTCACTACCTATGAAGATTTTTACTTTAACCACTTAAGGCTACAAGTCAGATAAATTGTAACAAAAATTTTATTATAATAGCAAATGCTAACGTTTGTTTTCCTATTGTAGGCCCTACATGGTTCTACATTGCATTTTACATTGATTAACTCATTTAATCTTTGCAATAATTTTTTAACATGGGTACCATTATTTCCCTCATTTTACTAACGAAGACACGGGCACACGGAAATTAAATAATGAGTTCAAGCTCACACTAACTAGATTCAGAGCCTCAGCGTCTGATGACTAGCAAGAAAGGGGAAAGAAGAGGAGTGAAGTTTGCCTTCATTTTATTTTGTTCTCTAGTGTTACTTTCAAAAGCAGATAAGTAGAATTAAAAAATATTTCTCTCTCATTCAAATGATAATGCTAACCAGCACAAAGGTCATGCCTGTTTACTCTCTCCATGGTATCTGAGACACCTAGTCTACCTCTAGTACAAAACACACACTCTATAAATATTTGTGAGATGAATGAATGATGTAAAAACTTTTAGTTGCTTTTTCTTATGTGACCTTCATTCTTTTTTTTATTTGTCTTGTTCTTGTCAACTCGTGTGAGCTTATTTTAATTTACTGTAAAGAACTGAAAAGTATCTGGATTAGAGTAATTTAATAATCCTTGTCAATAACTCACACAGCCTTCTGTGGCTGTCATTGCCAACAGCGGATTGGGGTTGGTTGGGTAATGAATCAATTAAGAGGGTATTTTCCTTATGGGATATCATCAACCAGACTCCTCTAAGGTGTGTAATTAGGGGCACATTGAAATGTGGAATCCATATCTAGCTGGATGAGTCATAATTTTCACTGCTTCTGTAAGGTTCTTTACTGTATACTATTTTTTAAATTATTTCTTGCAGTGAGAATAATTTCAAAAAATAATCTCTTGTATGTTGTCAAAGCTGACAACACTGATGGAACTATGTGAGTTACATGAAATATGCTCATAGGGTGAGTTGCAAAGCTACTTAATGAGTAGTACATATGAAAGTCATGCTAGTCTGTGACTCCTCAACCAAACCATGGCCATGTGGTACAAACTGTATTTTAGTTCTGATCTCGGTATTTGGTTGATTATTAATCCTATAACTCAATCCTAAACTAATTAATCATAAAACTTGATTTGATTATTAATCCTATAACTTGTTAAATGTTTATACATTTTGGCCATCTTCAACTTCTTGGTTCTGAGACATCATGCTAACCACGTTCATTAAAAGAATAATGAAATGGCTTCATTTTACACAGTTCTTACTTTTAAACACTTTGATACCACTTAAAATTTAAAGACAAATGTTAAGATGAATATGTTAAAACTTTAAGACAGTACTTATAATTATTCTTGGGATTTGACCTTGATAATTCACTTATGCTTACTGTGCCCTCTTCTCCACTTGCAAATGAAGTGACAGTCTCGATCCACTTTCCAGAGGAGTCAACAAAAATGATTAATTGAGGCCAGGTGCAGTGGCTCATGCCTGTAATCTCAGCACTTTGGGAGGCCGAGGAGGGCGGATCACCTGAGGTCAGGAGTTAGAGACTAGCCTGGCCAACATGGTGAAACCCCATCTCTACTAAAAATACAAAAAAAAAAAAAAAAAAAAAAAAGAAAATCAGCCGAGTGTGGCGGCACACGCCTGTAATCCCAGCTACTCAGGAGGCTGAATCAGGAGAATTATTTGAACCCGGGAGGCAGATCTTGCAGTGAGCCAAGAATAAGCCATTGCACTCCAGCCTGGATGACAAGAGTGAAACTATGTCTCAAAAAAAAAAAAAGATTAATTGAGCCTTATAGAGTACCTTAAAATATATAATTGCTTTGGATATAGGCAAAGCAAATAACAAATTCTAAAGACATGTTTAAGCATAACTGGATGAAAAACTCAGGATGCAAATAGGGACCTGCTAATGCTGAACAAGGCAGAACATATTTTTGTGTCAGTTTTACTATTTTAAGTAAAGACTATTTAATTATAAAAATCAATTTAATCAGCAATAGAGTGATTTTACTTTAGTGTCTAATTGTAGGGGTGCTCCATAGCACAATTATAACCTCCTGTTGTGCTCAGCTCAGGACCAACTGTAATAAAATGTGACGATAGAGCAGTTCCCTTGATTAAAGCACTTTAATAAATAAATGATAGCTAGATGAATTTACCAGCTAGGAGGGAAAAGGAGCAGATGAAACTGTAAATCCTATAAGAACAGCTTTATTATTCAAAAAAATTTTATGGATTATTTAAATTGTGCTCTCTAATTACAATGGCTGATAATGTTTCATTTTGTTTAATAGCATTTGTTTTGATTGTATCATTATCACAATTAACAAGTTGCTCCAATATCTACCTTACAGTATCTTCCCAGTAATGTGAAGGATAATTGGATCTATGTGAATGTGCTTTTCTTTTCTGTCCCTAGGAGGAGATCATAATAGTCAGAAATCTGGAGAAGTTCCACTTGTAGAAAATTTATATTTCATAAGTACCTTACCCCACTCAAAACATTTAAGATTTATCTATTAACAGTTTAATATTACACGTCCACCCATTCTAATTGCTCCCTCACAAATTTTAATGATTACACTTTTCTTTGGCAGTATAGCAGTAGAGATAAATTTTCAATTTTTTCTTCTTTTTTGGTAAATCCACTGCAGTGTAGAGATAATTTTAAAAGATTTCAGTCTTCTCACATACAAGAATGTTGGGGAAACCTCTGAGCTGACCTGGGATCCCAGTCTTCCAGCTCTGGTTTCAGAGGTTATAAATGGGGACAGCCCTCACTTTCTCTCTTGCTTTGGATGGTCCCTTGGAGCTGATATTTATTTGTGCAACTTTCCTTGGTTGATTTCAGGGTGAAAAAAAAAGTCACTGTAACAGGAGTCAAGAAGGGGCTTAGAACCTAGTCATGTGAATATTTTCAAGTTTTTCTTGCCTTGTGTTTTTTCATCAAATGAGGGTAGGTGTGTGCATGTGTGTGTGTGCGTGTGTGTGTGTGTATGTGTGTACTGTAATTATATTATAATCACGACCAAGTAAAACATCCTTCACCAGCTTTCATAGAGTAACTGCAGTTCCTGTAGAAGGGAAAACGGTGTTGTGCTATAGTAAAAAGGATATGGGCTTGGTATTGAGAACATTTGAGTTAAAATTCCAGCTGTGGATTCACAGATAATTAACTTTTATTTGCTTTGCAAATTCACTAAACCTATCTGAATTTGTTTTCTCATCTGTAAAATGGGAATAATACAAACCTCAGAGGGTTGTTGTAAATATTAAGTATATAAAGTATATGGAATATTATATGCTTGTAATAAGTTGTGTTCTCTTCTGCTTCTTTGTATTCCATTGTGGTGGCTTACCACAAACACAGGAATATGAAAAAAAATAACATTGCAGCAGAACTATCAAAATAAGAATAATACAAAGGAAGATAAAACAATTAGGCTAAAGAAATGCCTAATCTTTTTTACTGTGACTAATTGTAGTACTTAGCTATCAGGTTCTTAATGGACAAGGGGACAAGAGAAACACACTAGGTTATATTATTGCCACTAGCTGAGAAAAAAAAAGACAGATTTTTTTTTTCTGGACCAACATATTTAAAATTCAGTATTAAGTACTTTTACTTTTATTCTGTATCTCAGATTTCATTAAGTTTTTACTTAAAAGTTGAAGATGGATATTCCTGTGATACAAATATGGCCACCTCTTTTTTTTTTTTTTTTTCCGAGATAGAGTCTCGCTCTGTCACCCAGGCTGGAGTGCGGTGAGTGGCTCGATCTCAGCTCACTGCAACCTCCGCCTCCTGGTTTCAAGCGATTCTTGTGCCTCAGCCTCCTGAGTAGTTTGGACTACCGGCGTGTACCACCAGGCCTGGCTATTTTTTTTTTTTTTTTTTACATTTTTAGTAGAGACGGGGTTTTGCCATGTTGTCCAGGCTGGTCTCAAACTCCTGAGCTCAGGCAATCTGCTCGCCTCAGCCTCCCAAAGTGCTAGGATTACAGGCGTGAGCCACTGCACTGTCCGCACCTCTTTCTTTAAAAAAGGCACTGCTAGCAAATAAAGGGAATCTTGGTAGAAGATGTTTGCAAGGTTTGCACTGAAGCTTATTCTATTGTAGAAACGATAGAAAAAGAAAAGCTGACTAAATGAAGAACATATGACCAGCTGATGCTTGTTTTCTTTCAGTTCAGTGAATTCGGGACTCAGTAACTCCATTAGTGACTGCACCCACATAGACCTTTTTCTAAAAGTCTCCACATTTGTCCAGTTGTTTCCTCCTTGGTCCAATGCCAACGCTCCGTCAATGCTATTGCCACCCCCATTCTGCCTCTTCCAAAAGCCTGCATCAGTCATGGAGTCCTCTTCACCTGAAATAAGTAAGTGTGAAGACTTTTGATTTTGACAGCACTCACCCACAACTGGTACTACAATTATAAAGAAAGGTGTAATGTTTTAAACTTTCTGACATACATTAATCTTTGGATTTTTCCAATGAGTAATTGGAATTCCTGGAGATTTTCAGGAATTCTACAAAACATAAATAATCCTTGAAATACATTCCTTGTAGTATTTATGAATATCTAAACACATTATTACAAAGATAAGTGAAATGTTACATTTTATATATTTACAAAGGGCTGTAGCTTATGGTGCATATTTAAATACTTGTGTATACACCAGTGAAGACTACTGAGTTATAGCTAAATAATGTAATATTCTGAACCTTAACAAAGTTAACAGCACTACACAGAATCATGTGCCAAAATCGCCAATGTTAAGATTTATTTTGCTGTCTAAACTTATTTCTTGGGACATCACTCACAGGATTTGTTTGAATTATGCTATGCATTAAATTTATTAATATAAATTTTAGTTGCAAGCATGATTTAGTTTTAGTAGTAGACAGGGCCATGAGCATACACTTAAAACAGGGCAATAGCTACAAGCAAGACACCTGATTAGATCATGAAACTTCTCTCCTCCTTCCTCTTGTCTGGTTCCCAGAAATGTCAACTTCAACCTCTCTGCTCTCCACTGGACTAGTAAACTTGACTAGTGGGTTTCTTCGAACCGGTAGTGTCTCTGTGTTGATTGTTATGTTTTTATCTCTTGCAAGAAATCATCACATCTCATTTTCTCCACTCCTTGACTGATTTTTTTTCTCCCAATGCAAAACACATAAATTACCCAAGAAATGCTGGAAAGAGATTCCTCATGATACTAGGAAATAGCTTCATTTAGGACAGTAGTTTTCAACCCTTGGTGTCACTTCAGATTCACCTGGATACTTTTAAAAAATACCTATGCCTGGGCCTCCACCCCCAGAAAATTGATGTAAGTGGGGTCTTTTTTTTTTTTTTTTTCCAAATACAGGTGGCTCTGTTGTGTAGCCATGTTTGAGAACTTTTCCTCCAGGAATGCCCCAGTGGGTTACTCTCCATTCTATAAATTCTACATTTCTAAGAATACACTTAAAAGCGTTTTTTAATTCTTTCATCACAGGCAAATTTATTTTTGTATTCTTCTAAATAGTTTGTAAGTTTTTATGGGAAAATTAATTTACTTTTGAAAATGTATTCTTAACCAGTAATTTCCAAATTTGATTAGTAATTTCAGAACCTAAGAGGTTGTTTGTGGCTTCCCAGATATTTTGAAAATAAATAAGATAAAATGTTATCTAAAAATAGTGTATGTGTCTCATCACCCCAAAGTTAGGCTTCTGAAGCAAGTGAATATATTAAAGACAAATTGAAATCATAATATTTAGGAGGTTAGTATATTAAATATTAGTACATTTATTATTACATTTTGGTAGTTATAGGTTTTACTCAAACATATTTTTAGTTATTAAAGAAATATATATGCCAATTTAGAAAGTCAAGTCATGAACAATTATTTATAATAAAAACAAAACTTACCAACCCTAGACTCCCTCTCCAGAAGTATCCATTTTTAATCCTTTTGGCTGTCCCAGTTGTTATCTTAGCATTTTTAATAAGATGTTTATGCTGTTATTTCTTGATGGAATATTTTTTGATGTCTATTTCTTTTCTGCTATGATAGCAAAGATTTAGCTATCTATTCTCCTCCATAATTTCCTCCATCCTTCCATTAAATTACATTATTATTTTTCAGTTGTGTACTGGTTACTTCTGATTTTAATTATATAGCTCCATCATTCTTTCCTGTAAATTAACTGTGAGCTGGGTCTCTTGACTCTTCACTTTATAAGATGAGGATGTGACTGCCTGTGGCCTTCTCTTCCACTGTCCCAAGTCTCCCCAAATCTACCATTTTTACTTTTGCATCATCACAGTTGATAAAAACACATTCCATTTTACATGTCTTCTGTATTTTACCTATAGATTAGTTTTAAAATGTGATAGCTAATATATAGTTTTCACATTCATCTGACTATAGAGAATTACACATAGTAAAGCCTATCAGACATTTGTATATTGAGATGCTCTCCCATTTCTTCACCTCTTTTGTATTCTGTCATCATTTAAAAAAATTTATATTAGGTATTTTTTCTTGACTTTCTTTGTCAGAGACCACTACACTCAATCATGGGCCCTTTTTCATACTCTTAACAATCAGGACTGGCTCTTGGATCAAAGTTGAAATCCTGGGACTTCCTTCTAGGTTAAGAATCATTTTCTCTCATATTTCAAAGGCATTATTGTATTGCTTTTTAGCATCCAGTATTTATGGTTAAGTCTTCTGTTGGTCATTTTTTCTGACCTGGTAAATTTTAATCCCTTCTGAAACTTTTTGAATTTTCTTTTTTATATTTGGCACTACAAAATTTTACAATAAAGTGTCTAGTTGTAATTTTTCATTAATTATCCTAAGCACTCACCCACTATTTCAATCTTAAGATTCATGTCCTTCAGTTCTGAGAAATTCTTTTTTTTTTTTTTTTTTTTTTTTGTGAGACGGAGTCTCTCTCTCTGTCGCCCAGGCTGGAGTGCAGTGGTGCGATCTCCGCTCACTGCAAGCTCCGCCTCCTGGGCTCACGCCATTCTCCTGCCTCAGCCTCCCAAGTAGCTGGAACTACAGGCGCCCGCCACCACGCCCAGCTAATTTTTTGTATTTTTAGTAGAGACGGGGTTTCACCGTGTTAGCCAGGATGGTCTCGATTTCCTGACCTCGTGATCCGCCCGCCTCGGCCTCCCAAAGTGCTGGGATTACAGGCGTGAGCCACCATGCCCGGCCTCAGTTCTGAGAAATTCTTTCTCGTTTTTTCTGTCGTGATTTTCACATCTTTTTCCACTCTGCTCTGATCATCCGAACTACTGTAGGTTAGTTATTGGACCTCCTGGAGGATATACTGAGAGAGTATACTCTCTCTTGTATATTTTCTCTCATATTTGTAATTTTTGGCAATGTTTTACAATCTTTATCTTCAATTATTTTATAACTTATTATTTGGGCTATAATTTTTAAAACGTATTAAGCTATATTATTGGATTTTCTCTCCTGGAGTCTCTCTCTCTCTCTCTCTCTCTGTCTGTGTGTGTGTGTGTGTGTGTGTGTGTGTCTTTCTGTTATATGTATATAATACTAATTTATCTCTGAGGATGTTATTTTCATTATTTTAATGTTCTCCTCTACTCCCTAAATTATGTCAGTTTCCTCCGGAATGACATTTTCCTGTTTACCACTAGTTTCTCTATTCCGTGGTGCAGTCTTGCCTCCAATACCTTATGATGTTTTGCTACTTAATATATTTAAAAATAAAGCAATATTAAGCACATCAGTAGTTCTCTGCACAGTGGTTTTTGATAGGTTTATTTTAGAGCAATTGGGCAGGCATGTGACTATTACAACTGTTAAAAATATCACAGTTAAAAAATATTTCTGGGGGGGTGAGGAATCAGGAAATCCTTTAGAGAAGAGACTTCTGATTTTTTTGTCCAAGTGATAGATGTCTGGGTGCTACAATGTGATACAGAAAGGCAAGAGTTTGACTTTTAATCAATATTCCTATTTTTCACTCAATTTTTCTCTTGTGTTGGTGTTAAGAAACCCCAACCTTCACCCTCAGTTGTATAACTTCAGTTTAACTCTTCTGGGCTGTTTCTTCTTTATCCCCACATCATCATTTTTGTTGTACTATCTTTCCTTTGTTGTTCACTTCAAGGATGTGGATAATGTTTGCACACTCAAATGCCCATATGGCCCAGGCAGGTAATTAAGTAAATGAGGAAGGCTGGTCCTTAAAAAATAAAAATGGACTAAGTATGCCCTGGTGCTGGAGAGAGTGCTACTACTTGTTTCAACTATGATTTATTCTTTTACAATTAATTTGGTGAAATTTTCAGAGGCAAAAAAGATCAACACATATGGTTGACATGTCATCTTGACTCAGGAGTTGTGCTAAGTGCTAAACTCTAAAATGAATTCATTACTTCTTAGTGGGAGGGCTTTAAGTCATTACTTTCTGTCAGACTCCTCTAAGCTACCTTAAATGAACAAAGGTTCTAGGTAAAAGTATGTATTTGCCATGCACAGGCAACCTCAAGGCATACCAAAAATGAAACATTTATTTTTTATTAAAAAAACTTCAATGTAGAAGGCCCTGAATAATCTAAAAGGCAGTAATTCTACCTTGATTTTGTAGTACCATGGCAGCATGTTTCATGTTTCTTTCTCATTTGGACCCTAGATATAAATTTAGGGCTGAATATTGAGACATAACTCAGAGAAAGTGATTTTGTATGGGTCTAGGTTAACGTGGTTCATTTATATAGCTTTCTGGTTGTATAGCTTTATCCAAAGATAGGGCTGAGTTATAATATATAACCTGAGGATCCGATGGATGGCATATTCTTAGATGGTCACTTTTAATATCATTTCTCTTTTCAGGCCATTAGCTAATGCAACAGAGAGTTAATGATCTTATTCTCAGATGGATCCTGAGTGTCATGGTTTTCTGATGCTGATTGAAAGAAGAATTACTAAGAATTATTTGCTTTGGATATGTGATGGTGGTAGGGTTGATAGCATATTGGATATTGAAAAAATATAAGTGTATTTTTGGACTGGAGGAAGACCTTTGAAGGGATACTTGTAAAGTAGGCTAAAAAGAAATACTTAATGTGTTACACCCTCCTTATGATTTTGGTGAGTTTATCAGAGTTAATAACCAGATATAACTTGATGGAGGCAAGAGAGTTAGGTCTCAGTAGTTTCTGTGAGATTTCTCCAAGGCACCTCAAATAAACGTACAATCTATATTAAAACCATGTGCTTTACTCAAAAAGATAATTTTAGGCCCTAACAAATAAACACACAGCGTGCTTTCTACTCTAACTAACTTCAAAGCAGCTTCCCAACTTTTACCCCCAACCGGATTTCTACCCTTAAGTTTCTCCGTTTTAGAATCTGTCTTAGTACCACCATACTATCAATGGAAATATGAAAACAGCATGTAACCACATTTTATACTTCTATCTGCGTTCACAAGATTTACTGAGAAATAGGGCATATGTGCTTTAAAATCCATAAAAACATATCCTAAAATATTTTATTCAGTTAAATCTGGCTTACTCAGGTATTTAGAGCAAAGAGTATGTTTTGAAGGTATTGCCTCACCCTATCAATTCAACATGATGCAGATGCCTCTATTAAGCCTGTCAGTTCCTCTACAGAACAGAGAAAATCAAATCAAAGCTCGACAAACATGAAGTGCATGGTTTGCTGCTGTGAGTCTTCACAATGATTATAGATCTCTAAACAACTGATAAAGTTGTGGCATTTGAAATTGATTGCTGAGATGAGCAGTGGTGCACACCACAGCCTGTCTTTTCCTTGCCACACGTTGCTTAACTGGCCACTCATAGCCATGTGTCTAGACCAATATCCCAACATGTGAGAGATTATTGGAATGTTGCAAACTGAAACAATTTCAAGGTAGGTTTAAGCTGCTGACATTGGAAAGCACCTCAAATAATTAGCATGTAAGCCCAGTGATATTCTAGGCTCCCAAGAAAAAAAAAATGTCAGAAAAGGACCCCATGTCCTTTTTAAGTTATAGACTAAGTAAATTTTTAGTCTCCTTAGAAAATTATCCAGAAAGGGAAATGATATGTTTAACACATGCTTTGCTTTTGGTATGCTGATATATTTTGGCTTTCTTAACTCATTTTATACAACCCAAAGAGCCGACCTCCTGCCAGTTTCTTTGGAGAGAGAGCTTATGGATTCTAGCTTCTAAACTTAAATTCTGCAACTAAATACATCACACTTGCAGAAAGTTTTATGAAGTATTTAAAAAGATTCTCTAAGGCTAAACTATAAAAGTATACTTTATCTACTAAACTCTGATCAAACCTGCCCCAGACTAAAAGCAAAGAGAGAAAACTTAATTTTTGGGTGGCAGATTGTATATCCTCCAAATTGCCACAACAATGTCTCCCATCTCCCATTCCCTTCCTTGATGTTCCTGTTATCAAGATGTGGGGTGTCTGTGTTCCTTCCTCTTGAATCTGAATGAGATTGTGATAATAGCAGAAATGATATGATGTGATTTCTGAATCTCGGTATAAAAAGTGATACAGTTTCTGCTTGGTTTTCTTGGGAGAGAACACAGTCATGTTATTGGGAACATGTTATAAGGAAGCCAAAGCAACCCCGTGGAGGAGCCACTGGGAAGGATCCAATAGCCAGAACCTTCTTACTAGCCCTAAGTGAGCCATCTGGGAAGTTGATTTCCAGCCCCAGCTGAACCACTCCAACTGACTATTTTATGATGCAGCAGTCAGATATCCCCACTGAGACCTGTACAAATTGCAGATTTGCGAGCAAAATAAGTGATTATAATTGTAGTTTCAAGGTTTGGAGTGCTTTGTTAGGCAGCAAGGGATAACTGTATCAGGGAATCAGACAACCTTATGGGCACTCAATTTGGTAGTGTTTTCCATTCCTCTGTAACAGGGCTGGGCAATGTGCAGGCTAAATAGTCTCTGCAACCTGCTTTTTCGAGCTCATAGCTAAGAATAAGTTTTACATTTCTAAAGGGCCATTGAAAAGAAAAACCCTAATCAACTAACCAACCAACCAACCAACAAACCAATCAACCAAACAAACAACAAAGAATATGTGACAGAAACTATATGTGGCTTACAAAGACGAAAATATTTTTTTAATCTGGCCCTTTACAGAAAAAGTTTGCTGACTTCTGCTTTATAATGGTGTTGTTCCACAATACCCTCTTCTTTTAGGCACTTAGTATAAACCGATGCAACTGGTTTTGTGCTGGAAGACAAGCTTAGCAACGGTAAGAACTCTCAGGTCTTTTTCTTAAGGCCTTATCATAACTGTCCTTCTACCACCACTGTGTTAATACATTTTCTGTTGCTTGCAACAAAATAACTGAAACCAGGTAATTTGTAAAGAAAAGGGATTCATTTCTTACTGTTCTGGAGGCTAGGAAGTCCAAGGTCAAGGGACCATAAATGATGAGAACCTTCTTGCTGGTGGGAACCCTCTATAGAGTTCCAAGGTGGTGCAGGGTATCACATGTGCTAATATGTTACCTCAGGTGGATCTCCCTTCCTTTCTTTCTTCCTTCCTTCCTTCCTTCCTTCCTCCCTCCCTCCCTTCCTTCCTCCTTCCTCCTTCCTCCTTCCCCCTTCCTTCTTTCTTCTTCTTCTGCCATCAGTTCCCCTGCCATGATAACTCATTTAATTCCTTAACCTGTAAATCCATCAATCTATGAATGGTTTAATCCATTTAAGAGGGCAGAGTCCTCATAATCTAATTACCTGTTAAAGGTCCCACCTCTCAATATTGCCACATTGGGGATTAATTTACAACATAAATTTTGGAGGGGACAAATATTCAAACCGTAGCAACCAAACTGAGTTTCAAAAACAGTTGCACTTTTTATTGGGTACCTTCATGCAAACATGTTGATTTCCCCATTAAGATGTAATAGACTATAGTTCAAGAAAATATATTTTGGATGTTATATAACTCAGAATCAAAAATAATAGCAGGAAATTGAAATTTGAAAACATTTTCTTGATATCTGTTTACATGCATACTATCTTCTTTCCTCTTCCTTCAAACACATGTATCTGGTACGTCTATAATTTCTTATCTAAGGCCTAAACAATATGAATTTGTCAACACAAATATTTTGTATTCATATGTAATGTATGTTGTAATTATATATTGGAACTAAAGTTTTCCAAGGTGGAAATTGAGCTAGAGGGTGTGAAGATACAACACCAAAAATTTTAGCATTTCTTTTTCCTTAGGTGACTGAATTGGTTAAATTTTAAGACACCACGTCAAAGCCAACTACCGGCCCAGAAGTATATTAAGCGCTTAACTGTGCTATTACGTGTGTTCATTGTACCAGTGAAATCACAGGCTTTTGTCTAGAAAAGTCACTTTCTCAAGTCGTTCTTCCATTAAACAGATTTTAAAAAATCTTATCTTCAATTGCAGATTCAACAACTCCGGATATCCAAACTTTTACCAGTGCAGTAAAAAGAATAAGAGTATTTTGGTATAATTGTGTTTGGATTTAGACAGGGAACTAACAGAGTTTGCAATTTTGAATTCTGCTTACTTGTCAGTGAATTGGGGAATGGGGTGACATTCTGAGGGCAAGAAGGCATGGCAGAAATCTACCTAACCTGATGTATGCTGAGATTGATTCATACTCCCACATTACATTTGCTTTGTAGATTAAAAAAAAAAAAACTCTGGATAAAACACTTAGGTTTGAAAGCTAGTTTTGAGTTGGTAAAAATTTTATTAGAAATATCTTTGGCATTTAAGCTACTATCACTTTGCCAATTGCCAGTGAAATGTGGCAATGGAAAATCCTGAATATCAAAGAAAGAAATGACTTTCACAATTAGAATACATTTGAGTACTGACTCACTCTGTCCTTTACCTGAGATCTTCGTGATTTTTAGAGAAAACAACATAATGCAGGCTTTATAAAGCTACATTAAATCTTTGATAGGTTGAAAATTGCTGTGGAGCTTTAATTTTTTGAAATAGGTTTTCAGTGCAAGGTAAAATTGATGTAATGACATAAAGAAGCAAAACAAGTAACAACCTTTCAAAGATATTCAACATAATTGTTACAAAGTGAAAAACCTTTTAGAACCCCCCATACATTTCAGCAAGAATTGTGTTGTTTTCCATTACAGTTTTTATAGAGCTTCTGTAACATTGGTTCATAAAATGTGTGTCTGCAGAAATTACCTACGGAAGTTAGAGGTAGAAAAGACCTGCTAGGGCATCTATTTCATTTAGAAGCTATCAATAACTAATGTAAGACATGACAATAATGCAACATTAAGGTTATACATTTAAACATAGAAGTCAGGAAATGCAAAATTCAAGGATCTCATAATAACATCAAACACCCACAGTACACAGATAAAATATTTTTGATTGCTAATTATACTGTTAAGTGTTATGCCTTAAAATGAAGCACATGAAATATGAACAAGCTAATGTTCCCTTAGGATACTTAAATGTCCTGGCTTTTATGTTTAAATTGGTAACTTTAAAAGTTTCATTGACATAGATTTTCTTTTTTTGTTTCCTTCCTTTATTTAAAAAAATGAAAAAAAAAGTTTCCATTGATCACTGATGTTAACAGTGTTAAGAATTACCCTCAGCCTCCATATAGCTTTCCAAAGAAGTTATTTTAAAATGGGGCTGGTAAAATTAGCCAGAATTATGGCCTACATTCCTTAGGATGCGGTCATCTGTGTCTCTGAACATCACCTGGTGCTGTGGTTTGACCCTTTCATTTAAGCATGGAACTGTCTTCCCTAAACAAATTGATTTGGTGTCACATTTGCAAATTTCTCAGTCCTACAAAGTACAATATGGAAAGAAATTGAGAGTGGTGATGTAACCACATCTGATAAATTTTGATTTGAAGAAGGCTTTTTAAGAGGGTAGACTCTCCTTTTCAAAAGATTATTCTTAATTAGGGCAATTAAAAGGAAGGAAAAAGGTAAAGCCATTATAGGTGCAAAGCACAGCAGCAAAAATATACATGGGTTTTGAGATTAGAAACTGAGTATAAACTTAAATCAGAGATTTGAAGATGGCATCAGTGGGGTAGTAGAAGGAGGGATCAGGAAGTAGATGATAACCTTTACTGACCCTTCATTGCTTAAGGTCTAAATGCTTGACAAGGCAGACAAAATCTCCCTACCCCAATTTACCACCTGTTTATCTCCAGTGGTAGGCAAATAACAGACTCCAAAAACGTCCATGTCCTAATCCCCATAACCTATGACTATGTTGCTTTACTTACCAAATATATATATATACACACACATATATAAAAATATATATACGTATATGTAAATAATTAGCAGATGTGATTCATTTAAAAATCTTGACATAGGGAGATGATTTTGGAATATCCCAGTAGGTCCAATGTAGTCATATGGGTCTTGATAAGGAGAATCAGAGAGGATACCTGATGAAAGACGAAGAGGTTGGAGTTATGTGAATGCTGGCTTTGATGATGGAAAGGGGCCACAAGCTAAGGAATGTAGGCAGCCTCTGGGGGCTGGAAAAGGCAAGGAATGAATTCTGTCCCAGAGCCTCCTGAAGGAATGCAGTCGTTGCTGACACCTTGATTTTAGCCCCATAAGATCAATTTGGGCTTCTGAACTCTAGAACTGTAAGAACAAATTTGTGTTGTTTTAAGCTACGATATTTGGAGTAATTCGTAACAGAAAACCAATGCACCTGTGCACATTCATAACAGTTGCATCATATTACTTTGTCTCCAAGGTGTCATCTATTTTAAGACACAAAACTAATTTCATAAGACTTGGAGGTGGGTGCAAAACACAACCATTTCTTCTATGAACTAATAATAATTTGTATCAATTGTATATTCCTATCCTTTTAAATAGCATAATTAAACTTGGAGCTCAAGTTTCCTTTACAGTCAAAGTTTAATGATTCTTCTGACTTTCTTCAGGCTATTAGAAATTATGTATTTTGGTCTTGACATGCTGCTTTTAATAATGCATGTTCATGATTTCTTTAGAGACAGATATTGTCATTTCAAGATGTTTTGTTTGCATTTCCTACTTGTTAATTCATGGTTCAATTTTTTCTTTAATTGAATTACATGTTGTTGGAAGTTTAATAGTTTCTCTTGAAAACCTAGGAGAAGCATTTGTCAGGCAGATGTTGGTGCCTCAGTGATAGTCCATCGCAATGCATGAATCAGCCGTGCTGTGCTTCACTACTTTTAAAAGTCTTATGATTTATTCTAAAACATTGTCTATATCTTTTGCCTCTAATTGCATTACCTGTTTGTAACAGTCTTCACATGCAAGCTGCTTCATAGGCCTCATAGAGTAATCTTTTTTGAAGACGTTTAAGTGACAATTGGGTATTCATATTTCAGTGAAAATTAAATTGCATGTGATGCTACCAACGCACCGAACTCAGACAAGTTAATGAACAAACACCTTTCACGCAGACTAGTTTTCTACACTCAGAACAAAAACTAATGGGTTACATCTTTCAGCTGAAAAGATTATTTGGTATTGATTACATAATACATCCTGATTTTTAGCTACATAAAACTGTGAAAAAACGTGCCCATCAGCATCAAGGAGATGTGGTAATACTGTGAATAATAGCTAATACAGCACAGTCCCGATGAGGACACTAAGGCTGGGAGAAGATAAGTAACTTTTCTGAGATTGCAGGGTTAGCCGGTGGCAGAGGCAGCATTCAGATGGAGTGGTGCTGGCTAAAGCCTGAGCCTTTGACCACGGCACTCTGTTACGCTCTTTCCTCTTTCCACCAGCTATACTGAACAGCTCGGTGGTCTATGAACATGCTGTTCTCTTTCTAGCCTCAATTTCCACATCTGGCAATTTCTCTAAACAGAGTGGTTAAAAATATGTACTCAAAAGTTAAATGATTAGAGCCCTGGCCCCACTACTTACTAACCATGCCTCGGTATCCTCATTTCTAAAATGCAGATTTCTTGGTACCTATGGCATAGGTTTGCAGTGAGGATTGTATGAAATAATGCAGGTAAAGTGCTTAGTATTAATTACAGGCACACAATAAATTCTACTTAATAAAAAGGAGGAGAGGAAGAAAATAAGGACTGATGCTTATGTTAGTTGCTTTTGAATAAATTCCACCACTCCTCACAGAAAATTTTTCATATCCTTCAATTTGATTACAGTCAGAAAAAAATTTTTGGATCATCTACTTTGTGCATACCCAGTGCCAGCTTCACTATCAAGGGAATTAAGGGATTACAAGATATGTAAGAATGCTGTGCAATGGGGAGAGCTCCCACACCAGAATCAATGGCAGACAGACTGTGAGCAATGGTCCTGTTTTTCTTGCTCTCTCTTTCCTCCTACTGCTTCAGTTAACGTAATATTTTTGGAATATCTTAATTGGGTAGACTTAGTAAAGCCCCATCTTTGCCACTGAATGTTGCTTGGAGAAGGAGGATTGATGGGAGACTCTTCAATCAACAAGTCAACCAGTACTGCCCCGCTGCTCAAAAATAATCTAGGTGCCTTTCTCAGCTATAAATTGGAAGTGAGTAGGAGAACTCTGATGAAGCATTTTAAAAATTAAAGCCTTAAATTTTGACAAGTAGTGATATTTGGTCTGTGTTATGTCAGTCTCTTGTATTCTATTTCAGAAGGTGCCTCTCTAGGACAGGGAGTCCTGTGCATTGCTACTCCTGCACGAATTTAGAAGATGACATTATCTGCCACCTGTTCAGGATACCACCTCACTCACCTTTCCCTGTTCTGAATATACACTGGATCTTAATGCAATTATCGCAGTTTATTACTAATGAAGGATCTTACGTGACTTTGTGCTTTGTTCTCATAGTCTAGGCCGCTGCCTTCACTAATCATCAGGGCTTTCAAATTCCCACATTTACTGAGTATAATACTTCCTTGAGGTATTTGCAAAACCTTTACTTGTTCTAAAGATGTGGTGAACTAAGTAATAATTTCTCTTTAAAAGTGTTTTCTGCACAGTTGAGTTAATGGAGACAGATCACTTTAACACTTAAGATAAATGTGTGTGTGAATGCACACCCACATAATATACACTCATATATACATATAGATTCAGCAGTAGCAAAGAGGAGGTTTGATGCCATTTAAATAAAAGCTTTGATTTTAGAAAAAATTGAAAATTAATAGAGACAATTCTCAAGGAAGGGGATTTTTTTTGAACTTAGGGAAAACCACTATTTCCTATATACTCTTGACCTTTGGTATATTATTTATCTAGTGGGTTGCAGCTAGCTTTAATATTTGAAGAAGGTCATATGAATAGCCAAATTCACATACCATATTTGAATAATGTAGGCAGCAGAGGTCTAGGGAATTAGCGTACTTAGATCAGGAAGTGTGAGTTCCAGCCCAGTCTCATTTCTACCCCTGATTTGTTGTTTGACCTAAGGTGAGTCATTCTCTTCTTTGTCTGTCAAGGGTGATAATGAGATCTCTTCCTTCTCTTTCTAATATAGATGTTGTGAAGAATGCAATAATCTCCTAACTGGCCTTTCCCCTTTATATACTACCTCCAGAGACATCTTCCTAAAACACTGTTTTGCACTGTAGCCCTCTGTGCAAAAATCCCTAGATCTTTTCTGTGGCATAATATCCAGGGTTCTTCCCATTTTTAATCCCAAGCAATTACTGACCATCTTCAATGTGGCCTGTGCTGTGCATTTTTAATATTAACTCTTAATCTTCACACCACCATGAGCATATTTAGTAAAGATCATGCCTTTTAAATGTAAAGAAAATAAAATCTTTAAAAACACAAGTTTGAAGGCATGTCTATTGGATTCTTGGCTCATGCTCTTCCCACATGCATATTTATACTGCTGCTACTTAGCTTGTGCTTTTATGCGTGCGCACGCACACACACACACACACACACACATATGCACGCACACACTTTTATTTATAACTTTATATTCATGCCCCACTTGTTTTCCAAAAGGATACAAGATGGAACAATAAAATTCACATGTATAACAACGCTAGTACATTAGTAATGAAGCAAAACAAGAACTATGAAAAGGAAGAGGAAGCAAGCATTTTATCTCCAGAATCTTTCCCCACACCATTTACTCCACCACATTTGCCCTGTGATCACACTGTTTCTTGCGTGGACTGCTGCAATGGCCACCTATCTTGTATCCCCACCCTGCTGTTACACCTGTATACTTCATGTTCATACAGAGGGTAGAGTGACTATTTTAAAAGATAAACCATGTATCTGCTTAAAATACTGTGCTGGCTCCATTATTTTTAGGTTACAATGTCATTCTTTGCCACAATCTTCAGGGCTATATGTAATCTTCTCCATGCCCAGATATCAGTCTTCATCGCCTCTCATTCCTTATCCACCTCACTTCAGTCATGGGTGGCCTTCATTATGATCCTTCAGGACATCTTGTCTACAGAGTTTTGCTTTTGTTGTCACCTAAGGCTTTTATGTTCTAATCCAAGATCATCGTATGTATGATTCCTTCTCATCATGTAGATATCGGCTCCTAGTTTGCTAGTTCTCGGTCAGTATATGGACAGATAAATTATTCTTTTTTAAATGTCTGCATGGTAAATACATATTTTCAGAGGATGGGTTAACTGCATTAAGGTGTATCTATTTGCCCAGTCTTTCTCAACTACAAAGAAAAAAATAAAAAATACCGAAACGATCATGTATACACATTAATATACTCGAGGGAAATTGTTTTTAGGAACCATTTTTTGAATTAGAATTACTGGATCAAAGACTATGGGATTATTATTTTTGATAGATTTTTCCAAGTCAGAGAGTTTGTTTGTTTGTTTGTTTATTTATTTATTTTGTGATAGAGTCTCTGTCTGTCGCCCAGGCTGGAATGCAGTGGTGTGATCTCGGTTCACTGCAACCTTTACATCCCAGGTTCAAGCAATTCTCGTGCCTCAGTATCCTGAGTAGCTGGGATTACAGGTGTGCACCACCATGCCCTGCTAATTTTTGTATTTTTAGTAGAGATGGGGTTTTGCCATGTTGGACAGACTGGTCTTGAACTCCTGGGCTCAAGTGATTCACCCACCTCAGCCTTCCAAAATGCTGGGATTACAGGAGTGAGCCACCACGCCTGGCCAGAGAGTTTAATTTTAAAGCATAACTCAGTAAAGAAAGTTTTTAGTCCTTTTAGTCCAAGCTAAGGTAGTCATGATGTGTAGCTTTATGAAGCTCTAACCTGATGCAAGCATAGAGCTTAGAAATCCTTGAGGAGTAAATGTCTTGAATGATTTTCCTTGATGTGCACTTTTCTCAGCAGGGTTTTATGTAGGAAATTTTATGTTGAACACAGTCTCTCACATTTCCTGTCGCTAACTAAAGGATGAGTCGTAGGCTTAGAGGTACTGGAATAAAAACAAGAGTTGACCTCCTGCTACGCACATTGGAAAGTCTGAGCTGTGTTTTTCCCTGGCTGGAGGGTCCCAGGCTTCTCTATGGGGATAAGCCGGGGGTCCCTTTGCCGAATACCCACCCTCTGCCTTCTCCATGCTCAGAAGGGCTAGCACCATGGTTGTCTCTTTCAGAAGTTTCCCCTGACTATATCTCTCCCTTTTCTTTACTCTTTCCACACTTACTGACTGCACTATTTACTTGGTCCTTGAAATATACTGTACTTTATCATTTATTATTTATTTAATTTATGTGTCTTGTTTCCCTCATTGGGATAGTGTGATGCTCAAGGGTAGAGATATTGTCCCACACTTCTTCCTATTTCCACACCTGATGCAGCAACCCATACACTAATAAAAAAAATACAAAGAGGAAGAATGGTCATCCTGCTGACTTTCCATTACTGCCCGTAGCAATGGACCTCTCACCACTCTTCAAACTAGTCTCCCTTTGGCCTATGATATTCAGCATGAGGCTACTAACCCAGACCAGGAGCTGACCACAGGTGTGGAATATTTTCATTCCACATGAATTTCAAACCAATATGAGTCATTTCCTCTGCTTTCTTAGCATTTTCTAACCCATTGCACCCATGACTAAACATTTTTAGGACAAAATTTCCATCACAACTCATTGTTAAGCTGACTCTAAGAAGAAAACAAGGTGTAGCCCTGAAGGAAAAAAGCATCAAAAACTTGCCAGTGAGAGAAAATTAGGATTATATCGTTAGTCATATGAATGACATGTCAGCTACAATATTCCTGCTCTATAATGAGCTATGCAGAGAGATCTCTTTCTCTCTCATATAGACACACATATATATGTATGTGTGTGTTTATGTGCATTGTGTGCATCTCAAAAGACTGCTAAAATGCAATTTCTAGATGCAGTCCTTACTGATATTTTCGTCCTCTGGCAATGTAACATTTGACAGGACTGCACAATTTTGTGCTTTTGCTGCTGCAAAGCTTAGTGTTTCAAAGGCTGTGTATGAAGTGCATACAATGTGAAGCTTTTGTTCTCATCTCCTCTGAATTTCTCACAGATTATGGGCACTCAGTCCATTGGATTGGTGCTTTGTCTTCACACGATACCTTAGAAGTTTGCATATACTTCTTTTGGCTTGCTTCTAGAAAGAAGAGCATTCACTGTCTAATGTTCTTTGAAATGAAGGATTGGGCACTTAGGCACTGCAATATGGCAGGAGCAAAACCAGCTGATTTTGTCTAAATTTTAATTTACTAGTTTTGGCTTTTGATGTTGATAATGATTGACTTGCTACTCTTTGTTACAAAAAGAAAACCATTGTGTAGAATGCTTAGTGCAGATTTAGTATAGCCCCTTTGTTGAAGAGTGGTTAGGATTATTTAAATTCTTAAGCTGTTGCTACTTAGTATTTGGCACAAAAACTGTAGCAAAGAAGAGAGAAAAAGTAACTATTCAGCTAATTTAGACTCCACAAAGCTTTTTGTCTCATTTTAGGTTTCAATGGTTAGATCTTTTAAAACCAGTTTTCACCAAAGTTAAACTTAGCAAACTAAGGCTATCCTCATAATAAATGCGTTGTAAGTAAAGGCATTTTTTTCCCCTAGAGATTTGACTGCTTCTCTTAGCAGTTATTAGACCAATAGTCCTTTCTATAATTAAAAAATGCTATATGTATTTTTAAAAATGCCTCAGTAAAATGAGGCATTTCTTAGCCCACAAGAAGTCCATAAATGCTTCCCAGTGACACTAAATATGAAATCTTTGAAATGCTCTTTTTTAGTTTAAGTATTTTACTGCTCTTTTTTTACTTCTGTCTTCAAAGTCAATTAGAAAAAATTTTAAATCACTTAAATATCTCTCTTCTACCATTCACTCATTCACTAAACATTTATTGGGCACTAACCATTTCTTACATAATAATTTCAAGATATCTGTGCTTGTAAAGCAGTTTTACCTTCACTTTTAATTGTACCAAAGCTTGAACATCAACTAAACTTTTTTATAAAGACTTCAGTATTGATATATCAGTAATTTAAGTAGGATGCTGTGTAATAGTACAGAGTATTTTTAATCTGAGGATCTCAGAAATACAGTAGTAGAATTAATAAAGGCTAAGTCGGTAGTGAGAGGACATTGGTAAGTCCAAGTAGCTCAGTCTATTTAAGGTAGTGGAAAGAAATGGCGACAACATTGCAGGCCTAAAAATCCTAACTGTGTAGAGTTGCTTGGGTATCCCTGACTTTCCAAGGCAATAGAACAATATTTGATGACAATGAGAATGCTTTTTAAATGTCCCATCTTTATTCAAGCAAAAACCCAGAGGTTAGAAAATGTCAAGCTGTTTCCTTCAGGTAGGGCTGTGTGAAGGTGATGTCTTCAGTCTGCATTGTTAAATGTCAAAGATATTAGTGGATTTTAATCATGGTCCTTATATCGATAAAAGCTGTGACTGTGGGATAATGAAACTAAAACTATTAGTGTTTTTAAAACCTTTTCTTATGGGAAATCTCAAACCTATTCAAAGTAAACAAAATAGCATAATGTACCCCTATGCACCCATCATCCTGCTTCAAAATGTATCAATATTCAGCCATTCTTGTTTTATATTTGCTTCTGCCCACTTCCCACCCCTACTTTATTATTATTATTTACAGTTCTATTTTGTGAGATATAATTTACAGATATTAAAGTGCACAAATAGCAGCTTTACAATTTTCACAAATACGTTCATTCTGTAACCCTGCCTATACCATAATGTGCAATGGGATTTATATTTACTATTGTGGATGCGATATATTCTGTATGTATTCATATGAGAGAGAGAGAAAAAAAAATTCTCCATCCATCTACTCCCTGATTCTTAGGCATGGTGGTTAGGTTTTATACATGGGCTCAAAAGACAACAGATAGATGAGCTTTTGTTTCCAAGTTACTAGGAAAAAATTTAATATTCATCCGAATTATAGACTCTCTGACATATCCTCTTCTTGTACCTCTTCAACATATATGTAACTATCATGAATTGGTGGAGAAAGAATCAGTGGAAGAATCTTCAGTCCCATGTTAATCCTCAGAGGCTTTTCTTTGTTAGAAAACTGGCTGGAGTTAAATTCACATAACATTATCTGAGGCTTTTACCTAAGTGAGAAAATATTAATTTTTCCTTTTGATCTCAGTAACCCATTTTTGGGCTTTAATTCAATAGCTTAATCATACCCTTAGATTCCTATAACTTCTTCACAAATCAGGAAATTAATAAACTTCTAGTTTATCCTGATGTGTCTTAACTGTGGAAGTTGAAGTCACATAGGTATGGTTGAGTGGTAGGTGGGCCATAAAGGAATCTCTGGGGCATATTGGAGGATGTGAGTAACAGGCGGTGTGAATTGAGAAGGTTCTACTCTACTTAGATTTCCTCTTCCTAACTTTGTCAAGCCCAACCAGTTGATGATACAGATCACTACAGATGAACAAGACCTTAATTCCATGTATCAGAGATATTCACAGTATTTCTTTCCTCTGTTGGCATGGAAAATTGCAAAGTAGTACCTAGACATTTAAAAAATGAAGTCAGAATTCTTCACTAGTTGCCCAGATGGTATTACTTATTCATAGTGAGTGGTATTATGTGAGGCTGATCATTATAATTCTGCAGAAAACTGCCTATATTCCCGTGTCACTCTTGAATAATCAAAATCCAGAGCTTCAATAAGAGTGCTCCTTATTTACAAGGTTAATTCCTCCAATAATGATGTCTACAATCTCACCCACATTTCAGAGCCGAGAATTTATTGCATGCAGCATAAACTCATTGGATATGCGTGTAAATAACCTTATTAAGAATGCAATAAGAGGATATACATTACTGTTCTTTTGGATCAGAAGGGTAAACACAACAAGAAAATGAGGTATTTACCACTAAGTTGTCCCGCTGATTTATTTTTCTGTGCCTTTTTTCATTTTGAGCCTTTAAAATGTAGGCTGCCTGGATACTCTGCCTTCACCTAAACATTCATTTCAAAATTCTAAATTTTAGAGGATGTGTGAATTGTCCCAGAGGACACAACCAGTGCCTATATGTTAACCTAAGTTCGAATTGAGATGAATGTTTCGGGTGAGAGTCAGTGAATAGCAAATCTCCTTTTGCTTTTGTGCTCCAGGTGTTTCTATTAGGATTCGATGTAACATATGATGGTGAATTTTTCCCTTCCAGTATAAACAAAACTCAATTGATCTAGTTCTAAGCAGCACAACTGTAAGTAGAGGCCAGAGCCAATGCAGAGCAAGATGTATTAACTCTTCGGCTATCTCTTGTGTATGGTCTGTATTTCCAGTTCAACTCTAAGTGCTTGGACACTAGAAAGTTGTTCTCTACTTATTTTCTTCCTAGAGACAGCACTCAGGATCAAAATGTGCAGATGAGAATAACTCCATCAGCCAAGTGGTTTACTGGGACACAAGGTTACGTATTATATAACAGAAAAGCCATATCAAAGCTGTAATATTCTCAGAGACATTCCCCACAGAGTTACTCAGCATAGTACTATACACTTTTCCAGTCCTTGAAACAACAACATATTTTTAGGAAGATATTAGTATCTTTGAGCTTGTAACAGCTGCTGTGATATTCCTTTAACTGAAAATTATGATTAATAGATGACTATTTGCTATATTACAAGTATTGTAAAGTGGAGTAGAGTCATGAGAAAAGCGTTTGTTTTATGATAATCCCAAAGCAAGAGTCATAATAAGTGCACTTAATAATCCATACATTTCTCCAAATAAGTAGATTGTTGAGAGTTACACATTTGGTTCATTCTCTGATTTGCAGGGAAAAGATGAAGTTCCTTACCTTTTCTTTACCCAACACCCACAAGATTCCATTTTGAGTTACCTTGCCCTATTTATACTTACCTAAGAATCTAAAGAGAAGGGTGATTTCTCAATTTTTATTGTTCCAAATCTATGCCTCATAAAAGTAGAATGTTTTAGTTGCTTAAATATTTCATTTAAATCAGATAGACATGTTGACTATCAATAGCAGAAAGGAAAGCAAGATAACTAACAGAAGGCTTGAGGTCATGTGGTATAAGGAACAAGAACCTAAAATTTGGGAGGAACAGGTCCACCTCTTCCAGGTGGCTTTGAATTCAAATGCATGAATGTAAAGTGTGTTAAATGAGACCATCAAAGTGGTAACTGCTTACTCATTGTGGTGCCAAATTATCTTCTAAACTTATACTAGCATGTTCCATCAGTGTCAGCTATAACCAGATAGACCAGTTGTTTCTAATTCTGATTTTTTTAAATGTCTGAATCATTGGTAAAAGAAAATTTATTCTTCTTTGTCCTGTTCAATTTCTTTAAAAGAGGCCTGGATTGGGGGTGAGATGGTTTTGGCTCCATTTCTTGCCCTTGGGCTAACCAGCCGGTGACCTTGGATCTTTCGCCCGTTTGGGCCTTGGTTTTCTCTTTGTTAAGTGAAAGAGTTGGGCTGTATGCTTCCCGAGATTCCTCCCAGCTCTAAAATTCTCTATTCTACATCACTTAAAAGCTATTTTGTTTTTATTTAATTATATAATACTAATCAATGACAATTAACTGTCTTTGGAAATGTAAGTCTGTGATGGGATCTGACAGAAACGCTTGCTTTCAAAATATATTGCTTTTATAATTAATATGACCAGGCATGGCAGTCATACAGTTGTACACTAAGGATCTCTTCACAGAAGAGATGTCCATTTGGAAAATCAGATAATTCTCAGAAAACTCAGAGAAAAGTCTAAATTAACTTTGAAACCATGCTAATAGATTGCTGTGCATCCTTCTTCACTATAGAAATAAACCTGCTGAGAAGGCTAGGTTTCTAAACCTAGAAGGGCACCCTTTTCTATGGCATAAGCTTGACACACAACTACACAAGTTACCCTCATCTCAACCTGTAATTGCAATATGTAATTCTCAACTCTTGTTTACCAGGATTTCACCCTTCTGAAGACCTTGGGTATTGCAACTTTAGATATGTAATTGATCTTCTATTGCTTATAGTTTTGGGGTCCTTTCCTCTGTGGAATTTGTCTATACACCCTTATCCTCAGTACCAAGACATTTATATACAAGTTTTTAGGATGGACACTTCTCTAAATGGTTGATCAAATATATCGATTATGGTTAACTTCACTTGTAGAAGTTTATATTTTGCTTACTTTCTCCTCAAATTCTAGGTAATTTTTACTAATTTCTTATGTTAGAACTTTAAAAATACCTGCTACATTCAGAAGTTCTTAAAAAATGAATGATTTTTATTCTAAACCACAGTTTAAAATGTTTTAAAAAGAATGACTACCTCTAGCCATCCTCTAATCCACTGCTGTAATTCAGAGCCTATCTTTCTCTTTGAGTGAAATCGTTCAGAATTGCATTTTCCAATTATTTATGGTGTCAACATGTTTCTTTTATTTATACAATGAGGTGGTCAGCTTGAACATATCGTGCAAATGTTATCAGAAGTAAGAGCTCAATATCAACTTCAACAAAATGAAAGTTATCATTTTTGAAGTTGTGATTACATATCCAAGTGGATGATGCTTAACAAGTTTATTCTGCAGGTTCTGTGGGAGTAGCTCATCTTGAAATGCCATTAAGGTGTGATTCTCCTCAAATTTAAGTTTTTCTCAGCACTCACATGTTAGAGATTGAAAATTATTAAAGCATACTCTTAAAGTTGTTTTTTAGTTAATGGATGAAGCTGTGCTCCAGGGGTTTAACTGCATTATTGAACATACCTTGGAAAGAACTAAAATTGCTGAAAAGTCTTCATTCTTCCCAACTCTATTGTTTTGCAGCTGGGTAGGAATACAGATAAGTTATTCAATATTTATATAAAATAAATCTCAAATCTCACCAACTCTATAACTAATAGGTAAGTCATTTAAAATTTTTATTTCAGGTATTTATAGAAGCCTTGATTTTCAAATATATATATATATATATATATATATATATATATATATATATATATATATACACACATATGCCATCCTTTATGAGTCCACTGGGATAAACAATCAATTTTTTAAAATTTACAATCTATTCTCTGCTTTAAATTAAATCAGTAGAAAGCTACAATATTCAGTTCTCAAAAAATTTCATTTCAATGATTGATTAATTTATATATTTGACTAGTATTTATTGATATTTTGCTATTTACTAGAAACTCTTTTAGGCAGTAGTCATGAACACAGTCATGGCTCTGTACTCATGGACTGCCACAGAGTGACACAGATACCCAGTACCATCAGGCAATGATCAGAGCTATGAAAAATAAGAGAGACATCGTTTTTAATACTGTGTTTATTGTCCTGAATGCCAACATAAGGGTTCTGGAACAGAGCAGAGTTATGATTATTTATTTATAGCAAATAATAAAATGCTGTTTTTCCTATCCTCCAGTATCCACCTTTCAGCACGATGCAATGAGGCTCAGGTGCCACTCTAAATATACTGGGTTTGTATGAAATGTCACAGAGGCAAGGAGGAGCACCTAAACCAGACTGGGACTGGGACACATAAAGGAAGTTCAAGAATTAAGTTTGTTTTTTGCTGTATGTCACAGAAACTTAAAGAAAGTGCTTTATGTTATTATTTTATCTTATTCTTTATGTAATAGTCTGCAGGCAGAAAGTCCAGGGTTGTTATGGTGATATGATCACATCGATGTCCCAGATGCCCTCTAGCTTTTAGTTTTGCCATCCTTACACCAATGTTGTTTTCCTCATGCTCACAAGCACAAAAAACCTATTACCCTTCTAGACCTTATGTTTCAATTCTAGAAGGAGAAAAAGGGAAAAAATGAAGGGCAAAAGATACACTGAGTAGGTTTGCTCCATTTCTCAGGAAGACAGTAACACTGAAAAGCCCAACCCTGTAGTTGCCATTTACACTTATTTGTCAGAACTGGATCACACGCCCATCCTCAGATTCATGGGATTGTGGAAAGCTAAGTATTTTCAAACAGAAACATTAGCCATTAAGTTAATTTCTATTCTATTAGAAAGAAAAATTTAGCGAATAGATATTAGGAGGGCACTTAAAAATGTCTAGCACAGGGATGATTTCTGCAGAAACTGAGAATGAAAGAAAGAAAAATTATCAGCAGACCATCTAGAGACTTACAGGAAAGAGAGATTTCTTGCAATTTAACTTTGCTTCTCAACTTTTTTTTTAAAGAAGCAATGATAAGAAACAGTCTAAAAAAAGAATGGCTGTGTTCTTTGTTTTCTGTGAGTTGCTATTAAAAACACTGTTCATATCTTAGTCAATGGTCCCTTATACACTCTTATACACTAAATCCCCTTTTCACTGTTTGACGTTTGTCCTTTAAATTTGTCACAAAACCTTTATTATATCTACTCTTCTTATTTATAAGATCCTTTAAATCAGTCTGGAAGTATAATAATAATCTAAACAAACAAATGTGATAGCATAGTGAGCTTGAGGAAACATACTTGATTCTTAAAATATTTTATTAACCAGATATCTAGTACAATGGACCCTGAGATCCTCAATAAACAGAATACACAAATGTTGACAAAAACATACTGTCTTTGTTTTCTGCTGCTACAACAGAATATGGCAGACAGGTCAATTTATACACAATAGGAGTTTACTTGGCTTATCATTCTGGAGGCTGGAAAGTTCAAGATCAAGGAGTCATATCTGGTGAAGGCCTTCTGGCTGCATCATAACATGGCAGAAGGACAATCACATGGTGAGGAAGAGCAGGTGCAAGAGACAGAGAGAAAAATAGGGGTCAGATTTATGTGTTTATCAGGAGAGTACTCCATCGTTTTTCCACCATTTGGCTAAGATAAAGTGTAGGAGGACACTCCTTGTTCTCGAGATAATGGCATTAATCTATTTATGAGGGCAGATCCCTCATGGCTTGGTCACCTCTGATAAACACCACCTCTTAATACTGTTACAGTGGCAATTAAATTTCAACATGGGTTTTGGAGGAGACATTCAAACCATAGCACATACCCACACATATCACTGCCCAGAATATTTCCTGTGTAATGTAGGAATTATACAAAATAAAATTATGTTAAAAACATGTTAAACTATCAAAGATATAATCTAATTCCTTAATTTCAGATTATATGGAGTATTTGTTTCCAAATCCTTCTAAATCCTTTTGGCTTATATTTCTTAAAACTTGAGGAAGGAACACCTCCTCTGAAAAGAAGGAAAATTCCTTAGGATGAATATCAGTAAACACAATTACCTATGGAGTTTCCATTTTTTGCTGAAACAGTGATTAAAAGCTGACTTCCATAAAGCTGTTTATTTTAGTAATGCCTTACCTTGATTTCAAGGTTAGAGCTCCACTGTGGATCGAAGTCAAATAAATCTTCACAAATAAACTTGCAGGATCACATGGTTCAAGTGTGGCTATTTGGTAGTCTTGTGCCTCAGAAAGCATAGGGGATAATGGACATTCTTTAGGAGAAGAAATCATAACCAAGAGGCATGATTTACACAAGGCTAACAACATTGATTAGGTTTTGCACAAATTATTCTTGAGGGGTCATTATATCTGTATGAAACTCATTTTCCAGACTACTGATCATATTCATAAAAGTAATAGTTTTAGTGTTTTACCTCCTGTTTTAATTTCATATTTGATCAATTGGAGAGTCTTCCTTTCAGTGTGAATTTTATTTCCTTTTTCATCTTGATTGCATATTGATCTGATTGGACATGAATATGTGGAACTATTGCTGCAAACTGGCTTTTCACATCTGTAGACTAGGAGTTTATGGATGCACTCCCACCCTGAGGACATTTTACTTTTTGTATTCAGATAATGAGCAAATATTTGCTTGGAGTGGAGTTCAGAATCAGTATGGGGCAAACACATGCATTACTTTACTTTTGTTTTTCTATTACTACACAGATTATTATTAGAATTACTATAATGTTAATCTTTAATTTCTCATGAAAGCCTGAAATTCTGAAAACTAGAACACCATAGAAGTGCTGTTTTCAAAAAAACATTGCTCAAAAATTTATATGCACAAAAATGCAACAGATTGCTAGCTACTCTAATATTTATTCCACCAAAAAAGAAAGAAAAAAATCATTACATCATTTACTCTGTTCTAAAGCTTGTTAGACACCTGAAGGCACAAATGAGGTAGTCTTTCAGCAACCTAACATTGGTCTTTAGAAATGGTGAAATCAGGAAGCCATTTAAAGTTTATTCCCCCCTCTATTAAGAATTCTTTTGGAGAAACAGGAGAGTTGCTGTTTGGCACCTACAAGTGCATAGGAAACCTGCTGACTGAGAACTGGCCCAGGAATCCAAATCTTGAATGGATTTCTTGTTCATGAAAGGCTTGCTACACATGCCTGTGTTCACAGAGAGGGTAGGGAGATGGGAATGGTGGTCAGATAAAAATTCCAACAGATTTGTGTCATGCTTCAAAATGTAATATTGTTCACCTTCCAAAATATTTATTGGACCAAATAAAAATATTATTTGACCTAATAATTGTTTATGTAAAGGTTAAAAATGTTTCAGGAAATAATTTTTAAAGGACACCAGTTTCTAAGAAAGAATTGTGTCTGCTTGCAAAATAGTCTTTTAGTGGCCTTAATATCCCCAGCTGTGTTCATTGTGGGGAAGAAATACATTGGGTTTTAAATAACACGAAGTGGTTTCAAAAGTTTGTTTTAAATAGACAAAGTATTTAACTGTGGGAAAAAAAGATGAGAGCTGGAGGCAAATTGGATTCTATTTTTCCAAAGCTGAAAGTATGTAAAACTGTACCAAAAAACCCTTTGCCCAGCAAAATTAGCAGATGGTCTAAATCCCCTTGGGGTACACAGGCTCAATTCAATACTTATTTGGGATTATTCATTCAAAGGGTATGATCTCTTCTGAAAATTTAGTAAGCTGGGTAGGAATAAACTGTATTACTAAATTTGAGCTTTATAATTTTTCTAGTGTGATTTAAAAATAGTTATTTATGCTTTGGAAAAACAAGAATAACACTCACATTGGTTATTGCTGGTGTTAAACTATTTTCTTACAGAGGTAACTCTTATATGGATTGAACTTCTGGAACTGGGCTTGGTGAAGCAAGTATGATTCTATCATCTGTATTTGAGATAAAGCTGGACAGATAGTGAATACGTGGGAGACCAGATTTAGGTCTCCAAAAGAATCCTTCCCCCAAGAATAATGAGTCAACTCAAATAGAATGAAGTTTATTGTGAATAAATATAATTTCTTTCATTTTGGGTATGGACAAATAAAAACTAAAAATAAAATTAATTATAGGATAGGAGAGATGGAGTTTAGCAGCAGCATGTATAAAACTGGCTTGCTGTATTGGTCAGGATTCTCCAGAAAAACAGAACCAATAGGGTATATCTCTGTCGATCTCAATGTCTTAATGTCTCTCTATCAATTTATATATCTATCTAGGGAATGTTTTAAGAAAGAAATTGGCTTATGCAATTGTGGGGAAGTCCAAAATCTGTAGGGCGGACTGGCAGGCTAGAAATCCAGTGAGGGGTTGATGTATTCCTGAGCTTGAAATTGCAGCAGGTGGGAACCTCAGGTAGGGCTTCTATGTTGCAGAATTGCTTCTTTCTTGGGAAACCTCTGTCTTTATTCTTAAGGCGTTCACATTGGATGAGGCCTATTTACATAATGGAGGGCAATCTGCTTCACTCAAAGTCTACTGATTGTAAATAACAATCATATCTAAAAACCATCTTCATAGCAACATCTAGATTGGTGTTTGAACAAACAGCTGGGCATTATAGCCTAGCCAAGTTGACACATAAAATTAATCGTCATACTTGCTTAACAAAAATATGTTTTGGGAGGCATAGGATCTGGAATACTTAAGTAGTAGTTCTTTTCAATTCTGTGCAGTGTGCTCACTAACTCCCACCTAGAGGATTATATTTGATTCTAGAACCAGACATAGAGAAGAGGATGCTGCTACACTAGCTGTAGGGTATTTAGAAGTGAACATGATATTAGGGAGGATTTAACCTATTATAAGAATGATTGAAGGAACTTAAGTTGTTTTGCCTGAAAAATGGAAAACTTGGAGATGATGTATTAGCTGTATTCAGTTTACTGTATTGAAATATATAGTGCTGTCACACATAATTTGTATTGTTCCAAGGAGGAAGAATAAGTAACTATAACAGAAAGATAGAGTTTACTTCAACATAAGGATGAATTTGCTGATAGTCATAGTTGCTCCAAAGATAAAATGGACTACCCCTTATCAAGAACTGTGAGCTCTGTAGCAGGTTTACAAGCACAGATTGACTGGTTTCATTTGACAGGGACATATGTATATATCCCTATATATACACACATATGTGTATATATATGAGTGTGTGTGTGTGCAAGAGAGGGAGAGACACTATAAGACTATGTACATGAATGGTTAGAAGAGATTCAAGCATTGAGGGCGTATTGGATTAATTATATGGCCGCTATCATTATTCAAATGATTTTTGAAATAATTCTATGAATTTTATTTGACATTTGAAAAATTTGAAGCCTATAATGATTTTACATGGCTATGCAGAGCTAGAATAGAAACTGGTTTGACTTCTGCTAGACTACACCTCAGTCATCTGTCCTTTGGTGTGTATTACACTTAGTTTTTATCAAGAATATATATAGAAACAAACAAATAAATATTAATTAATGATTAAAATTAAATGTCATTCTACAGTTCACACTAAGTCATAAAATTTTTAAAAAGACTATTTTTTTAACAGTAAAATTAAATTACTAAGACCATGTTGTGTTTGTTTCTGGGAGTGGGTTCACAGTGCAGGCAATGATCTTAAGATGGTCATAGACACTTTCTCCAAATCAATTTGAAAAGTTAATTATTTGTGTTGGAAACTTATTCATATTTATTTAGTAGCCTCATTGCTACTTATCAATAGGGTAGTGCTTATTTTACATTATTAAATGATTTTTCTTTCTTATGAAAAGTCTGTATTTTAATTTTTTAGAAAACTCCTTTATGGACAATGGTTTTATAAAATCTGTTAGACAATGACTATCCTGAAACAAAAATTAAGTATATGGTGCTTTTTATATGCTGAAAATATATACATGCAACTTTGATGCTGGGCCCAATGGACATTCCCTATAAATGGGCATACAAAACCTACTCTTTAACTCAGGAGAATGCCAGTACTGACCAGCTGGGTAGTGCTGTCCAAAAGCAATGAGATTTTAGTAGAAAATGATCCCATAGTAAGAACATATTATTGACTTGTCAGACTTCTAGATAAGGTGGAAAACTGGAAGCTCAAAGGTTTAATCCAGTCCAAATATGTGCAAATGATTAAAAAACATGAGCAGCATATAAAATTTGGGTGATTTCAATATAAAATTCATATAAAATTTGGGTGATTTCAAATAAAAACCTTGATTGCTTTTTTTTTGTAAAAAAAATGAAGTTTCTGGCAATGTTGGATAATGTATTCCTGGATGTCAGTAATCTTCTGGAAGAGTGTAGCCAACCATTGCTGCCTTGAGGAGAGGAGGCGAGCTGTGTGCTTTCCAGTTGGACATGATTCCTGTTACTTGCTGAATGTGTTCACATGCCCATTCACCAGGTGGCTCTTATCACTTATTTATATCACCTTCCAGCCTTGGTGGTCCTTGAAGTTTGTTTCCTGTTCTAGAGAAGAAGGGATTCTCAATTTAACTACTGGGTTCAGGACAAACTCCCACAATTCTATAATGTGTATTGAAAGTATAGCAGTAGCCTATTTCTAGCTTGCATGTTGCTTAGAATTGTTGGTTTTAAAAGGAATAGCACTATCTATGACAATAGAAATATGATTAGAACAATTTTTCCTACCATTATCCAGTTTGTGGCTTTCAACAAAGATTTGCTGGAAATACAAACCACAATTTCAGTGCTTTTATTGTCAAATAGGACAGTATTGGTGAGCTGATACAGTAATTGCGCTTTAATAGCCATCAGCACTCCAATTTACAATTATTTTAAATTTAATGCTTTGATTAGGCATTTCCAGAAATAAGTAAGCTTAAGTAATCCAAGAAATAAGGAAATGCCTTACAAATCTGGGGATGATTTAAAAGCTTTCTTAAAGTTATTCAATATCAGTTACCTAGTAAAGCTAGTTCCTGGAATTGATCATGTGTAAATAAATAACTGCGAAGAAATTATAGTACAATAAATACTGTATTCACCATTAATTCTTCATTGAAACCATCGAGAATGTATCAGTAAATCTTATATATAAGGGGAATTATTTGAAAATACCCAAAAAAAACAAACAGATGTTTAAGTATCATGCCATATATGAACAATATATCAGTATTTCCAGTAATGGTCTTAAAGTAATAAATTCAGCATTTTCAAAATAACATTTTCTCTTTTTGTGGTAAAATAATATGTACAATACAATAAAACTTTAGCCTCATAGCTGCTTGCTAACTTATCAACTAACAATTCATGCTGATCAAAAGTAAGGCTAATTTATTCAGCTTTTAGACTCCTGAGATTAGAAATATTTGGGTAAATTACTTGTTGAGCTGGGAAATCGATTGTACTTATGTATGAAGCTTGTTTGGGCCTTCTTTCAAGTGTGGCTGAGTCTGTTCTTATAATTCGTCTACAATGCTATGTGGCCTGAAATCCCATTAGGACATAGAGCCAATTTATTTGTGTATAATAAGAGTATCTCGACTACAACTCATTTTGTAAGTAACTGAAAAGCCTATAGCTCTCCTATAATTTAGCTCTGCAGTAAGAAAGCCATTACACTGTGTCTATGAGATACCAACATACTAGTTAAAAATAAAAGGTAAAGTGATCTGGGCCAGGGTGGGGGATGAGGGTGAGATCTCTGATGTTCAAAACTATTTTCTGGCTGCTGGATTAACTGATTATTTCAATCCAAGTGAAAAATCAATGTACATATGTATTTATGTTGCTGAGTTTAGGCCCATTGTAAAGCAAAAAAAGGAGCTCTGAAAATGAGGCCAAACATTTGGATGGATGCTACAAACTTCATGAAGCATAGGGGTTTAGAGATAAAAATTTCTTATGTTTGTTTTATAATGAAATGTTTTAGCGTGAAGCTAAAACTTTGCTTTAAAGAAAAAATGTAATCTGCTTTTCCCATATTGAAAAGGTGCTTATACTGAATAATATAAAGGACATAATTCTCCCATAAGCAAGATCCTAAAGTACTGACTTACTAACGATGCTTAATTTACAGCTCCCTGTGACAAGGAGGGCTTTTTACTTTCATTTTCTAACTGGAGTAATTCAGTCATTGAGAGTTTAGTTATATGACTTTTAAAGGATGACAGGAATGAACCATTTAGTTTGAAGAAATAGTTACCAGTCAGACTGCCTTAATCTAAATTCAACCTTCTTTAGGAACTAAAGGGCACTGGTCACTTTTCTCTGATTATGAAACATTAAGTCCTTTTCTGCACAGGATAACTCCTCAGCTTTCCACTTCTGGTGCTATCAGATACTGATGAATATTTTATATGCCTAAAATTATTCCCTGATAGAAGCATATGCTACTTGTACAACTAATCAAATATTCAGCCAAGTCACCCAGCTTGTAAGACAAGAAATCTCCCTGATAAGGGGCTCAATGTTTTCCAATAACTGGTAAAATTTCCTTTGAAATTTTGTGGGATGTATGACATTGTTGTTCATCACATTTTAAAAGCAAAATAGTAACAAATAATGTCAGCTACTTTATCTCAACTATTTTATATTTTCCTTGCTGAAAGCCTGTAATGGAATTACTACTGTCTTTTTAGCTAACCAACTTGTAGGGTATATGGGTAGTGGTATTCAATATTTATGAAATGCTCATTTTCTTATAGGACAGAGCTACTGATTTTTTCTATAAATGACAGAATTTATTAATTCCTACTTGAACCTGTTGCATTTTCATTTTAAATTTTAAAATAGTAGAAGACATGATGGATATGCGTTCAAAGCGAAACCTGAAACATTGCTTGAAAACATCTAGCTTGATGCTTCATTATAGAGTAAAACACACATGAGTCTCTGGAGAATGAGAAAAAGTTGCAGTTACTGTCAACATAATTAGGAAGACCTAAAAAAAGTTTATCATGATCACTTAAATTACTTATCTATTATTGATACATAATAAATGTACATATTTGGGGGTACATGCAATAATTTGATACATTAATGATTTATGTTTTTAATGAGTGCTTAACCCCCTCAAATACAAGACAGATTATATTAAAGGTATTTGAAAAATCAGTGGACTCATGCACTTCACTATTCGTGGGTAGAATAGTATTATAAATATGCTTTTTCGTGAAGCTGACACTTCCCTGCAGAATATGAGCCTGGATTTGTTTGGTGTAGAAAGTACCAAGCTCTCACTCAACACTAAACAGAAGATAGAAGGCAATGTGAATTGCTTCTGGCTATTATATTTTTAGTGGTTACATTAGATTTAAAATCACTTACCATTTAGGGAAAGAGTTTGGTCCAGGGGGTTGACTAGAAATTTTAAGAGGCCGAACTCTTAGATTTTAATCTCAGTTCGCAGTAACCATAGGCAACTTGCCTCTATCCCAGAGGTAATTGAGAACGTAAATGTTGTTAAAGTACCCTGAGCCAATAGAATAAAATGAAATCTTATAAAGGTGTAGGCCAGTGGAATTACCGTTAGCGCAATGTGCTTTTTTCAGGGTAGCCATCATTATTAAATGGCAGACGGAGTAATATAAATCAATACAAAAGGCTTCAATCTTCCACACAGTTATCCCTAAGCACAGTAGTGCATTTCAGTACTAAAATAGTAGCAAAGTATTTCACTACTTCACTACGGCCAAAACATCTTGAAAAGTGTTCGCTGTGGTGCCTGTGTCGCAGGTTCCCACTCTTCTTTCCAAAGAGGAATCATAATAGCTTATGGAGTGGAATGCTTAGATGACTTCCAAATTGGGTCCCAGGCTCCAAAGGCTGGTGGAGGTGGGAGGTGCTTGGAGGCCCCTAAACAAAAGCCGAGGTTATGAAGCAGTTTCAGTGTCTAGCTTCCTCTTGACAATTGGGTCCTGTTGGGTTTGCTTGCATTGTCAGCCTCTTAGTTATTATTATTCCAATCAAACAAGTTTTCACGGTGATATTCCATATCCCGTTTTCATCACTGCATGAAATGTAGTATTGAAAGGGCCCGGCATCTTTCACGAAGCACAACAGGACATTGATAACTGTGCAGATTAGCTCCCCTTCCAATCCCAGGCCTTGTTTCTTACTTTATGATTTTTTTTCCAGCAGGCTTTCCCTCATCAGGCTGATGATAGCTCACTTCACATATACCACTCACGACATCTGTACAGTATAAAATACAAGATCAAACGCAGGTAGGGGAAAAAAAGAGAAAGGGAATGAAATGAAAACAAAGAGAAATAGAAGGAAACAAAGGTCCCTAAAAGATGAGCTCAGATTTCATGGTGGTGATGATTAGTTTTGTAAAACCTTGTGAGACCTGTGGAAGCATTTGCTTGTCTAAAATTCAGTTTTTTCTTTCTTTTTTTTTTAAAGACATTTCAAAAAGAGCAGCTCTTCTCTCATTTGAAGCCTTGACTCTTTTCTGAAAAAGTTTGGTAAGGTCAGGCATTTGAACACTCAGTCACATGCGGCAGAACCTAGCACATGGAGGACAGCTGACTCCACAGAACCAGGGATTTGGGTAAGTGCCCAGCACTGAAGCCACCTGAAGTGACTAAAAATGCTGCCTTTTTACTAAGCATGGAAGACTCAGTTTAATTTAATAATGTTTTCTTTTTAACACACAAGACAACCTCCCGCAAAACTCCTGTAGTTGTTGTTGTGGTTCCAGTGATGGGTAATGTTTGGCCTGGGAAGTATCTTAAATATAGCAAAAGGAGGTTAAAAACATCTTCCCCTACTTGGGTGCAGGAAGATAGAAACAAAATTGTATTTTGTAAACTTCAATTTATCCCAAATATTTTTATTATATTTGGAGAAAGGACCGAGTCTTTTGGCAGTTTCTTCAATCTTGAGGTTCAGACTTGAGGTCAAAAGTTGTGCAGGATTTGCCACATCGTTGTGCTTCAGACATGAATTCCAGCCACAGACTTTGCCAGCCGGCTACAGCTCACAGATGCTTCATGAATGGAAGCAAACAGTGTATATTTTAGATTTCTTATCAGGGTTCTATTGCACCAGAGAAGCTGGCTAGATATGTGTGGCATCATCTCTAATTACAATGATGATATGATAATTGAAAATAATTATGGTGTGATTTTCTTTTAAATAAAAATTATTCTAATGATTGGCCTAGTATTGTTAAAATTGACACAGAATCTCCCATAACCTGGGAGAAGTTATCTGTGAATAAGGGGAAACACTGTGATTTCCATTTCTTGGGTGATCTCTAAGTTTCCTTCCATTCTAATGGCTTCTTCTATTTTGCCTTTGGTGAAGCCAGTTACTTTTTGGTGTTAAGGAAGAGACTATGTTCATGTATTTGAGATAATAATCTTTTTGGTTTTCAGGGTTATGACATTATTCATTTTGCTCCTTTGAATTGGATTCTTATAATTCACTTTAAGGGTCAAATAAAAAGGAAAATCAGAAACAGTTCTAAACTGTCAGTTTAAATAAATTAGGTAGCAACAACAAAGAGGTTGAATTTAGTTAAACATCTAATATTTATCTTAATACATAATTGAAAATCTCTATTATTTCATTTTTCAGTCACTAGCTTTCTCTCATGTGACACATTTCAGAACTTTCATTTGAATAATTGTGCCTAGTTTTGTATTTTTAAGTTTCCCTATGTAAGTTTTTATTTTTCTTTACTATTATAATACTTAGCTAAATATAAAAATCTAAAAATGTGTTGTATATATTTTTGTTTTAGAGATTTTCAGAAACATCCTCAAAAAAAGTTATCATTATTGTTAATAGCCTCATAACATAGTAACAAGATCATGGTAGACATTACAACAAATTCTACATTTCTTTGTTTCTCTCTCTCTTGTTTTTCATGATTCTGGGAACTAAGGGAAAATTCTACATTTCTTTCAAGACATTTAAAGCTTCTTTTCCCCTTAAAAGGGCCTATAATAATGCAGAGGTAATAAACGACTGATTTTTTTTTTTTTGCAAGGAATCTCTTTCTAAACGTAACTTTTGAACCACTGAACTGTGAGCAGATGCTCATATTGTAATCTATTCAGTTATGATATCAAACAGTAAATGACTAAAGATACATGTTTTCATAGCTTTTTCAATAGCTTGAATAACTTTAAGTTCATGAGTAGAGAATGATAATCTTTTGTCTCATTTAAGTACCTATTAGAAATGTTTGCTTGCAAGGAACTCATTTTTTTTTTTTTGGTTAATTTACCAAATTTGTCCTTTTTTTTTTTCTGTATTTAAGCTGGAATGTAAAGTAGGTCAAGGCTATTAATTAAGCTTGATCTGGTTTGCTGTGTTTGTCTTCATTGTAAAATGGTGTAGCTGGAAGCCAGACACAACAGCTTTACCAAGATATGATAAAGCACTAGACTGAGTATTACAGATTCAGAGTCACTGCTGATTATTATTAGATGTCTAAGTTGATTTCAAGTGGGAAATTATAGGAATTTCAAACTCTCAAGACCTCAATGATGAGGCAAAGAAAGGTACACCTTAAAAAAGCAGCTGATCAATTCCACCAGTTTGAATGAACATGGTTTTTTATTGCTAATGGAAAATGGCCTTTGTCAAGGCTTGCAGAAAAATATATTAATGAGAAAGTACTGAAAGACAATATTTGCTGAATTTCCTTAGAAATACATTGTGTCCTGTCCCCCAGATTTATATGTTTTGTGGTTTATAGTCATATTCTAATTGTTTATAGCAGGGTGAGCAAACTTTTCCGTAAAGGGCCAGATCACAAATATCTTAGTTTTTGTTGGTCTCTGTTATAATTACTAAAATACGTCACTGTATCTCAAAAGCAGCCAAAGAAAATTTGAACACAGATAAGCTGGGTTAAAATAACATTTCATTTATAGATACTATACTTTGAATTTCCTATAATTTTCACTTTTCACGCAAGGTTATTCTTCCTTTGATTTTTTTTCAACCATTTGAAAAATGTGAAAACTATTTTTAGCACGTGGACCATACAAAAATAGGTGATTGGCAGAATTTGGCTTGCCGGCTGTAGTTTACCAATCCCTTGGTTTACATTTTAATTTTCTGGAACTCACAATAAGATATCCTAGAACATGAAGAAATATATTTAAAAAACAAATTTTGTACATGGAGCTTTATGGATTTGTTCTTGGAAAGTGACAAAAATATTTTAAAAATTATGAAACCAAAATATTTTAAAGTGGCTAAGCCACAAGAAGAGTAAAGTTATACTAATATAATAATTTTGTTATTTCTACTGCTGTATCTGTGAAAAATACAGATGCTAAATTCAAAAAGTATATTTAGTTTGATAAAAGTCACCTAAGGCCAAATGAAAATGTCAATGGCTTTGTTTGTAAAGTTAGGATTCTCTATAAAATGAGATTAACTTGAACCTTTCACTAACATTGTAAGTTCTTGAATCTAAAATTTAACCATTCAAAAAGTAAGAGAGACTGAAGACCGCTTATTGTCATCTATTAGAATTTAAAGTATTATATTTGCTCATATGTGCTTATCTGAGAAAAGCCAGAGTTACAACTACACTATCTCTCAGTTGAACACACCATCATTACATGACAGAATATAAATCTTGTTTATATTACATGAGTTGTACTTTGAAATTAAATCATTTTTCTTTATATAATAAATATTGTGGAATTGGAAATAATTTGTGACCAACTTTTCTATTTCAAATGTAATTTATCATGATTTTCATGTAATAAGTTATAATAATTGAATAATTTTTAAAAACTACTCATCTTTTAGAGATTTAAAATTGTTATCCATAGGTACACACATTTAAAAACTTTGGTGCATTTGTGTATTATGTATTTGTGCTCATGTATTTGAATTCTGGCAGAGAAATTCTAATTAGAAATCTCTTGAATAAATATTTAAAATGAAGGTAATATATTTCTATTTTCTAAAATTATTTATCAATTCTATTAAAATGTGTGCCATCACTGTCAGTGAAGTGAAAAGGAGACTTGGTAAAAGATTGTATTGTTTTGCTTTTTTTAGTTTATAAAAATCAAAGTTAATTACAGGGCATAAAAAGTACAGCTGAACCTTGTTTTAGAAAGTGAACCAATTAATTAAAGCTAGTTACAGAACATAAAAATACTAGTGAGACTTAAAAAAAAACTGAACCAATGAACTCACTAAATTCAAGCAATTTTTATTGTGAGTTTTATATATCTAGGTATAATTTCAAATCAATTTCTAGACCCCCAAGTCCCATTTTCTTTTGTATTAAAAACATACAAAAATAAATATAAATTATTTCTAGTGATGGATAGATTGATTTGATGATTTTAGTTTGATTGATGTTTAGATGAAATTGAAAAGTTTAATTAGTAATGGAATGTTTAAACAGTAAAGCATTATCTTGAGGACTAAATGTTGACACACTTAATTTTCTACATTTTGATGATATGGCACTATCCCCTTTGTAGCAAGATAATCATTCATTTAACAAACATTACTTGAAAATCTGCAGTGGATCTGCACTCTAGTAGCTCCTAAATACGAAGATGAATATCATACTCTTGCTGTCATGAAGCTTAGAGGTTTACTAGGAAAGAACAAAGTTGTATCTCCAAAGGGTGATTTTGCCCCCTAGGAGACATTTGGCAATGTCTGAAGATATTTTGGGGTGTCATGACTTGTGGGGAACTATTCCTGGTATATAGTGGATAGAAGCCAAGGATGCTGTTAAATATCCTACAATGTTGTTATGGCATCCTACAACAAAGAATTATCTGGCCCAAAACATCAATAGTGCCAGCTTTGAGAAATGCTGATCTAAATGCATAGCATTTTTAGAACTGCTATTATAGAATGATGCATAGACTCTGAGGAAAATACAGAAGAAGTAGTGAATTCTATGAGCACGAAGGGGTTGTTTTGATAGAAGAGTGTCTTGAAAGAAGAGCATGGGAAGGTTTTTGAAAAGCTGAATGGAGAGATGTCTTTGTGGAGGGTTGGTGGGCTTGGGAAGAGCTGCTTTATAGCTGGAAGCAGTGAAGTGAGAAAAGATATGGATATATAAAACAACTTATTGAATTTGGGAACTGTAGCAAGTCTAGAGTGGATATGATGGGCATAGGGAATAGAAACATGTGATTGGGCAGATAGGAACTTTTTGTTGTTGTTGTTGTTTTGCCGTGTCATGGAATTGGAGCTTTCTCCTGAGTGGTGTTGACATTAACAAAGGGTTTCAAGCAGGGACATGACATGATCAGGCAGTCTATTTATAGGATTCATCAACCTTGGTGTGAAATGTCATGGTTATTTAAGAAAGCATAAAATTTTATATCATTTGATCAGGAAAGAGCCACAGGGAGAACAAGTCTGTCAGTGGGAAGAAGGATCCCTCCTTTTTTCCCTACAATTGTTTTACTTTTGGTCCAAAACTTTTCACTTCATTTGTAAGGACTCTATCAAAGAAATACAAACTGAATTCATTTTCATTGGGTTGACAAATGCATTATGTTGCTGATTAGCTGACTCTTTCAGGCTTAAACTGCCATGTTGTAGCATCAGGGAGCATTATCCTTTCTTGGAAGTTCTGTTTTCAGATTCCAGCTCTGGAGTCATGGTGAGGAAAAAGAAAATATGCTTACCAATGACAAAAGACAACTAGAAATGGAATCTCAAGTATAGCAAAACCTTATTCCTCTATCTCAGTGGTTCGTAATCTCAAAAGCTTATTAGAATCACTGTAGGAGAAATTTGGACATTCATATTTCTTAAAACTCCTCAAGTAATTCAAATTAGCAGTTAGGATGCAGACCATTATATTATCTTAACTCAAGGAACTCTCCTATAAACACAGAATATTAATCTTACAATTTTATTTTGGCTCCATAATGATTTTTAAAAATATTTTTTCTCCAGTAAATTTACCTTCTAATTTCCATTAAAAATTAAAATAAATTTGCATTTTCTAAGCATACACTAACTTTCAAAGAGTAGCTTTCTGACATTATTACAGTACAAGAGGGACCTCGACTATGATTTCTCACCTAATGTTCATGAGTTAGGTGAGTCTCCCTCAAGAAGCAGAGAGATAACTAGAGATTTCAACGTGGAGTTTTTCAATGGTGGCATGCATAGTCTTAAAAGGTCTTATTTTGTGCTGCTCAGCTCTGTAATTGATTGGTTAACATGACCAATAAGCAGCGTGCTAGCCATGGAAAGGCTAGGAGTTTGCTTTTCCTGTAGCCCATTCTCTACTCTTCAGCTGTAGATCACATACTCCATTCCAGGTAGCTGCTTTGGAAATGGGGGTTTTCTTACTAGAGTGCTACAGGAGAAACTGTGTACCAATGCTAATTCATCCTTGTAAAAAGGAACCAAAGATGTCAGTCTTAATCCTTTGTTTACAAATAGTCATTAATTACTGCTCTATGTAAGGGAATGATTTTCTTTTATCCATCAGGAAACAGAAAGGAAACGATGGCTCAGTCTTTGTTCCTTATGAATTAATTACAACATTGCATCAATGAGCAAAAGAGAAAACACTATTGTTATAAATTGTCCTCGTCTCTCCAGTCTCTTGAATATACATATTTTTTGCATTTCCTTTCTCTGCCATCAAGTTTTCCCTTTGTGAAAAAATTTCCTCTAGATACAAATTTCCTTCTAGGTATCTTCATATTTTTCTCCTTTCATTCACAAATGAATGTCCTATATCTATTCCCTCTAATTCCTTACCATACTATATATTTATAACAAGCATCCTCCCAAGACACACACAAATGAAGAATTAATCAAACTCTATAATCTAACTTTGGGTCTTTACCTAGAACTTGGGAAATACATTTTCTCTCAACATTGTTCTTGCGAGTGTTGTCTTGGAATGCCAATTTCCTCTTGTTTGCTACTTCTGCGAACCCAATCAAAACTTGTCTGTGGGTGGGGAGATTCGGCCCATGGGTACCATGTTGCTGTCTTGTTCTAAACTGGTAGCTTTTATACTTTTTGACTATGACTCACAGTAAGATATGTTACATAGTGATCTAATATATACACACCTATAAATGCATACAAAACACATATACATTTTACGAGTACAGTACATACACAGTGCTCTCTAAGATGTTCCCTTCCATTCCAATACTTTCTATTTGCTCCTATACTATGCAATCCTATTCTATTTCATGAAAAATGCTGCTCTTGACTCATTAACCAATATTCTAGCACATTATTTGTTGCAAATTATTGTTCTAATCTAAACCCATGATTTTCAGCAGGGCCTGTGGAACAAGGAATTAGTAAAACTCTCCAAGGCTGTGTAGGTAGTTTGAAAAATAGCTGGGGTTTTTTTTTTTGTTGTTGTTCCATTACTTTGATTTCTTTTTAGTGAAGAAAGCTAATTTATTTAGAAGTTCAAATATTACATACAGGAGGAAATGCAACTATTTTATATTTTTCAAATACCTAATCTCTGCTCTTCTTCAAGCCTCATTTATATTTCATCTTTGTTTTATGGCACTGACCAAGGAATAGACCAAACTAAACAGCTATTGTCATTCAATTGGCAACTAGTTATGTATTTCTGGGTGACATCTTTTGTATAAGTCTTTGGGTAGAGACAGTTTTGCCATGATGAATCTTGGTTTTCATACTATTCTTGATAGAACTTTTACCAAAATACTATGAAATGTATTATATATTATAATATACAGAAAAGGTGGGGGTCTTCATGCCCGTAAATGTTTATGTTCAAATTTGCCAAAAATCCTGATTTATTAGTTATAATGCAACATTATCTGCAATCTCAACCAAAATAATACATCCTTCTGCTCACCTCCTCCCTGTCCCTGGTCCCAGCCTCACTAAAGCAACTTTTCTTTTGACAGAGATCATTGCTAGAACAGCTTACTTTGCCTACTGTGGCTCACAGCTATTTCTAGAGCTTGCCTGGTGTTTCAGATCCCAAAGAACATTTTGGTTATTGAGATAGGAGCTGAAAGTTGTGTTTAGCGTTATGTCTTACATCCCCAACTTTGACTATGGTAGGGATATAATTTTCTTAGATTATGTTCATCTCATCCGGGACACAAAAGCGTGTTAACTTCTTAAGTAATAATTTTCCTTCCTTTCAATGCTTTCATTCTCCAATATCTTGACAACATTTACTTTGATCCTTTAAATAAGTTAGTCTTATTTTTACTTCTATGCCTTAAGCCTACTAGATGAAATATCCTTTGCAAAGTTCTATAACTTAGTTATAGTTATAGTTATTTAGTCACTTAGATGATGTAGGTCCTTATTTTACAGATAGCAAGGGAGGTAAAGTGAGTTATTCAAGATACCACAGAATAAATTATCTATAGGTCACCTGTTTTTAAATTTCTACTATGATAAATTTCAAATATACAAACATTGAAATAGTATAATTAGTATAATCTTTAACATTTTGACATATTTCCTACACACACACACACACACATGCACACACACACACACACACACACACATGCACACACACACACGAACATTTTTTAAAGAGCCATTTCAAAACAGAAATACTGCCACTACTTAAAAGTTAGAATTGGGCCGGGTGCGGTGGCTCACGCCTGTAATCCCAGCACTTTGGGAGGCTGAGGCAGGTAGTTCGCCTGAGGTCAGTAGTTTGAGACCAGCCTGGCCAACATGGTGAAACCCTGTCTCTACTAAAAATACAAAAATTAGCCAGGTGTGGTGGTGCATGCCTATAATCCCAGCTAGTCAACAGGCTGAGGCAGGAGAATCGCTTGAACCCAGGAGGCAGAGGTTGCAGTGAGCCAAGATTGTGCCACTGCACTCCAGCCTGGGCAACAAGAGTGAAACTCCATCTCAAAAAAAAAAAAAAAAATTCAGAATTCTTGCTTAATTCTTTCCTTTTAATTATTAATTTCCAATGTAAAGATTTGTATAATGGTTATCTTCATTTGTCTATGAGTAATTTTATGAAATCCATAAAATAGAAGCAATTAATATGGTGCTAATTGAAGTGTTTAAATGTAAGGGCTTAAATTTTAGGTTCTCCTAGATTTCAATATTGATTGTTAAGTAATACTTTTGAGTATATATGCTACTTGATCCAACTGGCTAAAACTTTTGTGGATGTGATTTCATCATGTCCAAAAGTATCATATTTTGTGGATGTAGTTTTATTGTTCACAAGCAGCTAAGCTATAAATTTTAGAAATTATTATTTCAGGAGATGTTTTTAGTTGTCCTTTTATATTACTTATGGCAATAATGCAACTATCTAAGAAAAACACTCAGCCACTTGACATCAATTTCCAGATCTAAAGAGCAAAGGCAGCTCTGTTTGCTTCAACACCTTCCTGAGTAATGTCATGAAGTTTAATATTACATCCTCCCAAACAGGTCAATAAATAATTTTAAAAAATCATGAACGTTAACGAGAACAGGGGTGAAAATGTGTTTTGGACAGAATAAAGTACTATTATAAATTACCAGCAGCCTATTTTATTTCGTGATTATTGCTTCCTAAAGGCCATTGAGAAACAAAAATGTAGACTCAAAAAGAAATAAAATAAAAGTATACCACCAATAGCGACTTATTTTTTTCATGTAATTTTAATTTTACCATTTTTGTCTGGAAGGAAGGACAAAATCATCCAAAAGTGGAAGGGCTAATGTTTTTCTTTAGCAACATGGAGATTAGGCTGTAAGATCTCTTGCTGATTTTATCTCTTATACAATGACCAGAGGTAGATATGAGGGTTTTGGGGATGCATCACTTGCCACCTCTTCAATTGTCATGGATAAAGCAAGAAGACAATGGAAGATCTCTAAATCCTTTTGGAATAGTAAAGCCTACATTCTGATAAAGGAGGTGATATTTGAAGGCAGGTCCCAGGGAGTGTATTACTATTTTATCCCCCAGTTGTTAAAACATCACAGTTTCATAGGTACTTTATCTCTAGGGCAATACTTCATTTCACATATGAAGTAGTTGGCAGTAAGGCCCAGCATATGACATCCCCAAGAGCACACACACAATTCGTGACAGAATGAGAACCAGAGCCCAAACCTACAGTTATATTTATTCAAGGGTCAGCCCTACTATGTGGCATAAATGACATGTTACATGAAATACACAGACAACATGAAGACACAAATATCTCCGTGAGGCTCCAGAAGTTGTTGGCAGGCTCAGCCCACTACTTATGGTGGTAAAGCATTTTTTTTTCTTAAAAAACTTTCACTACCCCTAGATCATAAAGATAGTTTCCCATATTAACTTCTGTAAGTTTTACTGTTTTTAATGCAATTATTATAAAGCTGAAGTGCTTCCTTTTGATTAAAAAGTTTTTGAGGAAGAAACAGATATTCTATGCAATTAGTAAAGTCACATCAAACTGGCATTTTTATTAACAAACTCAACTATATAGTCTCAGAAAAAAAGAGGGAAGTGCAATTAATAAAAATAGTATGTGTAGTCTTTCTATTGTTTCGGTCAATGACTTTATTTATTACCCTGTATAAACGTGAGAGACAATATCAAACTGACTTTCTTCCATTGGTTTTAGTTCCTATATAACTCAGTGTGAGCATCTCACCTTGTAGTCTATGATTTTACGGTTTAAAGACGTGAATCTTGCATCTAACATGGCTTCTGAAGCAAAGCAACCACTTTTCTTTGTGTTCACTATGATGTTTTTGATTCCCTAAATTGAATTGTTTAAAAATATATTCTAGAGTTTTAAGAATTAATATTCAAATAAAATAGCTAGGCTCAAATCTAGTCATTCCTCAAGATTTTAAGTTTAAATTCTAACTTAAATTCTGACTTAAAAAATTCAATAATAATTTTTAAGTGGCCTTTGAAAAATGTTTCATCTTATATGCAAAAGCATTTGATTGATGTACTGAAAAGAAATCAAATATACTACATTTTTAGTAGGGGCAGTTTCATATGTTTACAGGAGTTTAATTATCTGCTATTAAAAAATCTCAAGCATTTAATGCTTAAAAATTAAAAAAATAAATTTGTTCAATCTTAGGTTTATTAAATAACATATATGTATATATATGTTATATATATGTGTGTGTGTATATATATATATATGTATATAAAACCTTGGTAGCATTTCAGTTTTACATAAGAAGTTTCCATTGTTTACTTGTTACACATTTTAAGTCATAATAAAAAGACTAACCGGTTACTTAAGTAGGTCAAATTCTTTAACACATTAGAACTGCTAAAAAAACCAACACGCATAGATTCTTTAACATTAAGACATTTACCTAATTGTTGATTATTTTAAACATGTGCTTATATATGCCTGGGCTTAAGTGATACTTATCCACTTGAAACACATTTGTCTTCTAAACTAACTGAAATTACTTATTAGTCAAAGGTTTTGGCTGGGACTATGGCTAGATTCTTATTTGCAGCCATCATGCAACATAATCCTATTTATAGTCTATGTAAGGGCTTAATAAATTAGGGAAGTTCATGTCATTGTTGTTATAGCCCACACAACTCATCTAACTCATGTAATCTAAGTGTTTAACATCCCTTAGATGCAAATGACACATTACCCAATTCTCTCTGCAACCATGCAGCTTTTAATATTTGATTAAAATTTTGCATTTCTTGATTCTTAACATATTTGAATAACTTGTCATGCCACTTTATTTCTGATTTGACAGAATCTTGCATTTTCTCCCATTCTTCTGGTCTGGTAGGACCATGGAATTCTTACAGATTTAAAATGTTATCTGACGAGGGGGAATTTCTATATTACAAGAGACTAATGGAATATAACAACCAAATGTAATACATCATCCTTTTCACTTAGTTGTATTATCTCCTTGGACTCTTTTTAGGGTTTACTGGATTGGGGGGGAAAGTTATATAATATATTTTTTATGAATTGAGAAAGTTTGACTATGACTTGATATTGGATGCTCTTATGAATTAATTGTAACTTTCTTGCGATTGATAATGCCATTGTGGTTATGTGGAGAAGGCCCTTATTCTTGAGATGTGTGCTGGAATATGGATCAAAATGTCTAAAACTAACTTCCAAATGACTCAGTATCCACCACCACCACAACAGATAGATGGATGGATAGATAGATAGATGTACATATGTTTGGATAAATACATAGATAAAAAAGATGAGAAATGCAATATCTAATTGGAATCTCCACATCTCAAGGCTGTATTAGACTCTGTTATAGTCCTAGTTTCTGAGAATGTAACTTGTGAGTCATTCTTGATTCCTTTTTCGTACTCACTCTGCACCTAGAATGCAACAAGTCCTGTTATTTCCTTTTCAAAATAATATTTTAAATATGTTTACTTTAATGCACCCCTAGTATTATAACAGTAGCACTCAATTCAAAAGTCTTCAATGATTTTCCATTCCACTTAGGAGAAAAGGTGTAGCCCGGCCCTGCTGCCTACAGGGAGACAACTTCTGGCCCTCTCCTCCTAGCTCAGGATGATGGACTTTCTTCCAAAAAAGTTTCACAAAGTATTGACTGTTTTGACATTTGAGGATCTGTGGTCATGCGATGAATGCTACCTAGTTCACCTTGCTCCAGCCTTCATCTGACTAACTTGACTCAGTCCTTCAATACTTTTCAACTGTTGCATTTCTCAGAAAGTCTTTTCCTGACACCTGCCATCTAAATTAGGATCTACTGTGCTTTACTTTTCTTTCATAGCACTTTCCTAACATATTTTGCAAACATTTTTTAATGTGCTTGATTATTAATTTAATAACTCCCTCTGTCTATAGTCTATAAGCTCTGTGTGGGTAAAGCTTATGTTTGTTTTGCTTACTTCTGACTTCCCAAGACCTTGAGTCCAATGCTTAGAAACTGCTCACCAAAAATATGTGAAATAAATAATTAATTAACAGAAATCTCAAAGAGAGGAGTACTATAGGAAAAAGAGCTGTTTTATTCTTAGGAAAGGGTTGACAAAGATGTGAAATTATATTGCCATTATTCATTGTTGGTACCCATGAACATACATTTGAATATCGGGGAGTGGGTTTATATTCAGCCAAAAGATACTGGCATTTTGTCCCTTGTGATTGATTCCTGTGCTGTGCCTTCTCATAAATATTTTGCCTATCATCTCTATTGAGAAAGAAATATTTTTATTCTGATGTAATAATACCAATAGTCAAGTTTTCATTGGAGGGAAATGAGCAATTAAGATAACTAGTAAAATTATTATTTTATTATTAATTTGTTATGATTACACTTCATGAAAGGAGGAAGGAAGTCAATATGCTAGCATATCTTCAAAGCTGCTTCAGAAGAATAAAATGTGCAAATATCTTGAAAAGGAACCTGGTGAATTATTAAGGGAAAGCTTTTAAAGTGACTTAGTTCCACCTATCATTTCACTTACTCCCCCAAAACTCAGATTGTACAATAAATGTTCTAAACTAAACACTGTAGATCATTTAAATGCTGTAGATTACTTAAGAAAACCCTCAACAGAAAGACAAATGAGGAAGGCAGGCAAAGGGAAATAAATGAACACTCACTTTGTGTCAGAGAAAATTGGAGTAGGTTTTTCTCTTAGGAGCAGCCTTTAGCATTCATATTTCCTTATGGTATACATCAGCATCTTAAGAGCCATAAAATTTCTGAATGTCTTCTTGTTGGCTCAACATATTTCCTTCTTTGTTTGAGGCATTATTCTGAAAGTACATGGTGTGTTTTTTTCTTTATTTAGCAAGACAAGGACATTCTACATTAATGAATGTATATGTACATAATAATGAATATTTCCAATGAAGGTCATATATTTTCATTTTTCTTTTAATATATATGTTGACTCTAATGTGCAAGTGCAAGATAAAGATAAAGAATATAGAGCTTCAGTCTAGACACCCCATCAGAGAACATGTTTCTTTATTAAGGAGTTGTGATCCTTAGCACTTTAAAACTAATGATTTAGGGCCGGGCATGATGGCTCATGCCTGTAATCCCAGAATTTTGGGAGGCCGGGGTGTGTGGATCACCTGAGGTCAGGAGTTCGCAACCAGCCTGGCCAACATGGTGAAACCCCGTCTCTATTCAAAATACAAAAATTAGCTGGACGTGGTGGCGGTTGCCTGTAATCCCAGCTACTCAGGAGGCTGAGGCAGGAGAATCACTTGAACTCAAGAGGCAGAGGCTGCAGTGAGCCCAGATTGTGCCATTGCACTCCAGCCTGGGTGACAAGAATGAAACTCTGTCTCACAAACAAACAAACAAAAAACAATAATGATTTTGAAGGGCGAGTTAATATGTACTTTTCCTGGAGAGAAGACTGTGTAACATCATGATTCTTAGCTGGGCAATACAGTTGCCTACCTGTGTGGCTTTAGTGCCCGTTTACCTAGGATCTATTAGTTGTCCAATGCTGGAGTAGAGTTTCATCCTTTAACTTAAACTTTGATCTCTGTTAAAATACACACATTTTTTTCTCCTTTTTTCCTGAGATCTTTTAATGTTTCCAGTAATTTAAACCTTAATGAACTGTTGTGATCTTTTCTGCAGAGCAGGTTTGAGTGAGTGATGCAGAAGCACTGGGTATGAGGCCATGCCCCTACAGGAATGGCAGCCTGTGGAGAGTAGCTGCTCAGTAAATGCAGTGGAGAGCCAAGAATTAGAGGACTGGGGCCTCACCGATGCCAAAGAACTCATTTCACATTTTTGTGAATCTGTATGATAAAAAACTAGCTTTAGTTTAGTGGGGAAAAGTGCATAAATCTCAGATTGATGTTTAACATTTGAAGAGATGATATTTAGTTTGAATTTTCTATTTTTCTTTCCAACTATAACAACAGATCAGCCTATATCAAGGCAATGAAATTAAGGAAATTTAAAAGTTTGATAAATTGTTGAGGTCATTTGTCTCTGCAAAAGTTATTTCTTGAGAGCAGATAAAGGCACTTTCGAACATGTTCACTTTTTTTTTCAGGTCACAGGGGTGCTATTTAATAAATTACTTTTCTCAGGCACTAAGAGCCACCTTTATTCATCTGAAAAGGTTAATGCAGATTTTTAAAGTGTCCAAGTTATTCCCAAAGAGTAATTTGTGCACTAGGAAAGTCTATTTTATTTGAGAAGTAGCTAAATGGCAAGAAAAAAAAAGCAAGTGAGGTATACATTATAGACACATAGATCTGGGTTGTTCATAATCAATGTTCCCCCCAGCAAGCTTCATTTATATGGGTTAGTTATATATCTCTGACCACTTTATTTAAAACTTCAATATTTCTTCCTTCCACCTTAGAACTTCCTACTATTCTTCTTGCTTTATTCATCTCCATAGCACTTATCACAAATATACTCTATATTTTACTTGTAGATTTTGGTTCCTTCTGACTTAGAAGTTAGAATGTAAGTTCTATGCAGATATGCAATAAAAATTTTTCTGATTGCTGTACCTCAGCATCCCCCCACTCCCTGGAGAGTACCAGACACATATAAACATTCAATAATTATTTGATCAGTATACACAAGAATAAAGCAATACTGATCAAATTTACCAAGAAATTGCCAAATTTCCATTTGATTTAGCATTATATGCATCATTTTCTGGAAGGCGGTGCCACATAATAGTTGAGGGTTGTTTCTGTAGTCATTGCTCCGGGCGTGAATCCTGATTCTAACAGTGGCTGTCTGCTTAGCATTGGGCAAATTACTTCAGATTACTGTGCCTTAGTTTTCTCATTCCCCAGTATAGGGAGAATAAATTGCCTATCTCATAGTTAGAAAACACATATAAAAGTATTTAAAACACTCTGGTACACAGTCAGCTCTTAAAACTTATAAGTATTACATTAAATCAATTTTTGAAAAGAACAATATTCTTTTTCTTTTTGTCTTGAGACGGAGTCTCGCTCTGTCACCCAGGCTGGAGTGCAGTGGCGTGATCTCGGCTCACTGCAAGCTCCGCCTCCCGGGTTCAAGGCATTCTTCTGACTCAGCCTCCCGAGTAACTGGGACTAAGGCACCCGCCACCACGCCCGGCTAATTTTTTTGTATTTTTTTAGAAGAGACGTGGTTTCACCGTGTTAGCCAGGATGGTCTCGATCTCCTGACCTCGTGATACACCCGCCTCGGCCTCCCAAAGTGCTGAGATTATAGGCGTGAGCCACCGCGCCTGGCCAAGAACAATGTTCTTTATGCACTCACTGCCTAATGAAATAGAGTCATGAAAATTATGTAGATATTAAAAAATATTTTGTCTCAATCATCTGAATTATTTAATTCAGAGCATATCTTAAGCATACATTATTAATATAATTTACTTTCTGAAAATTAGTAGGACATTAATTTTATTTGAAAACCTCCAATCAAGTCAAAGAGAATAATGTAATAATTCCAAATGTCAAGCTCATTTTTGAATTCTGCATTGCCATTTACTATGTCTGTGACCCTGTGCGAGTCAATTAAAATATTTAAGCTTTGGTTTTCACATTTTTAACATGAGTAAAAATTAAATCTATGTAATTAGTTGAATATTAAACATAGCACAGTGCCTGGTACATACAGTAACAGATCTCAATAAAAAGATTAAACAAAGATTATTTTATATTAAAATCTAAAGACCAATGTTTGTGACAGAACTATACCAATTAATATAAAATTGAGGAGGAATTAAAAGTGCATTATATTTTTCTGACTCCAAATTTAATTCTAAGCAAAGAAATTAGAGATTTATATGTTGGAAGAAGTCATTTTAAAAAGAAAATTTAGTATGAGAAATATTGACATATTTGACAGCAAATCACTTAGCATATGACTTCCTTTTCTATTAGTAACAGTTTATGAGATACAGATGTCTCTTTTTTTACACAAACACTTCTGAATTTCTTAAAATTCAACATTTTACTTATAATCCTCCTTCTCCTCCCCATTCCCATCAATTTAAACTTATGAAGATTCTAAATAAGAAACACATACAAAACTCTTTTGCACACATATCTTCAAGGCCATTATCATCTCAGACTGTGGTATTAATATTTTGTATTATTGGATGTATTAGACAAGGCATTCTTGTAAACCACTATTAAAATCCAAGCAGAGACATTGGTTGCTGCACTTAGATGTGGTGGAGAAGGTGAAAAATGCTTCTGCTCAGATTCTCTGTCAAGAGTTTGCTGGAGCCACAGTGGGACAGCAAGCACCTTAGATTATTCCAGAGTAAACCACAGAATCAGGTTCTACATTCTGAAAAGAAACTCCACTAAACCTTTATAACCAGATCAGAGCTAAAATACACATGTCTGGAATTGCACCTGCCTAAGATCTAGGGAGCCTGAGCAGCCAGGATGATATGTTTTTGAGGAATGTAAAGGGTGTTAACATAATCCCCCAATCCCATACAATTCAATTTCAGAAAAGTATTTAGGGACTGTGCTAAAATAGCATCTCCAAGCTTGCTATGGCAAGATGATGCTCAGGTTTTCCATGTGCAGGGGAAATGATGAAGGTAAGGTTGAGGATGGGAAATTTGCAAGATAATAGTTCATCAGTTTGTTTTAACTTACAGTTGAACTATAAAGAAGGCTTGAAAATGTCGTAAGCCCTGCCAAGACTATAGAGATTCAAAATAGGGATACTGCCTTTATAAGAGATATGGGTGTCCTTTTAAAATTCCTTGCCTAATGTGCCTTAATATTAAAACACAGATCAGCACAAATATCATTGTAACTCAAATAGAGATTCAACCAATTAGGGATGTCACTAGCCCATGAGACACTTTGTATTGTAGCTTAGCTCTAGAGTACATGGCTAGTCCAAAGAAGTTCAGACCTAGACATTGTTTTCCTGCATTGGATGCCCTTGTGGAGGGTACGACCTGCACATCAATATGTGGTGGCCTTGAAACTAAGTTTTCAATGCCTTCTGTATGTCCAAACTATACTATACTTTATGCACTTATACTTTGTAAAGTCTATGATCATCATCTTGATTTTTTTTTTTTTTTTTTTTTCTGAGACGGAGTCTTGCTCTGTAGCCCAGGCTGGAGTGCAGTGGCGAGATCTCAGCTCACTGTAAGCTCCGCCTCCTGGGTTCACCCCATTCTCCTGCCTCAGCCTCCCGAGTAGCTGGGACTACAGGCTCCCGCCACCACGCCCGGCTAATTTTTTGTATTTTTACTAGAGACGGTGTTTCACCGTATTAGCCAGGATGATCTCGATCTCCTGACCTCATGATCCACCCGCCTCGGCCTCCCAGAGTGCTGGGATTACGGGCGTGAGCCACCACGCCTGGCCATTATCTTGATTTTTAAATGACAAATCTACAGAATGGCTGAGAAGGGATTTATCTGAATCTATACCTGCTAACATAAAAATCAATATATTTTCTGTTAAAGAAAGCTGCCTTCTACTTCCACCTCGTATTCATTAAAAAATGGTTAGGGTATTAATCACTATGAAAGTGCTGTAGGTTTTGTTAAGGAGAGTAGGACAGTGTCATGCCTTTTTGGGACAACCTGAGATGTGATTTAAAGCTTTAAGGCTAAGAGTTTACTACTTGTTCTCAGTGAGCTGTTTCAATTAACATGAGTTTTTCATTTATTTTTGGCCAACACAAATGTGTCTAGTTTAGTCAATAATAATTTTTTTGCTGTTTTCACAATGAGAAATAAACAATTCTCTCTGTCTCTTTTTTAAAAATAATTTTATTTCTCATAATGCCCCATTATAAAATATATCTATAAAGAAAATTGTATTAATTACATCAAAATTGTTTACTCATTATAAATGAACAGATCTATTAAAAGATACACAAAGTAAAAAGCTAAAGAAAACAGCTGATGATAAATGGCAATAAAGAAAATCTTAAATTTAATAACAGATGAAATTTAGGTAGCTTGTTCAACAAACTTTACTATCAGAAAGACTTAGGGTTGAATTCTAGTTCCTCCACTTCATTTTCACGTCATTTAAACCTTCTGAGACTCATTCTTTTCTCTGTACATGCAGTAATAATTGTAACCTCACCCATCATTATAAAAAATATAAATGAGCAGCTATAGGAAAGTTATCTGGCACAAAGTGCCTTCTTTGTGCAAAGTGTACATTCAGTAAATGTTATTTTCTCCTGTGAAAAATATATGTTAGCTAGAAAGCATTTCAGAACCACAAAATAACTCACCAACTTAAATTCCTGATTCTGTAATTTCTTAGGATACACCTCTGTGTTGGGGACAACAGTGTGGGTCTAGAGTTTCCAATGTCTTCCAGGAGTTCTTGGGACCCATCATGAGAAGGAAGTGGTGGAGCATGGAGCATGGAATAAATGTGGGTGCAGTGGAGTGTATTGCTTATTCAGGCTTCTTTCTTTTCTAGTGTCTTCCAAAGACTCCAAAAGAGCAAGACTGTCTTATTCTAGTTGAAGTATCTTGAGGAGCTAGATAATGATGGCGCAGGTATGGCCAAGAGCTCCTAGGGTCTGGGTCAGCCACTGGTGTGAGCCTTTTGCTTATGGACTGTCACAGGCAATCAGAACTAACTAGGCATATGGCTGTTCTCTCCAAAGTCTTTAGATCTGTGCCCGAGTACTGTGTGATAGTGCCAAAGGAAGGAAGTTCCTGCTGAATTAATATTTTTTTTCAGTCGATTTTTGAGAGTGAGCATGACTTTCTTTCCCACATCCTCACCAAAGTGACTTTATTCACTGTAAACTTGTTATTCTGAAATGATGATTCAAAAGCAAGATGTGTTTCCTTCCTTTTCCTAAAGACTTGATTAATTATCTAAGGGTAGATTTTTAAGGACAGCTAAAACACCATTTTCCTTCCAAAACCCAAGCTTTTAAAATCCACTAAATTATTTGAGTAAACCACTTGCAATTTTATTTTCTTTTTGCTTTTTATGCGTAGACCAAGACCACCAACCCAAAAGATTCTTTTCAGTGTACAAACTATGCTCTGAGAATAAGTTAGGTATTCCTGAAAGATGTTTTAACTCTATCAGGCCAATGAATGGGCATCCAGGAAAAAGAATTATTAAACGCAAAACTGACTGGTGTTTAAGTAAAAGTCCATTTCTATTTAACTGTTCAACCCACACTGATACATTTAAAAAAATCTTCCATTACTTTATCCTAAGAATTCAACGTTTTCTTATGTCTGTATCAGTCCTTACTACCCACCAAGGAGCAGTTGTGGGAGGAACTGCAATGTTGTTCACACACAGAGTATTTTCCTGTTCTTCCTTTTGCTTTATCACTATGTTTCCTAAGAAAATGACACACAAACCATTGATTTTGAAAAGTTGCAGTAGTCTGGAATTCTTCTGTTGGGGGAGACTTTTTTCTGTTTTCTGTTAAGGGAAAGTTGTTATTTGGTCATTAAGATTATTGAGATTCCTCTTAGAATCAAGTATCCAACATTTAAATTCCTCTGACTATATACTTGTTGGTATTGTAAAAAGTAGACTCATCTCCAAATTAGTCTGCCTAGTTATGCTATTCCAATCTGCTAGATACTTGGTTTGCGTTCTTCCTATGCATAATAAAGAAGTTTCCTTTTGTAAACTTTATGATTTATACCTTAGCTCTTCTACTATGAAAATCTAGCTTTGTCACCCTTAGCCAACAGGAGGCAATGATGAAAACAATATTGAAATGTTGTAACCCAAATATCTGCCTTTACTACCGATAATCCTCAGTTATTTCGTGAGCTTTGGCTGCATGGATGTAAACTGCTTATCCAACAGTGAGCTGAGATCAGCCTCAGTTTTTCCAGTAAGTAGGAGTGAAGGAGTTAAGTGGGAGTGTCCACATGATAGATATCTCTTTTCCAGGTTTTGCAATGGAACAAATATGGTTGCTGCTGCTTCTAACAATTAGAGTGCTTCCGGGGTCTGCTCAGTTCAACGGCTACAACTGTGATGCCAACCTCCACAGTAGATTTCCTGGTAAGTGTAAGCCTAATCTATTCTCTAGTTGTTTCTGGAAGAGTGATTATATTTGAAGAGCAAGTCATTTAAATATATATGGAGAACGGGGGGCTATCTCTTTACATTAAGTGGATATTAACAAATGGCAAATGACAAGACATTTTTCTGGAGCTGTAATTTATATCCATATTAACATACAAAGTGTTCATCATAGTTAATATTATTATAATGGCTGCTCACAGATATGAAAAATATTGCCTACTGTGTAAAAAATTGGGAGAGACTAATTTCATTCAAAATTTGTGTCTTTTTTTCTCATAAATTAATTTAGACTTTAAAGAACTGCTCTTAAATGCTAATATTTATTTAGGAATAATCTTAAGAAAATGATTGTAAAATATTGTACAATACAAAAAAATGCTATTTCAATGAAATGATGATTACCACAAAGGACACAGGTGAGCTTCAGAATGAATTTCACAGAAACCCATCAACGTTGTGACAAATACGAGATTTGGCAACATTGATGGGCATGTCCCACAGGTTTCTAAAACCTGCATTCAATGATAAGTTACTCAAGGTTTTACCTAGGTATTCATCATTTTATATTAGCTAAAGTAATGGAACCACAGTTCAACATTTACAAAATAAATATTAGGTAATTGGAAACAATTTTCCAAGTCTGCCATGCAAATGGAATCTCTTTGGCCGTGGTTTACATTCTCAAAACCTGCCAGTCCTCCTGTGTTTGGAGCATGCTATGAAACAGCAAACCTGCATAGAGCAATCAGTAGGTAGTTACATAGATAAAGTGCGATTTCTACAACAGAGCCCACATCAGAAATTGTCTGAATGTCTTCATGAACTTAGACCTAGGATGTAAGTGCTTGGTTTGTTAGTAAAATATGAAGGTCACGGTGGGAATGACCAAAGGAATTCAAGAAAAATTTGCTAAGGCAGAGTTGTTAATGGCTTTGAATATCAAAAATGAGCTTTTTTTACATTTATTATTATGGAAAACTTCAAACATACAAAAGTAGAGGTTAGTAGAAAGAGCACTCATATTGATTATCTAGCGTTATCAATTATCAACATTTATAAATTTTGTTTGATCTTTGTCCTTACCACTCCCATCTCTGGCATATTTAAAATAAATGCATTATTCATGCTTTGGTGTTTATATGTGATGGAAAAGAACTTAAAAATCATTATCCTTTACGTATACGTCTAATAAGCCCAACAGTAATTTCTTAATATCATTAAATGCAGCCAAGTTGCTTCTAAAATCTTCACATAGAGTATTTGTTGATATATCTTTTATTTCATTTTGTTTTATAACAGTTCTCCTCTGTCCTTTGCTTTTACAAAATGCTGTTTATCTCTTTGAGCAGTTTGGTCATTTGTCTTGTAGAGTTCTGACACCGGATTTGGCCAACTGCAACTCTGAGGTGTCATTGAACAGGCTCCTTTTTCCTGTCTATCCTGTAAACCAATGAGAGCTAGAAGTTTAAGTAAATTCAAGTCAATTATTTTGGTGAGAACATGTGTTATGTAGTGTAATAAAAGTGTTTTCTCTTAATTTTGAATGCAATCAAGAGTCACTGAGTCTTTTTAAACATATCTTTTAAGAGGTTTGATGTGGTCACATTTTGTTTTAGGAAGAGACATTAGGACAAGTGTGTAAGATAGAATCAAGTTAGAATAGACTAGAGGCAGAGAGAAATATCCTGAAGGCAGTGGCAGTGGAAGCATTACAAGGGGACAGTTATTAAGAGATATTTTTGTGGTAGACTCAGCAGAAATGGAGAATTGATTTGGTTTGGGAGGTGAGAGAAAGAGAAGATTAAAGGATGTTTTTAACTGGAACAACTGGATGTTGATGCTGTTAACTGACAAAAAAAACATAGGACACTTGCATGTTTTAGAAAGGAAGTTCAAGTTTGGAAATGATGGGCTTGAGGCATTTTTAGAATATATAGTGGCAGTTTCTTTTATTCAGTAGTAGGAAATACAGAGCTGGGTCTGAGAAGAAAGATCAAAACTGAAGATTGCTGTATGAGAGTTTATTCCCTGTGCAATGGATAAGCAATGAGTAGGGAGTAGGAAAATAAAAAGTATGAAAATAGACTACTATTTAGATAACTTTTGTGATTGGGAAAAAAAAAAAAAAAAAAAGAAAGGAGCAACCTGAGCCAGGAATTGAAAGAAAAGAAAGGAGCAACCTGAGGCAGGAGTTGAAATCAATTCCTGGGACTATAGAGGCCTGAGCATACATGAGTAAAGGGAGAGTATTAAAAAAATGGAAATTCAAATAAAGAATAATTGATGAAATGAGAAAAGAAAATACCGAAGCAATCAATGGTACAGATGAAGGAGTTAACCTTGGAAAAGTGTAGTTGTTTGTTTGATTTAAGTGAGAAGGAGAGATAAAGCCACAGTTGGAGAAGGTGAGAGATGCTAATTGTGTTCAGTCCCTCAGTGTAGTGGGAGGCAGTGGCTCTCATCAGAGTCGCTGGCGGCCTGGGAAGGGTGATCAAGCCATGACCCTGTTATGGATGGATAAGAAGGCCAAGTAATAAAATGATTGCTCAACAGAGAAGATCTGACTGGTGTGGTAGTTATATACTTGTAAAGGTGAATAAGGCATGTTAAAGAGCCATGAAATAACTATGACAGGAAAACGAAGTATTTATCATATGGTGAATTTTTAAAAAATCATGTTAAAAAGTCTGTTTACAATGGCATCTACTGACCACCTGTATCAAAATCATATGGGCTAGTTGTTAAAAGTGGGGACTCAACTTGTTTCACCTCAAATAAGTGATGTTAGAATCTCTGAATGTGGTCTTGGGAATCTGTATCTTAAACCCTGCAGATGAATCTAATGTACATTTATGGTTAAGAACAACTGATAGTGTATTCTATCATTTTCTTGAGCCAATTATTCCAATTAAAAGCACAATTATTTGTTGTGGAAATATAACTAAAAACAAAATCTTCTCCCAACCTAGAAATCCTCTCTGCCTAGGTAGTAGAGAAATAAAAACACTTTTATCATTAAATAAGCATTAAACCAGAATGTGATTCACATCACAGGTAATCAGTAAGAGATTACAAAAACAGAAAGAAACCTCGCCCTTATATATAGCCAAGCAGAGACAACTCATTACATATGTTTTCAATATAGACAATAACTAGTCCTCAAGTAAGAGGACTTGACAGGACCATTTGTCACACATATGAATCCTCACTTTACCTGGTAAGTAGGGTGACCATCTGTGTTAGCTGATTTGTTTTATCCAGAGGAAAAAGTAACTTCTCATATCTTTATGACAGGAGGTAATTTTGCAATTTGGAGCAAGGCTCACATCAAAATTAGGCTCCTACCCTAAGCGCAGAAACAGGGACATAAGGCTACCATCTCCCTTGATGTTTACATTTCAAAGAGATGACTCTCAGATCCTTGAGAAAGACATTCCTGGGTCACAAAGCTTACAAGAATCCTATCTAGTTTTCAAAAGGATTAATACACACTTCAAAGAGAGGAGAAAGTACTTCTAATTACAAGTTTTCTAAAGTAAATGCTGTCAGAAAAAGGGAGGAAGTCTCCTCCTCTATTTTCAATTATATTTGTGTTTTGTTTGTATTTTTTCTTACACACATTAGCACTTTAGGTACTATCTGGCTTAGGCAACAAACACCCAAACTTTCCAGACATATATTCATAAACACATACACCCATAAACACACACACACACACACACACACACACACACACACACACACACAGTTACAATTTTAAAATTTGTATTTAAAAAACACTAAATTTGTATTTTAATAACACAAATATTAATAAAATCCAAATAACGCTGAAGTCCCGGGAGAGACTTTATATTTAGATGGGTATTATTTAACCCATTTTTTTGGAGGTTGTTTGCAAAAAGAAGATCAGAGTGAGCAAATAAAGCCTAAAGATTAATTGCTTACTGCCCTCTTGACTCTCAGTATCTCTTCCACATCACGATCACCCTTGATGTCATCAGGAGCTCCACAAGCTGCTCGGAGGCTAAGCAATGGGATGGAATGAGAATGAGTCTGGCAAAGGAAAGGGGCTATCTAAATGCAAAGCAATGTTAATAATGATGAGAGCAATCATCTCACCCTATGTGACCTTTGCTGTTTCATGACATTAGAACTATTTTCTTTAATTTCCATGGCATTTATCCTGGGACCAAGAGAAGCACCATGGTCTAATTCATTTAAATTTAAAGGAATGCCATTTAATTTTAGAGGTGGTTAACTCTTGGTTATCCAAGCTAATAGCAAAAAGCAGACTCATGAACCACTAAAATTACAGTTGTGATGATTCTAGAATAAAACTCAAAGTATAGTTGAATTTAGAGTACCAAGGAATTATTTGGTTAAAGTAAAACATACAGATGAATGTACTTGGCCTTTGTGACTAGTGTATATTTTCCGAAGCCAGGCCCCCTTCTTTGGAAGTATATGAGGATTAGGCTAAACTTTCTGGCCTCTAAAGAAATCTTTAATGATAAAGGCACATCCAAAGAGGAAAATGGCCTTATAGCACAATAAACTTTATGGCTTGACACTGTCTTATGGTGAACTAAGTAGTCATGGGAAACTGAATATGAGTCAGTGTTTCATAACATGTGATTTCGTATTATGCTGTAAATAATACTAATAAGGAAACAAGCAATAAGTTCCATGTTTTGAGTACCAGGCACCTCACAGAATTCTTTCATTTCTTACAATAAACTTACAAAATCTTTTTAAATACCCCCTTTACAGTAGGAAAACTGAGGATATACATTTGTTAAATATTGCAAATCTGCAAATTAATAGAGATTCTTTCCATCAAACAATGATGTCTAAAAATGAAATTTGAATAGTAAGTTTTAAAAATGATGTATGTGTGGAGATTCTCAATGGAAATTGCCACGTCTAAGGATCTGAAAAGTCATGTGTTGGGGGAATTTGTTTAGTCTTTTCAAGACCTGCTTGACTAAGGAAATCTTTTATTCGGTAATATTTTTAATATTTTAATATTCAATGAACACAAGTGTTCCACAGGAGGTAAAATTGAGAATCAATTATTTAATCAATAGAATTCATGAGTGAGTTCAGTAAAATGAACTGTCTAATTTTATATTAGGCTTTGCTTAACCATGGCATTTTTCTGTGCCCAAAGACAAAGTAAGAGAGGTTAGTGGAATAGTTATCCCAGGGAATATGTTCTGGTTCTCTGTATAGAAAGGAAAGGCCAATTCTCCTTTATTCCTACTTTTTAGTGGTAGTGCTTTGGTCTCCAAGTTGTCAAGAGGATGCCTGCTTTCCACTTTGCACCTGTGAAAGCAATTACTACAACAGATGAGGCAGAAGAACAGATCCAGGCAGCTATTGCTGATCACATTCTGATTAATTTACAATGATAAAGTGCAGTGGAGAAGATAGCAATTAGCAAATTCAATGAGTAATTCAGGGTCCATATTCTCCCATATTTTAATAACAGCATTCTTTATTGCATGAATTTTCACTTTTTGTTTTTATAAATAAAACCCATTTGCTTTTTTTGCTGCCTGAAAAAGATGACCAAACTTTTCTGGTTCCAAAGAATGTGGAGCAGCAAGTGTGATTATAAGTCTGCAAAGTTTGCCTCAGACTGCTTATGAACTTCCTAGAGCACTGGAAACAACAGCTTGCATTTGCTAACGAGAAACAGATGTTGTGATGAAAGACTGAGGTGGCACAAAACCTGTTCAATATACAGAGGAAACTTGAATTCCTAATCCACTTTAAGTTCTTCATCAGCTGTTGGTATTTCGTGTAGATGAAATATCAATACCCCTTTAGGACTTCTAGCTCTTTTAGCACCAAAACCTCAATCTTATATAAAAACTTGGTAAGAGCAAATTTTAACTTTCAAAAATGAATTAAAACAACATATGTAGCATCTGTTCTCTAGGCAATTTGTAAGCCCATGTAGTGCCAAATATCACCACTCTTGTTTTAGAGATAAAAGCAGAACTGATATATAAATTATTATTATGGTTTAAAAAGATGGTATAAATTAGTATTGGAATATTTATCGGAGCCCAGGATGTAAATTATTTTCAGGTGAGATTTTCTACCATGCCACAAAGCACTCTGCAGCATACAGAAAAGTTTTCTCCCACTATATTGAACAGATTGCTGTTTATACTATCAGTTTTAAACCAATACTACTTTTAAGTATATGCAAACCAGTACATCAATACTAATGTGATGATATTCACAGGAATCTCTGCATCTGAACCGTACAGAGCCTCCTGCCTGCTCACTGTGGACTAGCCACTCTACCCCCGTCCTCTCCAGTTGCTTCTGATTCCCCAAGACTGCATGTCACACATGCTCAGGAAAGGTCCACTTAGGTTCTTTGCTCTGGACTCCTTGACCACAGTGCTACAGGCACCACCACTGCCAGAAATGCTTTTTTATGAAAACACTGCCCCGCTTGGTGTAGCTGCCTTTTGATGTGGACTGCTCTGCTTCCTCCGGGTATTAAACTGCTATGGTTTACAGAATGAGACAGAGATGGGGGTAAGAGAAGAGGCTGATCCTGTTCCCAATTTTGTTTCACACACTGCCACTGGAGCACTAAAGGAGGCTTACTTAGACTTAGCCTTACCGAGCATTTTATGAGCCTTCTTTCATTGAGATTCAAAACCAGTCAGTTCTTCAGATGAGAGAGGGAGTCAGATGCAGTTCTAACCCCTTCATGATTCTTGTCTCTCTCCCTCCCGTCCCTTTTACAACCAAACTTTTCTCTCTTGTAAGCATGTAAATCAGACAAATAGATATTTGTTAAGAGGCTTAAACTCACCAGGTGAAATCCACCTATGAGCTATCTTCTGTCCAGTCAAAATACAAAGCTGTGACTTAGCACCTGAATTGACTGAGAAGTTGTAACATCAGCATCACCTGGAGGCTTGTAAGAAATGCCAAAACTCAGGCCCCAGCTCAGATCCACTGAATCAGAATCTGTATTTTTATAAGATTCTTTGGTGATTCATCTGCACAGTAAAGTATAAGAAGTGCTGGTTAGAACATGGTACCCATGATAGTCTGCTAGCTTTATGTTGTTACAAAACCACACAGTATTTACACTAGCCCCAGCTGGCCATCATGCACTTGCTTGCTGTTAATAGTAATAGGTATCAACAAACCTATCACTGTTAAAAATTCATTTTTAATGGGGTAAGATAACTAGTCACCAAGGCTAATACACTTAAAGAGATAAAATACAAATAAACAAATTGCAATAATCTATTAATTTTATATTATTTAATGAGTTGCATTTTCTCAATTTGAAGGTAGACATTAAGGATTTTGATGTTCATTGAAAACTGAAAACAGAGGCATCATCTCAGGCAGTTGGCAGAATACAGATAGATGAACATTCAAGATGAACCCATATCAACTGTATACATATTTTGTTTGTAAATGTTGGAACTTGATATTAAAGACTTACACACCATTGAAATAAATGTATTTTAATAAATATTTGCTGAGTATTTGTTATACACTCTAGGAAAACCCAGAACACTCTATTAGTTTATAATTTAACAGGAAAGTAAATATCCACTCTCCGATATAATGTAAGTGAGACAGTAGACCCACAGTTAAAGTGAGATAGGATAGAACATGACGGGATGATTACACTCCATTGGGAAAATTACAGAAAGGCTCATCAGAGGTCAGCTTTGAAATTATTTTTCTGTTTTAAGTTTATTTCTCTTCTTATCTGAATACTCTCATTGGTAATTTCAGCTATTACTATTATTATTGATATACTGAATATTTGGTGATTCTCAAATTTGTATTTCTTGTTTTCTGTCCCCAAATATTAGACTCATATTTCCAACTATCTGCTGTACATTTCTGCTTGAATGTCTCATATGTAACTCAGCCTCTCAAAGACTGAGCTTATCATCTTTCTCCCTGAATTTTTTTATCTTAGGGCATAATCCACCCACTCATCAAAGCTACAAACCTACACATCAGTGACATCCCTTTTTCTTCATGCAGTCTTCTAATCACTTCCTTATAGAATCTAACCAGTTGGAACTATTTTATTTCTTCCTAACAATTCCTTTCAAACACCTCTTTGCTACCAAGACAAGTTTGTTTATAATGTTGTTTACAAATCTCTAGTATATCATTATCAGGCTGTATTGTAATTGCTTACTTTTCTTCTGTCTTCTTTATTCAGTAAGCTCCTTGAAGAAACAGGGTCTTTTGTTAATGTTGTTATCTCAAAGTCTAGCACAGAGACTGGCACATGATATGTACACAATAAATGCTTTCCTGAAACACGTTGTTGATATGAAGTGGCATGTAGTTTAGATCTTGAAAATAAGTAAAACCAATTGCCTCTAGACTAGTAGAAAATTTATGGTACTGATTTTTCATGTTTGATTCTTGTGCATCTCATCTTTTTTTTTCCTTTGAGACAGAGTCTCGCTCTGTCGCCAGGCTGGAGTGCAGTGGCACACTCTCGGCTCACTGCAACCTCTGCCTCCTGGGTTCAAGCCATTCTTGTGCCTCAGCCTCCCAAGTAGCTGGGATTACAGACATGCGTGACCACACCTGGCTAATTTTTGTATTTTTAGTAGAAATGGGGTTTCACCATGTTGGCCAGGATGGTCTTGATCTCTTGACCTTGTGATCCACCCACTTCGGCCTTCCTAAGTGCTGGGATTACAAGCGTGAGCCACCACACCTGGCCTCCCCATCCTTTTTCTTTTACACTATACACTGACCTCCAGAATTTCGTTTCATACAGATGTTTACTTTTTCAGATCAATGATGAAGAAATATCTTGAGTCATTGCACTACAGTGCTGAGTTCCAGCCTACAGCCAAATTTTGGAGTGTTGCCATCTTTGTATTGCAGAATACATATGTGCAAATTCTTTGAATAATTTATTAATCTGTACTCATTATTCTATAAAATAACTGGAAAATATTAAGCATTCTGATGCTAGTGAAGGGAAATGAAGGCTCCAACAGTACTGAGATGAACTGAAAATGATGCAGTCTATCAAAAGCCTCACCATGAGCCTCAGTTGAATGCTGTTAGATTTAAGTAAGGTCAGTATAAAATTGTTAAAACAAGAACAAAGTTAGATATATTATTAGATATGTAAATAATACAATGCAAATATATTTTCAGTAATTGTATGTAAAGGAAAAGGTGTAATTAAATGTTCTAGGAATAGAACTTTATAGGGGGTAAAGAAGTTGAATGAATCCTTATTTATATATATAGAACTGGATCCATACCTTCTTTACTTCCATTTATATAGTAACCACATTCTATGAACCTCAAATCAGGACACATTTTATACACGGAGAGACAGATGGCTGATAATGTGACAGGATATTTAAAATTTGCAAAATTTTAGAAAATCTGAGATACATAAAACCATTGCCCGATAGATGGACGACAGGGTACAGAACATTATTTTTACCCTATTCAGTTGAATATTCAATTATTGTTAATTTCTATGAAAAGCTTAGCTTGATTAATATCAGGGGAAAAACATTGCTGTTTTGGCAATGTAACTGCACATAAACTCTGTCTGCAGGCCTGCCATTTGACATACTTAGTATCTTTAAGCATAAAACATTAAAAATCAAACCCCTAAAGATATCTACTCATTAGGTTGTTTAGTAGTCTTGAACATCATAATTCAGGCCAGGGATTGGACAGTAAAAGGCTTAAAAAGTGTAGCTGTTGAGAGCAACTGTTATTCAGTGACTGAAAAAACTCTCTCTCCTTTTGGCAGAAATTGCCCTTTGGCAACTTGAGGTATCCTTCTTTTTTCCTTCTCAAAGCCTCACAAATGGTAAAGTTGTGCTGAATGGATGTCTTTAGTACCTACAACCAGGAAAAGAATGTGTTTCTCTGAACACTAGTGAAAAGTCCTTAGAAAACTGGGTTAGGAAAGATTTGGACAGATCTCTTTTCTTACACTGCAGAAAGCCTTTAGTTTGTCATCATATCTTAAAGTGGGATAAGCCTGTAGCAAATTCAGTTTCATTGCAGGAGTTACAAATTGGTTATAGGAAAACAGAAAAGAGCACTACATCTGGTCACAGTAATCATTTGCCATTTGTTGAGATATTCTAAGCATTAATTAATCCCCTTAAACAGAGCTGAGGAAACTGGTCTTTAGTTGGTTTATGTTAAGAAGAATGATACCTCTCTTTTGTGACATATTCATTAATAGGTATTCACTTTGGTATACTTATGGTATATCAAGGAGTGCAATGATACTTGTTCTATTTCACCAAGCATAAAGTGAAGTTGTAGTGAACTCTCTAACAGCTGAGGATTTGATTTGACATCCAGGTAGATGGTATCTTAGGCCATTTTATGTATAAAGGTTCCCTGCAATCTCACCTGTGCCTAACACATGTCCTCATTGCCTGCTATTTCCTCTTTTGCATTTTAATTACAAATGGATGGGAACTACCTGGCTCCCAGCCAGCCTGAGCATATTTCATTATTCACATTTGTCCCCTCTGTGTTATAAAATTTCCACTCCTCTATCTAGCTAACTCCTACTGATACTTCAAGACTGAGCTAATGCCATCTTCTCCAGGAAGCCATTCCTAACCAGCTGGTCTGGGCAAAGCCGGCCTTCTACGCTACTCCATAGCTCTCCACGCAATCTTTCTGTCAATGTGGGTCACGCTAATGTGTCTGTCTCCTCTAATGGACTGTAATACACAGGAGTTCCCTTTATCTGCAGTTTCATTTTCATAGTTTCAGTTAACTGCAATCAACTGTGTTCAGAAAATACTAAGTGGAAAATTCCATATATAAACAATTCACACATTTTAAAGTGTATGCCGTTATGAGTAGTGTAAAGAAATCTCACGCGATTCAGCTCCATCCTGCCCAGGATGTGAGTCATCCCTTTGTCCAGCTTATCCATGGTCCATTATCTACTAGTCACTGGGAGCCATCTTGGTTATCAGATTGACTGTCTCAGCATTGCATTGCTGTGTTCAAGTAATCCTGATTTTACTTAATAATATTTACTCATAATAATTATTAGCATTATTGTTAATTTCTTACTGTGCCTAATTTAAAAAATCAACTTTATCATAGGCATGTATATATAGGAAAGAACATACTATATATGTTTCATTATAATCTGTGGTTTCAGGCACCCACTGGGAGTCCTGGAATGTATCCCTAGAAGACAAGAGAGGACTCCTGTGCTTGGGAATATGATCACTATGTTTTGAATCCTCAGTGCACTCTGTTGCTCCAGTACCTTATATGATTAATTAGCTAGTTACTCACTGGAGTACATTGGTTAATATAAAACCTTTCCTGCCTATGGGACTTATAGTTTATTAAGAAAAATATACAAATACATATATGATTCTAAGGCAATACGACAGCATAAAACAGAGTGGCATACCTTAGACTTGGGATCAGGTCAAGTATTTGGGTAAATAAAATTTGAAACCTGAAGAATGAGTAGGAGTTACTTAGGCAAAGCTTTGGGGTAGGCGGAGCATTCCAAACAGAAGAAAGAGCACTGATACATGTACTTTGTGTGTGTTCCTGTATTATGTTTTTAAAAATGCCGTACTGAGGAATAATTTACATATAATAAGATGTGCCAATCTTCAGGGTACTGCTTGAAATGTTAACACATGTACATACTTATATATCCTCCACCCAAATCAAGATAGAGAACATTTTTATCTTTCCCCCAATTGTTCTCGTGCTCCTATTGTAGGCAATTCCACCCCAGGAGGTAACTACTTTTCTGGTTTCTATCACTCAAGGTGATGCATTTAAAGACATGAAAAATGTTCAGATTCAAATTTAGGAAGCAAGATTCATAGAAGAGAGAGAGAGAGGGAGGAGCATGCAGAGGTAGGCAGGTAACAGATTATGGAGAGACTTGAGCACCTAGTTCAAGATTTGGTCTTTTGGCCTATGTCAAAAAGTAGCTGTTGAAAATCTGAGCATGAGGATGACACGACTGGATTAATATATTAACAGCTGTACTAATTGAAGGACATTAAGACTGGAAATAAAGGAACCAGTTAGGTTCCTGGACTAGTACAATAGTCCAGGGGAGAGATAATGATGTCATGAGCAAAGGAATAGCATGTAGATAGAGAAAAATCAGTAGATTTAAGATATAGTTCATAGATACTCATAAACATTTATTAAAATAAACTGTATTATTTTAGAAAAAAGTATCATTTAGAAATTATCTTTGCATTTAAATAGTTAATGTTGCCGAAGTATGAAGATACTTGATTTTAAGTAGTGTTTATTATTTTCTAGGTTGGCAAAGTATACTTCATAATTAATTCATTATTTTTCCACCAACAAAGGAAATATTGCGTCGAATTTCCTATAACACCTAGCCGTTTGCCTTTTGGCCATGAAAAAGATTTTTCATCTTTCTTTATAGGTAATTTTAATGAGTTTAAACTTATTACAAAACATAGACATTTCCATATTGCTTATTCACATTCCCCAAATATGACTCACTTTGCTAGGAAAAAAACCCAGTATGTATATAGAATAAACACTCTAAAGAGATAATGCTATTGAACATTTCTACTGTTAAATTAGGACTGAATTATTTAAGCAAATTAATTCTATGCTAAAAAACTTGAATGAAATTTACATACTACTTAGGTGAACATGCCATCATTCACCAAAAATATGTGTTATTTTGTTTGGTTTTCCTCTTTTGGACAATCAAGGTCATTTCCCCATTGAAAAGCATAATCAGTTTTTGTTTGTTTCTACATGTTGAAAACTTGAGTCTTGTTTCAGGCTTTTTATCTAATTGGTATAATAAGGTAATAAAAAATGGTAAAGTCACTCTCTTAGTTTTCTAGGGCTGCTGTAACAAAGTATCACAAATGATGTGATTTGAGACAACAGAAACTTGTGTCCTGGGGTGATTTAAAACACAGAAATTCATTGCCTCTCAGTTCTGGATGCCAGAAGTTCAAAATCCAGGCAGGGCCATGCTCCCTCTGAAAGTCTGGGAAGAATCCTTTCTTGTCTCTTCCTAGCTTCCAGTGGTTTGCCAGCAACCTTGGGTGTGCCTGGGCTTGTAGATGCATCACTCCAATCCTCTGCCTTCTCATGGTTTCTCCCCGTGTCTCTGTCTCTTCATTGGATGTTTCTTTTATAAGGACACCAGTCATATTGAATTACAGGTTCATTTTACCCCAGTATTACCTCATCTTACCTAATTTAATCTGCAACAACCTATTTCCAAATAAAGCCTAAGGTACTGAGGGTTAGGGCTTCAGCATATCTTTTTTTGGGGGGACATAATTCAACCTATAGCAATTACCAAAACTGATGAATGTAAAATAATCTACCACTAGGGAATTACCTACCAGCCACTCTCCCCATTTCCTTTATACATTTTCTACATTACATGTAGAAAAATAACCAAATAGAGATATGAAGACCGTGTGTGTGTGTGTGTGTGTGTGTGTGTGTGTGTGTGTGTGTGCTCACTTCTATAGACATGGACTAGACCTCGTCACAGATAACCCATGGAGTCATGGAGAACCATGCAAATTGTGTTTTACATTTCCATGTTTAGGTCATTTTTTTTTTTTTTTTTACTGAGGCATGCATAGTCATTGGCAAAATTTTCCTACAGTGAGCTGTGCATTTTTGTTCATAATATCAACACTATTTTTTTATTCCCTTTCTCTCTAGTGTTATTTAATTTAGGCAAAATAAAATTGAAATCTGATGGATGGCTTTTATTTATACAACCCATAAGATGGGTTACCAAATGCCAAAGTACTTGACAATTTGGTTTAGGGTGGATTTCAACTGCTTTCTCCTTATACTTGGGAAAATGCATCATTTGTAGTGATTTTCACTACTCTTGACAGGTGATCTGAATAATCCAGTTGCTCTAGGTCTGAATTTCCTCAGTAACCTGATTGGTTTCCACTCAATTCTCTGGTCATTTGGCAATACTTGATCAACACTTAATGTACATCCACTGGACATCAAGCACAAGGAAACAGAGGTGAACTGTAATCTCTACACTCAAAGATCTCTCCTTAAATAACTAAATAAAAGGCTATTTTTCTTGTCTACTTTACTTAATAGCTGGCACATTGGATTATGGTGTATCAAATATAAAAATGAGTTAAACAGACAAAGGAGATGAATAAATATATCAGTAGGATGTTAATGTTATTTATCTTTCTGCTTTTCTGACTTATGTTTGTTTTTTATATATTTTTATTTCAGCTGAAAGAGACATCAGTGTCTATTGTGGAGTGCAGGCTATTACGATGAAGATTAATTTTTGCACGGTACTTTTCTCGGGTTATTCGGAAACAGATCTGGCACTGAATGGAAGGCATGGGGACTCCCACTGCAGAGGGTTCATCAATAACAACACCTTTCCAGCAGTGGTCATTTTTATCATCAATCTCAGCACCTTGGAGGGCTGTGGAAACAACCTGGTGGTAAGATTAGTGTGACATTGTGTGCTAGGTCTGGGGTCATAAATAAAAATCTCCCCATTTCATGAAAGAATAAGATGCCCAATCTATCTCTTGAGAAAAAAAATAAAATTGAACAAATCACTTTCCTTTGCCTGTTTGAGGCATGCACTAGCAAATATACAATTCTATCTTCCAATAATGGTTATGTTTATAGTAGTGGGGCAGTCAAAGGGTCTGAGGTCAGCTGTGCCCCTCTAAGCAGCATTATTTTGTGTGAGTGACACTGACGGATCTGTCTCTACAGTTTAGCATTAGCCATATTCCTCAGGCTTTATAAGAAATATCTGACCATTCAAACAATATTTGTTCCAGTGAGTCTGGCAGTGAACCGCTTGGCCTGTTCTTTCAGTGACCTCATTTGTAAAGAAAGACGAAAGATAGAATGGGAAGCTTGTAATCTTCTTTCATGCTTACCATTGAATGATCAACACTAGTGCTTTGTAAAAAGGGGCTGTCAGTATTTCTGGTATAATATTCTTAAATGTGTGGGATTGTCCTTTGAATTTCAAAATGTTTATCATATCCAGTCTTACCATGAAATCCCAGTAGCACACTCTCTCTAGTCATTGTGAAAATTGAAACATCTCTTCAAACATTTCCACCCTGAATTAGAAATACTAGTTTGTAGCATTCATTTGTTTACTAATGCATTGAACACCAAAAATAGAGTTAAATAAGGAATTGACTCTCCAGTGAATTAAAATTAATAGAAGTGAATATATTGTGATTTGACAGGAGTATTAGTTAAATAGTTATACTGAAATTCACTTAGTACTATTTTTTATTTTGCTTATTTAAATATAATCTTATTGGTAAATTTGCAAATATAAAAAGGAAGTGCAATAAACATAACCACTTAGCCCAGGGAAGGAGATATTGACTTTTACTCTTCACAAATTATTATTTTGTATTAAGGAGAAAGGATTGATTATTCCAAGGCCAGGGTTTCTGAGACTCAGTGGGAGATGGAAGACAGAGAAAATAGATTTCTTTGAATCTTGTTCTTTATCTTTTCCCAGAGGGCAGTTAGAATATTGTGCCCGTGACCATTTCCAAGCCTGCAGCTTGAGTATTGTTGACTCTTTTTATTAAAAACGTTTATTCAACTCTCTGAGTTGTGTGCAGAGAGGTTATGAAGTGGACCTAAGGGAGAGTGATGCAGGTTGATTATTACAAGTCCCTGTTCTGTGTGGAAGGAAAGAGCCTATGTGGAGATGAGCAGCATTTCCCTGTCTCCCACCATGCCCTGAAGCCTTTCCTTCCCTTTCTTGTCTGGATGTGTCACCTTGCCCTGCTGCCTAGAAAATGATTCAGGAGAAAAGCCAGGAAAAGTGTGCAATGTGTGTGCTGTTTACCTTTTTAAAAAGCTGAATAAGTCCGCTATAAAAATTGCTAGGCTGGGCACAGTGGCTAACTCCTGTAATCCCAGCACTTTGTGGGGCCAAGGTGGGCAGATCACCTGAGGTCAGGAGTTCGAGACCAGCCTGGCCAACACGGTGAAACCCCACCTCTGCTAAAAATACAAAAATTAGCTGGGCATGGTGGCGTGTGCCTCTAATCCCAGCTACTTGGGAGGCTGAGGCAGGAGAATCATTTGAACTTAAGAGGCGGAGGTTGCAGTGAGCCGAGATTACACAACTGTACTCCAGCCTGGGTGACAGAGTGAGACTTTGTCTCACACACACACAAAAAATTGCTATATACATGTATGTATGTATTTTATTTTCATAGACAGAATTGGTTGGTTTAGCTATCAAATAAAGCAAGTAGTGGGAGGAGGGGAAGATTTGCTTATCTTTCATTTTTGCCTTAGGTGCTACCAGCTTTGGCAACTGCTCTAAGATCATTCCTTCATGGGAAAAAAATTAAGTTGGCTACTAAGTCTCTGGATTGGAATAATGATGTTTTCATTCATAAAGATTCTTGTCCCATTTATCAATTAACTAGATAATTGCCACAGCTTTGCCCATGTGCTGTTAGGTTCATGCATAAAGTTTACTCTATTGTTGAAAATTATCACAGGTCTTAGTAATATAGTAGTATCTGCTCAAATATTTATTGAGTGCTCTCTTGTATTTGACAAGGTCGAAGAAGCTAGAAGAACTCTCTGGTATTATGAAGGTCAAAAAATTATTGATTATTCCTAAAGTGGTGGATCTTAAATTTTAGTAAGACTGGAGAATTCAAGGAAAGCTAAGCAGACCCTAGAAAATACACATGGACAACATTTTTACATAACTTCTGAAAGTTCTTGAACCCCCAAAACCCATCTATAAGCTATTGTCCTAGAAGTAGATAAGTATCTTTATGAACTAGAGAGGAAGACCCTGAGAAGATTAATCCTCAGAAAATTTATGATCTTCATTCATTTGTTTGAAAATCCTTTCTGGGGCCCAAAATGCTGATCGCTGTGCTATGCTGAGTTTGCAAAGGTGGACAAGATGGTCCCTGCCCACAAAGGGTGTTGATGATGGCTGAGGGAACTGCCCAGCGAGCAGGCTGCTCTTCCTCTGCCTACTAATATGATGGAGATAAACATTGCATATGGGGAGTCAGGGGAATTTCTTAGGGAAGGTGAGATCCTGGGGAGGAGTAGGATACATCATGGGAAAGTGGGGAGAGTGACAGCATTATCATCAAGAGTTGGAGCCTGGAGATATGAAGCTAAAGGGAAAAGGATCATATTAACAGGGTTTTTTTCAGCCATGCCAGAGAATTTTGGCTTCATCCATGAGTGTTTTCAAATTACTTATTGTAACCCTTCGAACCTATAATCTCCTTTCTTTTTTATAAAGTATGAGTAAAGTGTCTTTGGTAAATATGAAGTTTCATTTACTTACATGTCACTTATAAATTGCATTTCTCACTTATAAACTTGATATTTCAAAACCTTCTCATTTTATAGTTGAACTAGACTCTAGAATAGATTTTGCTTAATGTTTTATTTTGCATATGAAGTGCCTAGATGTATATATAGCCATTTAATCATTAAACTGCATCTAACATTCTAACAGGTATCCACAATTCCTGGAGTCAGTGCTTATGGAAATGCAACTTCAGTGCAAGTAGGAAATATTTCAGGATATATTGATACTCCAGACCCACCAACAATCATCAGCTATCTACCTGGGCTTCTTTACAAATTTAGTTGTAGTTATCCATTGGAATACCTGGTTAATAATACCCAGCTTGCTTCGTAAGTTTGCATTTTATTCCTGCTTTCTCATATTGCATTTTTGCTTCAGGCATTTCGTATCTTTCAGGGACTTAGAAAGATAGCAGGATTTATTAAAAATAGTTAAATTCAAACAATGTAATGGGAAACATATTATGTCTAATATATTTACCTCTATCTGTTTATCTATTATATCTATCTATCTATCTATCTATCTATCTATCTATCTATCTATCTATCTCTAATTGTTATGATCCATAACAGACCCAAACCAGTTTTTCCCCCAAATCAAGCTGACTCAAACTAGCCAGTTGTCTGCCTTGGGTTCTCTTCACTCCCTTTGCCCAAGAGCCTTGGGTGTTTCATGGCCCTGGAGGCCCTGTGGCGTCTCCAGTGTGTACGACATTTGGTAACTACATTGCTGAATTTTGCTTGGCTTCCCTCTTGGCCATATGCTTTCACTGCTGGGCTGTGCTACCCCAGATTCTGGGATCTCCATTCCTCTGTTGAGCTGTCACCTGGAAGGGTGCTCATGATTCTCCCAGAAACATGGCATGGCCTTTAGGCAAGGAGCTCCAAATACGGACTGAGGGTGTAGCCTTCTGTTTATATTCACGTATGCATTATTTCCAAAGCACGTACTCCAGGAGAGGGCTATGCCCACATTAAAATATAATCACCTGGATTTGTTGAATATTTTTGACAAAATGGGATGATTAAGCGAACGCTTTCTCCAATTTTAGGATTTGCTATTATTAAGTCTTAGTTATTGCTTAATCTTAGTTATGAGGAAATGTGGAGGCCACATTCTACTTCATTGAAAAAATATTCATAGCTGGTTTTAATAGCACAGTAATGATAAGCACCTTGGTCAGAAGCAAGACTTTGACATGGAAAATGAGAAAGGAAAGGCCTCGAGTCAAAACAATATGGGTGTACAGGGAAGCATCTCTCACTCTGCCCCCAGTCCACACACTGAACACATTCTTGAGTTTCAATTCCATGGAAATTCATTGATTATTCAATTTATCATTTACCTACTATTTACCATCCAATGTTCTAGCAATGAACAAAGTAAACCAGATTCCCTGATCTCATGAAACTTCTATTCTAATGGAATTGATGAAAGTGTATTTGCATTAGATTCAAGCCCTTATCTGCCAAAAGCCTGTTAAAAGTAATGCAAAACAAACAAAAAAGATTGCTTTAAAAATAAAATGATCATAAAGAATAGCTTGTCTTTACTTGTTCCCTCTTGCTTTTTTAGTATTTTATCTGTTCAGAGATTTAAACAGTATAGCAACTCCAGGTATAATTAACAGTATGTCAGAATTATTCAGGAGTTTTAGTGCTTTAAGTCTAACATCTAGGTATCACTTTTACTCTAAAATCTCATCAGTGCTTTCCTTTTTCTAAATGTGTTTTAGGTCCTCAGCGGCTATTTCTGTGAGAGAGAACAATGGCACATTTGTCAGCACTTTGAACCTGCTCCTTTATAACGTAAGTTGATGGGTGAAGGATGTTATTTTCTCTTTCACTGTTGTGAGGAGTCATTTATGTGAATGGCTTTTATATAAAAATCTACTGAAAGCCACATTAACCCTGTTATGCCTTGGTAACATTTATCTATTTTTGCTACCATTTTCATATATCTTAGTGATAAAGGTATAATAATATCTCCATTAAATTTTCTAAAAGTTGATATAAGATTTAAATTTTATATCGTAAGTGTGATTTTAAATAATTACTTCAAATGTCTACCTACATTTACATGTATTTATTTGTTTATTTAGGTAGGGGTGTGTGAGTAGCTACAGTTAGCTTCAAGATTTAGGAAATATATATTTTTTTTATGTGTGATACAAAGATTTTAACAGTACAAATGGTGTTTCCCTTGGAGGCATCCTTGGTGATGAATGTGTTAATATTTTCAATATGGGTTTTGGCTGATGACAATTCTGTCACATCTGAAATAATTTGGATTGACTACATAGCATTATCTAAATTTTTGTCATGTAAATATCGACATTGGCAGCAAAACGTGAAAAATACATGGATTTCTATTTATACCTCTGACATTAATCCCCCAAATGATATTTTGATGTTGATTAAAAATTTTTATTCATACATTTTAAATGCCTGATTTAAATATCAATTTTTCAATCTATCAACCAACATTTCTGTAAATTATGAATCGGATTTTTGCATTATTATTCATGTCATCATGGCACTGAGTTATAATTCATGCAACTGATTTAAAAGTCAGTGCTTTATACTTTGAATATAATGAGCTATAAATATTGTAGTAGGACATTTTCCAAAGGCATTTAAAAAAATCATGTTTATAAGTTTGTAGTCTGACACCACAGAGTTCTAAACAACAAATTAAAATGTGTTAGAATCAAGATTGCCTTTCTGTCGTTTCTAAACTTTCTTCTGCAAAGAGAAGCTGTCGGCCGGGTGCTGTGGCTCACGCCTGTAATCCCAGCACTTTGGGAGGCCGAGGCGGGTGGATCACGAGGTCAGGAGATCGAGACCATCCTGGCTAACACGGTGAAACCCTGTCTCTACTAAAAAATACAAAAAATTAGCCGGGCGTGGTGGCGGGCACCTGTAGTCCCAGCTACTCGGGAGGCTGAGGCAGGAGAATGGCGTGAACCCGGGAGGCGGAGGTTGCAGGGAGCCGAGATAGCACCACTGCACTCCAGCCTGGGAGACAGAGCGAGACTCCGTCTCAAAAAAAAAAAAAAAAAAAAAAAAAAAAAAGGAAGCTGCCAAGATACTTGGTTCTACAATACTCAGCAAGCGTGTGCCAGTATTCACTTTTGATATGGTCAGATATTTACTATTGTTGTTAACAATATTTATATAACTTTAAACTGGAAAATTCCCGTCTGTTAATTTATATGCATAAGCTGTCTGAGCTTGAGTTGAGATTACTAGTTGGATTTAATATTATTTGTTCTAATTGAGTGAGACAAAGATGAGAATTCCTGATTCTAAAAAACTGAAAAATATGATCCATATGACATGTAATGATACTATTATTTTCTGTGAAATTAAACTATTCTCTCACTGAAATAGCAGAAAATCAAAATTTTGAAGTGTGGATTTCAGGAAGGCTTTGTTATTAAGGTCTTTCTTTTATCATTAAGAGATGGTACTGTAGTTCTGTTGCTAACAAGGTATAATCCTTAAAAGAATCTCTGAAATTGTAATGCTTAAAAAAGCCTATAATTAGATGATAACCTTAATATTTTAATTATACGATAACCAATTTTTTGATATTAGACTACAAGTGAAATAGATGGTGCCAAAATACTTCTCTTTTTAAATCAGTTATAGAGCAGTTTTAGTTTGGCAGAAAAGTTGATTAGAAAGTACAGAGTTCCCACATATACCCCCTCCCCTTGCACATATTTTTTTCTATTATTTACATCTTGTGTTAGTGTGAAACATTTGTTACAATTAATAAACCAATATTGATACATTATTAACCAAAGTCCATAGTTGACATTTCTTTTATGTTTAGGTTACTCTTCCTCTTGTACATTCTATGGGTTTTGACAAATATAAAGTGGCATTTGCTCATCATTGCTGTATAATACAGAAGAGTTTCAATGCCTCAAACTAAAAATTTTTTAACACAGTGTCATCATAGTATTTTGCCATTTTACAGGATTTTTAAAAATTAGTAATTTACCCTAGAAAAAATTTTGATATACTTTCATTAGTTGATCCAAAATCATACTTATTATTTTTGAAATATTAACATGTAGCTAGCCAGATGTAATTTTATTGTAGCATTCCAAATAAAATATTATAATCTTTTGAAGCCATTAATTCCTATTTCACATGGAATGTTTTTTATTTCTAACCCTTGAGGATAATGAAATTTTATATTACATCCCAACTACTTTCATTTTCTGATTTGTTATTTGGAGAGGAAAAGTTGCACTCAGTTCGATGTAGCACAATAGTTTATTTTTATGTGCTCTGGGATTCAGTAAGTATACTGAGGGGAAATTATATTTAGAAAACCAATGACTTCTATCAGCTATGTGATTTTCATATATGCAGATTACCAGTTGAACTGTGGCTTTATTTTGTGCAATATAAATATGTCAGTTTTGTTCATTGTGGAAATGGAAAGTAAGGATGCCTTTGTGTATTGGAATTCTACCTAAATGTTAGATTCTTCTGAGAGTGTGGAGAGTCAGCAAATATTAAATAAGGTTATTATAATTATGAACATTTTTTAAATGTTGGAGAAAAATTAAAATGGATATAATTGATTTTAGGGACAATATATTACTAATGAGTAAAAGCCACCATACAAATTAAAGTCAGAAAATTACCTCTTAGAAGCAATTCCAGTAGGAAAAAATTGATGATTCATAATTAAATCACAGGTGGATCATATGTCATTTGCAAAATGACTCAGCAATATAATGTTGTAAAGAAAGTAAGCATTCTTCTGCACAATAATGATGCAAATATAAGATGAAAGGGCTGTATAGTTAATGAAGTGTAGATTATTTGGAGAAGTTGGAAAAGGGAGCCTGAAAGATAATCACATAAAAATACTACCTATCAGACATGGTTAGAGGAGCTAATCATTTATCACCAAAATATAGAAAACAAAAGACTGAAGAGTATCAGTTTTTAAGTATATCTCTTATATATTTGGCTTTATTTGGCAATAAAATGTTTCGTATTAACTTTTTTTCCAAAAATGAAGCATCCCAACTATTACTGTCTTAAATTATAAAATTCAAAATATTTTGCTTTCTTCCAAGCCTTCTAAAGATATTATGGTTGATATGTTGTCTTTCCCAATGATTTTAAGATTTTATAATGAACATTAAAACTTTTCTGCCAAACAGCAATGTCTTCAGAATTACTAAGTTTAGGGAAACAATTGGCCTCTGTTAAATGATGTGACTGCTTAAATTTGGAGGGTTTTTTTGGTTTGTTTTTTGCACTCTATTTTTTCTGGTTTTCTTCATTATCAAATTATACCTGCTACTTCTTAATTTCTAATCCGATGCTTTAATCTACTGTGGATTTGAGAATGATACAAATAAGCTCTCTAGAACTGGTCCAAAATAAGGGTAGAAAAGTAAAAATGAAGTCCTGAGATACCCTTCTATAAGTGACCTCTAAAGAATTTGTGCAGGAACCATATGGCATGTATTTTAGCAGCTTGGAGTCTGTGTTTGTCTCAAAAGCTGAATCTTGCCCTATAAAAAATGTAATGAGTAAATGTCTCATTTTGGTTTTCTGTGTATTATTATTTAAAGCTTGCATCTTGAAGATATTGATACATTCTAGAAATTTGGTTCTCCTGTAGTTTCTTCTATTCTCCCTAGAAGAAAATTTCTATTCTTCTGTGACTTTAAAATGGTCTTACTTTGGTTTTCAATTAAACTTTAACAATTTCAATTTGCCAGGTAAGTGATTTTTGGTAAATAAAATATTATCAGAAGTATAAGAACTACAGTGCCTACAGTAAAGGGCTTAAATTTAAACAGATATAATTTAAATAAACTCAATATTAGTCTCTAATATAATCAAATAAATGGAACATTAATTTAAGTAAACTAAATATTGACCATTGAATATTAACCAAACTGAATATTAACTAGTGACCACTGAATATAATTTAGATACAGTGAACATTAGCCACCATATATGGTAAACTATGGAAACAAAAAGATTCACACATGGAATCAATTTGTTACATGGATATGGCTTAATAACAGTTCTGCCAAGAAACCAGAGGGTCACGTAAATCCTTTTTGGATTGATTCTGTAGGTTTATGTTGATTTACTTTCTTTTTTCTCTCTCTAATATTGTTGTTTTAAGTAGTAAGTGTGCTGTTGTTGGGGAGGTAATAATAGATTTTTTATTGTTTCATCATTAGGATTCAACCTACAACCAGCAGTTAATTATCCCCAGTATAGGATTACCTTTGAAAACCAAAGTATTTGCAGCTGTCCAAGCCACTAATTTGGATGGCAGGTAATTTCAAACTCTTGTCTTTTTTAGGTTAAAACTCTTTGACTGCCTAAATCCTCATGAGTCATAAAGTTGGGCCATTCATTTTTAAATTCAGTTTGAAAATATTATCATTGCCACACCATTTAGGCATGCTACTAAAAAGAAATAACAGATTACAAAGTTTAAGAGGTTACACTCATGTTCTGTCATTAATTGGAGAATAACAAGTCTTCCCATAAAGAAGGGGGGTGGTTCTTGGAACGGGGCATGGGAAGATCTGGGATGCCGAAATGTTGTATCTCTTCATCAGAAAGATGATTAACCAAATGTAGTCATTCTGTGAACACTTGATTTGCTTGCTTTTCCATATGTATGTTACTCTTCAATATGAATTTATTAAAGAATGAAAGGACTCTGCATAAGAGTGTGTCAAAATTACATAAAATGATCTCCAGAAACATCTCTATAAAAAAACTATTAAATTTCAGATGATACTTAAGAAAATTCAGAGCAATCAAACTAAAATGGAGCTCAAAAGCTGAAGCTCTAACCGTGCCCTATAAAAAAATGTAATGTGAAAATGGCCTGTTTTGGGTTGCTTATGTATTACTATTTAAACTTTGCATCCTGAAGAGATTGGTATACTCTATAAATTTAGTTCTTCTTTACCTTCTCCCTTCCTGTCCTGAAGAATATTTCTATTCTTGTATGAGTCTTTAAAATTGTCCTTTAATAATGCAGGAGTTTTTTCCATTTCATTGGCATTCGCTTCCCATGGATTAGTATTTTTTTTATAACATCGGAGTTGGAATGGACTAATGTATAAATGTGAGCAAAATCTAACCTTGTGGAGGAAGGCTGTGGATATGTATGTGCCTCATGGCTTTCTTCACCCTAACACAGTGTCTATTGTGGACTCCACAATCGCCAAACCACTGATTCTGATATACAATTTATGCTCTAAACTCCTTTGTTGTATTTGGTATTATAACATTCTCTGATTCTGTTAGAGACAGTAATATCTAGAAACAAAAAGCTATTGTTTATAGTGAACATATAAGCATCTATGTAGCTCATTTTAAAGTTTACTTCTCAGACTTTGACCATTCAGTTGTCTTGTACACAATTATTTTATGGCATTAGACTTGACTCCCCTTAATGTGAAATTGACAATTTGGTGCAGATTTTTAAACACTTTGAGTTCAGGAGAAAGTTCTTACTTTTTAAAAACTTGTATGGGTACATAGTAGGTGTATATATTTATGGGGTACTTGAGATGTTTTGATACAGGCATGCATGTGAAATAAGCAGGATGGAATAAGAGAAAGTTTTAATGAACAATAAACTTCCGCAAATAACAAGTAATAAACAATTATATTCCATGAGATAAGAAGTTTGTCAGGCAAGCGCGGTGGCTCACGCCTGTAATCCCAGCACTTTGGGAGGCCGAGGAGGGTGGATCACGAGGTCAAGAGATTGAGACCATCCTGGTTAACCCGGTGAAACCCCGTCTCTATTAAAAATACAAAAAAAAAAAAAAAAAATAGCCGGGCTTGGTGGCGGGCGCCTGTAGTCCCAGCTACTCGGGAGGCTGAGGCAGGAGAATGTCGTGAACCCAGGAGGCGGAGCTTGCAGTGAGCCGAGGTGGTGCCACTGCACTCCAGTCTGGGCAACGGAACAAGACTCCGTCTCAAAAAAAGAAAAGAAAGAAAGAAGGAAAAAGAAGTTTCTCAATATTTACTTCCCTTGTATTAGTAACTAATATCCAAAAGGAAATTCTGACTCTAGATTATGTTTGCTTACATTCTTTCAGATGGAATGTTTTAATGGATTATTGCTATACTACCCCATCAGGAAACCCAAATGATGACATTCGATATGATCTTTTCCTTAGGTAAGACTTAGCTGTCTAAGTATTATATTGATACCAATGACCCAGTTGTAGATAATTGAAATGGAATATCTAAGTCAGATAAATTATAAAGCACTATTATAGCTTTTGAATTTCAAGTTTTACATTTTGAACTTTGAGTCCTTATAAAGCTGAAAGTATAAAATTTGAGAGCAGTTATCAACACAAAATGCTGATAAGGCTATTGTTGAATCAGAGTTCTAAGTAAGTTATGTCCACCAAAGATGTTTTATTCATGTTTAGGAATATGGGAATATTTCACTGTCTTAGGAAACGCATAGTTAGGATATTATTCGCAGGAAAAGAAATGCAATAGAGGTTACTATTTATCTGCAACTAGACTGTCTCATATGTCAAAAGGAGAGTAAAATTAAAGTAATGGTCTGGATAATTTAGACCCCAAAATACTTTTGTTCATTTATCAGTATTTAGTATAAAACTATAATATAACCTACCACTCCTTTTCTTATTAGAGCCAATAACTTCATCCTCCTTCCCCAATAGACAGTGATATAGAGTGAATGTAATATATATCTGGGAAAAAAGGACATTGATCATAAAACCATTCAATCATCTCAGTTCCTTTTCAGCATTTTTTATCTGACAGCTGAACAGACTTGAGAGTCAAGCAATGTCTTCTAATCATGCTTATAAATTGCAATTGGCTCAGCTCACTGCAGCTAATTGACACATGATGGAAGTAATATAATGGGAAACCAAAAGAATACACTTTATTGGCTAATCAAGGGCAAGATGATGTTCAGAGGGTATGGTCAAACTGTTATTCTTACATATCCTATTTCTGGAAATGTTAATTTGAGCAACATTTTTGGGAAAAATTGTCAGTATGTATCAAAATACTTAAAAATTTCATATTCTTTGATTCTAGCTTTACAAATTGGGAAATATAGTTTAAAATATTTATGACATTCTGGTCTATCAGTGATATTTAAAATAGTAAAACATGGGAACAAATTATACATTCAGCAATAAGGAAATAGCTAGGTGAATTATGGACAACCAGTAAGTTGAGAGTCCATACAGGCACTACAATCATATAAAGTTATGTATTAGATAGAAAAAAATGGTTGGCTTTCTCCTACCTTCTCCCTTTCTGTCCTATTGGTATTTCTATCTTTGAAAATAATTGATTCTTTAACATTTAAAGGTATTAAAATATCAAGGAAAAGGAACCTAATATATAATTGTGTATATAATGAACTTCATTTATATAACAGAAAAGACTGTAAAGAGAAACAGCAAAAGGCTCACAGTGGTTTTTTATGCTTGGTAGGGTTATGGATTTTTTTTGACATTTCTCTTATTTTCCCAAACTTCTATAATCCTCATATATTGATAATCTGGAATATGATCATCAGACTTCTAGTGTGAATATAGAAGCAGCTTAGTTCTGAATCTTTTCAGTTTTCTTATTGGAAACCATTCAGAGTGAAATGCATAACTAAAGAAAAAAAATTTCCCAAATGTCCTTTTTTGTGAATCTAGGAGGAAAAGAAAACCTAGAAATTCTAAAGTAAATGCTAGTGTTGGTGAAAACAGTTAAGATCAAGAGAAAATGTTGTAAAAAGCAGTGTAGAAGAGGTGGTAAGGAAGGCAAGGAAGAAAAGTGGGTGCTGAGGGGGTCTTAAGGGAGTCAGCTCCCAGAAGCAGCTGGAGAAATACACACCTAGAAGGAAAGGGCACTACTTTGAATGGAAACTGCTATCCCCAGGGCTGGGGAATCTGAAGAAAAAACAGTAGAGAATGCTCAGAGCCTCAGAAGTGGCAGATCTCATAAAGTACCAGGAAAAGTATACCTTCTAAAGGTAAAGGAATCGCCTGGGAAGGCAGGGGCTCTGTCCTTGGTGGCAAGGCTGGTGAATAAACCTCAGGAACCCAGGGCTGATGGTAGAACCCTGTGAATATCTTTTAAGTTCAGTCAGCTGCACAGTTCTGCTATATTCAAAGAAAGTTGTTATTGAAAAACAGAGGAGGGAGCCCTTGAGTTGGGGAAACCCTTAAGGAAGGTATTTACCATTCCACATTGCCTTAGGGGTCCTAAAAATTTTAGGTTTAGGGAAATCCAACTCTTTCAAACTTGAATGATAAACAGATGCAGGTATTTCTTGCAGTGTTCCAATATTCTACAGGAAAAATATCGAAAATGGCAGAAAAGAAAATTTAAAGGTGAATTAAACTCACCAGAAAAATGCTGCCATGGAATATATAATATATACATTCCCACATTAATTTTTAAAAAGCAAAAAGCATCATGGTTATGAAGATAGAATTATGAGAACTTAGGTAAGTAAGGATAGGACAGTAAAAGCCATGGCTATGGAAATGTGTAAAGGAAACTGGGATAAGTGAAAATAAACAGAAATACAAAAAAATGTGTGAGAGGAAGGGACATGTAATTAGAAGGCATTCAAAGGAGTGCAGATCACAGCAGAAACAGTGTGGGACATGAAAGATAAGTATAAGAAATACAAATAAAAATAAACAAATATGAAGGAAAATAAAAAGAGGATTAAGTAAGAAAGATAGAAATAAAAAGGTGAGAAAGGGAATTCGATATATGTATAATATGCATAATTAGAATTGTCCCCCCAAAAGCCAAAATAATAGAACACATTGTTTAAAAATATAATCCAGGAACACTTTCCTAAATTAAAAAAAAATCTTACATTGATATAATGAAATGATGCCCTGGATGAAATTGAAGATTTCATTAAGTGGAAACCAGGGGAAATATAAAAAGACATAGAAATAAAATTTAAAAATTAGAATTTTACCTCTTACAAAACTTACTTCTGGTGGCCAACAAGTAAGTAAGGAAGTAAGGATACAGAAAATCTAAACGACATACGCAATAAGCTATATACAGAGAGACAGCAATTTATAACGATATCAAAAACCAGAAAGTCCTCACCACTTGGAAGTTGTAAAACCCATAAATAAGACTTGTATCAAAAATGAAAATATGAACCAATGTTTTGGAAGAAGTTAAGAAAAAGTTGGTTCCTTGAAAAAATACATTAATAGAGAATCACAAGCTAATCACGTCAAGAAAAAAAGGGATAAATGACAAATACAAAAAGATAAGCCGGGAATCAACATGGAAATGAGCAGAGTATGGTTCTATCAGATATCACAATCAATAAAATGTCACAATTATTAAAGGAATGTGATATTATGCAAAGCTAGACACATAGACAAAAGTCACAGAACAGTAAACTGAGAAATAGATCCCCAAACATATGGGAATTTAGTGTAAGATAGAGTGTGGTACCACAAATCAGTGGGATAAGTAGATTTTTTAAAACAGTGTTGGACATGGATAACAGTAAGATAAAAAATAGTATTGGACCTATACTTCACTCAATATACCATAATAAAACCTAAATAGATTATTAATTTAAAGGTAAAAACTACAACTTTAAAACTGGTAGAATAAAACAAGAGAAATACCTTTAAAACTTTGGAGTAAGGAAACTGGCTTCAGTGTAAATACTAGAAGCCACAAAATAACATATTGAAAATTTAACTACGTAAGAATAAAACTGTACACACACACACACACACACACACACACACACACACACACGGAATGTCCAAAGCCAAATAACAAAGGGAAACAATTTGCAACTTATATAACAACCAGTAACCACTTTTCTTAATACATAAAAGAACTCATAAGAATCAGAAAGAAAATGGCCAAGAACACAACAGAATTGATCAAAAGACACAAACCATTTTCAGATAAAGAAATGCAAATGACTATAAGGTATGTGAAGATACACAAACTCATTAATTATAAGAAAATACAAGTTAAAATTATAGGGTGATAGTTCATTTTTACTCTCAAATAGGGAATAATAAAAAATTTGATCCATACATTTCGCTGATGTAGCTCTGGAGAAGTAAGCATTGTTTTCATATATTGCTTGTGAAGTCCAAAATTGAATAATATTTATATAGGGCAAAGTGACAATATCTATTAAATGATTATATGGATGTATTCTGTAGTTAATCCTGTACATGTTCAACATGATATATTGTAAGATTATTCATTATTAGTTTTTAAAAAGCAAAAGATTCAAAAACAATGCATGTACATAAATAGGAAACTGATTAAATAAACTCTGAAACATGTCCATGATGAAATACTATACAGCTGTGGAAAAAAATGAGGAAGCTCTCTAAATATTGATACGGAAAGATCTCTAACACTGCTAAATCTTTAAAAGGCGAGGTACCACATAGTGTAGACAATATGCTATCATTTGTTTAAGGAGGGAGGACAATAAGAATACATTGCTTCTGTTTCTATTTTCATATACCCTGGGAATGATGTGAAAATAAATGAAAATAAATGAGAATGAAAATAAGTGAGATCACCTCTGGCAGGTTTCTATGTATTTTAAATTATTTGGATTTTTGAACTACATGAAAGTATAATTCTTCTAACTATTAATGCAATCAGAAACTGATCTGTTTAAATTTTGTGATCCAGGTTTTATTGTCATATCTGTTGAATTAGCTTATGCTATGATTAAATATCTGTAACGTGGCATGGTTCTGTTAGCTCTTAATGTAATGGCGGAGTCTTAATACGGTAGAAATTAATTTACAAGTCCCAGTAGGTTGGTACTTTCCAGTGATGTCCTGTTTTCACGTTCCCTAAAATTTAGCTGTGACAAGGACCCTCAGACCACCGTCATTGAGAATGGCCGAAGCCAGCGGGGCCGGTTTTCTTTTGAAGTGTTCCGATTTGTGAAACACAAGAATCAGAAAATGTCCACTGTCTTCTTGCACTGCGTTACCAAGCTCTGCAGAGCAGATGACTGCCCCTTCCTTATGCCGGTATGTTTTTAAGGAACTTCATTTTAAGTTGTTGAATTGATCTAAGCTGAAAGGTTATCAAATGTCAGAAACTAAGTTCTGCATAGAAAGTGGATATGTGTTAGATCAAATAGTTTGAAGTAGGATTTATTCATTTGTCTAGTAAAGATCTGCTAAATATCCTACTTTGTGCCAAGCATTATACCGAGGATACAGAGATGAGGTGTGCACAAATTCTGAATTTAATTAGATTATTCTTTAGGATCATTAGCTAGTCACAGAAGAAATCAAGACAAAAATCTTATGGTGCAAAGGCAGACAAATATATGGGTTGTAGTAACAGGCAGTATTCACCATTGTGAGAGAGATGAAGCAGGAGAGGTTGAGAGGATTGTTAGAGATGAACTCCAGCTGTTACTTCGAAGAGGACTGAACCCCAGAGAACCAAAATCAAGAGTGTGAGAGACATTGCTGGCCAAACGATGGTCAAAGACAGAGACACATAAATTAGTGTGATCAGAGAGCTTCTAGTTCTTCAGTAGGGTTGTAGAGCAGAGTAGAGATGATTGGAAAACCCAGGGAGTGGACTGGGCTGGTGCTGGAAAGGTAGATTGTGGCCAGATGGTCGGGAAATCACTGAGCTTAAAAGTTAAAAGCAATGAAAGGTGTGCATCTGTATTGCATACAGCCACCATTAAAATAAAGATCCATTTAAAGTAGTGAATAAAAAAAATTCTATTCTGACCGGCTCTCTAGGGCCACATCATTATTAACCTGAGAAAAATGCATGCCCTTTTTTAATTTGAAATACCATTAATATGTTTATATTTATGTTCAATTTATGCATAAATGGGAAGCTATTTCTTCATACTCATTGATCCCTTTGGACTAATAAGCTATGACAGATGGGGGTAAATGGAGAGTCCACATTACCTTGAGTCCATGCTGACCAACATTTCCGGGAAGGATTTATTAAAGGCTTGAGAGAAATAAAAGTAGAAAAGTTTGATAAACACAGCACTTTTTCAAGAGAGCCATTGAGCTATGTAAATTAATGAGGCAGTGCACAATTACAGCGGGAGGAAATAAGAAATGTGGCCCAAGCCAGGGTAAGAAACACTGTAGCAGTTACATGCAAAGTAATTAAATAAATGCACGGAAGGAAATGAATAAAATTAAACATGTGGTATCTCTTCCAAAAGAATCTGCTTTCCAAATGGCCATAAAGAAACAATTCTGCGCCGGTGTGGAATTTCATTTGTTTTCATTAACACCTCAGATTTGCAGCCACAGAGAAAGGAGAGATGCTGGGAGGAGGACGACTTGGAGCCCCCAGAGCTCTTCTGGCAGCGCGGTGCTCTCTGCTGGTCCCATCATTACTCGGAGTGGTAAGTGTGCTCCTCCTTCTGTATGTAGTAATAGACGGTTCCAAAATGCCTCGTTACTTGGCTTCTAACGAGAACTCAAAGTGGTTCCTAAACAGCACTAATTAATTGTGAGACAAGATAAACTACTAAGCAACTTTAATTTCACAGTAGTTTCCCTGTTTACTCAACTTTCACACAAAGGGCAATATTGTCTTTACTACGTTTCCTGTTTTCACACACACATACACACACACACACACACACACGCACACACGAGTAGGCCATGCTGGACCTGTTTTATTTATTTATTTATTTGAGACGGAGTGTCTCTCTGTTGTCCAGGCTGGGGTGCAGTGGTGTGATCTCGGCTCACTGCAACCTCCGCCTCCCGGGTTCAAGAGATTCTCCTGCCTCAGCCTCCAGGGTAGCTGAGATTACAGGCGCCTGCCACCATACCTGGCTAATTTTTGTATTTTTAGTAGAGATGGGGTTTCACCATGTTGCTCAGGCTGGTCTCGAACTCCTGACCTCATAATCCACCCACCTTGGCCTCCCAAAGTGCTGGGATTACAGGCGTGATCCCAGCTCATGCTGGACGTGTGTATCCGCTTGGATACCCTGTGGATCCGCTTCACCGTCCTCTGCCCTGCTGTCGCCCATGACTACTAATTTGAGTGCGCTGCAGCCTCTAGCTCCCTTGCCCTCTAGTTTCTGGTTGGGCTTGACCAATAGGTGGTGCTGTAAGCAGATGGGAGGGCACAGAAATTGTGGCGTCCACAGGGCTCCTCCCAGACAATTCTCTCCCTAGAACTACTCTGAAAACCCTCTCCTTATCCCTTAACTCTACTCTCTCTTGTGAATTCTCCACGTCTTTATAAATAGCCTATTAAACACTCCGTACATGGCCCAGTTTGAGTACCATTTGTTTCCTTTCAGAATTCTGCATATTACATACTCTCATCTACTGCATTCATTTGTGCTCATGAATTCATATAATCTAATGGACACAACTATTTATAACTCTTTATAAACATATCCTCATGTATACAAATATATGTGCATACATGTACCTACACACATACACACACACAATGTAAAGGGATATAGATTTTGTAGATTTAAGTCAGTGTGAACCCAGAGACTTTCAGAGTCCATTGGATAAAACAGAGATGTGGCATAAAAAACTCTGAAACTAAGGCCGGAAAAACTGGTTCTAGGTTTAGCTTTTGTTCTAACATGCTATGCGACTAGAGGCTTTATTTCATTTCTTTGGGAAAATGTTTCTTCATTTTTAAAGTAAAAGTTTTTAACAAGTTTATAAAGTTTTAAGATATTTCTTCATTTTTAAAATAAAAGTTTTAAGATTTTTTCTAACACTGTAGTTCTAAATTTCCCCCCAAAAAAGAGAATAATTCTGATTTGGACTATGTGCTAATAATGTTTTCTTCATTTTATATTAGCCTTAATGCTGTTATTATGTTTCAGTTACATTTTCGGTATCTTTTCTCCATGCTGCCCATCCCACAGTCAAAAGAAAGTTTTGCCTGAAATAGGCAAATCAGCAAAAAGTGGTTTTGGCCCAAAAAATTCAGACAATTGCTTTAATTACTTTCCTCCCTGTGTTTGTGTAGACCTAACATTATTTAAAAACAAACTAATAGGCCCTTTCAATAATGCAGAAATATATTAAATGTGAAATTTCAAACTTAGCCCATACTCCCTGAAGATTTTTGGTATGTGCTTTGACCGGCTTAAAAATGACTGGTTTGGCTGGGCGCGGTGGCTCACGCCTGTAATCCCAGCACTTTGGGAGGCTGAGGGGGGTGGATAACCTGAGGTCAGGAGTTCAAGACCAGCCTGGCCAACATGGTGAAAACCCGTCTCTACTAAAAATACAGAAATTAGCCAGGTGTGGTGGCATATGCCTGTAATCACAGCTACTTGGGAGGCTGAGGCAGGAGAATTGCTTGAGCCAGGGAGGCAGAGGTTGCAGTGAACCGAGATTGTGCCACTGCACTCCAGCCTGGCTGACAGAGTGAGACTCTGTCTCAAAAAAAAAAAAAAAAAGACTGGTTTGTAGCTTGTGAAAGTTCCATTTTTGATCTCTATCTAGCTTTCAGAAATGGCTCATAGAATTACATTGAATGGAAACTCAGTTCTTGTTGCCAAATAATTAGGATTGCTTTTGGGTAGGCACAATAAAAGAGATTTTTATTTCCATGGAGCATATCTAGAGTCAGTTTGCTATAAGAAAAGAACTTTTAAAGTGACATTTCTTCTGTTCATCTTGGGTAGATGGCTTTTCCTCCTTAATTACCTTCTTACTTCCTTCTTGCCTATGCAAAACTAAGTATTACAAATTTTAAATAATTTTTTAGCTGTATTCCTCCATTCTCATGCTGCTAATAAAGACACACCTGAGACTGTGTAATTTATAAAGAAAAAGAGATTTAATGGACTCACAGTTTCACATGGGTGGGGAGGCCTCACAATCATGGCAGAAGGCAAAGGAAGAGCAAAGTCGTATCTTAAATGGTGGCAGGCAAGAGGGCATGTGCAGAGGAATCGCCCTTTATAAAACCATGAGATCTTGTGAGATTTATTCACTATTATGAGAACAGCATGGGAAAAAAACCCATCCCCATGATTCAATTACCTCCCACAACATGTGGGTATTATGGAAGCTATAATTCAAGATGAGATTTGGGTGGGGACGCAAACCGTATCGTTAGTGTAAAATAATCTTTAAATATACAAAAAAAATTCTAAGACCCCCGAAATCCCAGTAAAGATAAATAAGTAGAAGTCTCTAATTCTAACATAAGTAACCAGCTCTCCAGGTTTATAGGTTTCATCCATCCCACATCCAGTTGCCCAAAATATCTATGTTAACACCACAAAGAGCTATCACAATGCCTCTGATGTCATGCCTGGATTTCTTTCCAATTTTCAACCAGTTTCCACCTCAAGAATGTCACTTATTGCCCAACATGCTAGAGTTTTCTCAGGGTCACCTCAGGTTTCTCCACCAGCAGAGCCCCCAGAGGAGCACACTCATGCTTTCAGGGTCCCCTTGAATCCTCTCTCATTCTCTCTCGAATTATTTTTAAATAATTTTGATAAATACAATTTTGGCGTGGTCTTCTTTGATCATCATGGTGGTCTCACTGCCTAAAGGAACATATACATATAAAGATGTTTACATTGTAATACTATGATATCCATGAAAATATATATTTTTAAAAATTCCACATGAACACAGAACTCAGAACTCAAGCCATATCCATCCACATGCAAATCCTGTGCAAACTTCATGTTCAACTTCATGACCAGAACTACCTTTTTTCCTTAGTTTCACTTTATTTTTACCTTAGGTCAGCTAGAATTTATCTCTTCAGGTCCTGTGGCCAATTTTATATAGATAAATCCAATTTCAGGCTTGATTTGCTCTCTTCAAAGCTCTCTGATGCTTGGAAGTTTTGCTCTATTTGCTCATTGAACCACTCCTTTTCCCTAGACATCTAGCTTAGGTAGAGTTCAGTAAGTTGTTAAACCTGAGAACTCCTGTTTTGTTTTGCTTTTTAATGAAATCAAATCCATTCTGGATATTTTTTACCCAACATAGTTAATAGTTTTGTTACTTGACTTAGGAAAATCTTCACACCCTCATAATGCAACCCCTCAAGAAAAATTTCCTGAAGTGTTCTTATTTAAAACTTCAAAATGCTGAAAGTGCTTGGATAGGGAAATGCTAATCAAAGAGTACAATTCTGGAAATCTAAAGGCACCAACACCAGAAAACAATACCTAATTGTTTTGTTTACTTAAATTCCTGTGGAGAAACCCAAGCCGTATTCTTGTTCGATTAGAATTGCTGAGTTTTATGAGTAGTTAATAATTCATTTGAGCATACTTGTTTGTCCCTTCTTGGGACTGGCACTCGTCTAGGAACTGGGAGTATAGTAGAGAACAGGCCACAGACTTTGTCCTCAGGGATCTTAGAGTTCAGAGGTAGAAACAGACTATGAACGAACGTAACACTGTGAAAAGTAAAAAGGTCGGTGCTTATTAATTTGAGATGTGTGGTCCATTTTACTACATAGGTTATTAAAGTTTTTTAAAAAAAAAACTTTTCTAGTACTAAGAGAAAAAAATTATTCTGCATGTATCTTTGGTGGTCATTTTTAAAATTATTATTTCAACTACTTACATGAGAAAGCAGAGAATGACAATTTGTCTGCCACTTCTGGCTTTCAAATGGCTGTGGCATTGCTGCTATCACCTTTCTCCTATAGGCTTTCAAATAGATAAATATACTCTTGGAGAGCCCCAAAAGTTTGGTATTCCAATCAGTTCTAATTCCAGAAGGCTTCAGGTGTTTCTTTTAGCATATATGTACATGTCAAGACCAAGTGGGTTCAAGGAATAAAAAAGTGTGGTGGGATAAAAGTCTCCTGAAAAAATGTCTACCTTCCCTTTCAAGGCTATACAGTGCTTTGATTTTTTTTGTTTGTTTGTTTTCTTTGCAATAATACAAAAATTGGAGGCTACCAGAAATAGCAACTAGATAAAGCAATTCTCTCTACCTTTATTCACTGTCAAATACAATTCCAAATAGTATTCAAATATCACAGGTTTCGATTTCAACCACCTGCCAAAGGTAGTATGCTTTCATTTTTTCAGAGTCCTGGAACCTGGATTTTGTCGTTCCAGTCTTATTTGGAAAAGGGTGTGTCTTTTCCCCACACACGGAGATTTTTGTCCACAGCGAAGTCCTCATTAATGACAACTGAGATACTGTTTCTATGGAAGTGTTGGTGGTAATACGGGGAGTGCAGGGGACAGTCTGACTTTTGTTAACCTTAGGATGCAGAAAATAGCAGAAAGGGCATCTAGTCATAGCACTCTTGTCTTATTTGAAACACTTATTAGAAAGGAACTTTCTATTTTTTAGTTGAAATATTTTAAAGCAATTAAGTGTGATTTCTAAAAAAAAGAATAGCTTTCAAAAATAAATTTTTAGCATTATATATTCTCCTCCTATGTTCCAGTGAGGCAGCTCATCTTGGGAAAAGAGCACATGGATATTTTGGAAGAATTGATCATAGTCCATTCATCCCACCTGTTTCCATGAGAAGGAAGTGTTATTATAAAGTAGTGTTGGTTAGAGGTTAGGATTTTTCTGAATGTTGTATAATAAAAATGTGTGTTATTTTTCTTTTTGTCCTATAGCGATGCATTGCACCATTCTAAAGAACCCTATGAATGAGTGCTGTATTAATTTTGAGCATTGTACTTCAGAATCAGACAGCAGAACCATCGTTTCTGCCAAGATTCATGTGTCTGAAAAAAAATGGTGTCAGATATTTTATAAATATCTCACCAGGTTCTCCCATTACTTGCTTAAAATACTAATCCTAGAGATTCATAGCTTGAGATATTCATCTTCATAACCAGAAATATTTTTCATATTGGTCAGTTTATATTATTTTAGAAAAAGGCCTCTGAAACTGAGCTTTGTTTTAAGCACATGTTTACTCTGTCATAAAGGCTGTGACAGATGGAAATTTCTTTATCTGTAAAATGGGGGTAGCAATAATATCCAAACCATATGGCTTCTGTGAGGATGAAATGTGATAATATATGAAACAGCAGTTTATGAACTATGTGGTTTTATACACATATTGATTGTAATAATATTTATATTCCAGAAATAAACAGTCAATTGCACGCATTATATGGTTCAAATAACAAACACAAATATTAAAACACAAATATGAAATTACTCTTATTTCAAATATGAAATATGAGCTCGTACAAGCTCCAGGGTTGATAGCAACATGATGACAAATTGGACAACAAAAATTGGGAAATCAAGTAATATGTTTATCGCATCTATTATTGTGTTTGGCAGGGAAAAGTCAAAAATCAACAGCTTCAATCTTTTACTTAACAGATGCAAATAAAACTACAACTCAGGCTCAGGAGTCATGTTTTCCTTTCATATAGTTATTAAGTGTAAATTTATCTTCTTGGAACTTAAAATGATGTGTTTGCAGATTACGTTGGGCAAATTGGCAATACTTAAAATAGAGTGGCACTAAATAATGAATATTCCGTATAACAGAATAACAAATAGCAGGTTATAGGGCCATAAAAAATGTAATAGCTGTTAACGATTACTGCCCCCACCAGCCTGACTGGAGAGCTAATGATGAAACAAAGTTGTCAGGCAAGAAAACAGCACACTGTATATTTTTTTCTATTACATTTGTATACCTAGGGCAGGGGTAGGATGTGGGCTTGGGGAATAGAAAGATGATGAAATCCAGGACATATGAAACAGGGCATGGACAAGCAGAATGGTTTAGGGGGACTTTCATTTTTGCCTTACTCAAGGAGATTATGGGTGGACGTAAGAGGAGATAACAGGTAAAAATGTAGGTACAATGTAATTATTAATCAGAATAAACAAAGGTAAATATTTGGAGAGATGATGTCACTTCTCTTTTTCTGTTTTTTCCCCTCAGATGAGACTCCAACCAACAATTCGCAACTTGGTAAGATAATTAACATATTTTGCAATGTTTTTTACATTTTTGGTGATCAGTTACAAAGCTGTAATCATCTAAGTGTAATGAGCTTGAGTTTTCCAAGTTTGGTCCATTTTAGATAACAGTTCACTGAGGGTTTTCAAACTCATATGTGATCTATTGGTCAATTTTTATAGCATTTGATAGCTTTTTGGTATTTTTGATTTTGGCTGCCCATGGGCAGCCTCTAAACCATACAATCCTTTGGTATTGGGTTGAATTACAGTCAAATAGATTGTAACACAATTCAGTGCCATGCTGCTATTCTATGAGATGCTGATGAAAGATGTTTTGCAGGTAAAATTGGGTCAAGGTGAGATAAATATTATATGGGGCCTTTACAACCGGGTGTGTTTTATTATTTGCAGGTTCTCCAAGTATGCCTCCCTTCCAGCTGAACGCCATCACCAGCGCACTGATATCAGGAATGGTCATTCTGGGAGTTACGAGCTTTTCTCTTCTTCTGTGCTCACTGGCCCTTCTGCACAGGAAGGGACCCACAAGTTTAGTGTTGAATGGCATAAGAAACCCAGTCTTTGACTGACTATAACAGATTCCTGCTCTCTGGAGAAGGCTTCACTGACTAAACTATGTGTGACTGCAGTCAGTGTTCCGTCTGAATTTCATGTCAGTCCACATTCAATATTTGTAGGTTTGATAAATTTCACAGTATAGCTTGTCAGCATAATGATAGTGAAAGAAGTTTATTATATTGCTATTGTCACTTATGTACGTGGCGAGCCGTATTTTTATGCCACCAGTGAATATATTGACAATAAGTGAAAAATATTCAGGACTTAGGGCTTACAGGATCAGTAATATTTCATTTTATTTCAGTTTTCTTTTGATTGTTGGTTAAAAGATAAAAGGTGGGAGTAGACAAAAAATGAAATGTGTTGCATTTCCCCCTTAAGCATTAATGGCATTTAGATTTGCACACGTGGTCCTAGAATAAATGTTGCTTTTTGTTTTAATCCGGATATTCCCAGCTTCAGGATGTGTTTTAATAGGACTGGCCAATTTGGATACCTGAGATTTAACTACTCATTCTATGACCTCCTGTGTTTTTGGCCGATTTTCATGTCTGACCATATTCATTTTAAAAGAAACTCTTGGGACATATCTCTTAACCTGGGGCACCCTTTTGTGTAGAAGATAGTGAAAATAGTTGTTAGCTTCCAAGGCTACTGCTAAGTGGCCCTAGATCATTATTCATTAGAATAGGAATGGCTGCGATCAGTTTTCTTCTTCTGGTTCAGGTGAGAACACCAGCACATGTTAACTCTCCTCCCAGGTAAACAGTTCAGCTGCTGTTGCAGCTGTGCTTCCAGCAGTGAGGTAACTATGCAAAGATTATTTTTAATTCAAGAATCATCACATGTGAAAACAAGCTGTAGTTGTGAAAAGAGTTCCTAGAAGGGTTTTTAACAATTTAGATTCCCTTTTTCCTAAAACAAAAAGGAAACTTAGGTTAAGTGTAGTTTGCAGAACATTGTTGGAATCTACATAAAAAGATATTCCTTCCCCCATATTTTCGATGCCAGGCAATAATCAGGAGAGGGTTTCTTTTTAAGGTATCTTCTTGTAGGTGTCATAATTGCCATGAATAAACAATATTTTCCTCTAACAGTAAACTGCAAGAAGCTTCTGATCCTTTATCAGTTTTGCAAAAAAGCAAGCTTTAAGCAGCCCATGTTCTTACAAAAAAAATCAACATTCTCTTTGTTTAAGCTACCTATGCACTGAACAAACAAAACAATTTAATAGCCAACACCAAAACCCAGCATGTGAAGTTACTAGAATTGCCATGTTAACTATAAGCAATTGCTGTAATCACTAATTTCTATTCAACATTTGTGACCCATTAGTCCGGACTTAATTTACTATACTGCATGCAAATCATCAAGCAATTGCTTCAAAGGAAATGTCTACAATGTGAGTTAATAATTAAATCAATCCTCAAGTTGAAAAACACTTTTTCTCCAATTTGCCTGAATATTTCAGGAGGAAGTGTTTATATTATAATAATTAGCTATATAATTGCATCAACTTTTTATTTCAAGGTATAGTTGCCAAGTAAAGTGGGATCTGGAAAGTCTCTGGATAATTTCTTTACAAAAAAAGTTTAAATCACATAAAAAGCCAATCTACTCTTCCCTGTGTTACTTTAAAATAACTTTGAAGTGACTATTCTGAGCTTTATCTGTGTTAACATGATTAACTGACCATACTACTAATGTGACCCTGTATATACATGGATAGTATTGAAATATGCTGGTAAATCTATTTCAGATACTTTAAGTGAATTGCCATTGATTCTACGATTAAGTTCTGTGAATAGGACATTATATCATTTAAGCTGTTTTGTCAATTTGATTTTTATGCTTTTGGAACGGCTGCTGTTTCAGCTGTTGGCCTTTTCAATTCTATACTCCATTTTATAGAATTGAATAATGGACACATGTCACTTGGGAAGCAACGTAAGTATCACATTATTTTTTGCCACCCTTTCATCATAAATGGAAGAATCAGAGTTATAATGAGATAAACCAGGTCTGTTTTTTACAACTTTGTTCTTATAAATCTGCAGTTATATGGAGTATTTAGTTATACTGAATTTTACAGTTATTATAGTGTGAAAAACCTTACAAAATATGTGCAAATGTTTCTTCAGTTTTAATACCTCAAACTGTTTTTTGCACTTCAGGGGTAAGGTCTGATGACATGTAAAAGATGATCGTTTAATAAAATAATTGTTTAAAATGTTTACCTGTTTTGTTTTTTTTTTAATTTTCTCCTTCCTGCTCTCAACATCCTATTCTTACTTTCACAAATACAGAGGGTCTCCAACTTATGATGGTTACATTTACAATTTTTGACTTTAAGATGGGTTTATCAGGCCATTAAATGCATTGTTGACCTGTGATTTTTTTTATTTATGATAAGTTTTTTGAGACATAACACCATTGGAAATTGAGGAGCATCTGTATTGAGAAAGATTTAGTCTAAAATAAGCTGCCTAATGCAACAGGGGTCAGTGATCTCTGTAAGTAGATGAAGTCTGCCCTCTCAATACTGAGCCCTGTGTTGGGAGACACATTCTTGATATCAGCTAAAGGTAAGGAAGTACATTTTTCTTTGAGCTTGAGCTCTAACTAAAATGGAACTTACAATTTTAAAAACTTTGGTAGGGACAGAAAAAAACTGGAAAGACAAGGAACTTGGCTTCTGCCCGGAATTTCACAGTCTCTCTTAAGTGCCAGCAGGATCTGGCTGTCCTCCTTTGTCTTGGGGGAGGGTTGGTAGGAAAGTGACACAGTGTTGAGGCAAAATCCTTTTCCTGACCCAGAGATAATCCAATCTCACAAAACTGGGCACTACCCTGAACCCTAAGTATTGACAATTAGCTTTGGGGGCGTCACAAGACATGATGGTTCATGAGGGACATTGTCAGCTGTGGAAAATGTAAGGCCACTTTATGAAGCCTCACAGACAGTAACTTCCAGAAGTTAGAATAGAGCAGAAGTTCATGGGAGACCCTTTTTTGTGAACACGGGTCTTGAACATAGTATGAAGAATAGTTTGAAGAATTGCAACAGGCTGGAGGGCCAGCTCACATTTATTTTGATTTAATATTTATAAGAAAAAGAGAAAGCTGATTATAGAACAACTGCCTTTGGGAATGAGGTTCTTCAATTATTTACAAGTGGGGAAACATTTAAAATAAAATAATCTAAAGTCATAATTTAGAAAAAAAATTTAAAAAATACTTGGATAGTAAAGAAAACAAATATCAGAGTGAGCTGGAGTTGGTGTCAGTCAGTGTTCCCCAGAGAAAAAGAATGCCGTGTTTTGCTGAGATAGCCAGAAGAGGATTCGTTTGGGGACTTCTGCTCATGTGGACTAGACATAATCTTTAGAAATCTCTGCTCAGTAATCTTCATTTATAAAATGCTTTATATTCTTGGCAAAGTGAAATTGAGAACTCAGATTGTTATCTGCTTAGTTTAAATCTCCAATTCCCCTTTGCCTCAAGTATCTGGATATTTCCTTTTTTACTTAAACTGCCAACGTAATTACTTCAATTTTCTCTTTCATTTTCAGTGTAAAAACGAGCAGTGCTAATCATTACATGGAGCTTTAGTCAAAGGCAATGCGGCCCCGATTTCTAGGTTAGTTTTCATCAGGAGCATAGCTGTGTTAGCATTGCCCAGAGCAAAATCCATTACTGAATAATCCTGCTGGTTTGACTAATCAACTAACACTAGAAGATCTTGGGAGAGCTGTGGTTTGACAATTTCATGCAACCCTGACTCAAAGTTATATGGGTCCTGAAGCTATTTCTTCTCCTATATGTAGTTCTCTAACTTATTTATTTATTTTTATAGTAGTGAACAATTGGCTAAACTGAAAAATTACTCTAGAGGAAATATGGTTGTGTTTAGCAATTATTTACAACTTGGAAATTAGAACTCATTTATTTAAAAGCTATCGTTTTGCTAATGTATATTTTGTGGCTGATAAAATGAGATGGCAGAAAATGATGTAGGGTTCTCATTGTAAAGAAAATGGAACCCAATGATTTCTTTTGAATCCTGTAAAGATAAGACATGGGTGCTTCTTCGGTATCTCATCTCACTCTATAAATACAATGTGGAACAAAGGCAATTCACTAATGCTCACTAAAAACTTTAATGCAGGCTGGGTATGGTGGCTCATGCCTGTAATCCCAGCACTTTGGGAGGCCAAGGTGGGCAGAATGCTTGAGCCCAGGAGTTCAAGATCAGCCTGGGCAGCATAGTGAGACCCTGTGTCTATTTAAAAATTTTAAAAATTTAAAAATTAAGAAAAACTGTAATTCTTTCTACCTTGTCAATGGATATATATTGAGAGTTTCTCTTATTTCACAAATTAATCATCAACATGGATGATTCGTGCCTCTAAGACTTGATCAGAAACTCTTTTGAAAGTTACCATGAATATTGTGATTAAACCAGTAGGAGCTATGGTAATTTTTACAAAGATATGCCAGGCTGAAGAAGTGTGCACACATTTGGCCTTGGATTCACAGCTGGATGTGTAAAGAACTTTGCCTGGTTACCATCGCAGTGGTTTCCAAATCCATGTGGCCTACTCCCCAAGGATGGTATTTCCACAGACCCATAGGAATTCTCCTCAAACTTGTCTTCCCTAATTTCCATAATTTTCTTCTTTTTTTGATTCCTGAAACTTTCAAACTTATAGAAAACTGCAGACAGCAATGTAACAACCACAGAAGTTTTACCATCTTGGATTGACAAATATGCATTTTTTTAATTGTTTCAGATCTATAAAAAAATTTGCATGTAAGTTGAAGTCCATTTTGTCCTCCTCTCTACTCTAATTCTTTTAACTATGTGACCAGAGGAATCACTGTCAGTAAGTTGCATGCTTTCTTTCCATCCATTTAAAAAATAATTACTACATGTGGATATTTTTCAAACAACAGAGTTTTAATGTTATCATATTTTATACTTCCTTATCACACTATATGTTTTCTTTTGCATGCTGATTTTTGAAGTCAACAGCATGTTACTGAAATCTCTTTATTTGGAGACAGATCAGTTTCATGACATCTTTACATTCCTGCCTTAATAACTTCTGGCTTGAATTATGCTCCAATAATTATTACTTTGTCTATCTTATAAGAAAGTCCTTTTCTCTTCCTCTCTCCTCTTTGGCCTTCAAAATTGCCTTGGATCTTTTTGCATCTTACTTTTATTCAAAGCTGATATCATGAGAAAAATTATGTTAAATACTTTGGTTGGATTTCATTGAAGTTGTAGATTAATGGGGAAAAATTGCCACATTTTTGATACCGAGGGATTTTTCCATCATCAATCTTGTTTTATTGATCCATTTATTCAAGTCTTCCTGTAATACCTTCAATTGAGTCTAGTACTTTCTCTATAAAAGTTCATAATATACAACTTTTGTTAAAGTTATGTGCAGGTATCATAGGTTTTGGCAGCTATGGTAAATGAAATCTTTTCTAGAAACTAAACTTTCTAATGACATATTGCTGTTGAATACAAATGTTAGTGATTTTTGTTTTTATATTTTATTTACCACTATTGACAGAGTGTCAGGTTTGTATTATAACCCTTTGGCTGTGGATCCCCTCAGATCAGTTCAGGGCACCCAAAAGTCACAACGAGGCCCTGGAGCCAAACGCTTTCATTCAAAGTACGCTTTATTTTTCTCAGCAACATCCTTGGAATTTTTTTTTTTTTTAACAGATTCTTGCTCTGTCACCCAGGCTGGAATGCAGTGGCATGATCTCAGCTCACTGCAACCTACACCTCCCGGGTTCAAGTGATTCTCATGCCTCAGCCTCCTGAATAGGTAGGATTACAGGCATGTGCCACCATGCCCAGCTAACTTTTTATTTTTAGTAGAGATGGGGTTTCACCACGTTGGTTAGGCTGGTCCCGAACTCCTGACTCAGGCAATCCACCCATCTCGGCCTCCCAAAGTGCTGGGATTACAGGCCTGAGCCACTGCACCCAGCCCGAATTTTTTATTTAATCACATTTTATTATTTTTATCTCTTACATGAAGGTTTCTCCAAAGGGCTTTTTGGAGTGCTACTAAATAGTATTAGTCACTCAGGAAAGTATTTTGTGTCATGGGGAACTTCTGGAAGTGTTATTAGCCCAGGGCTAGTTCTGAAAGTCAAACTCTGCCTGGCAGAAGTAGGTGAATGACAGCGATCAGAGGACATTGATTTTTGCCAGCTCTTACATGAGTCATAAATGTGATGATATTTGTGGATGCATTTGGCAAATACATATATGTTGATTGTTATTATGTTTTTCATCAAACTTACCTTATGTTTTAAAATTTGCTTTCAGAGGTGGGTATTAATATACCATGAGCCAATGAGGATGAGTTACATGCTGCAAATGTTGTCCCTTAGCACCCATCCCAAGCCAAGTGATGTTGACAGGGATGAGGAGTTCCATAGGGAAACAGTCCATGCACTTGGGTCACTTAAGGTACTAAGATTAGCCATCTGTCTCTTCTAATGGGGAAAGCAATGTTGGAATAGAGGGCAAGCACATATGGCCAGGGTCGGACTTCTCAGCCCACATTTGCTGAGGGAACAGATGAAGCAACAAAGTTGGGAAGTAACAGACTGGGCCATTAGGTGCCCAGTAGTGATGCTGGTGAGTGCTTGACTCAGTGTGTAATGTTTTATTTGATGCCTACATAATGGTGACTCTTGTTCCCTCATTTTAATCTCTTCAGGTTGATAGGACATGGGCAAATACTAAAAGGCTGGTTGTCTTTATATACGTTTATCTAGAGGTAGTCACTTACAAATCACCCATTTTTTTCAGTTTGTAAGATAAATTTTACAAGTTGTTAAAACTGACATTGCCTTTCCCACAGATTGTCAAAGAACAGTTATGGTTACATTAAAGTTCCGAATTTCCTGACCTCCTTGAGAGATAAAGGAACTGTAAATAAATTACACCGAATTTCTCTTAAAAGCCTTATCTTAGGGGATTAGTAACAATATCACATTTTTCAGAAGCCTCAGGGCAATAAAATCTCCTTAGTGTAATTGAAATCTAAGTACTTATCTACTAGAGAATTATATATTTCAACAGCTTTTAAAAAATTATGTTCCACTCTTAAAAGAAATCTGAATTTTAAAATTTACATTAAATCTTTTTATTCTAAGGCAAAGACAAAAGGCAAAAACTACATACAGTTTAATTTGATCTCATAATTTTTTTGCAAATTAGATTTTTTAAGAAAAATTATGAATTATAATTGAATCATCTAGCTTTTCCTATTATATAAGTGATATTTTAATCTATATGTAATAGGGGAAAACTAAGAAGAAGGGAATACTTACCATAGGTAGATACTTTTTATATCTAGTACGTATTGTAATAACCTCACAAAGTAGATGATATTTTCCTAATTTACTTAGAAAAATTTGAGTCATATTTTATTTGAATATATTGGAGGTGTAATATGCCTTCCAAGTTTTATTAATTAGTTAGTTAACATTTTGGAGTCATCGTTCTTTTAATGTTTTAATTGTTTCCCTTGACTAAGTTCTCATTCACCACTTGGGACGTGAGAGAAATGGAGGGAATAAAGAACTCTAGTTTACAGAGTTGATCAAAGTTCCTTGTATATTAATAGGTGTGGGTTAGTGTGTGTGAGTGAGAGATAAAAGTTGAAGAGCTGAACATTGATTACAGGGAAATTCGTTAGCATTAATAGAGTTTTATAGATATTGTACCATTAATAGACAGCTGAGTAAACTAATAACAACTTGACTTAGCTGTTTAGTAAAATTTTAATTATTATAGATAACATTAATTTGTGTTAGATTACTTGATTGTTAGTTTCATGTCATTTTAAAGTACGCATTTTTGTATTGGTTAGAATTATAGTCCATTGCAAGTAAAAGAGATGCAAAGTAGCAATAACTTAAATAAAATAGAAGTTCCATGTAAATGTCTCAGGCAGACATGCATTTCTGCCCCATGAAGCCCTCAGTGACAAATGTTCCTTTAGGCTCATTGCTCTACCATCTCCGGCCTGTAGCCCTTGTGTTATGGTTCAAAATGTAGAAAGATCCACAGAGTCAAAGGGTATATACCATTAATAGTTCAAGGAAGGTTCCTGGAAGCTGCCACAGGACATTTTCATATTGCACTTAGTGATATAGTCACCTTACTGGCAAGGATGTTTGGGAAATGCAGTCTTTATTGTGAGTGTCCTTGTGCCCAGCTATCAACAGAGGCTCTGTTTTACACCTATGTTACTCACATAGTGTCATCATTTACTCATGGCTGTAAAATGTTATGCACATTGATTCAGGTACAAGGATGTTTATCGCTGTATGGTTTTTAATAACAAAGTATTAGATAACACATGTTCCCAAATACAGAATTCGTAGATAGATCAGGATTTTTTCTGTGATATAGTAATATGTAGACATTGAAAAATCAGTTATAAAAACTTTTAGCAAATAAGAAAATGTTTATGCTATAGTATGAAAAGAAAAAAGCAGGATAAACAACTTGATATGGGTTTGTTCTCTGTCCTCACATAAATCTCATCTTGAATTGTAATCCCCAGGTATTGAGGGAGGGACCTGGTGGGAGGTGATTGGATCATGGGGACAGTTTCCCCAGGCTGTTGTCATGATAGTGAGTGAGTTCTCATGAGAGCTGATGGCTTCGAAAGTATTTGGCAGTTGCCCCTTCTCTCTCTCTCTCTCTCTCTCTCCAGCCTCCTCGTGAAGAAGGTGTTTGATTCTCCTTCACCTTCCGGCATGATTGTAAGTTTCCTGAGGCCTCCCCAGCCATGCAGTGCTGTGAGTCAATTAAACCTCTTTTTTAAATAAATTACCCTAGCCTGGCTTATTCTGAAAGTGTCCAGTTATATGTGTTCACAAAGATGTGGTTTGAAATTGGAACTTATGTTTGAAAGGGAGGTAGATCATAAAGGTTTGGAAAATTTGCAGCCTGACTGTGGTAGAAAAAAAAACAATTTTTCGGAAAGAAATTCAAACTGACTGCATAAATTTGCATAAATAATCAGGAGTTGAATGTTAATAACCAAGACAATGGGGAAACTGTCTCCAGGGCATATCAGAGAACTTCGAGGCAGCCCCTCCCATCACAGGCCTGGAGGCCTAAGAGGGAAAAATGGCTTCTGGGCACTGACCAGGGCCCAGCTTCTCTGTGCAGTTTTGGGATTTGGTGCCCTGCATCCCAGGTGCTCCAGCGCCAGTCGTGGCTAAAATGGGACAAGGCATATCTTCGGACCTTGCCTCAGAGGGTGAAAGCCTCAAGCCTTTGTGGCTTCCATGTGGTGTCGGGCCTTTGGGAGTGCAGAAGACAAGAGTTGAGTTTTGGGGACCTCTACCTAGATTTCAGAGAATGTATGGAAACACCTGGATGTCCAAGCAGAAGACTGCTGCCATAGTGGAGCTGTGAGAGGAGGGCCACCATCCTCCAGACCTCATAATGGTAGCACTGTGCACCTCAGAATGGTAGCACCGTGCACCTCAGAATGGGAGCATCACCATCCTCCAGATCTCAGAATGGTAGCCACAGACACTCAATGCCAGCCTGTGAAAGCAGTTTTGGGGGCTGTACCCTGCAGAGATACAGGGGAAGAGATGTCCAAGGCCTTGGGAGCCCACCTCTTGCATTGGTGTGACCTGGATGTCAGACATGAAGTAAAAGGAGATTATTTTGGAGCTTTAAGATTTAATGACTGCCCTGCTGGGTTTTGGACTTGCATTGGTCCCGTGGTCCCTCTGTTTTGGCCAATTTCTCCCATTTGGAAGGGGAACACTTATCCAAAGCCTGTTCTCCCATTGTGTCTTGGAAGTAACTAACTTGCTTTTGATTTTACAGGTTCATAGGTGAAAGGATCTTACCTTGTCTCAGATGAGACTTTGGACTTGGATGTTTGGGTTAATACTAGAATAAGTTAAGACTTTGGAGGACTGTTGGGAAGGCATGATTGGTTTTGAAATGTGAGAAGGACATGAGATTTGGGAGGGGCCAGTGGCAGTATGTTATGGCTTGGCTTTGTATCCCCACCCGAATTTCATCTGGAATTGTAATCCCCAGGTATTGAGGGAGGGACCTGGTGGTGATTGGATCATGGGGACAGTTTCCCTATGCTGTTGTCATGATGGTGAGTGAGTTCTCATGAGAGCTGCTGGTTTTTAAAGTGTTTGGCAGTTCCCCTTTCTCTCTCTCTCTCTCTCCTGCCACCTTGTGAAGAAAGTGTTTGCTTCTCCTTCACCTTCCTCCATGATTGTAAGTTTCTTGAGGCATCCCCAGCCTTGTGGAACTGTGAGTCAATTAAACCCCTTTTGTTTCTTAAACAACTATATATATAATATGAGTACACACAGAAAAAAGACAGGAAGGAAGTTGATAAAAATATAGACTATGAACAGTAAGGAAAAAGAATTGGTTTTAATACTAGTCCTCTTATGATACTATCTATAATGCTATCTTTTTATGAGAAAATATTTAGGTAATTTAAATCAGAACAGTTTTAGTTGTCTGATAATTGATAAGCAGAATAAAGTGTTTTATCTATACTGTTGAGATAATTACATCAATTTTCAACTTCATTTAGTTTTGCCTACTGAAAAAAATTATTTTTACCTAATCTAATGAGCACATACAGCAAGAAAATAAATTTCCAAATCTCTTTTGAGATATAGTGAAAACACAATGGCTTTGTTTATTCCTAACCAGTTCTAACATTTTACTCAATGTGAAAATGTTCTGCAACAAGCTTCAGATTATACAATAGCAGCATATTAAGCAGATTTGGGGAGCTGTGGCTCCTACTGACAGCAATGAATGAGCTATCTGACTCATTGTTTTTCATTTGTGCATTTGTTTTTCCCACATCACTAGCATTTGTTATGGTCACACTGCCAAGCTCACACAGAAAATGAGTTTATGCTTTGGGAAATGGTTGAAAAGCAGCATCATCTTCATTATGTCAACAATGAAAATTATGTTTGTCCATGCTTTCTGGAGCTGATGGCTAGAATGTTTGAAAACAACATCCAGGCATTTTCTCACTCATCCAGAAAAAAAATCCATGCCAGTGTTATTGTTTTTTATTTTACAAATAATTTGTTTTCCCCTTGCCCTTTAGAGCTGAGAAAAGCTGCATGTAATGAATGCTATTTGTACATAAAGGCAATTTCCAGAATGAGTACAACACCACTGCCTGACGATTTTTGAGAGAAATGGCATGTGGAAAAGATACAGCAACTCTTCAGATTGTCCCCTTCAGTTGAACACTACCCATTTTTTGGAAGTAAATGACGAACTCTTTTTTATGCATTTCCACCTTACCCCATCTCCCCATGAGAACAGTGATAATTGCTTTGTCGACTCTCAGATGTTTCCTTCATTACCTATTAAATATCTTAGAATGGGTGGCCATGACTCCATTATGAAAATGTCTATAATATAACTGCATTGTAATATAACTGTAATTCCTGCATGTCGGGAGAAAGGCTACAGCAGCTTTCCTTCATTGACTCTATTCATGTCAGGGTTTTTCCTCAAAATGGCAACCAGTAAAAGTAATTTTATACATACCCAGGGGATTTAAAATAGTGCTTTGAAGACTGTGTGGTTTTCTGATGTCAACTCTACAGTTCAAAAGGGATCACATTTTTTTCTCAGCTTAAAATCAACATTGGCCGGGCGCGGTGGCTCACGCCTGTAATCCCAGCACTTTGGGAGGCCGAGGCGGGCGGATCACGAGGTCAGGAGATCGAGACCATCCCGGCTAAAACGGTGAAACCCCGTCTCTACTAAAAATACAAAAAATTAGCTGGGCGTAGTGGCGGGCGCCTGTAGTCCCAGCTACTTGGGAGGCTGAGGCAGGAGAATGGAGTGAACCCGGGAGGTGGAGCTTGCAGTGAGCCGAGATCCCGCCACTGCACTCCAGCCTGGGTGACAGAGCGAGACTCCGTCTCAAAAAAAAAAAAAAAAAAAAAAAAAAACAACATTATTTTTCTTCAGATGGGATTAACGAGTAACAGAGCCAAGGATAGCACATTAATGTGTTTATCCTTTGCTCTTTAATCAAAATCACTTCTCCCAATATGTAAACTCTGGGCTAACTCTAGATGGAAGGCAGGAAGCACAGGATAATGCGCTGTTTTAAATGTAAATGGAAGATAAGATGTTGAGACTAAATTTTAAAAGCCACACCAAGCTATATTCATTCTACCCTCACATTTAAATAATTCTCACATTAAATAATTGTTCCAAAGGAACTGTCAGAATGAAACAGTCAGTCATAGCTTTTCCTAGCTGAATGTTGACAACTCTAAACATCCAAGACTTGCTGTGAAGCTATGAAAACTATTTTTTAAAAATTTGCAAAACATGAGCAAAGTCTTATTTCTTTTTGATTATTGGCAGAAAAATCAACAAATTCTACAATATTGATTAGGTGAAGCTTTCTATATTATGTTTATTTTGCAGGGTTACCTCAAATAATCTAAAAATTATAGGACCTATGCACACACTGCATTTGTATGCATTATTATTTTTAACTTTTAGTTATCATCTATATCCATGCTTTTTAGCTTAGGGAAAATGTGGAACTCACTATGAAATGCATAAGCTCTGCAAATCAGTACTTCGTCTCCTAGAGGCCTTGTTATACTTGAAGTCAAGGAATTCAGCACTTCGCTCAAAGAACATATTGCTCATTCCTAAAAGCTAATATTGTGTCATGGTGAATATGGGTCTAGGGTAAAGAGGAATAAATTGGAAACTTGTAATAACTCTAGAACCATAGTCTTCAGAGCATTGTCCCCTGACCAGTACAAGAAGTATTACTTGGGAACTTGCTGGAAATGCACTTCCTCAGGACCAAGTTCAGACCTTCTCAATCAGAAACAGGGGGTAGAACCCCATATTTTCTGTTTAACAAGCCCTCCACTTGATCCTAAAGTTTGAGAACCACTGTTCTAGAATAAAGTTGAAGTCAATTCCAGAAAGCTAAAAAGAGATCATCATAGATATGTGGCAGCATTTGTATATCCTCAAATACAAAGAAGTATACACACCATGCAATGTCTACAACTGTGTTTTTTCCTCATAGCTCCTTGTTCATTCTTGGGAGGCATTAATATATATGTTCCATTAAAAGGGGTGAACTTTTCAAACTGAGAAAGACTGTTCTTTGGTGAAAAATACACTTACCTGAATTCCTCTGCATATTACTTCCACAGATTATTATATATAATGAAAAAAACATGATCTGGTGTGGAATTGGACCTGATATGAACCACAATTCTGTCATTTGTTAGTTGAATGACCTTGAGGAAGTCATTTAGCCTCTAAGCTTCAGCTTCCTTATCTATGAAGTAAGATTCTCATAACAATTTTTAGGGTTAACTTGAGAACTAGGGATAATCTATGTAAAGCAGCTAGCTGAAGGCCAGGCACATGGTAGATATTAGACCTCCCGACTTGCCGGGCTTCCCCTTGCTATTCCAACGGCTGCTCTTTGCCATCGCTGTGACTTCTGACTTTTAAATTTGATTCTACCTGGAGTAGTGGGAGCTAAGAGCATGGGCTGTGGTGTCAGCCTATCTGAGTGTATTCCAGCTCTAAAACACAACCTGTGGTTTCCTCATGTGTATAATGTAAAAAATACTACTACCCACTTTCATAAGTTCTTCTAAGGAATAAATTAGCATAAGATGCTTATCAAATGACTGACATATAGTAAGCATGTAATTAATGTTAACTGTGACTATCATCTTCATTCATCAAGTTGGTATGACTTCACATCTCTACCTTACTCTGCTTGTACCTTAAAACATAATACTTTAGTGGAAAAAAGACATCCATTACTTCATTCATTTAGCAAATAAATATTTTCAAGAATCTACCACGTGAGAGTGTGTCTGAAATTGGTGGGTTCTTGGTCTCACTGACTTCAAAAATGAAGCCGCAGACCCTCGTGGTGAGTGTTACAGTTCTTAAAGATCGTGTGTCCAGAGTTTGTTCTTTCTGAGGTTGGGACGTATTCGGAGTTTCTTCCTTCTGGTGGGTTCATGGTCTTGCTGGCTTCAGGAGTGAAGCTGCAGACCTTCGAGGTGAGTGTTACAGCTCATAAAAGCAGGTGATGCAGACCCAAAGAGTGAGCAACAGCAATATTTACTGCAAAGAGTGAAAGAACAAAGCTTCCACAACAGGGAAGGGGACCCCAGAGAGTTGCCACTGCTGGCTCCGGCAGCCTGCTTTTATTCCCTTATCTGACCCCACCCACATCCTGCTGATTGGTCCATTTTACAGAGAGCTGATTGGCCCATTTTACAGAGAGCCGATTGGTCCATTTTTGACAGAGTGCTGATTGGCGCGTTTACAATCCCTGAGCTAGACACAGAGTCCTGATTGGTGTATTTACAATCCTCTAGCTAGAAGTAAAAGTTCTCCAAGTCCCCACTAGATTAACTAGACACAGAGCACTGACTGGTGTGTTTACAAACCTTGAGCTAGACACCAGGTGCTGATTGGTGCGTTTACAAACCTTGAGCTAGAAACAGGGTGCTGATTGGTGTATTTACAATCCTTTAGCTAGACATAAAGGTTCTCCAAGTCCCCACCAGATTAGCTAGATACAGGGTGCTTATTGGTGCATCCACAAACCCCGAGCTAGACAGAGTGCTGATTGGTGCATATACAATCTTCTGGCTAGACATAAATGTTCTCCAAGTCCCCACCCAACTCAGGAGCCCAGCTGGCTTCACCTAGTGGATCCTGAGCCAGGGCCATGGGCGGAGCTGCCTGCCAGTTCCACGCTGGGTGCCTGCACTCCTCAGCCTTTGGGCGGTCGATGGGACTGGGTGCCATGGAGCAGGGGGCGGCATCTGTTGGGGAGGCTTGGGCAGCGCGGGAGCCCACCTCTGGGGGCTCAGGCATGGTGGGCTGCAAGAGGACTTGAGCACAGACAGACCCTTTACCTAGTACTATTGAAGCACAGATTTGCATTTATTACTTTGTACTTCTTCAAGTTAGTTTCCTAATCTGTAAAATGGGGATAATAATAATTATCTTGGTATCTATGTTAGATCATTGTGAATAAAATGAGGTAATGAATGTGACTCCAAAAACTGAAATAAAAAGCTCCAAGGCCATGTGCAGATAATTGAACCATCAACACCTCCCCAGATTATACAACATGAAGGCAGAGAAAGATAGCTAAAGCGGCTCATTTCAAATCAGATTCCTCAGTTTGCTATTTGCATTTTCTATTTTATTTTGTTGTTTTATTTCAGATTCATGGTATACATGTGAAGATTTGTTACATGGCTATATTTCCTAATGCTGGAGTTTGGGCTTCTAGTGAACCCATTACCAAAATAATAAACACTGTACCCAACAGGCAATTTTTCAACCCTCATTCCCATTCTAGCTTCCCTCCTTTTGAAGTCCTCAGTGTCTATAATTTCCATCTTTATGTCCATATGTACCCATTGTTTAACTCTCACTTATAAGTGAGAACATGCTGTATTTGAGTATCTGTTTTTGACTTACTTCTTTAGGGTAATTTCTTCCAGTTCCAACTATTTTGATGCACATGACACAGTTTTATTCTTTTTTACAGCTGCATAGTGTTCCATGGTGTATATGCACCACATTTTCTTTCTCCAGTGGACACATTGTTGACACCATGACTTTGCTATTGTAAATAGTGCTCCAATAAACATACTTATGAACAGCAAAATAAACAATCAATAACGTAAGCAGACAACTTATTTGCATTTTTTGGCAGCCTTGGTGGTCTTGGTAGAATGAGATGAGGGGGAAAAGCAAATGATTTACTGCTGTAAATATGTTCTATATTACTAAGTTTATTTTTTGGAACGAGCATTTATATGCCACCAAGATTTCCATGATCTGAATGTTTGTGTCTCCCTCCCTCAAGTTTATATGTTGAAACCTAATCTCCAAAGTGATAGTATTAAGAGGTAGGGCTTTTAGGAGGTGATGGGGTCATTAGGGCAAAGCCCTCATGAATGGGATTAGCGTCTTTATAAAAGAGGCTTAAGGGAGCTTTTTGCCCCTTCCACCAAGTGAAGAGACAGCCAGAAGGCATGGTCTATAAGGAAATGGGACCTCACCAGACACTGAATCTGCAGGTGCCTTGTTCTTGGACTTTCTAGCCTGCAGAACTGTGAAAATAAATTTCTGTTGTTTATAAGCCACCCAGTTTATGACATTTTTATTATAGACGTCTGAATGGACTAAAATAAAATAACATTCTTGTTCTGAAAATGAGAACTCAATTTTTGAGCATCAAGTGAGGGTCACTGGATGACATCTGAGCTTCTGTCTACTGGGGGAAGTGCTGATCAATGCCTACTCCAGGCCACTAACTGCAGATTACTGAAGATCCAATTTTGGAGCCAATGAAGACAAACCTGACTGTGTGTTAGAGACCCTTCTTCCATCAGGGTTGATGATAGGGTCTTAAGTTTGTCTTGTTGCCTCTAAGATCCATTGTCATTAGATCTCTGGACATCTGTATATCTATCAAGTAGCACCCTTTTCTGTTATTGTCACCTCTCAAGACTAGACTTAGCTCTAATATTTGACTTATTCACTTTTCAGATAAACTCCATAGCCCTTTTCCCTGCCTCTGTCAGTTGCTCCCCAACTGTATTTCCTGCTATATAGGGAGTCATGAGCTGCAGTGCTTCCTGACCAAAAGTATCACTAATGTTGCAGGATTTCTTTTTTGTGTCTCTTCCAGCACTTCCCCCTTTTGGAATTTTACACTAGCCCAAATCATGTCTAAATCTGTCTGAGGTCTGATTTTGAATTTTAGGTTGTTGGCCAATGCCAGAGGGTCCAGTGCCTGTGTCTTCTTATCCATGATTATTCTCAGCTTACTTCTCTTATGATATAGTCTGCTGAGCAGTCTCACCATCTCTTGCAGTCTGGATTGTGTGGGTTAAGACAGGGAACCTTTCAAAGAAAAGAAGTCATTTCAATCTTCCTTAGACAGCAACTTAAGATACCCTAGCCGTTCAAATCATAACATTTCTAAGAAGGCAAGCAAAAATATTGTTAATTAAATATTCAATCTGTATTATAGCTAGCATATTAATTTTAAGTAGTTTTAATTTATAGTATAGTATAATTTTATTTATGTGAAGCATGTATTCTTTATAGCATAGAGTGCCCTCTTGTATAATCAATGTGTATGGGATATTTATACTCATTTTATTGGGCTGTGAGCACAATTTTACTATTAAACGTATGGAAGAATTTTATGGTTTTTTTATGACATCGTTGGCCTAAGCTAGGCTTACTTTTATGCCAAATCTCCTGTCAAGAACAGAACTCTCAATTTTAACATTGTTTCTATGGGAAAATACATAAATATATTGTGTCTTTCATGAACATCTGCTTGTCTATAATTTCAATGAAGCTAATGGATGGAGAACCAGGTTTTCTTCTTGCTGTTAGAACTTTATTTCCTCCCTATGTTTCCCTTTTGAAATAATGATTTCACTTAAAATTACGTGGTTACTTTATATAGTGGTGGAGTCTTTTACTATGAGTTAAGCACACATTTCCTTGAGATACAAAATTCTCAGTAAACTAAACTAAAGTTCTTAAAATGTGCCTGTATGCGCCTGTAGTCCCAGCTACTCGGGAGGCTGAGGTGAGAGAATGGCGTGAACCCCGGAGGCAGAGCTTGCAGTGAGCCGAGATTGCGCCGCTGCACTCCAGCCTGGGCGACAGAGCGAGACTCCGTCGCAACCTACTCATCTGACAAAGGGCTAATATCCAGAATCTACAATGAACTCAAACAAATTTACAAGAAAAAAACAAACAACCCCATCAAAAAGTGGGCGAAGGACATGAACAGACACTTCTCAAAAGAAGACATTTATGCAGCCAAAAAACACATGAAAAAATGCTCATCATCACTGGCCATCAGAGAAATGCAAATCAAAACCACTATGAGATATCATCTCACACCAGTTAGAATGGCAATCATTAAAAAGTCAGGAAACAACAGGTGCTGGAGAGGATGTGGAGAAATAGGAACACTTTTACACTGTTGGTGGGACTGTAAACTAGTTCAACCATTGTGGAAGTCAGTGTGGCGATTCCTCAGGGTTCTAGAACTAGAAATACCATTTGACCCAGCCATCCCATTACTGGGTATATACCCAAAGGATTATAAATCATGCTGCTATAAAGACACATGCACATGTATGTTTATTGTGGCACTATCCACAATAACAAAGACTTGGAACCAACCCAAATGTCCAACAATGATAGACTGGATTAAGAAAAAGTGGCACCTATACACCATGGAATACTATGCAGCCATAAAAAAGGATGAGTTCATGTCCTTTGTAGGGACATGGATGAAACTGGAAATCATCATTCTCAGTAAACTATCACAAGAACAAAAAACCAAACACTGCATATTCTCACTCATAGGTGGGAATTGAACAATGAGATCACATGGACACAGGAAGGGGAATATCACACTCTGGGGACTGTGGTGGGGTGGGGGGAGGGGGGAGGGATAGCATTGGGAGATATACCTAATGCTAGATGACGAGTTAGTGGGTGCAGCGCACCAGCATGGCACATGTATACATATGTAACTAACCTGCACAATGTGCACATGTACCCTAAAACTTAAAGTATAATAAAAAAAAAATGTGCCTGTATGTGTGTTTGGGGGATGTATGAGAGAATTGTTTGTATAAATGTATTACAACCCCCCTCCCCAAATCCTTAATTAGAAAACAATTTTAATGAAGAATAAAGGTATTGAAACATAAAATAAAATTGACTTTACCTACATCTGTCTTTTATTGTTAGCACTTTAGCTAGCCATTCTTCTATCAGTGTATTTCAATTCCTAGCCCTATTCAGAGATGTAGGTTTTATGTGGCCAATAAGACCTGAAATCATTCTCCGTGGTCCTCTGATATAAGACGGAGTCTGAGAGATGTAGATGCAGTGGATCATATCCTCAAAAACACTGGATATCTGGTGTTTGGTGTGGTATTAAGAGTAGTTGTACCCAGGGCCTTATATAATGTGCAAAATAGTAAGAATTAGTGGTATACTAGAAAAGTGAGAGCTAAATAATGAGAACACATGAACACATAGAGGGGAGCAACACATCGTGGGGCCTATTGGACTGTGGAGGGTGGGAGGGTGGGAGGAGGGAGAGGATCAGGAAAAATAGCAAATGGGTACGAGGATTAATACCTGAGTAATGAAATAATCTGTACTACAAGACTCCATGACACAAGTTTACCTATGAAACAAACCTGCACATGTAACCCTAAAGTTAAAATAATTAAAAAAAAAAGTGTTGAGCAAAAACTTGGAAGAACTATTCATTTTGGCAAATCATAATCTCTCTAAACTTCCATTAGTCTTTATTGTTGTGTTTTATCAATTCCTGTAAGACGTAAAATTAGCTTTACCTTGACTTCATGTGTCAAACCACTTTAATATATTAACATTTTAATAAAAATAGTAAAGTTACATGTGGAAACATACTCATTGCAACTTTAAGTTTTCCACACTTGGGGAGAGAAAAACTGTTAGGCCTAACCGTGCAGCCTTGAGTTAAACCAGCAATAAATGTAATTTGATAATATAAAATTCTCATCTTCAGATTTATAAAGTATACGTGCTAAAATAATAAGATTTCATAACCAACAAATACTTAATCATCTTTCGTTTGTTATTGAAAGCTTTTAATTTACTGCCAATTGTTCTTTGTCATGATATATTGTAAAATAAAAATGCTCACAACTCTCTTTTTATACTAATGAAAAGTCATATAAATGTAAAAACTATTTCGTTTCATCCATGCAATGTTAATTTCCATCCAGAGTAAGCAAAATATTTCATATGCAAGCAGTGAATCTCGTATAGTCCCATTTTAAGGTTGTCAAATATTCTGATTTCAATCCTATTTGACCAATTTAAATTGCAATTTAAATGGTTAGATTCTACCATTAGATTTTAATTACCTTCAATTCTATCAGAGCAGGGTTCCACAGCTCTTTGTAGCAAATTCATTTCCTGCTTAACCAAAGAGACAATGCTCTTTAAATAGATTTTTCCCCTGCCAGTGCTTTCTCTGGAAAGAAATAGTTTTAATACAGCCTGTCGTTGTATTTTCTCCCGTACTTCAGGACAAATTTATGAATAAAATAAAGTAATGCACCATATAAGGGAAAGACAAGATAAGAAACATAATAATGGTTACTTTGTGAATAAATACTTATTATTTTAAAAAATATTTGTGACTAAATGGCCCTATCATTTGAACTAAGAACCCTACATTCTCATAATAGTGTGACTTTGCACCTTTAAACATTTCTTTCCACAGATCATTTCCAATACAACATCTCTGGAGAGTGAGTGTATAATTGTATAATTAAATGAAGTGCATAGAGGAAAAGAAATCTGTACTAGTTGTACTGTGATTTCAAGCACAGCATAGAAAGAAATCATAGAGAAACCATCAGATAGTGCACATTTACACTTACATGAAAATACATTGTAGAAGATGTAGCAATTGAGAGCCTCATCTGTATTCTTGATTTTAGCTATTACCACGCATTTCTGGACAACTCATTAATTGCTTCATGCCACCAAGGGCCCACTTAGCGCATTGAAGCAGTAACCTATTAAGTGATCCCAGGGGCCTGAAAGATTTAAGTTGGGCTCCAAAAGAAAACTACAATAGTTGATACAGGATTGCTAAAAGTGAGACATGTTGGAAATACATTTTGTGACTGCATAACAATAACTTTGAGAATGCAAATATTGTCATGTGTATGGGTGGTAAGAGGAAAATGAATTTTGTCACTTAAGCCTTGAGGATTTTTGATATAACAGTTTCTGAGAGTGAAGGTGACTCTATCATGATGCTGCAGCACCTTGGCAGAAAAGCTTCCCATTATTTGCACACCATCATGTTTAAAATCTAGTGTGGTAAGAGATTGCCAATTTCTTTAAGTGGGATCTGTTGCCATTATAATCAAATATGACAGGCTTCTGGATAATAATTTAAAATAAAGTACTGTCTATCTTGAATCAAATAATGAATAACTTAAAAAGTCAAATTAAAATTTTTTTGTAAGACCTATATTTCTTGCACAAAATCAGGAAGATATAAACAAAGAGATTGTTTCTATACCCATCACTAACCAGTATTACAGAAGGCACTAAATGTTAAAGTGGTTGAAAGTTTCAAATTCAAACAAATCTTGATTCTGTCACTTACCAGTAATATGATTTTGAACAGATTTCCTCATATTTTTTTAATGCCCAGTTTCCTCATCTCTAAGATGGGAGTGACTACATGCAGTTGTGAGAATTAAAGGCGATCATCTCAGAACGGGGCCTAACACTCAGAATGTCCTCAATATATTGTTGGTGGTGACGATGATAAGTAGCTCTCAGCTAAGACTGAAATCTTTTGATTGCTCTTGTATTGTCCACGTTTAAACAGCAGACAGATACTTCAATTCAGCCTCTACAATATCTCTCACATCTGTGCTTTCTTTTCAGTCCCACCCTTCTCCCCTAAATCAGGTACTATTCAAATGAGAAAACTTTGAATTTTGCTTTGTGTGAGCACTTTGTAAATTACAACACACCATAGAATTTTAAACATTTTATTGAAACTTACCAGAACGATAGTAACTAATTAACTGGTATTCTACCTACCAGTCATTACACATCCTAATCCATTCTTAATGGTGCTGGCAGAGGTACCCTTTAAAGCCTATATTTTCAGATTACAACTTTACTCAAAACACTTCTATGGCCACCGGGATCAGCACAGTGGATAATGTTCTATTGAACGTGGCCATTGTTTTTTGTTATTACCTCATCTTCTAATATTTTCCTCAAATCTCTCCAGCATCTTATTCTCCAGCGTGCAAAAAGATGCCATTCCTTGAATTTGTTCTAATTTTTCTTGACTTATATAACTAGTCAACTCTTTAGTTAATTGGACAAATATTAATTGAGGAGTTTTTCATATGTCCCCTCTCTCTACCAAAAGGTTTCTCTATTCCACTATTTCTATCCCCCAAATTCCACCTTTATTTCTATTTATTTATGTTTGAGACAGGGTCTTACTCTGTCACCTAGGCTGGAGTCCAGTGGCATGATCATGTCTCACTACAGCCTCGACTTCCTGGGCTACAGTTATTCTCCCACCTCAGCCTCCTGACTGGCAGGGACTACAGGTATGTGCCACCATGCTCAGCTTGTTTTATATATTATATTTGTAGAGATAAGGTTTTTCCATGTTGCCCAGGCTGGTCTCCAACTCCTGGGCTCAATTGATCCACCTGCCTCAGCCTCCCAAAATGCTAGAATCACAAATTCCACCTTTAAATTTTCTTTAATTTCGCTTTCTCAGATCTCTTTGGTGGGAATCAATCTCTCCCTCGCCTGTTTTCCATTTTTTAGAATATATTCACATTCATCCTTCTACCTTAGTTTTTCATTCACAACATAATCTGAGAGGCCTGGGCAAGAATCAGGTTGCCGTGTTCTCTACAATGCTGAGTAGAGCATCTTTCGCAAGATAGGTGCTAATTCATGAGAGGAAATATTGTCTTTTTCTCTATAGATGTATTTACTAATACTAAGCTGCAGTTAAAAAAATACAGGAATAAAAAATAGAGCAACAGCTGGATTTAAAAAAAAAATCCCCAAACCCATAGGGGATAGAGATTGGCTTTGATGCCTCCTTCTCTTTTTTTAAATGTATTTCTCTTAAGCTGTATATTCCTTTGATATTTATTTTAACCAGAATTCAGTAGGATAGAAGTGTTAGGTGAAGGTCATGGATAAAAGATGGAGGGAGAAACAAAGTTTCTCCCCAGGCCAAAAGCGTCACTGTGGACCAACATCTGAAATGTTTCACAAAGTCCCATAACAAATCCCCATTGTCATTCAGCAACTGCAACAAAGTGCATACATAACTCACTGACTTTTTTTTTCCCTCTTTTTGTCATTTGATGGCAACCTGTACTAACCTGACCTGGCCAGTTTAATATTCAGAGTAAGGAGAAAAGTCATCACAGAACAAAATAAAACTTTATCAATGAACATTCTTCTCATTTTCTGCATCCTAACTTTACCCCAATATTTTATGGTTCTCTCTAGACCTAACCTGCTTTTCCAGGTGAGATGTTGAAAATAGAAGGTCAGAGTTGTAAAATATTTTCTTGGCTTCCAACGCCAGAAATATGCAGGTTTATGAATGTCTACTATGTCTATCAAACAGGTAACATTTTGAGGACTACTTCAGGCTTTTCAAATGTTTTTTCATCCTTCATGTAAGTCACAGGACACTGCTGTGAACTGTGTCGATGATATAGTTGGGTGGGTCATTTAGGGGCCACAGTGTTGATGGCTGTGGACAAGAAACTGTTATAAACTTGCCATACCTTTGATAGAGTAATAATTTGGATAAATAGCACTGTCCTTTTAAAGATGTTTAAATCCAGCTAGAGGCACCTGTTTTTCTAAATGAATGAAATTGGTCAGCAGCTAAAGTTGAATCTCAACTGGACCTATGAACAATGAAAATTAGTCAGTTTTTACTGTGAGGAATGCATGATCTTAGTATCTCCTGTTTTGGATCCCAATTTAAACATAAGAATAGATGGACTGAAAAAAAGAAAGTATGTTCACTCTCAAATTCACAATTATGCTGAGGAAAACAAGTAAGTTTGTAAATGTTCTATTGCCTGACTGACAAACTAAATCAAAGTGGAGAAAGCACCGCCCTTTTTTCCATGGATCAAAATATTATTCTGGTCTCCTTGTTTCCTGAAATGGCCCTACAATTATGGCTTCATTCTCATGACATCATATGAGGCTTACTTTGCATCAGACCGGGAAGAGATTTGTATTAAGTGCTATTTCTGTGATTGACTCTTCTCCTTTAATTTAAAGGTGCATTAAACACGATTTACAAGGATATTCAAATCACGTAGGTTTTCCTTTAAAGTTTTCCACTTGATAGAACAGAGGATATCATAGCTACATTGCTGTTTCTACTGAATCCACTATTTCAGACAGATATTGCCTGAAAACCTGCTGCTAGCTATAAAATGAATAAAATATCAATGCTGAGCTACAACCTGCACACCAGATGTAACCATGCTTCTTTGGAAACTATGCCCACCAACAGGAGCTATGTGAGAAATTGGCCCTGAGCTCTTTCAGCCTCATAGACAGGACTCTAATTAGCACACTGATAAATACTTCAATGACTAACAGACAGAATAAGCATTCTGCAGTCTAATTTATACCATTCTCTGGTAGGGAATGATAAACTACACTGCTGATACCAGGGATTCATGAAAGTAATAATAACATTAACCAAATTCTATATACAAAATAATCTTATTACACCTCAACCTTGACTATCCCTGCAAATCATGAACAGAGATAATATGGACACATGCAGCTTGTAGATACTCACCTCATGTAAACTTTTAGGTTCAGATTCCTTGACTATTTATCCCTTTACTAAAACCTGAAATATAAAACAAAATAGGTTAACGTGTCTAGGCTTTACTGTAATTCCCTTCTGCCTACCCTTACTGAAACGCTTTTGCATATTCAGGAATAAGCCCATTTTGAACCAGAAAAAACAGGTTAATTTTACTGATACTTCCTTATATTAGGCTCTTTCAGTTGACAAAGAACAAAAAGGTAAACAAGTTTTTTTTTTTTTCTTCAGATAATGTTAGTTTTGATCAGGATTCACACAGAAGAACCAGGAAACATTGAAAAAGGCCTCAGCATGCACATAATCAGATCTCATGGAGAACTGGAACTCAATAAGAATTCAAGCTACTCTAGATGCCCAACAACAATTCTGGCAGTAAATTATTCCCCCAACTCAGTTTCAATCTCTCTCTATAATTCTTCTTCTACTTCTCTTTCTACTATTGACTGAGACTTGAGCTAACCGGCTTCTGTTTTAGCAGTTATTCCTGTATTATGGCTCTTGTTTACTGAAAACCTTTCATGACTTTTCTTCTGTGCGGCCATGTCGTCTGAGTCTCTCTATTCTTTGTATCCAAGTTCTTCAAGAAAAACCGTCTAGTCGGGCAAATAATTATAGTACAGCATAGAGTACCTACAATGAATGGATGTCTAAGTTTAGGACATACCTCAAAGGCTGTGTAGGTCATTGTAGAGTTGAGTGCCTTTGGTGTTGGTATAATGTGGTCTAAAGCTTAGTCACATAGGCATTAGAATCTAGCATCTTTGGTTATGTAAAAGTCACTTATTTCTTTTATGAGCATTGAATTGTGAGTAGACAATTCAAGCAAGTTAATGAGTGATATGAACGAAAGAAATGACTAAGAGAAGGAGGAAGAAGAAGAGCAGGAACAAGTGGCTTGGGAAAAGTTTATTAAAGTAATACTTGGCATGCTTTTTATGTTTTATTTGAAACTGACAATAATATAACTTTCTAGGAAGAATTATTTTTTAGCTCTTGAAGAAACCAAGGTATTAAAATTGTCAATCACATTGCCAACCAAAAATATAGCATATAATAATCAAAATTAGAAATGTGATAATAGGTAGGGGCAGGCGCAGTGGCTCCCGTCTGTAATCCTAGCACTTTGGGAGGCCGAGGCAGGCAGATCACCTGAGGTCAGGAGTTTGAGACCAGCCTGGCCAACATGAGAAACCCTGTGTCTACTAAAAACACAAAAATTAGCTGGGCATGGTGGCACGTGTCTTTAATCCCAGCTACCAGGGAGGCTGAGGCAGGAGAATTGCTGGAAATTGGGAGGCAGAGGCTGCAGTGAGCCGAGATGGCACCACTGCGTTCCAGCCTGGGCAATAGGCGAGACTCCATCTCAAAAAAAAAAAAAAAAGAAATGTAATAACAAATATCAGCTCATTTGCTTGCCCTTCCACTCCAGAGGAAGTCAGGTATAACTACCCTGGGATCTCATAATTGAATCATCATAAGAGTATATAAGATCTTTTTTCTCAAACCTCTTATTTTGCATTTGAAGATTAAGGCTAAGTAAATGGTCCAAGATCTCACAGCTAATTAGTGCTTAGGTGCTGCACCACATTATAAGGGACAAGTTTAATGGTCTTGGAAAACATTTCCCCACCACTAGATTCTATGTTTTGTCTAGGACACTGTGAGCAGCATTTCTGTGTGCATCTAGGGGAATCCTACCACTTTCAAGTGATTACTTCATTACTTAAAACCCTCAATCAACAGATCAAAGAAAGATTACAGAAGTCATTCAATTTCCTGACAAATGGCTGAGATAGCTATTTTCCTTTGGGTTTGAATGCTCAGATTCATTTATTCCTCCATGCTGTTTTTGTGATACTAAAGGAACTTTAAATTATGCCCTTTTATATTTTTTTCAGAGGATTTTGTATCAGTGTTAAACACAGCACCAGCATCAATACCACTCATAATTATTCTTTTTTTTCTTCTGTCAGTATACTTCAAACACCATATGTGAGGCTTTGCAAAGACACGGGCAGGGCCTTCGTCCAGGAATCAGCAGCACTGACTGAAGATGTCACATCTTCTGATTGCCCATTATTACAGAAATTGTAATTCATGTCCTCCCAATTACAATCTTGTAATTTTACCTTCCACAGAGATTATATCCAATATATCACAATAAGCCTGTCATTTAGAGCACAAGAAATTAAATCAGGCTGAGAAATCCTGGAGTGTAAATTATGTCCATTTAGGTATTTTACAGGTGCCCTGCTGAAGAGATAGATGTCTTAACTCTCTCCAGTTCATCCTTTTTTCATTCCTATGGCAGTGATTCCAGGCCCTTGAGAAAACAAAGCCAGTCATTCTACCTGATTTTTGGGCACAATCCTAGAGTAAAAATAATATTATTTTCCATATCATTTCCTGACACCTCAAGCTGGGCAGAAGAGTAGGGCTTCGAGAGTTGAAAAGAAGCAGTATTAGAACCTCATTGCCAGGGAAAAAAAAACAATCTAAACCTGTTAGAAAATAAAACAACAACAACGACAAAAAACCGTTTCACCCACCAACTGACCACTCCTGCAAGCAGCAGAGTTTAAAGTGCTTCAGAGAGCCATGCTAAGTTTGCAACAGTAAATTACTGGATTCAACTAAATTGTTGGTGTTCAGAGTCTCAGAGTAATCCCCTAGTCTCAGTCTTGCTTCACTTACTTTCATATTTTCGGTAAGTTATGGCCAACAATCACCTAATATGTTTTGACTGTCAAACTTTTATGCAATTGGTAATGATCCTTCCAAAATGGTTTCTGTGACCAGTGAAGCTTTCTCCCATAAACCATAGACTCAGAAAGGAAACTGGAGATGACCAAGGCATTTCGTGTTTGCATTTGTATTCATTTGTGTACAGACCCACAATTCCTAATGGTGCATCCTTTCATTCTCTAAATGTCACTCTTAAATGCTATAGTAATGCATTTGATTCTGAATAATACCAAGGCATTAAAAATAAAACTCTTTTCCTTGTCATAGCATGGAATATAATTATATCAACTGTAGTCAGTTAAGAATAAAGACATGGAGTTAGAAGGTCTAAAACCTAGGGACTAAGCCCATCTCTATCTCTATTCTACCCTTGTGGTAAGAAGACTGTAATATTGATATGGTTTCTCCATGCCCCCACCAAAATCTCATCTTGAATTGTAGTTCCCATAATCCTTATGTGTCATGGGAGGGACCCAGTCAGAGGTAATTGAATCATGGGAGCAGTTACCTCCATGCTGCTGTTTTTGTAATAGTGAGTGAGTTCTCATGAGATCTGATGGTTGACACATTTGCAGTCTGACAATGTAGTAGAAAAGAAATTTTTCAGGGGAGAAATTCAAGCTGGTTGCAGAAATTTGCATAAGTAACAAGGAGCCAAATGCTAATTGCCAAAACAATGGGGAAAATGTCTCCAGGGCGTGTCACAGACCTTTGAGGCAACCCCTCCCATGACAGGCCCAGAGGCCTAGGAGGGAAAAATGATTTCCTGGGCTGGGTCCAGGGTCCCCCTACTGTGTGCAGCCTCGGCCCCTGCATCTAGCTGCTCCAGCAGTGGCTACAAGGGGCCAAGGTACAGTTCAGACCATTGCTTCAGACAGTGCATGCCCCAAGCCTTGGAAGTTTCCATGTGGTTTTGGTCCTGTGGGTACATAGAAGAAAAGAATTGAGGTTTGGAGACCTCCACATAGATTTCAGAGGATGTAGGGAAATGCATGGATGTCCAGGTGGAGATGTGCTACTGGGTGGAGCCCTCATGGAGAACCTATGCTAGGGCAGTGCAGAAGGGAAATGTGTGGTTGGAGCCCCCACACAGAGTCCCCACTGGAACACTGCCTAGTGGAGCTGTGAGAAGAGGGCCACCATCCTCCAGACCCCAGAATGGTAGATCCACCAACAGCTTGCACCATGCACCTGGAAAATCCTCAGACAATGGCAACCCATGAAAGCAGCTGGGAGAGACACTGTACCCTACAAAGCCACAGGGGTGGAGCTGCCTGAGGCCATGGGAGCCCACCTCTTTCATCAGCGTGATGTGAATGTGAGACATAGAGTCAAAGGAGATCATTTTGGAATTTTAAGGTTTAATGACTTCCCTATTTGATTTCAGACTTTCATGGGGCCTATAACCCCTTTGTTTTGGCCAATTTCTCCTGTTTGGAACAGGTGCATTTATGAATGCTTTTACCCCCGTGGTATCTAGGAAATAACTAACTTGCTTTTGATTTTACATGCTCATAGACAGAAGGGACTTGCTTTGTCTGAAATGAGATCTTGGACTTGGACTTAGGGTTAATGCTAGAATGAGCTAAGACTTTGGAAGACTGTTGGGAAGACATGATTGTATTTTGAAATGTGAGAAGAACATGAGATTTGGAAAGGGCCAGGGGTGGAATGATATGATTTGTCTGTATTCCCACTCAAATCTCATCTTGAACTGTAGTCATGGGAGGGACCCAGTGAGAGGCAATTGAATCATGGGGGTAATTACCCTCATGCTGCTGTTTTCATGATAGTGAGTGAGTTCTCATGAGTCCTGATAGTTTTGTAATGAGCTTCTCCCCCTTTGCTCAGCACTTCTCTCTCCTGTCTCCATGTGAAGAAGGATGTGTTTGCTTCACATGATTGTAACTTTCCTGAGGCCTCCTCAGCTGTGCAGATTGTGAGCCAATTTAAACCTCTCTCCTTTATAAATTACAATTTATAGATTATTTCCCTATAGCAGTATGAGAATGGACTAATACAAATATTTAATAGGGGTAGCACTACTCATCAGTGAGTAGTCCAGTAAGGCAATGTTTTTCAGGGAAGCAATAATGGTCAGTGGAAACCAGTGATGGGGAATCTGAAAAGCAAGAAGGCAGGGATTCAGCCTTGATCACTTGGATCATCAGGCAAGAAGGTATTTCTCACAAGCCAAGGTTCATGGACAAAATTTTCCTCAGGAAGATGTGGACTTGGTGGCAGGATTGTTTGAAGTGAATTTGTGCCAAAGAATGGACTGTGATAGTAATTGTAATAATAATAATGCCAGCATCATTGAAAGCTGGCAGATTTAAAATTTCTACTAGATGCCAAGTGCTTTGCTAAACATTCTTTCATGAACTAGTTAATTTTCCCACCAATTCTGTGGCTATTGTTATTGATATTCCAAAAATAAGGAGATTAAGGTCTAGAGAAGAGACTTGATCAAATTCACACTACTCGTTTGCACTTTTTCCCACTGTTTCAAGTATCTTCTATTGGCTTTGTGGATACACTCTGCATCCTTCTCCACCTTACTCTTGCTGACAGGAGGAGATTAGAGGGGAGTTAGGAGAAGGAAGGAGGGGAATGAGATCAAAGTATATATTCAGCCACATCACTCCCTAAAGGTTCATTTCAGGCTGCCCAAGTCTCTTCTCTCGGAGTGTCTAATACTTCAGCACATGATGGGGATACAGTCTCCAGCTCATGTAAAATGCCTAGTTGTCATACTGTAGTAAGAGTAGAGATATAGCTAACTATAAGGAGGCTTGAGGAAGATATCCAGAATGCAGGGCAAAACCTTCTTGAATCTCGTTTGCCTATGATTACAGACCTGGTTGAGCTGAATCTGCATTGCAGATGAAGTCAACAGGCTTCATCTGTGAAGCCAGCAGAGCCTCGTGGACCCAGGTAAGACTCAATAGTCATTATTCCTCTTATTTTTTTGGCATTGTGAGAGTTTAATTCTTTTAGTAGGGAAAAAAAACAAATTTTCCTCTTCTTAATCATTCTTGTATCTAATTGTTGCGATATCATCATAATACAATGTGGTTTCTCCTAGGAACTTTGAAATGAGGAAAATCTATTTGTTCTGTTCGCTATGAGAGTCACATTTTTACATCAATAGAGCTACACAAAGGAGTCTAGCTTCCAGTCCTACAAGACTTGATATAATCCAATGAAATATATTAACAAAGACTATTTTTAAAATGAATGAATCTATCAAAAAAAAGTACTAAGAACCTCCAGAAAAAATAAAAAGGATTAGGGAGGTAAACAGGAAAGACCCATGCTGGCACAGTCTGGTGAGTGGAGAAGACCTTTGGCCAATGACTTTGACTATATCTGCTCTTTTATCAAAATTATCCTTTATAGGAGATGGTGGTTTTATTTGAATGTCCAATTTTCAATTGTATTTTCATCCAACAACATTTTATTATAATTGGATTTCCCATATATTTTGTTTTCAGGGATATAATGCATTGGATAGAAATGAGGAAATTGAATCAAATAGATTTTATACTAAAATTAATCAGTTGTCACTCATATTAGTCATCAGTTTTGCGTGTAGTTAATGTGAATCTGTGTCTGAGAGACGGATCACTTTATTTGTGCTGACAAATAAGGCTTCACATTCTTCAAGGGTAAGGGCCAGATTTTCTGTCTTAGAAAAATTATTAAGTTAATGTCATCCTGAAAAACATCTTGGGAGGAGAATATGCTGGCATGCCACAGAGGATGAAGAGGGAATACCTCCCCTCTACAATACTCTGGATTTTGGCATTTTATTTATTTTTTAAAAAATATTAAATATTTCAAATGTGTCAGGCACTTTGCTTTGTACCAGTGACATTAGTAACATAATGTTGATTAAGACACAGTCCTGGCCACCAAGGAGCTTAGAGTCTAGTGAGGTAACAAGCAAGAAAAGCTTCTTTTGTCCTAATTTCGACTCAACTGTGATTGCAAACACAAATTTAGATGCATGAGATGCTCTGAGACCTGTGTGGATAAGTTGCTTAGAGAAACACCTCTTGGTTCATAAAAAATGCTTGTTTGACAAGCTTCTTTTGTAACTAGTATCTAGTTTTGCAGAATATAAGATCCATCTCTACCTGCTTCCTTAGACTTGAATTTCCAGAACTTGCCAGGTTTCCTGGACACCTAACCTGGGACTGGGAATTAGTTCCCACCTCGTTCTTTCCACAGCTGAGCATTATCCTTGCCTTCTCCTATACTCAGGCCATAGCAGATCCACAGATATTCTCTTTTCCTTGAGAATAGGCCAGAATAATATTTTAACTTTCATCTTATTATTATTGTTATGTGAAAATAAAAAAAATTGTTTTTCTTAATGATTCCATTCATTAATCCATCCTTTTCATTAATCCATTCATTCATTCCATTAATTAATCCAATCTATGCTCTTTGATACCTGGTATGAGCAAGATTCATCAGTCCTTTCCCTTTACTGCTTTATTCTAGAAAAAAGAGATAAGCCACATATTATAATTGTATGCAAGGTATTTGTACAAAGTTCCGTGTGAGAATGTTGGGGCATTAAGGTGTTTGTGGAATAGGTAGCATTGAGACAGATCCTGAAGGGCAAAACATGCTTTAAAGGCAGAGACAGAAATAACTCAGTAAAAGGCAACTGTAGTTATAAGGAAGAGGAAAGAATGTTATTCTTGAAGCTCCTATTTCAGCTCTTCCAATTATCATCTATCTATATAACCTTAGAAAGGTCAATTTATGTCTTTAAAGTTGGCATTTTTCATCATGAGTAAAATGTGATTAAAAATTCACATCATCGTAAGAATTACATGTAACAACATATGTTAAAGTTTCACGGAAACTTTTGGTGCTGTGAGATTAAATTGTATACCATCGTTCATCATAAAATGAATGGAATGCTCAAGGGAGTAGTGGGATGTATCCTAGGAACTGCAGGTGTTTGGGCCATGAATTCTGTTTAGATATTTATACCCTTTCTCATTTGAGTGACCTTAGAAAAGTGACTTATCTATTTTTTTAATTTTCTGTAATTATTCAGCTGAAAAATGGGAATACTCTTTTTTCACTTCCTAGTATTATAGAGACACTGTAATTACTAAAATTAGATTATATTATAAAATGCAATGAGCTTTTGGAAGAGAAGAGGTCATGTAAATAAGCTCAACTAAGTACATGTTTCAGCAAAGAAATACCACTGTAAAAAGAAAAAAGGTTCATTTTAATGTGCTACTTTTTCTTCTACTTGGAAAATAGGAAATGCCTGACAAAGTTCTGGAAACGGCGGCAGGCTAAGAAAATGCATTAAAAATTTGATATCTAGTAGGTGACTGTCACTCTTTAAAAATTAATTGTCAGCTTGGTTTTTAAAAATTGCTGCATTCCAATACTTGATTCTGCTTAATTACCACCACAGCCATTTGGGGGTCTGGGCATAAATTTTATTTTAACAAAAAGCATCAGCCTTATTTGGGAATGACTTTTATTTCAAAACTGAATTCCTAATGCAAATGTCTGAAAGAAGCCTCTATAAAACCCAACGGCATGCACAGGAGTTATGTCTTCATAACGTAAACACAGCCTAAAATTGCAGTAAATATATAAACATAAGAATTTTAGAACAGTCATTTGTAAATGATCACATAATTTCTAATGCTTCATCCTTTTGTTTTCTAAAAGCTGAATTTAAATTCTGCTTAATCTGTTTTGGTGACGGTTGGGGGTGTTGTGTGACACCTACAGAAGAAGTATTTTCTTCAGTATTGCCATTATGAGTAACATCTTGGTATATAAAAAATGCCATGAGCAATGCTAATTTCAAAGGCTTCTGAGCCAACATCAACATTGCTGACACCATGGCATTATGTATACCAAACCTAATCACTCTAGTAATATGATGCCTCAGTAAATCTGTGAACATTAACATACAGTCCCATCAGCTTAGCACTGCCTCATGCTACAGTATATTCACACAGAAACACGCTGGTTCCGGAGCAGAACAGCTCATGCATAAATATGTACAATGTAGCTGTCTATTAGTCATAAACACTGCTAATATGATACTTTTTTCAATCTTACCTATCCCGAAGATTTTGTAAATGCCATTTCAAAAACAAAAGCATCCATTTTGAAAAAGATGATTTGCTTTCTTCACGACATGAGACATACACCCTGACTTTAGAAAATATTAGCAATTCAATTTTAAATGTATAAACAAATTAACAAAGTGGTAATTATTTCCTTTCTAGCATGATTACTTGCATGGAGGAGGAAATCCCTGTAAAACTCAAAGTTTCTTTGGAAACATGTATAAAATAAGATTTATTCATGAGTATTCAGAAACATGAAAACATTGGCACCAGGAGTCTTCCAACCGGTTTGGTAACAATAAAAGGCATGCAATATACACACCTAGAATTCTTGAAAATCTAAAATAATTCATCCTTGCTTTGTTCAAGTTGTCAATGGATGAGAAGACAGATATATACTAGCATAGAAATAGATAATCATAATAAAACAAAAAATGAATAAGCAACAATTGTGATGCTCACAAAGAATTTAACAGTGTTCTGATCTTTGGATCACAAGGCAACGCAAATAAAAATCAACTGAATACATGTTTTCCTCAAGGAGTCAACATTTCTTGTAGAATCTAACGGGATAGAGCCCACTAAATGTATTTTTTGGGACCAAGTCATCTTTGAAGGGATTTTCTGCTATGTTCTGAAGCTGATGTATTCCTGCTTTGACAAAGCTCTTTCTCATTCTGGACCTTTCAGTAGGGAAACTCTCCCCATTCTCAAATTCTAATTCCGCATTGCAACACAGGATGAGTTAAGAAATTTTTCCAACGCCAGACACAAGAAGTAGCAGCACTGAAGCAATTCTCCTGGCATAAAAGGCAAAGTGAATCTTTGATGCTTTTGGTAAAGTCCCTAGGTGATGGTATTTATAAAACATTTGAAGCATAAGAATTTCATGAATTTCTAGGGCACTTAATTGTGCTATAAACGGTGAAACTAGCATCAAATTATATTTAGGTTGCTGATTAGGCAACTTTGGTAATTAATTTCTGGAAAGAAAACACTTTACAATAAAGCAATCTATAACTAAGTAATGTTATATTTAGGCTAGTAATAGGAAACTTTCTTTTTCTTTCTTTCTTTTTTTTTTTTTTTTTTTTTTGAGACGGAGTCTGGCTCTGTTGCCGAGGCTGGAGTGCAATAATGGCACGATCTCGGCTCACTGCAAGCTCCGCCTCCTGGGTTGACGCCATTCTCCTGCCTCAGCCTCCCGAGTAGCTGGGACTACAGGAGCCCGCCACCAAGCCCGACTGATTTTTATATGTTTTTAGTAGAGACAGGGTTTCACCGTGTTAGCCAGGATGGTCTCGGTCTCCTGACCTGGTGATCCACCCGCCTCGGACTCCCAAAGTGCTGGGATTACAGGCTTGAGCCACCGCGCCTGGCCGTAATAGGGAACTTTCAAATGGGGAAGAAAGTGGGGAGGATTTTCTTATGTACCCAGGAAGTCCAATGCAGTCACAAACTGTGGCACAGTTCCAGTTTTACCAGCCAGAAGAACCCAGGAACAGATTAGAGAAGAAAGGAAGACATTTATAAAGATAGGCAACTGAAAGGATTGGCTCAAAGAACGCTTTAGCATGTTGATGTGGCAGTTTTTACAGTCATGGCAAATGATTAATTTCAGGTTCTGATAGTTTGTCATTTTAAAAACAAGCTCAGGGGCAGAATTTTCTTCAGAAAGACATGTATAATTTTCACTGACATTCTCTTGCAATAGGTTCCCTCTAGTTAGGAAATTTCTATGGAGTATAATCTAATTGTAGCGAGATAAAACTACCTTGTGATGTATCCATTAATATGCCAATGCATATTTGTGTTATTTGAAACTTAGAATTCAGTGACTCCTCAAGTTGAGTCCTTTTCTCTGAGGTCTTTACTGCCCTTCTTAGTGGTTGCATTAATGATGACTCATCCCCTTTAAGTGATTATGAGAATGGCAGAGAAAGCTAAGAGGCAAAATGTAAAGCTCTCTTGATTTCAACAGTATGCAAATAATTTCATATATAATGGACTCCCTATGTATTGTCCTTTGTTCCCTGTACTCCATGATTTGCTGCCCCATTTATTTTTTTTAAAGTAAAATAAAGTGAATAGTGAAAACTAAATGCAAGTAGGTCCTTACAAAATTAAGTTGCACAACGAAGAGAATAAAAATAAAAAAATTCCAGGCTTATGTTTACGTATTTGGTGAAATAATGTAACTAGAGCAGGGAATTCCTGCCCAATCAAGAAGATTTACGATTGTTTCATGAAACAGCTTTATAGATGGTTAGCATAGTTCAGACTAAAGCATTCACCTTTATCTTGCATGGACAATAAGTGCTAAATGATACAAGGTCCAAATTTGCTTTTTCACAATCCAAATTCACTGAAATATTTGATTACCAAAGCTCCACTTAATTGTGTGTTGGCGGGAAACAGAAGAGGAAGATGAAGCTTTTCAGAACAAAAATCCATCTGCCACCAATAATAGCCTTTGTGTTTAAAAAGCAGTCAGTGACAACATGACTTTTTCTCTATATACTAGGTTTGTATTTTTGCTTGTTGGGAAGAATGGCATTTAAAAAATTAACATATTATCAGAACATGATGCAACGAAATTAAATTATATGGACTTCATTAGGAGATAAGAGAAAAATATAATATGTTCAATGTAGGACCTCCCAACCTTGATCACATCCTATGTTTCAAATATAAATTAAAAGATTTTGGTGATATTTAGCTTTGTAGTAATAATGACTGGAAATGTTAACATCAATAACTTATTGCTGTATAAACCACATTTGAAAAAATATCTCTTTGAGACAATATTACTTTGGCTGTTAATTCAAATGAGCAGGAACAAATGAGGCATTTATGCAATAATTTTTTTCTTAAATCAAGCTAAATTTCATTAAGAAATGATTCCTCCAAAATGAGCTTTCTACAATTAAAAATAACTTAGACTAGAGATAATTTATTTGACAAAAATATATTCTATTTTCACTTATACATTATATGAAACAAAAATAAATTTGCTGTTAACGCTCCTTCACTCATAACAGAAGCAAATTACATCTAATTAATGGAAATATTTTTTTCTTCCAAGAAGTTTCAACCATCAAACAAGGGGGTAGAAAAGTGAAACCTAAATCTGTTTGATTAAAAGAAAAAAAAAGAATTTCCTCCCCATCTTATGATGCTCATCCCATATACATTTTTTTCCACTATAACTGCAATTTGGCTCTCAGTTGTTTTCAAGTCAATTAGAGAAACTTGACTACGTTACTTTAAATCAAATACAAGGACTGAGTGATTCAGTGGATTAAATCAAGGACAGGAAACTGGGTAATTGCAGTACTAATCTCAGCTTTGCCTAATTATCCATGACCTCTTGGCAGTGATATTGTCCCTTGTGGGTTTGTGAGGGGTGTTCCTCTACCTCCTATCTGTAGCTGTTGCTGCTTAGAAAACAATGAATATCCTTTTCCCAATTGGAATATCTGAATTTTATTAAATTATGTTGGCACCTTTGTTGTAATCACTTGATTTATATGTGTCAGCCTATTTTTAAACTCTGTATTCTTTTCCATTGGTCTGTATTCCTGCCTTTATGCTAATACCACAGTCTTCGTTATCATGTCTTTAAAATCCAATAAATCATCCAATTTTGTTCTTTCTCAAAATTATTTTGCCTATTCTAGGTTTTTATATTTCTAGATGAATTTTAGAATCAACTTGTCAATATCTGAAAAATAAAAAGCCTGTTGGGATTATGTTTGTGATTGTGTTGAATGTATAGATCAGTTTGGCGAGAATGGCCATCCTAATAATATTGAGCTGATTAATCCATGAACAAGTTGTATTTTATTTTATTTAGATCTTTACTTTCACCCTGCAATGTTGTGAAGTTTTTACAGTAGGGTTTACAAATATCTTTTATCAAATTGACCCCTAAATATTTTGTATTTTGGATGATGTTGTTTTTAAATTTCAAATTTCAGATATTTATTGCTGGTCTGTAGAATATAGTTGATTGTTTTATATTGGACTTTCATATTGTAAACTCTAAATTTATTTATTAACGTAGTACTTTTTCTGAGACGTTCAAAAAGGATTTTCCTCGTAGATAATCATACTGTCTGTGAATAGAAACTTTATTACTTCTTGGTTTTCAACATGCATACTTTATTTTTTCTTGCCTTGTTACATAGATAAGGCCTCCAATACAATGAAATGATGCTTTTGCCTTTGTTCCTAATCTGAAGAGAAAGGAGTTATTCTTCCACTATTAAGTTTTATGTTACTTGATGACCTTTTAGAAAATGTTCTTTATTAGATGAGAAAGTTTGTTTCTACTTTTTTTTTAATCAGCGGGTTTGGATTTAGTCTGATATGGTTGGGCTCTGTGGCCCCACCCAAATCTCACCTTAAATTGTGATTTTCATAATCCCCACGTGTCAAGGGTTGGACCAGGTGGAGGTAATTCAATCATGGGGGCAGTTCCCCCATGCTGTTCTCATGATGTGAGTGAGTTCTCACAAGATCTGATAAGGGCCTCTTTCCCCTTGGCTGGGCACTTCTCCCTATTGCCTTGGGAAGAAGATGCCTTGCTTCCCCTTTGCTTTCTGCCATGATTGTTAGTTTCGTGAGGCCTCCCCAGCCATGCTGAACCGTGAGTCAATTAAACCTCTTTACTTTATAAATTACCCAGTATCAGGCAGTACTTTAGAGCAGTGTGAAAATGGACTAATACAATTCAAATGCTTTTTCCGGATCTTTTGAAATTATCATATGATATATCCTCATTCTGTAAGTATGACAAATTATATTAATTAATTTTTAAGATGTAAAAACGAACTTTGCATTCTTTGTCATGGTGTATTATCCTTTATATTTATATTGCTGAAATTGATTTTCTACTACTTTTGAGAATTTTTGTGTCTTCGTTATGACACAAAAGTTTTCTTTTCTTATAATATCTCTTAAAGTTTTGGCATAAAGGTAATGCTGACTTCATAAAATGATGTGGGATTTTTCTCTGCCTGTCTTTTAAACAAAAATTTGGGTAAAATCAGTATTATTTTTTCCTTAAATTTCCTATTTAATCTAAGTTATCAAATGTACTATCATAAAATTGTTCATATTATCTTGTTATCCATTTAATATCTATAAGAGTGAAAGATATCTGTTTTTATTCTTGATGATTGATCATTTGTGGCTTTCTCCCTTAACACTGTGAGTTTATCAGTTTACTATTATTTGCCAAGAACAAACTTTTCACTTTTAAAATTTTCTATTATGTTTGCTTTTTGTTTATTTGAGTTCTATTCTTATCTTTGTTTCTTTCCTCTCATTTATGGATTTCATTTTTTTCTAGCATCTTAATATGAAATATTAGATCACTTTAAATCATTTTATCTAATAGAGGTATTTAAAACTATAATTTTTCTTCTAAATGCTGATATAGGTGCTATTTTTCATCATCCTTCAGTTTGAAGTTTTCTTTAATTTCCTTTGTAATTTCTGCTTTGGTTTATGGGTTATGTGAAGTGTATAATTTAAGTTCCAAGTAATTTGGAATCGTTTTCTATATATCTTATTGTTTTGATTAAGTATTTTATTTTAATGGTCAGGGAACATATTTGATGACTGAAGTCTCTTGAAATATATTCAGAAATATTTTACTGTCCAGCATATGAGTCTTCTTGGTGAGTGTGAGTAATTGCAGCTCTCCAAAATTCATATGCTGAAATGCTAACTCTTAGTGTGATGGTATTTGGAGGTGGGACCTTTGGGAGGTGATAATTAGGTCATGAGGACGGAGCCTCCACTAATGGAATTAGTGCCTTAAAAATAGTTCCCAGAGAGCGGGACGCGGTGGCTCACGCCTGTAATCCCAGCACTTTGGAAGGCAAAGGCGGGCGGATCACGAGGTCAGGAAATCGAGACCATCCTGGCTAACACGATGAAACCCCGTCTCTACTAAAAAAAATAGAAAAAATTTGCAGGGCGTGGTGGTGGGCGCCTGTAGTCCCAGCTACTCTGGAGACTGAGGCAGGAGAATGGCATGAACCCCGGAGGCGGAGCTTGCAGTGAGCCGAGATCGCGCCACTGTACTCCAGCCTGGGGGACAGATCGAGACTCCGTCTCAAAAAAAAAAAAAAAAGTTCCCAGAGAGCTCACTTGTCCCTTCTGCCATGTGAGGGGACAAAGAGAAGATGGTGCTCTATGAACTAACAAGTGGGCTGTTGCCAGACACAGAATTTGCTGGCACTTTGATCTTAGACTTCACAGCTTCCATTACTGCACGAAGTGAATTTCTGTTGCTCATAAGCCACAAAGTCTATGGTAATCTGCTATGGCAGTCCAAACAGACTAAGACAGTTGTATATTAAGGAATTTATGACAAAAAAGTAGTATTTTATATTTGCCTCTTTATCTACCATTTATAGTGCTATTCCTTTCTTCTTATTGATTTGCGTTTTTTCCTATCATTGTTTTCCTTCATTCTGGAGAATATACTTTTATATATATATTTTATATATATTATAATGTGAAATATATAAATATATTTTACGTGTATATTTTTATATAAAATATATTTTCCATAATATATTAATATTTTATTTTATATAATATAAAATATATTTTACATATAAATGTGAAATATATGGATATAAGTATATTTTATGTTTATATATTTATATTTATATTTATGTCACATATATATACTTTTTTTGTTTTTGTTTTTGAGACGGAGTTTTGCTCTTGTTACCCAGGCTGGAGTGCAATTGCACAATCTTGGCTCACTGCAACCTCTGCCTCCTGGATTCAAGCGATTCTCCTGCCTCAGCCTACTTACTGAGTACCTGGGATTACAGCCATGCGCTACCACGCCTGGCTAATTTTTTGTATTTAGTAGAGACGGCTTTCACCATGTTAGTCAGGCTGGTCTGGAACTCCTGACCTCAGGTGATCCACCTGCCTCGGCCTCCCAAAGTGCTGGGATTACAGGCATGAGCCACTACGCCCAGCCCTTTTATATTTCTTATTGTAAAGTCCTACTGATAATAGATTTAATTTATATTGAAATGTATTTATTCCATTATTGTTTCTGAAGGATATTTTCACTGGACACAGAATTTTGAATTGATAGTGTCTTTTTTCCTCTGAGTGTTTAAAAAATATCCTTCCATTATCTTCTGATTTTCATATTTCTTTTGAAAAATTATCTAAAATTTGTATCATTGTCAGCTGTCAAGTACATTGGTTTCTCTCTGCATGCATATAAAGTCTCTTTTCTCTGTTTTCAAGAGTTTGTATTAGCTTTTTAGTAGCTTATGATGTATGTGGGTACTTTCTTTGTATTTATTCTATTTTGCATTTGCTGAACTTATAGGTCTATAAGTCAATGTTTGTTTGTTTTTTCCATCAAAATTGGGAATAATTTGGCCATTATTTCCTCAGACACTTTTTCCTACATTCACAATCTACTGCTGAGATTCAAATTAAATATCTGCTAGACCATATGTATATATTATTCAAAGGTAAATATTGCTCTGTTCCGTTTTCTTCAATCTTTTTCTTACTGTTTTTGAGATTGGATAATTTCTATAGACCTATTATCAAATTTTCTAAGTTCCTCTTCAAGATCTCTCATCTGCTGATATTCAGGAATTTTTTAAAAGAGTTTCATTTACTTTTCAGTTTTAGAATTTCAATTTGTTCCTTTAATTTTTTGGTTTTAAATTTCCATTTTGTTGCAAAGGATCCCTTTCAGTATACTAATTAATGTTATATATTTCTGTAATTCTTTGAACATCTTGTCCTTGAATTCTTAGAAAGTATTTATAATAGCTCCTTTAGCATCTTTGTTAAAGTTGACATTATGCCTATTACAGGGCTGATTTCTATTAACTGCTTTATTGCATTAGTATCACATTTTCCTATTTCTTTGAATATCTCACAAATTATTACTGTGTACTACACATTTTGGATAATGGATTGTAAAGAATATAAATTATTCTGTCTTACTCTAAGTGTCCTGGTGTTCATTCTAGCAAAAAAGGTAATTATTTGTTAAATGGCTTGAATTTGTGTAAACATGGTTTTCACTTGGTTAGTGTAGATCTCACAACAGTGTAACATGTTTCCCAGGTCACTCCAACTTGCCAGAATTCAAATTCTTCCAAATTATGTATCTCCTGAAACTTTCGACATGGCTTAGATTTTGGTTTTATTGGGCAGGTATAGAGTAGTCTGTCTTAAACCTCACAGTGTCTCAGCTGAATTTCCAGGGTGCTTGAAGTGTTTGAGAGACTTTCTTGGCCAAACTCCGTCTTCTAGCAATATTCAGTCTCTTATTTCAAGCTCTGAAGCATGCAGCTAGCTGTTGTCTGTTAAGTTTGATGAGATCTCAGCTTGCACATGTGCAACTCATCCCTTAATGAAAGACTTGCCTGGAACCTCCGAACAGACTTTTGCCCATCCTCTGCTTCTTCCTCCTGATGCTCTGAAGATCCTACTAAGCTGAAGAGGTAAAAATCAGGGTGTTGGGTAGCTGAAGCAGTTGTCATATTCTCTCTGGACTCCAGCTCACTGTGCCATGGTCACGAAATTGTTAGTAGGCAGAAAACTGGGGTTATCATAGGACTTATCTCATGGGCTTTCCCTTTCCTCAAGGTTTGCAGTATTGCACTTCATGTTATCCAATCTAAAAACAGTGGCCTCATACATTTTGTCCAACTTTATAATTATTCATGTTAGAGGAATTGACTGGTATTAGTTATATCATCATATTTGGAAGCAAAATTCTTCTGCTTAATTATTAAAAAGAATGTAGTATTCAAGCCCAAATCTCTAAGGATATATTTAAAAATCTTGTTTTCCTTGTTCTATTAACTGTGGTTATCTCAGTTATAAGTTATTCTCTTCGTTAAATTTGTTTTCTTCTTTCATGGCATTGCTGTTTCTCAAATTGTGATTCTTGATTGGATGTGCATATCAATCAAAATCATAACAAGAAACCTATAGCATGGTCAAAATCAGAGGAAAGTTAATTTACAAAGATGTGGGAGTAGGGAAATGTCAGGATTATTTTGTTTAGTCTAAACAGAACAAGTCAGTCTCTATAATGATACCTGTAAGACATTAAACATGGGAATTGTTGCCTACATTTTCTGCCAGGCATAGCAAAGAAGAATTGGATCAGTATTTATAGACAAGAAGAGAAAGAAAGGGACAGACAGGCAGATAGACATGGAGAGAGACAGAGACGAAGAAAAAGATGAAAAAGATAGATACAGAGACAGAAAGATAGAAAAAAAACTCCTTGTTGTGTTTAACAATCTGGCTTTAATTGTTCTAGCATCCATGTATTTCTTGCTATTTGTTCGTTGAGTGCCATTGCTGGTGATAACCAACAAATTCTCCTCTTTTTCCTTCAGTTAGTTTAATCTGGTTTCTATCACTTGACAGAAAAAGAATCCTAATGAATACTGCCAAAAAATGATGAGGAAAATGAAAGCTGATTCAAGATAATTTGTTTAATGTAAATAGAGCAACCTACATTTTGCTGGTTAGATAAATTTTTTTAAAGGACTTACACCCCTGGTTCTTACCATTTTACTTAATGGTAAGAAGATAAGAATGTCTTTTACATTTTTAAATGTTTTCCTATACCCACCAAAAAGGAAATGATATCTGAGTGTTTGTATGATATAAGTCCCACCTTTCCGATTTTGTTTCCTTTGTATTTTTTAGATTTTAATCAACTAAATTGGAATGAAAGGTATTATTAGATATGCTAGTTTACCAACTAAACTTTCACTGGATATTTTACATCATGTGTACTATGGTCCAAGGCGTCGGTTGATTAAAGTCTTCAAATGCTTCACATGCTTTAGATACTTATTTTTAAAATGACTTCACTAATAATCTTAGGCAAAATGTCAATGTCTCAGTTATTTTAAAAAATATCATTTTATTACTACTTATGGAATAAAGGAGTTGAGGTGGTTAATGATTACCAAATCCATCACTACTAATGGAACAAAGGACTTGCTATTTTCTTTTCAGGAGTTGAAGGTGATTAATTATTACATTACTTATCTTCACACAAAATAATTGAAACTTGGGAGTAGAAGCTGCCACATCAGCCATTGAACAGCTTCCACTGAGTTTTAAAATTATGTTTGTTAACATAAGAAAGGCATAGCCTATTCACGTTTAACACTAACTAACTAATTAGTTATGGTCAAATAAAAACATACACAAGTTAAAGCCATAAATGTAATGCTCTGTTCTTTTTAAATTTTTATTTATATTGTTTATATTAACAGGATATGGCAATGAGATGAAAGGATGCATTCAACAAGACAGAGCCAAATTTTATAGCTTGGCTAGGGGAAGGAAAACACTAGAGTTTTTAAAATAAGACTTACAATGAATGTTTACGGAACTGGATTCAGGCAAGGCTGTTAAGTAACTGTACGCCTTTAACTCACCAAAGGCAAATAAATAATTTTATCCATCCTGGTGAAAAACTAGCTGATCCGAAAATATTTTCAAATCATTTATTACTCAGGAATTTAATCAGAAAATTAGTATATATTGGGGTTTCTGGTGGCTAATTGGTGTCTCAGATAGTTTGGGGGGGTAAGCAGGGAACTCGAGACTGTACGTTAGCAGGGAAACAAGTATGGTTTCAAAATGTTAAGGTTTGGGGATTATGTGAGATGTGCAACTGATACACCCATGTTTCCCAGCAGTATGTCCTCCTTCTCTAAAGCATTTTTATTTCTTCCTATTTTGTCACACATTATTGGCCACTGAGAACAAAAGCATCTCTCTGAAAGACATGTATTTAGGAAAAGTCTGCATAAAACAAGTTCATCCAAGCATATTTTGCTATTTGCTCCAAGACAATTTTTTCCACTTTGTTTTGATTATCTGGCTTCACTTGCTGTCAGCTTCAGTGCTAGATTTTTGGTTGCCTTGTACAAACCTTGTGTGTGTGTGTGAGTGTGTTTGTGTGTGTGTATGATGGGGTATGTAGAGGGTCGTGTCCAGATGAGAAAAGAATGATTACAGGATAATAAACTACATTTTATTGAGGAAGTATAAAGTGCCAAATCCTAGGGTAGTTTCACAGTTACTAACGCCTTCTCTCATCAAGTGATGACTAACCAAAGCCAGAAAATTTTCCACCTGAGCACAAGCTACCTCAAACTCAAGTAACCCTATGTCTTTCTACCATTCACCACAGTCATTTGTTACTGGACCCCATCAGTCCTTACCTTAGTGTGGTGGACAAAGGCTGCAAATCTGCCTTGCATAGTTGCCTTTCTTTTGGCGGACAACCTTTGAGAATAGGCTTCAGTTTAAACCTGGAAACTTCACAGTATGAATCAGTTATGAACAGGATCTTCATCTCCAGTCTTTCTGTGTTGTTAGAATTTGGCTACCTTAATTTTCTGATATAAGTCTCAGAGGCTTACCATGGGGTTTAGCAAGAACTTTGATAACTAGTGCTTTTTAAGGGCATTGGAACTACAACTTTTTTTCTTTTTTTTTGTTCTTATAAATGACCACTGGATGGGCTTCCACCCCTATTAGGAGTTAGAAGTAACAAATGAACCAGTCATTAAATGGTTCAATGAGCCATTTGGCTCTGAGCTCAAATGGCTTGACTATGATTTTTGCAGAAAAGAGTGAGTGAAAACCAGGTTCAGAACAATAGTTGAAACTTCAGAGGATAATGTCATGGCAAGGCTGGAAGGGAGCCTGAAATAGAGGAAAAGTCTCCGAGAGTTTAAACCACATTAGTTCCGAATCATATTATTGGTGCTATTCAGAAAAAGGCCTCTCTCGTCTTCATACTTTTCTATCACAAATTCATTATGGGACAGTCTTGCTTGTAAGACATAATTATGCCTTTTTCTTCTTTTGTTTTCCTTCCTTTCTGCATTCTAATGATCAAGGCATGGCCACTCTTCTTTGACTATGTTTATGTTATTTGTATGAGAGTTACCTTCGGGCATCCGGCCACACTTCAATTCTCTGTATAGCACAAGGCCACATAGAGGCATTTTCCCTGGGCACTGTTATCCTCTCCTCAAGGGGGTCTTGATTGCACCTCAGTTGACCAGCTTGTCTCTCCCAGAAGCATGTGTTATTTAGAATCATTCAATAGCATTTTTGATATTCTCCTGTGAGCCTGGCTCTATGCTATGACATGGGGTTATCTCAGTGGAGAATAAGCCAGGGCTTTTCACCCCTTTTCTTACCACTTAGACATAGCTGGTCTGCTCCCTCACCAAGTAAAACCAATCTGCCTAAGGTATGCAAAAAGGACTTTTTTTTTTTTTTGAGACGGAGTCTCGCTCTGTCGCCCAGGCTGGAGTGCAGTGGCGCGATCTCGGCTCACTGCAAGCTCCGCCTCCCGGGTTCACGCCATACTCCTGCCTCAGCCTCCAGAGTAGCTGGGACTACAGGCGCCCGCCACCACGCCCGACTAATTTTTTCTATTTTTTTGGTAGAGACGGGGTTTCACCGTGTTAGTCAGGATGGTCTCGATCTCCTGACCTCGTGATCCGCCCGCCTCGGCCTCCCAAAGTCCTGGGATTACAGGCATGAGCCACCGAGCCCGGCCAAAAAGGACTATTCTTTTCTTAATTCTGTCTGTACGCTTCTACAAGTTCTCATTTCCCTGACTTTCTAAAGCCCTGGTTCTTTACTTGGCTTTCAATATCTGTGACTGGCACCCTACTTTGCCAAAATTTGCCAACATCCTCTTTTTCTCTATCAACCTTGCTCTGCACGCTACCTTGATTGTGGTATTACTGGCAGTTTCTGGTTAAAATTATCCTCAAGAGTCTTCTCTGTAGGGGAGAGAAAATGAAGAGTGACTATGTGTAGCTCAGGAGAAAGAAGGAACCAATATTTGCAATCATTTTGTGTCAAACACAGTAATAGTTACCTCCACTCATTTCATTTCAGTTTGTAGCAGAAGTATACAAAATATACACTGTCAAGTGAAAGATGCTTTAATAAAAAGCATAAAGAGGTAACATAACAGAGAGTGGTTTACACTGTCTGGACAACAAGGTAGGATAGCTAGATATTCTGTATCCATGTGGTGAGTGTTAACCTTGTGACACATGAACATGTAGGTATAGGGTGCCCACTTGTCTTCTAATACCTCCAGTCCACCCTACACATGGAAGCCAGAGAGTATCAACCCTCAGTGACTTCCCACTAGACTTAGTCTCTCACATTTTTCTAATGGTGGACAGGGATATAGATTTGGCGTATCCTTCCAAAATTATTTCTGGCCACCTTTCATCCACTTACTTTACTCCAACCATATTGGCCTTCTGGATTCTCAAAACTACCAGGTGTTTTTCAGCCTGCAAGTCTTTACATATGCCTCTGTTCAGGGTGTCCTCCCCTCACCCTTCCTCAAAGAATAGATGCACTTGTGAAATAGTGCTTATGCATCAGACTCATGATCAGATTAGAGGCATTTTAAACAAGTTCTGTTCATCAAGTATAAGAAAATCTTACCTAACAACCTGGCTTAGTAAGCAGTTTCATTTCCTAGATGCTTATTTGTGAAATTGAGACCTTCTGTGTTTCTCAGAAACATTGGCAAGTGAAAAGGTTGAGTTTGCCTAGGGAGTAGGTTTGCTTATTGTTGTGGTATCCATGTTGGTCTTTAGCTCATCTTTGACTTATTGCACATGAAAAGGTTTCCTTGCTTACATTATAAACATTGGCTATGTAACTGGTTATGGACTTTGAGTTTCTGATCTCTGGCTACTATTGCCATATTTTGTGTAATTGCTAGCTGTTATCAAATAAACAAACAATAAGTTAATCACATTTACTGTTAATATAGGGCTACCACCTGTCTGCTTCCCCCTGGAGAATCTGAATTTTAGAGATCATTTTACTGCTGGAAAATTTTAAGCTCTCCAGGAGGACTTGCTTTAATTATAGCTGTTTCTCATTTTGTGTACTTTTTTCTCCATTCCAGTTTGAATAAGGGAGTGGCTATTATTTGCTAAATGCACATCTTGGGATGGAGGTTGGAAAAGTAAGAAGATAATTAACATAGCAAAAAGCAGTCTTCTCTGTCTCCCACCCTCTCCCCCATGATTTTGGTAGAATGGGAAGCTATCCATCAGACAAATCTGATGGGACAAAGTGAGTGGACACTTGATGACTCCTGTGGGAATTTGGGATTTGTCGAGACTGCTCTTCATGGCTTAAGGATGGGTGAAAGCATGTGGGCTGAACTGGATGATCAAACAGAAATGGAAAATCCTGTGGGGCAGGCTAGGTGGAGATCTTAAGCTGAGCCACAGTCAAAGCATCATAGAATCTCCAGCCTTTCAGTACAAACTCTCACCCCTCCATCCCTCTCATTAGTCCTAAAAAATATTAAAAGCAACCATAAACTCATAAAGGAATAAGAAGACTTTTAAGAATGTAGGGCTTTGTATGTGTGTGTATATTGGAAGAGAGGGTGTTATTCTTTTGCAAGACATCATAAAACAAAACTCTGTTATTGAAATAGCATACAATGACAAATTCTAATAAAATCAGGAAAGGTTATTATCTCATAATCAGGAAGTGAATATTTAGGTTCATTATGCAGCATTTTGAGAAAGGTTGCATTGTATTTGAAAGAGTCTGAGAACATCAGTCTTCACTGGGTGATACTTGAAAAGGAAAGTGGACTATTGGGAAATGCAAATGTTGTGGCATCTATTATGAAACAGACCAAGAAACCCACTGAAGGAGCACAAAAAAATCACTCTCATTAGGCCCAAAGTGAGCTTTAGTAGGAAGTAAATTACCAAAAGTGTTGTTGTCCAGTAAGACTATATCTGAGGAAAATAAAGTTATCTTACCCAAATTCATTTCTCATAATGTCCACCTCTGCCTTCATAATTCTTATTTTCTGATAAATCTCTTCTATATGGGTGCATCCAGTATTAAAAGAAAACCATTCAGAATCGACTTGCACAAATGTGCAGTTACTTAATAGAGACCAGCAGTACTGACCCATCGGATAGCTTGGAAGCATACAAATATAACGAGTAAGTAGGAGAGCTACTGTGTTTTGAATGGGTGCATTTGCTAGAAATCAACAGTCTGCATTTTCTATTTCCAGCTGAAACTATGGATGGCAAATCAAGATCGAGGCAGAAAATAGCTGAGAAAGGAATTACTATGAATATTTGATAAATAAAAATCAGATGAGCCCTTTGTTTTTTGGATGACTGCATCACAATAAAATGAACTATTGCCTATGTCATTGTTTACTATCCTGTGTGATACTAAAAATTACCAGGAAAGCGTGTTAAAAATACATACTCTTGGAATGAAACCAACTTTTGGATCAAATTTTCCATGAAAAATATTGAGTGTATAATCTTCATAGGAGCCACCATGTTGACTACATGAGAGATGAACATGTAGCTTAAAGAAAAAACATGGATGATTTGTATGGTTACAAAACAGGGTAGGAGGAACACTTCAATGTATATTTAGCAGAAAATGCCTATTATCATAAATTGAGTTTGAATTTTACCTCAACCATTTGCTACCTGGATTGACTTCTACTACTTACTTTACTCTTCACTAAAACACATTCATTTTTTATATAATTTTCCAAATAATGTTAATATTCACCAAATGTTATGTAGCTTCACACACATGTTAAATCTCATGCTCCTCTATCTGAATTCAACTTTTTTAAAAAGAGTTTTCTTGGTTACTCCAGCTTTGTACTATGAAATCACGGTTTTCAGAATCATACAAATATAAGATTATATGGGAATCTTAGAAATTATGAAGGCTAGTAGTTCTGAAATGTGGCTTGTTAAAAATCACAAATGCCAAACTTACTGTATTATACTCTGGGGATGAATCGATGCCATGTGTTTTTTTTTTTTTTTTTACAACTTCTCAAGGTGATTTTGATGCAAACAATGAAAATCATTGTTTATTCTACAGAAAGATACCTTTGTTCTAGAGAAATTCAGCAACTTAGCCAAGTTCACAGAGATGATTCGGACAAATGAGAACTAAAATAGAGAACTTCAGACTCTCATATCAATGAGCTTTCTTTCTGAAACATCAAGAAAGATAAGTTAAAATACAATTTTTCTTCATTGTGAATGTACTAAATGCCATTGAATTTAATACTTTAAAGTGGTGAGTTTACATTAGGCAAATTTTACCCAATTAAAAACTAATTTAAAAACATATAAAAACACCACTTTTATTTTACTATTATGTAGGCAAGTTAATTTTCTAAATAACACGTAGAATGGCAACCACATGTTATATCTGGCTAGTGCAACAGCCAACAGAGAAATCATTGATATAGATCATTCAAGCTACTAAATCAGCTCTCTGGTCTGTAAAATTAGGGAATGAGAATAATAATGCTTTGTTGTTGAATAAATGTGAATCTATGAAAGAGGATATATGTAGTCTGCCTGGTACACTGTGGTTGGTCACTGCTAGTTTGACTTGAGGATGAATACAGCTTATCATATGCTTTTTTCTCCTCTCACCTTGCTCACCACAGTGTCTTCCAGTAGTAGGTGGCAAGTAACTTATTTATCAACTTGTCTATTGACTAATAAGACCACGTAGATATCACCCTCTTATCAGGTGAAAAGAAATTTCCTTGAAATCTCACTTTATGAGATAGCTAAGTAAATTCCACTCACTCCATATGTGAATGTTCTGCTTTCCTGAATCTGATTAGGTTACAAGTTGTAAGGGCAGGACTCATTTTTTGGGTAATTATAGCTTTAAACGCACTCAGATGGCTATTACACACTAGCCATATCCAATAGATATAATAAATAATTAATTGAACAAATAAATAAATAAATAAATAAATAAATAAAAATTACAGCCCATAAAAGCTCCTCATTAACTTTCCCAGTACTAACCTACCTCTTGCAATTAATTTTACATTTTCTTGTTTCTCCTTTATTAAGTAAGCTGAAATGAAATAGAAATGATATAATTGTTTTTCTTTCTCATTTGGAGAAATACTCATGCAGTCTCAGTCCTCAGAGCATACAGAAAATGAGACTAGATGAGCTCCATTTGATACAGAAATAACAGAATTCTGAACAATAATGGAATCACATTTATTCCAGTGAATATATGTATACCCATTCCAATGCAGAAAATATTATAATTCTCATAAATTTAAAAAAATAAAAGATATTTATTTTGTCATTACAGAAGTATTCCAGAGGAAAAATTAGGATTTACTCCTCTTTTGTAATCACTATTATGTGAGGCTTCCTCAACAGTAAGCCCACCTCCTTTTAGTGAGGAAAAGTGCATATGAGCATCCCTGCTGTAGGTTCTTATCTTGAAGATAACTTTTCTCTTCCATACCCAAATTGCTAGTGTTATACAGTCCGAGGATGAGGTATGGGAACCCAAACATGAAGTTGTCAGTGTGTCTTACAGGAAAAGTACTAAGTGAATGATTCTGTCTATTCTGTGGAGGCCAAGTGATGTAATCTTTAGAAAAAATAGACATGATGTGATATTATTTGGGGGATTTTGTAAACCTTAAGGATATATGGTAGCGATAGTGGACAATGTTTCTCAGAGACATCTTTCCTCAGTACTAGTTTTGAGAGCTCTCCTACAGAAAGATGTGGGTCCACAGGCCAAGGATACACTCTACCCCAGTCCTAACTCTATTGTCAGATCATGAATTATCCATGCAGGAATATGTCTTTCAAGTACATTGTTTTGGATTCCTGAGAGCTTTAAATACAATTCAATCATTATTATTTTTCTAATCCAAAAATCAGTAGAGTGAATAATGGCCCACAAAATTCATCTAAAGGGATCTTGACTTGATTAAAATGACTCACTCAGGTTCATATAAATGTCTTGCACATAATTTCATTTTGAATTGGCAATGTGGCAATGTAGCACAAAGAGAACTGGACTAGAGGTTAGGAGAGCTGATTAAGGCTGGAATCTTCTTCAGTGAGGTGTGTGAACATAGCAAAATTAATACTTTCTGAACCCCAGCTTTCCTTATATTTATAGTGAAAGAATTATAAAAGACAAGGTCCATTATACCTCCAAGGTTCAGTCTAGCTCTTAAATTTATACTTTATATGACATTTCTGGGCTCTCTCAGAAAAGAGATTTTGTCTCACTATCCTTGGGATGAAAATAGGATACTTTCTTTTCTTTCATCTCTCCATTTGTCAGAGACAAAAAAAATCATCTCTCTCTTCTTAATGTTCTGTCTTAGTCTAGGCCACACTGTGGACAGAACAACATTGTCAGTTAGGGAACCGTGATTGGCTACACTCACCCTCTCTCTAAGCTGGTTTGCTAAAGGGAAGGCTTTGTCTCAAAATGGATGGCTATCAGTATGGTAGGTTTATCCAAAAAAAAAAAAAAAACCTCAGCAAGTTTATGTAAACACTGTGGTACTCAATGAAGGAAGTGCTGAGAGGGTAACAACATCTGACGAATGGGTAAATTTTCTGGAATCTCGCAAGGCTTTGAACATAGCTCTCCCTGGTGGAGACTGCCTGAGCCGACCTGATGTTGTTTTTCCTCATGGTTGGCAGTTATAGAGTGCAGTGGAACAATCAGTTCCTTGGTTATCCTCCAAGGTGAGCAAGGTCAGTTTTAAACAGCTTTGCTGTCAGGGAGCCTCATATTTTACTCTAGTCTCCTAACCTCACAAATCTTGAGGCTGGCACTGAAGTCAATGAGCCCTCTGCAGCCTGATTCCCCACAGCGACTTCTCTCTTCTTACAAACAATGCCTCATCTTGGTTCTGCACACCTGCACAGGTTTTTAGGGAGCAGGACTGCAATTAGTCAATGCAGCCATAATTCAACCGTTATAAAGTATTTGCTTTCACCAGGGTCCTTTTTGTACAGTCTCATATTAAGCATCCACCACAGGAAAATTGCCCTTGAATGTTTGGTCCTTCATCAGCATTAAACTACAGAGCTGACTTTGAATTTTGTCAAACGATTGTCATAGGACAGGGTGAGATTACATAGTCTTTTGCTTATTAGCATTTCATTTAGAACATTACCATATCAAATTGGCTTAATTCTCTTCAGGGTATAAATATTTAAATTTTACAAATTCCAATTATGTTCCTTGCCCCCATTTTGTTCTTCCCACAAGAAAAAAATAAATAAATAAACATGATTCAGAGTGTCTGTTAATCTCACTTAAGGCAAGGAGGAGCCTGAAGATGAACCGTTCATGAAATGACAGATGTCCTAAGAAAGAAAACATCTCCAAAATAAGACCATTTTACTCCCATTTCTTTCAGTGACATGGATGTTTCCAACTAAAATTATATTCAGCATTTTATTTCAATTAAGTAAGCTAGTGATATTGTTTGCAAATAGGTCCTGGTTAATATGGAGTTAAGTTCCTTGAAAATACAGCAGAACCCTTTTTGGGTGTGCCCTGATGATCCTCATCTGCTCCCTACGTGTCACTGACTTCTTTAGATTGTTATCAGGAAATTAGACACTCCATTGAAACAATCCTGGGAAAATAATTCAAGAATCTGGTTTTCATTTTCACTTCTGCTCCTAGAACATTGGACCAGCAGTGCTGGTCCTGTGAAGGACTTGTGTTTGTATGGATGGGACATTGCATAGACCAGCTTAGCAAGACTAATTGATGGTTCAAGTTCTCTGAAGTATAGTTAGTGGCCAGAGGTTGGACTAGAAGGAAGAGAATAAGCAATTTGTTTGTCCAGGTTTTGATTTGCCTGACCAGGTGTGTCCATTTTCTCATGGTTAATGCCTGCGTCAACAGCACTGAGAAGCAACTAAACATTAAAGATTTATGAAGAAAACATTTCATAACCTATGAAGAATTTTACAAACTCTTGGATAGATGAGTCATTGTGGCATTCCACATCTAATGCTATGAGTTGCTTTCCCTGTTCCCTCGTTTCCTTGTTGCATGTAGCCATATAATAAATAGAACTGAGCTGCGTGGTGACCCATGGGATAATTATAAATATAGTAATGATTGTCTTTGGTTTATCTGACAGACAAAATATGGAGAAATGTGATTATTGTACTGTGTTAAAATTGTTCTGTGCTAAGGGGCTGAAGGAGAAGTACAAACACCTTTGAGTACGGCCTTACCCGAAAGGCGTGATCATTCATCATTCTTTTTTTTCTTTTTTTTTTTTTTGAGATGGAGTCTCACTCTGTCACCCAGGCTGGAGTGCAATGGTGCAATCTTGGCTTACTGCGACCTCTGCCTCCCGGGTTCACACGATTCTCCTGCCTCAGCCTCCCGAATAGCTGGGACTACAGTGCACATCCCCACACCCGGCTAATTTTTTGTATTTTTAGTAGAGACAGGGTTTCACCGTGTTGGCCAGACTGGTCTCAAACTCCTGATCTCGTGATCTGCCTGCCTTGGCCTCCCAAAGTGTTGGGATTACAGGCGTGAGCCATCACGCCTGGCCAAGGTGGGATTATTCTTATTGTGAATCTACTGGAGAATCTACATTTGTTACAAAAAAGACAAAAATTCAGAGGGTCCACCCAAGGTGGGCTTAGAATTTGAATCTGTCTGCCTTTGTCTTGATTAAAAATGTATCATGATATTCAGGATAGAAAATTTATACTTTAGGTGGAGGCCTTGTCTCTCTCCAAACTTTTCTATAATGACTCTGAAGTATTTCTCAAAATGCAGTTCTTATGTCAATCATCTATGATGACTAGTTCCCAGTAGCCTTCTGGATAAAAATCTAAAGTATTAATCATGGCACCTCAGACCACAGACTAGCTCTTTAATGTCATCTCTTCTCTCTGGCCCTCTCATGCATTATTTTCTAGTTACATTGAACTGTCTATTATATCTTGGCTACTACATTTCTCATCTCCTTGTATTTGGATTTGTGATTCCTACACTCTGTAAACCTATTTTACAAATTAGGTTGGATAACTCTTATTCATTTTCTAGAATGCAATTACTCCTTCAAGGAAACTCGCTTAATTTTACACCAATGTCCCAACCCCAACTGAGATTTTCGTTCCTCCTGGATATTCTTTGTTCATTAAACTATCACCCACTACACTGTAAGTTCCTTTTTCCTAGAAATGTTGTCTTTTACTTACCAATCTATAATGCTTAGCTGTGTCTGATATACAGTAAGCTTCAGTCAGTGTTTGTTGAATGAATAAGTGGGGTAAGTCAAGAGTGAGGGACCTAGGAAAGGTGCCTTTGAAGTTGGCCAGTCCTTTGGAACTGGAGTAGATATCATTGGATATCTTAGTCATTGAATAATAGATCATTTTTGTCTTTTGCTATATTTGCTGCTTTTTCTTTACCTTGGTATTTAATAAGGTCTCTTTTAAAGTTCTAGCCTCCCTAAACTGTGCTAAGAGAAACATGGAAGAGATTTTGTTTGTTCTTTATGTAGAGCAAAGAAAGGGCACACCATCCCTCCTGAGGCTAGCGAGATGGTGGCAGCAATATCTGAAATGTGAGAATCTCAAGAGGAAAGCAAGGACTTCCAAGGAGAGTGGAAGAACTACTGGGCCAATTGTTTTTCCAGAAATAAGAAAAGCCTGGAGGGTTGAGGTTTTGTTTTAATAAAGAAAATCCCATTTTCTTCCAGTGCCTTTCCACTGTCTCCTTTTAGCCATATTCTCCTCACTTTGCCAGGCTGTCCAGGTCCTTTATGTTGTCCTCTGGACATAGAGTTGCTACAACCTTTTCTGGATTCTTATACCTGCTATGGCTGGGGGCCTTTCCCAGACAGCAGTCACCTAAACAGGACATTTACCCTTATAGGTGCTGAGTGTTTATGGCTGAATGGACCTTGCTTCATAGGAGTAGGTTTCACTCCAAAACTTGTGGCTTAATATAGCAATCATTTTGTTATCTCCCATGTTTCCATGGGTTTACTGTGTTCAGCTGGGTATTATTCTGTTGCTCTTGCTTGCGGTTTCTCATGTGGTTGCAGTCAGACGATGACTATTTCCTCATCTGCAGGCTGCTGTTATAATCTGGAGGCCTGTGTGAGATATTGGGAGGGCTGAACCTCCCTCCTTCTCCATGTAGTCTCAGGATTTCTCTATAATGACATCTTAATGACGTCTCTTTGTGATAGCCAGACCAGAGAAGAATACTTTTTTTCTTTTTTCTTTTTTTTCTTTCTGGGATGGCGTCTTGCTGTGTTGCCCACACTGGAGTGCAATGACATGATCTCGGCTCACTGCAACCTCCACCTCCAGGGCTCAAGTGATTCTCCTGCCTCAGCCTCCTGAGTAGCTGGAATTACAGGCATGCGCCACCATGCCTGGCTAATTTTTGTATTTTTAGTAGAGACAGGGTTTCACTATGTTGGCCAGGCTGGTCTCGAACTCCTGACCTCAGGTGATCCTCCCACCTCGGCCTCCCTAATTGTTGGGATTACAGGCGTGAGCCACTGCACCCAGCAGGAAGAAGACTTCTTATGTGGCCAGTTAGAGTTCCCAAAACCAAGCAAAGGGAGGCAGAGGCTGCCACCCCTCTTAAAATCTAGGTCCAGAAGTGTCACCATGTCACTCCTAACATGTACTATTGTTCATGGAAGTCACAGGGAAGCACAGATTTATTGTGGGAGGGGACTACACAAGATTATGAATGCCAGAAGGCATGGTTCATTGGGGACATCTTTTAAAACTCGCTAACTCGTTATCATAGGACACTTACATTTTAATAAACAATAAATAGGTTTTTTTCTTAAGTAATTTTAAGCACCAGGACTGTGTGTTCCTTCCTTTCTGCAAAACTTTCTTCCTTTTAGCTTTCTACTCAAATTCTCTATCACTTTCACTCACCACTCTCTCCATCACTTCCACTTCCTTGTCTCCACTTGTCTCTATCACTTTCCTTCGTTCTGGTTCCTTTGCTTTTCTCCCCCAAAACTGGCAAGACTCAACATCCAGGTCTTGTCACTCTCTCTTACTAAGCTTCCATTGTGTTTTCCCCATAGAGTTAAACTCATTACAGTTCGTTTATGAGTTCTCCTTGACCTTCTTCACTGAGTCCACCTCCCACCACTCTTTCTGTGTGTCCTAAGCTCTAGTCATTTTTGATCATTAATACTTTCTTGAGTAAGATGTGTTCCTTCATATCTTTATGCTGTTCCAGATACTATTTCTTCTGACAAGAAGGAAGAAACATGTTTCTAAACCACTTAGTGTTCTCTAGTCTGCTCTTGGAACAAGTTAGGAGAATGTTCCTCTCCTTCAGCTTTCTCTGCATGATTGATTTCTCTTTCTTCTTCCTTTTCTTAGCACTTTTGATATAGAATTGATTTTATTGCATTGTAAACACTTCAGAGTGTCTCTCTTTCCAGAGATGTCGTATTCATCTCTGTGTCTTCTCACTCTAGTGTTTCACAGTGTCTAAAATATAGATGTTACAATCATACTGAATTGGCTGGCTGAATTATTTTATTCTTATTTTCCTTCCTCAACAATTACCTCTATGTTGGTGCCCATATTTTTCTATAACCCTTTAGCTATGAAATCACATTTCATACTGCCTATTGGAATTTATACTTAGTCTCCTATGGTCACCTCAAAAATAGCATTTCTAGAGCCACATTTACTGTCTTTCCCTCCCAAATTTCATAGTCTCTTTCAGTGAAACCACCATTATCCCAGTTAACAAGAGTAACTTTTGTCCCCTTCATTCATCCAAATCAGTCAGTCTTAGATTTTAGGCATTATTTTCTTTTGACATTGCTCTCATATTTACTTTTGTGAATATATCCTTACTGCTGTCCTTTTAGCCCAGACCTTCTCATGCATGAATGATCACCTTGCTGTTTTGTCTTGTTTTCCTCTCTAATCCCTTCCTCTCTCATGGCTAGGCTGATATTTCTTCTTCTTCTTCTTCTTTTTTTTTTTTTGAGATGGAGTCTCACTCTGTCGCCCAGGCTGGAGTGCAGTGGCAGGATCTTGGCTCACTGCAACCTCCGCCCCACAGGTTCAAGCGATTCCCCTGCCTCAGCCTCCCAAGTAGCTGGAATTATAGGCACCTGCCACCATGCCCAACTAATTTTTTTGTATTTTTAGTAGAGACAGGGTTTTGCCATGTTGGCCAGGTTGGTCTCCAACTCCTGACCTCAGGTGATCCCCCTGCCTTGGCCTCCAAAAGTGCTGGGGTTACAGGTGTGAGCCACCGGGCCCAGCATAGGCTGATTTTTCTAAAACAACTCTTTCACAGTGTTGCTCTGGTGCTCCTCGAAATGGTGTTTGCTGTCAAATTAAATCTACTCTTCTGCTTGCTTCTCATGGCCTTCCACAATCCAAACCCCACTCCGCCAATCTTTCTCTGTTTCCCCCTTTTAAGTAGCATCCACCCACATTACCTTTCCTCATTGATTCTGGCTTAAATGAACACTTGTTCAATCCCAGTTGCAAGGTCAATCTGTCTGGAAGGTTCTCCTCTTGCACCTTTCCCCTTCTCACATGTCAATATCCTTCCCATCCTTCCAGGATGTGTTCAAGTTTGAATCATCTATTATTTTTCTTTCAACTTCCTCCTGCCTTCCCTACTCTCTCTGAGCTCTGAGTGCAGAAATATTATGTCAGAACTACTGTGTTTACTGTGCTTTACCAACATATGTGCTTCTTGAGGTGAGAGATTATGGTTTATCTTCCTCAGTAATTCTCACAGTGTCATAATGTCCAGCACAATGCTGTGTAGTAGATGACCATGTAACATTAGTGGGTAATTACATGAACTTGTAGTGGTAGCATTTTCTGGGTCATCATCTATAGGCCAGTGGGATGATATTTTCTCAAGATAATTTTAAAAGGCAAGAAAAAAGAAGGCTTCTTATTTCTAATTTCCAGATAAGATATCCCCTACCTTGTCCCTGGATGATAGAACTGGATATTGTAAAATAATAGTAATTAGTATTTGAATGCCATTTAACTCTTTATAAAGCACCTTAACTGATATTTGCTTATTCATAATTCTGTAAGTTCTTCCAAAATTACTATACACTTTGAGGCTGGTGGTGTGATGTGTGAAGATGAGATAGAGGAAGTAAGCGTGGAGGATTTGGATTTGCAAAAACATTTGATAATGTATTGCTTTTCATTGGTCTCAAGGAGGTCTATTTCTAGGAGTATTGAGAAAGATATATATGTGTATATGTTTACCCATTTACCAGAAAATGGGTTTACTTCTCTAACGTTTTAGCAATAAAAAGAATTCCAGATATGCAGCAAATAAATCTGACTGTTAGTCAGCCCTCAGGAGCTGCTGATAGCAAAAGACTGAAGATCCTATATTTCTATATTCAGATCATACTACTGAGGGATTTCAAGCTTCTCTTTCTCAAGCCAGCTTTTATGGTTTAATAGTTTTTCTGTTATGAAAATAAAGCAGATGACACAAAATTTCAGAGAAAGACAGCAAAAGTAAGAGCCAAAGAAAAGAAGGAGTGGAAGTGAAAAACGCTTCAGTGAAAAAACTGGAGAGCTGACACTTTGGCACCGAAATGTTAATGCTTATTTTTAAGATTATATCGCCACCTAGTAAATAAGCTCAGAAATACAACCACAGAAAATGACAGCTTGTCTGGTGCTGAGCTCTAATCCTCTGGTTAGCAATTCCTGGGAGCACCTTTCCTTCTAAACATCTGCACACACAAATGTGCTACCTGCGCACGCTTTTAGAGTTCTCGTTGTTCAGGCTCAGCCCACGTTCTCCTGTTCATTTAGAGCAATGTGATGGAAAAGTCAACAGCACACATTTTAGAAATGAAAACAAGCCAAGGATTTCTATCAAGGAACCTGTTATCTACTCTTGAAAAATGATTAGTTAAAACCATACATATTATCATTTGCCAGTTCTGAATAATTCTGGGATTTTCATTAATGAAAATATTTTGCATTTTCTACTTTCATTTCTGTATAGAACCGAAGTGGTCTGTTCATGGTCTTTCTTGGTTAGGAAGCATTGGAACTAGGGAATTAAAAACACTAAAGACTGCTTAAAATTTTTCTTGTCTTTAGTTTTTCTGTTATTGTGAACAATCTTTTATTTCTTCTGCAGTGTTTGTTTGTACTGAATGCTTTATGCTTGATCACCCACCCTGATTCTGTTTTTGTACAAAAAGCTTGTTAGCTTGATAAAGCACTGCATAGGGTTTTAGTTGGTTGCTCAATAGATGATTATCTGGGTGGCATCCTGGCTATAGCCCTTGCTAGTTCCAATTTTGTAATCTGTGAGCTAGGGATAACAATAGTGCATACATCACTGGGCATTTGGGAGAAATAAATTAAGCAGCAAGTACTCAAAAATGTTAACTATTATTATTAATAATAAAAATAGATCGATTAGAAATGGTAGAAACAAAGGATAGAGACTGATTTCATCTTGCTCAATAGATCAAAATGGCACAGGAGATAAAAAGGTTTTAACCAAACACATAGATACAGATAAAGAAGGCATATATTCTGAGACTAGAAAACCATTCATTCTTAAAAATTCAGGTGATTAAATTTTAAAAAATTATTAAATTTTAATCATATTTAAAAATGATTGAATTCAAGTACTTAGAAACCTTGAAAATATACCTCCATTATTTTTTTCTATGCTATCTTTTTTTGAACGAAATCTATCCTCACTTCAGCCTTCCAAATAATAACTCCATTTTATTTTGAGGGCTGTTTAGAATAAACATGATTAAAGAAATTAGCCAAGAGTTTAGGGTATGAAGTGGGAGAGGGGAGATTTTTGTTACGAGAGCCTTTTTCATGGGGGTTATCAGGCATAAAATTATCAATTTTGTTTAACCCAGACGTGGCAGATTCTGCTATTTATCCCAGAATAACCATTGTTTTTCTTTTTCTTTCAATAGAACTTTGTGCTGGTACATGATTATACAGCCAAATATGCCCTAGCTTCTTAAGTGTGGCATCAACTGTGTGATATGTGCTAACTTTGGTGCCATGCCTTCATGAAGAACATGCATTTTCTTCTCCCCTTGTCTTTTTCTACCTTTCTGCTGGCTGGAATGTGGATATGATGATGGGAATGGAACAGCCACTGAACCAAGAGAAGGAAGCTAAGTTTTAAAGAGAAATAGAGCAACAAGATAAAGGAAGCCTGGCTTCCCATCACTTCTGATGTGCCGTAACAGCCCTGGAATGCCTATGCAGACCTTACATGAGAAATAAGCCAATGCCTGTCTGACTTAAGCTTAAATATTTTTTTTTAGTTTCTTTATTACAGTAGCCTAAACTGTACTACAACTAATTCTAATGGTCTACAAAGAGTCACAAGCCCTAGAAATATGAATATAAAATTATAGATGTTAAGTTTGACGTCTGCACGCTGCAAGGCACTGCTTCCTAAAGAGTGGTCTTTCATTTGATATTGGACTTTTATCAAAGAAAAAAGACTTTTAATGTACACCAAAAAAGGTCCTCTTAATAGGTGGTAGGAGGATTCTATTGTGTGGGGCTATCAAAGCGGTATCCCGCTTTCTTAAAAAAAAATGGAGAGGCTACGAAGAAATTAACTCAGGATAGAAGGTGGCTTGTCTGGTTACCTGGCATCCAAGCTTCTTGTAGAACAAAAAAACAAGTGCAGATGAAAATGACAGGGAAAGAGGAGGGCTCTGGATCTGAGCACAGTGTGTTGGAGGAAGAATGGAAAAGGCCATAGGTTGTTGAACAGATCAAAGCAGCCTTTGGAGAGAAGATAAAAACATTAATTGGTATTTATTAAGATATTTGCTACCTACATTACAATGTCCTGTTTTCTATCTCCTCTAATAATAGCTAATGATTATTGAACACTTTCTATATGCCAGACTCTGTTCTAGGGTTTTACATCTGTAATAATGTAATCATCACAGAAACTCTCTGAGGCAGTGCTATTATTTTTATTTATGTTTTCCAGATAAATAAAATGAAGCATCGAGGGGCGAAATTACTTGGTAAAAGTCATCCTTGCTAGTAAATTTGGCATTTGAACTCAAGCATTTTGCCCTAACCAATATGCTCTACTATCTTTATATAATGTTTACTAAATTCTCCATTGCTGGCCATTATCTTCAGACAAGCGGATTTGGGTTACACAGGAGCTTCAGAAAGAAGACATAACTGAAGACACTGTTATATTTAGTAAATCAATATACATTATCATACTAAAGGCTTCCCAGTAAATAAATCTGCTTAACTCTGTTTAATTCAGAATTTCCCAAATGTACTTGATCACAGAACTAATGTATTGAGCACTGGCTATTGCCACTCCAAGAAGCTAGTGTTTCACTGAACATACTTCTCAAATTCTTGGGGAGAAAAATATATTGACCTGGGTGTCAGGGGGCCCACATTTTGGTTCTGATTTGGTACTTTTTGTTTACATAGCTTTGGACAAGTCAGTATAGATTTCTGGGATTTCACTTCTTTTTATTCTTTTGTTTTCTTTTCTTTCTTTCATTTTATTTTATTTTATTTTTTGAGACAAGGTCTTACTTTCTTGCTCAGGCTGGAGTGCAGTAGTGCAGTCATAGCTCACTGCAGCCTCACTGTCCTGGGATTAAGCAATTTTCTCAATTTATCCTCCTGAGTAGCTGGGATTATGGGCATGGATCACCACGCCTGGCTAATTTTTATTATTTTATTTTGTAGAGCTGGGATGTTGCTATGTTGCCCAGGCTGGTCTTCAACTCCTGGCCTTAAGTGATCCTCCTGCCTCAGCCTCCCAAAGTGCTAGGATTAGAGGTGTGAGCCATGTCTGGCTAGATATTTGATCTAGTAAAACAGTGTCCAAGTTGATGCGGTGACCAGTGACATGTGAGCTTTAAGGACTAGGCTTGTATTTGGAAAAAGTGAAAGCAGAGATACAGCTATAAAAAGTCTAGACAATTAAATCCAGTTCTAAGCAAAAAGAGAAGAAATAGAACCAGGAAAATTCTGTATTGAGAGATTTTCCTTAAGCATTTGAGTACTGGCATCAAAGAATATGTATGATAGATGATCCACAAGTATTTGTTTGGGCTCTGAATTTAGCCTTCATAAACATGGGGACATCACTGATTTCCATGCTACCTCAGATCCCTACTAGTATCTTTCTCCAATTTGTGACCCACAATATCCAACCAGTTATTTTCCATCTATCTTGTTCATGTAGTACCTTGACCAAATTGTAAAGGAATAACTCAAGCAGATTAGACAGTTAGTCTTTGGCCAGGTGAATAAGACAGAAGAAGATATTTCAGGCAGAGAAAGTAGCATATGCAAAGGCTCAAGTGTAAGAAAGAGTAAGACAGGTTCAGTAATCTTGGGACAGTGCAGACTGGTGGAATGTGTGTTCATGGGATTTTTGTAGGTGTGGAGTTTGACGAAGAAGGATTCCAGAGAGAAGTGACTGGAAATATAAGCTGGGTTTGGGTGGTGGAGTATGTTCCATGTGCTATATTCAGGATGCCTCTCCCTGCATAGACTCAAGTTTTAGATATATCTTAATAGGAGTTTCCAGAAGTTAAGCATAAAAGGAAATCCCTTTATTCTGATGAGATTCCATGACTCTTTATGTGTCTTGGGAAAATTAGGATATAAGCTAGAGTATAAGTAATAACCCAATTCTGTTCTAATAGAATAATTCAATTATCCTGGTACTGTCATTGGATGTATCATGAATTTGCAGGTGTATGTTTATTTTCATAGAAATAATTTCCCATCTTTCTATAAAGTGATAATTTCTACAATAACATCCTGATGATATTGGCTGCCTTATAATTAAGTCTACTCTACATGACGAGGTTCTTCTGGAACTTTTGAATCTGGACGACACCAGAATAAAAGAGAAATATAGGCTTTAAATATAATTGTTGTAATTTCTGAAGACCACTGGTTAAGGCAAATCTAGTTAATGCATAGGAAATCTTGATTTATACGACATTCTCTACCTGGTCTCAGCCTGTCTATTCAGCCTCATTTATCCCTATCCATTTCCTTCTTACCTCACAATCTCACACACCTGCTCTCTGCCCACTTTGTGTCCTTCACTATTTCCCAAAAATTCCTGCCCATTTATGCTAAGCTTTGAACATGCTATTTTCTCTATCTGCTGAAGGTAAAGACTTACCTTTGGCAGCTATAATAATATTTTGCTACAATCTAAGTAATTCTTGACATCAATTGCTTACTGTCAAGAGGGTCAGTTATTATTAATCTTGCAGTTTGGTGGGAGAAAAGAAATTGAAGAGGGATGAAGAAAGGGGACTTATCCCTCAACTTCTTTTTTCAGAGATAGCCTCTGTATTCCAAATTTATGACTAGTAATTTAGAGGAGAAATATTCCTCAGTAAAATGCACCTGGAAGAAAAAAGAGTAGGGGTAAGAGGAGAGAGGGATGAAGGAAGGAAACAAGGAGGAGGAAACTACTCTGGGTACTTTGCTTTCTGAGCCAGTAAACATAATCTCATTTAATCCTTGCTACAATCCTGTGATCTTAGAGTACTAATTCCATTTTACTTTTAAGGGAAGAATATCCAAAAAGTAGATAATATTTCCAAGGTTATGTAGCCAACTAGATAATGGAGTTAGAATTTAAATCCAAGCTTTTAAGACTCAGAAGTCTACCACTCTTACCAAAGGCTCTACTTAGTGTCTTATTACAGTAATGTAAAAAAATAAATGGGATCAAGATATTATTGGGATGGTAATTGTAGTCTCCTGATTTACAGCCCATTGTTCTAGCCCCATCCCATCTGAACTATTGTCTTTTGGATAGGAAGGTTCATGTCTTATCTGTAACCATCAACACTGGCCATCTATACCGGGTGTGGCAGCTCACAGCTGTAATCCCAGCACTTTGGGAGGCCAAGCTAGGTGGACCGCCTGAGCTCAGGAGTTTGAGACCAGCCTGGACAACATGGGGAAACCCTCTCTTTACCAAAAATACAAAAAATTAGCTGGGCGTGGTGGCACGTCTGTGATCCTAGCTACATAGGAGGCTGACGTGGGAGGATTGCTTGAACCTGGGAGGTGGAGGTTGCAGTAAGCCAAGATAGTACCATTGCACTCCATCCTGGGCGACAGAGGAAGACCTCATCTCAAAACAAACACACACACACAAAGAAAACCCCATAAAAAACAAAAAAGAAACAAACAAAAACCCAAAACAAAATACAGCCATCTACTTAAGGCCATCTACTTAGTTATTTGGCATATGGCATTCCTTATATATATATTTTTGAAAATGATTTAAAGTCCTACATAATTTTTGACTACTTGGTACAGAGTATCCATCATAGATAATTCTTGACCTTAAAATTATTGTAAATTCAATGCCTTGCTGTTTATAATGCATTAAACTAAACTAAACTAAACAGAATGGGCTAAACTAAACAAAATCCCTGTTAGGCTGGGAATTTAATAAGTCACATTTTAAAAGTCCCTGAAGCTCTGAATTATTTGGTTATAATATTTAGAATCACTGTGAAACTGTGTTACAAAGTAAGGATAATGGAGAGAGATAAAGGAAAAGGAGGAGGCTTCTATAATGTTTAAGGTGGTTGCAAGAATAGTGACGTCTAAGAATAAGCTTGGATGTCCTACAGCATCAGACAATGGTAGTGCAAAAAGGAATCCTGTAATAACAACAGTTTAAAGGGAAAAATCGCTTCACTTTACCCCATCCTGGTCTATATAAGATGTTTGATCTTTCCAGTTGACTGAAGTAAGCTCTTAATAGAATCCTTGATAACAAAAAGGAATGAAGTAAGGGTAAGATAAATGCTTTTAAAACCACCAAAATTCAAGTGGGCAAGTGATATAAGGGTTAATTCTTTGCTGTTAAATTTTCTAATGAACTTGGCAACAGGCTGTTAAAAGTTTATTAGCTTGATGCTGGTTAATCATCCTGTTTCGTTTTGGACCACAGTAAAGGAACACAAACCAAATTAACCAGCACATGAGCCCTTTATAAGAACCTCTTTAAAATAATTTACTTAGCTTATTTACTCCCACTTTTTGAGTTCTCTGAACTATAGAATTCTCCAAATGAATCAGTACCCCAATTTGTTTGCCAGAATATAAAGATGAAAAGAAAAATGAGCTCTCTTACAATACCCTCTGGGACTAATTACCCTGATCTGACTAGACTGGTTGTTAGATCTGAATTATAGTCATGAATAAGTTAGATCTTAATTAAAGTCATGTATGGGGTCCAAGAGGCAATGTCATACAGGCAAAAAAGCTGTTTTGTAATAAGTGGAAATTAGTATTATAGTGCTTTGTGAGACATTGAGCTTCTGGTTAGAAACCTATCTTCTGAGATGTAGAAGAAATTTCAGGTTTAAAAAACCCATCTTCTCTCTTTATATATGGTCTTTTCTAAATTTTGAAACCAAATTAATTTTGGCATTTCCACTAATGTGAATGAAATGATGTTTTCAAAATTAGCTTATCTTTATTTTCTTTTACCTGCAAATGTATGGCAGCTTTTATTTAATGTTTTAAACTTTCTTAATAGTTACCAACATCTTGTATGAGTAGGAAACAATGAAGCAAGAAAGATTTTTAATCGGATTGGATAATGTAAGAGAATTTTCTGGTGGTAGAAGGGCTTGAATATTAAAAGATAGCTCTGGAGTAGATAACAAAATTTTCTTCTCTGGAGGTTTTTAAATTTAAAGAAGTTTCATTCAGAAAACAGGTGGATGAACTTCATCTATGTTTCTTGACCTATTCTTTTTGACTGAAGAATAAGAATGTTCTAAGTGTGTCACAAGCCACCTGAAGGAAGTGAGGTATTGAACATGTATACGCAAATCCAAACATCAGTGGCAACTATGCTGTTAGGACTAATCGAAGAATCCCAAAGCCGGTAGGGAACTCAAGCTGAGCTTTGGTTTCAACATGAGTTAACAGCCTTGGAGAAATGGTGAGGAGGGGCTCTAGGCCACTGTGTAAGAGTAGCCAGATGCCAAGCCACACACGAGAGAAGATTCGAGAGAGAAATTAATCTTCCTGAGAGTTTTCATTTATGTTAGGATTTCTAATCATTTCCTCAGCGGAGAGAAAGAGGCGTGCATCCTCGCATTTGAATAGGACGTATGAGTTTACAAAATCCTCTCACGTTTACAGTGAGTTACTAAATGAACAGAAGCAATCATTCTCATTTCATAATTGGTGAAATGGAGACAAAGAAATTTAGTGATTTGCTCACAGCCAAACAGCTGGAAAACGGTTGGGATAGACCTCAAAGGCAAGTCTTCTGACTCTACGGTTGGTATTTTTCAGATACGCTGTATCCTTCCACTTCTTTAAAGTGTTCAAAGTCCTCCTTTGCTGGGAAGTGAGATGGGAAAGGAAGCTCAATGATTATCTGTTTTAAGGAAATTATTTTGAGACAGAGTCTCGCTTTGTGGCCCAGACTGGAGTGCAGCGTGCGATCCCGGCTTACTGCAACCTCCTGGAGTCAAGCAAATCTCCTGCCTCAGCCTCTGAAGTAGCTGGGATTACAAGCACGCACCACCATGCCCAGCTAATTTTTTTGTACTTTAGGTGGAGATGGGGTTTAACCATATTGCCCAGGCTGGTCTGGAAATCCTGACCTCAAGTGATCCGCCCACTTCAGCCTCCCAAAGTGCTAGCAGTACAGGTGTGAGCCACCGTGCCCTGTCTGACTTAATGTGAATTCTTAGTTTCCAGAGTAGGGCTCTTGGCTATTGGTTTGCAGAACTATGGCCTCGATTTTGACTATCAGATCTGCAAAGTGCAGCGTATAACCCCATACTGATAAGTAGTTTGAATGCACTTGTGTAGAATGAGTCACAGGCTCTTAAATTCTCTTTCATAACATTGGCTCATAGATTCATACATTGTTAGGGTAAGAATGGAGCTTTATATTATTTAATACAGTGATTTGATTTACACGTGAGGAAATTGTGTCCTAAAGGTGTTGAGCCTGTGCTTATTAGATATATATTATAAATGACGAAATCTCCGGGAAAATGTTTTTAATGTAAAGAAAATTCCAAAATAGAATAGGAGCCACAAAAACCCTGACCAATTTTCTTTAGTAAGAGTTAGAAGAAAGTTTCTTTGTTAACCAACTTTTTACATTAAGTTTACATAAAAGGATGTTAGTATTACCGTGACACATTCATAAAGTGTTGTTATACAATGTCTTAAGAGGTGATGGGCACTGATGATCTAGTATCTAAGAATATTTAATGCACAAAAATGCCACAATGGTGTGGTTAACAGATTTTTTGATTCATAGCATTTTCTTCAGAATTTTGTAGTCTTAAAGAGTACAGTAATTTGAGATGAGTCTGCATTCACATATGGATGTATGCAAAAAGAGGAGCAGTGAATTTTTATTTGTTTGAGATGGAGTCTGTCTGTCTCACAGGCTAGAATGCAGTGGTGCAATCTTGGCTCACTGCAACCTCTGCCTCCCAGGGTCAAGCGATTTTGCTGCCTCAGCCTCCCAAATTGCTGGGATAACGTGCACACCACTATGCACAGCAAATTTTTGTATTTTTAATAGAGACAGGGTTTCACTAGGTTGGACCAGGGTGGTCTCGAACTCCTGACCTCAGGTGATCTGCCTGCCTCGGCCTCCCAAAGTGCTAGGATTACATGTGTGAGCCACTGTGCCTGGCCACAAAGCAGTGAATTTTAAAAGGTATGTCATGTTTTCTACTGTGCTGTTTTGAATCATACATATCTTTGAGTTTGGCCTATAGCATACTTGTTTCTAATCCCAATCCATTCTGAAACAAAATTATCTACTAATAGTATGATATTCATTAATGCCCTGAATGACTTACATATGCAGTAAAATTACACCTTTCTCAGCAGTTAGAATATAAATCAAGGACATAAAGTGAAAATCATATACAATCAACGTTGTCCTTGAAATGTCCAATCAAGTATATCACTAAAACAACCTGAATAGGTTTTTTACAGCTAATTTTCCTTGTTGTTTCTTGGAATGAGCACCAGATTAAGCATCTGGCTTATTTTTAGGAGTCATATGATACAAACAAACAAACAAAGTATAGCAACTTTAAACACTGGAATTAGAATAAGCATGGAGCACGTGCACAATGTCGATGTACAGAACTGAGACTAATTGAGGGAAGAGTGAGTTCTTCCTCTCATGTAATTATCACTCTGGGCTATTGACTTACTTACTTAGATAGTGACAGGATTCACCTGCTTTATTTAAATAGTTTGTTCTTTTTCCCTCTTTTGTTTCAAAGTTCTTAGAAGTGAATCAGCCAAGTTAAATGTGTAAATATCACCAGTCTGCTGTGCGTGTTTGTTTTTCGGCCCCCGAAACAATTCTTTCTCTCAACAAGTACTAAGTATAATTTAAGGATTCCTCCCATCAACTATACACACTTATACCAGAATTTTCAGCTTAACACTGAGCTATATCCATTGCTGAGATGCAGGCAGGTCTGGGCAGAGGCCCACTTGCAAAGTGGGTGAAAGGGATCCTAGGACAGAAGTCTGCACAGAAAGAAGTCAGTTTTACTAAGCTATACAATATTCCTTTTGTTTTGTACTCAAACCCCCAAAAACTATGAAAACAAAGATTTTTCCGTTATCTTCTGCAAACACATTTGGTGGGAAAGACTTAAGTGAACTGAAGTGAGCATGCATACCTCCTCAGAGTCTCTATTTGACCCTCTGGAATATTCACAGGTTTCACTGCAGATTGTTGGAGTGTTTGATTATAGTAGCTAGCCTACAACCTGCTGGGGCCTTTATGCAATACATGGTTTTCAGACTGTGCTACATTTTTAAAATTGAAACAATTCTGAATTCTAAAACACATCTGACATTCAGCAAAGGGATTATGGATTTGAGGTATTTGGCCATGCACAGTTTGCACTGTTTTCTACTAACATGATTTACTGTAGGCCCTAGGTTTGTAGTTTTGAGCCTGCTTATTGTCTTATCTCTGACATGACCTCTTCATTTATGCTAAAGTTTATAGTTATTGAAAAGGCTAAATGAGAGTGTTTACACTTCTGATTTCTCCTCTGTACATAAAATCTCTAAATAGAAAGTTTTTTGATTAAATGATATTTTTGATTGCTGTCTTTGGCCTTCCTTGGTACCTTAAGTTTGAAAAAGCAGTAAAAACAAATCAACTGTTTAGAAAAGGCAAAATAATAATAATAATAATAATAAGTGATTGGGGTATGTCTGGAGAACTCATGGGCACTGGAGATGTGTATCTGCCATAGAGTGGCATGAAGCTAACAGCCTCTTTGTCACTGAGATAGCCGTCATTGCTGTAACTCACTGAGAAGCAGAGAGAAACACCCTCTGCTGTCCAGTATTTCAAAGCCCTTTATTGCTTTATTTGTTTAGAAGTGCATCAGGTAAATGGAGTGCTTATAATTGTAGGTGTAGTACCAGCTATTAAAGCAAATATATTCACAGCCCCTGTAATTATGCTTCAGTAAAAGTTGTTCTGGATGGCTCAACAGGACTTCTCCTTGGGTAATATGTTTAGTTTTGTATTTTCTCCAATGATGCAGAATGACTTATAGTCAAACATTTTCTCCTGATGATGCCTTTATTTCTGGCATGACCTTCTTCTCTTTGAAGTCCAAAAAGAAACATATATATATATATAACATACATAGAGTGACAGATAAATGTAATGTGCTTCAGGAACTTACTGATTTATTGACAAATAGTCACTTTAAAAAAATCTATAATACAAAGGCTAATGAAAGAAGGAAGACACTGTAAGGATGATGTTAAATATATGTTTAGGCATGATGTCTGAATTCCTACCCGGATGCCTTTTAGCATTGGATATTCTTGCACAGATTTTGCTACCTAAGATTTTATGTAGAACAACATGGTGATAGATGCTGTTTAGCAGAAATATTCTATTACAGCTTTCTCTTTGGAGACAACCTGAGTCTTCTCTTGGGAGTGTTTTAACGCTTCCTTATTTAGGTCACCTTTGGGCAAAGTGAGTTTCAAGCAAATTGAAAGGTTTCTAAATTCTTTCAGATCACCTGAATCTGAAAGATTAGTGTCCTGGTATGTTAATTTGCCAAATGAAACCCCAGGGAAGGAAAATAATTAAGTCTATAAATAAACAAAATAAGTAAGTGCTTACTTATAAATGAGAATATCCTATATTTGTGTAAGATCTTTGCTTGCTTTATGGAATAGGATATAAAATATTTGATGAAACTAAGTTTCCATTATAATTCTACAACTTTTTTCCCAAAATGCATTTCCATATTTTTCTCCACAACAGCCTCATAGGTTATAAGGTCATTAGGAGAAATATTTTATCTTCCTCTTGGAACTTCTTATAATGATTAATATAGATCTTTGAATAAATGGTGGATATCTGCATTATTTTGGAACAGTATATGCTTCATCTTATTAACCCCAGAGATTCTGGAGTCAAGTGAGAAACAGAAATATGACCAATATGCCTCAATGAATTGTTTGGCCATTTAAAGCAGTAGAAATTTGTGTTTTTCACCATTCCCAAACCCTTCTCCAATGGGAAATTGTTTCTTCTTTTTATCACGTGGTATGACATGTCTACTCATTAGGTTACCACCAGTTTTTGGCATTAGGATTATGCCTTATACTTCTCCAAATATCAAAATATGGAAAGAGAGCTATTGAACTCCTTGGTCTAACCATGTTTGAATCCCACTCTTGGGCTTCTGGGTTATATGACTCAATAAATTCCCTTTTACTTAAGCTGGTTTCAGCTAAGTTTAATTTGCATGTAACTTAAAGTATCCTGACTAATAAATTTTGCATATTTGGAAATGCAAAATGGCTCCATAAAAATAGATTTTTTTTTCCTAGAAATCTTGTCTGCTTTTTCAGAAGCTTACATTAGGTAAAAAATGATACTTAGTATGTAGATTCATAGATTACTCAGTATAATTGAGAAATGTGAAGTGAAATGTTTTAGTTATATTCAGCAATTGCATAGCTAATAAAACAGCAATAGAAAATTTGCATATTCTCTTATAGTGATAGAAGGATTCAATGTAAAGTACACTTTAAGGAACAACATCTATGTACAAAGATGGCATATTTTCTCACTGAATCAAATATTACCAATAAGGGCTTAGCAAAACATTGCCTTTTATTCTCACTTGGAAAATACATTTTATTTTTCTTGCCCATTTAATTTTATGTCCACACAAAATTCACCTTGATTCTTCCTTTTGCTTCCATCTGTTGCAAAGAAAAATCTTTCTACAGATGCTACGCCTACTTCAGATTTCGGAGTAAAATTAAAAAAAAAAAAAAGGTCTCTGTTTTAGTTTCCAAAAGATGATTTTGATTTGCCTTCTGTTTCTAGATATACCCTGCAAGGAAAAAGCCAGACTGCTACAGGTGGTTTGTTTTTTTTTTCCATGTCTTGAACACAAACCATTCTCTTCTTCTCTTTCTCTCTCCCTCTCTCAACCCACAGTCATTCATTTCCTTCTTTGAACTGGATATGTGCTTACCTCCTTTCCAATTTCTATTATTTTGAGACACATTTTATGTTAGCAGGCATACACAATTTTAAAATCAGACACACACTGATTTCTCATATCTGGCAAGTCAGGTAAAAATTTGGAAACCAAATGTTTATAAATTGCAAAGTTACTTTTAAGACTCTAATTATTATCAATCACCATATTGCCATAACTATTTTGTATGTTCCCCCAAATAGCATTGCTTTTGATGAATGCAGTGTGATTCAGAGTACTCCCAATACACAGTCATTTGACCGTTTTTTTTAACACTGGCAAGCATGTAGCAGATTTTAAGATATATTAAAAGATGTTTGTCATATCTAGTATCTAATAGATGTAATCAAACAAAGGCTTTTTTTTAAGCCCATTCAGAAGATTCATTTTATAGGCACAAGATTATGGTAATTTATAATTCATGTTATTCTCTGGATGGTGTGGTTTTGGTTCAGGCAAAGATTTGCATGTCCCTGTCCCTGCTCAGTGTTCATCTACTAGCTAGCATCCTACCTAAGATTAAATTTATACATTTGGTTTTGGTTCAAGGTTTCTTGTTCCCGCTGGCAAACACAGACGCTCCTTAACTCCTCTCCACCTGAATGTGCACAGAATATAATTATGACAGGAGCTAACATTATCTAAAATGCATTTCCGTTTATGCTTGTAGACCAAGGTCAGAACAATTAATCTGAAAGATGGTAGCACCGCAGATTATGCCAAACAACATTTTCCCAAGGAATGTGATACTATATATCACAAATAGGTAAAATATTCATGCAAATTCTCTTCTGGCCTCTCTGTCAACACAGGTTTACTGTCACTAAATATGAAGTTTACAAAATAGACTGCAGGGAATGCAGATGTTTCTAGTGGTGAGTATTTCATGCATATGTTGTAAAAATATTGTGAGGGTTAATTTTATATGTCAACTTGACTGGGCCATGGAGTGCCTGTATGTGGGGAAGTCCCATGTCTGTTGTAAACATCCTGAATAGCAGGTATGGTGATGTTAAATAATATCGTGTTTACTGTTCCCCCCCCGCACTGTTGCCCAGGCAACTTGTGATATTCAGACAGCACTGCTGGACCATTAAGTTTCTTTAGGTAAAGTCTGGCCCTGTGGGTTGGTGAAGACACAGAGGCTCAGGACACCAGGGTCCTGACACTAAATCACTTTCAAAGGAAATCTTGTGACTCTGATGTTAGAAAGGTAACTTGTTTGTTCTTAAGAAAACAAAAATAATGTACAACTTGTTTATTTTAAAACATTAAACTAACATTTTTTGCAACAAATCAATAATTAAAGAAAGAACTCTATTAAAACTACTTTCCTTTAGCTTCAAGCTTTCTGAGAACCAGGTAGAACCAATAAAAAAAAATCATGGCAAATACTTGGTAAATGTTGATGAGCTAGCACGTTTCAAGCATGCTATTGCTAAAACGTCATTCCTGCTGTCAAAAGATGAAATTACAATAAATTTAGTTATAGATCTAATTGGCTTTTATTTGTGATTCATGACTCAGAGTAGCCTCCATTCTGCAAAACAGAATGAGGACTTCCAACGGGCAATGGCAGACTAGTGGGTTTTGTAAGGAAGGAACAAGAAAAGAGAACAATAGAAAAAAAGCTGATTGGTTAACATCAGGTTACTTAGTTTACCTTTTTTTGTAAGGGTTAAAACAGAGGGAGCTTTCTTACCACACATTTCAAGTAGACCTAAATGTCCTGTTTTCAGAAAAAATTGGTCTGTTGGGAGATCTATGTGCTTCCTTAGTTTTATTATCTGGCGTGTAGCATGAGTGACTTCATTTTAGTTTGACCTAGTTTACTGGGGCTGAGTGCATAAAGGCCAGACCAAAACAATAGTCTTCCATAATTTTGTTGAACACTGCTATGTTTGGAGCTGGAGCTGGCTTGGGAATCTCTGCCAACCCCCAATTATCTCTCCCTTACCAGGAAAAACACCCATTGCTTGCATTACTGTGTATATGGGAGGTATACTCATTTGCGTCAGAGTCCTCCATAACCCTCTGTTGGCTATAACTTAGGGTTAAAACCAACTGACAATTAAGCTATCAGGGTAATAATCATTTGGCAGAACTGGAATCTAACACTGTAAACTGTCTTTGTCTTTGACAAAGTTGCATAAACAATAGTGGTAGAAAAGGCCAGTGTTGTTAGACCATGGGCCTTTCATTATTCCTGTCTTCTATCACTCCTACTGTCATTAATTAGGGGCACAGGAGTCAGGGCTGTAGACAGCAAACCTCTGGTGACCTGGTGACTCTACTTTTGACAGCAAGCAGCAACTATGTTCTTTGAACTAATCAGCTCAATATAAATTTTCCTGTTGTACAGACATGATCTAAAAGACATAAATATTCTGGAATTTAAAGATATTTTGTATCAGTGTAAAAACCATGTTTTTAAAAGTTAATTTTAAAAGCTATGGTCTATGTAGGCTGGATTCTGAGATTCAAGTTTTATTTTCAGCTTAAGTCTATTTAAAAAGCAGGTGTATCATCAGAAAAAAAAATACTTATATCAAAGGGCAGAGGAATTTGATCCTGTGAGTGATCGTTGCTATGGGACCATTTTATGCAAATTAATCTGTAAACATTTAGCAGTTAGACAACTGATGGGAGGGGGAAGAGTGAAGAAAATTAGTCAGGTGGATAGCAAGAAAATTACTCCATCTGATTAGAAAAGGATAATAATGGTGTTTTCACGCAGACCAGCAGCATCGTGGTGTTTCTTCATTTCATTTATCTTTCATTTCTGCTTGCTTTGAGGTGAGGGTGGGGAGTCTGAGGACTGTGGGATGGCTACATAGTGTGGTAAAGCTGATCAGAAAGAGTAAGGCAATGGAATACATTTCAGATTAAGACATGGCTATTCAGGTCTCTCATTAAAGAGATGATCAAAAGCTGGAAATATAATTGTATGACTTTTCGCCCAAAGCCCACTGGAGTTTTCATAGCCACCAACAAATCATGGTTGAGTTATAAAGAGATATTCCACCAACACCTGAGAGAAACCAAGAGCTACTTCCTGACATATTTAAGAAATTTTTCTTTCAAATTTTAGGTCATAAATATGTACCTTTTAAAAAGAATAGTGTTAAAGACTAGTAATTAGCTATATTTAGTGTCTTTCTTATTTATGTAATTAGAGTTTAAAAGTTTACTTCAGTTGAAACTGAAACAGTAACTACAGTTTGCTTAATTGTAACTGAGTTTGGAACACGAAACCCTAATTAAACAAACTGTGGCTAAAGTGTACATTTATTCTAACAAATCAAAAATTAAAAAATAATGGTGAGTGTGATAGCACTGTTCTGTAGCTTGACATTGATGATGGGCACATATATCTACACTTGTGGTAAAATCGCATTAAACTGAACACATACACACACGTACTTATAACTTGTGAAATTAGAATAAAGTCAGTGAATTGTATCAATGTCAATTTCCTGATTAACTGTGCTATATATATGCAAAATGTTCCTCTGGAAGAAATAGGGCAAAGTGCTCACCAGTGAGCTCTCTGCATCATTTCTTACAACTGCATGAGAAGCCACAATTATCTCAAAATTAAAAGTTACAATACATGGTGAATATCATGAAATACATTGCTCTTTATATTTTTACTTTCTTACAAATTGATATTTAAGCATTGTAAAAGCTGATACTTTTGAAACTACTCTGAAAAATTATGTAAGAATTCAGAATCAGCAATTTTTTTTTATAAAGCAGAAAGTAATAGGCTTTTACTTACATGCTGTCTATCCATGGTCCTTATTTTAGTCCATCTTCTGCTGGTATAACAAAATACCATAGACGAGGTAATTCATAAAGAATAGAAGTTTATTTGGCTTATTGATCTGAAGGCTGGGAAGTCCAAGATCAATGGGCTGCATCTGGTGAGGGCCTTCTTGCTGTATCATACTGTGATGAAAGGCATCAAATGGTGCAAGTGGGAAACAGAAGGAGGAAATCAGGCTGAACTTATGCCCTTATCAGGAGCCCACTTCCACAATCACTAACCCATTCTTAAGATAATAACATTAATCCATTAATGAGGGCAGGATCTTCATGCTTAATCATGTCTTAAATGTCCCACTTTTTAATACTGACACAATGGCAATTAAAGTTCAAAATGAGTTTTGGAGGGGACATCCATACTATAACAGCTCTAAGAGAAAAATCTTCAATTATTATGCTTATACACTGTCATGATAAAATTGCCAGCATCTAACTAGTATAAATTGTTTAAAATTAATTCAACAGGACAGAGAAGCAGAACACAATGTGGTTTATACAAATATCTACTATAACAGTTACTAATAGTGTATCATTTTCAAGACTTTTGCTGAATGAGTGGATTATAGTTGCTCTTGCTTAGGGAAGTGGAGGGGTAACTATGGAGATGATATTAATTTGACTCACTGTTGTAACAATGTTACTGTACAGTATATATATCTCATACAATCATGTTTTATTCATTAAGTATACACAATAAAATTTGTTTTAAAAATTATATTGTACAATGATAGATATATACAATTTTGATATGTCAATAAATAAATTTTAAAAAGACCTATAAACACATGAGGAAAACCTCATCCTTTGATCATGCATGTAGAAAAGTCAGTTTGAGCAAAAACATTAAAAATTTTAGAGCACATTGAAACATATTTTCCCAAATAATTATCAAACATATAGATAAATTTTAAAAACCACAAACTAGAATTTATTTACTTATATTTCTTTTACTATGTCAAATGACTGTTGATTATGTGGAATGTTAAATATTGGGACAACTAAGCACCTTTAATTCTTAATTCTTAAAGATCCTTACAAAATATGAATCTATCATTTTTGAACATGCATTCAACTATTTTGAATGGCTCCAGTTTAGTGCTGTGCCAGGTGACAAAGATATAATAGTAAACATAAAAATCGGAATTGACCTTAATGGAGTCTTCTATCCAGCTGAGAACTTTTTGAAACAATAATGCTATAATAAAATTTATTGCTAACTAGTAGTGACAGATCTGGTGCTAATTACTCTATATGTATGTTTTCCACTAATGCTCACTATAAACTTTCAAGAAAACCCTGGGAGGCAGGTGTATTTGATAAAGGAAGATTTCATATGTGATAGAATTAGTTAGAACTTGGAAGAACCCAAGATTATAATAGATACCATTGATAAATTATAAAGAGGAAAATTAATTTAAACTTAAAGCAAAAAAAAATTATTTGAACTGTAAAAGAGAAGCATTGCATAGGCTCAATATTCTGACCTATACAGAAGGAAATATAATGCTAGTGTACTGCTTTATGTTTCAGGGAAAAAAGTCATTATAGTCATATTAATGAAAACAGTTTACTGGTACTCACCTTTTAAGTAGACTAACGTAAATTATATTTTTTAAAATTAAAAAGATTATGGGCTGGGCGCAGTGGCTCACACCTGTAATCCCAGCACTTTGCAGGGCAGAGGCAGGCAGATCACGAGGTAAGGAGATCCAGACCATCCTGGCTAACATGGTGAAACCCTGTCTCTAATAATTTAAAAAAAAATTAGCTGGGTGTAGTGTTGCACACCTGTAATCCCACCTACTCAGGAGGCTGAGGCAGGAGAATCGCTTGAACCCAGGAGGCAGAGATTGCAGTGAGCTGAGATCGCACCACTGCACTCCAGCCTGGTGACAGAGCGAGACTCCGTCTAAAAAAAAATGATTATGAGAGAAAATATAAAGAACAGCACAGAGTTACACTTGCTAGAGGCTGTGAGGTAACAGGGAGTTAGGAAAGATACAGAGAAGGAACATCAAGATGGAACTCTGATGGTTGATGGAAAAAGGAATGGAATTTAAGGATATTTGAGATTGAAGAGACCACTTCCACCAAGGTAGATCATATACTTTATGTAAGGATGGATTCTAAAAGAAAATAAGATTTTGAAGCAGATAGTTCATGTTGGATATATTGAGCAAAATCAGATTTCTAGTCCAAAAATTAAGATTTGGATATGTGTAAATATATAGAATAAAATAAGTAGCTTCATGACTATCAAACCTTAGAGGTATACCAAGATTGTGATTTTTACCCATGTAATTCTCCACATTTTCAGGCAAGGAATCTTGCCTGAGTCTTCCAATTTGCGTGCAGCCAAACTGTATTCCTGATTTTTGTTCTTAGAAGTCGTGATAATGATTGTCAGTCAACACCCAGCCCTTCTCAATCCAGTCCATCATCCTGACCTAGTGCCATAGAAATCTAATCCTTGAAAACCTCAATCCTGACTCCTGTTAAGAACACCTACTTCTTTCACTGTGCATAGTCTACATGGTCCTCACTAAGAGATTACAGTTTGTAAGCATTTTACTTGCTAAAAACCACTACAACAACAAAGTACTGTGGTAGCAATGCAATACCTGGAAAGCAAATGATCCCTAATTTAAACCTAGTGAAGTCTTGAGAAATTCTTAAAAATAATTGTTGATCTGAGGTAATTTGTTTTACAGGAGTAGACTTCCAACGTAAAGCACATTATTTCTGCATCTGTTACAGACATCATATTTGTTTAAAAGCATTTAGGCAGTAACAGTTTTGCTAAATAAGGCGAGTACCTAAGAAGCAAAGCTTCAGAGACGGTAATGACAATGATTTTGTTTTAAAAGCTGTCTCAGAGAGGGAGTCGTATCTCCAGTCTGCTTTCCTGTGAGGTTTAAAGGAAAGAGCATGGGCTTAGATGTTAGTGGCAAAACTGGAACAGGCACCCAGGGAAATAACTCAGGTTGTTTCAGTTTACTCATCTGCAGAATGAAGATCTACTATCATCATTCACTGAATGGTCAACAACATGTTTGAACACCCAGTAATAACAGATAGCATGTACTGGACACTTACTGTCTGTCAGGTTCTGTACTAAGTCATGAATCTCATTTGATTCTTCCAATTATTAGAATCCCCATTTTAAATAGGAGGACATTGAGCATTGAGGGTCACAGAGGTCCTAGTTCATATTAAGGCTAAGTAGTGGAAAAGAGATTGAAACATATGTATTTTCAATTCCAAAGCCCTTATGCTTAAAACGCTACCCAAGGTGGCCACTTTATGTGAACTTAAAGGTTCCCACAGGCCAGAAGTGGTGACTCATGACTGTAATCCCAGCACTTTGGGAGGCCGAGGCAGGAGGATCGCTTGGGCCCAGGAGTTTAAGACCAGCCTGGGCAACATAGGGAGACCTTGTCTCTACAAAAAAAAAAAAAAGAAAAAATTTTAAAAGAAATTAGCTGGGCATGTGGTGCACACCTGTAGGTCCAGCTACTTAGGAGGCTGAGGTGGGAGGATTGTTTGACACTGGGAGGTCAAGGCTGCAGTGAGCTGTGATCATACCACCTCATTCTAGCACTCCAGCCTCGGTGATAAAGACCCTCATTCCCACAGCTCAAATATTCTGATAGTAGCTTTCAATCCCTGTTCCCTGAACCTTGGGGGTGGGGGCTCACAGCTACTATAAGACATGCCAGTCCACATATGTACAAGGTGAAATTTGTATACTGGGTAACATTATACACAACGCAGAGCCAATCAAGGAAATCATAAAATCATAAAAGAGATTGTGAACATGGTAAAAATGTAGAGGGCGGAGGTTAGGGTTTTAAGACATGAATCTTGGAAAAATTTAAGAAATAATAGACACTGCACCACAGGAATTAATAGAAGACAACTTGATGGAGGTGAGTGCTTCTGATTCAGTGCTGCACGATGAGGAAGATGTAAAAGTGCCAGAAAACAAATTGAAATTATACAATCTGGCAGAAGGATTCCGATTATTTAAGACTGCTTTTGATGTCTTTTATGACATGGTCTCGTCTATATTAAAGGCACTGAAATTAAACAAACAGTGAAAGAAGGATTGGTACTGTACGGAAACATTTTTAGATAAATGAAAAAGCAAAAGAGCCAGATAAAAATTATATCATACTTCAGTAAAGTCATGCCACGTGTGCCTGCCTCTCCTGCCTCCCCTTTCACCTCCTCTACCTCTTCCATTTCTGCCACCCTGAGACAGTAAGAACAATCCCTCGTCTTTTCCCTCTTGCTCAGCCTACTGAACATGAAGATGATGAGGATGAACACCTTTATGATCATCCACTTCCACTTAATGAATAGTAAACATACTTTATCTTCCTTATGATTTTCTTAATAACATTTTCTTTTTTCTAGCTTACTTTATTGTAAAAATATAGTAGATAATACATATATGAAATATGTGCTAATGGACCATTTATGTTATTGGTGAGACTTCCAGTCAACAGTAGCCTATTTATTAGCAGGTAGGTTTTGGGGGAGTCAAAAGTTATATACAAATTTTTGACTGCACAAGGTTTAGCAGTCAAACCTCACATTGTTTAAGGGTCAACTGTATGTAGATGTCATGTTTTCTTTATTTATTCATCCATTGATAGACATTTAGGCTGTTCCATATCTTGGCTATTGTGAATAATGCTGCAGTGAACATGGAAGTGCAAATATCTTGTCAAGAATCACATTTCATTTTCTTTGGATGTATATTCAGAAGTGAGATTACTGGATCATATGATAATTTGATCATATAGTTTATTAGTTTAAAAATAGTTTTAATTTTTTGAGAAATCTCCATATTGTTTTCCATAATGGCTGCACCAATTTACATTTCCACCAACAGTGTACAAGAGTTTTCTTTTCTCCACATCCTCATCAGCACTTTACATCTTTTGACTTTTTGATAATAGCTATTATAAGGTGTGGCTGTGTATAACTTCAGGTGTGAAGTGATATCTCACTGTGACTTTGATTTATATTTCCCTGATGATTAACAATGTGGAGAACCTTTTCATATACCTTCTGGCTATTTTCATGTCCTCTTTGGAGAAATGTCCATTCACCTGCTCTGCTCATTCTTTAAATCAGGTTTTTTTGTGTGTTATGAGATTGTACAAGTTCCTTATATATTTTGGATATTATCCCCTTATTAGATGTATAGTTTGCAAACATTTTGTCCCATTCCATAGATTGTGCAATCTATGGAATATTTCCCTTGCTGTGCAGAAACATTTAAATTTGATGAAATACACTTGTCTGTTTTTTGCATTTGTTGCCTATGCTTTTGGTGTTATATCCAAAATATTATTTCAAGACCAATGTTGAGAAACTCTTTTCCTGTTTTCTGGTAGGATTTTAAAGTTTCATTTACTATGCTGAAGGCTTTAATCCATCTTAAGTTGATATTTGTATATGATGTGAGATAAGAATACAATTTCACTCTTCTGCATATGGATATCCAGTTTTTTGAACATTTGTTATTAAACAAACTATCTTTTTCCCTTTGTGTGTTCTTGGCATCTGTGTCAAAGATCAGATGTCTGGAAATGTGTAGATTTATTTCTGGGCTCTCTATTCTATTTCATTGGTCTATATGTCTGTTGGTGTTTTTGTTTTGTTTTGTTTTGTTTTTGTATCACCTGAAGCTTTTATTGTCTTACCACAATTATGGGTTTGACAAACAAAACATTGGTTATAAACTATTTTAGAAATTTTATAACAGTCATGCCACCAATCTTTTTTCATAAGTTGAAGCATTTTATCTCCTCCATAATGAATCATGGAGTGCAGAGCTTTTAATGTTGGAAGATTTAAGACTCTGGAAGAACGAGGCAGCCATCCAGGTTCTTCCTGTGTCCAGGCTTAACACTGGATTTACTTTCTCTTAAATACCAACTTTGTTTCTCCAATTCAGGTGCTTGTAGCACTGTTTATTGAATAGATTTTATCAAATGTAATTTGACTTGGATCGATATTATAGAATTCATTCAAATTGTACATCTTAATAATTTCATTACTGGCTTAATTAGCAAGAAATCCTGCCCAGGTCATTTTCTTGGTATTATTTCTTATTCTGTGTGACATTAGGTTAGCCGTTTTATGAATCAGTCAATTTCTTCATTAGAGTCCTGGAATTTTTTACCCAATCCAATTGTATGATTTTAAAGTTATCAGAAACCTGTACCTCTCAGAGTTCTTTCCATGAATCTCCTTGAAGAGGAACACTTTAGGCTTATAGTTGCTCAGGAAATACCAGAGTAAGCAATTGACTATCTGTGAATGAAAAGACTTAAAATGGCAACGACTTTAAAGATCTGGTAAGGGTTCATTACAATAATGACACAATTGGCAAGGAAACTCAGTTAATTCTGTTGTATTCAACATTTTAAGACAATAACTAGAATTATGACTGATAGCTTTATAGCAGGACTATTAGATTTCTATGAATTTTACACAATTTCTGAAATACATATTAATAACACATTCATACAAATATAATTCAAAAAATTTAGTGTTATTTATTATTTGATAATGCTTTCTATATAATTTAACATATCAGATCAGCCCAATTAGTTTAATATGTCTCTTTCTATAAGGAGAGATGTCCTTTTGAGATATTCTGAAGGCCCATATGGAAAACTTCAAAGTTAATTCATGTCAAGAAAAGACTTAATTTAGAATTTTATTTTGGAAAGTTTATCAAAAATATGTGTATTGGTTTTTATGACAGTATCATACTGTTTTTATAACTGTAGTTTTGTAATGTATTTTGAAATCAAGAAATGTGATGCTTCCAGCTTTGCTATTCTTGCTTAAGATTGCTTTGGCCATTTGGGGTCTTTGTGGTTCCACATGAATTTTAGGATTATGTTTTCTATTTCTGTAGAGAATGACATTGAGATTTTGATAGAGATTGCATCAAATTTGTAGATCAATTTGGGTAGTATAAACATTTTAACAATATTCTTTCAATCCATGAGCACAGAATGTCTCTTCATTTATCCATCTTCTGTAATTTCCTTCATTAATGTTTTGTGATTTTTAGTGTATAAAACTTCCACTTCTTTGGTTCAATTATTCATAAGTATTTTATTCTTTTGTTACTATCGTAAATGGTATTGCTTTCTTAATTTCCTTTTTTGGATAGTTTATTGTTAATGTATCATGAAATGTTTCCATAGATTGATGTATTCTACAATACCACTGAATTAATTTGTTAGTTTTAATAATTTTTGTTGTTGCTTTTAAGCTTTTAAAGATTTCTACAAATATGATTACATCATGTGCAGGCAGAGACAATTTTACTTCTTTCTTTCCAATTTGAATGACATTTATTTCTTTTTCTTGATTCATTGTTCTACCTAGAACTTCCAATGCTATGTTGAATAGAAATGGTGAGAGTGGGCAACATCATCTTGTACTAGATCTCAGAGGAAAAACGTTTACCTCACTGATTATGATGTTAGCTGTGAGCTTTTCATAAGTGGTCTTTATTGTGTTGCAGTAAGTTTGTTCTTTATCTATTTTGTTGAAGGATTTTTTTTTTAAACCATGAGCCTATGTGGAATTTTGTCAAATACTTTTTCTGAATATATTGGGATTATCATGTTGTCTGTTAATGTAGTGAGTCACATTGATTGATTATGTTGAAATATCTATGCATCCTAGAGATAAATTCTACTTGATCATGGTGTATAATCCTTTCATGTGCTGCTGAATTTTGTTTGCTAGTATATTATGATGGATTTTGGCATCTATCTTCATTAGGAATATTGGTCTGTAGTTTCCTTGTGGTGACATGTTTTAGCTTTGGTATCAGGGTGTTGCTGGCCTCATAAAATGAGTTTGGAAGCATTTCCCCCTCTTTTTTTTGAAGTATTCAAGAAGCATTAGTATTCTCTGAATGTTTGGTAGAATTCACCTATGAAACCATTTGGTCCTGGACTTCTCTGCATTGGTAGGTTTTTGATTACTGATTCAATCTTTTTATTTGTTACTGGTTTGTTCAGATTTTCTATTTCTTTTAGATTCAGTCTCAGTAGGTTGTACATTTGTAGGAATTTATGCCTTTCTTCTAAGTTATCCAATTTGTTGGCAATAATTTTTAAAAAAATCCCTTGTGATCATTTTTATTTCTGTGGCATCCATTGTAATGTCTTTTCTTTTATTCTTATTTTATTTATTTGAGATTCCTCTTTTCTTTCTTATTCTAGCTAAGCATTTGTTCACTCTTTACTTTTCTAAACACCAACTTGTAGTATTGTGATTTCTCCCATTATTTTTCTATTCTCTCTTTGATTTATTTCTGCTTTATTCTTTATTATTTCTTTCCTTCCACTAACTTTGGGCTTACTTTGTTCTTTTTGTAGTTCCTTGAGATGTAAAGTTAGGTTGTTTATTTGAGAACTGTCTTTCTTAATGTAAGCATTTATCATAATAAACTATCCTGTGAGTACAGCTTTTGCTGCATCCCATAAGTTTTGGTGTGTTGTGTTTTTATTTTTGTTTGTCTTCAGATATATTTAAAATTCAATTTTGATTTTCTATTTGACCCAAAGATTACTCGAGAGTATATTGTTTAGTTTCCATGTTTTTGTAAGTGTTCTTATTCTCTCATTGTTAATGATTTCTAGTTTCATTCCACTCTGATCAGAAAAGATACTCAGTATTCTTTCAATATTAAATTTGTTAAGACTTGTTTTGTAATCTAATGTGACCTAGCTTAGAGAATGTTTCACGTGCACCTAAGAAGAATGTATATTTTTCTGCTGCTGGGTTGAAAGTTTGGTGTATGTCTGTTGGGTCCGTTTGGCCTATAGTGTTGTTCAAGTCTTCCTTTTCCTTATCAATTTTCTGTGTAGGTATTTTCTTGAAAGTGGATACTGAAGTATCCTACTCACACTATGCTGGTTAATTTCTTCCTACTGATCTGTCAATACTTTCTTTATATGTTTAGGTGTTCTGATGTTGGGTACATATATATTTATGCTTGTTATATCTTTCTATTGAATTCACACTTTTATCATTATATAATGACTTTCTTTGACTCTAAGAGGCAATTTTTGACTTATATAATCTATTTCATCTTATATATATATATATAACATGCAAATGGTAAACAGAAAAAAGCAGGTGTGTGTGTGTGTGTGTGTGTGTATATATATATATATAGATATGATAATTTGCATGAATTATCTTTCCATCCCTTCACTTTTAGACTTTGTATAGCTTTTTAAGTCTAAAGCAAATTTCTCATAGACAGCATATAGTTAGATCTTATTTTTTAAAAATCTAAACAGCCACTCTATGTCTCCTCATTGGAGAGTTTAATCTATTTACATTTAAAGTTATTATTAATAGGGAAGGATTTACTGTTGTAATTTTGTTAACTTTTTTGTGTCTGTCATGTAGTTCTTTATTTTTTTCTTTCTTGCTGTCTTCCTTTGTAGTTTTGTGTGTGTTTATGTGTGTGTGTATGTGTGCTGATATTCTTGGATTAATTTCTCTTTTTCTTTTGTGTAACTTCCATATATATATATTTTGTTAATGGTTTCTATGGGGCTTATATAAAATATCTTATTGCTATAAATTTATTTTAAGCTGCTAACACTTTCACTTTCATAAAAAGCTCTACATTGTTACCTCTTGTTTCTTCAACATTCTATGTTATTGATGTCACAATTTATATCTATTTGTATTGCATGCCTATTAACATAATTTTAGTTAGTTTTGCTAATACTTTTTTAACTTATATACTATAATTAAAAGTGATTTACCTGCTACCATTACAGTAACCCAGTATTCTATATTTTTATATATATTTACTTATTTACTTTTAGAAATGGCTTTTATATATTTTTATGCTATCTTATTGCTGTTTGGTGTCCTGTTATTTCAACTTGAAGAACTCTCTTTAGCATTTCTTGAAAGGCAAATAGAGTAGTGATTAACTCTCTCAGACTTTGTTTATCTAAGAAAGTCTTTCTTTCCTTCATTTTAGAAAGAATCTTGCCTGGTATAGTATTCTTGATGGGCTGGTTTAAAATTATATTTTTATGTTCATCACTTTGAATATATCATCCCACCCTCTAGCCTGAAAAATTTCAGCTGAAAAATCTGCTAATAGTATTATGAAGGTTCACTTATATGTGGTAAGTTGCTTTTCTCTTGCTGCTCAAAATTCTCTCTTTAACTTTTGTCAGTTTAATTATAATGTGTCTTGCTATGGATCTCTTATCTTATTTCATGCCCTTTTGGCTTCCTGGATCTGGATGGCTATTTACTTCTAAAGATTTGGAGAATTTTCCACCATTATTCACTTGAATAAGCTTTCTGCCATTTTTTTCTCTCTTTTCTCCTTTTAGAACTTGCATAATGTGTTTATTTGCTTGATTGTGTCCCATAAGTCTCTTAAGCTATATTCACTGTTTTTCATTTCTTTTCTTGTTTTCTTTTTACTTCTCCAGATGATTTTCAATGAGCTGTATTCAAGTGATTTCTTCTCAAATGACTTACCTGGCTGATCTACCTGTTGTTGAACCCCTCTATTGAATTTTTCATTTCAATTATTATATTCTTCATCTCTATTATTTCTTTTTAATCCTTTAAACTATTTTCTGTCTGTTTGTTGAAATTCTAACTTTTCTCATATATTACTGTCCTGAACTTGGAAGTATTTTATGGCTTTTATTTTGAATTCTCAGTGAATTCTAAGCCACGTATCTTCATTTTCATCAGAGTAGCTTTTTGATTTATCATGTTCTTTTATTTGAAATATATTTCCCTTTTCAGTTTTTTTTTAATTCTCTGTGTTGATGTGCGTACATAAGAAGAAACAGCTATCTTTTCAAGTCTTCACAGACTGGTCTCATATGAAATAAGACACTAACCAATCAGCATAGCCAGAGATTTTCAATGCCTCTGAAATGTCCATGCTCATTCAAACCTCTATCTCAAACCCAGGAGCCTGGAATGTGCCAAATCCCACCAGTGTCCCAAGACAGGAAGTCAGAAGCCAGTCCATCTAGTAGCAAGTAAAAAAATTGGGGCATTAGATGGCTGGTCCAATCCCTTCTCTCCTCAGAGAGAAGCTGAAAGCTGGAGTTTATCACCCACTTACTCCCCTTTGAGCTGGGGAGAAGAGCTATAGCAATGCCTGTACTCTCGTTCATTCTGCACACTCTTTCAAACTGTGTTTTTGCTCTCTGCAGCTCCCAGGGGCCTAGCAGATGCCAGATCCCAGTGGCTCTCAGGGATAGTCAAGTTAGAAGCCAGTCCCTTGGGTAGCAGGCAGAAAAGTTGGGCAGCTGGATATGTTGTGCAACTCCCAGGGAGAAGCTGAAAGAAGCCAGATAATTGGGGCACTAGATGTGCAGTACAACTCCTTCCAGAACTAATTTCCTCTTCTTTTTTTTTTTTTTTTTTTTTTTTTTTTTTTTTTTTTTTGAGACGGAGTCTCGCTCTGTCGCCCAGGCCGGACTGCGGACTGCAGTGGCGCAATCTCGGCTCACTGCAAGCTCCGCTTCCCGGGTTCACGCCATTCTCCTGCCTCAGCCTCCCGAGTAGCTGGGACTACAGGCGCCCGCCACCGCGCCCGGCTAATTTTTTGTATTTTTAGTAGAGACGGGGTTTCACCTTGTTAGCCAGGATGGTCTCGATCTCCTGACCTCATGATCCACCCGCCTCGGCCTCCCAAAGTGCTGGGATTACAGGCGTGAGCCACCGCGCCCGGCCATTTCCTCTTCTTATAAAGATGCCAGTGATATTGAATTAGAGCCCTCTCTAACAATCTTATTTTAACTCAGTTACCTCTTTAAACACCGTATCTCCAAATACAATCACATTGTGAGATACTAGGGGTTAGGATTTCAACACATAAATTTGGCAGTGGGAGGGAGGGAGTCCAGCCCATATCACTGCTCCCTTCTCTCGCAGAAAATTACATGTGCATATGTGGGGTTTCTCAAAACCTTCAAGTCTCTGATTTTCCCTGCTACTTCCTGGCTTTTCTTCTGTAGGCTTTTGTTGGCTCTACTTCCTCTTCTTGTCCTCTGCTTTTCTCTATCTACTCATACTTTTTATAGACAGTTTCATCCAATCTCCCCTCAGGGATTCTAATGGCCATCTCAAATTCAACATGGCCAAAACAGAAATTTTGATAACTTTCACCCTCAAATCAATACCTTCTGTCTCTTCTAATTACTACCATTGCTAAGAATCAAAACTTTGGAGTCATTTAAACTTTTTGTATCCTCACACCATGCATTGAATGCAGAAAAAAATCCCATTGGCTCCATCATGAAATATAAATTCTAATTTCCAAATTACATTCTCACCACTTCAACGGCTATATCATCCTAGTTCAAGCCTACATTATCTCAAATTATAGCCATTTCTTCCTAAGTAGTTTCCATGCTTTTAAAAAATTCTTTAATTCTCTACATTTCCCTAGATTGATCTTTTAAAATTATAATCCTGAATTGTGGCTATGTGATGTATACATGTGTAAAACATGTGGTCTGTACATTTGAGATTCTCTTGGTTTGCTTTATGTACATTTTTAATTCAATTCCAGTGGATGCAGAGAAAACAAACATGGTTCAGTTAATTTCTTATCCCTTCTCAAATATCTTCAGTGGCTAAACAGTATGTTCTTAGTTCTCTGCAAGTTCCATATTCTGGATACCCTGGAGCCCCTCACTTCACTTGTCACTGTCAGTCACTTATTCCACACTTTACACTATTTTCACTGCTCTTCTTACTATTTTTTTTTGTGTGCACCAAGTTATTGTTTATCTTAGGGTTTTATACCTGTGCCTCAAACACCTTTTTTAAAAAAAATCCCTTCTGTCCTTTTCAAATATCACTCCATTAGAGAAGACCCTACCTGATTGCTCTATAGCAAATAACATAGCTCCTCTTTCATTATTCTTTATCTTCTCTCACTGCATTTTTTTCCTGCACAGAAATGATATTTTCAGGATATTATATATTTATGTATTATTTTGAATTTTGTCTGTTTTCTCCATTAGTGTATTCCCAAACCTACAATAATGCTTAGTACATTGCTAGTACTCAGTAAGTATTCTGAATGACATAACAAAATATGCCTATAAAATCAAAACAACTTAAAACATCATTTTGAAACCTGGGACCCTGGTGGTGTAGGCACCCAAAGGAATCTCCTGGCCATTGGAACAGAACAGAGGCCTCAGAAATAACACCACACACCTACAAACATCTGATCTTTGACAAACCTGACAAAAACAGGAAATGGGGAAAGGATTCCCTATTTAACAAATGGTGTTGGGAAAACTGGCTAGCCATAGGCAGAAAACTGAAACTGGACCCCTTCCTTACACCTTATACACAAATTAACTCAAGATGGATTACAGCCTTAAATGTTAGACCTAAAACCATAAAAACTCTAGAAGAAAACTTAGAAATACCATTCAGGACATAGGCATGGACAAAGTCTTCATGACTAAAACACCAAAAGCAATGGCAACAAAAGCCAAAATAGACAAATGGGATCTAATTAAACTAAAGAGCTTCTGCGCAGCAAAAGAAACTACCATCAGAGTGAACAAGCAACCTACAGGATGGGAGAAAATTTTTGCAATCTACTCATCTGACAAAGGGCTAATATCCAGTCTACAAGGAACTTAAACAAATTTCCTAAAAAAAACAAACAACCCCATCAAAAAGTGGGTGAAGGATATGAACAGACACTTCTCAAAAGAAGTCATTTAAGTGGCCAACAAACATATGTAAAAAAGCTCATCATCACTGGTCATGAGAGAAATGCAAATCAAAACCACAATGAGATACCATCTGAAGCCAGTTAGAATGGCGATCATTAAAAAGTCAGGAAACAACAGATGCTGGAAAGGATGTGGAGAAATAGGAATATTTTACACTACTGGTGGGAGTGTAAATTAGTTCAACCATTGTGGAAGACAGTGTGGCAATTCCTCAAGGATCTAGAACTACAAATACCATTTGATCCAGCAATCCCATTACTGGGTGTATACCTAAAAGATTATAAACCGTTCTACTATAAAGACACATGTACACGTATGTTTATTGCGGCACTATTCACAATAGCAAGGACCTGGAACCAACCCAAATGCCCATCAATGATAGCCTGGATAGAGAAAATGTGGCACATATACACCATGGAATACTATGAAGTCATAAAAAAGAATTAATCCGTGTCCTTTGCAGGGACATGGATGAAGCTGGAAACCATCATTCTCAGCAAACTAACACAGGAACCGAAAAACAAACACCATGTTATCACTCATAAGTGAGAGTTGACATGAGAACACAGGGACATAGGGAGGGGAACATCATGCACCAGGGCGTGTTGCAGGGTGGAAGACAAGGGGATGGATAGCATTAGGAGAAATACCTAATGTAGATGATGGATTGATAGGTTGATGGGTGCAGCAAACCACCATGGCACATGTATACCTATGTAACAAACCTGCACGTTCTGCATAGGTATCCCAGAACTTGAAGTACAATAATTAAAAAAAAACATTTTGACCACAATTTTGAGACTATTTTGAAGAAAACTTAGTTTAAAGTACTCTCTTCTGCTCCAATTCTCCATTTTGCTTTGTATGCAGAGCTTCAGCTTAAATGGAATCTGTTGGAGGTAATTCCATGAAGAAAAAAAAAGAAGAAAAGAAAGAAAAAAATTCATTTTTAATTCTACATAATTTTGATAGTTAAACTTTACTAAAATTTGATCAAAAATTACTTTTGCTGTCATACACAATCAGAGAGACAAACTTCTCTGTTTGTGTATGGCACATGTATGCTTTTCCTCTAAATATTTGCAGCTAAATAGAGTCCTGCCATTTAAAAGATATTTTCAAATGGAAAGAATTATGCAAGTACAACTATCCCCACACTATGTAAACAAGATGTACCCCAAAACATATAATGAGTTTTGGCCATTTTAATCTGCTTTTAGTATATTAGGGGAAGACTATTTCTAAAAAGTAACACTCTGAAATATTTTGCAAAACAAAGCAACGATTTATAATACTTATATTCTGCCTCTAAGTTTCAGTAATTTAAAAATCTTGGAGAAATCTTAATTTATTAGACTCTTTTTTATATGTAAAAAAATAATTATTCTAAGAATAATTATAATAACAATGAAATGATCACAGGGTAATTATAAAATGAAATAAAATAATTATGAGCAAACATAAAGTACAATAGTTTTTAAATACTAGAAATTATTCTTCAAGCAAAAACAAGAAATATTTGAGCGCTCGTGGTTTGACGCACAGTGACAGAACAATGGAAAAGTGTATTTCATCTCTAAAATAAGAAAACCATGTTTGAAATAAAAGATACAGAAACTTTTTCAATTAATCAGTGCCTGATAAATATAACTGGTTAATCTTGACAATAAAAGTCAAGCTTATCATCACTTTTATTTTTTTCTAAGTTTTAATTTTGGTTCAATTGATTGTCCATAAACTTAGCATCATTTTCTCAAGTTTTCCTTCTAAAATTGAGTATAAATTTACTCTTAAAAATGAATTGCTTACCTTTCCAATTTTTAAGAAATATCCTTCAAAGTGTTAATTAGGACTTGTAGACACACTAGACAACAAGATCACAAGTAGAAATACCTTATTTTTCTATGTGTCCCACCTTTCCTTGTCCTCACCAACCTATGACTACAAATAACGTTATACTTCTTTATTCAGTCAAATAATAATGGCGTAAGACCCAAGCCATGTACTTCCTTTCTAGAAATTACTCCTGCATAAAAGGTTTTCCACATGTTTCTGAGAGTTTTCTTCCAGACAGTTCTGCACCACATGACTCCAAAGCAAGAGCCTCAAATTTTTTTACTTGGGCAGTTTTCTTACCACTAGTCAGCCACCCCTGTTGCCGAAGATACTTGTGAAGCAGGAGCTTTGCTGGGCAAAGCTGTTTGCGCTAATGCTTCTACTACTTCCACCATACCTATCTCAGGTGTGGTTGCGCTCATGAACCTGTTCCAAGGTCAGTTTGTCTACTCTTAACTGCTGCACAGATGTTGGCTGCTTCTGGAAGCCAGGCCCTGCACTGCTCTGCCATGACTGCTAATGGCAACCTCACTCTATCCTGCTATTGGCAAACAGCAGAAACCCACTGCCCCTACTCTCTTCCATACTGGCCCTACATGACTGGAGAATGCCATTCCACTCCAGGAATCACTGTAGGCCTTTCCAGACTTGAAGTTTATTCTCCTCTAGCTCCAGGCCCTGGGAGAAAGACCGTCCTCCATCTCAGTTCAGGTTTGTGGCTGACAATCTACCCCAGGATTAACCACTACTTGGGATGATTGACAGTGGGAATACCCTTTCACTTCAGGGAATAATTCTGTCTTAACCCTCCAAGTTATAGACTTGAACTACGCCTCTGATAAGGCCATTAAAAATTAACCCAAGATGGGCAAATTTCCTGAAATCCAACTATTCAGTCTTTCTTATGATTACTTTGTTACTTATATTAAAACCAGACTGCTACTTGATACCTTGAAAGCTTTTAAAGTTTGAACTGAATGACCATCCAGGCTGAATACAGTTAATAAATCTTAACAATGAAGCTCATTTTGTTAAAGGCTACCAGTAACTACGTAAGTAACACTTTATAGTATACTTAACATTCTTTGTAATTTAACTACAGGCAATAACTCACATATCTGCTAATTTCTAGCTTTTTACTGATCTTCAGAACATACTGGTTATAATTTGATGACCATATCAGACATGCCTTCAGTGCAAATTATAATTTGATTTCTCTAAATAAAATATACATTATAATTATAAAATATATATTGGAACTACATGTTTAGAAATACTGAGTCTTGCTTGATACAAGGGCATGTACCTAATGTATACCCATTGTCTTATGGGGGATGGTGCTCTCTCCTGCAAGCAAATCTGTATCCAAGTGCTCTTTGTTCTTATCACTCCACTATTAAGTAATTGCCTAAGACTTGAGAAGTATCTAAATAAGAACATTACATAATAAGATCTACTGGACTTAACTCCGTTCCCAGATGTTCAAACTCATATTGACTTTTACTTTCTTACTCAGAACATCTATTATATGTGACCATTCATGTACAAATGAGGCTAAGTAATTATGCAGGGTATTAGCATATTGGTGCACAGTGATGTGAAGTGAATTCCAGATAACCCTCTGAGCTTTTATATGAAAATGGGAAGAAACTGATATCCATTTAAATACCACAAGAGATGTTCTTTTATTCTACTGAGAGGCATTTCTTCGAGTGAACTTTAGGATCATCATGTTCAGGCACAAATACAATGAAAGTTGCAAATCTCCATACTTTACAATGTCGTTTTGTATCTAAGAGTCTGTCTAGTTCATAGTAAAAACATAATTAAAATTTATATTTGGACTTAGGCAAAATGTCCTGGTATATAGTTCCAGCTCTATGCATTTATTTGCAAAAGACTTTGAGTCTTTTCATAAATAACTTGTACACACTTCAGGATCAGAGTACATTTAAATATCTGCTGACCTTTGGAGAGGGCCCAAATAAATCTAAACTACAGAGAGTGCTGTGAGATCTTTGAGAGAATGTGAAGGGATAAATAGTCTCATCAGTCCAACTGGATTTGGTAACATAGCCTGATTTGTAGGGGTCAGTGACTCTGAGGACAGTGACAGGCTGCATTTGAACTCACTTTTCCCAAGGCCTCTATGCAGTTCCTGTGTGCCCTGTAGAAGAGTGCTGAATATGAAACACCAGGATTTCCAGTGCGGCAAAATTAGGATTTATTGCCCAAAATAGGACATTTTTGAGAGGCAGTGAGGATTCCACAAAAAGCACCAAAGATTTACAGGTGGACTTTGATGGTAAAGAGTTCTGGGAGCCATAGGCAAGAGTTGACTCAGAGGCAGAGACCCAAAGGCAAGTCATGAAGGCAAAGATTTCTGAGTTGCATTCCACCATCTGCTGTGTAGAAGAAGCAGCTTGCAGCTCATGAAGTAGTCTGTGCAGAGAGTGGTGGTCAGTGACAGAGGCATGGAGCAGCAGCCTGAGGGAGTCCATGTAGTGATCCTCGGTGGGTGTGGCCATGATCCCCAATGACCATAGGAACCATCGAAGACTTAAAGCAGAGGAGAGCCACAGCATGGGTGGTGATGTGAGTAAAAGGGATAAAAGACTGACCAAATGTCCTGGTTTGCATGAGATGGTCCTGGCATAATTATCAATGGTACTTCTGTACTTCTGTACATTAGGTGCTATTAGTGACTCACTCAGATTATTTTATAGCCTGGTGTACCCATATCTCAATTGGTGTGTAGACTGCTGATGACTTACAGCTGACATCACATCAGCCCCTTTCTGTACAACACACACATACATGCAAGCGGAATTATCTCAGCTTTCAGAAAGAGGCCCTTCAGGAGTGAGTCACAGTCAATGGTATAGTTTTACCTGAAGAACACTCCCTTGATGAATTATGTCCACATGAATCCTTATTTTAGGTGGGCTCCACTTCCTGGGAAGTTGCTCTAAGGCAGCCTTTTTCACTCTCAATAGTGTCCTGATTTGGATAATAAATTTGCCCTAAGTGTCAAAGTCTAGCACAGGCAACATCAGCAGAGGCAAGCAGAGTGAAGGTGAGTCCTGGTTGAGAGAATCAGTGAGATTGCAAGACAGCAGCAGGCAGGTGGAAAGAAATGAAAAGAGATTGTGGGCAGACCATATATGACAGCCCCACGCTAGAGATTTCACAGCTATACTATACAGAAGAGAGATGAGGTGCTGTGCTAGTGTGTGAGAACTGTTGATCCAACAGGCTTCGGTTCTAACTGTTAAAGTGAACTTGATTTGTGTGATCCTAGAAAATATTCTGTTTGTACTGCTTTTAATGTAACCTAGATGTTGGCTGAAATTACTCTATCCTTGTTAGTAAGAAAATAATAGCACAGTTTTACTGACTCCCTTTGGCAATATGAAGGCCACTGGTGAGATTACCTGAGAGCTGATGCAGTGGAGTCTTGTGGGGGAGTCATACTTGATTGGAAGACCAAGAGGGGAGGGAGGGAGCGGTGATATAAGAGACTACTTTGAAGAGTTTGTTACGAAGATAATCAGTAAACAGAGCTGTAGACGGAAGGTGACCAATGTCTAAAGATGATCTTTTTAAAATATGGAAAATACTGGGGTATATTTCTATGCCAATAATAAAATTAGCTAATGCTTATATAGCTTAGCACATACTAGAATGTGTTCTAAGTGTTTTACAAGTACCAATTTATTTAATTCATAATATTCATAAGAACCTCTTATTTTACAGATAAAATTGACTCACAAAAAGTGTTAGTAATGGACTCAATGGAGCTACTAAAGGGCGAGGCCAGGATTTCAAACCCAGTTATTTCCCATGCTCTTTAGAATACAGGAATACTGGCTCACATAAACATAGAAATGGTCCTCTCCGGAGAGAGAAGTTGATTGAGACAAAAAAGAGAATACTGCAGGAGCCAAAGTACTACAGGTGTGAAAGAGGATTGGGATTAGTATGCAAGTGAAGAGATTCAAAATTTAGAAACCAGGACAATTCATTTGCTGGACTATAGATGAAGGGAGGTTGTTAGGCCTCTGTGGTGACTATACTCTGATTTTGTTTTTATTTCCTCAACGTAATAAGAGGTAGGAGTGAAGTGAAGAAGGGCAGTATTGAACATTTTAGAAGAGAGAAGAGGTGTGAAATATATGCAAAATAATTACCTCTGTGCTTCCATTTGCAAACACAGACTTTGAAGAAGATATCAACCAAACTTGGTCCATCCTAAATTTAAGAACTTGGCTCCTGATTATCATAGATCTTGGGAGACTTCATCCACCTATGCTACAAGTACTTTCTTAGTGATCCAGGAATTATCTTCTTCATGAGGCTTGAACTCCTTTACGTGGCTGACTTTCATGAAAATGGAGGATCTCTCTTTTCTAAGAACCCTATTAAGGACAGATGGGAATTCAAACAAGGTTTTAAAGTGGCCAAGGGGTAAATCGAAGTGTTTCAAGTGCCTCGTTAAAACCAAATACCACAATTGAAAAAGAATGAACCTTTAAAACCAATTGTCTGAGGCCTCACCCCAGGAAGTTTTATTTCCCTACAGATTAAGTATGTCTTTTCATTTCCTTGGAAAGAGATCTGCTTGTAAAAGTGTTTTATGTACAGTTTAAGTGCCATGCTTGTGCTGTCCCAGGAAAATGTGCATTGTCATGCAAGTGTACCCTGTATCTTCCCTTCTTGCTCCCTGTCAAGGCATGTCTCTATTACCTTGTTCATTTGTGCCTGACACATTCAAATATGAGTTTGAAATAAGTTATAAATTTGCTTACATTTGGAAAATAATGCAATCATTCCTTCTTCTTCTCATATTTTCAGTTGTAGCTAACCATCCTTGATCTAGGCTCTTCTATGCATTAGTCTGAATGCCAGGACATTCTTGATGCAATTTCTAAACTAGAAAAACGCAACCATTTTGAGAAGAAAACAAAAGGTGCCAAAGGTTTTACCTTACAGGTTTAAATAACCAACTGTATTTAACCAGTGTCAAGTTTTCTCAAAGGTATCCTAATATCCATTTGGCTCTTTCGCATCTACTGGGAATATTCAGTGAAACTAATTAATCAATGCATGCTTGTGAACCTGGTCATAAAAATAATATATCTGCACTCTCCTAACCTCTTTCTTTGTATCTACCACCAGAGTTACACCTCTTCTATGGTTGTCAGTGGCCATTAAAACCTTAACTTCTTTCTGTCTTGTCTCTTGTTTATATCCTGTCAGTAGCATTCCCCTATCTCGTATTTCGATCTTTCACCTAGCACCTGTACTTTTCAGATCAGCTTTAAGTTTTTATATCTTTATGCTGACTTACTGGAACACATAGATGATACTGGAACAATGCATTTAAAGAAAATTTTATCGTCCAACTATTAAAAATGATGATGAAGCTTTTTATCTCTTGTGGAAAAATGCCTACAATATAATGTTAAATGACAAAAACGGATTATTAAAGAGTACATAGAAATGTAATCTCATGCCTGAAATCCCAGCATTTTGGGAGGCCGAGGTGGGTAGATCACTTGAGCCCAGGAGTTCAAGACCAGCATGGGTAACATGACAAAACCCCGTCTCTACAAAACATACCAAAAAAAGAAAAGAAAAATAGCGGGGCGTGTTGGCATGCACCTGTAGTCCCAACTACTCAGGAAGCTGAGGCGGGAGGATTGCTTGAGCCTGGGATATTGAGGCTGCAGTGAGCTGTGATTGCATCACTGCAGTCCAGCCTGGGAGGCAGAGTGAGACCCTGTTTCAAAACAAAAAAGAAAAGAAAAGAAAGAAAAGAAGTATGATCCCCTTTTTTGTATCAATTTTTTTTTGTTTGTATAGAAAGTAGTTTGGCATCACATGTTATCACTCATAAGTGGGAGTTGAACAATGAGAACACATGGACACAGGGACGGGAACATCACACAACAGGGTCTGTCGGGGGGTAGAGGGGCAGGGGGAGGAAGAGCATTAGGACAAATATCTAATGCATGCTGGGCTTAAAAGCTAGATGATACGTGCAGGAAACCACCATGGCACATGTATACATATGTAACAAACCTGCACATTCTGCACAGGTATCCCAGAACTTAAAGTAAAATAATTTTAAAAAGAAAAAAAAGTAGTTTTGAAGAATTGGTACCCAAATGTGAACTGGTTATCTTTGGTTGCATGGTGATAATACAAATCTCTTAATTTTATTCATCAACAAAGGTATTTTGCTAGTTTAATATAAAGCATGGGCTAGGCGCAGTGAGCTCACGCCTGTAATCCCAACACTTTGGGAGGCCGAGGTGGTCAGATTACTTGAGGTCAAGAGTTTGAGACCAGCCTGGCCAACATGGCGAAACCCCATGTCTACAAGAAATATAAAAATTAGCCAGGCGTGGTGGTGCACACCTGTAATCCCAGCTACCCAAGAGGCTGAGGCAGAAGAATCACTTGAACCTGGGAGGCAAAGGCTGTAGTGAGCCAACATCATGCCACTGCACTCCAGCCTGAGTGACAGAGTAAGACCTCATCTCAAAAAAAAAAAAAAAAATTGGGGGAAAGCAAAGAATAGTTTTTCTTTCCATATGGCCTTTCATGTCTTAGAATTTTAAGTCACCCAGAAATTGGTGTGTGGGGTATTTTTCAGCTCTAATTATTCTATTTATTTGGTTTAGCATGATTTTATGCATAGTCACCAGAGCTACTTACTATCTTTGTAAACTTGTGCAGCTTACCCAACTTGTTTGTGCTTCAGTTTCTTTACCTATAAAATTGGATAACAATAGTACTTAGGTCATAGGGTTGATTTGAGAATTTAACAAATGTAAAAGGCTTAGAATAATGACCTAAACACAGTAATTATTTTCTTTTCATAATGTATTTAATCCTAATAACATGCTAGCCAATATGGTAGGACCTGAAACTAAAACCAAGAAGAGTGTAGAATCAATACCTTTTCAGAGTTTTGAGAAAAAAGACAGATAATTAAATATATGATTATAATGAATATGCTAATTGCCATAGTTAGGATATATAGGAGGTTATTGGAATGTTTAAGAGGGGCATGTAGTCCAGCATAAAGACACCAAGGAAGGTTCCCTCAATGAAGTGATGTCATGATAAAGGGAGAATAATTCTGGGGGAGGAGAGGTTCTAATTACATGGGCCAGAACATCAAACTAGAAGGTAGCAATATGATTTTTTTTTATCTGCAATATAACATGCTGTGAACATCTAATTCTTCTTTAAACATCCTAATTCTTTCATTGACTTCTGGTATTCTATGTGATGGAGACATTAATTGCTTCCTGTCTTCTAGCAGCTATGAAGAAATTATAATAATTTTTGATAAAGAACACTGAAAACTCATTTATGAAATCTCCTTTGGGAATGGAATGATTAATCCTTAAATAAATAACTTTATAAGGCAGAAGGAAAAAGGCAAATTTTATGAAGGAAGTGAATCTGTAAATCTTAGACTCTGGCTTTTATTGGCTACTTATTAGATTTTTATAGAAAAGGAGAATATTTATAATTTCAGATTAAAACTTTTAAATGAAGAGGTGATAGAGAAGGCACAGCTAATTTCTGTATGCACTGAGATAGCATTTAATGGTTTAATTAAGATATAGATTAAGTGATAGATATGAAACCTTACTATTCTAGGGTCTGACCAGGAATTTAAGAAGACTGTGTTTGTTTTGATTTTGAGCCGAAGACACAAACAAAGGAAACCCTAGCTGATAAAGTGTAGTGTTGCCAGATTGGTAAATTGCATGCAATATGTATGATGATCCTTTTTGTAACATCAGATTTTTTTGTGGTTCATATATACTTTTTGTGTCCTTTTTAGTTTCAGATATAGTAAAATAAAGCACACTTTAGGGACTTTCCTTTGACTGGGAATTAAGTACAGATGATTTTAGTCATAAGGATATGCTAAATTAGGTAGACTCAGACCTTCATTTTATCAATTTGTTTTTAATATGGTAAAATATACATAACATTAAATTTACCATCTTAACCATTTTGAATATACAATTCAGTGACATTAAGTATATTCCTAATGTGGTACAGCCATCATTGCCATTTATCTCCAGAACTCTTTTTCATGTTGCAAAACTGAAACTCTATATCCATTACACAATAACTGTCCATTTCCTCTCCCCACCAGCCTCTTGACTTTTAAATAGAGTGTGTTCTAAATGTTTTTTTTTTAATCTGAACTGTAATTTGTTTATAGGAGCAACACAGTCAGTGATGGTTGAATTTCCAAACTGCTCCACAAAATCCTATTTATAAACTAGCTAATAAAACTTATTAAATTGACAAAAACACACAAATTAATGGACAAGATTAGAAGCCATAATAGGTAGTAGGTTGAAACCTGGTATAAATGAAAGATATCTGTTTAAAAAAACCCACTTTATTGGGTACAAGATGATCCTTAATAAATATGGAGATGGACAGTTTCTGCTTGGCATCCGCCATACCTTTTGTTGGTTTATCTCTTACATCATGGTGCTTTTCTTTCCAACTTCTAAACACTTACTTCCCTCATACTATCCTAAGCCTACATGCCATGCCCCACACAGTCCTGTATCATTCCTTGAAAGTCCCATACTTTAAAACCACTTCCTTCTCTTTGCACATTTTGATTGGAGAGCTTCAAACATGAAGGTGAGATATTTTATATTAACATAGACTAGAAAGATATCTGAAAACATCATTTTGCAAGTTATTTTTCATATTCTTAGAACCCATGAGAATTCACAGATAGTATTACATTGCCAGGTAAAAGAAAAAGAAATGATTCCATCACACCATGCAAAATACCAAATAAAGAGCATTAAGAAGTACTAGAGATGACATTCCATACAGCTTGAACTGTTTATCAGAACTTTTTCAGATGCCAACTTTGTGGCTTACAGAGAAGCTGCTCTGTTATTAAACTTAAAAAAAAAGTTAAATTACATTTGCTACAGTTGAATCATAGATACTGAATTTTATAAATTCCCTCGAGTAAGAATCTCAATTTACTTTCTTTCTCCATCTATTACTGTTTCCATGTTTTATACTACTTGAGGAACTTAGACCTGAGGTTGGAGACGGTGAAAATTTAAACTGCAAATTTTGGAGGAGTGAGAGTGGCTGCAAACTACTAAGCCAGAAGTCATTTCTCTGGGCTTCCATAGGTAGTTTGTATGTAGAGAATCAAATGGTTCTCATTTTTCTGGTTTCCTTTAGCTTCTCATGTATACTGTCAGGAAAAAAAGACAAATTGTTTTGTAGGCCAATAGTTCCCCAAATGAAGCTTTGTCTTCTATCTTTTGTGATACCCTATTTATCACTATTTCATGCAAGAGGGTTTCAAGCTGCCTAGTATGTGGCCTTATGTAACTGTGCTTAGACAGTGTCTAACCCATGAAGTTTGGTGTGCTAGAAAACTGACAACTATTTACTTTTGTGATGTGAACTCTTGCTTTTCAGTAAAGTTTGAATCATGATAGTTTGCCCTGTGATCTCTGAGAGCACATACACTTCCTTGGAAAATGCAAGATACAGAAGGATTCCCCTTAATATTTATGATTGATTATTTGTATAATTCCCTTGGTGTTTTCTCACAGTATACTTGGTGATATTGATTGGGATAAACTCATAAGAAAAGAAAATATTTTCTCATTCAATTATTCTATTCCATCCCATTCGATTTAGTTTAATTCAATTTGCCTGTGTTGAGTTCTTCTGTAGCAGGAGAACCATTGCTTACCTCTAACCAGTACTTGCTTGAAGGTCATCTCTCATCTGAATGTTACCATTTCTTGCTGGCTAGGGCATTTCAGCAAAGGTCTTTGTTCTAGAAAGAAAAATCATGGAAGTGTTTTTATAGCATACTTTGTCTGGTAATTAAAATAACCAAAAGTGTTCTGGTCACAAAACTGTTTCATTTATTAGAGTATACTATTTTAATAATATTTCAATTCTCAAAGTTTGTTCCTACACCAACTACTGTGCTACAGTACACAATTTATTCTAGTACTTGAGCATAGTATCCATTAAGAGTTAGATGTTTGAAAGGCATACTTTTCAGTAACACTAACCCTTTTCTTCTTATTCTTCTATTTTAATCATTGCTGCACTTGGTTTATAACTGTGACATCTTCACGTCAGTAATTCTTACAGGTATAATGCCAAGTAAAGTTACCCTTTTCAGCTGAAAACATTGCCATAGGGTAAATCTAAATTGGGGTTAAAAAAACAACATAAAAGTAAATCATAACAGACATTTATAGGAAGGAAATAATATTTTTATTGAATGGCCTAAAGCAGCAGTAATGTTCAGATATGGGAAAATGCTATCCTAAGGAAAATAGACAAATAATGGAAGACTCAGTTTGAAGGACCAAATACTTGTTAATTCATAAATTTTCTCAACATCATGAAAATAGTTTTCCATTTATTTTTATATGATACATAATAATTTTGCATATCTATGGGATACAGAGTGATATTTCAATATATGTATACAATGTGGAATGATCAAATCAGTGTAATTAGCATATCCATCACCTGGAACATTTATCATTTCTTTGTGAACATTCAAAATCCTCTTTTAGCATTTTGAATATATACACTAAATTATTGTTAACCATATTTACCCTACAGTGCTAAGAACACTAAAACTTATTCTTCCCTTTTTTATCTATAAAATGAGCTGTAACTTTGTATGTGATAACCAGCCGCTCCCTATCTTTCCCTTCCCTCTACCCTTCCTAGCCACCTTCTAATAACCACAGTTCTATTCTACTTCTATAAGCTCAGTTTATAAAGAGATTTTTATTGAGATAGGCGATAGGCTATTATTTCTTTTTCTTTCTTTCTTTTTTTTTTTTTTTTTGAGGGGGAGTCTCACTCTGTCGCCCAGGCTGGAGTGCAGTGGGGTGAACTTGGCTCACTGCAGCTTCTGCCTCCGGGGTTCAAGCAATTCTCCTGCCTCAGCCTCCCAAGGCACCCATCACCACGCCTGGCTAATTTTTGTATTTTTAGTAGGGATAGCATTTCACCATGTTGACCAGGCTGGTATTGAACTCCTGACCTCAGGTGATCTACCCACCTCAGCCTCCCAAAGGGCTGAGATTACAGGTATGAGCCACTGTGCCCAGCTGATAGGCTATGATTTCTTTATAAACTAAGCCTGATCTATGCAAACAAAAGAAAATAGAGAACTCAGTAATTATGTAATGAAACTGATCAACATAAGCAATTGCTCTAGATTAGATTAGGCTTTATTATTTTTACTCTCCATCTTTTAAAATTAGAATTATCTGTCATTTACTTCAATTAATGATCAGTGTAGATGAAGTTTTTCATCTTAGCCTATGACTATTTCTACCCAGGCCTATTAATAGAAGCTGATCCTTTCTGACCATTCAATTATGCTATCATAATAACAGCACCCTTAATAGTTTTCTCTAGGGAAGATGGGTTTACTTGAGGACCAGAAACTATTAAATAAAATATTCTGTTGCTACTATGCCCTATTTCAGTTATTAGAACTATTAATTTCAGAGTTATGTGACACAGTTAAAATGAACCATTTTGTGAATGGTCTAAAATATTTGGACACAGCCTACAAAATTCTTGGCCAAAAGTGTTTTACATTTAAGCCTGAGTTTGTCTCTACATATTGATTAAAGTTACCTGAAAATTCACCAGTTATTAACTTTATAAGCTTTGGTTCATGAGCTGCAATGATTGGGAGGGTTTGTGAGCTCAGCTTATCAGCAGAAATAACTCAATAACTAGTCACAGGCAATCATGGACACATTCAGTCAGTCTCCAGAGGTCAGCTCACAGGGCCAACTATGTATTTGCCAAAGGGTACCTAAAAGTTTCTTCCCTTTTTTTCTACTCCCTCTTCTCTCTTTAGGGTATTATCTCTGTTTAGCCTTAGCCATTGTGCCCTAGGCCAAGTTCCATTTATTCTTTGATACCAAGCTTCTAAAACCCTGTTTGGTTCAAAATTTCTAAATTGTAGTTGTCTACAAGACAAATAAACCCCTCTCTTTCAATAACAGTTTTTTTGTCTTTTAAAGTACAGCTTTATGCATTATTATGCCAATGTATCCATTCCTCACTAGGGATAGAAATGGGCAGGGTGAAGTAAGTGAAGAGGCCACAGATTTTTTCACTACCACGTGCAGACAAAAAAATCAGCACATCTCCCATGGCTGGTGTAGAGATGACCTAAGAAAGCAACTTGCCATTTTTACGCTCTTCTACTAATTAATCAAGTCAGAAGAGAGAGAGCACTGTGCAATATTCTAAACGATAATATAAATTGAATTATAGTTTTCCTAAGTTACTCTTTACCTATAAGGTATATTTTTAAAGATTGTACTATTAATAGACAACATTTCCCTGTAATTTGGATGTGTACTCATTTTATCACATCAAAACTGAATTTTTAGTTGTGCATGGTGGCTCACACCTATACTCCTAGTTCTTTGGTAGGCTAAAGTGGGATGATCACGTGAGGCCAAGAGTTTGAGATCAGCCTGGGCAACATACCAGGACCCTGTCTTTACAAAAAAACAAAACAAACAAACAAACAAACAAAAACACACAGTGGTCCGTGCCTGTAGTCCTAGCTACTTGGGAAGCTGATGTGGGAGAATCCCTTGAGCCCAGGACTTGTAAGGTGCAGTGAGCTATGATTGTGCTATTGCACTCCAGCCTGGGATACAGAGTTTGGTCCCACCTCTAATATATGTGTGTGTGTGTATATATATATATATATTTATATACACATATCATGTATATATTATACCCTGAATATTCTATATCCAACAATAACTTTTTATTGTTAGTAGTGCCCTACTCTTCTATACTTTAGATATGAAAGAAATACTCTTTTCACTTCTGCTTTTTCAATTTAAATGTGTATAGGAAAGAATATCCTCTTATAAATGCCTCTCCAACAGAATTTTCTACTTGCAAATGGAATTTTTAAAATTTGCTAATGTGATATATGGATAGAGCACTAGGTCTTGACAAATATGGCTCCTTTCCTACTGTTTTGAGACTACTTCAGTAAACTTTGCTGATGGAGGTCGAAAAGTAGTACCGAGAGAAATGATTTTAAAACATTCAGAAGAATACTGAAAGGTTTGACGTTGAGTTTGGGAGGACAGATAATTAGTTGGACTGTAGGTTTCAGTCACTCTTGAAATAATGGTGAAAGATCGCATTATCTTCAAAAGCATTTCACTGACTTTCAAAGTGAAAAATGCCTAAGACAGGAGAAATAAACTATATGCATTGCAACTTTATCCAGTGGAAAAATTTGAGGTATGCTGCAACAAGGCAACTCAGTCCTGATGTGGCAGTTCTAAGATCTTGGTTATTAGCAAATTGTTTATTGATTGAAAATCTGTATTTATCATTAGAGAATCACTGGCTTTTGGAAAATATCCTTGAGGCATTTCATAAAGTGCAGAGAAACAATCCCTAATACCACATGGGAGGCATCAGGGGTTAGAAAGGACCAAGGCATTAAAATGTTTAATATGCATTCCGAAAACTGGGAATAAGATATCTTGCAATTCATCTGAAATTTCCTTGAAAATATTGTGTCTCTTGCTATATTCAGCATTGAAAAATTGTTTAAATATGGTATGGAGAAAGAAAAGCATATGAATGTATAGCTTCCAGATTCCTTGTGACTACACAGCTATTGTCAGTTAAAATAATCAGGAAAACAGTTACTTTACCATTTTTTGAGTTTTTATAAAACTCACCATACTATGGATTTTATGTCTCCTCATTTTATCCTGGAAATAACACTTTTATTCTGAAAGGTACTATTATTATGTCTCTATAACTGACTACAAAACTCAAGTAATTAACTTAAGTAAATTAAGTTACTTAAATAATTAGAATAAGATCACACAGCCAAGAAAGGATAGCCTGGTCCTTTTTCATCCTTAATGTCACCCATGAATTACAACTCTCTATGGTGGTGAACTACAAGATAAACTGGAAAAAAAAATGCACTATTTCTTCTAGAAATATTCTAGATAAAATTGCAAAACTCATAGAGTTGTCTGTGCAGAAGAAAAAAAAATAAAAGCAGGCTTCAGACATATACTAGGCCAACAGGAGTGCAGATCAAACATGTAGGATTTTTATTTTTGTGCATTTATATTTCTGGACTAGAACATCACTTGATCTGTATCTATTGAACATCTATTATATGCCAGATATTCTGCTAAATCCTGGCAATATAAAGATTCCTAACCTCAACGAATTTACTTTGTAAAAAAGGAAATAGAAATAAATATACAAACAAAAAATATAAATTGAGATAAGGACTGTGAAGAAAACAAATGTGTTTTTAATAGAGAATAACACGTAGGAAGAACTAATTTAGATAGTATGACTAATGAAATCCTCTTGTAAGAACTTATTTAGGTGGCCCTAAACAAGAAGAAGAAACCATTCTCATGAAGAAAGCAGTCTAAAAAACTCTTGCAGTAGGGTGCTTGAGGTACTGGAAGAATCTAAAGACCACTGGGGCTGGAATGTGGTGAACAGACAAACTGACTTTAATGATGGTGAGTTGAGGATGTAATTAAGCTTTTCTACTTATACTAGAAGATGTTAAGAGATAAGGCTTAATGCATTGTTAAAGAAGGTGTAATTTCATAAGCCCACATTTCTATGTGGATGAAGATGATCTCTTCAGGCCGGGAATCAGAGCTTAGAAAGGAAGAAAATTATAGCTTCTTTCTCTCTACTCTTGAAAAGTGAAGCTTATTTATCTTTATTAGAGGTAATTGCTTATCGATTGGTAGGTTCCTGCTATGGCTCCATCAAGGTCACAGCTCAGAGACCTGTCTAAGGTACATGAATAGATAATTTGTACTTGGAAAAAGGAGTTCCATTGGCCAGGAGATACATTAATTCTAGAATTTCTGAGAACTTGGAATTCTTTGATTTTTTTCCCCAACCCCAGAATTTAGCTTTAAATTAGCTCTCTTATTCTGTCTCCAATATACACACTTAGAACATTTGTTTCTGGTTTCAAATATATGTATTCAACTAAATGTAAGCTCTAGTACAAATATTTAATTAACCACTGAACCTTATAATTTAAAAAAAAAACTCGCACCAAAAATTAGCTTTCTTAGTTAACACTTCTAAAAATTGTCCCTGACTTGGGATTTTAAAATCCTAAGAGGTATTTGTATCATCCTTTCTTAGTGCCACTGACCAGAGAACATTCACAACTCTTAGAGTCTTCCCAGGTTCTTTGGGGGAAGTTATACGTGTTCTGTAAAAACACTGTACACCATAGGAGAGTTTAAGTAATATTTCTAAACTCAAATAAATATCGTACTATCTGGATGGGTTAGGAGAAAGCTTTTATGTTTGTTTATTTGTTGTTTTTCTTCAAAAGAAGACTAACATTATCAATGCTGTGCTTTTTGGCAGACTGCATTGGTTCTAGGTAGAGGTGGTTTGTGGGGATAAGGAGGAATTAGTTACTAATTTTCTTCCATTCTTTAACAGAACACAAGTATGATATGTGGTTAGTTGGTACAAAAACTGAGGGTGCAAAGGGCCTGGGAAGTCGTGGCCATTGGAAACAGAAATATAAAGTCTATGATATCCTGGAGTAGTAGTCAAGAGAACTAGTTTCTGGTCCTGACTGTGCCATTAACTTGCTCTGCTATACGGAACAAATCACTTAACCTTAACTTTAACCTTAGCATTGGCCTCAGGTTCCTCATCAGATTCTCTTTAGAGCAGCTGCATTACTTCATTCAATAAAGATGGATGGAGTGCCCACAATGTGTTCAGTACTCTGATAAGTTCTAGACAGCCAACACAAAACTAAAAGTGCTTTGGGCAATTACCTCTCAAATATCCAGTTTTTACATATGGAAAACAAGTTGTTAAAAATAACTCCCATTTTACAGGATTTTGAGAGTAACCTATATGCCTGAGATAATCTGTAAACAGTGCATGACATGTAGAATGTGCTTAAGATAGGGTAGTTATTATTATTACTGTTATTAGTGGAGATTGTAGTCTGTGAACTCACAGAGCCTCTGAGGGGACAATTGAAATATTATGATAAGGGCCGTGGGAGGGCAAAAGGGCTTTGGATCTGAAGGCAGCTCATATAATTCCCAGTCTGGCAGTTGCCTGGAAGCAACCTGTGACTTTTAACTCTGAACTTCATGGTCTCACTTTTTTCTTTCTCTTAGGAGTCATGCATAGGGCCGATTCAACAACTCTAAAGAGTTGGTGAAATTTAATCTCCAAACTCATTGTCCATCTTATACTTTCTAAATTTTCCCATTATAATAACCATTGATTGATGTCAAAAAAATTTGCAGACTTCTCTTGGTATTAGTTTTACTTTAGTATTTATTAATTGACTGTGAAAATACATAATGACAGACATTACTACATAGGCATATATTTGCAATCAATTAATGTATTTAAACCCAAGTTTTATCTACATACTTTGAAAAATAGTGTTTTATCAGTTGAGTTTCTTAGAGAAAATGAACCAGTATTTATACCATGTATGGCTTACAGGATTGTGGGGGCTGGAAAGTACAAAATTTGTAGAGCGGGTTGGCAGACTGAAAACTCTTGAGCAGGAGTTGATGTCACAGTTGTGAGACAGAATTTTTTCTTCCTCAGTTAACTGCAATTTTAATCTTAGGGCTTTTCATCTGATTTTATGAAGGCCCACCCACGCTATGGAAGATTATCTGCTTTAGTTAGCTAAAGTCAACTGATTGGAGATGTTAACCATATCTACAAAATACCTTCATAACAACACCTAGATTTCTGTTTGATTAAATTAGGGTGTACTATAGCCTAGCTAAGTCAACACACAAAAGTAACCATCAAAAGTACACATTTCTAAAAAATATCTTATCTTATTCATTCTACAAAGATCATTTGTCATACACACAAGCTGAAAGAACTCTCTGCTCTTCCAAAAGGTATGGAGTATAGTTTTAGATTCCATGGACTTAGATCAAAATGATGATATGTGGTTAGGAAATATTATTAAATCAATGATTCTTTAGGACTTACAACTCTTCTATAATAGGGACACAAGCATATTAGTCAAACAGCAAAACACGCTGTCCTTGCCCTAAATATCATATAGGCTATTAGAGACATCTGCTATATAAACACATGAGCATAGCATTTGATGAGTACTATAATAGAGGATAATAGAGTTATGGAATAATCAATTTTGTTTATGCCGGGGGTCTTGGAAAGTGCAGAAAAGGAGGTGTTTAAATACAGTCATTCAAGATGAGTAGGAGGAAGGTATTCCAAACTGGGAACAACACGCAGTCAAGTGTTCAATTGCTTTTTCCGGGGAGAACTCTGATTTTGCTTATATCAAAGTTACCGTGTATGCCTGGCTCACGTTTTGACACTGCTCAGCAGAACAAGCAGGCTTCTGAGAACTCTGCACTTGTGATTTGTGATTGCTGGTTTGTTGTTGAGCATTCTCCTAAAAACTCAGCTAGCAAGATATGACTGCTGTAACTAGCCAACAAAGGCAGCACAGAGAGGGTTATGAATTATTAGCAAAGCATATTGATTTTTTGAAATGCTGGCTGAGGTTTAAAAGGAAACAGAAAAGTCAAATCTTTGATTGGGAAAGTCTGGCCCTAATATGGGTAGAGGAACATCTTTATAAAAATTTCTAGGTAAGATATATATGATTATAAAAATAAGTTCTTTCATTCTGAAGTCAATTTCTCATCTCCTCTTTCTCTCTCCCTTTCAACTCCTTTGGACAAAGATTTTAGAAAACAGTGTGAATTTTGTAGGCTTTGGGCCAAACAAATTGAAAGCAGCTAAGACATTTTGCTTAACAAAAATGTATGTAATCTGAGAAGTTTCATATGATGTTTTACCATTGTTGAAGTTGCACGGTTTTGCCACTATGTCACTACAAAGTTTGGGAGTGAGGAATCTCTTTTTCCCCCCTAAATCTAGCCTAGCCTTGATACTGACTGAATATTTTGTATTCCATGTTAGTCATTTAAAAAAGGCATCCAAACAAAAGGAAGAAAAATGATTATAGGGATTGAAAAGTCATTGAGGAAAAGTGAAATTCTGATGAGAAAAGCTCTAAGGAGCAACTTGGTTACTATCTTTGAGAAGTTTTAGGACGTTTAGTTGGGGGATGTTTACTAGTTATACTTAATATTCAGAAGTAAATGGTCAAGAGAAAATATTAAATCAATGGCAAGAAAGGGCTCTGATGGACATGGGAGGTACCTCTTGATCATATGGGTGATAAAACATCGAAATTGGCTGCTGAAGAAAACAATGTTAAACATTTAATGTGTTTGGTAACTATTTGTCTTAGTTGAATGAGAAATTTCTCTGCCTAAAGATGGAAGGCTAGAACACATATGCTTTCAAGCTCTCCTGCAACTCACCAGATTGTGTGAGTTGAGCCTTTTATATACAAAAGCAGGTATTTATTGAAAATCTACTGTATTAGTTTTCTTTGCTGCTATAACAAATAACAAACTTAGTCACAAAATAACTCAAATTTATTGTCTTAGAATTCTGTAGGTCAGAAATCCAGGACAGATTTTACCTCTTGACAAGCTGTGTTTCTTTCTGGAGGCTCTAGGAAATTACTTATTTATTTTGTCATTTGGGGTTTTTGGCACAATTCAGTTCCTTGTGGCTGTCAATTGAGGGCTATTTCCACCTTGCAGAAGCCACTCTCATTCCCTGGTTCATGACCCACTTCCTCCACCTTCAAAACCATGAGTGGAGGGTTGAGTCCTTCCCACATCGCATGCCTCTGATGCTCTTTTGCCTCCCTGTTCTACTTTTAAGACCTCATTTGAATAGATTAGGCCCATCCAGATAATGCAGGATAATTTCTCCATTTTAAAGTAATTAAGGTATTAAGTGTAAGGTAATTAAGAAATTAAGGGATTAGGAATCTCAATTCTATCTGCAACCTTAATTCATTTTTTTCATGTAATAGGATCATGTAGCAGTTTCATGTAATGGTTTTTTTCATATTCACAGGGTCTGAGGATTAGGACATGGATATCTTTAGGGGGACATTCTGTTGATTGCAACTTCTCTGGTACTAGTACTGATTTTTATATTGCAGAAAAATCAACTTTTAAGAAGCAATCCCACAATACTATGAGTTTATAGTGGATTAATTCATGCATTCAATAAATTTTATTGAGTACCAACCATCCCAGACACTATTCTAGGGAATGCTGTCCTTGCCCTAAATATCATATAGGCTATTAGAGACATCTGCTATATGAACACATGAGCATAGCATTTGATGAGTACTATAATAGAGGATAATAGAGTTATGGAATAATCAATTTTGTTTATGTCTGGGGTCTTGGAAAGTGCAGAAAAGGAGGTGTTTAAATACAGTCATTTAAGATGAGTAGGAGGAAGGTATTCCAAACTGGGAACAACACGCACAAAAGCATGGGGAAATGTAGTGCATGAAACAGCATATAAAACAACCAGGGGAAATTATTATAGTACTAAATTTATGATAATAACTATAGTTTGGAGAAGGTATATGTGATGCCTGGTGAAATTGAAAATATATAAAGAGATAGATGTATACATTGAATTTGTTGCCAAAAGATAGCTGAGTAGAAATCAGTAAAGGTGAATAGAGATCTATGTGTAGACAGCTGTATAACTGAAGTTATAAAAGCGGTATATGTCCTATTACATTTGTGTAGTACTCTGAGTAGAGGAGAGTTTCTATAATAAAAAGTATAGGTAATAATTTGGGATGAAAGGAATGAGTCTACATTATGAAAATCATAATAGTTAAGAATAGGAATTTATGTAAAACATAACACTTGGGGAGATCCTGAATTTTCTAAGTACAGGATGACATAATTACAAGCTGTTTGAATGTTTATCATAAATATCACTACATCAAAGGACAAGAGTTTCTCTCCCTCTTTCTTTTCCATTGGCCACTGCCAACCCTGTCACTACAACAGTTATACCTTAAAGATATTCTTTGGAGAAGTTAAGGTTAATTTGAGGATATGGGGGAGATCAGGAAGTGATGAGAGGAGTCATCTAAGGTGTGAGGTGAAGTTGAGGTGGAGAGGAAGAACAATAGAGAATTTTGATGGGTGTCTTGCTTACATAGGCCATCTCATTTAATCCTCCAAAGAAGCCTGAAAGGAAGGCTGTTCTATTGTGTTGCCATGAAGTTGGTGAGAAATTTAGTCCTAGGTGGTTTAGTAAGTAGAACTGAAAATCAAATTTAGGGTCTGTCTGCCTCCCAAGGAATGTAAAATCTCAAGGAATATAAAAAAAGAGATGTGCCTTCAACAGTCTTGTCTTTCAATGATAAGGGATTTTAGTGAATCAGATACAAATTGAGGAAAGAATTGTCTTTAATTTGAAATTCCAGAGTATTTGGAAACATTTATCACTTATAGGGCAATATGCAAAGATTTTTGATGTTCTTGTCTTTCTGTGTTGTTTCTTCTTATCCTACAAGTTTCATTTTTTGAGAAGATTTTCAATGTTACTAGCTAAGTTGGAAGGCTTTGTAACTGTTACTATCTTTCTCATTACATTTATAAGACTGTGACATAATTGTTCTTGCCTTTTTCTGTCAGTGTCTTTAGAATAAAGAATGTCTTTTTAATTTCTGCATCCCTGCTGCCTGATTTTACTGTCTGTACATAGTAGGTAATCAATATTTGTTCAACAATTCAATGGATGATAAAAAACTAAATGCATCAATAAAAAGTATAAATGACTTTGTGATGTGGTTTGGATTTGTGTCCACACCCAAATCTCATGTTGAATTGTAATCCCCAATGTGGAGGAGGGGCCTGGTAGGAGGTTATTTGATCATGGGGGTAGATTTCCCCTTTGCTGTTCTTGTGATAGTGAGTTCTCACAACATCTGGTTGTTTGAATGTGTGTAGTACCTCCCCCTTTTCCTTCTTCCTCCTGCTTTAGCCATGAAAGACATGCCTGCATCCCCTTCACCTTTCACCATGATTGTGTGAGGGCTTCCCAGGCATGCCTGCTGTATAGCCAGTAGAATCATGAGCCAATTAAACCTCTTTTCTTTATATATTACCTAGTCTCAGGTAGTTCTTTATAGCAATGCAAGAATGAACTAATACAGAAAGTTGGTACCAGGATTGGGGTATTGTTATAAAGATACCTGAAAATGTGGAACCAACTTTGGAACTGGGTAATGGGCAGAGGTTGGAAGAGTGTGATGGTATCAGAAGAAGACAGAAAGATGAAGGAAAGTTTGAAACTTCCTAGAGAATTGTTGAATTGTTGTGACCAAAATGCTGATAGTAATATGGACAATGAAGTGCAGACTGAGAATGTCTCAGATAGAGATGAGGAACTTATTGGGAACTGGAGCAGAGGTCACTTTTGTTATGTGTTAGCAAAGAATTTGGAGGCATAACAAAGAATGTTATGCCATTGCCCTAGAGATCTTTGGAACTCTGAACTTGAGAGAGATGATTTAAAGTATCTGGTAGAAGAAATTTCTAAGCAGTAAAGTGTTCAAGATATGGCCTGGTTGCTTCTAACAGCATATTCCTTTGAGTGAGCAAAGAAATAATCTGCAACTGGAACTTATATTTAAAAGGGAAGCTGAGCATAAAGGTTTAGAAAATTTGTAGCCTGGCCACGTGGTAGAAAAGAAAAACCCATTTTCAGGGGAGAAATTCAAGGCCACTGCAGAAATGTGCAAAAGTAAAGAGGAGCCAAGTGCTAATAGCCAAGACAATGTGGAAAATACCTCAAAGACATTTCAGAGACTTTTGTGGCAGCCTCTCCCATTGCAGGCCTGGAGATCTAGGAGGGAATAATGGTTTTCTGGGCCATACCCAGGACTTTGCTGCCTTGCACAAAGGCGGGACACTGCTCCCAGCATCCCAGCCACTCCATCTCCAGCCATGGCTAAAAAAGCCCCAGATACATCTCAGCTTATAGCTTCAGAGAATGCAAGCTATAAGTCTTGCTGGCTTCCACATGGTGTTAAGCCTGTGATGCACAGAGGGCAAGAGTTGAGGCTTGGGAGCCTTCACCTAGATTTCAGAGGATGTATGGAAACACTTGGATGTCCAGGCAGAAGTCTGTTGCAAGGGCAGAAACCTTATGAAAAACCTCTACTAGGGCAATGTGAGAAGAAATGTGGGATTAGATCTCCCACAAAGAGTCCCCACTGGGGCACTGCCAAGTGGATCTGTGAGAAGAGGCCACTGTCCTCCAGATCCCAGAATAGTAGATCCACTGACAGCTTGCATCATGCACCTGGAAAAGCTTCAGGCACTGAATGCCAGCCAGTGAAAGCAGCTGAGGGGATTGTACCCGGCAGAGTCACAGGGGCAGAGCTGCCCAAGGCCTTAGGAGCCCACCCCTTGCATCAGTGTGGCCTGGACATGAGTCATGGAGTCAAAGGAGATTATTTTAAGCTTTAAGACGTAATGACTGCCTTGAAGGGTTTCAGACTTGCATAGGGCCTATACTCCCTTTTTTGGCTGATTTCTACCTTTTAAAATGAGTTTATTTACCCACTGCCTGTACCCCCAGTGTATCTTGGAAGTAACTAACTTGTTTTTGATTTTACAGACTTATAGACAGAAGGGAATTGCCTTGTTTTATACGTGACTTTGGACTGTGGACTTTTGAGTTAATGCTGAAATGAGTTAAGACTTGGGGGACTGTTGAAAAGGGACGACTGTATTTTGCAATGTGAGAAGGAAGTGAGATTTGGGAGGGACCAGGGGCAGAATGATATGGTTTGGATTTGTGTTTCTGCCCAAATCTCATGTCCACTTGTAATCCCCAATGTTGGAGGAGGGGTGTGATGGGAGGAGATTGGATCATGGGGGTGGATTTCCTTCTTACTGTTCTCATGATAGTGAGTCCTCATGAGATCTGGTTGTTTAAAATTGTGTAGCACCTCCTCTTTGCCTTTCCCTCCTGCTTCAGCCATGTAGACATGCCTGCTTCCCCTTCGCCTTCTGCCATGAATGTAAGTTTCCTGAGGCCACCCTAGCTATGCTTCCTGTGCAGCCTGTGGAACTGTGAGCCAATTAAACCTCTTTCCTTATAAATTATTCAGCTTCAGATTGGTTTTTATGGCAATGTGAGAGCAGACTAATACATTTTGGGTTTAATTTAATGATGATTTATCAACTACTAATTATTTTCTGGATGATGACCTCCATAGTGTTTTCTGTCCTCTAGGAGCTGATAATCTAATGATCCACAGATACAGATAAATCTAAATGAAAGACAAGCTGTGACAAATCTCTTAAGTATTTAAACAAAGGACTATGGGGGTGAAAATGGGGAGGTGATAGTATCGACAGAGATTCAATACCTATAAGGTTGACTGGTTGTCCAGAACTGATCATTTAAGAGAGGCATCTGCTACAAATATTTCTTCAAAAGTTTATAAAATATCTTAAGGTCAATATTTTAATAATCCTAAAATAGTGGCCCCTATACATTACATATATTACAACATGACTATGTACCCCATAAATATGTACAATTATGTGTCAATTTTAAACATTTTTTAAATGAAAAATAACTAAATAAATTTTTGAAAAGAGAAAAATAGTCAATATTTTGTCAATAGTCAAATGAAATATTGATAACCTCCAACATAATAAAAAGCAATCACCTCCACTCCATCACCTAATTGTCTTCTTCCCTACTGCAGCTGTTTTGCTTTCAACTAGTTCTTCACACTTATGCAGTACTGATTTTCTGAAAGCAAATCTCTTACTATTATCCTTCTCAAACCCTACAGACCAAGCCTAGATGTTGTAGCCTGCTATTGAGGCCACCATGATGTGACCTACCTTTTGAGTTTTGTTTCCTTTCTGCTCCCCACTTACCTAGGCGGTGCACCTCTGTTCTCTGTGTAGTGCCTCCTTTATTGCCTGTGTTTCTTTGCTCATGTTGTTCTCTCTGCCTGGAATGTGGTTGCCCATTTTCTCTTGTCCAAATTCGACCATCCTCAGGCCCCAACTGGAAGGAATATCTGTCCCTTTCACTTATTTTACTTTCTTTTTTTTTTTTTTTACGGAGTCTCGCTCTGTCACCCAGGCCGGAGTGCAGTGGCGTGATCTCAGCTCACTGCAAGCTCCACCTCCTGGGTTCACGCCATTCTCCTGCCTCAGCCTCCCAAGTAGCTGGGACTACAGGCACCTGCCACCACTCCCGGCTAATTTTTTGTATTTTCAGTGGAGACGGGGTTTCACCATGTTAGCCAGGATGGTCTTGATGTCCTGACCTTGTGATCCGCCCACCTCAGCCTCCCAAAGAGCTGGGATTACAGGTGTGAGCCACTGCGCCCGGCCCACTTATTTTACTTTCTATTCATTTACCTCCATGCTTCATCTTCCTTACTACATTGAAAATCCTTGAAGGCAATAATATACATCTGATTTATTTTTGGGCATTCATTCAGTGCTCAAAAAAGCATCTTTTAAGTAGAAATGTTAGATAGATATTTATTTGATAAATAATTTTGAATATATAATGAATGAATGTAATCTCTTTCACCTAATCAGTTTTCAAATATTTCAATAATAATAATGTAAGTGAATAAAACGCTGTACACTTATAAATCAAATGCTCATTTGTGGCATGCAGTTAACCTAGACTTGCATTCCTTCCAAGACAAATGCTATTATAATGTTAGCTTTGGATGAAAATCAAGGTTCAAACTGAAAAAGGCACTATGCTAAGTACTGAAGATGGGTTTGTAGATATAGCTTATGTAAATAAGACATGCACATGAAAAATTACCTAATAATAAGGAGAACATATGCTAAGCCATACTGACCCAGTATACTCAATGAGTATTTCTGGAAGTGAGTGTTCGGGGAATTACCATGAAGTGGTTACAGCTTACAGACACAGACTTTTGCTTGAGACAAACCTGGTTTGAACACTGACTCTGTGCAGCCATGTGAACTTGGACAAACTTGTTGATTTCTCTGTGACTTAATTTCCTGATCTGGGAATTAAAATAGTACTTCATGGAGTGATTGTGATTAAATAAGATTTTATATATTTATATATAAAATAAAAAGTATATAAAATCTTATTTAATATTATTTAAGTTAATATATAATATATAATTTTTATATATTATGTACTATATATTTTATATATACTGTAATATATTACATATTAAATTAATATATATTAAATAAGATTTTATATATTTATTATACAAATATTTTAATATTTTAAAATATTTATATATTATGTTAAATATTAATAGCACTATTTTATATCTATTATATATAAAGTATATATTTTATACATATTAAAATATATATTTATACACATACATGCATACACACACACACATACACACACACACATTTGTAATCCATTTGTCAATCAATCATCTCTCCACTCACCTACTTACCTATAAAGCACAGTGTTTGGCACATAATAAAGTGCTATAATATAAAAATTTTACCACTACTTCTTTGTATGAAGTTTAGGGTAGGCTTCCTGGAAAATACGTGACTTAGGTTGAACTATGAAGGATAAGGGATGGGCAATGCATGGAAAAGAGTCTTAGAAAGAATGAATTTAAAAAGTAAAAATTCAGCAAGTAACTGTCTTCTTTTTTTCTGATACATCTCCAAAAAGTAAAGTGCTTTTAGTTCAGGAAGGCTAAGAAAATGTAAGAGAATGCCTGAAATTATTCTTCTAATATGACTGGTAATGTAAATGTGGCTTTAGCTGCTGCACAGAACTTTTAACAAGAGCAATAGCCATCAGAAAATGGATATCAATAGAATTAGTATATCTTGTTTTAGAAAAAATCCATAATGTATAAAGAGCACTCAGATCTTGTAGATTGACCTGATCTGAAATAAAGTGCCGAGGTTGAGTCACAGTGTCACAGGCCAGGTGACTTAGCTAACCCATTACTTCTGTCTCTTCACTCAAGACTTCAGTGAGTCCTAAGTCTCATTTCAGGACAGGAGCCCGTGGGGGTACAAGAACTTTGCCCTTGTACCCTTGAACTCTCTGGGCAAATGAATACTCCCATGTATTAGTCCATTTTCATGCTGCTGATAAAGACACAGCAGAGACTGGGCAATTTACAAAAGAAAGAAGTTTAATGGACTCACAGTTCCACATGGCTGGGGAGGCCTCACAATCATGGTGAAAGGTGAAAGGCACGTCTTACATGGCTGCAGAATTGAGAAGAGAACTTGTGTAGGGAAACTCCCCTTTATAAAACCATCAGATCTCATGAGACTTAATCAGTATCACAAGAATAGCATGGGAAAGAGCCACCCCTATGATTCAATCATCTCCCACTGGGTCCCTCCCACAACTCGTGGGAATTGTGAGAGTTACGATTCAAGATGAGATTTGGGTGGGGTCACAGCCAAACCATATCATCCCTTTTGCTTTGAGAGGTGGTTCTGACAATGGAGGAGTATCCTGCTACCATATTTTTTAGGAGGCAAATGCAAATGGTAGCATTCCATTCTTGGAATGCAAAGTGAGGCTTCTACAGCCTAGAGCTATGGAGTTTGAGATGTAGTGAGCTATAAGATAACAAACACAGACTCTGGACCAATCATAGGTGACTCAAATGCCTCATTACCCAAATGTCAGTAATTGAGGCAGAGGTCACGGGCTGGAGTTCTTTAAGGGCACCATCTCTGCATCAGACTGGCTGGATTTACATTTCTATATAGCATGACCAATCATTCAGATGTATTCATGATGGAGAGATTTTCTGAAACACAGACCTTCAAAGATAAAATTGGGACAGTAGTAGGCAAACTGGTATATTTGATAACCCTAACCCACTAGTTGTGTGACCTTGGGCAAGTTACCCAATTTTTTATGCCTTAGTTTCCCCTTTTATAAAATGGGAATAATAATATTACCCACTTCTTATCTTTGTTGCATAATGTTTTTAACAGAGCCCATTATACAGTAAAGTGCTAGTAGTTACCTTCGAGGTGTATGTATTAGTTTCCTATGACTGCTATAAAAGACTACTACAAACATGGCGGCTTAAAACAATAGAAATGTGTTTTCTCAAAGCTCTGGAGGCCAAAAGTCCTAAATCAGTTTCACTGGGCCAAAAATCAGGGTGTTGCCAAGGGTGCACTCCTTTGAGAGCTGTAAGGGAGAATATGTTCCTTGCCTCTTCCAGCTTCTGGTGGCTGATGACTTTCCTTGGCTTGTGCCACATCACTTCTATGTCTGCCTCTACTTCACATCTCCTTCTCTTTTTCTGTATATGGGGTAATCTCCCTCTACCTCTTTTTTATAAGGACACTTGTGATTGCTTTTAGGACACAGCTGTATAATTCAAGATAATCTCCCCATCTTGGGATTCTTAGCTTAATTACATTTGCAAAGAAGCCTTTCCCTGATAAGATAAAATTTACAGGCTCCTTGGATTAGAACTTGACAGATTTGTGAGTCGTTATGCAGCCTACAATGGTATATTACTACCCTTCCTTAACTTTCTGATCTTTATCCTTTTTATTTATAAAATAGGCACAAATATGTGCCTAGTGGTATTGTTGTGATAATCAAATGAAATAAGAGCTAGTAGTAGGAGCACATAGTAGATTGAGCTTTCTTATTGCTTTCTCTTTCTCTAATACAGCAATATAGATGCTTACATACCCTGTGCTGAGGAGTGAAACTGGGAAGCTATGCATTAGTAACTTCAAGTTAAGATTTCTCTATGATAGTGTTTGTTTATACTATTTGCTGAGACCATGATGATATTGGCAATGGTTTCCAAAACAATTTTTTTTAATAACCTTTGGTCACTTCACCCAATGCTAAAGAATTATTCATCACTCCACTCCATATATCTACATATTTCTTCCTTTTGAATTTCTTTCATTTTCTTAAAAGTCTATTTAGAGAAGGTGGAAAACCAAATTATTTGCTTCCCATTGAGTACTCAGTGACCTTGATCCCAAGAAGTGTCACAAAGGAGTGATGAGTAGAGTAGAGTAGCTGTGAAACCAGACAAAGTATACAGTGTCTACTGGGTGATTTAATTTTTTAATTACTGTTTTTTTGTTGGGGGGACAGAGTATTGCTCTGTTGCCCAGGCTGGAGTGCAGTGGCACAACCTGGGCTCACTGCAGCCTCCACCTCCCAAGTTCAAGCTATTTTCATGCCTCAGCCTCCCGAGTAGCTGGGATTACGAGCATGTACCACCACACCTGGCTAATTTTTTGTATTTTTAGTAGAGACATGGTTTGACCATGTTTGCCAGGCTGGTCTCGAAATCCTGATCCACCTGCCTTGGCCTCCCAAAGTCCTGGGATTACAGGTGTGAGCCACTGTGCCTGGCCTGGGTGATTTAATTTTCTAAGAGCCCTCCTTTGCTGCTTTGGGAAACTATAAGGGATAATTTTTTGTTGTCTCCCTAGCATCATGTTTCTCTCTATCCTCACTAGTGGTAGCATATTGGTTTCCTAGAGCTGTCATAAAAAAGCACCATGAACTGAATGGCTTAAAACAATAGGAATTTATTTCTCACATTTATGGAGACTAGACATCTGTAAATAAGGTGTCAGCAGGGCCATGCTTCCCCTGCAACCTGTAGGAGAGAATCCTTGCTTGCCTCTTCCTAGCTTCTGGTATTTGCCCACAATCCTTGGCATTTGCTAGATCCTTGTAGATTCTTCAGTTCATATTTCTGCTTCTATCCTCACATGACCATCTTCTCTATGTGTCTGTGTTTATGTCCAAATTACCCTGTACTTATCAGGACAGAAGTCCCATAGGTCCACCCTAATGACCTTATCTAGTTTGATGACATATTCAAAGAACCTATTTCCAAATAAGGTCACATTCACAGGTTTTGGGGCTTAGAGCATCAACATGTCTTTTTTGGGAGACACAATTCAACCCATAACAAGTGGCTTGATTTTCTTCTGAGAAACCATCATACTTCCAGTCTCAGGTGTGAGTTTTGAATAGGATTGAGTTGACCCCATTCTCAATTCCAAGGAAGGACTATGACTTATTTAATCAGAGAATTCTGTCCTTATTTGCATATATTTCAGTCAAAACATTAAGACACTAGGAGAAATTTGTAAGTGTTCTTGGGGGAAAAGATTCTTTTCTTTCTTTCTTTCTTTCTTTCTTTCTTTCTTTCTTTCTTTCTTTCTTTCTTTCCTTCCTTCCTTCTCTTTCTTTCTTTCTTTTTCTCTCTCTCTTTCTTCCTTCCTTCCTTCCTTCCTTCCTTCCTTCCTTCCTTCCTTCCTTCCTTCCTTCCCTCCTTCCCTCCTTCCTTCCTTCTCTCTTTCTCTCTTCCTCTCTTTCTTCATTTATTTGTTTGGAGACCAACTATGGTAGAAGATTTTAAAATTGGGGTTGCTAAAGCCATCTGACTACCATTACAGGCAGTAGAATACGAATAAAGTCAACATACAGAAGAAAGAATACCACAATATACAGAAAACCACACCCTGATGACATTGTGCCCTGTTAGCACCTGAAACCATCTCAATTACTAGACTTTTTTGTTACCTGAGAATAAAAGAAAAAAAGACTTTTTTTCATTTAAGCCAGAATTTCTGTTTTTCCAACAGAACTATCCTAACTTTATTATGATGGAGTTGCAGAGATGGTCTTCACAATAATATACCTAAGGAACTATTATTATCTCAATTTTATAAATGAGGAAGCTGAGGCACAAAAAAGTTAATAAGTAGCAGAATGAGTATTCAGACTTCACAGCTTGACTCAAGGGCCCATTCTTTACCTACTATGCAATACTACCTTCTTCTTTGCCATCAGGGCTTGTGCAGAAGCAGCTTTGAGAAAGTTGTGTTAGTCCATTCTCATACTGTTATGAAGAACTACCTGAGACTGGGCAATTTATAAAGAAAAGAGGTTTAATTGACTCACCATTCCACAGGCTGTACAGGAAGCATGGCTGAGAGACCTCAGGAAACTTACAATCATGACAGAAGGCAAAGTGGAAGCAAGCATGTCTTATCATGGTGGAGCAAAAGAGGGAGAAATAGTGAAGGGGGAAGTGCCACACATTTTTATACAACCAGATCTCGTGAGAACTCACTCACTATTATGAGAACAGCAAGGGGGAAATCCACCCCCATGATCTAATCACCTCCCACCAGGTGTCTCCCCTGCCATGTGGAGATTACAATTCGACATGAGATTTGGGTGGGGAGATAGAGCCAAACCATACCAAAGTCTGGATATTTTATATGCATACCACAGGAGAGTCAATAACACTACTCAGGATCCCAACCACTCCTACCCCTCTTCCCTCACCCTTATTCATTTTCTGTTGCTGTTGTTGACCTAGAGAAAAAAAAACTGAGGTAAACTTAATAAAAATAGAGAGTTTATTTGGGCCAAGTTTGAGAACTGCAACCTGGGGGCATAGAGCATATATTCAAGTTGTCCTTACTGGAGGTTTTTTTTTTTTTTTTTTTTGACGGAGTCTCACTCTGTCACCCAGGCTGGAGTGCAGTGGCCTGAACTCGGCTCACTGCAAGCTCTGTCTCCCGGGTTCATGCCATTTTCCTGGCTCAGCCTCCTGAGTAGCTGGGACTACAGGTGCCCACCACCACGCCCGGCTAATTTTTTGTATTTTTTAGTAGAGATGGGGTTTCACTGTGTTAGCTAGGATGGTCTCGATTTCCTGACCTCGTGATCTGCCCACGTCAGCCTCCCAAAGTATTGGGATTACAGGCATGAGCCACCGCACTTGGCAGTTACTGGTAGGTTTTTAAAGGAAAAGAAGAGGCAGTTTCTAAGTTGTTTACCAAGGATTTATATTAAAATAATGTAAGCTATTAAATGGCTATATATTGTTATTTGCACTACAAATTCCAGGACTATGAAAATAATGGGTGAGGCAGCTAGTAAGGAACAAAATGACTTTTTAAAAATTGTCCCTGGGGATGGGTGGGGGTATCAGCTAGACTCCAGGGTAAGATTGTCTTCCCTCTCTGTCCCCTTCTCATCTCCCTTTCCTGCTGAGAGCTACTTTCATCAGCAATAAAATCCCCTGCATTTACCATCTCCAATTTGTTTATGTGACCTCATTCCTCCTGAATGCCAGACAAGAACTCAGGAGCAGGTGCAAAAAGCTGTTGCACTGATCCTCCACTGAGCTGTTAACACTTAAGTCATCCATAGATGGCAAAGCTAAAACAGCGCTGCCTGTAACACTCTTTCTGGGGCTTCAGGGATCAAGGGCACCTCCCTAGATGCTGCTGTGGTGGTGCAGGGAGTTTTGCTCTTGTTGGCACCCAAAACCAGCAGCCCTGGCTCCTGCACCTGCTCATCTGTGCTCCTCCTCCTGCAAAGGGTGGAATATAGTGGGACCGAGCAAGTGGTATCCATCTCTGCTGCAGTGAAGCAGCTGGCTAGTTCTAGCACCCATGCATTCCAGTTCCTACCCACGAAGAGGTCAGTGAAAATTTTCCTGCTTCAATCATTGCCATATAATAAAACTAATCAAGGGAGAGACTACCTCATCATGTTTACAGGTCTTGCTCACACTCAAGGGAAAAGAATTACACATGGTGTGTATACAATTGGTGGGAATTGGGGAACCACCTTAAAATTCAGGCCTCCAATCTCTCACTTCCACCCATAGTGGAAGTGGGCTTACATGGGGGAAGTAAACCATGGGAAGCACTGTGTGTGCTTTTTCCCACCTTATACTTGGCAATAGCTTCCCAGAAATAACAGAATGCAAATCTGCCATTCTGCATTGACATGTGGGGGAAAAAAACCCATGGAAACCCACATAGAGCATTATGAGATTAAAATACCTGGGAGATTATTCAGTATTTCTAAATTGAAAGAGACTGGAAGATCACTCCTGCCTAAAAGCATCACCTCCATGGATGTGGTTAAATTGGGCAGAAGCTACCTTGAATAATGGCTATTAAAGTTAGTTGCAGTTCATTAGGACCATTTTTTGAGTAACTCTATTAATGTTTTGCATGTCCCTTGCTCACGGGTTAGTCCCACTAAATCCAGTCTGCTGTGGTAGCAAATCTTTTGGTAAAAACCTATTTGAACTATGAGTACTTAGACTCACCCTAAGTTTATTAGCCTGAATTTAAAGAGGATTCTTAATTCTAAATCTGTTTAAAATGGGTGTTAGTTGGAAAAGGTTTGTTTTTCATTAAAAGAGCATTTTCATGAAAGACTAACCTTAAATTACCTTTTTTATTTAGCTAGAGTTGGCCTAGAAAAATAGGAGGCAAATAAGCACATTGTGTTATTAAGCAATTTTTATCTTTTGTTTATACTAAGCAGGCACAGCAAGGCTATCATTATTGCAAAGAAAATCACATTTTTCTCTTGCTAACTTTCAAGCATTGAAAGAGAAACTAATGTAAGCTTTTTAACTATGATATTTAAATGTGTATTTCTGAAGAAAATTGATTGGTCATTTAAGGCTTTTTTTTTTTTCCATTTTTAACTATGGTCATATTTTTTCTTTGTTTTGATTTTATTTCTACTATTCTATGTGGGAAGAAACCACTAACAGTTGGAGAGGTTTGATCTTACAAAGAAACTATAAAATTAGTATTGATTATTTTTAGTGGACTTAATCCATTTAAATGTAATTTTAGATACCCAGTTATCTTATATGCATATTATGCTGACATTATTTCTTGATGCTGTCATTGCCATAGATTTAAAGGCTCTCTGCCTACTTCCCTCATTCTGCCTTCTTCATCTCCTGTTCTACCCCTACCAAGGCTCTGGTTCACTCACCAATTCCAGTGGAGTGCAGTAGTTTGTGTTGATGATCCAGTTGTTTCTAGCTTCTCTGAGCCTCCCTGGCTTTTATCAGCATGCAAGTGATTCTTGCCCTAGGAATCACTGAGAGAAGAGAGAGTGTGATGATGGAAATAGTATTTTGATTTTTTGCCCTATCCACCTTTTCAGCACACTTGTAGATGAGTCTCTAAAACCCAAGCCTTTCTGTAGCAGATGCCCAGAATTCTGTTCACTTCTTGTGAACCTATTTTTACTCCACTCATCCCTATCAATATCACTCCTTCTGAATTTCAAAGTTTAAACTTGTTTCTAACCATTTTTGACTCGGTGATTGCTTTTGATTAGCTCTCTTTAAAGAGTGACTTGTTTCACTCAGGCCCATATCAAGCTGGCTGCCTCAGTAGAAACGCATATTCTAATTTGCTTTTATGGAACCAACTCCCTGCAACAGGCAAGGTCAGTCCTAATCTCTGAAAGAAGGAATAACAGAGACTGGAAAACAGGAGAGGTGGTTTGGGGGAATACCACTTCCAAATTAGTTGACGCAACTCAAATGTTAACCTGTCAAGGCCCTGATGGAACACAACATGGTGTGTTAGAAGCTAAAGTCATTCTTTGGGCATGCCTAAAAAAAGAGCTATAACACCCTAAGAGAGAAAGTATCTTTTCTCTTCTCAGTGAGAACTGCACTGGTGCTTGCAGAATTTTTATGATGAGAGACTGTAAGAAAATTTGATTCTAATAGTCATGGTGTGTTTGCTGAGTTTTGAGCTTTAGCTATATTCCTCTACTAGCTTAGGTCTAGGCTGACCCCAGTCACTGTATGACTTAGGTTAGTTTCCCTGGAAACAGTTTCAGAGACTGGGACTTGCAATCAGGAGATTTACTGAGGGCTTTTCTTAGGTGATACATTTGCAAGATTGGGCAGAGGGAGAAGCTGACCCATAGTGAAGAAACTAATGATGCATCAGCTAATCTTACGGTGAGCTCTGGAGTTGATGTGGCCCTTCAGAGTTGTGCCAAATTGAGGCAAGGGGCAAGGACCTTGTACCTCCAATTAATCCAGTAATTTACTTATTTGGGTAGGAGTATCCATTACAGTACTTTGTCACATAACGAAACAGTGCACAGATAACTGGAATAGCAATAGTTGACTTATAATCAAGCAACAACTCGACATGTAAAAAGTATGTATCATTAACTATCATTAAGTGCATATGCCATTAAGATTTATTGCCAGTGTCTTAGAAGAAGACCGAATTCACTCCTAATGGTTTCAATAAAAAGATTTCTATTAAAGTTCCATTTCAAAGGTATGGACAAGTCAGAGGAATAAATAGGGATGATGAGGACCCAGAAACTCACAAAAGTAAGATTCAGTTAACTTCTCTGAGTTAGAAAGAATAAGGAATGTAAAGACAATTGTTGAAGCCCAATGAGAGCTGGTCTACCATCAGCAGGAGCAGCAGTCCTGGAGATGTACAGCTACTAACAGAGAGGTGATGCCTAGGCCCTTGATCACTTGCTGGTCCCTTCTCACAGGCCTACTTAACTGGAAGCCGACTAACAAATAAGTCTGAGAGATGCAATGCATAGGGTCAGTCTCTTGGGGCAAAGAGTAGGAAAAGAATAGAAAACAATGGATAAGAACTGGCAAATGGAGAATAATCAGCATAGTTCCCAAACAAAACATAGGTTTCTCTTTTATCCATAAAAAGCAAGCCATTTCCTATAACATATTTTGACAAATAATCCTGAAGTGAAATGCTTAATAAAGAGATTCCACCAGCTGAGATTCCTAGGTCTCAAGAGAGAAAAACACCATGTACTCATTTTATTTTTGTTCCTTTTCTTGAATAAGCCCTTGGTAATTAAATGTGGAAAGAAAAAAATATTTCTAATTGCTAATCATATGTTGTAAGCACCAGTTCATTTTACTTGTTGGGCAGTCGCCATATAAAGAATGCTGTGTTTGAGAACACGGCAGTTAGAGATACTAGAGGAGCCACCAGGAGAATAACTAAAAAATAAAAACTATTATTGAATGTTCAATGTGGTGTGTGTGGCTTTTGCAGTACAACACCCATTAAATGATAGTCATGTGGTTAAACCTTATACATATTTTTTCTAAATTTACCCCCTAAGGGGCAAATTACCAGCACAGTTCTGAATAACATTATTGTGGCTATTAGTCTTTGTGTGCATAATTCCCCATCCGCGATGTTTACAATTTTCTCCTTAGTGTTTCTTTGAAAAGTGGCACAATTACAATATTTTCATTATGCTATGGCTTACATAGATAATTAAACAAATAAATATGATCTTACACAATTTATTTTAAATGTTCCTAATCTTTACAAAACTCCCTCATCCTTGGAAGAATGAAGCCATCCAGGATAATTGCAATTTTTACTTTCTGTAAAAAAGGCATCACCTAGAAGATTAACAGAGCTCATCAACTTAAGACATAGCTGCTTATTCTCTTCCAGGGGCATTATCAGAAATTAAACTATTGCAAAGTAATAATAACTTCACAGCTTTGTCATAGGAGTGGTAAGAACAATATATTTTCACATTGGAGAAATTAAAAATGTATTTCTCACAACTTAGTGACTTTATCATTGAGGTAATAATTCAGTTAATTTTAAGTGTTTAGTACATTACTAGGATGAGCTAAAATCTCAACACTTTAGGTGTTTTAACATACACTATTTTTTGAGGTGCTACATCTAGTAAAAGCTGGAACTTAGCTAATATAAGCAAACTTCCAAAAACATCTTGATTTTATTTTCACAGTAATAGAATTTTAGAGCAATCTTGAAGAATATCTTTATTTTACCAATAAAGAAATTGAATCTCAGAAATATTAAAGGGCTTTCCAAGGTCTCACAGCTGGTTTATAGGCAGAGGCAGAATTATAACAGGCAGTCTTCTAACTACCACCACTGTATCATTTCTGCTATTCAGCTTGCTTCTTCCAAAGGTCTTTATACTTTCTCTTTCATTAGTCATTTTTGAGCCTCTACTCTATGCCAAGTACTACTTGAGGTGTTGGGGACAGACAGGTGAGTAAGACATGGTCCCAACCCATACAGAAGCTCACAATTTAGTGAGGGAGTTACGTAGATGGATGCTTGCTGTTTATTAATCATTGTAATTCATGTTTTGAGAACACAGAGGAGGGAATGTTTAGCTCTTTCTCTACCTTTGGATTGATTTCTTGTCCTCAACAAATACAGTCACTGGGACTTCAAATACCAACTCCCTGACCTTAGCAGGTGTGGTTACTGGTTTCTTACACACCATTTCTGCTGGACTTCTGTGTTTGCCTGCCATCTCACCCATCCTGTTTTCCACCCTACTGACTCATGCAGCAGTTGCTGCTTAAGTGCTGCTCTGCTTGATTTGAAAGTTCTAAATCTTCTGCATCTCCAGAAGTGGAAGCTGCTCTCCTGAAGAAGTGAGAATACTCTACTCACAGAAGTTACTGCTTCTTCATTATGCTTCCTAAAGGATTGCTTTGTTCTTTGTGTTTCCCCCTTTCCCCTAACCTCTAGCCCTACCCAACTCCAACCTGCAGAGTGGACTTTCAACAATACCACCTGAGTGTTACACCTTACTGACTCAATGTGCATGACCAATGACATGCATAAGCGTGGTATAGTCTCATGAGTGTACCAAAGATTATGTACCCCAAACACACAAGATATAACTTTTCTTTACATTTTCATATGAAAACCCATCAGAGGAAAAGAGAATGAAAGTGTTATAAAAGAAATAAATGCCTCATGCCTATTTGAATAAGGTTATGTTATGCAGTCAATGATGAACAAAACCACTGTGCTGAAGTCTGCTTTCTCAATAACAATATCTGGGATCCAGGATCAAGGTCAAGGAACCTGAATGCTCTCCTCCTCAGTAAGATTTTCTTCCTCTCAGGGATATCCCACCTGCCTCCCATCCAATAGTAGCTTCCAGAGTAACTTCATTTCTTTCTGTCCTTCATACACTCGTTGTCCTAGAGCTGATATTTGGAGGCTGAATCATCTTCCCCACTTCTCCAGGAAACCCCTCATACCCCTATCCACTAGGGATCACAAGGTGGGGACGTAGAGTAAACTAGTCACAGCATATTGGCCACAAAAAAATAACTTTTTTCTGCAGCATATGGCTAGAGCATTAGAGTAGATCCTACCTTTTCTTCTACCACAACAGGCAGCTTTTGTCTTTGAACAAGTATCCTTTTAACTGTCTTCCCCACAAGGTGGGTATGTAGTCCAAATAAAACTTGAATTGCCCACTGTTAACCAGCTGGGTACTTGCTGATTAACTTCAAATGTGATTGACATTTGTCCTAGAAATTAGTACTGATGCCTCTGGAAAACTTTAAATTTGGCTTCTTTCATTTAACCATGGTTATGTGTGCCTTTCTGTAGTGATATCTACTGATGGCCATTGAAAAAGCTATCATGTGAATTTCTGTCTTATTCATTAGATGTATATGAAAAAGATGTATGCATTTTTGGCACAAAGGTAGAATTTTTAAATTTAAGCATCGTATATAATTATAAAATGTTGTGAAAGATACATTTTAGAAAACATTATAAATAATGTTAGTACTAATACTAATTTTGAGCCTAAGGGAGATGTTATGCATTTGAAATGGCAGGCACTGGGGCTTACCTGAGGAAGTTCCTGTCTCTTACTACTTAGCTATGTGTGTTAGAAACTCCAAGAGCTGGCATGCCAGTTCAGTGATGGGCAGGCTAGTTTTCTTCTCACTGAGGACTGGAAGTAAATAGATGATCCATGGCTTCTCATATCACAAAGCCCTTTTCCAAAGAGGATGAGTGGTTTAGAAGACCTATCTGTGCCCTGATGTCATTAATGCCACCTATAACCTCCACAAGCATGCTGCTATTTAAACAGGACTATTTGCTTGCTCAAGGGAGAAAGCAGAGGTTTTTCTGGACATGTGTAAACTTTCTATGAAGATAATATGATTTACATGTGCATACAAATGGATAAAACAGCCTGTTGTTTAGCCATACTTCAACTGTTTTCTCATTTTCCCTTAAATAACATTCTGTAATCATTTTTCTTCACTTCTGTGGCCTGGCACCTTTGGTTTACTTTAACTATCTCTACTTTTTGACCGAAGTCCCCTTTGATGGTTAAATGCAAAATCAATGTTTGATGATAGATACTTTGTGTTCATTTAATATGTGAATTATATTCCTCTTTGCCTTCTTACTAGATGAGCTATTTGCCATCCGGAGCTTCTTCATTTCCTGTTTCATCCACCAATATTCTCATTTTTTTCTTTATTGGTTTCTTACCTTCCTGACAGTAGAAAAATTTTGTGAAGTTGCATTTAGCATTGCTTTGTATTTTTAATGTCTCTCTCAGCCATTAGCTTGCATTTTGGTTGTTTTTCTAAAATATATATCTTCATTTAAAAGTTTTGTAAAATTTAAGAGAGTTTCAAACTCATTCCCTTTTTGATTTCATGGTTCCCCTTTATTTTCCTTCCATAAGCAGTTTTACTATATAGATTAGAAATTTCAAATGCATCGCAATTACATAATTACTTCTTTTGGAATCTGAATTTTCTCCATTTTAAATTTTTGTCTGAAGGCAGGGTAGGAAAAGATATATGCTTGACTTTCAAAAATAGCGAATTCACAAGTTATATTTAAGCAGCATTATGCAGAGGTGAGAAGACTGGATGTCCAGAGACCTGGTCTCAAGTCATGGTTTTGCTGCTATGAAATTTTGTGTCTTTGGGAAAATTATTTACACTGTTTGAGTCTGTCTCTTTTTCTTAGTGAATGAGATTTGGTTCTTTTCAGCTTTATGATTCTAAATGGAAAAAGCCTTTTGATTTTGCTATATTCTATTAATTGAGAACAAGACAGATGAGAGAGTAAAGGAAGAATTTTGTTGGATACAAATTAAATTGCATCATTTAAATGCTTTGAATGAGATGCCGTGTCACTGAGGGCTGTATTTGGAATGAAGAGATACAATAAGCTTCCGTGAGTTCTAGTTCTTTTCTCTTTTGCTTTATTCTCTACAATTCAAATGTGAATGAAAATCCATATTATTAGAGAAGATCAGTAAAAAAAATTAGCACAAACCATTTGCCGTGTATTGGGAATCAGGAGTAACTAAATAATGGTGTATTTCTCCCATTAAAATTGTCTCCATAACCTTTGCCAGAAATAGCATTTGAGACTAGAAGAGAATTAATGTTCAGTAATTGTTGAATCCTTATTTAAATGTGACTTTCAAATATCTTTCCCAAGAGGAGCACTTAAAAAGATCAATCAAAGCAATAGTGCTAATAATCTGCCATGGGACCTGGGCAGCAGGTTAAGAGACTCACCTCCTATTAATTAGGTGAAGGATTCACAAAATGTGAGGAGTGTACCTGAGCCCAGTATTCATATTCAGAAGCGTGATCTATCCACGAGTGAAATGATATTGGAATTATCAAACATTTAGCCAAATGGAGGAGAAAAAAAAATTACCGTGGCCATAGATTTGAAGTTAATGTAATTGTTTTCTCTTTAATTGGTTAAAAAAAAGTTATATACAACAAAATCATTTTGTCATTCACTAAAAAGCAGAGTGTCTCTGTGTGTGTATGAGTATGTGTATGTCTTTGAAAAGGTAATCCAGGTGTGTTAGGGAACAGTTTCTGGGAGAATACTCAGTCTTAGCAGCAGTTCCTTTTCTAGCTTCGTGCCACCACTTCACTTTTGTCTACAGCACCCATGAATCATCAATCAAATCTTCCATCAGTACCTTGTCTGAGTAGTCCTCCAAGCACTTCAGGGAGTTGCTTAGGGGTATTTAAGACTATAGCGTTGATGTTTGATTCAGTCACTTGGGACATGAGTTTGAAGGAACAGAATGAGAGGTTTAGCAAGGAAAACAGTGGAAAATAGCAGGACTTTTTTTCTCTGGCACTAAGGAAGTCAGGCCATATCTTTTCAGAATCAAAATATTTCCAGAGGCATGATAATCTTTAGCAGTGAGGTGGAACAGCATGATGTAATCACTATACACACACACGTAGAATCCTTTTGTTTTGACTAATCCATTATTGACAGAGGCATAAAAGAATAAATTCTGACTTTGCAGAAACTTTTATTTATCAGCTCTGGAAAATACATAGGATAGAGTCAAAGGCTAAATTTAACAACATTATTTTGAAAATTATTTATAAATATGTCATCTAAAAACTTTTGTCATTAAAGAGACAATGTGCAGCAAAGTCTGAATGAATAAAATAACCTCAATTGCATCTCTTCTCCACCCTAAGAATTGTGTTCCTTTGCGGGGAGCCTCCACTTTCCTTCTCTAAATTCCCCAGGTACTGTTTCATCTCCAGTTCCCTTAGACTTTTGAAGAACACAAAAGGCCTTTATTTTAGCAGGAAGGAGTGAAGAAATCTGTTAAGGTGAATCAGGTCTTTTTGTTTTGTTTTGTTTTGTTTTGTTTTGTTTGAGACTGAGTCTCGCTCTGTCACCAGCCTGGAGTGCAATGGCATGATCTCGGCTCACCGCAACCTCAGCCTCCCAGGTTCAAGCGATTCTCCTGCCTCAGCCTCCCAAGTAGCTGGAATTAGAGGCATGCACCACCATGCCTGACTAATTTTGTATTTTTAGTAGAGATGGGGTTTCAGGTCTTTTTAATGTTGTGAAGAGATCAGATCAGTGTGAAACTAGAAGATAAGAATAATGCAAGTGACACCTGCAACCACAACAAATGACCTCAATTGTCTAACAAGGCAGTGTGGCCATGATGATGGAGGTGCTTCTGATTAAGAAGTCAGCGGGTCTGCAGAAGTGGTTTCCTATGTCAATTTAAACTAGCTCTTGTTCATGCAAAATCAATTCACACTTCTCCTGAAGAACCAGCTTTTGTGGTAGGCTGTGATCTTAATTAGGAATCACAAAGCCCCTTCTGTTCTTTGTCAAATATGCTTAAAATAGGATTGCCTGAGCTTCAGGGATTTTAGAGTTATTACGATGGCTGGGGTCCACCTTATTTCTTTTATTTTCCTACAGTCAGATTTTTGCCTGCTAATATTTTTAGACTGACAAAGAATCCTTGACTAAACTGGAGTCAGTCTTCTCCAAGTTCTCTTTCTGATTAGGCTCTATACTTGGTCTTTGTCTTTGGTGTGTTTAGTCCAGTTTTTGCATGAATCCTGTTGAATCAGTTCAATGAAAAAATCTCCCAGCCTCAATATCTGATCAAATTTCTTATCCCTCACTCTCAATATCACCCTGGCCTACCTTGAGCTGGAATCTCCCTAGCCTTATATTACCTCATACTAATTTTTCACCAACTGATCCCCACCTGTCCTTGTTGTATTTAAAGTTGAGCTTGATCTCTCTCCTATTAACAAAGGCACCACTGCAGTCGTCCTCTTCTTGGATAAAGTTTTCTTTACCATCTTTAACAAGTGTCTGAAGGATTTTTCTTTAATGAAACCAAGGCAGAAATAAAGTTGAGTATGTACAAGAGGTTCATACCCTTGCCTTTACAAGATAAGGAGTCTTACCCTTGACCTCATGAAACACTGAAATTCTTTTATGTGTCAGGCCAACACTAGAGACTAGGAATCTAAGATGAGCAGTTCTTATATCCATAAAATATGCCTATACATAAAAGATGACAATGTTGAATTTTACCTGAGCCATGTACTTCTGGAAAACAGTGAAGGTTAAAGAAATCAGAAATCCCCTGCAGAGGGGAAAGATTTTCTTTCTCCACCTATCACAAGGTTCACGGCTGAAATCTCTATTAACTAAAGACAGATTAACAAGAGAAACACATACACATTTATTTAATATAAGTTTTACATGACACAAGAGCCTTCAGAAATGAAGACTCCATGAAATGGGAATCTGTGTATTTTTATGCTAAGTTTGATAATGGGTGGTCAGTCATGCAGAACTGTAATTGAACAGAGAGGGTATGATCTAATGGTAATAAACTGGGGGGTATCTTAGTCAATTTTCTGCTGCTAAAGCAGAATACCACAGACTAATTTATTTAAAAAAAATAAGTTTTATTTGGCTTATAGTTCTGGAGGATGGGAAGTCAAAGAGCATGCTACCAACATCTGGTGAGGGCTTTTTATATCATGGTAGAAGCAAATAAGCATGTGAGACAAAGAAAAGAAATATAAACAAATTCATCCTTTTTACTAGGCATTAACTCAAATGATAACTAATTCACTCCTGAGATAACAGCATTAATCTGTTCATAGGGGCAGATCCCTCATGACCTAATCAACTTAAAAATCTCACTTCCCAATACTGTTACAGTGGAAATTAACTTTCAACATGAGTTTTGGAGAGGACATTCAAACCGCAGCATTCTGTGCCTCATTCTTCAAAATGTTCTTCTCACATACAAAATAAATTAATTCCATGACAATAATCCCAAAAGTGTTAAGTCATTGTAACATCAGCTCAAAAGTACAAAGTCCAGAGTCTCATTTAAAATAGATATGGGTGAGACTCAAGGCACAATTTATCCCAACGCAAATTCCCTCCAGCTATGAGCTTGTGATGTCAAAACAAGTTATATATTTCCAAAATACAATGATGAGACAGGCATAGGGTAAACATCCCCATTCGGGTATTTGATATAGCAACAATCCCACTCTAAGTACCAATGTGATGTCTTACTCCATTTTCTGCAGGTATAACACAATACCACAGATTGGATAACTTATATAGACAAGAAGCTTATTTGGCTCATGTTTCTGGAGGCTGGGAAGTACAAGAACATTGTGCCAGCATTTGGCAAGGGCAAAGTACTGTGTTATAACATGGTGGAAGGGCAAGTGAGCATGTGAGATAGAAGGAATTGAGCTAGACTCATTCTTTTATCAGGAGCCTACTCATGTAATAGCTAACCCCCTCAAGCAATAACTAACCTGCTCCCCTGATAATGACACTAATCCAATCATGAGGGTGACCTCATCACCCCTTAAAGGCCCCACCTTCCAAAGCCATTACATTGGCAACTAAATTTCAACATGAGTTTTGGAGGAGACATTCAAATTGTATTGGGGGGTACTTAGCAAGGCCTATTTGCTCAATTTCTTCTTGGCATCTCTGTGTCTTCTGAGATTAGAATGTTCCTGTTCTCAAGGAATAGGGAGGGTACCTCTGGAATGAAGTCTTTATGGCTTGATTTAGAGGAAAACTGGAGAATTCTTTTATAGCCTGAATCAAGGGAGAAGGGCAGAAGAAGGTCAGGGGGACCTTCTTGATTCTGCTGTTTTCTGAAATGCCAAGGAGTCATGTTTTATGGTAGTGTGTCCTTAACCCCATCAACCTCCACCTTTTTGTGTTCCAGAGAATAGTTTACTGGAAATAACTACCCTTCCCCATAGGACTTAGATAAGGCTCACTGATGGCTTATTTGCCTATCACAAGGCCAGACATAGGCCCTCCAAATTTTCATTTTTTTCTCCTAAATGATTAGCTGAATTTGTTGTCCCCACTGATTACTGGAAACAAAGTTCTTATTAAACAAATTTTGGTTAAGATTCTCTCCTTCCACCAGACTCCTAAACTTGGCCCACCCTTAGCCTGAACCAGCATACAGCTGCTTATGAAAAATAGGAAAATTGGCTGGCTTCAGAGTAAAATATGTCTTGATCTACTATCAAATCCCACCATCCTTTCATCCTACTTCTGTAACACCTGTTTCTAACCACGTTTGTTAACTCTTCTCTGTAGAAGAAAACCCCTTTTTGCCTAACCCTTTGGAGCAACCAGATCTATGTCAAGGTATTCTTACCATTGCAATAGTTCTCTTTTCTTCTATTCCATTAGCCTCTTCCCTGCTTGGAGTAATCCTTTTGATAAAGTCTTCCTTTTTAAGTCTGGATTTGTTTTATTTGACAAAGGCTGACAAGTTTTACCCCCAAATAATTGTATTTATTTTTATTTGTGGATTGTTAGGGGAACTAGTTTTCTCTATGCTCCCCATGCAATTCAAATATCTATTTTTAGGCCAGGCATGGTGGCTCACACATGTTATCTCAGCACTTTGGGAGGCTGAGGTGGGAGGATTGCTTGAGCCCAGGAGTTCAAGACCAGCCTAGGTAACATAGCTAGGTAACATATACCCCATCTCTACAAATTTTTTATTTAAAAAGTTAACCAGTTGTGGTGGTGCATGCCTGTAGTCCCTGCTACTCGGGCTGCTGAGGCAGGAGGATCATTTAAGCCCAGGAGGTTGAGGCTGCAGTGGGCCATGATCATGCCACTGCACGCCAGTCTGGGTGACAGAGTGAGACTGTCCCTAAATAAATAAATAAACAAACACCTATTGTGTATATCAACTAACTCTATGTTGATGCTGGGAGAAGAGCCTACTGTGTAATTCTCTCAGGGGTTATCTGTTTTCTGTAATAGGAACTATCTCTGAAGTAACTGGACAGAAGAGACTCTTCTTTTTTTTTGAAAGCTTTGTGCTGTTTATTTGGCTATGGTAGATTTAAGTAAAGAACTTTGCTAGCCGTCATCAGCCTTAGGTGATCTTGGCACAGCTGTCATTCTTTTTTTTTTTATTTATTTTTTATTATACTTTACGTTCTAGGGTACATGTGCACAACCTGCAGGTTTGTTACATATGCATACATGTGCCCCAACAGAAGAGACTCTTCTGAAAGACTCTTCAAAGCTTTGTAAAATCAGAGAAAAATGGATAGACTGCTTGAAAAATTCCTAAATCTTTTAAACGTTTAGAATTTACCAAGAATTGTGAGAGAATTTCATGATGACATTGCTGGATATTGGATACCATCTACTTGAAAAGGAAGAAGAAAACAGCATTACTTATTCAGGTCTTTCAGAACGAGGGATTCTTATAAGACAAACTGACACAAAAGTGCTTACTGAGACAGATGCCAACTTCTGGTAAGTTTTACAGTAGTAAGGTTTCATTTGCAACTCTTTTCATTAAACAGCAAGGGCCTTTGAGTCATTGCTTGGGGTAATTCTAAGATAAAAGACTTAAGAGAACATGATATGTAAATGTAAAGTGGGTTGGCTCATTGATTCCAACAGTATGTAAACCAAGTACGCTTTATGTTGTTTAGTATAATTACTGCCTAGAAAAACCAGAACTCCCACCAAGCTACAGTCCTTGAGTTTTTAGTCAACATGTTAAATTCTAGCACTTGCCTGTTTTTGCTATTGGCTTCCCTATTGAGTGCACGGAGAAACATAGGTTGAATACCAGCTATGCCTGGGGCAAGATGTTGATTACCTCACAGTCAGAAGCAAAATAAACTATCTGCAGATATATCAGAGAACAAAAAGATTGACTTTGAAACAATGAGGAAAATTGCAATTAGGCAATTTCTATCTCCCTTTTCAAAGACAGACTTTGCCCTGCATTATTCATTTTGTATCTTTGTCTATTGACTTGAGCTTATTATAATGCTTTCTATATTTTGATACTATGGTTATATAAGGGTGAGCTTATTATTACTTTTGTCTCTTAATTGAATGTCAATCATTTTCCATTAAAAAAATGGCATACTTTGTGACTTCACTGATCTTTTCCTCTTCCGCTCTAATATTTTAGTACATACATTTCCTTTTATTTTACTATTTATAAAGTCATTATAAATCAAAGCAATTGCAGCAAAACAGGAAATGGTTGACGTTTTCTATCCCAAAGACTCATTCATAATTTCTCAATTACATGCAGTTTAAATACATAGCATCCAATCTGCAGTCTTTGAAATGGTGCCAGATTCCATCTGCTTTCCTGCATATTGCTATAGTTATTTCTGAGCTAGACTAAGAGAGGAATACAGAGAAAGCTAACTTGAACACAAACCTCTCTCAACAGAACCTTACTGTTAGTCTTGCAATTTTCTGTTCAATAACCTTCTCTTACATAAATGCACAGTTCTATTGATTTCTATATCCGGCTGCTTAATAACCTCCACTAGAAACCTATTAGCATTTTTTTTTCATTCATGCCAGGGGGATCTGATACCTCTTCCTACATCATCTCAAATTCATAAAACGTCAATTCTGACAGATTGCGAACAAAATTGCCATATGTAAATGTGGACATAAATCTTGATCCTTCTGATGTAATTTTTAGGTAACAACTCAAAATTCTACCCAAAAGTTTAAATAATTTATGCTACTCTTTGAGAGAGTAAATCTAAAATTTTTCAAAACATAGTGTCATTGGTAAAACATTTCTATTTTAATATTTCAGCTTTTCTTCAAGATTCCCTGTTTTCTTTCCTGCTGATATCATTGATTTTCCAGGATACTTATGGTGTAATACATAATGTATATCTGAAATTTTAAAAATAAGTATGACTTTAGGCATAGTAGCACATGCCTGTAATATGAGCTACTTGGGAGATTGAGGTAAAAAGATCACTTGACCCCAGGGGTCCAAGAACAGCCTGGCCACTATAGCGAAATCCCACCTAAAATATATATAGCCACATTGATCAGACTTGGAGTTGACAGAATTTAACATTCCTTCAGAAAATTATATGTATCCTAATGCTAAAGTCTGCCATCCTACAGACATTTCAGACAAATGAAACAAATGGAAAAATGTCTTATTCTTTATGTATTCAGGCTAAAGTCATGATAAAGTTATTGTATAAACATAATCTCCAACACATTCTCTGTTGGACTCCGTTTTAGTCTGCTTAGACAACCATGACAAAATATCTTAGATTGGGTAACCTATAAACAACAGGTATTTATTGTTCACAGTTTTGGAGGCTGGGAAGTGCAAGATCAAGACGTCAGCATATTCAGTGTCTGATGTCTGATAAGGTCCTGCTCTCTTACATGACAGAAGAAGAGAATGCTGTGTTCTCAAATGGTGGAAAGGGCAAGGCAGCTCCCTTCAACATCTTTTATAAAGGCACTAATCCCACTTACTCATTTCCTAGAGGCCTAACTGTTAGGGACAAACTGCCCTAAAAAGCTTCTTGGTACTGCCAACACTCCACCCAAACCTCTCCGTGCTGCCCACCTTTCTCTTAAACCTTTTTACTTTTCTAAGCCCTTATCTAGGTGCCCCGGTGAAGCCAGCAGACTTTACCTGTCAGGCTTTGGTGCTATAAAGCAAACTCCAATTACAAACTATGCAGACCACACAGGGGTACGTCGTGGGAAGCATTAACAAACTTTACCTACACCCTCCGGCACCATAAACGTCACAAGGTGATATGTGGCAGAATTAACCAACAAATGAGCCCAGGGTCTCTCTCCCCCATATAAACCTCTCATTTTGTAAGCTCAGGGCTGCTTCCTGTGTCTGTAATGGAGCAGCCGGCAGGTTAAATAGAGGCTTGCCTGAACTTCGGTCTCTCTCTCGTTTTTTCTCTCAGCTAACCTTACACTAACATCTTAATACTATTGCATTGATGGGTTAGTCGGGGGAGTTAGGTTTCAAAACAAATTTTGGGAGGTTACTAACATTCGGACCATAGCAGACTCACAACAAAGCTCTGCTATTCCTTAAAAAAGACATGTGGTTGCTGGCAAAAGTATCTGGATATTTTCTCCTTAGTTTTAAAACTTTTGTTTATTTCGTATCTGTTTTATTAAGATGTTAAAAGAAATATTAAATATTGGCGGCACATATTCCTTGTATGATTACTTCCACTTTTTAGGTGACTCTAAACTCTTGGCCCCTTAAATTGGATTTCTGCTATCATTCTCCTTATGTAAATATTTTTAGGTCTTCCACAAGTCTTTTGGACTTGCCAAAACATTTTATGTCTCTTGTTTCTCTAGAAGTATCAATCTCCCCCTGGAGGTCCCTCTACTGCAATGCTTTCTGTGGCAGCACAGAAACTCTGTTCATTCTTGCTAGCAACAATTTTTAAGTATGGCATGAAATCTTTTGGAATATTCTATACTGGTTTTACCAGTATAGAAGTTGCAGTCATAATTTTCTATTCCTGAGCTAGTTCAGCATAGGTTTCAACCCAGTATAGACCTCAGGCCAGAAACTTAGGTTTGCAAGAAATATTGCATTCTTTCATTTTTTTTATGACTACACATGACTTTGATTCTAAGCCCTTATCCTGTAGGCTGGTAAGATATTCAAACTTTGTTATGCTTTGGGCTTCCCTCCATCCCCAGAGCTGACAGGGTTTTATTTAGTGCCACTGATTCTTAATGGGGAAGGAGTAGGTATCCTCTGGTAATGGTCACAGGGATGAACGCCAATACATCCCTTTTGCTCATCTCCATAGCTCACTTAGAGCCAGCTCCTCTTAGGACACAGAGATATTTCATGAAGCTGGGTTCTCCAATGTCCATGTTCTCTCTTCTTAAAACTGTCACACAGATTTTTATCTTGCTACCTTTCTGGAGTGCTGCCAGGCAGCCGGGCCAGCTCCCTACTGATCTAGGATCCACAATCTTATCCCTTGCTACCCTGGAACCCTAGTCTCCACATTGCATATAAAATTTTTGGAAGTCTTAAGTGCGAAATTTATGTTGGCTACTTCTGCTTTCTACACTGCCAGAACCTCCCTTGCTGGCACAGAGATAAAATAGAGAGGGGAATAAATCTGTAACTCAAAATGCATCCAAACTCACATAAAATAATATCTTTTGGTTATCTTTCTATAGTGAAAACTGTGCTCGTAACTGAGATCTTCCTACAGCACTGAAATTCTTATTCCGGCTACTGGGAGTACAAATAGTTCTCAGCTGTCTAATATTTCTAGGAATTTGTCTTAGATTGTAATCACCCGAAAGTTTCTTCTTTCCCTCTGCACAGACAAAAACAATCCACTGAGACCACAGCATTGCAGTAGAGAAAGAGTTTAATTAATGTGAGGTCAGTCCACATGGGAGAAGACTTCCTCAAGACAAATCAGTTTTCCCAAAGGCTCAGAGGCTAGGTTTTATATGGACAATTTGGTGGGCAGGGGGCTAGGAAATGGGTGCTGCTGATTTGGTTGAGGATGAAATCATAGGGGTGTAGAAAACTGTCCTCTTGCACTGAGTTCACCTATGTGTGGGGCCACAGGATGAGTTGAGTCATGAGTCACGAGTCTAGCTGGGGTCAGTCTGAAAAATCTCTTAAAAAAAACCAATCTCAGGTTCTACAATAGTGATGTTATCTATAGGAGCAATTGAGGTCACAAATCTTGTAACCTCTGGCCACATGACTCCTGAGCAGTAAGGCATTATAGAACCCGCACCTACATTTTAGCAGAGTTCAGGCCCCTGTCATAGTTCTATTCTTGTGGCTTTTCATTAATCTTACAAAGACAGTTTTCAGTCCCTGAGCGAGGAGGGAGATCAGTTTTAGGGAGAAACTACTATCATCTCTGCTTTCAAGTTAAACTATAAACTAAATTCCTTCCAGAGTTAGCTTGACCTATGCCCAGGAATGACCATGGACAGCTTGAAGGTCAGATGCAAGATGGAGTCAACTGTGCCAGATTTATCTTATGGTCATAATGTTGCAAAAGTGGTTTCAAGCTGAATAGGCCCACCTTGCTGGAGGTCATACTCCTTCTCAGGGGCAATCTGAAGCTATTCAGGGATCAAACCCAGCCCCTTTGCTTCAACTCAGGACATATTTCAAGGGCTTTAGAAGCTTTAGAGCTCTTATGGGGTTAGCTGATCTCTTTCTGTGATTGAATAAGGGCCCAACATCTCCCTCTGCCAAGTCCGGCTTTCTTATGTTTCACGTAGATATTGACCTTGAAAACATTCCTCATTAAACATCCTGCAGGCTAATCTCCTCTTAGTCTTCTTTAGGGAAACTGACCTGCATCAAGTTGGTTCCTTGTTGAGCTGGTCTTTCTATTCCTTTCATTTAAAGGTGTGGGATATAAAACCATACCACACCTAATATAACGATCTCAGATAATTCAAAGACTTATTACTCACTTGGCCATTTGTGTTGGGGATCAGAAAGTGATACTACTAAATATGATGCTTTGGCAAGCCGGTTGCTTTAAATTAAAGAAAACTGAAAGCCCTCAGAAATAAGCCTCACAAGCAAGGTCTCTCTCTGATCTTTCTTCTGTCTCTCTGATTCTCTTTCTTTCTGAAGCACAAGAAGGGAGACAGTCTCTCTGGGATTTCCTTATCTGACTAAGAAAGCTTCTTTCCAAAAGAAATGCAATTGTTTTAGTATCCTCTTCCCTGGGAATCTCATTCAATAACCAGGAAATATTAACTACCAGAGTAGAGAAGAGGCTGAGAGTCTTCCCCATATCCAGGCAGACTTTTTATCTATTTTTCTGTGGCAGCTCAAAGAGAATACCTGGAAAGCTTTATCTGCGTAATAAGACCATCTTTGTTCACCATGATGTCCTGCCATCTCTCCCAGAACTCAGAGGAAGTTTGTTGCAGGCCATTGGTTTCTGGGCTCATTTATTTCCCTTGAAAATCATGTACTCCTATACTTCCCATCTCAGCTTCCTCTATGAAAAAAATATATAAGCATCTAGACCTCACTGGGTTATTGGGTAATCATTCTGCTGTGACTTCCCCATGTTTATGCATGTTAAGTAATTTTTTAACATTTTATTTATGTTTTTTGAGACAGAGTCCCACTCTGTTTCCCAGGCTGAAGTGCAGTGGCATGATCATGGCTCACTGCAGCCTTCATGCCTGGGTTCAAGCAATCCTCCTGGCCTTGGCCTCCCAAAGTGCTGGGATTACAGCATGAACCACCATACCCGGCATTTAAAAAATTTTATATGCCTTTTCCTCCTATTAATCTGCATTTTGTCAGTTCATTTTCAGTGAACCTTCAGAAGGCAAAGGGGAAGTTTCCTTTCTCGAGCCTATATAGGCAAAACAAAATATGAAGCTGCTTAATGGTTTAGCCAAATGTCATTTTGCAGAAGCGACTTATTGTGCCCAACTTTAATTCTCTGCACAACTTTTCATTTTCTTTCCCATTCCACACTTCTCGTAATCTTGACATTTGGGCCCTTTGGCATATATGTCTGATACCTTTAATCCTGAATCCATTTAGAATTCTTTCTAATTATTTCTAAAACCAGAATAAAACCAGAACTTATTTTTTTTTTTGCCTCTACTCCATGTATTTTGACTTATTCTCAAGTCATCACCCCTTATATGCCTATTCAACTGATGTCTTTTGGGTTCTCCTCATGGAAACTCTCTGTCCCTGAGTGGTCTTTTCCTGATTCTGGGTTCATCTATGTAACACGTTACCAGGAATCTATGTGTCTGTCTCACAACATGGAGCAGATGGAGAGAAGGAACTCGGCTTTGTGGGAGTGGGCATGGCTTTTGAAACTTGTGATAGAAGTACACACAGGAAGGCAATGTGCATCAACAGGATGCTGGTCTCCTCGGAAAGGGTTTGCCCAGACAAAACATGGAACAAAACAGAAACCAGGTCAGAAAATTTAGATGGAAAAAAAAAATGGGACTAAGTGCTACAGATTCTCAAAGCCTGTGGTCATTGCTGAAACACCACAATACTATATCTGGTGGCCAGGCACAGTGGCTCACGCCTGTAATCCCAGCACTTTGGGAAGCCAAGACAGGTGGATCACTTGAGCTCAGGAGTTTGAGACCATCCTGGCCAACATGGTGAAACCCTGTCTCTAACAAAAATACAAAAATTAGCCAGACATGATGGTGTGCACCTATGGTCCCAGCCACTTGGGAGGCTGAGGTGGGAAGATCACTGGAGCCTGGGAAGTCAAGGCTGCAGTGAGTTGTGATTGAGCCACTGCACTCCAGCTTGGGTGACAGAGACCCAGTCTCAAAAGACAAACAAACAAACAAAACAAAACAAAAAACAGGAAAATAAAACTATACCTGTTATCTAATTAGAAGCCTCAGAGTCAACCTCAAAGTCCTCTTGAGAATAGGGAAGTCCTGGTGTGGAAGCATTATTCTTATTTAAAGCCTTGCTGATTGGGTGGTGTATTAGTTCATTCTTAAACTGCTATAAAGAAATACCTGAAACAGTAATTTATAAAGAAAAGAGGTTTAATTGGCTCATGGTTATGCAGGCTGTACAGGAAGAATGGCTGGGGAGGTCTCAGGAAACTTACAATCATGGCGAAAGGCAAAGCAGGCACATCTTACATAAGTAGAGCAGGAGAAAGAGATAGAAGTGGGAGGTGCTACACGCTTTTAAGCAACAAGATCTCATGAGAACTCGCTCATCACTATCATGAGATTAGCAAGGGGGAAATCCGCCCCCATGATATAATCACCTCCCACCAGGTCCCTCCTCCAACATTGGGGATTACAATTTGACTTAAGAGGTCAGGGACACAAATCCAAACCATATCACGTGGTTTGAGAGGTGTCTATCAATTTGACCTGGGAATTAGGACATAAACAATTTTCAGGAGGAAGATTATAGATCACACTCACATAATTACCTAGTGGTAGAAAAATGACTCCAAACCATTTTGTTAATTAAAAAAAGGGGGGTTTATATAAAGTGTGCTACCAAACTCTTTGAAGCAATCCTTTCTTCTAATTCCCTTCTCATGTCAAAGAATGTGTTGCAGTTGATTACTTTATGGTGATTTCCATATTGGTAAGCAATTTGTCTAGAACAAAGCATAAGAATACAAAATCAGAGACTTACTATAAATTCTTCTAAAATTCAAATTCTTCAGCTCAACTTACTTCTCTTCCTCCCCTTCAGGCACAGAACTGTTCTATTAGCACATTTAAATTTCTCTTTTCTTTTAGATCTGTGTGCCAATTTCTTAAACAGATATTGTAATGCCTTCTTCCAACTAATTCATGGAGCTATACTTCCAATCAATTTCATCCGTTTAAAACAGTTAGCAATTGTGTGCAAAAGGTGAAATTTCTCCTTCTAGATCTGAGTTTTTCCATTCTGGGAAAAGTATTTGAATGTGGCACAGCAGGCTGCGATATGTTTTAATCCAGGGATCACAACATTCTTTGCTGATTATTAACTTATAATAGACAAAAAAAAAGTAGAAAGAGAATCAGGAGAGAGAAAAGTAGGGGGAATTGGCAAAGACAAAGAGATTGACAGTACCTGAGGGAAATAAAATTTAGGAGAGTTGTTCTGCTTAAAATATTTCTAAGAAATAATAACACATCAAAAACTTATCCACCATGATCAAGTGGGCTTCATCCCTGGGATGCAAGTCTGGTTCAATATATGCAAATCAGTAAATGTAATCCAGCATATAAACAGAACCAAAGACAAAAACCACGTGATTATCACAATAGATGCAGAAAAGGCCTTTGACAAAATTCAACAACCCTTCATGCTAAAAACTCTCAATAAATTAGGTATTGATGGGACGTATCTCAAAATAATAAGAGCTATCTATGACAAACCCACAGCCAATATCATACTGAATGGGCAAAAACTGGAAGCATTCCCTTTGAAAACTGGCACAAGACAGGATGCCCTCTCTCACCACTCCTATTCAACATAGTGTTGGAAGTTTTGGCCAGGGCAATTAGGCAGGAGAAAGAAATAAAGGGTATTAAATTAGGAAAAGAGGAAGTCAAATTGTCCCTGTTTGCAGATGACATGATTGTATATCTAGAAAACCCCATTGTCTCAGCCCAAAATCTCCTTAAGCTGATAAGCAACTTCAGCAAAGTCTCAGGATACAATATCAATCAATGTACAAAAATCACAAGCATTCTTATACACCAATAACAGACAAACAGAGAGCCAAATCATGAGTGAACTCCCATTCACAATTACTTCAAAGAGAATAAAATACCTTGGAATCCGACTTACAAGGGACATGAAGGACCTCTTCAAGGAGAACTACAAACCACTGCTCAATGAAATAAAAGAGGATACAAAGAAATGGAAGAACATTCCATGCTCATGGGTAGGAAGAATCAATATCGTGAAAATGGCCATACTGCCCAAGGTAATTTATAGATTAAATGCCATCCCCATCAAGCTGCCAATGACTTTCTTAACAGAATTGGAAAAAACTACTTTAAAGTTCATATGGAACCAAAAAAGAGCCCGCATCGCCAAGTCAATCCTAAGACAAAAGAACAAAGCTGGAAGCATCACGCTACCTGACTTCAAACTATACTACAAGGCTACAGTAACCAAAACAGCATGGTACTGGTACCAAAACAGAGATATAGATCAATGGAACAGAACAGAGCCCTCAGAAATAACACCGCATATCTACAACTATCTGATCATTGGCAAACCAGAGAAAAACAAGAAATGGGGAAAGGATTCCCTATTTAACAAATGGTGCTGGGAAAACTGGCTAGCCATATGTAGAAAGCTGAAATTGGATCCCTTTCTTACACCTTATACAGAAATTAATTCAAGATGGATTAAAGACTTAAGTGTTAGACCTAAAACCATAAAAACCCTAGAAGAAAACCTAGGCATTACCATTCAGGACATAGGCATGGGCAAGGACTTCATGTCTAAAACACCAAAAGCAATGGCAACAAAAGCCATAATTGACAAATGGGATCTAATTAAACTCAAGAGCTTCTGCACAGCAAAAGAAACTACCATCAGAGTGAACAGGCAACCTACAAAATGGGAGAAAATTTTTGCAACCTACTCATCTGACAAAGGGCTAATATCCAGAATCTACAATGAACACAAACAAATTTACAAGAAAAAAACAAACAACCCCATCAAAAACTGGTCAAAGGACATGAACAGACACTTCTCAAAAGAAGACATTTATGCAGCCAAAAAACACATGAAAAAATGCTCACCATCACTGGCCATCAGAGAAATGTAAATCAAAACCACAATGAGATACCATCTCACACCAGTTAGAATGACAATCATTAAAAAGTCAGGAAATAACAGGTGCTGGAGAGGATGTGGAGAAATAGGAACACTTTTACACTGTTGGTGGGACTGTAAACTAGTTCAACCACTGTGGAAGTCAGTGTGGTGATTCCTCAGGGATCTAGAACTAGAAATACCATTTGACCCAGCCATCCCATTACTGGGTATATACCCAAAGGACTATAAATTATGCTGCTATAAAGACACATGCACACGTTATGTTTATCATGGCACTATTCACAATAGCAAAGACTTGGAACCAACCCAAATGTCCAACAATGATAGACTGGATTAAGAAAATGTGGCACATATACACCATGGAATACTATGCAGCCATAAAAAATGATGAGTTCATGTCCTTTGTAGGGACATGGATGAAATTGGAAATCATCATTCTCAGTAAACTATCACAAGAACAAAAAACCAAACACCGCATATTCTCACTCATAGGTGGGAACTGAACAGTGAGAACACATGGACACAGGAAGGGGAACATCACACTCTGGGGACTGTTGTGGGGTGGGGGGAGGGGGGAGGGATAGCTTTAGGAGATATACCTAATACTAAATGACAAGTTAATGGGTGCAGCACACCAGCATGGCACAGGTATACATATGTAACTAACCTGCACATTGTGCACATGTACCCTAAAACTTAAAGTATAATAATAATAAAATAAAAAAAAGAAAAAAAAATAAATAAATAAAAAAGAAAAGAAAAACAGATTCCAAAGAGTGGATCTTGGTTAGTTAAATTTCAATGTCTTTTGGGAGGAGAAACATATAGGCATTGGGGCTTCATCATGTCACCTAAATCAAAATCAAATTTGTATGTATATGTGACTGACTCTGACAGGACGTTAGAACTATTGTAGCCTTAAAATTTGTCTTAATGTCTGATTCAATGCCTATTATTCTTTAATATTTGTAAGGTGCTTAATTCGAGACTTAAAATGGCACGCAGTGTGAACACAATAAATTATAGCTATTATTTTTTTCTAGGCTTACTTTATAGCTTCATCTTTCTATTTTCTTATATGAATTGTCAAATAATTTGATAAGATTTTTAAAAGTATTGTTAATTACTGCAAGCAATTAACTTGAATTGATGTCTTCCAATCAACGTGGTAAAGAAGAGAAAGGAGAGGAATAACTATGAAAGAACTGGATTGGAAACGAGCAATGTAGAAAATAAAAACAAATCATTTACTACACTTAGAAAACATTGTTTTTGAGGAAATTAATAGTATAAAACTTGCCAATACCAGAGAGTCTCAAGAAGGAACATAAAGATTCTGCATGACAAGTTTTGGAGTACTATCTATCTTATTTGTTCCTTAAACCCTTTAGTTCCATTCATAAGGTGCTTATGGCTGCGTGTGTGGCAGGCACGTGGGGTGCTATAGAGATACAGGGGAAAGAGTTTGAGTAGTGCAATATACTGTTCATTTTTCTTTTCAGAATGCCCTTGACAAATTAACATTCTCAGATCAGTTGACTTGTTTGAATGCACCACATTGGCATTCTAATTCAAATGGGAGAGAGGTGATTGACTGAATAACTCAAGATTGAAGGAGGCATTGGAGAAACCTTTTACTGTTGACCATGGATACTAGGTCCCCTTGCTTTTTTTTTTTTTCTTTTAGTTTTGATCCAGCACAATCCATTAGACTGCCACAATTCACACCTGCTTTTTATTTATTTAGTGAGCTCTATTGACTCCTTGGACTTGTAGGCAACTCATCTTGACTTGAGAGGCTGCCTTGCTAAGGGCAGAAATGTTAATATAGATTTTGGCCCCTCAAGCAAGAAAGCACTTAAAAATGTCGCAGCCACTAAATGATTCAATTAGTCTAACCTTCCCACCTGCCCTTTTTTTTTTTAAAAAAAAGACTCCTTTGCCACAGCGATAGTGCAAGACCAGCCCCTTTGTCCACACTCTGCATGAAGTGGAGTTTTTCCAAGTTGAAAGTATTTGTACGTCAGATCTGTGGGTACGAAAATGAAGAAAAGAATTACTGATGATCTGAGGCCAATGCTTCATGAAATGATTTGAACTGTTGTGCCATCTGACCCTGCACTACTAGATTATAAAATGTTCACAAAAAAAGGAAAAAAAATCTAGTATCTTGTGTCAGTGCTTTGACAGCTTTTATGATAAGAATTGGGTTTACTAACAAATTGTGGATTCCAAGCCCTTTTCACTGCACAGTAATTTCCAGGCAGTTTAAAACCACTTCTGGCCTGCCCTCTCTATTTGAATCTACTGCTGAGTCTAAAAGCCTGTCTTGATTCCCCTGTGTTTATTACAGATTCTTTTCCATTTGAAGAATCAATACTAAATGCAGACACAGACAGACGGCATTTTACACTTGGTATTTGGAACAATGGGAGGGTGTCATTTATCAGTACTTTTTCAGGCACCAGAAAATTATAAGGCAAAATAAATTTGTAGGTTAAACAACTTTTCATTTACAAGAGATTATGGCACATCAGTTTCTAACTAGAGGTATATAGGTAGACACAGAAAACCTTGATAAAAATGTAAAAACTCTTTGAAATGAACTAGCATTGTTAGTATTATAAAACTGAGGAAAATACTTTCTCTGCTTGCTTCAGTACCTTTCAAGAAGCATAGAAGCAAGAGATGCTCAAAAATTAACATTGTAGGATGACATTTCCAAAATTTTTTATTGAAAAAAATAATGGGTGTTGTGACTTAGCTTCTTTTAAAGTTTTACATTTGGTGCACATTTGAAAAATTTACTAGTTTATAGTCAATGTGAGACACTGGTAAGCTTATAAAATGTTTCCACTTTTATACCCTCAATTCTAACAATATTTATCTATGCTTTCCATAATCTGTCACTCTGCAAGGCACTGGGAACACAAATGGTCTCATTAAAACACTCCTTTCAAAATGTTGTTTACTCTGAACAGACATTGGAAGAGGTTTCCAGTTAAACAGTTTGACTGAATAAAGAATAAAGGGAAAGAGTAACAAAACACTGAACTTGGAAATGCAATATTGTATTTTTAATTTGGTATTTAATGTATCTATCAGATGCCAATGAAGTCTGCTTTCCATATGTCTAAATCATGTCAACACACCAAGTATAACCTAATTCATGTAATTTTAGACATATAATTTTAAAAGTATAATTGAGAATTTAAACTAAAAAAAAATCATTTAGTTCTTACTCTTTTACCCATTAGGAATAAAAATTTAAGACCAAAAGAATCTGAAATTTTACGTTTTATATCACTGCACACCTGAGTATTATTTCAGATTCCTCAGCCAAAATGTTCCCCAAATAGTCACAGATCATATTTATGAAAAGAGAAAGGAAAACTAGCATTTTGCAATCTCATACTATAGACTAGGCCATATGCTAAGAGATTTTAATATTATATTATTTAAATCTTACAACCATGACATGCATAAGGTGTTTCACTCCTCATTTCTCAACATGAGGATACTAAAGGTCAGATTAATTAAGTAATGTGCTTCTGCACCTACACTTAGTAGGAGATGGAGCTGAAAAACAAACGTAGAACTCTGATACTAATTACAGTCATTCAGAGCTTAATGATGGGGATACCTTCTCAGAAATGTGGTGTTAGGCAATTTTGTCATGCAAACATCAGAGGATGTACTTACACAAACCTGAATGGTAGAGCCTGCTGCACATCTAGGCTGTATGGCATAGCCTATTGCTCCTGGGCTACAAACCTATAGAGCATGTTATTGTACTGAATATTGCAGGCAATTGTAACACGATTGTAAATATTTGTGCATTTAAACATATTTAAGTATGGAAAAGGTAAAGTAAAAAAAAATCATGTTATAATTTTATGGGACCACCATTGTATACGCAGTCCATCAATGACTAAAACACCATGATATGGTGCGCGAATGTACTAACAGTGGGCTCTCTGTATCAGTGGGTTCCAGATTTGTGAATTCAACAACCGTGGATTAAAAAAAAAAAAAAATTAAAAAGGACAATTGCGTCTGAACCAAACAGATTTTTTTCTTCACAGACTTCTTGACATTATTCTCCAAACAATATAGTATAACAACTATTTACATAGCCTTTACAATGTACAGTTGACCGTTGAACAATATGGGTTTGAACTGTGGTTTCACCTGTATGAAGATTTTCTTCTGCTTCTGCCACCCCTGAGAGAGCAAGACCAACTTCTCCTTTTCCTCTTCCTGCTCAGCATACTCAACGTAAAGATGATAAAGACCTTTATGATGAGCCACTTCCACCTAATGCATCATAAATATATTTTATCTTTCTTAATGATTTTCTTAATAACATTTTCTTTCTCTAGGTTATTTTATTATGAGAATACAGTATATAATACATATAACATACCAAATATGTGTTAATTGACTATGTTATTGGTAAGGCTTCTGGTCGACAGTAGGCTATTACATAGTTAAGTTTTGGGGGAGTCAAAAGTTACACATGAATATTTGACTGTGTGGGGGTCTGTGCCCCAATACCCACATTGTTCAAGGGTCAACTGCACTAAGTATTATAATTAATCAAGAGATGATTTCAAGTATATAGCAAGATGTGTGTAGGTTGTAGACAAATACTATGCCATTTTATACCAGGGACTTGAGCATCCTTGGGCTTTGGTATCTGTGGGGGATCCTGGAACCAATACCCTAGGTACCAAGAAACAACTGTACTTGGGTCCAAAAATACACTTTTGAGAAAAAACTTGTAATATGTCCATTTTGGGATGGCCAATCAGGAGGTGAAGGCATCATTGGTTCAAAAAGTGCACTTTTAGGCCGGGCACGGTGGGTTATGCCTGAAATCCCAGCATTTTGGGAGGCCCAGGTGGGCGGACAACTTAAGGTCAGGAGTTTGAGACCAGCCTAGCCAACATGGTGAAACCTCGTCTCTACTAAAAATACAAAAATTGTGGGGCATGGTGGTGCATTCCTGTAATCCCAGCTACTTGGGAGGCTGAGGCAGGAGAATCACTTGAATCCAGGAGGTGGAGGTTGCAGTAAGCCAAGATTGTACCACTGCACTCCAGCCTAGGCAACAGAATGAGACTCCATCTCAAAAAAAAAAAAAAAAAAAGTACACCTTTAATTATATTACAAGTATTTCACGAATACAACTTAAAATAGGACTCATCTAAAAATAAAACTACATTTGCGAAGATTATGAAAACAGGACAATTCTAACATGGCTGACTCCATTTTGCTTCTAGCCTCACAGGCTGGCTGTCCTCACTCATTCCTGGGCATAGGCCAAGCTAACAATGGGAGGAATTTAGTTTATGGTTTAACTTTGAAGCAAGGATGATAATAATCTCTCCCTAAAACTGATCCCCTCCTTGCTTGGGGTCTGAAATCACCTTTGTAAAACTAATGAAAGGCCACAGGGTTAGGATTATGTGAAGGGCCTGAATTCTGTTGATACTCAGCCATTGTTCCCTAGCTTGTTTTCCTAAAATTTCTTATTGCTCAGGAGTCATGAAGCTAGAGGTCACAAGATTTGGGACTTCTCTGATTACTCCTATAGATAACGTCACTATTATAGAACCTAAGATTGGTCTTTGAGATGTTTTTAAGACTTTAACATTCTGGCAACCAATTGACTCCACCCAGACCAGTGATTCATGACTCAAGGGGGCTCCTGATCTACACCCAGAGACTGACTCAGTGCAGGAGGACGATTTTCTACACCCTTATGATTTCATCCTCAACTGATCAGCAGCACTTCTTCCCTAGCCCCCTGCTCACCAAACTATTCTTGAAAAACCCTAACCTCTGAACCTTCAGAGAGACTGATTTGAGTAATAAATTCTGCTTTCACTTGGCTAGCCCTGTGTTAAACTCTTTCTTTTCTGCAAAAACAAAAACAAAAACCCTTGCTGTTCTTAGTGCATTGGCTTTTTCTGGGCAGTGGGCAAGATGAACCCATCAGGTGATTACAATAGGTGCCTTAATATTGCTTGTGGATCACATTGATCAATCAATTCTGTCAATTCAGTCATTCCATCTGTCTCTTTTACTTTTGACATTTCAGGGCTTTTTAGGTAACTTTGACAAAACTTCACAAAGATCTAACTTTTTAAATTTATGTGTTTCTCAAATTTCCCTTATAGGTGAAAAAAAAATCTCATTCAAGAAAAATCAGATAAAATTATAGCAGAAGATTCTACTTTGTACCAAGTGCTTCTCATTTTGCTTAGACAATCAGTTCTTGCTGGCTTACACTAAATTGCTGACTTATACTAAACTATATAAGTTTACACTAAGTTATTCAAATGTCTACAAAACTCAGGGACACATTTTACTTATGTTTACTGGTTTATTATAAAGGCTGTTATAAAGGATACAGATGAACAGCCAGATGAAGAGCTACATAGGGCAGGATCTGAAAGAGTTCTGAGTGCAGGAGCTCCTGTCCTTGTGATGTTGGGGTGCACCACCCTCCCAGCCTGTGGAAGACAAACCCAGAAGCTCATCAAAACTCATTGTTCAAGAATTTTTTTGTAGAGCTTTAATCTCCAGCCCTAGCCCCGCCACCCCTTCTTGGAGGTGCCTGGATGGAGCTAAAACTTTCAACCACTTAATTATTTGGTCATTCTGGTGACCAACCTAATCCTGAGACTATCTAGGGGCCCAGTCCAAGTCACCTCATTAGCATAAAGGTAGGTGTGATAAAATGGATGTATATAGGACGAAATATATTTTTATTACTTAGGAAATTCCAGTGGTTTTAGGAGCTCTGTTCAAAACCTAAGTAATGTAACAAAACATACTCCTTTCACCCTTATCCCTTATCACTCAGGAAATTCCAAAGTTTTTAGGAACTCTGTACCAGGAACGTGGGATGACGGCCAAGTATATATTTCTTAATATATACCCAGTAAACCGATTACTCTCTCACAAAACAGGAATAATCTTTCTCAACTTATAATCGACAAAATAAGGTGGAAACAATTTCATTTTAACCGTATACCAGACATTAAACATTCTAAATGTTGGTAGAAGTAATAATAAATAATAATAATAATAATAATTACAACTAAGCCAACCACTACCTCTACTACTACCTGTCTGAACACTTAGCATACCAGACCGGTTCAAAATACTCTACCTGCTTTATCTCATTTTGTCCTTATAGTATTTTTAAGTGGAAAGTACTGTTAGGAACCTTGTTTTATAGGGGATGAATGAGTTCAAGCCTCACAGGGTTTAAAAAACTTGTCTTAAGTAAAAGAGGAAGTAATTTCCTATCTGTATATAAAAGAACCTTCCTCAAGAAAATTAACTGCAGAAGTCTTGCTAACAATAATTTCAGCTTCTATATGGATCTTTTTGTGCTGGAATACCCCTTTTACTGTAGACTCTCTGTGACATATTTAAATGTCAGAGATAATTCCTACTGCCAGGCCTCTCTTGATCGTATTAATTTCACACAAAATTTTATCAAAACATATACACATTTCATGTATCCTTGAGGAAGGACCCTAACACTGTAATTCTGTGGCAGTTAAACTAAAATATTATTTTTATTTAAAAAGAAGCAGCATAATATAGCCACATTATCATCTTGGAAAGTTAAAAAAATGAGATTGTTATCTATAATTTATATATTTCTACCCTGTGTTTCTTTCAGGTTTGGTTTATCATAATAAATCCACAATTTTGCATTTGTCTCTTACACTTAATATTTTATACAAAAATTCATTACTGAGTCTTCTGTGGTTTACCTCCTAAATATCTTCTGCATCTGAACATTTTTCTCTGTCTCTTCTACTACCATCCTAATACAAGCTACTATTTGCTCTTTCCTGGACTTCTGACACTATCTTTCTTCCTAACAGTTCTACCTTTCAGTTCATCTTCTTTCTACAGTTAGAATGTGCTTTTTAAAAATACAAATCTAATATCATAATTCTTAAAATCTTCCAGAAGTTTTCTATTTACTTAGAGATAAAGGCAAATCTTTTACAGAGCTTTACTTTGGATTTCAGTTCTGGAGGCCAGAAGTCCAAAATCACAGTGTCCGCAGGGCTATCCTCCCTCTGCAGGCTGAGGGAGAATTCTTCCTTGACTCTTCCAGCTCCTGGTGGCACTTGACACTCTTTGGCTTATGGCAGCATAACTCCAATTTCTGCCTCTATTTCACATGGCCTTCTTTGTGTCCTTTCCTTTTTATTTCCCCCAGAGACAAGGTCTCACTTTGTTGCCAAGGCTCGAATACAGTGGTGCAATCATAGCTGACTGCAGCCTTGAGCTCCTGGGCTCAAGCAATCCTTCTCCTTCAGCCTCCCAAGTAGCTAGGACTACAGGCATGAGCAAACACTCTCAGATAATTTTTAAAGTTTTTTTTTGTAGGAATAGGGTCTCGGTATGTTGGCAAGACTGGTCTCGAGATCCTCGTCTGAAGCTATCCTCTCACCTCGGCTGCTCAAAGTCCTGGGATTACAGGCATGAACCATGGTGCCCCTTTCCTCCCCTTATAAGGACCATCTGAATCCAGGATGACTAATTTCAACTGATTTTTATCTAATTACATCTGCAAAAATCCTATTTCCAAATGTTATCCTATCCTGAGGTTGCAGGCGAACATAAATTTTTGGGAGACATTCTTCAACTCACTTTGAATATATCACCACCTTATCATATATCAAATTTGAAATGTATTTGTGTTTAATTATAAACTTTCTATATACTTTTCACTAGTCAGCCTGTTTTAATTTAAAAAGCTTTATATTACAATAATGCATAAGGCTTACCTGAAAAATATTTGAATATTCAACAGGACTATCCTCCATACATTACTCTTTTTTTCTGGGGCTTTTGTATTAGTCAGCGTTCTTTAGAAGGATGGAACTAATCAACTCTTTTTTTTAAATTTTATTATTATCATACTTTAAGTTTTAGGGTACATGTGCACAACATGCAGGTTTGTTACATATGTATACATGTGCCATGTTGGTGTGCTGCACCCATTAACTAATTCTTAACTCACATGATCACAAGGTCCCACAATAGGACATCTGCAAGCTGAGGAGCAAGGAGAGCCAGTCTGAGTCCCCAGACTGAAGAACGAGGAGTCCGATGTTCAAGGGAGAAAGCATCCAGCACGAGAGAAAGATGTAGGTTGTGGGGCTAGGCCAGTCTCATCTTTTCACATTTTTCTGTCTGCTTTATATTCTAGCTGTGCTGGCACCTGATTAGATGGTGCCCACCCAGATTAAGGGTGGGTCTGCCATTTCCAGCCCGCTGACTCAAATGTTAATCTCCTCTGGCATCAACCTCAGAGACACACCCAGGATCAATACTTTGCATCCTTCAATCCAATCAAGTTGACATTCAGTATTAACCTTCGCAGCTTTCTTGCTATCTTTACTTTTTTTTTCAGATTAACTTCATAATCAACTTCTCTATCTTCAGAAAAGAATTCTGTTGATATTTTTGTGAAAATAATTTTAAAGACAATCAGACATCCTTATGCTTTTGCTATAAATTTATCCGTTTATCAATGTTTCCAATGTATTAACATATTTTATGCAAGACAATCCTTTGCTTATAAATTTTTCTGTTTCAATTGCTGTTTCTTCCTTGCAATTTTGTTTTTTGTATATTTGTACTTTCTTCCCAATGTACTCCAATCTTTATTTTTATTATATTGGCTGTTTGGTTTGTCTTTTTCAAAAAAATCAGCTTTTTATTTATTTATTATTTTTTAACTTATTATTTTATAATTATTATTTTGTCCTTTTATGAACTTCATATCTAAATTTTGAAATTCAATGTTTAATTTTGTTATTGTGTTGATATTATTTTATCATTTTATTGACAGTACATAATTTTACTATGATAAGTGGCAAAAGATAATTTGAAGAAAAAGGTAAAGTCGTAACTCTTATAGAGATAGAATAATACACATGTGTAAAATATTTTACTTTTATTAATCAATGAGGGGACCACAGCTGTTATAAACGGTTAAATGGAAAAATCAAAATTTCAGAAATTTGTATGGAGTAAAGGAATATTGAGATAAATTACAAACGAGGAGACAATTTTTCTTCACAGTGTGGAGAAATATCAATCAAAATTTTAACTTGCAAGATAGAGTTTGTTTACCTATCAATTACCTGCAATTTTTTTTAATTCAAATTTTATTTTAGATACAGGGGGTGCATGTGCAGGTATGTCATATGGGCATATTGCACTGAGGTAGTGAGCATAGTTCCCAATAGGTAGTTTACCAATCCATGTCGCCCTCCTTCCCTAAGCCCTCTAGCAGCCCATAGTGTCCGTTGTTCCCATGTTTATGTCCATGTGTGCTCAGTCTTTACTTCCCACGTATAAGTGAGAACATGCAGTATTTGATTTTCTTTTCTCTTGTTAATCTGCTTAGTGTTATGGCCGCCAGCTCCATTCATGTTACTGCAAAGGACATTATTTCATTTCCTTTTTATGGCTGCATAGTATTCTATGGTGTATATAGATCACATTTTCTTTATCCAGTTCACTATTGATGGGTACCTAAGTTGATTCCATGACTTTGCTATCGTGAAGAGCATGGCAGTGACATACTAGTACATGTATATTTTTGGTATAATGATCTGTTTTCCTTTAAATTACCTACAGTTTAGAAAAAGGTGAAAAATACCTCAAAAACAATTAACAGCACTAGAATCAGACAGACCCAGTTGGTATACTATGAGAAATGCTTAGATTTTCATTGAAGTACAAAATTTGTTTCTACATCAGGATATTAGTACATTTTACACTTGTATGTTTGACTTTCTTCATTTTTACTGATGTGATTATTAATACATAATTCTACTGACATAAGCAAATCAATAGCTTTAGAAATTATATATGGTTAACTTATGTTTATTGTACTTTATTGATATAAATGTATCAAGGTATAAATTTTCCTCTGAGTACTGCTTTATCTGTATTCCACAGATTCTAATATGTCATGTTTTTATTATTATGATTTTGTAGAAATTTGGCAATTTTGTATTGTGCTTAATAGAGTATTTAAAAATATATATAGGTAGAAGTCTTTTGTTTGATTTAGTTATAATTTCCAATTTTATTACATTGTGGTCAGATAATCCTATTTGCATGGATTCTATTTTCTTGAAAAAGTTACTGTCTCCTTTTAAGCTAATACTGGGTATTTTTACATAATAATTACATGTTCTTTGGGGAAAAAGTGATTTTTTAAATAATCAAGAATCACAGTTAAATGTATTTATGCAGCTTACTATTATGTATACTTCTTAGGTTTTCTGTATCATTTATGATATCCCAGTATTATTTTTTCTTTAATATTAGTGACATTAAATGTACCTAAACATATTGTACTTGTTTGTTAGCTTTAAGTAATCAACTTTCACTCTCCAATAATACCTATAAATCAATCTGCAAGGTTTATCTACTGCAAACTTTTTTCTCTCTTCTCCTCCCATTTTTATTACTTATATTTTTCTGCGTTGTGAGAGCATTTATTTCCTAATATTATTTTTTCATACTTATACACAACTTCTAATACTTGTGTCAGAGTTAAAAACATTTAATGCTCAAACACAAATCTTCAGTTGATTTTCTGAAATTATTCTGGGGTTGCCTGCAGCCTATTTTCTATTAAATTTCTCTGGTAAGATTCCTGGAATCAACAGTCTTGAGATATTGCTTGCAAGTTAATAAATGTCTATGGTCTTTATACCTGAAGGACAGGTTGACTGGATATAAAATATTTGACTTACATTTACTTCAGTAAAAATATTTTTGTTGAAAACTCTAATACAAATCCAACATTTTTCCTTATAAGTAACTTAATTTTTTTTTCCTGTGTGTTTAAAGAATGTCTTCCTTTATTTTAAAGACTAACAATTTTACTTAGTTTGGTCTCAGAGTTGCTCATTTGGGCTCTATTTTTGCAGGCGTATGTATGCCCTTTCTGTATGTAGTCTTCTCTTATTTCAGAAATTATTGCTCTGGCAACTCTTCAAATACGAACACACACTTGCATTATTATCTGACAACATAAAATACGTAGAAAAACCACAAATGGCATACCATTAAAAATCAGCCTATTACATATACCTTTCACAAAACTAGTTAAATCAGTGTTAAGATGAGGCTGGGAATCATATCATGTATCAAAGTGAACAGATACTGGAGTTAAACTGACTGCATTTAAATACTAATCCTGCTGATTTATTAGCTGTGCAGTCTTTGGCAAGTGTCTTAACCTCTCTCTGCGTCAATTGTATCATCTATAGAATGACCATAATAATGTATATCCCTTAATTTTTTTGTGAAATTAAATGAGACAATTCACATACAGTGCTTAAACACTGATAAGCATGATATCAAAATACAATAAGGGCCACAGATATTCATTTCCAGTCCGATTTTAATGAACTCTGTAGTTTATAGTCATCATATAATTTCAATCTTCCATTCTTTTTTAATCACAAAATCTTTTTGTATAAGAGGTATAGTGTAAGATACATGAAAGCACATAGGTCAAATAGAGGAAATGTTATCTTATCCTTGATTAACTGGGCTTAAATTCGTCTATTGATAACTTGTAAGATAGGAACCATATTTACATGGAGCTTTCTAATGCCCCATCTTTCCCAAGAGCCTCGCTTATTCTCTTGACCCGGGTATCTTGATTTTAACATTAAGAAACCAGGTTGAGCATTATCTTCTCCAGTGGACAATAACCTCTAAGTGTGTATTAGGAGCTCCCAGAATACCCTTTACTAACTTTAATTCTCATTGTATTCTATGATGACTTTGTGATAACATGGCTGTTTCTCCCAGAAATGAGTTAGGGGCAAAGAATGTGTTTTTAAACTTGTTTCCATAATACCTGTTTTGTGATTGAACAATATATTTTTGTCTGACTTACATTTTATGAAGAATGATTGTAAGGGTAAAATGGAAAAATATCAGTAAAGTTTTACTGAAAATGCATTAAGTGTAAAACATTTAACTGTTATAAATAATGGAACTCAACTTGAGAGATTTGAATGGAAGGAATTGTGCCATTCACAATCTAAACAGATTCACCACCGAAAGTAGAGAAATCAAGGGCATCCATTTCATTTTAATACTCCTTTTCAAATCAAACAAAATTGCTAGTACACCAAATAGATTTAAAAGATCTGAGTTACATTTTTAAGAGGCAAGCACATCTCTAAGTGTTGGTTTATCATGGTTTCATTTGCTTGAGAAGCCAACAATTGGCTGTTCATTTTACCTTCCTCTGTGATATGTATAAATATCCCAGAAAGCCCACAGCTTACTTTGAGCTCTCTCAGTGCCATCCAATTATAAATGCAATTGTAAATATCTCTGCTCTGTTAACAAAAATGCAGCATTACTTCTCCTATTAATGTAGAGTATAAACTTTCTATTAGTAATCTTATGCTTAAGATAAAAAGGAAAATATATGAAAGCATTGTGGATAAAGTTGAAAAGCTGTACAGATGGAAGGTATTAATGCCAAAATTGTGAAACTTATCCCTAGCATCTTCCACATTCCATTAGGATATTTTGCCCGTCTCGAACACATCTATTATCATTGTTATACTGATATTCTCTTAGACTGGAGAGATGAGTGTGGTATCTTAGAGAACAATTGGAAGATTGTAATAGTAGCAATTGCATTAGCTCCCACAATGGCTTTCTATTCCTTAATTAATAAAGTCAAGATTGCCTGTTTAAGAATTCAAGGATTATTTACACACTTTGAATATACATCTTATTTCTCTAATATAATATCTCTGCAAGATTCTGCTCTCAAATCTCAATCTCTAGTAAATGTTTATCCTTTCTTTAATACACAGCTCCATGATTCTTCTTCTCTTCTGGATTATGATTTTTCTATTTGAAAATTATTTCTATATTATTTCTTGTGTGAAAATTGCTTTTCACCATTTATTTATTAAACCTACATTTATGTAGGTTCCTGTATGTAATGCACAGTATTTAGTGCTGGGGATTCAATGGGCAAGTATAAATAATACATAGTCCCTGATTATCAAAGTGTTCTAGGGAAGCAATGAGCAGTCAATGGAAGCTAGGTTTTCTTCCATTTTTGGTATTGTACCAGACGTGCAAAGAATTTTACTCTTCACCGTCTCCCTGCCTCCACGCTACCTTCTTAAAAAACCTACATTTGCCCTCTTCTCAGAAAGCCTATACTCAGAGCAACAGCTATATAGTCAGTGGATCAGGTGACCCCAAAATGTAACCATTGGACCACAGGTATTCTCATGAGCCAAGCTAAGACAATACACTTCTCTTACCAGGACTTTTAAATTTGAACTTATAATTGATTGAGTTTTTGTTAGGACTTCAATTACCAGATGATAAAAAGCAGGAAACAGGAAACTTATATAGTCAGTCTCTGCTGTGTTAATGAAGAATCAGAGAAATAGCCACTATTGAAAGAGAGAGAAGGATAACTAGATTTACAGAGAGAAATAGAGAGGTGAAGAAACGAATTTGGTTCTCAACTGATTCTACTCTTTGAGAGGTTTGGCTATGTCTCTGGTATTCTTCTGATGCATTTTACAGTTTGTTTAAGTTAAATGAGTTTGTGTGCCTTACTATCAAATGGTAACTTGACAGACATTTATCAGTCAGTGGGAAGTAATAGACCCCTGGGAAAAATTGTAGAATATTAAGGATAGTGAAAATGTCATCATTTGAAGCAGAGGGATAGTCTTACTTGTCGACGATGAAACAATAAACTGGCCCTTGTATTTTCTTGGCACACACTAACACTGATTCTTTAAGAAAAGAGTTTTAAAGGAAAGATTTATGAACCCAAAGAAGAATATAACATTTCAAATATGAAAATGTCCTGTGAAAATCCCTATCTGTGTCTGAGATGTCTTAAATTCTGAAATTGCTGAAATTCAGATTAAGAAATTAGGTAAACGTTGTGTTTAATTGCAGCTGCTGAATTCTCTGACCCTTTGCACATCTGTGGCCAAGCTACATAGGTTAGCAAAGAGTAGGATTCTGACTTTTGGAATGGTATGAGGGAGAAGCTGGATGTGATGGAGGACCCCAATTTTACCAGGTTATTACATTCTATGTTCTTCTTGTGTATATTTCATGCTCAACAGAGTTGATAACATTTCCCAATGTAAATCACCTTCAGTGATTAGAATTCAGTATGAACCTTGAGGGTCTGGCATTCCCTGCATATCATGAGAACAAATTCTAGAGCAGTTCATTGTTTTTTGGCCTCTGTTCATTGTATCATTCATTCATTTATTAATTAATATCTTCATTGATCTGTCTTCTTTTGAGAATTTAATGGATTCTTAGCATTCTTTTGGGCATAGAGGATATAATAGTGAACAAAATAAGTTTCTCTTCACAGAGATTTTATTCTAACAGAATATTTCAGAAACATATATTCTTTGAAGGAAATAAAGTAATAGAAAGAAGTGATTGTGAAGGTGGAAGGATAGTACGAGTTATCTATAATGGTCAAGGAGGCTCTCCCTTGTAATGGGATAACTGAGCTGAGGCCCATATAATAAGAAAGGACCAACTGTGCACAAATTTGGGAAAAGGAGAAGAAACAGCAAATGTGAAGACCCTGAGACAGGAAATGTTTGGTGTGTTCAAGGGGCAGGAAAAAAATCCAGAAAGCTAGAGTCCAGCAAAAGATGATGAGCATTGTGAATAATGAGCTCAGGGACATTACAAAATTCAGATCATATATAGCCTTATAAACCATATTAAGGCATTTGGATTTTATGTCAGTTGTGATTGCAAATTGTAAACAGAGGAGTAATCTGAACTCATTTGAGCTTAATATTAAAAAGACACTTTATATGCCTTGAGGAAGAATAAATGAAGTGGGCCAAGGAAGGAACTAGGTTTTATGATGTTCTAGGACACATGAGAGTGGCTTGGGCTACAATGTGAATGCTGAAAAGTGACCAGGAGAACAGACTGGAGGTGCAGGGGAAGGACAGGGAAGTGACTGATGGCATTTAGGTTTGTGGCCTGAGCATCTGTGTAGACAATGGTGTCATAGATTGAGATTAGAAATTACAGGTTGAGTATCCCCTATTTGAAATACTTGGGACCAGAAGTGGTTTGGATTTTGAATTTATTTGGATTTTGGAACATTTACATTATACTTACAGTTATGCATTTCTAATTTTAAAATCCAAAATCCAAAATGAGCATTTATTTTCTTTGAGCATTATATCCACACTGACAAAGTTTTGGCTTTGGAATGTTTTGGATTTAAGATTTTCAGATTAGGATTGGGAGTACTCAACCTGCATGAAGGAAAGGCAGATCTGAAGGATGGGTATAGTTGTTCAGGACTTGGAATGCCTATTGGCAAGAGTAAATGTGGAAGAGGCAACTGGATTTATGGGTTTGGGGCTCATGGATGGACACATTTTGGGTACAGAAATAGATTTGGAGTCAGCAGCAAATAGATAATATTAAAAGCCAAAGGAAGAACTGGATGAAAACATTTAAGTGAGTGAAAATAAATGAGGGTGTCTAGGATTGTGCTTTCAGTAACTGAAGTGTTTATAGTCAGGAACAAAGGGAGAAGTCACAAAAAGACACTGTACAGTCAGAGAAGACCAGGAAAAAATTTATTTCAAGGAGTGAGTGGTCAATCTTGTCAAGTATTGCCAAGAGGCTGAGTAAGAAGAGAAGATAAAACTGATGATGTAACTAGACAATATCGATGCCATAGTGACCTGAATAAAGAAATTGAAGCCCAACTTGAGGGATCTTTAGGAGAGAAATATAGGTAGTAATTACAGACAAATAAATATTTTGAAGAATTTTTTTTACTGAAGAGTTGAAGAGAAATGCAGAGAAAAATCCAAGAAAGTTCTTATTTTAAAGGTACAATAAAGAAAAGTAAATTTGCATTCTGATGGGAATGATTCTTTTGACTATTGTAGAAATATATTCCTGTAAATATATTCCCATTATCATGGGAATGATTCAGGAGTGAGACAGAAACTGATGTTGCTGGAAGCGGGTAAATAATGGCAGAACAGAAGACCCTGAGTAGGAAAGAAAGGATAGGATCTGGAGCAGCACTGTTAAAAAAAAAGTATAATGTGAGCCACATAAGTAATTTAAAATTTTCTAGTAGCCACATTAAAAGCATAAAAAGAAACAGGTAAAATTAATTTTAAAATTTTAAATTTAACCTTAGATATCCAAAATATTCTCATTTCAACATGTATTATTATAAAATTATTGAGTTTTTTTACTGTTTGTATATTAAGTCTTTGAAATTTGGCATAAATTTTATGCTTACAGCAATATCAATTTGGATTAGTCATGTATAAAGTGCTCAACAGAGTGTAAATGGAGGGTTTGGCATGAGATAAAACGTATAGAAATTTCATTCATTGTAACACGAGGTAAGACAGAAATATATGTAAATGAACAGTGCTGTTTGGTGGTGGGAATAAGAGATGGCTGTCATCTGACTTTATGTTTTAAGTGATGTCTGAAGAAGTGTTAGACATTTTAATAGAAGACAAGAAATAGGTGTTGCAAAAATGGCTATTTTGTTTTCATTTTTTAATTTTTTAAAAATATTTTGTCAAGGACCCAATATGGAAAGAGGTAAAATGGCCATTTTGGAGAGTGGAAGGATGAATCTTTAGGGTTCATTACCTTCGAACATTGAAAATGGGTGTCCTAGTTCAAGTTTTTTCTCAGCCAAAGAAGCCTAGAAGGAATGAACAAATTTGACTACTTCATGGTGGTAACGTATCACAGAGCAGTAGAACCTATAAGATTTCTACCTGGAGACATCAGAAGAGAATTTACTGTCACAGAAAGAAATAAAAATCCAGGTACAGTTGACCCTTGAGTAACATGTGTGGATCCACTTATACACGGAATTTTTTCTACAAAACTTGGATGGAAACTGTGACATTCACTGGATGCAAAACCCATGTATACAGAGGGCCAACTTTTTATATACAGAGGGTCTGCAGGGACAACTGTAGGACTTGCGTATTCCTAGGTTTTGGTATATTGAGCTGGTTCTGGAACCAACCCCCTTGTATGCTGATGGACGACTGCCTAATGAACAGGGGCCAGTGCTTGAAATTGCCATCATACCCTCTCTATTTATCCCATATGTCCACTATGAGGCATAATAGAACCAGTTGGAAGAGTCTGCCAACCTTCCACTATGTGAACAGAAAAGTAGACGACACTTTAGAAAGAGTGAATGAAGCATACATAGAAAGAAGCAGAGATGAGAGACCAACAAACCTAGACAGGTTGAGAGTATAACTTTGGTTCCAGTTATTGGTTCTAATCCCTTTTCAGGTCTATTGCTTTTCTTGGTTTTGTGTTCTAAGACATAGCCCTTATCCTGCTACTATATAAATTACTCCCCTTTTTATTATACTTGTTTAGTGTTTTCTGTGACTTGCAGCTCTGCCTCCTTCATTGGTAGAGATAATAAGGTCCTGAATTTAATGTGGAGTTAGTGGGCTAGGTGTAAAGAATTACATCACAAGGGGCTGACTGAGGAGAAAGACCTGACAGTGGTCATGGAACAAAACACATTCATCATGACTATCTTTTTGTCTTATTTTAAAACCTACATACTTATTTACCCAACTTAGACATAATACTATTTTAGTACAAAGAGAATGTATCAAAGGCAAAATAAGAAAATAAAAATCACCAAAACTCCAATAAACAGTATTGACTACTCTTTTCTCTTTGGTGTATCATTTACTGAATTGGATACAAATATATCTTCTGTCCATAAATAGATTCTTTGTCCAAAAAATCAAAGAAGAGACTCTTTTGATTATTGTAGAAATATATTCTTGTAAAGAACTTTCCTCATTCTCCTTGCCTCCTTTACTCCATTCTACTTTTCTTTATTTCATCTCCCAAGGAAAGAGTTATTCAGCCTTTGTTCCCTGAACTTTCTTCGTTTTATTTTTTCAAAATACCATAGAGATGCTGACATGCTCTTGAAATATCAGTAAGAAATTCCATTTGGGCTCTTGCAATTGCTGGCCTGTATGGAGATAGGGCTGCTGCTGTCCGAGAGATTTCTAAACTAATCATACTTTTAATTTCTTCAAAATTGAGCAATGGTTTCTTGGGAACTCCTCTAATGCCTCAACTTAGAGATGGCCTCTGGAACTTGAGGCCAGCTCAACAAATCTGTCACTGTAATAACAACATCCTAAACAGAATCTTGGAAATGAAGGAAGCAAGCTTTGCAGCATTTACTTAGGGTTTCTGCAAAGGCTCTTCTTCTGGGTGAAATAATTACTCTGAGGCATTACCTACTAGCAAAACAGCATCCCAAGAAGCTGGAGTTAAATGCCAGAGACTTCTGAAAACAAAAGTAAGACAAGCCTCAATTTCAAAGTTCTTATTTTTGGCAGCTTCTGTAGTTACCTGATGGGAGAAGAAATTTTCCCCAGACTTAGCGCTGTGATGAGCATGGACTGTGAGATCAAGTCAATTTTCTGCTGCTACAGTGGGCTAAAATAACGCTACCTATTCACCAGCCTAGAGAGAAATTCGATTTTGTTTTTATTAAGCTGAAACTTCTCTTGATACTCACAGTGAGTCCATAGGGGAGCAGAAACACAACCTGTACCTGCTTCTTCAATTTAGGAAATCTTGCTGAATATGTAACAGGGCAATCGCGATGGGTTTTTACAGAAGCCACATACATACATATAAAGTCAGACATATTTTTCTCATATACCTCTTTCATCAGCCAGTTTTCTTACTCTCAATCTTGTCTGTACATCTGTCAAAACAGCACAATTTACACCAAATCATCTACATTTGTTTTCCATTTAGTAAAAATCCATCTACCTGCAGATGGTAGTTTATGGTGTGTATGTGGGATTCCTCTCACTCTGAGTGCATGTCTTACGTCTTCAAAAGATAATATATTAGCTGGAATTTATCGGGCATCTATGTATTTATTATATTGTCATAGAATGTTTCATGAGGTTAGGGACCATTTCTGCTTGTTCAACCCTGAACCATCAATACATGTTTTCACAAGTATTGACAGTTTGCCCATAGAAGGTGCTCCAAAAGTATGCATTAAATCAACAGACTACATGCACTCATGTGTTAAAACACTCTTGCTAAATAGGTATTATTGTCTTAATTTTGTAAGAGGGGAAAACAAGTCTCAGAAAAGTTAAGTAATCACTCAAAAGTCATACAATGAATAAGAAAAGAACTGGACTTCAAATTTAGTTTTATTCACCTCCTCCTTCCATCCCATCCTACCATACTTCTTCAAATACAGCTTTGATGTGGAAAACACCTATTTTTCTGACAGATTTCCATTGTTAATTGCATGTTTTATAGTTTTAAAGGGAGCCGAACACAAGCTATCTTTGCCATGCAAAAATCAGAGAGAATGAGATACTTGCTGATTTTTCTGACTTTATAAACAGACATGCACAGGCAGTTTTATGTTAATGTGTTAACTCAGTTGTTTTGGTTCAAGTTTGCTTTGGAAACTGAGTCAACTACTCCCTTTTACCCATGCTTCTCCAATAAGCCTCTCTTATTGCTTTACCCACCACATCTTACTATAAAGACCCACAAGGTGGCTATAAGAGTGGGAGATCTCAGTAAGTTTCCATAATTGTAACAGGGTTTGGCTTGCAGTGTCTTATGGAAGATAAGCTGAAAAACTCTTATCTTTTAATTAGCAAAAGCTAGTCTGATTATGGTTCCTTGTTCATTTTAAATTGATAAAAACTTTGCTATAAAAAAGTAGCAATAAAATACATGAAGACATCTAGCTATCAAAGACCACACCTCCATATAGTTATTATATCCCATATTTCTCTCTTGAATTCCTACATTCTTACATTTTAAATTCTGTTTCCCTTCAGGACATTTGGATCTCCCAGTATCACTTAAGTGTATCCTTCCTTTTTCTATTCCATCTCATTTCTGTGTTAGTTTTTGATTTGTGTATTTTTGCTAACCTATCTCCCTTCCCCTTTCTGGAATTCTTGTTTAAAAGGCACATTTAGTTCTCATTTCTTCTATATATATTTAATTTGCTGCTTGGAGAATATCTTTGGCAGGAAGAAACAGTTGTTGGCCATTTCTCCATTAACACTAAAAAATAACACCAATCTTGCCAGCAAAACACACACATGCACACACACACACACACACATATGCACAAACACACAGAGGTTTCATATGTAAAAGAGATATGCAGACATGTAGTATGGCTTATTTCTTAGGTATCTTGCTTTTTTTCTTTTTACATTTCCATTTTTGGCTACTACCAGCAAAAATGATTTTAAAAAATCATTATGTCATTTCTTTGCCTCCTGCTCTTCCTTTTTCTCTCAATTTTTTCATCTCTCTCGTTTTTCCTTATTTCTTCTCCCATTACACCTTAGACTGTCCAAAGTGGACAAATCATGTTAAAAGCATTAGGAGCTTTTAACTTGCATTCTATTTTTCCAGGAGCTAAGAAGAGAACTGCTTCCTGTTTGGGTATTTTCATTAAGGTGAACATGTCAAACTGAGAGAGAAATATTAATGGCAATAGTCTAATTTCTGTATGCCTGATGACAGGTTCTGATTTTATCCCATGTCTCCAGATAGCACCTTTTTTTTTTTTTTTGGCAAAGAGGATATGAGAGTGCTGAGATTATAAGGGCTAGAAAAATTAAATAACTTATTTGCTCATTTTATGAGTAGCATGAATATCAGTGCTTCTCACATTTGGCACCATGAATATTTTTGAATAACAATCCAAATACATTCAGCTGTTGGGTATTAGCTATGCCTGCTCAGGAATATTGCCAGCTGCAGGTTGGAGCAAAAACACTGAACTTGGAGTGCATCATATTATCCTGATGGAAAATCCACTCAACAGCAATTGACATAGTTGTTAGCAGAGATCCAAAGCCCTATTGAGAAGAGATTTAGGACATCTGGGGCTTCCTAGGTCTTTTCTTCAATTTGCCCTGTGTTTCAGTACACAAGAGTGTTTACATCGTGACTTCATATAAACCTTTCTCTCTGTACGTCTCATTTGGCACTTATTATATATTGCTTTATATTCTTTATACACCTATGCATTATGGGACATAAGTGCCCTATCTTTGAAATAACATAATGCAATTATTAAATTATCTCTATCTAGTGTCTTATACATCATATATTCTCAATGATAATGTTTAACGGTGAAGGCCATTCAATTTTGTCTCATTTTTCATTTGAGCTTCAGCTGTGTTTTCCCTTCTTACCCTTGCTTACAAATCTTTCTCTAATTTTGTCATAACTTTTTTCTTTGTTTAAATTTTTGGAAAATGTGAGTTTTAAGTCTGATTTTAAGGAGCTCAAGGGAAACTGATTACAATCTGGTGGCAACTGCTAATTGTGATTTGCAATGCAGTTTCGGGAATGATTTGGGTGGAAATGATGAAGAGCATGAAGCTGCGGGTCGAAGCAGTATGAGAAATAAAGTTAGATGGCTAAGGAGAGACAATTGACAATGGTATTGTTATCATCCTAATTTTATGAGGCAGGAAGCTAGAGACTATTCTTGCCTTTTCATAAATTTATTCCCATCTCTTTCAATGACCTGTCAATTTTACTTCTAAATATCTCTTGAATGTGTTCAGTTACCTTTATTTCTGCTACGCCTACTCCTGTCAAGAAATCCACATTATCTTTGTGGTCTCCTATAATGCCATACTAATTGCACCTCATTCATTTATTCTTTTAAATTTATTGTTCTTATTAAATTTGTTTTTAAATTTATTATTCTTATTAAATTTATTTTTAAATTTATTATTAAATTTATTATTCTTTTAAATTTCATTTAATTTCATTTAATAATTATTAAGCATCTGCCTAGGAAAACAATAATAAACAACAAAGACATTTTTCTGCCTTAACGAAGTATCTAGTATAGTTGGAGGAACAGTTTTTGATACAACTGAGCAAAATGTGATGAGTACCATGACATAGTAAACACTAGAGCTGGCCCCTTCCTGCAATGAGTTCTCACATCAAGGATGATTTCCTAAAAATACCAATATACATACCATTCCTGTGCTTACAAATGTTTCAGTGGCTCAGCATTGCCTTTCAGATGAATGCAGAACTTCTTAACATTGCCTTGAGACCCTCCATGTTCTGGCCTCTACTGACCTCTCTCTCTCTCTCTCTCTCTCGGAGAGATTATGCAATTCATTTTTAATTTTTTTATTAATGTATATTTACTACATATTATAAAATTAATGTAATATATTAAATACATTAATTTATGTTATATATATATTTTATTTTATTTTATTTTATTATTATACTTTAAGTTTTAGGGTACATGTGCACAATGTGCAGATTTTTTACATATGTATACATGTGCCATGTTGGTGTGCTGCACCCATTAACTTGTCATTTAGCATTAGGTATATCTCCTAATGCTATCCCTCCCCCCTCCCCCCACCCCACAACAGTCCCCAGAGTGTGATGTTCCCCTTCCTGTGTCCATGTGTTCTCACTGTTCAATTCCCAACTATGAGTGAGAACATGCGGTGTTTGGTTTTTTGTCCTTGTGATAGTTTGCTGAGAATGATGGTTTCCAGTTTCATCCATGTCCCTACAAAGGACACGAACTGTTCATTTTTTATGGCTGCATAGTATTCCATGGTGTATATGTGCCACATTTTCTTAATCCAGTCTATCATTGTTGGACATTTGGGTTGGTTCCAAGTCTTTGCTATTGTGAATAGTGCCGCAATAAACATACGTGTGCATGTGTCTTTATAGCAGCATGATTTATAATCCTTTGGGTATATACCCAGTAATGGGATGGCTGGGTCAAATGGTATTTCTAGTTCTAGATCCCTGAAGAATCGCCACACTGACTTCCACAATGGTTGAACTAGTTTACAGTCCCACCAACAGTGTAAAAGTGTTCCTAATTCTCCACATCCTCTCCAGCACCTGTTGTTTCCTGCCTTTTTAATGAATTTTTATTGTTTTTTAAATTGATGCATATGCTTACCTCTCTTGCCTGTCCTTATCTCTGCACACTTTTCTTTTAGGTTCTCTCTCTTATTGAGCAATTTCTCACATCAAGGTCTTTTCAAGTGCTCTCCTCTCTTTCTGCAAGTCTCCCCTATACCCCTCTTCACTGCAGCCTTTCTTAAGTCTCAGTTTAGATTTTCTTTTCCCTGGAAAATATTCCCTGAACTCCCTTCTAGGATTGGAGACTCTGTAGTCTGCTGCAGTAGCAACCCATATTACCCTATAATAGTACTTGCATTTCATAGTAAAAGCTTGTTTAATGTTCAGTCTATCCTGCTAGACCCTAAGTTCCGTGTCTGTTCAATTTAGTTGTATCCTGACAAGGATTCTTTGCTTGGTCAAACTTTAGTCAGGCACCTGAATCTTCTCCTAAGCCCACCTGTGCATTTCCTTAAAAAATCTAGTTTTAGCAAATAACTTTGCTTAGTTTAGTTAGAATCCTTTATCCCCGATTATCTGATCACACTCAATGTCTAATCAAATTCTTTATCCTCCCCCATCACCCAATGGATCATCCTGGTCTGTCTTCAGCAAGAATCCTGTTAGGTTGGTTTAGCCAGAATCTCCCTTGCCTCTCATGTTTCCTCTTAGTAATTTCACATCCACTAACCCCCACCCTGCTACTTGGCTACAAATTCCAACTTGACTGTGCTATATTTGAAGTTGAGTCTGGTCTCTCTCTCTCTCAGTGCAAAATTCCATTGCTGTGGTTCCTATACCTATTGTGAGGTTCCTGTATAAAGTCTGCCTTAACAATCCTGAGGGACTTGGAAAGTGCCCACACCAAGTGCAAAACAAATAAATAAATCCATCTGATTTAGCCTCATTGTTATTTGTCCATTTTTCCTCCTACAGGTCTCTCAAATTAGTCCCTTCCTTTCATCCTTTTCTCCCTCTTTGGATCAGGCTTCAATTATTACAAGTCTCCAAGCCACTCGTTTTATCTTTAATATGGCTTCACTTAACCATTGTACATGTTTTGGCCAGAGTAATCTCACCAAGAGGCAAATATGATCATACTGTTCCATTGCTTTAAGGAAGCATTTGAGTCTTCCTATTGCCAAGAGCATAAATCACCAAATTACTGAATACCATTATTGGCCCTCTAATTTTTCCCCTGTAGTTCTCTGATCTTGATCTTTTATGCTATTTCATGCCACTTTGCTTTTGGGCATTCTGTTCCCTCTAACTAGAATGCTTTTTTTAAAAATCAATCTTTACTCAAATGTCTGGTTGGGAATTTTCTATTCATCTCAAAGAACTTTCCCAACTATATCCTCTTCTCCTGAGAAGTTCCTTCCGTGCTAAGGAAAGTTGGTTGTTCCTTCCTTTGTGCTACTAGTGTACATTGCACATATCTCTATTAAGATAATTTCTGGCTGTCATTTGAAACATTCATATAGCTTTTTGATTCTTCTACTGGGCTACCATTTTATTCTTGGCACCTAGTATTTCTACTAAATGAAAAAAAAAAATTGGAATACAAAGCAAATTGCTGTAACTGCTATCATACAGTTAGAGATAAAGTATATTATATATGCATTATCTACCACACTGTATTAGGGTTGTCTAGAGGGACAGATCTAATAGGGTAGATGCATATATAAAGGGGAGTTTGTTAAGGAGTATTGACTCACGCAATCACAAGGTGAGGTCTCACAATAGGCCGTCTGCAAGCTGAGGAGCAAGGAATCCAGTCCAAGTCCCAGTGCTGAAGAACGGAGACCAATGTTCGAGGGCAGGAAGCATCCAGCACAGGAGAAAGATGTAGGCCAGGAGACTAAACCAGTCTAATCTTTCTACTTTCTTCTGCCTGCTTTTGTTCTGGCCATGCTGGCAGCTGATTAGATGGTACCCACCCAGATTGAGGGTGGGTCTGCCTTTCCCAGTCCGCTGAGTCAAATGTTAATCTCCTTTGGCAACACCCTCACAGACACACCCAGGAACAATACTTTGCATCTTTCAATCCAATCAAGTTGACACTCAATATTAACCATCACACACACCTTTGGCAAAAGACAATTCTTGCAGTTAAAGTTACTAGAACAGAAGGGTCCCAGAGGCTCAGATGTTGTCAGTCTGTTACCTATGACTAAATAATGTTGTTCATGCAATTTTCCCACCTCCCACCTTTGTGATAGAGATTTGTTGGTAAGCTCACAACTCTGGTAAAGCCTTCCTTGCCCACCTTTACAAATATACTTCTGGCAGTTCAGTGGGCCTGGGAACACCTTCTATAGCTTCTCCTTCTCTAGAAGTTGTAATAATAACAGTTGTTATTATAGGAACTCACCTAGATACTCATGGTAACTATATGTAATTCCTGATATTAAGATCAAGCAAAATAAGCAAACAAGAAAGTGTGCTAACAGCATGTACCTCCTCTGAAATCAGTGTCAGGATGGGCATAGGTTTTAATTTCCTTAATCGTATGATGAATATACTATCTGCTGATACTCATGCACATCCCTGCCAGGAGGAAGGCCCAAACAAAAGATGGTTTGTCACCGTTATCCTCAGCAATATTTACACAGGATTAATCACATTTGAATGGGAATCTTATTATTTGATTTCTAATTTACATGGACTTTATAATTCTGAAGGACTAGAGGAATATTCATAGTAAATGAGGCATTAAAATACCTACAAAGAGGCAGGAAATACACAGACCAAGGTGGATTGCTAGTGTAGTCTCTGAGAAACTTTAATGGATGTAACTTTCTTTTCATTCCTAGAAAAGGGGCAGTCTAAGTAATTTATGAAGCAATAGCCAGAAATTACCTATGCAAAAGCTTCCACTATCATAGGCTCTACTGCAAGAAAATGGACCACAACATGAAATATGTTTCTCAAATTGAAGTCAAGGTCAAAATATATTTTTGAGATACATACGGCTTACAAAGAGCTTATAGAGGAAGATTCAATTGCAAAGAAATACACTTTGTAGAAAAGAGCATTCTGATAGGGTTAGAGTTAGAATAATTCTGCCAAACATGGCAGTCGCCAAGCAGATTTTGTAATGGTTAGCTTGAGTCTTTACCTTCCTATCACCTTTAAAAGTTTAAAAGATGTGATTTAGTCCAAAAACTATCATTGTTGTAGATCAGCAATCACTGATGCTTCTCGTCTTAGGAAAATATTTTCATTTGAAAAACACTTTTTTAAGATTTCTAATGAAAAGAAACATATATATCTTGTATTTTTATATATATCATGTATTTTTAAATCTCATTTTTAGTTTTTAGATAAGCATATAGTTTTTAGATAAGCATATAGATATGCAGAGAATATTTATTTATTATTTTATTTATTTATTTTATTATACTTTAAGTTCTAGGGTACATGTGCACAACGTGCAGGTTTGTTACATAGGTATACATGTGCCATGTTGGTGTGCTGCACCCATCAACTCGTCATTTGCATTAAGTATTTCTCCTAATGCTCCCCCTGACCCCCATGACAGGCCTCGGTGTGTGATGTTCCCCACCCTGTGTCTGAGTGTTCTCATTGTTCAGTTCCCACCTATGAGTGAGAACATGTGGTGTTTAGTTTTCTGTCCTTGCGATAGTTTGCTCAGAATGTCTGACAAAGGGCTAATATCCAGAATCTACAAAGAACTTAAACAAATTTATGAGAATTTTAAAGTTGGTTAGTTATAGGGCTGCAACTCAAAACATATATATGTATGTGTGTATATATATATGTATGTGTGTACATATATATATATATACATACACACTTTTTTTTATCATATTCTCTGAATGGAGCTATTTTTTTCTATTCCTTAGATGTTTTCACATTAAAAAGACAAACCATTAATTAAGATTAAAATATTTTAAATAATTTGGATAGATACTGAAGTATCCTTCATGTTGTCTGGCAAATTATTTATTTATAAATAGAGAAATCTGAAGTTTTTATCCACTAATTTTGGATGAAGAAAATTGAAATATTTAAAAATTCTTGATGTGAAGTCTGGAACTCGATCATTTTATTATATTCCCTAACACAAATTGTAGTTTTAAGATTTTCGGTTATTATTATACTTTAAAAATAAAAAATGTAATTTTTTAATTGTAGAATTTAGAATATCAATAAATTCTTACCTCATGATTCCTCTTTTTTTCCTAATTGGAACTTTTTCACTGTATTCTACTTTTCATAAAATGTCTTTCATCCAAGGATTTCTGAATGCTTTATAAGCATTGGTCTTAATATAGTTTGGTTACAAAAATCTGGAAAGTATGCTGAAATTTAGGGGTTTATTATGCTTCCTTCTCCCAGTGCCTTCCTCAATGAATATGGGCATCTCTGTGTACTCTATGTTCTTGTAATATTGCATTTAGAGAACACCGTTTTGGGGAACCTTACATGCAGTTTCTTAGGAGGACACAAAGTTTCATTAGAGACCTTGCCCCAAGGAGCTAACAACCTTTAAAGAAGATAAGCCATAAATTAAAAAACAAACAAAACAGTATCATAACAACAAACCTATGGTATCAGACAGTATGTGTCAAGTATATGGGTATAAATATACGTGCTATTATTGGGGTTCAGAGAGGACTTCATGAAATAGATGGCTTTTGTTTTGGGCTTAGAAGGATAACTGTGTGGGGAACACAGGGCAGCATTATAGGACAAAGTATCCTATGTCAAAAGTATAAAGATTAGAAAGTGTATGAAATGGGTAGTAGTTCCTGTTCGGGAAAAGGAAAGTGAGGTGAAGCACTTTTTTAACCCCAGACATAAAATATACTAATAGTTGTTTGTGTGCTTTCCTTTCTGAAATGGAAGCCCACAAATTACATGTTTTCTAAGGTAGTCCAAGCTTTTCTTCTCTCTGTGTAGTTTGAAAACCCTATAATTAAAGGGGATTCACAGTCATATCAGGAAAGAATAAAGCCTCCCGCAAAATTGGAATTTTCTTTTCTCTTTTTGTTTTTGGAGATGGGGTCTTGCTCTGTCTACTCAGCTGGAGTACAGTGGTATAATCGTAGCTCACTGCAGCCTCAAACTCCTTGGCTCAAGCAATCCTTCTGTCTCAGCCTCTCGAGTAGCTGGGACTACAGGAGCATGCCACCATGGCTGGCTAATTTTTTTTTTATTTGGAATTCTCTTCTGGGGGAATTTGCTAATAAAAGGAATAGACAGCTACAAATTACTACAAAGCAGTGTGGCTAAAAGTGCATTCCGGGCCACTTCAAACTGTTGGGAACCGGTCCACAGAAGATAGGCATAGAATATGAGAGTAAGAATTTAAAAACTTTTATGGCAATATAAAATTGTCACACCTCTGCTATGATTTGAATGATGATGTTCCCTCCAAAATTCATTTTGAAACTTAATTCCCCATGCAACAGTATTAAGAGGTATGGTCTTTGGGAAGTGATTAAGTCACAAGGGCAGAGCCCACATTAATGGGATTAGCACATTTATAAGCAGGCTTGAGGTTGAAGGGGGGCACTCTCTTGCCCTTCTGTTCTTTCTTCCATGTGTGAACACAGTGTTTGTCCCCTCCAGAGGATGCAACAACAAGGCACCATTTTGGAAGTGAAGACCTGGCTTCTACCAGATACCAATCCTACTAGTGCCTTGGTCTTGAACTTCCCAGCCTCCAGAACCATGAGGAATAAGTGTCCCTTGATTATAAATTACCTAGTCTTAGATATTTTGTTGTAGTAGCGCAAATAAATCAAGACAACAAAACAAGTCCATGATTGGTGGACTTGTTTTGTTGAACAGGGCATACAATAGTTTAATGTGTTGACCTCTTGTGCTGTGTCATGGATAACACAAGCTGTATTTTGATCATGCCCAGGGAACTATACACCAGTCTGTGATGGGTTAGAAATGTTAAAAAAAAAAAAAAAAAAAAGGTTTGTCCTCACAGAGTGCTAGAGAAGCCACAATTTATTTTCTTTAGCAAATGTTACTACATGCTATTTTCTGGTTATAAAGTTGTGTGTTTCATTCACATTGGTTACTGAGATAATAACTTTCAGCTTTTCTCCTAAATTCAGCTACTGTTCTCCCAACTGCAGAAACTAAGAATGAGGTGCTGTTGTCCTGATAAATAAGTCAGCAATACACTAATAACAATGCTATAAGAAGCACTTACTATGTGCCAGGCACTGTTCAAAGAATTTTACAGATATCTACTTATTGCATGTCAGGGTCCAGTCAGGAAAATAGTAATCACATTCTGCATTTGAGTAGGGGCTATTTTATATAGAAAATCCATTACACAGTAGAGATAATAACTACAAAAAGCAGCTACAGGAATCCCTCCCCTCACATTCAGGAGAACAATGGACATTGGGGTTACTAGAATCTGGTAGATCACAGGAGGGTGCTCAGCCTTTTGATGAGAGGAATCTCTTGGCTGCAACCACATCTTATGAATTTCAGAAACAGCCCCATAGAGATCATTCTCTGAGTTAATGGCATGGACAGGTTATTGCTTATATCTCTAAGGGGGCAAGTGTGTTGAAATAAGCTAGAAGCTTGAAGAAATGGCAATGAAGAATGCTGACAAACTAGCCAAAATCAAAAAGAAGTATTTTCTCTCTCCCTCTATCTTCTAACATCCCTCTTGTGTCTCTTATTGGTAGGGCCTAATAAGATGACCACTGACAGAGGAGGATGAGAAGTGTCATTTGTAGCACTCTTCCCCAGAGTACTATAGAGCAGAGGATAGAAGAGAGTATTGGGGCTGAGACACAATAAACAAATAACAAGCACAGTCACATAATCCTATGAGGTGAATTCTATGATTATTTTATTTTCAAATGAATAAACCAAGGGCCAGAGATTTTAGGTGAGCTGTCTAAGGCCAACAGATATTAGTGGAGATGAGCAACAGACATCTGACTCCAGAGTCCATACCACTGCCTTCTGTGCTCTACCGCCTCTTGGTAAAACTGGGTAGTAGGATTATTAAAGAGATTAGAAAACCAGGTTTTTATATAGAATTATCACTGGCTCTTTGTTTTTATGATTCCTGTTGAAGTATTTTTTTTAATCTTCAAGTTAATATAATTTTAACTTAATTATTCTAGAGCATTTAGAGGACTTTGCCATTGTTCTATCTATAAAGACGAGAAGAAAATAGGAAGAAAGCTTTATATTTCTGGTGTCATACGTATTTACTAGATATTAATATATTTAACCATTATATATGTATGGGGCTGGAGTGGCATTGTGTGATGGGGTATGGTATTAACAAGGTTTAGTCTTTCATTTACTTTATTGATCTATTCATTAATTCCACGTTGTAAAGGGTGTTAAAATCACAATGAACAAGAAAGACGTAGTCTCAGCTTTCACAGAACTCACATTTTATTTGCTCAATAAAGTAGACTGGTGAATTAGTAAAAGCCAGTATGGTGACTTCCCATGTATTAGTGATCTTATTATTATATTTCTAAATGAGTAATTGAACCAAACACAAAGGTTGTTTGAAGTTTTAGTGTTCGTTTTTTTCTGGCTTTGCAACCCAATCAAGAGCAGAAAAGTGTGGTAATAAACTGGAAATGACCATTTCTTCAGGACTTTAGAAGGTTAAGAACACAGAGGTAGAGAAGGGGCTACAGATGGTCTCATGGAAAAGGGCTCTAAAAGTAGTTAGAAAAAATTAACTAGAAATACATTGGAAATAAAGTTAAAGGTTGTTGAGTAATTGTTTTCTTTACCAATTACATTCTTAGCAATGTAAGTTCAAGACAAGAGTAAATAGTTGGGGAGTCTATAGTTGAGCCATCATTACCTTTAGAGATTTTTAACTGGAGTATAGAAACATTGGGGTGTGGCTTTAATTTATGGCAATCAAACATATTTAATCACCAAGGCAGAAAATCAATTAGGCTAGATTAGGCTTGGTTCTTACCCACAGTGCACTTTTTACATATTTGAGATATTGGTATTTCTGAGATAATGTTTTTATGGAGACATGAGAGAATTTTTGACCTGAGAAATATATTGCAAAGTCTAATATAATATCTGTATCTTTTTTTTATAATTCTTATAATGTCACAACTTAACTTTAAACATTTGTGTAGAATAGTGAGGCAGAAGCTTGGACTAGAGACAAAGCCATATTAGAATACACATTATCAAAAGATAAACTGTATAGTCTGAGCCAAATTGTTTGGGGCCATCTTGTCCAGCACCCCCACACAAAATAAGAAAGTAAAAGGAAAGAGTTAAACCCAGGAGTCTGCAAAACAAAGGCACTGGAGTAGATTGGAGATGCTTCCAGAGTTGCTCATTATATATGGGGTTTGAGCAGACATGAAGACCAGTGGAGTCTACTACTAGGGAAAAGCACCATTCTGGCTTTCATATAACAGTGAAACACTCTAATATGCAAAATTCTCTTTTTAATATCCTTTTGTATCTTTGGGACTTATCTTGATTTTTCCCATTGTCTAGTTCACATTTCTCCTGCCTCAACTTCTCAACTTTAAGCAATGATTGCTGACTTTGTACTCTGTTTCCTGGCTTCCGATTTCACATTTTTCTTTTGTTATAGTGCCTCCAAGCATTAATCCTTTGGTAAGGAGTTTTTGGCTCAGTTCTAGGGCTTTCCATGCATATACAGTGCCCTTATAGGCAGCCTTATAGTTACTTTGAGCACTTATTGAGATAGTTACCAAGGTCACCTGGCCTGAACTCACACATATGAAAAAGTGCCTGGTGTTGCTAGGTGGTAGAATAAGACTTACCCATAATTGACATATATCATTTTTAAGATTGCAAACTTTCTTTAACATTTTAAACTAGTTTTGATTTAAAAAATTCAAAAGCGTTTCACAAACTTTCTTGCTTCTAAAAAGCAGAGTATGATAAGCAACACTTAAGCATTTCTTGATGACTCATTTTAATTTTCAAAATTAACTACTATACCACAATATAAAACAGAGTATAGTCACTGCACTAAATGGTCCCAGACAGCTATATAGTTTGCATCCTTATGTCATAATTATTTTCTGCTTCCTTTCCAGTTGTTAAGCTATCAAATCAGCTATTCTCCAGGATCTCCCTGACTTCTTTTATAATATGTTGCTTGGAATTAGAAAACCAGATAGCCAAATTGATTAAAATGATGTCTAATCAAAGTGGGGAGCATCTCTGATTCATGACTGGTGAAATTTTCCATTAGGAAAGTGCAAGGTACTGAATTCCTTGACATTTGCATTTATTGGAACTATTTGGAGGTTTTTTGAAATTTACTTTGGTTCTCAGTTGGATCCTGGAAACTTTATGTCCTCATACTCTCAGAGAGTGGTGTAACTTACTAATGTCTTTGGGTTATAAGTCAGCAAGGAGTCAGCATAATGTAAGGTGGCCAGGTAGACAGGGTTTGACTCTTGCTTTTGTCACTTGCTAGCTTGAACAAGTCACACAGCACGTTTGAGCCTCATTTCAGTCATCTATAAACCTGTCATAAATGTTGGTCAGTATTAAAGGTCTTGTGTGGTATAAATCTAATACTCTAAGTCCATCACATCTCTTGAAGAAAAAGACTTCATATAACACAATGGGTAAAATAGATTGGTTTACAGAGTTTATCTTTGCAAAACAAAACCATATTGTTTACCATATGCAAAAGTCACTTTTTTTCAGCTTTGCCTGTCTTTATTGCTAGAATTCTTGTAATAAAAATCTCTGCCTTCTCCTTAGATTATTATTCTAGGGATGATCTGATGACCAGGGGTCCAGACACCATGCTCCAACTTCTACAGTCTCCTCCCACTGCCCTTTATCCAAAATTATTGCCCTTTTCAGAAGAAAGTTTTACAGTGACTGAGTCTGTCAAGGGCCAATGAGAATAATTTAACTAAATTATGAATTTATAGGCCAGAATTAAGAATGTAAGCCTGAGGGGTACTGGTTTAAAAGGCAGCATTAGCTTTCCAGTTTTTGATGGAACGATAATTTTGGTACTATTTTGGAACTTTTCTGGCTACTAAAATAGCCAAAGCCTGTGACTCCAGTCCCTAGAGATTGTGCCTGTATTAGACCATTTTTACACTGTATTAGACCATTTTCACACTGCTATAAAGATACTACCCAAGACTGGGTAATTTATAAACAGAGGAGGTTTAATTAACTCACAGTTTGGCATGGCTGGGGAGGCCTAATGAAACTTACAATCATGGCAGAAGGGGAAGCAGGCACCTCTCACAAGGTGGCAGGAGAGAGAAAAGAAAAGAGTGAAGTGGGAAGAGCTCCTCAAGAAACCAACAGATCTCATGAGAACTCATTCACTATCATGAGAATAGCATAGAGGAAACTGCTCCCATGATCCAATCACCTCCCTTCTGGTTCCTCCCTGGACTCATGGGGATTATGGGAATTAACAGTTCAAGATGAGATTTGAGTGGGGACACAGAGCCAAACCATATCAGTGCCTTTTGGGGAATTCTTTTGGAAATTGGGGAGCATGAAAACCAATGTATAACTGTTGTCTAAAATCAAGGAGAGTGGAAAGCTGTGTGAATGACACACATTTCCGGAGTTTGGTAGGACAAAAACACATGAGCTTCCCTGTAAAAATAATAGAGACTGCAGAAGAGAATTAGATTCTATATAAAAAGATCCTGCCTTCAAAGGCTTCTTCCTAGGATGTGAGGACCCCAGAGTAAATCTCTGGGCAGAAGTTGAGGGAGAACTCTAATTTCTAGGATAGAGGTGTTCAGCCATGGATGCAAGAGACTAAAGGGGGAAATTGACATGGTTTAACTCTGTGTCTCCACCCGTATCTCATCTGGTAGCTCCAATAATTCCCACGTGTTGTGGAAGGGACCCAGTGAGAGATAATTGAATCATGGAGGTGGGTCTTTCCCATGCTGTACTCGTGATAGGGAATGGGTCTCACGAGATCTGATGGTTTTAAAAACGGGGTTTCTCTGCACAGGTTTTCTCTTTGCCTGCTGCCATCCACGTAAGATGTGACTTGCTCCTCCTTGCCTTCTGCCATGATTGTGAGGCCTCCCCAGCCATGTGGAACCATAAGTCCAATAAACCTGTTTCTTTTGTAAATTGCCCAGTCTTGGGTATGTCTTTATCAGCAACATGAAAATGGACTAGTACAGAAGTATTTCTTGAGAATCCACAGAAGCCTTTCCTGAGAGAGCACTGCGTAACAGAGACCATTAAACAAGCAATGAAGAATAATAAATAGCTAGGCAAGTAATGTTTTGCCTTTTCCTCTAGTTTTACTTCTCCTTGTACCCAGAAGAGCATGAAGCAAAAGAGCCAGTGGATAAGGAATTGAAGTAAGGAATACTGAAAGAACTGAGGCTATCCCCCTTTCCTTTCCTTTTTTTTCTTTTTCTTTTCTTTTTTTTTTTTTTTTGAGACAGAGATTGCTCTGTCACCAAGGCTGGAGTGCAGTGGCACCAGAGCTGGAGTGCAGCGGCATGATCACGTCTCACTGCAGCCTCAACCTCCCAGACTGAAGCAATCCTCTCACTTCAGCCTCTCCAGTAGATGGGACTACAGGTGTATGCCACCATGCTTGTCTAATGTTTTAAATATTTTATAGAGACAGAGTCCCATTATGTTGCCCAGGATCATCGTGGACTCCTGGGCTCAAGTGATCTTCCTGCTTTGGCCTTCCAAACTGCTGGAATTACAGGCAAGAACAACCACTGCAGGCCCATCCCCTTTTCCTATTACTTGTCTGAGATGTCTTGGTCCAGGCTCAATATGAGAGAGGCAGAACTTTAAACTGTATAGAGGACAGAATTTCATTTTATTTATATTTTAGATTGAACTGGACTACTTAAATCTGATACAGATAGTATCCTAATACCAGGAAACTTATGTCATCTGCTCAAGATAGCCTCAACAGATGGAAAAGGAAGACTCAACATAATTTGTTAAAGGCAACAGTGGATAAAAGAAAAACTTCTTCCCGAACAGTCTTTAAATTCAATTCATTTAAAGGACTGTCAAAATAAACATATCTCATAAAAATCTGATCTACATATTTATTTAAAGGCATCCTTCACTCATTTATTCATTTATTCAGAGTATCGCTATATCTTCTGGCATTGTCCAACAGATTTTATAACAATTTTAAGTAAATTCTAAATTAGATGTTATAATATAATAAAAGAAATGCATCAATGTTTGCATTTTGAGCTTCCTTATAAATGGAGATCCCACACAGCAATGATAGGAACCAGGTTTAGGGGAGAGAAATGAGAGAGGACAAATAGGGCATAGTAATTACAGTGATCTAACTTCACTATTCTTTGCAATGAAAAGCAGCAGGATGAACTTTCATTCTTGAAAACGTTGACTGGTGGTACGGGTTATTGCGAGCACATTCCCTGTATACACTGTGAAGACTGCCTAACCACAGTAGGAGCCAATACATGTTTATGCCACTATCTTGTATTACATGTGATGTCTTGGTAATATACAACCCATTCAGGACTCTTTCCTAGAAGCTTTTTATTGAGTATCACAAAATCCACACTGTGTATACAATTTAGAGTCTATCAAAGCAGATGAGAACATATTATGCTTACTGTCTTGGGGAACAATTTCAATCAGCCTCCCCACTCCAATCCCTTATTAGTGGCTGCCTATAGCATTGTGCTGAGGCTGATTCCATAATCACATCAGAGTGTGGCAGGAACACCATAGCAATTAGCAACATGTTCCAGGAACAAGGAGAAGAGAGAGGTGGCAAGTTGGCCATATATTTGACAGCGTCTAAATTGAAGCTTACTTTTTTCCCCTGCAGCAACTGATCATTGAGGTAAAAGCAGGCTATTGATTTATGTTGAAGTGGAGAGTAAACTATGGTTTGATGACAGGTAGCGTCCAGTCATTTTGCAACACCCAAAGTAGCATGTTACTTCTGATCTTCTTAGTTGTTTGTCTAACTATTAATCCAACATCAGCAGCATGTTTTCAGAGATGGACAGGACTCCTAGAATGGGGGAATGAGCAACTGAAGACTTATGCGTTGTAAGTACATGAGTCCATAAGGTGTACAGACAAATGCCCAAGAAGCCACCACCAGCTCCACTTTTCTTGAAGTGGAGGGTGGGAATGTATATATTGTTGATTCTCATTATTCACAGCAGCTATATTCTATAATATCACTGCAAACACTGAATTGGTGAATACTGAACACTTGCTCCTAGGGCAAATACAGGGTTAGGTTCCTGTGAGCCTCTAGTCACACATTTTTCTTGACCAATCAATAACATTGATTTAGGTTGACTTATGTTTAAAAATTTCTTACTTAATATACACTGTTGATTCATTAACATTGAACTCACAACCAACAGCCACTAATTTATGCTAGAACAAACTTATCTAACACATATTTTCTGCATAAGGCACATCACAGTCTTCTTGTATTTAGGAATGCTACACAGCTCTTCAGCCTGATTCTTAGCGGCATTTTAAACAGTGAAATCATTAACAAAAGGCACTAAAAAGCCAAAACCATGCCATTGAATAGACCACAAAAAATACAGTTGTTTACAGTATGAAACAAGAACTTGTTTACAGAGCTGAAACAAGAAAACAGAGAATGTGTGTATCAGGTGACTCAAATTTTTCACTATTTCGAGCATGATCACGAATGACAGTGAAGGTATCATGAGTATTGTTTTGGGGGTTACAAATAAATTTTAGTAAACAGGCAAATTCACAAATATGAAATCTGTGAATAATGAAAATTAACTATGTGTTTGTGTGTGTATGACTTTTTAACTAGAAATAAAGATGCAGCCTTTAACATGAAGAGCTCCCATTTAATTGAAAATTTATGACTAGTACAAATAAAATATTCAAGGAAAATGCAAACTTGATATACAAGAAGACTAAACTCAACGGTTGAAATGCTAATATGAAATTCAAGGAGGAGTCTACGGAATACTCCAAGCAGAGATATTTTTAAAGAAGTAGGAATTGTTCTGAGCATTTGAGTGTGGGATAAAATTTGTTTAAGAGGAATGTAGCAGATAATGGACCTCAGGTGATGGTTCAGAGCGAACAAAGGTTTGGAGGCAAGAATGATGCTCTGAGGGCCCCTATAGCACTCCAGAACCAGTAGCACATGGAAGCAAAGATGGACTAGAGAGAAAGACTGAGCCCAGTGGGACACACAGAGCAGCTGGTCTGAGGATTTCATTCTGTAATCAGAAATACACCCCAGTTTGACCTTCATATTCTGATTTCAGGCTCAGGCTCCGATGGAATAATGGCTGTGCCTTTTATGTATGTGTATATTTAACTAAATTAAGCATGCAGCATTCTGCACAGATGAGCACTTGATATATTTGTTTATTGGTTATTCTTTCACTCCCACCTTGCCCAAGAGAAGTGAATGATTATAGTTTTTTCACCCTTTCTCAGAAACCTCACAGTGTGGGAGCAAAGTATTCCTTTCCCCAGGATAAAAGAGAGAAAGTAAATTGAGCCATAACAAATATTAGCCCACGTATGCTACTAAGTGTTCCCAAAAATTGGAGGTTAAATAAATCCACCATGTGGCTTTCAGAGTTGTGGTATAGTCAGGGGCAACACCCATAAGGACTTTATTTCTGAATGCTTTTTGAGAATATGCCCATGATTAAACTCTGTGCTGTCATTTAAAATGAGGGAATTAAACAACCAGCAATTAATATCACACTGGAGTATTACAGTCATATATGCAAGGATTTAGATACCTTTTATTAAATGTATTATTTTAAAGCATATAAATATTTTTAATTGTTTCCATTTCTACCAAAAGTCTTATTTACAAAGGGATGGATGCTGCTGGGGTAAGATGACAGACTCAGGCAATCTTCCTGGGCAGGGATTGAGAACATTTTTTGTAAAAGTTCAGATAACAAATATTGCAGGCTTTGCCTAAGAATAGGCTCTTTCACAGCTGCTCAACTCTGCCATGTGAAACCAGTCATAGATAATACATAAGTGAATGAGCATCGCTATGTCCCAATAAAATTTTATTCATCGGCATTTATATTTGAATTTTAAATATCTTTCTCATCTTATAAAATAGTGTTGTTCTTTTGATTGATTTTTTTAACCAATTAAAAATGTAACTGCGACTGTTACCTTGTGGGACACAACAGAAGAGATTTGGCCCATAGGCTGTAGTTTTCAGACTCCTGCTCTTAGGTAAAAGAGAGTCAATACTTCTCAGAGACTGAGAAAAAGGCGTTGGGCAGGCTAGGGGTATAATTGTGAATTGTGAATCCAGATTAAGAGGACAAGGTTCTTTGTCCCTGAAAAGCTTACGTATTGCTCCTGATGGTACTTTCTCAGGGACTGGAGTCACAGGCCTTGGCTACTGCAGAGTCTGGAAAGATGCTTCAAAGCAGTACCAAAGCACCCACTTGCAGTATTGCTTCAGGCTCTTCTGGCTAAGAAGAATAGGGAAATCAGGGGAAAGGCAAAATATTACTTTCTTGGCTATTTATTATTCTTCAGTGCTCTTTTAGTGGTCTCTGCTATACAGTGCTCTCTCATGGAAAACTTGTGTGTCTTTAAGAAACACTCCCTACTCTCAGTCTCTTGCACCTATGTTGAAGACCTCTATCCTGGAACTCAGAGTTCTTCCCCAACTCCTGCTCAGAGTCTTATTCTGGGGTCTTCTCATGCCAGGAAGAAGCCCTTAAAGGCAAAACATTTTTGCTATGGAGAGGAGGCAGGGAAATACTAGGTAGAAAAGGGCAGGGTCTCTGGCAAGGGTTCTACCCTAGAGCCTGGACCCATGGCCCTAAATGAGAATTTCACATCCCCATTTTCCCACCTGAATGTTACCTTTTGGCCCATGACACCCCCTATCCTGTGTCCATAAAAACCCCAAACTCCACTGGCAGAGGAACAGAGTGGCTTGGCAGAGAAAGAGAGAAGTGTCTGAATGTCAAGAGAAGAAGAGGCAGCTGGACATCAGAGACTATGGAGAGGAGTTTGGCTGGGGATGGCCAAACTCCAGGGGAAGATTATCTTTCCATTCTATCCCCTTTCCAGCTCTCCATCCCACTGAAAGCTACTTCCACTGCTCAATAAAATCTCCAAATTTACCATCCTTCAAGTCTATGTGACCTGATTCTTCCTGGATGCCAGACAAGAACCCAGGTACCAATAGGGCAGGGTGTAAAAGGCTGTCATCGTGACCCTCCACTGAGCTGGTTTAACACTTAGCCATCTGCAGACGGCAAATGCTAGAAGAGCATTGTTTGTAACACATGCCCTGTGGGGCTCCAGAGGTCACGGGCAACCCCTAGATGCTGCCACGGGTTGGTACAGGGTTTGTTCCTGTCAGTTCCCAAAGGCATTCACCCCGGCTCCTCCACCTGCTCACCGGCATGCTCCCTCTTCTGCAAGGGGTTTGAGTGGGTGGTCAAGCAAATGAGCCACCCCTGCTGCAGGTCCCACAAGGGGGTCAAGGGAACTCTCCTATCTCATTTTCATAATGGCTGTAGCCCATTTCCCTTCTATAGTTTCTATTTGGCTTACAGAAAAACTCACATGTCCTTGTCATCCCAAACTTTGGAAATTTGTGCCATTGACAGGGTTTTCCTTTCTCCTTGATTTCAGGCAAGAGTCATACACTGATCTTCATGCTCCTCAGATTCCAAGAGGTATACGTCAAATTTCCAAACAATTATCTCACTGCATAAAACATTTGTCCTATAATGGCATCTAATGCATCATCCTCTAATCAAGCTCAAAAATGTTAAGTAAGGAGGTCGATATCTCTTCCCTGTGACGGATCGTCAGTTTCTTTCTCAGAAGGTGGTTTTCTGCCCTCTCTCACTTAGCTTGGAATTTGGGAGAAGATACATTCTCCTCTCTTTCATTATACAAAGGGAAGAGAAATGCCACAGTACTCCTTATTTCTACTAATTTCATTCCATTTGCCTTCCCTCTCTGATTAATCTCTCTTGAATTTCTTACCTTTCCTTACATAGGGCAGTGGTGGACCATAGGCTAAAGGTTGCAGAGCCAATTTTGTCTACCTCTTAGAAAATTCTGTGGGGATGCTGTGTTTGTTGTATCATTCATTGCTCTCAGCTTTGGGGCCTCATCAGGAAAGCAGAAATCTTACATAACATACCCAGTGCACTTGTAAACCACTATTTGGGCTGGTTTTACACTACCTTTTATGGACTCTCAGGAGAAATAAAGATCATAGATATCAGTTAATTCACCCATATGATGGTCAAATTTCCTCTGCAACATCCCTGTGGATAACTTATACATCTTCAAGTCCTCCAATCACGGAAACAACTCATTGTATTTGGGAATAGCATTAGTGAGAAGTCCTTCCACGTGTCAAGTCAAAGTCTGCTTTTCTGTAATTTTCCCTCGACCTTCCTCCTCATTCTCTTCTTTGAAGCTAAACAGGACAAGCTGTTCTCTTCGGAGAAGCTTTTATATGAGAATCTTTAAATATGTGAGGATAACAGAGATTTTTTTTTCTTTTTACTTCCTTGAAGACTCAGGATTCCCATTGACTGCAATTGTTTCATAATGAGATTGTTTCAAATCCTGTCATTAAAGGGGTCTCATTTGGACACAATTCATTTTCCAGGTGGGGTTTGACCTAAACCAAATTGAACAGAAGAATCATCATCCTTCTTTTGGGAAACCGTGCTTCTAAAATCCACTCCTCCCACCTCTGAGCCTCTTTTTCCTGAAGGAATCCTATTCACTCTTTAGAATTTAGGCCATCTTTTTCAATACCTCTCCTCTTCCCCTTCCTCTTTTCTGAAATGTCACTGTATATATGCATCTTTATTTTGGTATGTGTCCTATTGAATGGTAAATTAATTACTTAATTTTATATCTGTTTTTCCCAGAAAATGCTAAGCTCTTGAAACAAGGACAATGTGTTATGCATCACTAGATTCCCCTTATGTCTTTATGCCTGGCACAAGCTGGAGACTTCATGAATGATGTTGAATAAACAAATAAGTGAATGCAGCCTAAGACTCCCTTCAGCCTTCCTAGTAGTGGTATCATACAGTTGCACCATGTTGAACACTTTGCCAATTTACATTTCTGAGAGCTTTTCACTTTTGCTCAGCTCACCTGGGTTTTCTCCATTATACTTATACCTATTATATGTATTTTAACTACACATATGTGTTGAAAAGTTAACATCTGAAAAGTGTATCTTAATGAAAAGTAATTCCAAATTATTTTAATCTATTTACAAATTCAGAGTAGACCTTATATTAACTCACAGTATAAGTATTTGAAAACAATTAACATTTCATTTATTTTAGCCAGTCTTTTTACCCCTTCAAATTACCCTCCTCTAGGGAGATTTTATCAGCTGTAAGATGGATCAGGGACCCTTCTTAGGGGCCTGCTAGGTCCCCACAAGCATGGAAATAAAGAAAAAAATCTTGAGTCCCTTCAAGGTAAATTCTAGGCACCTAGCTAGCCTTGAAAAGTAAGTGAGCAAACACATAAGCAAGAGGATATTAACAATAGTCTCCTAAGCAAGCCAACGTCAAAAGGTGTTTTGGTTCCTCTGGAAACAAAAAGTTAAAATCTTAACATATGTTCTTGGGTTGTTTTTCAGAAATCCCCACCAAATGGAAAATGCCAACTGCTATCACATAGACCTCGGAGAAGGAAGACCTGGGGACTGAACTCTGGTCTCTGTTCTTCATTCTGCATTTCTTCCTGAGGGGCCTGGAGAGAATCACACCCTTGGGCCAAACCAATGTCTAACCTCCATGTATTGATTTATGATTTTTCCTACAACTTCTGCTCTCCTGGAATGTATCCTTACCTTGAAAAACCCTTGCTTATAAGCCATCTGGGAGTTTGGGTCTTAAGCATTAGCTGCCCGTCCTCCTTGCTTGGTTGGCACCATGCAATAAATGCCGTTTTCTTTAACTGCAAATCTTGATGTCAGTGTCTGGCTTTCCTGCACTGGGCAAGAAGACCCCAGTTTGGTTTGGTGGCAGCTGTTTATATAAAACTTCCTGAAATCCCCCCATTGTGAACCTGGGAGTCAACAAAAACAACAAAGTGAAGCAGGGTTTGTTTGTTTGTTTGTTCGTTGCTTTTGTTTTATTTTGAGAATAGAGAGGACTGTGGGGGAAGAAAGATATACTTGTTCCTATTCCCACGCCATGCATTTTGGATGATGTGATACCTTTGTTGGTTCATGTCTGCAGCTCCTCAGATAGGTTCCTTTACTGTGTTCCTGTGCCTCCTCCTCCCTCAAGACCAGATCAACTTGTTCATTTCTGAAAGCAATCATTTGGTACAAAGTGTTACAAAACAATGTATGAGCAACTCAAGTATTTCTCAGCCATAGAATACTGGACAGATACAGTGGAAACTCACTTCCCCATCTGTGATTTTTTATTCCTTTCAAATGTCCTTTATTTCCCTTTGACTTTTCATCTGGAGTGTAAAACAGGCAAATGAAAGTAATCCTGATTAATGTCATTCATAATTTCTATTGCGCATCTACTAGGTGCATGGAATTTATTAAGGCAGGTCATATTTTAAAGGGTATAGTGTGGGAACTGTTGTCAAAGTATAACATATAAATCGATTTTGACCATTTATCATAAAATTATTATCTTTACACTAACCATATCATTATTTATTGTATGCTCAAATGTGCTTTGTTTCTCTTCTGGTTCCATTTTTTTTCCGCTTGTGGAGAAATGCTTCTAGTTATATAATGGAGTTCCATGGAAAAGTCAGGTAAGGTTACGCATAAACTTATTGGACGTGGCTATTTACAATTTGTCATTGTAGGTGCCTGAACACACAAGGAAGGAGAAATGAAAATAAGGAATCAGGAAAGATTAGTGACATGCCTTGGAATGAATCTGGAACAGCTTTGCCTGTGGTCTGAACTATATGTTTCACATTTTTAAAGCATTTATCTAAGGGTCCTTGCTATAACCAAAGGCGATTTTTCAGACCCCATGATTATATTCACTAGCAACAGAAGTGTGTTTTAGTAATAGTCGGATGTCTATTTATACATCATCAACATTTTAGGTAGTTTTCCTGTATTTCTTAGTCCCCCAAAACTCCTGAAATTCAAATTCTGCCTCCTCTCTAACATTTAGCACATTGTTGGTGCTCAATAAATGTTTAACAGTTGGGATACTTATGTTTAACAGCTGCAACATTGACTCCAAGGACAGCTGCATTTTAATGGTGTGTGAAGTGATTTATATGTAAGCTTCTAAAACTCATAACTAAAGCACTTAGCACTTTAGGCTCCTCTGGGACAAAAGGTGATAGATTAAGGTAAAATGGTATTATTATTTAATTCCGAAAGAGGTAAATTACACTGGCAAAATGCTATTTGATGTTACTGGCAAACCGCTGTGGTCTGATGCTTTGTTGCCATCAGGAAACGTGGTCCAGTGGTGGTAGCTGTGGTGAAGGAGGCAGGAGTCCCGGGTGCTATTTCTGGTTAATTCACTGACTTCCTGGGTGACCTTGGGCAACTCACTTAACCTCCCCATGCCTCAGTCTCCCTCCCTAGGAGTAGAACTGAGCAGTCCTTTCTAAGATTCTGCTTTAAAAGGACATTTTAAGAGTAAAACCTTGAAATGCTTCATTTGGCAATAACATTTTTTGCAGTAATGAGTGATTTGTTTTTCTCCCAGCTGCATTGTTGGCTGTTAGAAAAGCAGTGTATATTAATATGTCCTTAGCCTGAACACACGACGTGAGTTCCCAGAGTGGCCATGGGCACAGGAGTCTGTATTTCAGAACAGACCTATATCACTGCCAAAGGTACTTTGATTCTATACCATGCACACTTCTTATGACTTTGTCCTTACCATGTTTAAAGAGATTCTGAGACAAAGAAATAAACACTTCCCTGAATCCTTGGGTGGTGAAAGCTGTCTGGATTTTGAATCGACTCTTGCAGTTTGAGAAGAACCTGTTCATGCGTTTGGGAAAAATAGTGAAAAAATCCCAAACTTAAATCTTCTGCTCATTGCTCAGTTGAAGAAGAGAGTAGAGGACAACAGAGGGGTCCCTCTTCCTGTCTATGCCAGCCTTGTGAGCCTGCTGAATGGGGATGTCGTGCGGTTGGAACAGATGGCATTTCAGATCCTGTAGTGGCTATATCTTGAATTCTGACCATGGTACTTTACTCTAAATTCCTTGAATGGCTACTTAGGCTGCTGTATTTCTGACAATGCGTAGGCAGATACATAACGATTTATCCACACCACTGGGTACATACAGGTTCTTCAGAAAATTGATAGGCGTGAGGCGTGAGGGGTAAAGAGGAAAAAAAGAGCATAAGGGAAGAACATTATATAAAACAGATTATATTTTGTTTCCTTGATTAATAGACTAAATGTTCCAATGAATTTTTTTCTTGAAGAGTTCTTATCACTTATCAGACTGGATTGGGCTTTTTGGTGGATATGGAGAGTGTCACTGACTTATCCTCATTTTAATCATTTTTAAAAAGACAATAATTAGCACATCATTGTATAGTTCAATGGCTCTTGTACAGGGAAATTGGAGTGACCTTGAAAGGAAAAAAAGATTATATAGGCAGCATAAATTCACTCAGCTACTTTTTTGAGTTTATAGCTACTGGATTGCCATCATATTTTTTTCTTTACTGATGGTGGTTATAAACTGTACTATGATTTATTGTTATTTTGTAATTTTTTTTAAAAAAACCTCACTTCAGTTTTGTGCTTTGCATATTTTTACAATGGGTGCTAACATTTGTAAGATTCTCACATATGTGGATTGAAAGGCAATCAGATAATTGGTTAGTCATTTATTTTCAGCTTTAATCAAGAAATTAATGATTCTTAGTTTGCAATAAAGGAGAAACATTAACCATAAAAACTAATTTTAGTATTAAAATTCCTTCAGAATAAATGTTTGATATTGTGAGTCTAAAACTCTGATTACAGCACGAAAGTGTATAAAACTCTATTTCCCACCATTATAATCATTGTTTTCATAAAGGGCTTTTTGTTAATTTGAGGTTTCTTAGGAATGTAGCTCACAGATTTTTGCAGAAGAGGCAATATACACTAAATACCAACATATCCCCATGTGAAAAAACGTGTCCTTAGTATAGAGAGTAAAACACTTAAAGATTTTATGACAAGTTAAATAAAAAGTTGGATAAAGAGAGAGTTGTTAACGATTGTTAAGAAATTTCTTTGTTGATTTGACTATGTTGATTATGTAGATATTTTGAGGAAGACGTTAATAATCAGTTAATGATGGTGAAGATCAGTGTTAACCTAAGAAAGAGGTATTGAAGAGAAAAAAACCCCACAAAAAACCACAAAAAGCCCCAACAATAAAACAACACACACACATAAACATATATTGAATTTTGTAAAATTAAGGTATTAAGCCAGATTTATCAAATACAGTCCATGTCAAATCTTTGTGAATCATCAAAATCAGACAAGCTGAATTACCTGATTTACTTGATTTCTCAGAGTGAAAACAATAACAATTACTGACTGCTTGGTATAAACAACAACCCTATGGAGTATATTTTATTAACTCCCAAAAAGTTTAAGTAATGCGTTCAAGATCGCATAGCTAGTAAGTGGTAGAACTGGGAATACAGCACAACCTGACTCTTCAGTCCACATTTTGAACCGCCATATTGTACTCTCTCTCCAACAGTTTTATGAATGCTAAAGAAATCGTAGCACTGGGGAAGCAAGGTACTAGCTCAACTTAAAGATGCTACAATATTGTCTGTATTAGGAAAATTATCTTCAGGAGATGTTGACTCACCTATCTTCCCTTACCCATGATCTACACAGATTAAAATGCACCCACAGTCATATACGTTATCAACATGTAAGGTAGTTTTACAGTGTAATAGTACTATCTCAGAATTGCAAGGACCACAAATAATTTTTAAAAGTTCATGTCAGGAACTCTGAGAGTTTGAGATCTTACCCTGCTTATAAGCTGAAGAGTGAGCTTGCTATAGATTCATGAATACCATAAGAATAAATGAGACTCCTGAGTCAGATACTTGGTTATTTATGGCACAACAGGCAGCATAAGATTTATGTTTGCATTGGTTCCCCTCTCCCCATAGATCTCATGGGGAATCACCAGGAGACAGTCCCAGGTGGATGCTGTGTTTGCAATGTGTTTGTGTCACAGCTGAGAAATCCTAATCTGTAAAAGGGTTACAAGCAAACCTGACCAACCTTTGCCCAGAGGGAGCTCTCGCTGTGTTTTCTTATTTGTATTATGTTGGTCGGCAAACAAATCTGCCCTTTGCCCAGGAGGGTGACACTCTTTCTATCATTTATTGAAAAAATGTCTTGAAAATACATTTTTTGAAAAGACAGTCTGGAATAAGAGCTGTCATCAACTCTGCTCACAAAACATGAATACACACATAAGAGAGACATAAAAAGCTGTTTCCCAACAACGTATTATTTCCTATAATCCATGCTCTCTCATTTGACCCTTATACAAATTCTGTGAGATTAATAGGGTAGGTCTTATAGATTTTCCATTTTGCAGATTTCGCTACCTATAAAATGGTTCTGTTGGCTAAATAAGACTAATATAGCTTCCATAGCCTGAAAATAGTTTAGCTGATGAAATATATAGGTATATAAGAAAAATCCCAAATATACAAATTGAGGTTTAAAGGGATTTAATTCTTATAGCATAAAGGATTAATACAAAAAGAATTTTTCTCCAGTAGTATTTTATATTCTCTATTTTTAGTAGCGACTTGATCAGCAATAAAGAAGTTAAGTATAAGCTTATGTACTAGCAATCACTAGCAATTGATGGAGGAATAGAAATAAGAACAATACACCTCCTAAATTATATTATAATTCAATAGAAAAAGATGATCTGAATTGATGCACTATTTAGGAATATACCTATTACGTTAAGTAGTGTATATCTGTATCAGAATACCATTAAGTGCATAATGTATTATATTCTCAGTTTCTAAGGTGCGTAACATCTAGGTGTGCTCTGTTTGGGGCCGAGGCATCCTTTAATAATTGGCAGAAGTTACATCCCAATGAGGATGGTTTACTCCAGGAATTTCAAAGCAATTTGCTTACTATCAGTCAGCTCTTTTATTTTGACAAGGCAGGTTAGATTTTAGCTTACTTTGAAAAATACAATTAAGTCACAGAAAGTTGGTTGTCTAGTGTTAACAAGCAAAGAAGGGGTATTACTATTGTGTGGTTATGTGGAATTGTGAGGATTGAGGGAAGGATGGCTCACGTTTCTATTGCAGGTCTTACATGATCATTTACTTAGAAGTACTCTTTGGGTTTATGGCTATTTCAACACCAAATGAGATTATCATTTTCCCTTTTAGGGAGCTCTTCCATTATAATTAATGACTCACACAAGTCATGAAAAATGGCCATGATTGTACCACATCTAAGACATGTTTGCAGTAAATTCTGGAAGATTTAGCCTCATCCATCAATTGAATAGGTTGTCCTAAATACACATGATCATTCAAGCCACAGCACCTTTGTGGCAGTTAATAAGCTATCCTTGTTCAGTGGGTGTTTAAATCTTGTCCTTCAGCCAAGTGAAATAAAAGGAATGTTCTCATTAAAAGTCAAAATCTAAAAAGCAAAATTCAATCTGTCAAATTGTCAAGTGTATTAAAGGTGAAAAATAAAGCTGCTAAGACGCTTGGGTCTTTTTTTAGACTCTTGTTTCCCTGGCGAGAAGAGAGAGTCTTTCTGAGACAGGAGTCCTTTTTATACACATTTCATAATAGTTTGTGCCCCTAAACGTAAGCTCTGAGCCAATAACATTCAGGTCCTGTTAACACATTTATACAGGTTTCTAATCAATAAGTGGTTATTAATTTGAAGTACATTTTAGTGACTAGATCTTCAAACCTATCTGCCTCCCACAAGCTTCCAACTCGGATATATATGTCATAGAACAAACGGGAATTCAGTATGAAAGATTAAAATGGACTTAATTCAATGTCTAAGATATTACCTTTATTATGAATTATCCCTTTTAAGATGTTTATTCATACCAACATCTGTAATAATAGTCGTGAGCAGAAATGATGCAAGCAATATATTTTTCTCATGGACAGCCATATTTCAGGTCAGTCCTAAAATAAACTTACTATCAAAATTTTTAGCTAAATATTATCTTTACTGGGGGATGAGGTAGGGTTATCATATAAAATACAAATGGCCACAAATTTGAATTTCAGATACATAATAAATGTTTTTTAGTGTAGATATGCTCTAAATATGGTATGGGACATACTTATACTAAAATATCTATTAGTTGTTTATCTGAAATTCAAATTTAACTGGAGGAATACTTATTTTATCATGATTATTTCTGTCCTAATCGGCAACCTAGGCGTGAGGGGAAACCGTCGTTTGAAGAAGGTGTCTGCTGAAGTCTCAAATAGAAAAGCAGAGGGACACACTTGTTAAGGCAGCTCTGGTAAGGTTTCCTCTATCTTTCCCCAGTTTACCAAACGAAGTGGAAGTCATTGACTAGGGCCAAAAAAAAAAAAAAAATCTCCTCACCACTGTCCCAGCTCATTTATGAAGACATTTTCTTTTCGCCTGGAACTGAAAAAATAAATCAAAGCCCCTTGGAGCCTGATTTATTAGTTTTCACCGAGTGTCATGCAGCCACTAGATGGCAGTAGCAGCCCATCATACCCCGCCCCCTCCCTGGCGTCCTGGAGCCAATTTTCTGTACCTTGTCCTCTTTCTCTTCGCAGGTTTCAGCTTGTCACTTTTCTTCTCCCTCTTTGTTTTCTATTTTTACTTTTATTCGAATGCCAGAAAAACCAGCTGGTTGAAGAAGTCGTGCGGTGCTCCACACGTTTGTCACAGAGGGTGCTGTGACTGAAAAGCCTAACTGATTTTCTAGGCTGCCGGAGCTGGATATCAGGCACCAGGGCACAAGGACACTTGCACTGGAAGCTGTGGCTGGGTAGATAAGGACAAAGAGTGTGATCATGCTTTGCTAAGTCCAGGACACAAGTCTGATTCTCCTGCATGTGAGAATCTCTCTCAGCTGCAGCTAGGTGCTAATCCGTGAACAAGCAGCTCATGGGGGACTTCCCAAAGGTTGTGGAGTTGGAATTTTGGTGTTCCTTTTCAAGACATGAATTTTGTTTTCAGGAAAAAAAAAAAACAAGAAAACGAAAAACCACATTGAGTTACAAAGCTATTCACATGGAGGTATCAGGAATTGATCTTCAGTTTCTAAAGTCCTCCTTAGAGATTTTTAAAGTTGGTAAGTGAGAGAAGAACTTTACATTTTGTAAAAATCTATTTTATTAAAAAGAGGATCTCTTAAATTCTTACTCCGAAAAAGTAGAGGAATGGAGAATACTGTGAAGCAAACGGGTTAAATGAATTCAAATCTTGCTCTCACCAAGGGCATGGCATCCATACGGCGAAGGCAGTCCTACCCTTCCCTCGCTGTTCCCTTTCCCTTCTGCCCGCCCCAGCCACTGCAGTTGTGCAGAAGACCTTGCTATCGATATTGACTGGTACCCTTGTTCCAGAATTCACACTTTAGCTTTTTTTCCAGGAATATAACCTCTTGTATTTAAACATTTCAAAGCAGATTATAAGCTAGGTTTGGATTCTGTTTGCACCTCTTCATTGTTCTTCATTGTCAACCTAAAACTGCATTATTATATATTTTTTAGTTGGGTATTTCCCTCATCTTTCTTCTCTCATTTAGCAGAAAAAAATCAAGTTTAATACTTCTCTAATATGTTAGATATAGATTTCCTGATTTATTTTTTGAGCTTGGGAACAGTAACTTCTGCCAAGGGATTCTTCTCGAAGCAGAATGGGCTTTTTATCTCTGCCACCACTGACAACCAGTTAGTTGCTTAGCAATGATTGGGATTGAATAAGAGGGGGCACTGTGGTGCATACTCTTGGAACTCACTGTGGTGGCCTCAGCCTCCTATTCACTGTAGATTTGTCTTCAACTCTTTCTGGAAAAGGGTTGGGTGGGGGATGGTTCAAGGAAGTCTTATTATGATAAGAATCGTCAATCCACTGGGTGGCTCCTGGATCTAGGAACATGTCAGCTCCCTGGTTCTTCTTGCCTTGGAACATTTTTAAAAAGGAATTTCATATGTTAAATTCTACTTTGTAATTTTCTGTAAATTATTTACTTTATCCTGCACTGGTAATTCATAAGCAAATAGTTTTCCTTGAAGGAGACAAATAAACACAAATTACATTTCAATAATATTTTCCATTGATTAATGTATAATTTGGAATGATTCATTCATGCATTTGTAATTCATTTGTTCATTCATTTATACATATTTTATTTATTTCACAAATATTTGTCTTCTATATTCTAGGCACTGTGCTAAAGGCTGGGGAAACAAAACAAAAGCAAAACAGAAAAATGGATATTGCCCCAAGCTTCATATGATTTATAGTACATTTGATGATTTGTCTTAATGAAAGCTATATATGAACTTAGGGATTTTAAAATTAGGGGCAGTGTAATGTTGTTTTCCTGTCCCTCTGGAATGGGGAAACTAACATTTAATGAAGGTCTCCTATTAATTCATACACGATCTCATTTCTCACTTTTCACTCACGTATGTCATGAATGCATAGATAGACACATGTTTTCCACTTGCAAACAACTATTTATAAACTTTACTTGGTAGAAGAAAATGTCAACCTATCTCCTAATCATACACTTTCTCCATACACTTATTCAACATCAGTTACTGGAAGATTATTCAGTGCCAGATGTGTTGTAGATATGGTGGGCAGAATGGCAGATGGACAATGTCCCCACTCTCTTGGAGATTATATTTATGAGTTTATAACAATTACAGATTAGAACTATGGATTTTACTACTTTAGCATTAATCGCTAGGGAAAAAGACATATCCTTTCTTCTGTGAACAAAGAATTCTTATATCTATATTCTATAAGTTAATGAGAGCTACTCCACAGAGCCAAGAGAATCAGTGTGGAGAGTAATTGGAGACAGCAAGCTCTGCCTACATACGAGTTTCCAAGGGAAGTACAGACTCAGGGTCTTACATCCAAGACAAAATCTTCCCCACTCCTGTACCTCATTTTATACTAAGCATAATATCAAAACAGAAAACAGAATTTACATAAATAAATAGATATTTGTCTACTCCCTTCTCCAAGTGTTGAAAAATATTTGGTATAATGTTTTGAGTGAAGAATAATAATCATTTTGACATTCTATGTATTTAGTGGACTATCAGATAATCTATATTCTCATTTGCTTCTATTGAGACTCTTTTTTATCTATTATCAATCTGTCTATGTGTCTGTTATCTCTCTGTCTATCTATCTATCTATCTAATCTATCTATCTATGTATCTATCTATCATCTATCTATCTAAATTTGGAAGGTGATTACCTAAGACTATTAAAAATCTTCTGGGATCCAGAGACACAATCAAGCATCAAATACTGTACATTGCTTAGCTACACAGGGTGACAAGAAGTTCCCACAAGGAGGCTGGCATAAGCCTTCCTTTCAAAATTCAACTAAAATGCTGATGGGCAATTTTCTTTATAGGCAAAGCATGATGGGGCTGCAGTTTTTATGCACTTCTGAAACCACAGGGGTTTCAATTGTCTCTCAGGCCAAATTCTTCAGAAAACTTTGCTCCTATTTCATCCCCAGACTTGAGTTTGCCAACTCAATACAGCTAAATATAAATGTAAATGTAGATGGAACTTTTACTTCTTAACATAAAATGCTTTTTATTTGATTTTCTCTTGATTGCTGCCAACATGAGTTGATAGATACATTGCATTTTTGGTTTCTGGAATTTGTTGCAAATGTTGGAGCAAGGGGTTGATTGATTGGAATAAACATGTAGCAATGGCAACAGCTGTTAAAAAAATAGCTGAACAGGGAATGAAATAATTTAAAATAAACAGTAGTTACATTTATGACATACATACTGCCTGGATATTTTTAATTTTCCTTGCCCTCACTGAAAATGAAACACTTGTGCAGATAGCAGGAAAATAACTACATTTCAAATTCAAATAGTCATCCCTCAAAAATATGAACCTTCTCTTAGGCCTTTTTCAAAAGTTTATTTCAGTGTCTTTCTTTTTTTCATTAGGCTTAATTTTCTAATAATTGTTTCTCTATTTATTTGGTTTTTTAAAATACAGCTAGTCTTTTGCAAATTTTTTAATTTATTTTCTGTGTGCCTCTCCTTAATATTAACTTTTAAAAAGTAGATAATATCAACAAAAAGTTACTTTGTTATTAATATCTACCCCTGTTTTCATCATATAATCATGTAATGGTGGATATCTGAAATGGCATTTTGGTTTTTCAAAAATTCTGAAACTTTTAAAGGTGGATTTTTTAGTGATCTCCCTATAATATGGAAATACTTTTCCCAAGGACAATTGGGTTTAAACAGTCTGATATGTCACAGAAATTTGCTTTTTGAGGTTGGCAAAAGAAGAATTTCTTTAATATCTTTTTTTTTTTGTTTTGTTTTTTAATGAGTGTTTTCTGGTCACGAAAGAAGAGATTGTAAGAACCAAGGTGGATTTTGGAGACCACATTGTCCAAACTTCCATTATTTTGATCCTGGTCTTGTGGACTGGAGAGGTTGAGGGACTTTCTCCACCTCTCAGAACTCGTGAGGAAAAAAGCCAGGTCTAAAATTCAAAGTCTAAGCTTCAGTGACCAGTGACTTTTTAATATTTTTTTAAAGTGGCTTCTCACTGTATGATAGCAACCCAAAAGATATGATTTCTGCTCCCTAAGATTTTACTCACACATTCATGGCCTTGAGCACTCAGAAAAAAATAAGAGCAGGTTTTAGAGTTTTAGATCTTAATTATCCCATTCACTTCTCCTCTTCCCAGGAGACAAGTTGGATTGTCATTTCTCTATTACTGACAAGGAAAGTGAGTTACAAACAAAAGAGTTAAGAAGTACAATACAACACTTAACTTCTGATTAAGGAAAAGCTTTGTCTGAAAAGGTCCTTTGTAAATCTGTTGTTTGCATCTCAGAATTTATTTCTCCATAGAAAAGTGAAGTTATATGTAACGGTTGAGTTCCTAGGGAAAAGCATTCAAAAATTTTTATTTTATATAGCTTATATCAGAATGTAGCTCTTAATGAAGACTAATGTGGAATACATACACATCATCTTTTTTTTTTTTTTTTTTTGAGACAGAGTCTCACTCTGTCGCCCAGGCTGGAGTGCAGTGGCGCCAACACTCCTAAGGGACACTGGGTTCTGAGTTCCATCATGAGGTGAAACTGGGTGCACAGAATATTGTTTATAGGTCTGTAGGGGAGGAAAACAGTTTTTTCCTTAATGACCATGAGCTCTTAGGTGTAACAGACCCCTGTAGCAAAAGACAGATTAATAAAAAAAAAATACAAAATAGTTTATTAATGTGGGCAGCACGTGTGACACAGAAGAAGCTTTGATGAAAAGTAACTCAAAATGGTGGCTTAGAACTCAACATATGTAGCTTCTTAAATAGACAGCAATAGATTTGAAAAGAAATGACAGGACAAAAGAAAACAGTTTTGAGCTTCCAAGGGTACAAAATGGTTAAACAGCAAATATAGTGGAAGAAACCAGTGGAGTAAGATTTGTTTGCAGGTTCCTCTGGTACTGTCTCTGGGATAATAAGAGACAGTATTGTCTCTGGCAAAAAAGAATTTCTATCTGGTCTTCAGGCAGAAAGTGAGGAGAATGGGAGGTTAGGGGGAGATTTTCCTTTGCCATTTCCTAACTGCCTTCAGTTCAAAAATAATTTTTATGTCCAAGAGGCATATTTTGGGGTTGTTGGAGCTCAGAACCTTATACCCTAAATGTGGAACTTTGACATACGAAACTGAGAAACCTTTCAATTCTCTCCGACATTCTCCCGCTTCCTGTCTCTTGGTCCTCTCTTTTCCAAAGCACAGGATGAAGTTGTTCGGTGAAATTCCCTTATCTGCGGGAAGTGAAATTCCCTTATCTGCGGGAAGTCTGGACTCATCAAAAAATGAAACCATTACCTCTGGTCCCTTCCCTGAGTTTTCATAAACTGAACTCATATCGCAGGAAGAAGAAAGACTGAAGTTTGTCAACACACCTGGACAGACTTTTGTTATAATTCATTGCCTGCCCTGCAGGCCCAACAGGGTTTGTCCCAGGCCATTGTATGTTCTTCAAGCCCACTGAATTCCCCTAAAAATTATTTACCATCCCCCTAAAATGACCCACATTTTTCCATCTCCCTTTCCTCTAAGACTTAGGGCATATGTTATATAGACACTGGAATATAAGTCAATCACTTTGGGATTCTCCCCTGTGCATGTTGATAAATTTGTTTGCCATTTTTACTATGAATCTGCCTTTTGTCTGTTTATTTTTTTTTAGCAAACCTTCTGAGAGCAAAGGGGAAGTTTTCTCTTGGCCCCTAAGGGGGTGACATACTCTGGTTTCCTTCAGGGATAAAATGCTATACAATGTAGTCTCTAATATGTTCTTTGGGACATAATTGTGCATATTTATTCTTTACTCCCATCCTATTCCTTATTACATTTTTTTCCCCTAAGATTTTTCATGTACTGAGGCTTCGTCCTGCCTCCAACAGAGAGTCAAAGAGGGTGAGGTGAAGGGAAAGCATGGGATTTTAGATTGGGATCAGTGGAAAGAGGGATTATGTCACCTATATTTTAGAGGCTCAGGAAGGGATTTGCCTAAATTTGGAAAGGCTTGAAGCTTATACATTTTGGAGGGTTCTCTTTTTAAAAGAAATGTAAACAATTTTTTAAAACTTTTTAAAATAAATACAAAAAAGTTTGTATGCATACAAAAGTAGATTAAAAAGTATATATTTATTTAAAATGAGAAAAAACAAATTATAGATTTTTAGAAGCTGTGAAATACCACAAACATCACAAATCCCGCCCCCCTAAAAAAGAACCCTCAAAAATCGAATTTTTATAAATGAGTATATTGGCATAACTCTAGACTGGTACTTCAATGTGCTGAGAAGTCTTATAAGCTGCCTCAGAATCAAGGTTCCTTCAATCTTTTTATCCACCCTCCACATTTCCCCTTGCCAAATGTGGGGAGGAGCTCTCTTTGGAATTTCCTTATCTGACGAAGAAAAACTTCTTTCCAACAGAAATGCAATTGTCTTGAAGGTCCTCTCTAGCGATCTCACTGAATAACTAGGAAAAAAAGTCAACCACTGGAGAAAAGAAGAGCCTGGGAGTCATCAGTACACCCAGACAAACTTTTTCTCTATTCTCCTTCTGCAGCTCCAAGAGACTACCTGGGGCACTTTATCTGCATAAGACAACCTTTGCTCCTGTGCAGTTCTGTTCCTCACCTTTCCATAATGTCTGCTTTTGCCTTTGTGCATCTATCCCCTATGAAGAGACTACTTAACCATCAACCATCCGGCTCCTCTTTGAGTTCATTTTTGTGTGCCTCCTGTGCACACGTGCATATTAATACATTTTGTATACTTTCTCTCCTATTAATCTGCCTTTTGTCAGTTGATTTTCAGCTAATGTTTAAAAGACAAAGGGGAGGTTTTTCCCTTGGACCCTACAGCATTTTATATGACAATGGTTTTACAATATTGCTTTTAAAAAAATCAAGACTAAAAAGATAATTTAATATTTCCTCTATCATTATTGATAAAAACTTGTTAAATTAATATTTGGGGCACACTAACATGCAATTTCACATACAGATGTGCTGTAGTTTATAGTGCTGTTATGGGTTTGTGACTTCAAACACAAGGATTCTATACAATTCATTTTATGTGGCTCCCATTAAAATGTTTTGCCCATTTGTACTTGTATATAATGCATTATTAAATATATTCATAACATAATAGAACTTTCACTTTGACTAGAGGTTAATGAGAACTGAGTTTTTTGCTTATAACTTGACATTTCTGATGATTGAAAAAATTTTCCACGCACTAGCTGCTGACACAGTACCTTTCAAATACTTTTTCTCTCATACTCATCATTTATTTTTGGTACATAGCACAGGGGAAAACATTCATGTAGCAGTATGTGCTAGGGAATCAATACAAGAGGTAATAAGAGTGTTCCTGGAAGCCATTCCCACACTGGGGTAGCTAGCAACAACTTATCATGAAGGGAAATGACTATGAAACCACATAAATAAATTCCTCTGAATTTACACTAAATATAAACTCAACCAGATTTCTCTTTTGCTGGATCCCCAAATGGGTGTAGCTGCTGCAAACCATTTCAATGGGATATATGATAGGGGCAATTCAGAGTGGAAAGAATAAATGCTTTAACAGACTATGGTTTAAATACCTTAGTTTTGCAAAGTTTACAACAACATCTGATCATGTGATCACATTGTTGGCAGCCTGTGCAAGTGATAAATCTTGAGATTGAAGTTTTAGTAGCTTTATGGTAAATCTGCCTAAAAATGGCAAATTGACATTTTTAATGAATGAAATTTATATGTAGTTTATTGTAGATTTAACATAGACTAGATTTAAGGTAAGCTGATAAAATACATTGAGTGAAGTGTTAATATAAATTTCCAACTTTTGTCTAGAAATTAAGATACTCTTAACACAAGATGTTTATGAAAATTCAGGAAAAACTACATTTTTATTTTGATACTTTATGTATTTTTCTCCTTTCTCTCTCCATTTTTCTAAAATAAACCCTAAAAATATTTTACCCCAAAATATACTTCTTTGTCATATGTTGATATGGCTAATCAGAGGGTCTGGAGACAGAAATAACCCTGAAAATTGCCTTTTGTGGAGTAGACTTGCATTTTTAGAAAAAAATATGCATCAATAAAATAAACAGCCTGGCTTTCTCAGAAGCTACTCTCCCTATCCTGATGTAAGAAAGATTAACTGAGAATCTGACACCTTTGCAAAATCTGGTGGAGAAACATTTACCATAGGCTACCAGATATTCCTTTAGGGGGATGATACCTGTGAGGTTTCATCTGCGTCACAAGACCACATTTGCCCCATGCTTTTCCTCTTCTCTCCCTTTTATATCCTATCTTAGCACTGTAACCCGTCATGCCATGCTCCAAACCCCTATTCCTTCTGTTCCCTGAAGATGGTATAAAAGCATCAACTATCTGGCCATTTCTTTGAGTTTTTAATATTTACATGACTCCTGTGCCTGAATGCACATTAATAAAATTAGCGTATTTTTTTTTGTCCTGCTAGTATCATTTTTTTTTTTTTGCCCTATCTAGTATCAGTTTATTTTATAGACTCAAATTACTCAATCTTAAGGGGAAGAATTTAAACTTCTCTACCCTTCCTTCTTTCCTTTGAAACCACCCTTGCAAAATTATAACGGAGAAAATTGTTACAGTGAAGGAGATCTGAACTAAGCAACTCCATTTTGCTTATAACCTCCTACCTGTCCTTGTCGATTCTTGGACATAGGCCAAACTGACTTTGGGAGGAACTTAGTTTATGATTTATATTTGAAACAAAGACAGTAACAGCCTTTTCCCAAAACAAAAACCCCTCCTTGCCTGGGGACTAGACTGCCTTTGTAGGACTAACAAATTAGCCACAAAGTTAGAAATTATGGTTTGGGAGTCAAGTGGGTGGAGGCTACAAGATTCTGACCCTCCCCAAATTGTTGCTGGGGATAACATCACCATTGTAAAACCTAAGATTAGTACTTGAGATATTTTGCAGACCTTGCATTTGATGGATCAACAGGCACCACCCAAATGGATAAACTGTCTCATCTGATCTTGTGGCCCCACCTAGGAACTAACTCAGTGCAAGAGAACAGCTTCAACTCTCTGATCTCCAACCCAACCAAGAAGCACTCCCAACTTACTGACCCCTACCCACTAAATTGTCCTGAAAAACTCAGATCCCTGAATTCTCAGGAAGATGGATTTGAGGAATAATAAAACTCTGGCCTCCTGCATACCTGGCTCTGCATGAATAACCCTTTCTTTATTGCAATTCCCCTGTCTTGATAAATCAGCTCTGTCTAGGCAGTGGGAAAGGTGAAACTGTTGGGCAGTTACACTTTCCTTTCTCTCTTTTTTTTCTTTTTTCTTTTCTTCTTCTTCTTCATTTTTTTTTTTATTTAAGGACTACAGAAATTTAGAATTAATCATGATCTTTAGTTTATTCTGCAACCTTATCTTTCTTATATGCATTCTCTTATTTTAATATTGTTATTTTATTGATTTTTAAATAATATACTAATATCATGAATGTTCAACTATCTAAAACAAAACCAATAACTCATATAAAACCTGTCCTCATCCACGATCCCAACCCTCAACTTCCTCACATAGATCACCACTACCCTAAATCCCTACATTTAATGTTCATCATCCACTCGAACATGTTTGTATTCATAAAGGATATAGTGTTAGTTTTACTCATTTTTGAACTTCATAAGAAATGTCTCACTCTATTGTAGTTTTTTGGAACTTTATTCAACTTTTTACTAAAATTTTTCCGTATTATCCCATGTTACAGCATTTAATTGTGTTAAATTGCTGCAATATAATTATTAATCTTCCTGTTGATGGGAGTTTGTATTGTTTCCAGTTTTTAGTAATTATAATCAGTAATACAGTGAATATTTTTGTCATTATCTCATGATACTCATATGTAAGAATTATTCTTGGGTATTTTCTCAGAAGTGACATTATGGAGCCATGGTTTGTCACTATTTAACTTGTAAAGATAATCTCAACTTATTTTCCAAAGAACTATCACATAGCAGCATTGTATAAAAAGATTATCTTAGTCTCTTTCTCCTTTAACACAAAATATTGTCAAACTTCTTAACTTTAGCCAATTGAACAGGGTTAAAATGGTATCTCATTGAAGTCTTAATGTACACTTTCTTAATTTCAAATGAGATTATTTCCTCATATATTTATTGGCCAAAAGGGTTTCATCTGTTTTGCCCAATGTTTTTATTGAGTTGTGTTCTTCTTATTTAAAGGGATTTGTAGTTCTTTTTATGTTCTTGAAGTTAATCCTTTGTCAATTGTATGTGTTATAAACATCTTTAAGTGTGTCTTGTTTTTTTTTTCTTTTAAATTATGTCTTTTAGTTAAGAGAATTTATTTAAAACACATACAATTTTCAACTTTTTTTTCTGGCTAGTAACTTTTGTTCCTTGTAAAGTTTTGTTATCATGGAAGGAAACAAATATGCCACCCCATCATGCTACTTTGATATATTGACTATTTTGAGCTGAAGGCATTTGGAAAACAGCAAATGCAGGGAGAGGATTTCTCTGAACTCCCCTTATCTACCCAAAGATTGGTCACTCCAAATGAACTTAATTGTCATAAATCCCCTCCCCAGGAGTTTCATCAACCAGGGAAGACTGACTGTTATCACAGGAGAAGAGACTCCAAGTTGACACAACACCCAGACAAACTATCTTCTCTCCCATCTATTCTTCTGTGAGCCCATCCATCTTCCCTGAAAATCACATACCCTCTCCAAAGCGGCCTACATCCCTGTTTCCTTCCCCTATTAAGATAATGATGGGGCTGAGGATAAACTGCCCCAAAATATGCCAACTTGGTATGTGAGAAAGCAGCAGAAGCAGAAAGGCCATTCTCACTTTCCCCTTGCCCTTCTCCCCTGAAGCAGGTCATACATAGACGCTCATTAGAGGAGTACCCTCCCTACATCCACAGAGAAGGAGCTGAAGACACGGACATCAAGAAAAAGCTAAACAAGTAGGCCTCACTCAGTTTTCCCTGGTTGATTGCCATTAGATCATACTCTTGTTCTCCAATCATATATCTCAACAACTGTCCATCTTCATCAAATCTAAGCCTAAAAGCATACGGGTTTACCTGTTATTTCGGATCTTCATTTCAAAGGCTCCCAGGACACTTAAAAGTTATAATAAATTTGTATGCTTTTCCCTTGTTACTATGTCATTTGTTACAGGGGCCTCAGCTGTGAACCTAAGATGGAAAGAATAGACATTTCTTTCCCCTCAATGGCACTTAAGCCTGAATTCTAAGCCACCTCTTGCAGAGTTAATCTTTCCCTGAGTTTTCTCCCATGTATATATGATATATACATGTTAATAAACATTTGTTTGTTTTTCTCCTGTTAATCTGTCTCTTCTTATAGGGGGCCCCAGCTGAGCACTTAGAAGTGTTAAGAAAAACTTATTTTTCCCCTTATACCCTGAAGTAAAAAAAAAATTTATTTAAGCTCTTTTTGAAATTTTGCTTTTTACATTTTAAAGCCTCAACCTACCTGGTATTAATTATTATTATTATTATTATGTTTTTGAGGCAGGATCTCACTCTGTCACAGAGGCTTGAATGCATTGGCATGATCATTGCTCACTGCATCCTCAACCTCCTAGCTCAAATGGTCCTCCCACCTCAGCCTTCTGAGTTACTGGGACTACAGGCATGAACCACCATGCCTGGCTAAGTTTTTCACTTTTTGTAGAGATAATGTCTCACTATGTTGCCCAGGCTAGTCTTGAACTCCTGGGCTCAAGAAATCCTCCAACCACTGCCTCCCAAAGTGCTGGGATTATAGGCTTCAACTATTGTGTCTGGTCCCGGGCATTAATTTTTATTACTGATGTGACACAGATTTTTATTTCACCATTATGAAATATAATGCATTTCAAAGTTCTACTTATCAAATTATTTCCTCCTTCTGCCTTTTGAGAAATAAAGTAAAATCCTAAGTACCCCCATGGACTAAATGAACCCCCTCTTGGCCACGGGGACCCCAGAGAAGTCTTAAAAACTGAGGTCCTCATCATGATGGAATGGGAGGTCAGTCATGCCATGTTATATACACCGATTCTTGTTAGCTGCCAGTCAATTTTCTTTCCTAACGGTTGAACAGAAACCAGCCCTTCGGAGAGACTTGTTCCACCACTGATTTCAATGGACCACCTGACACTGCCAGACTCCCCTCCTTTTTGCATTTCCAAGGTAACTGACCAGCATTCCTTTCTGATAAGAGACCACAGACCAGCAACTGGTTCTGGCTGGTTTATAGAGGCTGTGCACAGGATGCCTCTGTGTCCTCTGTTTCACCTTTTGACATATAGAGCCTAATTTTAATACATTTAAGTCTTAACTCTCCATTCCAAAGTAAACATAGGATGTATGCAACATGAATATCTACTTACTGTGCATGCAGACATCCCCCTGTCATAGATATTTATAGCTCCTCCTATAATCTGTGAAATATATATATATATATATACTTAGCCAATCTATTTGCCATAAGTTTCTGTCTCATCCTTCCCTCCCTCAAAGTGCCTGCTTCCAGTATCTGCTGGAGGCTACAGTTCCCAGGCCGTGGAATGGTCAGTCTGCAGGCTGCAATTCTTTATGAAAAGTAAAGCTGTCCTTTTCAAATTTGTAAACACTGTAATTGTTAGTTAATACCTTTCTAGTGACTTTTATGACTTCATATATGAAACTTCCATAAATGTGAGATTGGTTGTGTTTTGTTCAACCAAAGATTGATGGACTTCACCCCCAGAATTTCTGATTCAGTAGACTTGGAGTCAGTCTCAAGGATTTGCACTTCTTTCAAGTTCCGCGGTGAGGTTGACAGTGCTGTTCTGGATAGCCTACATTGAGAACAACTATCTTATGCTAACTGTCCTTGTATGGCTCTTTCCTTGACTTTGTCTTTATTCCTTTTCTTTCTGACCATTGCTTCAGTGTCTTTGTTTTTCACAAAGACGAGATGTGTTAAATTCTGCTCTTCTTTAAGAAGATGGAGAGGCAGCTGAAAATTATCTTCCCTAGGGAGATAATTTAAATAACACTTAAAATAACAAGCAATCTATTGGCCTTGCTGTGTAATAGGTGGAGTACTCCTTTCTGGCTGCAACAGATTGGGTTTTTACTCTTTAACCATTTCACAGACACTGTTGTATAAGGTGTAGTGCAGACATGAGTCCTATAGGGGAGGATAAAGAAAGGCAAGAAACAAATCACAGCTTGTATTCACGGAGGGGAAAATAAATACTTATTCTGAAATAACTATTCATAGGTTGCTATTCTTTTTTAAAGGAGTTACTTAATCTGTTTAAGAGTAATTTGAAGACTTAAGGTATATTCCCAGGATTTTGGTACTAGCAGCTTCCTGACCTTATTAGCTATGCCTATAATTTATTCGCCTTGGTTTCAGCAGATGCTTGCTCTAACTGAACATGATGACTAAGAAAATCTTCTTCAAACTCTGTCTGTTAGCTTTTCAATCATATTTACCATAGAATAAAGGAAAAAGAATTTTAATTCCCCAGGTAAAATTTCAGATTCATGGGTACTAAGTTAGATCTACGCCTTGAACCTTTGTTTTCTTATGCATTGTAGACAACTTATTTTTCTTGTTATCGTTCTATTTCAATGGTACATACCAAAGACAATCATGTCAACAAAAACAGGTCCATTATTCATTTGTACAGCAAAAATGAATTTATTGTCACCTGTACCAGGTCCTCTGTTAGGCAACGGCAAGAAAATAATCAGCAAGATTGATATATTCTCCCCCGATCTCATAGTCTTGCAGAAAAGATAGATAAGTAAATGAGCACTACCAATTAAACATGGTCTGATAAGTAACATGATAAGCATGCTCTGGCTGGGGTTGATGGGTCATATGGGGTCTGGCAGTGAAAGGATCCAACAATGCTTTGGCATAATGAGGAATGGGCACTACACACAAATCAAGGGAACGAGAACCATCTCTACTCACCTCAGGTTTAAGAGTTGGTACTCCTCATGCTACCCTTCTTCTGCTCTAATCTGCCAAACTTTTATGATCAATAAATATTCATGAGTATGCATTTTGTTTGGAAACCAGTTTCAAAAGGGCAAGCCATAGAGACTCACTTCTCCCAGGAATGCTAACTAGCATTCCCTAAAGAAAGAAAGGGAAACAGGTTCTCAGTTTAGATACCAGGAACCACTAATGATTCCTGGTAATCACCAGTAATCAGCAGTAAACAATAATAGAAATGGAAATTCGGAAAGACTTAATGACCTTCTAAAGTGGGGCATTTGACAAAGCTTGTCCGAGAGCAAGTATGTGTGAGGGCTGCTGGGCTCCCTTATCCTTTTCTTTTCTTTTTTCTTTCTTTTCTTTTCTTTTTTTTTCTTTTTTCTTTTTTTTCAATAATCCATTTTGTCTACAGCCTGAAATTCACAGCAGTGATCAACTGTTGTAAACCAGAATAATAGCATCTTTGGCAGTAATGCTTGCAAAAATAATAGGGGGAATAGCAGGAGGCCTGCGAGAGCACCCTAGGGGGCCGAAATGCAAAGCTTTCTGCAGTTGTAAGGTAATGGGATGAAATTCCTCTTGGCCACCTGTGGTGCAAAATGAAGCCCCCTAAGGGATAAAATCCCACAACAACCTGGCCTGCCTTTACCAGCCTTTACATTCTTCCTCCCCACTTGGCTTTTAGGCTTTATTTATCATTTTTCCCTTAATAAAATTCAAGTAACTTAAACAGCCCTCCAATAATTATTGTGCTTCTATTTTTAAATGAACATCTGCAATCACAGGAAGTATTCATAAAACATCAGTCTTTTTTTGATATAACATCTTCTACTCTGGTGCTGTCACCTTCCTTCAAGTCCCTTGCCAAAGGGGTGCCTGAATGACTGACACTGATAAAGCGAAAGAATGTTTTAAAAAGGGAGGAAAGAAGAAGATATGTAAATCTCTAACATCACTACACTGTACTATGCTTGCAGACTTCAAAAATCAGAGGGTTGAAGGTACATGCTATGTGAGAAGAAAGAAAGGTGAATTACCTTTTCTGAGAATTGAAGGGATCTGATCATGAACTGAAATTTTCTGAGTTAATCAGAAGCCAATTTTAATTCAAGGTAGGGATGATGGTGAGGGAGTGGTTAGAGCTATATTTTTGTATTTGTACATTTTCAGTGCTCTAAAAATGTTTAATGTTGCTATTTATAAATTATTCTGAATTAGAATAGAATTTCAGAGATAAATACAAACTATTGTATGGCCCTCGAGGTATCATTTTTAACAAATCACTAGAAAGTTCTAGAAATACCTCTCATATGTGCACACATCTTTTATTTATTTACTTATTATTATTATTATTATTTGAGACAGAGTCTTGCTTTGTTGCCAGGCTGGAGTGCAGTGATGCAATCTCGGCTCACTGCAACCTCCGCCTCCTGGGTTCACACCATTCTCCTGCCTCAGCCTCCCGAGTAGCTGGAACTACAGGCACGCACCACCATGCCCAGCCAATTTTTTTGTATTTTTAGTGGAGATGCAGTTTCACTGTGTTAGCCAGGATGGTCTCGATCTCCTGACCTCATGATCCACCTACCTCGGCCTCCCAAAGTGCTGGGATTACAGGCGTGAGCCTGCATCTTTAGATATTAAAAGTTGAATATGCCTTTACACTTGTGCCTGATCTCCCCACAATGTGAACTTGTGGAAAAAATCCAAGAAAAGATAAATCTTTAGTTTCCTAAAGTTTATTTCATTTTATATTATGTAACTACCCCCACTTATCTGTCTTTACACCATCTAAAAATCAAATATATAAATGTATTTCATAAATGTTCTGAGCTAGGTTTAGTTGCACATGCATTTCATAAATTTATACTGGAGGAGTTCCTTTGTACTGAAGCTGAAGAAATTGAACAAGGGAATTGATATGAACTTTCAAGAGTAGAGTAAATTAATGCTTTGGTTCTCTGCCCCTGAGGAGCTACATTTGAAATTGGCTAGTGGTCAGAAGTGCAGGAACTTTTACCAGGGTTAGTTTGGGATATACCAGTTGGTTTAAGCACTAGGCAATTAACATGCTTTTCTCAACAGAGTTCCAGAATATCAATGGAAAAGCAAAGGTGTATAGGGTGAAGGGAAAACTTTTCCTTTGCACTCTGACGGTTATTTGGGGGAATCATTTTCTGAACCCCAATAGGTGCTAAAGTAGGTCCTGGTGAACGAGCTCTATCAGCAAAGAGAGAGAAACACACAGGGTGGATTTTTATACTATGCATGTATTTTGTATTTATAGAACATTTTTCCTTTCAACATCTCAAAATAATTCCAAGCATAGTAATCAGTTGGAAGGAGGCTACTGCTGTGCTAAAGACATTAGGATACTAACTCACTAGATTTATTACTAACTCAAGGTCACTCACTATATTGATGTGAAGGTCCAGGGCGTGGAAGTCTCTCTCCGTATATATACAATTAGCTATATCTATCTCTCTATATATATCTATACAGACCTATAGGTAGACAGCTATCTAGCTATCTAGATGATAGAGAAAATGTATATATATATATATATATATATATATATATATATATATATATATACAGACTCTACAGACCAAATTGACTAAAATACTGCCATTCCATTCTCCCTGCACCCAGAACCTAGAATTTTCTCAATGAGAGAACCAAGAAGACACTGGAGTAAGAACTCAGAATCTCTTCTGGATATGCAAAGAGATGCTGAGAGCTATAGGTGAAAGGCAATGTCTGGGGTTCTTTTTTTTTTTTTAAATCATTTTTAAACCATGTAATCTATCCATGTATTCTGTTGGGATCAAAGTATTTAATATGGAGAACACAATGTTCTCTGATGATACTCTTTGATTCTAACTTGATTATCAAAAGTCTTGGAGCTGGAGGACTCTTTCTACCTATCTAGGTCTGCTAAAGAGGTTAGCTCAATATTTAGTTTATAAAGATTGAAGTTTTATTCCTGTGCACAGTGCTAAGCACATAATAGTGATGCAATGTAAATTTGACAAAATTAAATAAATTATTTATGCAAATGTATCTTTATAGTATCTCATATCTACCAACCTCCACTATGTAACAATGCTTTATAACACATAAATATAAGGCAACAACAACAATAACCTACCAAACACCTTTGATTCTATTTTATTGCTTCTTCCTTGGTTCTTGAACCTATGGAATAATTCTGAGCTGCATCAGTCTAAGTGTTCTTCTTCTGATGAATGTATGCTTTTGAAGGGGTGTTGATCTACTAAGACAAGAAAGCTGGAAGCAATATGTCTTGCTTTCGTGATGTCTAGAATAACTTGCAAATCATAATGACATAGGCTGTCTTCTTATTTTTTTAGCTCTGATACTTGCAAAGGTGCCCAGAGGCTAATAAATGATGGGCAAATCTCATAAATATAATAAATACATAATAACTAACTAAATAAATAATAGATATATAGCTTTACTATTGACTTTCATGAGAGATGTGTGTATAGGAAGTAGAGATACAGGTTGACAGTTTTTAAAGTGCTTTATAAAAGGGTCTATTTAAATATAATATATTGCTATTATTCTAAAGGCAAATACACTATAAGTAAAGGGCCTGTCAGCATTTCTTTTGGAAGTTTACATTCTAAGAGTGTGTAACTCAATCCTAAATTGTGCTGTCAGCTGAAATATGCCATATAAACTTCCAGTGTCATTGCCATTTTTTTAAACATTTGGAATCGCAAAACCCCACATTTTTTTCACATGTGGACATTAATCTAAAGTAGAAGTCAGTAATTGCCAATGCTATCAAATTTTATTCCATCTCAATAAGACAATCTTTTTTAAGAAACCAAGGCTGCCAACACTAAGGAGCATACATAATTAGATTTTTGTGATTCTGCTTTATATCAGTGTTTTGGTGAAATACAATGTGTAGGTGGATGCTGTAATACTGGCTTCCAAGTCATTTGGAGGAAAATAATTATGCCTGGGGCACTGGAAAAATTTCAATTTTGAACTAGATATGTGAAAGTATTAACAATCACGCCTACTGAGATGAACTGTCTACCGGTGACATTTAAAACTAGCCTATTCATTTCTATTCTTTATGGGCTAGATGTCTATTTCAGGAATTTATGGCAAACATCTGATCCAAAAGTAGTTATGTTCTTGACAACAAAAAGTGATAAAGAAGCTGTAGAGAGCAATGAAAATTGATGGGGATAGACAGTGATAAACAGCAAAAGAGACCCATTAAAGGCCAAACGACTGGTGAAGCTGAAGAGAAGGGTCTGAGAGCTAAATTGGAGTGCAGGTTGGTCATTTCACAGGTGCAATCAGCCAGCTCTTACCATTTCTGGTTTGTTTTGGATTGAAATCTGAAGGTAACGTATTAGAGTTTGGGTCTGATGTGATTCTGTGGTTGTGAGAGGAAAAGAAGGATCATGACCTGTGTTTTCAGGGAACTTAATATAATAAAATCAGCAACTTTCAAGTTAAGGTCACAGAGCATTTCTTACCAGGATTGAGCAAAATGAAACTGAATGAGAGTGTCACAGGTAAGTTTCCTAGTGGAGTATGGGATTCTTAATGACTTCTGACTTTTAAAAGAATTTTGTAATTTTCTATTCAGATATTAGGGACTCATATTTAGTCAGCGTTTTTTTTTTTTTCAGCATAAGACTGAAAATACAACACGTTGGTGTTTTAGAAGTGAATTTAAGAATGTGTTTCCCTTTCAGCAAACAAAAATATGACAAAATCATATTGGTTTTCTAGTCTTGAGTTCAGCTAAATCTGGGTTCTTGTCCCATGACCAGGAAAATTTAGGCACATAGTCACATTGAAGGGTGAGGAGGACAGAATTTATTAGACGAAAGGAAAGCTCTCAGCAAAGAGAGGGATTCTCCAAGCAGGCTTCCCCATCACAGATAAATACTAGGCCATGACACATGAGCTAAAGATGCCAGGCTCCTCCCCTGCAAAAGGCATGAATTCCTGGTGGCTTCACACCATTTCGCCAGTGGATGTGGGCCTCCAGTTCATTGAGGGCATGTCCAGGCAAGACCCTGTGCAGGCTCCCAAATCTGCACAAAAATATCTGGTGTAAACACTTGTTGGGGGGGGTTGGAGATTCTCCAGGAACCCTTCCTTATCTTCCTAGGCATTTGTTTGCCTCCTGCCTCTATCAGTCTCATCACCAAAATGCAAATAAAAACTGAGTGGAGAAACTTTTTGTTCTCTTCTCAAAAGTAGGTAGAGGGAGTGCCTACTATCATACTGGGCATTTTGTGTATTAGTTCATTTAATTGTTCATATAGCATCTATCTGAAGAAGGAGTTATTTCCCCTTTTATATAGATTAGAAAGGTTAAATGCAAAAAGGTCAAAATTGCCTGCCAGGTTCACATGAGTAGTAAATTATCAGAAGTGGGCGTCAAGAGGAAAATTCCATCTTTGCCCTCTGAAGATTTGCTAAAGAATCAAATCACAAAAGGCAAATTCATTAAAAAAATTCATACATGTTTATTAATGTGTACATAGAAAGAATCATAGAGTGATTTCCTATCCCCTCAGTGGAGTTCAGAACCTTATGTACAATTTTAAGTTTACAGAAAGAATAAAGGCTTGGATCCTGGCAAAACAGGTTATGGTGACAGAATGGGCTACTGGAGGGAGGAGAAGAAGAATTCTGTTGAGAATTCTGTTAAATGATTTCTAGGGAGAATAAATGGAACTGGGAACAGAGATTAACTTGTAAATAGTTCCCTTTGGAATTTGAATGACCCTGAAAGACAGACATTATTTTATAAAAGGGTCTGTTCAGATTACATTTTTGTCTTTGGTGGGTCCAGACTTTAGGCAGATAAAGGGCTTAAGAGAATGACTTTATCCTGTAGTTTAGGGAAGACAGAGGATTGAGTGATGGTGGGAGAGAGGGAGGTTAGTGAGACCTTAGAGGCTTCTTCAGTTCTGCATGTCAAAGTTTCACATTTTGGGTTACCCATTTGTGATCCCTAACATTCCTCTGTCTGAACTTTTCTAGAAGTTTCACACACTAAACTGAGTTGGTAGCTGTGAAGAGAAAAGTTGAGTTAACAGTTGAGTGCAATGTATCCCCTTAAAGCATCTTTCATTTCAAGGAATAGGCCGGTCCCATTAAAGAGACATGTTTCATTTCAGGAGATGTTATGGTATTCTGAATCTTATGAGGTGGGAGAGTACTTTTGGTTAAAAAAATCAAAAGCTGGAAATATTGTGACAAATTAGTCACAATATTAGAAATTATAGTTTAGGAGTCATGCAGCTGGAGGCTACAAGATTCTGATTCTCCCCAAATTGTTCCTGGGGATAACATCATTATTGTAAAACCTAAGATCAGTGCTTGAGATATTTTGCAGATCCTACACTTGATGGATCAACTGGCACCATTCAGATGCATAAACTGGTTCATCTGATCTTGTGGCCCCCACCTAGGAACTAACAGCACAAGAGAACAGCTTCAACTCTCTGATCTCCAACCTAACCAAGCAGCACTCCCAACTTACTGGTCCCTACTTACCAAAATATCCTTAAAAACTCAGATCCCTGAATTCTCGGGGATATTGATTTGAGTAATAATAAAGCTCTGGTCTCCCGCACGCCTGGCTCTGTGTGAATAACTCTTTCTCTATTGCAACTCCCCTGTCTTGATAAATCGGCTCTGTCTAGGCTGTGGGCAAGGTGACCCTGTTGGACAGTTACAATTTCCTGGCTGGGAGTCAAACCCTGGCTGCAACAGTGAAAGCACAGTTTTAACTATCAGACTATAAGTTGCAGAACTGTAGTCCTCAGACTACAGCCTTTATTGTTAATCCTGCAGAGAATCTAAAGAAAGGCAGTTTGAGTATAGAAAAGATTTTAAATTTGTTTTAGGTCAAATTTTTGCCTTTTAATTTAGTCAAGAGAACTTTAAAGGCTAGTCATGACACTATTATGTGTCTTTGTTTTTAAATTTTGATTTTTTCCATAAATTCAAATAAGGCAATTGTTTAGAATAAGGTACTCTAAAATTACAATTAAAAAAATTTAGAGGTCTTTTTAATTTAAAGGATCTATCTTTGCCCATTGATTAGAATTTTCCATTATAATATTGTAATTTTCAATTACTATAGTGACTCAATCCAATAGCCTCTTCATACAAAGCCCAGGTACTCACACAAAATTCACCTCCAGGAATAAGCTAAGATAGCAAAAGAATCTTGTTGTTACAGATGGTTAAAGGTGGTGTTTGCCTTTGGTTACTCATGAATTTGTAGGGACCCTCAGACCCATTAATTTGTGACACCTATTAATTAATAGGCCCTTCTGGGATGGGACTTTCCCAGCACCAACCAAGCAACAGGGGTTGAAATGACAGAAGCCCCTTATGGATGGGACTTATTAAGAGAAACTTTCCTGAGAGCTTGACACAATCACAACAAAAATTATTGGGTTACCAGCCATTTTCAAACTGGCCACCTGAATGACCCCAAAATCACTCCCTTTGGATTGAGGAGTCTCAAGAGTGAATGCTCTCACTTGGTGACAATTCTCAAAGACATAAAACAAGATGAGAGAGAACTTTATCTGGTACCCTTCTTCATGATAGAACCACAAAGAAAGACAATGACGAAGGAAAAGATCATTTATAGGAGTAAAGGGATCAGCAATATGAATATGCATACCAAATAGTACCAAAAAGTGCACCAGAGTTGCTACCCCCAAGACTAGTAACACAAATTCTTTTCTCTCATTAATCAAAATTTTGGAGGGGAAAAAGAAGTCAACAGTGATTTTTGCCATCTGCTTGACTGGATTCCATCTAGAAAGAGAGGCTAGGAACCTGTCTGATAAGAGTTTCTTAACCTTCTGCCAGCTTGTCAGGTCCTGGGTTCCCTTAACTTTGGCTTCCAAAAGAGTAGAGCCTTGGTATCCCGCTCTTAGGGTCAAAACTGTAGGGGCCAAGGGAAAAACTTCCCCTCCTCTCTCTGAAGGTTCACGGAAAAATCGACTCAGAAAAGGCAGATTAATTGAAGAAAAAGCAAACAAATGTATTAACATGAGTGCATGAGGACAACCACCGAGCAATTACCCACCACTTCCAGTGGAGCTCAGAACCTTATATAACCTCATGAGCTTACAGGAAGAATAGGGGCTTGGATCCTGGCAAACAAGTTATGGTGGAAGAACAGGCTATGGTAAGAAGAGAAGAGGAATCTTGTTGAGGGGCAATAAATAATGGCTAAGGAGAACGAATGGAACTGGGAACAAAGATTAACTTATAAACAGTTATCTTTGGAATTTGAATGAGCCTGAGAGACAGGCATTATGTTAAAAGAGTCTTTTCAGGTGTGGTTACATTCTTCTCTTTGGGGGGTCCATACTTTAGGCAGATGAACTTTAGAGAACAACTTCATCCTGTGGTTTGGGGGAGACAGACAATTAAGAGTTGGTGGGAGATGGGGTGGGTGGTCAGATAGACTTTGAAGCTTCTTCAGTTCAGCGTGTCAAAGTACCATCACTTGGGGTATCAGTTTCTAAGCCCCACCACAGAGATAAGTCTTTCTGGCATCAAGTCCATTCTCTTGCTGTGAAAACATATCATCTTCCATAGAAAGTGTCAATCTGATATGTTATTTTTAGGATTAGTAATTTTCTCAAAAAATTAAAATACTCTGATGATTCATATTTCAGCTGTTATCCATTAGTGTATACTAATCAATGCATAACACTTAAGGTTTTACAAACTGGCTTTGTAAATTCCAAAGCTGAGACATGATCATGACACTCTTGTTGATTGACAAATAAGATTGTTAAATGCATCAGGGCAAAAACGTTGTCTTCTACTTTTTTCTAGTAACACTTCTATCCTCAACTCTCAGCACACTGCTGGGCTTGAAGTAGGTTCTCAAAGAAAGTTTCTGATATATCTAAATGTCATCTAATAGCATTTGAACATCCATAAAGATAAGGACATTTATGTAGCTTCTTTTATATCTACAATGAAATATGAGCTCTCTTTATTTTATTTTACTGTAGGATGCTGGGTATGCCTGTGTTTTTCTTTGGGACTGTGATCACCCAATGGGTTCGTCCTGCTTGCTGCACAGACAAAACCAATTCACTGAGACCTTGGTATTGCAGTAAAGAAAGAGTTAACTAATGTGAGGCTGTCCATGTGGGAGAAAAGAGTTATCACTCAAATCAATCTCTGCAAAGGCTTAGAGTTTAGGGCTTTTCAAGGATAATTTGGTGGTGAGGGGACTAGGGAATGGGTGCTATTGATTGTTTGGGGATGCAATCATAAGGGTGTGTAAAATGGTCCTTGTGGGCAAGGCATGGTGGCTTATGCTTGTAATCCTAGCAATTTGGGAGGCCGAGGTGGGTGGACTACCTGAGGTTAAGAGTTTGAGACCAGCCTGGCCAATACGGCAAAACCCTGTCTCTACAAAAAATCCAAAAATTAGCCGGCCATGGTGGCATGTGCCTGTAGTTCCAGCTACTCAGGAGGCTGAGGCAGGAAAATCACTTGAACCTGGGAGGCAGAGGTTGCAGCGAGCTGAGATCATGCCACTGCATCCCAGCTTGGGCAACAAAGCAAGACTCCATCGCAAAAAAAAAAAAAAAAAAAAAAAAAAAAAAAAAGGGCACAGTGGCTCACACCTGTAATCTCAGCACTTTGGGAGGCCAAGGCGGGTGGATCACGAGGTCAGGAGTTCCAGTCCAGCCTGGCCAATATGATGAAACCCCATCTCTCCTAAAAACACAAAAATTAGCCAGACGTGGTAGTGCATGCCTGTAGTCCCAGCTACTTGGGAGGCTGAGGCAGGAGAATCGCTTGAACCTGGAAAGCAGAGGTTACAGTGTGCCGAGATTGTGCTACTGCACTACAGCCTGGGCAACAGAGCAAGACTCCTTCTAAAAAAACAAATAAATAAATAAATACAAGGTCTTTATTCACCTCTAGGCTGGGAACCAGAGAATGGTTAAGTCATGAATCACAAGTCTGGATGGGGTCAGTCGGAAAAAACATTTTAAAAGACTAATCCCAGGTTCTACAATAGTGATGGTATCTATAGAAACAACTAGAGAAGTCCTCAGCCACATGAATCCTAAGCAATAAGAATTTATAAAAACTACACCTACATTTTAGTATATTTCAGACCCCTTCTATAATCCTACTCTTGCAGCCTTTCATTAATTTTACAAAGGCAGTTTTTGGTCCCTGAGTAAGCAGGGGGTTAATTTTAGTGGGGGACTATTATCATCCTTGCTTTCAAGTTAAACTATAATCTAAATTCCTCCCGTGGTTAACCTGGCCTATGCCCAGGAATGAGTGAGGACAGTCAGCCTGTGAGGCTAGAAGCAAGATGAGTCTGCCATGTTAAATTTCTCTCATTGTCATGATCTTTACAAAGGCGGTTTCAGGACTTGTGTTTGAGTTAACTTGCCTCTCCCAGGAAAATGCTTGGATTATCTGTTGGCTTCTCTTACACACAAGCTTCTGGATGAGCTCAAAGGAGGAGCTACAGGTAGAAAACTCCTTTGCCCAGCCAAAGGGTTAAGAGCAGAGAAGAGAATATCAACAGAAAGAGCACATTTTGCTTCAGGGTCAAAGTGGCTTTATGGCAGAGGCAGAGCGACAGGCGGTTCTAGGATATGAAGCACCTGCATGGACCCTCTACAGACCCTCTGTTCAGTGAGGAGTCATAGAAATAGGAATGGACCTCAGGATTGTACGAGAAGAAGATGGGAGCCAAACATAGCAATTTAGGTATGGAATCAGGGATCAAATGGTTTATAGTTTTTCCAACTAGTCCCTGACTCCCCACTAACCGCTTTTCTGAACAAGCCTTCCCTGGCATTTCACCTCTTAAAGGTATCTACAGAAGTCACTTATTTCCTTCTCAGACCCAGTCAGAGGAGTTGGGAATTTGTCGTTGATTCCATTGCTCTGTGTTAATTATGAAGACGTACTAGAGATACAAATGTTTACCCAACCAATGGAAAAATATCTCTCAGACTCAATGTGTGCTAAAAAAAAATAGTTTTCCTAACTACTAAATTTATATTACTAAAGAAAGATAATTATATCAATATTCAGTAGTTAAAGTCTCATTTTACAGACTTGTGTCAGCTTTTCTTTTCCTCTAACATCAAATGGTACAACAATTTGAAGAAATATTCTGTACAATTTAAAAATTCAATCCAAAAATGGGATAGCTTGAATTGGCACAATATCTCTTTTAGCCATCTATTCTAAAGTCATTTTTAGAAAGTTCTCAGTGTTTTCCATTTTATGTATTTTCATTCGTGATTGCTCTTGAGTATGGAAAAATAAAATCCCTCCTGTGTGGAAGCCTGATTGCCCATATGTGACTGTCTAAGAGTCAGTCTTAGACATGACTAAATGTGACTGTCTAAGAGTGACCAGAACTAGTTTTGGTAAAAGGGACACTCAGGTCATTGTGGTTCAGACCTGAGACTCTGACTCCAGGCTGGAAATGTAAATGGAACAGTGTCTTGGAGAAAAATGGGCAAAATGTGGAATGAATGGTTCTTTGCTTCCCTATTTTATTTTTTCGTGTCATCATACTGACAGAAGCAACTAAGGAAAGTAAAAGCAATGGTATGAAGTTTTATTTTATAATATATTAAAGAAGATGAGTGCCTTTGGACTGAAAATGAATATAATATATACAAAGTTTGCCTGGAAGCAATTTTTTTTTCCTCATAGACAGTTATAATAAGTTTGTTCTGGAGGCTTATGGGTTTTATAATGGAAATGCTGAACCAAACTTAACAGAGGCATCATGTGAGAGCGTGGATATAATAACAGCTCTGAAACCTCCAGAACAAGAGGACGATGAGATCCTCTGTGAGTAGGAGGAAAAGACTGAGATGTACATAAAAAACGCATGCCAAAAAAAGAACAAATATGTGTTTTCAGTATTGCAGCCCAACATTTTGAATTATTTGGGGAATGATTTGGGTGGCTGTCTTCACAATGGAGTTAATTGGTTTCTTATTTTAGCCACTGCATTGGTTCAACTTCACCCTGTTCCATTCTAAAAATGCATCAGCATATCAGTCAGCTGCAGGGCACTTGACTCAGTGTGCGTGCCTGCTATGAGATTAGGGTAAGTGTATTGGAACTTTAGAACTCAGATTCTGAAAGTTCACAATGATAGGTGATCTCAACAAGCAAAGCAAACCAGATCAAGTTCCAATGAGGGTGAATCTCTACCACCCCTCACAACATTATTTGTATTTTAAATCAATCTATTTGGCCTTGGGTCTCTTTGAGTATGTTACACTTTGAGTGTTTATCCACAACTATCTTATAAAGTTTTGTTGTTGAATTTCCTATGTATTAGACCATCAAATAAAATGGTGATACTTTAGTTGTGAAGACAATTAAAAACAGAATATAATAAAACCAAAGAGTATCAGAACCATCTTTCTTCCTATTAACTTGCACAACTGCACGTGTGTCAGCAATCACAGATTAAGGAAGCAATTAGTCTGAACAGGAAAAACGTGAAGCTGATACTTAATATACTAACAGACTGTGAGCTTGAGAGCCTCTATTTTTGGTATGGTTGCAAGCATCATTGCAAAGATCAGTTCTATCATATCTCATCATGCTAATTGAATTTAAAAAGCCAATACTGGTAAATTGCACCCCTATGTCACAAATTTGCATTCTAGAGATTTATGGACCCTAGAGTTAACTGACATAATGATTTATATCACCTGTGATTAAAAATTGAATGGCTTTGTCTTGATGTTGTTTCTAAGGAATTAGACTCCTAAAACAAGAAATTGTCAAGGAGTAGCATTTAGTGCTTTTCTTCACAGACCACTTCTACAGTGCTTAGGGACATGTTTATGAACAAGCGATGCCAAGGGGAAAGGTAAAAGTGGAATGTCAATTGTATGTACTGAAATAAAGTTCATAGAGCTGTTGAATGTAAGCAAATAGGGGAGGAAAATTAAGGCAATTTTCTTTCCAAGAGCAACTGTTTTTTCCTCTGCTTCAATCTTCCATTCTCTTTTGGTCCACTGACTCCTCACTTCCCACCCCCATCACACACATGTGCACACACATATAGACCCACACACACATACACACTTGTATTTAATGAAAATCTTTAGAAATGGATAGAAATTACGTTCTTCAGATACTTTCTCAGTTCCCATGCTCAGTAGCAATCAGTGCTTCCAAAATATCTTAAATTTCTAAAGTAGACTCTGAGCAGATAAAAAAACATCAGAATAAACAGGTATTTGTGAAATTACTGATAAAATGCAAGGATTTAAATCTTCTTTATAAGTTATAATAAACAAATGCAATAGTACTTCTAAAAAATTCTGTTTACTTACTGGTCATTTCACCCAAGGTAGGAACCATTGACTTACTTTTATAAAATAATCACTTTTTCATTCACCTGGAGTGGTAAAAAATGGTTTTTAATTAATCAGCACAATTGTCAATCTTTCAGAAAGAAAATAAACCTGGATTTTATTTCACATTAAAAACTAAACTATAGGCCGGGCACAGTGGCTCACGCCTGTAATCCCAGCACTTTGGGAGGCCGAGGCCGGCGGATCACCTGAGGTTAGGAGTTCAAGACCAGCCTGACCAACATGGAGAAACCCTGTCTCTACTAAAAAAAAAAAAAAAAAAAAAAAAATTAGCCAGGTGTGGTGGCACATGCCTGTAATCCCAGCTACTCGGGAGGCTGAGGCAGGATAATCGCTTAAACCTGGGAGGCGGAGGTTGCAGTGAGCCGAGATCGTGCCATTGCACTCTAGCCTGGGTAACAAGAGTGAAACTCTGTCTCAAAGAAAAAAAAAAAATCAACCCCCCCCACCAACAAAAAAACTAAACTATAGATGCACTAAATATTTAAATTTAAAAAACTATATAAATTATACATACTACAAATACACATATATAAAAATCTATGTATAATCCAGCAGTTCGGATGGATTGTGTAATAAAGACAAAATTCCCTGCTATAAAAACAAAAATCCCAACTAAAACAAATAAAAAAACTACATTTGACTATATAAATGTTTACAAAAAATATTTCTATGGTAAAATATAATACACACAAAGTTGATAGCAAATGATTGAGAGAAATATTCACAATGCTTATGAGAGATCAACAATTATAGAATAAAATGAGCTACTAGTTATGAATTGATATGAAAATGACAAAAAGAAACAATAGAAAAATGAACAAAGTGCATGAATAGGTAGTTCACAAAAGAATAAATTCAGCGAGCCAATAAGCATACTGACAGCAGCTCAGTCTCACTGGTAATCGGGAAATGCTTGCTTTAAAAAATGACACACACCTTACACTTAGAAATAAAAATTATAAGAAGGAATAACACTTCTTGTAGGGGTCATAGAATAAAAGATAGGCTCACATTTTGTTCATAGAAATGATATTTTTTAAAGCTTTCTTAGAAAGAAATCTGGCAACAGCTATTAAAATTTAAAATGTACACACTCTTCAACTCAGCATAGCCTCAGCTGGGAATCTATTCTATGGAAAAAGAAAACACTAGCTCATATGAAAACTGAAAACAAAGTGGATGTCCATCAAAAGGAGAATGTTTGAATAAATTAGTGTTAATCCATAACATGCAATAATTTAGCTAGGGAAAATGTAAAATTTTCTCTGGGGCAGTTGACTTAGGAGACATTTTCAAGATGTAGTATTAAATGATATAAACAGAAGACTGATAAGCACATAGACTCCAATCATTCTAAGTAAGACAAACAATAACAACCTCTTCTGCATGATTTGAGAATAAAAAGGAAGAAAAAAATAGAAAAAAGGGAAAATTTAAAAAATAAAAATAAGAAACTTTTTATTGTTATGTATTCATAATTATAAGTTATGAAAGGACACCCACCAGATTGTCAATACTGGTTGTACAGGTAAAGGGGGAAGAGAAGACAAGCAAAAGTGTACAAGAAAATGGAAAGAAGTCAATAATAAAAACAGTGTTTGCTATCATCTCGATTATGCAAATATTTACCAACATTTTGCTTGTGGAAATTTCAAAGCGGTGACATTTCAGGGGATTTATTTTTAGTTTTATTTTTTGAGACAGAGTCTCCCTCTGTCACCCAGGCTGGAGCAGTGGCATAATCTCGGATCACGGCAACCTCTGCCACTTGGGCTCAAGAGATTCTCATGCCTCAGCCTCCCAAATAGCTGGAATTACAGGTGCCTGTCAAACACCCAGCTAATTCTTGTATTTTTAGTAGAGAAGGGGTTTCACCATGTTGCCCAGCTGGCCTCAAACTCCTGGCCTCCAGTGATCTGCCTGCCTCAGCCTCCCAAAGTGCTGGTATTGCTGGCATGAGACACCATGCCTGGCCAATTTTCAGGAGATTTATATCCTATAGTTATAGCTGAGAACCTAACTTTGGGAATAAGATGGGTCAAGTAACTATAAATAGTTCCGAGCTACCTAAAAGAAGATTTGAATACTGTGGGAATTTTGTTTTTCCCTACAAATAAGATTACTGAGGCATTCCCTCTCTTTCCCATTTAGAGAACAGGTTTTCCCCAACTCTTCAATTAAGTGTCTATGCTTCAATCCTCCACAGTATAAGGGAATTGGGAACTCATAAAAAATCTTAAATGAGAATCCTGCTAGGGCAGTCTCTGCAGGAAAGGCTGTGCTGTGTTGGAAACGGCTCCTGGAGTTTGGTGGAGAAAGGATGCCTACATGTTTCTGGTGGGTAAGACGTAGATTCCACTTAAGGGATCCAGACTGGGGTCATCTGGAAGAGTGCTTTGTGCAAGAGTTCCACCCAGATGATTAACTGAGCCCAAAGGAGGGTGCTGCAGATGATAATTGCATTCCCCTAAAATTCATACATTGAAATCCTAACCTCTAGTGTGATGATATTAGGAAGTGAGGCTTTGTGAGGTGATTAGGTCATGAAGGTGGAGCCCTCATGAATGTAATTAGTATCCTTATAAAAGAGACCTGAGAGAGCTCCCTCATTCTTTGTATTATGTGAGGATACCAGGAGAGGGCACCATCTATGAATTAATGATCCAGCCCTCACGAGACACTGAATCTTCTGGCACCTTGATTTTGCACTTCCCAGCCTAGAGAACTGTTGACAAATATATGTTTGTTGTGAAAGTCACCCAGTCTATAGTATGTTTGTTATAGAAGCCTCAATGGACTAAGACAGAGGGTGTCTGAATGGCACATGCTAGTGAAGGCTAGTCTCAGGGGGCATATTTCTAATTGATGACCAGAGGAGGCATTGCCCACATCATGAAGTAGTTTCAGCATCAAGTGTCTTTCTACAACCATCAAAAGTGTTGCTTGAGAGAAAGAAGTCAGATTGAACATCTGTCACAGCAAGAGAGTAATCATGTCAAATTGCAACTATGCTAGTCATGTGAGACTTTTTTCTCTTACCTTCCTCTCTTCCCAACAACTCCTCCTCACTACTGTTCCACCACACTCACCTGCAACTCTGTACAGAAACAATGTAAGAAAAATGGACAAAACCCACTCCCTCTCCCACAGCAGACTTCCAAGCCTGAGCCTGGAAGAGAGAAGCCTTAAATTGAATGAGATGCTGAAATGCTGTTAGTAGACTGCACTACAAAGTTCTTCTCTGAATATGGAAATCATTTATTAATTCATGCAAATGTCCAAGAAAATTATAGGCCCCACTTGAAATCTCATTCAGAGATAGGGGAAAACAAGTCAAACAGGGAGATTTAAAGAAGTGCTAACAGGCCGATGTGGTGGCTCACATCTGTAATCCCAGCACTTTGGGAGGCCAAGGTGGGTGGATAACTTGATGTCAGGAGTTAGAGACCAGCCTGGCCAACATGGTGAAACCTTGTCTCTACTAAAAAAATAGCCAGAAGTATGGTGAGTTCCTGTAAGCCCAGCTACTTAGGAGGCTGAAGCAGGAGAATTGCTTGAACCCAGGGGGCTGAGGTTGCAGTGAGCCGAGATCATGCCACTGCACTCCAGCCTGCATGACAGAGCAAGACTCTGTCTCAAAAAAAAAAAAAAAAAAAAAAAAAAATTGCTAACAATGCTGTTTGTACTTCACTGAGTCTGGCTCTTTGAATGAATTAACTGAGTTCATTCAATGAGTTAAGTACAGGTCTGCTTTTATGGGTGGTTAAAGAGTATTTAAATGATTATGCATTTTTTATAATCAGATAAAGAAATCTAAACTGTTTCCTTTGTGAAAAGAGAATTACATTCAGCACTTCAAAATACAAAAAAAAAAAAAAAAAAACAAATTGTAACATTGGAGTAGCTCTGACTGAGGGCCCCATCCACAGGGCCTCTTCCTCAGCACCGATCCTCACTCCATTCCCACTTAGTATCGTCTTCACCCCCTCTCCCCATCTTTAAACAGTTAGGCTCCTTCACAGAACCTGAGGGATTTGTGGTGCACAGTGTGAGCATCACTGATTTAGAGCATGCATAGCAGGTGGTTTCTAAGAGATAATAATAATAATAAAAAGGTTTTTAGAGTACCTACCATGTGTCTGTCACTTCACATGTTATCTCTTTAATCTTCATAATAACCCTTTGATAAATTCCAATACTACTCTTAGAAGCTGAAACTTATAGTAATTAACTCAAGGTTACCTGGTAAAAGAATTGAGGAGTGAGTCTAGGTTTGTCTGATTTTTGATGCTTCTGATTTTTACATGATGATACTATACCACACAGTGTGGATAGGTAAAATTGAGTTACTGAAGTCTACTGAAAATAGATTTCCAGAAATCCACTGCCCTTTGTCAATGAGGGAGAACATGAAGAGTCCTGAAAGAAGACAGAGTCACATAAGCATCTTCCTCTGCACTATTAAATAGCTCTCTTTCATCTAAGAGCTCACCCAATACTAAGACTCACCTTTTTTTCTTTTTTCTTTTGGAGGGGGGACAGAGTCTCGCTCTGTCATCTAGGCTGGAGTACAGTGGCCTGATATCAGCTCACTGCAACCTCTGCCTCCCGGGTTCAAGTTATTCTCCTGCCTCAGCCTCCCAACTAGCTGGGATTACAAGGGTGCACCACCACGCCAGGCTAATTTTTTGTATTTTTAGTAGAGATAGAGTTTCACCATGTTAGCCAGGATGGTCTTAATCTCCTGACCTTGTGATCCACCTGCCTCGGCCTCCCAAAGTGCTGGTATTACAGGCGTGAGCCACCGCACCCGGCCTAAGACTCACCTTTTTAGTAATCTAAGAGGAACTGAATGATCTGATGAGGTCTGGGAGATATAAAGAATTTGGTCCATTGCCTTGTTATATGTCTGGGAATTATTCCTTATATAAGGATAAAATTGGTATTCTTTTACCCAATGCTGTTAAGATAATGAATAAGGCCGGGCGCGGTGGCTCACACCTGTAATCCCAGCACTTTGGGAGGCCGAGGCAGGCGGATCACGAGGGCAGGAGATCGAGACCATCCTGTCTAATGCGGTGAAACCCCGTCTCTACTAAAAATACAAAAAAATTAGGCTGGCCTCGTGGCGGGTGCCTGTAGTCCCAGCTACTCAGGAGGTTGAGGCAGGAGAATGTCCTGAACCCAAGAGGCGGAGCTTGCAGTGAGCCGAGATTGCACTACTGCACTCCAGCCTGGGGACACAGAACTCTCAAAATGGAAGGTAGTTATGAATCATTCCTTCACTCAGTCAGTCATCAAATATTTGCTGAGTCCCCACTATGTTCCAGGTACTAGTGCAGAAGAGACAATATAATGAAAAGCAAAATCAACAAAAGTTATGACCTCCCAGATCTTACAATGTACAGGTAGAATATCCCTTATCCAAAAGGCTTTGGACCGGGTGTGTTTCACATTTCTGATTTTTTCTGATTTTGGAATATTTGCATTCACATAAGGAGATATCTTGGGGATGGGACCCAAGTCTAAACACAACACTCATTTATGCTTCATATATTCCTTATACACATAGACTGAAGGTAATTTTATACAATTTAAGAAATAATTTGTGTAAAATACAAAGTTTGCATAGATTGAACCATCAGAAAGCAAAAGAATGGCTATCTCAAGCACCGTGTAAATACTTCCTACTTTTTTTTTTTTTTTTCTTGAGACCGAGTCTCCAACTCAGCCTCTTGAGTACTACAGGTGCCCATAACCATGCCCAGTTTACCATCCTCTTTCTTTCCACTGCTAGCCATGGGAATATTTACAGGAATTTTTTTGGTGACATTTTCCAGCAATATCTTTATACCATAGAACAGAGAATGAGAGAAAAAAAAAAGCATACGGAGTAATGCATGTAGGCCTTGGCCCCATGTAGAGCAACATGTAGAGCAACCTGCTGTTGGTGCATCTGGCCTGCACACATGCCATTTTATTACCCTTTGTGGGCATGCTTGTGTGGGGAAATATGGGCTTGTGTGGAAAAGATATATCACAGATGAAGAGGGCTGGGAGGGTCTTTTTTTCCTTGGATATGTTAAATAAACTGTGTGTATTGCATCCATGTTTTGACTGCCACCTCTCACATGAGGTCAGGTGTGGAATTTTCCACTTGTGACGTCAGGTCAGCACTCAAAAAGTTTTGGATTTTGGAGCATTTTGGATTTGAAGATTTTTGAAATTAGGAATGCCCAAGCTTTGAGCAGGTATTGTAGAAATGACATTAATAAACAAATAAGAATATATTTATAATATCATGTCAGATAATACATATTTTGAAGAAATATAAAGTAGGCTGTGTGTACAGCACAATGGGAGCTGTTACTTTAAAAACTTCTAAGATGACATTCAAAACCTGAATAAATCTTGTAGCTCTATGTGGAAAAGTGTGTTTCAAGCAGAAGGATGAGCAGGTACAAAAACCTTGGGAAGAGATATGCTTGTTATTCTACAGGAGAAACAAGGAGGCCAGAGATGAACTACTTTAAGGGTGTCAGAATAAAGTTAAAGATGCAGACTAGATAGATTTTGTATTATTATGTGACAATATTTTGTTTCATCTTAACACTCTCTCGTATATCTTTTAAACACACTGAGGATAGGAGAATAACTTCTCATGGTAACCCTAAACAAGATGAAAGAAAACTAAAAAGGTATGGGCTGAACCCCATTATCACCACTCGGTCTGAAGGGCCAGGGCAATGAGTACCTTACTGGAACCCCAAAAAGAGCTGGAGCTGGAGCTATAGCTATGGGGACCAGTCAGAAGCTGCAGCTTGTCATTGGGCATCGGAGACACTGCCAACCCTCAACCCCAGTGATGGAGCTGGGAAAATAACCCAGATCTCTCTCTTCACTCTCCCTTCAGTCTCCTGTTCTCTTCATTGGCCAAACCCAATTAGGGGTCAGAGTGGCCCAAGGGACCCAGATGAAACAATATATAGGGATCCACTTCCTGGTGCCCAAAGCAGGGCGGAAAATGATAGAAAGAAAATCTGGTAGGTCAAAGAATATCTGGGTCAGAGAGAATACCTAGTACATTTACATTTTATAAATGAATTTATTAACTAATATTTTTGTATGCCTACCTAACCCCGTGTTAAGTGCAATGGGGTATTTCAAATGTAAAAAGCAATATTGGTCCTCAATGAACCTAGTTTTTGGAAAGAGTTAGATATGATACCAATGTAGAGTTAAAAAGTTAAAGTTCAAACCTTGGAGTTATGGTGTAAATTTGGGTAACTAAATTAAAACATTTCGGAATTGACTTTCTCATCTATGAAAGAACAGAAATGGTACTTTCCTCATTGGACTATGTTGAAGATTAAATGAGTGGATTCACGTAAACCATTTAGGACAGCTCTTGGCACACTCTAAGCACTTAATAAGTTGGCTATTAGAATTATTGGCCAAGCCTGATATAAAAGCCAAAGCCCTACAACTGTTCCCTCCCTAGTGGAGGGAGGATAACTCTGGAGGGGACTAAATGAGACATTTCTAAGGTCTATACTAGGTATTAGGATTTCATGACAGTTCCTCAAGGTCACAGTACAGGTATAGGCACTGTCAGAAATGCTGCCTATTTCCTACATGAATTTAACCAACCAAGCAGACTTCCTCCCTCCTTCGAGTCTATAAACTCTATAAAGCAACCCTACTCAGTATGGACATAAATGAAATATTGCATCAACTATTTAAATGTTCTAAAAAGCATATATTAAGGAAGATGGTATTGATGATCTAAAATACTTACTGGCACTTGAATCCAATGTAGTAAAGGCATTTTATAAATCAGCCGACAGCCCTTGGGTACTGAATCTAAATTTTGAGTTTGTGAGCCATATATCACAGATGTCTTTTTGCAGGCTATGCTTTCCCCCTTGGAAAGCTATTTATTATTTTTATCAATATTAATGTAATTGCCATTTTTTTTTTAGATGAAGTATGTGCGTCTATCCGTATCTGACTTGGACAAGTTTTTCTCAGATCAATGAGAAGCATACTGCTGGCTTTTCCTTTCTCTGTAAAATGTTGGAATGTTTATCGCTAAGTTTTTTTTTTTTTAAACCAAGTGTCACTAAGTAGTTGTAATTTTAATTTATTTTATACTTTGGCTAATGGACATTTCTAATCAATAAAATACTAGGAATTTTCCCTTTGCAAGACAGAAATCAGCTATTAACTAAAATGGCAAAGTAAATTACCCCCTATCCCCTTACAGCACATGAGACTTTTGGAGAACTTATTTTTCTCCTGTGGTTGTGCCATGCACAGGTGCGGTAAGAAAGAACAGGTAGCACCTCTTTCTCATGTCATCATTTCTTTATTAAGTAACAGTGATATTTTATTAAAATATTAAGGGTTGAAAGGAAGCTCAGAAAATGCTGAGAGAAAATCTTGCCTTTTGTAAATAAGAATATGTGGAAATTCAACTTGGTAACCTTAGTTTGACTAGCTTTTAAAATTTTCTCTGTTGCTAAGGGAACTTAATGATAGATATAAAAATGTCCTTAAAGCAAGTTCTTCGAACAAGCTTTTGCACAACCGTCATCACAGCATTTATAAGCGGCAACCCCATCAATATGGAAGAGAGAAAAGCTAGAAGTGAAAATTGCATCATCCCTCCTATATCAGACAAGTTAATTAGTTGGTCCATAATCACAGACTCTGCTCCAAATGAAAAGCACAGCTTTGTTCCTTTTGAACAGAAAGGCACAGAAGGTACAATACCCACATAATTCATTAACAGTAATACTGTTTTGAAGGAAGAACTGCTGAATTTAGATTATTCTGAACTCCAACTCGTAATAGCCAAAGTTGTGATAAGAATTTTGCAGTTTCCCAAAACAAATTTAAAATGTGAGAAATTCCTTTTGTGCCTATCAGAAGCAACCTTAAGAGTCTGGCAGATTGTATAAGATGCTTTTTATTTTATTTATTTATTTTTTATTTTAAAGATATTAGGATACTATTTGGGGTACAGTATAAGCTATGGAGCCTTGTTATTGAAGAACCAGTTAAGCATGTCAGATCCAAAGTAGCTCCTAAAACAACTTGAAAAATGGGAAATTTGGGATCTAAGTTCCGGATTGTAATGTTTTAACCATCTATTTAGAATAATTTAAAGAATGTATCTGTATATTAGTGTCTACGGTTCTAGAAGTTTCAATGATTAGAGAAAAAGGGCTTGAAGGTCATGAAGCCTGTTACAGGTGGAAAGGAAATGCTGACTGATTAGAGAGTCAGGAAGCTGGAAGGCTAAAACAAGAGAGTGAACTAGAATAGGCTGCTAGTTCACCGCTAACTCTCTGCCCCCTCAAATCTACCTGGAGAAACTGCAGAAGCAGAGAGAAGCCTGAGTCTGGAAGAGGCATAGGGGGCTGCCTGGTCAAACCACAGCTCTCGGAAGACAGTGGGGACAGAGGCTTTCAGTTATCTTGCCTCTGACTCGTTGGTCCATCACTTCGGGACTGTTCTTACCTCACAATTGTCACAGAATTCTGTAGCAATAGCCTGGACCTCGAAATGCCAGGAAGGTAATATTTGGGTCTGCAAAGTCTCTGCTAGTGTGGGACACTAATAAAACAGATGCCAGCTATCAGGGATCTTATAAATTCTCTTCAAATGCTAGAGCTAATAGATTTTGTTTTAAAAAGACTGCACCATCTTGAAAAATATGATTCAGGAGATTTGTTGGTGGAGTGGCACAGACGTAATGGGGACAGGTTTTGGTACTTCAAGGCTCCCCATTTAGTCTCATCCTCTTTGTGATTAAACTCAAAAGCGGAAATACAGTGTAGGCTCTTCCCTAATTTATATTATCAGGTAGTGTCATGAGCTCATGGGGGATAAAACTTCTAGATACTAGGGACAATAATCTTTAAAAGGAAGGTGGCAAGCTAAAAATAATATCATATGAAAGAGAATTATTGGAAAAGATGGACTAAGAATATAAAATAAGTTTAACCGAAATACTCTAAGGAAAAAGAAAGTTGGTAATGGCTGAGTGCAGTGGCTCACACCTGTAATCCCAGCACTTTCGGAGGCCAAGGTGGATGGATCACCTGAGGTCTGGAGTTTGAGACCAGCCTGGCCAACATGGTAGAACCCTGTCTCAACTAAAAATACAAAAAGTAGCCGGGCATAGTCGTGTGAGCCTGTAATCCCAGCTACTTGGGAGGCTGAGGCAGTAGAATCACTTGAACCCAGGAGGCTGAGGTTGCAGTGAGCTGAGATCACACCACTGTACTCCAGCCTTGGCAGCACAGTGAGACTCCATCTCAAAAAAAAAGAAAAGTTAAAATGTGGAAGAAGTCATAAGAATGAATCAAGTGGAGATAGTAAGTATGAGAACTATAATAGTTAAAAAAAAAAAAAAGATCTGAAGACCCAAAAGATTCAGCTGAAGAAAGAATTAGTTTGTCAGAAGATTATATTGAACACTTTCAGAAGATAACAGAAAAACATAAAATTAGAGAAAACATTACAATAAACTAAAAGACTTGGAAAATAGAAATAAAAAATGCGAACATCCAGTTACTTGGATTCTCAGAAAAAAGATTGTGGTGGTGGTGGTGGGCAGAAGGGGCAAAGAAAAGACATATTAAAAAAAATAAAGATTATTAATATCCCAGAAATAAAGAAAAATACCAGATCTCTTATTTGAAATGACACATAAGATAAACTTTTGGGACTAAAGTTTACTCATCACTAAAATCGGGATAATAAAATGTCTATCTTAAAATATTATTGAGAGGATAAAATAAGTTAATATATGTAAAACCCCTAGAATAGTGCCTTGCACATAATCACTTGTTAATTATTAGCTATTATTATTACTTAGACATATTACAATTAAATTCTAGAACAATGAAGAGAAATGGAAATGCTTCCAGAGAATGAGCATACCTACCAAGGAAAAATATTTAGATTGATCCCAGGCTTCTTAACATTGTAATTACATTTGAAAACTAAGGACGTTAGATTCAATCAACCTTCAGAATATTGACCATATAAAGAATCACTTTGAGAAACTCTTGAAGAATGTATTGAAATAAGAAGATGCATAAATATATAAGGAATATATGATGTTGGGCCCCACATTTTGAGGATATTATAATAATTTTTCAAAGCATGGATGAAGCAAAATATGTAAATTCTAAATAGCATCAACACTGTTTTGAAGCTGGGAGACAACAAAAGATGAAAATGGTGTGAACTTGCAAAGTACAAATATTGCTATATTTAAGAAACCAATGAAAAATACGGGGAAACCAGTAAGTATAGATATTAAGTTAGAAGCAAGAATAAAAATAGACAGTGAGAATTTTCATGTACTTCTTGTATTCTAGTGCTTCATTAGTCAAATTATATAGGCACATATACTGTGGGATGCATTCTAGTGCTTAATTAGTCAAATTATATAGGCACATATACTATGGCCCTGCAACTTCATTCCTGGGTCTGCATCTCAAAGAAATTACTACAAAGGTCCATATAGGGGTAAGTATGAGAGTGTTTGTTGAAACAGTAGTTGGGGTGTCCTGGAGGCGTAAAACACTGGGTGAATGGATGAGTTAAGTTAGCAAAGTGGCAGCAAAATTACTCCAGCAGCAGCCCACAAACTGCATATGACAGGGACAGTGATATCACTGAACAGTCATTGCGACTCATGTAATACGGGGAAGGGGCTCGTTGCAGGTGTTGATGAAAGTTGAACCTCTAGAAGTACTGGTGGAGATGGAGAGAGGAAGTCATTACGGGCCATGAATGGCACATTGACAAGGCTGGGAGGAGCCCTGTGGTTGGAGTGGGGTAATGCTTTTTTGTGGGCTCTGAATATCACATCGTTCTCAGTCTTGCATTGGCAATTGTGGATCTATAAAAGTACAAAGAAGGGAAAGTGAGAAAGAAAATCTGGTTTTATCACTACATGAATTAAGGCAATAGGTTTAATGTAAACTATTGGAAAGGCTCTTAAATATGAAGCAATGTTGAAATTCAAAGGGATCCAGGGTGAATCATTAGCTCTGGTTGAAAATCCTCCATCACTTTTTGTACATTTTCAAACTATGTTACATATATTAAAATAAGAATTGCAAAATCTTGCAAATTGTAGAATCAATCATTTTTTAAATTCATGTAAAGGCTTAGCTATCATAGACCCATAGGATGGTAGTTAAGTGCTTAGCTCTAGGACAGACTATGTATGTTTAAAGCCCAGCTTTATCATGCATAAGTTTAATGAAATAATATATGCAAAATATCTGTACACAGTAACTGTTAAATGTTTTCCTTATTCTACTTAATTAATCTGGTTGAAGAAGTAAATCTTCATTAATGTGATTTATAAATCACATTTATGGACTGGATACGAATTGGGCAAAGCTGAAGTGTTGAATTCATCTGATCCTCATTGCTCAGCTGGGCTCAATTTAAGACCCAGATGCATTAGCCTCTTGAGGAGAGTTAGGTTGGCTAAACAGAATTTTGGATTCTGTGTTTAATCAATTTACATAGAACAGAGTTGATCTAGTATTCCATAGCGGGCTCTGAGGTTCTTGATTAATAAAAAGTGATGCAAGTTACAAATTTATTTTTGATGTGACATAAATTTGCACCATTATTCTTATGTATTAACTTATAATGTTGTAGTATATAATTATAAAAATGATTATTGTCATTTGTATCATTAAATATGTATTTTTAGGCAAAATAAAATGCTTGTTTTACTGTATAATTTTTAATCATTTCAAGTTTCATGCTTAACTATATGCTTTTTGACATTTGGACTCTGAATATCATAGTTTATGATATATGTAGTGAGGTTTATTAGATATTTACTTTTTTCTCTAGCTTGTGAGAATATAATTAATATAGGCAATTTAGCATGTTAAACAGCTTACAGATTTAGAATGAAGAAAATGCTAGAAATAACAAATATATTTGTCAAAACATACGTAAACATGAATTAAGAAAATTTATAATGATTTAGGTACTCATGCTCATTTTTAGATAACTTCAATAGTAAATGAGAGACCAAACTGCTTTAAGAATGGATGTGTCTTATATACAAACATATAGAGGGTAGGGAGTCTACTTACTTCTTTTTTCACTTACATTTTTTTTTCTGTGTGTGAAAGATAAATTTAGGAAGAGAAAGACAAAGAAGACTTGAGTTACTTTTGATTTAGTTGAACACTTATCAATTATTTAAATATTTAAAAAAATGTAAATATGACTCATTTCTCAAAGATAGGAAAGAAGACTAGGAACACCAACCAGAGCTTCAGCTCTGTCATAATTATGAGATTAAATTAAAATTCAATTTCCTCTGGGAAGTTTTCCCTGATCCTCAGCTGGAAGTAATTTCTTCCTCTTCTGACTTTCCAGAACCTCTCCTAAAGCACTTAAGGCCTTGTATTGTAGTGATTTACGAATGCTCTCCAGGGTCTTATGATATTGCAAAATTATAAAGTAATTGAGTAGAGGATTTATATCTGATCCCGCTTCAGTCTGGAAGCAGTGGTTTAAAATAGAAGAGTATGGAGTTTAGAATCAGTGAGAACCCGGTTTCAAGCCAAGCTCTGCCACTTCCTAACCATTTGAACTGCAGCAAGTCATTAATTTTCTTTGCGCTTTGACTTCCTTATATATAAAAGAATGATAATCATACTTAGTTCATAGCATCTGGGAAAGATTTTATGAAATAATTCATTAACTGCTCCCATCCCCTCACATATATTCATTAAACCTCAGCTCTTTTCTTTCATATTGCTGATAAACATTCCTTTCCACCATGTAAAAGGTGTTCCTATGAACACACAATGAGTCACTCATTTTGCAACTGCAACTATCACTTTTGAAAAGGCAGTATCACTATGATGTTTGGTATGGCTTGTGGGCTGCACTTTATTCCCATCCCCCACTGCTGTTTTTTTAATTTATTCGATGGGACCAGTATTTCCCTTTCTCCTAGATGAAATTTAAGGAAAACATGTTTCTTGTCATTTTAACACAATGGTTTAACACAACCTTGCTCAGCAGTTCATAGGTCTCATTTCATGTAAGAATTAAAAGTTCGAAGATTATTTAAGTTGCAGCTACTTCCCTTTTCTCAGCTCAGTATTGTTGCAGTTTTGTCATTGCCTAATGGGTTGATGGAGAAGCAGATTGGCCTCTTCTGTCTTCCACTGACTTATGCTTCTAACCCTAGAGACAGAAAAATGAACAGGTGACTAATACTATCATGAATTGGTGCCTGACTCACAGACTATTGTTGTTTTGCTTTACTTATTTTAAGATGCAATTTTATCTCTTAGAATAGTTTTAATTGATTCTTCAGGAACCATTCCCACCCAGGCCCATTGTTGGGAATTTTATATCTGCAGTCTCTTTGATGTGAATGAAGTACTTTCTCTGGCTGAATATGAGGTTCTCATTGGCTTCAAATTGTTGATGAATATTTCATTTATATTTTTAAATAATATTTATTGAGCACCCATTATGTGTCAGAAACTCTTCTAAGTGGATTAGCGAAAAAAGATTTCCAATTTGGAAATATATATTTTAAAGGAGGAGACAAAACAATAAATAATAGACATAATTAATAAGTAGCTAACATAATATGTTAGAAAGTGACATATACTCTGGGAATAAGAATTAATAAAGCAGATTAAAGAGGATTGGGAATGCTTTTGTGGGACTAAGTCAAAATTTTAAGTGGGGTGATCACTGTAGTTCTTATTGAGAAGGTAGGTTGCAGCTTCTCCCATTCCTACATGCTCACCCTTTGCAATGTGGGTTTGCTGCTCAAAGGGTGGAAACTCACTTTCCATCCCTTGAATATGGGCTTGGACATGTGATCGCTTAGGGTAATATACATTAAAAATCAAAACAACCATCCTGGCTAACATGGTGAAACCCTGTGTCTACTAAAAATACAAAAACTTAGCCGGCCGTGGTGGCAGGCGCCTGTAGTCCCAGCTACTCGGGAGGCTGAGGCAGGAGAATTATGTTAACCCGGGAGGCGGAGCTTGCAGTGAGCCGAGATTGCGCCACTGCACTCCAGCCTGGGCGACAGAGTGAGACTCCGTCTCAAAAAACAAACAAACAAACAAACACAAAAAATATTAAAACAAAGCAAAGGCATAAAAATTGCTTGTGTTTTGGGGTTTCATCCTCTCTTGCTGCTGGGGAATTCTCTGCCACCAAGTAAAGAAATCTCATTTTGCATTCTGGAAGATGACAGCCCAGCTGGAGGTAAAACTTTCAGCTTTCCAAACCCTTTCAGCTCAGGTTCTAGCTGAGGCTAAAGACTTCCAACCAAGAGTAATTGTAGACCACCGAGCTTCAGTTGAGCAGGCATGGACAAGAAGACAAGTAGCCAACCCACATAATCATGATGAAAAACAAACTGTCATTGCTTTAAACCACCAAAATTTGTGGTTATCCATAGCTAACTGATACACTGACATTTTTTAAAGGCTTGGAGGAAGTCACAGTGTGTGCCCTGTGGATGGCTGAAATAGTAAATATCCTGTGAAAATCCCCTAAAGCACAAGGGAGACTATAGGGTTGAGGAAGGGAGAGGGGTAGGATGACAAGGAGAAAAGGGAGGGATGTGGAAGGGAAAACCCAGATTATGTATACTATTGTAAATACTTTGGCTTTTACTTTGGGTGAAATGGGAATTTCACCCTTGAATTCCAGTTACTTCTCCAGGCAGACCCACGTAAATTTCCTTCTCTGGTGTGGCTCATTCTTTGCCTGGATAAACCCTGAAAGCGCAGACTAATTTCAGTTGCAGCAGCTAGCTCTTCTTTGCTCCTTACTCAGCTAGTTAGCTAGCCAAGTGCATCTCACTCCTCAGATCTGGAAAGTATGAGCTCGTCACTGGTCTTCAATGTCTTCCAAAGTGCAGGCAGAGTATAATAAGCTTGACTGTCCATACCCCTGAAAGCTCTCTCTAGAATTTAGGTAAAGGGATGAAATGCACTCTATCATCTTTACCCTTAGAAGAGAATGAGATTCATAATACCCCAACAACTCTTTTGAAAAGTTCTCCTGAAATTTCTAGTTAGTTTCCTTTTCTCTCCAATCTCCATTTAGGCTAAGGCAATGGTCATCTAAGATCACAAAACTGTTTCCACAATTTGCTTTTGTAAGTTCTAAATGTTTGTATTGCACCTTAGTTTATTGTGGGACATCTGTTATTTTATCAGTTGTCTTATCAGTTGCACCTGCAATTACAGCTAACTTATGTGCCTTTCAACATACTGCTAGAACAGCGGTCTGAGATAGAGGTAGAATTTTCCATGACTAAAGTAGAAGAGGGCCTATTTTTAAAACTCTGTCTTCAAAATTATTTAATTAACATACTAATTCTTACAATTTGGCTCTGTTTTTCTTACAGAATACATTATAATCATTCTTTTTTATTGATACATCGTATTTTATACATTGATAGGGTACATGTGAGTGTTACATGCAGAATGTGTAATGATTAAGTCAGGGCATTTAGTATATCCATCACCTCCAGCATTTATCATTTTTATGTGTTGAGAACATTTTTGAGTCCTCTTTTCTAGCTACTTTGTAATATACAACACATTGCTCCTAACTATACTCACTGTACTCTGCTATTGTACATTAGAATTTATAGCCTATCAAACTGTATGTTTGTACCCATTAACCAACTTCATTTCATTCATTACTACCACCCACACACACTTCTAGGCCTCTGTATCCATCATTCCACTCTTTACCTCCATAAGATCAAATTTTTAAGCTTCTATATATAGATGAGAACATACAATATTTATCTTTTTATTCTTGGTTTATTTCATTTAACATAATGACCTCCAGTTCCATCTATGCTGCTGCAAATGACAAGGTTTCATTCTTTTCTTTGGCTGAATAGTATTACATTGTGTATATATACCATATTTTTAAAAAAGTACATTCATCCTTTTGTGGACACTTAGATTGATTTTACATCTTTGTCATTGTGAACAGTGCTGCAATAAATATGCAAGTGCAAGTGTTCCTCTGATACACAGACTTCTTTTCCTTTGGATAAATAGTAGTGAAATTGATGGATTATGTGACAGTTATATTTTTAGTTTTTTGAGAAATCTTCATAATGTTTTTTATAGTAGCTGTACCAGTTTACATTCCCAATAGCGTTTGAATTCCCTTTTCTTTCATCCTCACCGACATCTGTTATATTTTGTATTTTTAATAATAACTATTTTAATTGGGGTAAAATAATATCTCATCATGGTTTTGATTTGCATTTCCCTGATGATTAGTAATGTTGAGCATCTATATATTTTTTGGCCATTCGTATGTCTTCTTTTGAGAAATGTCTATTCATGTCTTTTGACCCTTTTTAATTGGATTATGTGTTTCTTTCTTTGGTTTTTTTAACTGTTGAGTTGTTTAAGTTCCTTGCATATTCTTGATATTAGTCGCTTGTCAGATTAATCATTTGTGAATATTTTCTCCCATTTAAGAGGTTGTATCTTCACTCATTTGTTTCCTTTGCTGTGTAGAAGCATTTTAGTTTAACATAGTCTCATTGGTCTATTTTTGGTTTTGCTGTCTATGCTTTTGAGGTTAATTCTTATGTATTGAATAGTTAGTGGTAATTTCACTTAGCCATTCATTTATTAAATTTTTACTAAATTCTTACCATGTACCAAACCTGAATTAAGTACTGGGGATACAGAAAGAACAAAAACATAATTCCTAATCTCAAGGAGCTCATGGTTGATTGCTCAACAATTTAAAAAGTAATTTTAAAGAGGTATGCAAAAAATGGTTGGTAAATGTACTCCTTCAAGTGCTTTCAGATGGAAATAAAAGAAAAACACATTTCAAACTGGAGTAAGCAATAAAAAATATATATTGCCATTTATAGTAGGAGGTTCAGAAATTGAGCAGCTTCAGGGTTGACTTAATCAATGGCCTTAGCTCTATTTCTACAGTCTCTTTTCTCCTCTGTGATTTAGCTCTATCTTTAAATTGGTAACGAAATGGTTACATTAGCTCTAGAATTTACTTTTATGCCTAACAATGTCCAGAGGAAGAAAAGATATGTTGGTTCCAGAAGCACTCATAGGAGAAACCCCAAAAAATTTATTCTAACATCTGGTTGGCTTTGAGTCACAAGACTTTACAGAACTGCGATTGACTCTAGAAAAATCAAGTACATCTCTTGAGCTGGAGGTGGGTTAGTTTTCCCTGTGTATCTAGATTTTTGGACAGAGTTGGTTACTTTAATAATTTCCAGATTCTATTAGAAAGAATTAATGTTTGGCTGGTAAGAATGCCTGCTGCTGTAGGTCCAAACAGAGTCACAGGAGAGAAGAATTATACTGAACCTAAGTCTTGTGAAAGGGATCAGGAAATGAATTTATATGGAAGTAATACTTTAGATGTAGCTTGGAATTCTGAGTACGAGTTAGCTAAGAAGGCTTAGTAGGAAAGGGTGATGAACCCTATAAGGGAAGAGGACAGCTTGGACAAAGAACAGTAGTCTGTGGATCTTGGGGCTTTGTGGGAAATGCAAGTAAGTAAGATTGTCTGGAGCAGAACTGTGCCCAGATATTTACAACATGACATGAAGGAGCTTATTGGCTGGGTCACTCATGTAAAGAGGTTGAGAAATACCCAGAAACAGGAATACTGAATTTCAGCTACTATAGCATCTTCTATGAGATCTCCTGAGGAAATAAACACCCAGGAAAGATCCAGGAAGAGGCAGTTATGTTTATTAGTTTATTAATGATAGCTGATATTGTATTGCCATGCAGAATTTGAAGAATTTCCTCTGAACTATTTCTTTAATACAAAATAAAATTCAGAAGAACTTAAGAATTCTGAAGCCAGAGAAAAAGAACTGGAATCCCAATCCTGACACTTGTTAGTTGCTTGACTTTGATCAGCACATGTAACCTCTGTGCTCCTCAGTTTCTTTTTCTGTGAAATGGGCATAATAGAGCATCCACCTCAAAGATTTTAGCAGACTAAGTGAGTTACCACATATTAAAACACTCAGAAGAGTACCTGGTAAAGTTTGCAAGCATCATATGAGCATTATGTAAATATTGGCAAGTGGTGTTATTGCTTCTTCAGCTTTTGGTGGAGCCAAACCTTAGGACACTAGAGGTAGGCAAAGCAGCTTTCCAGTGTCTTTTTCTTTTGATCTACAATTTTGAATGCAAGAAAAAACAGAATGAAAAAAGAAAATAATAATTTTTTATAAGACTTAGAGCAGACTGCCAGATACTCTTTTATTTCAAACTGGCAGTAGTTTAATTTTGTAAGGTACAGATTTGTGGGTATGCATAGATGTGGGTCTGGTTGGGTAGAAGTGAGTAGCAAGTTGCCTCCTCTGACAGAAGGAAAGACTAGGGGCTTTCTCACTGCACCAGCTGTGAATGTGGGTAGGATTCTATAAAAGAACACATTGAAGAGTGACAGAGGGAGAATAGGCTTCCAAAGACAGGAAGACAATTTAATGTTATATCCTCTTTGATGATGTTACTAAGAAAGATGGAGGTGAAGAGAAGCTTCCAGTCTCCTTCCTATTCCCCACTGCCATACCCCACATTTATTTCCATAGTCTAAGTATACTATTTCAGACCTGCTAGGACCTTGCTGCTTGACCTGCATGTACATACTTCTATTCACCTTTATTATAGGTAGGATGCAAGGATTCATGGGATTGTATGTCTGTTCTTGTTTTGTTTAACCATATGGAAAGATTTTCTTCCTTGTAACCCTATTATTATTATTTTTTAAGTTGAATAGGTAACTATTGTTCTGACAGCTAATTTCCCATCTGTTTCTGCCTCCTAGATTCAGAGAATGAGATGTGCACTTAATTTACTATAATGGGTTGAGTTGCGTCCCCTAAAAAGATACATTCAAGTCATAACTCCTGGTATTTGCGGATGTGTGTTTATTTGGAAATGGGTTATTTACAGATGTAATCAAATTAAAATGAGGTTATAATGGATTAGGGTGGGCTCTAAATCCAATGATTAGTGTCCTTCTAAGGATAGGGAGACTTGGAAATACACAGAGGTAGAAATGCCATGCCAGGTTGGAGGCAGAGCCTGGGGTGATGTAACAGTAAGCCAAGGGATGCTGAAGATTACTGGCAGCTACCAGGTGCTGGGGAAAGGCATTGGAGGGGTCTATCCTAAAGACTCCAGAGGAAGTAAGGCCTTACTGACATCTTGATTTCAGACATCTAGCCCCAGAATTGTGACAGAATACATTTCTGTTGTTTTAAGCCACCCATTTTGTGACTGTTGGCTATGGCAGCTCTAGAAAATTAATACATCTACATTGAAACATGAAGAATCTAGAATGTAGGCTAAAGCACATATTGAAACCTTTGAGTATAAAAGCCAGATTTTTATATCATTCTTCTATGGCTGTTATAAAAGCTGATATCAATATTCTCATCAGGAATAAAAAAATAGATCCAAGCAAGAAATTCAGAATTTCAAATAAAGAAATGAAGCATTTTGGTGATGGAGAACAGTTTTCCTGTTAGATCTTACAGCTAAAATATATCTTGCCTTCTGCCAATATAGATATTATCATCTCATCATTTTAAATTTCTTAAATTTAAAAACACTTCTATTAATGCTCCTTTTACTATGTCAGATTTGTTTTGTTGGATGAAAATCATAATGATAGCCAGATCTTCTTAGGATGCCTTTATCAACTTTGGTTTTGTTTTGTTTTGAGCAGACTTAATGAGGCAAATAAAGATTTATCAGTTCCCCAGACACCTTTTTACTCTTTAGCACGGAATTGGAGTGTAACGGTTGCTGATGAAGAATGACAGAGCATTTTGGTTAGTGCACATAAAACTGTTGTTTGTACAGATTATAACAAATATATTTTAAACTTAATTTCAAGTTTCCTTTTTCCGCTCCCTATGAACCTTTTATTTCAGAATGCTTCTCACAGCCAAAATGCTTTACCAAATGGAATGGACACACCATTGCTTCTGAGACGAAATTAGCCTCCAAGATGGGCTGCCTGGTGCTCACACTGTCAGCACCACCATGGTCTGCAGGCCAGTTGCCAGTTTTTAACAGTGTCCAGGGAGATATCAGCTTCCTAACTGATTTCCTCCCTCTTCCCAACCTAATTATTCGGAGACCTTCAAGCTTTCCAGAAATATCTGCAATTAGTCAGATGGTATCTAGGGCTTTGTTTAAAATTACAATAGAAAATTTATCAAGACCATTTGGTTTAATCTCCCTCATCATCTTCCCAGTGGATTTTTTTTCCCTTCTCTCTGGAGAGTTAGAAATGAGGCATCACAATTATTACATAATTACAGACAGTAATAGCAATAATAATGCTTGAAATTATTATTACACTATTAAAAGGAATGATATGTGTAAAGATAATTTCTTGTCAGATTTATAAAACTTTTCTTCCAGAAGCTCAAACAATGAACAATTTGTTAGCTTTAAAAGCTCCCTTTGCTGATGGTGGTTAGAGCCCTGGTTTTGTAAACCAGGAGTCATGAACTCAGACTTCACTAGAATCTCAACCTACTTCTAGCGTTTAAACATAATAGCTGGTATGAAATCATTGTTCTATATATATTGTTGCATGACATAATAGATAAATTGATAGGGAAAGTTTTTGAGGTAAATGGAGATTATATTTTCATATTATTAATCTTCTTTTCTAACTACTTTTACATAGCTTATATCTATATAGCAAACTCTTGGTTGGCCAAAGTTAAATAAAACACTTTAGAATATGAGTTTGATTTCTAGTTCTACTGTTTTGTAACTCCATGTATTTGAGCAAGTCACAAGTTCTGAGTCTCATATTCATCAATAAATTGGAGTATACAAGAACATACATATCATTAAACATTTTCTTTAGTGCAACATTAAATATAAACTTGAAAGCTTCTTAGTCTTCTAACCCCAATCTTATTTCCATTCTCACCTCTTCAGAATCAGCCATTTAATGAATTTAATATGAATTCTTGCAGTTATATCTATGAATGTACATGTCAACAAAATATTTTATGCACCTAAAATTTTTTAAAACTTACACAAGTTGTTACACAGATGTTATCAAAGTGCATATGTTATACTGAAACTTGCTGATATGATTTGGTTATGTCCCCACTCAAATCTCAACTTGAATTGCATCTCCCAGAATTCCCACATGTTGTGGGAAGGACCCAGTGAGAAGTAATTGAATTAGGGGGGCTGGTCTTTCCTGTGCTTTTCTCATGATAGTGAATAAGTCTCACGAGATCTGATGGGCTTATCTGGGGCTTCTGCTTTTGATTCTTCCTCATTTTTCTCTTGCTGCTGCCATGTAAAAAGTGCCTTTTGCCTCGGGCCATGATTCTGAAGCCTCCCCAGATGTGTGGAACTATAAGTCCAATTAAACCTCTTTTTCTTCCCAGTCTCGGATATGTCTTTATCAGCAGCATGAAAATGGACTACAGTAAATTGGTACCAGTAGAGTGGGGCACTGGTGAAAAGATACCAGAAAATGTGGAAGCGACTCAGAGGTTGGAACAGTTTGGAGGGCTCAGAATAAGACAGGAAAATGTGGGAAAGTTTGGAACTTCCCAGAAACTTGTTGAATGGCTTTGCCCAAAATGCTTATAGCGATATGGACAATAAAGACAAGGCTGAGGTGGTCTCAGATGGAGATGAGGAACTTGTTGGGAAGTGCAGCAAAAGTGACTCTTATTAGGTGTTAGCAAAGAGACTGGTGGCATTTTGCCTGCACGCTAGAGATTTGTGGAACTTTGAACCTGAGAGAGATGATTTAGGGTATCTGGTGGAAGAAATTTCTAAGCAGCAAAGCATTCAAGAGGTAACTTGGGTACTGTTAAAGACATTCAGTTTTATAAGGGAAGCAGAGAATAAAAGTTTGGAAAATTTGCAGCCTGACAATGTGATAGAAAAGAAAAACCCATTTTCTGAGGAGAAATTAAAGCTGGCTGCGGAAATTTGCATAAGTATCAAGGAGACCAATGTTAACCGCCAAGACCACGGGGAAAATGTCTCCAGGTCATGTCAGAGATCTTCATGGCAGCCCCTCCCTCACAGGCCCAGAGTCCCAAGAGGGAAAAGTGATTTCGTGGGCTGGGCCCAGCATCCCTGTGCTGTGTGCAGCCTAGGGACTTAGTGCCCTGTGTCCCAGCCCCTCTAGCTGTGGCTGAAATGAGCCAATGTACAGCTCGGGCTGTGGCTTCAGAGGGTGGGAGCCCCAAGCCTTGGCAGCTTTCACGTGCTGTTGAGACTTCGGGTGCACAGAAGTCAAGAATTGAGGTTTGCGAACCTCCACCTAGATTTCAGAAGATGTACGGAAACACCTGGATGCCCAGGCAAAGGTTTGCTGGAAGGGCGGGGCCGTCATGGAAAACCTCTACTAGGGCAGTGCAGAAGTGAAATGTGGAGTCAGAGCTCTCACACAGAGTCCTCACTGGGACACTACCTAGTGGAGCTGTGAAAAGAGGGCTATCATCCTCCAGATCCCAGAACGGTAGATCCACCTACAGTTTGTTCTATGCACTAGGAAAAGCCGCAGACACTCAACGCCAGCCTATGAAAGCAGCCAGGAGGGGGGCTATACCCTGTAAAGTCACAGGGGTGGAGCTGCCCGTGGGAACCCACCTCTTGTATCAGCATAACCTGGATGTGAGACCTGGAGTCAAAAGAGATCATTCTGGAGCTTTAAAATTTGACTGCCTTGCTGGGTTTTGGACTTACATGGACTCTGTAACCCCTTTGTTTTGGCCAATTTCTCCCATTTGGAATGGCTGTATTTACCCAATATCTATACGCTCATTGTAGCTAGGAAGTTACTAGCTTGCTTTTGATTTTACAGGTTTATATGCAGAAGAGACTTGCCTTATCTCAGATGAGACTATGGACTGTAGACTTTGGGTTAATACTGAAATGAGTTAAGATTTGGGGAGACTGTTGGGAAGGCATGATTGGTTTTGAAATGTGAAAACGAGATTTGGGAGGGACCAGGGACGGAATGATATGGTTTGGCTGTGTTCGCACCCAAATCTCAACTTGAATTGTAACTCTCAGAATTCCCACATGTTGTGGGAGGGACCCAGTGGGAGGTAATTGAATTATGGGGGTCAGTCTTTCCCATCCTAGTCTCATGATAGTGAATAAGTCTCATGAGATCTGATGGGTTTATCAGGGGTTTCCACTTTTGCTTCTTCCTTATTTTTCTCTTGCTGCCACCATGTAAGAAGTGCCTTGTGCCTCCTGCCATGATTCTGAGGCCTCCTCAGCCATGTGGTACTGTAAGTCCAATTAAACTTCTTTTCCTTCCCAGTCTTGGGTACATCTTTATCAGCAGCACGAAAATGGACTAATACACTTGCCTTTTCTCTCTTCAGCGTTTTCAAGATCTATTGTTGATAATATATAATATCTTACAAGTTATTTAATTCTCTAATGTATGGGAAGCAGCGTAGCATCGTCCTTGCTGTTGCTATGGTATTTATTGCTGTTGAGCCTTCAGGAAACCTCTCTGCATCTCGGTTTCCTCATCTATAAAATGGAGATGATAACTGTACTTACATCATGGAGCTGCTATGAGGATCAAAGAAGTTATCAACACTTCAGAATATGGCCAGCACATAGGAACAATATATCTATTTGCTAAATCGAAGGTAACAACTGTTGACTATTTTGTTTTTAATTTTTTACTATTACTAACAATTTTTTCAAAAATGTTTCATACACATAGCTTTGTTCCTTTGTGGGAGTGTTGCTCAATAGTATATTATACGTGGAAATGTTGGCTCATAGGGTTTATGCCTTTTCAATTTTAGATAATCATAAATTGTTCTCCATAATAAGTGTGTTAATTTATGTTCCTACCAATGTTTAAGAATTTCTGTTTTCTCCACACCCTTGCCTTATTAAATATTTATCAATTTTTTGGCCAATCTGATTCATATAAAATGGATCTCATGTGTTATTTTGTTCCCTTGATTACAAGTGAGAAAAACATTTTTTTTCAAATATCCTTTGGACATTATGATTTCTTCTTTTGAAAATTGTAAGCACTGCTTTGCTTGACTGGGACTAAATTATAAAGGTCTGGAGGGGCATGGTCTAAGGAAAATAGTTGAACAAATGATAACTATGCTTATGTTTACTGTTATTTCTTTCTCCTGACTCCACTATTGTCTTCATCTCTCCACTCGTCTTCATCCATCCTTTTCCTTCTCTGATAGTTACACATTTTTTCATTTGTGAAGAATTATGTCAGAAATTGAAAGACAGAAGACAATTTAAAAGCATGTCCTTGTCTTAATTGCAAGATGTCACATATTAGTTAAATGGCATAAGGAAGTGAAAAAAAAAACTATCTTTTAATGACAAATATTGTAGATAACATGAATTGTCATGTCTTCTTTTTTGGTACTTATCTAACCCGACTGCTTATCTAGTTCAACAACTTTTCTGTACAAGGGTGCAGAGAACTTATGTAGAAGTGCTAGATATTAAACATTTACTTTGTTAATCCATGTAATTTTGTGCTACTATCACCTACTAAATTAGAAGACAGCTGAGGGTCCAGTTACTGGCTGAGACACTCTAGTAAAGTAATTAATTGTGCTTTGGAACTGGAGCCTCTGGGTAAAATTTCATCTTCACCACCTTCTTATGTAACTCATAAGATTATTTTTAGGACTAAATGGCATTTTTTTTATATATATATATATATATATATATATATATATAAAGCTATTAATATTATACCTGGCACATAATAAATATTCATTAACTATTAGCTATTATTATTTCTTTCCTTTAATACTATTAGAGCTATAGGGTTATATAGTTCTATATATTTAGAGAGTTTAATTAAATTAGGCTTCATCGTATAATGATATAGGAAGAAGTTATTATCCTAACAGATAATATTTGGGAAGATATTTAATAAGCTTTCTCTGTGGTATAAATGAGTATTCTATTTTCTGGCCTTCTACATTTCAGGATAAAAAGAAACCTACTTTGTATGGAAAAGGAGAAAGAAAAGAGTAAGATTGAACTATGCTTTGCTGCATGGTGGGTTTGATGAAAGTGGAGTCACGCTGATTGGTGCTCAAGATAAATGTCTTAGGGGAAGACTCATACCCAGTGGAATTTTTTTTAGTGAAATATCGTGGCTCATGGACTGTGAGATTTGTCATTTGTTTTCAATAAAATGATAAAAATCATAATTTATTTTGTGAAAAAGAATTTCTAATGGAAGCAGGGAAAAGCATAAAGCAAAACATATGCTGTTTGGATTATATATACATTTTTTGGAAACCTGTGAGTTAGTAAAAGAGTTTTACAATTCCAGTTTGAATAGAATTGGTGGGAACAGCTAGAGTTAGTGACGTTTTCAGTGGAACACTATGTTCTTTAGTGAGTACTGAAATGTGTTAAAAAGGTTAATTCTATTTTTTGAACTGGGAACAATTTCCTGCAAAAATACGAATACACAATAAATATGTTACATAAAACCATGATTGTCAGGAGTAATATTTTAAAAATATGGTCAACTCATATTATTTTTAATTTTCTCATTAGATTTTTACTCTTACTTTACATATTCCTTTGCCTGACAAGCTCACTTGTATACTTGGTTGTAGAAACACAGAGTGCTAATTTCTACCACAGAACTTCTTATACTATTCCATAACTGTCTACTTATTCTGTTTCTCAACTAAGACTGACTTCTTGGAGAAATCTGTTGTTGGAGGATATATTTTTATTATTTTGTATTATCAATGCAGTAAAGTATCTTTTACAAAGTAAATATTTTTTAAATGTTAGTAAAATGACTTTTTAGAGTTGAAATCTTGATTCTGCTTGTGGAATATCAGTGTTCCAGAACAAAGACAACTGAAGCTGTTAAACCTTTAATCAAGAGACTCAGGGAGGCCATTCCTATGATTACGGTGGCATATTGATTTATTCATTGATAGGCTCTTTCAGCAGGAACTCCCTGGAAGATCTGTTAGGCTGAAATACATTGTCTTGATTTACAATGCTTGTTTTGGTTCTAGAACCATGCAAACTACAAAGCAAACAGCTCTAGAGAAAAACTTAGAATTCACAAGGTATACGGAAAGAGTCCTATAAATTTAACAAAAGATACTCAATAAACACTATCCAAAATATCCATTCACCTAAACTCTAAAACTTGCATTTTTTTATTATCTTTCTTTATTTGATGTTAATGAAAGAAAAATAAACACCTGAAAAGGTTTCACCCTGACACAGGGACTGGAGTCTATGTCTATAAGAACACGCAGTGAATTTCTTTTATTTGGTTCCAGCGTGAAGACTTGCATTTTACATTTTATATAAGTAATTATTAAATTATATTTTAAGTTTTAATATATTTTGGACGATCACAACTTCTTTTCTTCCTAGAATGCCAAGATATGAGCTTGTAGATGTGGGTTACATTATACTGGGTGGAAAGCGTTGTTATATGAAACCACTCAGACATGAAAACAGACTGCCTTCTATTAATAACAGATGCTCAAACATTTGATTCACCTTTCACTTCCATATAGTTGCACCTTCTATTTTCCCCTTCAGGATTGGACCTCACTATTATGGACTAAATGTTTGTGTTCCCCCTAAAATTCACATGTTGAGACTATAACCTCCAATGTGATGGTATTAAGAGATGGGGTATATGGGAGGTAATTAGCTTGACAGGAGGCCACAAAAGTACCATCCTCATGATGGGATTTGTGCCCTAGAAAAAGAAACCAGATAATTTGCTCCTTACCCTAGTCAAGTGAGGATACAGCCAGAAGGCAGCCCTCTGCAAACCAGGTGAAGAGCTCTCACCACAAACCCACCAGGCTGGCACCCTGATCTTGCACTTCCCAGTTTTCAGAATTGTGGAAAACAAATGTCTGATTTTAAATCACCCATTCTATGGTATTTTGTTACGGCATCTCAGACTGACTAAAAAACTTTCCCATCTTTTACTATCAAGCCAGTCTTGAATGTTTAGTTCAAACATCACCACTCCCCACCCCTGCATTGTGTGTATGAGGGTGTATTAAAAAAATAGGCAGACTATTTTTAAACACAAGTTATGCAACATGTTTTCACTATAAAAGTTGTGAGAAATATGAAAGTAAAATATGAAAACAACTTCCTTGCCCTAACAAATTTCTCATGTCAAGAGTAAGCACTGGTCACCAGTAATCCTGGCACTTTGGGAGGCCAAGGTAGGAGGATCACTTGAGCCCTGGAGTCTGAAACCAGCCTGGGCAACATAGTGAGACTCTGTTTCTACAAAAATTTTTCTTAAAAAATTAGCTGGACACAGTGACACACAGCTGTAATCTCAGCTACTTAGGAGGCTGAGGTGGGGGGATCACTTGAGCCTGGGAGGCTGAGGCTACTGTAAGTTGAGATCAGACCACTGCACTCCAGCCTGGGCAACAGAACAAGATTCTGTCTCAGAAAAAAAAAAAAAAAGAGAGAATAAAAGTAAAAGAAAGAAAAAGAAAAAAGAAAGAAAAGCAAACAAACAAAGAAAGAATAAACATTGGCCAGGTGTGGTGGTTCACACCAGTAATCCCAGCATTTTGGGAGACCAAAGTGGGAGGATTGCTTGAGTCCAGGGGTTTGAGACCAGCCTGGTAACACAGAGAGACCCTGTCTCTAACAAAAACTAAAAAAAAAAAGAAAAAAAAAGGAAAAAATTAGCCAGGCATGGTATCTTACCACTGGGCTCCCAGCTACTCAGGAGGCTGAGGTGGGAGGATCACTTGAGCCCAGGAGTTCAAGCCTGCAGTGAGCTTTGATCATGCCATGCACTGTAGCCTAGGTGATAGAACAAGACTTTGTCTCAAAAAACAACAAAAAAGGAGTAAGTGCTACTATTTTAACATTATGAAGTATTTCTTTCTAGTCCTTTTTCTATGAAAATGCCATTTCCAGTCCTTCCACTAATTGTTATTTCCTCCTGCTGTATCAACATAGCACTTTGTTACATTCTGTCTCATATTCATATATGGCTTTACAGTAAACTAGTAAAGCTTAAACTTCAGGGCTTTTCAGGATGAACCATCAGAAAAAAAAACATAAAAATCAAACAAGACAAAACTTCACGGCTCCTTGCTTGCACAGGCTCCTCCCAAAATTCTGCAAGATGTCTTGCCAAAGTATTCATATAATCGTTGTTTTATATACTTGCAATTTGGGTTTTCTTTTTTTAAGCGCTTTGCAAATTGTCTAAGTTTCAAGACCTCACAAAACCTGAAAATACCCCTCCTGCAACAAAATGTATAAATCATCAACTTGCACATAGTGGGTGTGTGTCTGTTTTGCTTTGCTATAAAGGAGTCCCTGAGACTGGGTAATTTATAAAGAAAAGAGGATTATTTAGTTCATGGTGCTTCAGGCTGTACAGAAAGCATGGCACTGGCATCTGCTTGGCTTCTGGATAAGGCTTTTGTGCTGTGTCCAAACATGGCAGAGAAGATTAAGGGAAAAACATGTGTGAGGAGAGAGCAAATCTGAAGGGCATCCTGGCTTTATAACAACCCACTCACTCAGTAACTAATTTATTGCCAGGGGAACTAATCCAGTGTCAAGACAGTGAGAGCTCACTACCTCAAGAAAGGAACCAAGCCATTCATGAGGGCTCTGCCCCTAAGACCCAAACACCTCCCACTAGGCCCCACCTCCAATACCACCACATTGGGGATCAAATTTTAACACAAGATTTGATGGAGACAACCAAATCATATCAAAACCATCACAGTGTGTGACAAATTTAGGACTAAGTGAGCTTCAGTAGTGCCCAGGATTGTTTACAAGAAACAAGCAGAGTTTTAATCACAGGCAGGAAATGTAAGTATATCACATAAATGTTTTATTTTCCCTTTTGTGTAATGTGGTCTTATTGATGCATAATCTTAATATGTTATTCTAGTTTTCACCTGCACATTAATCAACACATTCTACCTAATACATTTTACATTTGCTACATTGATTAAGGAACAAAGAATTTCTGACCTGTAGTACAGTTGGCCTTCAGTATCCACAGGCTCCCCATCTTTGGATTCGACCAACTGAGGATCAAAAATATTTTTTAAAAACCCAATAAAAAATAATACAAATAATACAAATAAAAAATTTGTATACAGTATAAATTTGTATACTGTATAACATTATACCAACTATTTACATAGCATTTATATTATATATTTAAGGTACACTACAAGATGTATGTAGGTTGTATGCAAATATTACACTATTTTATATAGGGGACTTAAATTTTGGCATTCACAAATTTGGGTATCTATGGGGGTCCTGAAACCAATCCCTCGCTGACAGTGAGGGAGAACTGTATTACCTTCTACATGTTACATTTAAAGAAGGCAGATTAGATTTCCAGCTCCTCAGACTATGTGACTTCTTCATCTAAATAAGTGCCATTCAATAGACCTTTATGCAATGATGGGAATTTCCTAGATAGTCTATGCTGCCTCAGATCATAGCCACTAGCCACATATAGTGACTGAGCTCTTCAAATGTAGCTAGTGTGGCTGTGAAACTAAATTTTAAATTCTATTTAAATGTAATTGTCAGAGGCGTTTGAACCAGAGTGCCTCCATCTTGAATAGGGGCTGGGTAAAATAAGGCTGAGACCGGCTGGGCTGCAAGCCCATTAAGTTAGGCATTCTTAGTCACAGGATGAGATAGGAGATAGACACAAGAATAACGTCATAAAGACCTTGTTGATAAAACAGTATGCAGTAAAGAAGCTGGCTAAATCCCACCAAAACCAAGATGGCGAGGAGAGTGAACTCTGGTCTTCCTCACAGCTCCTTATATGCTAATTATAAGGTATTAGCATACTAAGAGACACACGCATGAACACCGTGACAGTTTACAAATGCCATGGCAATGTCTGGTAGTTACCCTATATGGTCTAAAAAGGGGAAGAACCCTCAGCTCCTGGAATTGCCCACCCCTCTACCAGAAAACCCATGAATAATCTACCTCTTCGTTACCGGGGGGTCCTTGCTTCCAGAGCTCCTAAGATGGTGATGGGCGCTTCCAAAATGGCAGCGGGCCGCTTCAAAGATGGTGGCAAGCCTCGTGTTCTCTGACATGAGGTTCTTGGCCTCACGGATGCCAAGGAATGGAATCTTGGGCCATGTGGTGAGTGTTACAGCTCTATTAGAAGCCGTGGGTCACAGAAGAGAACTGTGGAACCCAGTGACTACTGTTCGGCTCGATTAGGACAAACCCAGGCACTCAGCCATGCAGGAACAATGGCAAGCCTTTAGCCCCATCGGGAGTGGCAATGGGCGCCTCGCTGGATCAGGAGCACAGCGGACACCCTGCTGGATCCGGAGGGATGGAAGTCAGTGGCGGGTCTGTGACAGCGGCAAACAACAGTGGTGGATGGCGAGCGAAAGCTCAGCTCCAGCCATAACAAACACAGACCAGAAGAGTGCAGTTGCAAGATTTAATAGAATGAAGTAGAGTGAAAACAGAGCTCCCATACAAAGGGAGGGGACCCAAAGGGGTTGCTGTTGCTGGCTCAAATGCCTGGGTTTATATCCCCATCCTTGCCCCTCCTGCTGTGCTCTCAGGCAATAGATGATTGGCTATTTCTTTACCTCCTGTTTTTGCCTAATTAGCATTTTAGTGAGCTCTCTGATTGGTCAGGTGTGAGCTAAGTTGCAAGCCTCGTGTTTAAAGGTGGATGTGGTCACCTTCCCAGCTAGGCTTAGGGATTCTTAGTCGGCCCAGGAAATCCAGCTAGTCCTGTCTCTCACCTTGTTTAGCATATGCTCAAGAAATAACCATAAAAGTGGGCAACCAGCAGCCCTCAGGGCTGCTCTGCCTATGTAGTGGCTATTCTTTATCTCTTTACTTTCTTAATGAACTTGCTTTCACTTTACTCTATGGACTCACTCAGAATTATTTCTTGCATGAGATCCAAGAACTGCCTTCCTTGGGGTCTGGATTGGAACCACCTTTCTGGTAACGTAATTACTTTAAATTTAAATTATCTAGATACAAGCCACATGGGGCTAGTGGCTACCATATTGAACAGTACAGCTCTAGAAGACTGTGAACAAGGTGATCCACTGGGGAGGGCTTAATTAAGGAAATCAGTACATTAGTGATAATAAATGATGAAGGATAAAGTTTGAATAATATTGTACCCCACTCTTCTAGCAAAACATTGTGTACCATGTTTAGTCTGAGAACAGACTTGAGAATGGAAATCAACATACAGCAATGTAATGAATTGAAAAGGCAATTTCAAAGAAAAGATAAATGTTTAGCTTTAAAAACATCTATGTTAAAATGAAGAAAGAAGAAAAAAATTATTTAAAAGGTAGGGGAGCCAAGAATCCACAGTAAAACATCCCTTTTCGGTCATTTAGCTGGAAAGCAGAAACAGAACAAAAAAAGAAGAATTAAGAAAGCCTATGGGTATGCCAGGAGTCTCATTGTTTCACTGTGTGCAAGTATTTATGTGGGAAGGAATAGTGACTACAAAAACACTGACTTGAAAAGGTATGAGCCAGCAGGGACCCTGGGCCAAAACATTAGTACGACTGTAATCCCAGAAATCTCTGGAATTTGCAAATTCATTATTTACTTTGCTAACATGACAAGAGAGGCATTCCAAATGATTTGCTTACTGTGGTCAGCATTATGAAGTTATTGTTCTATGTTTTGTGTTATTTTTTTAAGAAATACTAACAAAAACATCCAAGACCTCTCTATATTGTAATTGTGCATGGCAAGTTATGAATGTAAATTCCTTAGCAGGAAGATAACAATATACCCCCTAAGATGCAAATTAAATTATACATTCCTGAAATCCTTGTTTTGCTTTATTTTAGAAAGTGTCTGCATCTGTCATTGCTATTTAGCACATATTTAATCATGATATTTCAGTGGTGATTGTGAAATCACCGTTGCAAAATTATAACTGAGACGGTGAGAGAGATCTGACCTAACCAACTCCCTCTTGCTTCTGACCTCCAAGCTGTTCTTGTTTATTCCTGGGTGTAGGTGAAACTAATTTTGGGAGAAACTTACTTTATAGTTTGAAACAAAGATATAACAACCCTTTCCCAAAACGAACCCCTTCTTGCCTGGGGATTAGACTGCCTTTGTAGGACTAACAGATTAGCCACCAGATGAGAAATTATGGTTTAAGAGTCATGCAGCTGAAGGCTGCAAGATTCTAAATGTCCCAAATTGCTCCCAGGGATAACATCACTATTGTAAAACCTAATATCAGTGCTTGAGATATTTTGCAGACCCTGCACCTGATGGATCAGCTGGCACCACCCAGACTGATAAACTGACTCATCTGGTCTTGTGGCCCCACCTAGGAACTGACTTAGCGCTAGAGGACACTTTCAACTACCTATAAGTTCATTTTCAACCTTACCAATTAAACTCCCACATCACTGGTGCCCTAACTACCAAATTATCCTTAAAAACTCTGATCCCTGGGTTCTCAGAGATCGATTTGAGTAATAATAATACTCTGGTCTCCCACACAGACAGCTCTGCATAAATAACTCTTTCCCTATTGGAATTCCCATCTTGATAAATCTGGCTCTGTCTAGGCAGCAAGCAAGGTGAAGCTGTTGGGCAGTTACAGTGGTGGGCTTTTTGTTTAGAAGTTGACTTTCTTTCACATGCAATTCTTACAACTTATTTTTTATTGTGTAGAGATTATTTGGTGACTTTAGATATTTAAATGCTGGTCTTTTTAAAAAAGATGAACCTGTCAATATGCATTTCTGTCTCCAAAGGAGAAAAATGTAGCTTGTGCCAAGTCATACTTTATTACATATTGGTGATGTCTTATTGTTGTTTGAATCATTAATTATAAGAAATTCTCATTTATAAAGGTGTGCTTGGCATATCCTAAAAACACAAAAAATTGGTCTGCATTAGTGTGAAAATAATTCCACATGTACCTTGCTTCCTAAAGTATAAATAACATGGGGATAGCCATGATGTAGGATCAGAATTCCTTCTTAACTTAGCTTATGGAATAAAATAAGTGACACGTGATCAATATTAGGTGCCATGGAGAAGGAACACCAGGGTTTTCCAAGCTGAGAGCAAGTTATCTGATGGTAGATTCCATTTAAACTTTACTTGTGTTCTAAAACCAATCTTTCCTTTAAAAATTTTTTAAACCAAAGTAACACATGAATATTAAAGATAACTATCATACTGTATTAGAATATAAATTGCTGATATTTTGGTAAATTTATATAAGGAACATGGCTGTGCTACAGCCAAGCAGGCATTGGGCAGCAGGCATAGGCCAGGGTAAACAGCCTTGTTTATTCAGTGGGATTGGGGCACAGCTGCACAGTCCCATGTCTTATATAATCATAGCCGTGTAGACACAACATAGAGAAGCTCCCCACCCAGCTCCCAGCCACTATTGTTTGTGTAGTGTATTAATGTAACACTGACCCTGTGAGGGGTTGCTAAATAAAGCCATGTCTCATTTACCTACTGTCTCTTGAGTGTTCTTCCAGCTCCTTGCCTCATGTCTCATGTCCACCCACTCCCCTCAGCCCTCAACTTGGGCTGGAACCTAACCCTGAACCTGACAGTTGGCGTAGTTGGCATGATGAGGTGAGTGGGTTGTCAGCCTTTGGGGTTCTCAGGTTGGCTACGTGGCCGCAGATGGGCTGTGGTACCTAGTGTCAGAGGTGCTGCTTGAATGGGCCCCAGTGGAAATGTGGGAGGCAGTGGATGGGTCTCCTGTGAGTGTGAGAAGGCACTGAAGCAGCTGGAAGCTCACAGCACCAAGAAAGACCTCACCTTCGCCAGCAGAATCGGATGGGCGTTTCTGACTGTGCTACGTGAAGTACATGCTCAGTCCCTGCTGGACGCGGTGCAGGTTTGGGAGCTTCAGGTGCAAGTTGGGTGCCTGGGGGCCCAAATGCACAGCTTGGAGCAAAACCTGGAGGGTGAAGGACCTCCAGTCACAAGCAGGGCACTTACAGGCTCAGATAAACATCCTGGAGCAGGAGTTGGCAACAGCTGTTGGTGCAACCCTGAGCCCGTCCTCCAGGCTGGACACTCCTGCGTGGCCTGATCCTGAGGAGGAGGAGGCTCTTTTGCTATGGGCTCGTCCTGTGATCCATCAGAAGATAGAACATGAGCAGCCGATGGGACCCCATGGGACAGCCCAGGGACCACCCACAGTGGTGGACCACACCTCTTATTGTGCTTATACCCTCACTGAGTTGCAGGATATGGGTAAACAGTGCTGGCAGCACCCAGGGGAGGCCCTCCTAGCCTGGATACTCTATCTTTGGGATGAGGGGACTGACAGCATTTCTTACTCTGCCTCCGTGATGGAGAAGCTGGCTTCTATCACATCTCACCCCTCCCTTCATCAGCAGCTGCAGCTGTGCCAATGGTTGGCACAAGGGCAAGGTGACCACATGTTAACCAAGTGGCTGATGACAGCCATATTAACTGTTTGGAATGATGTTGGAGAGATACCAGAAATTGTGAGTAAATGGCAATCATCTACTGACTTGGTGCAGGTACTCTGGGAGATGGGTATGCAGCAGGCTATGTTTGATCTGAATACTCAGGGGCCAGATAATGAATGTTTTACCTCTCACATGAGGGATCTTGCACTGGGCCCAGTGCCCCCAAGTGCTTTTGGCTCTGTGGCTGCTGTTCTCACCCTATATGTGGGGTGCCATATATATGAAGTGACTACTGCTATGGCAGCCCTCAAGGAGACAGAAGGCCATCAGCAGGACTGGGGAATCCGTGCCATAAAGAAAAGAAGGTGCCCCTTCTGCTGGTAACCACCCCACGAGATAAAAAGGAGCCCCAGTGGGTGACCCGCATGCAGATGTGGATTGATTTAATTGCAGCTGGGATTGCTCAGGAGAAAACTGACAGGCAACCCAGTGGAATGCTGCTGGCTCTGTGGAGGCAACTGTCCCTGGAGCAGCAATTCCAGAGAATGTTCAAGAGGGGGCAAAATACTGCGGCTCAACCCAGCCCTGCCCAGATGTTGCAGCTCAAGGACTATTTGCAAATGGGCAAAGAGACCTTCCTGTTTGATTAGGGAACTGGCTGAGGTGCCTGGCTCAGGTTGGGGGCTGGGGGGTGGATGACTGGAGGCCTTATGTGGAACTGGCAACTGGTCCCCCACCAATGTACAGCAGGTCCTAGCACTGGTAGATACTGGTTGACTCTGCAGAGGCAATTGTCCCTGGAGCAGCAGTTCCAGAGAACGCAGCAATTCCATTTGTCCTTGGAACAGAAGTTCCAAGACGGGGCAAAATAGCAGTTTTGCTTATAGCAACATGGAAAAATTTCTGGGCAAAGCTGCATTCATTGATGGTTTTGGGGGCCAGTTGGTGAAAGTGAAACCTGTGTCTCTGCATCTTGGTATTGGCCGCTTGGCTCCCCACCTGTATACGGTGTATGTTTCTCCTGAACCTGAATATATTCTGGGGGTGGACATTTTGTATGGTCTGGACTTGCACACCATGGCTGGAGAATTCAGACTCCGGGTTCATGTAGTAAAGCTGGTACTGCGTGGACATACACATCACCAGCCCCAAGTTCTGTCACAACCCTGACCGGTTACTTCCAGTCATCAATACCATTTGCCAGTGGGGCATACAGAGATAACTGAGACTATTCAGAAGTGAGAAGAGGTGCAAATAGTGCATGGCACCCATAGCCCCTCCAGTTCCCCCATAGGGCCAGTCAGAAAGCCTGACGGAACTTGGCGAATGACAGTGGATTATCGGGAACTGAATAAAGTGACACCCCTCTGCATGTGGCTGTACCCTCCATCACGGATTTATGGACTGTTTGACAGTGGAATTGGGACAGTACCACTTCGTAGTGGACTTAGCTAATGCATTTTTCTCCATAAACATTGCTCCAGAGAGTGATGAACAGTTCGCCTTCACATGGGAAGGACGACAATGGACTTTCACAGTGTTGCTGCAGGGCTATATGCATAGCCCCACCATTTGTCATGGTCTTGTTGCCATGGAATTAGGTGCCTGGGAATGTCCAAAAGGGGTCCACCTGTTTCATTACGTTGATTTTATGTTAACCTCTGATTCTCTTACAGGTTTAGAAGTGACAATGCCCCTCTTGCCTGGGATTGGGATAAGAAGGCTGAAAGAGCCTTTCTGGTAGCCAAGCAGGCTATGCAGTGGACACAAGCCCTATGGATAGTTGACCAGGGGTGCTCATTTAAACTGGACGTGCATGTGACCACACATAGTTTTAGTTAGGGCCTATAGCATTGCACAGAACACTTGAGTATGCCAGCAGGCTTTTGGTCCTACTGGGAGCTGAGCTCCAGTATTCACTGATAGGGAGGCAATTAGCTGCTGTATTTGCTGCTCTTCAGGCCTGTGAGAGTATGACAGGACAGGCTACAGTCATAGTGCGGACAACTTACCCAATAGCAGGATGGGTGCATTCATGGGTAACAACCCCCCTGACTGGGACAGCACAGACATCCACGTTAGTGAAGTGGGGTGCCTACTTAGAACAATGGAGTATGCTGAGTACAAGCCCCTTAGCAGCAGAATTACAAGAAGTTTTAGGGCCTGTAGTTCTAATGCAAGATAAGGCCATGGGGCCTGAAGCCATCACCATTTAAAGAAGGGTACCTTCCAATTCCTGATAGGGCATGGTATACAGATGGGTCCAACCAGGGTGTTACTGTTGCCTGGACTGTTGTAGCAGTCCAGCCTAGCACTTACTGGGTGCAGACAAAGCAGCCAATGGGCTAAACTTAGAGCGGTGTGGATGGTGATTACTAAGGAGGACTCACCTATGGTAATTTACACCTATAGCTGGGCAGCCTATCGAGGTTTAACTTTGTGGCTGACTACTTGGAAATTACAGGATTGGCATGTAGGCCAAACCATGTGGCATGACCTCTGGGAAATAGTTCACCAGAAAGATGTAACAGTCTATCATGTGTCAGGTCATGTGCCTTTGGCCACCCCCGGTAATGATGAGGCAGATAGCTTAGCCAAGTTCTGATATCGGCACCTACAAAAGATGTAGCTTTGTGGCTACACAGGAAACTGAGACATGCAGGGAGTAAGCTGATGCAACAGGCAGGTCAATAGGCCCTGGGGTCTGTCTTTGCCTTCACAGGACATTTTGGAGGCCTGCCGGAAGTGCCCAGCATGTGCTCAGGCATACCCCAGACAGAGACAACTGCCCAGTGTAACACAGCACAGCAAATGATGGTTACCATTTGCTGTGTTACCAGATGGCAAATAGATTACATTGAGCCGCTGCCAAAATCGCAGGGCTACACATATGCACTGACGGCTGCAGACACAGCCACTGGCTTGTTGTTCACCTACCTTTGCAGGGTGGTCAACCAGCAACACAGCGTTCGAGCCCTACAACACTTACTTGCCTTATGTGGCCATCCCTTGGCTGTTGAAAGTGATGGGGGAACACATTTCATTGGACAGCAGGTACAACAGTGGGCACAGCAGATGGACATATGATGGGGATTTCATGTTCTTTATAACCCACAAGCCGCTGGCATGATCGAGCGATATAACGGATTCTTGAAGAATGGGTCACAGTTGCTTTTTACTCCCCCATCTTGGCAGGGATGGAGTTCTGGGTTGGATCTGGTGCTTCAAATTTTGAATGAGTAGCCATGGAAAGGTGGCCCAGCCCTGGTGGAGGCTTTGTTACACTAGGCCTCCACCCTCATCCAGCTGCAGATACACACCAAGGATGAGCTCCTCCAATCATGTATGGGGACAAACAGTAATCTATTGTTGCCTGCCCCAAAGCCTCTGAAGGCACAGGAACAGAAAACCTGGTGTTGGCCATGGACCCTCCAAACCCCTCATTGCCGATGGTTGGCTATTTTAGCCTCCTGAGGGGAGGGCCTGCTGTATGACTTACATGTTACTCCTTGGGTATTTAATGCGTGGCCTCCATGATTGACCTTTCATAGAGGAATGGCCAAGGAAGGAACCCTCCTCTGGGGGACATATGTACTGTCTGTGTGGCCTATTATTACAAGCTCTCCTGTGACTTTGTAATGGATACAAGACTCAAAAGAACCATAGGGAGCTGAGAATGTGTGGTATCATCGCCCAGGGAAAAAGCCGTTGGCAGCTGCATTGTTATCCAGGGATGAAAAGTTAGCCTGTATTTTGCCTGAGGGACGTGATTTGCCCTTGTTAGTACCTGTGCCTGCTTTGTCATTCCAGCTGCAGGTTGGCATGCTCCAACAGCATCATGGACGGGGCCTACACCTACGCCGAGGTGACCAATGTCTCCAACTGTTGGATCTGCACAACTCTTCCAGCAGCAGCTGGGGACAGCTTGTTCTGGCACGTGCATCCAGCTTCTATGCAGAAGTGGACATGGCTAGAGACTTGGGGTCCTGCAGACAACAGGTAGGATGCAACACGGTGAGCTTTGAACAGGGGTTGTCGCAGAACCCATGGCAAGCCTGCCCCCTGGCTGACTTGTAGTGTCCATGATGGATGAGCTTGGCTAATGGGAGAACATGTAGTGCCCCCATTGCAGGTACCATAATGTATAGAGCAGCACTGTGGTAAAGTCACTGTAAGATGGTTGCCTGCTGAGGTTTGTGCAAACAAAACACATGTCACCACAACAAGGGTGTGGTGGAACAAGCAGACTTGCCAAGGCTGGGGCCCCACGGATTTTGTGCCCCTTGGGAGTTTATGGGTCTGTGGGGACACAGAATGGCCATCTCTGCCAGCCAATTGGACTGGACGTTGTACCTGGAGGTGGCCCTATGTGGCTGCCACTGTGCTTCCCACATTTCCTGGCCACCCGCATAACTGGGAGCCACTGTGTTCCTGTTTTTTGCGGTGCAGCTTGCCCCCTGGTGGTTTTATCCCTTAGCTATAACTATCCCTGGAGCAGGTGTCATCACTGTGGAAAAGCAGGTTGTAGCCTTTGCAGAGCACGCAGCTTGGGCCCTGAATTACACCTGAGTTGCTCTCCTTTTGTTCACTGATGAAGCTGACCAGATCAGGAAGGTGGCGCTGCAAAACTGATGGCCTTAGACAGTCATAGCTGCCCAAGGTGGTAACTGTGCCCTTGTAGGGACACAGTGCTGTACGTTTATTACCCCTGACAACCACGGGAATATAATGACAGCTTTACAAGGGGGTGTCACAGGAGATTAAGGTGATTGAACACCTTACTGATGACCCCCCGCAGAGATGGTGGGCATCTCTGGGCTCTGGCCTATGTTGGGCTCTTATAATCTTAGGTAGCATAGCAGGGGTATTAGTGGTGGGTTGTTGTTCTCTGTATTGTTGCTATGGCCTATGGGTCCAGGGTGCTGCTGTATGTGCATGGGTCCCCACCAAGAGGATCCGCTCGGCCTGGGGGCAGGGTGTAAGGAACATGGCTGTGCTGAAGCCAAGTAGGCACTGGGCAGCAGGCATGGGCCAGGGTAAACAGCCTTGATGATTCAGCGGGATTGGGATGCAAGGCGCACAGTCCTGTGTCTTATGTAATCATAGCCACGTAGACACAACATAGAGAAGCTCCCCACCTGGCTCTCAGTCGCTATTTTTTGTGTAGGTTATAAATGTAACACTGACCCTGTGAGGGGCTGCTGAATAAAGCCATGTCTCATTTAAAGAACACTGTCTCTCAAGTGTTCTTCCAGCTCCCTGCCCCACGTCCACCCATTCCCCTCAGCCCTCAGCTTGGCCTGGAACCTAACCCTGAACCTGACAATTTATTTTAAGAACTTTTTGTAACTTTAGGCTTATTTAAATAGCAATCATACAGTTTCAATATTGTTGTTTCACTTGGCATTAGGGCATTAGCATGCTTCCAATTGCTTTATAATCTTTAGAAACATTGTTTTTATTGACTATATGCTTATCAACAAAATCCAGTAAGACTATTTGATTAATGCAAAGATTCAAGGAATTGTTATCTAGTTTGTGGATTATTCAGAACTCTTAACATTTGAAATTTGCCTGCTTTTTACAACCTTCAGTAGTATAGTTAAGACAAAGATTAATTTAAATCAGTAAGAGTTCCTTCTTATATATAATCTAGCTGATTCAGCTATTTTATTTTATTTATTTATTTATTTATTTACAGACATACAGAGTCTCACTCTGTCACCCAGGATGGAGAGCAGTGGTGTGATCTTGGCTCCTCTGCCTCCCGGGTTCAAGCAATTCTCCTGCCTCGGCCTCCCGAGTAGCTGACATTACAGGTGCACACCACCACACCTGCTAATTTTTGTATTTTTAGTAGAGATGGGGTTTTTCCATATTGGCTGGGCTGGTCTCCAACACCTGACCTCAGGTAATCTGCCGGCCTCAGCCTCCCAAAGTGCTCCCAAAGGATTACAGGCGTGAGCCACCATGCCTGGCCAGCTTGCTTGCTTGCTTGCTTCCTGCCTGCCTGCCTGCCTGCTTGCCTGCCTGCCTGCCTGCCTTCCTTCTTTCCTTTCTCTCTCTCTCCTTCCTTCCTACCTTCCTTCCTTCCTTTCTTCCTTCTCTCTCTCTTTTTTTTTTTTTTAGAAAAGCACAACTAACTTAGGAAACCATGCTTAAATTCTCAGACTCTTGCTCATTGTAGAGTCTTCCCAGTTTACAGCTATAGCCAGAAGTCTTGAAGTAAATGGGAACCACCTGAGAAAATCAGCTGCCAGCAAGCCAAAGGTATTAAGCCATGGAGACAGAGGATGGAGAGCATATCTCACCCTCCTGAAGAGTGAAGCAGTGCTTGGAAAGAAAAACAGGCCGGGCGTGGTGGCTCATGCCTATAATCCCAGCACTTTGGGAGGCCGAGGTGGGCAGATCACGAGGTCAGGAGATCGAGACCATCCTGGCTAACACAGAGAAACCCCGTCTCTACTAAAACTACAAAAAATTAGCCAGGCATGGTGGCGGACGTCTGTAATCCCAGCTACTCGGGAGGCTGAGGCGGAAGAATGGCGTGAACCCAGGAGGCGGAGGTTGCAGTGAGCCGAGATCGCGCCATTGCACTCCAGCCTGGGTGACAGAGCGAGACTCCATCTCAAATAAATAAATAAATAAATAAACAAATAAATAATAATAAATAATAATAATAAGAAGAAAAACAAGAAGCTGCTAGTCTCGATGTTTCTCAGAGTATGTTGGCTTTTGTTGAGGCAACAGCCAAAGGTGGCCACACGTGTCCTGAATAATCTAAATGGGGTGAGCCTCAGTAGGCAAGGGAAAAATGAGGAACCTATGAAAGATCAGAGAAACCAAGGATGGAAGTAATTTCTACACAGAAGGGGAAGTCAACAGAATAAAAAATTCTGAAGATGTCAAAGGAAGAAGCTTCCATCAGATTGGTAAGAAAACTGTCCTTAAAGGCTTATAAGAGAATGATTTTTATTGAGTGTGAAAATAAAAAGTTCACATTAAGAAGGGAGAAAATAAATTAAAAATTAATAGAAGTAGTAGATATAGCCTACAAATTTGATACTCTGAAATACAAAATGAATCAGAGAAATAAAATAGTAGCCTTAAAATAATAAAATAGTAATCTCAGATAAAGACTGTATGTTTTCTATTGCTGTCATAACAAATTACCACAAACTTGGTGACTTAAAATAGGTCTGTAGGTCAGAAGTCTAACACGGATTCCAGTGGGCTAAAATTAAAGTGTAGGCAAGGCTGTATTCCTTTCTATAGGCTCTGGGAAGGATCAATTTCCTTGCCTTTTCCAGTTCTAGAGGCCATTGGCATTTCCTCACTTGTGGCCCCCTTCCTTTATCTTCAGAGCTAGCAAAGGCAAGTCAAGTCTCTTTAACGTGGTATTGCTCTGACCTTGCTTGTGTTGTCACATCTTTTTCTCTGGGCCTCCTCTTCCATCTCCTTCTGTCACTTTTAAGGACCCCTGTGATTATGTTGGGCACACCTGGACTGCCTGTTTGATCCAGGATAAACTTCTCATCTCAAGGTTCTTAATTTAATCCCATCTATAAAGTCCCTTCTGCTGTGCAAGGTAACACTAACAGGTTGTGGGATTAAGATGTGGACATCTTACGGAAGCCATTATTCTGTCTGCAACAAAACCTACAGCAGTGTGTAAACTGAGGCAGAAGAATGTGGCAAAGACAAACAGACTGAATTGCTGAAAAGGGGAAATTTAAGTATAGTAACAAGTTGCTTCAGCAGTCAAGAAGGATAAATTAACTTGAATCAGAAGCAGTAGGTCATCTTTTCTGTCAATGGAAAGAAGGAAGGCAGAACATAGACACTGAATTATTAAAATGGGAAGTAAAGGTACAAGTTGAAGCTCAGAATGTCCCATCACTGAAGGAGCCAGTGTAGGGTGAAGAGGTGTGGCGTGGGAGGCTCCAGGTGGCAGGTAGTCTTCAACAGCATTTGGGGGCTTGGAGAATTTTAAAAAGGATGCATAAGGGGATGACTAATAACACTCAGAATCCTGATAATAATAGCATAAATGTGTAGTGGGTCAAATCTTCATGGTTCAAAATACTCCTTCAACAATGCTCAGCTCAAGGAGAAAATAGGAAAAGAGCACTCAGGAGAGATGGAGGGATGATAATCGATTTGAAGTGCTTTGATGAATGGCCTAAGTACCTTATAATATGCTGATAATCAGAGTACTGAAGTTTTACATACTGTTCTTTGTCAGGTCCTCACACATTAGGAGTTAAGAAAATTTAGCAGTTCAATTAGAGGATTGCAGCTCTATTTTATAATTATAGTTTGTATATACAGATCTATTAGCTCCAGAGTTTTACAAATATATATCTGAATTTCTAAAAGGGCTCAATAATTTGAGAATATAAGAGTATTGACTCTGAATTCTCTCTTTGAATGAAGACATTCCTGTATTGGAATTCAGGCTATCACTAATTAGCTAGTCATGTAACTTAAAAAAATTGCAGCCTTAGTTTCCTTATGCGTAAAACAGAGTTTATGATTAACTTACTGGGTATTTAGAATTAAAAGGCATATAATATTACTGCTAGTATTTGCCATATAGGAGATATTTAATCAGCTATTTTGTATTATTTTTATAGCAATATAAATGGGAAAAGTCTCAAAATCTTTAATATATTTTAGATAAATCTACTTGACCAAAATGTTGTTAACAAGTTCCAAGAACTGCTTTTTATTTTCATTTTTACATTTAACAAATGATACATTTGAGATATTTCCTTTGGGTTTCACAGTAAATTGGCAAAGTAATGATTTTACATTTGGTTCTTTTCTTAATGTCTAATGGTGGTAAAATAACTTCTAGATTATTTCAAATGCACTGAAAACATAAATAGCAATAGTTTGCCAGCTGCAAAATTGATGCTGAAGGTACTTAAATGGCACATAAAATGTTGAATGTCCATAATCACAAGCAGATTCAGTGCTGCCACTTGGCTGAAAACATGAGTTAATGTTTCAAAGTAAGTAGAACTGGAGTAGCATTTCTACTTTCAAGTAGTTTGTTGGATTGCAGTGTGGGAGCATTGAATAAGCATATATGTCATATGACTTAAATCAGGTAGAGGCCCTTCTTGCATCTTCCCTATAACTCCAAACTACAAGAATTTTACGGATCATAGACCTATAAGGTGCTCCACCAGCCTCTAGATGGCACTTTTACATTCTTGATCATGGTATTAATGGCTTGTTTTTTCCATGAATATACTTGTGGGTGACACAAAAACATGTATACCATTTTCTCAAGTGTATCGACAATTGATAGGCGAAATACACGTATCTCAAATATATGCCAGATCCTGGAATTTCATTTAAAGTGAGTTTTTTCTCCCAAGGACAAAAATTTAGAATGAGAAAATTATTAAGTGTTAACGCTTGCCATTCCACTTTCCATGTAAAGTTTTGATTCTCAGTCAACGAGAAACAAATGAAACAACAAACAAAAAACGATTCTATTTTCTTTGGTTAGAAATACTTCTATCAGCATCTGCCTGTTTATACATCCTCAGTGGCACAGCAGAGTGCCACACTTGTCACCAAGCCTGCTGCATCAGGACTTGCAGTTTTCCTTTCATTTAGTTAATTAAATATTTGGAGTACACATGAGATATTCCTATCAATTTTATTATTGGTATCCATACTGTGAACTTCATCTCTGCCTTTTCTCTGTTTCAGCTTTCAAATGCAACCAAGAATTAGGATCATAATAGCATCTCATAATCCTAAAAGGCTGCTGTTCAGTGAAAAATAATGGGTAGAAATCCTTTATACAGACCAACTGGTCATTAGCTTTTGGTCCCTTCCACCATTCCCTTTTATTTTTCTCCCTCAAGTACAGGTATGACAAAGTGGAGGAAATTGGTTAGTATTGAAGCTGTATAGAAGGTGTTTGGGTCTGGGTGTGGTGGCTCATGCCTGTGGGGAGGCTGAGGCAGAAGGCTCCCATGAGCCCAAACATCCAAGACCAGCCTGGCAAACATAGTGAGACCCTGTTTCTACAAAAAGTTTAAAAATTTAGTTGGGTGCTGTGATGTATGCCTATGGTCCCTACTACTTGGGAAGCTGGGGTAGGAGCATTGCTTGAGCTGAAGTGGGCGAGGCTGCAGTGAGCCATGATTGCATTATTGTACTCCAGCCTGAGAGGTAGAGTGAGATCCTGTCTCAGAAAAAAAGAAAGAGCGAGAGAGAGGAAGAAAGAAAGAAGGAAAGAAAGAAAGAAATAAAGAAGGAAGGAAGGAAAGAAAGAAAGAAAGAGAAAGAAAGAAAGAAAGGAAGGAAGGAAGGAAGGAAGGAAAGAAAATAAGGAGGTGTCTGGGCCACTTTGCTTGCCTAACAAACTGCCTTCTCTTACGAAAACCTCTTTACTTGCTCTCCCATGTTTTCTCTGGGTCCTATCATATCTCACTGCCCCTGGGACAGGGCAAGACATTCAGTCTCTTTTCTCTATCATCTTTAGCTTCTGTTCTTGTATTAGCTGTTGGTCTATAACTTTCTCCAATCTTTCCTTATCCTAAACAACAACAAAAACAAGCTCTTCCTAAACCCCATCTTTTTTTTTCATAATGTTTTTTATTCTCCTTTCTAACAAAACTATTGTTCTTGAAAAATAAAATACTCTTGCTGTCTCAAATCTTTCACTTTCCATTAATTTTCAGCTTGTGAGGAGGATAGGTATTAGAAAAACAAAAACCTTATTTCAAAGTACACACTTCTTTTACCATAATCTACTTTGACATTTCCTTTGGGAAAGAGGTACTTTAATTTTGAAAAATACCTCTGACCTGATTATCGTATGAGAATCACTATCTTTGTCAGTGCCTCCCAGCTAACATAATTCTCTGAGTTCTTTCACTAAACGGCTTCCAATTGGCAAACTCTAATGCTACTTTTCAGGCTTATCTTAGCTGAGTTCCCTGAAGCCTTTGAATTTGTTGACCATGTTTTCTCTCTCTCTCTCTCTTTTTTTTTTTTTTGACAGAGTCTCACTCTGTCCCCCAGGCTGGAGTGCAGTGGCAGGATCTTGGCTCACTGCAACTTCCGCCTCCCAGATTCAACCGATTCTCCTGCCTCAGCTTCCGAAGTAGCTGGGACTACAGGTGCGTGCCACTACACCCGGCTGATTTTTGTATTTTTAGTGGAGACGGGGTTTCACCATGTTGGCCAGTCTGGGATCATGATTTCTTTGCAATATTTTTTCTCTATTCCTTTTACTGCTGTTCTTCCAGCCACTCTTTGTCTTTGTGCTGTTTTTGAAAGGTCTTGTGTAGACCTAAATTTTCAGTGCATTTATGTACTGATGAGTCTCAAATACATCTCTCCAGGCCACATCTATTTCCTGGGTCCTTGACAACTATCTGTTTCTATTTTCTGAAATTTGTGACTTGGAAATGCATCCAAGTCCTGCTCAAATTTTAAATTCTTTGGCTTAAATATTTAAATTATTTACTTGCCTGTCCTTTCTACTGACCTATTAACTCTATTGAAGCAGAAACTAGGTTATATTTTTTTCTAATATGTCTAGTACCTTACACTGTGCTGAGTGAAGGATCAGATATTAGAAACTAATATATTTCATAGTCCTTTTGTCTGCGAATCCCTTTGTCAGTGTATGTAAGCTTTTTATGGAATGATCAAGTTAACACAAAAGTTTTTAATAGAATTCTTAATTAACAGGGAAGTAACATAAGAATGTTTTATGTGGTAAATGAGGAAGGAACAGTTCATTCTCTGGACATATTCATGAGTTAAAACTGTTAAAAATATTTTCCTGCTCTCCCAAAATATGAGAAATTACTTACTCTAGGATAACAAGAAATAGTATTAGCTTCTCCAGTTAAGTATATATAAGCTTCTTAAGGAGGAAGGAAAGCTGAATAGAAACAATCACATTCTGACACAGGGGTCAACAAGCTTCAGCTGTACTGGCAAGACAAATGTGGCCTGAGTCTTGTTTTCATATGGCTAGCAAGCTAAGTGTGGATTTTACATTTTTAAAGAGTTGTTGAGAAAAGAAAGAGGAGGAGGAAAAGAAGGAAGATGAAGAAGATGAGCAGCATCACTGATAGAATCCACAGGTGTTCTATACAGTTAAATGTGTGCTCTCTGGTTCTTTACTGGAAAAGTTTGTCAACCTTGGGTATAACAATTTTTTTTCCTTAACAGTCAGATGCTAAGGGAAAGAACAGATTCTTTGGGTTGGCTAAGATTAGCCATTCAAATTAGAGTTGCAATAAATTTATTTCCTTTGTAGCCCAAACCAAAATGATGAACTGAAGATGAATACATATCTGTACATTAGTTCCATAAAGTAATTAAATTTGTAACCTTTCCTATTAGATATCTGGTATAACCAAGATACCTTCGTCTTTCTTCTACCAAACAAAAGTCACATAGACATTACTTAATAGATATTGGGTATTGGGGAAATATTCAAGGCTCTCTGTTTTTTAATAGTGTCTGCAGGTATGCAATTTGTTTGATTAATTGAAAACATCAGGTAGTACCTGGTCAAGCAAATAGAAAATTTACTATAAAATCTATTTCAAATTTTTACCAGCCAGTCAGTGATTCAATTTATTATTTTGACATTCACAGAATATGTTTGCTATAAATAAAAAGATTAATTATTTTAACAAACTAGAGATTAGGATTGAGTCAAGATTCTTCTGATGTCCTAAGGAATGTAGAAGCACACATAATTCACCTGATACTATGTTGTAGCACTAAGTGCAGACTTCATCCACAGCTAGAGGACCTGGGAGAGGATGTGGGGCAGAGTTACTTTTAACAGCCTCCTCTGTTGCCTAAAGTCATTTGACACTCAGGGAATTACTCAGTTATCCCCATGACTGCATTTTTTTTGCTGTGCCCAGATTTATATTTTCCCTCTGTGTACTTAGGCTAATTGATGAAATACCAGTTGAAGTCCATGGCAGGAGAGGAAGCCAAGGAGGCATGTTATAACAGACTCAGTATCTTTGGCTTCTTCCCTTCCTTTTCTAGGCTTCTCCAGTCCAATTTGTCCCTATCATTATCAGGGCTATATGGTCTCAGGAGTAACATTCTAGACTGAAGAGTTGCATTTGATGACAATGTACAGGGTTTTCAGAAAGAGGTGAAATATACACCATTCTTTATTTTCCCTTTCTGCTTGGGAACCATTCTATAGCTGACATCCAGGCTTTGTGATTTGCTTGGGTTCAAATTTACACATGAAAATATACAATGACTGACAAATTGCACGAACCTAAATGTAAACAAGGCACCAAAAACTAGCATTCACTTTTAGAATTACGACAAGGACACCAAAAATTGAAGTTTAAAAATGAATTAAAGATAGATGTAGAATTCAGGCTGGGAATAGTCAGTGCAGGTGTGTTAAATCCACATAAGTGTAAATGCAGCTCACTGGATTTAAATAATGATGAATTGAACCTGTTTGCTGAAAACTTGTTAAATAGGAAGTACACAGAAAGATTCATTGTGGATTATGAAAAAGAAACTGAGAAATATCATTTGAGGGCATGATTATTTTATCGAGTGAGAGAAGAACGTAGATTTTGAGTTTAAATATGATGTGTCAGCTTTATCAAATTTTAGAAGAAAAGGAAATATCACCAACTTCTAGATTACAGCAGAAATTTGTGGAATAGATTTATTTACCTAGATCAGAAATAAGCACTTAATCATGTTAAAGGATTATAAAGGATATTTAAAATAATACAACATCCCATTACAAACTGCATTGCAACTAAATACCTGAGAACTCTTTGGAAAAGATAATTTACACTTAGTCAATCATATACAAAATAAAAGTTAAAATTTCTTTTCTTGTTGAAATCAAATGTAGTCTGAGTGACTATAGGTTTGATCTTTCTGCCTGGTAAAAATCTTTAGCACTCTGAGTGTGAAATAAAGTTATATATAAAGCTTTAGCAAACAAGATTTCTTTCCAAGGTTTATGAGAAGGTTACACAAACCCTAAAAGGGCTTTGAAAATCACTGACTCAAATAGAAAATTCATGAAAGCTGAGACCAGACCAAATTAAATAGGCCCAACTCAATTCAGCATTACAAAAGATTTTCCAAAATACTCCTCAAATGAAATACACAGGCAGCAACTTTGTTTGTATACAAAATCACTCGGGTGCCTTTGGAAATCAGTTGCTGTGAAGTGCAAAGCAAAATCTCCCAATTCATACATATATTATTTAAAAAATATGGATAGGATGGCCAAGCGGGGCAAAGAGTAATAAAAAAAAAAAACTACAGTTACAAAAAAATGAATGAGGCTCCTCAATTATTTTAATCATTGGAGATTAATTTATATGTCTCTAAATATTGATAGTCATAGAAAATCTCATTAATTTCCCTTATTGAAAATATGTATACCTTATATAATACATTCCCTATCAGAATAATTGAAATTTGTGATCTTTTCTACACTGGAGATGTTTTTGGAAAAAAAAAAATCTGAGACTTGGCAGAGGTGGGGAATAATGGTGGTGATGGGTGAAAATATAGGAAGGTCACTAAAGGAAATATTTATGATGAGGATCTCATTACATAATCACCAAATCAGAGAAAATCAGTGCTGAAAATGTTCCAAGAAACGTTAGCTAGCCTAGATTCTCTGTCTTTCAACAAACTTAGTTGAGAAAACCACCCTGTATTTCTTTTAAAGGCTAGCAGATAAAAAGATTTTCCAAGTTTACAATTCAGGGCTTAACAGACTCCTTTGTCAGCAGCTCCTTCCAGGTATCTAACTTAAATCCCATAAGCTTTAATGTAAGCCCATTTGTTCCAGTTTGAACATAGAGAAAATAACTTTTTATAATGACTTTTAATAAAAAAAAGTAGTACAATTTCGAGGAAGAACAAATGACAAGTAATATTCACAAACTGGAACTATCCCTCTCTTATCTTAATCTATAGAAGTTTTTCGCTGTTCAATCTTTAACCCTTTTTGTAAAAGTACCACTAAATTATGGACCTCCACCATATTTTTTAAAAGGACAGAATTTTAAAGGCTGCAGTGAAGATTTTTGAGGATGGTAGCATCATGGAAAATAGAACAAATATACATGTTTCAGCATAGTATGGCTATCAAGATGATCTTCTTAAATGAATTATAAATGAGACCATTTGAGAGTCACTGTGCTGGACTGTTAGCTATTACCATCTTCCTTCCTTTCTTCCTTTCTCCATCTTTTTCCTGCTGAGACACTATCATTTGTTTCAGTTCCCAACTGTTTTCTGAACTAAGTCTTTAAGAAAGAGAGAGAGAGAGAAAAAAGGAATACAGTAGCATATTTATCATGCTATTTATGATTGCATGCATGGGAGATATAATTTTAATTCTGCTTGCATTACTTGAATTTTATGAGATGAGAACTTAGATTCAACCCTAAAGGCTGCAGTACTTTGCAGAAATTTAGCATTTATTGTTTATTCTATTTATTTAGTTAGTTATTTGTGTGAAGTTTCAAACAGCTTAATTTTATCTTTTGCATTTGAAAACTCAAGGTCATTAAAATATCAGGGATGGAATTTTAAACAGGAACTAAGAGATTTACAAATCTTCTTATCTTCTGAGACTGATTAGGTTGATTTCTTGTGATGTAAACAGCTATGCTACAACTTTCTTGTAGTAGGTTAGAATTTGAGCTATTTTCTCATGAAATTATATTTTAGAGAAGGTTGGACATAAAATTCCCCTAAGAGGATTATAATATTTATCTACTCATTTGATTATTTTAATTCTTTTAGGATTCTTATATTGGCTTTTAAAAGAAAAAACAGTAATGTAAACTTCAGAGCAGTTTGAGAAAATAAGTCTTCTACTGTGTTTTAAGTTTAACATGGTTTTCACACTTAGAAAAATAATATTCTATTTTATTTTCAGAATTATATTCTGTTAGTTTTCAATTTTGAAAAGAACTATAAATAAATTAAAAATAAAGATAACTTGGTGTCTATTTTGAAGGAACATGAGCTGAAGGGGATTTTAACATGTTTTCTTGTATTTGAGAGCATGCTAGATCAGTACTGATAAGCTGCTGATATTGAATTCTTGATAAGGAAGGGCAAATACTTATTGACTGCTCTGAAGTTATAGAAGGCAGTATCTTTAAAGACTTCTTGATATAAGGATGGGAAACACGGATATTTGTCTCAACAGAAATTTATGCTACTAGGAAACTTAAAGAAAACCTTTTTTATTATAGAAGAAAATCATGTTCATTATTGGATAACCATAAACTATTTGTGGAGCCATCACTTGCCCCCAGTCCTTAGGCCTGATGGCTGAGATTTACTCAAACATGCCATGTGCTTTATTCCCCTTTCATTGTCCCTCACCACAAGTTGAGTCCTTCCCAACCTACCCAATTTAAGTCTTTTTAAGTCCACTGAGTTCGTATACAATTGTGGACATAGTTTGAATATTTTCCCAAAGAGGCTACTCCACTTTCTTATAAATCAAGGGTGTAGCTAAGTACTTTTATGGGGAGGAGGTGGATTTATCTAATTCCACTGTCTCAAAGTCCTATCTAGTCGTTGTATCAAACTGTGCACCAATATCCAGTTCTGTTCTACTTCACACATGTGGGAAGATGATAATCACAGGTGACTTGACGTGGCTAATAAAATATAAATGGAAAATGTGATGTATCACTTCTAGGGTGGAAACATTTTAGAAGTGGCAAGTAGAAGTCCAAGCTTCTTCCCTCCTGGATTGACCTAGCTGTGGAACGAGATGGTTTTAAAACAACCAAGAAACATTAATAGGAGGATGTACAGATATTCTGTGGCTAAATGCCTGGCACCATTTTTATTCTAGTCTTCATCCAACCTGCTAATTACCAGGATTGTCCAATTTTTTTCCTAGTAGGGTAAGAGCATCCATTTGAGGTTTGGACTTATAAGTACTGATTTTAGAATTTTTACTTTTCCTCATTTATGGTTTTAGCTTCTTACCTCTGTATTATCCTTAGCATTAAGTATTTTCAGCAGGTGAATTCACCATAAACCTTAGGGGGACTGCTTTGAGCCCTTTGGCTTACATGGCAGGAAATATTTGATTCAGTTTCCTGACAAACTGGATGATATTTCTCATATAATGAGCATTCACACTGCCAATGAACATGCCATATGTTTAGACACATGGTTTTACTTTTATGATCTTTAAAACTTAATTTATTTTATGTAGCCCATGGCTGAGATAATCATTTATAGGTTTCTAAGTACCAGGATTGGTGTCAGGTTTGAAAGTGCTCTGATTTGGGCAGGAATGGAAGTATTGCTTCACTGTAAGGCATACATTCAGAGAAGTATATATATTATTATCAATAGGAAACTTCTCAGCAAGTTTTTTTTTTTATTGGTACTGGCGGTGGTATAAAATACTCTATAGGATAGATGTAAGGGAAATGTTACCCACATATTGATTTAGAAAGGCAGACTTATAGATTATATTATAGACAGCCATCCTATGCATTATTACTCCATGCCACTTTTAAAAGGCATATTGTATTGAGTTTTAAAAAGATTATTTTACTCTTATTTTAAGCTTTCTCATTTCTATATCAGAGTACTACCAGGGCAAATAAATAAATGATAGAAGCTAGGAAAAATAATGATTAGAATTAGAAGTAGTATTCACCTCTATTGGTCACTCCTTTTTTTTTTTTTTTTTTTTTTTTGAGACAGGGTCTTCCCCTGTTGCCCAGACTGCAGTGCAGTGGCATGATCTTGGCTCACTTCAACCTTCACCTCCTGGGCTCAAGCAACGCTCCCGCCTCAGCCTCCTGAGTAGCTGGGACTAGAGGTATGTGCCACCACACCCAGCTAATTTTTGTATTTTGTAGAGATGGGGTGTCACCATGTTGCCCAGGCTGGACTATTTTTTTAAACAAAGAAGTAAAACATTAACTTTTCATGTTTATAATGTTTTAAATTATAACATATTAAATATATATTAGTTTTACTAATTTTTTATTTAATATACATTCATAATCAACAGTAAGATAATTTTTAATACTTTGACAAAAAATTTTAAAGGTCATGGAGTTGTCATAATTTTTCCAATTAATTATCATTTTTCTTTTTACATTTTTTAAAATAAGAAATTTTATATGTAATGCTTTGTGAATTTGCCTGTCATCCTTGCACAGGGACCATGCTAATCTTCTCAGTATCCTTCCAATTTTAGTATATCTGCTGCCAAATGAAGCAAGTAGTGTTTTCTTTTTTTGGAAAGCAGCTTTATTGAGGTATCATTCTAAGTACCAGGATTGGTGTCAGGTTTGAAAGTGCTCCGCTTTGGGCAGGAATGGAAGTATTGCTTCACTGTAAGGTATACATTCAGAGAAGCATGTATATTTATTATTGATAGGAAACTTCTCGGCAAGTTCATTTTTTATTGATACTGGCGGTGGTATAAAATATTCTATAGGATAGATATAAGGGAAATGATTGATATACAACGGACTGCACATGTCTAACATGTACAATTCTGAGTTTCAACATAGGCAAGCACCTGTGATACCATCATTCCAATCAAGGTAATAGGCATATTCAACATCTCCCAAAGTTTCTCTAAGACCCTTTGTTTGTATGTTTGGCTTTTCTTTGATAAGAACACTTAACTTGAGATCTACTGTCTTGACAAAATTTGTGGTGCAAAATTCTGTATTGTTAACTATAGACATTATGTTGTATAGCAGATCTTTAGAAGATATTTATCTAGCACAAGTGAAACTTTATACCCATCAAACAACTTCCCATTTCCTTTGCATCTCAGGCCCTGGAAACCACTATCATGCTCTATGCTGTATTGACTATTATAGATTCTTTATGGAAGTGGAATAATGTAGTGTCTGTCCTTTGGTGACTGGCTTATTTCACTTGGCATAATGTCCTGCAGGTTTCTGACTGCTTTGTTGGTTTGAGGATCATGTAAAACTCTATTTGGGTGACATGACAATGAAGTTTCTTTTCTTCAAATGTCATATGCACTGAAACAATTCTTAATTCCAAAAGTTCAGGACAAGCATAAATCCCATTATCGTAGTTTTTGGTCCTAAAGGATAGATATATAAAGACTCTACTATTGTTAGCCAATGTGTTGGAGATGAAACACTGAACAATACATAGGCTTTCCTTCAAGACTTTAATGGATATTTAATTTGACAAGGACCACCAGATGGCCAAAATATTTTAGTGAGGTTAGCGAAGCATCGTGCAAAAAATAAAATTAAAACGTGGCCTTATAACATTTAATACTTATTGCATGTATCAGAGTGCTTCAAAAATTTAGCTAGAACAAATTATTTTTGGATAATATGATTGGAGATTTTAAACCTGGCATTAAAACTAGAAGTTGAGAGTGTGGAATTTTACATTTTTAATTATACCATGAAGACTTTTACTCTTTATAGTTTTACAAAATAAGATAAAGGGGTATAAATTTTCATAAATTCAATAGAAATTTCCAATGGATCCCATTAACATCCTCATTCTGATCTTAAAATATTTGGCTGACTAAAGCATCCAAGCAAAACTCATTCTATCCCTATATGACTGAAAAATAATTTTGCAGATCATTATTAATTGTTTTATATTTATTAACTCAACAGGAATGATCTGATTGACCATTCAAGAGTACAGTTATTTCAAAAAGTCTGTCCTTCAAAGGGCAGCCTTCTGCTCCAAATGAAGTACAGAGCAATTGATCGGATATCCCCAACAGATGATTCTGCTTGTTTAATACTAGTCTAATCTTAAATATTCACGTTAATATTTATCCAAGGAGTAGGCAGGCTTTACTGACAACTTTTACTCTCATTGCATTCCTTATCACCTCATGGGAACATCTGCCAGAAAATGAAATCTTCTTTTGTTTGTTTTAAACTTTTACCTCTGCAGCCAACACTTAGTTGTAGGTTGGCTGCGGTTATACTTGTGGACTTAATTGCTTCTCATGGTAAGTTGTACTTTAGGGGTGATGCAATAGTTACAGATCATAGGAACCAGTCCTCTGATATCCTATAAAATAGTTAAGTTTTCAAAGGGGTAAAAAATATGTTCTGTTCTCCCTTCTTAAAATTGTGTTTCTTTGTGATCTGACACCACTTTTTGATTAGTAGACACATAAATGTCTATTATAACTTTATCAGATTGAATTTTATTTGTTCAGAAATAATCTACCCTGCTTCTTTTTTTTTTTCAGGAAAAACACACAAATGATTTTAAAACAGAGCCAATTACCTTTGATAGACTTTCCCCTGCTTTTAACAGGTTTGTAAAAGACAAAGCTGTAAAATAAATTGCCTCATTTGGTTACTTTGGTTTTCTTTCATAAGCAGTTTATCTAAAGTGATTTTGCTCAAAAGCAGGCATTCTATGGATATACTACTGAGAGTTTATTTTGCCTGAGGCAGTTCTCTGTTTATAATTACCTCATTTTTTTAGAAAGCTTACTTTATGTTTATGGAGTAGAATCTTGGACACTTGACCTCCAATTTGCCTATGAATTGGGCTGTATTTAATTTACATTTCTGTAGGGGACCCTTGTCATTATTACAACAGAATAAGGATGGGATGGCCTTATATTTATGTAGCTATCTCTATTAGACAACCTAGTTTCTACCAAATAATTTTACTTCACAGTTTTGTTTGGTTAAAAAAAATTATGCTCATATGGCCATACAGAATACTTCCCCACTAGGTTTCTTTGCCAAGAGTAAAATGGAATTCTGACACTCATTTTTCAAAATATAATTTGAAGGAAGGAATATTCAAGGAGGATTGCTTAAGGTCAAGCACTCCCTCTCCTTTTTACAGAAAATATAAATTATGTTCCTAGAAGAAGCCAAAGCAGCAGAAATCAGGTCATCTAGATCATTAGCACCCTTTGCAAAATTGCTTCTTCTGAATTGCTTTTCTGAATTGGGTTCTGGTATGATGCCATCATCCTATATTGAGGATTGAAGTTGTCATTATATTTACTATTTGGCTATTGTGGAGAATACTGTTTATTTCATCATACAATGGTCATACAATATCAGGAGACTTAAAAGAAATTGTCATCTGATCTGACCACCAAGATCAATTGTTCATATTCTGAGCAATTGCTTTATTATATCTATTTAAAATTGTGAATTGCGTAACCTGAGAAAGGATTGATTGTTTTTCTCCCCAAATATTTGTAACGTACTATGAGCAAAGTTCAATCAGGAGCTCTGGGTTTTTTCAGTGGGAATAACCTTGTTAATAGTAGCTACTTCTTATTAATTCCTTCCTATGTGGCAGCAATGTTCTAAGCAAGTGCTATGGTCTGAAAGTCTCCCCAAATTCATATGTTGAAACTTAATCACCAATGTGATTATCCCCCTCACTGGATGTGACAGGGGTGTGGCTCATCTGTTCACTTGCTGCTGCTGCTCAAACCCCTTATGGGTGGGGGAACATGAAGATGAACAGGTGCAGGAGCTGGGGCGAGCACCCCTGGGCTCCGTCCCCACAGCAACATCCAGTGGTAGGAGTCTGAGACTCCCAGATCCCAAGTAGGCATGTGTTACAGTGTGCTCTTTTAGCCTTGATGTGCATGGATGGCTTAAGTCTTAACCACCTCAGTGGACCCTCTGCCTTTCTGCAAGGGCAGGGGCCAATGTGACAGCTGTCTGTATCCCGAGCTCTTGTCCAGCATCCTGGAAAAATCAGGTCACACACGAACTTGAAGGATGGTGAATGCAGGGGTTTTATTGGGTGGTGAGTTAGCTCTCAGTGAGATGAATGGGGAGCTGGAAAGGGGATGGAGTGGTAAGATGATCTTCCCCTGGAGTTTGGCCATCCAGCGGCCGATTTGCCAATGGTCCCCAGCAGAACTGCTCCTGAGATTTCTACTTTTCTCTCCTTTTCTGCCACTCTTATGCTCTTCTATTCACCTGGAGCTGGGGATTTGGGGTTTATATGGGTACAGGATAGGTGGGCGTGGTGGGCCAAAAAGCAACTTTCTGGGTGTGAAAACAGGAATGCCTGTTCCCATTTAGGGCTGTGGGTATCCATGCTTGAGGGTGGGGCCTTTGCTGTGGAACTGCTCTCTTCTACCCAGTATTTACCTGTCTCCTGTCCATATCAATAGTACTAAGAAGTGGGGTCTTTAGGATGTGATTAAGTCATGAGAAAGGAGCCCTCCTGAATAGGATTAGTGACCTTATAAAAGACTTTGAAGGGGATGAGTTCACCCCTTTCTTCCCTTCTCCCATGTGAGGGCATATTATTGGTTCTCTCTGGAGGATGCAGCAGCAATGCACCTTCTTGGAAGGGCCACCTTGAGCTTCCACTCCCTGCATCTCTCTGCAGTGCTCCTTGGTCACCTCAGCTGTGGCTCAGCTGGGCTCAGATATGGCTCAGGCCTCCACTCCAGAGAGGATTCCGGGAAACCTTGGTATGTCCTGCTAACTCTGCAGGGATACAGAGTGTACAAGCTGTGGAAGCATGGCTATATCCACCCAGATTCCAAATGATATCCTGGATAGCCTCCAGGTCCAGGCATAGAGCTGCCATAGGACAGGCCACCTCAGAGAGCCCCTACTAGGACAGTACTTAGTGAAGCCATGGGGACAGGGCAACTTCCAAGACCCTAGACCTGTAGAGCCACCAGTGTGTAGTGTAACACCAGCCCAGGACAGCCACAGACACTCGAATGCAACTCCTGAAGAGTGGCTGTGTGAGCTGTACCCACAGTAAAGCTGTGAAAGTGGGGCCTCCCAAAGCGATAGGGGCCCAACCCTTAACCCAGTGTGTATGAAAAGCCAGATATGGAAGATTATTCTCATGCTTAAAGATTCGATGTTGTTTGACCTGTGTTTTGGACTTACTTGGGACCTGTTACCTCTTTTCTCTTGTCTATTTCTGCCTTCCTGTAATGAGAAGTCTATCCTATGCCTATCCCACAATTGTATTTTCAAATTACATAACTTGTTTGATTACATAAGCTCACAGCAGGAGAACTCATCTCAGGATGAAGTATACCTTAACTCTCACCCATATTTGATTTAGATAAGACTCAGAACTGTAGATTTTGAGTTGATGCTGGAACAAGTTAAGACTTGGGGGGCTGTTGGGATGGCTTGAATGTATTTTGAATGTGAGAAGAACATGCGTTTTGAAGTCCAGGGATGAAATGCTTTTGTTTGACTGTCTTCCAAAATTCATGGCTTGAAACTTAATTGCCAATGTGATAGTATTAAGAGGTGGGGCCTTTAGGAGTTGATGAGGTCATGAGGGCTGTACCCTCATGGATGGGATTAGTCACTTGTAAAAGGTCTGGAGAGAATGAGATAGGTCCCTTTTGGCCCTGTTGTCCTTTCTGCTATGTGAAGACATAGCTTACTCTCCTCTGGAGTATACAGCTACAATATGCCACCTTGGAAGTACAGAACAGCCCTTACCAGGCATTGAACATGCCATACCTTGACCTTGGACTTCCCAGCCTCCAGAACTATGAGAATAAATTTATATTGTTGATAAATTACTAAATATGTAGTATTTTCTTATAAAAGCCTAAACTGACTAAATCAGCTGGTTAATGTATTAACTCTTTACTGTTATTAGCTCCATTTTACAGATAAGAAAGCTGAGATACTGGGACACTCTAAGAAATTTAAAAAACTTGTTCAAAGACAGACAGTAAGTCTAAGAGTTATTCAAGCTCACACAATCTAGTTTGATCAGAACATAATATTGCTCCCCAATTAAAAGAAGTTTATTTGGCATCCTATTTCATCTCCTCGTTTCATCTTATCTCCTCTCACCTATGAAATTTGGAACTATGCACAGAGGCTTTATAAATCAGTTATTAAATGCTATTTTCCAGTTTGGATCACATAGTAGGTAATCAGTAAATATCAATGTACTTACCTAGAGACCATTAAGGCTCAGTGGAGAAGGTATATATATGGATCCTACATCTAAGAGCGTGGTGGCTCATGCCTGTAATCCCTGCACTTTGGGAGGCCGAGGTGGGCAGATCACTTGAAGTCAGGAGTTTGAGACCAGCCTGGCCAACATGGTGAAACCCTGTCTCTACTAAAAATACAAAAATTAGCTTGGCGTGGTGGCAGGCATCTGTAATTCTAGCTACTTGGGAGGCTGAGGCAGGAGAATCGTTTGAACCCAGGAAGCGGAGGTTGTAGTGAGCCGAGATTGCGCTATTGCGCTCCAGCCTGGGCGACAGAGGAGACTCCCTCTCAAAAATAAAAAAAAAGAGTGTATTAAGTGATAATTATGTTATTATAAACAAATGGACATCAAAAACCAAGTATAATATAATCATAGGTTAAATAGAGGCAGAGGATAGGTTGGATTCTATTGACTGATTTAGGAAAAAGAAAATAAATAGAAAACAACAGCTATCACAACCAATTCTTCAAAGGGGTGTCCCTTGATTGACATGTTATTTGTGAAAGGATTTCTTCTATATTTAAGAAAGAGAAAATGAATAGTAGTTTACTCATAATAAGTGCTTGAAGTGTTTTAGTTAACTAAAGAGGACAAGAAGTACAGAAATTGATTTTTCTTGTAAAAGATATATCCTTGCTACAGTAAAGTTTATTTTGACCTTTCAGATAGTTTAGTCTTGAATATGTTCATTATATTTCTCAGAAAATTTTACCATGTATACCATAGGACTTTGGTTGTTTGGCAATTCTACACATTGTACAGCTCTCTCACCCATCATAAATATTGTGATGAATTTAATTTTTCAGGAACAAATGCAAAATTATAGTTTCATTTTCCCCACTCTCAGAGTTTAAATATGTTGAGTTTGAGGTTAACATAATGGCAGAAATTTGATATATGAATGTCTACAAATTTTAAGCTTGTATTCCTATGAAAAACGAATGATCACTAGCAGCAAAAGTCTAGCAGCTGATAGTGCTCAACCAAAATGTATCAGAAGTTGAGTACTCCCACATAAGGGCTTTTTAGAGGAAGTGTTTTACTAATTTAAATATGTTCAAAGCTGAGAGATGGCTGAGCTCTTATGCAATTCAGATTTTTATTCAGTGTGTTTCTGTGAGAAGTCTTTCCCAGACAATATGGAACAATCAGAGTGGGAAGGAGTTTTGCTCCCTAGAATCATTTCCAAAAGGTAATTTCAGAAGGACATATGAAACCATTATTCTCACACAGAGTTCAAACTTACGAATCTCAGAACTTAGAAAATCAATGATAGGCTTTCTTTTATTTCTATGCACTTATTAAGTAAAAAAAAAATTTCTGATAATATATTAATATATCAATTTTATTTAATAAGTATTTTCTAAATGCTCTATCTGTGCCAGGTACTGTTCCAGGATCTTGAGATACATTAGTGAGCCGAAGAGATAAAGATCCTGCCCTCTTGATGCTTATGTACCACATAAACTAAGTTAATTAACAACTTGTGGTAATGTGACTATGAACTAGACTCAAGAGTATCATGAAAAATGTGTTGTTTATGCAAAATAATTACATAAAGAAAATTCACAGAATGATTTCTATTTTTGTAATAATAAAATATTGTGAGCTATTTATGTTTTCATTTGCTATTAATAGTGGTGTATAATAATTTAATTTCTTAATGTAGCTCTTGAATTTTGTTTCTACACTTAAACTTCAAGCTTATGGAACTATTAGCACTTCTTTTTATGTCATGTTCTCTCTGAGTGTTTCCTTTTGTCCTTTTCCTGATACTCAATTATTATACACATCTCTCTCACTTCTAATCTTGCCTCTTATTTACTTGGTTAATAGTTATCATTTTTCAATACTCATCTCAGTCACTAGTTCCTCCAGAAAACCTTCCCAGTCCTCAGTATACTTCATCACATGATAGCTACTCGTAATTCTACTAATAGTGTGAGAAACCATATTTAGCTTTGTATTATCAGTGTTAAACACAACACCTGGCACATGGTTATACTCAGTAGATATGTGTTGAAGATTGACTTTGATTGACTAATAGAATGATTGACATCTGGTATTCTGCTCCCAGCACAATTTGAATTGTGCTCATCTTTTTAGCCTTATTTCTTCAGTATGTCCATATATAACAAATTGATCCATTCCAACCAAACTCGTGTGCTTACAATTCATTGAACTTGGCTTTTGTATCTTTGTCCATGCCATTTCTAAAGTATATCCAACAGGATTCTACCCACGTGGCAAATGTCAAATTTAACATTCCGCTTATTCCATGAAATCATCTCTGATTCTGTGAATTTATGCAATACTTAGTATACATGGTATTACATGTAGACAATTAAAACAAATGCCAAATAAAATGAAAATAAAATTTCTTGGCTATTTACCTAGATCCTTATGGGAAGGCCATTAAGGCTGTGAAAAAAAGCCTTTATTTGCAAACATTTTGGTAGTTAGTATTGTTTATCTAAAATTATAAACACTAACAAAATATTTTGAAAAGACTTTGCTAGTTTGGGGGCTTTAAGCAATAGTTATTACAGAAACTAGCAAAGGAAAATGCAAGATAATGCTCATTTTTTTTTAATCTCACTCATAGTTTACTGTGAAAGGCTTAAATTATGCCTAAGATATAATTGGTGAAATACTATGTTTTAGAGTAAGTTGGCTATGGATTCATTTGTATAATATTAGTAAGACTGCCTCATAATATAAATTAACCATATAGAAACCCTCATTATTCAACAGTTTTAGGAATGAGTCAGAGTTGACAATGGATTTTTAATCCAGTTGAGGGATTTTTAATCCCTAGTTGAGGCATGATATATATAAGTTTAATAATTTTTCAGTATGGCTTTAAGTATTTAAATATTGTTTTATGACTAACACCAATGATTTGAATTGGACTAATTTTGGTACTTGAAAGCAAACAGTACCTGGTATTAGCCCTATTTGAATATTGGGAATGATCAATTTGTCTCCAAACTGAATATTGTATACCATCACTGCTGTAGTAATACAGGTGACCATTCCATATATTTTTAAGGTAGGCAAGTGCCATAATGTATCTAGGGACCTCAGGGACAATAGTCAGTATCTCCTCTATCTCTTTTCTCTTTCTTTCCTTAGTGGCTTCAACACCTCTTGACACTAAGCTACAGAAAACAGAAGTGTGTCAGCTGGCGGTTCCTGAGCTCAAACCTCATGGCTTTATGATTAAGTGATCTTCCCAAAGATTTTTTTTGAAAACACAAAACTCACACAAACAAAACAAGCGCAACAAATATTGAAACAAAATAAACCTTGGAAAATGGCTCTGATTGGATCAGTTTAAGGAAGTGTTCACCTATTTGACTAATGCTGTAGGCTTGGGGATAGTGTAATTATGATTAGGTCAGCATGGGATATGTAGGAACATCATGGCTGCATCATAGAAAAACATAATAATTGGAAGCCACCACTGGAACCACATAATTGTATTATAACAGAAAAAGCCATTTATCAGAGGGAAGTGTTTATTTCCTCCAAAAACGAGTGGAATACTGGGAAGGACAAATAATTTATGTGCTATTTTAAGTGAAGCAGCTCTGGCCCTTTAATTCTGCATGACGAGTTTCCATAAGGCAGTGTTTGATTAAGGGGAGGAAAGTAGTGGATAGATAACCTAGGAGGAGGAGTTGGCAAGAGCTGGAGGTCAGGTACCAGCAAAATGGATCAGAATCAGTTCTGTATCAGCAGCAGGTTTGGAAAATTGAGTTGGAAATCTAGTTATATGTACTGACAAGTTAAAGGTATTCATATTGATCTTGTAGGTTACAAATTGTTGCTAGTGGAGTGTAGCTCATGATCTCCCAGTTTTATCCCTGACATGTCTGATATCTGGGAGACTGACATCTGGACCCCACCAACTTGTGGGTAGATGATGATAAACATTTTTCCTGATTTGGATCAGCTTTGGTGAATTCCCTCAGTAATTCTATTTATGGGAGGCTGAGTAATGTATACATTCTTAACTTTCTGAGGTTTAAGTTAGCCACCTGAATGTAAGAGAGATCAGATTAAACAATGAAGAAATCAGTGGCTATTAAAATAACAGTTATCCTTTGCTGCTTGCATGTGGCAAAGATTTGGGAGACAGAGTTGCCTTTAACATGAAGAAAGGAAAGAAAATGTCAATGGCTAGAGGAAGGATAAGGAATAAAGACTACAAGATAATAGTCATTCATATAAAGCATATTTTAAGGAAAAAACTTTTTTGTGATCAGAAGAGTGGAAATATCAGAAGAAAAGCATTACAATGATATTTAAAATTATTTGGCTAAGTGCGGTGTCTTATGCCTTTAATCCTAGCACTTTGGGAGGCCGAGGTGGGTGGATTGCTTGAGCTGAGGAGTTTGAGATTAGCCTGGGCAACATGGCAAAACCCTGCCTCTACAAAAAGTATGAAAATTAGCCAGTTGTGGTAGCACACGCCTATGGTCCCAGCTCCTCAGGAGGCTGAAGTGGGAGAATTGCTTGAGCCCATGTTGTTGAGGCGACAGTATGCAGAGATTATGCCTTTGCACTCCAGCCTGGGCAACAGAATGAGACCCTGTCTCAAAAATAATAATAGTTATTATTATTATTCACTTTGTTTCCCTGTCTTGACCCTGGAGTTTGATATTCATGGTTTCCAGATTATTGGGGAGGTGTCTCAGTGAAAAGTAGGAAAACTAGTCAGGTAACTTTGGGACCATGTGTTTGTAGAGTTGATTCAAAATTATTTTTAGTATTTTCTAACAAGCCAATGAAGAAGGATTTTCAAAATTGAAAAATATTAGCTGTTTTCCAGCTTTCACCTAAGGCTGATATATTCCTCCTGTATATACTTATAGAGTTAATGAAATACATATTTGCAAGACACCACATTAATAAGAAAGAGTGATTCGGAAAAGTGTCACCTGTATTTTGTTAATTTGCTGCAGGCTCACTCTCCCTATGGCTGGCACATATTTCTAATCTTTGTATTTGGCAGGATAGAAGTATTTGTGATGGGGAAACCAGCAGCAGTTCTTTCTCTTCATAAGGGAAGGGATATTGAAAATCTGAGTAATTACAGCCCTATTTCAATTTTACTCACAGAAGTTAAATTATTTAAATGTCTCTTCTGCAGTCAAAATGAATGTTTTTTAGTTTACAGATATTTTGTTACTATTAGAGCAATTTTCTTTCCATTATCTTAGCTTCGCAATTCTGTGTTATTGAAAATGAGAAATAACTCTCACAAACTGAGTCTAAATTAGGGTGCCGGGGTGAAATTATATTTGTTGATTTCCCCAGTTTCTTTGAGTAGGGAGACTATATTATATTTACATAGCTAATTTACATTCTCTTATACAGGTATACCTCAGAGATATTGTGGGGTTGGTACCATACCACCACAGTAAAGTGAGTCACATAAATTTTTTTTGTTTCCTGGTGCATGTAAAAGTTGTGTTTACACTATACTGTAGTCTAGTAAGTGGGCAATAGCATTATGTCTAAAAATACCAATATACCATCCTTAATTTAAAATATTGCTAAAAAATGCTAACTATCATCTTAACCTTCAGCGAGTCATAATATTTTAGCTGGTAGAGGGTCTTGCCTCAATGTCTGTGGCTGCTGACTGATTGGCGTGGTGGTTGCTGATGGTTAGAATGGAGGTGGCAATTTCTTAAAATAAGATGACATTGAAGTTTGTGTTATCAACTGACTCCTCCTTTCCTGAAAGAATTATCTGTAGCATGTGATGCTATTTGATAGCATGTTACCCACAGTAGAACTTCTTTCAAAATTGGAGTCAGTCATCTGTAACCCTGCTGCTGCTTTATCAACTAAGTTTATGCAATATTCTAAATCTTTTCTTGTCATCTTATGAACGTTTATAGCATCTTCACCAGGAGTAAGATTCTATCTCCAGAAACCACCGTCTTTGCTCATTAAGAAGCTACTCCTTATCCATTGAAGTTTTGCCATGAGAATGCAACAATTCAGTCACATTTTCAGGCCCCACTTCTAATTCCATTTTCTTATAATCTCTACCACATCTACAGTTACTTTCTCCGCTGAAGTCTCGGACCCCTCAAAATCACTCAGGAGGGTTGGAATCAATTTCTTCCAAACTCCTGTTAATGTGGATATTTTGACTTCCTCCCCTGAATCACACATGTTCTTAATGGCATCTAGAGTGGTGAATTCTTTCTAGAAGGTTTTCAATGGACTTTGCCCACATCTATTAGAGGAATCACCATCTATGACAGGTATACACTTATAAAAATGTATTTCTTAAATAATAAAACTTGAAAGTCAAAATTACTTCTTGACCCGTGGGCTGCAGAATGGATGCTGTGTTAGTAGGCATAAAAGAATGTTAATTTCCTGGCACATCTTCATCAGAGCTCTTGGGTAACCAAATGCATTGTCATGAGCAGTAATATTTTGAAAGGAATCTTTTTTGCTGAGCACCAGGTCTCAAGAGTGGAGTTAAAATATTCAGTAAAGCATGTGTAAACAGACGTGTTGTCATCCAGGCTTTGTTGCTTTATTTCTAGAGCAAAGGAAGAGTAGATTTCTTATAATTCTTGAGGACTCTTAAGATTTTTCGAATGGCAAATGTGCATTGACTTCAACCTAAAATCACCAGGTGTCATTCCCCAACAAGAAAGCCAGGCTGTCCTTTGAAGCTTTTAAGCCAGGCGTTGACTTCTTTACTCCAGCTCTGAAAGTCCTAAATGGCATCTTCTTTCAATAGAACGTTGTTTTGTTTTGCTTACATTGAAAATCTGCTGTGTAGTAGCCAATTTCAGCATTTAATCTTAGGTTTCCTGGGAAACTCGCTTCAACTTCTACATCGGCACTTGTGCTTCATCTTGTATTTTTAGATTATAGAGATGGTTTCTTTCCTTAAGCCTCATGAACCAATCCCTGCCAATTTCCAACTTCAAATTTTTGTTCTGTAGCTTATTATTATTATTATTATTGTTATTATTTACCTCTCCTAGCCTTCATAGAATTGAAGGGATTTAGGATCTTGCTCTGGATTAGGCTTTGGCTTAAGGGAATGTTGTGGCTGCTTTGATCTGCTATTCAGATACTAAAACTTTATTTACATCAGTATTAAGGCTATTTTGCTTTCTTATTTGTCTGTTTACTGGAGTAGCAGTTTTAATTTCCTTTAAGATCTTTTTCTTTGCTTTCACAACTTGGCTATTTGGTGTAAGAGGCATAGCTTTTGGTCTCTCTTGACTTTTGGCATGCCTTCCTTACTAAGCCTGATCATTTCTAGCTTTTGATTTAAAGTGAGACACTTGTGACTCTTCCTTTCACTTGAACCCTTAGATGCCATTGTAGTGCTATTAAATAATGGCCTACTTTCTCTTTTTTTGTTTTTTGTTTTTAAATAATAATTCTTTTTCATCTCATCTTCTTACATAAAATTAGAATGCATTTAGAAATAACTTAAAACAAAATAATTATATACCCTTAAGGCTATGTAATGTTTAATACATTGTAAACCTGCATTCCTATGAGAATCTTCTCCTTCCTTGAATTCTTTATATTATTTCTTCTTTCTCAGTCTTTTTTATTCCATCATTTTTATTTTAAATTCTGGGGTACGTGTGCAGGATGTGCAGGTTTGTTACATAGGTAAAAGTGTGCTATGTTGGTTTGCTGCAATAGATCAACCCATCACCTAGGTGTTAAGCCCAACATCCATTAGCTATTCTTCCTGATGTTCTCCCTCACCCTCTCCCCTTGATAGGCCCTAGTGTGTGTAGTTTCCCATCATGTGTCCACATATTCTCATCATTCAGCTCCCACTTATAAGTGAGAATATGCAGTGTTTGGTGTTCTCTTCCTGCATTAGTTTGCTGAGGATAATGGCTTCCAGCTCCATCCTTGTCCCTGCAAAAGACATTATTCCATTTATTTTTATGGCTGCATAGTATTCCATGGTGTATAGTGCCATATTTTCTTTATCCAGTCTATCATTGAGGGGCATTTGGTTTGATTCCATGTCTTTACTGTTGTGAATACTGCTGCAGTGAAATCCATGTGCATGTACCTTTATAATAGAATGATTTGTATTCCTTTGGGTATATACCCTGTAGTAGGGTGGCTGGGTCAGATGGTATTTCTGCTTCCAACTCTTTGAGGAATCACCACACTGTCTTCCACAATGGTTGAACTAATTTACATTCCCACCAATACTGTAAAATCATTCCTTTTTTCTGCAACTTTGCCAGCATCTGTTTTTTCTTGACTTTTTAGTAATTGCCATTCTGACTGGTGTGAGATGGTATCTCATTGTCACTTTGATTTGCATTTCTCTAATGATCAGTGACATTGAGCTTTTTTCATGTTTGTTGGCTGCATCAATGTCTTCTTTTGAGAAGTGTCTTTTCATACCCTTTGCCCACTTTTTAATGTTTTTTTTTTCTTGTAAATTTGTTTAAGTTGCTTGTAGACTCTGGATATTAGACCTTTGTCAGATGGTTAGATTGCAAAAATTCTCTCCCATTCAGTAGGTTGTTTGTTCACTCTGATAGTTTCTTTTGCTGTGCAGAAGCTCTTTAGTTTAATTAGATATCATTGGTCAAGTTTGCTTTTGTTCCAATTGCTTCTGGCATTTTTGTCATGAAATCTTTGCCCATGCCTGTGTCCTAAATGGTATTGTAATGGTCTAACTTCAATATTGTTGTGTTTTAGGAAATATGGAGGCCCTAGAAGAAGAAAAGAAATAGGGAAAAGACCAGTCAGTGGATCAGTGAGAATGCACACAGCACTTATTAAGTTTGCTATCTTAGATGGGTGAGGTTTGTAGTGCCCCAAAACAATTACAATAGTATTAATAACATCAAAGATCACTGATCATATATCACGATAACAGATCTAATAACAAAAACATTTGAAATATTGCAAGAATTACCAAAATGTGACACAGAAACATGAGTGAGCACATGCTGTTGAAAAATGACGTTAATAGGCTTGCTTGATGCAAAGTTGGTACAAACCTTTGAAACCTTTAATTTGTAAAAAAAAAAAAAAAAATGCAGTATCTGGAAGTATGTAATAAAATGAAGCACAATACAATGAGGTACATCTATATTCATTTTAACCTTAAGTAAGAAACATTATATTTGAAGTCAAAAATAAAACCTGTTGAGTGCATTATAGCTTCTGTATCAAAAGATTTAATGCTACCTCGTTTTATGTTAGGATTTAGCATTTGACAATTTTACTGATTTTGTCATGAGCTTATTTTCCTGGGGCTGCTGATATTGGAAAGAAACAATGAAGAAATGTTCCCCCCAGTTTATCTATATAACATACCTGCATATGTACCCCTCAACCTAAAGTAAAAATTAAAAAAGATTAAAACTGTTCCAATTTTTAATCCCATTATATTTGGTGAACTCAATTATTAAATGATAATAATATTCAAATTTTTCAAATTGTTTTTTAATATTTTGGAAAATGAGATTTTAATAACTTTAACTTATGTAGAAGGTATTAGGATAAAATTTTTCTAGGCTGTGGTTAGGTCCACAGGTTTTCAGTTCTCATTCATTGGTCATAATAAGGTATCCCATCTGTCTGCGTGATTCAGAGAAGGCAGCCATCTTACAACACTTACTATCTTTACAGTACATTAGAATAACATGACAAGGCAACCAGAAATTTTAGTTTATGTGCCCATTGTATAATTTAACTATTTTGTAAATTTAAGCTCAAAAAATAAGCTATACAAAGTGATTTTAAATTTTTCACTACTTGGCATTTTATATTATTAATACTATTTGATAAGTTATTTACACATCTATATAGTGACTAACAAATTAATTACAGTATTATAATCATATAATATTATAATTATACAATTATCAACATTTTGTGCTATACTTTTCCAAGCTGAGTCTCAGGGAATTTAAATATTACATTCCTTAGTGATTAAAAAGTAAGTTGTCTCATTAGCTCTTTGAGATTAGGAATGCTTTTTTTCCCCTCCAACCTACTAAGGAAAAGCAGACAGGAAAATACCTAAAATTGTCCATTTCAAAACAAGGTGTCAGGCGTAGCAAAGTAAGGATATCCAAAAATTCATGCCTCCATAAAAGCAATGAAGACACTAGCAAAATTGGTCAAAATTGATTTTTTGAAACTTTGGAAAATAACAATAGGTTTTACTGTATGTGAATTATATATCAATAAACATTGTAAAAAAGTGGCTATTTAATCCAGGTTCACCAAATAGCTTCGTTATTTCTGTCTCTGTGGATAGACAATGTCATTCTTTTCTATTTACAGATGCTATTGTGAGTGACATAAATTTTGAAGGAAAATGAAAAAAGCAGAAATAGTCTACAAAGCAGATAGCCAGATAGATAGTATGGAGCTGTGTTCATGGGCATGAGGTCTGCATTCACAGTACTTGGAAAATTTTGGTATTTAAAAAGAATCAAAAGAGATCTTGTCAAGCCACACCATGAAAGCTCAGCCTCAGTCAAGGCCAGACCTTGTTGGAACACAGGCACTGGTTGTTTAAAAGTCTCGGAGTGAGGCAGCAGAGCTTTATGAAGGGAATCTGGACTCCAGAGATACTTGGGTCTGACTTCACCTCACATCTCAGTCACTTACAAGCTCTATGACTTAATTATCTACTCTAAGCCCCTCTCCTCATTTGTAAAACTGAAACACCAACAGACATCTCAAAGTTCCTCTGTGTATACCAAATGGGATAACTAAGAGTGAAATACATAATACAAGTCCAGAAACCTAATATTCATTTCCCACTCTCAAACAGTTAAGCTAAAAATAAAGAAAACTAGAGACACTCACCAAGTTTTTTATTCTCATTCTATGGAATTGCAATATTACCCAGAGTCCAATTTGTAGAATGGGACTGAATTGTAACTGTTCCACTCAGATGTGCAGGAAATTTAGACTTATTTGGTTTAAATTGATTTGATGCTGGATGCACCTTCCATCTCAGTTAGTATTCGGGTCTCCTTTCTTTCTCAACTTTGGAATTGATTATGGGGAGCTCATACGGTCTATATGATCTACTCTATGCACTGTAACATCAACTGCAGCTCAGTCCACGGTCACAGAGTCCTTTACAGTTCAACAGCTTTTGCTTTTCTGCTGTTCATATGCACAGAGCAGATAAATCAGACTTTTAGGCTCCAAACTCCCTTGCCCCATTATGGACTCAGTTCTCGCGGAGGTTTGCTCACATTCTGAGGGGGTTGACCTAGAGAGTTCTTCACTATGATGAGAATTTCCCTCTTTTATTTCCATTCTAGGAAGGCTTGTTTCCACATTGCTATCCTTAGAGACAATTTTCACTTTTTCCTCCCTTCCTCAAAACCCGGCATCCTGTTTTTAATGAGAATAGGCTTTAAGTAAATACATAAATTAATTCTGCCATGAGACAGCCTCTGCTTTTTCAGTCCTTCAAAAACTTCCTGAAGCCAGGAAATATAATATATGACTACTTGTTGGAATTTGTGGGTGGGTGAAATGCAGTGGGAACACAGATATACATATACAATTACTATATCAATAAATCACTTTCTAAAATTTGTGATGAAATATGCTACCGTAGATAAATTCTTCTGACTGAGCATTTCATTGAAAATTCTGGAACAATACTCTGAGAAAGCTGAGCCAAGCAGACTCACTTTCTGGTGGTAATCACTTCTGTATTCCCAATTTAGTTTCCCATTTATCTATAGAGACCTGACTGTTGGAATTTCATCAGAACTTCAAAATATTTTGGGGTGGCCATTAAATAGTTGATATAACCCAATGCTTTGTGCATGGTAGATGCTGAATATATTAAATTGTTTTTGATTGATGATTAGAAGGTAAGATGGAAACTCAATTTCTTAAACCACTTATTTTTCATATAGAGTACAGGGTAAAAAAGCAAGTCCACCTGACCAATGTATTAAAACTCAACTGATCAGTTGACATTCTGTATAATGTAGTCAAAAGGGATAACTAAACTAATAGTCAAGACCCTTGGTTCTAGTTATGCTTCTGTCACCAGATATATAAAATTGACAAAATTATTAGACTGTCATGTTTCCATTTTCTAGAAACTAAAGCAGTGATAATCCCATTTTTTTTCCTTGCTTACCTTATGTAATTGCTGTGAAAACCAAATGAGGCAATGTGAATATTCAGGCTTGAGTACGAAGTAACAATATGATGTAACATTTGTTACAGATATAACAAAAAAATTATAAACAATTTTTAACAGGAAGAATAAAGTTTTCTATAGACTAATTTAAAAAGTATCTGTTTCTAAGAATATTCTTTTTTCCAAGGTTCTATATTGATGAATTTTACTCATTTCTGGATTAAGGCACTAATGTCAGTCTGAAATCTGAACTGATGATAATGTGATAGAATGGTTGGATTGTATACTATGACATTGTCTGGACTGGGAAATCGTCCCAGATTACCACAAATGATGCCACGATGGAAAATTATAGATCATATCTGCAATTTTATCTTTATCATCTGAGATAACATTGAGATAAATCACATCTGAGATAGATATGATCTGTCATTAATATCTTAGTGTATGTATGATGGCTAATTTATGTGTTGACCTGTGTTTGTGGATGAGATTAACATTTAAATTGGAGAATTTTGAGTATGCAGGTTATCCTCCAAAATATAAATGGGCCTCATTCAATGAATTGAAAGCCTGAATAGAATAAAAGGACTGTTTTTTCCAGGCAAGTGGTGACTATCCAGCAGACTGCCTTTGGACTTCATCTGCACCATTGGCTCTCCTGGGTCTCCAATCTGCTAGGCCACACTGTAGATGTGAATTAGCTAGCTTCCAGAATTGCGTGAGCCAATTCCTAATAATAAATCTCCTATATACATATACACACATCCTATTAGTTCTGTTTCTTTGGAGAAGCCTGATTAATACATCATATATCAGCTTTTGGAGGTGCAGTGAAGGAAGAAATACTGTTCATCAATATAATGGAAGTAAATATCCTACTTTACTCATTTTTAATGTTGATGTTTCTTCGGCAGAGGACTTCAGAAGGATTTCAAGATGTACCAAATAGAAGTGAGAAAGACACGTATTATGTATAATATAGACACAAAAATACAACTTATATGGATTGAACAGACACAAGAAAATTCAAGCGGATATAAATGCAAAAGTGCATGACTTGGCTATTTTCTATTTACAGTGTCAATATTGATATTACAAGGTGCCATCTGAATTAACTAGATATTTTAGTGTGAAAGAGTTTTAGGGATTATTGTGTCAAATTCTAAATAATTCACTAGCACACACAGAGATTTTAAACCACCCAGTTACAATTTGGATGTCCTTTGGAGAGCTGAAGGGATAAGGTAGCTTTTGTTTGTCCAGTATGGCATCATTATCATCCTACCAAAGCAGGAAAAGAGAACAGATGACCTCTAAAGCCTCTCACGTCAGGATACTTTTATTGCAATCAGGCAAGCTTTGCTCTTGGAGCCTACAAGATATTAAAATTTTGGATATTAAATAATAAGATCACATACAACAGCTTTTCAATGCCATTAGCTTCCAATAAATCAAATTTGCAGGAATTAAAGCATCAAGTTATTATGTTTCACTGAGAAGAATTATTAAAATTCATGAGTATGCTAAAGGACACCATAACGAAAGCAGAGCAGATTACAATTCTGCCAATAAAGGGCCGAAAACTTCCAATACGTCTCTACCATGAAATTATCAGAAATCAACAGGAGAATAAACATCTGCATTGACAAAAATGTATAGGATTAACTTGAATGATGATGACAGAAGATAGTAAAGCTACATAGGTAATTTAAAAATAGCTGATATCCTTTATAGCTGGTAGGAAAAAGAAAATGCCAGGAAAGAGGTTAAAGAGAATATGAAGGGCGTTTTAAAATAGTTTAAGAGGAACAAGATACGAGAAAGATGAAATAGATCTTTTTAGATGAAATTAGATATGGTAGCCATAGAAATTGATAAAGAATAATTAGAAATGGAAGCAGTTGTAATTTATAGTAGAGAGAATATTGAACTTTTATAAACTATCATCAAGTCTTATGAATTATAAAACTGAGAAGTAATATAAATTCAGAAAAAGTAAATCTAAAGGAAAAAAGAACTTAAAAAGATGGTATAAAATATTATTTCAATGCTCCCTGCCTCAATAAAAGACCTCTTTGGAAATCACTTTCTTTTTTAAAGCTAACAACAGATTAGCAAAGACATTTAAATAGAAATATTCATTATATTTAGGGCTACCTTAGAAATCTTTATATCACAAGCTTTTATTCACTATTACTATGATGGAAGTATAACAAACTGTATTGTGTCCAGAATACATTAGTCAATTGAGCTGCCAAAATAAATTTATTTCTGAAGTTTAGCTCTTGTACCCATACACCCTTCCCAGGAAGGGTTGCTCAAGCTTGAATGTATAGTGAAATATGTTTAACTTATGAGGTTCTTTTCCTTTATAATATAGAAATAGTAATATTGAACAACTACCTTTAACGTTTTCCTCTTAGAGTTCCATTGCTGAATCTTTTATTAAAATGGCTCATTTCTTCTTAATACTGTGCAGCTTGCTCTTCACCTATCCTTTGCTGTTACCCATTGGGGGAAAGGACCAGTAGGTAGAAGTTTAGAAGAACCAGGTTGGTGGCTGACTATCACACAGCAAGTGGCTGCAGTGCTAGGATGTACCATCAAGATGCCCAGTGACTTCTTTTTTTAATATATATGTATATATATATTTTTTATTATTCTTTGAGTTCTAGGGTATATGTGCACAACGTGCAGGTTTGTTACATATGTATACATGTGCCATATTGGTGTGCTGCACCCATTAACTTGTCATTTACATTAGGTATATCTCCTAATGCTATCCCTCCCCCTTACCCCACCCAACAATAGGCCCCGGTGTGTGATGTTCCCCTTCCTGTGTCCAAGTGTTCCCGTTGTTCAATTCCCACCTATGAGTGAGAACATGTGGTTGGTTTTTTGTCCTTGTGATAGTTTGCTGAGAATGAGGGTTTCCAGCTTCAGCCATGTCCCTACAGAGGACATGAACTCATCAATTTTTATGGCTGCATAGTATTCCATGGTGTAGTTTATGATTGTTGGACATTTGGGTTGGTTCCAAGTCTTTGCTGTTGTGAGTAGTGCCACTATAAACATACGTGTACATGTGTCTTTAAAGCAGCATGATTTATAATCCTTTGGGTATATATACAGTAATGGGATGGCTGAGTCAAATGGTATTTCTAGTTCTAGATCCTTGAGGAATCACCACACTGTCTTCCACAATGGTTGAACTAGTTTACAGTCCCACCAACAGTGTAAAAGTGTTCCTATTTCTCCACATCCTCTCCAGCACCTGTTGTTTCCTGACTTTTTAATGATCACCATTCTAACTGGTGTGAGATGATATCTCATTGTGGTTTTGATTTGCATTTCTCTGATGGCCAGTGATGATGAGTATTTTTTTCATATGTCTTTTGGCTGCATAAATGTCTTCTTTTGAGAAGTGTCTGTTCATATCCTTCACCCACTTTTTGATGGGGTTGTTTTTTTTTTCTTGTAAATTTTGTTTGAGTTCATCGTAGATTCTGGATATTAGCCCTTTGTCAGATGAGTAGATTGCAGAAACTTTCTCCCATTCTGTAGGTTGCCTGTTCACTCTGATGGTAGTTTCTTTTGGTGTGCAGGAGCTCTTTAGTTTAATTAGATCCCCTTTGTCAATTTTGGCTTTTGTTGCCATTGCTTTTGGTGTTTTAGACATGAAGTCCTTGCCCATGCCTATGTCCTGAATGGTATTGCCTAGGTTTTCTTCTAGGGTTTTTATGGTTTTAGGTCTAACATTTAAGTCTTTGATCCATCTTGAATTAATTTTTGTATAAGGTGTAAGGAAGGGTTCCAGTTTCAGCTTTCTACATATGGCTAGCCAGTTTTCCCAGCACCATTTATTAAATAGGGAATCCTTTCCCCATTTCTTGTTTTTGTCAGGTTTGTCAAAGATCAGATAGTTGTAGATGTGTGGTATTATTTCTGAGGGCTCTGTTCTGTTCCATTGGTCTATATCTCTGTTTTGGTACCAGTACCATGCCGTTTTGGTTACTGTAGCCTTGTAGTGTAGTTTGAAGTCAGGTAGCATGATGCCTCCAGCTTTGTTGTTTTGGCTTAGGATTGACTTGGCAATGCAGGCTCTTTTTTGTTTCCATATGAACTTTAAAGTAGTTTTTTCCAATTCTGTGAAGAAAGTAATTTGTAGTTTGATGGGGATGACATTGAATCTATAAATTACCTTGGGCAATATGGCTATTTGCATGATATTGATTGTTCCTACACATGAGCATGGAATGTTCTTCCATTTGTTTGTGTCCTCTTACATGATTATCTCAATAGATGCAGAAAAGGCCTTCGACAAAATTCAACAACACTTCACGCTAAAAACTCTCAATAAATTAGGCATTGATGGGATGTATCTCAAAATAATAACAGCTATTTATGACAAACCCACAGCCAATATCATACTGAATGGACAAAAACTGGAAGCATTCCCTTTGAAAACTGGTACAAGACAGGGATGCCCTCTCTCACCACTCCTATTCAACATAGTGTTGGAAGTTCTGGTGAGGGCAATCAGGCAGGAGAAAGAAATAAAGGGTATTCAGTTAGGAAAAGAGGAAGTCAAACTGTCCCTGTTTGCAGATGACATGATTGTGTATCTAGAAAATCCCATCGTCTCAGCCCAAAATCTCCTTAAGCTGATAAGCAACTTCAGCAAAGTCTCAGGATACAAAATCAATGTGCAAAAATCACAAGCATTCTTGTACACCAATAACAAACAGAGAGCCAAATCATGAGTGAACTCCCATTGCTTCAAAGAGAATAAAACACCTAGGAATCCAACTTACAAGGGATGTGAAGGACCTCTTCAAGGAGAACTACAAACCACTGCTCAAAGACACCCAATGACTTCTAAGTCCACCAATCAAGAGGTACATGAGAATTTGCTTTTGTTTTGTAGTGGATATTAGAGAAGAGTAATTCTTAAAAAGGAGGATCTGTTAATTTGTCTATTACACACATTTATAATAATTGTTTTACTTATTCATTTTCGGACATGTGAGTTGCTTTAATTTTCCTGTACTTCTAGAAAAAAGGAATAACATGGATTTGATCATTAGATTTTAGTTCAGTTACAAGCTCTGTACCTAACCTCTTTGAATTTCCTTATACCCTAAAAAGTAATTTCGATGTCAAATGGTTAATATAAATATTATATTCCATGTGGTAGTTTGTGCAAATATCTAGCTTAGTGCCTGATGCATAGAAGAAATAAACTTTAATTCTTTCCCCACCCTATCTCACCCTTATAAAATGACTTAGAGACTTGGGACTGAAGATACTTCAAGTAGGATCTACCCGTTGCAAAAGGCATTAGGGCTGTTAACTTTCTGTACTTGACACTGTCCTTAAATTAGTGTAGCCTAAGATTGAGTTAGATTTTTTGTTTGGCTATCTCCTCATATTGTTCACCTTTATTGTTTTTGTCTCTAAAACATTTTTTTGGTCTAACTCTTAAATGACTCAAGTCAAATCTTGCCGATAAATTGCTCAATAAATTCCCTTTGACAGAAGGTTTCCTCCTACTTTTCTTACCAATAGTTTATTTGCACAATTCCTCTTGCTTCCTGCTCCCTTCCATGAGTCTATACACTTCTTGAGGCTCTCCTGGGATCCCATTCAGACTGCACAGAAGAGAAAATCTCTGATTATCTAATGGTGTTGAAAAGTCAACCAAGAAACAACATGGATTTAGTAAGAACAAATAAAGTCAAACAGTAAGGCATTGGTGTTTGTTGCTAACACTTTCTTAGAAGTGGCATTCTATAAAAGTATTTCTTGTTTACTAGATATCAGTAGATTTCTTTAAAAAAATTCATTCTAAGACCAAATTGATTTAATGCTGTACCCTTTAAGTGATAGAACTTAACTAAATAATTGAGGTGAGGAGTATTTATCACTGATCTAACAGAAAATAATACATTTAATTATGGTCAACATCCTTGGAAAAGTGGCTAAATGTATTTGAGCACAGAAAAAGAGACATAAGGATGATTGAACATTAAAAATCATAACTATAAAGATGAGGGAAATAAGCCAAGAGCATTTAGGCTAAAGAAAAGAGGATTAAAAACAAAACCAGTGCAAACAATATTCAGGAACAAATATCAGATTTTTTTTACTCCAAAATTAAATACAAACATGTAAAGTAAAACTTTGCTTCAGAATATTTATGAAGTTAAGCATTAGAATTAATCTGAGAATTCAGTCAGGGATTCAATGAGATTTCTGTCAAAAGTTGTAGAAATACCCCCTCTTCATAAGTGAAATCATCATTTAAAGAGACTGATTTATGGATGGCAGTGTGCTGATGGGCTTCCTGCCCTATTACCTTTCTTTCTATCTGATCTCCTAAAGATAGAGTCACTGGAATTGATTTGTATGGAAAACTCCATATTCTAGTTATATCAGTATATTTATTAATGAATTTATATTCATTATATTTGTTTAGTAATGAATTTATAATAAAAGTCAGAATTATACAGATTTTTTTATTTGGAAAGCTCTGATATGGGTCTGTTATGATTTTGGTTTGGGTTCTTCTGTTTGGGCTGGGTCCCTACTGTTAGGGATATTATCTACATCCAAGGATCCCTGGAGTTTGAAGCAAAGGGAAGTCACTCTGGAAGAATACCCAGGAAGGAGTAGCATAAATGGAAAACCGAGAAAGCTAGAAGTAAACTCATGTCTTGAGTTCAAAGGGCCACTTGGGGATGGATGCCTGATCCAGGAGGATTCCGCATAGGGTAGGGAAGGGGGAGGTATGGAGAGTTGTCAGATAAGAGTAAAATGTGACCATTCGTTGTAGAAGTACTCAGTCCTGTTGTGGGAGCAATGTGTCAATTCAAAGCAAATGCACAAACAGGGATGGTTTGTGCTCACCTTTCCTTGTTTAACCATCTGCTTCTGTTTCACCAGCCTGGTATTATAAAATGAGATTATGTTTCTATTTTACACCAAATGGTTAGGGAATGATTCATCCTTGATCTCGTTCTGGGAAAGTAGCACCCTTTTAATGATATTGCTATTTTATTTGTAGAAGTTTCCTGGAGTAATGACCCTACTGTGCTCTGAAAAAGACCATCCATTTCCTCTGATCTGGTCTTATATCTTCTAATTGTGTCACTGACCAATGGCTTCAACTGCTGCTGATTCTGTGAGTAAGCTTTTGTGTGAGCAAAGCTAAACCATTGGTAGTTATTCTGATATGCTGCCTTTGACAATACATGACCTACGATCTGCATTATCCTCACCTGTTCCATCCAATTTGATATATGAGATAGCCTTCTGGGTTATTCAACTCCTTCAATCCTGTCTCTTTACCTCAGACATTGCCTGATCTCAAGGAAGAGAATTTCATTCCCTTTCTTTTAAACTACAGCACAGATGTGACTAGGATAAGAATTTCAACAAGACTACTGAAGCTGCAGTACTGGACAATGCACAGAGTAACTTGAAATTTGTCCTAGACATAATTACTCATAATAACCCACCTGTTCAAATCTGTTGTCAGGATCTCTGCTCAGCTCTTACAATGTTTCCTTGTGCTAGTGGGAACAAGCTCAACCCCCACAATGGGAATCTCCTGAGACTCACACATCTCAGTTCTTGTATATGCTTGTTTTCTGTGTTTCTGAGAAACACAGAAGTTCTTTCCTCCTCTAGTCTAAGTTCCATTTCCTCTCCAGTCACAGGAAACTGACATATTCTCTTGGAGAAATTTCCCCAATTTCTTCGTGCCTCTTACTGCCTTTTAATACAAATATGTGGAGTGGATTTTATTCATCAGATAAACTAAGCATCTTTTTCTATAGTATATTTAGCAAAATTGAGTTATAGAATCCTAAATTATGTTATTCATTGTGTCTTAGTCTAGTTTGGATCTGTGCCAAGCTCATGCCTATTCCTTCACACAACTTTTTCCATTACATGAGATGAAAGTATCATCACGATTATATCTTTGGACAAAACCTAATCTTGGGTGCTAATATGCATACATATTCTTCCTCCAAAAGACACAGGTATGCCCCATGTAGAGATGCTTTACAGAATCCAGATTTATTTGAGAAGGAATCACAAAATAAATTAATAATTTAATAAAACTTGTCTATTTTGTTTTGCCTCAGGATTTTGCCCACTTTTTAATGGGATTGTTTTTTTGCTTTTTAAGTTCCTTATAGATTCTGGATATTAGACCTTTGTTAGGTACATAGTTTGCAAATATTTTCTCCCATTCTGTAGGTTGTCTGTTTACTCTGATGATAGTTTATTTTCCTGTGTGGAAACTCTTTAGTTTAATTAGGTCCCATTTGTCAATTTTTGTTTTTGTTGCAATCACTTTTCAAAAGAAGACATACACATGGCCAACAAGTATATGAAAAAATGTTCAACACCACTAATCATTACAGAAATGCAAATCAAAACTGCAGTTAGATACCATCTCCTGCCAGTCAGAATGGTTATTATTAAAAAGTTGAAAAACAATAGATGCTCACTAGGTTGTGGAAGAAGGAGAATGCTTATATACTCCTGGTGGGTGCGTAACTACTTCAGCCATTGTGGAAAGCAGTTTCATGATTTTTCATAGAACTCAAAGCAGAATAACCATTAGACCTAGCAATCTCATTACAGGTTATATACCCAGAGGAATAGAAATCATTCTATTATAAAGATACATGCATGTGTATGTTCATTGCAGCACTATTCGCAATAGCAAAGACATGGACTCAACCTAAATGCACATCAGTGATAGACTGGATAAAGGAAATGTGATATATAGATCATGGAATACTATGTAGGCACAAAAGAGAATGAGATCATGTCCTTTGTAGCAACATGGATGGAGCTGGAGTCTATTATCCTAAGCAAAGTAACACAGGAACACAAAAGTAAATACTGCATGTTCTAACTTAAAAGTGGGAGCTAAACATTGAGTATGGGGAACAACAGACACTGGGTCTACTTGAGGGTGGAGGAAGGAAGAAAGATGAGGATTCAAAAACTACCTATTGGGTACTATGCTTATTACCTGGGTGACAAAATAATCTGTACACCAAACCATCGTGACACACAATTTACATATATAACAAACCTGCACATATACCCCTGAACCTAAAATAAAAGTTAAAAAAACAACAACAAAAACATTTCTTGAAATATTTACAGGTAGTGTTCTGCTGAGGATATCTGCTTAAGTTAATAGACCAAGACCAAGTCCTTCTATTTCAATTTTTCTTTTCAAGAACAATGAAAGAAATTTGAAAGTGTTATTTCTTACCTATATGTATAAACTAAAGGGTTCAATTAAGTGACCCCCTAAGCAGATCAAAGGGAGATCTTTCCTAAGAACTAATACCATTTTTATTTGAGAATATGATGTAAGATTTGTGAATCTTAAAATATCAGCCTTCCAACCTTAAAATCAAAAGAGACATTCTCCATAAAATGTGTTCTTATAACACTGTTAAAGGACTGGATATTGAGTATTGATAAAACTGAGCGTCGCTCTTTTGTTTAAAAGGAAATACCAAATTAATAAGACCCTTTGTTGGGTTTAGTTCTCTTCCTGAACACAAAGATTGTATAGCTACTTTGCTTATTTATGATCCTCATATGGTCTGTGGTCTCAGTGTTAAAGTTTTAATTATTTCAGAAACATAGAACTCTTACATATTTATGATGTTTTCCTATTGGGATATGGAAAAAGACTTGGTTATGTAGAGAAACTTATAATTTTTCCTTCCAAAAGTAGCTATGCTATAAGTAACATTTACAAAATAGGACTATTATTTATTTTTATAGTTATATTTTTGGAGCCCATTAGGTCTACTTTGGGAAGTAGATAGATTTTCTTGGTCCAGACTACAATCATGACTTCATTAGAGATTACTCTCTCGTTTGAGATGCATATAAAATTGATTTGCATCTCCTATTTTATGTCCAATAAGAAATCCAATGCTTTCTCCAACATTTCTGTGAATTCCCCGGAGTGTTCCTTCTCACAGTCACTTCTAATTTCAATTTCTAGTTTACTTTGAATTTAACCTATCTGTATGTTACTTCTAGCTTCTTTCTCCATAATCTACTCAAATAAGGAGCATTCCCCACATGTTTAAGTTCTCTCATATACCACTCACGGAAAGCATTTGTAGACATAGTAGATTATACTGAAGATTTAAAGTGATAGGGATGGTAGAGGGTGCATTGCAGTAATATATAGCAATTCATTTTAAAAGTGAGTGGTAGATATGCCTATCTTTGAAGTTCTTTTCTTATCACTGCATTCTTTGCACCAACACCCAGAAATTTCCAATTGGCAACATTCCTTCATGGCTTCCTTTGGGCATAGAATATTTTGACTTCAGTGTTTTTGAAAATCTTTTGAATAAAATTCTTTTGTCAGAATTATTTTAATGCTAATTGATTTTTACTTAGTATTTTTCTGCAGTAAAATAGAGAAAATTAATAAAATGTAATTATAAATGATCTCTTTTCTATACAGCCTATTTTGATCATTTTTTTATTGAGTTTTTAAAAAACTGGTAGATTTTTACAGGCTAATCTTTAATAGAAAAAATTATCTCAGAAATTAGTACCTCTATTCATATCAAATTTGATCAATTTCAGCTCCTTGTTTTTCCTTTGTGGCTCTTTATGTTTAATAATAATTTCAATTTTCCCAAGCCAAATTTTCCAAATTTAAATTTGTTCAAAAATTGAGTTTTTCAACAGTTTTTAATGAATAACATGTTTTGATATATGCACTATTGGTCATTGTCAAGCTTTTTATTGATTGTTTATGCAGAATATTTATTTTAATTTGAGTAAGGGCTTGCATTTAACATTAAAATAGTTATCAATTTTAATAATTGACACCATTATTGTTTTACAAATGTAAATAATATAAGACTTTGGCTGGAATATTCCTACTGTTTATTGTGGTTTCAAATGAAAGAGAAGGCGCACACATGGATACAGAACCAGCAGCTGGGGAACAAAAAGGGAGGTACAGAAACAGGATCACTGAGGAATAAAGACTTGCTACTTCTCTGGCTAAATAGCTCTTATGAAACACACAGTAGTGTCAGAATTCCTCCAGGGCAAACCTGTTGGTGTCAAAATAATGAGACGAAGCGCTTTCATCGTCCTATTTTAGATCTTGCTTCCAAGTTCCTCATGATTCTGCAAGCCTCTGGGCCTCCTAACCCCTGAACTCCAGTCTCGACTAGACTTTCTCCACCCATAAATTCCTTATTGTTTTATTTTTTCTTATGGAAAGCAATTTAGAAATTTTCACATCTCCAGCTGAAACCCTGTAATTTCTCATTTAAAGTAACCTGTTCTGCTGGATATAAGGTCATCCATCCTGGAGGAAATTAACCCTCTTCCTTAGTGGCAGAAGTAACTATAGATGGTTGTTGTGCTCCTTGAGTGAGTTAAATACTTGTGCTATCTTTCCCCTCTGAAATGTTCAGACCTCATCATTACAAGGGCACTTTTATTTTTATTCCCCTTCTCTAGCACCCTTTCCAAGTATTTCTCTTTTTTCTATTTCCATTAGACTTCGCTTTTTTTTTTTTGTAGAACACAGATTTCCTCTCAGGGGTCTCCTCACTCTACCACCACCAATCCCAAAGGTACTGATAGCTTGAAGGGATTTTCAGAGCTGGTACCAGCCAACAGAGGAGAAGATTTTGTACAGGACCTCTTCAGGGAGTGCTGCTCATATTATGCCTCATATTTACGATATTTCACTCATGTTTAAGGCCTGCCTTAGAGATCCAAACACTTCTGAGAATAGGTAGAGTATACTATATTTAAAGTTTCTATTTAACATAAAGAATATATTAGAATGTGGTGTTTTCTCAAAGCTAAGCATTTAGAACAAAATCTCGGCCAGGCACAGTGACTCATGTCTGTGATACTAGCACTTTGGGAGGCCGAGATGGGCGGATCATTTCAGGTCTGGAGTTCGAGACCAGCCTGACCAACATGGTGAAACCCAGTCTCTACTAAAAATACAAAAAAATTAGCCGGGCATAGTGCTGGGTGCCTGTAATCCCAGCTACTCTAGAGGCTGAGGTAGGAGAATCTTTTGAACCCAGGAGGCAGTGGTTGCAGTGAGCTGAGATCGCGCCACTGCACTCCAGCCTGGGCGACAGAGAGAGACTCTGTCTTAGAAAAAAAAAAAAATAGTAATAATAATAGTCTTGTTTCCTTGTTTCTTTAATAGCCTGATAGCCATTGCATTTTCTCAATATTCACACTAAACTGTACAGATGACAGAATTTTGCCTCATCTGAAGCATCCTGTTTAATTTATAGTTATATTAAATTTAAAATATCTGTTAAAATAAAAGCACAGGGACAGACACCACTGCATTGATTTATTTATTTATTTTAAAGTCATGATGCAAATCCATTCCATCCTTTCTTGCTTCAGGCTCTAGCCAACACACAATTTTTCATTAAAATGTTATTCGAACTGAGGACATCTGCAGCAGCTTGGAATGTATTTTCTTCAGTACTTGATTTTAAGCTCTCTATACGTCTTAGAATTCTCTCAAAAAAAAAATTCTACGACATGTTTGATTTTCACAGAAAAACAATAGCTACGCCTATATCAAGAGAAGTGCCAGTCTAAGTAAAAACATACCAGTTTCATTAACAGCACTTTTAACAGATTTAATTAAGTTTCTTATTCTGTTAATAATACTGTTCTTTGAATAAAAATGTTTCTGTATACTTTACATCTTATTTATTAAGAAGTGTTTTAAGCATAGAGAAAAGTATACTGAAAATAATAATGAATACCTACCACCACCCAACTTTGTCCAGTCATAATATTTTGTCATATATACTTCTGATATTTTAATTAAACAAAGATTCATTTAACTCCCTCTGCTCAATTATTACTTCTTCCATTTTCTTCTTCTTCTAAAAGTAACTGACATCTTTGTTATTTATCAAAATGATATTTATACTTTTATCACATATATGCATATTCTGAAATAATATTTTTATGTTGTTAAAGCATATAAATACAATAACAATATATTTGTTTCTTTGAAATAATTTTTTCACATTATTTTTTAAGGTTTTTTCTTATTAATAATTGTAGGTATAGTGCATTCATTTTCACTGTACACAGATTCCATTGCATGAACACAGCACAATTTATTTTTCTTTGTCCTGTTTTTCCTACTTGTTTATTTCTGTCCTAGCAGTTATACTGTTAAAGAGCAACAAAGACATATGTGTATTAATAAATACTCTTTTAAACCATTGAGATTTGCAGAGGTTTGTTATGTAGCAATAGTGCTTATTCCTGTAGTTGAAAATAACAGAATATCTCCTTTTTAATCCCTAAATCACTTTCTGTTTTCACTGGATCCATGTTTGTAAATTTATTGAGGGTCTCTATCTTGGTTGACCAGAAAAGTGTATGTTCTTTGAGAGATGGTCCTGGAGTACCCATTGTAAGTGTTTATTCTCCCACACTATTATTCTTGGTTTGGTGATTCTAACAGTTATTTAATTTCTAAAATAAATAAAACAAGTTTATGTTAAGATCAACTTTGTAATATCTTTCTTTTTTACAAATGCCTAAACTTCATTTTAAATAGAAACAAGTGCACCCAACTTTGAGTTTGAGTTATTCTTAAGTGAGCATACAGTCAGGAAATGTCTTATTCTAGGTTCTTCCATCTCCCTCTCCAGTGCTATTCTCCATTACTGTTCAGCTTAGTTCATAGAGAGCAAAAAAGCCTCCCTCTGTGATGATTAAAGTCCATCACATTGGTGTTACCACCAACCTGAACTGTTTTTCTGTTTCAGCTTAAGATCATCTCCTGAACTCTTGACTTCTGACTTTGGTTTGGTTTGGCCATACTTGCCCTCTGGTATTTGGGTTCACTTTATTTTTTACTTATTTCTTTTCTGTTTCTTACTTATTTTATTCCTTGATATTTGGCAGTGCACAGATTCCAGAGGATCATTTGTTTTAGAACTACTACTTTACTGCTAATTTTTAACTTATCCTTAACAAACTTGCCTCCCCTTGACTTTCACTTACCCCTATGAGTGATCATCCAATTCTGTAATTTTTCTGGTAGATTTTTCCAAATGAAAAGGCCAATATTTATATTTTATAGGCATTGCTCCCTTTTATTTCTTTTTTTGTACTAGAGCCTGCATCTTGATAATCAATTGCTCATGTTGAATGACCAATTATTAATTTTTATTGTTTTAATGGTTGCTTTAATTTGATGATTAATATGACCTAAAATAATTCAACTGAAAATGACCTATTGCTTCACACTTGGACAATATGAGAGTAAAAAAATGTGACAACTGCACCATTGTAATTTTTGATTTGGCACACTTGTAGATATGGCCTATGTTAAAATGTTCCTGCTTCACTCTTCTTCAGGAAGATATCTACAGTATTTCCTACTAATTGGCAATAGAATAGCTGCCTTATTATTTCTTTATTGTTGTAGGAATATTGCAGTCCTGTTGCCTTTAATCATAAAGCATTCATGCCTTAGTTCAGGGTTTAAATTTTTATGTATTTACGTGGGTTCCATGATAACCTTACTTCTAGTACCTTCTTTCACAGTTTTCTAGATCTACTGAAGCTATGGCCCAGTTATCTTTTTTTTTTTTCAACAGCAGATGGTTTATTAATGTCCATGTTACACTATTGTATGAATCATACATGCTAAGAGATCCCTTTTCTGGGGTTCATCTTCTTATCCTGAGTATGAGTGAAGATCAATAAGTATAGAACAATTGGAAAGAATGCATTCTGAAAAAGTTGCTTGTGCATTGATTAACCCTCTTCCCCAGAAAGTGCAAAACAATCTCTATGGCTCTCAGAGTTATTTAGATTTCACCATGAATGGGCTCAGAACTGCAGATTATCAGGGCTGGGAAGGATAATAGAGTCTTTCTAATAAAATCTTAATTCATTAGTGCAGAAATGAATAAAATGACCAATATTTGATCAGTTTTGACTTTTAAAATGTAATGTTTGTATGATTCAGCTAATACATGAAGAGGATCAAGCCCAGACACTTGCCCAGTGAGATGTCTCTAGGGCAGAGCCCCCTGCACTATGAAAATTCATCTCAATGATACAACTTGCTTTGTCTCTCACTTTGCTTACCTGTCATTAAATTTTTTAAAACAAACTTGGTACATATTTAGAACTAAAGGAGAAAGAAAGAAACTATGTCAAAGTTTTCCTCAAAGGAAATTAGAACATTTCAAATGAAGAAGAATGATTGAGATATATTAGTATAACTCTTTGCCAGCAGGGAAGCATCCTGAATCATTTCTTTTGTTCCAAGCCATTCGGTTATTATCTAAATAGACCCTTCTCAAGCGATGAGTGAGTACCATTCCAAAAATCATTTGTAAGTGAGTTGCTCTATATCTTGGAAGACATTTCCTATACAAATGGCATAAGGAATGATTATGATGTACCCTGACCAGTCTTGCAAGTAACTTGAACATGTAAGGTACCTAAATGTATTGGAATTATTTCAAAATACATCTAGCCACCAGCTGTGCCATTATTTATAAGAGATAATTGCTTTCTTAATTCTAAGCCTTTCTCTCTCAATAGTAGCAGCCATGCCCAGCATTGATGCAGAGCCAGGCTTCACTGTGGGTAGGTTCGTGGATGTACTCAGGAACTATCAAGGAACTTTTTTTTGCTCAACCCAGTTCTGTATGTACATGATAGAAACGGGGTCTCAGGACAACCACTCAGCAGTTGTTTAGAATCAAAAGATAAAAGAACTCTACTTATGAGGAGATGGGGCTGTAGACTTATATGGAAGTGCTTTGAGACACAATTGTTTATATACTGAGAATTACCTAATTTACTACGTATTTTGGGCTTGTCGTTTGTTTTTTTATTTTATTTTAGAAATTATACTATTTTGTGTCTTGCTTTATGGTAATTTGAGAGCTGCGTTTAATTAGAGCAGCAACTTTATACTGAACGACTTCAGTATTTCTTGAATCTGAAATTTTCAAGTTCTTTTGTATTCAACCCAGTATTTTATTTTCATTCTACTTCATGATTTTTGATAATGTGCACTGTGGCAGCAAAAACTTTTAAACTTAAAAATTAACTCTGACTTGGCGAAGAAGCTTTGTTTCTGAAAGTAATTATTTGCAGTAATTGCGGTGCTATTTTCTGGAGAGGTAAGATTCCTGGTGTCACAGGCCAACATCACACACACCGTCCCTGGGTCTCCTGCTGGCTCCTGTCAGATTAATGTGTGCAGCTCCCCTGCTGAAAAACCCACATGGGTTCTCTTCCTGGGCACCTGTGGAGGAGGAGAGGGTTTTGTATTTTTCCCTTACATTTCTAGTGCTTTATTTTCTTTCTGATTAGGATGAAGAGAATGAGGATAGCTAGAATGTGGATTGGGACACGAAGTATCACTTATTGTAATGCTGTTTTGGACAAAAGTTAATCTCAGGAACAAAAAAGTTGGATTTCTGACCTTACGACATTTTCGCAATTTTCTGTCAAATTTTTTTGTTAAAGAATTCAATGAGACTTCGCTATCTCTCTCTATTGGCCCTCCCCTTTCTGCTCAAATCTTATCATTTTCTACTTCCTTACTTTATACCAACTTTTCTTTAAAAATGAGTAAATATTGCAAGTATTGGCTCTTGGTAAATGTTGGGAAGGTTCAAATGTGGACCTCTTATTATTTAACCACCCAGTGCCTGGGTTGGCAATATTTGTATTTTTTCCTCTTTTCCATCCCTTATTAGAACTAGCTTTTCTCAAAGCAGAGTCGTCATCAGTAAACTTCAGGTGCCATAAGCTCCTCTCCACTGTTTTCCTTTATTCTAGGAGAGGAGAACTTGCAAGTGGGGATAGCTTCATTCTTATCAGGCAGTATCAGACTGTACTTTAATTTGAAGATCACAAGACCAATATCGATCTGAAATACCAAAAAATCCAAGTGCAAAGGGTGATAAGTCTTTCTGATTTGCTGTGCCAGATATTTAAAATCAATTACAAACCCTGCTGGAATGTCTTTTAATTTTTAAAAGTTTAAACGTGCAGTCCCAGAATATTTATTTGTTTCTTTATTCTCTTTTTTAGTAGACTCTCTTCTGCAGTTAAGTGAATGGTGTAAATGTCTATGGTTGAGTTTCAATGTGTAAACAGCTTTGTAACTCATTCCTTATGCTCTGAAAAATAAGGTCCTTTATCTCAATGAATACATTTTCCAAACAACATTTCTCCCTTTCTTGGTGTAATAGTTATGCTTTTAATATTTGCTAACTGAAAAAATGTACAATGACATTTGCTAATAGAGATTTTAAATGTGGTTTATTAATCACCAAGTCATATATATATAATGTATATATAATACGTATATATATAAAACAGTATGTACAATGTAAGGCATATTTTTTTCAGTCTATTCAGTCTATAGACAATGCTTAGAGTGCAAATAGATACAAGAATCTCTGATCACATCTTCCTGTTGTGCCTCTAGGGCCCCCAGAACTCCTCTCTTATTTATTAAAACCCACAAATTGCTGTAGGATAATCTGATTGTGTGATTTTTATTAGGGTATGTAATAAATTTATGCTAATCATACACATGAGGTTAATGAGGGATCATCAACTATGATCTATATGAAATGCACTTCTTAACATTATAGAAAACTAAACGATAAAGATGATTGGATGATCTCCTGGCTTATACTAAATCTGGTATTTGTTATAATGCATGAATCTTTACTTAAGCCCCATTCTTAAGGGATGAATTGCCTTGCATGTATGTGAACTGGTTTCTTCTTAGCATCACTTAGTCATCGGTTAGGAAGCCTTAGCTCTGTTGGTGGTTACACATAACATTTGGCAAGAAAATTACTTTTATTCTCCTAATTTATTTCTGCTCAATTGCTATTAACAGTCAATCTACCTTATTGGAAGTCTAAAAGAAATGTTCTACCATATTAATCTATGCTTGACTTTGCTGATTAAGTGCTGCTGGCAGGGAATGTGCAAGGCCTTTAGCTCAGCCTAGACAGTTGTAAATCTAGCTCATTATTCTCTAGATCCCTGCACATTTATGTCTCTTTCTTAAGTGTTCTTACTCCAAAAGTTTTTGTGTTGTTATTATTTTTTAAATACAATTTGGAAACGATTCCTTTCATTAATACTTGGCTATGACTTAAACCATAACTTCTTCTAGAGAGAGTTGCTATTAAGGGCCTTGGGAAAGCCAGGAATCTGGGGTAGGGGGTGTGCAAGTTTTGCCCGTCATAGTATTCTAAGTGTCTAAAAAGAGAACTTCAGCTAGTAAATCTCAACCAGTGTTATATGAATGAATGAACAAATGTCCACATGACTCTTAACTAGGAGAAACTCAATCACTGTTGTACAGATGACTCCCCACTTATGGTGGCTTGACTTATAATTTTTGACTTAACAATGCAGTGACACCACCATCATAAATCAAGGGGTGTACTGAACTTATGATGGATTTATCTGAATATAACCCCATGGTAAATAGAGGGATATCTCTATTTATTTCTGAGCCCTAATATCATACCACTTAGTAGTTTCCCATTCCCCTTATCTATAAGTGGAGCTATGCAATTATGAGGTCTAGGTATGGGAACTGTTTTGTCGCTTTTCAGAATTTAGATCAACATCTCACATGATGAATACTCTATTCAAATGCAGTCACGTGATTTTGTCACGTGTTTTCATAATTGGCTTGGCTTATATGGCTTATATAGATCTTAGGTCTTTTCACATTTGACTCTTTCTGTAGGGCTGCATTCATTGGTATGGACTAAGGAGTAAGTTACATCGAAATTTAGAATATGAATTCTATTTCACTGGTGAGCAGCTAACAATAGATTGCTTATTTAATGGCATAATTTGTGATGATATCTGCTGAGATCAGCAACATAGGCCTAGTTGGTACATGACAGTACCACATTATCAAGTGATAATATAGCCATTAACACACTGATGCTCTTGTAAATGTTTCCCTTGTTAAGAAATAATATAATCCTGGACATATCTGAAAATAAATCACTGGTATAAACAATATCTTTGGTTCTGTCTTAATCTCTGCCTCTGTCTTTCAGCTGATAGAGAAAGAGAATTCCTACAGCAAAAAAGGACTTTTCTGTAGCACTATCACAGTGGCATAACCTCCTCAAATTGTTACCGGATGTATTGCCAAACCACCACTGTGCCTGTTTTTTTGCTCAGCTCCTAATAGGTCTTGGCAGTTACCCATATCGAGCAACCCTGAGGCTCTGAGGGAGAGGTCTGAGTCTTTACGGCCTCTCAGAGACCTTGCTGTGACTTGGAATTAAGTAGATCTCTTCAGCAGCCAAAAAGAAAAAGAAGGAGGAGTGAGGGGGAAAGAAGAAAAAGTTAATAAAAATCTGCATCTATTATTAAGAATTTGTCTTTGTCTTGAAACCTTGCTTGTAAGAACTTGGAAAATTTAAAGAAAAACAAATTTCCAATCTGCTATGAGATTGTATATATGAGGCTTGTCTTTAAGGACATGATATTCTAAAAAGTCCCTTGAACTGACACATTGAGCCTAAAATGTGAGATTTTATTTATGCCTCTTTCAGAATAAGTAATTGATGACTTTCAACTGTCCCTTGAATAAACCTGGGTTGCACTTTAACATGAGAGAAGAAATTAAGGCCTTATTCTTGAAGGTTGCCTGTCAATCTTAATTATTGAGCAAAGTTGTCATGACTATCGCATATATGAGTATACAATATTTGCTAGCGATATAAATATTTCAAGGAGCTATTGTAATTATTGAGGTCTGCCATTTAAATCTTTGGAATTAAAAGGAAAGCAACTCAATAGTATCCTTTAATATACTGAGTTCTTCAGAGCAAGGTGCAAGTTAAAACTAGGTTATTTTTAATCCATTTATTTAGCACCGTGGTCATAATCAGAAAAGAGCATTTTATGTTCACATAGTATTTATTTAGCAGAGTGGCCATAATCAGAAAAGAGCATTTTTTTTTTTTTTTTTTTTTTTTTTTTGTTCACAGGCTTCCCAGTGAACAATGCTGCTTTGCATAAGAAGAGTTGGCATTATTTACGTTCTTCTTGGCTGTATTTAACACCAATGATTCACAAGAATTCTCATTTATTGGGTAGTATACACTGCCAAGAGATTTAAATTTTTTTATTTTTATTTTATTTTATTCATTTATTTTTTTGAGACAGAATCTTTCTCTGTCACCCAGTCTGGAGTGCAGTGGTGCAATCTTGGCTCACTGCAACCTCCGCCTCCTGGGTTCAAGCGATTCTCCTGTCTCATTCTCTGGAGTAGCTGGGATTACAGGTGTGCACCACCATGCCCAGCTAATTTTTTGTATTTTTAGTAGAGATGAGGTTTCACCTAGTTGGCCAGGCGAGTCTCGAACTCCTGACCTCAGGTGATCAGCCTGCTTCCACCTCCCCAAAGTGCTGGGATTACAGGTGTGAGCCACGGTGCCTGGCCGGATTTAAATTTTTAAATTTCAGTACTGCTATCTCCCAGTTGTGAGACCTTGGGCAAATTATTTAAATTGGCAGGCAGCTCATGGTCCCCTAGTTTTCCCATATTCTAATCCCCAGAACCTGTAAATATGTTACCTTACATGGCAAAGGGACTTTGCCGATGTGAGATGTGATTGAGTTAAGGACATTGAGATGGGGAGATATCCTGAATTATCTGAGTGACTACAGTCTAATCACAAGTGTTAGAGTCAGTAAAAGGATGTGACAATAGAAGTATAGGGGGAGAGAGAGAGGGGAGGGGAGGGGAGAGGGGAGAGGGGAGGACAGGAGAGTAGAGGAGAGGAGAGGAGAGGAGAGGAGAGGAGAGGAGAGGAGAGGGGAGGCTGCTGATCTTGAAAATGGAGAAAGGGACCAGGACCTCAAAAATGTAATTGGCCTCTAGAAGCTAGAAAAGGCAGGGAAACAAATTCTTCCCTAAAACCCCCAGAACACTGAACTTCAGACATTTTTATTTTGTGCTAGTGAAACTAGTTTGTATTTCTAATTTTCAGAAGTGTAAGTACTAAGTTTATGTTGTTCTATGCCACTATATTTGTGATAATACATCAGAGCAGCAATAGGAAGTTTATGCAGACTCTCTAGATCTCAATTTTTTTTAAAATGAGAATAATTGTGATTTTTATTTCTTAGGATTTTTGAGCAGATCAAATGAGATATAACATGTAAAACATATGAATATATATTAAATATATGCTGCTGATGAAGATGATGGTGATGATGATTATCACAATAACACTACTTTACTTCTAGTTGGGAAGAATCTTAACCACTGCTAAAAATGAGGATTATTTATAACTCATTTGATTTTAGATTGTTTTCATCATTTTCTACTTTCATGTCCCCCAGATAATAAACCTTCTCCCTTCTGTGTTTCCAGGAAAGCTAGTCATATTCTTGTTCCCATATTAAATCAGTCAATCAAATTCACAAGCACTTTTTGACCATCTACCAACTACCCACTAATACATTTGCCAGGAATCATTTGGCTCAATCGTGTTTCCCTTGAATTTTTATAATTTATCGTTTTAAGGTTGGATGAGGTAATTTTTCCCTCCAACAAAAAGCTGCTTTTAAAAGTCTAAGGGTCTCCTGACTGTCTACTGTTTCCCTTTTCAGCACCTATCATGTCTTCAAATGATGCACATGATTAAAAAAAGAAATGTTTTGCTTTTAGAGAAGGTGATGATTTATTGTAACAAGTGTAACATGGTATGATGACAATTAAATGGAGTACAATTAAAGAGTGGTAAGAGTTTATAGAAGAAATAACGGTATGTTGATACGTTTGAAAAAAGAGTTTGGGTTGGGCAGTAAGTCTTGAGCTAGAATTTGAAGGATTGGTAGAATTTAAATGTGCAAAGGGAATGAGGCAAGGTACTGTAAATTAGAGGGGCGTCAAAGAAATTCATTGAGTTCTCTCAGAGACGGAGATGAACAGGGCTTGCATGGTACAGTATCGGCTTATATTGGAGTGCAGTTAAGGTTGAATCAGAATGTGGTCAGGCTTTACAGGTATTGCAAATCCTACTATTTTCATTTTTATTTCAGAACCTCTTTAGCAACCCATACCCATGCATCTGTAAGTTGAAAATAAAGTCATCTTTTTCTATTTCATTTGTAGAAATCATATGGAATAGTCTAAGCTCTTATCCATCCAACCTGAATCTCAGCTCGGGATGTCAGGGTTAATGACAGCCACTCTCTCTCCTGCCAAATAGCTTGGACCCTCTGATATTAAATGTCATTAACAGCAGTGAAGTTCCAACTGTAGACATTATTAAGAGGAAAAAATATCTGATAGGCATATGGAGTAGAGGAGGACTATTTCAAGTATCAAGGGGACTGGTTTAGGGAAGGAACAAAGCAATCAGCAGTTTGTCTTTATTATTGCTCTGCCCAGTCACATTAATATAAAAGGGGCCAGCACATCAGTAAAGTAATAGCGCAGAATGCATTAGCACCACGATTCTTGCCAAAATTTTACCTGACTTCTGGGTAGAAGCAAAGAACAGGAAGCAAATGAGATGATTCAAGAAAATAGCAGAAATGGTAAATCAGAGCCTTACATGTAAGTAAGTAACTTAACATTCTTCAAAAGATGGTGACTCTTTCCTAAAAAACACTAATAAAATAAATAAAAGTGGGAGAAAATAGTCCGTTTCATGACTCCAGAGTACATAAGAAAAGATATGGAGGTTTTAAGCAAGGTATGTTAAGATGTGTCTGAAGAGGTGCATTTCTGTCTGTAGAAGCACCAAGGGCTCTGGGCTTGCAACAGTCGTTGCATGGTGATTCTCACACATGCTTCTTGATGCTTTCATGAGCCTCCAACTATACGCATTAGAATAAAATGAAGCAGCACAATGCCCTGCAGGTTTTTATTGGCTTTGAAATTTTTTAAAATATAATATATAAAAGGGGAATAGAAAACTCTGTTAGTAAGTAATCACGAGGAAAATACACATAAAACTACTACCAAAGTCATAACATAGCGCATTGCCAGTACCACAGATGCTGCCACTCTACCCTTGACTTTGTCCATTCCATTATTATTGCCTTCTCTCTCCTTAAAGGTAACCACTATGCTGAGTTTTTGGTAATCACTTTATTGTTCTTTATTATACATTTGGCACCTATATACGCATTCCATGAACACCATAATATAGGTTTGCTTGTTTTCTTTGTGTTGTAGAAATGGAATTATATGATGAGTATTCTGTGTCTGTATTTTTTTAAATTAATGTTATGCTTATGAGATTCATCCACAGTGTTGTATTGCTAGTGGTTCTTGCAATTATTTTTGAAATCACTCTAATGGATATTACATTACACACATGCATCATAGAATAGATGTGTAAACAAGTGGATATATATTTTAGATAATATTTCTGAACAGAATCCCAGTTAAAATAAAAGCACATCAGTTCCTAAAGGAATTGTATTAATTTCTAGTGCTGCATAACAAATTACCACAAACTCAGCAGCCTAAAACAACATCTATTTCCTATCTCACAGTTCTGGAGGTCATGTAAGTAAGCCTGACTAGCTTCTCTGCTCCCAGTCTCCTGAGGCCAAGATCAAGGTGTTAGCCAGACTAGTCTCTAATCTGGAGTTCAGGGAAATAATTCACTTCCAAGCTAATTTAAGTTGTTGGCATAATTCAGTTTCTTGCAATTGTAGAACTGAAGTACGACCTTCTTGCTGATTGTTGGCAGAAGGCCAAACTCAGCTCCTAGAAGTTGCTCTCGGGTTCTTGCACGTGGCTCTGCCCATCCTCAAAGCCAGCCAGGACACATCGCATTTCAGGTATTCAATCTCTCTGACATCCTCTTCTGCCACTAGCTGGAGAAAACTCTGCTTTCAGGTTATTAGATTCATGTGATTAGATTAAGCCTGACTGAAAAATCTCTTTTCTTTGGTCATATAATGTAACATAATCATAGGCATAATACATCATCATATTTATAGGCTCTGCTCACACTGAAAGGGAAAGAGGTTTTATAAGGGCATCTTAGAAAGAGGTTTTATTGGGGCATCTTAGAGTTCTGCTTGCTTCAGGAGTGAAGAAAAGAACAATTAGAATCCAGGGCCTCATTACATCCCTCTGGTGCTGTACTTAAAATGAGCTGGGGCACCCATACATCTTGAAAAATTGAAACCTACCTTTAGTAGAGAAGGCTGCTATTTGGCATGCTATTTTTCTCTATTCTTTAAGATACATTTATTGGGTATATGGTATAAATAAATCACGGTGGACGGATGCAAAGATTATGTGACAATTGCATAATAACCTACAGTGTGAGGTAAACTATAACAACATAGTCATTAGAACTCGATGTGAATTCAAGGGAGAGTAAAACTACATTCTGCTAAGAGTGTTGAAGAAGGCGTCAATGTTTGACTATTATAAATTTAACATACATCTTTGCCTCTGGTCTGTCCTCCTTATTTCCAGTCTCTTCACAAACCTCTTTTATTAATTTAACAGACATTTACATAGCACTTACTATCAAGCACTCTTATAAACCCTTTACATATCTTAACTCATTTTACCTCACAACAACTCTCTGAACTAGCTATACTTTTAGGATCTCATTTCAAAGGCAGAGTGAGGTGGGTCATGCCTGTAATCCCAGTACTTTAGGAGGTGTAGGGGGGCAGACTGCTTGAGGCCAGGAGTTAGAGACCAGCCTGGCCAACATGGTGAAATCCTGTCTCTACTAAAAATGCAAAAATTAGCCAGGCATGGTGGCGTGCGCCTGTGATCCCAGCTTCTTGGGAGGCTGAGCCATGTGAATTGCTTGAACTCAGGAGGCAGAGGTTGCAGTGAGCCAAGACTGTGCCACTGCACTCCAGCCTGGGCAACAGAGCAGACTGTCTCAAAAAAATAAAAAAAATAAAAATAAAATAAAAAAATCTCATTGTACAGGTGAAAATACCCAGGCACAAAAGTTAAATAGCTTTTACAAGTTTGCACAACTAGTAAGTGTCACATCTAGGGTTGAGGCCACGGCACACTGGCTTGAGAGTTTTTGTTTTTAAACTATTATGTTACAGAGCTCTTCAATCTAGATAAAATGCAAATTTGGCCATGTTATTTCTAGTTCATTTTTTATGGATTATCTAGGGTGGTGGTTCTCAACCAGAGTTAATTCCCCTTTCTTCCTGGTCCCCGAATGGAAATAGCGTCTAGAAATATTTGGAGACTTTTTTTGTTGTTTGTCATAACTTGAGAATGCTATTGGCCTCTAGTAAGTAGAAGTCATAGATGCTGCTAAACATTATAATTCTTTGACTCCCACATCAAAGAATTATGAAGCTCAAAATGTCAATAGTGTTGAGGTTGGGAAACCCTGGTGTAGGCCTGCCCCATTGTAACAGGATTAAGTCAGAGATTGCTCACATGACAAACAAAGTGTTTGTCTACCCTGCTTTTTCCCATCATGCTTATCCATCCCTCCTAGTATTTAGGATCACAAGGTGCATTCACAGTGCTGTTTCTGAACACTGTGATTATTTATTCTCAACATCTATCCTTTCATCCACAACAATTCCTATTTACTCATTCTTTGAGTCTTAGCTTAGGCTACCATTATTCATGAAACTTGTCCTTAAACACCAATCTGGGTGACATGCCCTCTTACAATCATTTCAGATTACCCTCTGGACTTGTGAAGAGTCACACTTAAGATGCTAAACATTCATTAACTCTTTCTTTGCTCTTTTTTTCCCATGACTTTGGAAGGGGGCTGAGACTAGCAGACTCATGTTAAGTGGCATGAGCGCCTAGTAGGATGTGATTTCTGGCACAGATACATTCAGTAATCTTAGTTGAATGAATTAATAAATAAAAGTAGTAGTCTTCTCAGGCAGCCATGACAGAGTTCCACAGACTGGGTGGCTTAAACAAGAGAAATTTATTTCTCATAGTTCTGGACACTAAAAGTCCTAGATCAAGGTATTAATTAGCAGGCTTGGTTTTTGTATTACTCTGTTCTCACACTACTATTAAAAACTACTGGAGACTGGGTAATTTATGAAGAAAAGAGGTTTAATTGACTCATAGTTCTGCAGTCTATACAGGAAGCATGGCTGGGAGGCCTCAGGTAACTTACAATCATGGTGGAAGGCAAAGGGGAAGCAGTCACCTCTTACCGTGGAGGAGCAGGAGAGAAAGAGTGAAGGGGAAGTGCTACACACTTGTAAACAACCAGATCTCATGAAAATGCACTCACTAGCATGGGAACAGCAAGGGGGAAGTCTGCCCCCATGATCCCATCACCTCCCACCAGGTCCTTCCCCCAACATTGGGAATCACAATTCAATGTGAAATTTGGGTGCGGACACAGAGCTAAAACATATCAGTTCTCCTGTGGACTCTCTCCTTGGCTTGCAGGTGGCCTCCTTTTTGTTATGTCCCCGCATGGCCTTTCCACTGTGCACATGAGCTCCTGTGTCTCTCTCTCTTCTCATGAGGACATCAATCCTATTGGAATAGGGCCCCACTCTTATGATCTCGTTTAACCCTAATTACCTCCTTAAAGACCCTGTCGCCAAAATATTAGGGTTAGAACTTCAACATGTACATTTTAGGGGCACACCATTTAGTTTATTACAAATATGAAGTGTCAAAATAAAGGAAATATCAGTCAGAAGACTGCTTCATAAATCTACTCATTTGATAGCAACTCTGTTATTGAAATCTTTAAAAATATTTTTCATTAAATCTGTTCAATTTTTTTCAAACAAATGTGTTTATAGCTATACATAAAAATAAATAAAAAGTGTGCATACAAAGATATGGAATACAAACACAATAATATTATTAAATTGTAGCCAAAGTGTTGCCTATGGAAAAATGTGAGCTGGTGTTTGTGTCTCTTTATTGTTAAAAAATTAGCAAATATTAGAGAGATATATATAAAATTCACTTGCACTATAGCAATCTAGTTAGAAAGAAGGAAAGCAAACTGAAAAGAAAGATGGAATTCTTATTATGAAAGTCAATACTATTTCTCATCTTCACCAAATTAGATGCATTCCAAACTTGGGCACCAGCTAGATTACAGTCTAGGTTGTGTTAAGAGGAGTCTAGTAGTGGGTTGAGCCTTCTGTGGCTGGAGGAAACTGTGTGTGCTAGGGTTCCATTTGTTTGTTACTGTCTGCATAATTAGATATCATATAACTAAAAGTTACTCTTGGATTTCAAGTATTCTGAAAATTTTACCGTGAATAACCTTTTGAGTTCTACGAGCATTTGCACACATGCCTTAAAATCCCTTTAAATCTTACAATGCTAATTTGATTCCCATATCCTAACCATGTTTTATTTTTGGTGGCTTCATACTCCAAGTTGTAATTTAGAGAGTGATTTTGTAGTACAGTCAGCCTTCTGAATCTGTGGATTCTGCATCTGTGGGTTCAACCAACCTCTGACAGAAAATTTTGGAAAGGAAAAGTATCTATGCTGAATATACACAGACCCTTTTAGATAATAAGGCAATTATCTAAACAATTGAGTATAACTACTATTTACATAGCATTTGCATTGTATTAGGTATTATCAGTAGTCTAGAGATTATTTAAAGTATATTGGAGGATATGTATAGGTTATATGCAAATACTTCACCATTTTATGTGAGGGACTTGAGCCCTGGTAGAGGTTGGTGTCCTCTGGAATTCCTGGAACCAATCCCTCAAGGATACATGGGACAGTGGTAATCTATGGCAAGGAATCTCACATTTGGCATGCATCAGAATTACCTGGAGGCTTCTTAAGACACAGATTGTTGGAGCCCCATTTCCAGAGTTTCTGATTTAGTAGACCTTAGGTGGAGCCAGATAATTTGCATTTCTAACAAGTTTCCAGATTATGGCAAGGTTGTGTTTTTGGGGACCACACTTTGAGGAGTACTGCTCAATGGGAATCTGGTATTCATAAGAAGTACTGTCTTGCTCCCTTGGAGGATCTGTTTGAAAAACAACCACATATTGCTCTTCCAGACTCAGAAATTAAAGGCATATGTAGATGTAGTTTTCTTCCTAGAACAGCTTGGAAGCACCGTTGGTATTTTGAGTGCAGCTCCTATTTGACCTTTATTCAGTCATTGAAGACTGATTTGTTGGGAGTCTTCATTTGCCAGGTTCTGTGTTGGATGTTTGACATGCAACAGTGTGGACAGGTGAGGTTGCTGACTTTATACAGATTATGCTGTTTACAAGCAGTTATGTGTCTATTTTAATCAATGTATAAGCTCACAGACCTGGGAATCAGATTCAGCCTCACTTTGCCAAAATTTAGGCTTGAGACCTTGAACAAATTATACAACTTTCCTGGGCCCCAGGTCCCTTTTAGCATCACCTTCAGTTACTCAAATATTTCTGGAAGGATATGGTGTTAAAAGGAGAAAGGAAAAAAACACTTATTTCTTTCTCTTACTATTCAGGTAACATAACGGAATAAACCCAAACAGCCACTGTAAAATACAAATTTGTATAAAATACAAATTTGTATAAAATACAAATAAAGTACAAATTTGTGTGGCATATTAGATTGGTTGTTTAGAATCCTGTTTAATAGGAATTACCTCTTCTGCTCAGGACCTGATATAGCAGCAGCTATATAAAGTATGTGCCAAACGTCACACAAATCAGGCAATCACTTTGAAACCATCTGGATCATCCTGTAGCATGTCTACCAGGAAAACTTTTCTCCCTTTCATGAGGATTAACTCTACCTGTTGGCAGCTATGCTAGCTCTGATATCACATATGCTGAGATAAATCAGCACCCTACATCCAGACAAAGGTAGAACAGATTTTTAAGAGACATTTGACAATTAGAAAAAATTATCAGGTTCCTGGAGAAACCTAACAGACAACACAAGCCATCTCATTCACTTGCAATCATTGTATTTTTCTCCTAAGAAGTCTATAGAATATTGGCTCTGGAGCTATACAGTCCTGAATTTGAATCCTGACTAAGCTACATATGAGTTTGGTTATGTCAGTTAGGTTATTTCCACTCTCTGAATCACAGTTTTGTTGTCTATAAAATGAAACTAAGATATAACTTATAGGATATTATGACAACTGAATAATAATAACATATAAAATAGGTAGCAACATAGGTGACATATGGTAGGTGTTAAATATTATTAAAAAACAGCTTATAACTGGAGTACTATCTCAACAAGATTATAAATAATCACTTGGAACCCAGAAATGATATTACTATGCAGGCATAGATTGCTGTAACCTGCTTGTTTTCTGCTACTGCAGCCATGCATGGATAACCTGAGGCATAAGGCAGAAGAAAGGCTTGGGGAGATATTGTAGTTTCCTCTTGAAATCAGAGCTTGTAACAATGCCTTGGCTTCCTTAGGAAGCAGGAATTAGGGAGCAAGGAGAATAATACAGGGAAAACATTATACATGTGGGTTTTCAAGGTTGCCACTGTGAATACTGAGGGCCAAATCTCCAGGACCTCCTAAGAAGCATCGAGAACTAACTCAGCAAAAAACAGGCTGAGAGAGGAACTGCCAGGATGAGGATTATCGTGGGGGCTTCACTCATACTTCTGGGCTACATTTACACATGGATTGAGGGAGTTCCATGATCTTGGATAAGGTCCCTAAAAGAAAGTGAAAAGATCCTCCAAACATCCTTGACAGGTAGATCATTGCCAGCAGCAAGTTTCAGTTGAGTCTGAGCTGTGGCTGAGGCCAGAGCTTGGCTGTGGGACTCCAAAGTGTGAAAGCGGAGGAATCTGCTGCATGGAGCTTGAGTGGTTTTGCTCAGAATTATATGAGGCCAGCACTTTTATAGCATGATATGGCTCAAATAGATCCACCTCCTTTTTTCAAAATTGCCTAAAATCATTAATCTTCATGTTCATCTCAGTGAGTATTGGCTTATTTTAAGCAAACTAAAAGTTTATACTTGACTTCAAACATTCTGAATTACAACATATGCCCCTAGAGATAATGACCAGACCATGCTAATGGACATCTGCTAGACAAGTGTTTTACATAATATGGTTCTTCCACTCCCTACAGGAGGATTGCCAGTAAGACCCACTACATTAGCATCTCTTAGAATACAATTTTTTTTTTTCTCTAATAAACTCTGTACTGGAAGTCTGGGAATTATACTAGATCTTTTGTAGCTTTGGCTTCTATTTCTTGTATATTTATTGTCTTAAAATTTTCTTCAGCCCTTACATGGCAGTAGAATAAAATTTTAAGCTGGTTTTTTTCTGTCTCTTGGTGAAGGCATGGGGAAATAACCACTGGGCCTACTTGTTTTGGTTATATTATGTGCAGTGTGTGCATGAGAGATTCCTTAACTGTCATTTCTATGTGATTGAACATAAACATGCTTAATGTAGCCCTGCATTCCTTAGAATCATCCTGTCTCCCAGGTGCAGGAAGAGTAAGGTTGGCCATATTATTACAGGAAATGGAGGCTCATAACACTTGAATTTTTTTTTTTCAGTCCAGATACCAAACGTAGCTTGAGCTGAGATTAGAGTCTTGGGCAATATTCTAATATTGTTGAGACAACAGATGTCTGGAAAACTGGCATTGTTAATGGCTCATAGGTTTGTTGTTTTGTCTTTAGAAGGAGATAACAACCATATCCGTTTTTCAGAACGCTCTTTTCTCAGAGAGACTATAGTTTTGCTTTCAGACATTTTATAAAAGTACTTAATCTTATTGAACATATGGACAGTGATATCTAGACACAACCAGCTGATTTAAGAATAAAGAGAGCACTTAAACTCAGATTTCCTTTCTTGTCAGCTGGTATCACTGGCTAGTTTTATGAAGGGCTTCTAAAAACCTTTTTGCTCTGTGACTAGAAATATGCCATTTAATACAGGATGAATAAATGTCCTCCGAGTGTCCTTTTATCACTTTAGGCTCTCAGGACTCAAACAAGTTTGCTAATAAGATTAGAGTGAAAACTTTATTAAACTCTGGTTCGTGGTAGATTTTATGGTTTTATTATACAGTTTGACTATATTAGCTTAAGACTGTATAGCTCCCTAAATTCCATGCCTTTAATAAGTTCTCTCTCCAAAAGGGTCTCTCTATAATGACAATGTAATAGCAACAGGAGAACTTAATGATTTGAGAGCATTATATTTTATAACCATTATCCGTAATAGATCGGACAGTGAAAGTTTGTAATTTATTATGTCATAAATGGGTAATCATATATGTGGGTGGTGGAACTGATTGGATAAGTGAAATGGAAGCTATTGGAGCTAATATTCTTTAGGGCTGGCTAAGTGCAATCTCAGTAACATCATTTCTTAATTAGCCATGTTAACACCTCACTTATATGGGAGGCTCTCACCAAACTTTCACAATCGTTCAGAACCCAACCAAGACCCTAAAACTAAAACAAAAAAATTACACACACATGCATACACACATGCACACATACATAATACACATATGTGTGCATGTGTGAGGGTGTAAATGACAGCAGACCACTGCTTTATTTATATACCTTATAGCTATAGTTTTCTTACATCCCCCACACTGCCACTCCCCCCCACTGTTAGACCATGAGCAATTACTTCTTTCTGCCTCAGTTACATCATCTGTAAAACAAAGATAATAATACTAGTCACTTCCTAATGGGTTTGGGCATACATATACACACATACAGACATGTATATACATTCTGCCCAATATCACCCTGTTACAGAATGTGCACAAATGACTCACAGCTGATTTGGTTTCATCTTACATAGTATACTCACAATTAGAGGCACACCAAAAAACACAATTACATTATTAATAATAAAATATAGCTTAGAGCTGGTTCATATATAGTGTTTAACATAGTGTTTAATATCAGCAGACCTGTCTGAACGCTTTATATATAAATTCAGTCTACCATTGTAATCTTTGTTTTACAAATGAGGAAACTGAGGGAGAAAGGGGTGAATTTTCCCAGTCTGTCAGTGGGGATAGAGGCAGAAAAATTGTAACTATCCTGTGAATTAATTCAGAAAGCAGCAGTGTGCAATCATTTACTGTTGGCGAAGGCATCCTTCAGTGACCTCTTCAAATGACATCGTGTGCCCGCCAAATATAATACGTGGGGCTCATCCTAAAGCACCCTAAACGAAAGGACTCACTTGGCGTGTGCTTTAAGACAAAGAAGTTTCTAATATATTTCGAAGCTCTTTTCTCCCAAAATAATTTTTTTAACTTTTTAAATTAAAGATCCAAGTTCTTTTTTATTGGTCAGGACACTAAATGAAACATCTCCTTCATGATTATGTCTAGGTTGATATTCATCATAGTTTTAATAGGTAAAAACCAAAAGCAGCAACTACACAAAAAGAGATTTATTAAAATTTAAGGAAGTGATCTGGAACTTCCTGTTTCAAATACAGGAATTTTAAAGTCAAGTAAAATTTCTTCTTTGTTTGTTGTCCTGTGATAAGCCCTGTCACTCTGCATCAAACATGCTTATAGCCGTCCACTTCTTTTTCTGTTGATAATGTCATGAGACAGTAATTTACTTACTTATTTAGATTGCTGTTCATTTTCCTTCAAGTTGATAAATAAGAATTACATATTTTGGTATTCATCTTCTTTAAAAATGTTGAACATGAAAGGAGATTCAAGGGTATGCATAAATGCTTTTTAAAGTAAAAACCATTTATGCTTCTGAAATCAGGCTTAGGACTTAACTCCTTTCATATTTCCTGACTGTAATATGACACCATTAAAAAATGGAAAGCTCTGATTGCTGTTTAATAAAGATTTCTGGTTAACAAAGACAACCTTAGGGAAGGATATAAAAGGGTAATACATAGAAAGAAGATATCTGTAATCTCTAAATAAGGTATGAGATATATAGATATCTATTTTATATTTTATATATATATATATATATATTTGAGACGGAGTCTCACTCTGTCACCCAGGCTAGAGTGCAGTGGCGTGATCTCAGCTCACTGCAACCTCTTCCTCCTGGGTTCAAGCGATTCTCCTGCCTCAGCTTACCTAGTAGCTGGGACTACAGGCGCCTGCCACCATGCCTGGCTAATTTTTTTGTATTTTTAGTAGAGATGGGGTTTCACTGTGTTAGCCAGGATGGTATCGATCTTCTGACCTCGTGATCTGTCTGCCTCGGCCTTCCAAAGTGCTGGGATTACAGGCGTGAGCCACTGAGCCTGGCCACATACTAGAATATTTAAGGAACTCTTTTAGCAATAAGTTATTTAAGAAAAGAAAAAAATTAGAAAACAACTAATAATTCAGAAGGATGGAAAACAGCAAGACCAGTAAGCATTTGAAGAGATATTTACTCTCACTATGCATCAAGGAAATACAAGTTAAAGTTAAAGAACACTTTGCATTTTTCAGAATGGCAAAATTTGGAAAGTCCTAGTGAGGATATGGCAAACTGGAAAACCCAAGGTTATTGTTGATGGGAGTATAAAATTTTCTGGGAAACAATTTTACTATCTGGTGAAAATAAGTTATATGCTATCTAGCATTCTCACTTCTGGGTGGAGTAAGTTGTGCATATTCATGCTTGGGTGATAGCAAGGCTTAGAGGGCCTACAGTGACTATTACTACATATCAATAGAAAAATAGAATATTGAAAACACAAAATGATTTAAATGGATTAAACACCCACAAGAAACAATGCAATATCATTTTATATATATAACTGTATCCAAACACTTAGAAGACAGTGGGAAAGTCCTATATTACATATACTAAAGTTATGCTTTTGTGGGAGTGGGAACTTGGAAGGAAATAAAAAAAAGAAGTATTATTTAATACAAGAAAAGTGGATGATCATTACCCAAGTCAAATATAGGATGAGAATGATTATCTCAATTCTGTGTACTATATTTTCATTCCAAAAAAGGAAACAAACAAACAAAAATAACTATGCTACATGGTCCTCCCTCTTCATTTAATATATGTTGATAGACTAGGATGGTGGGAGGGGCGGGGAGAGGGCGCTGAAATTGGAGAGAGGTTTCGGAAAAAAGAGGAAGAGTTTCTGTGATGTATAAAAGTCTTGTCTAAAAATATTTGGTGACTCTCATGAGCTTCCCTGACTTTATAATAATTAAAAAACTTCCAAAATATTAAGCTAAGATTGGTCTATTTAATTCCTGTATTACTTTGGTGATTTTAAGTACCATGGCTTCTGATGGGTTACCAACATAACATGCTATAATATAGAGCTTCTTTTGAATGTTATGCTTAACCTGAGGAAGAAAGTAGACAGTATTGGCCACTGAATGTATTGCAGGTTGAATTGTAGCCATCATATACCAGGAATACAATTAAAAACAGGTTTTGCTTGAGTGAAATATTACCATCTAGTTTATTTTTTACTGTATTTATACATGACCAATAGTATTTACTATTGGTCATGGCATTTGCAGTTCTAAATAGGAAATGGGTGAATTTAGCAGGTAATTTAATTTTAATAAGTGTATCTTATAAAGAGATCAAAGTATGTTTCTAAAGCATTTATGAGCTAATATAGATCATAATATTAGTATATTAAAATCTTGAAATCTTAAAGGTTAGGGTTGATTTTTAAAAATAAAAGTTTTCTCTAATTTCATGAAGCCAAATCTTATTTATTAGTGGTTGCAAAACAATAGAAATACATACATGGAGTTGAAAACTTTATATCATTGGTGACATTGAAAAGACTCCATGCAGGGATGGTCAGCATAAAAAACCTTAAATACAGCTAGAAAAAAGCTAAGACTGAATATTTTAAAACAATTTATCAACTTTCAACAATACCTAAAACTAGTTGTCTAAGACTAGATGTGAGCTGATATATAGAAACTTCAATAAATGAAAAGTGATTGAGCTTCACAGGGAATACAATTGAAAATGGGCTACATGAAACTATCGTTTTGGAGCAAGTGAATATTACCTATCAAAAGAGATGACATATTGGGTATACTCCAAGATAAAATAATTACTATATTTTTAGGGCTAATATTAACCTAAATTCAAAGATGTCGATAATCTATAATAATTCTTATCGTGCAGCAGTGCAGTCATCTGATTCCAGGTTTGATGGACTATGTTTTTTACTAGGATTTCAAGATTTCTTCAAAGTATATATTTTATTTTATTGAATAAAAGAACGAATATATGAATGAACAATAGGTGAAATTATGAAAACAACAAAATAAAAAATTAGAATTATCATAGGTAGGAGAAGGCTCACGCCTTCTAGACATATATATGTCTACTTACATAGACATATATATATGTCTACTTACATAGACATATATATATGTCTACTTACATAGACATATATATATGTCTACTTACATAGACATATATATATGTCTACTTACATAGACATATATATATGTCTACTTACATAGACATATATATATGTCTACTTACATAGACATATATATATGTCTACTTATATAGACATATATATATGTCTACTTATATAGACATATATATATGTCTACTTATATAGACATATATATGTCTACTTATATAGACATATATATGTCTACTTATATAGACATATATATATGTCTACTTATATAGACATATATATATGTCTACTTATATAGACATATATATATGTCTACTTATATAGACATATATATGTCTACTTATATAGACATATATATATGTCTACTTATATAGACATATATATATGTCTACTTATATAGACATATATATATGTCTACTTATATAGACATATATATATGTCTACTTATATAGACATATATATATGTCTACTTATATAGACATATATATATGTCTACTTATATAGACATATATATATGTCTACTTATATAGACATATATATATGTCTACTTATATAGACATATATATATATGTCTACTTATATAGACATATATATATGTCTACTTATATAGACATATATATATATATATAAAATAAAAGTGGAAGAATCTAGGCTGCATTGATACTAGGAAATAATACAGATTAAAATTTTAGCCATCAACCCATATAAAGTTTAGAAACTTATTGAAAATCTGGGACTTTAGGATCAACGTATTTCCTAAAAGAGAAGTAACAGAATAAAGGAAAAAGATGATAAAAGCTGGGAGCTTTGCAGTATTGTTCTTATAATTTGCAGTTACTGGCAGAAATAAGTTGCGTGAGGTGAGGGTAAGTGTCAGAAGAGGCTGTAGCTAATTTTTTGAAAATAGTGGTACTTGAAGCATTGATGACATCTATAAAGATGTTTTATTTTTGATCAGGTGGCTAAGATCAAGGTACGGGAAAAATTTGACTATGCTATACTGTTTTGGCCAAACATCAAATAGAAGACCTTGTTTCTTATCATTTATATAATGCAGCGAGGAATATCAATTTGGTTTAATTTGCTCCTTTAGATTAGATATTAAGAAAACATGCTGTTGATATAATGCATATGATCTTTAATTTGTATTTCAAATAATATGTAATAACAAACACTCTGTATTTGATCTTGCACTCTGGAATGTCCATCTAAAAAGATATCCAGAGTAAAGATTTTTGTAAAGCATTTCTCTGTGATCTGAAACACAATAAATAATTATTAGACTTATTTATAGGTTTACATCCCTTTTCTTATTTTCTTATTTCACCAAGTGTTTACAATTTCTTGCAAACTGTATGTAATAAAGAACAGAATAAAATATTAGGTAAAAGCAAAATAGAGATAAAAAGTAATAAAACCTGGTTAATGCAAACCATATTTGTATAATTGCTACAGAAGCAGCTCAAAATGACTCTGATTAATTGTTACAGTAAAAGGAAGTGTATCAGATTTTTGTTCACTGAATTAGAAAAACTTTTAAAATATATTTAATCTCTAATTACACAACTTTTCTTGATATTAAGACCTGATAGGATCATAACCTCTATAAAAGGACAATATAGTCAGTAATATCTCTAAACCGATTGTGTGTGTGTGTATGTATATATATATATATAGTTATATAAATACATATATAGTTATATAAATACATATATATGTAAAATTCTATAATGAAAGTTTTTTGGAGAAGTGTTGCAAAATAAATCAGTAAATTAGATACACTCATCTTTGATAACATGACTTAATCCAGGGAAATAATTTAGACTGTATTAACAGGGCTTCTTACTCCAAGGTACATATCACCATAGGGAGTGGCAGTGACGGATGCAGGGATTCCTGTGAACCACTAAAAATCATATGTAAAATATCACATGTACTTTTGTGCATTTACCCTACATACCGTTTTCAGAATGAATTGTAGTCCATAAAATTTAAAGAACCATTGTCTGTCATATGTACTTTGAGTTAATTATTTCAGTTCTCAATTAGCATTTATAGTTATATCATCTGATGATTTAATACTATTTGTTAGTATTTAAGAGATTTGCTATTTGTATCAACAATGTCAGAAATGAGGGCTCCTTTATTTTGTGGTATTAATGATATTTTACTTAAAATAACTATTTCATATAATTTATATGTTTTTCCCCTAGAATTTTGCCTTGCAATGTTTAGCGTATGTTTGGAAAGTCTTAATTATCGAAGAAATTGATGTATTGCAATAAAAGACATGAATGAGCTGTTTCTGAATGAATATTTGGAGAAGGGTTTTACTTTTTCTTATATTCATACTGTTTTAATTAATGAAGCCAATCAAATTCATGTCTTCATATATACCCAGGTCTCTGTCTTTATAAACCAGCAAAATTATATAATTCTTATCATACAAACTATTTTCTCCCAGCTCAAAGTTTACACCTGCTACCTTGAGGATGCTGGGATCCCAATCTGCTTACAAGCCTAGAGACAGTGTGGGATGACAAAGGTGGAGGATGAAGACAAATGCTCTTCACTTGCAAGGCAACTGCCCTAGATGAGGTCATTGCAGGTCTTTAGGCAAATCAGAGTTTCTGTACCAGAGAGGCGAGGAAGTACTTTTTCTGCTCTTAAAAAAAGACTGTGATTTGTGCATGTAAGTGCTCAGATTCATCATAATTCATCATCCTAATGCCCCATTACACTTTTCAGGGTCCTAGTTAATCTCCTAATTTCTTTGAGATATGCCAAGGCTAATAAATCAGTTTATGTTTAAAAAGTCAGTTTATGTTATAATTTTGCAATCCTTAGAAGTTTCTGCTTCTGCTTTTCAGTTTCAGCAGCCCAACCCTGAATCTACAAGAGACATTAAGATATTTTTTAGGATAAACATCGCGGCTTTCTTGTTCTTTATTATTATTTATGCTAAAGATTTAAAGTTTGAGCTTTTTTAAAAAATTTATGTTAAAAAACTCTCCAGTGACATCGGAATAGCCAGCTTACTCTATTGTTACTTGTGTTACTCAGTCTTATCATAAAAATTTGTCACAACAGTTGGCTTAAATGCCAAAGATTGCCTTAAATGAACATTTTATTTCAGGGAATTACAGAATGTTTATTTATTTATTTATTTATTATTTATTTATTTTGTTCCTTTTTTAAGACAAGACCTCACTCTGTCACCTTGGCTAGAATGCAGTGCCTCACTGCAGCCTTGACATCCCAGCCTCAAGCAATCCTCCTACCTCAGCCTATTGAGTAGCTAGGACCACAGGTCCCACAGGTGTGTGGCCCAATACCCAGCTAATTTTTGAAAGTTTATTTTTACTTTTTTAAGAGATGAAGTCTTATTATGTTGCCCAGGTTAGTCTCAAACTTCTGGGCTCAAGCTACTTTCCTGCTTTGGCCTCCGAAAGTGCTGGGATTACAGGCTTAAACTACTGTGCCCTACAGGATAATAATTTATGTAATCATTTTGGCACACATCATTGGGCTAGTGGTAGCCCATTTTCCACTATTTCTATTTTCCAACTTTCAAAGTCAACCAAGTCAGATAAACCAATTCCAGATTCTAATATGTGAGAGTCAGTTTTCTGAAACTTCTCTAATCACCAAATAGTCTCACAGGCAAATTATAAGTATTTTAAACATAGGGGTTTAATTCAAGAAATTAGGCAGTCAAATATCATTAAAAGTGTTTGAGTAAGAAAAGTTAAAAGGAAGAGTTAAAGACTAAATCATTTTAGATGCAATCCAGGAGTTAGAAAGCTGCTACTGCTATCCATGTTGCTTGCCTTCAAAATTACATTTTATTGATGATGCTGGTAACTAGATCACGGAAATAGGGAATGAAGGAATGAAGTCTATTCCCCGCAAACACTCATGTCTTTTAGAAATTGTTTACCAACCACCACAGCCATAGATAAATGATTCCTATTCTACATCTGCCTTATTCTTGCATGACTGCATGTCAGGGGTAGAAACTAAATTGCATCTAGTACCTTTGCCCTAAAGAGGTCTGAGAAAAGGCCTTTTAGCCTTTGCAATACAAAGTGAAACGTGCATTGTTATACAATCTTTTCAGCATCACTTGACACAGTTTTTTTTCTTAAAGTCCTTTGCTCTTGCTATCTATTTAATGATATGTTTATGTTTTCTCTCCTCATACATTTGCTGCTATTTTTGAGAATCATTTTCTGGATGGCATGATTAAGAAAAAATGGAGATAAAAGGATAGGGTTGGTCCATTATTTTTGATATAACAGCATGGGAGACTTCTCTTAATACAAGCCATTTAAATGGAGACTAGAAGTCTGTGTGTGGTTGTGTATGTGCATACAAGTGTAGGTTAGATTTTAGGAGCAACATCCATTGTTTTTTTCTTCTCTTCTCCCTACCTTCTTTTCTATGGCAACCGTGGAGACCAAATTCTATAGGTGACAGCATCACACAGGGAAGGCCTCCCTGTGTAACTTCTTGAAGGAAGGCCACATAAGAGCACTATTCTATTAGAAAGAACAACAGTGACACCCACATGAAGAGTAAATAATTTTTACTTTGCTTTAAGGCATTTAAAATAAAAAAGAGCATTTAGCTTTTTGGATTTATGAAGGTTTGGGGTTTATAGGAAAAAAAGCTTAAAGGAGATGAAGAAAATGTGGATGTAAGCAATAACATGATTATCATGATGAGCTATTAAATTTTGGCTGGGTAAGAACAGATGGAGTTGATAGAGAGTATTGTGGTCAACATCTTCATGCCATCAAGAATTGAAAGACATTGATTATAAGGGTGAACAAATGAGAAGATTACAACAGTATAAAAGAAATGCTTTTTTAAGGTAGTTGTTGGTATTAAGGTTTGATGGGATGTTTATGTCCTTGTGATCTCAATATTCAGGCCATAATCATAGGAGTGAATGGTTGAAGAGAAAAAAAGGAAAAATAAAATCACCAACTATGAGGAAATCAACAAACTGAGAGGCCAAGGGTTTATAGCGGACCATTTGCAAAACATTCAAATCGTCCATTCCAATATCATAAATATTCTAGTTTTAGCAGATGAAGGCAGAATAGCAGAAAACTCATATTGGAACTCCCTTGACCTTTTTCTCCTTACTTTGTATAGAATTCATTTTGATGAAGCCAAGATAATGTCACATATAAAAATATGGACTTTGGCAAAAGACTGCCCAACTTCTGATCTTAGTTCAGTCACTTACTAGTTAAGTGGCACTTGGCAATCTGCTTACTCTTAAAAGCTAAGATTTTTTTCTGATGTAAAGACAATTTTGAAAATTACATAAAGACAAATAATTTAAATATCTTGCCAATTAAGTGATTGTTATCATTGTGTAATGTCATGGCTTGCACCTTTGTTCAATGACCTGGCATTAAAGTTCATCACTAAATTTACTATAGGGGCATAGGCAAGGACAATATTCACTATGCCATTCATTTTTCCTCACATAAACTCCTTATTTTATACACACAAAAAAACAAAGCAAAAAAGAGAAAGAACCTTCCAGATTGAAATGCCAGAAGAAATTTTCTTCCACTGAGAAACCATTCGTATTTTCTTCAAATTCTCAGCAAATCATGTTGATGGATGGTCAGCAACCCTTTTTTAGCTTTAGTAACTGGTAATTAGAGTTATACTTGTGGTTTAACTTTAGCATAGGAAAGGACTCTGTGAATACCGTAAACACATTCTCTTCTGTCCATAACCTTTTATTTTAATTTAGATATAACATTTATTTTTAACTGCATTCATTCTGCAAGTTGATTCAATTCCTTTACACGCGCACTTGTGCGTGTGTGTGTGTGTGTGTGTAAGAATAACATCAATATTCTGAATTCTAAAACTACAAAGTGTTGAAGAAGAATGGAGGTCCAAAAGAAGATTTCTACTGCTATAGATAGAATTTTTCTTTCTTTTTCTTTTTAAGAATTGTAGTGAAAGACTTTTTCTTTGGGACAAGGATGATGCCATTTTCTTTCTGTGAGGTGCAACCTGAGTCAGTTTGATCCTGCTGGCAGCGTCCTAATACATTTCCTCCTGCATGCCTCATTTTGATTTAAAAGGTTAGATGTGCATCATCTTATTTTTTAATTTTGTCCAATCTATGCTATAATTATTATAGCAATTCTTCTACGTTGCTTTATTATTGCAATTCTTTACACTGAAATTCCTAGAGTCTAACAAGAATTCTAGAGTTCTTTTCCTAATTATATGTTAATGGGTATTTTAATGGAAAATGAGATTTAAAATGTATTATTTCTTGCTCTATTGTTTGAATCAAGCAGATACTTTTATAACATTCTGTGTTCATCGCTGCAAGTTGAGATAGCTGCGCTTTGGCTAAGATACTATGTCAAGTAGGACAGCTGTGAGCATCTTTGAGAAATTGCTCAGTGTTTAAATGTTTCTTACTTTTCATATTAGCAAATGATTTCATCTTTGCCCTATAATTTGACAGTCAAAGTATAGGATATTCTATATATTTTACTATCCACTGTGGTTAAGTCAGTTGTATTTTATCCAATCTCCTACTTATGTTGAAACTGAGAGACCTGAGACTATATCATTGACTTTAAAGCCTTCATAGGGAAGTTTCAACGCATGCAAATGCACAAGAAGCAAATGAAGAAAGTGCTGTTGCTATCAGCCCTGGCAACAGCTCGCTGAAATCTGATAACTTAAATAGAGTACTCTCATTTTTTCTCTTCTAGATACATTTATATTTTATCTTAAGAGACATTTGTACACCTACTGTATGAACAATAAGTTCTTGAAAGACAGAAGAAAAAGAACAAAGTAGTTCAGGCTTCAAGAAGCAACTCTTACGTGCATAGCATTACCTAAGTCAATTGGAAAAATGTGTTTTTAATAGTGTGTGCTCTGATGAAGTAAACTTTTGCAAATTTCTAAAAGAAAACTACAAGCATATAACATTTGGCATTGGGATAACTTTTCAGAAGAGTTCAGAGCTCAGGAAGCCTATTTCAGTTTCAGATTCCCAACTCCTGATTTTCAAGTTCTCTAAAATTTGTCTCTGCTTTATATTTTTCAATCTGATTTTCCACTACAATTATACACATTTTCTACTTCACTTAGGCTGATATCCTTTAATTCATTTAGTGAAATTGCATTGAAGGTCTCATGTGTAAGGTATTGCCCTAGGAACTGGGGATTCACAGTGCACAAGTTACTAGTGCCTTAATCACTTTGCTCATGTTATTTTCTTCTTCCAGGAATAAACTCTCTCATATTCTCCAACTACTAAATTACATGATATCATCGAAGGAATGATAAAATCTATTTCCTCTTCCACTCACCAAGCTTTCTCCAATTTCTAAATATCTCATGGCCTTTATTTATTGAATTTCTTTAGTAGTCTGCATCATGCAGTTTAATATTGGTATTTCAGTCTTCCTTTTTATAAGAAATAGCTTTTATTTCCTTACTATAATGTAAAATATCGAGTGAAGGAATCAAATCTTATAATCAAGTCTTTCTACTGTATCATAAGACTTGTAGGGAAGCACCCATTTTTCTCGTTTCTTTAAACTCTCTAAGTCCCACCCATTATTCTCAGAGTAGGGACTAAATTCCATTATATCGCTAGAAGGACATTCATTGATATGACAACTATTTAGTTCTAAATTTAGCTTGCAATATTTCACATCTAGATTCATAAACAAGATTGTTCTGAAATTTGCCTTTCTTGTAATATCCTGGTAAGCTTTTAGTAGCAACATTATACTTATCTTATAAAACAAATAGGGCATAGTTATTTCTTCTTTCTAGTCGCTGGAAAATGTTGAGTAATATCTTGGTAAAGAGGCTTGAGGGAAAGCTTTTAATTATTTATTAAATTTCCTTAAAAGATACAGCATTTTTGTTTCATTGTTATGATGGTATCAATGTTGATGAGTTGTATTTCTCCAGAAATTGTCTAGTCCATCTAAATTTTTTAAATTTAGTCATCAAAGTTGTTTATAATATTCTTGTATTATCATTGCATTATCTGTTGGTTTATAGTATTGTCCTCTTTTTGCATTCTTTATATGGATGCTTTGTATTTTTGCTATTTTTAAAATAAGAATTGCCATAGGTTAAATCATTTTTTCAAGAACTAATTTTTGGCGTTGTTGATTTTCTCTATTATATGCTTGTTTTCTAATTTATTAATTTCTTCCCATTTATTTACTGTTTCCTTCTTTGATTCTCTTTAGGTTTAATTTTCTATGGTTCTCAGAGTTCCCATGTATCCTCTACCCCCACACATGAATAGCCTTTCCCTACCCCCCATCAACATGCCCCACCAGTGCACTACATTTGTTACAGTTGATGAACCTATATTGATACATCGTTATAACCCAAAGTCAAAAGTTTGCAGTAGGGTTCACTTCTAATGTCATATATTCCACAGGTTTTAACAAATGTATAACACGTATTCACCATTATAGTATTATACAGAATAACTGTCCTAAAAATCTTCTTTTCTTCACCTGTTTATCCTTCCTTCTCCCCTAAATCCTGGCCAACTACTGATCTTTTTACTATCTCCATGGTTTTGTATATTCCAGAATGTCATATAGTGGAATTGTACAGTTTGTAGACTTTTCTAACTGGCTTATTTCACTTAGTAATATGAATTTAAGTTTCCTCCATTATCTTTTCTTGATTTGGTGGCTTATTTCTTTTTAGCACTGAATAATACTCTATTGTCTAGATACACCACAGTTTATCCATTCACCTACTGTCAGTTATATTGGTTGCTTCCAAGTTTGGGTGACTATTAATAAAGCTGCTAAAACTATCTTTGTGCAGGCTTTTGTGTAGTCATAAGGTTTAAACTCATTTGACTAAATATCAAGAAGGCAATTGTTGTATCACATGGTAATTGTGTATTTAGTTTTCTAAAAAACTGCCAAAATGTCTTACAAAATGTAGCATTTTGCATTCTCACCAGCAATGAATAAGACTTCTTGTTGCTCCACCTTCTCACCAGTATTTAGTGGTATTAGTGTTCTGAATTTGGCTATTCTAATAAGTGTGTAGTGGTATCTTGTTGTTGTAATTTGCACTTTTCTCCTGACATATGACATTAAATATATTTTCATATGCTTATTTGCCATCTGTATATGTTCTTTGATGAGCTGTCTGTTCAGATATTTTGCTCATTTTTAATCAGGTTATTCTTTTTATTGTTGTGTTTTAGGATTTCTCTGTATATTTTGGATAACATTCCTTTATCAGAAATGTCTTTTGCAAAAATTTTCTCCCAGTGTGTAGCTTGTCTTCTCATGTTCTTGGCAGTGTATTTTGCTGAGCAGAAATGATAAATTTTAGTGACGTTCAACTTATCAACTCTTTCTTTCTTGGATTGTTCCTTTGGTGTTGTATTTAAAATGTCATTGCCATGGCCAAGGTCATTTAGATAGTCCCCTCTGTTAACTTCTGAAAGTTTTCTAGTTCTTCAATTTACATTTAGGTATAACGCATTTTGTGTTAGTTTTTGTGAAGGGTGTAAGGTCTGTGTCTAGATCTTTTTTTATCTTGTGGATGTCTAGCTATTCCAGAACCATTTGTTAAAAAGACTATGTATCCATTGTATTATCTTTATTTCTTTGCCAAAAATCACTTGATTATATTTGTGTGGATCTGTTTCTGTGCTCTCTCTTCTCTTCCATTGCTCTACTTGTCTACTTTTTTAAACCAATACAGTTCTGCTTTGATTATTTTAGTTTTATAGTAAGTTTTGAAGTTGGGTCATGTCAGTCTTATAATTTTTGTTCTCCTTTAATATCATGTTGGCTATTCTGTCTTTTCTTTCTCCACATATTTGTTAATATCCACAAAATAAATTGCTAGGGTTTTTATTGGGCTTGCATCGAATCCATATATCAAGTTGGGAAGAACTGATATATTGACAATATCAAGTCTTCTTATCCATGGACATGGGATGTCTTCATTTATTTAGTTATTCTTTGATTTTTAATCAGAGTTTTGTGTGTTTTATCCACACAGATCTTATACATTTTTTTTACCTTTATTTGTAGGTATGTCACTTTGGAGACGCAGATGTAAATGATATTTTTCTTTTAATTTCAGATTCTCCTTTTTTATTGCTTGTATACAGGAAAGCAATTGACTTTTGTAAATTAAGCTTATATCATGCAACCTTGCTATAATAGTTCATTAGTTCTATAGTAATTTCTTTTTTTTGTCATTTTCCCCAATTTTCAACATAGAAGATAATGCCATATGCAAGCAAAGACAATTTATTTCTTCCTTCCCAATATATATACTTTTTATTCCCATTTTTTATCTCATTGCATTAGCTATGGTGTTGAAAATGAGTAGGTAAAAGGGGACATTTTTGTTTTGTTCTCAGTCTTAGCGGGAAAGTTATTTCTTACCAGTACGTATAATGTTAGCTAAAGGCTTTTTATAGGTAATTTTCGTTAAGTTGAAGAAGTTCCCTTTTATTCTTAGCTTGCTTTATCATGAATTGGTGTTGGATTTTGTCAAATGTTTTACTACATCTATTAATATGTTCATGTGATTTTTCTTCTTTAGTCTGTTGCTAATGATGTCATGCATTAACTGAATTTTGAATATTGAACCAATCTTGCATATCCAGAATAAATTTCATTGTCTTAGTTTATAATTCTTTTTATGTATTGTTTAATTTTATTTGCCAATATTTTGTTGAGGACTTTTGCATCTATGTTTATGAGAGACATTGGTCTGTAGTTTTCTCTTCTTGTAATGTCTTTGTCTTGTTTCAATATTAGAGTAATGCTGGCTTCATAGAATGAATTACAAAGTATTCCCTCTGCCTCTATCTTTTGAAAGATATTGTAGAGAATTGTTATAATTTCTTCCTTAAATATTTAATAGAATTAACCAGTGAACCCATATAGGCTGGGAGCTTTCTATTTTGGAAGGCTATCAATTATTGATTTAATTTCTTTAAAAAATACAGGCTTTTGACATTGTTTTAAGAAATAACTTCTTTCTTGGACAACTGATTTCAGTCTTCCTTCTTTGTTCACATTACATTTTCCTCTAAGACTGAGGAAACTTAGCTGCATCCATAAATTTTGATATGCTCTATTTTCTTATCATTCAGTTCAAATATTTTCTAATTTCCACTGCTTTTTGTCTCTTTCCTGACTCCCCCTGCCCTCCAGTCATTTAAAAGTGTCTTGTTTAATTTAAAACACCTAGAGGTGTACTGGGTGTCTTTTGTTCTTGATTTTTAGATTTCTGCCATAGCAGTAAAAGAAAATACTTTAATTTCAATTCTTAGGAATTAAGAATCATTTTATGACCTTGAATATAATCTATTTTGGTAAACATTTTATATGTTTACCAAATAAACATATAAAGAATGTTGTTGTTTTTGTTTTCTCTGCCATTTGTGGGCACCGTTCTATGTGTGTCAATTAATACAAGCATGCTAGTAGTATTGTTAATGCTTACTCTTTTTTATTATTTGTTGAACAAATAGGTTAATTTTTTTTTGAGATGAGGTTCTTGATATGTTGCCTAGCTGGCCTCAAACTCCTGGTTCTCAGCTTCCTAAGCAACTGGAACTATAAGCACATACCACCACACCCAGCTTAATTTTTAAATTATAGTTATTTTCTCATAAACTGTAGTTTTGTATGTATTTTTTAAGCTTTATATTTTAGACTATGTTATTAATAGCATACAAATTTAGGATGGTTATATCTTATAGTGGAGTAACATTTTATCTCTTGATTTTCCTTGCTATTATATAACATTACTATATTTGCTTTATCACGTTTAAACCTTTATATTTTTATAACCCTTGTCTCTCTACTGATTGATAATCTTATAAAAATAACTTCTGTTTTGTTATTTAAAATATTTTAAATGTAAAATCACTGTATTTTATTTGGAGCACTCACTGCACTTATGTTTAATGTAGTTATATTTTTATGTTTATATTATCTTTCTGCTTTTTGTTGCTCTTTCTCCCTTTATGCTTTATTTGGGATCAATCGTGTAATTGTATTATTCTCTTTCCCATCTTCTAACTTTTGTCTTAATTACCTTTTGTTATGCATTTTTTTACTTTACTTTTTGTGGTTACCCTAGTAATGACAACTTAGTTAATTAACTACTACTATAAAATAGCACTTTTAGGGCTTTCCAGACAACGTTAGGATTTTAGAATACTTTAGCTCCATTTATTCTTTTTATTATTATTGTCATGCATCTTGATTCTCCAATATCCTAGTAGCATAAATTATAATAATTGTTTTGTACAGTGAATATTCATTTAGACATTTCCCATTTATCATTTATTGTTTTTTATTTAATTTTATACTTCCTTCTAGATTTCTAACTACAAGTTGAAATTAAATCATTTATCATTGAAGAGGATGTATTATTCACCCCACAATATTTACTTAAGATCCATACTTTTCTTCTTTTGTCTCTATTGTTATCACATTTGTCTAAGCCTCCATCAATTTCTGGCATAGAACACTATTGAAGTTTCTTGTACTTCGAATGCCTAACATGAGTAGATTACAATTTTTTGGCAATTAAAAATATTGCTAAATTAATGAGTTCACTAAAGATTATTCTGCTGATTTACATGGTAAAATATCAGTAAAATAACACATAATGTACTTCATGGAAAGTATCTTTTGAGAGGATGAGAATACATGATCATACATAAGCAACAATTCTCCTTAAGTTTTTACTTTAACTTGTAGCTGACATAAATTAGTTCTATAATTCTGTGACATAAAACCCTGTAACTGCAAATATGTCAGAATTAATTGAGCATTTGCTATATACCAGGTACTTGAAAGGTAGTTTCTAATTGAAAATCTACAAAAAGTATTTTTGATTTAATATTTTTTTCCATTTACAGGTAACCTAAGATTGACTCAGGTTTTGTATCAGATTTCTTTTGTTGAAAAACTTTCTTTAACATTTCTTGTGACGAAGTCTGCTGTTATTGAATTGTCTCAGTTCTTTGTCAGCAAAAGTTGTTATTTCACTATCTTTTTTTAAAAAAATATTTTTGCTGAGTGTGGTGGCACATCTCTGTAGTCCCAAATACCTGGGAGGCTGAGGCTGGAGGATCACTTGAGCCCAGAAGTTCAAGTTAGGCCTAGGCTACAGAGTGAAACCCCATCTCTAAAACTAAAAAATAAAAAAAAAATTCTCATTTGTTACACATTTCGTGGGTTGAAGTTTTTATTTCAGAGCTTTAACAATGTCATTCAATTGTCTTTTGGCTTGCATAAAAACTGAACTTATTGTGGGCTTTGTTGTAGCTATAGTTATCCTTAGTGCCTTATCTGATTCAAGTTTCTTTTATTTTGTGCATAATGTACAAGTTGGATTGTCAGAGGGATTTTTCTCAATGACTGTATGTGTACAAAAGGCATTTCCATTGTCCTATTTCACACTGAGTCTCAGGCTAGCTTTGCGTTCCTGGATATTCAGGGATGTGTTTTTTTCTATGATTTTGCTCTTTTGCCAGACTAGTTTCCCTCTAATGGTTGTGATCTAGAATGTCACTTACCATTCTCCCAATGATAGAAGTTTTTAATTTTTTTCCCTGATTCTTTTCCCTAGCCTCAACTATGTTTGCTCCCTATACCCTCACAAAATCCCACTCATCATCCTGAGGTTCAAGATTTTTCTTTTCTTTTTTTTTTTTTTTTTTTCCTGTAGGGGACAAGGTTGCAGGCAGAACTTTCCTGGAGTGGCTGCTGCTTTTTTTTCTTCAGGCCTGCACCACAAAGAGGGACTTTTTTCTGTTTCTCACCTACCCAGGAATCTTTCTTGTGACTTCTTGGAGAAGTTCACGGAAAAACATCTGAGATTGAGTGTAAAATCCATAGTGCTTGTGGCTCTTGGAAATTCCATGCTCTCAAGCTCATCCGTGCTTGGGATTTAACAATTTGTTTAAAAATTTAGCTGCAATCTTCTTTCCAACTTACATGACAGTCCAGTTTTTCTATTATGTCCCGCCCAGGTTAGCCAGTAGTTGCATTCTTTAAAGGTACCTGTCTTTCCTCTGATTTTAGTCTCCTTGTTTCCCTTGTTACCTCAGCTACCTCAAAACAAGTTGTCATCTATCAGATTATTTGGCTTTTTCATGGTGTCCAAGTGACAACAATGCTCTATTTTTCTATGTTCTGATTGGAACCCAAATTTTTCTGGAGAAGTTTTGCTCAGATAAAAATCATTAAAACTGATCGAGACCATCCTGGCTAACACTGAAACCCCGTCTCTACTAAAAAAATACAAAAAATTAGCTGAGCGTGGTGGTGGGCACCTGTAGTCCCAGCTACTTGGGAGGCTGCTGCAGGAGAATGGCTCGAACCCCAGAGGCGGAGCTTGAAGTGGGCCTAGATCACGCCACTGTACTCCAGTCTGGGAGACAGAGCGAGACTCCATCTCAAAAAAAAAAAAAAAAAAAAAAGAAAAAAGAAAAAAAGTCATTAAAACTGGTGCATGGTTTGTACAGTAAGAAAGTTACACACAATTAAAAGAACTAGAGAAGCAAGAGCAAACACATTCAAAAGTTAGCAGAAGGCAAGAAATAACTAAGATCAGAGCAGAACTGAAGGAAATAGAGACACAAAAAACCCTTCAAAAAATCAATGAATCCAGGAGCTGGTTTTTTGAAAAGATCAACAAAATTGACAGACCGCTAGCAAGATTAATAAAGAAGAAAAGAGAGAAGAATCAAAGAGATGCAATAAAAAATGATGAAGGGGATATCACCACTGATCCCACAGAAATACAAACTACCATCAGAGAATACTATAAAAACTTGTATGCAAATAAACTAGAAAATCTAGAAGAAATGGATAAATTCCTGGACACGTAGACTAAACCAGGACTAAACCAGGAACAAGTTGAATCTCTGAATAGATCAATAACAGGCTCTGAAATTGAGGCAATAATTAATAGCTTACCAACCAAAAAAAGTCCAGGACCAGATGGATTCACAGCCAAATTCTACCAGAGGTACAAGGAGGAGCTGGTACCATTCCTTCTGAAACTATTCCAATCAATAGAAAAAGAGGGAATCCTCCCTAATTCATTTTATGAGGCCAGCATCATCCTGATACCAAAGCCTGGCAGAGGCACAACCAAAAAAGAGAATTTTAGACCAATATCCTTGAAGAACATCGATGCAAAAATCCTCAATAAAATACTGGCAAACTGAATCCAGCAGCACATCGAAAAGCTTATCCACCATGATCAAGAGAACTTCATCCCCGGGATGCAAGGCTGGTTCAACATACACAAATCAATAAACATAATCCAGCATATAAACAGAACCAAAGACAAAAACCACATGATTATCTCAATAGATGCAGAAAAGGCCTTTGACAAAATTCAACAACCTTCATGCTAAAAACTCTCAATAAATTAGGTATTGATGGGATGTATCTCAAAATAATAAGAGCTATCTATGACAAACCCACAGCCAATATCATACTGAACGGGCAAAAACTGGAAGCATTCCGTTTGAAAACTGGCACAAGACAGGGATGCCGTCTCTCACCACTCCTATTCAACATAGTGTTGGACTTTCTGGCCAGGGCAATCAGGCAGGAGAAGGAAATAAAGGGTATTCATTTAGGAAAAGAGGAAGTCAAATTGCCCCTGTTTGCAGATGACATGATTGTATATCTAGAAAACCCCGTCGTCTCAGCCCAAAATTTCCTTAAGCTAATAGGCACCTTCAGCAAAGTCTCAGGATACAAAATCAATGTGCAAAAATCACAAGCATTCTTATACACCAATAACAGACAAACAGAGAGCCAAATCATGAGTGAACACCCATTCACAATTGCTTCAAAGAGAATAAAATACCTGGGAATCCAACTTACAAGGAATGTGAAGGACCTCTTCAAGGAGAACTACAAACCACTGCTCAATGAAATAAAAGAGGATACAAACAATTGGAAGAACATTCCATGCTCATGGATAGAATCAATATCGTGAAAATGGCCATACTGCCTAAGGTAGTTTATAGATTCAATGCCATCCCCACCAAGCTACCAATGACTTACTTCACAGAATTGGAAAAAACTACTTTAAAGTTCATATGGAACCAAAAAAGAGCCCACATTGACAAGTCAATCCTAAGCCAAAAGAACAAAGCTGGAGGCATCACGCTACCTGACTTTCAACTATACTACAAGGCTACAGTAATCAAAACAGCATGTTAATGGTACCAAAACAGAGATATAGGCCAATGGAACAGAACAGAGCCCTCAGAAATAATAGCACATGTCTACAACCATCTCATCTTTGACAAATTTGACAAAAATGAGAAATGGGGAAAGGATTCCCTGTTTAACAAATGGTGTTGGGAAAACTGGCTAGCCATATGTAGAAAGCTGAAACTGGGTCCCTTCCTTACACCTTATACAAACATTAATTCAAGATGGATTAAAGACTTACATGTTAGACCTAAAACCATAAAAACCCTAGAAGAAAACCTAGGCAATACCATTCAGGACATAGGCATAGGCAAGGACTTCATGTCTAAAACACCAAAAGCAATGGCAACAAAAGCCAAAATTGACAAATGGGATCTAATTAAACTAACGAGCTTCTGCACAGCAAAAGATACTACCATCAGAGTGAACAGGCAACTGACAGAATGGGAGAAAATTTTTGCAATCTACCCATCTGACAAAGGGCTCATATCCAGAATCTACAAAGAACTCAAACAAGTTTACAAGAAAAAAACAAACAACCCCATCAAAAAGTGGGCGAAGGATATGAACAGACACTTCTCAAAAGTAGACATTTATGCAGCCAAAAAACACATGAAAAAATGCTCATCATCACTGGCCATCAGAGAAATGCAAATCAAAACCACAATGAGATACCATCTCACACCAGTTAGAATGGCAATCATTAAAAAGGCAGGAAACAACAGGTGCTGGAGAGGATGTGCAGAACTAGGAACACTCTTACACTGTTGGTGGGACTGTAAACTAGTTCAACCATTGTGGAATACAGTGTGGTGATTCCTCAGGGATCTAGAACTAGAAATACCATTTGACCCAGCCATCCCATTACTGGGTATATACCCAAAGGATTATAAATCATGCTGCTATAAAGACACATGCACATGTATGTTTATTGTGGCACTATCCACAATAACAAAGACTTGGAACCAACCCAAATGTCCAACAATGATAGACTGGATTAAGAAAATGTGGCACATATACACCATGGAATACTATGCAGCCATAAAAAATGATGAGTTCATGTCCTTTGTTGGGACATGGATGAAGCTGGAAACCCTCATTCTCAGCAAACTATCGCAAGGACAGAACACCAAACACTGCATGTTCTCACTCATAGGTGGAATTGAACAATGAGAACACCTGGACACAGGAAGGTGAACATCACACACCAGGGCCTGTTGTGGGGTGGCGGGGGGGTGGGGATAGCATTAGGAGATATACCTAATGTAAATGACGAGTTAATGGGTGCAGCACACCAACATGACACATGTCTACATATCTAACAAACCTGCATGTTGTGCACATGTACCCTAAAGTATAATAATAATAAAAAAGTTACACACATGTGTATTGGGCTATTAAGATTATTGCTTTTATTAGCAGTTCTGTTAACGTCACCACTTTGAAAATATAGTTTTTCTTTAAAAGGGTAGAACACAATTTTTCTGTAATTAAAACTTGTATTTTAATGTCATATTGTGTGATACCTCTGTCATATGATTATTAAACTGTATGTTTTGAGTTTTCTTTATTTAGTTTTTTTTACTAGTAGAATTACAGATTAAATGGATGTTCTTATGTGTGCAGAGACATCAGAAATTATAACAATGGATATTTTAACATAATCTCACCATAGGAAAACTGATTTTACTACCTATTCATTTAAAATTTTGGAAATTTTATTTATCTTTGGAGCATTTCAAAATGTGAGTGTAGTGCTTCCTTAGATAATCAAACAATTAATTTCAGTACACCAGAGTCTTAATTCTAATGTGTCACATCATTTCCATTAAATTTCATTTGATCACTCTGGCTATTATCGCATTTAACTTAATCAGTGTAAAAACTACTTCAAGTACAGTTTATATAAAAGAGACTAATGCACTCTCGACTTTCAATGAAAAAGTAATAGTCTAATGCACTCAGAAAAGCATTTCTTCAAAGCTGTTTTGAATAAATAGACAGGAAGTGTTCTATATTTACCCAGTTGGGTCAAAAAGTTAAAAGCAGAGTGACTGAAAAATATAAGTAACAGCTGTTTATTATGAATGTTTTACGGCCCTACATTATCTTTTTATATTGTCATTGTTAAGAATTAGATGAAGAAGTAAAGCAGTTAAACCATGTGGCCTTGACTTTTTTGAGTTTGGTGTTGTTCATTAATTTAACAAAAAATTATTGAGAGGCTATTTTATGGCAGGTGTTCAAGGAATTATGTATACTGTAGCGACAAAAAGAGACAACACTCCCTGTATTGAGTTGAGCATGAATAATAAAATTAAGGAGAAAGAGAGAAAACAATCCCTGCTTTATACATAGCTCTCCATAAAATTAAAATCACTGATTGTACTTTTATTTTAACTTTCTTAAAATCTCATGTGGAATAGGGTAAGTTTGCATATCACTAAAAGGTGTTACCAGTTGACTGCAGATTCAACTGCTATATTATTTTTCTAGCATAAATTTTTTTAGAGAAAACTGGACAATTAATTAGAGTGGTGTATGTGTATTTTCTTCTCTGAGGTTGTCAATAAAATTGATAGAGAGCTACAGCAGCCCATGAAATATGTGTTTCAAATTTAAGCAAAGTCTTATGCAAATCATGTATTGATTTTTCCCTTTTGGGTATAAGATAATTGCATGGCTCTTCTTAGCTCTTTGTGTTCCTGAGACAGTACTAGGTTTTCAGCAGTCTGATTAAGGTTGCATTTACATAATGTTGGTTTTTGGTTTTCCTGTGTCATGCTGAAGCTAGATCTTATTGTCCTTGTGAAAGCCAATGATTATATCTTCAGGAAACTTGAGACCTGGTTGTTTAACCATTGGTGGCTTAAAATCTGACATAGTGGAGAATTTACACCAAAAGAAATTGGCAAATGCTACTAATTAGTTCATACCCTCAAGAAAGCCCATAGCTAAACATTTATCAGCACATCAAGGGATTTTACCCTCAAGAGTGTCATTATATGAAGCATCTGCCCATTTGGAGTCTTGACCCATGGGGAGACGTAATGGAAGGTTTCTTTTTTTCCCCCTCTCTCTACTCCTTAAATCTTTATTACAAGCCTGTGTCCTTTCTTGAGGTCCCACATCCTCAAAAAAGTGCTGCTATTTTGTTTCTCCCTCCTATAAGGTAGTGATTTCTTTTTCCTTTCCTAGTTTCCATACAAAGGAAAAAAAAAAACTTTAGTGTCAGTGAGAGCCTAATCAAATATAATAAAAATTTTCCTCCTCTATATATTTTGGATCCTGATTTCAGTCCTATTTGCAGTCTCAACCTTGATTCAATTGCATTGATTCTTCTATTATGTAGTATATTTTTAGCCAGTATTCCGGGACTTGGCATGTTATTCTTGTGTTTTGCAGTCTTAGGACCATCTTCACGTTTAAATATTTCCTGGAAGGATTCATGCGACTTAGAATACAGTTAAGGATAAATAGTTGCATCATAATAGTTGCATCATAAGGGAAAAATACATAGGTAGTGTCTGGAGGAATTCATCTGCAGGCTTCCTTATGTATTCCCCCTCTCATGAGGGGTCACATAGAACATACTCTTTCCCAGCTATGAAAATGCAGCATGTGTGCAGTGTTTCTATTAAGGGAACTCACTAAAGACTCTATGCTTAGGATTTTACTGGGGGTTTGCAATGATCTGAATGTTTATGTCCTTCCCAAAATTCATTAACTTGAAATCTTAATCTTATTGTAATATGGAGACCCTCATTTTAAGGTGGGGTCTTTAGGAAGTAATTTTGTCATGAGGTGAAGCCCTTATGAATGGGATTAGTGCACTTAGACAAGGCCAGAGAACAAGCTCCCTTACTTTCTTCCATGTGAGGATACAAGGAGAAGTGGGAATAGTCTGCAACCTGGAAGAGGGCTCTCGCTAGAAGAACCTGACCATGCCAACACTCTGATTTTGGAGTTCCAGCCTCCAGAATGCTTTGAAATAAATTTATTTTGTTTATAAGTCACCCAGACTATGGTATTTGTTATAGGAGCCTGAACTAATAGAGACAGGCCTGGTCACAGAGGTACCCTCTGTCTAGCACATACCAAAATTCCCAGAAGACTCCCAGAAGAAAGGCAGGTGTAGCATAAACCACATTGTTTGCATAAACACTCTAGGCACAATATGTCACCCTTATCATTTAGAAAATGGTAAGAAAATTCCCAAAATGTAAGTCCCCAGACATCAGCCAAGGGTCATCCTTCAAAGCAGACTTTTCTAAAGATAGCAGTCCCAGGCCAGCTATGTTAACCAAAAATTAACTTTGTTTATAGTAATCTAATTCTAAAAACTTTGTATGCCAGTGGTAATAATCAAGGTCTTAAATGTCTTTGTACCTTAATTATAATAACCAGTTTAGAGTTATTAACCAGATCATATCAACCAAGTTATCTTACTTTTTACTACCTAGCCGAGTTCTAATAACTAGATCACTGTGCCTGCTTCTTTGTGCTTTTTTCTTTATTCATTTTATGCATTCACCCCTTCAATAAATATTCATGGCTTTACATACCACAAACAGCACAAAATATATAGTACTAAATAGTACAAATTTTTTTCTTAAATAACTTGTACTTGTGTGTGGTGAGTACATGTGTATTGGAGTATACAGATTGTCAACTTGTGCTTAATATAATATATAATATATAATATATTATATTTATTATTGGTTGAGAAAAATAAGGACCTTGTATTAAGTATGTTTAATTTGGGATATATTTGATGGCTAAGTGTAGATGTTGCATAGGCAGTTAGATATACCAGTCTGTAGACTGGGGTGGTGGGTGAGGATTGGAGAACAAACTTGGGATTTACCAAATTAAAGATGATATTCAAATCTATAGATGGAACACATCACAAAATGTAGCTGGCAAAACACAGATTACAAGAACAAAGCCACGGGACATTCTAATTGGTACAAGTGTAGAAAAAGAGTAGATGCCTGCAGAGGAAGCTGAAAGAAGTTGTCAAAGAGGTAGGAGAACCAAGAAAATGTGGTGTCCAGAATAAATATGAAGAAAGCCTTTCAACAAGGAAGAAGCGATCAACATTGACAGATGTTGCTGATTGTTTGTATTAATTGAGGTTTGAGAACTGACATTGCTGTGACACTGGCAAAGCAGATCAATGGAGTGGTCTGATATAAGTTAGTGTGGGTTTGAGAGAGGGAAAGATGGCCACCTAGATGCAATCAGGTGGAACAGCTGCCACCGAGGGACTGAGATGCTGGCAAATGCCTAACAGATCTTCAGAGAGAAGGCACTGAGATTGAACAGAGGGAAGACACAGAAGCTGAGCTGAAGTGGGAGGAAGCTGGGAATCCTACACAGGCTACAGCACACCTGGACTTGTTCCTGGCCCCCAACAGCTCCTGGGAGACAGGTAAGTTGAACTGGCAAGTAGCAGCCCACTCTTGCCAGGGGCCTCTGGAATCCTGGCAGGAGGAGACCCCTTGACCACCACAGACATTCAAATTGGCTGCTCAGAGAAGTGGTGGGGCAGCAAGCCAGTTGATATGGAGCCCAGAGGGATTGGTGTGGATGTGTCAGTACTGGAGCATGGCCAGGGACAGCCATCCCATAGGCTCAACTTGCTCCCACAGGAGACTTTAGCCTTAAGGGAGATGTTGGACCTGAACTCTGCAAGGTTGTCTTGACCATCAGACGGACTGGTCTGAACTAAGCACCCCTTGGTCTGCTGGCCTCTCCTGGGGCCCCAGACTGATTGTGCCTGCATGCAGGGGAACCTCAGGTGCCCTGGGCGCCTGCATCGTAGCCTCTGCACTGGCAGACCATACCTGTGGAGAGCTCTAGTGAGGCAGCCCTAATGGCTATGCACCAGCCTGCCCACTCCCTCTCCATAGTGTAACTTCTCCTGGGCACCTGGCAACCCACCACATCACTTTGCTGACACATGTGTGCACAACTCACATGTCTGCACGCACTGTACCCTGCCACTGCTGCTGGCAGGAGTGAAGTCTGCCCCCATACTCCTTGTGGCTCCTTGTAGGACCATCATTGCAGTCTGAGCTTTGGTGGGCACACAGCCATCCAGCCATGTCCCTACCAGTGCCCCACCCTTGTGCCAAAATTGCCACACTAGTGAAAATAGACACAGAGAACATCAGATCATCCCCTGACCTGAGTGACCACCCCTGCCTGTGGCACACAGAAAGTGCACACAAACACGTGCCTGTCTGCACCCTGCCCCCATGCTAACACCATCACCTGAACAACCATGTGCACATTCACCCGCAGAGTCCCCTCCACTGCCACAAGCAGCTGCCTCCATCACTCTGGTGGAAGCCCACAGGAAGGCTGTCACCCTGGCACCCTCAGAACCTTCCCACAGCAAGAGTGTGCATCCCATCACACTACTGTTGCTGCTGGCATATGTAAACAAAGACAGATCCTGCAGCAGCTGTACCATGAAATGCTTTGGCTGACACCAACCATTGAAGTGTTGTGACCAGGGTCTGTAGGCACATCGGCCCCCCAGTGCAGTGAATTTCTAACCTTAAGGAGCCAGAGAACAAAGTTAGGGCTCAATACAAGTCCCCCCAGAGTTAGAGCACATGGTCCAGAAGCTGAAAACTGAGCACTGGCCCTCTAAAATGTTCCAGAAATGAAGCCAGTCAGCTGAATTCACTTTATACCACAATAGTACCCTTAAGGTCATCAAATAGGATAAAAGAAAAAAAAAATCATCTAAAGATCAGCAACTTCAAAGATTGAGTAAACATTGGCACACAAAGATGAGAAAGAACTTATGTGAAAATTCTGTCAACTCGAAAAGCCAGGATGCCTTCTTTACTCCAAACAGCAACACTATTTTTCTAGTAAGGGTTCTGAACCAAGATGAGATGGTTGAAATGACAGAAATAGAATTTATGATATGAATAAGAATATAGATCATTGAAATGCAGAAGTATGTTGAAACCCAATCCAAGGAGGCTAAGAGTCACAATAAAATGATAAAGGAGCTGACAGACCATAAAATAGCCACTGTAGAAAAGAATGTTACTGACCTAATAGAATTGAAAAACACACTACAATAATTTCATAATGCAATCAAAAGTATTAATAGCCAAATACGCCAAGTGGAGGAAAGATCCTAGAGCTTGAAGATTGGGTTTCTGATTTGACGGTCAGACAGAAATAAAAAAAGATGAAAAGAATGTACAAAACCTCTGAGAAATATGGGATTACATAAAGAGATATAATCTATGACAAATTGGTGCCCCTGAAAGAGATGCGGAGAGTATAAACAGCATGGAAAACATATTTCAGTACATCATCCAGGAGAACGTTCCCAATCTAGCTAAAGAGGCCAACATTCAAATTCAGGAAGTGCAGAAAATCCCAGTAAGATACTTCACAAGGTCATCCCCAAGGCACATAATCATCAGATTCTCTAAGGTCAAAATTAAAGAAAAAATGATAAAGGCAGCTAGAAAGAAAGGTCAAGTCACATACAAAAGGAAGCCCATCAGGCTAACAGCAGTCCTCTCAGAAGAAACCCTACAAGCCAGAAGAGTTTAGGGGCCAATATCCAACATTCTTATTAAAGAGAAATTCCAACCCACAATTTCTTATCTAGCCAAACTAAGCTTCATAAGTGAAGGAGAAATAAGATCCTTTTCAAACAAGCAAATGCTGAGGAAATTTGTTTTCACCAGACTTGCTTACAAGTACTCCTGAAGGAGATCTGCAAAGAGACTTAGACTCCCATAAAATAATATTGGGAGACCTTGACACCCCTCTGACATTAGTAGATAGATTTTTGAGGCAGAAAACTAGCAAACATATTCAGGACCTGAACTCAGCAGTGGGTCAAATGGACCTCATAGATATCTACAAAATTCTCCACACAAAACAACATAATATATATTCTTCCCATCTCCACATGGCACATACTCTAAATCGACCATGTAATGGGACACAAAACACTCCTCAGTAAATTCAAAACAACTGAAATTATAACAATTACTCTCTTTGACCACAGCACAATCAAAAGTGAATTCAAGACTAAGAAGTTCACTCAAAACCATACAACCACATTGAAGTTGAATAACCTATCCCTGAATGATTTTTGGATCTGTAATAAAATTAAGGCAGAAATCAAGAGGTTCCTGAAACTAACGAGAACAAAGATGTAACCTACCAGAATTTCTGGGACACATGTAAGGCAATGTTAGGAGGGCAATTTATAGCACTAAATACCCATATCAAAATGTTAGAAAGTTCTCAATTTAGCAACCTAACTAAAAGAAATAGAGAACCAAAAGTAAACCAACAACAAAGTTAGCAGAAGACAAGAAATGATCCAAATCAGAACTGAACTAAAGGAGATTGAGATATGGAAAACCATTTGAAAGATCAACAAACCTCAAAGTTGTTTTTTTGAAAAAAACTATAAAATCAATTGCTAGACAAATAAACAAGGAAAGGGAAATGATCCAAATAAACACAATTAGAAATGACACTGACCCCTCAGACATACAAATAACCATCAGAGCTTATTATGAACATCTCTATGCACACAAACTAGAAAATCTAGAAGAAATGGATAAAACATGGACACATACACCATACCAAGACTGAAGCAGGCAGAAATTAAGTCCCTACATATATCAGTAATGAAGTCTGAAATTGAATCAGTAATAAATAGCCTACCAACCAAGGAAATCCCTGAAACAGATGGATTCACAGTTGAATTCTACCAGATGTACAAAGAATAGCTGGTATTATTCCTACTCAAACTATTCCAAACAATTGTGGAGGACAGACTCCTCCCAAACTCATTCTCTGAGACCAGCATCATCCCGATACCAAAACATGGCAGAGGCACCACAACAAAAAAAGAAAACTTCAGGCCAATATCCTTGATGAACATTAACGCAAAAATCCTCAACAAAATACTGTTAAACCGAATCCAGCAGCACATCAAAAAGCTAATCCAACTTGATCAAGTGGGCTTTATCCCTGGGATGAAAGGTTGGTTCAACATATGAAAATCAATAAATATGATTCATCATATAAACAGAATGAAGGGCAAAAACCACATTATCATCTCAATAGATGCAGAAAAGTATTTTGATGAAATTCAACATTGTTTCATATTAAAAACTCTCAACAAACTAGATACTGAAAGAGCATACCTTAAAATAATATAAGAGCCATCTATGACAAACTCACAGCCAAACCCACATCATAGTGATTGGGCAAAATATGGAAGCATTCCTCTTGAAAACTGGCACAAGAGAAGAATGTCCTCTCTTACCATTCCCATTTGATATAGTATTGGAAGTTTTGGCCAGAGCAATCAAGCAAGAGAAAGAAACAGATAGCATCGAAACAGAAAGAAATGAAGTCAAACAATCCCTGTTAGCAGACGTGATCCTATATCTCAAAAACCCCATAGTCTCAGCTCTAAGGCTCTTAAGCTGATAAACAACTTCAACAAAGTCTCAGGATACAAAATCAATGTACAAAAATTACTAGGACTCTGGTACACCAATGACAGTCAAACCAAGAGCCAAATCAGGAATGCAATCCCATTCACAACTGCCACAAAGAGAATAAAATACCTAGGAACACAGCTAACCAAGGAGGTGAAAGACCTCTACAAGAAGAATTACAAATCACTGCTGAAAGAAATCAGAGATGACAGAAACAAATAGAAAAACATTCCATGCTTATGAATACAAAGAATCAATATCATTAAAATGGCCATACTGCCTAAAGCAATTTACACATTCAGTGCTATTCCTATGAAACTACCAATGACATTCTTCACAGAACTAGAAAAAACGATTTTAAAATTTATATGGAACCAAAAAGGCCCTGAATAGCCAAAGCAATCACAGGCAAAAAGAACAAAGCAGGAGGCATCATCCTACCTAACTACATGGTGAAAGTAACCAGAATAGCACAGTACTACTACAAAATCAGATACACAGACCAGTGGAAGAGAACACAGAGCCCCAAAGTAAGGCCGCATACCTACAACCATCTGATCTTCAAAGCTGACAAAAACAAGCAATGGGGAAAGGACTTCCTATTCAATAAATGGTGCTGGGATAATTGGCTAGCCATACGCAGAAGGTTGAAACTGGACCCTTCCTTACACCATATAAATAAATTAACTCAAGATGGATTAAATATTTAAACATAAAACCCAAAACTGCAAAAACCCTGGAAGACAGCCTATAGAACCTCACTGATCATTAGAGAAATGCAAATCAAATTCACAATTAGATACCATCTGACACCAGTCAGTATGGCTATTATTAAAGAGTCAAGAAATAGCAGATGCTGGCAAGGTTGTAAAGAAAAGAGACCACTTTTACTCCCATTGTTGGTGGGAGTATAAATTAGTTCAACCATTGTGGAAAGCAGTGCGTTGATTCCTCAAGGAGATATTAAAAGTAATGGCAAAAACCACAATTACTTTTACACCAACCTAATAAAAACAGAACTACCATGTGACCCAGCCATTGCTTCACTAGGTATATACCCAAGGGAATATAAATCATTCTATCATAAAGACACATGAACCTATATGTTCATTGCAGCACTATTCACAAAAGTAAAGACATGGAATCAACATAAATGCCCATCAATGATAGACTGGATAAAGAAAATATGGTACAAATACACGGTGGAATTCTACATGGTCAAAAAAGAAAGCAAGATCATGGCCTTTGCAGGAACATGGATGGAGCTAGAGGTCATTATCTTTAGCAGACTAACCCAGGAACAGAAAAGCAAACACCACATTATCTCACTTATTAGTGGGAGCTAAATGATGAGAAGACATGGGCACATAGAGGGGAACAATAAACACTGGGGCCTATCAGAGGTTAGAAGGTGGGAGGAGGGAGATGATGAGGAAAAGTAATTAATGTGTACTAGGCTTAATACCTGGGTGATGAAATAATCTGTACAACAAAACCCTATGATACAGATTTACCTATATAACAAACCTGCGTATGTACCCCTGATTTAAAAGGAAAAAAAAATTAGTGTGGGTTCAAGAAATAATGTGAAAAATGGAAAGGTAGACCATGAGTACAGAGGGTAGCTGGAGAGATTTTTGGGGTCAAGAAGATTTTTAAATTGATGCTGATATAGCATATTTAATTATGAAGGAAATAATTCAAAGGTGGGAAAATCCTAATAGTGCACAAAGTAAAGAGGACAGGGCAACAGCAGAAGTGAAGACAGGACATATGAGAATAAAAGTAGGTGGGTTGGTGGATGTGGTATTGGATGCTTCTGAATGCTTCTATTATTTTCAGTAAAATATTTACAAGGTGAACATCTGAATGTGAAGAGTAGGGGAGAAGTTCTGCTAATTTGAGAAGAGACAAAATGAATATACTGGGTTTTTAAAATATACTTTAAGTTCTAGGATACATGTGCACAACGTTCAGGTTTGTTACATAGGTATACATGTGCCACGTTGGTTTGCTGCACCCATCAGCTAGTCGTTTACATTTGGTATTTCTCCTAACGCTATCCCTCCCCCAAACCACCACCACGCAACAGGCCCTATTGTGTGAAATTCTCCTCCCTGTGTCAATGTGTTCTCAATGTTCAACTTCCACTTATGAGTGAGAACATGTGGTATTTGGTTTTCTGTCCTTGTGATATTTTGCTGAGAGTAATGGTTTCCAGCTTCATCCATGTCCCTGCAAAGGACATGAACTCATCCCTTTTTATGGCTGAATAGTATTCCATGGTGTATATGTGCCACATTTTCTTTATCCAATCTATTATTGATGGACATTTGCTAAGTCCATCCAAGTCTTTGCTATTGTGAATAGTGCCGCAGTAAACATACGTGTGCAGGTGTCTTTAGATTTGCATGATTTATAACCCTTTAGGCATATACCCAGTAATGAGATTGCTGGGTCAAATGGTATCTCTAGTTCTAGATCCTTTAGGAATCACCACGCTGTCTTCCACAATGGTTGAACTAATTTACACTCCCACCAAAAGGGTAAAAGTGTTCCTATTTCTCCACATGCTATCCAGCATCTGTTGTTTCCTGACTTTTTAATGATCACCATTCTAACTGGCGTGTGATGGTATCTCATTGTGATTTTGATTTGCATTTCTCTAATGACTAGTAATGATGAGCATTTTTTCATATGTTTGTTGGCTGCATAAATGTCTTCTTTTGAGAAGTGTCTGTTCATACACTTTGCCCACTTGTTGATGGGGTTGTTTTTTTCTTGTATATTTGAGTTCTTTGTAGATTCTGGATATGAGCCCTTTGTCGGATGAGTAGATTGCAAAAATTTTTTCCCATTCTGCAGGTTCCCTGTTCCCTCTGATGATAGTTTCTTTTGCTGTGCAGAAGCTCTTTAGTTTAATATGTCCCATTTGTCTATTTTGGCTTTTGTTGTCATTGCTTTTGGTGTTTTAGTCATGAAGTCTTTGCCCATGCCTATGTCCTGAATGGTACTGCCTAGGTTTTCTTCTAGGGTTTTTATGGTTTTAGGTCTTACATTTAAGTCTTTAATCCATCTTGAGTTAATTTTTGTGTAAAGTGTAAGGAAGGGATCCAGTTTCAGCTTTCTACATATGGCTAGCCATTTTTCCCAGCACCATTTATTAAATTGGGAATCCTTTCCCCATTGCTTGTTTTTGCCAGGTTTGTCAAAGATGAGATGGTTGTAGATGTGTGGTGTTATTTCTGAGGCCTCTGTTCTGTTCCATTGGTCTATATATCTGTTTTGGTAACAGTACCATGCTGTTTTGGTTACTGTAGCCTTGTAGTATTGTTTAAAGTCAGGTAGTATGATGCCTCCAGCTTTGTTCTTTTTGCTTAGGATTGTCTTGGCTATGCAGGCTCTTTTTTGTTTCCATGTGAAATTTAAAGTAGTGTTTTCCAATTCTGTGAAGAAAGTCAGTGGTAGCTTGATGAGGATAGCATTGAATCTATAAATTACTTTGGGTAGTATGGGCAATATGGCCATTTTCACGATATTGATTCTTTCTATCCATGAGCATGGAATGTTCTTCCATTTGTTTGTGTCCTCTTTTATTTCGTTGAGCAGTGGTTTGTAATTCTCCTTGAAGAGGTCCTTCACATCCCTTGTAATTTGGATTCCTAGGTATTTTATTCCCTTTGTAGTAATTGTGAATGGGAGTTCACTCATGATTTGGCTCTCTGTTTGTCTGTTCTTGGTGTATGGAATGCTTTTAATTTTTGCACATTGATTTTGTATCCTGAGACTTTGCTGAAGTTGCTTATCAGCTTAAGGAGATTTTGGGCTGAGATGATGGGGTTTTCCAAATATAAAATGATGTCATCTGAAAACAGAGACAATTTGACTTCCTCTTTTCCTAACTGAACACCCTTTATTTCTTTATATTGCCTGATTGCCCTTGCCAGAACTTGCAATACTATGTTGAATAGGACTGGTGAGAGTGGCATCCTTGCCTTATGTTGATTTTCAAAGGGAATGCTTCCAGTTTTTGGCCATTCACTATGATATTGGCTGTGGGTTTGTCGTAAATAGCTCTTATTATTTTGACCTACATTCCATCAATACCTTGTTTATTGAGAGTTTTTAGCATCAAAGGCTGTTGAATTTTGTGGAAGGCCTTTTCTGCTTCTATTGAGCTAATCATGTGGTTTTTGTTCTTGGTTCTGTTTATGTGATGGATTAAGTTTATTGATTTGTGTATGTTGAACCAGGCTTACATCCCAGGGATGAAGCTGACTTGATCGTGGTGTATGAAGCTGACTTTATCATGGTGGAATCATGGTGGATGTGCTGCTGAATTCGCTTTGCCAGTATTTTATTGAGGTTTTTTGTATCAATGTTAATCAGGGATATTGGTCTAAAATTCTCTTTTTTTGTTGTGTTTCTGACAGGCTTTGGTATCAGGATGATCCTGGCCTCATAAAATGAGTTGGGGAGGATTTCCTCTTTTTGTATTGATTGGAGTAGTTTCAGACGGAGTGGTACCAGCTCCTCTTTGTAGCTCTGGTAGAATTCGGCTGTGAGTCCATCTGGTCCTGGACTTTTTTTGGTTGGTAGGCTATTAATCATTGCCTCAATTTCAGAACCCATTATTGGTCTATTCAGAGATTCAACTTCTTCCTGGTTTAATCTTGCGAGAGTGTATCTGTCCAGGAATCTATCCGTTTCTTGTAGATTTTCTAGTTTATTTGTGTAGAGGTGTTTGTAGTTTTCTCTGATGGCAGTTTGTATTTCTGTGGGATCGGTGGTGATATCTCCTTTATCACTTTTTATTGCATCTATTTGATTATACTCTCTTTTATTCTTTATTAGTCTTGCTAGTGGTCTATCTATTTTGTGGATCTTTTCAAAAAACCAGCTTCTTGATTCGTTGATTTTTTGAAGTATTTTTTGTGTCTCTATCTCCTTTAGTTCTGCTCTGATCTTAGTTATTTATTGTCTTCTGCTAGCTTTTGAATTTGTTCGCTCTTGCTTCTCTAGTTCTTTTAATTGTGATGTTAGGGTGTCAATTTTAGATCTTTCCTGCTTTCTCTTATGGGCATTTAGTGCTATAAATTTCCCCCTACACACTGCTTTACACGTATCTGAGACATTCTGGTATGTTGTGTCTTTGTTCTCCTGGTTTCAAAGAACATCTTTATTTCTGCCTTCATTTCGTTATGTACCCAGTAGTCATTCAGGAGCAAGTTGTTCAGTTTCCATGCAGTTGTGTGGTTTTGAGTGAGTTTCTTAATACTGAGTCCTAATTTGATGGCACTGTGGTCTGAGAGACAGTTTGTTGTGATTTCTGTTCTTTTACATTTGCTGAGGAGTATTTTACTCCAATTATATGGTCAATTTTAGAATAAGTGTGCTGTGGTGCTGAGAAGAATGTATATTCTGTTAATTTGGGGTAGAGAGTTCTGTAGATGTGTTTTAGGTCCACTTGGTCCAGAGCTGAGTTCAAGTCCTGGATATCCTTGTTAATTTTCTGTCTTGTTGATCTGTCTGATATTGACATTGGAGTGTTAAATTCTCCCATTATTATTATGTGGCAGTCTAAGTCTCTTTGTAGGTCTCTAAAAACTTGCTTTATGAATATGGGTGCTCCTGTAATGGGTGCCTATATATTTAGGTGAGCTCTTCTTGTTGAATTGATCCCTTTACCATTGTGTAATGGCCTTCTTTGTCTCTTTTGATATTTGTGGGTTTAAAGTATGTTTTATCAGATACTAGGGTTACAACCCCTGCTTTTTTTTGCTTTCCATTTGCTTGGTAGATCTTCTTCCATCCCTTTATTTTGAGCCTATGTATGCCTTTGCATGTGAGATGGGTCTCCTGAATACAGCACACCGATGGGTCTTGACTCTTTATCCAATTTGCCGGTCTGTGTCTTTTGATTGGGGCATTTAGCCCACTTACATTTAAGGTTAATATTGTCATGTGTGAATTCGATCCATCATTATGATGCTAGCTGGTTATTTTGCCCATTAATTGATGAAGTTTCTTCATAGCATCAATGGTTTTTACAATTTGTCATGTTTTTGCAGTGGCTGGTATCAGTTGTTTTTTTCCATGTTTAGTGCATCCTTCAGGAGCTCTTGTAAGGCAGGCCTGGTGGTGACAAAATCTCTCAGCATTTGCTTGTCTATAAAGGATTTTATTTCTCCTTCACTTATGAAGCTTAGTTTGGCTGTATATCAAATTCTGGGTTGAAAATTCTTTTCTTTAAGAATGTTGAATATTGACCCCCTCTCTTCTGGCTTGTAGGGTTTCTGCTGAGAGATCCACTCTTAGTCTGATAGGCTTGCCTTTGTGGGTAACCTGGCTTTTCTTTCTGGCTGTCCTTAACATTCTTTTCCTTCATTTCAACCTTGGTGAATCTAATAATGATGTGTCTTGGGGTTGCTGTTCTTGAGGAGTATCTTTGTGGTGTTTTCTGTTATTTCCTGAATTTGAATGTTGGCCTGCCTTGCTATGTTGGGTAAGTTCTCCTGGAGAATATCCTGAAGAGTGTTTTCTAAGTTGTTCTATTCTCCCTGTCGCTTTCAGGTACACCAATCAAAAGTAGATTTGGTCTTTTCACATAGCCCCATATTTCTTGGAGGATTTGTTTGTTTCTTTTCACTCTTTTTTCTCTAATCTTGCCTTTCACTTTATTTCATTAATTTGATCTTCAATCACAGATATCCTTTCTTCTGCTTGATCAAATTGGCTATTGAAGCTTGTGAATGCTTCATAAAGTTCTTGTACTGTGGTTTTCAGCTCCATCAGGTCATTTAAGGTCTTGTCTACACTGGTTATTCTAGTTAGCCATTCATCTAACCTTTTTTCAAGGTTTTTAGCTTCCTTATGATGGGTTAGAACATGCTCCTTTAGCTCGGAGAAGTTTGTTATTACCGACCTTCTGAAGCCTACTTCTGTCAACTCGTGCAACTCATTCTCCATCCAGTTTTGTTCTCTTGCTGGTGAGGAGTTGTATTCCTTTGGAGGAGAAGAGGTGTTCTGGTTTTTGGAATTTTCAGCCTTTCTGCTCTGGTTTCTCCCCATCTTTGTGTTTTATCTACCTTTGGTCTTTGATGTTAGTGACTTACGGATGGGGTTTTGGTGTGGATGTCCTTTTTGTTGATGTTGATGCTATTCCTTTCTGTTTGTTAGTTTTCCTTCTAACAGACAGACCCTTCTGTTGGAGTTTGCTCAAGGTCCAGTCTAGACCCTGTTTTCCTGGGTATCACCAGTGGAGGCTACAAAACAGCAAATATTGCTGCCTGATCCTTCCTTTGGAAGCTTCATCTCAGAGGGGCTCCTGCTTGTATGAGATGTCTTTCAGCCCCTACTGGGAGGTGTCTCCCAGTCAGGCTACACAGGGGTCAGGGTCCCACTTGAGTAGTCAGTCTGTCCATTATTGAAACTCAAACGCCTTTCTGGGAGAACCACTGCCCTTTTCAGAGATGTTAGGCAGGAACGTTTAAGTCTGGAGAAGCTGTCTGCTGCCTTTTGTTCAGATATCTGAACAAAGTGGTGGAATCTAGAGAGGCAGTAGGCCTTGCTGAGCTAAGGTGGGCTCCACCCAGTTTGAGCTTCTCTGCTGCTTTGTTTACACTGTGAGTATAGAACTGCCTACTCAAGCCTCAGCAATGGCTGACGCCCCTCCCCTCACCAAGCTCCAGTGTCCCAGGTAGATCTCAGACTGCTGCGCTAGCAGCAAGCAAGGCTCCGTGGGCATGGGACCGGCCCAGCCAGGCACGGGAGGGAATCTCCTGGTCTGCTGGTTGTGAAGACCATGGGAAAAGTGCAGTATTTGGGCAGGAGCGTACCATTCCTCCAGGTACAGTCACTCACAGCTTCCCTTGGCTAAGAAAGGAAAATCCCCTGACCCCTTGCACTTCCTGGGTGAGGTGATGCCCATGCCCCACCCTACTTTGGCTCGCCCTCCATGGGCTGCACCCACTGTCCAACAAGTCCCAATGAGATGAACCAGGTACCTCAGTTGGAAATGCAGAAATCACCCATCTTCTGTGTCAATCTCACTGGGAGCTGTAGACCAGAGCTGTTCCTATTTGGCCATCTTGGAAGTGACAAAAATATACTGTTGATCTAGGATGATGGGTAGCTAAACTGACAAAGGAAAGACAATAGGATCCAAATGAAAGCACATATTCAGCCTGAGATATGTAGTGAAGAATTTAGAGTTAGTAAGTGATTAATTCAGGGCCTTCAAGAGCCAGATGCCATGGTGGGATTAGAAGTGTAAGTAATTTATTGGGAGAGATGATGGTGAAGGATAAAGGGGAGAGTTGGGCACAGATGAGAAGAGTCTTCAGACTGCGATGCAGGTCTGACACCTGTGAAATGAGAGAAAAGGCAGGAAAAGTGGGTAGGAGAGCATCAGTCTGCAGTGTATCTGAGAGTGTCTTGACCAGGCCCATGTGGAGTCCCTCACAAGGTTGACTGTTGAAAGAGCTGGATTGTTAGAGCATGAGGCTGAAATAGCTCATCCCTAATATCCTTGTCATGCCCAATTATTGGCCCAAGCAGCCTAACCAAGTAGGGCTTTGGTCTGAGTGTGGCAGAGAATGTTCAGGTGCTGCAGGTGGGGGCTTTAAGTCAACTGTGCTCACCACAGCAGGTTATCTTGAAGGGAGATCTGAGGTGCACACATTCATGGCCAGCATGGTCATCTTGGTTATGTGTTTTACTCTATCCACGCTTATTGCTCTGATGTTTGTAAGGAGGAAGTGATATGTTACATGTAGCTCTGACAACTTCTAGGGTAGAAATATGAAGGGAAAGAGGTATAAACAAATGGAAGCATACACAAAGCAGTTATAATGAGGAAACACTGAATGTAAGCTGGCTATGGAAATGAGTACCAGAGGGGACTGAAGTTCAGTTATTAATTCCTTAATTTTCTTTACAAGTTTATTTTCTGAGTATAAAAGGGCTTTATCATGTCATGCACACACACACACACACACACACACACACACACACACACATACATACATACAGAGAGAGAGGGAGAAATAAACAATTTCAAAAATTTTCTATGTAAGTATTTACATATGACTTAGGTATGAGAGGAGAGATATAAATGTGCTATTCTCTGGTTAAGTTCCAATTCCCATATGTTTCTTAAACTTTTAAACACGCTGAGTTTGATTGCAGCATTGATCCCAAATTCCATGGAAGTACTTCATTAGATGCTCAAATGGAGAGGACACATCCAATGTAATGATCTTGTTATAATGGGAGATAATATGCCATTCTGCAAAGTAATGTCTTACTGGGAGAATTTGAAGGGTACTTTGAACTCTAGGGATTTATGCTTCATTCACTGACTTTGGGATTAAATCCCAGTGTAAGATCCTTGACTTTGGAATTGAATCTCTAGTGCAGTCTCTGCACTAGGGACTACTCCTCGGTTACCTCTTAGTTTGCCTCCAGTTGCATATTTAGATACCCTGTTCCCTGAGTGAATATTCTGGAACTAGCAAATTCACATATATCTGTGGCTTTTCCCACCACATACCAAGTTCTAACCCCTGAATTTGTCTGCAGTTTTTTCCTCTTTGTGCTGGGTATATCCTCTCAGTTCTTTTCCCACTTCAATGGATAGGTTTAGTTTCAAATATGGTCCTTCTTCAATATAGCTTGTCCTGCTCCAATTAACAAAGCCATGCTTGGCTATGTCAGCAATATAAACAAGTAAATAATAATTATGATCACTACCATTATCACTAGTAAGTGAGAGCAGCTATTCTCTGCTCTGAGAGCTTTAAGCAATAGTCACATTCAATTCTTATAACCATACTATAGTATTTTAATACTATTATTATCTCTATTTTATTGATGAAAAAAATGAAGCCCAGATTATATGATGTACCTAAATTTATACAGTAAATGGTAGCCACGGAGAAACCAGGTAGACTTCAAATTCTCTGTTTTAATTAGTCTCTTAACACTCTTAATGCTGGACACTGAATATCTGAATTTATAAATGCCTGATACCCATATTTTCAGTATACTCACAGATTTATCTCCTCTTAAATTTCTCCATATTAGTAGAGAAATTGCACTGTCTACTTATAGAAAAAATAATACTCCTATGTCTATACAAGGCCATCATTAGGTAGTTGTTGATTTCTTTCAGGTGCTGAATACATGTCTTAGTGCTTACATTTATTGATGCCTCAGGGCAACTTTTCTAGTTATAGCTACAATCATAACCATCAAACAGAGGTGTATGTAATTTTTTTCCTTATGGTTTTAAGTCCTAAGTTCATTACAATTGTTTCTATAGGCTTAAGGCTTTTCACATCATAAAGCTAGTCTCTTCAATCAGGAACAGAAAGAACTCTTCTGCAGTACGATATATACCTTCAGATGTGGATGCTGAAATAAGCAATATACTTGTTAAAAGATTTTTACCTTTTTATCTGATTCTTGGTCACTCCAACAGTTATGCTTTCCAAAACTCTATTGAAAAATTAGTTACTTAAAATTACTTTGGGTGAAAAGCAAATGAAAACTTTAGTAATGTCAGTGATAGTTTTTCACTGCAGAAGTAAAGCAATCATCTGTCTGAGACACTGCCTGTTTCTTTAACACATTTCTATCCATAGGTTGTAGCATTTATTTCTGAATGTCATAAGGAAATAGGTTACAGCATTTATGTCAAGAATTTCATTTTAAGTAAATTATTTTAATTGATAAAATTAGACACAGCATTTTTCTTGCTTTGCCTCATAATCTGTGGAGCAACTGAGAGTATTCATTTTACTGTAAACAGAAGACATTTCTACCACTTAATTAAATATAATATGTTATATAGGAGTATTAATTTCACTGATAAGTTTTTGCAAAATTCAAGGTATCACATTAACTTTTCACAGGAATTCAAATGAACAAAACAATATGAGAAAATAATATTGGAAGAGTATAGGAATTAATTTTGAAGGAAAGGTAAAATGGAAAATTATTTTTAAACTTGGAAAATATTTCTCCTGTCAACGTATATTTACCATTTTAAAAACTTTTTCAAATTTGCCATGAATAAGCAGAGTATGAAAAAAAGTTGAAAGAAAGAAGTACTTTTATTACTGTACTTTATGTCCCTTACTTACTATGCAACTAATATTGAATTAGCAAATCAAGTAAAAAGGAAGAAAAATAATTATACAGCTAATACAGAAGTGCTCAAAATTAACTATACTCTTGGGAAGATAATTTTACTTCCTATATGCAATAAATTATCTAACAGGTTCTCCATTTAAAGTCTTTCATATCTGTTTCTTCCTTTGCATTGTTAATATCTTATTCAGATTTTGATAACTTCACATTTAGATAACTTCAATCGGCTTAAATTTATATTTATGGCCACCAAATTCTTGCTATTTTTAAAGTGCTTCTCAGTGCATATTTTAAAAATATCACTTTTATTTGGTTGTCCCTGTTTAAAACTCCTTATCCCTCAGTTCCAATGCAGTCCCATTTGATTGACCTGCTATGCAAGCACTCTAGCAAAGTCAACTTCTCTCTGGATAACCACAGATATTATGATCAGTGCTGTTGCTATTGCTTATGTTGTTCCTAAGAAAAGCCAAGTGCTTCCTTTCCTTTTTGCCCAACACCCTACTCATTTTCTCCACAAAATCTCACTCATTTGACTTATCTCTGTTAAGATATCCTCTTACCTGAATTCCTAAACCCATCTATATTGTATAATTTCAAACTGAACTCTTGTTGCTTCATGTACCATATTATTTCTGTATAATTATAAACACTCAGTAATACATATATAACAAAGTAATAATCTTTTTGTTAAAATATACTAGCATGCAGTTTAAGATGTGAAAGGAAAATAAATCTTGGGTCCCCATAATCACTAAGCTAAAGATAACAGTCAAGCTGGGAATTGCTTGGGGCAAACCGGCTTTCCATGCTATTCAAAGGCATCCCTCTGCTCACTGAGATAAATGCATATCTGATTGATTGCCTCCTTTGGAAAGGTTAATTAGAAATTCAAAAAAATGCAACCATTTGTTGTTGCAACCTATAACCTGGAAGCCCTCTCTCCACTTCAAGTTGTCCTGCCTTTGCTTCAAGTTGTCCTTCCTTTCTGGCTCAAAACAATGTTCATCTTACATATATTGATTGATGTCTCCTGTTTCCCTAACATGTATAAAACCAAGCTGTGCTTGGACCACCTTGGGCACATGTCATCAGGACAGGCACTCATCCTTAACTTTGGCCAAAAAAAAAGCCACTTTCTAAATTGACTAAGGCTTGTCTCAGACATTTGGAGTTCACAAAGATGAGTGGTTAAAATGCTCATAAAGGTGTTCACAATTTTTGTAGATTTTTATAGATTAATACACATGGAATTAGCAACATCTTATTTATTCAATTCTTCCAAGTAAAATCTAGCAAGATATCATTCTATTTTAAAATTCAAAAATTGATAACTAAGTTTGCATATCACACATCCAAAATTTCATAAGCTGAGTAAAATTTTTAGCAAAGTTTTAATTGATTCTCTTAATTTAATATCAAATTATAGCACTCATATTGGTCCATTTTCACAGTACTATAAAGAACTACCTGAGATTTGGTAATTTATGGAGAAAACAGGTTTAATTGACTCACAATTCTGCAGGCTGTACAGGAGGCATGGCTGGGGAGGCCTCAGGAGACTTACAATCACTGCACAAGTCGACAAAGAAGCAAGTATGTCTTCACATGGCTAGCAGGACAGAGAGGGAGAGAGCGAGTGAGGTGCTACACACTTTCAAACAACAAGATCACATGAGAACTCTATCATGAGACAGCACTAGAGGGATGGTGTTAAACCATTAGAAACCACCCCCATTATTCAATCACTTCCCACTAGGCCCCACCTTCAACACTGGGAACTGCAATTCAACATGAGATTTGGGTTGGGACACAGAGCCAAATCATATTATTCCACCCCTGGCCCCTCTCAAATCTCATGTTCTTCTCACATTTCAAAACACAGTCATGCCTTCCCAACAGTCCCCCAAAGTCTTAATTTGCTCCAGCATCACTTCAAAAGTTCCAGTCTGAAGTCTCATCTGAGAGAAGACAAGTTCCTTTCACCTATGAGCCTGTAAAATTAGAAACAAGTTAGTTACTTCCAATATACAATGGTGGCACAGGCATTGTGTAAATGTTACCATTCCAAAAGTGAGACATTGGCCAAATCCAAGGGGCTATGGGCCCCACACAAGTCCAAAATCCAGCAGGGCATTCATTAAACTTTAAAGCTCTAAAATAATCTCCATTGACTCCATGTCTCACATCCAGGCAACACTGATGCAAGGGGTGGACTCCTAATGCCTTGGGCAGCTCTTCCCTGGTGGCTCTGCAGGTTACAGCCCCTGCAGCTGCTTTCACTGGCTGGCATTGAGTACCTGTGGCTTTTCTAGGCACTGGAGGCAAGCTATTGGTGGATCTACCATTCTGGGGTCTTGAAGACAGTGGAGGACAGTGGCCCTCTTCTCAGAGTTCCACTAGGCAGTGCTTCAGTGGGGATTCGGTGTGGAGGCTCTCCAACACCACATTTCCCCTTTGCACTGCCCTAGTAGAGGTTCTCCATGAGGGCTCCACCTCTGCAGCAGATTTCTGCCTGGACATCCAGGCATTTCCATACATCCTCTGAAATCTAGATAGAGGCTCCCAAACTTCAATTCTTGCCCTCTGCACACCCTCAGGCTTAACACCCTGTGGAAGCTTCTAAAGCTTGGGTGTTATACCCTCTGAAGCAGTGGCCCGAGTTGTACCTTGGCCCCTTTTAGTCATGGCTTGAGCTGGAGAAGCTGGGATGCAGGGTGTCATGTCTTGAGTCTGCATAGAGCAACATGTCCTTGGTTTTGGCCCATTAAACCATTCTTCCCCTGAGGCCTCCAGTCCTGTGATGGGAGGGGCTTCCGTGAAGGCCTCTGAAATGCCTTGGAGGCATTTTCCCCATTGTCTTGGATTTTAACATTTAGCTCCCCTTTACTTATGCAAATTCCTGCAGTTGATTTGAATTCCTCCCCATATAATGTTTTTTTATTTGTTTTTGTTTTTGTTTTTGTTTTCCTACCATGTGGTCAGGCTGCAAATTTTCCAAACATTTACACTCTTCTTCCCTCTTAAATATAATTTCAAATTTCAGACCATCTCTTTTCAAATGCATATTAGTATAGCTGTTAGAAGCAGCCAGGTTACTTCTTGAACATTTTGCTGCTTAGATATTTTTTCCACCAGTTACCCTAAATCAATCTAGTCCAACCTATGGCATGTAGGCTGCATGTAGCACCAGATGACTTTGAATGTCGCCCAACACAAATTCATAAACTTTCTTAAAATATTATGAGTTTTTTTGTGATTTTTTTTTTTTAGTTCACCAGCTATTGTTAGTGTTAGTATATTTTATGTGTGCCCTAAGACAATTCTTCTTCTTCCAATGTGGCCCAGGGAAGACAAAAGATTGGATACCCCTGCCCTAAATAATCTCTCTCAAATTCAAAGTTCAACAGATCTCTAGAGCGGGGGCACAATGCCACCAGGCTCTTTGCTAAAGCATAGAAAGAGTGATCTTTGCTCCAGTTCCTGATAAGTACCTCATCTTCATTTGAGATCACCTCATTCTGGACTTCATCATCCATATCACTATCAGAATTTTGGTCACAACAGTTTAACAAGTCTCTCGGAAGTTCCAAACTTTCCCTCAGCTTCTCTTCTTCTAAGTCCTCCAAACTGTTCCAACCTCTGCCCATTACCCAGTTACAAAGCTGCTTCCATATTTTTAGTTATCTTTATAGCAATTCCCCACTTCTCTGGTACCAATTTTTTGTATTAGTCTCACGCTGCTATAAAGAACTACCTGAGGCTGAGTAATTTATGAGAAAATAGGTTTAGTTGACTCACAGTTCCACAGGCTGTACAAAAGTCATGGCTATAGAACAGGAAACTTACAATCATAGTAGATGGTGAAGGGGAAGAAAGCATCTCTCCACATGGCTGGCAGGAGAGAGAGAGAGAGAGTGAGTGAAGAAGGAGGTGCTACACACTTTCCCACAACCAGATATCTTGAGAAATCTATCACGAGACAGCACTAGGGGGATAATGCTAAACCATTAGAAACCACCTCCCTGATCAAAACACCTTCCATCAGGCCCCAACTCCAACACTGGGAATTACAATTCAACATGAGATTTGGGTGGGGACACAGAGCCAAATCATATTAATGCTCAACTTTTCTTTTCTTTCTTTTTCTTTTTTTGTTAGATAGGTTCTCACTCTGGCACCCAGCAAGCTGGAGTATAGTGGCATGATCTTGGCTCAGTGCAGCCTCTACCTCCTTGGCTCAAGGCAGCCTTTCACTTCAGCCTCCAGAGTAGCGGGCACATGGCACCATGCCTGGCTAAATGTTTGCATTTTGTGTAGAGACAAGGTCTCACTATGTTGCCCAGGCTAGTCTTGAACACCTGGGCTCAAGTGCTCCTCCTGCCTCAGCCTCCCAAAGTGCTAAGATTATAGGCATGAGCCACAATGACTGGCACAGATTTTGCTTCTTAATTTTTTTTGTTTTATGTACAATTTTGTGAAACTGATAGTAATTTCCATACCTGCCCACTACTTCACCTTTCTCCAAATAAAATGTACATAAGTACACAACATATTTTTATGCCATTTGTTCTGGCTTGTATTAGAAATAGATTTCCTTTTTATGAAATATAAAGTGAATTAAAAATCTATTGTCATAGTCTGAGGAGTTTGAAATGAAATTAGTTGCTTTCTTTAGAAAAAAAAAAAAAACAAAACAAAACTTAAAGGCAAAATGGGCAGGTATATCCCAAAAAGTAAAGTTGATTCTGTTTAAAAGCATATTTAAATGAATAAATTGCTGGTATTTTACTTGAATAAGAAGTTAGTATTTTGGATTTGATTTTGACATGGCAAAGCTCATGTGATCTTTAATATCCAATTTAGCTTAACTTTTTTATATGTAAATAAACTTTGGTAACTTTATTCACAGGTTCATAGAAGCACAACAAATCAGAGTTCTGATAGCTTATGTTGCCAACCAAGTGTTGGCTTATGCCAAGGAATTCCTGATTTTTCCAAGGCTCTTTGAGTCAGATTTATGTTCAATTATTTCCTATTTTTTTCCCAAATGAATGAGGTTAGTTTTGTAATGTGGCATTAGTCATGCTCACTATTTCAGCAACATAATATTTAAATCTGTATTTTAATTTTAAAATGTTATGGTAATTTAATTTTCAGGGTCCTCTAATGTTTTCTGGTATTTGCAGATTTCTGCTCATTGAGGCAAGGTTTGGTGATTTATGATTTCAGAGAAGAGGAACTCTTCTTCCAGTTTTAGAAAGTCCAGATAATGATTTGCAATCCATATATATATATATATATATATCTTTATAATCTTATTTTTTCCTCTGCTTAAAAAAGAGCATAGTGAGACTTATGAAAGTAGTATTGTGTAGCTCAATCCCAGTGGAGCCCTTTGCTCAGTTTTGTTTAACTCTAATATTTTGTTGCTGTTGTTTCTTTTGACTTCTCCCATCCTTGTGATCACACAAGTCATAAATTTCATACAAACTCCTTTTTTATCTCATTTCTCAAGAATTGATTACTGATCAAACATGCCCTAATTCACCAATTTTGTGAACTTCCTCTCTGAAAGTATATGTTTGAGTGTGTGTATGGTATAACCTAGAAAATATTTAATAAAATACAATTTCTTATCGTCACTCTATTCCCCTTACTTGTTATGTGGATTTACTTAAATTTCCATTATTCCTGTTGAAAATGCTCACCACAATTTCTCAAAATCTTCTCTTCTAAGTAATTTCCATCAGTGTCCCTACAAATCCTCTTGTGGTTTAGCCAAGGATTTTCTGAAGCATCAATAAAGATGACAATTAAAACTTGTTTTGAATAATTCAGCTCATTTCTATGGCAAATTTATCTGTCACTTATATCCAAGCTATGAATATACTTTTGCCTCATATATTATCCTGAGAGTGGACTTATATATTCTTTCAAAAATATGAGGCTTCATGCTGTGATAGTTGAATATAGGTTAAGACAACTTGCTTCTATAGGATTAGTCACATCCTGAGTTCTGAGATAAAACTGGCATTTAATGAAATAGTGGTGCTTAAAACATTTTCTAGGGGCTCTTGGGGGTTCTCAGAGGCCCTTTCAGGGGTTCTGCAACATAAAAATAATTTTCATAATAATACTAAGATATTCTTTACCTTTTTAAACTCTCATTTTCTCATGAGTAAAGAGTAAAGTTTTTCAGAGGCTACATGATTGGATATTGCAACACAATGTAGCAACAAAGAAGCAGGTACGAAAATTTAGCTGTTTCTAATAAGAGAGATATTAAAGAGAACTATAAAATATAAAAAATGCCATTCAATTTTAGCTCTTTTATTGTTGTTTCAGAAAGTATAGCTTTTAAAGATAAAATATATTAAAATTTAGTGGTTTTTAATGTTGATTTTAAATAAAATAATAAATATTTTTACTTTCTGTTTTGATTTCTAATACAGTAATTGTAGACAGTGATATAGTTTGGATCTGTGTCCTCACTCAAATCTTATGTTGAACTGTAATCCTCAATGTTGGAGGGGGATCTGGTTGGAGGTGATGGGATCATAGGGGTGAGTATTTCATGAATTGTTTGGCACTTTCCTTTGGTGTTGTTCTTGTGATAGAGTTTTAATGATATCTTGTTGTTTAAAGGTGTGTGGTACCTTCCCCCCATTCCCTTTCTCCTGCTCCAGCGAACATGAAGTGATGGCCCCCCCTTGCCTTCTGCCATGATTGTAAATTTCCTGAAGTTTCTGCAGAAGCTGAGCAAAAGTCACTATGCTTCTTGTATAGCCTACAGAACAGTGAGTCAATAAAACTCTTTTCTTTATAAATAACCCAGTCTTAGGTATTTATAGCAGTGCAAGGCTGGACTAATACAGATAGATTGCTTACATAAATCAAAGCTCTTGAGATCCTCAATACCTTTTAATAAAAAGGTTCTGATGCCAAAAGTTTGAGAACTACTCTTGTAGAGGTTGCCACCAGCTTTTTGAATCTTGAAGTATAGCCAGTCTTCTACATACCAATAAAGAATAACTTGTAAAACTAGCTCTAGTTAGTACCAAATCTAAGTATTCAGGTCCTATGCCCTGCTAAATTTCTTGTTCATCTTGATGGAGAAAAAGTGAGATCCAAAACTGGGGTTTGGCCTGCAAGGGTTATTGGCTTCACCCAGAAGAGGATTCAATGGTGAGCTGATGTTGTTAAATGGCAATATTTTATTGAATGGTACTGCTCCTTATGGAGCAGGGCTAACTCACAGGCAGTGTGCCCAGAGTCGATAACATATGAGTTGTTGGCAATTGTATTTATATCCTCTTATACCCACTTTTAATTAAGGTACAGGTTGATGCAAATTAAGGGGTGGGTTATTTAGAACCTTCTAGGAAAGGGCTGATAACTTCTTTGTTATTGCCCTGGCTCTTGTAAACTGTCATGGTGCTGGTAGAAGGGTCTTACAGTAATGAACAATGAGGGCAGCTAGGGATTGCTTTTGTTGTCATCTGTTGGTTTCTGCTGTTTTCTTTACTTCATTCCATTGTGACCAGGAGATAAGTCTTCTAGTCTCCTACCTCAATCTGACCTACATTCTTATCTTCCTGGATGATAGACTCTGATTCCACTTCCCTGTAGTTTGAAAACTTTTTATATGCACTTCTTTGGCCTATTGATCTTTGCTTGACTATAGCATTACTAAGATTTCAGGAGGGACATACTCCTTGTATGATTGAAGCCTGAGGAACTCTTAACCTTGATTCAGCCAAAAAGATTATAAACTTCTATGCTTATATTTGTACATTATGAGTTTAGCATAATGGACATTGCCACTAATTATGTATCTGATATTTTATCTTGGATCTAATAGAGTTTATAATTCCCTTCCCCTCCAACAGTATCCCTGATGTGTTTATTGACTATCACTATCTTCCTCTATGTCCAAGTTCTAACTACCCTAGGATTGAGATTCTTCCCTGCCTTCTTCCATAAATTCATTATATTCTAGCCCTAATCCTCCAGTAATTCTCCTGATTTAGGTTAAGTTTTTCAGAAGCTACATTTGCAATGACATGGATGGAATTGGAGAACATTATGTCAAGTAAAATAATATAGGCACAGAAAGAAAAGTTTTGCATGTTCTCACTCATTTCTGGCAGTGAAAAATTAGAAAAATTATTTTCATATGGTTAGTGAGTAGAATAATTGTTAACAAAGGTTAGGAAGAATGTAAGGGTGGTGTCTAGTCCTTGCAAGCCAGACTTACCACCTGCAATTAGAAAATCCAGATGTTTCCTAGTTTAGGCCTTTCTTAGTTCAGCCTACTACTAAGACACCTAAGCAACTTACCTGGATATTCTTGGTTGCAATAAAAAAAAATTCAAGTATAAAATATGTTATTTATATGTACAAATTATAATCATTCAGGATGATGAATTTTCACAAATTGAACATAATCATAAAACTAAAATCCAGATTAAGAAACAGAATACTGCCAGCATTTCAGAATCCAACTTTATCCACTTTTGGTCACTTGCAAAAATCAAACAATGCTTCTGTCTTCTAACAACATAGAGGAATATACTTGTATTAGAAGTTTATATATATGGGATTGTATTAGTCCATTTTCATGCTGCTGATTAAGACATAGCTGAGACTGGGAAGGAAAAGAGGTTTAATTGGACTTACAGTTCCACATGGCTCGGGGGCGGGGGGGGCTCAGAATCATGGCAGGAGGCAAAAGGCACTTCTTACATGGTGGCAGCAAGAGAAAATAAGGAAGAAGCAAAAGCAGAAATCCCTGATAAACCTTTCAGATCTCGTGAGACTTATTCACTATCATGAGAATAGCATGGAAAAGACCAACCTCCATGATTCAATTACCTCTACCAACATATGTGAATTCTAGGAGGTACAATTCAAGTTGAGATTTGGGTGGGGACACAGCCAAACCATATCATTCTGCCCCTGGCCCCTCCCAAATCTCATATTTTCACATTTCAAAACAAATCATGCCTTCCCAACAGTCCCCCAAAGTTTTAACCCATTTCAGCATTAACTCAAAAGTCCACAGTCCAAAGTTTCATCTGAGATAAGGCAAGTCCCTTCTGCCTATGAGCCTGTAAAATCAAAAATAAGCTAGTTACTTCCTAGATACAATGGGGGTACAGGTATTGGGTAAATACAGCCATTCCAAATGGGAGAAATTGGCCAAAACAAAGAGGTTGCAGGGCCCATGCAAGTCTGAAATCCAGTGAGGCAGTCAAACTTTAAAGCTCCAAAATGATCTGTTTTGACTCCAGATCTTACATCCAGGTCACACTGATGCAAGAGGTGGGTTCCCATGGTCTTGGGCAGCTCCATCCCTGTGGCTTTGCTGGGTATATCCCCCTCCTGGCTGCTTTCACAGGCTGTCATTGAGTGTCTGTGGCTTTTCCAGGTGCAAGGTGCAAGTTGTCAGTGGATCCACCATTCTGGGATCTGGAGAAAGGTGTCTCTCTTCTCACGGCCCCACTAAGAAGTGCCCCAGTGGGGAATCTGTGTGGAGGCTCAGACCCCACAATTCCCTTCTGCACTGCCCTAGCAGAGGTTCTCCGTGAGGGCCCTGCTCTTGCAACAAACATTTGCCTGGGCATTGAGTTGTTTCCATAAATCTTCCAAAATCTAGGCGGAGGTTCCCAAACCTCAGTTATTGACTTCTGTTCACTCGCAGGCTCAACAACACGTGCAAGCTACCAAGGCTTGGGGCTTCCACCCTCTGAAGCCACAGCCCAAGCTGCACATTGACCCCTTTCAGCCTTGGGTAGAGCGACTGGGGCACAGGGCGCCAAGTCCCTAGGCTTCACAGAGCATGGGGACCCTGGGCCCAGCACACGAAACTACTTTTTCTTCCTGGGCCTCTGAACCTGTGATGGGAGGGGCTGCCATGAAGGTCTTTGACGTGGCCTGGAAACATTTTCCCCATGGTCTTGGAGGTTAATGTTAGCGTCCTTGCTACTTATGCTAATTTCTGCAGCCGGCTTGAATTTCTCTCCAGAAAATGGGTTTTTCTTTTCTATCGCATTGTCATCCTGCAATTTTTTCAAACTTTTATGCTTCCCTTATAAAACTGAATGCCCTTAACAGTACCCAAGTTACCTCTTGAATGCTATGCTGCTTAGAAATTTCTTTTGCCAGATATCCTAAATCATCTTTCTCAAATTCAAAGTTCCACAAATCTCTAGGGCAGGGGCAAAATGCCTCCAGTCTCTTTGCTAAAACATACCAAGAGTCACCTTTGCTCCAGTTCTGAACAGATTCCTCATCTCCATCTGAGGCCACGTCAGCCTGGACCTTATTGTTCATTTCGCTATCAACATTTTGGGCAAACCCATTCAACAAGGCTCTAGGAAGTTCCAAACTTTCCCACATTTTCCTGCTTTTTTTTTTTTTTTTTTAATTTTCTGAGCCCTCCAGACTGTTCCAATGTCTGCCTGTTACCTAGTTCCAGAGTCGCTTCCACATTTTTGGGTGTCTTTTCATCAACACCCCATTCTATTATTCTGTTTTCACACTGCTGATAAAGACATACCCAAGACTGGGAAGAAAAAGTTCAATTGGACTTACAGTTTCACATGGCTGGGGAGGCCTCAGAATCATGGTGGGAGGTAAAAGGCACTTTTTACATGGCAGCCACAAGAGAAAATGAGGAAGAAGCGAAAGCAGAAACCCTTGATAAACCCATCAGATCTCATGAGACTTATTCACTATCACAAAAATAGCACAGGAAAGAACAGCCCCCATGATTCAATTACGTCCCCCTGGGTCCCTCCCACAACATGTGGAAATTCTGGGAGATACACTTCAAGTTGAGATTTGGTTGGGGACACAGCCATACCATTTAAGGGATCAAATAATGTGAACTATTTTCTGTATAGCTTGTTTCATTCAACATATTATTTGTGATTTTTACAAATTATTGCATTATTCATTCCCATTGTTGCACAGTATTCCATTGTGATAAAATATTTCACTTTACCATCTTACTATTGTTCTTGCTTATGAATAATATTGCTATGAATATTTTAGTGTATTTCTTTATATATATATGTATACATTTTTATTTGTTACATGCTTAGGAGTAGAATTGCTAGATTCTAGGATATGTTTATGTTCAGCTACAGTAGATAGCATTACCAACATTTTAAAGTGATTGCACAGAGTTGTACTCTGATAACTACTATAAGAGAATTCTGTCTGTGCCATGTCCCTTGTTATTTTTTGCCTTTTGTGTTTAATGCAGTAGTAATAATACATCGTGGTTTAATTTGCATCTCCCTGATGACCAATGATGCTGAGCATATTTTCAGATGTTTGTTAGACACTTGAATACTCTTTTTTTCCTTGACCAAGTTTTTGGTCCATTTATTGTTTGATCATCATGTAGCTATTAATTTATAGTGCTTTGCATATTCTGGTCATAAGCCCATTTTCAGATAACTGTCTTGCAAATATCTTGTCTCACTCTGTTAATTACCTATTCAGTCTCTTCAGGTGGTTTTGGTGAATAAAAATCTCTTAGTTTTCATATTTCCTAAGTTATTACTGTTTTTCTTTACCATTAGCTCCCTGTAGTATTAGGAATCTTTAGAAATCTTTGCATACTCAAAGGTCAGCAAAATAATTTTCTGTGTTTTCTTTTCAAAATTTTACTTCTTATGTCACTGTTTTAAATGAATTTCAAGATTTTTTTAAAAATTTGTATTGTTCTGGTATTTTACTCTAAACTGTTATTGTTTAGATTGCAATCCATGTGGAATTGATTTTTGTATATGGCATGAGGTAAAGGTCAAGATATTTTTTTTCATATAGAAATCTAATCTAGCATTATTTATTTAAAGACATTGATTCTCACTGCCCATAGTATCTCCTTTGTCACAAATTAGTTAATTCTAATTCCAAACTCTTTTTTATTCCATTGCCTTAGTTATCTATTCTTGTGTCATTACTATCTGCATTATTATTATTATCACTTTTTAATAGGTTTTAATAATTGATAGTATAAGTCTTTCAGGCTTATTCTTCTTCAAAGTTTTATGTATTCCTGACCCATCACATTTCCATATAGATTTAAATCTAGCTTTACAATTTTAATGAAAACAAACATAATGTTTCAAAAATTTTTTTTGCATTATTATAGATGAATTTGGGGACATTTGGCTTATTTTACATACTTGAAGCCATGTGTCATGTTATAATTAGGAAGTTATTTTTTACTCCTCATTTGCTAAGAGGTCTTCTCATAAATGATCGATAACTTTTAATTCTATATATATTTAAACCCTATAATATATGACATTATTTTCTATATTTGACATTAATGCATATTTGCATATATATTTTGCCCCCTTTTTTGGGGTTCCTCCTCCTCTTCTTCCTTCTCCTCCTTTGCCACCATCCCTCCTCCTCTTCCTCCTCCTCCTTCTCCTCCTCCTCCTCCTCCTGCTCTTCTTCTTCTGCTTCCTCTTCTTCTCCTCGTCCTCCTCCCTCCCTCCCTTTTTCTTTTATTTTCTTTCTTTCCTTCTTTCTTTCTTTCTTTTCTTTCTTTCTTTTTTCTCTCTCTCTCTTTCTTTCTTTCTTTTCTTTCTTTCTTTTTTTCTCTCTCTCTCTTTCTTTGTTTCTTCCTCTCCTCCTCCTCCTTTCCCTTCTCCTTCTTCCTTCTTCTTCTGACACAGGTCTCAATATGTTCCCCAGGTTTTCCTCAAACTCCTAGGCTCATAGGGTCCTCCTCCCTCAGCCTCCTGAGTGGTTAAGATCCGCAGGAACAACCACTGTGGCCAGTTCTCTCTTTTTTTTTTTTTTCCATCTGAGAAAATTTTCTTTTGGCCTAAAGAACTCATGTTTAGTATATCTTTGTAGTTCAGACTGGCCTGCAACTGATTCTCTCAGATTTTGTCTAAATATGTCTTTATTCAACCCTTATTTTTGAACATCTTTTCTGTGTATAGAAATATAGGCTCAGTTATTTCATTTTTCTTTACTCAAAGATTTATTCTATTGCCGTTTTCACCCTAGAATTCAGCAAATTTAATCATTATAGTTCTAGTCTATTAACACACTGGATTACAGAAAGTTGGTTGGTATTAATAGTCCTGCTTCCTTCATTTATTTGACAAGTTTAATTTTCTACCGCTTTCTGTGAATTCTATATTTTTAAAATAGATTCACCGTAAAGAGTGGCTAAGAAAATTCTAACATTTCTCATTTTATATTTTTAATTAATGATAGACTTAGATAGACTTTTTTGTATTTTGCCCCAAGCCGATTATTGACATATATATTTTTCACACATCCAATTATATATTTAGATACAGATGATACTATTCCAGGATATATTTATCTTCTTGTTTTCCTATTTATCATTTTTTCATTAGTCAGCTGCCTTTATTTCTATGTCTCCAAAACAATTTGTTTTCACCTGAGTCTCTTGTGTATCTAGTGTATTCCTTTTCTTATTGTTGAGTTTTAGTATATTTTGGATAACATTTTTTTTATATCAGATATGCCTTGTATTAGTCTATTTTCATGCTGCTGATAAAGACATACCTGAGACTGGGAAGAAAAAGAGGTTTAATGGACTTACAGTTCCACATGGCTGGGGAGGCCTCACAATCATGGCAGAAGGCAAGGAGGAGCAAGTCACATCTTACATGGATGGCGGCAGGCAAAGAGAGAGAGTTTGTGTGGGGAAACTCCCTTTTTAAAAACCACCTGAACTCATGAGACTTATTCACTATCATGAGAACAGCATGGGAAAGACTGGAACTCATATTCAATTACCTCCCACCAGCTTCTTCCCATGGAATGTGGGAATTGTGAGAGTTACAATTTAAGATGAGATTTGCGTGTGGACACAGCCAAACCATATCATTCTGCTCTTGGCCCCTCTTAAATCTCATGTCCTCACATTTCAAAACCAATCATGCCTTACCAACAATCCCCCAATGTCTCAACTTATTTCAGCATTACCTCAAAAGTCCACAGGCCAAAGCCTCATCCAAGAAAACTCAAGTCCCTTATACCTATGTGCATGTAAAATCAAAAACAAGGTAGTTTTTTCCTAGTTACAATGGGGGTACAGACATTTAGTAAACACAACCATTCCAAATGGGAAAAACTGGCTAAAACAAAGGGGCTACAGGCCCCATGGAAGTCCAAAATCCCGTGGGGCAGTCACATCTTAAAGTTCTAAAATCATCTCTTTTGACTCCATGTCTCACATCCAGGTCACACTGATGCAAAAGGTGTGCTCCCATGGTCTTGGGCAGCTCTGCCCCTGTGGCTTTGCAGGGTATAGCCCCCCTCCTGACTGCTTTCATGGGCTGGTGTTGAGTGACTGTGGCTTTTCCAGGTGCATGGTGCAAGCTGCTGGTGGATCTACCATTCTGGGGTCTGCAAGATGGTGGTCCTCCTCTCACAGCTCCACTAGGTGGTGCCCCAGTAGAGACTCTGTGTGGGGGCTCCTGCCCTACATTTCCCTTCTGCACTTCCCTAGCAGAGATTCTTCACGAGAGCCCCCACCCCTGCAGCAAACTTCTGCCTAGGCATCCAGGCATTTCCATACATCCTCTGAAATCTAGGCAGAGGTCCCCAAACCTCAACTCTTGACTTTCGTGCACCCGCAGGCTTAGCACCATGTGGAAGCTGCCAAGGGTTGGGGTTTCCACCCTCTGAAGCAACAGCCCGAGCCACACCTTGGCCCCTTTTAGCCATGGCTGGAGTGACTGGAATGCAGAGTACCAAGTCCCTAGGCTGCACAGAACAGGGGATCCCTGGGCCCGGCCCATGAAACCATCTTTTCCTCCTAGGCCTCTGTGCCTGTGATGGAAGGGGCTGCAGTGAAGACCTCTATATGCCCTGGAGACATTTTCCCCATTGTCTTGGAGATTAACATTCGAGTCCTCATTACTGATGCAAATTTCTGCAGCAGGCTTGAATTTCCCCTCAGAAAATGAGATTTTCTTTTCTATTGCATTGTTAGGCTGCAAATTTTCAGAACTTTTATGCTCTGTTTCCCTTTTAAAACTAAATGCTTTTAACAGGATCCAAATGACCTCTTAAATGCTTTGCTGCTTAGAAATTTCTTCCACCAGATATCCTAAATCATCTCTCTCAAGTTCAAAGTTCCACAAATCTTTAGGGGAGGGGCAAAATACCACCAGTCTCTTTGCTGAAACATAACAAGAGTCCAATTCTTTGCTCCAATTCCCAAGAAGTTCCTTATCTCCATCTGAGACTACCTCAGCCTGGATTTCATTGTCCATATCATTATCAGCATTTTGATCAAAACCATTCAACAAGACTCTAGGGAGTTCTAAACTGTCCCACATTTTCCTGTCTTCTGAGCCCTCCAAACTGTTCCAACCTCTGCCTGTTACCCAGTTCCAAATTTGCTTCCACATTTTCAAGTAACTTTTCAGTAGTGCCCCACTCTAATGGTACCAATACCTGTATTAATCAGGGTTCTCTGTAGGGACAGAATTAATAAGATAGATGTATATATAAAGGGGAGTTTATTAAGTAGAATTTTTTTTTTTGAGATGAGGTCTGACTCTGTTGCCCAGGCTGGAGTGCAGTGGTGCAGTCTCAGCTCACTGCAACCCCTGTCTCCTGGGTTCAAGCAATTCTCTTCCTCAGCCTCTCGAGTAGCTGGGACTACAGACATGCACCATCATGCCTGGCTAATTTTTGTATTTTTAGTAGAGACAGGGTTTCACCATGTTGGCAAGGCTGGTCTCAAACTCCTGACCTCGTGATCTGCCCGCCTCAGCCTCCCAAAGTGCTGGGATTACAGGTGTGAGCCACCGTGCTTGGCCTATTAAGTAGTATTAACTCACACTATCACAAGGTCCCACAATAGACCATCTGCAAGCTGAGGATCGGGGAAGCCATTCTGAGTCCCAAAGCTGAAGAATTTGGAGTTTGATGTTTGAGGGCAGGAAGCATCCAGCATGGGAGAAAGATGTAGGCTGGGAGGCTAGGCCAGTCTAGTCTTTACCTGTTTTTCTGTCTGCTTTTTTTCTGGCCATGCTCACAGCTGATTAGATTGTGCCCACCCATATTAAGGTTGGGTCTGCCTTTCCCAGCCCACTGATTCAAATGCTAATCTCCTTTGGCAACACCTTCACAGACACACCCAGGATCAGTACTTCGCATCCTTCAATCCAATCAAGTTGACACTCAGTATTAACCATCACATGCCTTTTTCAAGTATTTTCTTTCAGTCTGTGACTTGTCTTCTCATTCTTTTTTCAGCTTTAATAAGGTTCAATAATGTGGTATTTTAATATCTGTATAGACTGTGAAATGATTAAATCAAACTAACATACTTATCTACTCAGACACTTATTTTTTTTGATGAGAACATTTAAGATCTACTCTCTCAGCAATTTTTAAGTATACAGTACATTATTATTAACTATAGTTACTTTGCTGTAGGACTGTTTGTAGAAATGTAAATTAGTACAGCCATTATGGAAAACAGTAGAGAGGTTCCTCAAAAATTAAAAAATATAACTAATGTGTGATCCAGCAATTTCACTTCTGGGTATATATCTTAAGAAAATGAAATCAGTATCTCAAGGATATATCTGCACTCTCATGATTATTGCAACATTAATCATAATAGTCAAGCTATAGAAGCACATTGTGTCCATCAATGGATAAATGGATTAACAAATGTGGTATGTACACACCTACAAACACATGCACACAGGACAGAATGTAATTCAGCCTTAAAAATGAAAGATATTCTGTCATAATATAAATGAAACTAGAGGATACTGTGCTGGCTAAAATAAGCCAGGCACAGAAAGAGAAATATCACATGATATCACTGATGTGTGTAATCTAAAAACGGTTGAACTCATTGAAGCAGGGAGTAGGATAGTGATTTTCAGGGGCTACATGGGTGGGAGGGTATAAAGCTTTTGCATTTGATTGACAGTGTCTTTAACAGAGCAGACATTATAAATTGTACTGGAGGCTATCTTATCAATTATTTCTTTCTTTCATAAATCATACCTTTAGTGTTGTATCTAAAAAGTTATCACCATGCCCAAGGTCATTAGATTTTCTTCTATGTTTTCTTCTAGGAGTTTTGTAGTTTTGCATTTTACATTTAGGTCTGTAATCCATTTTAAGTTAATTTTTATTTCATTTGTTTTTTTTTTTTTTTTGCATTTAATTTGCTGGGTTCTGAGATATGAGATTTAAGCAGATGGGTACCATATCAAACCAAGAAAGCTACTGCCTCCATTTCTTAATTATTTTAAACCTTGCCACATGTAGCCAAATCTTCTCCCAGCCGCTGAATTTGTAACTCATACATTAGGGACTCCACAATAAACAATTAGGATAATTAGTATAACATGGAATAAAGATAACATTCCATATTTACCTTAATAAATAAACAAACCACAATACAGAGTTGTAAAAAAGTAAATTCATGGTCATATTCCCACACATCTGGAGTGGTACAAGTTCAGACCCTGTTTTGACCCACTCTCTGAGTAACTCATGGAATATTTTATTCCTTGAATCTTTAAACAAGAGTAATGCTAATATTACTTGTACTTGATTCAAGAGATTTAAAGTTTTGCAAGTGTCTTATCTCAACTACATATTTTTAATAAATATTAAAATAGACATTTTCTTCACTTTCTAGATTAATATTCTGTAAAGTAACTTCTCTAGGATCTTCAAGTAGGAATGAAGCTACTTATAAAATTTCAAACCCAAACTTTGTACAACATAACAAGTATATGAGCTAGTAAATATTTATTTTGAAAGTTACCACTTTCAAATATTCAGGTTAATGGGTTAAAAGAAGTGTTTTTGCCTCCATCACAAACCAATGTGCATGTGAATAAACAGTGTGCTAGTGGAGATGCAAGTTGTTATCAATGTTTCACTTGTTCGCTAGTCATTCACTCACTTGTTAATAGTTATTGATTCACCCAGTAGATACTGTCCTAAGCTCCATCATTGTGACTGAGAGAGGAATATGGAAATATAGAGGAAGAATGGATATATATATATATATATATATATATATATATATATATATATATATATATGTCAAAACACATCTGCCCTATAGACAGTTTTAGTTCATTAAAATTCTAATATTTTTCTTGGTAAAAGAGTATGTGGAAAAAAATCATACATTTTATACCTTCACCTGGTTAGACATCATGTCAAAATTTTAGACAGTTTAATATTTATGTCTTATAATAATCTTTATAGGTCTAATGTTATTGATTAATCAAAATATAATTTAAGAACTTAAGCTCAAAGTGACAGGGCCAGAAAGGGTGTCATTTGATCTTAGAGGTAATTCATCGCAAAATTTGTGTTTTTTACTGTCTCTAAGATCTAACTTTCTCAAAGCGTATGCTATTTTTATTATTTCCTCTAATACAAGAAAATGCCAAAAGTTATTCTGAAGTTTTTCAATCACATTGTAGAAAACAAAAGTATTATTTTATCTATATTTATTCTAAAACAAAAATATACCATTCAGTTATTTACTGATGGCAATATGAGCTGGGGAGATTTATTGCAAATTAAAATGTCTGCTCAGTGTACATATAATGATATTATTTCAAATCATGGCCAAATCACCAAGGTTACATTCAAACAAGTACAATAGACTTAGACACAAATTCTTATTTTTCAAATACTAAAGCCAAAAATATGCCACGTCATTTAAAAAAAATCACGTTTTAACAACTTACAAGGTTACTCAATTAACATCAGCTACAGATAATATTAATATAACAGTGTCTTATTACTAAACAATTAGTTTATCACACAAATTAGGAAGAACCAAATACATACTCATTAAAAATAATCTGCAATAACTTTGAGACATACATTTGATAGAATATAATAATTAAATGGTCAGGTCAGGATTTACTACCCTTCTGAGACAAATTGCAAGAATTGCAAAAATATAACATTTTATCAATTCAAAACTATATCAAAGACTTTAACTAAATAAAACTATCTTACTATAATGTAAAATCCATGATGAGAAGAATTAAACTACATAAATTTTCTTTTCTTTTCAATAGCATAGTTCATATTCTTTGTTTTTTTTCTCTTAATGAAGGACTGACTTTGTAATTTAACTTGATTTATGTAATTATGAGCCTTTTATTACGTAGGCACCTGGTTGACTACTTTGATGGGTCTACATTTTCAAAAGTCAATTTTAATGGTTCTTATGGAGATTGAAATCTTTATATAATAGCCTTTGAGATAATTCACTTCAAAAATCCTGCCCAAGCAGGTACTGTCTGCAATGAAAGGAGCATTGAAATCTTCTTGTTTTTATACAATACAGATTATTTTTTATTCTTTAGCAAAAATTTGAAGGTAACTTGGAAAACATCCTCCTGAAGACAAAAATATAAGCAACTTAAGCCAATGCAAAATCCAAATGGCTAACCTGTATACAAATATGATTTTGAGATGAGATTAATATTGAAAAGTATATTTAGCTTATTTATTCCTGCTAGGTGCCCTAAAAAAATTAGTAAAGAAAATCTAAAGGTAACATTAATGGGCCTTGCAATTTTAGGTGGACAAACATTTATTGGAATCTGCAAGGATTTTAGATTGAAGTTTGTTGCTTTTGAGTAGAGAAAAAAATTAAGAAGTAAATAAATAATACAAAGCATCACAGAGAAAAATCACCTCCGATTTGGTTTATCTACATAAGCTACTGACCTTTATTTTAAAGCAGAAACAAGTCATGAGCAAAGCTGATTCCAAGTAGTAAAAAACCCGGAAAAGTAACTTTTTTATGTATTTAACCTTCTGAATTCTTGATTTGCAAATTTGCTTTCTGTCTTTGGTTTCCTTTGTTTGCTTGTTTTAAAGTTGTAGGCCAGGCACGGTGGCTCACGCCTGTAATCCCAGCACTTTGGGAGGCCAAGGTGGGCGGATCATGAGGTCAAGAGATCGAGACCACCCTGGCCAACATGGTGAAACCCCATCTCTACTAAAAATAGAAAAATTAGCGGGGCGTGGTGGTGCCTGCCTGTAATCCCAGCTACTCAGGAGGCTAAGGCAGGAGAATCGCTTGAACCCAGGAGGTGGAGGTTGCAGTGAGCAGAGATTGTGCCATTGCACTCCAGCCTGGGCAACAGGGCAAGATTCTCTCTCCAAAAAAAAAAAAAAAAAAAGAAAAAAAAAAAGAAAAAAAAAGTTGTAAAAGGCTAACAACAAAAATAAACCAGATGATTAAAATATATGATTTCAAATGAACTGAGATAATATAAAATATACTTACATTTACTCTAAAGTTTAAGCTATATTTGTGTCTGTGCAGGCTAGATGAATACTTGAGTAATTGGATAGAGTATAATTTCTGTTTTAATAAATATAATTTAAATGGAATCTCAGCATTAAAATTCCTTTCGAAAGAATAACAAAAAAGAGAAAAAAAATGTTCCAGTAAATGGCATTCTATCATTGGTAACGTGCGTCAGATCCCATAGGCTTTTGGAAATTTATTGCATTTACTTGATTATTACACGAGCATGTTAAAGCCAACTGAAAGAAAACAAAATAAAAAAATTTATACTTCACTGGCCTAACTTAAACTGTGCTAGAAATTTGCAGTGGCATCGGCTGCTACAGAAATGGGGTGATACAGGAATAGTTAACTATGTAAAAATGCAATACTTACTACTACATTTGTGAAAATAGCATATAACTTCCCATTACTAAAACAGAAGTTACATAAATTTTTTCCTTTTACATTCCTTATGAATGGATTTAGGTTTTGGATTACCTATATAAACTATCTCAAATCTATTGCTTTACTTAACTCACTGGTAGAGACTTATAAACATATTATTACAGAAGAAACATAGAAGCCAATAAGAACCGAAACACTATTGAGTATAATTATCAAATTATTAGTAAGAATGCTTCCAAATGCATTCCACTATGGAATTCAAGCTGTCTTTGGTTTTCAGATTATTCTCCTTCATTATATTATTGGTTTCATGTTATTATTACTCATTTCACCATATTAGATTTTATATTATTTAAAGTGAAATGTGTATCATGTTCATCTTTATATTTTGTTTTTATACATCAATAAGAACATACCTAGAAAAATGCCTTGTATAGCTTAAGTGTCTAATCAGTGTATATTATATAAAGGTGAATTTCAATATGAATAAACCCATCAACTATTTTATTTTAGTCTCTAAATTGAAAAAGCTGTTCTTTGTAACATGGACCAGTGAAAATGAAGTTACATAAAATATGTGATGATAATAATACAATATTTAATATTATATATAAAACAATATCAACACAATTTAATGTCAGATCAAAACAACAACAGAAATTCATTAGAGTAAGAAGAGAAATTGAGAAGGGTGAAGTTTCTCGAATACAGAAACATTGTGTATACATCCTCCTAGATTTAGCGAGGCATCCCTATTCTGTGATTCACCATTGGTGAATGATTAATTAAGAGTTGATACTTACAGAGAGTAACTTGCCTATTTTGGTCTCAGTAGTCATATGGTCCTTCCTTTTACTTTGTGTATGAAACATTCAATGTATCCAGAGTAAAGACAATCTATTTAATAATTTGCCTTGTGGAGACAAACAGAAGTTGTTTAGCTCTCTATCTTACTATCATTTTCCATTTTCACAACAAGATTGATAATTCAGACATGCTGGGTAAACCTATAACATGTGGCTATCTTGTACTTTCTATCCCCAAATAATAGCAATAATATTTGTACATTTTCTTTTGGATCTTTCATATTGCCTCAGTTAAAAAACAAACAAAAAAGGCATTATCAGCAGGAACAATGTGGGTGCATTAGGCAATGCTGAAATGGAAACTTGCTGAAGGATAGCTTATATGAGCAGAGCTTGCAGAATAGTTCCCAAGAGTAGTATCATAGAAGATAGAAACTCAGGTAAATTCTTCTATAAATATTTTAATACTAATGAAAAAAATCTTGAAATTTGTCCCATATTTCTCAGGCAGTAGCCGTAAGTACAGAGAGCATAAGGGAACATAATTCAAGAAACTGTGAATACAAATTTTGTTATTCTAACTCTAAACTCATGATTTGGCAGTAATCTAGTCTTAAATTTCAAAGGAAATAGCTATGATTTTATATAATTTAACCCTCCCTTGAAAGGTAAATTCAAGTTAATGCTATGAATCAGTAGATTACAATTTCACAAATGAATAACAGTTTTGTAAACTGCAAAACACAATAAAATCAGAGATTTACTGCTTTCAAAGTCTTTACAAATTATTATTAATTATTTTATTTTAACCTACTACTACTCAGCTTTATTCTCTGAATGATGGGGTATTTTCTACACCTACTTATTTTGGTATATTCATTATCTATCTTTTCGCCCAAGCTATTAACCTGGTCAACAAGACTTCTTCTCCTCCCTTAATCTCCAAGTTTAACCTGATACCTATACATCTAATTTTACCTTTAAGTTATTCTTTTGTTTTCAATTTTCTTCTCCTCTTTATTTTCCATGACTTATTAAATTCCCTTCAACTTGTATCTAGCATACTTTGATTTCCTTTCTGATTGGTCTCCTCACTTGAATATTGCCTTCACCAAGGAAGAAAATATGCCCATTTTAATGGTCTGATTCAGCATTTCTCAAAACGATATTTACCTAGAAATCACCCGGGAACTTTGTGAAATGACAGATTCTGATTCAGTAGATCTGGAATAGAGTCTGAGTTCCTTTACAGGCTCACACATGATGCTAATGATGTTGTTCTGCAGATCACACTCTGAGAAGCAAGACTGTTAGCAAAACCTTAAATGTTCATGTTACTCTCTTTCATGAAATTTATCACAGCAGCCCATTGCTGTTGAAATATAGTCAACATACCTTAGAGTGGAATATGAAGCGGAGCACTTCTTTAAGCGCTTCTCTTTCTCAGTGGCAGGCCTTGGTGTGTAATCTACCAATACCACACTTGGGAGTATTTCTCCCCAAAATGTTGTGTCATGCCTACATGCATGTTTATTCATCAGAGTAAGAGGGACAGACCCAATAGGAGAGAGAGAGAAAGAAAGAGAGGACTTATTAGGAAGAGAGCGACAAAATTACTTTTTCTTTGCCTTTTTTTCTATCCAGCCCCCAATCAATTTGATAGTTCCTGCCATATTGAGTATGGATCTTTCCCACTCAGTCTACCAATTCACATGCCAATTTCCTCTGGGAATACCCTCACACAAACACCCAGAACTGATGCTTTACCAGTTCTCTAGATAATCCTTAATCCAGTCAAGTTGATACCTAAATACTCCATCACACCTCTTGACACACTCTTGGCCCTGTCTAGGACATTTTCATTGCCGTTTTGCTGTTTTCAAGACTCACTTTTACTTCTTGAAGGAAACGTTCACTGGCAGCTTCAGGCTTGGGTTTACTACTTTTATACATGCTCCCTTATCACTCTGGGTTTGATGTTATGATGCCACTTACAACTGTTCTGAAACTATTCAGAGGTATTTCCCTCACTGGTTTGTAAGTTCAAGGCATTGGGATTTTCACCTTTGTATCCCATAGGCCTACCCACGGTACTGATATATAATAAAAGATAATAAATATTTGCCTAACTCAATTGATGATATGTGAGTTCACTTCTCGAATTTGTCCAAATTATATATGTGGCTGAAGTATTGCTGGAACAAGTGAGATATTAAATATAAAGTTTTTCACAATATTTACTGATTTCCATATTCTGTTTTTATGGTATTTAGTGATGTCCCTTTACTGATTCCTGGTGCTGTCTACTTGTGACTGCTCTCTTTTGTTCTCTGACCTTTTTTTTGCCAGAAGCATCAATTTTATTAGTTTATCTTCTGGCTGTGTAGATCACGTTTTTTGTTTGTTTTCTATATCCTTCATTTCTTCTCTTATCTTTATTATTTATTTTCCTCTTCAGTTTTGGTTTTCTTTATTCTTTTATTAACATTTTTCTGTCTTCTTAAGAATTATGCTTAAGATCATTAATTTTCAGCTTTATTATTTTTTAATATATGTGTTTAAGTCTACAAATTTTCCTCAGAGCAATAGCTAGATCTTGTAAAGTATGATTTGTATTATTTTATTACTATTAAGTTCAAAATATTTTGTAACTTCCATTGTGACTTCTTGATTTTGAGTTATTTAGAATTGTATTGCTTTTTTCAAAGTATGAGATTATTTTCTCATTAACATGAACAAAGAGCGTACTTTGTATAATTTTATTTTTTTATTATTTATTAATTAATTAATTAATTTATTTTTGAGATGGAGTCTCACTCTTTCACCCAGGCTGGAGTGCAGTGGTGCGATCTCGGCTCACTGCAAGCTCTGCCTCCCAGGTTCACGCCATTCTCCTGCCTCAGCCTCCTGAGTAGCTGGGACTACAGGTGCCCGCCACTGCACCCAGCTAATTTTTTCTATTTTTAGTAGAGACGGGGTTTCACCGTGTTAGCCAGGATGGTCTCGATCTCCTGACCTTGTCATCCACCTGCCTCAGCCTCCCAAAGTGCTGGGATTACAGGCGTGAGCCACCGCGCCTGGCCCATACTTTGTATAATTTTAATCCTTTTGAATTGAGATTTATGTTATGGCACAACAAAAGACCAGCTTTGATGAATGTTTAATGTGAGTTTGAAAATAATGTGTATTGTGCCATTTCTCTGTGCATGTTCTTTTCTTTTGTGTCCTATCAATGAAAAAAATATTGTTAAAATGTCCTACTACATTGAGCTGTGTCTATTTATTATCAAGGGAACATTGGCTCCAAATGTCTAGCTTACTTCTCTTTTTTTCTCTTCTTCTGAATGTTTAACCCACAAATTCCTTGCACTGGTAGATCTCCAATGAAATCTTTTTAACAAAGTAAACATTTTCTGCATTTTAAAATTTATCATGCCTAGAAATTTGTATCTACAATCTACTCAGCCATTGTTAAAGTCCCTGGATAGCTCTTTAAAGGTATATCATATATAAGTTATTTCTAAAATGGCAAAGGGTCAATTTACATTTATTCTTTATCTTGACTCAAATTTGGTATTTCATATTCTGGATGAAAACCTATTTTCTACATTTTCATATTTTTCCCTTAAAGTTGTTCTCTTATATATTTTTTTCATATATGAAGATTGCTTATAAAGTGTCTGCTTCTTATGAACTAAAACATACCCTCTCGAAAATGAAATAAAATAAAATAAAATAAAAATAAATAAAGTAAGATTAAAAAATATCAAATACAAACTTAGAGTGTATCCCAATGAGTTGGAAACTGAATACAAATTAAAGGACCTTAAGATATTTTGAGTGTACTCTAGTGAAAAACTATAGAATAAATACAAACCGTGTAATACATTATTTTTCCCTCTGCACACTTTGAGAAGATTTGAATCATATGAGTGAGTTTTCTCATTCCGGACTACTTACACATTTTTAAGATTTCTTTTGCATATCTCAGAATAGATTTTTCTGGGATTTCTTGTTGGTTTTTAAAACGCAAATTCTGTAAATTTCTTGGTAAGTTTTTCTTCAAATTTAATATATATTGCTAATATTATTTTCCCCCATTATTATTCTCCCATACATTATTATATGTTCCAAAGGTTTAAGATAAGTATATATATATATATATATAGAGAGAGAGAGAGAGAGAGAGATTTATGTATAATAAATCTTATATATAGTTTTAGATATTTATGTATAATAAATCTTATATGTATACACATATATAAATTATTTTTAGGTATTCTGTTGCATCAGGGTTTTTGTACAAGAATTTTTTTTCTTTTTCTTGCATAAAACAAACTTCTCATATCTACTTATTTGTCTGACAGATTATGACCACTGAGTTTTTGGCTTACTAAACCTTTTCACCAATAATTCTTTCTTGACTCGTAAAGTTTGGGCAAGGCCTATCTCTTCTACTTTATTTCATTTCTCATAATATGCAACTCACTTAATTGTAATTCTCTGTATTCCCCAGGAGCAGTGGTTAATGATTGATTAGTTATACGTAAAGTAATTATTTGTAAAGGTTTTATTTGCTTCCAAAATAAAGGGGCCTAAAGCAAAGGAAAAAAAAAAAGGCAAATACTGCATGATCTCACTTATATGTGGAATCTAAAAAAAGGTAAGCTCATAGAAACAGAATAAAATGGTGTGGAGGGACTGGGGAGGCTGTTGTCAAAGAACACAACATTAGAGGCTGTGGGGTGGAGGGATTGGGGAGATGTTGGTCAAAGAACATAACATTTCAGTTAGATAGGAGGAATTAGTTTAAAATATTTATTGTATAACATGGTAAGTATAGTAAATAATAGTGTACTGTATACTTAAAATTTGCTGAGAGATTTTAAGTGTTTTCACCATAAAAATTACAATTATGTAAGGTTATACATATATTAATTAGCTGTGCTTAGCCATTCAACAATGTATACCTATATCAAACCAACAATGTTGGGCCAGGTGTGGTGGTTCATGCCTGTAATTCCAGTACTTTGGGATACCTAGATGGGAGGATCACTTGTGCTCAGGAATTGGAGAACAGCCTTGGCAATATAGTGAGACCTCATCTCTACTAAAATCCAGAAAAATTAGCCAGACATGGTGGCCCACACCTGTAGTCCCAGCTACTTGAGTGGCTGAGGTGGGAGAATTGCTTGGGCCTAGGAAGTAGAGGATGCAGTGAGCCATGGTCCTACCACTGCACTCTAGCCTGGGTGACAGAGCAAGACCTTGTCTCAAAACAACAACAACAAAACATGCTGTACACCATAAATATCTATGAGTTTTATATATCAATTAAAAAATAATAAAGGGGTCTGTGCCGTACCCTTGGCGATTAGGACTCAATAAGTCTGGAATGTGGCTCAAGCATGCACATTTAGCAAAATGGTCCTCAGTTTAATTCGGATGCACAGCTGGGGCCGAGGAACACTGCTGTAGGCTAAGCTGTGTGAACAAACGGACTCTGATAATTTCACTGTTTCATTCTTAAGCAGCAAAATATTTGGCACAAAAGCACGTGATAATTATTTAATTACAAAAGATTAAGCTAAATATTGATTTTTTACATATATTTTGTAATCGGCCACCTTAGTGTTCCTTTCAGAGGCAGGCATGGTGTAAGTTTTAATTATTTTTCCTTGTTTTAAATTATTTTGCCTAATTCGTTTTATCATACAATTATATTTACTAAGAATTCCAGAACAAAGTTAAATTGTGTCAATATAAAGATACATTTTTCTGTCCTGTTTCTTACTTTATTTGGAATGTATTTAGTGTTTTACCATTAAGTATTATATCATATTGACAATTATTTGGAGATTTATATTTAGCTATTTAGTTATGAAACTTCCCATCTTATTTCACTAAAGATATTTTTTTTTTTTAATCAAGACTGGACGTTGCATTTTACCAAGTGCCTCTTGTAAATTTTCATAGATGTAAATGTATGTACATGGATAAATTCTTTTGCAGTTTCATCTATTTTCAGGGTAATCCTTATAGAAAGAAAAAAAAACCCATACTTACTGTAAGAAAGGGGTTAACAATGAGTTCTTTGTCCTATCCTGTTTCTCACATATGCCTAATGCTTCAGCTAGAGTTCAAATTATTTTTGCAATGTTAACTCAAGAATTTATAACAGAGACTAGATCCAATATAGATGAGAATCTGATCAAGAACTATATGCCAGACTAAGAACTGTACTTCATCACCAATAATGTTTATTGAATAACTAGTTGCCAGTATTGACGAGATGTGAGCTAGTCATTGCTTTTGAGGGGCTATGTTACTAGCATTGTGAAATGTGACCATAGTAGTTATAGATTCTCTAGACTTAGGCAAATATGTGTGTCTCAAGTGTGAAATAATTTTAGGACATAGGAAGGTGCACTAGAGATTCATAGGACCTCCACTTTGCTGTTGCTGCACATGCTACATTAGCAACCTGTCTTGCATTCTTTCTTAAAATTAAATAAATTTAATGTTATGTGAAGAGTGCTGTGTCTTATGAATTTGCCTGTTAATTCAAAACTAAAATTGCCACTGCTGTTTGAACAGAGAGCTAACATGAAAAGATTTTCATATTCTGAAATGAACTCTATTTAGACATGGCATATTATTCTCATAGTAAACTGCCAACTCTACCCATATTTAATTTAGAAATTTTATAAGTATAGTTCCAAACTTATATTGATCTATATTTCTCCCTTTCTATCACATTCCAGTTCAAACATTATACAAGCTTTAAAAAATCATATTTTCCAATCTCAGATTCATCGTGTTTCATTTTTATTTATTTGTATTTTTTCTCCTTATATCCACATTAATTTCTCATATTGTAATTTAGATTATGCTTTTTTCCTAAAGTATCTGTAATGAAATGCTGAGCCATTTCTTCTATTCAGATATGACTACCAAATTAATTACATAGATAGCCACACATATATACACATACACAAGAACATACATGATGCTAAAATACAGTTTGAAATCACGTATTTGCACAATTGCAGGCTATGATGAAGTTAGCCTCATCTCATATTAAGATAACTAAATACAGATGTCATTTGTTGTGTTGCTGTGCCTTCATGTTTTGAACTAATAACTAGTAATGTCTGCCCAGGTCATATGAACACTAGTACAAAATAAAATCTCAAGACTGTGCTTCCAGCCTTGATGGAGTACTGGACTTCCCTTGGAGTGGTAAACTATTAGAATATATAAAGCAGCTCTCTTCATATATTGGATAATAAGCAGGACAGGACTATGGTCTGTCAAAAAAGGGGTAATCAAATGAAGTGCATGCAATAACAGCTCCTGCTTTCTGCTAGGGAGAAATGGAAAATAAAAGAATCACAAAGGAATTACTAGAGATGAGAAATACAGTAACTGAAAAAAAATTTACTAGATGAGATAGTTATGAGATTAGACCCTTAGGAAAAAAAGATCAATGAACCTGAAGATAGAGCAATAGAAACTATCCACCAACAACAGGGAGTATAAAAGACTGGAAAAATAAAATAAATAGAAATTCAGTGACCTGTGTGAGAACATCAAGCAATCTAGGTTCTGTGCAATAGAAGACTTCTTATATAGAAATGAGTTGAATAAGATGACTATGGAATGACATAGAAAAGACAAGTTGCATACAGATATGCTATAAATACTTTTTTATTGGAAAAAATCAAGTTGCTTAATTTTGATGATGTGGTAGGAATGTGAGAAAGACTAAATGAAAAAGATATATTCTGCAAATTAGAGTAGGAATTGAATAATATTCAGTATATATTACAACAAAAAATGGGCAAAGAAACCATTAAAATATAGAAAATTAATTCATTCCACTTACTGAATTGTCTCAAAGTTTCTGGAGAAAACAGCAGTTTTAAAATATGGAGTTATGAGCTCAATAATCATGTATCATATAAAATTTGTCAATTTTTAATAGGCCAAATTAATATTTAGCAAAAACACAAAAACTCCAATTTAAGATTTTTTAATTTAAAGTTTTTATCTTCCCACATTTCTCGTATTTCTTGGATCTGACCTAAATGTTGAACTTTTATTAAGTCAAAGGAATTTCTGTTTTCACATAACCTAAAAGAAGGCATAATATTTATGTGTAACATGTCTAGAATCACACCTTTTTAATACTTGCCCTAGTTTGCTTTATTCTTTGGAATATATACAGTCCAGAAAGTGTCTCCGTCATGATACTTTTTCACTGGTTCCATTTTGAAATTTGATAACCAAAGAAAGACACAATGAGAACACTTGGACCCAGGGTGGGGAACATTACACACTGGGGCCTGTCATGGGGTTGGGGGCTGGGGGAGGGATAGCATTAGGAGAAATACCTAATGTAAATGACGAGTTAATGGGTGCAGCACACCAACATGGCACATGTATACATATATAACAAACCTACACGTTGTGCACATGTACCCTAGAACTTAAAGTATAATAATAATAAAAAAATTGATATACCTTTTAATAAAATATAAATAGCAAAAAATTTTTTTCCTCCCATTCTGTAGGTTGCCTGTTCACTCTGATGATAGTTTCTTTTGCTGTGCAGAGGCTCTTTAGTTTAATTAGATCCCATTTGTCTATTTTGGCTTTTGTTGCCATTGCTTTTGGTGTTTTAGTCATGAAGTCCTTGCCCATGCCTGTGTCCTGAATGGTATTGCCTAGGTTTTCTTCTAGGGTTTTTATGGTTTTAGGTCTTACATTTAAGTCTTTAATCCATCTTGAGTTAATTTTTGTACAAGGTGTAAGGAAGGGATTCAGTTTTAGCTTTCTACATATGGCTGGCCAGTTTTCCCAGCACCATTTATTAAATAGGGAATTCCTTTCCTATTTCTTGTTTTTGTCAGGTTGGTCAAAGATCGTGTGGTTGTAGATGTGTGGTATTATTTCTGAGGGCTCTGTTCTGTTCCATTGGTCTATATATCTGTTTTGGTACCAGTACCATGCTGTTTTAGTTACTGTAGCCTTGTAGTATAGTTTGAAGTCAGGTAGCATAATGCTTCTAGCTTTGTTCTTTTGGCTTAGGATTGTCTTGGCAATGTGGGCTCTTTTCTGGTTCCACATGAACTTTAAAGTAGTTTTTTCCAATTCTGTTAAGAAAGTCATTGGTAGCTTGATGGGGATGACATTGAATCTATAAATTACCTTGGGCAGTATAGCCATTTTCACGATATTGATTCTTCCTATCCATGAGCAAGGTATGTTCTTCCATTTGTTTGTGTCCTCTTTTATTTAGTTGAGCAGTGATTTGTAGTTCTCCTTGAAGAGGTCCTTCACATCCCTTGTAAGTTGGATTCCTAGGTATTTTATTCTCTTTGAAGCAATTGTGAACGGGAGTTCACTCATGATTTGCCTATTTGTCTGTTATTTGTGTATAGGAATGTTTGTGATTTTTGCACATTGATTGTGTATCCTGAGACTTTGCTGAAGTTGCTTATCAGCTTAAGGAGATTTTGGGCTGAGACAATGGGGTTTTCTAAATATTCAATCATGTCATCTGCAAAGAGGGGCAATTTGACTTCCTCTTTTCCTAATTGAATACTATTTATTTCTTTCTCCTGCCTGATTGCCCTGGTCAGAACTTCCAACACTATGTTGAATAGGAGTGGTGAGAGAGGGCATCCCTGTCTTGTGCCAGTTTTCAAAGGGAATGCCTCCAGTATTTGCCCATTCAGTATGATATTGGCTGTGGGTTTGTCATAAATAGCTCTTACTATTTTGAGATACATCCCATCAATACTTAGTTTACTGAGAATTTTTAGCATGAAGGGCTGTTGAATTTTGTCGAAGGTACTATTTCCAAGTTTCATGCATTGTCAGTTTTTTCTTCTTTAGATCATCCTCACAATCACTCAATACCCACCAACAAGGAAAGTGTGATGGTGAGGAAGTCAGAGTGAAAAAGACAGTGATTTCAACTGATTATAGTTAAAATGTCTTACTTTTCACATTTTACAAAGACATGTGACCCTGGAAAGCCAATGTTAGCACCCATCCTAAGGCTGTGAAGGTGGTGGGGGATACTGAAGCTTATTTAGTTTCATTATCTTTCTGGAGCATCTCTCTTCTCTAATAGCCATTCTTAAAAACATGCAAATAAAAAACATCTTAATAATGTAAGAATTTTGAAAATTGAGTGAGGAAAGAATTCAAATTGTATTAATGCTCCTACAGTATTTTTGGGGTACACAAATGGGACAAGGTAAACTCCATCCTTCTAGAATCTACAATTTCCCACAGAATGATTCATGTTTCTTTTTTTTTTTAAAGCTTCTCTAATGAAACAATTTATTCTAAATGCAAAGGTCTCCTTACTTCAAATATTAAATTTCCTTTCTCTTTTTCCTAAAAGGGCTGTCTAGTACTATCTAAACTATTTATATAGTTATAATAGATGTTAATATTTTCTCTGTAAAAATATTTCATTTTCTTTTATAGAGATCAGATATCTCTTTGTTGCCCAGGCTGGAGTGCAGTGGCACAATCATAGCTCACTGTTGTCTTTAACTCCTGGGCTCAAATGATCCTTCCTCATCAGCTTCCCAAGTAGCTGGGGCTACAGGTGTGTGCTACCATACCTAGATGAAAATACTTTATTCTTAAAATACCAAATTTTATATCATAAAACATTCTCTGGCTTTATCAGTAATGTTCGTTTGAGATTTTAGAGTTCATATTTTCTAAATGAACATTGTGGGATATTGTTATCATCTGCTGTATTCAATTTTTATTTCTAATTTTTCTCAATTAATGTTTAAATGTATATATTTTTTTATTGGTTTTGAACCAAGAACTCCTGGTTTACTGTATTCTCAAGCAAGATTTGAGTTGATTATGGTTTCCAGTGGAACTCAACCTCTGTGGAATAGGTCTTAAGATGGTTCAGGATTTTAACCTTCAAAAAAATTTGGTATTCAGTGATTGATAATAGCGCCAGTTTTCTGGAAGCCTATTTTGCTTGCCCAGGATGAGTTTTGTAGAAAGCATTAGGTTTCATCAACTAGACAACACCATTTGGAAGGAATGTTCTTTTATTCGTTGACTGTTAGGTTGTGATAAGCCATTTTGCTTTTGGAAGTGATCTAGTTAGTGTAGTTCCCTATCAATTAAGGTAGCAGCCAGGTGTCTCATGCCGTGGTTCTGCTTTGATAACTACATAAGAGCAATTCTAGCTTGCTTATGAGGCCAAAGAGCAAGGAAGAGCCACTTACAAGACAGATACTTATACTTTATTATAACAAAATGTCCTAAAAGAAAATGTTGGCTATACTAATTGAAGTAAATGGGATGGATATTTATTCTATGGATAATGGATACCTCAAAAAAGAAATTATAGACAGTAATGAAACCTATGTCTAGAAATATGTTGCTGGTTCTTCTAGAAAGGCAGAATGAAATTTTCAAATCTCAACTGCAAATTTACATGGTTATTTTAGCTACCTGTTCTATGAAAAGGAGAAATATGTCATTTCTCCAGAAAAGGCCCATTGGATATCAAAATTCTGCTACTCACCTGGGTTCTCAACTAAACTTTGACAGTATTAATTGCTTTAGGAAAATTACATAACCTCCCTGTTGGTTTCTCTGTTCTCTAACTGTTCTCTAGACTCAGCAGTGATATTATGCATATATTATATACATATGTCAGCAGTAGAAGACTTTAAAAAAATAAAACCTCTTAATAAATTTTTGATATGTTAAACAGATACCAATGACTTTTTATTAGTAAACATTTCTATTTTAATGTAGATTTCATTACTACAAAATCAATCAAGTAGAACATTGGAAAGGATCTAATGTAAACAAAAATTTGAAATTAGAAGCTATAGATGACAATAAGGCTTATGGCATATTTTGCAGTCAGATAATTTCTGTTTTATTCCCTTTCAAGTTATCAACATGATCTTCATTCATATAGATAATTCCTTATAGCTTACAAAAAATTTTCACTTTTGTCATGTTTTATTTTGCATCTTGGCTTGCAATATGCAAGCTGCATGAGAACAGATATCTTCTCTGTTGCATTAATTACATATCTTGGCACTTTACTATAGAGGCTGGGAATACAAATATTTGATGCATTAGCTTGTTGAATATATTTCAATGTCAAAACAAAATGCTAATAATAATGGTATTAATAATCACTACTATTTTTGAGCATCTCTTTGCTACGTAAAATTGTATTTGCTTTACAGATATCCCCTAACTTAGTACTTATAATAACTTAAGATAAGGTATTACTATTAAGAGATTAGGTAAATTCCAAGATTTCAGAATTAGTTTTTACCAGAGCTGAAATTAAAATCCATGCAGGCTGACTTATGAGAAAATATTCTCAACTAGTAATACTAGAGTAAGTTTCTCAAAATAAACTAAACCTGCAATAATTAAAGGTAAGTTGTATTTTGAAATAATAAGTTAAATCTAAATTAATTAAAATTAAATGCAGAAAATCAGTTTACCTGTCCTATTAGTTATATTTCAAGCTCTTAATGGCCACATGTAGCTAGTGGGTATTGTATTTCATAGTGCAGATATGGAACATTTCTGTCATCACAGAAAGTTCTATTTAACAGTGTTAATCTAGAGCAGACATTGGCAACCTTTTTCTGTAAAAGGCCAGAGAATCTTTAGTCTTTGGAGGCCACACTGGTTTCTTGCAACTACTCAACATTGCCATTGCAACATGAAAGCAGCAATAGACAATACATTTAAAAAAACGAGCATGACTGTGTTCTAATGACATTTTATTTATAGACAACGAAATTTGAATTTTATATAATTTTTATATGTTATGAGATGTTACCTTTTCCTCAACCATTAGAAGTATAAAAACCATTCTTAACTCTGAGATCAGAAAATAACAGGCAGTGGGCTGAAGTTTTCTGATTCCTGGTCCAGAAATTCCCTAACATCTTAATTCCAAAATGCTATAATCATACGTTATCCACAAATTTCAACAAAATTATTATCTGTCTGATTATGAAACATTAATAAGAATTACCTCTAAGACTCACTTTCCCATACTTTTATATCCTTTGAATATTTCAGTTTTATGTTAATTATTAAAAGGAAGTAAATTTTCTGAAGATTTCTTTTGCCAATTAGTGTTCCTTTAGATTAAAAACCATGTCTAATGTTGGCTGTAGCAGTCTCAGAAGTTTGCAAATTCGTGACCATTAGTAGAACTTTGGCTCCTGCTTCTTGAATTAGTGTATTTGTAAACCTAAAAATTTGGAAATGCAAGAAGTTGTTTGTTGTACAGATAATGTTTCACAGCTCATGACGCATAGCAAGGGTTGTATAACATAAAAGATTATTATAATTACTTTTTCCAAATTGTATAATAGTGAAGTGTAGAAAAGAAAAGAGGTTTAAAAGGATCAACTTTGTGGGGATTATGCCCTCTCTGACAGTTAACAATATGTAAGGTTTTCCCACTGTTTCCATTTCTAGTAATAAATCAAAGAGTGGTCTACCATGGTCAGTTCAATAGAAGTATTTTCAGGTCATTTAATTAACAAATCTAATGAGTCTTTATGAGGTATTTATGAGGTTTAGTATATCCTTATTTATTTTTTTTCAACATAATTATCTCAGAGAGTGAATGGTAAGCCTACTTGTTTCTCACCATTTTCTGAAAATTCAGAATGTAGTGAAGACTTTCTTAGTCATCTAACAGAAAAAATATTATCCATGTATTTAGACCAGTGTTTTTCAGTGTGGTGCCCAGGACCAACCCCAGACCATGAAGTAGTGCTGGGATGAGTTGGTAACTGGACATCAGAAATTACCTGTAAGTTACCAGGAAATTTTAATGTGCAGCAAGGATTACAAACCAATGATTTAATAAAACATATAATTAAGAGCTTTTCTTTCAATTCTTCCATGATATTAAAATAGGAGCCTGAGCTATCAACCAAACTACCTCAACACCCAATACACTGCATAGGACAGCAGTGGAAAGAGAATAGCTGTCCGAAGTACCTTGCTGGTGTAGCGATCATAAGGAGATCATCCACAAACGTTAATAACATGGTGAAGTGCAGTAGTGATTAATTAGAAGGTGCTGCAGCCTGGTTGTGGGTGTCACAGAAGCATGAACATAGTTATAGCCTAGTTTTGGACAGAGATGCACACATATATAACAATACAAATCTAGATTTTAGGTCATGGCACTGGGACTCTTAAGAGCTGATTTAAATTAGTGGCCATTCAAATATTATACAGATTATTGACTAGTTTGTTCAATATTCTAAAATAATTTATAAAATGTACCAAACAGCAGATAATATAAAAACCAGAGGATATAGATCAAATAAAAATGTAGTAATATAAGAAATCATAAAGTAAAGAATGTTGGATTATATTAAGAACTAAAGGATGAAAGATATTCAGGATTCGAAAGTGATAAGATTAATGTGATATTTAAATATAATTAAACTAAATGATATATATTAAATGATATAAACAGTATTATGAATCCTTCTGAGAAGGCATTCTAGATTATTTATAGTTCTATTGGAAATTGAACTTAATATTCCAGGAAATAAAAAGAAAAAAACAGCAAGGAACTTATTCAGATCAATTATTGTAAAGTGATATAAAATCCTTGGCAAAAAAAAAAATTGTCAGTAAGAAGATGAAATATTAACCAAGCTTTTATTTTAAAGTATGTGGAAATGTCTAATTTGTCTATTATTAGGAGCATTTAACAACTTTTTTTTTTCCAGCCAACCTCTGCAGATTATTTTAATCTATTTTTTCTCTTAGAAGGCAAATAATGAATTTTGAATTTTATATTAGGATTTTTTTTCATAGTCATATAAGTAGAACTTTGAACAGTGATTTTACTAAGTTACTCAGAGTAAAAATAGTTATTTGATTACACTTACTCATAGTAAAAATAGTTGTTTGATGACACAAGTATATGAAATAATTTTGCATAATGTGGCAGATAATATGCATGTTAAGTCGACTGCACTTAGAAATTGATGTGAAAAAATTTGCAAGGAGACACAATTTGTATGTATCTTTCCTTCTTTAAGCTTATTTTTGTGAGTACATTATATTGCATCTCATATAGACACTCATTATAACTTTATCTGTGGCAAGATTTTATGGAATGACAGGAAAGTGAGTTATGGAGCTGTATTAAGATCTCCAGTAACCGAAGTTTGGATTTCTTGGTCTGCTGAGTTTTAAGTTTGAAAGTTTTGCATGCATTACCTATTTTTATAGACTTGAAACCCTTAGAATGTTAAAACATGTGAGAGCTATATCTATATAAAACTAAAAATGTGACTAAAGTTATCAATACTTCAATTTTGATGACGGTTTGAGTTTTTTCTTGATAATACTTTCTTATCCCAATGTTTGGAAATGTGTAATTCAAGGATCAATTGTTTCTAGACCTAAAGGTTTTCTGCAGTGCATAAAAGTTCTGCTATCATGAATTTGATGTATGTAGACATAGTCCATGATATGCTTTGGCTCTGTGTCCCCACTCAAACCTCATCTTGTGGCTCCCACAATTCCCATGTGTTGTGGGAGGGACCCGGTAGGAGATGAGTGAATCATGGTGGAGGGTCTTTCCCATGCTGTTCTCATGATAGTGAATGGGTGTCACGAAATCTGATGGGTTTAAAAAATGGGAGTTTCTCTGCACAAGCCCTCTCTTTGCCTGCTGCAATCCACGTAAGATATGACTTGCTCCTCCTTGCCTTCAGCCATGATTGTGAGGCTTCCCAGCCACATGGAACTATGAGTTCTCCATTAAACTTCTTTCTTTTGTAAATTGCCCAGTCTCAGGTATATCTTTATCAAGCGGCATTAAAACAGACTAATATAGTCCATTATTTGCTTTTAAATCTTACTATATGTCACTTATGTTTCGCTGCTATTAGAAATCATTGGGAAAATAATATGCAACTGTCAGAAAAGCATTAGTGATTGAGAATTTTGGAAACATGATGCTCTGTCAGTATTTTTTTTGTAACATAAATAACAGCAAAGCTTAACAGATATAAATGAACCTGCATTTCTGTTGTACAAGATGTGACTTTGTACTAATATAGTACAAAAGTTAATATAGTTCCAGGTTAATATGTGCAAAGTTAACCTGGAAAATAGAACCTATTGGGAAGAGAAATGAAGAAATGGTATTTATAAAATGCATAGCTGGCCATAAAATAGTCCAACTTAAAGGATAACTTTCTTCACTTATGTTTAGAACTCATATAGTTGTAAGGTTCCAGAGAGTTTGGTCAAGCTCTGGCACACAGAAACTTACATAAACATACTTAATAGTAAATTAAACTTGCAGTTGCAATAACTCTTTCTTGAGTGAAACGACTGCCTAATACTTTAAACATGTTTTTGATTATATAAGTCAGTGTAGGTCATGAATCATGTGGGTTTTGTCCACTATAAAGTTAATACCTTTTTAATGATGCACATTGAGGGTAATTTTATTCGAATTTAAAGACTAAGATGGAATTCTAGACACTTGGATATACTTCTCATTATTTTTCTAGTTGCTATTTCTCCAGATTTTAAAAGAATCAATTTTTCAGACTGGGTTTTTACAGTGCTTCCTTATTTATTTATTTATTTATTTATTTATTTATTTATTTATTTATTTTTGGCTTTCTTATATTTTAGATTGATGTGTTTCAGCCCAGAGAATTTTTCAGTAGGAATGGGAACCTGAGATTTTCACTGCAACTGCTATACAAATTTAATGATATGGTTTTATATAAAAGCGTACTGCAAACACCAAAAACCTCTGATACTGATTACAATTTAGTTGGACTGTGCCTACAATTAGTGGATCACTTTCATGCTAAGAGATCTAGTGTCCCTGTGATTTACTGTCACTTAAAAAATGCTCCTGAAGAGGTCCAGAATTTCTACAGAAGGCACATTTTAATGTTACCATTCAGTTTTATGACTAAGGTTTAAATGATCACTTGACCCTTACTTACCTTTCCAACCTAATTTAATGTTGTGCATTACCCTAAATCCTCCTTGCTGAACAAATTGTTCTCCTTGTTCTTACCTTTCATTCCATGAACCATTCTGTCTTTGTGTTCTGGCTCATCCTGCTATTTTTGATTGGAATACCTGCCTGCCCCCTCCTCCCTCCTACACTTTCTTTCTTTCTGCCTTTCTTCTTTTCCTTTTTCTTTCTGTTTAAATGTTTCCTATACTATTTTCAGGACTCAGTTTTTGTTCCAGATTGCATGAAGTCTTTTATTACTCTCTCACCTCTTAGTGACTTCTCCATCCTCTGAAATCCTCAAAATTTATTATTTTACCCCTTCTCTGGAACTTGATTTAGAAATGGCATTATACAATCTTCAGAGAAACATAATTATTTAGGTAAAGTATATTGATATTTAGCATCCCCATTTTGGAGAGAATAAAACAAAAAGGAGAACCCATTTGTTACTATCACTCAGAAAACTTGTGACTGACAAAAGAGAGAATCAATATGGTTCATTCCTATACTGTGTCTTAGAGAACTCATTTCCAAAGTTCATCAGCAAAAAATGGTAAAATAAATACCTAAAGTTAAAATTACTTTGCAAGTCCATAGTCTTAAAAATCATTTTATGTCTTTGTCATAAAGTCATTATGATCCAATGGCCTTTGGGAGGAATCATACTTTGCTGTTAGAACACATCTAAGAATCCTTAATAACTTCTAAGATTTCCTCATCTTTATACCAAGTATGGAGGAAATAACTGAAGAAGATGAAGGAGAGAAAGAAGGAGATGATGGTAATGAAGAAGAAATATTTTTTCCTGTGTCCAAAATGGAGTAATAATGGCATTAAATAAAAGACTGTGCAACGCATATAATTTTGAGGAATTCATGCAGATGACACAGAATGGACACATTTTTGGAAGCTGTGATTTGTTCTATATTTTTATTGGTCACCTACAACAGAAAAGTTAGATTTTATCGTCCTCAAATACTTGTCATATTTATGTGGGGTAAAGATATTTTGTCATTGTAAAACTAAAGATGACAGAAATCTGTATTTTATTGGCTCAATAATAAGTGAATGTAGTTTAAAAAGAGGCCACAACAAAGATTTAACTCATTGCCTTATGACTGTTCCTGTAGATGTACCTCCTGTAATAAAATACATAACATACACATAACATATACGGAGTGTTCACTATGTGTCAACTACCATGTGAAACTGTTACATGCATGTCTTATCAGAACAAATTTTGCTTTGTGGATGAGGAAACAAAAAGAGGGTCATAGCAAAGTGACTTGCTCAAATTCACGGAGTTGTCAGTTACTGGGAAAACTGGAATTTGAACCCAAACAATCTGATTCCAGAGCCCTCATTCTTTCTATATTTGTAGGCAGCTAGGCAGGCTCAGAACTACCAATGTTTACCAGCTCTGTTGCTTATCTTCTCTTTTACTGTACTTCTTTAGGACTGCTCTAAGTCAATAACATAGGTATTTTGCTATGCAAATATCTGATTAAGTGAGGACAGGCACATGTTTCCTTTTTTAGGCTAATGTTAAGGGAAATAAAAACCCAATCATATTTTGGGATTCATATGATTGATAGGACCTTGGGAAAAGTAGTCAAACCAATACCGTCATATGTCCTTTTCTTCTTTAAATGTAAATTTGTCCCAACTGAAGTGAAGCCCCCAATATACAACAATTATTGTTTTCCTTATTATATCAATCATACATTAAACATATACATACACATTTATTATTTTCAACTGGCCAAAAATTTTAAGACTGGAAGTAACTGCTTTCAGTTTTATTTCAGAATAATGAAAAAAAATGTTGCAACATTCTATTTTGAGAAGGTAGATTTCAGTTGGATAAGTTTTCATGCAAAAATGTTAACCTTTTTGGATTTTGTTTACGCATTTTTAAAAAAGACCTGTAGAGATTAAACTCCTTAATGCTGGTGCACTGAGCCCTACCATTTATCTATGTTTGTAATTGACATAGCTGCTACTTGACATTTATGGCCAATAATATGATCAGCAGCTATCCTTCCTAACACACTAAACTAGAATGTCTGTGAGCAAAGGACTGTGCATCCCTGGTGCCTCGCATAGATTTTGTTATAGCCTAAGCTCTCAATAAATGTATGTAAAATAAATTAATCAAATATACATTGTCAAATAATTATCTATTCTTTTTAGTTTGGCAATTGGGTCTTATGAAAAAACATTTGGTATTCTAGGAAAGTTATATAGAAGTATAATTATTTTGAATTTTTATTACAACTAATTGAAAATTATAATTTATTTAGTATATGTGATTGCTGGACATTTTTTTTAATGACTTCACTTTAAAAGTGATGTACAGATTCAATGCAATCCCTGTCAAAATACCAAGGACATTCTTCACAGAAATAGAAAAAACAATCCTAAAATGTATGTGGAACTACAAAAGACACTGAACTGCCAAAGCAGTCTTGAGCAAAAAGAACAAAGCTAGAGTCATAACTCTACCCAATTTCAAAATATGCTATGTATGATGTTAGTTGTGAGCTTGTACAAAAATGCTATAAAGTGATAGTAACCAAAACAGCTACCAAGCTGCCCCACCACTTCTTTAAGCAGTCTTCCTTACCAACTCAAGTGTCCATCATGGTTGAGGTCTTCTCCTGCTGGGATTCCAGAGGCTTGTGGTGGAGTGGGTTCCTCTCTGTTCAACTCATTCTCTCCACAGGAGTTGTTGGGGGCCAGAAACAAGTCCCACGGAGCAGTAGTCCCTTGCAGGATTACTGGGTTCCTCCCGCTTCAGCCCAGCTTCTGCGTCTTCCTTCGTCTGCTCTCAATTCCTTCCGTCTGAAGATCTGCTAGGAGTGCACCAGTTTTCCTAAAGTCCTGGTCCTTCAATGGGTGATGTTCCTCCTGGCTGCATCTAGTTGGCCATCTTGGAGCACGCACTTCTACTTTTCAGAGTTTTAAATAACAGTGTTAAAAGTTATGTTTACAGGAATAATTTTATTCCGATCACTGCCAAAAACATTGATTTTATTTCAGTAAAAATTATGATTCCAAAACCTGTTGAAAGCTAAAACTAAATAATGCAAGTACAGGAAATGTCCACCACGTAAATAGCTGTATAATTTGATAAAAAAGAAAAATTACAAAACAATGATAATAAGAAGGTGAAGTGAGAGGCAATGAAAGTTTAAATGTTTAATCATTTGTTTCTTCTCTAAAATGACTCTATTATGTATAATCTTCATGTTTAATAACCAAAAAAAATAGTTTTCTGGAGTCCAAAGAGGCTATCCAAAGTGTGATTAGACCACAAAATTCTGCCTACGACTATGACAGTAAACATACCAGTGTTTTCTATTTATTTTCTTTTTGTTTTTCACAGGTGTTAAGTAGACAATTTGAGACACAGAATAACTTGAAAAATGGCATATTGTCTGTACACAGAGATGTACAAAACCCAGATTTCTGTCCAATATGATAATCTCATTCCTTGGCAATATTTAAATATGCACAACAGCTGCAACTATTCCCAGATCTGACTAACAATTTATCCACGGAGAGCAACTTTCATCAGGAAGAAACACTGAGAAAATGATGGAGCAGCATTTGGGCATTGAACCATGTCTTTAATCAAGCAACGGCAGCAGTAGACTCTTCCCAAGTCATGGCTAGTGTCCTTTTGATCATCATGCATGCATGATGTCCCAATCTCAAATGCCATGTGAAAATCTTATTTCCAAGCAGAACTATAGAAAAACCTTTTGCCCATTCCCAATATTTAGCTATTTTGTCTAAAAAACATTAGCAATATATATTATCTCTGTAACCACTAATATTAATTCACCTTGTAAACTTATTTATCCGCAGTTTTTGCTCACAAAAAAACAAGTAAAATGTCCACCTACCATCAAGTTTAACGTGGAATTAAACATGATTAAAGCCCAATCTTTCATGGTTGGTTGAAGGCTCAGATAAAAGTCAATAAAATTGAGTTAATATCCTCATTATTAAATTAAACGTAAGAATTGAACAGATAGTTACCAGGGCCCGCTTGTGAATACAGTTCAATGGTCTTTAGTTTAGAACCTGATCAATGTATTTCTGTTCCATTTATAATATCCGAAGAAAATTAATGATTTGAGCACAGATTTGGCTTTCTAATTTTTTGTTTATAGTTTATATCTTATCCCTTATATTTGGCACCAGAACAAGGACGTTGAAGTGTTTTTTAAAGCCAGAAATCTTCAAAAAGGCTCATAGTTTTACAATCACACTATGTATTGAATGAATACTAAAAACTCAAAAACAAAAACTTGCCATGCCTAATATGATTTGTAGGCAAGTTTTTTAACTTCATAAAACAGACTATTTCTATCTTATACCAAATATTTTAAACAGTAGAATAAAAGAAGGGAAACTACAGAACTTGTTTAATGAGACTGTTAGAATATTTCATCCAAATATGGTAAGGGCAATACAGGAAAAACAAAAACTACCAACCATTGTAACACATAAAGATAGTAATACCTCAAACTTATCGCAAATTAAAATTGTAACAACAATAGAAGTACTATTGCATGATTAGCGGTCATCCTAAGCATTAAAAATCAACATAGAAAGTGTATCTGTATAAGTGAATATGTGAACGTATTAAAGGAAAAAGTCATATGCCTATCTCATTAGACACAGAAGTATATTTTTTCAAAGTTTAGCACATATCCGTGAAAAAAAAAAAATCCAGCAAGGCAAGATTAAAGGGAACATCCTCAGTCTGATAAAAATAACCAAATATGTACAAGAAAGCATCTGATATCATAATAAAATATTGGAAACATTTTATTTAAAGTGAAGAGAAAGATCAAACTTAATGCTTACATTAGAAATTATAGCTTACATAGAGTTATAAGAATTAGAAAGTACATGAAACCTTTGATATTAACAGAAAATGATACTCTACAGAAAATGGAAAATAATTTACAAAAAAATGGTTACAATTCATCATATATTTGAACATTGTCACTATATAAAACAGCACCTTTTAACTATCTTTCATTTCTGTATACCTTCAATATCAATTAAAATGTCTCCCAAAATTTATATATTGAAGTCTTAACTCTCTATGTATCCCAGAATGGGTACTCATTTAGAAATACAACCTTTAAAGAGGTAAGTAGGGCAAAATGAGATTATATGAGTAAGTCCTAATTCGATATGACTGCTATCCTTATTAGAAGAAGGAGAGATGCCAGGGACACCCATGCATAGAGCAAAGGCCACATGTGAGAACCCAGCGAGAAGGTGGCCATCTGTTAGCCAAGGAGAAAGGCCTCCAGTGAAACAAAACTTGCAAATACCTTCATCTTGGATTTCCAGTTTCCAGGAATGTGAAAAAGTAGATTTCTGTTGTTTCATCCATCCAGTCTGTGGTATTCTGTTATGGCAGCATTGGCAACTAATATAGTAAGTGTGGAAGAAGGGAAGCAACCAAATAACTTACAATTAAATTCTCATCTTTTAGTTCGTCTGTATCTATGGACTGTAATCTTCACAAATGCTTTTAGCTTTTTTTTTTTTTTTAACTTTTTAGGTGAAAATGGAGGGTAAATAAAGATTGAGTGACTTAAAAGCATTTCTCCAAGTGAGATATGGCCCTGGTAAAGTGTTTTACCCTGAGGAGCAGGATTTTTTTTATCAAGAATGCTTTGGTCATATTTCACAATGGTTAATATTCTCCTTCCTCTATCAGAGGATCAAAGGGTCCATCTTAGTGTGAACTTGGTGGGATTCTTAGAGGTAAAACCCAGGAAAGTGCAGGGGCTTCCTTAATACTGCTGCTCCCAGGAGTTTCTCACTTTCATGCTTTACATACTCAGCCTCCAGCCGTTCGTCAACATCACCAGGAAGTGTTCCTACTAGTTAGTGGCTCCCATGGATTCTGTTCCAGACAGGCAGGACTTATTGTGGTTCTCATGTCTCACCTGTCTCTTCAGTGTTCAGGGTGGTGGTTTTCCTCATCACTGATTTTTAGTCTATTCAGTGCTTTCATGTGAGGATGGTAGTGATGACTTCTAAGGTCACTATATACCAAAGCTGAAACCAGAAATTCCCAGAGACACTTTTTAAATCTGGAAGTTGGTAATCTAAGCCCCGTGCTCCTAACAGCTTCACTATTTTGAGCCTAAATATGTTGATCCACTAAACTTTCCAAATCAAGTCTCTGCTTTTAAGAATTGGTGTGGTGATGAGTACTTGATTCAGTTTGTGAATATGAAAATACTTAATGCATATTTTAAATATGAAGAATACAAATAATAAGCTGTAAGTACCACTGCAACATGTAGGCAACTTGCTGAATGTAGCATACAAATTCCATGAGGACAAATACTTCCGTCTTTTTTATTTATCACTTTCCTTCCAGAGCATAGAACTATACTCTACAGGCATTCAGTTTTCAGTAAATATTTGTTGAATAAATAGTTATTCAAAGGAAATGCAGGATGGTGATTTGAGTATGGGTAAAAGAAAGTGATTTATTCCTAGAAATGGCAAGAGTGGGAAAATCTTACATATTTTCAACTGTCAGGGCATAACACCCCCAAAGTTGATCCTTTTAATCCTCTTTTCTTTTTTACACTTCACTCTTATATAATTTTGCAAAAGTACTTATTACAAAAATGTTTTATACCATACGACCCTCGCTATGTGTCCTGAGCTGTGAAGCTTCATCTGTACCAAACACCACTACTTGTATTTCCAAATTTTTAACTTTATAAACTCACTAATTATTTCAGTTGCACAGTGTTTTATTTAACACCATTATTACTCCATTTTGGACACAGGAAAAAATATTTCTTCTTCATTACCATCATTGTCTTCTTTCCCTCCTTCATCTTCTTTATTTCAGTTATTTCCTCCATACCTGGTATTAAGATGAGGAAATCTTAGAAGTTATTAAGGATTCACGGGTTTGTTCTAACAGCAAAGTGTGATTCCTCCAAGGGTCGTTGGATCATAATGACTGAGGGGATGTAAAATAATTTTTAAGACTATGAACTTGCAAAGTAATTTTAATTTTAGGTAATTATTTATTTTACCATTTTTGCTGATGAATTTTGGAGATGAGTTTTCCGAGACTCAGTATAGGAATGAACCATATTGATTCTCTCGTCTGTCAGTCGCAAGTTTTCTGAGTGATGGTAACAAATGAGTTCTCTTTTTTGTTTTATTCTCTCCAAAATGGGGATGCTAAATCTCAATATACTTCACCTAAATAATTTTGCTTCTCTGAAGACTGTATAATGCCATTTCTAAAGAAATAAACACAAAAGTCAGTGCAAAACTGGTACACATTAAGTGTAACTAACTAATCCATTGTTGCAATGACAACCAAAAAACTTACTCTTCACAAATAAAAGACTGAAGGTGTGAAGGAAGCCATAATTTGTTGAGGGAAAATGAACAAATATGAAAAGAGCTTCATTGAATACTGAGTACCAACGTAATACTTATCTTGAAAAGCAAAATACGTAATCATTACTTTCACATTTTCCTATATAGGATATATATTATACAATTACATAAAAAACCAGTACATTTTATCACTGGGTTTTTTTTTCAGTTCAGTTTTTTAGTTCCTGCTATTGTTTCTTTTTGAAGCATGTTTTTATGATTGCAGAGTCTGTAAGAAGAGTACATGCAGAATCTACAAGAAGAGTACATTCTGAATTATTTGATTACTCAAATGATAAAATGGTAAAGTCTAATCTTTTGCTTTTAAAAATATTTGATATTTTAAAAAAAGTAAATAATATACCTTAAAATTTTTTTTCTTTTTTTTAACTTTTATTCTAGGTTCAGAGGTTCATGTCCAGTCTTGTTACATAGGTAAACTCATGTCATGGGAGTCTGATGTACAGATTATCACCTGATTATTAAGCCTAGTACCAACAGTTATTTTTTCTGCTCTTTTTCCTCCTCCCACCCTCCACCCTCTTGTAGGCCCCTGTTTCTCTTGTTCCCCTCTTTGTGTCTGTGTGTTCTCATGACTTAGCTCTTTCTTATTTGTAAGAATATGTATTTGGTTTTCTGTTCCTGCATTAATTTGCTAAGGATAATGGTGTCTAGCTTCATTGACATTTTTGCTATAAACTTTATCTCATTCTTTTTTTACAGCTGCATATGTACTACATTTTCTTTATCCAGTCTTCCACTGATGGTCATTGAGGTTGATTCTATGTCTTTGCTATTGTCAGTAGTGCTGCAAGGAACCTATGTGTATATGTGTTTTTATGATAGAACAATTTATAATGCTTTGGATATATACCCAGTAATGCGATTGCTGGGTTGAATAGATGTTCTGTTTTTCGCTCCTTGAGGAATCACCACACTGCTTTCCAAAATAGTTGAACTAATTTCTACTCCCATCTATAGTATATAAGCATTCTCTTATCTCCACAATCTCATCAGCATCTGTTATTTTTTTGACTTTTTAATAGTAGCCATTATAACTGGTGTGAGATGGTGTTCATTGTGGTTTTGATCTGCATTTGGGAAAAGGACAGTCTAGTCAAAAACTGGTGTGAGAAAAACTGAATATCCACATGCAAAAAAAATGAAATTGGGCCTTTCTCTCTCACTATATACAAAAATCAACTCGAATGGATTGAGGACCCAAATATAAGATCTGAAACTATGAAACATAGAAGAATACATAGGAGAAAAGCTCCATGATGTTGGTTTGGGCAATAATTTTTGAATATGACCTCAGATGCATAGGTAACAAAAGCAAAAGATACACAAATGGAATTACATCAAACTAAAAAGATTCCTCACCGAGTGTAGAAACAACCTACAGAATGGGAGGAAATATTTGCAAAGTATACATCTGATGAGGGGTTGATATCCAAAAATATATAAAAACTCAAACAACTCAATAGCAAATAACCCAATTAAACAATGGGCAAAAGATCTGAATAGACATTTTTCAAAAGAAGATATACAAATAGGCCAAAGGTATGTGAAAATATGTTCAGCATCACTAATCATCAGGGCAATGCAAATCAAAACCACAATGAGATATCACCTCACTTCTGTTAGAATGACTATTACGAAAAGACAAAAGATAACAAGTACAGTGAGGATGTAGAATAAAGGGAGCCCTTGTACACTGTTAGGGGAAATATAAACTGGTATAGCCATTATGGAAAACACCATGCAAGTTTCTAAAAATATTAAAAATAGAACCATCATATTACCATATTATCCAGCAATCCTACTAATGGGTATTTATCCCAAGGAAATAAAATCAGCATGTTAAAAATATATTTGTACTTCCATGTTTATTGTAGCACTCTTCACAGTAGCCAAGATACAGAATCAACCTAAGTGTCTATCCATGGATGAAAAGATAAAGAAAATGTGGTATATATACACAATGGAATACTATTCAGCCATAAAAAGAATAAAATCTTGTCATTTGTGATGAACCTGGAGAAACTTATGTTAAGAGAAATAAGCCAGGCATAGAAAGACAAATACTGCAGGATATCTCTCATATGTAAAATCTAAAAAACAGTTGATCTCACAGAAGTAGAGAGTAGAATGGTAGTTACCAGAGGCTGAGGTGGTTAGGTGGGAGAGGAAAATGGGGAGATGTTGACTAAATGATGTGCATTTAGTTAGACAGGAGGAATACATTTAAGAGATTTATTGTATAGCATGGTGACTATAGCTAATGACAATATATTATATTCTTGAAAAAACAGTGAATATCAAGTGCCAAGATAGTGAATATTAAGTGTTCTCACCGCAAAAATAATGTGAGGTAATGCATTTGTTAATTAAACTATTCCACAATGTAGACATACTTTAAAACATCATGCTGCACATGGTCAATACATCATTTACTAAGGCTTTATCTTATTTACAACAAGCTTTACTAAAGGATCTCTATCTAGATGGAAATAGGATAAAGATAACTATATATTTTCAATATCTTAGACAGCAAAGGCAAAAATAATGATTCAGAATGCTGCCCAGGTTTCTTAAATAAGGTAATATACTAAAATTGTGGTTTTAAAAATAGCGGCTTTGTTAAAATATTCAGGCAATTTATTGATTCCCCATGTAAAAGATAAATTTATCTTAATGGTCAGATAATTGCAGTCCTCTCTCAATTTGCATTGTCTAATTCACCTATTTTTTCATTCTGTGCTGCTACCTATCACAACATCATGTGTGAGAGGTAGAAAAAAATATTAGATAAGTGCTTAAATTCTGAAGAAACCATTTTCCCCTGTTTTGGGTTGTTACTATAAGTCACTTTAAAATATGGCCCAGTTGCTGCTTTAGATATATTCATAATGGTTACAAGTGGCAGTCTGTTCTATATTTACAACTCATGCTCTCTATTATACACTACAAGATGAGATATTATTTTAATACTTCTACAAAGACTTAAGAATGCATTCAGGCATGTTCAATCAATTAGAAATAAGTCCCCTAAGGGTAGCACAGAGGATTATTTTTTCATTTCTAATATTCAAAACAACTTGTATTTGATTAAATGTTGCAGATCAACAAACAGCCTTAAAGATTGATGGCCTCTCAAATCCCTAAAACTGGCCAAGGAGTGTTATCACTCCATGAAATTCCAACTCTGTTTTGAAGAATGATTTCTTCAAAAGCATGGAAAAGAAAAAACAGTATTTTATTTTCTTTTAATACTTAGCACCCTTTGGGACTATAAGATCTCTGGAGAATACACTTTCCCCCCTCTCTCCTTCCCTTCTTCTTTTTATTTTCTTTTTCAGCAAACATATTGGGCACTTATATTGGTCACATATTCCAGGTACCATGCTGCATTCTGAGAATACAAGCATGAATGAGATGTTGTTTCTTATCTGCCAGGGTCTCATAATCTATTAAATGAAATGAACAACTAAGAAGAAAAGCACCAGAGAGTATCACATGCCCTATGACAGATCTTTACTTATTATTTAAAAAATTTAACAAAACACTTACTTGAAAGTTTTTACCAAAATTGTACCATATATTCAATTTTGTGGAAGCTTCTACTAGATTAATGTACTGAAAAGAAAGTGGTCACTTTCACCATTTAATACAGAAACAAGCAAACTTCTAACTATAATTGAAAACTATATATTTTACTAATATATAATTAATGACATGTTCAGTGAAGAGACCTATAATTAAAAAAAAATCCTCAACCTGAAGATCTGTATTCGCTGAATTAAAAGCTATAAGAATGAGACCATGTAGCAGAATATAAAAATAATTTAAATACAACAGCAGAATGCTGATTCTTAAGCAAATCAAATTTTCTCCACAGTATCCCTTCTATAGTTCCCCTTGTGGGGATTAAAGTGGCTTTTGGTTATATATTTAGTTCTACATCATATTTTTCTGGTCCTTGTTTGTGCATTATCAACTCTTACACTTCTTCTTCTTAAGTGAAAAAAAAGCATCAAGATGAATGTATCATTTTAAAATGCTAGATACCAGTTATTTTTCTTCTATGGGGTTTTTCTTTAGAAAACTCAGAAATAGAAGCAGTCTTTGATTATGCACAAATCATTTAATACTTGGCCTTCCATCTGAAATTTCTAAAAAGAGTATTAATTAGTGTTAAAATTAGTCTGCTAATGCAAGATTTGTGAAGTGGGATAGAAAACCCATTTTCATATTTTATTAATTGGTTATTGTGAAATATCTTTTAAAATTATTTCCCTGACTATGTAAACATATAAAGTATGAAATAATCCTTACTCATAATAATAAAACTCGTATTTATATTTCATCATTAGGGATGAAATATAAAATTTTGGCATAGGTCTTTCTATTCTTATATATTTCTTACACACTTAATATCATACTATATATACATAGCTTTCATCTTCCTTTTTAATTACCTTAATAAACTTTTCTCTATCTCATGAAAATATTCAAATTTAACAGCTGCATTATATTATATGATATGAATTTATTTCTCAGTTCTTGGATTTTTAAAGTTGAATTCATATTTCAAAGTATTAAGTATTTCCTTTTGTGATTTCAAGCTTTCTATCTATTTCCTTCTTTGCTTACTTTTATCTCAACACTGCTACAATTAAGGAAGTGCCTACTACCCTTATGAAAGGCCAGTCTTCCACTTGTGCTCCAGATCCTGTTCTGTCTCATCTTTCAAGGTAATTGTTTCTGAAATTTCTCTGTCTTTGGCACCAACAATTTCTCCCTCTCTCTTGTATTATCTACATCAACATAAAACATTCTTTGGGTTCTTCCATCTATTAAAAAATTCTGCTTTAAAAAATATAGCCACATTTTCCTATTTGTTTTACAGCATAGTTTCTTATAAAAGCTGTCAGTAACTTCATATCCACTTCTCAACTTTCATTTGTCAAGTTCAGCCAGACTTCTGCTCCTGACCACTCCACTGAATCTGCTTTTACCCAATCATCAATGAGCTTCATATTTTCAAATACAGTGAACCCTTCTCAACTCTCAAATGACCTCATCTCTAGGCCTATTCTATGCAGATTGACAATTGCATTTTCTGAAAACTAATATTATTCTAAGCTTCTTGTATATTGTACAGTATTGTATTTCCTTCTGACTCCGTAGCTGCTCCTCCTCAGTTTTCTTTGCTGAGCTGTTTCTCTAGATCTCTGGATATTTCAGGACTTAAATTAGTTTCCGTTTCTTTCAGGATTTATTCCCTTTTCTAGAAAATCTTATCCATTGCCATGGCTTTACATATCTAAATAATAATAATATCCCTAGTCCTGATCTTGTCCCTGAACTCCTGACTCACAACCAGCTGTTACTTTAAATCTCCACTTAAGTCTCTAATAAATATCTCAAAGCTAACTAAACTAAATAAACTCTTGGTCCACATACTCTTTTGATGATGCAACTGCAGTAATGTTACCACCATCTCCCAGTTCCTTAAGCCAAAAACAAAGGAGGTGGCATTGATTCCTCTCTTATCTTAAGCTAGGCAGCCAATGTACCCCAAATCCTATCAGTTCAAACTCATCATGTTCCCAATCCCTGTAATCCTCTTCATCTCTCCTACTCTCACTCATTGCCTAGTTTGCATGCTTGACTGCTTACAAATCACTTGGTAGAACTATTTTTAAACAGAAATTATTATTTTTTCACTTGTTCATTTAACTAACCCACTTTGTTTGCTTCCTGTTGTTTTTACTACAAAATCTATATTCATTACCCTAGCCTTTGGATCCTGAATTAGACCCTGCATATCTCTGTGACTTCATCTCATACGACAATTGTTGCACTTGCTGACACAAGTCTCATTGTCACTTTTCATTATCTTGCTGTTGCCCTAATATGCCAAGTTGTATAACCTCTATGTCTGTTTTTTAAAATTTGATATGTCTTTCCCTTTTCAGTGGCTGGCCACTATTTTTTTTATTAATTTCTAAGATTAAATATCACTTTTCTAATAAAGCTTTCTCTTAGCCTCCAATAAAAAGTAGTTCCTCAGTCTCTTCATCACCTTATCTGGTTTTATTTTCATCCTGGAACTGAAACTTTATTATTTATTCATTTATTTATTATGCTTTTAATTTTTTGTCTTCTCTTAAAATGTCAGCCCCATGAAGCAAATGCCTTACTGTATTCTTCTCTGATTTATCTCCAGTGCCTAGAAAATGTGTGAAATAGATATTCAGTGCATAAGTGCATTTTGTACACCTTTGCATGCATTTTTGGTATTTCTTAGATCTCTATAAATAAAATAATTGAGTCCTAAGCCATTTGTTTTCTAGAAAGCTTGTACCTATATTAGGGTGTCCAGATTTGACAAATAAGAAATATAAGACATTTTCTTTTCAAGAAATCTTTTCAAGATACTAATTTTGTTTCTTTTGGATATACCCAGAAGTTGGATTGCTGGATCATGGTGGTTGTAATTCTCATTTTTGAAGAGCTTTCATGAAGTTTATCCTAATGGCTTTACCAATTTTCATTCCCACCCAGAGTGTACAAGCGTTCTCTTTTCTCCACATTCTTGCCAAAACTTCTCTCCAGCCTATTTGATAATAGACATCCTAACAAATGCGGGGTGATATCTCATTGTAGTTTTGATTTGCGTTTCCCTGATGATTAAGTTATATTGAACATTTTTTCATATCCTAATTGACTATTTGTGTTTTCTTTTGAGAAGTGGCTTATACAACTTTTATAAAGAAGGAAGTTTTATCATTTGCAACAACAGGATGCTGCTGCTGTACATTATGCTAAGTGAATAAGCCAGGCACAGAAAGACAAATGCTGCATGATATGCTTTTTCTCTGTGTCCCCACTCAAATCTCATCTCAAATTATAATCCCCATGTGTCCAGGGAGGGATGTGACGAGAGGCGATTGGATCATAGGGGTGGTTTCCCCCGTGTTGTTCTCATGATAGTGAGGAAGTTCTCACAAGAACTGATGGTTTTAAAAGTGTTTGACAATTCCCTCTTCACTCCTTGTCTCTCCTGCTGCCTTGTGAAGACAATGCCTATCTTCCCTTCACCTTCTACCATGATTGTAAGTTCCCTGAGGCCTCCCCAGCCATGTGGAACTCTGAGTCAAGTAAAGCTCTTTCCTTTATAAATTACCCAGTCTCAGGTAGTATCTTTATAGCAGTGTGAAAACAGACTAACACACTGCATCATCTCACTTATATGTGGAATCTAAAAAAGTAAAACTCAGAGAAACAGAGAATAGAAGACTGGTTATCAGAGGTCAGAGACTGAGGAAAATAGGCAGATGTTGGTCAAAGGGTATGAACATTCAGATACAAGATTCATAAGTTTTGGAGACCTAATGTATAGCATTGTGACTATACTTAATAATAGTGTATACTTGAAATTTGTGAGGAGAGCAGATCTTAAGTATTCTCATCACAAAGAGAAAAAATGATAATGATATAAGGTGACAGGTATGCCAGTTATAATAGCTTGGGGCTGGCAATCATTTCACAATGTGTACATACATCGAAATGTCACATTGTACTCCTAAATACGGTCATGTGCCACATTAACATATTTTGGTTGACAGTGGACCACATATACAATAGTGGTCCCATAATATTATCATACAGTATTTTTTACTATACCTTTTCTATGTTTAGATATATTTAGATATACAAATACTTATCTTTGTGTTACAATGGCCTATAGTATTTAGTACAGTAATATGCTGTGCAGGTTTTAGCCTAGGAGCAATAGGCTATACCATATAACTTAGGTGTGTAGTTGGCTATATTATCTAGGTTTATAATCTATAGTGTTCCCACAATGACATCACCTAATGATGTGTTTCTCAGAAGGCATCTCTTTTGTTAAAGAACACACGGCTGTATATATAATTTCTGATAATTATATCTCAATAAAGCTAGAAAAAGATAAAGGAAATATGACACTCAGTTAAATTAGATTTTTAGACAAATAATCACTATTTAGTATAAATATGCTCTATGCCATATTTGGCACACACTTGTGCTAAAAAATTTACTTATTTTTTTATTGGAAATTCAAATTCAGCAGAGCATCTTGTATGTTACCTGGCAACGTTAACCGATATGTATTTTTAACAAAAGTTGATAAAAATAATGATGACTTGTTTCCCTTTTCATCATTTATAAATATGTATTAACTGAACACACACACAGATGCACAAAGGCCATTGAACATAAAAGAAAGATGAATATCTGTACCTAGATTACAATCTATTTCACAAGGTATAACTTTTATTTCATTGACATTGTGCTTGAAGCTGTAGTCATTTTATGCAATGTCACAGGTACTCAATAGAAGTGTTTTTGAATCCATGTGAGGCTTAATTCGATCATGAAGTTGCTTTGATCTGATTGGACTTTGTGAACTGTTATTCTCTCCAGATAAACAATAATGCAGAGGAAATCCATTTCTTGCTAGGGTGATGTGATATGCGTGTTGAAGAATAAGCAGAGGCCTGGCTCATTTGTCTGTGGAATTAAGACAACATTATGAGAATCAAAATCTTGAATGTGTTAGGTTACTGAGGATCCTCAAAGAACATTAGGAGTATCTCTGGAAAAAGAGTTTCCTAATCTAAAACTTTCTAAATATTCACTTAAAACTTTGTGTCTTCTGTATCTTTCTCTATAAGGAAATGTAATGCTCTAAGTAGACATAAGATTAAGTTCTTAAAAAAACTACTAGCAAAGAAAGTTTAATGTGAAATTTAACCTTTGCTGTTGTGTTACTGTAAACTCATATAAAAAACATGCTGACTAGAAGTGTGAGAATGATATTTTTGTCATAAGATTCTCACATGTTAGGAACTCGAAAAGGAAATATAAAAACCCAGGAGTCGCATTAAATGATATAACATTGAACACTCTAAAGTAAAAATGATTCTTGTTAGTGGGTCTCTGCATTTTGAAAGCTTTAAAATTAAAGTGCTGTAAGTAATTTTTATAAATAGCTGAAATTTTTGTTTTTTACTAGATTAGAGACTACATTAGGTGGTGAGAGTATCCTGTCTATTGTACTCAACCATAAAGGTTTGACTGTTCAATTTAGAATTTTCATAAAATGTAATATTTTCAGAGTTCTTACTATTATTAATTGTCAGTGCCTTTTTTCATCTGTGACTTTAGTCAGCTGGGTTTGCCATTATCATGAGCAACAGTGGAAGGGAAGGAAGGTACAAAGGCACTATAGTGAGACGACTGACCTCAACAGTCTGTAACCATTTCACGGTTTTTTCAGAATTATAAAATAAATAATTACATTTCAATCACATCATTATAAATAGTAGCAATAGTTAATGTGAAGTGCTTACCATGGTGTGTATAAATAGATACTGTTTGATATTTAAGCCAGCATCTGAACTTGTAATGATTTTTCCCACCACCTACAAATGAAATTTGTCTAAAAATGAACATCCCAGACAATCCACCATGAATTTGAAAATAGAAGCTAGTGACTCATGCATCATCACCTCTTTCCCTTTTACTCTATGTCTTCATGCCCTCAAGTGTCAGCATTTAGGTTCAAGGTATCAAGGAAAGAGCAAGTTCTCTGGTCTCAGAGGATCTGGGTTTGAACTCTGTAGAGGAGGAAAGATTTCTTTCCCTACTCATTACTAGGTTCATAGCTAAGGCACCTATAACAAAAGACAGATTAACAAGCATAGACATTTATTTTATATAAGTTTTATGTAATTTGGGAGGCTTCAGAAATCAAGACCCAAATAAACAGGGAAACCTGTGTTTTTTTACATTTAGTTTGGTGAAGAAATGGATAGTTGTAGAGAAGTGTGATTAGACAAATGAGGTCCAATCAAATGGTAATAAACTGGAGGGAACATAGAAGGGCCTATTTGTTCAGATTCTTCTCTGTTATCTTCAGAGATTAGGATATTGTTTTTCCTTGGGTATGGAGTGGGCACCTCTGGAATGAAGATTTTATAAACTGCTTCAGAAGAGAAGGACCAGAAAAAGATGAGAGTGGCTTTCCTGCTTTTGTTATTTTCTGAAATGCGAAAATACCATATTTTGGAGTAGCATGTCTGGAACCTCATCAACTTTATACTATTAACCACATCTCAGTAAGCAACAATAACTCTAGTGAATTCTAATTTCTATTTATAATATGAATCCTTGATTATTTAATGAGGAAAAAATAAGTTACCTAAGAAAGCACTTATCATAATGCTTTACATTTATAACAGGGATTCAAAAAATATTATGTTACTCCTCTTCTCCCAAGTCCTAGAGTCATTATACTTTATTAATACCTTACTCTTACTGAGTGCATATTATGTATCAGAAAATATTGAATGGCTTCATTTATGGTGTTGCTTTTAATCCTCACCATGCTTTTATGAAGTAGTTTCTATGATTTCTATTATTCTTGTTTATAGGGGAGAAAAATAAGGTATCAAAGCTCAAAGATGTTAGTTACCTGTGGGTGTTTCTTTGCTCCCTTAACCACATGACTGCTTACCATTTGGGAATATAAGGTTTTAGATACATATTACACTAAATAATACTCTATATTTTTCCATTAACTATGTTTCAATTCAAGTATTCAAAGTGTATTAGTTGTCTGAGTATAATGCACTATATAGGCACTATGGAAAAATACACATCTAACTAAGAGTCTCTTATCTCAAGAAACTCAAAATTGGAAGCAATCCTTATTAGTTCCAACCTCTAATCCATTGGCTGAACCATGAGTCTTATTTTATGATCACTTAGAACACAAAGAAGACAACAACCATATTGTATTCTCTTGGGCTATTAGAAATCAGAAATTACTAGTATAGATAAATTGCCAAGACACGCAGCTGAGAATTTATGCACATGCTAATGAAATCTGGTCATCAGGGCAATTTACTGAAGTTAAGGCAACTCAATTAGAAGAAAAAGAATAATGGATATGGAATTAACTTTAAGAAGTAATTTTAACAGTAGACACAAAGAGTTCAGCTTGCGTTCTATATTGCATGAGGAGATTATAAAATTCAGACATAAATTTATTGGTATTTAATCCCAATTATAATAAAAACTTGAAAAAAATAAGAGCATTTAATTCTGCTTCCCATAAGCATTGGGATTTTGAAATGAGAGTTTTATTTTTAAATGAAGATCAAATGTTCTTCTATGGTTATAAAAGAAGCCCCAGAGTCATATTTTAATAAAATGTAATTAAAAACCGATAAACTAGTAAACTTCATGCAGCTTAAAATAAGCCTTCTCATACAGGACAATGAACGCTAGATTAATGCAGTTGTTGCTATAATCTCTATGCTGTTCAGGGCCTGAATTCCAGCATTATTTTAAATTTTGAAATAATGGAGACATTAGACGGAGTGACTTCATAATATTGAGCAGTATACTTTTAGATTATAGAATGAAAAATTAATTCCATTTTTTCAGAGCTGTACTACGAACTAGATTGTTAAGGAGGCATTTAGATTATTCATTTATTTCAAAGAGAAAGATCACTGTGTTAGATTGAATGTGAAACTATCTCACTCTTTGGTTGTCGATTGGCCAACATTATCTACTGAATTTTGTGTATTAATACAGACAGTGAGTTATCTACGTTTTTAACACAGAAACATTGGTTATAAATGAACAAAAATATATTGGGTCTAAAAATTTCTATCTGTCAAAGGCATTTATTTGACATATTCCATTCTACCTATCAAAATACTCAAATCCTCTATTAAATACTAAAAACAGTTTCTGGCTAAATACTAACATAATTGAATTTAAACTAAACATGTCAGAATATTATCTATCACATTAGCACTGTTTCACTCAGTTTTATTATCCAAGATGTTGTGCATTTATTTCCGTTTTTCTGCAATTGCCCAAAATATTTTGTGAACTAAATTTGGAAATTATTGATAGAATTAGAAGCATGTCTATTTGAATACTCAGAATTAAATAGAAAAAGGAAGTTTTGGAACTCATCTTTTGGGAAAACAATTACATATGAATATATGTATTTCTGTGCTGTGTGAAAGACTGTGGATTAATAAATGTAGCGTCATTAACTGTGGTTATTTCAGGAGAAGGGAGTTGAAAAATAGAAAACTTATATTTAAATTTTATTTAATATTTCTTGAAATTGTTTTCATTGGAATGATGTGCATCACATATAGAAGGAAAAAAAACCAACGAAGTTATATTTAAAGATGTGTAAAGACGAAAATTACAGAAAAAGAAAATGCCTTCCTCCTCATAGTAATAGGGCTCCGATGAGTGGAGAGACAACAGGGTTCTTCATCTCCAGTTGAATTAGAAGAAACGACATGGACACACGTGGAGCAGTTTTAAGGAGCAGGGAGTTTAATAGGCAAGAAAGAAGGGGGAAGAAAGAAAGAAGCTCCCCTGTACAGAGACAGAGGGAGGGTGGCTCCAAAGCCGAGAGGTGTTATATATAAAGTTTCGGTGCCGCAAAGGAAATAGCACTCGAATATAAAATTTTCTTTTTAATTCTCAGCAAGGCAAGTTACTTCTATAGAAGGGTGCACCCTTACAGATGGAGCAATGGTGAGCGCACACTTGGAGAACGGAGGGGAAGGGGTTCTTATCCCTTACGCACATGGCCCCTACTGCTGTGTGGTTCCCCTATGGGCTAGGGTTAGACCGCATAGGCTAAACTAATTCCAGTTGGCTAATTTAAAGAGAATAATGGGGTGAGTGCTTTGGCGAGAGTCAGGGCAGAGCAGGTAGCAGGTAATTGGAATAAGTTAGGGTGGAGCAGGTGATTGCAATGTAGGGTGGAGCAGGTGATTGCAATGTAGGGTGGAGCAGGTGATTGCAATGTAGGGTGGAGCAGGTGATCAGAATGAATCAGGGTGGAGTAGGTAATTGGGATGAGTCAGGGTGGAGTAGGTAACTGAAAAAGGTTACTTTAGGAGGAAGTTTAAAAGTAGAAGGCAAAGAATTGAACATAATGACATTAATTCTTTGAAAAGAAATTTAGAACTCATATCTAACAGAGGGAACCCCGCCTTCAGGTAATATTAACTACCTATATCTGATGGCTGGAGGAGATGTTGCCTGCTTTGCATAGGGCTCAGGGGATTGGTTTGACCAGGCATGTCATTCACGTAGCCCGCGAAAAAGCTGGCCCTCCCACCCTGGCCTTTTAATATGCAAATGTAGAGCACTATGATGTTCCACACACGTGGGGATGTGTGGAGGCGGGCTTGTCGCCAGGCACATGTGGGAGCAAGGGCAAGAGGACAACGGTGGGAATCGCCATGTTGGGTGGACCCAGTTTCCAATGGCTGGTATTTGCTAATCAGAGGTTGCCTGCCGGGGTCTAAGACCCAAGGCTTTCATACTAGACAAGAGCTGCGAAAAATCTTCCAAGGACCCCTTTTTTCCTCTCTCTGCCTAAAATAATTTCTTAATAACTCCTACCTCAAGAGGGAATAAATATCTTGACTGTCATCACAACCCTATCCTGAGAAAATGAGACGTTTAGAGTTGTTACTTTCTAGATAACACACAGCTACTAAATGGTAGGTCAAACTTTTTGATCTATTTATGTCCAAGACCTATGTTTTTAGCCACTATATGATAATCCTATTATTTTCCAAAAAAACCTCATTGTATTTTTGTCTGAAATTATATATTTTTATTTGTCCTAGAGAATAAAGTAAAAATAATTTTAAAGCCTTTCTTTAATTGAGATATCTTTCTTTCTATATTGAAGATATGTGACTGCTTCATTAAGAGGTTACATTTTGTACTTTTTGTGTCTGATTTATTTTTCTCAACAGAGTGTTTTAGAAATTCATTCATGTTGTTTTTTATAGCTGCAGTTCATACCTTTTTATTTCTGGGTAGTATCTATTGTATGAATATACCACAATTTGTTTATCTAATCTCCTTTTGTGGGCATTTGGGTTGTTTCCAGGTTTTGGCTATTATATGTAAGGCTGCTGTGATTATTCTTTCACAGGTTTTTTGAGGACACATTCTCCTCACTCCTACTTTTCTCAGGTAAATACCTAGGAATGGAATTGCCGGGAGATAAGGTAAGAAACTGCCAATGAGTTTTCCAGAGTTGTGCCACTCTACAGTCTCATCAGCAATGTGTAAGAGTTCCAACCTCTGTATGTCACTCATATTTTCCTCTTTCTCTCAGAAACTGCGCAGAACTTTTTGAAGAATACCTAAGCAATAAGAACACAAATAGCCCTTCACTCTGACTTATACAAGAGTGTAATGCAATTGAAATGAGGGTAAAGTCAAACATCTTTCTACAGCATTTCATATTAGATCACATGGTGAAATGGTTCTTAACAATGGCTGAAGTTATTACCAAAACATTCTTCATAAATAAACTCACTCATAATGTCAGGTATAGACATGCATGAACGGACAGATTTTCTAAAGTGGAAGAGTGTGACAGTAATGACTATTTGAGTGCACATGTGAGACAGCCTTAAAGATGTCTTTGACTAGTAGGGATTGAGCACAGTCAGAATTTTAGAAAGTCTACCGATAAAGCCTGAGCCAGGAAAAATATCATTATTAATCCCTGCCACAGTGTTAGAGGAAAATATTAATATCTGATTGGACTTTAATGCTCCCTGATAAAGATAGATAAATACAAGCATTTTGCATATGGCCCACACATATACACAACTACAGAAAGTAAAATGACCTTCTCTTATAAAATCCAAAGCTTACTTCCTTACTTTTCTTTACAATTAGTTTTTAAGAAGTTACAGTGTCTGGTGGTGTGGGTGGGGATGAATGTCAGGATTATTATTGCAGTTGACAAGCAGGGCAGCTAAGTTTTTCTATTAGCTTGAAAAAAAATGCTTTGTGATGCTCTTTGGTTAACTCGATAGCATAGACAAACTAAAATAAACTTGTAAGCAAACCATTTTTGTGTCTTTATTATATATATTTGTTTCTTGAAACTTCCAATAATCTAGAAAAAGTTACTACACAGTATTTGTGTAGAAAGAAAATTTTTACAGAATAAGTACATTATTGTCATTGCAAAACTACTACTTCAATGATTATTCATTTCTAGGACAAACATGAAAAGTAGATGGCCTTATGTTAATACACATTTTTTTCCCAAAAAGTTTATGTGGATATGAGTTATTTGAATATGTTTAACATACATTAAATGCGTCTGCTTGTCAGGCCAAACCCTGGATCTGTGTATCATCATACATTGATGCATAATAAAATCATAAGATGTCTGGGTTGGAAAAAAAATCACCCTGTAATACTGTGTCTAATATTGGGACTATAGTGAAAATAATTTCAAGCTCTAATTTAGATTCCAGGAATACATTTGCCATGCCTTGACAGCATTAGAACACATTCTCACAGATTTCCTGGGCCCTATTTACTTTGGCTCTTGTGGTGTCTCTGGCAATGGAAATGATATTAAAGTGCTATCTGGGCTTACTTATAAGGGAATAAAAGCTGTATCCCAGTCACCTATCATAATAATTCATGTCGATAAGTGGAAGAGATAATACCCTGCCAGACAAAAAGTAATATCCTGTATTAAACTAATTTTATAGAAACTTTAAAAATGCATAAGAAAGTTGAGGGAGAAGGTCCTTTATAAATACCTGAATTGGAATCAAGAAGATATGTGGTTGATACAAATGATCAGTTGACTTTAAGCAGTCAAGAGTTGGAAGCTATTTCTCTTGCTTCCACTTTTTCATTCCTTTTCTCTCTCTCACACACATACACACAACACACACACACACCCACTTCCGACTATTGCTTGTCTTTTTCTGTTTTCACTGACTTATGCCATTATGAGAAACAGAAAAAATCCATCATAACAGGAATTTTGTGACACACACACACAAAACAATAAAAACAGCACACACAAAGCAAAACTGAAACAACAAATTTGAAAACAATGGAATCCAGGCTATTCCTGATACTCTTGGTAGGTGGAACAGTTTGAGAGTCATGCCCAAGTTTCCTGATGGAAAATAAGTGGATTCTGTCATTTATTCTATACTTCTTTCAGTCTAAGATACAAAGTCACAGAAAGAAAATCCAATTAGCCATGTTAAGATCACTTCACTTCTTCCAAAGTACAGAGAGAAAGATCTGAAATGAAAGCACCAATCACCAGAAATGGCAGCAGGAAAGATGGAGCTACTGTTTTCAAAAGGAAACCAAATACAATTAGGATGATGAGCAGATATTGAGGACTGTAAACAAACAAAACTCTACGAAACTCTTCCAAACATATAATTCTGCCTTTATAAACTGAAGATAAGTGACATTGAATCATCTACTAATACATATTTTTCAAAAATGACTGCCCCCACTAGGAAAAAAGTAAATTACAACAACAGCAAAACAGAAAATAAATGTGTTGGGAATTGGGGAATGCAGATTGGATATTGATAAAGAATCTCCCAACCCCATCATTCTGACCATAGTTTGAATCCTGGCTCTCTCTCTTGAATGTTTTGTGATCTGGGACATCTTACTCTCCTCTGATCCTCAGATTTAGTATCTTTCAATGGAAAAAATTTTACCTTCCTCAAACAGTTATACAGAATTAGCTACAACATATTAGAATACTTTGCAAGTGCCTGACATAGTCAATTATTAATAGATGATTGCCACTATAAATATATGCCACTATAAATATATTATTTCATAACTATTATATAATTTATCGTTAACACAGTAACATATTATTGTTATTTTTATTATTATAGAAAGGTTGACTGACTTCTATCAAGTATATTCTACATTTTTTCAGGCAGGAAGAAGAATTATTAATCAAAATAATTGTTTCACTCTCCTTAACGTACTTAGAAAAGTGTTATCTATCTAAAAGATGCCAAGGAAGCTTTTTTATTTTCCTGAAGGTAATATTTCCATTGGCTTCCATCAATCAATAAACAAAAATTTGGTGAGCACACACAGTGGTGGATGGAATGCTCAAATGCATTATAAAATGAGCAAGTAAACATATAGAGGATAAAGTGAATGGATACTATTTCATCAGAGTACAATAGTTTTATTTTGTCTTCCTTACTAATTTTTTTCAGGATCCGTATTCTAGAGAAATTTGTGTTCTTCTTAAAAAGTTTTTTATGAAGATGATCCTCTTCTTTTAGTCTAGTTTCTAGTCAAGTATGGAATCTTGCCAAGGAAAACTGAATGTGCAGTATTGATGATTACATGAGTCTGCTATTGCTGCCATAATGAAGTACCACAGACTGGGTGGCTTAAGCAATAGAAATTTATTTTCTCACAGTCTGGAAGCTAGAAGTCCAAGATCAAGGTAATGCTGAGGCTGATTTCCTCTGAGGCCTTACCACTTTGGCTTGCAGATGCAGTCTTCTTCCTGTGTCTTCACGTCGTCTTTTCTTTGTGTGTCTATGTTCCAAACTCTTTTTATAAGGAACCCAATCATATTAGATTAAGGCCTACCCTAGTTACCCATTTTACCTTAGTTCCCTAAAGTCCTTATTTCCAAACAAAGTCACATTCTGAGGCATTAGGAATTAGGGCTTCAGTGTTTACATTTTGGGAAGACACAATTCAGCTCACAAAATAAAAAGGTATTTTAAAACTCTCTAGAAATTTATTTAAGAGAACTCTGAACTGGAGTCCTTTACTCCCTAGAAAAATCATTTACTACATTTCTCTCTCAAGGCTCTTAAAATTACATTTTAAGTTGTGGAAAAAAAGGTTATTATGAAATGTTTCAGAAAAGTATACGTCTATGAATTTTTCATAGTGAATAGAAATCCTAACCAGAAACTTCACACTTTTCCTATAATCATGGCTAATTTTCAAAAATGTATACAAACATAGCTCATAACTGCTTTTCTCTTCCCAATATCATGGACCTTTGCTGGTGAAACTGTATTGGTTAAATATCAGACAATAAGTGTAAGCTCACTGATTTATTCAGGGATCTATTGTACAAATTAGATTATGATATTATATTACTATGCTAAACATCCTAGCTATGTCCTGAAATTTAACTGTGAAATCACTTTATCAGAGGGACCACAACTGATTTATAGTACATAAAATAAATTAAAATAGCTGTGCCTCCTTCTTTCCCTTTTGATATTCTCACTTTCATAGTTCTTATAAAATTTATAGATAATCTCTATGAAAATCAGCCTCTTGATCTGACATTAGGTGGTATTTAACTTAGTTTTGTCCTATCCTAACCTAAGCTTTGTTTACTGCTGAATGATTTTTTCAGTACTCTTGATAATCTCCTATTGCCACAACTCGGTTTCAGCATGTGAAACTATGTGATAGAAATCTATACTTAAAAAAATTGCTCACTACTCAAATAGCAGCATTCTTGCTTTAAATCTTTTCATAATATGAAAAGTCAGCAAGGGCATATCAAGATGATATATTGTCTGTTTTGGGCATTTTAAAGTTTCTCCATGCAAAAGAATTCCTTTCACAAATGCCAACTATGCTAAAATGCAAAGCATCAACATAATAAAATAGTGCATATGGCCATTCAATTAGATTATTCTCTCTCTCTTAAAGGAGCATTGCAACTAATGGGCATAATTGCCTTTGAGAGCTTGGGACAAGTTTATTTCCACCCAAGATGTTTTATATGTCATTTAAGCAATGAGAACTTTCTGGGGTAATGCCTTTACACTTTAATGAGAGAGTAGAACTCTGATTTTAATACTTAAACAGCCCACCAAAATGGAAATTGTAAATATTTTTGAAGAAGAAATGCCAGCAGAATTGTGCCAAACACTATTCTTAAAATATTGTAAATATAACATGTGCTAGGTTTAATTAACTTCTATTATCCATCAGTAAGGCTACATACCTGGCAACAATAGTGAACAGATGTATAAATACTGTAGGAGACTCTTTTGCTGAAAAATCTCTGAAGATTTTGCTCAGTCGGTAAGTACAACCTCTTGCTAGAGGATGTACTACTTTTAAAAATTGTGGCAAACATTCTAAGTTTTGCATGGAAAGATAAATCTTGGAGTCTTTCTTCACGGGATCATATTTTCTCTCCTTAAAATTTAAATTGAGTCTAGTTTTTTTATAGTATATGTAAACAATGGTCTATGCTGCAAGGTTATCAGATGAATTTAGGAAACAAAATGTCTTAGAAATACACCCAAAATAAATAGCCACCTGAGAAAAATGAAAATATCTGTGTAAACATTCGTGCATATTAAGAATGTATAGCATGTAGCAGTGTGTATTTTATTAGTAGTATTTAAATTTGTCTATTCCAGAAAGATTTACAGAAGAGTTACAGAATACATAAAATTTGGGGTCAGGTGTAAGAAGAAATGGTAACAGATTGTATCATACTCACTGGGAGCCTGTGGTCACTGGGTCTTGTGTAGGAAGTACAGGTAGTAGGGTGTCTCTTCTGTTCAAATTCTCATGCCTTCACTTCCCTACAGTGGGTGAGGGGTAGAGTGAAGACATCCAAAATATTTGTCACAAAAACTGTTCCCATGCCTACTTCATTTGGTAATACCAGGAATTCCTCTGATGGTGCCACTCTATCCGATGATATTCCAAGCTTCCATCCATAGTGTCTAGGCTATCTGTTATGCTTATAAACCATGATAGCAATAGCCTGCACATGGAGAGACAGCATAAAGAAAGAGGAAAATTTTTATTCAGGAAATGCCATTCTTTGTTTTTTGTAATTACCACTTTTCCTCACTAATTGTTCTAATTAAGTCTGTAAATTCTCAGGCATCCATATATTCCACAAGTGCTCCAAGGTTTCTAGAAGTAAGTAACTCACTATTACCTTGCTGTTTCTGTTCTTGTTAATCTCTATTGAACCTTTTACCAAAAGCAAAGTGGAGAAGATAGGCAAAAGATAAAAACTGATGATAAAATGAGAAATAGAGAAGCAAAGAAGAGTTTGGGGGCAGACATGAGGGTAGACAATAAGCAGAAGGAAAGAGAACAATGTGGAATTTCTAAGGGGTATAAAAGAAATGGCCACATGTGTGATCTTATGCTATTTTCCTTGCCTCCACTCTAAGAGCACCATACATCACCAGTGTGTGATCTATGTGTCATATATATAAGCATACATATGTGTGTGTGTGTACAAACACACATATGTTAGTCCTGAAAAATGATACAAATCTGTGTCGGTAATAGGCTCTGGGGATTTGAGAGCACAGAATCCTACGAGAGGCTCCTCAAGTAATAAGTAACTTCCCCAAGCTCTAGTTAGTCTAATTTTTCTCCTTGCAGTGTTCCCTCATTCCAACAATGATGAAGTAGAAAAGGAAAACAAAATTCTCCAATCCTCACCAAGTTCCAGCATTCATCAGGATGTCTCTCCTGTGGCCTGGCACAGTATTGGTTTGACAGCACTCTTTAGAGGGTAGTCTAACTTGTCTCTGGGAGGGCAACTCTTTCTTTTAACCTGTAACTGTGTTTAGAAAAATGTTTGTAAAATTCTGATTCTGACCTGTCACCTTCTGTGGGTTACTTTAAAATGGATTTCAATTACAAGGTAAAACACAAACTCTGCAGTCTGAAATTCTATATCCTCTCTATACAATCTATTCACTGACTGCCTTTGCAAACGTATCTCCAGCTATTTCAGCAATTCCAAAAGAAATGCTTTTTTCCCCCCTCTTTGATCTGCCTACTGAGCCATGCTAATCATTTCCACTCTGAGCCTTTCTTTACAGTATCCCTCTCATCTGAGCCCTCTTCTTCCCTTGGCCCATTCAAATCCTATCAACTTTTTTGGATGCAATGTGTATCCCATCTTCTCTGAGATCCTATCTTCCTAATATACTGTTCAGTAATAATTTTGTAAGTTTCCATTGCCCTTCCTCAATGACCAGTTATGTAGTGTTTGCATATTGGTATTGAATCTGCCATAGGTGTCTTTTTTCCCTAAAGAAACATACATTTTGAGATAAATGATCTTAACTTAGAGTCTTCTTTTTATCATTTGTAGAATCTGGCATGGCATGCTATACATAAAATATAAATTATTGATTGAGTACAGACTTCAAAACTCTTTTGGTTTGAGTCTTGAAGATAAATATTTAGGATAAAAAAATTAAGTTGAATAACCAAGCAATTGCATATTAAGAGTTCAATAAGTACTAAAATTATGCTAGTTTATAAACATATTTATGAGTTGCTCTACACAATAAGGTAAAATAATTGATGGCCGGGCACAGGGCTCACGCCTGTAATCCCAGCACTTTGGGAGGCCGAGGCCGGCGGATCACAAGGTCAGGAGTTCGAGACCAATCTGGCCAACATAGTGAAACCCCATCTCTACTAAAAATACGAAAAATTAACCAGGTGTGGTGGTGTGTGCCTGTAATCCCAGATACTTGGGAGGCGGAGGCAGGAGAATTGCGTGAACCTGGGAGGCAGAGTTTTCAGTGAATCGAGATGGCGCTATTGCACTCCAGCCCTTGCAACAGTGCGAGACTCCGTCTCAAAAAATTAAATACATAAAATAAAATAAAATAATTGACAAAATATCAAATGTAAAATATAACTATAAATTTGTAATTGTATATCTTGTTTGATATTTAAGTAGACAAAAGAAAAAAATTTAATACCCTAGGTTGAATTGCATTACTCTGTAAAAGTTTTACTACTAACACAAAAAAAGTAAAAGAAAAAAATAAGTTGACTAGCAGTTAATGAACATCACTATGAGAGTGTGAATTATATTCCTCACAAAAATAACAAAATAGCAAAAATAACAAAAGGCATGCAGCACAACCATATTTGCACATCGATGAAAGCTAAGCATAACTTTTCTAAGGCCTAAAAGTTCTCAATTAAACTATTAAAGTAATTGGATTTTGTGTTTAATCTCAGCATCACAGAAACTGTACATTGAGATGTCTTTCACAAATACAGAGTCAGGAAGAATTATCTCTACTTATTTTGTTATTATAGTTGATATATGAAAATACACGGTGAAAAGGATTCTACTATCTACAAGAAAAATGCAGCTAGATTACTTTTCCATTCCTAATAGAAACTTCGAAAAGATATCTTTTCTTTCTCTCTCTTTCTTTTAATCACAAATCCAATCTGGAACAGAAGCCAACGATAAACTTAATCTTCTGGTGAGTTTCAGCCATTTGACAATTATATAGGTTGGCTCATCAAGTAGGCATTGATTGTTAGCATTAGCCACGAGTATATAAACACTTATAAATATTGCATGCAGAAGAGAAGCTGCACTTAGATGGATGATTAATAGTCCTGTTGTTGGTAATCTATTGTATCTTTTTTGCATGGAAAAAGCAATTAGAAACACATTTCCGACTATCCCAGACAGACCTTAGATGCTTCATAGCGGAAAATTAAAATTTTAGACATTGCAAAGAGTGTAACAAATGTATCTTCAGGCACCACATAATAATAGTACCTGGAGGACTCGGACAAGCTCATGAGACCACAATTTGACTTACCTTTCCTCCTTTAGATAATTTAGTTTTATAAAACCATGAAATTATTTATTTTGATAGTGGATTTGGGTGTGTGTGTGTGTGTGTGTGTGCATGCAGTTTACTGATTAATAAGAAATATGTGTGAATACATAAAAGGAGGGAGGGAAGGAGTGAGAGAGAGAGACTTACTCCAGAAAAATAAGTACAAATGGAAAAGGAATGGTAACTCTGACAAACATACCTTACTAAACCTATAAATATGCAGGTCAGGAGACTTATACAACAGTCTGAAAATAAATTTTGCTATCAAAATTCCAAAGTTTTATTATAATCTTTGAGTAAAATTGATTTTTAATATGAAAAAAATCCTTTATTGTATTCTTAGAGTTTTTCATTGTATACACTACAAACTAGATATTATATGTCAGGTAAGTCATTGTTGTCTAAAAACTGCCATATTAGATTTCTTCCTGGAAGAGAATTGTAACTTTTATTATTATTATCATTACTTACACTGAGGAACTGCTCACATTCTAGGAAAACTTTTAAAAATCAGTCTAAGAGGAGCAGAGAGTATCGAGCTAAGTTAATGTTATTAGGAATCCATTAAAATCCTTTATGGACATTTCCTTGCCTTTCTTTTAAATGGCTGTAAATACCAGGAGCCTTCTTTGCAGCAGAGAAATTGGGCCTACAGAGGGCAACTAGATTCAATTCCCACCAATGAGTGCATCTTTTCTTCATTATTTCATGTACCAATTTCACTATACTTGAGTAATGAAAAAAAAAAAACAGAATTAGTATAGTGTCTTAGGATTATTAGGTTATTCTTCATCACATATTATTTTCAGAAATTTCATATATTAACTTTTAAATTTTTAACTTCAAGTTCTAAATACTATAATGGTAGAATTTTCTATTAACATAACAATAACTTACTGATGACATCATAAAACCTAAAATGTATGTGACACCACTTTCTTTCGTATTCTTTTCTCTATAACCTCCAGCTCATAAAACAAAGTTTTGAATCAAATGAATGAAAGTGAGTGTTGTGGGCCAGTGGATATTGAAGACAGTGGATGTCTGTTCCAACTTGCTGTTGATAAAACTCATAAGTGTGTTGTGATGTATTGTTATAAAGCACCTCTGTCCTCACAATCCTAACACCCACCCATATTACAGTCTGTATGTGTGATAACAAGAGTGATTTTGGAGAAAGGAAAGAGATAGAAGAAAGGGAGAGGGAACAGAAGGTACTCTTATGGATAATAAAATGATGACACTTTAAAAAACACATCTGATGCAATTTGTACATAGTTAAAATCTACATTTAGTTGTGTGTACTGCAGTATTCCTGTTTAGGAATAAAATATCTATTACATAGGATAAAGTTTTAAATTAACAATTTTTTTCTGTTACTAGAAAATATAGGCCATAATTTTTCCTTAGTCTAGATGGAATTTGAAGCAAAAAAAATCTATAAAATCTATTGACTGAGAAAGCCATATCAGGTAAACAAAAGGAGTTATGAATTCTTATGGGATGGCTCTCCTAATAACTAGTTTTAACTATCTTAATAAATGCTAGTCCTACAACTAATGCTTTTTTGGTGCTGCTTTTTTGTCAGAGCTGATTGGGACTTTTCTGGATTATCCATTGTCTTTCCCTAGTTTTAGTGTTCATAGCAAAGTGCGAGAATGCATACTACATCTTTTTGGTTGACTTGATTTACATGATTTTTTCAAGCCTAAGTAGACAGCCAATTTAACTGCTTCAATATGGCCAAAAAGCTGGACTCAATGGCTGTTATCAGATCTCATTAGAAAAGAAGATTACTAAGACAAGGCTTCATTTGGAAGAATCATCTCTTTTCCTCTCCAGATAGAGGTTTGAGGAAGCCAGAGACATGGCTCAGGTGTTGCATCTGTGACAGTTTTCTGGCAGAGCAGTATTCCTTAATTGCCCATCTAGCTAGGAGGAAGCTTTATTAGACACATTTATTGTTCTCATTGCAAACTGGTGTTCCACAGTATTACCCTCCAAGTCAATTGTGTGGCTATTTGTCAGGCCAGGTGAATAATGCAGTACTGAAATAACTATTGGTTATTTTGATATAGGAATAATCTAATTTTGTTAATTTTGTGGCAATCTGTTGAGAATTAACTGATATTTTTAAAAAGTGAAATTAGCCTGTAAATGGTTGATTTGATATGCATGGTTTACAGTATACAGGTACACCTAACAAAGCCATTTGTTTTCTATAAAATTACAGTAAAACACAATATAATCAACGTTTAATCACAATTCTTAAATGTGCATAAATACGAACTTACCTCTGCCTCAGCTCATTCCTGTGTGTGCTCTCCTTATGTCACTCATAAAACAGCTTCCCTTTGGGATTCCAAGAAAGCAAACCTTTAGACCACCCCATAACTGAGAATGATTCTACCCTTAGCAGCTTCCAATCTTTCCAGTGTTATTTTTCTGATGGTTTTGTTTTTGTTCAGTGATGTTTACAGCATACAAACCAAACTGCATGTGAAATATTGCCCACCTGCAAAAGCTCTCAAAGGGCACTAAATGAGGTAACCATGACATGCAAGAATGATTGTTTCTGGGATAAGAGGATGGAGTTACACAAAGACAATACTCTCTAGGTAAACCTGAAATGAGTCATTTGACATATTTCAAGGGCAAACTGAACAGCTTAAAAAACGCCTATTTAGTAACAGAAAACAGTTGCTACAGCTATACATTGGTTTACTTAGATTGGTTGACCAACCCTCGAATACTAGCTTTTTCTATGCATTGTGTTGGCCCTGTCTTCTCTTCCTCCCTCCCTTCCTTCCTTTCATTTTATTTCCTCAGGGAAATTTTCCAATACAACCCCTTGCTCCTAAAAGCATGTGACAACTCTTCTAAGTTCACTGTGCTCTGTCTTTCCTTGAAATTCCTATGGCAATTATAAAGATGTTTAATTATACTTCACTTTATACTGATTTCATATTAATTATCATAAATATTTTCTTTATGAAGTTTATCATAGGCAGAAAAATATTTGTATGTGCCAATAAAGAGTAGGAAAAAATTAATATCCATTATAGTTTAAATATAATCATCACCATTAATTTTAAAGCTCTTGTGTGCAATATCTCCTTATGGCTTTTCCTCAGTTTCTGTTACATTGTCTTATTTTTATTTATTTGTAGGAGTTAATTTTAGGAGATTATATATAATCCTTCCTCAGAAGTGTGTTGCAAAATCTTCTCTACGTGACTTAAATAAAACAAAACCTCTTTAGAAGAAAATATATGAAGCTATCTTCACATCCTCTGGATAAAAAAGGTTTGTTTTTAAACAAGACATAAAAGCACGTACCATAAAGAAAAATATAAAACATTTTAACTACATTAAAACTAGTAATTTATTTTAATTAAAAAATAAAAAGAATGAAGAAAACAAAGTCATATCAAAAATAGTTATACTTCGGTAGATATTTTTTCTTATCACTATGGAGATATTTCATTCTTTTTGGCTTCCCTTTTTGCCGTTGAGAAATAAATAGTCTGACTGTTATTTTTCTGTAGGTCAACTGATCTTGTTCTTGGATTGCTTTGAAGGCCTTTTCTTTGTGTTTTGTTTATTCATCTGCTCTGCTATTTTGCCCTGGCATGGCTGTGTATTTTCTTTTTATTTATTCTGCTTGAGATTCTTTAAGTTTTCTGAATCTGAAGAATGTTATATTCTATAAAACATGGTATATTATTTACTGTTATGTCTCTGACTATGGCCTTTCCCTAATCTTCTGATTCTCCACTTTTGAAAATATGATTAGAGAGAGTTTGGGCAAATTCACTCTATCCTTCCTGATTATAGTTTTTATCTCTGTCTTCCTGAATAATTATCTATAGAACTATGTTCTACTTCACTAATGCTTTCTGAAGCTGTGTTTAATTGCTTTTAATGTGAAGTTTTAATTACTAAAATTAAATATTTTAGTAGTAGTATATTTTTATTTTATGTCAATATTATTTGTATAAAAATTTTAATATATATAGTATATTTTTCATTTTTGGAAGTTTGTGCTAATTTCAAAATTCAGAAAAAAATTGATGTTTTATTGTTTAACATAACTTCAATTACCTTCTTTATTTCTTTACATGTAAATGTATTTATTTGATATTTTTATGTGATGATTCCATTGTCTACAGTTTGGGAATCTGATGCTTTAGTTTTACTCTTGCTTGTGCTTATTCATTGTTTTGTGATTCTTGATGGTTTTATTTTGAATGCAGGTTGCTATTTAGAATTTTATTAATAGAAAGAATTTGAGGACTTTGTTTAAAATATTTTCCATTTATTTATTTTTTCTCCAAATCCCTATGGACAGACCAATATGGGGCTGCATTAGACTAATTTTTTTTTAGGCTTTTAAGGCAACAAGTTATATGATTTCAGGACACAAGGTTGTGTGATTACGAGTTTATGCTTTAAAAATATTTTTTTCTTTTTAACTTTCGTTCTACTCAGCCCCAATTCAAGGCCAAATCAGTCACCTATACTACTGTAGTATGTATTTGGTGATTGTTTGTTTGTTTTCCTAATTCACCTACTGAGTATGTTATCCTTTAGGAATATTGGCCTTATGTGGAGAATTCTGAGCTGATACTCTTTCTTCTCCTGCTTAATTTTTATCCATTTTTCTTGTATGTGGCCCTTTTAACCCCTAGTGTATGGACTTTGAAGATAGACAACTTCCAGACAAATCCTGACATTAGTGCTACATTATTCTTTTTTAATTACACTTTCTTCTCTTTGTGGCTTCCATTTTCCTTACTATACTGCTAGTGCAGGCACAATTTGACATATATATATTAAATATTGCAGGATTTTGTGTACTGTCCCAGGAGTGGCTTCTCTTGTTTGGTCTGTCTTATCTTAGTATTTTTTTTCACAGGGAAGTTATAAACTTCCTTAAGGTACAAAAATTATTACAGTTTTATATGTCTAGAGGATATATTGCTTAATGTTATGCACTTACAAGGTGCTAAGTAAACTTTCTAAAATGCATTAAAATTTACTCAATAAACTGAAAATCTTGTGATGAGCTGTACTCTTTATTCATGCATACTAGAGGCTCGTATCAAGTCAATGCAATCTCTGTTGAGCATTTATTAACTTACAATCTGTAAGGCATTGTATCAATTCTATGATTACAAGAGACAGCACCTTAATTCAACTAGTTGAAGACATTTTAGTTTAATCAGAAGCCCCCAAAAGAGTTAAAGGAAATATTTTATTCATTTTAATGATAAATTTCTCATAATATCTGCTACAATCCCCACCACTGTAAACAACTGAAAAAAATACGTATATATATAGCACACATATAGCATATATATATATATGTATATATATATATATATATATATGCTACTTGAATCTGGTTTGACATATATATATGTCAGATTGAAGTAGCATAACCAATTGAAACATAATTATTTAATACTTTTTTTGACCAGTAAAATCTTTAAATACTTTTTTTTATTATACTTTAAGTTCTGGGATACACGTGCAGAATATGCATCTTTCATACATAGGTATACATGTACCATGGTGGCTTGCTGCACCCATCAACCTGTCATATACATTAGGTATTTCTCCTAACGCTATCCCTCCCCTTGCCCCCCACCCCCGACAGGCCCTGCTGTGTGATGTTTTCCTCCATGTGCCCATATGTTCTCATTGTTCAACTCCCACTTATGAGTGAGAACATGCAGTGTTTGTTTCTCTGTTCCTGTGTTTGCTGGGTATGATGGTTTCTGGCTTCAACTATGTTCCTGCAAAGGACATAAACTCATTCTTTTTTATGGCTGCATCATATTCCATGGTGTATATGTGCCACATTTTTTTATCCAGTCTATCATTGATGAGCATTTGGCTTGGTTCCAAGCTTTTGCTATTGTGACTAGTGCTGCAATAAACATATGTGTGCATGTGTCTTTATAGTAGAATGATTTATAATCATTTGAGTATATACCCAGTAATGGGATTGCTGGGTCAAATGGTATTTCTAGTTCTAGATCCTGGAGGTATCACCACACCATCTTCCACAATGATTGAACTAATTTATACTCCCACCAACACTGTAAAAGTATTCCTATTTCTCCACATCCTCTCCAGCATCTGTTATTTCCAGACTTGTTAATAATCGCCATTCCAACTGGCATGAGAAGGTATGTCATTGTGGTTTTGATTTGCATTTCTCTAGTGACCAGTGATGATGAACTTTTTCTCATATGTTTGTTGGTCATATAAATGTCTTCTTTTGAGAAGTGTCTGTTCATATCCTTCGCCCACTTTTTGATGGGGTGGTTTGTTTTCTTGTAAATTTGTTTAAGTTTTTGTAGATTCTGGATATTAGCCCTTTGTTAGATAGATAGTTTGCAAATTTTTCTCCCATTCTGTAGGTTGCCTGTTCCCTCTGATGATAGTTTCTTTTGCTGTGCAGAAGCTCTTTAGTTTAATTAGATCTCATTTGTCAATTCAATTTTGGCTTTTGTTGCAATTGCTTTTGGTGTTTCAGTCATGAAGTCTGTGCCCATGCCTATGTCATGAATGGTATTTCCTAGGTTTTCTTCTAGGGTTTTTATGGTTTTAGGTCTAACATTTAAGTCTTTAATTCATCTTGAGTTATTTTTTGTATAAGGTGTAAGGAAGGGATCCAATTTCAGTTTTCTGCATATGGCTAGCCAATTTTCCCAACACCATTTATTAAATAGAAAATACTTTCCCCATTGCTTGTTTTTCTCAGGTTTGTCAAAGATCAGATGGTTGTAGATGTGTGGTGTTATTTCTGAGACCTCTGTTCTGTTCCATTGGTCTATATATCTGTTTTGGTACCAGTACCATGCTGTTTTGATTACTGTAGCCATGTAGTATAGTTTGAAGTCAGATAGTGTGATGCCTTCAGCTTTGTTCTTTTTGCTTAGGATTGTCTTGGCTATGTGGGCTCTTTTTTTGTTCCATATGAAATTGAAAGTAGTTTTTTCCAATTCTGTGAAGAAAGCCAATGGTAGCTTGATGGGGATAGCCTTGAATCTATAAATAACTTTGGGCAGTATGGCCATTTTCACGATATTGATTCTACCTATCTATGAGCATTGAATGTTTTTCCATTTGTTTGTGTCCTCTCTTATTTCCTTGAGCAGTGGTTTGTAGTTCTTGAAGAGGTCCTTCACATCCCTTGTAAGTTGGATTCCTAGGTATTTTATTCCCTTTGCAGCAATTGTGAATGAGAGTTCACTCATGATTTGGCTCTCTGTCTATTATTGGTGTATAGCAATGCTTTTGATTTTTGCACATTGATTTTGTATCTTGATATATGGTTGAAGTTGCTTATCAGATTAAGGAGATTTTGGGCTGAGACAATGGGGTTTTCTAAGTATACAATCATGTCATCTGCAAACAGGGGCAATTTGACTTCCTCTTTTCCTATTTGAATACCCTTTATTTCTTTACCTTGTCTGATTGTCCTGGGCAGAACTTCCAATATTTTGTTGAATAAGAGTGGTGAGAGAGGGCATCTTTGTCTTATGGCAGTTTTCAAAGGGAATGCTTCCAGCTTTTGCCCATTCGGTATGATATTTGTTGTGGGTTTGTCATCAATAGCTCTTATTATTTTGAGATACATTCTATCAATACCTACTTTATTGAGAGTTTTTAGCCTGAAGGGGTGCTGAATCTTATCAAAGGCCTTTTGTGCATCTATTGAGTTAGTCATGAGATTTTTCTCATTAGTTCTGCTTATGTGATGGATTACGTTTATTGATTTGTGTATGTTGAACCAGACTTGAATTCCAGGGATGAAGCCGACTTGATCTTGTTGGATAAGCTTTTTAGTGTGCTGCTGGATTCGGTTTACCAGTATTTTATTGAGGATTTTTGCATCAATGTTCATCAGGGATATTGGCCTGATATTTCCTTTTTTTGTTGTGTCTCTGCCAGGTTTTGGTATCAGGATGATGCTGGCCTCATAAAATGAGTTGGGGAGGAGTCTCTCTTTTTCTCTTGTTTGGAATAGTTTCAGAAGGAATGATATCAGCTCCTCTTTGTACCTCTGGTAGAATTTGGCTGTGAATCCATCTGGTCCTGGACCTTTTTTGGTTGGTAGGCTATTAATTACTGCCTCAATTTCAGAACTTGTTATTGGTCTATTCAGGGATTCAACTTCTTCCTGGTTTAGTCTTGGGAGTGTTATGTGTCCAGGAATTTATCCATTTCTTCTAGATATTCTAGTTTATTTGCATAGAGGTGTTTAGAGTATTCTCTGGTGGTAGTTTGTATTTCTGTGGGATCAGTGGTGATACCCCTTTTATCATTTTTTATTGTGTCTATTTGATTCTTCTCTCTTTTCTTCTTTATTAGTCCAGCTAGTGGTCTATTTTGTTAATCTTTTCAAAAAACTAGCTCCTGATTTCATTGATTTTTTGAAGGATTTTTTTGTGTCTCTCTTTCAGTTCTTCCTTAATCTTAGTTATTTCTTGTCTTCTGCTAGCTTTTAAATTTGTTTGCTCTTGCTTCTCTAGTTCTTTTAATTGTCATGTTGGGGTGTCGATTTTAGATCCTTCCTGCTTTCTCCTGTGGGCATTAAGTGCTATAAATTTCCCTCTAAACACTGCTTTAGCTATGTCCCAGAGATTCTGGTACATTGTGTCTTTGTTGTCATTGTTTTTGAATAACTTATTTATTTCCACTTATTTCATTAAGTTGTTCTTCAATCTCTGATATCCCTTCTTCCACTTGATCAATTTGAGTACTGAAACTTGTGTATGCTTCGCAGAGCTATGTCATATAATTCTTATTAATTTTCTGCCTGCTTTGTCTACCAATTACTTGCATAGAAATGTTTATGTCTCCAACTATGGTAGTGAATTTAGTTATTTTTATTTTGTTATTTTTGGTTTCAGTTATTTTGATGCCTTGTTTATAGGCACATAAAGGTTTAGAATTGTTATGACTTCTTATAAAATGGACCCCTTTATTATTTATATTATCTTTATCTGGGAAAATATTTGTTGTACTGAAGTTTGCTTTTCCTTAAATTAAAATAGCTACTACAGGTTTCTTTTGATTATTATTAGTATAGTGTATGTTTCTCCATCTCTTTATTTTAACTTACGTGAAACTTTGTATTTAAGGTGTGTTGTGTTTCTTTTGGACAGCATATAGTTAGGTTAAGTTTTCATTCAATCTGATCATCTGCCTCTTAACTAATGTACTTAAACCATGTGCATTAAGAGTGATTACTGATACAATAAATTAATATCTACACTTTTAATAAAAGTATTCATTTCAGGCCGGGTGCAGTTGCTAATGCCTGTAATCCCAGCACTTTGGGAGGCCAAGGAGGGCAGATCATGAGGTCAGGAGTTCGAGACCAGTCTGTCCAACATAGTGAAACCCCGTCTCTACTAAAAATACAAAAATTAGCCAGGCATGGTGGTGCATGCCTGTAGTCCCAGCTACTCAGGAGGCTGAGGCAGGATAATCACTTGAACCCGGGAGGCAGAGGTTGTGGTGAGCTGAGATCATGCCACTGCGTTCCAGCCTGGATAACACCAACAGAGTGAGACTTCTTTTATTTTTTTATTTTTTATTTTTTTAAAACAGTATTCATTTCATTAATACTTTGTAATTTTTTCCATCATTTTTTGCCTTCTTGTAATGAATTTGGCATCATAAGTGGTCCATTTTACCTCTTTTCTTTAACTGTAATATATGCTTTTAAAAAATATTTCACTCTACTCCCTTTGTGTTTGCATGGTTTTTGATGAGTTTATTGCAATTCTTACCCTCGATTTTCTATACATAAATTTTCCCCCTGCTCTGGTATTTATAAAGGTATTCTCTTTTAAGTTTCTCTGTAGTTTGAATATAATATGTCATTAAAAAACTATCTTGTTTGGTGTTTTCTGAGTTTCTTGGGTGTGTAGTTTGTTGTGTGTCGTTAATTTTGGCCATTTTTGTTTCAAATATTAATCATGTGGTTTTTTTTTGCCTTTTTTCTCCTTTTTATATTCCAGTTACACATATATTATACTATTTAATATTTTCCCAGGGTCTTAAATATTCTGTTCTTTTTTTAAATTATTTTTCTTTTCTCTGTGTTTTAGTTTGGGGAGTTTCCATTTATCCGTCTTCAAGTTATTGATTTTATTCTTTCCTCAGTTATGTAGAGTTTAGTGATGAGCCCATCAATCTATTCTTCATTTATTTAACTGTGTGTTTAGTTTTAGCATTTATTTTTTGAGTCTGTTATAGAGTTTCCATCTCTCTAATAACATTATACATCTGGTCTTACATGTTGCCTATTGTTCCTATTTGATAATTTCAACATCTGTGTCATATCTGAGTCTAGATATGATGTTTCTGTTGTCTCTTCAGACTCTGCTTTTTCCTGGCTTTAGAATGACTTGTAATTTTTGTTCAAAGCCAATAATATTATGTCAGGTAAATAGGCCTTCAGTGTGAAGATTTAAGTCAATCTGGCTAGGATTTTGGCTGTTTTTATAAATTGTTATAGCTCTAGGAATCAGAAGAAATTCCTCTAGTGTCTTCATTTTTGTCTCCTGTCTAGTCTTTGGGACTTCTGTTTGTATTGCTCCTCAGAAAGAGTCTGTGTCTTGCAGCTTTCCAGCTTTAATCCATTGTTATTATTTTTAAAAGAAAAACAGCCAAATTAAATTTAAAAGAGTTTTATTGAGCAATGAATAATTTGTGAATCACGCAGCCCCCAGAATCACAGCAGATTCAGAAGGATTCCAGGGTTGCCTCATGGTCAGAACAAATTTATAGCCCAAAAAAAAAAAAAAAAAAAAAAAAGTAAATTGATGTACTGAAACTGGAAGTGAGGTAAAGAAACAGTTGGATTTGTTATAGCTCCACATTTGACTTATTTGAACGCTGTGAACCCTCAGCAGTGTATGACTGGTTGAAGTAAGGTTGCTGGGATTGGGTAAGACTCAGCGATTGTTACAGGCACATACTCCTAAATTAGGTTTTCAATCTTGTCTATCTATTAAGTTAGGTTGCAGTTCATCCACAAGGACTCAAAAATAGAAGTACAGAGTCCTTCTCAGGCCATATTTAGTTTGCTTTAACATTACATTTGGGACTTACTGGTGTGGTGCTAGTGGGTATTGGAGGGGTACTGCTGTGCAATCTTCTGATTATGTCTCAGTCTTTTAGAAAGTCTGCATCTTATGGGTAGGGCATTTATAAATGTTTCTGTCCCTACCCCACGGTTATAGCTTTCCTCCTTCTGTCCCTTATTTCATTCACTGTGTGCAGCTTTGCTTATCTATTCCCCTGACTGCCTGCCCTTGTTCACTTTGTTATTAATGTTGTTATTATTTACCTTAACAATACCTTAGACAAAAAGGGTGGAGTTGGAGTAGAATTTCCTTCCCCTACCTGAGATAAAGTTTTAGAATTGCTCTTTCCCCTAAAGTCCAGGCGTTTGCTCGGAAAATGAGTCTGGGTGAGATTCACAAAGCTAGTCTTCCTTTCTCCAAGTTAGATTTACGAATCTTCAACAGATTTGCACTGTAAGATTACAGTGGGATTCCTAGAGTGAATGCCTTTGTAAATGTAGGAGGGCCCTTTCTAATGCAGCCCCCATGAATTCCTCACTCTCAAGCAATTCTACACTCAGTCTGAAGCAATTTATAAAACAACCATCTGAATATTCCTACCAGCTTAAGGATTCCGGTGGCTTCTGCTCTAGGTAAGCAAATATTAGCAGTTTTATTTCTCTAGATACATCTGTCTCTCTAGATTTCAGAATAATAGTTTACTGTGTTACCTTGGTTCTTTGATACATAAAAGTTGTTGATTTTTATTTTCTTTAGCTTTCACTTACTGTAAGATGGTAGTGATGACTTCTAAGCTCTTTACATGTTGGATCTGAAGCCAGAAGTATTTGATTTTGGTTTTTGTTTTTTTTCCATTTAAACACTGTGAAGTCACAATTAGATAGTAAGTAAAATTGTGAGATACACCATCAATTGTCATGACCTCAGTATAGCATAATTATGTGCTTAACTGTCATTCCCATTCTAAATAGTAATGTTAGAATGATTTTTAAACATATTTCTCATATATTATTATTAGAAAAACATAAATCATCCAAAGCAAGTACTCTTAAAAAATGAACAGTAATTTATTCATAACATCACTTTTTCTCGTTGACTATAGAAAGGGCAATAGCATTCTGAACTTTTGGTTTTAGAAATACCATGTATCTTAATGTCCTTCCAAAATCAAAGAATTTAAATTATTGTAAAATATCTGCAAAAATTTATTATAAATGAATTGCTGAGCTGATATAAAAGGAAATAATCGCCAACATGAAATTAAAAAAAAATTGGAACTTGGGTGACCAGCCTAGCTTTTGTTGGAAGTAAATGCTCAGTGCTGCAAAGTGAAACCAGCACTCAGGCAAAAATTTTCTCAGCAAGGCAATTTACTTCTGCAGAAGAATGCTGCTCATGTCAATCACAACCTAAATAGCACACTGAATAAAGGAGGGAAAGGGTTTTTATTTCTAATGCAGAGTCTCCACCTCTGTGTCACTCCCCCATGGGCTGGGGTCAGACCGCACAACATAAACTGACCCAATTGGCTATTGGTGAATATGTTCCCAAATAAGGAAGGAAAGGGGGATGTGTGAGTCACAATGGTGGGACGTGTGGTTTCAAAGGGTGGTATAGTGCAGAGTGGGTAGCCAAGGGAACAGATGTGAGTTGTTGATTAGAGCTGACAGGAAGGTTGTTTACAGTAACTAGAGGCAAGGAGGCATGGAGAACAAGAAAGCTGAGTTTGAGAACAAACAACAAGGAAGTTAACGAGCTAAACCTTTGAAGAGAAATTTAGAGAAATTCACTGTATCTTACACTTTCATTTGGGGGATTTCCTTTGAGTTCTGGAGATCATCAGCATCTGCTTTGATGGTGATAGGAAGTACAGAAAAATATTAAGCTTAATCTCCAATTGGTGGACACTGTATTGTACAAGGCAAACCCCTTATCCATTAAATAATAAGTTGGCCAAGCTGCTAGAGTGTTGTCAATAGGTAATCATAATCTGTAAGAGCTTCAAGGATTGCTTCAGCAGCACAGAAGATGACCAGTGACATCCAATATCCAGTGACATCTAATAGCTATTTAATTATGTAGGATAAAAATCTCTCTTGGCCCCTTAGAACTTCTCTGAGAAGCATTTTAGATTCACCATTGAAAGTTTGACTTGACCTGCATCACACATTAACTTATCCCTTTGCACAATTGTTTTCTTCCTCTTCCTTCTAAAACATTTGTTCCCAAAGCTATTTTCTTATTAAACATCTTGCCATTAATATCTGTCTCAGAATCTACATTTTAGTAAAATATTTTCAAAACCCATGTGTAATATTTTGGAGTTTGCATTCTTCACTGAATATTAAGTTAATGAAATCAAACTATGCTGTTGTTTTCACTGATGTATAATATTCATTGTGTACAGATATCACATATGAAACATCTATTCACTTGTGTATAAACATTCAGCATGTTTCCTGGTATTTGCTATTATGAACAGGCCTGCCATTAACATTTTGTACATACATCTTGTTATACGTGTTCAAGCATTTCTCTTGAATATATATCTCAGATAGCTTAAGAGGGATATTGTGGGGTTACAGGTATGACATAATTTTATTCTATACCACAACATTTTTGAGAGTGAAAAATGTTATTAGTATAAACATGTACCTAGACTGTCCCACACTAACTTGACTATATGGTCATTCCAGTTGCAAGGCTTTTTTTCTTCATTTACCTATTTAAGTGTATCAGTTCTAATCAAAATATAATAGTTTAAAATAGCAGCTATTTTATTTGCTTATGATTTTACGGGTCTGCAATTGGCTTGAACTCAGCTGTTCAGCTGTTTTGCTCCTCTGACACCTAGTGTTGCAACTTAGGCTGGATATATTAAGAAGATCCCTCATCCTGGTGTTTAGGGCTCTAGTTGTTTGGGTCTCTCTCTATGTGATCTTTCATCCCCAAGAAGAACAGACAAGGTGTTTTAAATAGTGGTATTGGAATAACAAGTGATGTCAAGCCCTAGTGCATATCTGCTTTTTAAGTTTCTTGCTTGCACCATGGTTGTCAGTGTCCCAGTGGTCAAAACAAATCACATAGTTGCGTGAACAAACATAGCTGCAAGACTAGCAAAATTAATTCCAGTGCATGATAGGAGAAAGCAGAGTATACAGACGGAAGGGAGGGATTAGAGGCCACTAAATAATCTATCACAGTGTATGAGGGTTAAACTTTAAAAGATAACATCAAATAGTTTTCCTAAGTGTATTTTAACTAACTGGAAGTTGCCTTCACAATGTATCAGTTATTATATTACTACATTGATCTGTACTGTCTGCTATTTGAAATAATTAATTTTATGTCTCATTTTAGTATTGATTTACATTTTCAAATTATTTATTTTGAACTCATTTCATATATTTGCTGTCCATGTATTTTTTTTTCTTTTATGAAATAGCTTTCTGAACTATTGGGTTATTTGCCTCTTTTTTCCTTACTAGTTTTTAGTCATTTTATATTTTATAAAATATTTTGTCAATTTGTGTTGCAAATATTTACTTCAAGCTTGTAGTGTAGTTTTTGACTTTTAAGATGGGAACTGATAAAGAGACATTCTTAATCTTTATGCAAACCAATATATCAGTTATTAACTTTTAACTTAGAGATTTTATTGTCTTGGTTAGGAAATCCTTTCTTACCCTGAGATTAGAAAATTTCACTTATATGTTTTAAAGTTTCAAAAGTTAGCTTTCACATTTAAATTCTGAATGTATCTAGAATTGATTTTCTTTCTTTTTCTTATCTTTCATTCATTCTTTCTTTTTTATTACACAGAGGACTTACAAATTCAATTTTAATTTTTCATGTGAAAGAACATTTTTTTCTGGCACTTTTTCTCTCTGATCTGCCATTCTATCTTGGTCAGATACCAGAAATCTGTATGCATATGTTTTCATTAACTAGCCTATTCTGTTCCATTTATTAATTTATCTATGCTCTGCCATGCATTGTATTTAATATAGTTTTATAATCATCTTTGTAAATGGTTTATTTACTCTTCCATATAAACTTTAGAACATATTGAATATAATTAAAACCCTGCTAAATGGTTCCGACTGACATTTCAGTAAATCCTTGCATCTATTTGGGTAGCATTGCCATCTTAACATTATAAAGTCCTCCTACCCATGCCCATGTAATATATCCATTAATTTATCCCTATTATATTGATTTTCATTGATGTTTCATAATGTTCTGAAGGTAGATCTGGCATTTTTTCTGTATTTTTTATGGATTTAAAAAAATGTTGAAACTATTTTAAATGTTTTTTAGAATTTTTTTTTTAAATCTTTGCTGGTACATGGAAATTCAATTGAATTTTGTACATTGATTTTTACTTAATATTTTGCACATACTGCTATTATTTATAATAATTTTCAAAATATTTTGCTTCTCTGTGTAGATGTTTCTATCATTTGAAAATGATGACCAATTGATTTCCTCCTTTCCAATCATTTTATATTTAATTTGTTTTTCTTATTTTATCACACTGGCAATACAATGGAGAACAGAAAAGCTGAGAGTTTTATTCTTTATATTATTTTAAATCCTTTTTTATACAATACTTAATGTGATCAGAGAGCATCCTAATGTAATTCCCAAGGATGTTTCAAAAACAACAATTGTTGCTACCAATTTAGCTTTTCTGTATGCACCAGTGTAGAAGAAACAATACTGTTTTGAGGTGACACAATTCTTGGTTCCAATGTTAGTTCTACCACTCACTGGATACTAGCTTTGGGATTTTCTCTTAGAATTTAAAATGGGCCTACTACATGTCTCTTAAAGTTGAAGGGAAGAGTCAATCAGAGAGTAGGTTAATATGGGAAAGGTTTATGTAAATAGATAGCTACAAGACCAGTTAGGCCCAGTGTCACCAGATCTTACTGAACTGTAGATTCAAAAGAGGATAAGTTAATATACTTCAATAATAACTGAATTCCTCTGCTTGTCACCCACAAAGAATATTTCTGAGAGTTCTCAGAGGAGACTGGCATGTATTTCCTTATTATAACCGGTTTCCCACAGGACTCATGCTCCTCTGAGGAGTACCTCTTTCTGTAGGTGGCTATCATCTAGTGTGTGGTCACCACTGGTCTTTTAAATATGGTGACAGCTGCTGCTAATTGGTGCTATTTTACCAGATGATTTCGCAGAATTCTTGTCCTGGTCAGAGCCAGACTCCCTTGACTGTCTCTGTCTTTCAGAAAGGCCAAGTTGAATTCTGGTCTATATCAATGTGACAAAAAACAGCTCCTGCCTATTTGTATACATCCCAAGATAAGGATCATACGGTAGCATTGTCTATACCTGACAAGAAACAACTGCTTTATTTTTAGTTATTACATTCTTTCTCCCTTGGACTTGAATATGGGACCAGGAATTAGGGATAAAAATGGATTTGAAAAGCAGACACATCCTTGAACTCAGAATCAGTCTGCAATAAACAACTAAGACTTTCTTTTGTGGCTTCAGTTCAATCCTGGGAACTGAGATTTCTTTTCATGGGCAAGGTAGATTATCTAGCAGAGACACACATATAGACAGGTTTCTAATAGGCTCTCAGCCATCAATTTGAAACACATGCCCAGATAAATCTGAACCACAAGCAGTAGATGACACAGCCTGAGGAGGAATCTTTCCTATACAAGGGAACAATATGCATTTGAAAATAGGATTCCTGTTGGAATTGTCTTTATATCATAAGAGCATATTGTAGTCCAAATAGCATTGACTGTGGAGCAAATTGGGTCAGATGTGAATCTTATTTTCTCAATTTTCTTAGTTTGCAATGCAGTGTAGGATGAATTGTTTACCAATTCTGGGTCTAACTTTCTTGTGAGGGAGAGTTTTAATATCTACTTTACAGTTTCTTTAATATCAATTAAATATTGTGGAAATAATTGTTTAGGAAGACCTTTGAATTTAGCATATTTCTATTTTGACACATAATTCTTAGATTAAATGTATACAATAACATAATTATATGAGTTGTTATGACTTTGAAACAACAGATCAAGTTTATAATAAAACAGGTGAAAGCCAATTTTTTAATGTTGTTCTTTGTAGATAAGACAATCATGGATTGATATTTTTCACTTTTCAATCAAAGATGAGTAGTTCAACTCCATCTAAGATTTTTAGAGTATATATCATTAGTAACATTTATGTCACAGAGTTTGCAGCCATAATTCTTACTTATATGATTTTTGACATTGTGGCATGTGCTATGTATAGTAAGAAAGCCAGGTGCAACAACTACTTATCCAAGAATATTTAAAAACCTGACTTCTGTAGAATCCAAATAAGAGTCTTAGAATTTCTAATTAAATATTAAAATATTTAATTTTAATGTTTAAAATAAGCATAGTTTATGTAGATTTGTAAATATATTCCATGGTATGTTTTTGCAAATAATATTAATTTGAAAACGTATTATCTTCATTTCATAAAACAGAATACAGAAGATTGCATTTCTTTAATTAATCTGTCAAGTATGCATAAAGGCTATTTGGCAAGAGATGCTCTTTCAGATTATTGGTCTACTGGATTTAAATTCATGAAAATTATTGAAATATCTATTATCTGACAATTTATGGGCCATGGAATATATGACTCTTTAAAGATACGGGAAGTAAGAATTTTTATATAATATTCTTTGAGATAACATTTCTTGCATTCTGGAGGTATTTGTTAAATTATAGATGATTGTTTTTCTTATTTGCTCATACTATTTCCACAAGCCATGAAAAGTAATCAGAAATATCTTGTGTAAGTTAACATTGTAGGTATTTTTGTTATAGCAAATCTGTATATAGGATTTGGGAGCTACTTCTCTAGCATGTGACTTGACTTTCTCTGATTTGATAAGTCATCTAGCAAGTAAGGCTATCAATTAGAGAGGTTTTTCAGAAGTTCAAGCAAGAGAACTTGTAACACAATGATAGAAAAGCCTTCTTTCCAATAATAGAGCCAACATTTATTATCGGCAAATGCTTGGTTGAGTTTTATTTTACTTTCACTGATCAAAGCATTCCCTGGTTTACCTGTTCAACTAAGGACTAATATTTACTTTCATATTTAAGTAACTGGATTTGCTATTTTTATGTCAATTGCTATTTTTTAAATATCTATTTAAAATATAGCAATTATTCCACAAATAAATCCAATAGGCTGAGTTAAGCCACGATATTAAATAGAGAGAGAGACGATAAGTAATCTATGGTCAGGTGAACACTTAAGGCCCATGAGCTACAAAATTTGTCCCATGATAATCTCATTGTCTTATAGATGGAAAATGCAGTCTAAAGAGATGAGGGGACTTCTCCTGTGTCATGCATGTGGATATAAGCAGAGTAAAGCCTAGATGGTGGGCATTTCCAGATTGGATTTGTCTGGCATGGAATTCAGAAAGAAGACTAACTCTGAGAAGTAGAAAGTGATGAAAATGTATGTTATGTCGATCAAATTAGTGCATGAGTCCTGGAGGCATGAATGCAAGAAAGAACGGAGTCTTTTCTCAGTAATGCTCTAAAGGTCTTTGTGAGCCATACTGAAGTGGCCAAATTAAAGAACAGCACCCACTAAAAAACAGCACCCATTTAGCATGAAGAACAGGCCACCCACTGAAGATGAAAAGGATGAGAGGAGATTCTTTTCTGGAACCAGGAAGAATGGAGGGTAGAGACTAATGAGGGTCAAAGAGTGAGAGAATAAGATCCTATCTTTATCCCAAATGTGGGACCAGAGGAAGAATTTCCCAAACTGCAGCACGATTCAGAGGACTCTGAGAATAGAAGCCGTGAGTCTTATCATTTATAAATACTGGGGAGAGTGTACAGACATAGCTCATTTTATTGTGCTTCAGTTTATTGAATATTTTACAAATTGAAAATTTGTGGCAACCCTGCATCAAGTGAGGCTATTGGCACAATTTTTGCAACAGCATCTGCTCACTTTGTGATGCTGTGTCACATTTTGGTAATTCTCAAAATACTTCAGACTTTTTCTTTATTATTACATATTTTATGGCGATCTGTAGATCAGCAGTCTTTGATGTTACTATTTGAATGTTTTGGTGTGTCATGAACTATACTCATATGACAGCAAACTTAATTGATAAATGTTGTTTATGTGTGAATGCTGTGCTGATCAGATGATCCCCTGTCTCTCTCCCTCTTCCTGACCTCTCTATTTTGAGACAGAGCAATATTGAAATTAGGCCAGTCAGTCACCATACAAGGCCTCTAAGTGTTCAAGTAAAAGGAAGAGTCACATGTCACTCACTTTAAACTGAAAGCTAGAAATGATTAAGCTTAGGGAGGAAGCCATATCGAAGACCAGAATAGGCTAAAATCTAGGTCTTTTGCAACAGTTAGTTAAATTGTGAATGCAAAGGGAAAGTTCTTGGAAATTAAAAGTGCTACTCTATTGAACACACGGATAATAAGAAAGCAAAGCAGCCTTACTTTTGATATAGAGAAAATTTTAATGGTCTGCATAAAAGATCAAACCAGTCACAACATTCTCTTAAGCCAAAGCTTAATCCTGAGCAAGGTTCTAACTGTCTTCAATTCTGTGAAGGTGGGGAGAAGTGAGAAAGCTGCAGAAGAAAAGTTTAAAGCTAGTGGAAGTTAGTTTATGAGGTTTAAGGAAAGAAACTATCTCCAAATCTTAAAAGTGCAATGTGAAGTAGCAAGTGCTGATGTAGAAGCTGCAGGAAGTTATCCAGAAGACATAGCTAAGATCATTGATGAAGGTGGCTACATTAAACAACAGATTTTAAATGTAGACCAAACAGCCTTGTACTGGAAGAAGATGCCACCTAGGACTTTCATAGCTAGAGCAGAGAAGTTAATGTCTGGTTTCAAATGATGGGCTGACTCTGTTGTTATGGTCTAATAGAGCTGGCAACTTAAGTTAACTCCAATTATAATTTACCATATTCAAAATCATAGAGCCCTTAAAATGGGCAAAATATCCACTGCCTGTGCTCTAGAAATGAAACAACAAAGCCTGGATGACAGTATATCTGTTGCATGGCTTACTGAAAATTTGAAGCCCACTGTTGAGACCTACTGCTCAGCATAAAATATTCCTTTCAAATATTACTCCTCATTGACAATGCATCTTGTTACCTAAGAGCTCTCATGGAGACATACAAGAAAATTTATGGTGTTTTAGTGCTTGCTAGAACAACATCCACTTGGTAGCTCATGAATCAAAGAGTAATTTCAAATTTCAAGTTTTATTATTTCTGAACTACATTTTGTAAGGTTATAACTTCCATAGATCATTATTCTTGTGATCGATCTTGGCAAAGTAAATTGACAACATTCTGGAAAAGATTTACCATTCTAGATGCCATTAAGAATATTTGTGATTCATGGGTTGGTGGGGGAGTGGTAAAAAATTAACATTAATAGGAGTTTGGAGGAAGTTGATTCCAACCCTCATGGATGACTTCAAGGGGTTCAAGCCTTCAGTAGAGGAAATAACTGCAGATATGGTGGAAATTACAAGAGAACTAGAATTAGAAGTGGAGGCTGAAGATGTGACTGAATTGCTGCAATCTCATGATAAAACTTGAGCAGGTGAGGAGTTACTTCATAAGGATGAGCAAATAAAGTGGTTTCCTGAGATGGAATCTGCTCCTCATAAAGATGCTGTAGAAATTGTTGAAATGATAACGAAATATTTAGAATATTGCATAAACTTAATTGATAAGGCAGCAGAAGGGTTTGAGATAATTAATCACGATTTTGAAAGAAGTTCATTGTAAAATTTGATCAAACAGCATCCATGCTATAAGAAATCTTTCATGAAAGGAAGAGTCAATCGTTGAAGTTAATTTTACTGTTATCTTATTACAAGGAATTGCCACAGTCACCTCCACCTTCAGCAACTACCATTCTTATCAGTCAGGAGCCATCAACATCCAATCTTTCATCAGCAAAAAGATTGCAACTTGCTGAAGGCTCAGATGATTGTTAGCATTTAACAATAAATTATTTTTTAGGGTATGTGCATTATATTTTAGACATTGTTCTATTGCTATTGCTCACTTAATAGATTACGGTATAGTGTAAACATAACTTCTACCTGCACTGGGAAACTAAAAAGTTCATGTGACTCAGTTTCTGTTGATATTTGCTTGATTTTGGTAGCCTAGAATCGAACATGCATTATCTCTGAGGTATGCCTGTATAGTAATCTCATAAATATAAATATTACTAAACTCATTTTATTGTGTTTATAATAAAATTCAAATGATTAATATCAGAACTATAATTCAAACAGAAGTATAAAATATTGAGAATCACCATGAGGTCATCTTTCACAAAGAAACAACACAATAAACCAACCTCAGAACTGGCATGTGTAATGGCAGAAATTGTTCTAAGCTTCAGCAATAAAATCAGACACTTGTGGTATTATTCTTTTGAGAATTTTGGGAGATTTGCATTACTTGCTTGGAACACACATTATACTTCTTCATTTAAAATTAGACACAAGCCTGGGCATAGTGGCTCATTCTTGTAATCATAGCACTTTGGGAGGTTGAAGTTGAGGATTGCTTGAGCTCAGGAGTTGAAGACCAGCCTGGGAAACATAGTGAGACCTTGCCTCTACTAAAAAATTTTAAAAATTATCTGGGTGTAGTGGCATGTGCCTGTAGTCCCAGCTACTTGGGAGTCTGAGGCAGGAGGATCGCTTGAGCCCAGCAGGTTGAGGCTGAGTGAGCTGTGTGTGATTGTGCCATTGCACTCCAGCCTGAGTGACAGAGTGAGAGCCTGTCTCAAAAATTAAATTAATTAATTAAACACATCGTTTTATAAAATATTTTCTCTACATATTCTGGGAATGATAATTTTATATAAAGAAAGATCATGATGACTTATTTACAACGAAATGATAAAACAAATCTAGGAGTAATTTATCACATAAAAACCATTTTCTTCACCTACATCATGGCAAAATTAACTTTTGGAAGTATATTCACTGCCATGCTTTTGTAAACTACATGAAATTGACCAATAGTTCTTGGGTTATGTCTACATAGGTAAATGAAAATGGAAAGTTGGGATAATTTGAAGGTTTTTTTTAAAATAGTATTATGACACTTGAGTAAAGCATAGATTTGGGCATTGTGGTCTCTACATATTTCACCTTACTAGGGAAATTTCTTAGATATATACCCAACCCTATTCTTTGCTTTCTTTGTATAAATTTGACTGAAATTTTAAGGGCAAAGATTTACTTAATTATGTGTAATGGCCCTTGTAATATTATTCTGTAGAATTATAAGATGAGAAAACATGTAGTATTTCAACTCTCTAATTGTCTAAAAATAGGTCACTTCATCTTTAAGTTTGGACATTAATGAGTTGTCTACATTCCTGTGGCAAGCCTTCCTACCACAGCAACAGCAAAACGTTCTCATTTAAGGAAGATCAATAGCTGTACACATTTTTTCTTTTATACAGTCCGGTTTACAATTCACTTTTAATATCATTTAAAAGTGCATAAGCAAATCCTACATGACAGTTTTATTACCATTGTAATATCTCAAGTTTAATTTTTGGCAGTAAATATAGTCTGGTACAAACTTAGAAGCAAAAAGAAAAAAAAAGAAACTGGAGTTTAAGTGTATTTTTTATTTATATAGTACTTTTACTTCTGGGGGTGAATGTCATTTTTGTACAAAACACCTGTTCATGTGATGAATTTGAAAAAGTTTCATATTCAAATAACCTCCAGAAGTTTTATTTTATTTGTTTTCAACCTACATTACATTTCAGGAAGCCTGCCAAAGTTTATAATTATATTTTTGAAAGGTTTCACATGGAGTTATCATTGGTATATGAGTAGATTTTAATTTACCCAGTCTACTAATTTACATTTTTAAAAAACCCCACATTAATTGTAGAGTACAGGGAACAAAATATAGTTATTTTACCTTTGAAGGCATGCGTGATCACTAATATAGATGTTTAGAATCTACCAGAGAAGGAGAAAAACAAGTTTAAAGTCAGAACTCTGGGATCATACATGCTTTGGATTTTACTTTTTGCACTGCCTGTTAACATTTGGCCAGTCTGAGCAGGGCAATTTATTCTCTCCACGGTTCAATTTCTTTATCCGTAAAAGAGGGTGAAAATAGTCTTTGCCTCACAGAATTACTATAAGAATAATTATAATTATATTTTCAAAAATTATTCACTTTTGAAACATGATAAAATATATGCTCATGTAGGATTCACAAGGATAATGGCTGAGCAAGTGATAAGTGAACAAGTTACTGGATTTTTCTAACCTGTTTATCAATACTGGACAATGATAGTTGTCTTTTTTGTTGTTATTCCATTTTACCTCTCGTTTTTGTGCTACAGATGAAAGCATGTAGGTAACAACTCTTGACACCTTTGAGTAAAGCAAGAAAATAATAGAAATATTACTATTGCTGTTGCTTTTCTTTATAGAAAAGACTCAAGGCAAACACAGAAATAATTGCTGTGTTATGTATGTGTATTTAAAAGAATTGACTGTTTTCAATGGCCTGATTGTCTAATGTATTTTATTTTTCTTAGTTTTGTGTTCAGAAAAACTGTGTATTTCTGCAATAGTTCCATTTTGTAGTGCATTCTGACCATTATGTATTTTAGTAATCCAATCAGTAAAGCTTTTAATTTCTCGCTGTGTTTGGAAGCTGCTTTGGCCAAGGATTTGACATCCAGCAGGGTGGCGTCCACTTGCTCTTGGCATCCAGTAAAGAATGACTGAACAGCATGCTCGGGGTATATCATTAGTACCATGTAAAAACCTTATGATTTACTTAATGGCATTTCTATGCCCCGTATTTTATTATTTTCAAATGGTGTCATGCCGTGTCTGTTTCAAATCATGTCCTCTTAAAACTTTTTGGTTTCTTCATGTTATCAATTTAGGATACTTTAAAAATAAGTTGTTAAAGCATATTTGAGTTTTCAGTGCTGTATTAAAACATTTTTATTATGCAGTAAAATTGGTTATGTGGAGTATTTACATTTAAAATTAAATCAGTAAAGATGTCTTAAGGAAATGAACGAGATGGCTGCACCATTGAGTTCAATGAGACTTGATGTGGAAAGAATACTACACCATCATACTGCTTAGTGTTTCACAGTAGGATCTAAAGTAACTATATTAATTTTGTGAGGTCATCTTTCATTCTGGTATTCATGCTGCTATCACCTGTTTTGCCCATTATGACCACAGTGTCTGGTAGAGGTAAGTACTCTGAAAAATATCAAAAATTTTTTTTGCCTAAATTGACATGTTCTTCTTGCATATCATCTGAAGATGAGGAGGATGCTTTCACAAAATATTATAAAGATAATGATCAGCACACTAAAATTTTTATTGCCCTGGCCCCCACCTCCAAAAAGGCTCTGCAAAAGAGTTGTCATTTCATGTACTCATGATAAATGTATATTTTTTCTGATTCACACACACTTCTCATTAAAATGTCATTTCTTAAAACTGAAATCTATATAAATATAGCATCAATTACATGAAAACTGACACTCATTAATTTTTTTCTTTTAGGTAGTAAAAAATTAATAACACTAATTTCAGGTTTGGGTTTAAGGATTTATACCATATTTTCTTGCTATTTCCACTTATTTACTGTTAGAATTTCACATATGGAAATTATGAGTATGGGTATTGGTGTTAAGGAAAATCTTTCTTGACTGCAGAGTACTCCAAAAATTAGAAATAGAAGGAAAATAGACCTTTGGAATTTTAACAAAATATTTTTCCATATTTTAAATTTATATTTTGACAACTTACAGTAGATTCTGCTATGTGGATTTAGCAAAACTATGTGGTTAACTTTAACATATGAAGAAGACCAGCCTGAACAACACAGAGAAACCCCATCTCTACTAAAAATATAAAATTAGCCAGGCATGGTGGTGCATGCCTGTAATCCCAGCTGCTCTGGAGGCTGAGGCAAGAGAATTGTTTGAACCCAGGAGGCGGATGTTGCGGTGAGCCAAGATTGCGCCATTGCACTCCAGGCTGGGCAACAAGAGAGAAACTCCATCTCAAAAAAAAAAAAAAAAAAAAAAAAAAAAACCTACAATTACATTAGTAAAAGACCAACACCTAAAATAAAAAGAGAACATTTGGGAATAAGCATCTCATAAAAAAGGAATAAAAAATAACCCTTAAAGTAACAGAACTAGGCTAATTCTTACATATGATACCCCCAAAAATGCAAAACAAAACTATATGTATGCACAGTTTATGGTGTTTAAGTATATATATTTCTATACACACATATATGGTGTTTGAGTGTATATATACATATATATGTTTATATATACACACACACATACACACACAAAGTGTGGCTATATTAAACACAACTATAAACAAATTTGGTTCTTTGATTCCATAACTTTATTTCTTTAGATGTAGTCTACAGATACATTTCACACAAGTGAAAAAACATATGTAAATAGATATTCATTTTAGTATTGTTCAAATACTACAGATTGATAACCACCTACATATCTGTCATTAGACTACTTAAATATAGTACAGTAATAAGAAAAATAAACTTTTGTGCTGTCATAGAAAGATCTCAAAATTTATTGTAGAGTGTAAAAGAACATATAATAGTACTTACTAGTATGTCTACAAAATAACTATGGATGCATAAGAGAAATTAATAACAATGGTTACCTGTGTTGTTAGTAGACAAATGGGTGACTGCAACCAAAAAGTTTCCAATGTATAGCTTTGTTTACCTTTCAATTTTGGAATCATGTGACTGTACTATCTGATTTGGTGTGGCTGTGTCCCCACCCTAATCTCACCTTGAATTGTAATAATCCCCACATGTCAAGGGCAGGACCAGGTGGATATAATTGAATTATGGGGGCGATTTCCCCCATAATCTTCCATGGTAGAAAGTAAGACTTACAAGATCTGATGGTTTTATAAATGGGAGTTCCCCTGCACAAGCTCTCTTGCCTGCCACCATGTAAGATGTGCCTTTGCTTCTCCTTTGCCTTCCACCATGATTGTGAGGCCTCCCCAGCCATGCTGAACTGTGAGTCCATTAAACCATTTTCCTTTATAAATTACCCAGGCTCAGGTATGTCTTTATTAGCTGCATGAGAACAGACTAATACACTATCTATGCAAAAATGTGTTATGAAATTAAAATTTAAAAACAGCATAGAGATGCAATTAAATTAGCTGAGGTATTCTTATTTCCAAATAATTGTCCTCTGTAGATGTAAAATCAACATTGATACCCGTGTAAAATGGTTACTTTATAAATTATACATAGAATGTGTATTGAGGAAACAAGGATATGGTAAGTAGCAGTAGATTTACAATTGACTGAAGAGTATGGTTGCTAAGATTCATATGCTTGATAATTCACATTTCTGTGCCCTTGCATAGGCTGTCCGTTGTGCAAGCAATTTCCTTCTCTTCTGTTTTCTGTTTTTCTCTTTGAGTAATGCTACTCATTCACTAAGGCCTGGTCCGAATATTATTTTTTAAAATGTAAACAGACACCTCTAGTATATTTAGCCTCTTCCTTTGGTCTTTCTTAAGAACTCTAATCATATATCTATTATAGCACTTATAATCCTTCTTTTCTTAAACTTTCCCTTAATATACTGCAAACTGCATGGCAGCAGGGGTGGTATCTTATTCTGTTTGTATTATATTTTCAGAACTTGGGACTGTTTGGCACATCATAGGAGATCAAAACGTGTTTTGAGAATAATTGAAAAAATATAAAATACATGAGGCAGCCAAAATGGTTGCATGAAGATAAACTATTTTAAGGAAAAATCTAAGAATATAAAAAATGACTTCTTAAATGAACTATGGTATAAATGAGTGTGAAAGAAGCACTGTTAAAGGGATACAGCAGTAACATTAAATTTTGAACAATATTCTCAGGCCTTTGCATTATTCTAGTTTTGCGTGTGAATTAACTGAGGTGAATAAAAGTTATTAATTTTCCCCAGATAAGACAATTAAAAAATTGATCACTTGGGTATTTAAATGTAGCCTGTATTTCCTTCAAATCTGTACTCTCTGCACTACAATTCACAGATACACTAAACCAGGAAGATGAAAACAATGATTAAAGAATGTCGACTCCAGAAACCACCTAAAGATACACCCACATTGATTTATTCATCCAGTTGGAGACTGTTGGACCACTGAGGAAAGGAAGGGATATAGAGTGTTGATTAGTATAGTACTTTTAGTTATTTTTAGCTGCTTATTAACTCTTGTCAATGTTCATGAAGGATATAGGAGATGGCAGCATAAACTCAAAAACTGTGAATTTTATTTCAGGTTATCTTTCCAAAGACGGCAACACTGGCAAGGGTAACTCTCAGAGTTTGTGTGTTTGCCTTAAGAGTTAGTCTTTTTAAGATACTGTGTTTATCTGGTGGTTACAATGGTTTAGATTTGCTTCTATGAAAAGTTAGGATGGTGAGCTCCTAAAATTCTGTCTTTCAATTCCTTTACTTACTCAGCATTCTGACTGCTGAAGTAATAAAGAATTCAGCTTTAGGTCTCGGTATCCTTTATCCCCATTTATCTCTAGCCTTTAAGGTTGTCTTAGTCATACATATCAAAGCTAATATTGTTTATTTATCTTGCCTAGGATCATTCAGTTAAATTCCTCCTGCATTCTTTAATTGGCTTATATGTGCTCAAGAATTTTTTATACTTAATACACACCAGTGGAAATGCCATCACTTGTTCAAAAACAAAAATAATAAAAAGAGTAACTAAACTCTCAAGAAATAGACTCAAACTTGATTAGAAAAATCACTCTGTGTATTCTGTTTAGTTAAGCTGATGCATTCAGCTTATCTTTTCTTTCTATGAGTTTAAGATTCCATAAAACTGATGACAAAAAGTAATGAAAAATGACTACTAGCTGCTAATTAATATATGTGTCATCTTTGGTTATTCTGTGTTCTTTAAAATTGGCAAAATTGTTATACGCATTAAATTATAGAAATGATATGAAAATTCATTGATCTTCATTAACTAGTTTTATATAATGGAACATAGGAAATACAAAGGCTTACATTTATGACCTATGTACATGATTTACATTTATGATATTTCAGATGCTTGACATATGTTTACTCTAAAAAGTCATGAACTCCCCTTTGACCTTGAAAAGTCAAGATAAAAACTTTTCAGATAATGACCTTTTCAATATATTAAAATAGATCACTCAAGGGTGTATCAGTCAGCCACATTCTGTGTTCTCAGGTCCATTTTTTACTGAAATTTATTTTTATGGTTATATATGAATTCATCAGAAGCCAAGGAAAGGGAAGAAAAAAATGCCATTATTTATTTCAACAGCCTCACATAATGTATTATTCTTAAAAATCTAGCCACAGACCATGAAGTAGCTAAACTTTAGTTTGATATATTCAATGACAAGTTGAGCGGAAAAAGAAATAGATAAATTTATGAGGGAAGCAGACTAGGAATAATTTGTATTTCCATAGTACATCTCTTTGAAGGAGCTCAAGGCAAGTGATGAAAAAGATATGACACTATATATAAACTAATTTTCTCTCAGAGACTGTATCTAAGAACAAGAAATACAAAATATTCACTGGCACATTGTATAGTGTGCTGAAGAATCTTTATAGGCCATTTGTTAACCTGTGATCTGATTCTGACAATGCAATGGTAAGGCAAGATTTGTACATTTCTCTGTTGATTCAAAACTCATTTGTTTTTCAAGGATTGCTCAAGCCTCTTCCTCCCTGAAACCCTCTTGCAATGCCCAACTCAAGCTATTCTCTCGTATCTTAGGAGTCCTCTTGGATTTGTAATCAGTTCAAACCTGATATTTTAGAATGTATTGTCAGCCAGTTCGCTATTGTAAGTATCAAAGCAGTAGTTCATTTAAGGGAAATTCCAACTTTTGTTATGATTGCATTTTGTTTGGGAGTTTTTCCCTCCAAAGATATAGTGTATTTTTTTCTTATTAGAACGACAGACTTCGTTAAATGAGATCAATGGAGAATGATCTTTTAAAAAGAATAAGCTCTGGAAGAGAAAGAGAGAGAGAGAGCAAAGAAAGGAGGAATAATCAATGCCATTTATTTTAGGCTGCTTCATCAAAAATCTCATACTGACTTTTTTCCAGAATAAATTAAGACTAATGCTTCAGTGTGTTTGTGGATTACTAAGGAATTATGGAAATAAAACCAGTTTAGCTCACATATTCAATAGTCACTAAATGGACCAACATTTATCCAAACATATAATCTAAAAGTAAAGAACAAATATGTTTTTGCATCCTCTCTGCAACCCTAAATGACAGCTCTCCCTTCACTTCTTCCCTAATTCTTTCTTAAAAAAAGAAATAAGGGAAGTATTTAAGAATGTAGATACTCCTTTACACTTCTCCATGTTATTGGATCCCTGTCTTTTAAATATGTGACAAATGGAGAAAAACAGAGCATTAATGGACATCTGTGAAAAGATGAATATCAAGATTAAGTCTAAAAATGAAATAGAGAATACTGTCATTCATAATACATTTTCCTATCCACAACTAACAATGTTACCTTACAAATCTCTCACTTTTTATGGCTGCTAATTATTATTCTATTCCTATGTTTAGGACTTTGACCAATAGTATTAAGCCCGGACTTTTCATACCTCTGTGGTACACTAAAGTTTTTTCAAGATCTATGGAAAGTTGGAGAATTTTAAGGAAATAATATTACCATTTTTACCCAACTTCAATACTAATCTATCTGACTGAGAAGCCAGGAGTCTGTGAGGAAAGGTTTAATACTTTTCCTTTCTGCCCTTTGCCAATTTCTCTTCTCCCACTTTACAAAAGAAACATTACTCTAAACCATCTTGAAACTTATTACAGTGCATTGCCTCCTGAGGGTACACTGAATAAAATAGTGTCATAGTGTCTTTAATCAAGTCACCAAAACTGCTCTGCTATCATCTACATCTTGAAGATGTGCATTTACAATAACTTTTTTGCATAATTATTTTTCAAAGTTTATCATTCTGTTGTTTTGACCAGTTGTATATTAGTTATAATTTTGCACTGGCAATAACTGTAACAATAACTCAAGATAAAGCAAATACAACATGATAAAGACATTTGGATTTTTATTTTGTGAGATATGTTATAGCGGTGAATAAAAACTCTTTAGAGCAAACAAATACTTTGTTAGGATAAAATTTTCTGTTTTAGCTTAAGAACATAGATGACTTAAAATTTGAGACTGTTAGGGCCGGGCGTGGTGGCTCACGCCTGTAATCCCAGCACTTTGGGAGGCCGAGGCGGATGGAACACGAGGTCAGGAGATCGAGACCATCCTAGCTAACACTGTGAAACTCTGTCTCTACTAAAAATACAAAAATTTAGCCGAGCGTGGTGGTGGGCGCCTGTAGTCCCAGCTACTCGGGGGGCTGAGGCAGGAGAATGGCATGAACCCGGGAGACAGAGGTTGCAGTGAGCAGAGATCATGGCACTGCACTCCATCCTGGGCAACAGAGCAAGACTCCATCTCAAAAAAAAAAAATTGAGACTGTTAGGGAAGAACTTGCTTATATTTGTTGTTGAACAGATGATTATAAGTATTAAACCATGATAATATTTACGGTCCATTTTCTATTGGATGTATTTAACAGTAATGTACACCTAACATTCAGATTATGTCCTCTAACTGCAATTCCCCACTAAAAAGAAGTAGAATTCCTTGAATGAATGGCTAGCTTCAGGTCTGAGACAGGAAATATGTATAATAATACAAGAGCAGCTTTCTACGTGTGACAGAAAGCAAGCAAGATATTAAAAATACAAAAGCAAACAAAAGAAACCCAATGCACCATGTCAAAAAGAAGTAGCTTTTAATGGCCAAAAGTGAGAATATCAAAAATAATGGAGAATATATTTCAGTATACTGAAAATAAATTAATTGTTCAAAATACTATTCAGATCAAATGAGAAAGCCAGCAACAACAACAACAAAGTCTCAAACCAAACTCTTTAGATTCGGTTGGAACTAAGTGGGGTGATAATAGCTTTTTCTGGTATTTTGATTTTTGAAGAATATTCTGGTATTTGGATATTTAGAAGAAATTATTAATTATTCATCCTGAATATCTTATGCAAATTATATTTTAGGTTTACTCAGCCATAAATGTTAAAGGAAGCTCCTTCTTTACAGCAGGATTCTAGCTAACAAGCCATTATTTTATAGCCTTTAACTTTTTCACATAATAATCATCAATAGATGACACTGTGAGGGTAAAGAATAATAAGAGACTTTACAGTGGAAGGGACTGGCTGTCATCACCTACACCCACCGAAATCTTTGTATACCTAAAACTTGTACGACCACCCATCGTCTTTCTCTTAATATTATGTAATGTAAAGCAGCTGGAATGCCCTTATAGGCATTTTTGTCAAAATCCTTTTACCTTATTATAGCTTGGTTAAATTTATGGGAAATGTAGGGGGTCAAAAAGCAAGTTAATAACATTTCAAAGAAACAAATGGACAAATACAGAATGTACATCATTCCAGAAAGTAACTCATTCTGCTTCTGTAAAGAATTAATGCTAGACAAAACAAAAAGGAAGGAGAAACACCTGTAATTTTAAAAACGTAAGATATGTAATAACAAAATGGGATATGTGGTCTTCAGGTGTGTCTTGTCTTGAATAAATAACTTTAAAAAGTTGTTTTTAAGAGAAATAGAAAATTTGAATATGAACTGGCCACAGATTTATCATTAATTTAGTCAGGTGCGATAATGATTATAATAGAAAGATGTATATTATTTAGAAAGGCACACTGAAGTAGAATAAAATGACATGATTTCTGGGATTTGTTTTATATACTTCCAAATGAGGGAATAAGCAAGGTTAGATGAAGAAAAATCCAAATAATTGTTGAATCTGCGTAATTTGTTTAGAGTACATAAAGAATTTTGAATAATTTGGTCTAAATACATCAACAAACCTATCAAGTAGTAAAGACTCCGATCTTGAATTTGCTTCTGGTATCTGTGAGCCACTTAGATACCATGCCCATAAAAACTAGTTAATATGGCGGCAAAAATGCTACGGTTATATATTTATTTATTTGCTTACTTTTTTTTTTTTTTTTTTTTTTTGAGATAGTGTCTTGCTCTGTCACCCAGGCTGGATCTGGCGCGATCTCGGCTCACTGAAACTTCCACCTCCCGGGTTCAAGCAATTCTCCCTGCCTCAGCCTCTCAAGTAGCTGGTGCCCACCACCATGCCTGGCTAACTTTTGTATTTTTTTAGTGGAGACAGGGTTTCGCCATATTGGCCAGGCTGGTCTTGAACTCCTGACTTCAGGTGATCTGCCTGTCTCAGCCTCCCAAAGTGCTGAGATTACAGGTGTGAGCCACCGCGCCCAGCCTATTTACTTACATATTGATAAAGTGATTGACTCAACATCCAGAGTTTCGCTTCTGGGGTCTAAGATAGAACTCTCTATCTGTCCTCGTTCTCAGCACAGATCTCCTCTACTGATTGTTCCCATATCTCTTTGCAGCTAAATCCTGGCATTTAATAAATCCTTTTACAGTTCTCTGTATAGACTTGAATGTAACATTGCAAATTTCTGATTCCTAAAGTGAAAAATGCAAATCATACTCATCACTTTCAAGTGGATATTGGGGTTATGGGTTTTCAATTTATTTGTAAGATCTCCCTTTTACCAATAGAAGAAAAGATATATCTGAATATATTATACGTTTGGACAAATTAGATGAGAAAATACTATACTTACAAGAGCTTTTCCTTAAATATCTCTTTCTGAGTAGGTGTCATACATAAAGTGATAAGCAACTACTTTATTGGCTAGCAGATGGCAAGACACAGTGCTAGTTACAGCATCAAAATATAGGTTCCAAGCTGTGTTGCAATGAAATGCCATTTCATGGACAGCAAATGCAAGTAAATTTGCGTGTTAAGCAACCAAATTCGAAGACCAAAATATTGAGAGTGGAATGGATTTTGTAATTGAGGTTATAACATACAGACTTTACCAGAAATCTTTCACTTGAATAGGGCACAGCTGCCTCTACATGAAGTCATTTTGGTAGTATGAAAGAGAAAAATTCGGTAAAAGATGTGTGTGCCATTATTTCACATTGAAAACGTTTTTTATTGTAATACTTTTGAAAGGATTTGCTACTTAAGAAATACGTTATGGTAAACCTGGAGCATGGAGGGCTTGTATATGCTTTTTCTATCGTATTAAAGTAAAAAGCCATGAGAAAATGCAGTTAAGAAGGGGCGGTGGGTCCTTTAACACACTGACCTCACACTGGCACTTTGACAGAAGCAGTACCTGGGACTTGCATTTCTTATTGTACAATCTTTTGAAAGCGAATGCTTAAACAAAGCCTCAGAAACAGCAGAAGTGGGAGGTAAAAGAGAGTGCCAATGCCTTCATAAAGCCCTTTCTACCTGTGCTCATGTCAGATCTACACAACGCCCATATGGGAAGAGCAGAAGTTCACAAACTCAGACGTTAGAATGCTCCACTGCCATCTGGAAGCTTTAAGAGTGAGAGGGCCCAACTGGGCTTAAAAGAAGCATCAGACAACTTCTCATAGGAGCCTTTCATCACCAGAAATTGTACAGCTGAGTCTCAATTTAGATGCAGCCTTTAAAGGGGGACTAACAAAAGACTGAGCAGCGAACATATCATTAGAGTGAAGCTTATCGATAGGTGAAGGAGGCAGTTTCTTCAGAGTGTGAATTAGAGGGTTTTTAAAGGACTCTTAACCCCAAAATGTCTTTTTCTTGCTCTACACTCATGTCCTACTTTCCTCTTCTCTACTAACACATACATGGGGTTGCTGAAGTCCCTTGCACAATCATAATTGTTCATGCCTTTATAATTTAACTTTTCTTTCTCCTTGTAATGCCATTTTTCCTTTTTCTCATTTGATATCCATCCCGCTTATTATTTAAATTTTTATTTCTACATAATCTACTATAGGACTGTTTTCATGATAATCATACTGTCTTCAATATCCTGCCTCCATCTTTAACTTTCTTCCTTTTCCACAAAATACTAGAGAGAGATTTTTGTAGTTTCTCCTTCCTAATATTACACTTTTTAATCTTCACACTCTTCCATTCAAAGGAAAATATGCCTCAAAGCAAATCTCTAGATGGTCAATGATTTTATCTTCAACTATCTCTAAGGAGATGCTTTTCTCCTAGATGGCCCTCTCCCTCTCCTATTTCTTTAAATTCCCCTCCCTACTAACAATTCTTTCCAGCATATATAAACAAGTAAATCACTCCTATCTTAAAACAAAACAGATCTCTCTGTTGATTTCCATACTCATTTAGCTTTTAGGCAGTGCTCTTCTATCTTCTAAGATAAGATTATTGATTTTACAAAAAGGCCTACACCAATTCTGTATGTCACATTTACTAAAATCCTGCTTCTGCCCTCTTTCTCTTGTGAAGCTCAATACAATTGATAGTTTCTATGGTCTGCAAAGTTTCTGCATATTGGACACACACCATAAAATATATGGTAGTTGAAGCCTACTTTGATTCACTTCCAAAGATCCTATAAATTCCAGTGTCCCTCTCTACCTCTGATTACATTTTATTAAATGTTTTTGTGTCTCTTCCACTAAGCCTTTAGGTTGATAAAGAAATCATGTTTTGATCTTATTTTTATCCTTCTTAATTGTAGAGTAGGGTATTTAAAATTGGATGAGGATTTTTTAGGAGGCAGTGGTCACCCAGAGGTATGGAAAGATAAATGAGAAAAGGTAGGTACATGTGTGCATTTGGAAGTGACGGAACAACTAAACCCAATCTACACCAAATGTTGTGCAAAGATATTTCCAAGTGAAATAATACATTTGGAGGTCTCAGTGCATTGTTATCACATCCTCATGACCATTGCTCTCATGAGCTCTTTAAAAAATTTATTGTTTTGCTTGTCACCCTATGAAGTCCTATGATTAAACAGGAATGGATCCATCAGATATGTATTAAGTGAAAAATAAGAGGAGAATATCTGGGTAGGCACAGTTGTGCATCAGAGGCCCCACATCCAGAGTCTATTCACTAAATCTTCCCTTTTCATGTACGCATCAAACAGAAATGCATATCTAAATTAAATTTCATTCAAATTAAATAGACTCTCAGGTTATTCAGGTACCCACTGGAAAAATGTTGTCAGTAAACAGAACATTTCAACGTCCTTATAGTTTTTCTTTGTTCTCCCTTCTTTTCTGAGCCCAGGGAGAGCCAGGTGAGATTGAGATTTGGTTCTTGTTCCCACTCTGTGCTCATTTTCCAAAACTGTACTCTTTGTCTGCTATTAAAAAAATGCAAAATAAGGGAATCTTATGGCCACTCTGGAAGGCTCTTTGAGTTAACAGATGTGGCACTTCGGGTCCTCCAAGATGTTAATGCCCAGATTAGATGTACAAGAGAATTCCTCAGAGAGGCATCTGTGATGGATAAACCATCCAGTGTGACGATCTGAAAAATAATGAACATACATATATGTGAAATTTTAACCTAACACCCCGAGAAATAATTCCATTATTCCATACATGAATGTATAATTTGAAGAAGGGGAAGATTAAAAAAGAGAAAAAGAGTAAGGAGCACTAAAAATGTGGCTGAGGAATAAAGAATGGTGAAAATTGAAAGACATCTTTTGTCCTCCAAGTTGAAATGTACCTTTTCCATTTCTGTAACATTTAACACACTTTGATTCCTCTTAAATGAATTTTATCTGTGTATATTTCTTAATCTTCCTGGCACATCACAGCTACTTAGCAGAAGCAATGGGATCTTATCAAAATTTGGATTCCCTATAATACTTAGCAGAGCATTTTAATTTAATTGAATAGAAATATTGGAATGAAAGAATGAAACATGTCAGTTGATATCAAACATCACAGGAGTATTAAATCACTTAAAGTAAAATAATACATGATGATCTTTAGGCAGGTTTTTGTATTATGATACAGAAAGAACAGGTGCAGAAATTACACAAGGAAGGGCTAACATAATGTATACATTTGGAGTGTCTGTTATGTCTCTAGTATCCTTCTTAACTAGACTCTCTAACCACACCTTCAATTTAACAGGTGCAGGTCACAGCAGCCTTATTTTTTCAGGATGACCAAAATCCATAGTTACAATTGGCAGGACCTCGCTCATCCTTCTCAAATTAAAATTTCTTCTGTTAGAAGAGGGCCTGAGAAATAATCAGGTATCTCATGTTTCTGAGCCCAGGGCATGCACCATCAGAGCTTACCAGCCATGTTTAGCTGTACATACTATGAATAGAGAAAATCTATCTGTAAGGATATAATAGAAACCCAGAGATGAGTAGATAGTGGCAGAGAAGAGACACAAAATATATTACCAAGGACCCCATTGGCTTTTCACTTAATTTTTGACCCTAAATTTCGAGAGTTATGTCTACATCATTACAATACAGTATTCTTTCTTTCTTTTTAGGGTTTTAAGTTGGCTTCTGTTACTTATAAACAAGGCAAGTATACTCACTCAGGTAATGAAGAGGCTTGCTAGGTCGTTGCTTAATAAATTATTATTCTGTTTTACCTCTAACTGGTGGCATGGTCTACATATTTACATATTATAATTAATTTTAAACCTTTTTTTCTGGGAATCTGACACATTTATTTTATTTTTTCTATTTGTGACAAAAAATTATTTTTTTTGGCCGGGCGCAGTGGCTCATGCCCGTAATCCCAGCACTTTGGGAGGCCGAGGTGGGCGGATCACAAGGTCAGGAGATTGAGACCATCCCAGTCAACATGGTGAAACCCCATCTCTACTAAAAATACAAAAATTAGCTGGGCGTGTTGGTGGGTGCCTGTAATCCCAGCTACTTGGGAGGCTGAGCCAGGAGAATGGATTGAACCTGGCATGTGGAGGTTACAGTGAGCCAAGATCATGCCACTGCATTCCAGCCTGGTGACAGAGGAAGACTGTCTCTAAAAAAAAAAAAATTCTTTTTTTCTTTTTATTATGTATTTATTTATTTTTGAGACAGACTCCTGCTCTTTTACCGAGGCTGGAGTGGAGTGGCACAATCTTGGCTCATTGCAACCTCCACTTTCTGGGCTCAAGTGATTCTCCTGCCTCAGCCTCCTGAGTAGCTGAGACTATAGTTGTGATTTTTTTGTAGAGACAGTGTTTCACCGTGTTATCTAGGCTGGTCATGAACTCCCAAGCTCAAAGTGATCTGTTCGCCTCCGACTCTCAAAGTGCTGGGATGATTACAGGCAAAAGCCACCATGCCTGGCCACATTCGTTTTGTTAACGTCAACAATTCAGGTTGGTTACGTGAAGTGGAAAAGAATAGTTGGCAAAATTAAGTGGAGAATAATATTTTTCTTATTATTTATCATAAAATTTTTAAACAAGGAGGACTGATACAAAAACAAAGAGAACTAGAATAATATGTACTACTTCATGGAATACTTTGCTAATTATGTAAAAGAACTTATAGCCACAGTTTTTCTTCTTGTTCAGTTTCAGTTTAAACATTAGTATTTGGTTAAATGCTAGAAATTAGATGTTTGCTTTAGCTCCAAACCTTGCCTAGCCTGTCTACTCAACCCTATTATCAATAATATATATTGATTTACACAGTACTTTTATTTAATACGATTGAAACCCATTCACAGAATTAAAGGCTATATGCAAAGGCATAATGCAATCGCTACTTGGTTTACTGCTGAACTGTCTTTCTCGTAGAAAACAGCAACTAACATAATGGAGAAGTGCTCTTCAACAAATTAGAAGCAAATAAATAGCTCATTCAATTATAGAAAAAGGTGAAATTTAGGTATAATGAATGTAATATTTGAGATGAGGCATTTGGCAGGGTACTTCAGAAACACAATGGAACTGAGTAATGATAGTATTCTCATAGACAGAATACAAAAAGACTGCTGCTGAAATTCCTTTTGGCTCACAGGTGAAAGATAATTTTGGTGGATATACAATTACAGAAAAGGAAATGTCCCCACATCAGCATGACAGGAAGACAGCCAGGTGCCTTTTTCAGTCTATAAGAAGATTAGAATATTAAGAATGTGGCATAGCATAACAAGATTTTTTGTTTATTTTGTTTTGCTTTTTTGTTTTCTTTTTTACTTTTATTTTTTGTTTTCTTAATATTTCACTTCCTTTCTAAAACTTCTCCCCTACCTTCTGGTCTTTATTATTCATTTCTTCTGGTTCTCCAACTCCTTTCTTCTAACAATTTTTTAAAAAAATTTTAAGTGCAGCTATTTTTAGGCAGTGGTTAGCTGTCCAGTTAATTAATTCAATTTACACCATGACACAAAATACTGCTAAGCATTTCTCCCTCCATTTATTCCTTTAGCAATCAATTACTAAATTTCTACCATATGCCTGCCACTGGGAGTTACTGAGACTCAGAATCTGGCCCTTTGTGTAGATCCCAAGGGCAAGTATGGAAAAGAAAACCTGCTCTGAACTATTGGTTGTCTTGTTAGATGTATTCACATGTTAAGCAAATATGTAAATTGGACTGTAGTTAATTCTAGCAGGGAGTAGAGGTCAGAACATTTGATTCTTAAAACTGTAAAGAGGAATCTGATGCCTGTGTAGAGGGAGGAGTACATTCTACATAAAAAGAATATTTGAACCCAATTTTGGAGATAGCAAACACTCTAAGATTGTTGGCAAATAATTTACTTTGGCTTAAGCCTAGAGCGTGCAAACAGGGTTAAATTATATATATAAAATTATATAGAGAGAGACATTACAGAGAGAGAACATTGTTTAATCTCAGAAGATTTTGTATAACATGAAAATGTATTTCAACTTTACACTCCAGGCAAAAGAAACTATGACAGATTTTTAAGCCTTGGAGCAGAAACACAGAGTATATATGCAGAGTATGATTTATACTGGGGAGTCATGGAAGACACCTTTAGGAAAGTGATCTTCTAGAAGAGAATTACCAAAAAAGGCAAAAGTATGACTTCCACAGAAATATGTATGTATTTAAAAAAAAAAAAACACATGTTAAAGATTTTTAAGTCATAAGAGATGTTTTGCAGATGTTATAACTGAGTGAGAGACAATATACAAATGGACAATGGCCAGATCATATATAACAATGGTACGCTGATTCATGACTTCCGCAGCAACCAGTCCAGGAATTTAAACTACAGTCTCTATAGAGATCAGCCCAAAAGGGTTCAGGGCTTGATCAATTACTGGCATCTTCCCTAATTTCAACCCTTGCTTTTAATTCAAGGTCAACTGGATAAAGTCAAATATGCTTCCAGCTATGGTCAGAATGTTTGTATCCCTCTAAAATCCATATGTTGAAACCTAGTATCCAATATAATAGTAGTAAGGCATGGAGCCTCTTGAAAAGTGATTAAATCATGAGGACTCCTACTTCATGAATGGAATTAGTGCCCTTATAAAAGTGGTTAAAGGGAGGGCCCTAGTCCCATCCACCCCTCCACCAAGCGAGAACACAGAAGTAGCCATTTTTGAAATAGAGAGCCCTCACCGTATATCAAGTCTGCTGGTGCCTTGGTCTTGGATTTTTCAGCCTCCAGAATTGTGAGCAATACATTTCTGTTATTTATAAAATAGTCTGCAGTATTTTTTACAGCAGTCTGAACAGACTAAGATACTTCCCAAACCAATCGATAAAATGTTCCTACTTCTTGGTAGCCAGGCTTCATCTTCCCTTTGCCTACACTTCACCCACCAATCAGAGAATACCTGAGTTTTCCCACCTCCCCTGCTTGCATTAAAGTCTCTTCCAAAAGCAGGTAATGGTGTCTGACTCTGCTATAACAAGCTCTGAATAGTTTCTGTTCTAATTTGTTCCTTTGTGCTTTGTGCCTTTGTTCATTTCCACAGTTTTCTTGGAAATTCCACCAACATATAATCGCACTGCTGTCACTATAGAACCCAGCCTTTGACCACGTCTGGTACCCACAAAGTCCTCTTGTGTCTTCCTACTCATGGCTTGTTAAGTCCATGTCAATTTAGTAAGTCAGCATTGAGTCTAAACTCCTTTCTTTGCATTGAGTTCTTTACTACTTAGTCTCAGTTTTAGTACCTCAGTTTTGCCATCAGTTTTCATTTTTGTTTTGACATCCTTGCTGGAATGAGATCATTCTTTGTCATCCAGTTTTGTTCTCATGCTTTCTTTTGTGTTGTACCATCTAAAAGTGTTGTTTGACATAAGAAGGAAAATCCCAGAGTAGATAACAAGCATAGAGACTATAACCTATTGCATAGGCTGGCTTCACAGACTGGTGAGTTTGGGGTTTTCATTTGGACAAATTTTGCTGTGGATCACTAGTAAAACAAGATGAAATTTTCCTATAATCTTGATTTTCTTGTTGTTGGAAAAAGTTGGCTTTGATCCAGAGAGAGCATTCTCTCTGGTTTTCTACCTGCCAGGAGAGGAAAGATTTCTACCTGCCAGGAGAGGAAAGATTGTAGGCTGTACTTTTGGAGGCAGCTGATCATCAGATTGAGTGAAGAAAACTCAAAAACCAAAATGTCACATTCCTATTAACTGTTTCCAGGTCTCATCAGGCCATGAAGTTTAAATCCTCTCTTCCTCCAGGAAAAAAGATGTTCTGATTTTTTAATATATATTCCTATAAACCTAGTCCTTACATGTATTTCTTTAAATGGCGTAACTCCACCAAAGATGGTTTTGATCCTCAGTGATCACTCTGGGGAACATTGGCATAAAAACAATTATTCATTTGAGACATACCTTAGCAAAGAAAGGGAATTACATCAGCCCCAATGGACAGCATTTTTTTGACTGAAGGGCATAAGCCCCTGCTTTAGTTCTGCTGCATAACAAAGTACCACAGACAGGGTAATTTTTATAAAGAAGGGAAATTTTTATATTTCATGAGGCTGGAAGTCCAAGAACATGGTGTCAGCATCTGACAAATGTCATACCATGGCTGAAGTGGAAAAAGTAGAAGTGAGCATGTGAAACACAGAGAGGCACCAGGTGCTGGACTCAATTTGTAAGAACTCACTCTTGTGATAATGAACCTATTCCTATGATAACAACCTTAATCATTCATACAGAAGGACTCTACCCTCATGAGCCAATCATCTCCTATTAGGTCCCACATCCCAACCCTGTTGCATTGGAAATTAAATTTCTAACCCATAAGCTTCTGGGAAACACATTCCAACAAACAAAATTCTGAATCAAAAGTTGCTTCACTAAATGATTCTTTACTCGAAGATAATGAAAATTTCATAAACAGTAGACTTTTTTTTTTTTTACTGAATCCTTTCTCTCATTTTCTTCGAGTTTCCTTCCCTACATCCAATTATTCTGCCTTCCCCTTATCTTTTCAATCCCTCTCCTTCCATCACCTCCTCCCTCTTTTTTGTCTTCTCTAGATCTCTCTCTCTTTTTTTTTTTTTTTTTGCCAATGACTCTCTTCTGACCCAAAATGCCAGTGGCTCTGAAGACCCATTTTTTCCATCAGCCAGGTGTGCAGCCAACTGTAGAATTTAAACCTTAGACCCAAGATGTATTAAGGGAGATGATAAGAATTTCCATAAACCGAGATAAGACCAACAATTATTTATGGAAGAACCTATAATTATTTTGATGCATATAATCTAGGGTTACACAACCTACCTTTCTTGTGCACATGTTGATCAGAACGTCGGATGCGAGATTCTAGATAACAAAAGCCAGTTAAACTGACCGTGGTCCCTGAAGGGACCTATAGGAACTTTTTTTCTCCATGAAAAAAGGCCCCCCAATTGGTCAAAGTCTTTCCTTTTATTTATTTATTTATATTGAGACAGAGTCTCACTCTGTCGCCCAGGCTGCAGTGCAGTGGCACAATCTAGGCTCACTGCAACCTCCGCTCCCTGGGTTCAAGTGATTCTCTTGCCTCAGCCTCCGGAGTAGCTGGGATTATAGGCGTCTGCCACCACGCCCGGTCAGTCTTTCAAAAGCCATACTTGAAACCTTCCATTACTAATTAATTGGACCACAAATGAGTCATGAAAACAGGAAAAAAAATATGAAGCTATTTCTTTTTTAGGATAGACTAGAAGATACCTCCCAACGACATTCAATAATTAAAGAAGGTACTGATATAACAGCAGCCTTTTCATATAATTTTGTCCTTGAAGTTAAATGGGAAATTGATTATCTAATTCTAAAAGACTGAGTAGAGTGGAAAATAGTCCATTTACCTGAACTGCAACACCTGGCAGAACATTTTGAAACGACTTTAAAGCAAAAAGAAGTCATGACCCAAGGTAGACAGGTGGCCCTGCAGACCAAAAAGCTACAGAATTAATTCTTCTAATAAAGAAACCAAATAGATGAAGACGTTTATTTATTCAAGTCTTCAGGTCCATCTGCAAAACTGTTATTCTTCTAAGCAGTACCTAACCCAAATACCACCCTGTCATAAATTTCACATAAAGCTACCTGCTTCATTGTAATGTTTCTTTACCCTGCCTTTTTCCGTGTGCCTCTAGATCAGAAGTTAATACCTTTATGCCTATACCTGGGGAAGATGCCTAGCAGTCATTCCCCAGGGGGTCACCGAAGTTCTCTCCTATTTTTCTCACACCCTCATTCAAGATTTAAAAGATAGATTTCTGCTGTGATTCAGTTTTGATACAATATGTAGAATATTTCCTACTTTATTTAGAGAATAAGAAAATCTTTAAAAACATCTATGCTTGCTCTTAGCAATGGCAGAAAGTGACATAAAGTTTCAAAATATACATTACAATTTTGCTGAAATACTCTGCATTAGGAAATAACCTACCTAAGGAGGGAAAGCCACTCTCTGATGACAAACTAAAGACTATGTAGGCTTATCCTAGATTCATTACAAAATGAAAATTGGGATTATTTCTAGGTTTAACTGAATATCGCAGACAATGGGAGCAAATTATTCTGAGATTATAATAGCTCTTTATAAGTTGACAAAGTCCTCAATAAGAAACCGAGTTCTGTGGGGGCCCAAACATGAACAAGTCTTCTGAAACTTGAAAAAGACTCTTCAACAAACTCCTTCCTTGGTATCACTAACTACGCATGAGTGACCTGGACAAACCGTGGAATTTTAACTAAACTTTATGGGGACCATTAAAAACCTATCACTTATTATATCCTCACCCTTGACCTGTGGGAAAGGCTTATACCTTTTGTCTTAGGGTAATAGCTGACACTGAATAACAATGTTTCTGTTAAACTATGTCTAAGTTCCCTGTTTGACCTTATGGCCCTACATGCAGTATTGACATTACTACTGATTGAAACACAAACTTTTTCAGCCAGTTTATTAATCCGTTGAGATTATGTTATTCTCTCTCTCCCATTACTGTTAATCACTGGAGTACCCTGAATCTTGCTACTTTCTTGCTCATAGCAGAATAAGGAGAGCTTTGTGATTGTGATATCCTAAATAGGAAAATTTCTCTACTTTGCTCAGAATTACTAGAGACCACTATTCAGTTTTAAATGCTTCTGCACAACTACTCTCATTAGATGATCACAAGGATGATATAACAACAAAAAGGTCAAGAAAGTCTTGCAATACAGTTGACTAGAGAGATGACTGAACAATCCATGTATGGTGAAAATCTAGGGATGCAGCCTTCCCTGAATTCATCAATCTCTCTCAAGTTAGAGAGTGACCAAAAAGGGGGTATTGAGTGGATGAATATACAGACAATGGCCAGATCATATATGACAATAGAACTTTCACCTGTAAACTCTGCAGCAACCAGCAAAGGTAGTCAATCAATATGCCTTCAGGACAGTCAGGACTCAGTCAATGACTGCCAGCTTCTCTAATTTCTGCCACTGCTTTCAACTCAGGACCAACTCGAAAAAATCAATTAAGTTCCCCCAAACCAATCACAAAACATAACCCAGTTTAGGTTAGCTCATTTCCACTTTTTATCTGCCAAAAATCTCCATGTGCACATACTGGAAATCTTTTCTTTTTTCATTGCAAAGTTTCCTGAAACCCCTCCTTGCTTTTAAGTTTCTGCCAAATGAAGCAATAGTTTGTATGGTAGCACAGACTGGTCCTAAGTACCATTTAGATACACTTTTTAGTTTTGAGAAGAAAAAACTAGGCATGGGACAGGAATCAGTAATGGATACTTTTCAACAACCAATGAATTAACCTTGTGACTCCTTAACTTTTATTTCATCCAGACCTCAACTTCTCAAGCTGCCTGCATCCACGGAAGATGCAAAAACATCTTTTCTCCCTCCTTTGTGTGTTCCATATTACTATCAACAAGCTTGCTTATTCAGTCCAAATCGAAGCCCTTCATATATTTTTATGAGGCAAGCCAGATTTTACTAATTTTATTTTTTGCAGAAGATAAAACAGACACAGAGGGTTAATGCAAATAATCTTCTGATGCGGGGTTTAACACAGTACTATGTCAAAGAGCTCTAAGTTATACTTTTTTTTAAAAAAAGTTTTTGTCGATACATAATAATTGTACATATTGTACATATTTATGGCGTACATGTAATATTTTGATACATGATGCATGTGTAATAATTAAATCAGGATATTTAGAATATCCATCACCTTGAACATTTACCATTTCTGTGTGTTGGGAATATTTAAAATCTTCTAGCTATTTGGAAGTTTACAATATATTTTTGCTAACTATAGTAGTCACACTGTGCTATCAAACACTAGAATTTATTTTGTCATCTAACTGTTTGTTTGTGCCCATTACCCAAACTCTCTTCATTCCCCCACTCCACACTTTCCAACCTATGATAACTATTGCTGTACTCTCTACCTCATGAAATTAATATTTTTAGCCCCACATATGAATGAGAACATGTTATATTTGTGTTTTTGTGCCTAGCTTATTTTGCTTAACATAATGACCTCCACTTTCATCCATGTTACTAGAAATGACAGGATTTCATTATTTTCTATGGCTGAACAGTATTCCATTGGGTATGTATACACCAAATTTTCTTTATCTGTTAATCTGCTGGTGGATACTCAGGTTGATTCCATATCTTGGCTATTAATAGCACTGCAAAAATATGGGAGTGCATGTATTTCTTTGATATACTGGTTGCCTTTCCTGTGGATAAATACGTAGTAATGGTATTGCTAGATCGTGTGGTAGTTATATTTTAAGTTTTTTGAAAAATCTGCCGGGTGCAGTGGCTCACGCCTGTAATCCAAGCACTTTGGGAGGGCGCGGCGGGTGGATCACCTGAGGTAGCGAAACCTCATCTCTACTAAAAATACAAAAATTAGCTGGGTGTGGTGGTGGGCACCTGTAATGCCAGCTGCTTGGGAGGCTGAGGCAGGAGAATCGCTTGAACCCGGTAGGCGGAAGTTGCAGTGAGCCGAGATCGCGCCCTGCACTCCAGCCCGGGCAACAGAGTGAGACTCTGGAAAAAAAAAAAAAAAAAAAGGTTTTCTGAAAAATCTCCATGCTGTTTTCCCTAATGGCTTTACTACTTTATATTCCCACTAACAGTGTATAACAGTTTCCTTTTGCCTGCATCCTGGCCATCATTTATTATTTTTTGTCTTTTTGATAATAACCATTCCAACTAGAGTAAGATGAGATTTCCTTGTAGCTTTATTTTGTATTTCCCTGATGATTAGTGATGTTGGGCATTTTTTTCATATACCTGTTGACCACCTGTATGTCTTCTTTTGATAAATGTCTATTTAGATCCTTTGCCCTAATTGCATTATTTGTTTTTTGCTGTTGAGCTGTTTGAGTTCTAGGTATATTCTGATTATTGTTCCTTGTCAGATGAATAGTTTGAAAATATTTTCTTACGTTATACAGAGTATCTCTTCAACTCTGTTGACTGTTTCCTTAGACATGCAGAAGCTGTTAGTTTATTGTGGTCATATTTGTTTATTTTTGTTTGTGCTGTCTATACCTTTGAAGTCTTAGTCATAAAATCTTCATCTAGACCAATGTTCTGAAGCATTTCACCTTTATTTCCTTCTATTAGTTTTATAGTTTTGGGTCTCACATTTAAGTCTTTAATCCATTGTGTTGACTTTTATCCATGGTGAGAGACTAGAGTCTGGTTTCATTTTTTTGCATGCAGATATCCAGTTTTCCAAGCACCATTTATTGAAGAGGGTGTCCATTCCCCAATGTATGTTTTTTTTTGTTTGTTTTGTTTTGTTTTGTTTTTCATTTTTGATACAGAGCCTTGCTCTCTTGTCCAGGCTGGAGTGCAGTGGCACAATCTCAGCTCACTACAATCTCCACCTCCTGGGTTCAAGAAATTCTTCTGCCTCAGCCTCCCGAGTAGCTGGGAGTATAGGCACCCACCACCATGACCAGCTAATTTTTGTATTTTTTAGTAGAGACAGGGTTTCACCATGTTGGTCAGGTTGGTCTCGAACTCCTGACCTCAGGTGATCCACCTGCCTCAGCCTCCCAAAGTGCTGGGATTACAGATGTGAGCCACCATGCTCACCCTCCAATGTATGTTCTTAATGCCTTTGTCAAAAACTAGTTGGCTGTAAAATATGGCATGATTTCTGAGTTCTCTATTCAGTTCCACTGGTTGATGTGTTTGTTTTTATACCAATACCATGCAGTTTGGTTATAATAGCTTTGCAGTATATTTAAAAATCAGGTAGGCTGGGCACGGTGGCTCATGCCTGTAATCCCAGCACTTTGAGAGGCTGATGCGGGCGGATCACGAGGTCAGGAGATCGAGGCCATCCTTGCTAACACAGTGAAACCCCGTCTCTACTAAAAAAATACAAAAAAATTAGCTGGGTGTGGTGGCAGGCGCCTGTAGTCCCAGCTACTCAGGAAGCTGAGGCAGGAGAATGGCATGAACCCAGGAGGCGGAGCTTGCAGTGAGCCGAGATCACGCCACTGCACTCCAGCCTGGGTGACAGAGCGAGACTCTGTCTCAAAAAACAAAAAACAAACAAACAAACAAAAATCAGGTAATATGCCTGTGGCTTTGCTCCTTCTGTTCAGCAGTGCTTTGGTTGTTTGGGGTCACTAGTGGTTCTATTTAAGTTTTAGGATTTTTTTTCTATGTTTATAAAGAATATCATTGCTATTTTAATAAGGATTGCATCGAATCTGTAGAGTGCTTTGGGTAGTGTGGTCATTTTAAGAATATTAATACTTCTGATCTATAAACATGGAATATCTTTCCATTTGTTAGTGCCCACCACTTCAATTTATTTTATAAGTTTTTTTCTAGTTTTCCTTGTAGAGGTCTTTCACCTCCTTGGTTAAATTTATTCCTAGCTATTTCATTTTTTGTAGCCATTTTAAATGGGATTACTTCCTTTATTTCTTTTTCAGCTACTTTGTTCCTGATGTGTATAAAAACTACCAATTTTGTATGTTGATTTTTTTTTTATTTTGCAAAATTACTTAATTTGTGTATCAGTTCTGAGTTTCTTGGTGTAGTCTCCACATTTTTCTTGATATAAGATCATGTTGTCTGCAAAGGGAGACAATATGACTTATTTTTTTCCAATTTGGAAGGCTTTCATTATTTTCTCTTGCCTGATTATTCAGGTTAAGAATTCTACAACTATATAGAAAAAGAGTGGTGAAAGTAGGCTTGTTTGTATTTTTCCAGTTTTTAAAGGAAAGGCTTTTAGCTTTTCCATATTAAGAATAAAGTTACTCTAGTATATTGTTGAAAATCGTGATTATCTTTTTTATTTCATTTATCAAATTCTTTAGTCTCAGGATTTGTGGCTGGTTCTTTTTTTATGATAACTATCTCTTTGTTAAACATGTCATTGAGGTCATTAACTGAATTTATGATTTGTTTGTATTGCTAATCTGTTTTTATCTTACTGAGCTTCTTTAATATTATTATTTTATTTTTTTCAGGCATTTTATTTGTTTTTCTTCCACTGGAATCTGTTGCTAGAAAATTATTGTGTTGCTTTGGAAATGTCATGTTTCCTCGCTTCTTTATATTTATTGTGTCCTTGTATTGATATCTGTGCCTCTGATAATTTCTTCCAATTTTATTCCTTAGTTTTCATAAGGAAATACTTTTTCCTATAGATATATCTATAGTATTGGTTGAGTAGGGCACTTTGGCTTTGATTCTGGTTGAGTGCAGTAGTGTATTCATGTATGATTTCTTCAGCTGTAATCAGTGTCAGTGGTGCCTTCAAGTTCCTCAGTGGCTTAGACTGCTGTTGTTAGTGAAGCCTATGGTGAAGCTTTGCTAGAAGTGGCATCACCATGCAGGTTGGTGCTCATGCTTCAGTAGTTACAGCAGTGGACCAACTTTGCTGCTCCTTGGGCCACCAGATGGTGTATGTAGGCACCAGTGGTAGCAAGTCAGTGCAGGCTGATCCTTGGGCTTTTATGTAGCTTGCTCAGGTAATGGCAGTAGTAGCAATGGGACAGGTGGATGGACAGTTCTATAAGACCTTGAGTGATATGTGTGGCATTGTCGATGATAATTGTGTCCATAGGCCAAAGCTTTATCCTCCTGGTGGTATGCACTAGTGCCAATCATAGCAATGGCAAACTGGGTGGGCCAGTCTCCAGGACCCCAAATGATATGTACAGGTGAGTGCCAGCAGTGATGGTGGCAGCATGCTCAAGAAATCTGTCCTCAGGCTCCAGAGGGAAATGCATTGATGCTGGCAGGGTTGGGCAGGATGAATTAGCCCCCAGACCCCCAGATGATGTGTGGGAGCACTGGCAGATTGGATGGGCCCCTCTTCAGACTTCCTGGAAATGTGCACAGTCACCGGTGATGTGGACAGAGCAAGGTGATCCCCAGGCCCCCATTGGCACATGGGCACTGGCAGGCGCAGCACCAGGTGGGATGGGCCTATCCTCAAACTGACTGATGACGCACATGGATCCATATTGTGGTGGGTATGGCAGGTCAGTCTCCAGGCCCCTGAATGGTGTGCTCAGGCACCAGAGACATATTGGCTGAACCTGTTGTCAGGTTTTCTGATAGTTCCTGTGCATCAGTAGTGACAGGCTAAGGAGGTCCTTAGTTATACTCCTGTTACCTGAAACTGTAGGATTATTTTTATTATGTCCACCATTCCCTGTCAAGGCAAAAGTCTTGCTAAACATTTTGCTGTGTCACAATATATAAGGATTTTAAAGTAAAAGCCAAACCAAAAAAAAAAAAAAAAAGAGGAACAAACTAACAAAAACTAATACAACTTCTGAACAATTATATTAAATATTGTCAGGTACTTATTTCCCGTTTGGCACCAAAATGTTGCATGTTGCAATATAGTTTTGAGTATTGAATGCATGCTTATTAATGGTAGGTCATCCTCCTGTTCTTGGTTTATTGATTTTTGATATCCACTCATTAGTGTTTATGTCATTGTCCATTTCAGTAATTATCTGATGTTTTATTAATACAGATTATGTATTTTTTAAATCTCCAATTATCTATCAATGATGCACAGATTTATTAGGGAGATAGACTTAGTTTTCAGAATTGGACTGGTATCATCTACTGATACAAAATATATTTTCCTTTTTTTATGCATCATCTAATTTGGGTTACCAGCTCTTACCCAAGGCACTGGAGAATTAGTCTCCCTCTAATTGCACTGGATGATTGGCACCAAGGTTCCAGCAGCCCAGGATACTGCTAAGTAGTGTTTCTTCTTGTCCACCACATCCTGCTTTTATGAATATATGATATTTTCTGTATTGCTTATTTGTTTTTAGAGATTGTAACATCATGGCTTACTCTCCCACTCTGAATGACAAGTTTTAATTGTGAAGTTATTGGAATCTTCTTTTTTATGCATATGCCTATGATGTTATTAAAATTTGCATGTCAAACGTTACTGCTGGCTGAACCTCATTAGTGATCATTTTGCAGGAATCATTGCTTAACATAATTTCATGCTGAACAGTGAACATATGCAGGACTGAGGTTCATTTCTCAACAATGAGCTACATGCTTTAATCTTCATAATCATATATAATATGCCCTTAGCCATACATTTATTAAATATTATTCTCCCTACTTGATGCAATTTTTTTCTATTAGGCACTGGGGAGGATATAAAATTGTATTAAACACTTTGTAAGGACCCTATAATAAAATAATGGAAAATATGTGTTCAGAAATTACTATAATTCAAAGGAGCACATGTTATTGTATAGGAGCACTATTATCACTAAGTTCTCTGAAGTTCCAGGAAAAGACAGGTCATATATTTATGTAGCATACAAACTGGATTGCACTTCAAAAGATAAATGAGATTTTGAGGATCACAGAGAATATTATAAGTGGATACAATGGCATTAGTTAGAGCTGGTAAAGCCCAGGAGATGCCCAGAGCAATGGAAGTCATTCATTTAGTTGTAGGGTAGTTTATACATAGGATGACACGAGAGTGTGTTTCTAAAACAGAAAGGAAGAGGAAAAAGGAACTTCAGTGATTTACTGAGGAATTTTAACTTTTTGAGTAGGCAAAAAATTGGTATAATGTGATGTTACATTAGAAAGGTTAATCTGTTGGCTACTGAAAAGGTGGATTATGAGGGGATGTCATGAGAATGGAGCAAGTGAGTCCGAGTTAGGAGAAGGTGTGATAGTTTAATGGTATTATATTTCTCTCTTTTTTTGTACCTCTAATCTATCTACTGATATCTTACACTTTCATGTATTATCATTTTGAATGTAGTCATTAGAAAACCAGACCAAGCAGGTAATAGAAATAAGAAAGGAAAAAAAAAAGGTGTGCAATACTTTGAAAAAAACCCTAAAAATTATTTGAGTTGACAGATTATATGTAAAATAAAATTTAAAAAAGAATGTTGATTTTGACTTCCACATATTTTGATCTTAGATATCTGGGAGAAGTATGGCAGAAATAGAAAAGTCAGATAAAGTGTAGTTGGAAGGAAAAAAAATCAGTTAAATTAACACTTAATGAAACTGAGTACCTTAAGATATCTACACCAATTTGTGTAACTAGAATTATGATTAGAATCTAGGTGATGAGAAGCGTTATTAATAAGACTTGGAAGTCTTCATTATATAGCTTAACATTGAATGTATGAGACTATATTAAATTACTTAGTGACAGACATTTACACAAATTTACTCATACATTTTCTCCTAAGCTCCAAATACAAGTCTGCACATTGAAATAATATCTCATTCATTTGAACTACTCAAATAAGAATTTCTGATAATTTGAAAGCAGCTATGCCATCTGTAAAATATATAACTTGCCAACTAAAGCCATAGGATAATCAAATTTGTAGATTGAAGAAAGAAATAATAAGCTACTCAGGAGAACAAATTGTTTTCAAATATTCAAATTTGTTAGAGGAAAGCAGTCACTAAAAGAAAGAATTGTGTATCTTCTTCAATACATTACAACCTCTCAGAGGTCAAGAACAAATTTTTATGTAGATATATGTGACATACCAATTGTAATACACTGAGTAAAATATGCATTGGCTGAATAAACGATTTACTATGCTATTCAAATACTCCTTCCAACATATTCAAAAGAGCAAAAACTGTGAAGTCCATCAGATGTGAATTGGAGCACTGGCTATGGCACTTAGCAGATGTCTGATTTTGGAAAAAAAATTACTATTAAGCACAGTTATAATAACAGCTATTTCTTGGGTTCATAATGAGTAATAAAATAACACATCTATAAAAGTAATAAAATATGTAAAATTAAGGCAAAACCCTCTCTTTGATAATGCATACTGATCAAAGCTCACTGTTCCCTTCACTCTATCCTCATTTTACTTCTAAAGAGGATGTAGGTAGCTATGTATTGATTGGGTTAAAATATACTGATTAAGTCATAGTGCAATTTAGTGGACCTCTTATTATTCTGAAAAAGGCAGATAAGTTGGTGCCCATATGAGAATATTTTCTGACATATTTTCTCTTTTTAATGAGAGTCTGGAGAACATAGTCAGGTTCAGAGGTATTGCTGCTTTGAGATCTGTACCTCCATAAGGTCACCTGGGATACGGGTTAAGGGCAACTCTAGTCCAGGTATTGGCAGAAAAACATTTCTCTTTTAAGCTACGCTGTTTTGAGTTGGCTTCTTGCTGACTGGACGCTCTGTTCTATCAGATTTTTTTTTTTTTTTTTTTTTTTTTTTTGCTTTTGTTGAGTTGGTTTCTTATTGACTGAATCATCTTTCTGCACTGCTCATTTCTGCCACTGGAATTGCAATAGTTTAGCTGAATATTACTGTTATCTGAGGGAAGAAAGGTTTGTAACAGACTGCTCTGCCAGTTTTAGTTCCAGGCCTGCATCTAGCCTGAGCAAAAACAGTTATTTTAATTGTTCATATAAGAGACCATATTAGCATTTTTGGCTAGACTTCAAAGTAGTATAAAATTATAAGGAGGTAGAATGGAGAGGTTACCATGAATTTACTAAGCCAGGAGTTTGAGATTTTTACCTTCCAATCTTTGTATATTTGTATATTCCAATCTATGTATATTTAAATATTCACTGGTTCTTTTTACAATAAAGTAGTTCATTACTGTAGTTTAGGTAATGATATATATGCAAAACCAAATATTATACCATCCATATCTAGTAGGTATCCATAGTTTATCTATAATATTTGTACTCCATAAATATTTATTGAGTGTCTTCTCCTTGTAAGTCAAAATGCTCAGAATTTTGAAGAATGCCAAAAGGAATTATATATACATTACCTTTATGAAACTTTCAGTGTGATGTGGAAGAAAGGTTATATAAATAATTCAACAAGATAAGGGAGAATAATATTTTAAAATTTGATAATGGTGATGACATTAACATAGAATAGGTGCCATAGCTTCCTGATATTTAACATGAAAAATAATTAAGTTGTAAACACAAAGTTTGAGATAAAGCCACTATAAGCAGGTAGAGATACTTACTAATTACTTGGAAATACAAGGCTAAATTTGCAAGAGAGCAAAGTGTTAGAGAGGAGCAAGATGAAAAGTATATGACATTAAAGACAGTAAACTAACAAATCTGTGAAAGGAAGAGTAGAAAGTGGATAGGAGCGTAATAAGCATTTCCAATAAACTGTCAGATTATTTAGCATTCATTCCTTTAAAAATATCTACTGACTCCTTAGCATCCATTTCTATAAAGTATATTTATTCAGCATCTACTATATATCTCAACTACTGTGGGATTCTGCAGTGAACAAAGTAATTTAAAAATCTCTATCCACGTGGAGCTTATAGTTTAATAGATGACAGAAAACTAAGCAAATTTTTATTTTATTTTATTTTATTTTATTATTATTGCACTTTAAGTTTTAGGGTACATGTGCACAATGTGCAGGTTAGTTACATATGTATACATGTGCCATGTGGGTGTGCTGCACTCATTAACTCATCATTTAGCATTAGGTATATCTCCTAAAGCTATCCCTCCCCCTTCCCCCGACTCCACAACAGTCCCCAGAGTGTGATGTTCCCCTTCCTGTGTCCATGTGTTCTCATTGTTCAATTCCCACCTATGAGTGAGAATATTCGGTGATTGGTTTTTTGTTCTTGCGATAGTTTACTGAGAATGATGATTTCCAGTTTCATCCATGTCCCTACAAAGGACATGAACTCATCATTTTTTATGGCTGCATAGTATTCCATGGTGTATACGTGCCACATTTTCTTCATCCAGTCTATCATTGTTGGACATTTGGGTTGGTTCCAAGTCTTTGCTATTGTGAATAGTGCCATAATAAACATACGTGTGCATGTGTCTTTATAGCAGCATGATTTATAGTCCTTTGTGTATATACCCAGTAATGGGATCACTGGGTCAAATGGTATTTCTAGTTCTAAATCCCTGAGGAATCGCCACACTGACTTCCGCAATGGTTGAACTAGTTTACAGTCCCACCAACAGTGTAAAAGTGTTCCTATTTCTCTACATCCTCTCCAGCACCTGTTGTTTCCTGAGTTTTAATGATTGCCATTCTAACTGGTGTGAGATGGTATCTCTTGTGGTTTTGATTTGCATTTCTCTGATGGCCAGTGATGGTGAGCATTTTTTCATGTGTTTTTTGGCTGCATTAATGTCTTCTTTTGAGAAGTGTCTGTTCATGTCCTTCGCCCACTTTTTGATGGGGTTGTTTGTTTTTTTCTTGTAAATTTGTTTGAGTTCATTGTAGATTCTGGATTTTAGCCCTTTGTCAGATGAGTAGGTTGTGAAAATTTTCTCCCATTTTGTAGGTTGCCTGTTCACTCTGATGGTAGTTTCTTTTGCTGTGCAGAAGCTCTTTAGTTTAATTAGATCCCATTTGTCAATTTTGGCTTTTGTTGTCATTGCTTTTGGTGTTTTAGAAATGAAGTCCTTGCCCATGCCTATGTCCTGAATGGTAATGCCTAGGTTTTCTTCTAGGTTTTTTATGGTTTAGGTCTAACATTTAAGTCTTTAATCCATCTTGAATTAATTTTTGTATAAGGTGTAAGAAAGGGATCCAGTTTCAGCTTTCTACATATGGCTAGCCAGTTTTCCCAGCACCATTTATTAAATAAGGAATCCTTTCCCCATTGCTTGTTTTTCTCAGGTTTGTCAAAGATCAGATAGTTGTAGATATGCGGTGTTATTTCTGAGGGCTCTGTTCTGTTCCATTGATCTATATCTCTGTTTTGGTACCAGTACCATGCTGTTTTGTTTGCTGTAGCCTTGTAGTATATTTGAAAGTCAGGTAGCATGATGCCTCCAGCTTTGTTCTTTTGGCTTAGGATTGACTTGGCGATGCAGGCTCTTTTTTGGTTCCATATGAACTTTAAAGTAGTTTTTTCCAATTCTGTGAAGAAAGTCATTGGTAGCTTGATGGTGATGGCATTGAATCTATAAATTACCTTGGGCAGTATGGCCATTTTCACAATATTGATTCTTCCTACCCATGAGCATGGAATGTTCTTCCATTTGTTTGTATCCTCTTTTATTTCATTGAGCAGTGGTTTGTAGTTCTCCTTGAAGAGGTCCTTCACGTCCCTTGTAAGTTGGATTCCTAGGTATTTTATTCTCTTTGAAGCAATTGTGAATGGGTGTTCACTCATGATTTGGCTCTCTGTTTGTCTGTTATTGGTGTATAAGAATGCTTGTGATTTTTGTACATTGATTTTGTATTCTGAGACTTTGCTGAAGTTGCTTATCAGCTTAAGGAGATTTTGGGCTGAGACAATGGGATTTTCTAGACATACAATCATGTCATCTGCAAAAAGGGGCAATTTGACTTCCACTTTTCCTAATTGAATACCCTTTATTTCCTTCTCCTGCCTAATTGCCCTGGCCAGAACTTCCAACACTATGTTGAATAGGAGTGGTGAGAGAGGGCATCCCTGTCTTGTGCCAGTTTTCAAAGGGAATGCTTCCAGTTTTTGCCCATTCAGTATGATATTGGCTGTGGGTTTGTCATAGATAGCTCTTATTATTTTGAGATACATCCCATCAATACCTAATTTATTGAGAGTTTTTAGCATAAAGGGTTGTTGAATTTTGTCAAAGGCCTTTTCTGCATCTATTGAGATAATCATGTGGTTTTTGTCTTTGGTTCTGTTTATATGCTGGATTACATTTATTGATTTGCGTATATTGAACCAGCCTTGCATCCCAGGGATGAAGCCCACTTGATCATGGTGGATAAGCTTTTTGATGTGCTGCTGGATTCGGTTTGCCAGTATTTTATTGAGGATTTTTGCATCGATGTTCATCAAGGATATTGGTCTAAAATTCTCTTTTTTGGTTGTGTCTCTGCCCGGCTTTAGTATCAGGATGATGCTGGCCTCATAAAATGAGTTAGGGAGGATTCCCTCTTTTTCTATTGATTGGAATAGTTTCAGAAGGAATGGTACCAGTTCCTCCTTGTAGCTCTGGTAGAATTCAGCTGTGAATCCATCAGGTCCTGGATTCTTTTTGGTTGGTAAGCTATTGATTATTGCCACAATTTCAGAGCCTGTTGTTGGTCTATTCAGAGATTCAACTTCTTCCTGGTTTAGTCTTGGGAGGGTGTATGTGTCGAGGAATTTATCCATTTCTTCTAGATTTTCTAGTTTATTTGCGTAGAGGTGTTTGTAGTATTCTCTGATAGTAGTTTCTATTTCTGTAGGATCAGTGGTGATATCCCCTTTATCATTTTTTATTGTGTCTATTTGATTCTTCTCTCTTTTCTTCTTTATTAGTCTTGTTAGTGGTCTATCAATTTTGTTGATCCTTTCAAAAAACCAGCTCCTGGATTCACGAATTTTTTTGAAGAGTTTTTTGTGTCTCTATTTCCTTCAGTTCTGCTCTGATTTTAGTTATTTCTTGCCTTCTGCTAGCTTTTGAATGTATTTGCTCTTGCTTTTCTAGTTCTTTTAATTGTGATGTTAGGGTGTCCATTTTGGATCTTTCCTGCTTTCTCTTGTGGGCATTTAGTGCTATAAATTTCCCTCTACACGCTGCTTTGAATGTGTCCCAGAGATTCTGGTATGTTGTGTCTTTGTTCTCGTCGGTTTCAAAGAACATCTTTATTTCTGCCTTCATTTCATTATGTACCCAGTGGTCATTCAGGAGGAGGTTGTTCTGTTTCCATGTAGTTGAGTGGTTTTGAGTGAGTTTCTTAATCCTGAGTTCTAGTTTGATTGCACTGTGGTCTGAGAAACAGTTTGTTATAATGTCTGATGTTTTACATTTGCTGAGGATAGCTTTAATTCCAACTATGTGATCAGTTTTGGAATAGGTGTGGTGTGGTGCTGAAAAAAATGTATATTCTGTTGATTTGGAGTGGAGAGTTCTGTAGATGTCTATTAGGTCCACTTGGTGCAGAGCTGAGTTCAATTCCCGGGTATCCTTGTTAACTTTCTGTCTCATTGATCTGTCTAATGTTGACAGTGGGGTGTTAAAGTCTCCCATTATTATTGTGTGGGAGTCTAAGTCTTTCTGTAGGTCACTCAGGACTTGCTTTATGAATCTGGGTGCTCCAAAAGAGCTCCTGAAGGAAGCACTAAACATGGAAAGGAACAACTGGTACCAGCCACTGCAAAATCATGCCAATTTGTAAAGACCATGGAGGCTAGGAAGAAACTGCATCAACTAATGAGCAAAATAACCAGCTAACATCATAAAGACAGGATCAAATTCACACATAACAATATTAACTTTAAATGTAAATGGACTAAATGCTCCAATTAAAAGACACAGACTGGCAAATTGGATAAAGAGTCAAGACCCATCAGTGTGCTGTATTCAGGAAACCCATCTCACTTGCAGAGACACACATAGGCTCAAAATAAAAGGATGGAGGAAGATCTACGAAGCAAATGGAAAACAAAAAAAGGCAGGGGTTGCAATCCTAGTCTCTGATAAAACAGACTTTAAACCAACAAAGATCAAAAGAGACAAAGAAGGCTGTTACATAATGGTAAAGAGATTAATTCAACAAGAAGAGCTAACTATCCTAAATATATATGCACCCAATACAGGAGCACCCAGATTCATAAAGCAAATTTTTAAATATACATAATACATTATGTGGAGATAAGAATATTGAATAAAAATGTAGACATGTAATAGGATGGAAGGCATTGAAATTGGAGAAGAGAATTTCTACTTTATATAGAAGGTTACTGAAAAAAGTCTAAAGCTGGCATGACACTGGAATGACAGGCACATGATGGAGAGTTGCTTTTCCTTTTTCTTTGCTGAACTTAGTCTTGTAAGTTTTCTCTTTCCTCAATAAAACACATTTCTTAATCCATGAACTGTGATGTGGAATCTGTGTTACTCTCTGTGATAGAAAAGAATATAGCAGATTCTTTGAAAAAGTCTTCAATATTCTCCTCCCTGTATCTATGTATCTTCAAAATGTGATTTTGCAGGTAGTCCCATAAACCTGTGGAGTATTTTCTCCAAATCTTAATTCTGAGCTTGCTTTGACCACTAGAATATGGCAAAAGTGGTATTGTGCCAGCTCTGACAATACACCTCAAAAGGCCTAGCACAGTTTGGCTTACTATTTTAGTACCTTGTTTTTATAAGACCAATCTTGACAAGCCAACCCCAGGAGAGCTAACAGTTTTATTAGAGAAACATCTATGAGCCCAGCCAAGATCAGCAAAACTGCCCAACCAAAATTAGACTTATAATTTTTTAAATGGTGTTTGATGTCACAAACTTTGACATAGTTTATTATGTAGCTAAAGATAATTCTTACTAAGTGTACATAAAATGCATCTTTGAGCTTTTCATTAAAGCAGGGGAAAAAAAACAGAGCAGCAGCTGGAGAAAGATGTGGGACCAAGAGATGATCTTTTACATATGTATATATATATAAAATATATATATAAAACATATATATATAATATATATAAAACATATGTTATATATATATAACATTATATAATATATATTATATATAGATATAATTTCATAAACAAAGATGTGGGGCCAAGAGATGATTTTTTTATATATATCTCCATTACGTTCAAGTCAATGTTATTATTTGGAATTGATAAGTGTTTTCTCTGAGCTTATTTTTACGTCTTAACTATAAAATATATCATTCTTTGCTTTGCATTTTAAGATTTTCAAATGCATTCAACCACTGTATTTATAAATATTTAATTGATACATAGTAATTTTACATATTTCTGAGGTATATGTGATATTTCAATACATGTGTACAGTGTTTAATAATCAAATCACAGTAACTGGAATATCCATCACCTAAAACACATATCATTTCTTTGTATTGGGAACATTCAAATCCTCTTTTCTAGTTATTTTGAAATATACAATAAATTATCACTAACTATAGCCACCCAACGGTGCTATGGAACTCTAGCCCTATCCCTTTGCCCCTCTACCCTTCCCATCCTCTGTAACTACTATTCTATTCCCAAAGTCTGTGAGATCAACTTTTTATCTACCAGATATGAATGAAAACATGTGGTATTTCTCTTTCTGTATCTGGCTTTTTCACTGAAAATTCAGCCACTCTATTTTGAATTACTTATTGGCAAAAATGACAACTTAATTATATTTGAAAATACCTATCCTGGTCCATTGTGCTTACTGAATACTCAGTATCTCATTCCAATTTATTGATTTTTAAATGAAAATTTAAAATAGCTAGCACTCAATTGTTTTTAGAAGTTTCAAATATGTATTATTAATAATATAATGTAAAATATTAACAAATTCAGGCTTAATAAGGTCAAGAGAACCAAGTCAAGCAGTCTACAGGGGACAACCTCCTGATGACAAAGAGGAGAGTTGACACATCAATCATCGGGATAGTGAAGTATGAGTGTGGCAAATGGAAAACATCAGTACTATTTTAAACAAAGTATCAGCAATTATGATAATATTCCCAAGGTTTTCTTACTGTTGACAAAGCATATTTCATCTCATTTAAACATATACTCACTTCTACAAATACTATTTTTCTACATTTTTGAAATTTTCAGCAGTAATTATATCTTAGATAAAATGAGACTACAGATCTCATCATAATGGAAAAGAAAAAAATGAGAAATCCAAGCCATTTTCTTCAGCAGAAGACAAGTGGAAACAAATAATAATGCTAAAGAAGAAATATACTTTAGATTAGGCCAGGCTACTCATTCTCTGTTGTAGGCATGATTGTAATTTACAGACTCTGACATCAGCTCACTTAATATGCAAAGATTATCATTTTGTCCAATTAGTATTGCTTTTACATCAAAGCCTGTTTCTGCACCTGCAATAGGACAGCTGAATGTGGCTAAAAAGAACACTGTATAGTGATGACTTTATATTCCATTTTAAATTCCAGACTGCTAATGCTGAGTGCTGTCATACAGTCTTGCCACATTTCTCTGAAGAGTCTTTTAACAATGCATCTCATCACCTTCTAAAATTTTAGTGTTTCCAGGGTTAATCTTGGTGTCTTTTCTCTTCTCTACTTATGCCTGACCTTTTATTATGCCATTCTGCCTTTTGCCTTTTAATATCCTCTGTTTCTGATGATGTGCATATTTTTATATCCAATTAAAATATGTCTCCTAACTACCAAATTATATACGTGTGCTTTGCCTATTTAACATCTTGATCTGTGTGTCTGTTAAATGTCTCACATCCAACATGTCCAAACATGTCTCCCAAGACCCACTTTTATCACAATCATCCTTATACTATAAAATGACATATAATCATTCCAGCTCATCAGATACAAAATCCTTCTTTGTTTTTTTCTGTTACATCCTACATCAGCAAATCTGTTGGCTGTCCTTTCAGAATATATTCATAAACTGTCCCGTGTCACTGGCATTCCTACCACCATGATTGTAGCCAATATCTGTTTTTTACTAAAGTTATTCCAACTCCCCATAACTTTTTGACATAGTTATAAATTTATAACTGTGTACCTCAGTCCCAAATCTACTCTTCAGTACCTGTGCAAATAGTCTAGACTGTTCGGGCATTTCTCCTTCACAGTGAGGACAGTGTAAAGCTTTGTCAATAGAGGATATTGGAGGGATCTTGTAGGAAGGAGACTTCCCGTCTTGATCCCGGTATACTGTATTTTTTCTTTTTCTTATTTCTATTGCATACTCTGTCAGTGGTGTGAGGTATGTGGATGTCTAGTGGTAGTCTTTCAACTATGTGCCCAGAATGCTTTCTGACTTTATCGTCATAGCCTGGGCCTGGTGACCACTTTGTTGTTGCTCTTCTGATGTGCACACTGCATGTTCCAGGCCTTGCACTTACAGTTACCTAACCCTCTTTGCTTACTTCCCATCAGCCTTGTTCCTTTGTATATTAGGTTTTTTTTCTGCTTGTTCAGTGACTGTAAACCAGTCCTGGTCCTGACAACCCAGATAACTTTTTGGCCATACAGTGAGCTGCAACCTCACCTTTTCCTATGAGGTTTGGCTTCCATTTGAAAGAAGGGAGCTCCTCTTACAACTGTGCCCTTCCTTAGGTCTGCCCCTTAGCCCTTACCCTTTAGTGTTGTCTTTACCTCACTATGTTCACTCTCCTATCGTTGATGTAGAGATAATAATTCCTTGTAGTAAATGTCCATAGTTCAAATTACTATGTACTTTCTGTCTCCTCATTGGACTCTGACTGACACTCTCACTGCTTCTGCTGCTTATTTCCCACAGGCTTTGCACTACACCATGGCCAGACGGATTCTGTTAAAGTTCTGACTTCAGATTAGGTCATTCCTCAGATCAAAGTCCTCCAACAGGTTCTTATGTCACTTAGGGTAAAAGCCAAAAAGGCGTTTACTATTTGGCCATATGCTAACCATGTGACACTATACTGTACCTTTGTTCTCTCTGGTACGCTGACTTCCTTGCCCTCCCTTGAAAAACATACCAAGATGCTTTCTTCTCAAGGCCATTGACTTTTCTATTTGCTTGTCTTTGAACACCTTTTGTCCAGATGTCCACATGTCTCAGTACACAGTAACTGCTATTTTTATATAGAGTTAATTGTTTATATAGAGTTAATTCTTTCTTTTAGTTTTCTTCTCAATGTTACCTTACTGAGGGTCTTTTCTTGGACACTCTATATAAAATAGCAGTTACTAATGTTCCCTCCATCCTGCACCATCCCAGCACTCCTGATCTCTCTAAACTCCTCTATTTTCTCCCTGGTACTTAGCCCTGCATTGTTTTTAAATATAAGTTATTATTCTTTTATTGTCAGTCATCAACTACAATGCAAGATACAGATTTTGATTTCTCTATTACTATGTTTTCAGGACCTAAACAATTTCTGTTACACAGTAGGTGCCCAATATACATTTTTTGAATGAGTAAATTTATTTTGAAGATTATTAATTTTTTGCACAATTTCAGAAGAATACAGACATAAACACTTATTTTTGCTCTTACCACGATAGAATCTGACTTGTTTTTAGTCAAAGACAATATCCTACCATGTGCTTCTCTCTGGCATCAAGCAAGGTGGAACTACAGATGTTTTAAAACAATTTTGTATTAAATTTAGTTGCAATTGGTATGAAATGATAGCCTTAGAAACTTATCTTTCACATAATTCCATTTTCAAATAGGCTGCTGCAGATACCCTTTGCCTAATAGATTTACAATATCTCTTTTTATTTCCATTGAAGTGGTGGTTTGTGACATATTTCTCTGAAAAAAAAATTAGATAATGCCTGTGCTTTAACAATCTTCTAACTAATGTTTAGGTTACAGGAATAAACCAATGTTAAGTCCACATGATATAGTGTCCATCTGCTCATGTTCATGAATTCTTGTGTTCTGAACTTAACTCTTGGTTATTTTGCTTCTTTCCAAGATTATAAAGCAAGTCATAATTTCTCTTTCCAAAGTTAAAGGAAAGACACGGAGAATTATGTTAGTAGCAGGAGTGTGTATATACATATATACACACACACATATATATGTGTACACACACACATACATACACACATACACACTCCTGCTACTAACATAATACATATATACATAATACATATGTACTAACATAATACATATGTACATAATACATATATATCTGTAAATTTTTAGCTATGTTTTTCTTCTCAAAAAAAAAACCCTATATGGCTTCTCCAAAGAGAATTATGATTTTCTGCTAAAAGGTATGAAACACATTAGGAATGAGTTTTTTCTTTCATTATTAAGAAATATTTCTAAGACATCTGAATGACCTGATTCCAAAGGTTATTGTTCCTACTGGTGACTCCATTTCAAACAGATTAAGATACAAGAAGGTTGCTACAGACAGCGATAACTGCATAAAGGGGGAACAGTAGTTCTGGATAATAGAAGAACTAAAAAACAAGCTCCTGAATGTTTCTTTAAGCAATAATTTTTTTTTCTCCTCCAGAATCAAATAGTTCGGATAATTCCAGGCACCAAAGAAATAGTAACTTGACTGATAACACAGGGAAATCCCTCCATTTGAGAAAATAAGCAATAGTCATTACCCTTGATGGAAACTCTTGTTATTCTAGATTATATGCAGTTTTGACACTGCAAGTAACAAGACAGACAATTTTGGAAAATGTACCAATACAAAAATCAATTTGGTATTGAGCTATCTTAGAGCTAGAGCTGTTAGATATGTTGTCTAGTCCTATGGTGGCAAAAAATATATCATTCCAACATTTACCATTAAAATAAGATGCTTCTATGACATGTGCCAGTTGGGAAAATTTCAGGGAATGAAAAAAATTGCAGTGGCATAGCTTTAATTGATTGGGGTTCTGAAAAGTCAGACTCCACAAAAATGAGTCTTTTTTACTTCCAAATTCAATTCATTTATATAGACAAATATATCATTTTTGTGACATATTCATCAGCAAATGATAACTGTATGCATTTTGATTAAATATAACAAGTTTCTGTATATATGGGGTAAAATGCAAAATTAATTTATAGCTATTCAGAAAGTTCATAACTGATGCATGCTCAATGTTAACCAAAATTATAGAGAAAAAAATTGTCTAATTTGTAACTGAAGTAGCATACATTGCTTGGTGAGACTGAAGGGCATTCAATGGCAATTCAGGATAGGTTGATTGGCACTAAGAATTATTGCAAGTATATAATGATAAAAAACTTCCCTGATGAAATAAGCAGATGATATATAGTGTCTAACAAGACAATAGTACATGTAATTGGATAACATACTGTGTTTCCTGTTGTAGATTAGGTGAGCAGGCACAAAAGGGTTACTGTCTTCACATCAAAATTGAATTTCAGCTACAAATTGTTAAGTGGATTAATGCTGGATTAAAAATAAAGAGAAGCATTTGTTTAAAACAGCCCTATAAAAGGAATAGGTAAAAATATTATAATTATTGGCAAGTCATTCTACCAAGTGAAGAATTAAAAAATGGCCTTCTTTGGGAAACACTATTCTACTACTTCCTGAAATTAACTAGTCCAAATGCATTATTAGCATCTGGAGGAATATATGTAACACTGCATTTTATAATAAAACACTACTGATGTATTTATAATGGAAGATTGAAAAATTGTTTGGCCCAATTTATCTGTCTCTTCTCCACACTCCTACATTTATGCTCTTTCCATGTCCTTTTCAGGGTTGTGGCCCATAGATTTTATCTTGGCCATCTGACTTGCTTTGGACAATGGTAGAAAATGTGGCAGTTCTAAACCTAAGCTTTAAGAAGCCTCATATGTTTCTGTTTGTCCTCTTGCATGTCTGCCATAAATATGAGAAGATTAGCTCATGAAAGATAAATTTTATAGCAAATCCCTAAAAGTTATAGCAAGTTACTAAAAGTGACAAATATTATTGGATTTCTTTTAACAGGTATTTTGAGGACCTGACATTTATTCTTTAGTGTGAAGGAAAAAAATGTTATTTGACTCTGCCCAATATCTTTCAAAATGATTTGAGTCTTATATTCATTCCCTGAATAATGTCTGCCCCATGAATTGGGGTCCCTGAATGAACACATATGCAGCAGTGATACCCCCTAGCTAAGTCACAGACCTGTAGTCATAAGAAGAGTCACCCAGCTGTCCAGCTGCTGCAACCCAAAACAGAATCGCCCAAACACTCCTGGTCTACATCAGTAGAACTGTTCCAACAGACCCATAAGCTCATGAAAATAAATGATAATTATTTAAAAATGCTGCATTTTGGGGTGATTGGTTACATAGTTTTATTATGGAGACAGTTGACTCATATATATTTATCTGACACCACATGTTTCAGTAAGATGTCTATTATGATCATGCTAAGCACCAAACCTGTCTTTCATCCCCATACACACACCAAATCTCAAAGACTTAGGAGAATAACTGCTTTTTTCATCACTCAAGGGTCTTTGGAATAGCTAGTGGCTTTTCTTCAGACTGCAAGTTAGCTTCAGACTACTTCAACCTGACTGGCAGTCTGAGAACAGAGCATGCTTTTTTTATGACAGATAGCAAAAGGATAAGAAGAATGCCAAACATGAAAGTAAGTTAATGCATCTCTCATATCATATTTGTTCACATTCTGTTGCAAAGTAATTTATGTGGCCATTCTCAAAGCAGGGAGGGTAGCAGGAAGTAGAGTCTGCTGTAAGAGAGAAGAGGTGGAGAGAAGTACATATTTTCTGAACAATTATCTAACCTATCACATCATACATTACTTGTATTAATCTCAGTCTTCTATATTGAGGTTTCAGGGTAAGGCCAATGAAGATAGGATATAAAACAGTATAAAATCTAAGACACTGTTAGATGATAAGCACAAAAGGGTGACTGTAATCAGTAATAATTATACATTTAAAAATAACTAAAGAGAATAATTGGATTGTTTGTAACACAAAGCGTAAAATCTTTCAGGGAATAGATACCCAATTTTCCATGATGTAATTATTACACATTGCATGCCTATATCAAAACATCTTATGTACCTTATAAATATATACACATAGTGCTGTAGTCTCAGCAATGCACCAAGATGTAACAGTCTCTTGTCTGAGATAATGTCTGGAGTTTTTTGTCTGACCTCCAGGAAAAAAAGGAGTGTGGACACAAAGGTGAGGTTAGAGCAAAAGTTTAATAAGTGAAAGAAGAAAGCCCTCTGCCAGCAGAGAGGGGGGCCTGAACAGGGTGTCTCCTATGAGGCTGGGGTCCAAGGTTTTTATGGACCCCATGTGGGATTTTTATGGGAAGGGGAAGGAATATGCTTAGTCCACGGGCTGTCTTGGAGAATGGTGTGACTCAGCTTGGCCCAGGGCCTTGGCCCAGGACCAGTCAGGAGCTGAAATAATGATTCACAGATGCTGCTTAGCTTGGCCCAGGATCTATCAGGAGCTGAAGTGAAAGCTTGGCCTGGGACCTTGGCATGGGACCAATCAGAGGCTGAAACGATGATTCATAAAAGCTGGACTTATAGTCCAAATAAAGAAAAGTCAAGTGCGCACCAGAACCCACTGGAGCCCACTGTGCCCATGCCCACAAAAGGAGAAGAAACTTTTCCTGGGACCCCACTGACTATACAAAGGACAAAGGCCAGGGCTTTGTTTCTTTATCTGAGTGAGCTAGAGGTTTGTGCAAGTTTTTATTCAAGCAGGCTGGAGGTTTTTCTATCTGTGCAGCCGTGGGCTTGTCTCCAGGCAAAACACCCTGTGCTAGTTTTCCCTTATCTGTGCCTGCAGCTTATGTGGGGATGAGGTACTGACCCATGGGCTAGGGGCTCTCTGGAGACCCTTCCTTGTTATCCCCTTAAGGCAAGCTAACCAAATCCTTTCAATAGTATGTACCCTCAGTAATTAAAAATAAAGAAATTTAAACATTAAATAAATAAATAAATAGCAGAATATGTAAGGCACTCAAACAACCCAGTAGCAAAAAGAAAACAGAAAAACAAACAAAAAACCCCAAATAATCCAATTGAAAATTGGCCAAAAATTTGAATAGACATTTCTCAAAAGAAGACATACAAATGGCCAAAGGGTATATGGAAAAAGTATGCCCAACATAATTAATCATTGGAGAAATGCAAATAAAAACCACAATGAATATCTTACCCCAGTTAAAATGGCTTCTATCAAAAAGATGGGCAGTAACAGATGCTGGTGAGGATGTGGAGAAAGGGGAAGGCTCATACATTTTTGGTGGGAGTATAAATTAGTACAGCCACTATGGAAATCTATGTGAAGATTTCAAAAACTAAAAATATAACTAAGATTTCAAAAAACTACAAATATAACTAACGTATGATCCAGCAATTTCCTACTGGATATATATCCAAAAAAAGAAATCAAAATATTAAAGAAACATATTCTATGTTTATTACAGCACTATTAACAATAGCCAAAACATGGAATCAACCTATCAATTATCTATTGATATGCCCATCAATAGATAAATGAACAAAGAAAATGTGGTATGTATACAAAATAGAATGTCATTCAGTCACTTGCAGCAACATGGATAGAACTAGAGGTCATTGTGTTAAATAAAATAAACCAAGAACAGAAAGATTATATATTACATGTTCACTCATATGTGAGAGCTAAAAATGTGAAGCTTATAAAACTATCAAGTCGATTGGTGGTTACCAGAGGCCATGAAGGGTAGGGAGAAGAAGGGATTGAAGACAGGTTGATTAATGGGCATAAACAGTATGATAAAATAAATATCTAGTTTTATATAGATCAGTAGAGTGACTATAGTTTCCAATAATCTAGTGTATATTTCAAAATAGCTAGAAGAGAATAATTCAAATGTTTCTAGCATAAAGACAAATATTTAAGGTGATGCGTAACCCAATTATACTAATTTAATCTTTACAAATTATATGAGTATGTTAAATTATTTCATGCACCTCCAAAATATGTACGTCCATTATGTATCAATACCAAAATAAATGTTAAAGAAGAAAAAATAATTCCATAAATTTTATTCCACATTCATAGCATTTTTTCTTTCTAGTTATAGACCTAATGTTAAATATTTCCATCCTGTTTTCTTGTTTTTACCCCTCTTTGTAACATCTCTTCTTTAATACTGAAACAAAGCAACCTTACTCTGATTTCACACTCTGGTTTTAGCATGTAATATATTATTCTGGAATCCTAAATGTACATGCCTGTCAGACTTTGTTGACTGAAGACACAGGAACTGTATTGCTCATCTTTGCACCCCCTAGCCCCACCCCACTAACATCTGGCTAACTCCGACCCTTTGTAAGTGCTCCATGATTGCTGGTTGGAATTCACTTATATGTGAGGACTCTAAAGAATAAAGAGAGTGCTTACTCATGTCATACAGGCACTCCCTTCTTAATGTTCAAGAAACTACATTAGTACAACTGTTTCTGGTAATAATTAAAGAGTGAAATTATCAATTTCAATCAAATGCCACATATAGTATCTGGATATAATTAATTATTTTAAATATTTTTAGATTATATCATTATATGATAATCATTAAATGTATTTTTTTTATAATTATCAACCCAACCAACTAAAGTGTATGTATTATTGAAATGCAGTGAAATAGTTTTCTTTTCCACATTACATCTACACTCATTCTTTAATAATAATCCCTCCACTTTGGGACTGAATAATACTTCAGTTTTGCCTTTGTCTTATACATCACCCCCAACCTGCCTTTTCCTTAGGTTTCCTCTTTACCTACTCCAATATTTTACATATTAAAATTTCCTTTTTTTGTTCCAGGTTATTATTGTATTTTGTGCCAAATATCATATTCTATTGCCAATTTCTGTCAAACGCTATCCCTCAAAATTCACTCTTTTTATTTTAAGGGTAAGTATGGCTCCACCCTCTATTTTAAATATTATGAGACTATGGCAGGCTTTTTTTATGTTAGGTTTCCTGAGTATCTCTCAAAGATAACAAAAAATTCTAATTTTCTACTTATTGGTTTAAACCTATGATTATAACTGAATCTCTTCTTCTGACTTTCTGGCATAGTTTTACAGTTCTAAATTTCTTCATTCACAACTTCTTTGAAAATTAAATGTAGTATATTAATTTTTCTTACCTGACTTCTTATATCACTGTTTATTTTTGAATTTGTATGTTGGTGCCACAAAGTTCTGACATCAAGTGCAATAACATATTTTCATCTTAATTATACCCAGACATTTCTCTTTCTCCCTTATTTTTTGTTTTAGTTTTAAATATTACCTTAGGTAAAACATTTTAGATGTTTTTTATAAAACTAAAATATAAATTGCCTTCTTAAATGTTCTCTTCTTTTTATGTGACACGTAGGAATCATTTTTTCTTCAATTCTTCATGGGGCTTTAAATTAACCAAATTATTGCATAATTTTTCTGACTACACTTTTACTTGTTTTAGTCTGCTATAAAGAAATACCTGCAACTGGAAAATATATAAAGCAGAAACTTATTTTATTTTATTCCACATTAAGAACAACATTTTTTCTAATTGCAGACCTAATGTTAAATATTCCCATCCCATTTTCTTGTTTTTACCCCTTTTTAATTTTTGAAAAATGAGCAATGGGGCTGGGCATGGTGGCTCATGTCTGTAATCCCAGCACTTTGGGAGGGCCATGCGGGCGAATCATGAGGTCAGGAGTTCAGTACCAGCCTGACCAACATGGTGAAACCCCATCTCTACTGAAAATACAAAAATTAGCCAGGCATGGTGGCATGCGCCCATAATCTCAGTTACTCAGGAGGCTGAAGCAGGAGAATCACTTGAATCCGGGAGGCAGAGGTTGCAGTGAGCTGATATTGTGCCACTGCACTCCAGCCTGGGTAACAGAGCGAGACTCCATCTTGGGGAAAAAAAAAAGGAAAATAAGCAATGGAAAAAGGACTCCCTGTTAAATAAATGGTGCTAAGATAACTGGCTAGCTATACGCAGAAGAATGAAACTAGATCCCTACCTATCACCATATACAAAAACTAACCAATGATAGATTAAAAGTTTAAATGTAAGACCTCAAACTATTAAAATCCTGGAAGAAAATCTAGGACATACCGTTCTGTACATCAGCGTTAGCAAAGAATTTATGACTGAGTCCTCAAAAGCAACTGCAACAAAAACAACAATTGACAAGTGAGACCTAACTAAACTAAAGAGCTTCTGCACAGCAAAAGAAACTAGCAACAGAGTAAACACACAACTTATAGGCTGGAAGAAAGGATTTGCAAACTACGCATCCCACAATGTCTAATATCCAGAATCTGTAAGGAACTTCAACAATTCAACGAGCAAGAAACGAATAGCCCCACTAAAGAGCAGGCAAAAGACATGAACAGACACTTCTGAAAATAAGACATACAGTCAACCAATAAACATGAAAGAATGTTTAACATCCCTCTTAATCACAGAAATGCAAATTGAAACAATACTGACAGGCCATCCCACACCAGTCATAATGACTATTACTAAAAGTATAAAAACAACAGTTGTTGGTGAGGCTGCAGAGAAAAGGGAATGCTTTTACTCTGTTGGTGGGAACGTAAATTAGTTCAGCCACTGTGGAGAGTTGTTTGAAGATTTCTCAAAGAATTAAAAATAGAACTATCATTCGACCCAGCAATTTTATTACTTGGTATAAATCCAGAGGAAAATAAATCATTCTACCAAAAATATACATGCATTTGTGTGTTCATTGCAGCACTATTCACAATAGAAAAGACATGGAATCAACCCAGGTGCCCATCAATGATGGATTGAATGAAAAGAATGTGGTTCATGTACACCATGGAATACTACACAGCCTTAAAAAGGAATAAATTATGTCTTTTGCAGCAACATAAATGCAGCTAGAAACCATTATCCTAAGTTAATTAATGCAGGAACAGAAAACCATATACTCTATGTTCTCACTTGTAAGAGAGAGCTAAACAATGGATACGAATGGACATTAAGATGAGAACAACAGACACTGGAAACCACAAGATGGGTGACATGGTTTGGATTTGTGTCCCCATCCATATCTCATGCCAATGGTAATCGCCAATATTGGAAGAAGGGCCTGGTGGGAGGTGAGTGAATCATGTGGGCAAATTTCCTTCTTGCTAGTCTCATGATAGTGAGTTCTCACAGATCTGGTCACTTCCCCTTCTCTCTCTTCCTCCTGCTCCAGCCATGTAAGACATGACTGCTTCCCCTTTGCCTTCCGCCATTATTGAAAGTTTCCTGAGGCCTCCCCAGCCATGCTTCCTGTACAGATTGTGGAATCATAAGCCAATGAAACCTCTTTTCTTTATAACTTACCCAGTTTCAGGTAGTTCTTTATAGCAGTGCACAAACAGACTAATACATGTGGGAGGCACGGAGTGGGGCAAGGTTTGGAAAACTACCTATTAGGTTTTATGCTTACTACCTGGGTGGCAGTTTCAATCATACCTCAAACTTCAGCATCACACAGTATACCCATGTAACAAACCTGCACAAGTACGCTCTGAATCTAAAGTAAAAAAAAAAGAAATACATTATTTTTCTGATAAAAAAAGAAATAAATTTATTTCTCACAGTTCTGAAGGCTGGAAGTCCAATACTGAGACACCAGCTGCCTTGGCGTCTGGTGAGATGAAAACCTGGTCACTTTTTTCAAGTTGATCTCTTGTCACTGCACCCATGCTGCATCTCTTGGGGGATGAATGCTGGGTCTTCACATGGAAGTAGAAACGGAAGGTCAAAAGAGCCTCAATAATAGCTCCTTTGATTCCTTTCAAAAGGGTGCTAAAACCATTTATGAGATTTAATCATCTTGTTAAAACACCGCATCTTATAAAAACCCCACCTCAATATTAGAACATTGAGTCTTAGGTTCCAACATTTGAAATTTGCTGGCACATACGCATTCAAACCATTGCAGACCATTCTTCTGAGCATGCACTCTCCCTGGTAAAAATAATATTCTCTATTAGAATGGAATTCTAGTCTTCCACATCTTCTCCTTTCTCAGGAAAATTTGGCATCATTACTGATATTCTGATCCTCTCACATACCTAAAATTTTTTTTCTCTCACTCAGGTTTTTCTCTTCCTTCATTATGTGTAAAATGTGAACATTTCTCCCAGTTTAGTTCTTGCCCTCTCTTCATCTATATTCCTTACTCTTTGCAAAATTTGTCTACTCCCATAAACATATATATGCTTGATTAATAATTTAAAAAATCATATATATTTTTTCTGTCTCTAATGTCATATCTCTAACATCCTGTAGACTGGTGGTCCCCAACCTTTTTGGCACCAGGGACTAGTTTTATGGAAGACAATTTTTCCATGGTTGGGTTTGGAAGGATGGCCTCAGGATGGTTCAAGCATATTATATTTATCATTAGATTCTCATAAGGAGGGTGCAGCCTAGATCCCTCACATATGCAGTTCACAATAGGGTTGTGCTCTCCTGCTGTGTGACCCAGTTCCTAACAGGCCATGGAGTGGTACCCATCTATTGCCCAGGGGTTGAAGACTCCTGCTGTAGACTATTTCTACAACCTGTACTGTCCTGTTTGATCTCAGGGTCTTTCCATGTCTACTACTAGTGTTCCCACAGATTAAGCTGTACCACTGAATTTGCTAATTTCCATTAGTAAGAATCTCATTACCTTTCTACTCATTTAGGCTCAAGTCTTCAGTTACAATAGCCAATGTTTACTGAGCCCCTCCTCTGTTGGACAATGTAAGCATCTTTCCTATGCATAATGAGGAATATGTAGCTCCTCTGAGGACCTGTGGACGTTCCCTTATCTTAAACCTGTCAAAGTTTTCTACAGAAATATACACAGTTAAGATATATGTTTTATCTTAACTATTTATGAAAATGTTTCACTCTATTTCATAATAAATATTTCCTTATCCTTCAGACATTTAATTGCCAAGGTGTCTCAGAATATAATTCTAGAAGTTCTTCTTTTCTCTAACTACATTCACTCCCTGAGTAATCTCATACGTTATGAGCATTCACAAATTTATATTTATGCCACCAACCTCTCACCTCAAATCTCGCCACTTATATCCAAATTTTCAATATCTTTACTTATTAATCTATATTTTTACAATTAACTCAAATTTATCATATTCAAAACTGAACTCCTAGTTCATATATCTCTTAACTGTGCTGAAATCCTGTGTCACCAAAAGTCATTTTTTTCAATAAATGACAATCTCACTTCTCAATTGTTTAGACCATTAAAAAAAAACCCTGATTCCTTTTATATCTCCAAATTAATCCCGTTAACTGAATTTCAAAGTAGACACAGAGCTGTTCATTTTTTACCACTTCATCTACTACCATACTTTCAATAATTTCTTCATTATTGGGGTTACTCGTATCCTAAAAACAAGAAACCAGGTTTATTGTTTTCACTCTTGCTCACCAACAACCTATTTCCCACTTACCAGTTAGAGTGACCCTACTAAAACTGCCTTTTTTGCTCAAATCAGTGCAATGAAGGTCCTGAAAATGTTACGTGGGGTCCTACCCATATTGAATTCCAGCTCTCCCTCTCTGCCCACCTCTCCTATTATTCTTTGTCTTGTTCCATTTGCTGCATCAGTGTTTCTTAAACAGAAGTGGGTGAGGGGAGAAAGAGGAGATGGTAACTGTGAACTTTTCTTCCTCAGGAATATTTAGCAACTTCTGTAGGCATCTTTGGTTTATACAGCTGAGGGTATGTGTGGAGGCTTCCACCTGCAATCTAGTGGGAAGAGGCCGGAGATGCTGCTAAGCATCCTATAATGTGGTGGTCCCCAACATTTTTGGCACCAGGGACCAGTTTTGTGGAAGACAATTTTTCCACGGACAGGGGTGGGGGATGGTTTGGGGATGAAACTGTTCCACCTCAGATCTTCAAGCATTAATTAGAATCTAATGCCGCTGCTGATCTGACAAGAGGTGAAGCTCAGGTGGTAATACTCGCTCACCTGCCATTCACCTCCTACTGTGTAGCCCAGTTCCCAACAAGTCATGGACTAGTACCAGTCAGTGACCCAGGGATTGGGGACTCCTGCTGTAAGGCGTAAGACAAACTGCACAACATTTATCTGGACCAAAAGGTCAATATGCAGATGTTGAGAAACCCTGTGTTACAGCTACAATGATGCCTCTGCAATTCCCATATGAAAAATATATTAAGAGCATATTAAAAATGTCATATTCCCTGGTGTTTTCACTAAACATTGCATTTCTTTAGAATATCCTTTTTTGATAGATGTATGCTCTGATTTATTCAGGTCTCTCTCAAATACTGCCTCAAAAAACCCTTCTCTGACCATCCTCAGGTACTCTCTATCACAAAACCTACTTTCTTTTCTTGATTACATGGTTAAATACCTAGTATATTACACATTATTTGTATATTTGGTTGTTGTCTGTTTCTGTTTGCTACAATATAAGCCCTATTATGGTGAGGTTCTGGTCAATACTGTGTTCTTTATCCCTAGAACCTTGAACAGTGTTTGAAACATGTCAGGAACTAATAAGGTAAATGAATGAATCAATTTTTTATCCAAATTTTACCCTTTCTATTCTATTAATTTCCTTGTATCTACAATAATTTCAAACTCCCAAGTTTTTCTTCTCCCTTCTTTCTCTTATAGTACTTACTGCTTTTACCTGTTTATTGGAATTTGAAAATGATGGCAGTTCTATTTTTGCATAAAATTGTCAGAGTTGTATTTGTAACTTTAACTACTTAGCAGGAAATGACTACCATAAACCACTTATCCTATGTGGTTTAATAGTTCACTGCTTCATAATGTATTAGTAAAATTTCTCTAAATTATCAAATTCAGCTTCTATATTAGATATTATTTTCCTGGTCGAATAACCCTAATTTTTCTGGCAGCATATACTTTGTAAATAAGACTATAATAATCTTTTCTAAAAAATCACAAGCTGTGACAATCTTGACTATAAGTATTAAATTCAAATTATCAAAAATATCCTTGATATTAAGAAAAAATGGCTCAGGCTCATCTTTTAGAAAGTGAGTGAAATTATATGGGCCATTAAAAAAATTTACTCTTCACACATATTTTGTTTTTATCTATATGACTTAGGAATCTAGAGTTCCATATAAATTCTTTCTTATAATAAATGCTATAGTTAATTAAATGGATTTAAATTAAATGTGCAGATTACTCATCACCTTGAGATGAAGAATAATTCTCTAATCCTGGAATGTGTGGGTCCTACTAGAGAAAAACTATGCATTTGGAGACCTGGATCTCCTTAATATGGGCACATTTTATTCTGTGATGAATTGGATAGTAATACCAGCATCTTTTTCCATTTTTTTTTTAGAGATGGGGTCTTGCTATGTTGCCCAGGCTGGTCTCAAATTCCTGGGCTCCAGCAATCCTTCCATCTTGCCCTGCCAAAATGTTGGAATTACAGGCATGAGTCATCATGCTCAGCCAATAGTCTTTTTTCTTTCATATCCTGCTTACTTTGTGCGTGTGTATGTAGGGATGTGTGTGTGTGTGTGTGTGTGTATTTATATACATGTACAATTGACACTTGTACAATGTGAGTCCTAGGGATGCCAACCCCCGTGCAGCTGAAAATCTGAGTATGACTTTTGACTCACCCAAAACTTTACTAATAACCTCCTGTTGACTGGCAGCCTTTCAGATAACATAAACATTCCATTAATACATATTTTATGTGTGATATGTACTACATCCTGTATTATTATAATAAAGTATGCTCGAGATAGAAAAAGTTAAGAAAATCATAAGAAAGGGAAAATATATTTACTATTTATTAAATGGAAGTGTATCATCATAAACGTATTCATCCTTGTCTTCTTCATGTTTAGTGGGCTGAGGAGGAAGAGGAGAAGTTGTTCTTATTGCCTCAGTGGTTGCAAAAGTGGAAGAAAATCCAGGTATAACTGAACCCACACACTTCAAAACTGCATGGCTCAAGGGTCAATTATATACTTACATACATACAAACACATACACACACAATATTACAAATATATGTATATAAATGTTATCTGCTATTTTGTTGCTTTTATTGTCACTTTTATTCTTTTAATGATGTTCTTTGTAGAGCAGAACATTCTAATGTTGATAAAGTGCAAGTCACTCATCTGTTTTTACTTTGCAGAATGTGTGTGCATGTGTTTGTGCATGTACCATATGAAGATATCTTTGCCTAACTGATGACCATAAGAATTTTCTACTATATCATCTTCTAGAACTCTTATCATTTTAGATTTTATCTTTCAATATGTGACCCATTTGCAGGTGATTTTGTATTTTACAACAGTGAAATTAAAGCATTAATATTCACTTTTCCCCCATTTTTGGATATCCAGCTGTTACTGCTTGAAATTTCTTAGAAACTTGATCAAAAATCAATTGACCATATATATGTATATCTAATTCTGCATTCTTTGTAATGTTTATTCGATCCATACATTTAATCTCACACCATACTACACACTCTTTGGGTAACTTTACGTTTATAGTAAACCTTGAAATAAGTTAACATAAACCCTGTAATTATGGTGGTCAAATTCTTTCAGCTCTCATCTTGAAGGTACTTTCAGATTGCCTCTTGTGCAATTTGAACATGCTCTTATTTTCTGAGCTCTTTCTTACTTTGTTCCTAGTATCACAGAAATTCTATGCCCATCTTGTATATTCCTTCCTCAGCTATGAAATCAACAACCACTTTAGGGATCTCTAGTTCCTTCTGTTTAAGAATTGTATATATAAGCCAGAATCAAGGTACTAGATGTAATTACTGCTACTGGACTGTCATAGATTTTAGGCCTTATCAGCAGACAGATAGAGAGAGAGAGAAAGAGAGAGAGAGTATTTGTATACACTTAAACATATATATATGTAATACACATACACACAAAGTTTAGTCTATATCTATTTATCTGTTTATATAGTTTAAAAATCTTGAATTCATACTAACTTTAATTATAATTCAACACCACAGAGTTATTCTCGCCTTTTACATTCTTGATGTGTTATTTCTTTCTTCTGTAGTGAGAAACCTGAATCTCATTCTCTACACTTACTTATTTGTTTAACCCAGTGAACACACACAGGAGCTACAGAACTGCTAATCAGTATCCTGCGTGGAAAAAAATAAGAATACTAACTAGTTAGTAGCTTCTTTAGAGTTTTCTATATATACAATAGCTATACCTGTATAATTTTATTTTTTCCTGTCTAATCTGTATACTTTTTTCCATGCTTTATTGCCCTAGACAGTATTTCTACATGACATTGCATAAGAGTGATGGGAGATGACATCCTTCTTTCTTCTTCTTATTTTCAATCTTAGAAGAAAACAGTTTTGCCTAACACCATTAAGTGTGTTAGTATGGTAGTTGTTTTATCTGTCTGATTTTTTTTAGATGCCCATCTTGAAGTTAAAGAAGCTCTCTTTTGCTGACTGTTCTTATTTGAATGATTGCTAAATTTTGTCAAATACTTTTCCTTTACCTGTAGAGAGGATCATGTGTGTATTTTCCTCTCTAGTCTGTTAGTGTAATAAATTACACTTATATTCAAATATTTAATGAGTTTCTCATTCCTGAAATAAGTAACACTTGATAAGGATGTGCTATCCTTTTTACTCTATTGCCGGTTCAATATGCTATTTTTTTCCTTAGAATTTTTGTGTTGCTATTTATGAAGGACTAGTTTGTAATTTTATTTTTTTCAGTGTCTTTGTTTTGTTTTGGTATTAGAATCATACTGGACCTTAGAAAATGAGTTGGGAAGTGTTCTATTCTCTTTTTAATTCTGGAAGAGATTGTATAGATTTGGTATTATTTATTAAACATTTGGTAGAATTAGACCTCAAAACTATCTGTGGCTGGATTTTTTTGAATGCTTTCAAAAATATGAAATCAATTTCTTTAGTAGCCATAAAATTATGTTTTATTTATTTGTACTTCAGTGAGTTTTTATAGTTTGTGTCTTTCGGGGAACTGGTCCATTTCATCTAAATTTTCAAATTTGTGGACATGAAGAGTTTTTTTTTTCTGTATTCTCTTATTATCTTATTAATGTCAGTGGAATAAGTGATGTTTCCTCTTTCATTCCAGATACTGCAATTTCTTTTATCTCTCTTTCATGCTTGGTGAGCCAGCCTGGAAATCTAGCAATTACATTATATTTTCAAATACATGCTTTTGATTTCATTGATTTTAATGGCTATTCTTTCAATTTTTTTATTTTTACTCTGAATTTTAATATTTACTTCCTTCTACTTTCTTGAAGTTTATTTCATACTTGTTTCTCTAGTTGCTTAAGATGAAGTGCAGATTGCTAACTTTTTTATTTTCTCTTCTATTGTAAGCCAATATGTACATTTTTTGTCTATAAAGTATTGCTTTAACTGCATGGTACAAATTTAGGCATAGCATGTTTTCATTTTCATTCAGTTAAATTTATTTTTAGCTTTCTTTTCTAGGTTCCTGTTTAACTCATTTGTTACGTTGCAGAAAAAGTTAATATAGCAGGCCTTAGAGGACTATTCTTTAAAAAGGCTGCTTATAAGGTTAGCCTTGGCTCGTGTTTGAGAACTTGGATTTTGGAAGTCCGTACTATATCCCAATTGATAATGGTGGCTCACTGTGCCTACTTTTTAAATAAAAGCAATGTGGATTATGCTAAATACTTACTTTGCTTTTGAGATCCTAGAATTTGTGGACATTCTAGACAGAATACCCCTATGTGATCGACCTCTCAATAAAAACCTTGGGCCCTGAATGCCTAATGAGCTTTCCTGGTAAACAACATTTTAAACAATTTAATGCTATGGAATTAAGTATATTCTGTCTGATTTACCTGGGAGATAATTCCTGGATGCTTATGCCTAGTTTCTTTGGTCTTCAACCCATTACACATTTTCCTTTTGCTAATTTTAATTTGTATAATTTCACTATAATAAATTATAGCCAAAGGAGGTCTATATGCTGAGATTGTGAGTTCTCATAGCAAATCACCAAACCTGAGGTTATCTGGAGTATGCCAAATATAGGTATTTAAAAGTGTCTCATATCTAGGTCACACTGATGCAAGAGTTGGGCTCCCATGGCCTTGAGTAGCTCTGCCCTTGTGGCTTTGCAGGGCACAACCCCACTCCTGGTACCAATTTATTGTATTAGTCTGTTCTCATGCTGCTAATAAAGATAACCACCCCCATGATTCAATTTCCTCCCACTGGGCCCCTCCCATGACACGTGGGGATTATGGGAACTACAATTCAAGTTGAGATTTGGCTGGGGACACAGCCAAACTATATCAGTCATACAATATCTTAGTTGAGATATACTAGGCTTGCCTACTGTAGGTCTTAGCTTGGTTTTGGTTTTACAGGCTAATAGGTGGAAGGGACTTTCAGATGAGACTTTGGACTGGGACTTTTGGGTTAATACTGGAATGAGGTAGACTTCAGAGGACTGTTGGGGAGGCATGATTCTGTTTTGAAATGTGAGGACATGAGATTTGGGAGGGGCCAGGGGCAGAATGATATAGTTTGCCTGTGTCCCCACCCAAATCTCATCTTGAATTGTAGTTCCCATAATCCCCACATGTCATGCGAAGGACCTATTGGGAGGTAATTGAATAATGGTGGGGGTGTGTTACCTCCGTGCTGCTCTTCTCATGATAGTAAGTGAGTTCCCATGAGATCTGATGGTTTTATAAGAATTTTTTTCCTCTTTTGTTTAAGATATGTATATTTTAAACCCTAAAGCAACAATTAAAACATTGTAAAAAGAGGTCTATGAAATAAATTAATAGTAAAGATAAAATAAAATCATAAAAAGTGCCTCATTAAATTAAGATGAGGCAGAAAAATAGGAAAAATAGACAAATAACAAAAGTATCATATAGAAAAGAGGTGGCAAATTGATAGATTTTACTCAGTCATACAAATAATCTCACCTTTATATAGTTCTTAGATGTCATATTTACCTATACTTTAAAATATCTTTATATGTATACAACTATATTACATTTAATATTTGGTTCTTGTAAACAGCATATATTTGAGTCTGACCAGCTGTCTTATATTTTCTAACATCCATGAAATCACGGTAGGCGAATATGTGAGTTTAAAACTAGGGTAGAATCTCAAACTCTTCATAGTTTATAAAATATCTCTGGGTAGCTTCCTTCTCTCCAATATTATGCCCCAAAATTCTAGCTGCTTCATGCAACCTGAACACTGGTTACTATATGTTTACCTTGATGAGCCCACCATTATCTTCTTGGTTTTTCCTTTTCTGTATTTTGGTCCAGAAAATTCCTGAATGTTGAAAGCTGGTGTGATTATAAAGCTGGTCTCCTGTTTGCCATCACTCAGGCTCAGAGCCCTGCATTGCCAGTTATCTTTGGTCTGAAAATTATTAAGTCATTATTTCAATTTATTTTCTACAGTTTTCTACTTTTTCAACATCAGAAGGATAGATGTAGGACCTGCTGCTTTTTGACCTTAAAAAAAAAGTATTGACACTACCATTCCATGATATGACTAGAACAGTCAAACTTTACCTCCACTTACCCCTCTTGATTTTTATTTTATTAAGCATGTATTTTAAACATTTGAAGACATTAAAATTATTGTTTTGTATAGTTAGTATTTATTCACTTATATTTACCTATCTCCTCACTTTTGTTGAATTTCTATTATGTTTTGCATTCTCATGCACAAAGTAGGCATTTTAGGAAGAAAAAGGAAGAATAGAAGGAAGATGGGGAATGAGTAATGGAAGAAACAAAAGGAAAAAGATATATTCTTCTAATTTAACTCAATGTAACTCATATTTTAACTAAAATTATACAAGTGAATTCTAAGCAAAAGGATTGGTGGTAAAAGTTGTATAAATATTTACCTTTGAGATTAATGGTATATAAGTGGAACTGAAGTTAACCACAACATCAATGGTTTGGGCTTACTGTAAATATTTATTGGAAGGAATCATTCCTACAATTGAATTAAATGTATGGAAGGATTATCAACAAAACACATTGCTATAATTCTATACCTAGAAAACCCTAAAGACTGCCAAAAGGCTCCTGGAACTGGCAAATGACTTCAGTGAATTTCAGGATACAGAATAAATGTACAAAAATTGGTAGCAGTTCTATACACCAATAACATTCAAACTGAGAGACCAATAAAGAATACAGTCCCACTTACAAGACCCACACACACACAAAAGCACCTAGCAATACATCTAGCCAAGGAGGTAAAAGAGCTCATTAAGGAAAACTACAAAACACTTTTGAAATAAATCATAGATGACACAAACAAATGCAAAAATGTTTCATGCTCATGAATTGGAAGAATTAATATTGTTAAAATGGCCACATGCCTAAAGCAATCTACATATTCCATGTTATTCCTGTCAAACTACCAACATTATTTTTCAAGGAATGGAATAAATATTCTAAAGTTCATATGGAACAAAAACAAGCACAAATAACCAAAAAAATTCTAAGCATAATGGACAAAGCTTCAGGCATCACACTACCTGACTTCAAATCACATTATAGGGCTTTGGCAACCAAAACAGCATGGTATTGATACAGCAACAGACACATAGACTGATGGAACAGAATGAAGAACCCAGAAAAAAAAAGCCACACAGCTACAGCCGTCTTATCTTTGACAAAGTTGTCAAAATTAAGCAATGGGAAAAGGACTTCCTATTCAATTAATGATGGTAGGATAACTGCCTAGCCATATACAGAAAAATAAAACTTGAACCCTACCTATCACCATATACAAAACAATCTCAAGGTGGATTAAATACTTAAATGTAAGACCTCAAACTATAGAAATCCTAGAAAAAAAAACTAGGAAACACCATTCTGAACATCAGCCTTGGCAAATAATTTATGACTAAGTCCTCAAAAGCAATGAAAACAAAAACAAAAATTAACAAGTGTGACCTAATTTAACTAAAGAGCTTCTTCACAGCTACCTCTCTAATCTGTCTATCCATCTATCTATCATCTATCTATCTATTATCTATCTATCTAATCTATCTATCTATGTATCTATCTATCTCTTAACAGATTAAACAGACAACCTATAGAATTGGAGAAAATATTCACAAACTGTGCATCCCACAGGCCTAATATCTAGAATCTATAAGGTACTTCAACAATTCAGCCAGCAAAAAACAAATAGCCCCCCTAAAAAGTGGGCAAAGATATGCCAACAGTGAACAATGTGAAAAGGAAATAAAAAAGTCATCCATTTACAATAGCCACACATAAAATTAAATATCTAGAAATTAACCAAAATGAAAGACTTCTATAATGAAAACTATAAACACTGATGAAAGAAGTTGAAAAGGACACAAACAAAATGAAAAAATATTTCCTACTAATGAATTGGAAGAATCAATATTGTTAAAATGTCCATGCTATTCAAAGCAATCTACAGGTTCAATGCAATTCCTATCAAAGTACCAATGACATTCTCCACAGAAATAGAAAAAAAATTCTAAAATTTATATGGAACCACAAAAGACCCAGAATAGCAAAAGCTGTCCTAAGCCAAAAGAATAAAACTGGAGGAATCACATTACCTGATTTCAAATTATACTACAGAGCTATAGTAACCAATACAGTATAATCTTGGCATGAAAATAGACATATGGACCAGTGAAACAGAATAGAAAACCTAGAAACAAATCCACACACATACAGTGAACTTATTTTTGACAAAGGTGCCAAGAATGTACACTGTGGAAAAACAGTCTCTTCAATAAATGGTGCTGGGTCAACTGGATATTCATATGTCGAAGAATAAAACCAGACCCCTATCTCTCACCATATACAAAAATAGAATCAAAATGTATTAAAGACTTACATCTAAGACTGCAAGCTAGGAAACTACTACAAGAAAACATTAGGGAAATCTCCCTAATGTTTGCCCTAATGGGCAAAAATTTCTTCAGCAATACCCCACAAGCACAGACAACTAAAGCAAACGTGGACAAATGGGCTCATATCAGGTTAAAAAGCTTCTGCAGAGCAAAGGATGCAATCAATGAAGTGAAGAGACAACCTACAGAATAGTAGAAAGTATTTTCAAACTATCCCTCTGACAAGGGATTAATCACCAGAATATATAAGGAGCTCAAACAACTCTATAGGAAAAAATCTAATAATCCAATCATAATGGGCAAATGATCTGAATAGACATTTCTCAAAAGAAGACATAGAAATGGCAAACAGGCATATAAAAAGCTGCTCCACATAACTGAGCCTCCGAGAAATGAAAATCAAAACAATATCATCTCACCCCAGTTAAAATGGCTTATATCCAAAAGACAGGCAATAACAAATGCTGCAGAGGATGTGGGTAAAATGAACCCTTGTACACTGTTGGTTGGAATGTAGATTATTACAACCACTGTGGAGAACATTTTCCCTGTTTCTCCAAAAACTAAAAATTGAATTACCATATGATTCAGCAATCCCACTGCTAGATATATACCCAAAAGAATAAGTATATTGAGGCGATATCTGCACTTATATGTTTGTTGCAGCATCTTTTACAATAACTAAGATTTGGAAGCAACTTAATTGTCCATCAACAGATGAATGGATAAAGAAAATGTGGTACATATACACAATGGAGTACTATTCAGTCATAAAATGAATGAGATCCAGTCATTTTCAATGACATGGATATAACTGGAGATTATGCTGAGTGAAATAAGCCAGGCATAGAAAGACAAACATCACTTACTCTCACTTATTTGTGGGATCTAAAAATCAAAACAATGGAATTCATGGATGTAGAAAATAGAAGAAGGGTTACCAAAGCCTGGGAAGTGTAGCAGGGGGTGGGTGGGGAGGTAAGGATGGTTAATGAGTACAAATAGTATAAAGAATGAATAACACCTACTATTTGATAGCACAATGGAGTGACTATAATCAATAATAACTTAACTGTATATTTCACAATAACTTAAAGAGTGTAATTGCATTTTTTGTAACACAAAGGATAAATGCTTGAGGGGATAGGTATCTTATTTTCCATGATGTATTTATTTCACATTGCATACCTATATCAAAACATCTCGGGGACCTGTAAATATATACAACTACTATTTACCCACAAATATTTTTTTAAAAAAAATAAATAAATAGTATTTTACCAAACTCCCAAAAAGTGGGCAAAGCTCATGAACAAACACTTCTCAAAGGAAGACATGCAAGCAGCCAACAAACATGAAAAAAGGTTTACCATCAGTAATAATCAGAAAAATGCAATTCAAAACCATAATGAGATACTACCTCACACCAGTCAGAATGGCTATTAAAGTCAAAACCAATACAGGCTGGTGAGGCTGTGGAGTAAAGGGAATGCTTACACACTGATGGTGAGAATATAAATCAGTTAAGGCCCTGTGGAAAGCAGTTTGGAGCTTCTCAAAGAACGTAGCACAGAACTAACATTTGACCCAGCAATTTCATCACTGGGTATATACTCACAGGAAAATAAATCATTCTACCAAAAAGATACATGCACTCAGGTGTTTATCCCAACACTGTTCACGATAACAAAGGCAAGAATCCAATCCAGATACCCATTAATGGTGGACTGGATAAAGAAAATATGGAACATATACATCACAGAGGACTATGCAGCTGTAAAAAAGAGTGAAATCCTGTCTTTTGCAGCAACATGGATGCAATGGGAGGCCATAATCCTCAGTGAATTAAGGCGGGAACAGAAAACCAAATATCAAATGTTCTCATTTATAAGTGTGAGCTAATCACTGGGTACTCATGAATATAAAGATGGTAACAGTAGACACTGGGGACTACTAGAGAGGGGATCAAGGGCTGAAAAACTATCTGTTAGGAGCTATGCTCACTTGCTAGCTCTTGGGTTCAAGTGTACCCCAAACCTCAGCATCACACAATATACCCATGTAAGTAACCTGCACGTGCACTCCCTACATCTAAAATAAAAGTTAAAATTATTTTAAAAGTATTTCCCTCTTCACTACTTAAAAATAAAAAGCACAGTTTCACTTATCTAGAATGTGTTAAATGTGGTCATGTAGAGGCAATAGATTAGGCTTGATCACTTTTCAAGGAGAATGCCAGGTCCAGTAATATGTGTAACATGTAAAGAAACTGCTCATTAAACTGTGTGTTACTGAGGTTGCTCTGTGGCTTTTCAAGAGCATTGGTAATCTGATTTTGATTTTGAGAAATGGTCTCACTCTGCCACCCAGGCTAGAGTGCAGTGGCCTAATCTTGGCTCACTACAGCCTCAACCTCCTGGGCTCAAGCGATCCTCCTGCCTTAGCCTCCTGAGTAGTTAGGCACTGCAGGCACATGCCACCACGCACAGCTAATTTATAAAAAAAAAATTTGTAGAAATGAGGTTTCACTATGTTGCCCAGTCTGGCCTTGAACTTTTGGCCTTCTGCAATCCTCCTACCTCGGTGTCCCAAAGTGCTAGAATTACAGGTATGAGTCACTGCACGCAACCAATGACCTCATTTAACATCAATGGAAGAACAGTAGGAAAAAAAGACAAATTGTATCAGAGCTATATCAATGATGTAGTAAGTTACACAAGTAAAAAATCATATTTACTACTCAGTATCATGTACAATTATGATTCTTGGCAATATATTGATTTCTTGCAACAAATATGGTATAATCATGCTAATCTAAAATAGTTTTATAACTAGATGCATTAATATAATACCTGATAATTTTACATGAATCATACATGTGATTACAAATAACTATTTTGACTTTGATTATAACTTCTACTTAATTGATTTCTTAAATTGAGAATTTAAAACCCAGTTTATTTTGGAGAGGCTGCAGTTCAGCAGATAATTTTAAATTCCAAGTGTTGGCATCACCAGAGACTTTTGTAAATATTCTTTTATTATTAGAAGGAAAAGAGGAAAAGTGTCTTCTGCATTGTAAGGATGTTTTTTATTATACTTTAAGTTTTAGGGTACATGTGCACAATGTGCAGGTTAGTTGCATATGTATACATGTATCATGTTGGTGTGCTGAACCCAGTAACTCCTCATTTAACATTAGGTATATCTCCAAATGCTATCCCTCCCCCTTCTCCCCACCCCACAACAGGCCCCAGTGTGTGATGTTCCCCTTCCTGTGTCCATTTAAAGCAGAGACAAAAACAAAACAAAACCCCATTTCACTATTGTTTTTGAATATCCATTAGTGTCTTTAATAGAGGAATTTCACAATAATAATGAAATAATTGAGAACACTTTAAACAGTTTCTACTACCCATCTATCTTTCATAAATAATAGATTTATTGGACACAGACAAAAATGGCTAATTTAATAATTATAGAAATTTCCGTTGTGCATAAATTAATCTTTAGAAATAAGTCAGGTCCTTGAAAGTAACAAACTCTCAGGTCCCCTGAGATCTCTTTTTATAAACGATTGTTGTGTTATTAAAAGAAACATAGAAGACCCAAAGAATTAATTTATCCTTCAATGTGTCATAGCTACTCCTGAGAATACACACATTGACTAGTGGAATACGACTGACAATAAGTAATTTCTTATTTTCTAGTTTCCACCAACTATTCTAGCTTAAACAATTGTGCTCTAGCATCCTTCCCAGAGCTGTCTTCATACTAAAATTTGTCTCTCTTAGTTTTCTTAAGTTACATTAAAAATACATGTTTATTTTGTCATGTGCTTAAAATGCTTGACAAAGAAAATATTAGATTAGAATATTAAGATGATTTCGGTTTTGTTTATCTAGGTCTTTTTGTCTTGTAATTATCCCCAGTTAATTAAGGACATTTGGTGTTTATGTGATAAACTGAAAAGGACTCTACGATACACAGCCTCTTCTGCTATCTTAAATAATATCCACTTATTATTTGACCATGTCAAGACCAAAAAAGTATAGTCCTAAAATAGTATTCTATCCCTGAATTGCTAAAATAGTTGAAAGACTATAAACTTTGTGTATAAACCAGATAATTTATATGGGTGTACATGTATGTACCAAAAACCACTTTGTTGAATTTCTGCAACTACAAGACAAATATGCTGTATCATTGTCCTCTGGATTATTATGGCATCATAATTTAAATAGCAAAATAACAAAGGCAAATTTTAAGTCAGTCAAATAAAAAAATTGAATTTCAAACTCTTATTTAATATTAGAATGCTAAATTATATATTGATGCAGAAAGCTCAGTTTGATTCCCTAATATACCACCACCACTGTTGGAAGCTGAATATCTTCCTGGAAGTTAAAGTTTAGGCAAAAATTTAGGTGCGGATTTTAGCAGAAAGAGAATTGTGCTTTCATAGTCATTGTTTAGATAAAACTGAGACTAAGTGGATGGATAATTTGTGTAGATGATGTTTATGAGATTGTATTAAATATGGACATATTTTTCATGCACACTTAAGTAAATATACCCATTTTTGCATTAGCATGAATCCCTGGCCTTCATGTTTAATATTTTAAAATCTTGTTGAATTATTTCTTCCCAAGTACAGCAAATTGGCTCAATGCTTGATTTCTGTTACTGTGATGGCCGTTAGTTCTGTTTGATTTGCAAAACTTCTTGATCGTTTCAAGATCTATGAAAAAACAGTGCTGACAATCCCCCAAGTCAGAACTCCCACTCATTATTAACACATCTTACCAGATGTCCCCGGTAATGTTATGACTGCAAAATTCTCTGTTTTCTAATTTGAGAATGGAAGGATTTTAACCCTCTGTATATAAGGCAGGCGGAGGGATGTACAGGGAAAAATTCTAACAACTTGTTTCCGTCATTGTAATATATTGCCTTGCAGCTAACTGACATCCAAATCCTTAAAAATTGAGGGAAAAATGGCCTATTTTATGTTTAATTAAATAATTATCAAAAAATAAAATCCTTGGTTATGGTTTCAATGCTTTCTAAAAATAATCTTTTGCATTACCTAACTTAATAGTTCTTCCATTAGATGCTGGTGGAAAGTCCACAATTGTGTTTGTTTTGAGATCAGTGTAAATATTAATAGTTGCCTATCTGACAAAGCAAAGGTTTTGTTCTTCCAAAAAAAATGTAGAATTGATGGATATTTTCTTAAATAACATATGAAGATCTATTCTAACTATTTAATTTTTCCAAGGTTCAAGAAAAAAACTGCATTATAGAAATACAAGAAACAGGGAATATTTAAAGAGTTGGTCTTTTTTTCCAAGTTGACCAATACATAAATAGGACTTGGAGATTTGTAAACCACCTGGAATTTCTAATTTTCCTTATTTGTGAAAGTTATTCTTATTTAACAGGGCAGGAAAATGGGAAGAATTGTGTATTCAATGCGATTTGGAAATATTTGGTGGAATGAAATACGACATGCAACTTCTTATTCCTGTGCATATTTTAGTTAATTCTGAATGATTTTAGTTAGGTTTTGCTCAATGGATAATAAATACAAAAATAAGAAGGAAAAACATATGGCGATTGCAGCAAATGGTATAAATAAGTTTAAGAGGAAATTAGACACTTTTATTGCAAGAGAATGTTACACCGAAAATGGATTAAGAGAACAAGGAGTAGGGAAACAGGTGAAGCTGATTTATTATGTGGGCACAGGAGCATGGGGGAAGTGGCCATTTTCTACCACGTAGTTACTTATGTCTCACTGGAAGAACCCACATCAAAAGATAATTATATACAGTCATGGAAATGGTGACAGCTGCATTTTGGCAAGTTGGCATGCAAATTACTGGCTCTATTCAGGTTACGTAAGCATGAATCGCTGAGAAATTTGAGATGAAAAGATTGTCAACGGTTTCTGGTTGGAAGACCTAATGAACATTGTGAAACTTAGTGCAAAAGACAGCACTGTCTTCAAAAGTCCTAGAGTTCTGAATTCAAATAAATCTGGACTTTTATATCATATTCATAAAATAGTTCAGAGGATATACATTTACAGAGAACAGGACATTGTTAAATATCCCAATTTCTCAATTTCTCAAATAGGTTATATTTTCTTTAAGTTTCACTTGCTGGGTCTAGCATAATCCCAAATTGAAACAGCTGCAAATGGTATATAATTGGGTCAGAGTGTTTTGTTGTCAGGATTCTTAGTTGCTTGCATTGGCTTATGAAAAGGTCATTATGAGAGAAGGGATCTGAATAGCAACGAGATTCCAGCTGGTTAGCTATTATTTTAATTATGCAATGAAATCAGCTATTTTCCTGCCAATATCTGAAGTTACTTATGAAAAAGTTATTTAGACACTCTTGAAGACATTCTTTTCGTATTCCTTTTATTGCATGTCACTAACACATTATTACAAACTTTCTGTATGTTTAAAACTTATTGTCAACAATGTTCATATATACATTCTCTCAACAGTATTTATTGTGGGATTGTGTTGTACCTGGCACTGCATATATTCTCTGTCCTTAAGGAATTTATTATCTATTTGAGAGACAAAATATACAGTAATGATAAAGCATAATGTAAAACCCTCTGAGTATATAATTCTGTATCAGCTTCTCTAATTTTTTTTTTTTTAATTTTGTTTTGTTTTGTTTTTGAGATAGGGTCTTGCTCTGTCACCCAGGCTGGAGTGTAGTAGCATGATCACAGCTCACTGCAGTCTTGACTGCTCAGCCTCAACCTCCCAGCCTTAACCTCCTTGGTTCAAGCTATCCTTCCACTTCATCCTCCCAAGTAGCTATGACCACAGGGGTGCACCACCACACCTGGCAAATTTTATTTTATTTATTTATATTTTTGAGACGGAGTCTTGCTCTGTCACCCAGGCTGGAGTGCAGTGGTGGGTTCTTGGCTCACTGCAACCTCCACCTTCCAGGTTGGAGTGATTCTCCTGCCTCAGCTTCCGGAGTAGCTGAGACTACAGGCGTGCACCACCACACCCGGCTAATTTTTGTATTCTTAGTAGAGACGGGTTTCACCATGTTGGCCAGGATAGTCTCGATCTCCTAAACTCCTGATCTACCTGCCTTGGCCTCCCAAAGTGCTGGGGTTACAGGCGTGAGCCACCACACCTGGCCACACCTGCCTAATTTTTTTTTAAGTATTTTTTTTTATAGAGACTTGCTCTCACTATCTTGCCCAAGCTAGTCTCAAATTCCTGGGCTCAACAATCCTTCCTCCTTCGCTTCCCAAAGTGCTTGGATTATAGGTGTGAGTCACGTCTATAGTTCTTAAAAGCTCAGTGTTTAGAATTCTGAAAAATCAAGGGTTTTTATGTTATATTTTCTGTTTGTTCTCACCTATAATACTCAAGCTTGCATTTTCTTCTAATCTTCAGAAAGGAAAAAGATGAAAAACAAAACTCATGCCTTCCCTTAATTCATGTTACTAAGATTTGAGGTGTTGCTTTGTGAATTTCATTAACTACAAATTAAAGTTAACTGGATCACATGCACCAGCAATTAAGGTGTAGGAGGTTTATAAGGTTTAGATTAGGAATGGCAGAACAAATTGGTATATTTTATAAATCAATTCAGTAAACAGTTAATTGGCAGGGAAGGGTTGAATCTGGGGCTTAAAATTTAAGTAACAATTGCTTTGGGAGTCGTGGGCAGAACAGAAGGTGCCTTATGTATATGAATATAGAAATGGATTAGGTCAAAAAAATTACAAGTAGATTTAAAAGGTTTCATAGGAATTAAAAATTATTATACAATGTTTCTATGCATTACATTTCTCCTCTTAAGTTGATCACGGTAATGTGATGGAATTAACTACTAAATGAAAATAAAAAAGTTAGATGTGGGGATTTTATTTTTTGTTTGGGCATGTAGATATTATTAATCTCCAGGGGGGTGAACACCAGTAAATGCTATAGATCACAACCAGTTCTATTTAATTCTTGTTAATTTAATTTTATTTTCAGAGCTGCTGGTTCCCAGATTGTTTGGAAATGTATGGTTATGAGGGGGAGGACAGAATATCACAGCTATAACATTAAACACAGGCATATACATTCTCAGAACTCACAAAACACGAAAATGTGCTGAAGCAGCTGGAGTGTTCTTTTTTCCTGATAGCTAGTTAGAAGACAGGAGGATGAGCAAAATTGGCAGTTGGATGATACTAACAAAAGCAGAGGAATTCGTGCAAAGAATTTACTGTGAAGTAGATCTGAGACTGGCAAGTGCCATCACATTTTACCTCTATTGCCAGTGCACTGATTTTGAAATATAAGTGACTAGATACACAAAAATGTTGTTTGTCGCTCTTCAAAAGACATTTCATATTTACTGAAATGTGTATGTGCTCTTGCTTGAGCCAGGCCCCATTGGAGAAATATGGGTAACTATTGATATTTAATTTGATATAGCAGTTTGGCATAAATAGTTTGGTTTTATGGTATACTGAATTTATATGTGGTAAAAAATACAGCAATACAAACTCCTTTTTTGATACAAATTAGCTCAATAGTGTATCCAATAGAAGTTTAGAAAAATAGATATAAATTTCTGAAATGTAATTACTTGCATTTTCTCTTAGCAAATTTGATGGAAGATTTAGCTAAAAGAAAAAGTGACAAGGCTCTTGACCATTTAGGGATATATAAAATGTTGATGTTATTAATGCATTTTAACTACCTTTACATAACTTAAATTCCTACTAGCCGTCTCAAAATTGGGACTTTGCCTGAATTAGAAATTACATAAACCATGCATTTGTCTAATGTGGATTTTCATATAAGGTGGGAGCTGGCTTACTGACCCTGAGTATATTACTGCACTTTCAAATGGGGCAATCATGGCAACACAGAACGCATGTGCCATTCAAATGCCCTAGAACTTAGGAATCTAAATCTATGTTTTGCCAGTCCTGAAGATATACGGGGTCCTGAAAAAGAAAAAAATATATACAAGATACAAAAAGTAAATAGGATTGAAACCTCAAACCTACTGGGTTTCATCAAGATACACACCATGGGTGGCTCATAGTCTACTCCTGTGATATACCCTGTATAAAATAGTTGCTCAGAACCAGAAAAATTGTTTGAAACCAAAATGTGAATTCAAGAAAGGGACTCACTTTGAAAATTTTAATATCTGTACCTTTTTCTGTTTTTGCTTCTATTGGCTGTATTGACTATTTCTTATCTGGACAATGAATGCCTTGCTTCTTTTTTCCCACTTTTCTTTCTTTGTTTTTGGTACTCTAAATATTGTAAGTAAAAATGTAGAAACTGAAGTAAGTTTTATATATATATATATATATATATATATATATATATATATATATATATAAAATCAGGAGGATAGAATCATCTCAGGAGGATAGAATATTTCTCTCTGTTCAGACTATTAGTGCAGTGGCTGGGTTGATCTAATCTTTATTTGAGCTTGGTCTAGGATTTGTTGCAGCTCTAGTTAGAATCAGTTCACAACAATTTCATGTATTTTGAAGAAATAATTAGAACATTCTCTTAGGTAGGGCTTAGAATAAAAGTTTTAACAGTAGAACATATCTGACTCATGCGGCACCAAAGTATGTTAGCAGCAGTGCATACATACTGGTTGGCAGCAACCTCAATTCTCACCTCCTCTGAAGAAAGAATTCAATCAAGGGGAATAAGGTAGAGGGAGAGACTGAGGCAAGTTTCAGAGCAACTGAAAGTTGATTAAAAAGAGTTATAGCAGGAACAAAAGGAAGTAAAGTATACTTGAAAGAAGGCCAAGAAGGGGACTCAAGAGATCAAGTGCACAGTTTGACCTTTTGACTGGAGTTTTATACACTGGCACGCTTCCAGGGTCTTGCACTACTTCTCCCTGATTTTTTCCTTGGGATTAACTGTCTGCATGTGCAGTGGCCTGCTAGTCATTGGGAGGGGCTGTGTATGCAGTGTATTTACTAGAGTTGTACGAATGCTCACTTGAAATGTTTTTCCCTCATTAGTCAAGTGTTTCTATAAGGTCATTGTATTAATCCATTCTCACATGGCTATAAAGAACTTCCTGAGACTGGGTAATTTATGTAGAAAAGAGGTTTAGTGGACTCAGAGTTCCACAGGCTGTTCAGGACGCATGGTTGGGGAGAGCTCAATAAACACAGAATCATGATGGAAGGACAAAGGGGAAGCAAGCAGCTTGTTTACATGGCAGAGTAGAAGAGAGACAGCAAATAGGAAAGTTCTACACACTTTCAAACAACCAGATCTCATGAGAATTCATTCACTATTATGAGAATAGCAAGGCGGAAATCTGATCCCATAATCTAATCACCTCCCACCAGGTCCCTCCTTCAACACTGGGGATTACAATTCAACATAAGATTTGGGTGAAAACACAGAGCCAAACCATATCATTTTGCCCCTGGCCCCTCTCAAATCTCATTTCCTTCTCACATTTCAAAACACAATCATGTCTTCCCAAGAGCCCCCTAAAATCTTAACTAATTCCAACATTAACTAAAATGTCCAAGTCCAAAGTCTCATCTGAGACAAGGCAAGTCCCTTTGGCCTATGAGCCTGTAAAATCAAAATTTAGTTACTTTCAAGATACAATGAAGATACAGTGGAGGTACAGGCTCCCATTCCAAAAGAAAGAAATTGGCCAAAGTAAAGGGACTATAGGCCCCATGGAAGTCCAAAACTCAGCAGGGCTGTCATTAACTCTTAAAGGTTCAAAAAATCTCCTTTGACTTCATGTCTTATATCCAAGTCACATTGATGCAATGGGTGGGCTTCGAAGGACTTATGTAGCTTCATCTCTCTTGCACTACAAGCTACAGCTCCCACAGCTGCTTTCACAGGCTGGCACTCAGTGCCTGTGGCTTTTCCAGGCATATGGTGCAAGCTGCTTGGTGGATCTGCCATTCTGAGGTCTGGAAGACAGCAACCCTCTTCTCACAGCTCCACTAGATAGTGCCCCAGTGGGGACTCTGTGTGGGGGCTTTAGCTGCACATCTCCCCTCTGCATTTCCCTAGTAGAGGCTCTCCATGAGGGCTCTGCTCCTGCAGTAGACTTCTGCCTAGACATCCAGGCATTTCCATACATCCTCTAAAATACAGGCAGAAACTCCCAAGCCTCAACTTTTTTCTTTTGCACACCTGCAGGCCCAATACAACATGGAAGCAGCCAAGACTTGGGGCTTGCACCCTCTGAAGCCATGGTCCAAGCTGTACCTTGGCCCCTTTTAGCTATGGCTATTGCTGGAGCATCAGGAATACAAGGTACCATGTCTTGAGGCTGCACAGAGCAGCAGGGTCCTGGTCTTGGCCCACAAAACAATTTTTCTATCCTAGGCCTCTAAGACTGTGATGGGAGAAGATCCTGTGAGGATCTCTAATATGCCCTGAAGGCATTTTCCCTATTGTCTTGGCTATTAACATTGAGCTCCACTTTACTTATACACATTTCTGCAGCCTTGAATTCCTCCCCAGAAAATGGCTTTTATTTTCCACCATATGGTCAGGCTGCAAATTTTTCAAACTTTTACATTCTGCTTCCCTTTTAAATATGCATTCTAGTTTCAGGTTATTTCTCTGTTTATGCAAATGATTTAGACTTTTAGAAGCAGCCTGGTTACATCTTGAATGCTTTGCTACTTAGAAATTTTTTCTGCCAGATACCCTACCTAAAACATCACTCTCAAGTTAGAAGTTCCACATATCTCTAGAGTAGAGGCACAATGCCTCCAGTCTCTTTGCTAAAGCATAGCAAAAGTGACCTTTGCTCCAGTTCCCAATAAGTTCCTCATCTCCATCTGAAACCACCTCAGCCTGGACTTCATTATCTATATCACTATCAGCATTTTCGTCACAACCATTCGACAGTTCTCTAGAAAGTTCTATACTTTCCCACATCTTCCTGTCTTCTTCTGAGCCCTCCAAACGGTTCCAACCTCTGATACCCAGTTCCAAAGTTGTTTCTGCCTTTTCAGGTACCTTTATAGCAATGCCCTGTACCATTTTTCCGTACCAGTTTTCTGTATTAGTCTATTCTCACACTGCTGTAAAGAACTAGCTGAGACTGGGTAATTTATGAAGTAAAGAGGTTTATTTGACTCACAATTCCACAGTCTGTACTGGAAGCATGGTTGGGAGTCCTCAGGAAGGTTACAATTATGATGGAAGGGCAACGGGGAAGCTAGCACCTTCTTCACATGGTGGAGCAAAAGAGCGAGAGAGCAAAGTGGGAAGTACTATACACTTTCAAACAACCAGATCTCATGAGAACTCACTCATTATAATAAGAACACCAGAAAGGAAATCTGCCCCCTGATCCAGTTAACTCTATTCAACATTAGCAATTACAATTCAACATGATGTTTAGATGGGGACATAGAACCAAACCATGTCAGTCACATACTAGTTAAAATCCACTATTTTACCTCTAGTGCACATGCTTGAGCCAACTGGCCTAACTCTTGAGATCTTTGGGAAGCTAATCACCAATTTCAGGTTTTTCGTTTTTAAAAATCTATTGGGAGACTGCGTTTCCATGGCACCATATGCAACCAATTATTATTTCTGAGAGAGCTTAACAACTGCCTGACCATCACCTAATGATCACCTGTAATTCCTGATGGGTAGTGGAGGGCTCTCCTGCCCTGCTCATGTCTGACTACTAAGTACCTTCTGTAACAAAAGGACTGAAAATACTACAGAGTTTGTAGCATAGATATAAACTTTAGGGCCTAGGTGCCTGTTTTTATAGTTATAGGGAGTTATTTTTGCTCTTCAATCTTGTCCTTGCCTTTCTCAACTTTGGGAGATCTTTCTCTAACCTATTGCCTTATTTCCAGGCTTTTGATGGTCAAGTCTGGACTATTTCTATTTCTCTTCACCTGCTTGCCTGGCCCCAGCCTTCAGCAACTGCTACACTGCACTTGGGGAAGGCATTACCTACATCAGGAGAGAGTTCTTCCACCTCTCTTGCCCAGCTGCTAAACTTGGCTGGTCCACCCCTTGCCTTTGGTGAAGACAGCAGGATGGAGAGGAAGAAGTATTTTGATAGATATGTGAAGACTCACTCTTTCCTGTTATTCAAAGTTTAAATCTGTCACATTGAAAGTGCTTTAAGACTTTGGTTCTTACTTACTACCATTTCTGGAGAATTCCTCCTATGTCTGCTGTTCTGCCAAAGATGAAAGCAGACATAGATCTTTTTTCTCCTTTAAAGGGCTCTATGCTTTCTGTATTTTAGTGCATATAGCTTTGTTTGCATCCTTAGCTCTCCCATGCTGTGCTGAAACTACTAGTTACCTGTGACTATATTGTAATTTAAATTACTTGAATTGCAAGGACGTTAAAATTCAGTTTCTTAGTTGCGTAGGCCACATATGTAGTGCTAAATAGTCATATGTGGCTAGAGACTATTCTTTTTTTTTTTCCTTTCCAAAGAGTCTTTAATAAAAACGATGACTAGCAAGTACAGTCATGCGTCCCTTAACCACAGGGATACATTATGAGAAATGTATCTTTAAGTGATTTTGTCATTTCATGAACATCATAGAGTATACTTATAAAAACCTAGATGGTATATATACTAATACATATACATATATATATATATATATATATATTTATCTGAAAAACCAAATGTCCCAACATCATTACTGAATATTGAATATCAATTATTTCCCCTACCTGATCTGAAATGCCAATATCAAGTTCGATATATCAGGTTTTTATATGTGCTCCATGATAATCTTACAGGACCACTGTCTTTTTTTTTTTTTCAGTCAGGAAACAACAGATGCTGGAGAGGATGTGGAGAAATAGGAACACTTTTACACTGTTGGTGGGAGTGTAAATTAGTTCAACCATTGTGCTAGAGACTATTCTATTGAACAGTGCAGATATAAAACAGTTTCTTTATTACTGAAAATTATATTGGACAGCACTGCTTTAATGGATGTAAAACAAACTAAGATTTTATAGATTATCCAGACTGATCTCATGGATAGTGTGAGAATAACAACTTTTAATGACATTTTATGTCATAACCAGATTGAAAGTCCTTTAATTATTTTCTCAATGCATGCTTCATTTGAATTTTCATTTTTTGAGTGTGTAGATCAATAGAAATAGGCCCTAAACTTTCTTCCTTTTTTATAATTTTTTTATTTTTATATAAAAATATGTATATTTATATACATATATTTTATATTTTATTTTATTTTTATATTTAAATATTGTATTGTTTTAAATTTTTTATATTTAACACTATATGGAAGATACAATATAGCTTTGAATACAATAATTTGAGTTTCTAATGAGTTTTTAGTATTTTAAAACTCGTATCTCAACACAGTAGAATACATAGTCTTCTTTTGTTTTTATGCTATATATTCTATACCAAATTTTTATAATTAGGACCTAGTTGTTGGCATTTGAGTTGTCTTTTAATTGGTATTTCAATACCACAGTCATTTGCTTGAGTTACTATTTGATTGAGCCCACTATTTTACTTTCAATAATTTTTAATGATTTCAAGAGTAGTTTCTCTTGTATATTTTATTTTTTCCCTCTTAGAAAAATTTTAGAATCACTCTCTGGAGCCCTATGTCCACCACATTACAAACAAACAAGCAAACACAAATAACTGTGAATATTTTAATTGACTAGCTTTATAAAGTAAATTTAAAATAAAAATGTATTTCTGTCTTTATCAACAACATGTTTTATCCCATATTTGTTCATGCTAGTGAATGATTTCCTTAAGGTTTCATTGATTTGGTATATTCTGAATGAGACGATTTATTTTTTAATTTGTAATTGGGGATTTATTTTAATTTGTTGACCTTTTCTCCTTGGTTTAATTTTAAAATTATCTTTTGATAAACAGTCATAGAATTAATTAATAATAATAGATGATTCTCTTTCATAGTCCTGCCACTCTGTCTTCTATTAAGCATCTGTTTGTGTGAACTACAGTCTACTATAACATTAAATACTCATGGTGACAGTGAGTGTTTCTTGTTTTTCTCATGTTAATTAGAAGGCATCTGGACATCACAATAAATTGTTTTTTTAAAGGAAAACTCATTACATTATACATATAAAAATGTTTAGATTACTATAAGCAAAAGGTTTACTAAGAGTGATTGTTGGATACTATCAAAATGATTTATCACTTATTTGTTACAGCACAACACCCCAAAACACATTGGTTTAAAACAAAAACATCGTTATTCTTATCAAACGAATGTAGGAACAGAAAACCAAATATGGCCTGTTCTCGTAAGTGGGAACTAAATAATGAAAACTCATGGACACATAGAGGGGAACAATACACACTGGGGCCTATTGGAGGGTGTAAGGTGGGAGGAGTAGGAAAAATAACTAATGAATACTAGGCTTAATACCTAGGTGATGAGACAATCTGTATACAAACCCATATGACATAGCTTTACCTATGCAACAAACCTGCACACCCTGTACATGTACCCCTGAGCTTAAAAGTTAAAAAAATAAATAAATAAAAGAAAAATCTTAGACCCATTAAACAAAAAACATTTTGATATTTCTTACAATTTTCTCATTGACAGGACACAGTTGGACTCTTGTATTCTTCCACATGATGCCTGCGTGGATCACTAGTTTGGCAGCATTCAGTTCCAAGAAGGCTTCAATCATGTAGAAAGTGTTCCTTAGCAATGGATCTCCGTGAGGTTAGCTTGGGATCTTTCCCATAATTATGGTCTCAGAATAGTTGGACTTCCCTAATTTTCCAACAGGGAGAAAGAAAATACATCCAGTCCTCTTAAAGGCTAGGTCCAGAACTGGCAAAGAATCACTTTTGCCTCATTCATTAGTCAAAGCAAAAAACAAGGGTAGACAAGAGTCAAGAGGAGGGGGAATAACTTCTACCTTTTGATGTGAAAAAAGTTTGAATAAAGTTGTGTCAGATGCTTAATAGAACTATGGTTTCTGCAAAACTGCTTAACAATGCAGAAAAGGTGGGGGGGTAAATAGAAAGTCTTTGAGTAAAAACTAGAGCAATGTTATTAGCTGATTTAATGATTCAATGTTCTAATCTATGAATTATCCAAAGCACCAAGTATGGACACCCCAAGCCAATAATGGTAACTGATTATGAGTTGGAGACCAGGGCCCAAGTGGAGGCGACTTCAAAACTGCTTTGAGGTGACAACACTGAAAGAGAGAATAATTAGAATAAATTTAACAATTTAAGATGTATCTGCAAATCCTTCATTAAGAAGAAAAGCTAATATTGGGGGAAAATTATCTTAATATAGAAAGTATTCTTCATATATCAAGAAATAAAATAATAGGAAAATAAGCAAAGAATATACATCTACAATTCAGAGAAGAACAAATCAAAATAAGCAATAAAGAGAGTTAAAAAATTCTAGAAGTTAGGAAAATCTAAGCTAAATTAACAAAGGTCAACTAGCACACACTGGACAGCAAAAATGCAAAAGACTAATATCACTTTTGAGTAAGAATGAGGGAAGATGGAAATTTTAAATAATATAATTTTAAATAATATAAATTTTCAGAATATTTTTAGAAGTCAATCTGGAGGCATCTACTAAAATTAAAAACAAACAGAAAACTAAAGATACATACAGATTTTTGACACAGAAATCCTGGTCCTAGAAATCAATCACGTAGAAATAAAAGAGGACATCGCTTTGAATATATGTGCAAGAGTGTTTACTGCAGCACTATGCATAGTGGCAAAAAAAGCCAACAACAACTAAAAACAATTTGAATGAATACCAACAGGAAAATTATTGAATATTTTATGTTATATAGATACCATGGAATAATATGTTAAATTAAAATAATGGGAAGTAGTGAGCTGAGATTACACCACTGCACTAGCCTTGGTGACAGAGCCAGACTCTCTCTCTCTCTCTGTCTCTCTCTCTGTCTCTCTCTCTCTCTATATATATATACATATACATACACACACACACACACACAATTTTATATGTATATATAATGTATGATGTTGTAAAAGTTGACTTGGAGGAATGTGTTCAATGAAAGCATGAGAGCACATATCTCATATATGATTTCTTATCTTTATTAACACGTTGAAAATGGTATGTTTTCATCATTATATGAACATGGATTAAAAATACAGATGATTGATACATGTCAGACTGTTAACAAATTTACAAAGGGTAAATATAGATGTTGGAAGAAATTAAGAGAAAGAATGTTGCAGAGAGAAGAGAAAAATAGGCCAGGCGCGGTGGCTCACGCCTGTAATCCCAGCACTTTGGGAGGCTGAGGCAGGCAGATCACGAGGTCAGGAGATCGAGACCATCCTGGCTAACGCGGTGAAACCCTGTCTCTACTAAAAAAAAAAAAAAATACAAAAAATTAGCCGGGCGCGGTGGTGGGCGCCTGTGGTCCCAACTACTCGGGAGGTTGAGGCAGGAGAATGGCGTGAACCCAGGAGGCAGAGCTTGCAGTGAGCTGAGATAGCGCCACTGCAGTCCGGCCTGGGCGAAAGAGCGAGACTCCGTCTCAAAAAATAAAAAAATAAAATAAAAAAATAGCACAATAAAGAGTTTATGTAGTACAAACTTTTCAATGCTAATTGAATATGTGTATTTATGAATAAAGAATCTATAACAAGGATAGTTGGATCTATATACATTGACTCCTAGAAATGCATGCAATATATCCAAGTGAAAAGCAAAAGTATGCAGTCATATGTACACTATAGTTCTATTTCTCCTATAATAGATAGGGAAGGTGGAAGGTGGAAGTTGGGGTAGTATCTGTCTGTTTGATAATCTTGGTTACCTGAAATAATAGGATTAGAGATTGAGACACGGTAAGATGATATGGTGTATGTATGCATGTATTTGAAGTTCTCTCTCTCTGTATGTGTGTCTTCAAATTAATTGACATCATACTCGTGGATATTAGCACTCCAATATTATTCGTAACACTATTCACAATAGCCAAGATGTGGAAGCAGCCTAAATCTTAATCAGCAGATGAACAAATAAAGAAATGTACTATGTACATACAATGGAATACTAAATTCTGGAATATGCAATGACATGGATGAACTTTCAGGATATTATGTTAAGCCAGTCACAGAAAGACAAATAATACATGATTCCACCGATATGAGGTATCTAAAATAGTCAAATTTCTAGAATCCAGGTGTTGAATGGTAATAGCCAGGGGCTGGAGGATGGGAAAAATGAAGAGTTACTAATCAATGGACCTGAAGTTTCAGTTATGCAGGATGAGTGATCTCTTGAGATCTGTTGTATGGCATTGTATCTACAGTCAATGGTAATGTTATTTTATTTATTATTTTTTTTAGGATGGAGTATCACTATGTTGCCCAGGCTGGTCTAGAACTCCTGGCCTCAAGTGATCTTCCCACTTCAGCCTCCTAAGTAGCTGGAACTATAAGCACAAACCATCTTGCCTAGGTATAGTCAACAGTAATATATTAAATACTTAAATATTTGTTAAAAGGGTGTCTCATATTAAGGGTTCTTATTGGAATTAAATAAAATTTTTTTAAAGAAATATAAAAAAAAGTACCTACAATAACAAAAGTAAATTAAAATAACACAATAGCAAAACCAACCTAACAAACAAATGTATGTAGCTGTTAGAATACAACCTAACACAAGGCATAATTGGTAAAATTTCACAAAAGGTAATGATTGTTGTCTTATGCTTACTTACCAGTAAAGCATTATAACATATAAAGTAAATTAATGAAGATAAAGTTACAATGAAATGTAATATCCTTTTAGATCTCTATCAAAAATGTTTATATCATAAAGCAAATAATGTAGATTAAAATAACTATTATTACAAAAAATATTGCAGCAGTTATTCAAGCACATACACATTTAAAAGTCCATAAAAAATCAATTTGTACTACTCACAAAAGAGATTCCTATAAATTTTTTAAATCTATAAAGTGTGGAAGATCATCTCTGACAAAATCTTAACACTGCAAATCATAATTCAAAAACATTTTTTGGAAATTAAATTTTTTTAAATTTTTGAAATCTATATTATACCTTTAATTCATGGGTTAAAGACAAAGTACTCTATTTCAAAGCCTACCAATACAAATAAATTATTTATAGGAAAGCTATAATCATGAAAGCATTTACCAAAAAACAGAAGAAAAGCAACAAAAGTGGAGTATCAAAGACATAGGAAAGGAAAATATAGATAATTGAAGAAATTAATAAAATAGGATAAATGAATTAATGAATAAAAAGTTAAAAAGTAAACAAAACCAAAGCTAAACTTCTCATGAATCTATCCCCAACTTGTCAGAAAGTAAAAACAAACAAAAACATAACCAACCAGTTAACCAACTGAATAACAACAAAAAAATTTGGAATGGAAAAAGTGTTGCACTTTTGTAAGAATATACAAAATGTTAAAGTCAATGTGATTAATTTTATGACCCAAATGTTGAAAAGCTCAATTAAAAACTGATATATTTAGTGAAAATATTATAAAAATTTTCTCAAGCATTTGAAAAATTTAAAAATACACTTTTGATGATGTTCAATCATTAAACTGGCTAATCAGTATAAACTGTACATCAGTATAAACTGGCTAATGATTGGATACTCTTATTCTCATTATTCACTTCCCACCTTCAATAGGCAGTGGGTTTAGGTAATATTTATAGGTCAATTTTATTGAATCTTGAAGAAAAAAATTACATCTCGTAGAATAATTCAATTAATAAATAAGTAGTGTCATACAACAATTTGCATAAGTTGAATATAATATTGTTACAAGAGTCAAGGGCAGTGATAGGAAGAAATTATATACAGAAACTAACTTGTCAACATAGCATTAAAAATCTAAGTAAAATTAGATATTTGATTCCATTAGTATTCCAAACAAATATGCACATAACACACGTACATGCAGAAACACACCAGGAAGGGCGTATGCAAGAAATCCAAGAATAATTGAATATCAGAATTACTAATTAATATAATTATCAACTAATATATATTTTTCAGAAAATGTAAAGATGAAAATAAACATATCAAATCTGTAGGATCTTCTACATGAAACACATACAAGAAAGATAGTGACAGTTTTGTTTTCATTAGTAAAAAATTAGAAAAGACCTAAATGACCAGAAATAGGAAATGGATAAGTTAAATTTTCTATATTAATGTAAATGATTAATAAGTAAGTGATAGTCAAAATGAATGAACTAGAGTTATGTGTTGCATAAATTTGGGAATGATTTTATTTAAAAAGACAGAAGAATGGCCAAGAAGCACATGAAAAAGTATTCAACATTATGAGCCATCAGGGAAATGCACATTATAAATAGAATGAGGTATTTCTCACGCAACAGAATGACTGAAATTAAGGAAGTCTGATTATATCAAATGTTGGTGAAGATAAGAGCAACTGAGCATCCCACACATTGTTGATGGGATTGTAAAACCATATTATTACTTTGTAAAATTGTCTGGCAATTTCTTCTACATTTAAACACTTATTTACCTTTTGACCTAGCAATTGTACTCCTCTGTATTCATGCATAAGAAATGAAAACTTATCTTCAATAAAGATATGTTCAAGGATGTTCATAGGTTTATAAGACACAAACAGTGGAAACAACTCTAATGTCTATCAATAAGAAACAGATTAAACCAATTGTGGTATATGTGTATAATGAAATACTCAGAGAAAAAAGAAATGGACTACTTACATCCTAAAAAATGAATAAATCTCAAAAAACATTATATTGAGAAAAATGAGCCAGATATAAAGTAATAAATATTTTATGAGTCTTATATTTATATGAGTTTTAATAACTGGCAAAAGAGTCTACGGTGATAAAAATCAAAAGGAGTTGCCTCAGGAAGGTAGAAGCAGGAAACATTGGATAGCGGCACAAAAAAACTTCTTAGGAGAATACAAATATTCTATCTATTTTGTTTGTGTGGTATTTCTATGGGTGCGTATAATTATCAAAAATTTAATATCACTGTATAAACTTGTCAAAACAAAAATTGAGGACCTTATTAAATGTGTGCAGATTTTGGTTTATATAAATTTTACTTTAATAAAACAGAATTAAAAAAAATCATGGCCACATAAAAAGTATTGTTAAAAGTATTACTAGGGTGACAGGTAAAATTTACAAACTTTTATGTTCCAAAATTTATTATAAATATAATTCATACTAAAAAACCTTATTAATAAAATAGTTGTAGAAAATAAAACAAATTTTTGATGTTTGATGTAATTATTCCTTAAAGGAATAATTCTAAGAAGAAGCAATACACCAAAAAAAGATAAGAAAAAGACTATATGTATATCTCACAAATAACAAAGAAAATAGAAATGTAAAAAAGTTTATTTTTAATCTAATAATTGTGATTGTGTTTTTGTATTATAATACTTAATGTTAAATGACGAGTTTCTGGGTTCAGCACACCAACATGGCACATGTATACATATGTAACTAACCTGCACATTGTGCACATGTACCCTAAAACTTAAAGTATAATAAAAAAAATACTTAATGTTAAGGAAGGTTTGGTACACTATATAATCTTACGCTTTACTGGTATTGGATTGACCTTGATTACTGAAGCATGTCTGGAGTTTGGATTGACCTAGTCTATTTAAAAAACAATTTCAAGATGTGCATCAAGATCTTTAAATATGTTCATAATTCTCACTTATTAATCTATTCTCAAAATATATTCCCCAAACAGGGAGTTCCTTCAAGGAAATTTAACAATAACTTTTTAGCACAATTATAAAAATAAAACAAATGTGAAGATTGTAGCTCATCTAGCTTATACAATACCATACAGCTATTAAACGAAAGTATAAAAATCATGACAAGATATTTTCCATATTCTTAAATTTAGTAAAAGGATGATACAAAATTATATATATATATATCTCATCAGAAATCCAGGTATAAAATTATATAATAATTTCTTTTTTGAATAAGAAGTAGTCCAAGATATGGTATGTGTTGGCTTGTTCTGAGACCCAAAACATCAGATGAGGAACAGGGACACTGGTTCATCTTAGAAGAATGAAGAATTCGCAGTGTAAACTTATAAAGGACAGCATATTTGAATAAATTTAAATATAACTTCTAATTCATAGATACCATACCCATAATGGGAAGGAATTAGTTTTTAATTATGTAAAGGCTTGGAATTGCCATGTGTGGTGTGTATATAAAGTGTATGTCTGGGCTCAGGTATACACGTTTATGCAGTGTTGTCATATGACAGGGGCATGGTGTAAGAAAGCATGTTGTCTTACTAAATGCTGTCATAGAAAGTTGCTCTTTTTAAACCTATTTATCTCCAGTAGCATTTTTCTAATTTTTTGCATTATAACATAGAGTTTTCGTGTCCCAGACTTTATTATAATTGTATGAGTATAGGCCACTATCTTATTAAACCATTTTATCTCCTGTGCCTAACATGGTCCTGGTACAGATTAAGTGCTCAATAAATCTCTATTACTTTGAATGGGTATGTGTAAGTTACCCTTCACATAAGCTAGTTTTTAGCAGATCAGTAAGTGTGAGTTCCTCTTGAAAAAGGATGAGAAATGATGCAGTTATAGTTACTTTATTAGCCAGTGTATTTTAAAGATTGATGAGTGTCTTCATCAGATAATTAGTAAACCTACTCTGTCATGAGTTGCTGAAAAAAAAACAGTCTATCAAACTTAGATTTCTTTTTAACTATTATGTTATTTCCCAGTTACTTTAAAGATAATTCATATTCATAGGAATTTACAAATATGTTTTTTAAAAAATTAACCCATGTAGTTTAATTAAAGACATTCAAATAATGTTTTCTGTATTACTGACCGAGGAAAACTATGTTACATAAATTAAAAATAATTTTTTGGAACAAGAATACCTTATACACTTAGAAACTGCTGTCTTATCAACAATACATGAAGTTTATTGAATAGTTTACCTTTCGGCTTTAGCTAGTTTTGAAAATTTTATCAAGAAAGCAGAGATATACACATTACAACAGTTGAAATTTTTGTAACTGAAATTACAAAATGAACGGTTCTTGATTTTTCAGAATCTGGTTGTAGCTTAAGTTTTTATGATTCAGAGATCTGTTTCTTGGACATCATCTCTATTTACAGTGGGTTACTGAACCAGTTTACATCATCATCATCTCTATAGGGACATTTTTCTCATTTGTCTTGATTACCACTCTATTCCCAGGACATAGAGCCACACCTGGTATATGGAATCATTAATAAATATATGTTGAGTGAATTAATACATAAAACTGAATTAAGTCAGGGAAAAAGGTAAAAAAGGAGAGAGACATGCTTCAGTAATCAAGGGAATGGTGAGTTAGAAAACAGGTCAATTTTCAGCAATATGAAATGCCAAAGGTATACACTGTAGAATAACAAAAGTTTTTTAAGTAAACAAAAAATCAAACTGAAAAACCAAAATTTAAAAATACAAGTTTACATTTATTTTAATTAAAAGTTAAAGCTTCTGCTCTGTGAAAGACGCTATTAAGGGAATGAAAGGGCAAGCCTGAAAATCTTTGCAAAATACTTATATGATAAAGAATTGTTATCCAAAAATACACAATGAACTCCTAAAATTCAACAATTAAAAAAAACAACAACAGACAACTCAATGAAAAAACGGGCAAAAGACCTGAACAGATACCTCACAAAAGAAGATCTACAGATGGCAAATAAGTATATATGTTCAACACTGCATGTCCTTAGGAAAGTGTAAACTAAAACAATGAAATGCCACTAAGCACTTAAGAGTGGCTAAAATCCAAACACAAAAAACGTTAAATGTTGGCGAGGATGTGGAGCAAGAGGAATTCTCATTCATTGCTGGTGGTAAGGCAAAAATTGTACAACCACTCTAAAAGACAGCTTGGTGGTTTATCACAAAATTAAGCATACTCATCATACATTCCAGCAATTTTGTTCCTTGGTATTTACCCAAATGGGTACAAAACTTACACCCACACAAAATCTTGCGTCCTCATACATAGTTGCCAAAATTTGGAAGCAACCAAGATGCTTTCAAAAGGTAAAAGGATAAACTGTGGTATGTCTCCACAATAAAATATTATTCAGTGTTAAGAAATGAGCTATCAAGTCATAAAAAGACATATGGGAAACTTAAATGCTTATTATTATACAAGGTGAAAGAGGCCAATCTAAAAAGGCTCCATGCTGTATAGATTTTAACTACAGTCGTGTGCTGCATAATGTCATTTCTGTCAACAACAGTCTGCATGTATTACTGTGATCCCATAGACTATAACAGAGCTGAAAAATTCCTATTGCCTGGTGATGTTTTAGTTGTCCTAACTTTAGTTGTGTTGCAGCACAACATATTACTCATGTGCTTATGATGATGTTGGTATAAACGAACCTACTATGCTGCTACTTGTATGAAAGTGTGGCACATAAAATTATGTATAGTACATAATACTTGATAATGATAACAGAAGACTGTGCTATTGATTCATATATTTATTATACTATAAGTTTAAACATTATTTTTTCTATTTCTTCTACACATATATATGTATGAAAGTTCACTCTGAAACAGCCTCAGGCAAGTCCTTCAGGAGGTATTCCAGAAGAGTTATTATTGACATAGGAGATGACAGCTTCTATGAGGGATGTGTTATTGCCCCTGAAGACCTTCCAGTGAGACAAGATGAGTGGAAAACAGCGTTATTGATGATCTTGACCCTGTGTAGACTTAGGCTACTATGCGCATTAGTGTCTTAGTTTTTAACACAAAAGTTTAAAAAGTAAATAGTGTATAGAATAAAGACATAAAGAAAGAAAACAGGCCGGGTGCAGTGGCTCACGACTGTAATCCCAGCACTTTGGGAGGCCGAGGCAGGCAGATCACAAGGTCAAGAGATCAAGACCATCCCGGTGAACAGGGTGAAACCCCGACTCTATTAAAAATATAAAAAAAATTAGCTGGTCATGGTGGTGTGTGCCTGTAATCCCAGCTACTTGGGAGGCTGAGACAGGAGAATCGCTTGAACCTGGGAGGCAGAGGTTGCAGTGAGCTGAGATCATGCCACTGCACTCCAGCCTGGCAACAGACCAAGACTCCGTCTCAAAAAAAAAAAAAAAGAAAGAAAACAATTTGTACAGCTGTATGCGTGTCTTAAGCTAAGTGTTAGTACAAGAGTGAAAAAGTTTTGAAAGTGAATAAAGTAAAAAAGTCAGAGTAAGTTAAGGTTAATTTATTATTGAGGAAACAAAAATAATTTTTAAAAATAAATTTAGGGTAGCTTAAGCATACAGTGTTTATAAAGCCTGTAGAAGTGTAGGATGATGTCCTAGGACTTCACATTCACTCACTATTATCGCAGAGCAACCTCCAGGTCTTTGAGCTCCATTCATGTAAGGGCCCTGTACAGGTGTACCATTTTTAATCTTTTATACTGTATATTTTCTGTGCCTAGATATGTTTAGATACACAAATGCCATTGCATTACAATTGACTCCAGTATGTAGTATAGTAACATATACAGGTTTGTAGCCTAAAAGAAACAGGCTATGCCATACAGCCTAGGTAGGTGATAGGTACACTGTACCATCTAGGTTTGTTTTAAGTACACTCTATGATGTTCACACAATGGTGAAATCACCTAATGATGCATTTCTCAGAAACATCATCATTGGTAAGTGATGTATGACTGTATGTGACAGTCTGGAAAAGTCAAAACTATAGAGATAGTACAAAGATCAGTGATTACCATGATTTTAGAGTGGGGAAAGGGATAGAGAAATGAATAGGTGGACCAAAGAAGAATTTAAAGACAGTGCAACTTTTGTATGTAATACTTTGATGGTGAATTCATGTCATTATACATTTGTCAAAGCCCATAGACTATATACCACAAAGAGTAAACCCTAATGTAAACTATCAACCTTTTGATTAATTATATAACAATATAGGCTCATCAATTATAAGAAATGCACCACACTAATGCAAGATATTAATGTTAACAGAAAACTCTGGGTAGGGGAAGGCAGGGATGGCAGATAGGGTATATGGGAACTCTGGACATTCTGTTCAATGTTTCTGTAAGCCTAAGACTGTTCTAGAAAAATCTATTAATTAAAAAAATTGCATGCCTAGAGTGAATGAAAAAATTTTCTGTCCAAATAATCTGAATTGACAAAATGGTCAATAATAATGTCCAAAATTGACAATACAATTAGTGGAAGATTCAAATACACCAATTACCATAGATAGCTTCACATATTAATTGTATCTAATCTTTTGAATTGGAAATATAAATGATATTTAAAATAGGTAAAGCCATAGAAAAATGTGAAGATTTGTCAAATTATTTGATAAAGAATAATTCTTCAAAAAATTGATATTGGTAGGCTAAAAATGGAACTGTAAATTAATCTGTCATGAATATAGATCAAATGTATTATATTAACCATTGGAAAACAAAATACAGCAATTGATATGAGAAATAATATACCGTGTTTAATCAAGATTTATATCAGAAATAAAAGGATGAATTAGTTTGAGAAATTCTGTCAACAAACAAAAAATAAACAAGTTTAGGCTGAAATGTAGAGTATCTTTTTCGTAAAGATTATCCCTAGGGATAATAGCTTCATTTACATATAGAAAATAAATTTCAGCTTTATCAATGTACCTCAGAGCCTCTGCATGGACAGTGCCCTTTATACCTTAGATTGCTTATAAATGGTGTTCTTTTTTTTTTTTTTGGCCAATTAATTAACACCTTGGTCTGAAGTCATGATAAATTCCATTTCCGGTCTGTGAATGCTTGTCCCGTGGTTCCATGTCCCAGTTTCAGCCTGTGCACTCCTCAGATCTCTGAGAATATGCTAATAAAACAAGAGCATCTAAGGTACATTTGTTTTCAACTATTAACAAGACTAAAGACCATGGACAAAGCCCTTCTTATTACAGCCTTTACGGGAAAACAAAATGTCAAGTTAGAGAACATCAAAAAATGCTGTGAACTAGTTATCTTACTTGATCTAGTTCCCTTTTTGTCACCTCAGTTCTTTTGATTCTTTCTTTTTAGTTTATGGTGAATATGCTAGAAATGTTTTTGAAAAACATTTACCAGTCTCTCCAAATTGATTGACAAATTTTCTGACCTCTTATATTACTAAGGTTGAGAGCTGACATTTACTTCCTCAACTAGGTCATCTTCAGTTCAAAATCTATACTTTTATCCTTGTTTATGATCTAGAACACACATACACAAGTGGGTACAAAACAATGTGCTTCTCATGGATACTAACATAGCCACCAACAAAGGCAAAGTGCTGAATAATGCCAGTAACTGAGAAGCCTCTGCTGGCTGTCTACTGATGACTTCTGCAAATATAACACCATCCTGCATTATTTTGCTCATCACTTCTTTGTTTTTTTAAAAAATAATTGTACATAAGTATGTAACATTAAACACTATAACTTATTTGTTTACTTATTGAATAGTTACTTTCAGTCAATATTATGTTTGTGAGATTCTTCCCTTTTGTGGTGAATAGCATTAAATTTTTCAAAGTTTGTTCATTTGTTGCTGTATACTATTTCATTACACAAATGTATCAGTGTTTCCTTACCCATTCTACTCTTGATGAAACTCTGGGCTATTTTCAGTTCACAGCTCTTATGAGTAAAGCAGATATTAATATTCTTGTCAAGTATTCTTAGTGCAAGTGGATACCAATTTCTGTTGCATATATTTTTGGCCTTGAATTACTGGATTATAAAGTATACACTGACTTGGTTTATGACAGCAATGCCAAACAGTCTTCCAAAGTGAGTTTACAAATTTTCACTCATATCAGCACTGTATGATAGTTCCTCTCTCTCCACATTTTTCATGATGCTTGTGTTTTCATTTCTTGTTAGGTAGTTTTATCTAAATAAATAATGTGCTTTTAGTTTGCATTTCTCTCATTACTAATAAGACCAAACACTTTTGCATATGTTTGTTTGGCATTTGTACACACTCTTGGTGAAGTGTTCTAACATTTTTCTTCTGGCTTATTTATACAATTTTATCATAATATACAGGAATTATCTTTATATTTCTCTGGTTCCTTTACTCCTAATCAATGCCAGATACTGATGTCATATTTTATCTTTTGTTTTTGCATTTGCAGTTAATTGTGTAATACCTGCAAAGAGGAATTACTTAATAAATTACGCAGTGACAATAAGCTTATTGAGATCATGAGTTTGGCACCTGATATATGTAGGTTGAAATCATGAACTTTCCACTCAGTTATGTAAATGAAACATTACGTTGACTTTTTTACATTTTAAAATTGGTATTATGATACATGCTTAGCAGCATTTTTAAATTATAAAGTATAAGATGTTACATGAAGCTGTCATATGCTGCCTGAAATATGGCAACAACTCATAAAATGATAGATGTTAATATCTGATGGTTGAAAGAAGGAAGAATTACATTTAAAATGGTTACCAGTAACTTCCATGCACAATAGATGTAAGTGTATAAGCTAAACATGCAAAATAAAATATATTTTCCCTAAATCACATGCCCATCATGACTTCTTTTTACTACTTGATACTTTGCCAAGTCATCAAAACTTTAAAGTATCTGATTTCTCTTTCGTTTCCCTTTCTAACAGTCGTCCGTCCCATGCATCCATTCATTCAAAGAAATGGATCCAGGGAAGGACTAACATTACAAGTATGCCATGTCCTCATTTACCTTCATGGATACACCATACAACGTTCATAGTACATTTTCAAGTTAATATGTTTCATTTCCTTTTAACAAACATTTTTCATGCTCTGCTATGTGTTTAACCCTTCTAAGTATTCTAAGGTTTGTTTGTTTGTTTGTTTGTTTGTTTTGAGACAGAGCCTCTCTCTGTCACCCAGGCTGGAGTGCAGTGGCGCAGAATAATTATAGTGAAAGAATAATAGTGCATCATTTGAGAAATTCTTCCTTAATGTGTAGATTCATGCTATTTGAATGCTATTCCAACCTGTTAACTGCTAAGACTTAAAATATCCTACACTATAATATCACATGCTTAGTGTCTAAACTATAGTTATCACTTGTAACCAATATGATTTTGTTCCTGTTCTCACATCATTGACAATCTTCACAACAGAGGTAAAATTGAGCAGTTCCTCTTTGTGCCCCATGGTGTCTAACACAGCCAGTGCTCTTTTCTCCCAAACAGATTCATGTTTGTTTCATTATAGGGAGGTTAATTTTCCAATATGTTGTTCAAGGCTTTTCATAATCTTCTCTTGCTTATGTGTTTGGGATTAAGTCTCACCTTTCAATTTTATGGCATTTTGATTAAAATTACTTTTAGTTGCTCAGACTTGTCATTCTCTCCCCCACCCACTTGGCCTTCACTCGTGCTGTTCTTTTGACTGAAGCATTCTTTATCAATTGGCTCCTCACTTTTTTGAATGGCTATCATTTCATGATACTAGTGCCTATTTTCTAAAAGTACCACATCACCTGCTTTTTAATACAAAATGAATTAAAATTATAGATAAATTTGTAATAGTCCTTGAGATAACTTGGAACAAATGAGATGTTTTAAGCCCAGAATTATATATACTGAGGAACAAAGTTTATAAATTTAGTCCCTGCAGAGAAAAATGTGTTTTATATAAAGAAGCACAGATGTGTATAGATAAAAATGTGTTCCTGACTATCTCTTTCATTAAATCTTAATACCACAATGAAATAAACGTTTAGTCAGACATAACTGTGCTCTATTTTCAGGACACAAATTTCTATTTTAATTCATCTAAAGCAGTTGGATATTGGCAATTTCATATATTTAACCTAAAACTTAGCACAACTTCAGGTACAAAGTAAATGATAAATATCAACTAAAAATTAGCTAAATATCAATAAATATCAATTAAAAGTCAGCTAAATATCAACTAAATAAAAAAAATTAAACTAAAAATCACTTCTAGACATTGTCAGCACCAAGTCAAACTTCCTTACCACTCTGTCCGGTCCATAATGTATATGTCCTTTTTATCAACTTTTTACTGTAAGGTATTTAATAAGCAAACAGCTTGATTTATTAAACTTTGTCATTTGTCTTTCTCCATTCATTGATCCTAACTGCCACCCTAGTGCTTTATACAGAGTGAATGCACAATTAATATTACTTGCATGAATATAAAATTAATGTTTACCTGGCCATTTTGTTAAAAATAAACTTGGTGTTTTACCATAATTTTAATTTTTAACAAGTCCCACACATTTTATAGAAATATTAGCAGGTATCCATTATATTGTTCATTTTCTTTCTGGTGGTTTGGGTTGATGTTTGTAGATTGAAATTATAATAGCTCAGATGAGAATAAGGTTATATTGTATATGTGAATTAATGCAAAATATATCACTTTGAATTCAGATCCATGGAATAAAAACTTCTATTGTTATGTAGCAAAGGCTAGGCCATCTGAGTTTTTGATAATTACAAGAATGTTTGCTGCACCACTCCTGTGATGATTTCCACATGAAGCACATGAGAGCTCTGCATAGCACATTTATTTGATATGTATATAGGAAAATGCATACCTTTTTAAAAAGAGCCTATTACATAACAAACATCAGGAAAGGATAAGGAACAATCAGAAGGTCAGGGGAAGGGGATCAGTTTTTTAAACTTCTGGGTATCAGGAATTCATTATGTGTAAAACAAAAAAAATGAAATCCAAAATGCATTTTTTTGAAGTATGCTGTTATATTTTGAAAGCTTAATATTTAAGTGCTGTCTTAGAATAGCACAAGTAATCATTGATGTTCTCCCACAAGTCCTGTATAATTTCTGCTTACAATTAAGTGTGATACTACAAAATACATGCAGTAGCATTGCATCAATTCTTCTTTTAATATCTGCTTAAAAACCATTTGCATGTGTTTTTCTGTTAGCATTCAGAATGCTCCATAAAATCCAATTAAGACTTTAGACTTTATGGGAAACTATCAAAATGTCTTTAGTTAATTCAACTGATATTTCAAAACAGTAAAACTCACAAAATGGAGCCACTATCACATGCTGCTTGTAACCGTATATTGAACATGATTTTCAAATTGCCATAACTTATATTTCTTATGTATATATTTGCTCTTTTAAAAAATTAAAGTATATTTTAATTTCAATATTAAGTAGAAAGTCTGCATTTTCATGGACAGTTCTTAGAATTCCTACTTGATTTTTCTTATATTTTAGACCAAGGATTGCTCTCCTCTCCAATTGTAGAAAGGCATTCCTTTTATTACATTTTAAAAAGTAGCTCACTGATGGGGTTGCAGACACTTCTCAAAAGAAGACATTTATGCAGCCAAAAAACACATGAAAAAATGCTCATCATCACTGGCCATCAGAGAAATGCAAATCAAAACCACAATGAGATACCATCTCACACCAGTTAGAATGGCAATCATTAAAAAGTCAGGAAACAACAGGTGCTGGAGAGGATGTGGAGAAATAGGAACACTTTTACACTGTTGGTGGGACTGTAAACTAGTTCAACCATTGTGGAAGTCAGTGTGGCGATTCCTCAGGGATCTAGAACTAGAAATACCATTTGACCCAGCCATCCCATTACTGGGTATATACCCAAATGACTATAAATCATGCTACTATAAAGACACATGCACACGTATGTTTATTGCGGCATTATTCACAATAGCAAAGACTTGGAACCAACCCAAATGTCCAACAATGATAGACTGGATTAAGAAAATGTGGCCCATATACACCATGGAATACTATGCAGCCATAAAAAATGATGAGTTCATGTCCTTTGTAGGGACATGGATGAAATTGGAAATCATCATTCTCAGTAAACCATCGCAAGAACAAAAAACCAAACACCGCATATTCTCACTCATAGGTGGGAATTGAACTATGAGAACACATGGACACAGGAAGGGGAATATCACACTCTGGGGACTGTGGTGGGGTCGGGGGAGGGGGGAGGGACAGCATTGGGAGATATACCTAATGCTAGATGACGAGTTAGTGGGTGCAGGGCACCAGCATGGCACATGTATACATATGTAACTAACCTGCACAATGTGCACATGTACCCTAAAACTTAAAGTATAATAAAAAAAAAAAGTAGCTCACTGATAGAATCAATAATAATTATAAACTTAGATTCTTGATACCATTATCTTATAAGCACTTGTAAGAAACCAAGCAACAGTATATTTAAAGTGTAATTGGGCATATATAATCACATAAAATTATAGTTCTTTTAATTCTTTTTAAATACTACATTATGATTATTGGATCATGAGTAAGTAAATGGATAGAAGTGTGAAGAAAGAAGGAAGGAAAGAAAATGAGGCAAAAATAAGTCTGAGCTATATAGCTTGCGTTTAGTTAGGCCAACCTCTTTGATCAACATCTCACTTCAAAAGTCAATTGATGTTTGAATGATTAAAAAGCTAGACTTTCTTCTAAAAAACAACAAGCAACCCATTATATTATATATAAAAGGGGAAAATTCAATATCATATGCTCTTTAGATAGACTTTTTGCCTCTTTTGAAGCTAGTATGAAAAAATTATTTTTCTTGTAACTGAAGAACTGAATCATGACACTAATTCTCTGACTGTCAGATAAAGGAATGAATAGGCAAGCTTAGAGAGATAAAAGACAATAACTTATATAAAAGAAAGAATACACTAATACTTCATGATAGAATTCACATTTTGGCTAATTTTCATAAGCATGAATGTCTTTGTCTTTGGGTTTATATTATATAAACTGAAACCACACAAATATAAACTAACGAATGGCACATAGTTTATCTGACTTCCTTGCACAAAAACAGAAACCTAAATTTCACATGCAAAGGAAAAAAAACGACTGGAGTCTGAATCTTGTATGGCTTGACTTTTCTCTATTGGGAAAAGACTCTGTTATTTACTTAATAATAGTATTAAGAATTATTATCATTATTAGTTTTAATAATTATAGTAGAGCTGGGATATTTAAAAATATATTAATGCAGAAGGGCCAGATAATTATTCTTAAATTCCTTACTAATATGAAAAAATTAGAACGTGAAGTTAGAAATGTCTTAATCATAGCCCTCATAAGAGTCAGATGACATGATCTAGGATTTCTTAGTGAAAATCTTCTGCTTAATTTATACTTAGGTAACTCGGAGAATGGGCTTATCTGGAAACTTTCTAATGTTGAAGTCATATACTCTTCAATTTTCTTTATTGCCTTGGAAGAAATATGAAAGGTGATACACAAATGAAATTTTAATTTAAAAATACCCATATTAGCCAAATATTCTATTAGGAAGCTGAATTTCAATGCTAAATCAGAGACAAGAGTATGATGCTCTTATCTTTGAATATCTCTTTATTGTTTTCCTTACGTGGCCTTATATCCATCTACGCCTTTTGCATCTTCCTGACAATAGATTCCAGTGAACATCTCTTAGGCTATGGAAGGCTTATCATTAATAACATTCTTAGCTATTAAGGCTTTCTGACATTCCCCAAGTTCACAATGTGAAAACTGAATTATATAAAGATTAAATCTTTTGTATATCCCAGTTCGTAAAACAGAGGAAACTGTTATAGTTTTCTCTATCCCTAACAGTAACAAGCAACGGAGATATTTTAAATTCTCACATACCTTTCTGTATACCATTCTTCAAGGCAGTAGTTAATCTGATCAAGAGTATTTTAAAGCTATGAAATGACCGACTGAGAAACAGAGGCAACAAACCCAAAGTCATTACTATGGCTTATGAGACTTTATATGAGGAGGCCCTCAATTACCGCTCTACCTCTGTTTCTAGCAGTTTTCCTTCTTCTTTCTGCTTGAGGAACACTGGCCACTTCATTTCTTTTTTTTCCTGAATAAGCCAGTTGTGGTTACAGCTTAGATTCTTTATGTATGCTCTTCCTTCATCCTTAAATGATCTTCCCTTAGGAATCCTGGTGGTTCAGTCTTTCACTTGATTTAATCTACACAAAACCATATGTTATCATGGAGATCTTTTCCTTTTCTATATACAATTGCAACATCCCCAAATGTAACAGGATCCCTCACTGCTTTATATTTTCTCCTCAGCACTTAATATAGTATAACAAATAGAAAACTATGTAATTATTGGCTATTTTATGAAGTTTTTGTTTGAATGTTTAGTCTTTACATTTCTATTACTACGTATTTTAATTACTGTCTTTTATACTGAAGGCACTATCAGTTGTAAGTGGCAACATTATTTTATGTAGTACTATGAAAGATGTGCTGTCAGCTGAACAATGCCATGTCATTGGTGATAGATGCATTATGATTTCAGAATATATAAAATATAGATTGAGAATTATTAAAATGGGGTATTTATTATGTTTATTGCTGCTTTCCTCACTAGAATGAAAGTTTCATAAGGTCGAGATTTTTCAGTGCTTTCTTTACTACAATCCATATTTTTTTTTCTTTTTTTGAGACGTTGTCTCGCTTTGTCGCCCAGGCTGGAGTGCAGTGGTGCGATCTCGGCTCACTGCAAGCTCCGCCTCCCGGGTTCGCGCCATTCTCCTGCCTCATCATCCTGAGTAGCTGGGACTACAGGCGCCCGCCACTACACCCGGCTAATTTTTTGTATTTTTAGTAGAGACGGGGTTTCACCGTGTTAGCCAGGACAGTCTCGATCTCCTGACCTCGTGATCCACCCACTTTGCCTCCCAAAGTGCTGGAATTACAGGCGTGAGCCACCGCACCCGCCACTGCTATCCACATTTTTCGTACCTATTATCCCTGTTACATCATAGTAGGTGCTCAATCAACATTTCTGACCTAGTAGATTTTGGTAGTTTACGTTTGATTATTCTGTCCCCTCACTGATTCATGATAGTTATGCACATCTCCGTATCTTTTATCTCCTTCTTCTCCTGCAGCATCATGTAAAAATACAAGAATCTTTTTTTTTTTTTTTTTTTTTTTTTGAGATAGAGTCTTGCTCTGTCAACCAGGCTGGAGCGCAATGGCGCAATATCGGCTCACTGCAACCTCTGTCTCCTGGGTTCAAGCAATTCTCCTGCCTCAGCCTCCCGACTGGCTGGGATTACAGGCGCCTGTCACCACACAAGCTAATTTTTGTATTTTTAGTAGAGACCGGGTTTCACCAATTTGGCCAGGCTGGTCTCGAACTCCTGACCTCAGATGATCCACCCACCTCGGCCTCCCAAAGTGCTGGGATTACAGGCGTGAGCCACCACACCCGGCCAAAATACAATAATTTTTCAAAGAGCATTTATTAATTTATACCAAATTGAGGGCCCTTACTAGACTTTATTGGAGGCAATATGTGTGTGTGTTGGTGTATATAGCGTGTGTGCATGCATGTGTCTGTATGTATGTCATGATTTCAGAAATCATGATTTTTTTTTTTTATTAATTAGGGTTAGATTTATCCATACGTGATGAGTAGTTTAAAAGTAGAAGTATAGTGGGTAATGCCAGGCTATTGTCACTCCAGGACCCAGGCTTCTTGTAATTTGCAGCCCTATCATGCATGGGTCCCAGGCCACAGTTCATTTCATAGTCAAAGATGATGTTTCCAGCTCCAACTCTGTTCTGCCAGCAGGAGAGAGAAGTGTAAAATAGAAAGATATGGTTCTTTCCATTTAAAGATGCCTTTTAAAAATTGCCCATACTCTTCTTATATCTCATTAGCCAATGATGTCAAGGACCACATACAGCTCTAAGAGAAGAGATGGGAAATCTCAAATAAATGCTCTGGGTGGTGGAAACACTAACTATTGCTTACAAGCAAGAAGGAGCTTAATTTTATAAAACAGGCTTCTCCACCCTGAAGAGTCTCATGTATTCTTCTTCTCACATATAAAATAGAGTCATGGCTTTCAATGAGAGACACCTCAGAGAACTATGCAATTACTACTTCCAGTCTGTAGTCCAAAATTTCTTAAGGATAAGCTACATATATCTCATAATAGTCTAGTGACCTATAAGCCATATCGCAATTTAAAATCTTCTGAATATTTAATTCCCACCCAACTGGTATGGAAACAGGACAAATATAATGAAATGATAATGAATGATAGAAAATAAACAGCAATCAGTGGCCATAACTTTTATTCAATCGTATGATGCAAGGATAGAAAAAAATCTTCCTTCCATGACACATCATGCCCAATAGGTTCTATCATTGAGCTTAGCAATGGAGATTGCAACCCACCTGATGGTGTCTCAGCTTTCACAGCAGGCTTTCTGCTGGCCCATGATCGGGCCTGTTGTTTCTTTAGCATATAAGAAATTACAAGCTCTATCAGTCAGAGTGTGTGGTTCTGACAGTATAATTTCCCTCAAAACTTAATAGGTTTCCAGTCAATTTCTTCTAGAACATTCCATGTGCAAGCAATTGCAGCCAAATATTTTGATAATATATATTACTGTAGGCTTAAAGACTCTTATCTTTTATTTATCATCCTCTTGCTTATTTTAAACTACTTAAAAATATCTGAAACAATAGCCTTGGGTGGAAAAGGAACCAATTTAATCTGATCTTTTCTACAGAGAGTAAAATGTTTGAAATAGGCTTGGGGGAATAGTTTTATGTTCAAGTCCATGTCTGAGAGCTACCATCAATGATGGCTTTGGTTTGGAGCATGAGTATATTTGTTTCTTAATCTACAGAGTCTCCAAATTATTGGGCTTTTAATCAATGAAAATTGCCCAGATTATTTTTCTTGGCAGAATGATAATCTTTGTCAACTCTACTTTTGGACTGGCAAATTCTAGGCTAAGTATTACTCTCTCTTAAGCATCTAGAAATATTTAATAAATACCTACACTTTGAAAATTTCCTATCATTTGCTCTAATGCTATAGCCTCTTTTAGTATATGATCTGCCTTTGAACAAACAACAGTACATAATTTCTGCCAAATATTTTGATATTGAATAGTACCTGTTATTACCTTTTAATGTCTGATCCTTCTTTCCTAACATATGGCAAATTCTATAAATCCAGTGCCACAGGTTTCGGTTTTGTTATTTATAGCACTATGAACCAGGTACCAAAGTCTGCATTAGTCAAGATTAGGTTTGGCCGAGTAGCAGAATATGCACAATAAAAGTGATTAAAACATAATATTCCAGTGAATAGTGTTGGACTCCTCACAGTGTTGCATCTAAGGTCCTCCTATCAAAGGGAAGATGAGATTATGGTATCTGGTGCCATACTGCCTGGGTTCAGGTTTCCCTTCACTTCTTACTATATAACCTATAGAAGTATAACTCTATCTCTGTGTGCTTCAATTTTCTCACCTCTACAATTGAGATAATAAATATCTCATAAGATTGTTGTGAGAATTGAGCAAGCTAATACATATAATGAACTCAGAACAATTCCAAGCACTGGGTAAACTGTATATGTGTTAGCTTGTTACCAGGTAGCTTTTTCTATGCAACAACCGTCTAAACACTAGTGTCTTAAAATATCAACCATGTATGTTGTTTACTTTCTTTGACTCAGCAGTTTGGGCAGTTTGGGATGAGCTTGGCTGATCTCCAGGCTGGGATATATGGTCAGCTGGTAGATCCACTGGGACTAGCATGCCCTCGCCTGAGAAAGGTAGAATAACTGGGCCTTCTATTGATGTGTTCTCACATCCTCTAGCAAGCTGGCATGAGCTTTTTTACAGAGCAAGTTCTGGTGTACCAACATTTTTCCAAATCTATGCTCGCATCATTTTTGCATCAGTTTTACATTGGCCAGAGCAAGGAACAATTCAGCACATGTTCACGGAGTGTAGAAGGACTCCAGTTCCTGAGGGCAAGAGTTATAATGTCACATTGGAAGAGATGAAAAATGTATAGTCATTTTTGCAATTGATTACCACTATGTTTATGATTGCTGCTGGTGTTGAGCTGTGCCAGAAATGGGCTCATTCTCAAGTTAGTTAACACCACAGTCCAGTTTCAACCATCAAATTTTGCATTCCAACATTGGGGAAGGCAGAAACATCCACTTATTTTAAGGATAGATGTTGAAAATTCTGTAGTAGGCAGAATAATGCCCCACCCTCAAAGATGTCCACATTTGAATCCCCAGAACCTATGACTTTGCTAAGTTATATGACAAGGGAGAATGAAAGTTGCAGATTATGATTGCTGATCAGGTGACCTTAATTTGAGGATATTGTTCTGGATTACCCACGTGAGTTTCATGCAATCCCAAGGGATCATATAAGTGAAAGTGGGAGCCTGGAGAATCAGTGTCAGAGGCATAGAGTTCTGAAGACAATATGCTGCTTCATGGCTTTGAAGATGAATAAAGGGCCTTGAGTTAAGGAATGCAGGAGACCTCTGCAAGTTAGGAAAGGCAAGGAAACAGTTTCTATCCCAGAATTTTAGAAGGCATGTAGTCCTGGTGACACCTTGATTTTAACCCAGTGCCACCCATTCCAGACTTGTGACTTCCAGAACTGTAAGAATCCATTTATGCTGTTTTACGTCTATAATTTATGTTAATTATTGTCACATATTCTTTCTATTTACATTTCATTGGCCAAAAGTTAATAACATGGTAATGCATAATTATAAGAGAAGCTAAGAAATGTAGATTTTTTTCTGGGTGGCCATCTACTTAGTTAATTTTAGAAATTTCATTTATGTAGGAGAAAATATACTAGAGAAAAATCAGTAAACTTGGCCAAAAAGAATCTATTGGTTTCAAAATCCAGAGTTCATGCAATTATCAAGCATTTTAAAAACATTCTTCAATCAGTGAGAGTTTGATTTCCAGTTTAAAATGAGGACGAAGAAGAACGAGATAAAGAAGAGCTGGCAAATCTTTTAGATTAATGATAAATATGTGCAAAAACAAACATCTATTCAGAACTTTCAAATGAGTAAATATTAATATATACATAAAAGCCACATAACAACACTTGGCACGTAAATCAGCACTGCATAACCTCTACCCATTATGACTTTTGTGGATGTTACTATAATTCTGCAGCAATATATGACTAATCTGCCTAGATAAGTTTAATTGCTTTTATCATTAGGGAGGTTGTTTCCCACACATTCTCAATTAGGGTCACACATTCTCAATTAGGGGAATAATATTTCTGATGCTAATTTTTTAAGCCATCAGTTTTCTCTCTCTTTAAAAAGCTCAGAGTCCAGCCACATATCTTGTTCCATTTTACTCTAGTGGTCTTGATTTTATCCCACTTTATCTTTGCAATTATTAATGATCATTACAGCGAATCAAGCATTCTTTCTGTAATGCGAATTGGTAATAGTCAAGGATAAATAATGTATAGACCCCCAGCAAGAGGGAAAACAAAACACATAATTAAAGGCAAATTAAATAAAGAAATGCTAGAAAAATTAATGGCGAAGCATCTGTAAAACTCATTTTAGGAAACTCAGAAATAAGTGTTCTTGTATTTGCATATGTCTACTCTGTACTGAACTCCAATCAGAAAAACAAATTGTATTTTTTTTGGAGTATTTATCCCTAACTCTGTGGTAGGTACTGCAAGTAAAAGGAAATAAATAATACTCACTACATATTCGGTTCTTATAATGAATACCCAAATAATATCATTGCTAGTAAGCCCGGGAGACATAATTTTATTATAATTGTTACTATTCTACTTTTAAAAATGCAATAATTGAGGCGCAGAGAAGTTAATTTATTCATACCATCACACACCTAGAAAGCCAACTGGAATTAGTACCAAGATTTTTCTGAATACAAAGTCAGTGTTCTTCCATTGCTGCTTATGAACTAAAAATATTCTCTTTATCTTCCCCTTGCTTCACTGCTCCACCCCCATTTCCAAGCCCAAGGAATAATAAACGACTGGATTGTAAAATTTAAGGACACTTTTCCAGGCTTCAATCTTTCCATTAGGTGACACTTTAAAAGAAAGAAAATCAACCACTTGGTGTATGGTTCTTTTAAAAAATCTATATGATAACTGTATGGAAATATAATTCACATACCATAAAATTAACCTCTGTAGTATTTTTTAGCGTATACACAGAGTTGTGCAACCATCACCAGTATCTAATGTTAAGTATTTTATCACCCCCAAAAGAAACTACATAACCCATTAGCACTCAGTCCTAGTCATCCCTCTTCCTCTAGCCTCTGGCAACCACTGATTTATTTTCTGTCTCCAGAGAGTTCCATTTTCTGGACATTTCATATAAAAAGAATCATACAATATGTGTTCTTTCATAACTAGCTTCTTCTACTTAGCATAATGATTTTATGGTCATTCATGTTGTAGCATGTACACTCTATTTCTTTTTATTTCTAGATAATCTTCTATTGCATGGATGTGCCACCCTTATCCATTTATCAGTTAATGGATGTTTGGCTTGTTTCTACTCTTCGGCTATTATGAATAATGCCATTATGAATATTTGCATACAAATTGTTGTGTGTACAAAACTTTTCTCTTGGATATATATCTAGGAATATAATTGATATTTCATATGATAATTCCATGTTTAAACTTTTGTGGAACTCCCAAACTGTTTTCCAAAGTGACTGTACCACTTTACCTTCTTATCTATTCTATGCACACCCCACTATTGTATTTTGGAAGAAGATAACTTGTTTTCTAATTTTACAAGTTTACAGATTAAGAGAAATTTTGCCCCCAAATGAATCATACCCTGAGTCACCTATAACTGATTTAAATTATGGCATTTGGGATTTTGAGTTGATATTGCTTAAGTGAGAGTTTTCACTCAAAATTGCAGCTGGAATGGTGAAGACTTTGGGGCATATTGGTATAGAGTAAATATATTTTTTATATGGAAATAACTTGGATTTTGTGGGGACAGAGGAGTGCTGTTATGGGTTGAATTGTATTCACCAAAAATATATGTTAATATCCTAACAACACCCGGTACTTCAGAATGTGACATTTTTATTTTTTTTTGGAAATAGAGTCATTGCAGATGAAATTAAATTAACATTAGGTCATACCAAAGTGGGATAGTGTCTTAATTCAATACGATGGGTATCCTTATAAAAAAAGGACAGAGACATGATGGGTGAATGCAATGTGAATACAGAGGCAGAGATTAGAGTTATGCTGCCACAATCCAAAGGATATTTGGGGTAACAGAAGCTGAGAAAGGCAAAGAAAGATTCTCCCAAAGAGGCTTCAGGCAGAGCATGTCCCAGTCAGCACCTCAATTTCAGAGTTTTGGAATTGAAAACTGTGAGATAATCAATTTCTGTTATTTTAAGCAACCAAGTTTGTGTTACTTTTTCATATCAGTCTAGAAAATACATATGCTCTAGGGAAATAGAACATTTTGTATTTTATAAAGTGCTTAATCCTATATTAATCTGATTGTTTACCATGAAAATGATAAAGAACTACCATAAAAATATATAAATTCTTCAGTCCAAAGAAGTCAAATTATTGTCCTTACAACTCAAACATGATTCTTCTGCCTGGGATTTCTAAATGGAATTAAAACTAGTATTTTTTAAATTCAGAGATCTTCCCAGTGATTGAAATTATTCACCCAAATTTGTTTGCATGGGTTCCCTGGAAGATGTGACTGGTAAGTTTAGCAAAAAAGAAAAAAAAGGAAAGGAAAGAAAAGGAAAGAAAAGAGAAAAGCAAAACAAGAAAAGAAGGAAGGAAAGAAGGGAAAGAGAGAGAGGGGGAGGGAAGGAGGGAGGAAGGAAGGAAGGAGGAAGGAAGGAAAAGGAAGAAAGAAAGAAAAAGAAAGAAAGAGAGAGGGAGGGAGGGAGGAACGAAGGAAAGAAAGCGGTAAGCTGTAGGTTAGGTCAAAGAGAGAAAGAGAAGCAAATTATCCCCACCATACCTCTTGTTCTCATATTAAGGAATGGCATGGGCAATGTCACCACTGAATCTGTAGTTAGCCAAGTGTAAAAGTGTTTTTCATCAGTGAGGTACTTGGTTTACAAAATTCAACATGCATGTGGTAGATTATTACAGTTTTCACCAATATTTCTCTGAAAGTTAGTATGCTGATCTTGAAGATATTTCCCTTCCAGTTAACTCTAAGATCTATAAAGTTCATAAAAATGTGCAGAGGAGGATGAAGACATAAAGAATTAAAGACTTCACAAATTCTATCATGTGAAAAACTTTGTTCCCTATTTTCATGTACAATACTGTTTTAAATCCAAACATGCCAAAGCACTTAAGAAAACCTAAACTTACAAATGTATCTTTGTTATTATCTACATATAACAAGTATGAGGAGAAAGATAAGGGATCAGGAGGTCATGGGATTTATCTAAATTACAAAAGTCTAAAACAAATCAGTAGTCAGATACAAAAATTCATATTCTGCAATTTATAATCCTAGCTACATATTACTGGAATCTTCTGCCAATGATGAATTTTTCTATCACGAAGCAGTAGAGAAGACACTTTTTTTTTTTTTTTTTTTGGTCAAGAACTGTGAAGAGTTTGGGATTTTACCCTACTTACAAGTTAAGCAGTTATCCTATTACTGTTTGTGTAGCCTGGCAGAAGACAGAGACTCCTAGGTGGATAACAAAGGACTTTATAATTGACAGAAAGAACACTAGCCACAGATTTATATTGGTTTGTGTTGGTTCCTATGCTCCCCTTAAGCCACGATGGGATGTAAAGGGTTCATCATAGATGCCTGCATATCAGTCTGCTGTGTTATCTGAAGGAACCACTGAACTTGGAGGATTTATTGCTTTGTCAGTGAGCAAAAGCAAGCCTGCTCTTATATGAATCTCATCGATCCATGTAAATCACATGGCACAGTTATTGAATATTTGCACCTTCAACCACCTTTTATGACAAGGCTACTCAGACATAAAAAGTATATGAAATTTTATCATTTATATAGAAACAAAAGTGTGGTAGTCTTTGTGTCTCAACACACTCACTTTGGGTTACCATTGAGGGCATCAACCAGAGCAGCATAGTACAGGGCTAGTCAGGTCCATATGAGTTTTTCTGTATTTATAGCATTTGGACAGAGATGACAAACCTAACAGCAAATCAGATTGCCAGCCTCAGTTGCTCCTTGATTCAGATGGTGGTCCTAGATTTAAGGAACAAAGCAAAACTTAATAGCTCTCACCCACTTCCTGAACCTCCTAAGGTCTAATATATTCATTTCCCAAATGCTAAAGTTTTTGTTTCTTCTTTATCACTACAAATTTCTGTGTCCCAGTTCAGAAGATATAACTTCACCTTTATTTCCCAATCAGCCCCTACTTACATCCACATATATCACGTAGAAAGGTCAGGGTGGAATCTCAAATCTTCAAAATAGGTCCATATGACCATATTTTGTCCTAATCATTACCTAGTTAACAGCCAAGGGGAGCAGGTCTATTTCTGGAGACCTTCTAGCCTCATTTAGTAACCCTACTGCTAAGTTGGTAAGGACAATAGAGTAAAAAATTTTCCCAAGAATGTTCAGGAACACCCAGGGCCCATGAACAGTTGCCTTTCCAACACTTTATCAAGCACCCACTAAATATAAACACAGGAAAACAAAACTTAAATTTGATGCAGCATATTTTTTTTCTAAGAAATTTTAGTGGAAACAGACGGACAAAATTTATATGACACAAAAATGTGAAAATTAGCATACAAAATGGCACAGTCATTGGACCTTATTATCTTCTATTCTTTTCCTTTTACTACTCTTCCTAATTATCCATTGTTTATAAGCCTTCTTAATTGTGAATCTTTGACTATGGAATTTTTTCACCTATGTACTTCTTACAACTAATCTGAGTCTCTGCCTTTATTCTTAGCCTTTCTATTGAAACTCTCAAATTCTAATTTTAATTTTGTTTCAATAAGTCTTCAGATGATAAGGCTGATTGTATTCACAGCATTTCTGCATGACATCCCACACACCCTCAAATTGAGACTGTCTTTAAATTAACTCTTCCTCCCCTTCTCCTCTACCCTTTGTCTCCATTTTCCCCTCGTATCTTACAATGGCAGAGACAACCATTCTAATTTTTAGACTCAAAATGAAGAAGTCAAACCTAACTTTCATGTCACTTATTCCAAAAGATTCAACAAGGCTGAAGTCTCAGAACTATCTCTTTGATCTTCCTTTGCTTTCTTTTTTCACCATTCACATCAAAGTGCAAGATATCATTGCCCCATTTCTTCAAAATTCATAACCGTAACTGCCACCTCAATTACTACGTTAAAACCATTTATTTCAACACATTACCATCCTGCTCAAGAATGTACCATGACCCTCCATTATCTATTGGATCAAATCCATATATTTGTATTAGTTTTACTCAAAAGTATTCTCTTTAACAAATACGCCATTTGGATTCAAGCCGAGCTGAATTTCTCATTTGTTTTGTGAGTCAGGCTTTTTGCTTTAAAATTGAGAGGATTCGGTTACATAAAAGAATCTGTAAAGTTGTCTTTTTTCCTATGGTTCTCATTTTACACATATACACACACTTATATTTATTGTCTTTTTAAGGTAATTGTTGAAAGTGCGACACATCTAGTCAGAAACAGGATTTATTCACGGACTTAAAGAGACAAAAATATGCCTTTTATGGACACTCTGGCTTGTCTAACAGAAATATCTGTAACCTCTGTCCCACTGTGTATCATACTAATGTTCTCCAGTAAGCTTCTTTGTACTATGCGACATACCAGAAAGGAGTCTGAATATCCCCTTTTGATATCCGAGATGGTAAATTATTTGCATACAATCTTTATACGTGTCTATAGTTTTTTGAAGTTCAACTGATGTGTAAATATGTTTATCAACAAACAATATATCATATCTACTATTTTAACTACTCAAAATGCAGAATTTCATAGTACTAAAATTTTCATTAAAATTGCTTTGCTAACTCATTTTTATTATCTCTAAGTCATGTAGAAACACTTACCTTTTTAGCTTTCTGAAACTGGGGAGATATGGTGGGAATATCACAGATTTTAGAAGGAAGATAATTTTAAAGTTTCTTTCTCTATATCTTTGCAATTAACTGTAGCCAAGACATTTACACAACAAAGCCCATGTCTAGTAGTTGGAACCCCAAGCATCACAACCATGTTGTCAGATATTTTTTGCTTGTCTTCACATGGGTATATCCACCAGACTCACTAGCCATGATTCTGCCTCTGATTTGAGCCTATGCATGCCTCCCTGGTCTTAAACTGACATGAGCTTTCTGACTTTAATAATTGCCCTCCTCCTCTCTCCTTGTAACCTAAGACTGACCCAACCTCCCTATGCTCCACCACTAAAATGAAGTATGGAATGTGGATTGAAGGGCTTATTAAAAAGAGTCTTTTGCTACAAATAAATTCCATATTTTCTATTTTTCCTTCATCCATGTTTTACATTTATACCACCACACCAATAATAGAAGCCTTATATTTTGTTTTTGAGCCATCTGTTTTCTTCATAAATGAAAACTAGTCATATTGCTAAGGTTATTCTTATCAGTAAAGTGACCCCTCTTACCTGTCCATCCTAACCCTTGCAATCCTCTAAAGCCATTTTAAATCTTGTCAACTTTCCAATAACCCCAGTCCATATTGACTTCCCTGTCTTGACCTTCCAAACCACTTATTAGATGTGCCATGAATGTTGACATTGGATTATATCCCATTTAGAACCATGTGTCATCTCATAGTATTCTCTGATATTGCAGCTAGAGGGAGGGGAAGTAACTGAGGTATCAATTTTCTTGTGAAGAGAGATAAGTAAACAGATAATATAGATGCTGACCAAAAAATATTTTTCTCAACCTAGAATTTTGGACAACCCATAAGAGTCCCAGTGCATATTAGATATTGAATTAAAATGTGTCTCCAGTGAATAAGCAATTCATAAATAAGTAAAGGGATTGTAATAATGTAACTACCTATTTCCCAAATTGGGTTTACCTTATCTTCCTTATGGCACAGGTTGAAGTACATGGTATGTTCTCTTCCTCTATTATGAAAAGAGAAGGTCAGGAACTTGCTACTTAGTTGTAAATTTGGAGTTCTACCTTTTGAAAAAGCGTTGGTGATGTCATATTGAAGTTCTGCTTCTTAAAAGTAAGTTTAAAACGTATTCTGCCATCTGTACTTGAAGAACAAATAAATACTGATTTTAAACTTTATTCTGAAACAATCTACATGGGAATTTTTGTATCTTTTTCTGGGAATTTAAGCACAGAAATATTGGATAATACCAAAACAGATGTATATTAACACTTTCCTTATTCCCTGAATATTGTTACAATTAGGAAGGCCATTTAAAAACGTGCAAGGGTATTTTTAGTAAGCCATGATTATTATCAAGACTTATTTTCAAAACTCTGTTTCCATGGGCACATTGAATATCAAATTTATTTATCAGAATCTGATTTCAGTAAAGAAAATTGACTACAAATTTACTGAAAATTGTTTATGTGAAGAAATTACAAGTGCTATTAATACTTACAGGTAGACAAATGATTAGAGAAGGTAGTAGTTTGATGTGAAGATATAGGACTTCACAGTAATGTTCAGTTGTACCAAACACTTCTTAAGAAAATGAGAAATGTAGTCCCAAGGTCTCAGGCAATTTTCTTTCCTGTAAAAACAATGTTCTCTTCTATTTTTTATCCAAAAGGAGATAATTGGTTTTGGTATTTGTTTCTCTAGAAAGGTTAAGAGAGAAACTCTCCAGCAGAATAATCCTTTAGTTTCTTGATAAATTCTTTCTTTTTAGTGCTATTTCACTGTTCTCTATACAGAGTTGCTAACTGCTGAAATGGGGTTAAGTCCCCACTGAGGACGAGAAGTCTGATCATTTCCCAGAAGGTGGTTAGGGTTGTGGAAGCATCTTAGCCTCGCAAATCCTGGGCTACTGTAAAGGCCACATATTTTTTGAAAGTTTCTGTGAGGTCACACTGTAGCTGAGACTCTTATGTATAAACCCAGCGTCCAGTGTCCTCTTCACACTTAAAGACAGGACTCTGCTTTCATGAGGATTGATATAGCCAGCTGAAAAAGTTCATTTCTAAGCCTCTCTTTGAAATGGAGTAGGTATGTGATCAATGCTTTGGCTCAATTTTACGGTCAGATGTCATTCAATAGGGCCTCTAGGAAAACTTATTAATTTGGGTTGATTCAATCAGTAAATTCCTTTTTGTGCCCTATCTTCCTCTATTTGCAATGAGAATACGATGGTTAGAACTTCATCTGATGCAAACATGAGGCTACTGTGTAAATGAATGCATGTGTTACAAGTGGTGGGTGGAAAGATAAAAGGATTCCAGGACACTTGACACTGAGGAATCATAACCAGGTTTGGTCTCTCTATGTTCTTTCTTCATTTTACATGAACATCAATATTTTAATCATTTGCTAATTTATGTCTCTGTTATTCAAAAATAAACATTTTTTACTGAGTTTTACTTTGTAAAAGAAAATGTAGATTACATATTCCATATTACTTTTGCTTTCCAAAGTTTGTTTAAAATTAATTGTCACCTAGCACATAGCCTGTTACATTCCTCATATGCTTAATATATACAAATTAAATAACAGAAAAGCATTATCTATTACTTTTCACAATATTTCAAAATATAATATATAGTGGGAGAGAGAAAGAGACAGAGACAGAGAGAGATCGAGTAAAATAAGCTATGAAGAATTTTCCTGAAAATTTAACATGAAAGAATGTTGTTATTGAATTTGGGAGATTAGGATTTTTTTAATGGAATCAGAACAAACCACTTACTCATTTGTTTTTTCTTTATAAAACAAGTTGGAATGGATTATATCAGAGATAACTTTATTTCAGGAAACTTAATATTTCAGAATTTATTATCCTACATAATACACTGTTAGGCTTTCACATCTGAATATATACCTGAGGTAATAGCAAACATTTTTAATTATGGATAATGTCAATAATATATCAAACTGTTTTTGACAGCATGCATTTCCACATCTAAGAAGTGGAAGATATGACGCTATTCAGAGGATTTTTTGTTGCTGTTGTTTGTTTTCTTTTCTTTTTAACTGAGATTAAGTCGCTTCTTCGAGTAGGCAAATCAACTTTTCAGTTGTTAGAAAGATGCTTCTTAAAGAAATTTCTCAAAATATTAAAAGGTTCCCAATAGGGATACATGTATATATCAACTCCTTTTCTTGTTCCTCCCAATAATTTCATTTGACATTTGTGGCAAAGATTTTAATAGACTCCCCCAAAACTAACTATTTCCTTCCTCAGTATAACAAATTCCTATTATTAGCTGGTAACATGGTAATATTGTCATATGAATAAAAGCCACTATTCTGCTCTAATACTTCTTTGCAGCTAAGTGTGACCATGAGACTAAATTCTTCTGGTAAAAAGGTAAGAAAATAAAGTGGTATTAAGGAAAGTTTTTTTTTTCTCTCTCTCTCTAAAAATAGAAGAAGCATATATTTCCTAAAACTCTTTCTTTTTTCTGCTTCTTGGAATACGTGATCATGGATCCTTCCAACATGAGGTGTAAGACACAGGCTGGGAAGAAATGAGGTTAGGTCAGAACATATGGAGCACCCACATCAGCTGGAGCCCGAGACCTCTGTATCTCTTTAATGTGGGAGAATAAATAAACTGAATCTTGTTTAAGTCCTTAATCTGAGTTTTTTTCTTCTGTATGTAGCCAACACTAATTCTGATTGATATAGCACCTATATTCTTCTATCTATAGACCACATAATGCACATTTACTGGATATCTGAGACAGGTTTAATAAAGTAAAAGTGAACTTGATCATGGAAGTTCTTAATTCTTTAACTCTTCAATCAATTTCCGATCTCTAACATACTACCTTTTTTAAAAATAGTTATTTTTAGTATGTTTTGTGCAAAATTCAACAGGCACACATTTTACTAAATTAAAATGTTCATAGAAATAGAAAAGATTACAAATCCATTAATGAAATTATCATATAGAATTCATTTCTTTAAGTACTTCAAAATTTTAAAAATAGATTATTTAGGGGTATTATCTAACTTAAAAATTTCTGAGTTATATTTATAGAGACAGAGACATTGAAATAGTTTCAAAAAACTTTTAGGCACTGTTTGTTCAAATCAGAGTAGGAGAATTCAAAGCAGAAATATAACTCCCATTTTGGAACTTAAACACAATAATTTTGAAAAGCTATAGTTATAGGGAAACAGTTATTATCAAGGTAGTTGATGATTTATATCCCACCTAAACATTTCTGCTTTATATCAGATGCAAATATTGTTATTTCTTGATAAATCTCAAACCAACAAGAGAAAGAGCTAGGATTTAATCCATAACCACACTCTTCAGCCTATTGCATTAACTCTATAATTTTGATTTTGTTAACAAATAAAAATATTTTATTTGAGTCTTTTTTGAATATGAAATTATAATTTCTGATTATTTACAGATAATATTGATGTCCATTACTTATATATCTCTACTTGCTGAAATGTTATTGTTTTGGCCTCTAAGTAAAACAGATAAGTCAGCAACACTGATTTGGTAAAAACAGAAGATGGAGCAAATAATGGTTTAACAGCAAAACAAACAAACAAAAAAACTAAAAGCAACCTTGTAAGAACTAAACTTGCAAACCTAAAAATATAAAGTGATGACAGTATTAGCACAGACTGCTTAGAAACTCAAAAGAATTTTCTTAAGCGTGAAGCCTTGTGTTTGTTTTGACAGAGCTAGAGAGCCACTTCCTTGTCTCGAATCTATTTTTTTCTAAGCAAATCTATTTGTCCAAGAACTGCTTCCCAATAAGCCAAAACATTTAACTTTAAAAAGCAAAGTAATGTAACAAATGGAAAGGAAGAAGAGTGTTTCATAATTGCCTCAGAATATTTTTAAACCATAGGTTCCCCTACATCACTCCTAAAGATTTTATTGCAATAACTGTGGTGCTTGACCCAGGCATATATATATATGTATGTGTGTGTGTGTGTGTGTGTGTGTGTGTATATATATATATATATATATATATATATATATATATATATATACCTAACAGATATTCTTGAGATCCTTATGAAAATTTTGAGAATTTGAGAATTACTAAATCATGCTATATCATTTGTGTCATCATACATAGCATAAAATTATAGATTTAAATGAAATCAATGAATATGAGAATTCTACATTTACCATTGAAAAAACAACTCATTTGAATGTCAATAACTTGCTTGAATGTGTGGGATCTGAGATTTTCCTCCACCATAAAAATTAACTTGCCATAGTTTCATGGATATTTGCAAAAGACATGATTTCCTAGGTTAAAGACGGAAAACTTTAGCACTCACTACAGAGCCAGCAGCATGAGTTTCATGTTTATGCCAATTCTTCTTATCCCAGCAAATGTCACAGGGGTGACATGGAGCAGCACAGGTGAATGCTGCACATGTAGGACACCCTGACTTCCTATAAGGGGGCTGCATAAAAACAACTCCAAACCTTGCCTTGTATGGAGATCCTATCTTTATTATTATAAACATCAAATAAACCTGCCCTTTATCTGGAGTAAAACACTACCACTACATTCCAAGGCTTTTCAATGTCCTTGAAAAGTCACACTGAAATAAAAGGTTAAAAACCATGCAGAAACATGAAATACCTATACAGAATTGTCTCCCAACAATGGACTTTTTATTTTTAATTAGATAATTTAAAAGGTATAATCACATGGATCTCATGGTCTTATCTCATTCTCAATATGACTTGTTCACATTTGCCTCTCCCGAAGATAGATATGAAGACTTCTCACCACCACCTCAGTAAGTTTCCTGGATATTATAAGGTGTCCACACAGCACAGTTCCATAAGGAAAAGACAAACCACAATTCTGCAGTATGAGGCTGAGTCATTCTAGCCTGTGCTTTGATATGCACTCAACTTCTCTCCTATCGGATAACTCTCCAAGGTATGTTTGGAAGCTCTATTTAGAAAGGTAGCCCTCTCTCTGGTTTCTTCTCCTTTAAAAATTCCTACTCCAAATCACAGCTTCTTTTTCTTTCTGTTACTAGCAGCCCTGTAGGTTCTTGTAATCTCCTGGGATAGAAATCAAGAGACATTACCAGATGTAGCAGCAAAGAGAAAGCTTCATTTAGTTGTGTACAAGGGAAATTGGCACTGTGAAAGAAAAAGGGCAGGCTGCTCCCCAAGGGTAGCCTATGGGTTAGTTTAATAGGGTCTTTCTATAGGGAAGGGTTTCGTCGGGGCACGTGAAATGCTAATGTTATGTGCGGTGTATTAAGATGCATGTGAAGCCATTGCACAAGTGCCTCTAGCATGCATCTATTTACATGCATCTTCATACACCACATGTAACATTAGCATTTTCAATATCTATCTCTGGGCCTGATTGTTAGCATTAAAATGAGGAAAAGTCACTATGAGTTGAAACTAAAGACTAGTTGTGCATGCAGGGCTTCAGGGAAGTCCTCACCCTCCTAACACAGGAACTTGTGGTTAATAGCTTCTTGAGCCTTTGAGCTACAACTTGAGTAAGAGGCTTTTTTTTTTTTTCACATCACATCAAAACAGAAAATGAGTCAGCTCACTTGTCTTTTTCCTCCCTTAAGAGATTTTATCCTCTTTATTCTTAAGTGGTTTTGGGCAAAGGTCTCTTCTGGAGCTATTTCCTGCTGTGCATGGACGTAGTTCCTACATCTATTCTGGGTAGGAGTAGAAATCTATCATGGCTTAGTGGAAGGACCAATACTGTTCTGGGTTGGTGGTCTCTGGAACAAGATCGAAGGCTTGCATGACAATTAACTTGACATGCAATTGTCGTAGTCTGGAAGACACAAATTTTATCATTAGGTTAAATAAGCATGGTCCTAAAATTAAAAGAAGAAAGATAGTTACTAGATGCCCTAAGAGAGGAAGGGACCAAGATATGGGGTGTAAGGCTGAACTGAGAGCATTTCACATTGAGGCAGCTGTTGAGTCCCCTTTGCAAAAAAAGCGTAACCATTTTGCCTGATTATAAATTGCTTGGATGTTAACATCTACTTGCTCTGTAGTATTTATCCAAGTGTAGTAGGATCTGCTGGTGACTGCATAAATGCCACCCTGTTCAGCTAATAAATAATGTAGTGCCAATTCGTTGTCCAACACCACGTTACCAAGAGAATTTAGGGAGATTTTTAGATCCTCCAGGGTCGGCCTTGCCTGGTCCACCATATGCCCTATCTGTTGCATTAAATTATGCAAAGTAACCTCATGGTAAGTGAACCCTCCCCAAGGAGCTGCTAGAATAAGAGCCATGCCTATTCCTGCTACGACCATGCTGAGGCCTCACTTTGCTCAAATAGAAGCCTGATGTTGGGAGATGGAGTTATGGATAATTACTCAATTTATCTCTGTACATTATGTACACAAGAGTAGGCTCAAGCTAATGGGGTGAAGGTGTAAGGATAATGAGCAGTGGACCATGGGAGGTAGTTATTAGGGTATCCACAAAGAAAAATAATTCTGGGACAAGCACAAGTACAAATTTACTCATTGGTGTAATTGAGAATTATGAGGTGTAAATTATGAACTGTGTAGATGGGGGACAGCAAACCATTGTCTATGTATTGCTCCATGGTTTTCTGTACTAGATGGTCATGAATGACCTTGGAGGTACCTTGTAGCATTGCATATCTGCCCCCATAGCTGAGCTTGTAATTTATCTTGAACCCTTGGGACAGTGTGAAGCTGTATTCCCAAAGTGGCAGGATATTACCCTGCCAATATTCACATCACCCCTCGCAATCAGAAAGGGTTTTGTCAGCAGGTTTGGGCCCATATAGTCCTAGTAATTTTATATACGGGGCACCAATGAGTTATTTGTGCAAACTTTTAAGTCAGAACCAGGGTACCAAGTAAAATTGTGACGGGAAGGTTGCAATGAATGCATCCTGCTCAGGTTCAGTTTAATTCCTCATTTTCTGTAGCCAGAGAATACATTTTAGCGGGAAGAAGCAAAGATCCCGATGGATGGGAAGCAGCCTGAGAGTTAAAGGATTAAAGGAGGCGGCTGTCTTCTATTAGCAGCTGCCCTCTATTAGTTGGGAGTAGATAGATTTAAAGAGGTTGTAAAAGGGACACTGGAAGAAAGTTGGGGATGCCGGGGACAGACAAAGAAGCTAAAAAGAGATTCCCCCTTACTGATGACATTAGAGAAGTTGATCAAGTTATTTTGACTCCAGAAGCCTTGCACTCAAATTAAAGGAAAAAGGGTACAGCAAGACATAAAAGAGAGTATAGTGAGAGCATGACTAATGTTTAGGGCAAAATGCAAGTCCTAATTCCAACCATGGAGAAGCAGACAGAGCAAACTGAACCAGTAGATTATTAAGAAAATATTAGCAAATAACAGAAAAAGAAGGCCAGAGGGAGTTTGAGACCAGCCTGACCAACATGGAGAAACACCATCTCTACTAAAAATATGAAATTAGCAGGCGTGGTGGCACATGCCTGTAATCCCAGCTACTCAGGAGGCTGAGGCAGGAGAATCGCTTGAACCTGGGAGGCAGAGGTTGCTGTGAGCTGAGATCATGCCATTGCACTCCAGTCTGGGCAACAAGAGCAAAACTCCATCTCAAAAAACAAAACAAAACAAACAAACAAACAGAATAGGAAGAAAGGAAAAGGAGGAGAGGTGAGGTGAACTCGTGCCTGTAATCCCAGCACTTTGGGAGGCTGAGGTAGGAGGATTCCTTGCGCCTAGGAGTTTGAGACCAGCTTGGGCAGCATAGTAAGACCCCTGTCTCTACAAAAATAAATAAATAAATAACAAATAAATAAATAAATAGCTGGGTGTGGTGATGCACAATTGTGGTCCCAGCTACTCTGGATGCTGAGGTGGAAGGATTGGTTGAGCCTCAGAGGTTGAGGCTGCCATAAGCTGTAATTGCACCACTGCACTCCACCTCGAATGATGGAGCAAGACCCTGTCTCAAAAAAAAAAAAAAAAAAGAAAAAAAAGAAAAAGAAATAGAAAAAGGAGACTAAGTAGACCTGTGTCAGTTATTTTTGTAGGAGTGTCACTTAGCTTTATTGCTGTCCTCTGGAGGCACCTTTTTGAACAAGTATTTGAGGTCCTCTGTTGGCTTACAGGAGTAGATTGCTTTTGACTCTTCTGAGCAGGTATGTTTGTTGAGAGAAGAAAAAGGTTTTATTTTAGAGATATGTACCCAACTAGGATATCCTTCCAACCTTACAACTGTTGGAGTGGCCAAGATAACTTGGTAAGGACTCTTGCATTTTTCAGTTAAGTCATCCTTTGGGCTTTCTTCTTGCCATGTCTTGAGTAGGACTTGTGCACCTGAGCTAATAGGGAGATAATAAAAACGCTTTTACCGAGCTGGGGTAGTATTTCATTGCCATATTGGGTGATTGCTCGCTGAACTTGTCGTAAGTTAATAATGTACTTTAAACACTGATTTAAACCTTTATCTAGCTAGTTTTGAGGAAAGGCCACCCATAAGTCATTTCAAAGGGACTGAACTTTTTTTTTTTTGAGATGGCGTCTCGCTCTGTCGCCCAGGCTGGAGTGCAGTGGTGCAATCTCGGCTCACTGCAACATCCGCCTCCTGGGTTCAGGCCATTCTCCTGTCTCAGCCTGTGGACTAGCTGGGACTACAGGCGCCCGCCAATACGCCCGGCTAATTTTTTGTATTTTTAGTAGAGATGGGGTTTCACCACGTTAGCCAGGATGGTCTTGATCTCCTGACCTCGTGATCTGCCCACCTCAGCCTCCCAAAGTGTTGGGATTACAGGCGTGAGCCACTGCGCCCGGCCAGGACTGAGCTTTAAGTTTCACTTTAAGGCAGCTCTTATTCATAGTAAAGCAGTAATGAGGAGCTTAATCCATGATTCTTGGGTTTATTGGCATAGTTGATAGAAGACTCTTTTAAGAGTTTGATTCATTTTCTCAACCTTCTCAGAGGACTGAGGATGCCAGTCTGAGTGAAGTTCATCCTGGATGATAAGACTTCTGGACAATCTTTGGGTAACCTGAGTGATAAAAGTGTCCTGTTCTTACTTTGTAGGGAGGGTGGAAGCCTAAATCTAGGAATTATTTATTTAAGCATCCATTTACAAACTTCAGTTGCCCCCTCTGTTCACGTGGGGAAAGCTTTCATCTAGCCTGTGAAACTGCCTACAAAAACCAGAAGATATTTGAATGCCCCTTGGGGAGGCATCTGTGTAAAATCAATTAACCAATCCTCTCCAGAATATGTTCCTCTGTCCTGTACTGAAGCAGTCAGTGTTGGAGCCAGTGGATAGGCTCAGCAATTATTTCAAAGACAAATTTCATATGCCTGAATTATCTGATCCACTGTAGTTTTTAAAGCCTTGTCCATGAAGTGATTTTGAATTAAATTCCATAGTGAGTCCCTCCTACAATGAGTTGCCTCATGAAGGCTTTTGATGATTTCTCATTAGTCATCTTCTGGTAGGAAGAGGTGTCCTTGCTGATCTTCTTGCCACCCACAACCATTTAAATAGTATTCCCCTCCTCGGCCAGTTTTTGTTCTAACTGACTATGCTGGGAACTTGAAGGCAAAGTGGAGGGCATGATTACAAGGGCAGAAGTGACAAGTTGCCCAATCCATGCTGCCTGTTTGTTTCCTTGGCTGATTAAGGAACTATCTTTTTGGTGCCCTTTACACTGCATGACAGCTATCTGGGCAGGGAGCCCAACTGCTTCAAGGAGGGATAGAATCACTTCCCTGTGTTTTATGGAAGAGCTCCTAGCAGGCAACATTTCCCTCTCTTTCCAGACAGCTGCATGGGTGTGAGCACTGGGAGTCCATATTTAGAATCAGTATATATATATTAAGTCTTTCCTTTTTCCTGAGCCCTAACGAGGGCTTTGAGCTCTGCTTCCTGAACTGAAGGGCTTTTGACTCTAAGGTTCGATTTAGGCTGACAATAGCATACATATCCTGCCTTCCAAGCTCCATTTTTTTACATACTAAGTAAACCTTCCCTCCATCAGAAAGTGTTGCTCTGTTATTTCTAATAAATCCTGGACCTGGTGAGAAGTATAAACCTGAAGGGGTTGACCTAGCATGTATTTGGAGTTCTCTGACCAGAAGGCTGGTGGCTCCCACTGTTCTAAGGCCAGGCCACCCCTGGGGTCCTGGGAATAATTGCTTTGAAAAGTAGGCCACTGGCCTTTGGTAGGGCCCTAGCTTCTGAATTAGGACTCCCAGAACTTGCCCAGACCTCTCATGTACAAACAGGAAGAAAGGCTTTCACAAATCAGGGAGTTCCTGGGCAGGGCCTTCCCTAATTCAGAATTTAGGGTTTCATATGCTTGCCAGCAGGCCTCATCCCAGTGGAATTGTTCTTTTTCTCCACCCTTGAGTGTCTCATAAGGGGATTTGGCTATGAGGCCAATGTTTGGGATTCAAATCTTACAAAAGCTTGCTATCCCCAAAAATCCCTGCAGCTCTTTTTTACTACTAGGGACTGGTAGTAAAGCAATGGCCTGCTTTCAGTCTGGGGTGAGCATCCTGACTCCTGTGATAAGTGTGAATCCCAGGTATTGAATCTGTATCTGAGAGATCTGGGCCTTTGAGGGGAAGACCTTTTATCCCCATGTAGCCAAGAAATTTAAGATTTTATCAGTATTTTCTTGAAAATTATGGAAGTCCTCACTAGCTATAAGCAAGTTATCTGCATATTGTAGTAAGGCTCCATTGGCAAGTTTAAAGTCTCTAAGGTCTCTTGCCAAGGATCACCCAAATAGTGGGGACACTATCCTGAAACCCCTGGAATAGCATTGTCCAGGTATACTGGAAAGTTTCCTTGGCTTCTGGATCTTTCTACTCAAGGAAAAAATATAGATGGAGTCAAGATATAACAGTATACAAAAGAAAGCATCCTTTAGATCCAGCATAGTATAAAACTCAGTGCACCCAGGGATTGGGAGAGGAATGTGTACAGGTAGCAAACTATAGAATAAATGGAAACAACTGAGTCATGCACTACTAAAGGTCTTAATGCAGTATTCCCCATTTGATCCTTCACAGGCAGGATTGGAGTATTAAAGGAGGACTGGCAGGGCTGAATTAGCCCATTCTGTAGAAATTTTTCCAGGAAAGGTGGTATCCTTGTAGGACTTCTGATCTTAACGGATATTAGGGCTTGCATGGGTAAGGTATGCCTGGCTTGAGTTTTGCATTAAAAACTCTGCATTATGGCTCTTCTCTGAGTACTGATGTCCCATACAAACTTTGTTAATGTGTTTCCTCTGGGACAGGGGGTGGTTTTTGACTTTGAGGATCCAAAAAGGCCACTAAATGGAGTCCTTTCTCAGGGGTAGTGAGACTTTGTATGTCTTTCTCTTGGAGGGAAACCGAATATTCCAACTGGGATAGCAAATTATAACTCATTAAAGGAAGAGTACACTCAGGGACATATAGGAAGGAATAAATAACAGCCTTAGATCCAATTTTCTAAGTCAAAGGAAAGGTAAATTGTCCTATGTTTGATTGGCCATTTATCCCTGTCACTATACAGTCAACATTGGAGAGAAGTCAATAGGTTAGGTCAGGAAAGAGTAGGCAGGTTCAGCATCCAATAATTCAATTTTCCTACCTGCCACATAGAAGGTGACTCGAGGCTCCACCAAGGTGACGATGATGAAATTTCTCAAGACTTCAAGACTGAAGCTGGGCAAGCTCTTGGGGCCCCTCAGTCAGAGGGGATAGCCTTCTCATCCAAGATGCTATAAAAGGAGTAGGCTGTGGAGGCTCACTTCATCTCCACTTCCCAGAATGGAGTGGACAATGCTTTCTCTAGTGTTCTTCCTTCTTGCAGCTAGCACACTGGTTTCATCCCAGCTTGCTGATGCCAGGAGTGGTTTAACCATGTCTCATCCAGGGTTTCTCTGTTGCATAGGGTTATCTTGAGGCAGACTTGTAATTATGGCAACTCAAATTTGTGCCCTGTTTTTTTTTTCATTATCTTATTCTTCTCATCCTCCTCTGACTAGTCATGATTATTAAATACCTTAAAGGCCTGTGCTACAAATGCTGCCTGAGGGATGTGGGGGCTAGTTCCCAGCTTTTGGAGCTTTCTCTGAATGTCTGGTGCCACTTGGGTAATGAAATGTATGGCTAGAAGTGTATGACCCTCTGCATGCTCCGGGTCTATATAACTTTACTTTCTGAAAGCCTCAGGGAGCCTGTTAAAGTACACAGCTGAATTGTCATTCCCTTCCTGAGTAATTTCCTTCACTTTGTTATAATTTACCGGCTTTGTCTGGTATTTCCTCATTCCCTCCAGTATTCAATTAAGGATATGGTTCATCTTTAGCTGATCCCTTCTATCCTTATGAACTCACTGGGGGTTTTGGTCAGGGACTGCCACACCAGATGCCTGGTAAATGACATGGCCAGGATTAGATCTGGCTGTCTCATCTGCATATTCTCTAGCCTTTCCCAAGATCTGAGCCTTTTCCTCAGGAATACAACAGTGAGTTACACTATTGTAATATCTTGTCAAGTAAAAAAAAAAGAAATGTTAGACCCAACTTCGTAAATTCATCTCTAAGCTTATCTGAATTTTCTGAGAACTGGCTGAACTGATCCTTGCGTTCGCTTATGTCTGACATTGAAAAGGGTACATGTAGCTGAGCTGTCCCTCCAGTCCTTTCCATCATATCCCAGTGGGGAAAGCAGCTCTGGTCTGATGGGACAGTGAAGGAAAGCATTAACTTGGAACCTGATTGGAGCCCCATTGGGGATATCACCAGAGGTTGTTGGGAAATGGAAAAAGAATGCTTCCCTGACCTAGCCTGATATGGAGCAGGCTCAGAGTGGGAGGAAGGGGGGCCTAGGAGAGGAAAAGTACCCAGTGATCTAGAGTGTCAAGATCTCAGGCAGAAGTGGACTCCTCTGTCAATTGATGTTTAAGAGATGCCACACAAACTCAGCAGGAGTCCCAAAGTTTGGGATCCTGATGTAATTTCATAAAGGCTTGCACATATGGAATTTCAACCCATTTATTAGAAATTCTACAATTTAAATTCAAATGTTAAATGGTATTATAATTCAAAAACCCATTCTCAGGCCATTTTTCTTGGTCTTCCAGGGGATACTGAGACCAAGCGACATTACAGAGGATCATGAGCTTATTTTTCTTTTAGATTATCCAATTTAAATTTACCCCGGTTATTGAGAATATACCTTATGGAAGAATCTCTTTGGACATGGGGAATTTACCATGGTAGAATTGGTGGCCTGCAATCAAAGGGCTGGCGAGGGTGAAATCCTTAACTCCAACTGTCACAAAGTTTATAGTAATGATCCTGGTCCCAGTAACCCTGCTTCCTTCAGGTCTCTGGCAAGGGCTAAACAGACTAAAGAGGATATAGAAAGAGAAGTTTTCTGAGGGAGGAGTCTGAGACCATTTAGCTCTAAAATCTTTTTCCCTTGGTTTTTAAAATCTTCTAATTTCTTTACTTTGCACCAGTTCCAAGTAGTGTTCACTCTACACCCACATTCATTAATACTGACTCTGTAATAAGAAATGAGATGATAGACTAGACAAATGAAAAGGGGACAGAGGTGATCTGGCCTAGTAAGTAAGTCTTCTTCCAGGGACTGTGGACGGTTGGTTCACACAGGCAACAGGCACCAGTGAGTGGGACACATTTTCACTTAGACAACTGACAAAACAAACTGCAAACTTCTAGGCCCCACAAAGAAGATAAGAGTCGAGGGGAATACTGAGAGGTTTCAAAGTTCAAAACCTGACAGAACTCTAGGTTGCCAGCTAATACCTAGCAGGCACAGACACAGGGAACACTTCCTCATTCAACACCAGATGTGAGAGCTGGAATCACTCCAATTACCCACACAGAATCAGAAAAACCTGGATTCCTAGCCCAAAACCAGTGGGGCTAGTTGGCAATACCCCGACTGTCCTAATAAGATAACTCAAATGGAAACAAAACTCCTAAGGAGCGGAACAAGCTGGAAAGGAAGAGTGTCAAAATGAGGAAAGGAAGAGGAAGCTGGAAAGGAAAAGAGAGAAAGAGAAAAAGAAAAGGGAATGAGTATCGATCCGGAGTCTGGATTTGACTCACCAAAGTGTCAATGCCGAAACAATGGTCCGGAGTGGCTGCTTTCGTTCACCCCTGGTTAGTCATCTACATCCTCTGGGCAGCTTCCTTCACTCCCACCAGATGCTAAAAGGAGAGTCCCATGAGATATTACTGGCACCCCTATGCATTCCTGTAATCTCCTAGGATAGAAATCGAGAGAGATGACCAGAGATGGCAGCAAAGACAAAGCTTTATTTAGTTTGTGTACAAGGGAAATCAGCCTAACTTTATTTAGTTTGTGAAAGGAAAAGGGTGGGCAGCTCCCAGAGGGTAATATGTGGATTAGTTTTATAGGGCCTTTCTATAGGGAGGAGTTTCGTGAGGGCATATGTAGCAGGAGTTCCTCTAGCACTTGCACAGGGCTTTACATGCTTCTTCATACACTGCATGTAATAGCATTTTACATACCCATCTCTGGTCCTGAGCATTAAAATGAGGAGGTCACCATCAGTTAAAACTTAAGCCTAGCTACACATGCAGGGCCTTGAGGAGGTCCTTAGACCCTGAAAGCAGTAACTTGTAGTTAATAGCATCTTGGGGCTTTGATACTGATTGGCTGGAGATTAAGTAAACTACAGCCCCTACTGCAGTAAGGGGCTTTTGTTCTTTTTCTGCAAACCACATCAAAACCAGAAACCAGTCAGTTTGCCTCTTTCATCTCCACCAAGAAAAGCAAATCCAATTAACTCAACCCCTCAAAGTATAATTATAAAGTAGAAATTGAGGACTCTTAAACATACACCACATTCTTAGAATATTCTTCTTAACTTCTCTAAAACTGAAAGGCTTAAATTTCCCGAACTCCACCAATATATTCTTTTTAAAAATTATTTTACTTTAAGTTCTGGAATACATGTGCAGAACATGCAGGTTTGTTAGATAGGTATACACGTATCATGGTGGTTTGTTGCGCCTGTCAGCCCATCATCTACTTTTTAAGCCCCACATGCATTAGGTATTTGTCCTAAGGCTCTCCCTCCCCTTGGCCCTCACCCATCCCAACAGGCCCTGGTGTGTAATGTTCCCCTCCCTGTGTCCGTATGTTCTCATTGTTCAGCTCCCGCTTATGAGTGAGAACCTGTGGTGTTTGGTTTTCTGTTCCTGTGTTAGTTTGCTGAGAATGATGGCTTCTGGCTTCATCCATATCCCTGCAACGGACATTAACTCATTCTTTTTTATGGCTGCATTATATTTCATGGTATATATGTGCCACATTTTTTTTATCCAGTCTATCATTGATGGGCATTTGGTTTGGTTCCAGGTCTCTGTTATTGTAAATAGTGCTGCAATATACATATGTGTGCATGTGTCTTTATAGTAGAATGATTTATAATCCTATGGGTTTATACCCAATAATGGGATTGCTGGGTCAAATGGTATTTCTGGTTCTAAATCCTTGAGGAATCGCCACACTGTCTTCCACAATGGTTGAACTAATTTACACTCCCATCAACTGTGTAAAAGCATTCCTATTTCTCCACAGCCTCATCAGCATCTGTAGTTTCTTGACTTTTTAATCATCACCATTCTAACTGGCATGAGATGGCATATTATTGTGGTTTTGATTTGCATTTCTCTAATGACCAGTGATGATGAGCTTTTTTTTCATATGTTTATTGGCTGCATGAATGTCTTCTTTTGAACAGACAAGTGTCTGTTCATATCCTTTGCCCACTTTTTGATGTTTTTTTTTCTCGTTAATTTAAGTTCCTTGTAGATTCTGGATATTAGACCTTTGTCAGATGGATAGATTGCAAAAATTTTCTCTAATTCTGTATGTTGTCTGTTCACTCTGATGATATTTTTATTTCTAACTTCTATTAATACAAAACCATGGAGAAAAAATCTTAGCATTTACATTTTCCATTAAAGTCACCTAAATAGTGCTATTCTGGCAGAAATAGATAACACTTTCAATATATTTTTCTTAAGACACTAGGTCCCATCCAAAGTTGAAATGCTAGAAAGATGAGCTCAGAAAATACTGGAAAGTATAATACCTCACACTGAATATTTTCTCATTAGACAGTGGATTTTCATTTATCACATAACCTTTCCTTTTTAATTGTTACAATTACTATTTATTGGGGAACTTCCATTATGTGGACTGGATTGCTTGTGAGATTAAGGTTTCTATTTGAAACGCATGATAAAAAGCACTACGTTAAGAAATATGATAGTTATTGCTATGAATAAGACAAATATGGCACAGAATCTGACCTTAAAATACTTGTAGCCTTTTAAATTAAAACTACTTTGCACAAATCACTATAATGCAGGGTAAAAAGTAATGCCACTTTAGGGAGTACTTTAGCTTCCTATTGCTGCTATAACAAATTACCACAATATAAGGGCTTAACAAAACACAAATTTGTTCTCTTACTGTTCTGGAGGTCAGAACTAAGAGAACAGTTTCTCTTGGCTAAACTCAAGGTAGTGGCAGAACTGCCTTAACTGGTTCTACGTGAAAACCCCTTTTCTTGCCTCTTCCAGCTCTCAGGGGCTGCCTACATTCTTTGTTTTGTGACCTCTTCTTCCAACAGTTGCATCACTTCAACCTTTGCTACTATGATTTCATTTCCCTCTCTGAATCTGATTATATTGGGCCTGTGCAGATAATCCAGAATAATTCCCCCATCTCACATTGCTTAACTTAATCACATCATCCAAGTCTCTTTTTCCATACAGGGTAAGATATTAACTGGTTCTGAATTCTAGTATATAGATCGGTTTGGTGGGCCATTATTTCACCTAACACAGACAGATATATATCTTTGTAGCAATTATCAATTAAAATCCTATAATTTTAATTATCTAATACCTATAATTTTTATTAGATACATATTAGTTTGATATCTGATGAAAAATTTATTGATCTGATAAATGATATAGGTAAATTTTGGGTATATCAGTTAAAAAAATCAGAACTGAATTAGGCCATTCAGAAAGAAGAAGTGGAGAAAGAGAACCTCTGTGCATTCTCATATTTCTCATGAAAATGAACTGCTAATCCACTTAAAAAATAGGAGTCTGAAAATTGTTAACGCCGTAGTGTAAAATTTTGTTAATGAAACAGTAGTTGACTTTAAAGTAGTCCAGTATAACAGCTTTTGAACTTGCTGACTGCTTATTGATTTCTTAGCTTGTTTGCTAATATTCTGCTCACAAGTTCAGCATCCAAAGCTTAAGTGTGATGACTACATCATATTCCAAAACTTGATAATAATTTCAAAGGGAGAAAGAAGCAGGTGAGCTTTTTATCACAATATGGTAATATTTTGACACTACTGTCTGCGTTGAAGCCAGAGGACTGGAAAGGGCATACCCTCGAAGCTTCATTCTGATGTCACAGTGTGATCTGAATGAATATTCATGTTTTCTTCTGTCTGAGATGCTGTCATGGTCCATCATTTATTAAGCGATGACAACATGATGTTGTTTTGATTATTCTTGTTTTATTATTCCTACCAATTGCTGTAATTCAGACTTGAGCATCACAGTTCTATCTCCTAATTAAAGCTGATTTGTTATTTTAATTGCATTTAAATAAAATGTAACATAAAATTATTAAAAAATATGTAAATTTGTAAAAAAACACACATGTACTTCTTTCAGCTTTAAAAACTTAACATTAATTTATGCTTCTAACAAAGGTTGAGTAATATAGGCTCATACCCTTTCACTTGAAACAGTGCAAAACAGACAAAATATATAAAATAATTGTTTTCAAAGATATCAGTCAATGAAGAGCACTGATCCCTGAGTAAGATGAAAAAATAATAATAATGGTCTGGGGAGTATCAGGATTGACTGAGGTTTACCCTATTGAGAATGTTTCCGGGCCATGTTACAGGGAGGAGGTTCTTAGGCAGAGCCTGAAAATGTCCCTGACGAAATGGAGCTGAGAGTTCCAAGACAATTCAAGTTCGAAAAGCAGAATATAGTACAGCAAACAGCTGCACAGAGAGAGAATTTCAGAGATATATAGAAAGCCCCCCTCAGGTATTCAACCAAGGCCTGATTACACATCTGTGTGAGTAAACTACCTGAGCTCAAGAAAGAAATACCCAACGGGATTAGAGTAATAGTCCCTGATGCTGTTACCAGGATGGGAATAAAGCTTGTTCCCATTAGGAATACTGGAAAGCTTCCTAGTTCAGGGAAAATTGAGTATCAGAAGGGTAATTCTTTGGTGGAGGGGAAGAATTAGCCCTAATCTGAGCACTGCTCCAGTCCCACCTAACAAATCTAAAAGCTAGAGCAGAAAGCATTCAACTATTTCCAGAAACACAACTTCATCCCAGAACAAACCTAAAAATATTATAAGGATACAAAAATCTACCACCCTAAAAAATAAAATTCACAATATATGATATTCAATACAAATAATAGGCATGTGAAGAAGCAATCAATTAAAACAGATCCATAGGGGACAAGGTTGTTAGAATTAGCAGACAAATAAATCAAGACAATTATTAGAACTATATTCTATATGTTCAAAAAGTTGAGACATAACAAATATATTAGAAGTTAACTTTCTAAGGATGGAAACTAAATCTGTGATAAAAATACAATAGACAGAATTAATGGCAGATTAGAAATTGCAGAAGAGTTAGTGAACTTGAATAAATAGGAACAGAAATTGTACTAAAGAAATACAGAATAAGAGAATAATAATAATGAATAAAATATCAGTTAACAGTGATAAAGTCATAAGTGGCATAATTTACATGTAATCAGAGTTCCCAAAGTAGATAAGGGGAGAGAATAGAAAAATATTAAAGAAATTATGATTAAAATTTTTCAAAATTTGATAAAAATCATAAATCTAAAATAGAAGAATCTCAATGTGCTTCAAACAAAAAAATGCATGAAGAAAATTTCACCAACGCATATTATTATCAAATTGCTTCCAACCACAGATGAAAATAAAACCTTCTAAGTAGCTTGAAAAAAGGACACATGAATAGAGGAATAAAATGAGCATGATAGCAAGTGAGAAGAGAGTAGAATATCTGTAAAGTCTTGAGATGACAAAAACATGAAACAAAATCTGTTATACCCAGAAAAATTTCTTTCATTAAAAATAGGACATAAATACTTTTTCAAACATGAAAAAGACGAAGGAATTTGTCACCATCAGACCCACACAGCAAAAAAAAAAAAAAATAAGTTTTAAGGAATGTTCTTCAGGCAGAAATACAATGATATAAGATGGAAATATGGATCTACACAAAGTAATGATGAAGACCAGATACGGTACCTCTGTGAGTGACTATATCAAATTTGTTTCTTATTGTATGGATATTGTACATGTTCCCAAGATATTCAAAGAACTCTGAGAAAAAGCAGAAAAAAGAAAGCAGAGAAACAAAAAAGTAAGTTAAAAATGAAAAATGAAGTAGCAGAGTTAAGCCCTAATATATCAATATTACATTATGTGTAAATGATGTAAATTAAATGCATTAATTAAAACACAAGTGACAGAGTGAGTAAAATAAGATCATGATTCAACTATGTGCTGTCTACAAGAGATTCAATTTAAATATAATAATATACATAAGTTGAAAGTGAAAGGATAGAAAATTATTTTAAATATTAATAAAAGGAAAGCAGAGATGGCTATACTAATATCAGATTAAGTAATCTATAGAGCAAAGCAGTTATTAGAGACAAACAGGACCATTATAAAATATTAAGTGTCAATTCAGGATAAACATGTAGCAATCTTAAGTGTTTATACTCCAAAAACCAGAACTTCAAAATACAGTCTACCTTTAAACAATAGGTATTTGAACTGCATTGGTCTACTTATATGCAGATTGTCTTCTGGTTTTACCACCCTGAGATAGCAAAACCAATCTCTCTTTTTCATTCTTCTCCTCACCCTTCTCACATGAAGACAATGGCGATGATGACCATTTTCATTATCCACCTCTGCTTAATGAATAATAAATATATTTTTTCCTCCTTATGATTTTTTATAACAATTTATTTTCAATGGCTTACTTTATTGTAGTAATACAGTATATATAGTATATATAACATAGACAATGTGTGTTAGTCGACTGTTCATGTTATTTTTAAGGACTCCAGTGAACAGTAGGCTATTACTAATTAAGTTTTTAGGGAATTAAATGTTATACCTGGATTTTTGACTGTCTGAGGTTTGAAATCTCTAATTTCTGCCTTGTCCAAGGGTCACTTATGTTAAACAAAAGCTGACAGAACTGACAAAGGATAAATATATAATTATAGTTGGAAACTTCAACATCCCATTCTTAATAACTGATAAAATAACTGGACAGAAAATTAAGGATATAGAAGAATTCAACAACACCATCAGTGAACAGGATTTAATAGACATTTATAGAGCACTTGATCCAACAATAGCAGAATACACATTATCTTCCAGTGTCCATAGAACAGATAACAAGATAGACTATAGTCTGATTATAATGCAAACTCCAACAGATTTAAAAGAATTTAAATCATATTAAAAGTGGTCTCTGACCACAGTGGAATCAAATTAGAAATCAGTAAGAGAAGGATAATAGGAAAATATACAAGTACTTGGAAACTAAACACATTTCAAAATAATAAATTCACAAGGATTCAAATCTTGCAAAGTATGTTGTCTGACCACATAGCATTAAAATAGAAATCAATACAGAAAATAAAAGAAAGATCTCTAGAATAGCCCCAAATATATGGAATTGAAATAAGTCAATTCTAAATAACATATAGGTCAAAAAAGAAACCAAAGAGAAAATCAGAAAGTCCTTTAAACTACATGAAAATAAAGACACAATGTATTAAAATTTTTGGAATGTCACCAAACCAGCAATTAGAGGCTAACTTATAGCATTAAATGTTTATATTAGGGAAGAATACATTTCCAAATCAACTCTTCCATGTCTTCCTAAAAAAAAAAACAGAAAACTCCCTCAAAAAAAACTAGTAAATGTCTAACTAAAATCAGAAATAAGTAGACGAAAAGATGAAAAACAGTAGAAATCAGTGAAATAGAAAACAGGAAAACAATAGCAAAATTAATAAAACAACTTCAGACATTTTAAAAACATATTTTAAGAGGGTGTGGAACTTTGAGTTGACTATTTTCAACATTTATCTTGTCTTATAGCTTGCATAGTTCTTGACAAAGTCTGGTTTTTGTTTTTGTTTTTGTTTTCGTTTTGGTTCTTATGTTTTCTGTATATAATTTTTCTTTTTTCCCTAGTTGTTTTCCAGATATTTTTCTCCATCCTCATTTATCAGCATGTTAGTTTTTATTTGTCAAATATTTTTTCCTTCTTGGGATTCTCTAGTTTCTTGGAACTTTGGTTTATTTTTAATTAATTTTGAAAAAATTCTTGGCCATTATCTCAAATATTTTTTACACCCCATTCTTCTTCTCTTATCCTTCTGGAATTTCAGTAACACAAATGATAGGCCATAGTTTGTTTTCCCACAGTTCCTGAATACTGCTTTTAAAGTTTCCTTTTCTTTTTATGTTTCAGCTTTGATAATTTCTGTTGACATATCTTCAAGTTCACTGTTGATTTCCTCAGTCGTGCCTGATTTCCTCATGAGCTTATCAAAGAATTCTTCATCACTGGTATTATATTTCTAAATGTAGCATTTTGTTTGGATCATTTGTATAGCTTCCCTTTGTTTGCTATAATCCCTGTCTTTTCAGGCATGTTGTCTACCTTGTGCATTGGATCCTCTGTCATATAAATCATAATTATTTCATAGTCTCTTTCTTATATATTCATCACATCCATGATTTCTTAATCTAGATTTTTAAATAATTTATCTTGAAAAAATTATTTTTTATGTTTTGTTTACCTTACAATTTTTGATTCAGTAGCACATACTGTGTAGAGAACAAAAGAAAATAAGCAGTAGTTGTACCTGGGCATACCTCACCTTCTGTCAGGCCTGAATGTGGACAGATGCTTCTAGGCTACTGTTAATTATGCTCAGAATAGAGATTGCAGGGCTAGAGGATTTTTCTTAGAGTTTCTGCCCACTTTCAGTTTTCAGCAGTTACTGCATGCCTGAGCCATAGAGGAGGTCTCTCTCCATGACTTTATTGTCCCACTATGGTTAGACTGTTGATACTTGTTCTTCAGGACTAGGCCTACAGTGGGGCCAACATTTTTTTTTTTTAATTCTCTTAGATCAGACTAACTAAACCTTATACAAGCCCTGTGTACTTTGTCCTGAAGGGTAGAGACTCCTCATCATTCCTGCCTCACCTCTCTATAGCAGCTAAACTCTGTCATCCACTTATGATCAGTCTTACATAGGAGAGACATTTCTACCTGATCCTCTTCACTAGCCGACTCCCCTTGGTATTGGCATATAATCTTGGGCATAGAGGCAGATGGCTTTTTCTTTTACCATTCCTCTTGTGCATAGAGGCAGATGGCTTTTTCTTTTACCATTCCTCATCAACAATGAATCATGGCTGTGTTGTGGGTTTGGAAGTGCTTTGTACCTATCTCCCAAGAGCAAATTAGTTTTATTTTTCTATTCCATCAGAAGCAATGAATTTTGTATGAGTCCTATAAGTGAAATGATTTGCTGCCTGTGCACCATCAGTCTTTACAACCTATAAGGAACGTATCCAGGGAAGCAGGCAGAATTTCATCTCTGTCTTCCACACCTGATTTTACCCCGCAGGCCTGTGACACAAAGTATCTGTCCCCAGATCGAGGTCCTACTCCCAGTATTTCTCATGAGCACCTAAATGAAGTCTATTGAAAACATCTTGAGATTAATTGTAAAGTGCCCTTGTTTCTGGGGTTCCCTGTTATGCCAAATTGATATGCTAGCCTGCAATTGGTCTTTACAAAATTATGAAAGTATCTATCAGCTGATTTTATCTTACCCATATTTGTGATGATTATTTGTTCATCCTATGCTCTGAATGTGATACATTCTTTCTCTCCATGGAGGAAATATTTTACTCCTTGAAATTCAGGGTTTTAAAATTTGCTCTGATGGGCTCAGGAAAAGTATGACTTTATAGATTATTTGGTTTTTATTTTTTTTAATTGTGGACAACTTTTTTTTACAGGTTTGTACATGTCAGTGGAAGTAGAACTTTGTTCTGGATTTTATTCATTCTTTCCTTGGACTTACAATAGTCTGCATGTGCATAGAAGTAAGAAATTTTCTATATCGTGTTGATGAGAAATTAGGCCCTGATTTTAAACAGCATTCATAGAATTAAGACATATGAGACATTTGGTGAAAAATTAAAGGTGGTGGGATACTGTTTTAGAGTTAACAAATAATCTAACAATTATGTTTTAGTGTATATGTAATACAGTTCATACCATTTTATGTGTTAGTATTTTCTTAGCATTGCTTAAATGGCAATGATTCCTAAAATCAATTAAAACTAAATCAAATATAGTCCAGACTTGCTCCAGCCCCTCCTTAAATTACACACAACTCTAATTTGCAATATTTTATGAGTACCTCCTGATTTCCAAATTTTATCTTAACATATGTAATGGAAAATGGTAAGATAGTTCTCCATTTATTTAAGAGACAAACTCAACTTTGAAATTATCAGGGGATGTTACAAAATATATGATGTTCCCAAATGGCCTCAATTACTATTTAGGTATCACTCTATTTTCATCATCTAGAAATTAAAGGATATTTTTCTCTCAAGGAAACACCCAATTTAGTATTTTTATCAACATCATCTTAGTCTTGTCACTATAGTAAATGATAGTCAACTATAATTTTCAATGATGCAAAGTTTGATAAATTTTAAGTAATTCTCAGATTATGGTTTAAAGAAGGTGCAGGTCAACAGTTCATTATTAAAATAAAAATATGCTTAGTATTTGTTGTCACTTCTCTACATCATGCAGTTTTTCAACTAATATTTATTGAGCACCTCTACTGTGCCAAGATCTATCTTAGATACAAGGGAAAACATAATGTAGACAGTTAGATATGGCAGTTTTTTACTTGTGCTTGTCAGTCTAGTGGGAAAAAGAAAGTGTAAGCAGAAAATAAATGCACCATAGTAAATGCTACAATGTGGAACATAGTATCTAATCATATGACTATTAGGCAGAGAAATGAAGAAAATATGTTTGTTTTTGCTGGATTATTCAGTGTGGAGAAATAACAATCTACCACACTCATTATAGTTTACTCTGCTAGTATCCACATTTTTAGATTCTGGAAGCTACACAATATCAGGAAAGAGTTCTGAACTTCATTAGATAGATGGAAAGTCCTATTGAAATTTAATTTTGGGTTCTAATATTTCCAAAAAATATGTACAATAACGTGATAACTTGTGATAATTTTTTTTTCTAGAATTGACAATATGGTTGATAATATGTTCAATGCCTACCTCAATCTTAAGAAGCAATCACTTTAAGAGTCACATAATTGCAAAATAAAATACAATAAAGTTCCAGGTATGCAAAATAAAGCCTGATATATGTGATCACATTTTAGATCAAGATATAGGTTGAGTATCCCTTATCCAAAATACTTGGGACCAGAAGAGTTTCAGATTTTGAATTTTCAAAAAATTTTGGAACATATATATATTATACTTACCAGTTGAGCATCCCTAATCCAAAAATTCAAAATCTGAAATTATCTAATGAATATTTCCTTTCAACATCATGTTGATGCTCAAAAAGTTTTAAATTTTTGATTTTCAGATTTGAGATACCCAACCTATAGCTTGATCTGAAATGTGAGCATGTATATGTTCATTGTTTATTTTTATTTATTTCTATTTCCAATAACTTAGAAGCTGTGTAATAAAACTGTTGACTTGTAAAAAGGCAAACTGAAAAGGGATTTTATTTTAGCTGGGCTTGGGAGGTCAAGGCTTCAGTGAGCCGTGATCCTGCCACTGCACTCCATGCTGGGTAACAGAGTGATACCCTGTCAAAAAAAAGGAGAGAGAGAGAGGAAAGAAGGAAAGAAAGAAAGAGAGAGAGAGAGAGGGGAAGGAAGGAAGGAAGGAAGGAAGGAAGGAAGGAAGGAAGGAAGGAAGGAAGGAAGGAAGGAAGGAAAAATATATATTCGGAGCAGGAGCTGAGAAGGTAAATTGGTCAGAGAAGATATCTCAGAGGAGATGACATTTGAATAGTATTTTAGGAGAAACCTAAATGATGATCAAAATCAGCTTGCTGGATGAATATTGTACTGTAAAGTCTCTAAACAAGTGTGTACTTAACACTTTTAATTTACAATGAAATGCATAATTTAGCTCAAATATAGAAAATAAGAATGTGGTAGATGTTAATGTGCAGAAATCATCATGGGACATAGCATGTAGGAAGTTGTAGAATATTCTGAGGAATGTTGCTGTTCTTCTAATTGCTGCAGAAAACCATTGGGGATTTTTTATCAGAAAAATGAGAGGCTCTGAGTTATAATTTAATCAGCTTAGTTTTAACAAACTCCTACTCATGGCCAGGAATTTTGTGTGAAGCAAGGATACAAAACATACGCATGACTGGCACCCTCTCTTCAAGTAGTTGAGTCTATTGGTTTTGGAATCTCTTTCAAATAGCCTTAGGGATCTGAGGACTGTAACGTGACATCTGTAGTGTCACTCTGTAGTGGTGCACAGAGTGACATCCTGTAATGTATTTGATTTCCCAGGCAGGTTCTTGGAGTCATGATATTTAAGGGTTATGTGTTTTCAATTGATGAACAGAAATAATTTCAATCTCCTACTGCCTCTCTTAACACGGAAACCAACAAAAAAACTGATTTCACAGCAAATTATAACATTATAAATTTAGATACCAAAAGTTTTATCCTAATCTCATTCAATTTACAATTATAGTAGACATTATTATTGATAATATAATAGGATTAGTTCTAATATCTACTCTTTTACTTATTCTGATTTTAAAATAACCGAATTCCTTAAAGAAAGCTGAAGGTAATTTTATTTATTTATTTTTATATATATATTTTTTATTATACTTTAAGTTCTAGGGTACATGTGCACAATGTGCAGGTTTGTTACGTATGTATACTTGTGCCATGTTGGTGTGCTGCACCCATTAACTCGTCATTTACATTAGGTATATCTCCTAATGCTATCCCTCCCCCCTTCCCCCACCCCACAACAGGCCCTGGTGTGTGATGTTCCCCTTCCTGTGTCCAAGTGTTCTCATTGTTCAATTCCCACCTATGAGTGAGAACATGTGGTGGTTGGTTTTTTGTCCTTGAGATAGTTTGCTGAGAATGAGGGTTTCCAGCTTCATCCATGTCCCTACAAAGGACATGAACTCATCCTTTTTATGGCTGCATAGTATTCCATGTTGTATATGTGCCACATTTTCTTAATCCAGTTGGACATTTGGGTTGGTTCCAAGTCTTTGCTATTGTGAGTAGTGCCGCAATAAACATACCTGTGCATGTGTCTTTATAGCAGCATGATTTATAATCCTTTGGGTATATACCCATTAATGAGATGGCTAGGTCAAATGGTATTTCTAGTTCTAGATCACTGAGGAATTGCCACACTGTCTTCTGAAAAAATGCTCATTATCACTGGCTATCAGATAAATGCAAATCAAAACCACAATGACATATCATCTCACACCAGTTAGAATGGCGATCATTAAAAAGTCAGGAAACAACAGGTGCTGGAGAGGATGTGGAGAAATAGGAACACTTTTACTTTTTTGGTGGGACTGTAAACTAGCTGAAGGTATTTTCTAATGGGCCAGGTGATTTTTAGTGTAAGATAATTCTAACGCTTCTAATTGAATACTATGAAAAATGTCTTTCTTCTCTGTTTTTAGTTTTATTTATTAAAATATTTACAAATGACTAGCATTATGAATAAAATTTCAGCAACAAAAGACAAATAAGAAAAATTATCTACTAGTATGCTTCCTTTTTTGGTTCTTAGTTTTTTCAGATAGGGACTTGTTTTACCACAAGTCTTTAGAATCCCTTACAAAGTACAGATATAACTCAAATTACGTTACTGCTTGTGTTTGTGTTTTAATTATCATGGGAGAGAATGAAAAAGAAGAGTAAACTGTTGAAAATAATAGCTGGATGTTTTCCCAGAAGCCATAGAATAACTAATATGCTAAGGTAAATAAATAATATTCATCATTTTCTTTCATTTGTAATTTCACATATATACTAGAATATATATGCAACTTCAAAAGATAGCAGATATGAGGTTTAAGAAAATAATTTGGTAAATGTAGTTTTCCCTTTTTTCCTCATTATCATATATCATTGCAAGTCTGCATTATAATTTAGGGACAATAATAACTCAAGAAAAATACATTGTTTTCTAAAGGTTAAATGAAAAGCAGGGTAAATACACCATAAACTTCTAAAACTATTAAGCTAAAAGTGGGAAGCTGTCCCAAACCCAGCAATACTAATCGTTCAAATAGAATGCTTACTTTGAGTATAATTTTAAATAAAAATAATTGAGTAGTATAGTGGCCATGAGAATATGCCTCTCAGACTTCCAACTACAGAAGCTTAATTGGCCAAAGGCCCTAGTAACTAACTCTGAAATCCATCACTGCATTTGTTGTCAGGCCGCATATCCTCTGGGCTGCCCCAGCCCATGACTGAGCATGTAGTGATGCTAAGGCAGATCTTTCTCCGGTAGTCATGGTACTTCTCTCAAGGTCAAACTTTGTTCAAATATTCCCTGGAGCTCTGTAGTCCAGGATGCTCCCATTCACCTTCTTTTCTTTTCTATTTCCCTCAGGATCCCAGTTCATCACAGTCTGACGTCTGTTCAGTCTTCTGCCATTTCCTTCTCATTTTCTCTCATAGATATTTTTTCAAATAAAATCCTTGCATGTTTAATCTTATTTCAATGTGCTCAGAAAATCATACCCAGGCTAAAATAAATAGCTAATATTTCAACGTTATTTCAGTGTGATCTCCATAGTAGCTCTCTAAAAAAGTCAAAATAAGCATTATTGTCATTTGATGAAGGAAAATAAGAGATGATTCTATGGCATTCTGGATTACATGTGACCAACATGACAGGTCATTGGTGAAAAGCAAATCTCAACCAAAAATAACATTTTCTTCAGTCATCAATTCTCATTTCATATGAATTAAATAAAAAAATCTAACATTCAGTGAAAAATGAATTAATAAACTTATTGCCCCAATTTCCTTTACGTGAAAAGCAATTTAAAGAAATAGTCCACAGACACTGGATCTATGGAATGGAGTAATAACAATCAAAAGAAAAAAATTACAGAAAGAAAAACCGCATGTTATTATATGTATGGCATTAAATCAATATATTTATGGTCAAGTCCATCCAATTTTCAGTAATTTCAATCATCTTAATGTATGAGTTGGGTGACCTATCATATCAGTCAACACAATGATCTTGATTAGAACTTGGTGGATCTGTCACTGCTGCTAGACCCAGGGGAAGGCTTCACAGGGTCAGTGACCTCTAATAGGCTTTGGAAGGATTCATAAGTACCCACATGATGGGCAAGGGGAAAATATCATACAAACACCTATGTATGTATACATATTTTATATATTAAAATATGTTTATACTGATGATTTTTTTGAATGCAATATGAAGAATATTTCTCTATGAACTTAAATGATTATTGAAAATATGTTCCCTTATTTAATCCTCTGTGAAAGAACATGCTCAGAGAAGTTATGTAACTTAATCAGGTCGCACTGTTATATTGGTGGGGATAACGGTATTACTTTCTTCATAGAGTTGCTGTGATCATGAAATTAATTAATCCATGAATCATACTTAGAATGGAGGCAAATATATTGTAAGCCTCCACTGGTGGCCAACATTATCATTAGTATAATTATAGTCGAGCCCAGTCTCTGTTTCCACACTTTCTACAACATAGTTTTACTAGTTTTGTAGCTTGTTAGTCCGCAAATAAAATTTGTGTGTTTTGACCAACAATGTATAGTTTTTCACAATGAATTCTTGGAAGAAAAATAGTAACATGGATATAGTTTTTTCTTATTTATATGTGTGTGTGTGCATTATATTTTCCTACAGTAATATAAAAATTATTTTATTATTATTGGCTTTATATGTGTGTGTGTGCATTATATTTTCCTACAATAATATAAAAATTATTTTATTATTATTGGCTTTATATGTGTGTGTGTATTATATTTTCCTACAATAATATAAAAATTATTTTATTATTATTGGCTTTAGATGTTACTGCATTTATGCTGTTTTTCACAATGTCAAAGACATCCAACCAGAGTAAATGAAAAATAAGGCAGCTAACTATGTTATTCAGCCACTATCAGGCAAGGCTTGTAGAAATGAACTTGTTTATTGTAAATCAATGTAGAGAATACACATGAAGATTACCCTTGGTGTTTGTTTTGTTACATTATGCTTCTCTTAGAAAATGTTACAATGGGATTCACTAATAAGAAATCATGGCTGGGCATGGTTGCTCATGCTTGTAATCCCAGCACTTTGGGAGGCTGAGGCTGGTGGATCACTTGAGCCCAGGAATTGGAGACCATCCAGGCCAATGTGGAGAAACCCTGTCTCAAAAAAAAAAAAAAAAAAAAAATTATCCAGGTGTGAATGCGTGTACCTGTAGTCCCAGCTACTGGGGACGTTGAGGTGGGCGGATCACTGGAGCCCTGGTGTGCGAGGTTTCATTGAGTAAAGATTGTGCCATTGTGTTCCAACCAGGGTGACAGAGTATAAACCTGTCTCAAAAAAATAATAATAATAAAATAAAAATAAATAAATACATTCTGCTTTTCTATTTAAATGACTTTTTAAAACTAGTTTTACATGGCAAATATTATTTGAATCATAAGGGTTGGAGAATATTCAATAATTAATTAATTTATAACCAAATTATTTATTATCAAGAACTAAAAATTATATATATATTTGTGTTCAACAAATCTTGAAGACTATTAAAAAATAAAGTATGATAGGAAAACATGCACAATTCTCTGAATCTGCTTTAGTTTCCTTATTTAGTTTGAATTTTACCCATGGGAAGACTGTCATCCTTCAAAGTACAATTATGTTTCAATTTTTTTAACTCTTATTTTAGGTTCAGTGGTATATGTGCACGTTTGTTATGTAGGTAAATTGTGTGTCACAGAGGTTTGGTGTACAAATTATTTCACCACTTGGGTAATAAGCATAGTACCCAATAGACAGTTTTTCTATTCTCAACCTCCACCCTCCTTCCACCCTCAAGTAGGCCTCAGTGTCTGTGATTCTTTTTTCCTGTTTTGTTCTGTTTTGTTTTGTTTTGTTTTTTTGGAGACCAAGGCTCGCTCTGTGTTGGCCCGACTGGAGGGCAGTGGCGCAATCTCAGCTCACTGCAGCCTCCACCTCCCTGCTTCAAGCAATTCTCTTGTCTCAGCCTCCTGCATAGCTGGGATTACAGGTGCCCACCACCATGCCCAGTTAATTTTTGTATTTTTAGTAGAGACAGAGTTTCACCATGTTGGCCAGGGTGGTCTCGAACTCCTGACCTCAAGTGATCCACTCGCCTCGGCCTCCTAAAATGCTGGGATTATAGGCATGAGCTATTGCACCCAGCCTGTGATTTTCTTTGTGTCAGTATGTACTCAATGTTTAGCTCCCACTTATAAGTAAGAACATGCAGTATTTAGTTTTCTGTTCCTATATTAGTTTGCTTAGAATAATGGCCTCCAGCTTCATCCATAGTGCTGCAAAGGACATGATATCATTCTTTTTTATAGCTATGTATATGTAGTATTCCATTATATATAGATACCACATTTTCTTTATCCAATCTACCATTGATGGGAATTTCACTCGATCTCATGTCTTTGCTATTGTGAATAGTGCTGTGATGGACATATGTAGGCATTTGTCTTTATGGTAGAACAATTTATATTCCTTTGAGCATATACTCCATAATGGAATATCTAGGATGAATAGTAATTCTGGATTGAGTTTTTGAGAAATCACCAAACTGCTTTCCACAATGGCTGAATTAATTTACATTCATACCGCCAGTGTGTAAGTGTTCTCTTTTCTTCACAACCTTGCTAGCATCTGTTATTTTTTACTTTTCAGTAATAGTCATACTGACTGGTGTGAGATTGTATCTCATCTTGGTTTTGATTTATGTTCATCTAATGATTAGTGATGTTGAGTATTTTTTCATATGCTCTTTGCCTGCAAATTAGTAGCATTCCTATACACAAACAACATCAAATCTGAAAGCCAAATCAAGAATTCAATCCAGTTCACAATAGCCATAAAAAGAATTAAATACCTAGTAATACAGCTAACCAGGGAAGGTAAAAGATCTCTGCAATGAAAATTACAAAATACTGCTCAAAGAAATTAGAGGTGACATAAACAAATGGAAAAACATTTCATGCTCATAGATAGGAAGAATCAATATTGTTAAAATGGCCATATTGCCCAAAACAATTTACAGATTCAATGCTATTCCTATGACATTCTTCACAGAATAAGAAAAAATTATTTTAAAATTCATATGGAAACAAAAAAGAGCTTGGACAGTCAAGGCAATCCTATGCAAAAGGAACAAGACTGGAGACATCACGCTACCCAACTTCAAAGTATTCTACAACACTACAAAAACCAAAAGAACATGGTACTGGCACAAAAACAGATATGGAGACCTATGGAACTGCATAGAGTCCAGAAATGATGCCACACATAAACAACTATCTGATCTTTGACAAAAACAAGCAAAAGGGAAACAACTCTCTGTTCAATAAACGGTGCTGGGATAACTGGCTAGCCATGTGAAGTTGGACCCCTTCCTTATACCATATACAAAAATCAACTCAAGATAGATGTAAAATTAAAACTACAAAACTGTGGAAAATAACCTAGAAAATACCATTCTGTACATAGGACCTGGCAAAGATTTCATGACAAAGGCACCAAAAGCAATTGCAACGAAAACAAAAATTGACAAATGGGGCCTAATCACCTAATTAAAAAGCTTCTGCGCAGCCAAAGAAACTATCAATAGAGTAGACAACCGACAGAATGGGGGAAAATATTTGCAAACTATGTATCTGATGAAGGTCTAATATCCAAAATCTATAATGAATGTAAACAAATCAACAACAACAACAGAAAACACAACCTCATTAAAAGGTGGTCAAAGGACATAAATAGACAATTTACAAAAGAAGACATACACAAGGCCAACAATCATATGGAAAAATGCTGTTTCTTTGAGACAGAAACTGCATGAGTATATCTTTTTGTTCAATAACTAGTTTACTTATTAAGGTTAATGTGCTTTCCAACTGTCCTAACAGTGGGCATTAGAGATGACACTGTGAAAGTTACAGAAACCATTAGTGAGATGCCTTTCTCAGTATTATGCTAACTGCAGCTTTTGCGAGTGTACAAGACCTGGGGTTGTGGCAAGAGAGATGACAGATGATTGGAGGGAGAAAGTAAAGGAGAAGGAATTGAAAAAGGAGAAAATGGAGGGAACCTGGTGGACATCCCACATCACAGTGTTTACAGGGATATCCCTCAACCGTCTTTGTCTATGTCTGCAATGCTAAGCAGCATGAGTGCAATTCTGCCTTGAAACACAGATCAAGTTACTTGGTCAATCTTGTCTCTTCTCTGTCAAATATTTCACTGATTCTGAACTCTGTGGACAGTTTAAAGCTGTCCTATGCCAGAGTCAACTCAGGACTGTCTTCTTCTGATTCACAAGAAAGAAATGGTTAAAATTGTCTTCCTGAGTGAGTGAAGCTAAAAAGATTCTTGCTGTAATGACTTCTGTCACTTAATCCTTCAGTATATGCCCACTTTTCTCCAACTTCTTTTTCAAGTCAGAATTTGTGCTACGAGATACAAATGCTTATAATTGTAGATATCAATTACTGCAATGTGATCATAAGAGCTGAACTAATCATTTACAGATTTAGAAAATGAGATAGCTCAGAATAATGTAATTGAATAGTCTGAAGAAAAAATGTGTCTGCAATTTTATAGTGATCCTTTTTCTTGTAAATTGAAGGTATTTCTTAGTGAATTCATTAATGAAATATCTTCGTTTTGTTTCCAGTTTTATTTTCCAGCAGATTTCGGAAAAATAAATCATTTGACATAGTAGAAGGAGACAGAAACTAAGAAACTTGTGTCTGATCAACAATAATGGTAACTAATTGCATGCCTGTAGGCTGGTTCTTACTCTTTGAACTGTAACACTTTGGAACTAGACTAACTCATCTCTTGGGTCCCTTTCAGCTTTTAAATTATATGATTATAAAATGACACTTCTTTCTCTTATTCCCTAAAAATGTGGGCTGTTACTAGGTGATACTATAAAAAGCAGACAGAAGCATAATATATTGAAAAGAGTATGGTATAATGGATGTGTGATTTTTGGATCAGCTTCTTTACCCAATGGCTGCAGGGTGGTGAACAAGTCATTTAAACTTTTCTTTCTCATCTATAATATATAGATAATAGAGTACTGTTGCTAGAGTTGAAAGAAGACGCTTTAAAGAAAAAAAAATCTGTGAAAGCAAAGCCTTCTGGAACAGGAAACTATTCATTACTAATTCAATAAAAATTTTAATGTATCTTAAAATCTCAAAGCTGATTGCTACTTACTATTATCTGTATAGTCTTCTAACTATGGAACATTCTAAGCCACATCTATAAGCATGGATTTTTCTCCAGAAATTATATTTTATGTTTTCTTGAATGTAGGGTACTTTCGATTTTCTAGAGATAGGATTTTTAAAAAAACTATCATTTTACATGTTCTGATCTAATAATTTTAGATACTCTTTTCTAAATAAGCCCTCCTCTTACCCACCTCCAAATTGTTACCGTTACTACTCTTCCCCCTAATGCTCCCTTTTACTTGACCTAATCCAAAAGTTTTCACATTTCAGAATTGTATTCATTTTTAAATAAATGCCTATTTTTTCCATTATGCAATTAATCACTATCTCAGCTAATTATGATCTATGTCTCTTTGGACTCCAGCAACTTTTTGATAGTACATTTTTTTACAGTCTGTCAATAACATTCTTAGTTGTATCTGTTAATATTAGCTACTTAAAAGATGACTTCTGCAGTCCCTCCTCAGGACTCGGAATGCTGAGGCAGGAAGATTGCTTAAGCCCAGGAGTTTGAGTCCAGCCTTGGCAACAAAGACCTCATCTCTTAAAAAAGTAAATAAAATGTTAATAAAATTAGATGCCCAATACTTAAAAAAAATACTAGCATACTAGCACACTCTTCTGAACCATGCTTTTTTAACTTATTAACTTGAAATCATTTTAGCATTTCAATATGGTTACAAAAATGATACAAATAGTTCCCAGATACTATTCACCTATTTTCTCCTACTGTACACATTTTGGCATAATCATAGCACAGGATAAAACTAGGATATTAAGTTTGTGTAGTACTAGTAACTAAACTACAGAATATTTTCAGATTTCACTTTTTTTTATGATTAATGCCTTTTTTTCTGTTCCAACATCCAATCCAGAATGCTACATTGAATTTAGGCATCATGTCCCTCTACTTATTGAATTATTTATTTACATAAGTATAGAATTATGACTATTTTGTTTTATGATCTGATATGGGTTGGGTCTGTGTCCCCGCCCAAATCTCATGTCGAATTGTAATTCCCAATGTTGGAGGAGGGGCCTGGTGGGAGGTGATTGGATCATGGAGGCAGATTTCTACCTTGCTGTTCTCATAATAGTGAGTGAGTTCTCACCAGATCTGGTTGTTTATAAAAGTATGTAACACCTCACCCTTTTCTCTCTCTTCCTACTTCTCCCAGCATATAAGACTTGCTTGCTTCCCTTTAGCTTTTTGCTATGATTACAAGTTTATTGAGGCCTCCCTAGAAGCAGAAACCTGTCCAGCTTGCAACACCATGGCCAATTAAACCTCTGTTCTTTATAAATTAACCAGGCTTAGGTAGTTCTTAATAGCAATGCAAGAATGAGCTAATATATGAGCTATTATCCAACACCATTTTTATTTACTTTCAAGATTAATCATTGAAAAATCGTTAAGGTTGGTTTCTATGACCTTTGGACATACTGTAATCCAGTTTGGAGTACCTCTGTATTTTCGGAAACCACACATGTTGCAGGCTCATCGTATGTTTCCCTTTCCTTGGCTCTAGAATCTACCATTTTTTCAAGAAGCCTTAAATCATTTTATAGAATATTGGTATTTAGTAACCAAGTAACCAATCGAGTGCTCGTCGTGCTCATTGTCACTGTGGTATTATTGCTTCTAGGCCCTTTAAGTGAACAAAGCTAGGAAATATATGTATGTTACTAACATATGTACACACACATACACATTTGTAACTATATTTGTGTGTATGTATTTAAACATGTATTTTAAACCACAAGTTCTTAATAATACCTATGATTCCAATTCAATACCACTCCAATGTTCACTTTAGTCTTCCCCTTTTCTTAAAATCTAGCTCATATTATTTATATTCACTTATTTGTTCAAACCTAGCATACACATAATATACTTTAGAATTACTGATGCATAGCCTTGTGAGAAAGGAATGTACTAACTACAATATAGTATTTGTGCAAAGTTCTTTTACTCTTTAGCCTTATTGTAAAATACTACTTTCTAAGTTGCCTGGGTTAGTTATCTTACTTCTTACTATAAGGAGTATAGTGTGGCTATAATTTATTGATAATATAGTTAGGTTTAATAGTTATTGTTTGTGTTCAGTTCCCTAATTCTCATATTAATTTTTTAATGACACACAGTAAAATTCACTCACTGTGGTAGACAGGCCTTTGACAAATGCATACAGTTCTGTGTTCATGACAATAGTTCCAACATGCCAAAAATTCCCTCATGCTGACAATTTGTAATCAGCCCCTCCTTTCATCCCTAACCTCTGGCAACCACTAATCTGATTTCTGACCTTATAGTTTTGCTTTTTATAGACTGTCGTATAAATGGAATGATACAATATTTAGCCTTTTGATTCTGCCTTCCTTCACTTTGCAAAATATATTTAAGATTCATCATCTCTTTTACTGCATTCATCAATGGTGTTATTATTATTATTATTAATTAGTAGTATTTCACGTTATGGATGTAAATAATTAGTTTATCCATTGCTATGCTTTCCATATTTGACCCCTTGGAATGCCATGTTGGAAGTTGATCTTCGGCCAGGTATGCATGTGTGTGTATATATACACACACACACACACACACACACAGTCATACATTTATATATGTGTATATATACACATATATATACACATATATGTATATATATAATGTGTATATACATCTATGTGTATATATATACACACATATATAGATATATGTGTGTATATATATATGTGTGTATATATATCCATTCATGAGATATATATACACACATATATATATCTCATAGGTGTGTATGTATACACATATACATACATACATATATACATATTTTTTATATATATATATATATATATACACACACACTTTTTTTTTTTTTTAGATGAGTCTTGCTCTGTTGCCCAGGCTATAGTGCAGTGGTGCAATCTCGGCTCACTGCAACCTCCACATCCTGGGTTTGAGCGATTCTCCTGCCTCTGCCTCCTGAGTAACTGTGATTACAGGCATGCACCACCATGCCCAGCTAATTTTTGCAATTTTAGTAGATACGGAGTTTCACCATCTTGGCCAGGGTGGTCTTGAACCCCTGACCTCAAGTGATCCATCTGCCTAGGCCTCCCAAAGTGCTGGGATTATGGATGTGAGCCACCGTGCCAGGCCTTATTTTTGCAATATTTAATTGATTTTTTTTCTAATTGTTAAATTTTGAAAATTCTTTATATAATCTAGATACCAGTTTCTTGTCAGAAATGTGATTTGTAAATACTTTCTCCTGATCTGTGATTTGTCTTTTAATTTTCTTAACCATGAATATGTATGCAGCAAAGCTAATCAAGACATACTTATAAGTCTTAATGAAGTACAGTGTGCAGAATGAGGGTGTTACTGCAAACCCCCTAATTATGAGTGTGTATGCATGGGTGTGTACTTGTGTGTGCACTATTTATGGCATGAGAGTGACTCTCCAAAGAAGTTACAAAAATGTTTCATAAGAGGAAAAGCCAGCTACAAACATCAGCAAGGTCAAGCTTCAGATAGTACGTGTTAACTAAATGATTTCCTGATAGCCTCTTTTCTCCTCCTTCCTGACCCTTCAACCTAGGCTCTGAATGGTAAAGCAGGTAAGGAAAAGAAGACAGAAGTCAATCCTCCTTAATCAGGGAACAGGCAGTGCATTTCCAGCTTTTCTTAGGAGTTAAAACAACTTTGTATGAAGTGAGAATTGATGGTTATTACATGGGACTAAACATCTAAGTATTGAACAGTACTTAAGTGTGATTTTTCTTCTCTAAATTGCCATAGAAATGTTTACAATCAATGCATGACTTGAAAATTGATAGGGCCATCTTAGTTTCAAGCAGAGAAGGGGGCATGAATGAATACATTTTGTACAGATAGTGAAAAACAAAATGAGTTGCTTTTTGAGTATATGTAACTATTCCTGTATGATCAGTATGCTGCTGTAACTTCTAAAAGAAATGCTACATTTATTTTGATGTGCTCTTTTGCAAGAATGTGACATAATTTATTTTACTCCTACTCTTTGGACTTTAGTTTATTTTAAATGTTGAATTGTTACAAATAATTCTAAATGATTAAACTTATATGTGTATTATTTTTAAGAAATCCATCTGCAAGAAAATTTATATGAAATACCAGAGGCAAAATTTTTGTGCATTTATAATTTTGGAGACATTGTTTCAACTATCTGGTCTGTTCTCCAGATGATTCCACACATTGATTTTAAATACATTTAATTTTGAATTCATTTATCATATATTACATTCCCAACAATATTTCAGTGTATTTCCAGGTTTCCTTGTCTACTCCAAAATTTACTTCTGTATGTATTATGTTGTACTATATCAATTAGTTTACTTTATGATATATACATTGAACTTATACAGACTGAGAATCCCTTATCTGAAGTGCTTGGAGCCTAAGTGTCTTAGATTTTTGACTCTTTCAGATTTTGAAATATTTGCATTGTATACTTAGCATCCCTAATCTGAAAACTTGAAATCATAAATGCTCCAATAAGCATTTCTCTGGAGTGTCATGTTGATACTAAAAATGTTTTTGACTTTGGAGCATTTTGAATTTTGTATATTTTAATTATGGATGCCTGTATATAGTTTTTAAGTAAACAATCAGGTAAAGATAGTATAGTTCTTTAACTCTATCTGTTATTCTTATTTTTCAGAATTTCAAAGAATTGTTCTTGCTTTTCTTCACATTACCTTTTGAACTATTGAAGTCAGGAACTGGGGCTTAATAATATTTATACTTAATGTAATACATAATACAGTGCCTATTGCCTAAAATATTCTAAGTAGATTATTGAATGTTTTCTGTATTTAATTAAAATTACTTATTTTTAAATTGTAGCACCACAAAACCCATCTTCCATCTACAGAATTAGACAAGGGATGCCAATTTGAACTTTCCTATCTAGATAGCATACAACTGTCAAGCAAGAGAGAAGGCAATATGGTTTGGAAGTTTGTCCCCTCCAAATCTCATGTTGAGATGTGACCTTTAAGGTTGGAGGTGGGGTCTAAGTGGGTGTTATTGAATTATGGCAGTGGGTCTCTCATGAATGGCTTAACACCATCCTTTTGGTAATAAGTGAGTTCTCACTCAGTTCATGCAAGATATGGTTGCTTAAGAGCCTGGGACCTCTGTTTTTTCTCTCTTGCACCCTCTCTCATTATGTGATATACTTGCTCCCACTTCACCCTCTGCCATGAGTGACAGCTCCCTGAGGCCTCACCAGAAGCTGAGCAGATGGCAGTGCCATGCTTGCACAGACTACGGAATCATAGCCAATTAAATCTATTGTCTTTATAAATTACCCAGCCTCAGGTATTTCTTTAGAGTGATGCAAAAAAGGACTTACATAGAAAGGAAGCTGTGAAATGACAGGAACCCACAGAACTGGGATAATATTGATAAGGGAGAGACAGTTACATTTCTGGAGAAATGTGTTCGTTGAATTAATGTAGCATTTTCAAACTCACACAGCTCTTTCCTAGTAAACTAACTATAAGCATTTATATCCTATTTATCAATAGTCAACAATAAGCTGAAATAAATCCTTTGTTTTTGCTGGGTGTGCAGCCATTTCTTATTTTGCTGATAACAGGACTCTCATTTTCTCTCAAGAATCCCCATTTCTCATCTTCGGTTTACATAGTTATTTTAAACCTGATGTGAACCCTAGTTCCAGAGTTGGGTATAAAACCCAGTCTTCGTTAATCAGTTCCCAAACCCTGACTGACTTTAGTGAATGGCTTATTAATATACATGACTTGAGGCAGCCCATTCAGGGATGACTATCCTCAATTCAAGTACCTTTGAAATTAAAGAAGATAAACATTTGTCTCTCACTTATATACTGTGGGAATGCAGGACTAGAACACTGGGGGTTGATCACATTGCAATAGCTTGTCTGAAAATTTAAGCAAGACACAAAGAAGAATAAATCAGAGCCAGGGGGCAAGATTACTACTGCAGATGTCATCATTTAAGCCCCTGGATCCAACTGTGAGTTTTCATTTAGGTATGCCAATAATGTTATTAACAAAAAGACTCAAGTTAACATGTCTTGAATTTGTTGTTGCTTGCAACCAAACACTTTAATCAATACATGTCATTTTAGAAATATGTTTGAAATTATTCTCGAGCTATTTTGTTCACAAGGGCATGAAGACGTGGGTGTGAATATGGGTATTATTTGTTTGTTGGTTTTACAAAACAAATTATATATTTTTTCTAAATATTCAGTAGAGTAATCTGAATTTCCTGGCAATGTAACTTGCCTCTGATAGAATTATACAAAATACCTGCCTAAATCATTTTTTTCTTGAGACGGAGTCTCGCTCTGTCACCCAGGCTCGAGTGCAGCGGCACTATCTCGGCTCACTGCAAGCTCCGCCTCCCGGGTTCACGCCATTCTCCTGTCTCAGCCTCCCAAGCAGCTGGGACTACAGGCCCCCGCCACCACGCCTGGCTAATTTTTTGTATTTTCAGTAGAGACAGAGTTTCACCGTGCTAGCCAGGATGGTCTTGATTTCCTGACCTCGTGATCCGCCCGCCTCGGCCTCCCAAAGTGCTGGGATTGAGCCGCTGCGCCCGGCCCTAAATCATTTTTAAAAATAAGTATTTGTAGTTCTTCCTTTTGAAATTTTTGTTGTTGTTTGGTGGTTTGCATACAACCTTTCTTATCCCCTACAAAAATCTGAAGAATTATAAAGCTGACATTTCACGCCTTAAATTTCAGCACTGTGAAAATCTCTATAAAACATATTTTTGGAGGCCAAGTTGCCAGTTGGATTGAGAGAGTCATCCTAAAATATCTAGAGTTTTCTTTGATGTCAAATATATATATATATATATATATATATATATACACACACACACACACACACACATACATACACATATGTGTGTATATATATGTGTGTGTGTATATATATATATTTGCTGGAGACTTCAAGGAAAACTCTAGATATTTTAGGAGATATATATATATATAATCCTATATATATTTAAATATATATCTTAGTATATATATTTATTTTGTATATGTAATAGCAGTTAAAAAGATTATAGAGAACTTCATCATTTTTCCATTTTTTATATAGAAAGCTCTACCACTATTATTATTGGTATTTCAGTAGGACTATTCTGTGTGGCAACATCCAGTAGGTCTATGTTGATAAAAAAGCAGAAATGGAAGTGAAACAACTGTACCAAAGATGCTGATGGTAGAACAGTCCTTGATGTTCTTAAAGCTTTAGGGCAGCTTAGAATAGGATCATATGACTTACAATAGTATACACATGCTGGTGACCAGGAATTTCTTGAATTTGTTTTACTGTGTTTCAGTACTGAGTACCAGTTATGCCAGGATATGCTACTGCAACATTCAAGAAACATGTGATTTGCCGGCAGCATTAAATAAATGTCAAATTAAAAAATATATGAGCCACTTGTTGATTTCCAAAACTGCATACGAGATATGCAATTGGAAATATGTGTGTAAACATCCTATCTGTTATTTCTGAATGATAAAGCATCACCTTTCCGGTACTTCTGCCTTGGTGCTCTTGCTGTCTAGGCAAACTGTCAGTTCCTGTGACAAAGACACAGACAACACCTGCCACATTCTTTGAGCCAGTAAAAACAGCCATTTAAAGAAGCAAAGGAAATGAAAAATAATGAGCAATGATGATAATATTTTCTCCATTGTCTTTTGTTTTAAATTTGATTTCCCTTTGGTCTCAGGTAGATTGTTTGCACTATAAAGTAATCCCATTAAGCAATCAAACAATAGGACTGCACCTGCCAGCTATCACAGCAAAGACAGGGAAGACCCACATCCCACATCAACTCTTCTGTGACAAACACAGTATCAATTCATTATATCATCTTGGAACTGATCAGCCAGGGAAGTAGTAGTTGTTTGGTTCCATTTATGAAAAGTATGAGTGCACATGTTTTAAGAGTTTTGTATATGCTCTTGTCCCTGCAAGCTTATATAACAGGAACTTAAAGTACAAGTTAAAAGTTGTTAAAAGGCATTTTTTTCACAAAATGCCCTACAAAACATGGCATTAATGTTTACTTTTTACTATTATTCATTAGTCTTGTGAAGATTTAAGGGATAAAAGTACCATAAGTAAGGTAACACGAGTGTATAAAGGTGTATAAAGACCTGACCCCAGTGTCTGAAATTATAATAACTCTAAGGGGCTATCTCAGCTTCAGAGTCCACAGAGGATTGGCTCAGGCCTTGTGGCCACTATACAGAGCCCAAGATCACTTTCTGTCCGATTTTTATTTCTTCTCTTCTTTGGTACACTTCTTTCAACAGCCAGGAAGGTCATTGGAAAAGGGCTGTCTTAGAAATGAGGCATAATGTATTTGGGGGCAGCTTCCTTCAACTCAGGCAACTCCCAAGGATCTTGACAACTGGGTACCTGTGGGAATACATCCTAAATTCCTAAGAGGTACACCTGAGCTTGGGCTCACACTATCCATGAAACCAGTGTAATAGCTTAATATTCTGCCAAAGTATTGCTAGCCACTTTAACACAATATGTTATGGATAGCTTATTCTTTATGTTGACATTTCAGGCTGTGTGTAATGAGTGTTATTGGCTGAGGAAACTTGACTGAATTTTATCATTTAACCAACACCCCTGGGAGAGAGAATGAAGGCTCTTTGTGGTATGTGGCATGTATTACTGATTTTTCTGGCTTAAATGCCAAGAACAATAACTAGCACTTAGATTTGACAGGTATTTGTGAAGTTAATGAGTGACAAGGATGGAGAAGTTAATAACTAACACTTTTTTCATGCTTGCTGTGAACCAGGCAGTGTTCTACATTCTTTGCATATTTAATACTTTGAGCCCTTGCAGCATTGCATTCCAAAAGGCACTACTGAAACTTAAAGCACTGTGACACAGGATAGTTAGGGAACTTCCCATGACCACTCAGGTACTATGTGTTGCAGCTGGCATTCAAACTCTAAGTCTCTTACTCCAAAGTCTGTGATCTGAACCACATGCATCTACTTGTGAATATTATGCTTCACTTTGCTTATAAGGACTTTTTGCCATATCTGGGTCTAGATTCACTAATCCAGTGATGAAGTAAAAGTTTTTTATCAGGAATTACCAACTATTTTTAACAAGAGCTAACAGAGTTTTTTGACCAAATCTGAATATTTTAATGGAATTGCACTCATTCATGTCAATCATTTATCTCTTAAGATATTTGAATGTGATGCTGCTAAAGAGTTTTCAGATTGTCCCTTCTGACACATGTGCTCATCTATAGGTGCTGAGATCTGGAACACAACAATCATAATCACCTCAGTCCATAGGCCATCTTTTCTATGTTGTTGCATTAGGGCAATTGATTATTTCCCTATTTTGCACTGAAGGTCCTGCAGCCCAGGAACTTTCTTAGTTGGAGGCTAACTGGAATGGTTTCTTACTCTATGTTATACCCTCATTCTTCTTGCGAATGTCATTGCCTCCTACATCTATTTGACTTAAGAAAGCCAAATAGAAGGAAGAAGGGATTCACTGATAAATGTCCTCTTGGCCCACTTTCAGGAAGAATAATTGACAGTGAAAGGAGGAGGAGTTTAGAATCTCCAGATCTTACACTAAAAGTTTTGTGTGTCCCTTTTGTGAGTGTTGGCTATATCCCAGCTGAGTACACCCACTGCAGCCAGAAATTTTCAGAAATCCCTCGTACCACTTTCTTGCTCCTCCAACCTTCCCATCCCTCAGTCTTCTATATTCCAAAAAAAAAAAGCTTAAAGTTTATTTTTTCCTGGACTCACCATTCTTTCATAATTACTAAGCATACATATCAATAGTTAGAATTATGTCTGCCCTTAAGTATGATCATATTATTTTTCATAAAAATAGTTCAGATCATAGTGTTTTACAAGCCCTGTTTCAATTTAACATGCCTTTTCCTTTTCGTTTTATTCTCTCTCTTTTTTATTTTTATTTTTTATTATACTTTAAGTTCTAGGGTACATGTGCACAACGTGCAGGTTTGTTACACATGTATACGTGTGCCATGTTGAGCGTTAGGAGATATACCTAATGTAAATGACGAGTTAATGGGTGCAGCACATGCCATTTTCAAAGTAAAGTAAAAAGGTGTTATTTTGTTTGAGCTGTGTGATGTCAGTAATGATTTAATGATGTTAATATCTTATTGTTAGAAAAAAGAAAACAACTTATTAGGCAACACTCTTGTCAACAAGATAATTCTGGTTAAACAATGTTGAAAGGAATGTTTCAAGACAAAATCAATAAAAACATAGACAAACATGAAAGATGACTAATGAGAAAATCAAGCCCTTTACACTTTGATGAATGCCATCAGAAAGTGTCAAAACTTGCAATGTATTACCAGATTAAAAAGGGCATGAAGCATTCAGAAAAACTAATTAGGGAAAACTGTACAATCACAAAAGCAACTTGAAAATGGCTGATGAGATAATTATGTTGAATAGTCAAAGAAACCAAAGGTCTGAGGTTTATGATACTTGCTTTATCAGTGATCTAAGGTGACATTGGGGACTCAGATACCAGAATTGAGTACACCAGTTAAACATATGTTAGAATAACTTTAAATTATATTGAAGAGTAACATAAACTTTGCTAATCATTTCTCCTAAGCCATTACCCATAGCTGTATTTGTTACCTCTTGATTTGAAAACCTTAGAGGGTAAATTAATTTAGTAATATGTATTTATTATTATATTTCTGGGTCTTTCATTATATTTATAGACTAATTGCAGTTGGATACAGAGGTTATGGAAAATTCAGATGCCTCCCTTACACCAAAGTCTTGAAATACTACTTTTCTTTCCTTGTGTGTTTTGCTTGGCTTTTCATCCCACACAAAGACAGGAAAGAGTATCTTAGAGTTTCCCTCTCTAATTCTTTCTGAAAAGAGTTAGCTATGGCATGAACACAATATTTCAAATTGGTAGGGATGAGTATGATATAATTATTAAGCCTGGATATCTGGGCATTGCCACTGGGTTAGAGTCACCTATTTTGTTGCTGTTTGCTCAGAAGTGTTACTTAAATTCCTTATGCTGGTGAGGCTTCAACCCCATGATTTCCAAGAAAAATTTTGAGCATATAATAACCTGATTTTTTCTTGCAACAGACAATAAAATGAAAAGAAGGAGATATATTGATGGAAGAACTTCAGCCAAAAGAAAACAGGAAGTGATAATCTGTGAAATTCTCAGGCCATGTAAATTGCAAAGCATATCAAAATTAATTTTGGCTTTGGAGGGAAAGCCAAGTGTGGCTGGACAATTATTTTATAATGCATCAGAAGAATTAATAGGTCAGATAATTCAGACACACAAAAGGCTGCGTGAAGACATTAGATGTGAGACCTGGAGATCCCCACACCTATCTCCTCAGAAGCCAGAAATTGAGTTAGGATTATCCAGGGAAGAGTTGTGGAAGAACTTTTGTCTAATGGAATGAATCCATGTGACATACACGGAAGACTCACAAGATACTTGAAAATGCCGTACCAGCAGAAACACTGTCAGTTTCTACTGAAAAGAACAGAGAAAAGAGAAAATGAAAGAAGGCTGTGAGACTCTCAAAATTTTACAAGCAGAAAACAGGATGATAAAATTATCAAGCTTCAAATAAATGCTACTACCCTTCATGAAAAAGGAAGAATGACTCTAAGATTGGATCTGTGAACACACAGGGCAGAACCTTCAACCACATAGTATAACTCCCAGGCCTTAAAACGTAATCCAGTTTTACTGGAATTTTAAATCACTTAGCTCTTATGACTCCTTTGTTCTTTTGTTTTCTTCCTTTTGAATGGGAATCTGTTCATCTATTCCTATCCTTCCATTTTATTTTGGGAGCAGATAACTTGTTTACTGGTTTTACAGCTCTACAGAAGAAGAGAAACTTGGTTCCAGGATGGATTATATCTACAGTCTCATCTTTATCTGATTTATTTGAATAAGATAATAAGAACTGGGATTTATGTGATGAGGCTGATATGAAATTTTGAATTTAAGTTAATACTCCAGTAGGTTGAGACTTCAGGTGACCTTAGGGTAGGATGAATGTATTTGTCTGTGGGATAGGTATGAATTATTTTTTATTGATATACAATATACGTACATATTTATGGGGTACATGTGATATTTTGTTACATGCATAGAATGTATAATACCAAGTGAGGGTACTTGAGATAACTGTCACTTCGAGTATTTATCATTTCTACGTGTCAAGAACATTTCAGATGCTTTCTTCTAGCTATTTTGACATATACAATATATTTTAGTTAAATTTGGTCACCCTACTCTGCTATCAAACATGAGAACTTAGTCTTTCTATGTAATGATATGTTTGTATCCATTAAGCAACCTCTATTTATGCATCTCCTCCCCTGCAACACACATACACACACACACACACACAAACACACACACACACTCTTCGGCATCTGGTATCTATCATTCTACTCTCTAACTTTATAATATCAACTTCTTAGCTTCACATATAAGTGAAATGTGTGATACTTGTCTTTCTATGCTTGGCTTATTTCACTTAATATAATGACCTCTAGCCTCTAGCTCCATCCACATTGCCACAAATGACTTGATTTCATTCTCTTCTTATGGCAGAATAGTATTCCACTGTGTAATTATACCACATTGTCTTTATCTCCTCATCCATTGATGGACACTTGGGTTGATTCCATATCTTTGCTATAGTGAATGGTGGTGCTATTGTGAATAGTGGTGCAGGTAACCTTTTGATATACTGATTTCTTTTCTTTTGGATAAATACCCAGTAGTGAGATTGCTGGATCATATGGTAGTTTTATTTTTAGTTTTCTGATTAATCTCCGTACTATTTTTAATTGTGCTGTACTTATTTACATTCCTACCAACAGTGTATAAATGTTCCATTTTCTCTACATCCTTGCTGCAAACTGTAATGTTTTATCTTTGTAGTAATAGCTAATATAACTGGGATGACAGATCTTTGTGGTTTGAATTTGTATTTCCCTAACAACAAGTGATGTTGAGCATTTTTAAATATACCTCTTGGCCATTTATATGTCTTTTTTTTGAGAAATGCCTAGTCATGTATTTTTTGCCCATGTTTTAATGGAATGATGATGATTATTATTATTATTACTGTTGAGTTGTTTGAGTCTCTTGTATATTCTGGATATGAATTCCTATTTTGCAAATATTTTCTCCTATTCAACAGGTTGTCTTTCCTTCTGTTGATTGTTTCATTTGCCAAGCAGAAGTTTTCTAGTTTAATACACTCCCATTAATCTATTTTCTGTTTTGTTTCCTGTGCTGTGCTGTGGAGGTCCTAGCCTCAAAATTCTTGCCTAGGCCAATGTCCTGTAGTGTTTCCCCTATATTTTATTCTAGTGGTTTATACTTTTGAGATTTATGTTTAAGTCTTTAATCAATCTTGAGTTTATTTTTGTATATGATGAGAAATAGGGGTCCAGTCTCATTCTTCTGCATATAAATATCCAATTTTCCCAGCATCATTTCTTGAAAAAGGTGTCCTTTCTTCAAAGTATGTTGTTGGCGCCTTTGTTGAACATCTGTAGGCTATATATGTGGATTTATTTATGGGTTCTCTATTCTTTGTTTTATCTTTTGTAATTTTTTATTTTTGTGGGTACATAGTGGTATATATATTTATGGTATACATGAGATACTTTATTATAGGCACGCAATGTGCAATAATCACATCATGGTAAATAGAGTAACTATCCACTTAAGCATTTATCCTTTGTGTTACAAAAAATCAAATTGTAATATTTAGTTTTTTCAAATGTACATTTAAATTATTGTTAACTATAGTCACCCTGTTGTGCTATCAGATACTAGCTCTTATTCATTCTATGATTTTTTTTTGTCCAAATTAACCATACCCACTTCTCCATACTCCTCACTTTCCTTCCCCGCCTCTGGTAACCATCCTTCTACTCTCTGTCTCCATCAGTTAAATTGTTCTAATTTTCAGCTCTCACAAATTAGTAAGAACATGTGAAATTTGTCTTTCTGTGCCTGAACTATTTGACTAAACATAATGACCTCCAGTTCCATCCATGTTGTCACAAATGACAGCAACTCTTTCTTTCTTAATGGTTAAATAGTACTCCGTTGTGTATAAGTACCACATTTTCTCTATCTGTTCATCTGTTGATGGACAATTAGGTTGATTCTAAGTCTTGTTTATTTTAAACAGTGCTCCAATAAACATGGGAGTGCAGATATTTTTTCAATATACTGATTTCCTTTATTTTGAGTATATTACCTAATAGTGTGATTAGTGTGATGTGTGATCATATGGTAGCTCTACTTTTAATTTTTTGAGGAACCTCCAAACTGTTTTCCATAGTGGCCATTCAAATTTACATTGAACCAACTGTGTATGAGGGTTCCCTTTTCTCCACATCTACTCCAGAATTTGTTATTGCCTGTCTTTTGGATAAAAGTCATTTCAACTGAGGTGAGATTTCTAATTGCAGTTTGGATTTGCATTCTCTGATGATCAATGATGTTGAGTACATTTGCTTACTCCTATTTGCCATGTGTATGTCTTCTTTTAAGAAATGGCTACTCATAACTTTTACTCATTTTTTTTGGATCAGATTATTAGTTTTATTTTTCTTTTTTTTTTTTTTTTTTGAGACGGAGTCTCGCTCTGTCGCCCAGGCTGGAGTGCAGTGGCGGGATCTCGGCTCACTGCAAGCTCCGCCTCCCGGGTTCACGCCATTCTCCTGCCTCAGCCTCCCAAGTAGCTGGGACTACAGGCGCCCGCCACTACGCCCAGCTAATTTTTTTGTATTTTTAGTAGAGACGGGGTTTCACCGTTTTAGCCGGGATGGTCTCGATCTCCTGACCTCGTGATCCGCCCGCCTCGGCCTCCCAAAGTGCTGGGATTACAGGCGTGAGCCACCGCGCCCGGCCTAGTTTTATTTTTCTATAGAGCTGTTTGAGCTTCCAGATACTCTGGTTATTAATCCCTCTTTAAATGGGTAGTTTTCAAATATTTTCTCCATTCTGTGGGTTATCACTTCATGTTGTTGACTGTTTCTTCTTAGATGTACAGAAGCTTTTTAATACAATGTGATCACATTTGTCCATTTTTACTTTGCCTGTGAAATTTTTGCCTAGACCAATGTCCTTGATAGTTTCCTGAATGTTTTCTTTTAGCAGTTTCCTGGTTTCAGGTATTAGATATAAGTATTTAATTCATTTTTTTAATTTTGTGTAATTTACTCACTTAAAATGTTTCATACATATTAATATATTCATTCAGTTGTTCAATCATCACCAAAGTTTAATTTTGTAACATTTTTGGTATCCTCAAAGAGTCCCAGTACCCATTAGCAGTCACTTCCCATTTCTCCTCCACCTTACATCGTTAGGCAACCACTGTCTAAACTTGCCTGTTTGGGAGATTTTATATAAATGGAATAATAAAAATGTACTCTTGGTTCTGGTTTCTTTTACGCAGCATGATATTTACAAGAATATACTTTCACCCAGGTTGCAGCATGTGTCAGTACTTCATTCCTTTTGTTGGTCAATAACATGATATCATATATATGATATATGATATACCATATTGTATTTATCCACTCATCAGTTAATTAACATTGGGGTTGTTGATTTGATTTTTATATATAGTGAGAGATAGAGGTCTAGTTTCATTCTTCTACATATGGATATTGAGTTTTCTCAGCACCATTTATTGAAGAGACTGTCTTTTCCCCAATGTATGCTATTGGCACCTTTGTCAAAAATTGATTTATTGTACATGTATGAATGGGTTTCTGGGTTCAATATTCTGTTCCATTGGATTTTGCGCCTGTTTTTATGACAGTACCATGCTGTTTTGATTCCTATAGCTTTGTAGTATAATTTGATGTCAGGTAATGTCATTCATCCAGTTTTGTTCTTTTTCCTTTGGATAGCTTTGGCTACTCTGGGTCTTTTGTGATTTCATATAAATTTTAGGATTTATTTTTCTATTTCTGTGGACAATGTCATTGGTATTTTGATAGAGATCACATTAAATCTGTAGATTGTTTTGGGGGTATGGACCTTTTAACAATATTGATTCTTCTAATCTATGAACATCGAATACCTTCTTGTGTTTTTGTGTTCTCATCAATATCTTTCATCAGTGTTTTATAGATTTCATTGTATTAGATGTTTCATTTCTTTGCTTAATTCCTAGGCATTTAGTTTTATTTGTGATTATTGCAAATGTGATTACTTTTAGATTTCTTTTTCAGATTGTTCATTGTTGGCATACAGAAATGGTACTGATTTTTTAGTTTAGTTTTGTATCCTGCATCTTTACTTATTTTTTTATCAGTTGTAATAATTTTCTAGTGGAATCTTTAGGTTTTTTTCAAATATAACATCATGTCTTCTGCAAACAAGGATAATTTGCCTTCTTGGTTTCCAATTTGGGTGTCCTTTATTTTCCTTCCTTTGTTCTAATTGCTCTAGCAATTAATTGCTCTAGAAACTCTAGAGTTTCTTGTACTATGTTGAACAATAGTGGTGAAGTTGGTATCATTGTCATATTCCAGGTCTAAAAGAAAAAGATTTAACTTATGATACTAGCTATGGGTCTGTTATACATGGCTTTTATCATGTAAATGTATGTACCTTCTATATCTTCTGAGCTATTCTATAGCTTGTATAGATTTTTTTAGAGTTTTTAACATGAAGGGATGTTGAACTTTATCAAATGCTTTTTAAGCATCAATTGCAATGATCGTGTTTTTTGTGCTTCATTTTGTTGATATAATGTATTACATTGTTTGATTTTCACATGTTGAACCATTCTTGCATACCTGGGATGAATCTTACTTGGTCATAATGAATAATCTTTTTAATATATTGTTAAATTTTGTTTGCTAGGATTTTGTTGATAATTTTGCTTCAACATTTATCAGCAATATTGTTCTGTATCTTTGTTTTTTGGGTGTGTCTTTGTTTTGTTTTGCTCTCGGAGAAATACTGGTTTCATAAAATGATTTTGGAAGAATTACTTCCATGTATTCCAAATTATTTTTTGGAATAGTTTTAGTAGTATTGGTATTAGTTCTTCCTTTAATGGGTAGAATTCAACTGTGAAGCCATCAAGTCCAAGGATTTTATTTACTGGGAGACTTTTAGTATAACTTCAATTTTGTTACTTGTTATTGCTCTGGTCAGGTTTTGGATTTCTTTTGGATTTCTTGTCAGGTTTTATATATATATATATATATATATATATATATATATATATATATATATATATATATATATAATTATATATATAGAGATAATTCTATATATATATAGAATTCTATATATAGATATGAATTTATCAATTTCTTCTAGATTTCCCAATTTATTCACATATATTTGCTTAAATTCTTACATATATATAAGAATTTATCAATTTCTTCTAGATTTCCCGATTTATTCACATATAGTTGCTTAAAGTAGCCACTAATAATCCCGTGAATATCAGCAGTATCAGCTCTAATGTATACTTTTTCATCTCTGATTTTATTTATTTGGATCTTTTGTCTGTTTTTCTTAGTCTAGCTACAGGTTTGCCAATTTTGTTTATCTTTTAAATATATTTAATAATCCCTTTTTTCATTTAAATTTCGTTTATTTTTGCTTGGTTCTTTATTATTCATTTTCTTTAATATTGGTTTGGTTTGCTATTGTTTTTCTAGTTCTTTAAGGTGCATCATTAGGTTATTTGAAGTTTTTCTTTTTTTGGATATGGGCACTGATAGCTATGAATTGCACTCTTAGTACCAATTTTGCCGTATCCCAGGTTTCGGTATGATGTGTTTTCATTACTATTAGTTTCATAAAATTTCTCAATTTTCTTCTTTATTTCTTAATTGACCTACAGGACATTCAGGAGCATATTGTTTAATTTCCATATGTTTTTATAGTTTTCAGAATTCCTCTTGTTATTGTTTTCTAGTTTTATTTCATTGTGGTCAGAGAAGATGCTTGATGTAGTATCAATTTTTTGGAATGTTTTAACTTATTTTATTACCTAATAATATGGTATATCTTGAAGAATGATCCATGTGCTGAGGAAAGGAATGTATATTCTGCAGCCAGGATGAAATGTTCTGTTAATATTTATTAGGTCCATTTGTTCTATCGTGTAGATGAAGTTTGGTGTTTCTTTGTTGAATTTTTCTCTAGAAGATCTGTCGAATGCTGAAAGTGGGCTGTTGAAGTCCCCAACTATTATTGTGTATTGGTCTGTCTTTATATTTAGCTGTAATAATATTTATTTCATAAATCTGGGTGCTCCAGTGTTGGGTACGTATATATTTACAATCATTATATTGTCTTGCTGAATTGACACTTTTATCATTCTGTAATGACTTTCTTTGTCTCTTCTTACAGTTCTTCTCTTGAAATCTACTTTGTCTAATTATAGCTACTCCTTCTCTTTTTTGTGTCTTATTGGAATGAAATATCTTTTTCTAACCCTCATTTACAGTCTGTGGATGTGTTTATAGATGAAGTGTGTGTCTTGTATTCAATAGATTATTGGGTTTTGTTTTTATATCCATTATACCACTCTATGTCTTTTGATCAGAAAGTTTAGTTTACTTACATATTTAAATTCAATGTTATTATTAAGTAAGGACTTATTTCTGCCATTTGTTATTTTTTTCTAATTGGCTTGTAGTCCTTTCTTCCTTCTTTCCTTTTTTCCTTTCTTCCTTTATTGAGGGTGATTTTCTCTGCTGCCAAAATTTAATTCATTGCTTTTTATTTTTGGTCTATCCCTTGTACTTTTGTTTAACCATGACACTTGCAAATGGTGTCTTGTAACCCATTATTTTAACGTGATGACACCTTAACACGGATTGCATAAAAAACCAAAAATGCAAAAGGAAAACTAAGAAAAACTCTACACTTTAACTTTTTGTTTCTGCTTTTTAACTTTTTGTTCTTTCTCTTCATGTCTTATTGTATATTTATGTCTTAAAAAGTTGTTGTAGTTATTTTTTTAGCTTGGCTCATTATTTAATGGTCTTGTTGCTTAAGAGTAGTTTACACTGCAGTGTTATAATATTCTGTTTTTCTGTGTGTTTACTATTACCAGTGAGTTTTGTTTTTTCAGGTAATTTCTTCTTGCTTATTACCATCCTTTCTTTCAGACTAAGGAACTCGTTTTTCATTTCTTGTGGGACAGGTTGGTGTTGATGAAATTTCTTAGCTTTCATTTTTCTGTAAGATCTTTATTTCTCCATTCTTGAAGGACATTTTTGCTAAACATACTATTCTAGGGTAAAAGTTGTTATCTTTCAGCAATTTAAATATGTCATGCCACTCTCTCCTGTACTGTAGGGTTTCCACTGTCTTCTGTCAGACATATTAGAGCTTCCTTGTATGTTATTTGTTTATAATCACTTGTTGCTTTTTGGATTCCTTTTTAATGCTTGACCTTTGGGAGTTTCATTATTAAATTCCTTGAGGTAGTATTATTTGGGTTAAATGTGCTTGGTGTTCTATAACTTTTTTCTACTTAGATATTGATATATTTCTCTAGGTGTGGGAAGTTCCAGGATTGTTCCCCGATGCCTTATTTAGTACACTTGATGAGGTCATGGTTTCCTTGCTGGACTTGATGCTTATAGATTGTTGGTGTCTGGGCATTGATTAGTTAGGTATTTATTGTGGTCTTCATAATCTGGGCTTGTTTGTGCCCATTCTATTTGGGAAGGCTTCTGTAGTATTCAAAGGGACTTGGGCTCCAAACCTAGTAATGCTGTGATTGTTGGTGGTCATGCATAAGATCTGAAAGAATTCTCTGGATTACAAGGCAAAGACCCTTGTTTTTTTCCCTTACTTTCTCCCAAAGAAATGGAGTTAGTCTCTCTCTCTCTCTCTCTCTCTCTCTCTCTCTCTCTCTCTCTCTCTCTCTCCTACAGTGCCTGGTACTCTGGGTGGGGTGATGCAAGATGCAAGTACCCCTGTGGCTACCTCCTCTGGCACTGCCCTGGGTGAGACCTAAAGCCAGCATAGCCCTGAGTCTTGCCCAAGGCTCACTATAACCACTACCTGGCTGCTGCCTATGTTCACTCAAGGCTGTAAGGCTCTACAATCAGCAGATGGTGAAGTCAGCCATGTCTGTGAACTTCTCTTCAGGGCGGTGAGTTCCTCCAGGCCCCAGGCAGGTCCAGAGATGCTATCTGGGAGCCAGGGATTGGAGTCAATAACCTTAGAAATCTACCTAGTATTCTATTCTACTGTGGCTAAGCTGGCTCTCAAACCACAAGACAATGTTTTTACTGCTATCCCTCCCCTTTCCACAGGCAATGGAGCCTCACTCCATGGCCACCACCACCACCACCAGCTCATAGGCTGTTCTGCTGAGCCACTCCTAATATTTGCTTAAGGCCCAAAGCTCTTCAGTCAGGTTATGGTGCATTCTTCCAGGCCTGGGACTCACCCTTCAGGGCAGTGGGTTCCCCTCTGTCTCAGGGAAGGTCCAGAAATGCTGTCCAAGAAATGAATCTTGGACTTAGGGACCCCAAGAGCCTGCCTGGTGCTCTGTCCCATTGTGGCTGAGCTGGTACTGGAAGCCAGCATGTCTCAGTATGTCAACCAAAGCCCATAGTGTAGTACCTGGGTATCGCTATCAGTTATTCGGGGCACAAGGTCTCTTCAGTCAGTAGGTGAAGAATTCTGCTAGGAATTGGTCCTTCCCTTCCTGGCAGTGGGTTTCCTTGTGGCCAAAGATATGTCTAGAAATGTCATCTGAGAGCTAGAGCCTGAGATGGTGGCCTCATGACTCTCCCCATGGTCCTATCCTATTCTACTGTGGCTGAGCTGGCATCCAAGATGCTAGACATAGTCCTTTTTACTCTTTCCTCTTCTAAAGCAGAGGGAAGGAATCACTTTAATTGCTGTGAGCTGCACTGCCTGGGGTTGGGTAAGGGTGGCACAGCTACTCCACCAACTGGTCTTTCTGACGTCCCACTAGGTCACACACTCCCCCAATCCACTTACTCTTCAGACCAAAACAGCATCAGGACTTGCCTAGAAATTTTAGTCTTTGTGTCTTAGACTGCATTTCAAGTTTATTTTCAACTTCAGAGCACTTTAGATTGAAATGATGAGGCTTGCCAAGAAACTCAAGTTCTGACTGCTGGGATGGGTGTTTCTCCTCTGGCTGGGTCTGGTCCAAATGTTCCCTCCATGGGTGGGCATTGACTAAATTCAGTATGGTTTGGATGTCTGCTGTGACAGGTCCGTGCTGAGTTCAATGTAAAGTCACCCATTCACTGTGTTCTCCCTCTCCCAAATGCACAGATTCTCTCTCCACACCATGAAGCTGCTGCTGAAGGAGGGAAGAGGGCTAGTGTTGGCAATCCAAGACAGTCTTTTCTACACTCTTCAGTGTCTCGTTAAACTACATGAAGCTAAAACCAGGTACTTTGATTGTTTATCTGATTTTTAGTTGTTATGAAGGTGCTTTTTTTCTATGCAGATAGTTAAAATTTGGTGTTCTGGTGTTGGAGATGATCAGTGGAGCCTTGTATTACACCACGTTACCACACCCTCTGAATTCTCTATTCTGTTTTATTGGTCTTTGTTTTTATAGCAATGCCATGCTGTTTTGATTGTTATAACCTTATAAAATATCTTCATGTCAGATAGTGTGATGCCTCCTTCTTTGTTATTTTTGCTTGAGATTGCTTCAGTAATTTTGGCTCTTTTTTGATTCTATATCAATTTTAGGTTTGCTTTTTCTACTTCCAAGAAAAGTTACACTGATATTTTGATAGCGATTGCATTGAATCTGTAGATTGCTTTGGACAGTATGGTCATTTTAATTCTTTAAATCCATGATCATGCAATTGCTTTTCATTTGTTTATGCCTTCAGCTTATTTCTTCAATGTTTTATAGTTTTATTTGTAAAGGTCTTTCACCTCCTTGTTTAAATTTATTCCTAGATATTTTGTGGAGCTATTACAAGTGGGATTGCCTTCTTGATTACTCTCTAAGCTACTTAATTATTATCGTACAGAAACACTACTGATTGGTGTATGTTGACTTTTTATCCTACAACTTTACCAAACTTATTAGATCCAAGAGTTTTTTGATGAAGGCAAGGTTTTTCTAGGTACAAAATTATGTTATCTTAAATGAGAAACAATTTAACTTCCTTTTCAGTTTGAATGCCTTTTATTTTGTTCTTACTTCATTGCTTTGGTTGAGGCTTCCAGTAATGGGTGGAATAGAAGTGGTGAATGTGGACATCCTTCTCTTGTTCCAGGACTTAGAGGAAAGGCTTTCAGCTTTTCCTCATTCAGTATGATGTTAGCTGTGGGTGTGATATATGACCTTCATTACGTTATGTTTCTTCAGTGCCTAGTTTGTTAAGAGTTTTTATTATAAAGCGACGCAGGATCTTATCAAGTGCTTTTTCTGCATCTATTGAGATAATCATATGGTTTTTGACCTTCATTCTGCTGATTGATGTGTCATGTTTATTGATTTACATATGTTAAACTATTATTGAATCCCCAGGATAAAACCTACTTGACCATGGTGTTATATTTTTACACATGTGATACTGGAATTGGTTGGCTAATAATTTTTTGAGGATTTTTGCATCTATGTTTATCAGGGATATTGACTTGTAGCTTGTTTGCTTGTTTCCTTCCTTACTTCCTTTTCCCCTTCCTTCTTTCCTTCCTTTCCTTTCTTTCCTTTCCCTCTCTCCCTCCCTCCCTCCTTTCTTTCTTTTCTTTTTTCTTTTCTTTTTTCTTTTCTTTTCTTTTCTTTCTTTCTTTCTTTCTTTCTTTCTTCTTTCTTTTCTTCTTTCTTTCTTCAGTTTCCTTTTTTTGCTTTCTATCTTACTTTTTTATCTGGTGTTGGTATCAGGGCAATGTTGGCCTCAGAGACTGAGTTTGGGAAAATTTTCTTCTCTTCAATTTTTTGCAATTGCTGGAGAACTGGTGCTAGTTCTTTTTTGTACATTTTGTGGAATTTGGCAATAAATCCACACAGTTTTGGACTTTTCTCTGTTGGGAGACTTTTTATTATTGATTCAATCTCATTTTTTCTATTGGTCTGTTCAGGTTTACTATTGTTTTTAATGATTCAATTATGGTAGGTTTTATGTGTCCATAAATATATCCATTTTCTCTGGATTTTTTAGTTTGTTAGTGAATAATTGTTCATAATAATTTCTGATCCTCCTTTGTATTTGTGTGGTATCAGTTGTCATGTCTCCTTTTTTGTTTCTGGTTTTATTTTGGGGGGTATTCTCTCTTTTAGTCTTGATAACTGATATAGTTTGGATATTTGTCCTCACTCAAATCTTATGTTCAATTGCAATTCCCAGTGCTGCAAGTGGGGCCATTGGAAGTATTTGCATCATGGGGGTGGATTTCCGATGTCATGGTTCTATTTTCAAGATAGTGAATCTCGTGAGATCTGCTCATTTAAAAGTGTGTGGCACCCCCTTGAACACACACTCTTGTTTGCTCCTGCTTTTTCCATGTGACGTGCATGCTCCCCCTTCACCTCTACCATGATTCTAAGCTTCTTGACGCCTCCCTAGAGGCCAAGCAAATGCCAGCATCATGTTTTTGTAAAAAACCTGCAGAACCGTGAGCCTTATTCCTTTATAAATTAAACTTCTTTTCTTCATAAATTACCCAGTTTCCATTGTTTCTTTATAGCAATGCAAGAATAGCCTATTGTAGTTACTCTAGCTAGTGTTTCATTGATTTTATCTTTTAAAAAATCAACTTTTCATTTAATTAATCCTTTGCATTTTTTTTAGTCCGTTTCATTTAGTTCTGCTCCTTTTCATTGGTTCTTTCCTTCTATAATTTTGGATTTCGTTTGTTGTTGCTTTTCAAGTTCCTTGTGGTGCATAATTGGATTACTTATTTGAAAATTTTCTACTTTTTTGGTGTAGGCATTTATTGAAATAAAATTCCCTCTTAGAACTGCTTTTACGTTATCGTATATGTTTTGATATGCTATGCTTTGTTTTTTATTTGTGTCAATAAATTTTTTTATTTTCTGCTTAATTTTTTGACTCTTTGGTCATTCAGGAACATGTTTAATTTTCATATATTTTCATATATTTGTATAATTTTCCTATTTCATAATTTCATATATTGAAAAATATTTCATAATTTTCATATATTTGTACAGTTTACAAAATTCCTGGGTACATACATGTTTGGAATGTTTATATCCTCTTGCTGAATTGATTCCTTTATCTTTATATAATTACTTTTTTCTCTCTTTTTATAGTTTTTGACTTAAAGTCTGTTTTATTATACAAATATAGCTATTGCGTGAGCTTTTGGTTTCTGATTGCATGAAGTATCTTTCTCCATCACTTTACTTTCAGTCTGTATATGTCTTTCCTTGTAGGTAGCATATAGTTCGGTCTTTAAAAAAAAATCCATTCAGCCAGTATGGCTGTCATTTTATTAATTGATTTCTGGTTATTTTGTATATCGTTTATTTTTCTCTTATTACTTATCTTATGATTTGGGTTCCTGTAGTGGTAACATTTGCATTCTTTCTCTTCCTTATTGTCTGTTTGCTCTAAAAGTGAGTTTCACACTTTCATGTGTTTTCCTGATGGAATATATTTCACTTCTAGGATTAATACTCCCTTGAATATTTCTTACAGAACCAGCTAGTGCTAATGTATTTACTTAATTTTTTGTTTGTCTGAGAAAGACATTATTTCTCCTTTATTTATAAAGAATAACTTTGCTGGACATGCTTGAATTGCAGGTTTATGTTGTTTTTGTTTATTTTTTTCAGCATTTTGAATATACCATCCCATTCTCCCCGGTTGGTAAGGTTTCTGCTGAGAAATCGACTGTTAATCTGATGAGGGCTTTCTTAAGTGACTTAATTCTTTTCTCTTGCTCTTTTTAGAATTCTTTTTGTCTTTGACTTTTAATACATATACTTTAATATGCCATAAAAAACCTTTTTAATTGTATCTATTTTGGGATTTCTAAGCTGCCTGTATCTGTTAACTAAATCTCTTTCTAGACTTGGGAAGTTTTCATCCAGTATTTGTTAAATAGGTTTTCTAATATTTTTATTCTACCTTAGCCTTGAGGAGTACCAATAATTTGAGTTTTCCACTATGTTGCCCCAAGTGTCACAAAAGCTTTGCTCATTCTTTTTCATTCTTTTTTATTTCTTTATGAGTGGATTATTTCAAAAGACCTGTCTTCAAATTTCTAAGATTCTTTCTTCTGGTTGATCTAGTCTATTCCTGAAGTATTCAAATGTATTCTTACTACATTCAAAGAAATTTTCAGTTCCAGAATTTTTGTTTGGTTCTTTTTTATATTAATATAAATACAAATAATTTTAGTACAAAACAAATACCTAATATAAATATTAAAAAAGCAATTACTTTTCCCCCAACACAATATAAATATGAATAATTTTGGTACATTTCTAATTCATATCTTGAATTATTTCTCCGATTTCTTTGTATTTATTTGTGTTCTCCATGATCTCACAGAACTCCCTTAATATCACTATTTTGAATTCTTTTTCCAGGATCTCATCTGTTACTTTTTCATTGGAATCTCTTGCTGTAGCATTATTGTGTTTCTTTGGTGGTGTCATTTTTTTAAATGTTTCTTGTGTTTTTACATTTATATCTGCATGACTAGTGTGACAGTTGATGTTTCTAATTTTTAACATTTGCTTTCATAGAGTATACCTTTTTTCCTGAAGACCTATCTATGGTGTTGGTTGGGCACGGCACTTTGGCTTTGACTAGGTGGGTGCATTAATGGATTCTTCATCTTATTTCTTTGGCTGTAACAGTGTCAGTGATGTCTGTAATTTCCTCAGAGTTTTAGGGCAAGGTTTTCAGTGAAGGCTGTGGTGAAGTTATACTGTGGACAGCAATGCCAGGTGGACCAATCCTTAGACCCCAGTGGTGGCAGCGGCAGACTGAGTATGCAATCCCCTGGGCTCCAGGGTATTATACACCTACACTAGTGTTAGCAGGTCCAGACTTGATTTATTCTTGGGCCTCCAGGCAAATTTCTTGAGTGCTGGTAATAGCAACAATGGGCCATGTGGGTGGATAGGTCATTTGGCTAGCAGGTGTTTGGGGTGATGGCAGTAGCAGTGGTATGACAACCTTCTGGCTTCCAGTCAATGCAGGTGTGAATATTAGATATGATAGGGTGAGTGGGCTAGTTCCAGGCCTGCAAGTGTCACAATTGAATGTGTACGAACTGTGCTGGTAGTGGCAGGTTGAATGGGCCTGAACTCAGGCCCCTAGGAGAAGTGTTCACATGCCAGTGATGGTGGATGTGGCTGGGTGAACTTTAGACTTCTGGACAACATACTCAGGCATTGGGGAGGAGGGTGGAGCTGGGTCAGGTGGACCTATCCTGAGGGCTTCCAGTGGTAAATGCAGGATCTGGTTGTGGTAGTGACCCCAGGCTCCCAGTGGAATGGTTGGGTTTGAGTAGCACTGGCTATGCTTCTGCCCTGCTATTATGTCAGGTTTGCTTTTAACAGCAGCAGCTGTAGGCAGGTGACTGGGTAACTAGCACTTCAGCCTCAGATGGTAGCTTTAGACTAACAACCTATCTTCAGGGTGCTTGTAAATGTGTGGCCACTGTGCTGTTGGGGGCAGTGGTGTTGCTCCTAGTGGCTTTTGCTTTAGCCCTGGATGTAGCATTCAGCGGTGGCAGCTGTGGGTAGGAGAATGTCCTCAGGAAACATGAACATCCACAGCAGCTCCATTACTGGGGACAGCAGGGTCACTGCATATGGGTTGCACTTTGGCTCTGGTGACAGTGGACAGCTGTGGTAAAAGCCACCGATGGGGATGTCAATAGGGCTTAAGGGATATGGGGATGATGGGGCTGTTGGGTCGCAAGCCAGGGTGCAATCTGGTAGGCCTGGACTCTCAAAATGGTACATTTCTGTAGCTGCTTAGGACCTGGAGGATGTGTGGGATCCAGCATGAGCTCCTTCTCTGGAGCAATGACATTGTGCAGATTCCAGGGAACTCCTTGTGTTTGTCTCAGGACCCATGTGGGTTGATGAGCTCTCCCATGGCTAAAGTTGCAGAAGTCCATGGTGGGAATGTAAAATTCCAGGGATCTCTCACTTACCCATTTCCCACACTGGAAACTTCTCCAGGTTCTTAGCCAATCCCAGTTGATCAAGCTTCCTTGCTTCCCTCTCTTTCCTTGCTTTAGGTATTCCTTGTCAATTTTTGTTGAATTTCAGTGTATTCTCTAAGATGATATATTCTAAGGGTGATTATCTACTTGCCATTTTTTTTTTCTTCTTTGTGGAAGAAGTGAGTACCAGATGACTCTAATCAGCCATTTTGAAGCCCCAGTGATTTGAGTCTTTTGATGCCAGAGAGTATCAAAACCTTGGTAGGCAGAATGACAGCCTCCACATATGTCAGCATCCTAACTCCCAGAAACTTTGGATATGTTATATAAACTGGCATGTGGGGATTAAGTTTGCAGATGGAACTGGGATTGTTAATAAGCTTACACTGAGGTGAAAAGATTATTCTGGATTATTTTTGTGGGGCCAGTGTATTAGTGAATGTCCTTAGATGTGAAAAAAGGTGGCAAGAGAGTTAGAGTGATACAATGCAAGAAAGACCCTACCATCTGTTGCTGGGTTTAAAGATGGAAGGAGGCCATGAGTCGAGAAATGTGGGCAGTCTCTAGGAGCTTGGAACAGCGAGGGAATGGATTCTTCTAAAGCCTTCAAAAGGAATACTCATCTGCCAACACCTTGATTTTAGTCAAGTGAGACCCATTTTGGACTTCCAAACTCTGGAACTGTAGCATAATACATTTACGCTGTTTAAAGCCCATAGGTTTGTAGTAATTTGTTATAGCAACAACAAAAATTGACTACATCTCATTTGGGAAATGGTCAAAATTTTTGTTTTTGTTTTTGTTTTTGAACTTATTTTCACCCCAGGCTCTCTGCTGTCCCACTCTGACTTTAATTTCTTTTTTCTCATGATCACCAGTTACGGTCTATAGGTAAAATTTTGCAAGTCAACATTAATTATATTTGTGTTTTTCAGCTCCCAGGAGTTCTTTTTTTCCTCAACTAACTCGAAGTCGTTATTTAGAAATTTGTTTAAATGTTAGCTGAATTTATCCTTCTTGCTTTTTAGCTTACTGCATCTGCCCCAGGTAAGCAACTGCTTATGTCCTGTCTCTTCTTAGATAACCCTGTATTTCTTTGAATTTTGGTTAGTTTATTTCCCTGTGATCTCAGTTCACTGATAAGTTTAAGAAATTTTTGTTTTGTACATTGTCCAGCTTTTTATGTTACTGTTGTAAGGATGAGAAATAATGCTTTTTGTAGCATTATACATCCTAATTAGAAGCTTGAAATCCCATTCCTCTTGTCTGGAAGGCTCCCAGTTTTGATGTGGAGATATGTTTTATCCTTATATGATGTTGATTATTGTGCAACTAAGCTTAAAGTAAACTGTAGGAGTCATTCTGGACAGACACTGCCTTTAGAGACTGAGTTTAAGGGAAAGAAATATATGCTGGCTATGTCAGAAATCACCCCTAATTCTCTCTGCCTTCAGACTGAGTTGGTAAAAAGAATCTTCTTTCCTCCTTAAGAAAGCCCTTAAGAAAGCCTCCTTAAGAAAACTAGGCCGGGCGCAGTGGCTCACGCCTGTAATCCCAGCACTTTGGGAGGCTGAGACGGGCAGATCACAAGGTCAGGAGATCGAGACCATCCTGGCTAACACGGTGAAAACCCCGTCTCTACTAAAAATACAAAAAATTAGCTGGGCGTGTTGGCAGGTGCCTGCAGTCCCAGCTACTCGGGAGGCTGAGACAGGAGAATGCCCTGAACCTGGGAGGCGGAGCTTGCAGTGAGCCGAGATCGCGCCACTGCACTCCAGCCTGGGTGACAGAGCAGCCTGGGTGACAGAGCGAGACTCCGTCTCAAGAAAAAAAAAAAAGAAAGCCACAAACTAGATAAATTTGATTGCCACTCTACTCACTTTTTGAGAGAAACAGAGAGATCCTTATATGTGGCAAAACATTTTTAAATTATTTGTATAAATTCAGGGGTACAAGTCCAGTTTTGTCACATAGATATATTAAGTAGTGGCAAAGTCTGGGCTTTTATTGCAACCATCACCTGAGTAGTGTTTCAAGAGACAGAAAATTCAGCCTCAAGCGAGAAGGCAAGATCCTTGACCTTGGGGAACTTACAGGCTCAAGGTACACTTTATAGTTTAGTATTTCCAACTAGACAGAATGAGGTAGTATACTTTATAAACCTCTCTTAGCTTTACAAATTCAACAAAAAATACTTGCTTAGAAAACTTGCCTTATATTTTCATCAATATTTTATTATAAAGATATGTTTTACTATAAGCTTTGTAAGTGAAGGAACTATTTTTATTGTATTCTTTTCCAGCTTTTTAGCATAAATATTCCATACACATATAGTATGTTCAATAAATATTCCAGATTCATTAGACCTTGTGTTTAAGTGACATCCCTACACAAACATAAATGTTGTTCATCACATACTGTTATTACTAGTTCATTTGTAAGGTTGATTGCCAAAGTTGAATGTCTATGAAATGATATTAGTTGTGGTAATGTTTTCTTCATTTCATTTTATGTTTTTAAATTGTGGTCATTGAACATTGTACACATATTGAATCTCTAATGGGTAGAAGTTAAATAAATATGCTCAAATCATTTACTTTCCTGGTCAATCCAGAATTGACGTGTAAATTTGCAATTCATCAGCCAGTATTGTTCAAATAAGGATACAAACTCCAAGGTTTGTATCTGAAGTGGTTCATTTTACAGCGTGATGCATGGGTGACTAAGTTATTTTCCTTTTTCCTATACTTAAAAGCTTTTGGTTTTAAAATTTGAAAGGCATATTACAAATGCTTTTAGTTTGTGAAGTTACTTAATATAAGTTATAAAGTTTAATAAACTTTATTAAAGAATATTCCTCTATTTCTACCTGATGGATTTGATAGCAAGTCAAAATTGAACATTTCTAGGATGCCTAGGATTTTACTTTTCTAAGAGGAGAATTTTTAAAATAGTGACCTCTTTATTTTCCTACTAGAAAGAAAAATCAATGAAGACAATTCCATATTATTCATATTTAAAGTGCAAAACAAAGAAAATAATAACAAAATAGTTTACTCAGGAGGGAATCAAAACAGGTTCAGCCTCAATTTGATAAGCTTCTTCAGTTTCCTTCTGTATCGCATTGCTAAACAACAGATAATATCATTCTAAACGAACAAACCTGACTTTTCTTTATGCTCTACGCCTGTTGATTCTTACATACCACAGAAAAGGTATTTTTATTTTATTAATTTGCTGGTGATGGGGGCATTGTTGTTGTTGTTTGTTTGTTTTATTTAATAGTCTCATCTGCTAGTGGTTTATGGCAAATTTCTTGTTCTTATCAATAAAATATTAGTTAACCTGACTAATTTTGAATCTCAACAGAAATTGAAAGTGTGTTATGACAGTGCTGGTAATCTGCAGAAACAAAATTGTAATTAATGAAAATCCAATTAAGATGCCAAAAACTTCTCAGCAGCGTATTGACCAAAATATTCTTCAACTCAGAAAATTAATATACAATCCATAGTGTAAATGACAATGCTTTGCTACCTAGGTATGCCAAAATGATAGAGTATTTTAAATGATAGATTCTGCAGTCACAGTGTCTTGACTAAGGCAGTGTACAAGCCCAGGAATTCTGACTTCACAATCTGTCAATGAAAGCATAAGCTGAGTATTTTCTAACAAATTATTTAATTCAGTATTCTGAAACAGTTTATTAATTGAGTATGCACAGTTTTTAAAATTATCTGTCTGCTGATTGTAAAATAAGGATATTAATTGTACCTCCTTTTAAAGGTTATTATAAAATAAAATAAGAACATATATGTAAATTTATAGCAGTAAGCATACAAACAATATTAGATATTATTGTTATTACAAGTTTCTTTGCATTTGAAATAACGGCGTAGTATATTCAACCTTCTCATACTCCTTGGAATCTGGAGAATTAAAGAAAAGGGAAACCCAGGCTTCAGACTCTTCCTATATAATCCGTTATTAGAATAAAAGTTTGCTGCTATAGTTTTTCTTGTGGCTTTGGCATTTTTAATACAATGTATAGGTTTCTAGCTATCAGGCATGTGAATAGGTATTTTTTTTTTTTTTTTTTTTTTGAGATGGAGTCTCGCTCTGTCGCCCAGGCTGGAGTCCAGTGGCGCTATCTCTGCTCACTGCAAGCTCCGCCTCCAGGGTTCACGCCATTCTCCTGCCTCAGCCTCCTGAGTAGCTGGGACTACAGGCGCCCGCCACTACGCCTGGCTAATTTTTTTTTTTTTGTATTTTTAGTAGAGACGGGGTTTCACCGTGTTAGCCAGGATGGTCTCGGTCTCCTGACCTCTTGATCCGCCCGTCTCGGCCTCCCAAAGTACTGGGATTACAGGCGTGAGCCACCGCGCCCGGCAGTGAATAGGCATCTTTTAGCTTTGCTGGCTAGGGTGGATATGTAAGATCCATCATACTATTTAATAAATTTCTGATATTAATTTAGTAGAAAGGTGGTTAAATAAATAAGGGCAGATGGGTCAAGATAATTCTCCAGTTAAACTTCTCTCACTATTGTGGCTGGGAGAGCCAGATAATATCAGAGAACTTCCCAAACTTAGAGAAAGATATCAATATTCAAGTACAAGAAGGTTGTAGAACACCAAGCAGATTTAACCCAAAATAAGGCGAGCATCAGAAAGAATTTCTCCTCACATGCATCATTTTGTACCAATAATTGCCATTTTATGCAACTCTTCATGTATCTGTTGAAGAATAAGAGGGAAGAGTTTGAGCAGTCAAATGAATGCAGTTACTATAACTAAGAAATATTCATAGGTTATTTTCAGTTTGTTACTGCAATCCTAGATTTCCAAAAAATAATATGAAAATATGCCTTGGTCTACCGATGTAATAGATACCTCAAAGTTTAAAAACTAAGGGGTAGACTCACAAGAATATTTGTTTCCTTTGATGATAATTACGAATTTACTTATTTCCTTTCTTGACGGCTCTCCTCCCGGTTTACTTGTGTGTAGAAAGAATTACACTTTGGATAGAGTTGAAATAGAACAGCCTAGCAAATTCAGACTCAGACAAGCACATCTAATTTACCTTTTGATTTGGTTGTTGCTTCTCTTCTTGTACTATGGTGCTCAATTTGGTTTTCACGTAGCACAAAGTGTTTTAACTGTCAGTCATACAAACAAGAGTCAGGAAGGGCCTATTAGGTCATCCAGTCGATTTTTTCAGCAGAGTAGGATAGATTACTGATGTTAAATTGTTTTCCTTCTGTTTTCCCTCCGGCTAGAATTGAACATGATTCTTGCTATATCTTGAGGGCATAGAAGATAAAAATCAATAATAAAAGTATATGTGCGTTTAGGAGAACTTGTATCTTAGATGGGGAGGGGAATTTCACTTAAGCAATGGTTGAGAACTTTTCATTCCACTGGATAACAAATGACTCCTCCTCCCTCTTTCTTTTACTGGTAAAAAACAAACAGACATTTTATCACTAAGCCAAAGTCAGACCTAGAATTCTATCACAGGCATATGTATTTACCCAGAGAAATAAATCTGCCACAGAATTCCCCTTATCTGATGAAAATCCTTATAGATATATTTATTTTTGTTTAATAGGATAAGAATATTGGATTTCCACAATTGTCTATGGAAGTGTGTGTGTGTGCGTGTGTGTTTGTGTGTGTGTGCCTGAAGTAAGCACAGTATCCCATATGTATGTGTGGGATGAAGACACTGATTACTTTATAATAAAACATGATGATGGGTTTTTATTCCCCCAAGAAACATTAGCGCTGTATTAATACTAGGTATAATTTAACCAAACTTTCTTATTTTACAGGGAGCCTAAGTTTTATTTGCTCAAGGTCACTGAGATACACAAAAGATGATTCAGGACTAGGCCGGACTTCCTGATTTCTAGTTAGCTGTTTCTTTCTCTGTGCTACTCTGACTCAAGATTATTTTTTTTATTTTTATCAAGAAGAGTCAAATTTCTGAATTATAAATGGGATAGCCTGAAGCCTAGAACTCAAGGAATAAGACCAGAACAGAGAAAAACTTTGGCATCTTAAGTTCAGATAAGCTTTGCTAAGTTCCGTGTTCTGCAGAGAATATTCTTTCAAGCCAGGCATAGAAGGGGCTGACGTCTGTTATTTAAATATCCTTTTTTGTGATGTTAGACATCAGGCATTTTAGTAAAGATATAGAAACTGTAAGCAAGTGCACAGTTTTAAAGTTATGTGATTTCTTATTTACAATATCCTATCTTTCTGGGATCTCATTGGTTAAAACATTAATAAAACTCAGTTTTGATCCTAGATTGATTGTAATGATAAACGATATACAAATAAAATAATGTATGTATTAATAATATAACAAATTGCTCTAGACTTTGATTCATCTAAACCTATTTATTTAAAGTTCATCAGTAGCCAATACTGCTGAGTCTCTCATCATATTTTGATTTCTGTAATAAATAAATAAGTAAGAGAAGATTTAAATTAAAAAAAATTGTATCTCTAATGGCAGGATGGCCTCAGGATTTATCAGAGTAATGATTCATCCTAGACTTCAACATTATCCTTCCTCATATGTCTTCTGTTACAGCAGTCTTCTTTTAACAAGGCATTTTTATCTGATTGAGACTGGGAATAAAATTTTTGATTATTGAGGATAAATTATGAGCACTTAAAAATACCAAAACTACTGTTTTGCCTAAAAGCACTATAATAACAAAAGCAATAACTGCAACACAAGGACTTTCCACTTATTGAGAATACATATGATTCCTATCTTTGTTTTTCAAATGAAGAAACAAGGCTTAGAGGGGTTATTAACTTACCTGAAGCTGCACACTTAAATTATACAGTTGGCTAAAAACCGATGTAAGTTTGATGTCAGAATCCACAGCATTAAGCCCCACACTCGTGTGTGTGTGTGTGTGTGTGTGTAAGTATATGGGTGTTCATGTGTTTCTGTGTAGAAGAGGGGAGACAATATGAGGGAGAGGACGATGAGATTAGCAAGTGACAGAACAGCATATCTCTGGTCAAAGTTTTCCTTTTTTGATGTTATTGAATAGAAAGCAACAGACTGTGTGTAGTTAGATGACCAAATGGGAAGGTTGATTTATGTTATTAATACTGTATTATACCCTCATTTATAATACTAGCCAATATCCAACTTGCTAAATAACATGATTTTTACTACTTAAACTTTTCCTGTGTTTGGTTGAGTTAAAAAATATATAAAGAAATAGGTCTCCTCTAAAATACTTTAATGTAAAATGTTAAGAACATAACTACCATATGTGAAGTGTTTACTTTTCTCTAATTTTTGGTCTATGGAGACTACATTTTCACCATCTTTGGCAAAGATATTTGACAAAATAAAAAATAAAATACTGAAATAACCTCATCTTGAAAAAATTAAATGGAAATAGAGCAGATGTCATTTTGTAAATGGAGAATAAAAAGGTAAAAAGGTTTTTGTTTGTCAGCATATTAAAAGTTTAAACTAATTTTACTTCATGAAGACAGATTTAAACGATATGAAATTACAGATGGGTGAGAGTAATACAATTAAATTTATTACAGTTCTAGGGTGACATTTATAGATTCAATGGTTCATATATTATTAATTTGCTAAGATAATACATTATGCAATTAAAGCCATATTTATTTTTTAAATTCTGCATTATGCTACATTTTAATAAAAATTCAGACAATTTAGTCTGTGCATCTATTACAATAGAGGATGGCAGGTGTCTGAGGTATAATGTAGGTGCCTTGATATATTTCCAGCTTATTTCTTGATTAAAATATTGAGAATGAATTTTCAATTTATCCTAAAAAGATATTTAAAATAGTATGTATCCAGATAAACTCATTCTCAAAATGTTTCTTCTGCGCCCTCTCCTCCAGATGGTGCATTTTCTGCTACTGACATCAATAAGACTTTAACAAATACTGAAAGAAATATTTGAGATTTTTAATTATTTGACAACATTCAGTTGTCAAAATCTGCTCCCCAAATACATACCAAAATAGTTGACTCTGAAGAAGGAAGAAGGTGGCAGAATAGAGGCCTACACCATTCATCCTGCTATGCCTCCCTGCTTTGACACCAAATTTTAACAACCATCCCCACACAGAAAAACACAGTCACAAGACCAAAAATAAGGTGAGCAATCGCAGTACCTGGATTTCACTTCATATAATGGAAACCAGCATTGAGGAGGACAGGAGACAGAGGCTTGAATTGCCAGTGCCACCCCTTTTCTGTCTCCTGGCAGTGGCCATGTGGTGCAGAGAGAAAATCTGTGCACTTTAAGGAGGGAGACTGCAGTGACTGGGGGACTTTACATTGAACTCAGTGCTGCCCTGCAGAGAATAAAACCATGCTGGGTTCAGCCCATGCTGAGTTCAGCTAGCACTTTCACACAAGAGAAGCATTTGCATTAGCCCTAGCTGGAGTGTAATTGCCCATCCCAGCAGTCAGAACTTGAGTTTCTTAGCAAGCCTCACTACCACAAGCTGAAGTGGTCTTGAAAGGCAGTAAACTTGAAATGCAGTTTAGGACACAAGGGCTGTAATTCCTAGGCAACTCCTAGTGCTAAACTGGGCTTAGAGCTAATGACCTAGGGTGGCACATGAACTAGGGAAGACACCAGCTGGCACAGTTAAGGGCATGCTTGCACTATCCCTCTCCCAACCCCAAGCAGTGTGTCTTGCAGAAATTAAAGTACTCCTTCTTTCTGCTTGAGCAGAGGAGAGTAAAGAGGACATTGTCTTGCATCTTAAATACCAGCTGAGCCACAGTAGAACTGGGCACGAGGCAGAGTTGTGAGTTCCCCATTCCAGGCCCTAGGTCCCAGACAACATTTCTAGACACATCCTGAGCCAAACAGGAATCTTTTGCCTTGAAGAGAAGGATGCAGTCCTGGTAAGTTTCATCACCTGTTGACTAAAGAGCCTGTGAGCCCTGAATAACCACCAGTAATACCCAGGGAGTACACTGTGAGCCTTGGGCTCTGAGAGGTGCTAGCTTCAAAGGTGACCGAGCAAATTTCCAGCTGTGGTGGCTATGGTGAAAGACTTCTGTTTGAGAAAATCACGAGGAAAAGTGGAAGAGACTTTGTCTTGTACCCTAGAAACCAGCTCATCAGAGTGGTGTAAAGCAGCAGCAGGCTCTTGGGATCCCCAAATCCAGGCATAAGCTTTTGGACAGCATTTCTGGACCTGCCCTGGGACAGAGAGGAGCCCTACCTTGAAAGTAAATCTCAGTCCTGGCAGCATTCACCAAAAACTGACTGAGGAGCTTTTGGGCTTTAAGTGAACATTGGCAGTGGATTAGCAGAACCCTAGTGATCTCCAGCAGTGGAATAGTGATTGTGGTGGCCACAAGGAGAGGTCTCTCTGCCTGTGGTAGTGGGAGGAAGAGCAGGACGAACTTTGTATTGTGGTTTGAGTGCCAGCTTAGGCACAGTAAAATAGAAATCAGGTAAATTACTAAGGTTTTTAATTCAAATCCCTGGCTCCCAGTTAGTATCTCTGGACACACTTGGGGCCTGGGTTAACTCACTACCCTGAAAGGAAAAGAGCCTTGGGCAAGACCCAGTGCTGTGCTGGCTTCAGATCTGAACCAGCACAGTCCCAGTGGTGATGGCCACATGGGTGCTTGCTTTATCACACCCCCAGTTCCAGGTGGCTCAGCACAAAGATGTGTTTGGGAGACAGTAAAATAATGAGTATCTACTTTGTAATCTAGATAATTCTTCCAGGTCTTATTCAAGACCACGAAGGTGGTACCTCCATGAGTCTGCAAAAAAAACAATGCATTGTTGGTCTTGGAACCCAAGTTCCTTTGAATACCTAGAAATCCTTCCCAAGAAGGACAGACACTAACAAGCCCAGACTGTAAGGACTGCAATAAATACCTAACTCTTCAATGTCCAGACACCAGAGAACATCTACAAGCATCAACACCATCCAGGAAAACATGATTTTGGCAAATGTAATAGATAAGGCACCAGGGAGTAATTCTGGAAAATAAAGATATATGACTTTTCAGACAGAGAATTGCAAGTAACTGTTTTGAGGTAGCTCAAATAAATTTTAAGATAACACAGAGAAAGAAGTCAGAATTCTGTTAGATAAATTAAACACACAGAGGTTCAAATACTTAAAAATAACCTCACAGAAATTCTAAAGTTGAAAAATGCAAGTAACATGCTGAAGAAAGTATTGACGTCTCTTGATAGAGATCAAGCAGAAGGAAGAATTAGTGTGATTGAAGACAGGCTTTTTGAAAATACAGTCAGAGGGGATAAAATACAAAAGAATACAGCATACCTACAAGATTTAGAAAATTGCCTCAAAATGGCAAATCTAAGAGTTCTTGGCCATTAAGAGGAGATATAGAAATATGTAAGGTTAGAAAGTTTATTCAAAAGGATAATATCAGAGAACTTCCCAAACCTAGAAAAAGATATCAATATTCAAGTACAAGAAGGTTGTAGAACACCAAGCAGATTTAACCCAAAGAAGACTACTTCTAGGCGTTTAATAATGAAACTCCAAAAAGGTCAAGAATAAACACAATAACCCAAAAGTAGCAATAGAAAGGAAACAGATAATATACAATGCAGCTCCAGTGCACCTGACAGCATATTTTTCAGTAGAATCCTTATAGGCCAAGAGAGAATGGCATGGCATATTTAAGTTGCTGAAAGATGAAAACTCTTACCCTAGAATAGTATATACAACAAAAGTATCTTTCAAGAATGAAGGAGAAATAAACATTGCCAGACAAACAAAACCTGAGGAATTCATCAACACCAGACCTGTCCTACAAGAATTGGTAAAAGGAGTTATCCAGTCAGAAAGAAAAGGATGTTAATGAGCAAGAAGAAATAATCTGAAGGTAAAAAAACTCATTGATAATAGTAACCACACAGAAAGTCACAGAATATTATAACATCGTAACTGTGGTGTATACATTTCTCTTGATTTAAATAGAAAGACAAAATGATGAGCCAATAAAAAATAATAACCACAAAACTTTTCAAGACATAGACAGCACAATAAGACATGAAGAGAAGCAACCTAATGTTAAAAAACAAGGAGAAGAATTCAGGTGTAAAGTTTTATTAGTTTTCTTTTTGCATGTTTGTTTGTTTATCAAATGAGTGTTAAATTGTCATCAGTTTAAAATAATAGGTTATACAACTGTATTTACAAGATTCATGGTAACCTCAAATCAACAAAAACACAAAAATAAAAGAGAGACAATCAAATATATCATCAGAGAAAATTGGCTTTTATAAAAAGAAGACACAAAGGAAGAAAAGAAGGAAGAGAAGACTGTAAAGGAAGCAGAAAATAAATAACTAAAACGGTGGAAGTAAGTCTCTACTTATCAGTAACATTATTGAATATAAATGGATTAAACTCTCCAATCAAATAGACTGGGCGAATGGATGAAAATAAATACTATACCCAATGACATCTTGCCTACAAGAAAATCACTTCACCTACAGAGACACACATGGACTTAAGGGCATGAAAAAAGATATTCCATCTCAATTAAAACCAAGAAAGAGCAGGAGTAGTTATACCTAAAAGAAATTTCAAGATAGAAACTATAAGAAGAGACAAAGAAGGTCATTATATAATGATAAAGGAGTCAACTCAGCAAGAGGATATGATTTTAAGTATATCTGTACCCCAAACTGGAGTACCCAGATATATAAAGCAAATCTTATTAGAGATACAGAGAGAAACAGACCCAAATACAATAATAGCTGGAGACTTCAACATCCCAATTTCAGCATTGGACAGATTTCCTGGACAGAAAATCAACAAATAAATATTGGACTTAATCTGTACTATAGAACAAACAGACCTACTAGATATTGACAAAATGTTTTATCCAATGGCTACAGAATACACATCTATCCCCTCAGCACATGGATCTATTCTCAAGGATAGACTGTATGTTAGGTTACAAAACAAGTCTTAAAGCTTTCAAAAATTTGACATTATATCAAAGCAACTTCTATTACCACGATGGAAAAAAAAACCTAGAAATCAATAACAAGAATAATTTTGGAAACCATACTAGCACATTGAAATTAAACATCCTGCTCCTGAATGACCAGTGAGTCAATGAAGAAATTAAGAAGGAAATTGAGAAATTTCTTAAAACAAATGATAATAGAAACAAAGCATACCAAAACATATGGGAAACAGTAAAAGCAGTAATAAGAAGGAAACTTATAGCTAAGTGCCTACATCAAAAGAAAAAGAGGAAAATGTCAAAAAATAACCTAATGATGCATCTTCAGGAAGTAGAAAAGCAAGAGCAAACCAAATAAAAATTTAGTAAAATAAAAGAAATAATAGAGATCAGAGCATAAATAAATAAATTTGAAATGAGAAAAACAATAAAACAATGAAACAAAAACTTGTTTATTTGATCAATGAAACAAAAGTTGTTTATTTGGAAATATAAACAAAATTGACAAACATTTAGACAGACTGACAAGAAAAGAGAGAAGACCAAAATAAAATTAGAGATAAAAAAGAAGACATTACAACTGATGCTGCAGAAATTCAAAGGGTCATTAGTGGCTACTATGAGCAACTATATCCCAATACATTTCAAAATCTAGAAGAAATGAATAAATTTTGAGACACATACAACCTACCAAGATTGAAACATGAATAAGTTTAGAAACTGAACAGACCATTAACAAGTAATAAGATCAAAGCCATAATAAAATTTATCCCAGTTTTTAAAAAATCCTCAGACCTGAGGGCTTCACCGCTGAATTCTATGAAACATTTAAAGAGCTAATAACAATCCTACTCAAAGTCTTCCAAAAAATAGAGGAGCAGAGCATACTTACAAACTCATTTTATGAAGCCATTATTACCCTGATACCAAAACCAGAAAAAGACATATCAAGAAAAGAAAACTACAGGCTAATATCATTGATTAATGTTGGTACAAATTTCCTCAACAAAATCCTTGCAAATCAAATTCGACAATAGATTAAAAAGGCCATTGATTATGACCAAGTGGGTTATATCCCAGGAATGTAACTATAGTTCAGCAAACACAAATTAATCAATGTGATACATCATATTAATAGAATGAAGGACAAAAACCATATAATCATTTCAATTGATGTTTTAAAAAGCATTTGATAAAGCTAAATATTTCTTCATGAAAAAAGTAAAAATACTGGGCATAGAAGAAACATACTAAAAGCTATATATGACAGACTCACAGCTAGCATCATAGTGAATGGGGAAATACTGAAAGCCTTTCCTGCTAAATCTGGAACATGACAAGGATGTCCACTTTCCCTGTTATTACTTAGCATTGTACTGGAAGTCCTAGCTACAGCAATCAGACAAAAGAAGAAAATAAAGGACATCCAACATGGAAAAGAAGAAGTCAAATTATCTTTTTTTGCAGATGATAGGATATTATATTTGGAAAAACCTAAAAACTCCACCAAAATAATATTAAACTGACAAATTCAGTAAAGTTACAGGATACAAAATCAATATACAGAAATCAGCAGCATTTTTATATGCCCAAAGTGAAAGATCTGAAAAAGAAATAAAAAACATAATCCTACTTATAATAGCCATACATAAAATTAAATACCTAGGAATTAACCAAAAAAGTGAAAGATCTCTACAATAAAAATTATAAAATACTAATGGAAGAAATTGAAGAGAATACATAAAAGTGGAAAGGTATGCCATATTCATGGATTGGAAGAATCAATATTGTTGATTCTTGCTACCCAAAACAATCTATATATTTGATGCAGTCCCTATCAAGATACCAGTGACATTCTTCACAAAAACAGAAAAAAAATAAAATTTATATGAAATGAAAAAGATGCAGAATAGATGAAGCTATCCTGAGCAAAATTAACAAAACTGGATGAATTACATTACCTGACTTCAAATTATACTACAGAGCTATAGTAACCAAAACAGCATGGTACTGGCATGAAAACAGACACATAGACCAATGGAACAGGAAAACCCAAAAACAAATCCAGAAACTTAAAGTGAACTCATTTTTGACAAAAGTGCCAAGAACAAACACTGAGGAAAAGATACTCACTTTGATAAGTGGTCCTGGGAAAACTGGATATTTATATGCAGAATGAAACTAGACACCTCTCTCTCACCATATAGAAAAATCAAATCAAAATGGATTAAAGACTTACATCTAATACCTTAAACTAGGAAACTACTAGAAGTAAACATTGGGGGAACTTTGCAGGACATTGTTCTGGGCAAAAATTTATTGAGCAATACCCAACAAGCACAGGCAACCAAAGCAAAAATGGACAAATGAGATTATATCTAGTTAAAAAGTTTCTGTGCAGGAAAGGAAATTAACACAATGAAGAGGTAACCCACAGAATAGGAGAAGATATTTGCAAACTACCTTTCTGAGAAGGGATTAAAAATCAGAATATGCAAGGAGCTCAAACAACTCTAGGGGAAAATGTCTAATAATCTGATAAAAAAATAAGCAAAAGATTTGAATAGATATTTCTCAAAAGAAGACACGCAAATGGCAAACACGCATATGAAAAGTTGCTCAGCATCATTGATCATCTGATAGATGCCAATCATAACTACAATGTGATGTAATCTCATCCCAGTTAAAATGTTTTTATCAAAAATCAGGCAATAACAAATGCTGGTAAGGATGTGTGGAAGACAGGGAACCCTCAAACACTGTTGGTGGTAATCTAAATTAGTACAAGCACTATGGTAAACAGTTTGGAGATAGGTTCCTCAAAAAACTAAAAATAGAGCTTTCATATGATTCAGAAATTGCACTACTAGGTATATGCTTAAAAGAAAGGAAATCAACATATTGAAGAAATATCTGCACTCTCATGGTCATTGTAACATTCTTCACAGTATCCAAGATTTAAAATCAACCTAAGTGTCCATCAACAGTTGAATGGTTAAAGAAAATATCTTAGTTGTACACGATGGTCTGCTATTCAACCATAAAAAAAGAATGAGATTCTGTCATTTGCAACAACATAGTTGGAACCAGAGATCATTATGTTAAGTGAAATAAGCCAGCCACAGAAAGACAAACATTGCATATTCTCACTTATTTGTGGGATCCAAAAATCAAAATGATTTAACTTGTGGAGACAGAAAATAGAAGGATGGTTACCAAAGCCTGGGAGGGAAAGCTGGGGGAGGGAGAGGAGAGTGGGGATGTTTCATGGGTACAAAACAAAGTTGGAAAGAATGAATAATACCTAGTATTTGAAAGCACAACAGAGTTACTATAGTCAACTATAATTTAATTGTACATTTTAAAATAACTATAAGATTATAATTAGATATATTGTAATACAAAAGATAAATGCTTGAGGGCTTGGATACCCAATTTTCCATAATATTATTATGCATTATGACTGTATTAAAATATGTCATATACTCCATAAATATATCCACTCTCTATGTACCCACAAAAGTTATTTTAAAAATCTTGAAAAAGTAGTTGACTCTGGGACACATCCAGCATATTCAGTCTAGATCTGTAAAAGTAAGTATAAGCTTTGTTTGAATGGTTATCTTTGAACCTTACACAGCTAAGAACACAAGTTAAAATTTCTTTTTTTTTTCTTTTTTCTTTTTTTGAGATGGAGTCTCGCTCTGTCGCCCAGGCTGGAGTGTAATGGTGTGATCTCGGCTCACTGCAACCTCTGCCTCCCAGGATCAAGCCGTTCTCCTGCCTCAGCTTCCTGAGTAGCTGGGATTACAGGCCGCGCCACCGTGTCCAGCTAATTTTTGTATTTAGTAGAGACGGGGTTTCACCATTTTGGTCAGGCTGGTCTTGAACTCCTGACCTCGTGATCCGCCCACCTCAGCCTCCCAAAGTGCTGGTATTACAGACGTGAGCCCCTGCACCCGGCCACAAGTTAAAATTTCTAAACTTCTTATGGTCTTTCCCTTTCATAGATTATCTTAATATTTTGGCTCACTTTGTTATTTCTAATTCATGCTCATTCATTAACTTCAAACAAAAGCAGTTTTATAACTTTTTTTTTCAGCCAATGCTAAGTTAACTTATTTGAATTTGTGACCTTCCTAAGTTGTTGATTGCTGGCTAATGGACAGCAACATGAGGATGGCTGACATGCCCATATCCCAGCACCTTATTTTGGTGAAGATGCCCACATTTAGCTGTTCATTCACACATATACAAATAGAGTCCAATTTTAAAACTATATTTTTTGTTCGTACCCAAATAAGTACAACCTGCATATAAAACAAATCAAAACAAAACCACAAAAAACTTTTGCTAAATATATTTTTGTGATGGTGATGCTTTTTCGTTCTTTTCTTTTCTGGTTCCCTCTCTCTTTTTTTTTTTTTTTCTGAAGGATGATACGACATTCGACCTTCTTTATCCTCTAGATGGCAACTGAAAATGGTACCTGTTTAATCCATCATAGGATAGTGAAATTTAATTTTGGAGAAAAATTGCTATATGGACTCAAAAATTGTTATTATTTTCTTATTTCATATCTAAGAAGTTATCTATAGTCCTAAGTTATTTTATAATTCTAAAAAAATATAAGATCTATTACCAGAATAGGTGGTCTACCACAACTATAAAACATAGTTTCCACAGTTGTTGTTTGTTTTGTTTTTATTTTTTACTAAGAACTGAAACTGAGATTATGTCTGTATCAGATAATGTATGTGACAATAGATAAGCAATGTGATAATGGCAGGAATTTATGGAAAGCAATCCAACACATAGCAGAGCCAACACTCCTGTTTCTCCTCAAACAATTTATATTTCTATTTAAAGGAAATTTTCCTCATATAACTGGGTCAAAAGTGCACTACAATTGAAACATTTGTACAGTGAAAGACAGATACACAATATGCCACCCATTAAACTTGCCAGATTCAGAAGCAGGAGGATGGTAAGAGAGAAAAACATTGATAATATCCACAATTTTTTATTCTGCCCTGTAGTACATGAGGTGCATTCTCTACCTCTCTCTCATGATTTTAAGCTCCTCAAAGTCAGATATTTGGTAAAAGATATTTTGATATCCTCTCCATCAAATAGCCACTATAGAGTAAAATTCAGATATTTTATTTAAAAATTGGGCAAATGCTCAGCAAACTATTGCAAGGATAAAAAACCAAACACTGCATGTTCTCACTCATAGGTGGGAATTGAACAATGAGAACACATGGACACAGGAAGGAGAACATCACACACTGGGGCCTGTTGTGGGGTGGGGGGAGGGGGGAGGGATAGCATTAGGAGATATACCTAATGTTAAATGACGAGTTAATGGGTGCAGCACACCAACATGGCACATGTATACATATGTAACTAACCTGCACGTTGTGCACATGTACCCTAAAACTTAAAGTATAATAATAAAAAATAAAATAAAATAAAATAAAAATTGGGCAAATGATGATTATAACAATAATAATGATAATAGAATGATTAATGGCAGTTTAGACTTTATGAGAACCTACATATACCATTCTAACAGCGTTAAAGTTATTAACTCATTTAGTCTTCTTAAAAATCCTATAAGATAGGTACTATTATTATTTCTACTGTACAGACAGGGAAATATTTGTCAATGTGACACATCTAGGAAGTCATGGAGAGGAGATTTAAATGCCAGTATTATGGCTCCATAGACTAAAATCATAATTAATCAGCTTGCTTTCTCCACTATTTTTGCTATTCAATGAAAATTATGATTATGGCTATTTGAGGATTGTATTAGATTTTTATCATTGTTCTAACAAATTGTGAAAAATTTGGTGTCTAAGAAAACCTATTTTTTTTGTCTTACGTTTCTAGAAGTTAGAAGCCCTAATATTAAGTTATCAGTGTATATTTTTTTCTCAAGGCTCTAAGAGATAATCCATTTCCTTAGCAAGTAGATAGTGCCCAAATTTCTTGGCTTGTGGCACCCAGTAAGCAGTTGAGTCATTTCAACCTTTGCTTCTGTCATCATATCCCTTCCTTTAATGCTGCCTTTCTTACTTGTTTCTTAAAAGGACCCCTGTGATTACATTGGTCTTACTTGGATAATCCAGAATAATCTCTCCATCTCAAACTTTTGAACTAATCATACCTGTAAAGCCTCTTTTGCAATGGAAGATAACACATTCACACATTCTAGGAATTAGGATATGGATATACTAAGGTCTTTTGGGGATATCATTTTTCAGCCTACCACAATAATTAATTATTGAGTAAAACTTTTAGTAATAGCAGTCATGGTATCACTATATCAATCAAAGCAAAAAAAAAAAAAAAGGATAATATGCTTCCATTACCAGAATCTGAATTTCTAGATTTATGAAAACATCTGAAGTCTGTAGTATTTAAACATTTTTCTTTTCCTACTAGTCACATATTAAAAGATGTGAACTTAATGAAAAAAGAAATCAGTCATTTAGTAATTTATTTTTAGACATTTAGCAACAGAATTGGAATAGGGCAATTGCAAATAACTGTGAACAGAGATGCATCACACATACAAAAATCTTAAAGTTCAATCTCTTATCTTTTCAATTGTTTGGATCTTACGTCACTTGTTTTGCTCCACTAGTGTGCCTATCCAGAAGACAGCAAATAAAATATTACTGAATAAGAACCTGAATATTAAATTATGAAGCTACTTACAAACTTTTCTCAAGAATCCCCCAAAACCCTGAATGCTATAATTTTAGTATTTGGCATTGATTATAAAATGTGAATATGCTTTAATGTATACAAAATGTTTTAATGCATATGGCTTTTTTCAACATCATAATACATCTTTGAGTACAATTAGGTAACTACTATTTTCATGCTCATCTTCTGATCAACAAAATTGTTTACCAATATAGACTCTTGGTAACTAGTTGATTAATCTTAGTCTACCAAACCATTTTATGATTTCTAGTCAATTCTCAATCAAATAGGCTGTGTGACCTCCTAAGAAATAACTTTATTCCAAAATTCTCCAGATTTACCTTAGTGTTTGAAAACAAAGATGGATTGTTGAATAGCTATTCAATAAATGCTTAATTTAGTTAAAAATACAATATCTGCATGTTTTATAAAGCTACCACTAATCACTTAGTTAAATTTAATATAGAGAATTGTGCAGTTATTAATAACACATACACATGTGTATATTATATATGTGTGTCACACATATATACACACATATATATAGTATCTTTGTTTAAAATAATCTGATACAGAGGTGAAGCTTATATTATTGAATGAATCATTAATTCTGACAAAATTTCAAAAACATCTAAATGCATCTTTTGTTTTCCTCTATTTTTCCTCTCACATTTTGTTTGTCTTGGTTTCTCTTTTAAGGTAGCCTACCATAATATCTCAGTAGCTTGGTTTTCCCCAAACATTAACCCATGTTTTTTTCCCTTAATTAAGTTATAATGATATTATTATTCAGATAATAAATCATGATGTGTCAAACACTCCAGCAGGCCCTGGAGTCCTGGAGATAGAAAGATGAAGCAAACATCCCCTGCCTTTTAAGAAATTATGAGCCAGAAGTTCAGATTACACATGTACACATAGCTGATTACAATAAAAGGCAAAATGTAAGTACAGTATAGGTAAAAATATACTACTGTGTTCTGTCTTATCATCAAAACATTCACTCCCTGATTCCTTGCTCTCGGGCACTTATGGAGGAGAGATTTCTAATAAACAATTTTTAGCAGACTGTTAAAATTATTCCTATCATGTTTATTAATATTTACTTACCTTTAAGAGAAGCCTCAGTAAAAGAAGATGTATAAATATAGTTTGATTTAATCTGAGGAAATAAATCTTACAAAATGAGTTTCAGGTTTGGTGGAGAGTTTATGGTAGCCTTGTCTTTTGAGTAGAAATTCTTCCAATTCTCTTCAAATCACATAGTAAATTTGAATATTTATAGAAGTATGGACTTTGTCTATAAATATTTAGGACATGGTCCTATAGAAAAACATCTAATTTAATAAATATAAAGCAGTGGCTCTAAAACCTCAGTGTTCGTGCGAATCATCCTGAATGCTCATAATAAATATAGAGATAACAGTTAGTTAACAATTTTTAGAGAAGCTCAGGAATATGCATTTATGACAAACACTGTAATAATTTTGATATGTGGTTCAATGAACTCATTTTAAAGAAAACTGGATTGAATATCCACATAAGACAAATAAACAAGTAAAATTCTCAATTGCTCTAGCATCATGACCTTATGTAACTGTATCTTCCAACAATCTCTGAAACATTCAGAAAATTGCTCAATTTGTTTAGCCACTCAAACACCTTTTATGTCTAAGTGAAGGATGAAGTCCTCAGAAACAACCTCATATTATTTGACCTAATTCTAAATTCTTTTTTTTTAGACAAAATGATCCATCTAATGATGGATTCCTAATTTTCAACATTTGAGTTTAACAGTCACATTGATATATCTACTTATCCAGTTTTCCATTGATGTTGTAGTGAATATAAAAACATTTTTCATCTGAAAGTTCAAAACAGTCTAGTGCAATGCCTGTCTTTCCAGTTGGTTATTGATGGGCCTGACAATATATTTTTTTTAATTGGCAAAGTGACTTGGACTGAATTCTCTAGCAGATGGCTTAGAAATGAGTGACATGCTACCACCTTCAGATTTTTCAATGCATGACATGCCACAACTTTCAGATTGTGTATTGCAGTGCCCAGTTTCAATAATTCATTAACTATTCATTAATTGAACTCATTCAGCTAATATTGTCCATTGTCCTCTGTGTATATTTGATACCTACTAGTCTTCTATTGATTGGAAACAATATATAATAAACTCAAGCAAGAGAATAAAACAAGTCATTTACAAACAGGCTAACAAATTCTCCATAATTATTTTCAAAAACCAACCATCAAAAACAGTACTCTGTAGCAAAAATAAGTGATGAAAAGAGAGATGGTAAACAGCCATTATTTTTCAATATTATTTTTATTTTACTTTTAAATTCATGTGCATTTCAGATGAATTAAAGTTTTTCTATTTTGTATTAATTTTCATTTACAAAAGAACCTTGAGTGATAAAAATTACTCCTAATATTTTGCTAATGAAGCTCATATTTTGTATTTACTTTTGAAAAGAGCACAAATACAAATAATACTAAATAATTTTCAAATAGTTGATCTTCTATAATAAAAATATGACACTGAGAAAAAAACAAGTAAACACACAAAAATAAAGTTTGAGGAGAAAAGCTACTAGTATTTATAGATTTTCAGTCCAAGGAAATAATCTGATCTAGTAATCCGAAGACTATTGTAATTAGAAACAGAAGACCTGGTTCTTATTATTGTACAACTTATGAAATCTTGATGTTTCAATTTCTCTTTTGAAAATAGGCGTCATAATTTCAGTACTGTCCAATTTATAAAGCTGTAGTGAGGATCACATGAAGTCACTCTTTTCTGAACTTCCCTAGTAATAAGTATCGCCTGTTGCGATTGTGAAATTTATAACTGTCCAGACTTCTCCTCTAGAGATTTTGATCTGCAGGGAAATAAGTCTGATCCCTAAATTAAACTATTAGCAAAAGTTCCAGGTGGATTTTACGTTGTAAATTTGTAGACAATACTAAAGGGATTTATTTTGGAATTTTTTACTGATAAAAAGTAGTGGCCAGGCGCATCGGCTCACACCTGTAATCCCAGCACGTTGGGAGGCCAAGGCAGGCAGATCACAAGGTCAAGAGATCGAGACCATCCTGGCCAACATGGTGAACCCCTGTCTCTACTAAATATACAAAACTTAGCCCAGCATGGAGGTGCGCGCCTGTAGTCCCAGCTACTCGGGAGGCTGAAGCAGGAGAATCACTTGAACCTGGAAGGTGGAGGTTGCAGTGAGCCGAGATCACGCCACTGCACTCCAGCCTGGGTGACAGAGCCAGACTCTGTCTCAGAAAAAAAAAAAAAAAAAAAAAAAGTAGCAAGGGGTTGTGGTATGGCTAATTTTTAGCCAGAGTGCATTGGCATGGCCTTTACTGTTTTACAATATAGAAATTAGTCTGACCAAGTTTGCCAGTAACCATCCCTGGCAGCAGCTTGTCTCATCCCTAACTACCAAGGTCCTGTTTCCTACTCTCACCCACAGTAACAGCTGGACTAGTTGGCGTCAAAGTAAGTAGCCCATAAAACTCAGCTTCAGACTTCAGCTGCAGTTTCTCTGTGTTGTTCCACTCCCTGTGCTACATTGGTTGGTAAATGTTTATAGTGTCACCTCCTGGTCAAAGCACATGTTTTGTAAATCCATGGAGAGGTAGTCCAATATCTTTGAAGTAAAATTGTGTGTGGTTGCTAGAGTGTCTAAATAAAGTCTAGAAACAAATGAACACCACAGAGACAGAGTGCTCACATTATTTCAGAGGTTTGGTTTGCTTGGGAGCTAGCTTTTTTCTTTCAATTTCAAAATATATTTCAAGGTAAAATTAGTAGTTATTTTCTTCCCGAATAAATGCAATAAAAAAGATAATAATATGAAAGAATCGAAGGACAGTAGATAAGAAAGTGTGGAGCCTTCAAGGTAGGTGATATAAATGCTGGCAGCTTAATAGTAGACAATCAGTGAAGGAGCAAGTGAAAGAAAAAGGGAGAAAGAGGGAGAGCTGGAGAGAGAGAGAAACCCATTCATAGATATATAGAAATACACAAAGCGCAGAAGAATGAAGTATGTGAATATTGAAATATATAGAGTATGAAGACTATTTTGCAAAAACAAAATGTATTTTTGACAAATTGCAGCAAGAACAGCAAAGTCTTTGAAAGAATTATTGAATAAATTAAAAAGCTTTTGAAACTGTGCTACAGTATTACATCATAAATATGCAAGACACAAATGATTACTTGCAGTAGGATTTAAAAACTGTAGAGGTTTCTGAATATGCATATAAACGTATGCAATACAAGGAAAAAACTGGGAATATAATGAACAAACTCTAGATAAATTAGCATGGATTTTTTTTCACTGGAAGTGCTGAATAATCTTGAATTGCAGAACAATGAGGGAACAAATGAGAATAATACTAGTAATTCAAAGAATGTACTGTTGTTAGAACTTGTGGTCTTGAGACTATGATAGGGTGGGGAGACAGGGTCTAGCATCTAAGAACACAGCTTATACGGTGGTAAGCTGGGATTTCCCCCAAAACCACGCGGAGAATAATAGATATAGGACCTATTCTCTGCAGGAGGCTTTTATAGGTTCCCTCTGTCATGATCTGTGGATATATAAACTGCTTAAATTGCCAAGAACAAATGGAAATGGGACATTAATGATCTCCTACTAACACGCTGATGAGAAGAACGCAATTGTTAAAGCTCACTTTATAGTTGAATGTGTCAATGATTAGCTGAGAAGTTTAACTTAACTGCTTAGTAAATCACCTTTTAAGTTTATATATAACATGATTAGTTTTTCCAAATCATTTCAATTTGCTTGAATTTCTAATTAAAGAAAACAAACAAATTAGGTAATACAGGAAATAGAGATACTTTAATCCAAGTGACCATACAACTATGTAACTACTGGGCTATAAGTGCCCAGAGTAGAATAACTTGATCAGTCCATTTTACATATTCTCCTTTAAATAAACCTAAAAATTGATTATTGTCAAAACATAAAGATGTTAACAGTTAAATTCTGCTTTGTAACCTCCCTGAGGTCGAACTGTGGTTTTTCATGTTTAAGTATCTTTCTTCTATTCCTATGACTCAGTAGCTAAATACATTTCATCACATAGTTCTCAGTTTCAAGATATGTCCTACTGGTGAAACCCATGTTTACTCACAAACCTGCCTGAGAGAATTCAAGAAAGTAATACACATCCTTAGGCTTAAATTCAACAATATACTATAAACAGGATTTATTGCTGCTGAGTTTGCAGCATGTCCACAAACCTAATTTTTTCTTTGTTTCATAGTTCATGTAATACTTTATAGGCTGTGGTATATGTCTATGGAAATCTTCTCCGCATCTACTTAGTCACAGAAAATTGCTTCAGTTCTTAATTTTCTATAAATATTGACATGGCTCTTTGATTTTTTTTTCTCTTCAAACTAAAATATCACCAAATCTACCGATTTCTGGCAATGTTACTTTCCTATCTGCTTAATGGTAATCTAAGTCACTTGCTTAAGAACTTTTATTTCTCCCTCCTCCCATATCAATAAATGTTTTCTCTAGAGATTTTGCATTTCTGCTAATAAATATTCTAAAGTTTCTCATGTATTAAATATTTATGTTCCAAACTAATTATTGAGAGAGAATTCTTCATGGATCTTTCATATTTCTACATGTCTTGCAAGCCCAGGCATTGATTGACTTTCTTCTGGACTATCTTTTCAATGATTTTTTTTAATAACATGCAGCTTTGAAAAGAGAGAGATAGCATCTTCCTTTGGAGCAAGGAGCAAGTTTCTTTACTGTGCAGTGTTATAATGGTAATGTCTTCAATCATGACAAAGCTCAGACAAGCTTTTGGACAATTATGAATGAGTTACTTAAGCTACTGGCTCTTTCTCTGTAATTAAACTTAATATATATGCATGCATATCGCCTAGCATTAGGACCCGAGGTACTGGTGCCAACATTGATAATCCACAGATACAAAGCTATTGCTGTGAGTAGTAACATTCTCTGTTTCTCACCCAGCAGTGTGTGTCTTCTGCCAGCATTCATGAAATTGTAGCAGGCTAAATTATTTTCTAGAAAAAACGGTAAATTCTCAGACATTTTTTAGTTTTCAATACAAACATGGCTTCAAGATACCATCTCACATGGTTCTCTATTTTTACTACCCAAATCATCAAAGAATAGCCTGTGTGCACCACTTTCATTTCTTCAAGAACCACTTATTCTCCCACACCATTACTGACATTTCTTTAACGACAAAAAAAACTGTCTTGTTTTATTGAATTCAGAGTTCTTTGAACAACTGATTTTCTTTGATCTCTCTATGGCATTTTTTAAGTTGGTTCTCTTTTTTATTTGAAACTCTTCGATTACTTTTCCCCTTTTAGCTATCAGTTCCTTCTCAGTCACTCTAAATGACCTCTTTTACTAACATCTCATTAGAGATATCATATTCCAATGTCGTAAGACCATAAAGCTCTGTTTTTGATCAGTTCTTTTCTAATAGTTCATTGGTAGTTAAACTTCTTTTTCTGTTTTTTTTTTTTTTTTTTTTTTTTTGTTTGTTTGTTTGTTTGAGACGGAGTCTCGCTCTGTCTCCCAGGCTGGAGTGCAGTGGCGCGATCTTGGCTCACTGCAAACTCCGCCTCCTGGGTTCATGCCATTCTCCTGCCTCAGCCTCCCGAGTAGCTTGGACTACAGGCACCTGCCAACACGCCCAGCTAATTTTTTGTATTTTTAGTAGAGACGGGGTTTCACCGTGTTAGCCAGGACGGTCTCGATCTCCTGACCTCCTGATCCGCCCGTCTCGGCCTCCCAAAGTGCTGGGATTACAGGAGTGAGCCACCGTGCCCGGCCAGTAGTTAAACTTCTTTAGCTAAAAATTGTATCTTCAAGTTTACCTTTCTCTAAATCTCATTTTCACATCTGTATACCTGCTGATCACTTCTCCCTCAACACCTTCATCTCCAAACTCGCAAACTCAGTATACACAAAGCCACACATATTTCATTCAACTCGAAGCAAATTAGTTATTTCTGAAAAGGATGGTATTATTTGCTCAGTTTCTCTAATTTTAACGTTGAAAAACATCTGATATTTCTCTGCATATATACATCTATTGTTTTGTGGATTAAATGTTTTCCTTTGCCTCCTTGTTTAGGTTCTTTATTTCATTGTCCTAATTCAGGGCACATTCATTTCTATCTTAGTAGATTCTATAGATTTTCTAATTAGGGATCTCTTCTTTCATCTTTGATGTATTATTAAACCAGTGATAATTTAATTTTGAAAAATACCACTGCATGTTTTTCAAGTTCTAGCTCAAAAAATATTTTTGCCCTTAGAATATCTTGTATTGAGGATCTCCACAACTATATAACAAGTTATTTCTTCATTTTTATCTCTTATCACTGCTCCAAATACATATATTAATTTATTCAATAAAAATTGATTATCATCTATGTTTCAAGGACATGTCTAGAACTCAGAAAACATATTGAAAAAAAATATATTGCTTGTACTGAATTACTAGGATAAAATAAGTATTGAATAAAAATATTACAGGGTAGTGTTATAAAAGTAAAGTTTCCAGTGATTAGAAAATGTATACAGGGCAATGTTAATACTCTACACTTTCAAAGTCAAAAACCCTATTAGCTGTGTTTCCAAGCATAGCTATGGAATACCTTTGTCCACAGTCTTGTCCATGCCACCTTCATGGTACTGAATGCCATCTTCTTTTTCTCCCAATTTACATGTTTTACTCTTTTATTTCCAAGTTAGGTGCCTAGCTCCAGTTTCAATTCTGTATGAGATTTTCCTTCATAACGAGAACTGTATGAATCTGTAGTAGTTAATACCAGAACCACTCAATTTAAACTCAGCCTGAGATATTTTATTTTATTATTAGTCATTTTGTGACCTTGGTTCTAACATGTTTAAAAATTATAAATGCCTTTAGGCAAGTATATTAGCTAAGACTAGGATCTGACTCTTAGTAACTAACAAAGGGTTTATTTTTCTTGTTTAACAAGAAAGCTGAAAATAAAGATATCCTGTAGTAGAGTAATCAGCTCAAGGATGAACAGGATGAGGTTACCGTGGTAGTCTCAGCCACACACCTATTTTCCCCAAATAAATGGCTGCTCCAACTGTAGCAATAATGCTTTCCTGTCAGCCAGTTAAAAGAAGAAACAATACTCTAGAAGGTTATGCGCAAATTAAGAGAAGAAAAAATACAGAGAGAAAAAGTTCAGACAAATTTTTATTTACATCCCAAGGACCCAAATTTTATCAGGTAGCCAACCTTACCTGCATGGAATACTAGAAAATACAAATTTTCAACCTGAATATGTTACTCATTACAAAACTGTTAAAAAAGAAAGGCCCACTTGATCATGGTGGATAAGCTTTTTGATGTGCTGCTGGATTCGGTTGCCAGTATTTTATTGAGGATTTTTGCATCAATGTTCATCAAGGATATTGGTCTAAAATTCTCTTTTTTGGTTGTGTCTCTGCCCGGCTTTGGTATCAGGATGATGCTGGCCTCATAAAATGAGTTAGGGAGGACTCCCTCTTTTTCTATTGATTGGAATAGTTTCAGAAGGAATGGCACTAGTTCCTCCTTGTACCTCTGGTAGAATTCGGCTGTGAATCCATCTGGTCCTGGACATTTTTTGGTTGGTAAGCTATCGATTACTGACACAATTTCAGATCCTGTTATTGGTCTATTCAGAGATTCAACTTCTTCCTGGTTTAGTCTTGGGAGAGTGTATGTGTCGAGGAATTTATCCATTTCTTCTAGATTTTCTAGTTTATTTGCGTAGAAGTGTTTGTAGTATTCTCTGATGGTAGTTTGTATTTCTGTGGGATCGGTGGTGATATCCCCTTTATCATTTTTTATTGCGTCTATTTGATTCTTCTCTCTTTTTTTCTTTATTAGTCTTGCTAGCGGTCTATCAATTTTGTTGATCCTTTCAAAAAACCAGCTCCTGGATTCATTAATTTTTTGAACGGTTTTTTGTGTCTCTATTTCCTTCAGTTCTGCTCTGATTTTAGTTATTTCTTGCCTTCTGCTAGCTTTTGAATGTGTTTGCTCTTGCTTTTTAGTTCTTTTAATTGTGATGTTAGGGTGTCAATTTTGGATCTTTCCTGCTTTCTCTTGTGGGCATTTAGTGCTATAAATTTCCCTCTACACACTACTTTGAATGTGTCCCAGAGATTCTGGTATGTTGTGTCTTTGTTCTCGTTGGTTTCAAAGAACATCTTTATTTCTGCCTTCATTTCGTTATGTACCCAGTAGTCATTCAGGAGCAGGTTGTTCAGTTTCCATGTAGTTGAGCGGTTTTGAGTGAGTTTCTTAATCCCAAGTTCTAGTTTGATTGCACTGTGGTCTGAGAGACAGTTTGTTATAATTTCTGTTCTTTTGCATTTGCTGAGGAGAGCTTTACTTCCAACTATGTGGTCAATTTTGGAATAGGTGTGGTGTGGTGCTGAAAAAAATGTATATTCTGTTGATTTGGAGTGGAGAGTTCTGTAGATGTCTATTAGGTCCACTTGGTGCAGAGCTGAATTCAATTCCTGGGTATCTTTGTTAACTTTCTGTCTAGTTGATCTCTCTAATGTTGACAGTGGGGTGTTAAATTCTCCCATTATTATTGTGTGGGAGTCTAAGTCTCTTTGTAGGTCACTCAGGACTTGCTTTATGAATCTGGATGCTCCTGTATTGGGTGCATATATATTTAGGATAGTTAGCTCTTCTTGTTGAATTGATCCCTTTACCATTATGTAATGGCCTTCTTTGTCTCTTTTGATCTTTGTTGGTTTAAAGTCTGTTTTATCAGAGACTAGGATTGCAACCCCTGCCTTTTTTTGTTTTCCATTTGCTTGGTAGATCTTCCTCCATCCTTTTATTTTGAGCCTATGTGTGTCTCTGCACATGAGATGGGTTTCCTGAATACAGCACACTGATGGGTCTTGACTCTTTATCCAATTTGCCAGTCTGTGTCTTTTAATTGGAGCATTTAGTTCATTTACATTTAAAGCTAATATTGTTATGTGTGAATTTGATCCTGTCCTTATGATGTTAGCTGGTTATTTGGCTCGTTAGTTGATGCAGTTTCTTCCTAGTCTCCATGGTCTTTACATTTTGGCATGATTTTGCAGTGGCTGGTACCGGTTGTGCCTTTCCATGTTTAGTGCTTCCTTCAGGAGCTCTTTTAGGGCAGGCCTGGTGGTGACAAAATCTCTCAGTATTTGCTTGTCTGTAAAGTATTTTATTTCTCCTTCACTAATGAAGCTTAGTTTGGCTGGATATGAAATTCTGGGTTGAAAATTCTTTCCTTTAAGAATGTTGAATATTGGCCGGCTGGGTCAAATGGTATTTCTAGTTCTAGATCCTTGAGGAATCGCCACACTGACTTCCACAATGGTTGAACTAGTTTACAGTCCCACCAACAGTGTAAAAGTGTTCCTATTTCTCCACATCCTCTCCAGCACCTGTTGTTTCCTGACTTTTTAATGATTGCCATTCTAACTGGTGTGAGATGGTATCTCATTGTGGTTTTGATTTGCATTTCTCTGATGGCCAGTGATGATGAGCATTTTTTCATGTGTCTTTTGGCTAATTATATGTCTTCTTTTGAGAAGTGTCTGTTCATATCCTTCACCCACTTTTTGATGGGGTTGTTTGTTTTTTTACTGGGTATATACCCAAAGGACTATAAATCATGGTGCTATAAAGACACATGCACACGTATGTTTATTGTGGCACTATTCACAATAGCAAAGACTTGGAACCAACCCAAATGTCCAACAATGATAGACTGGATTAAGAAAATGTGGCATATATACACCATGGAATACTATGCAGCCATAAAAATGATGAGTTCATGTCCTTTGTAGGGACATGGATGAAATTGGAAATCATCATTCTCAGTAAACTATCACAAGGACAAAAAACCAAACACCACATGTTCTCACTCATAGATGGGAATTGAACAATGAGAACACATGGACACAGGAAGGGGAACATCACACTCTGGGGACTGTTGTGGGGTGGGGCGAGGGGGGAGGGATAGCATTAGGAGATATACCTAATGCTAAATGATGAGTTAATGGGTGCAGCACACCAGCATGGCACATGTATACATATGTAACTAACCGGCACATTGTGCACATGTACCCTAAAACTTAAAGTATAATAATAATAATAATAATAATAATAATAATAATAATAATAAAAAGAAAGGCAATAATGAACATCTGGTAGGTTACTAGTAGGGTCTGCTCAAGAAGACTATTTTTTGTCATCAGATACTAATAGTCATTCATTGATATTTATGTAACTCAATATGTGTCCTGTTTTTACTTCCCTTTACTGATGTAACTGCCTGTTTTAATAGACATGTCTATGGTTTGCAGAACTGTGTTGAGTCTGTGATCAGAAAAGACAAATGAGATGATGGCAAAAATCTATACCTTAATTCTCATGGTTGTTATGTGGAATATAAAATTGTTAAAACCTATCAAACTAACATTACTTAACATCTGTAATTTTCCCAGATTTATTGAGGAACAATTGACACATAATATTATACATATTTAAGTTATGCAAAGTAGTGTTTTGATATATGCTCATAGAAACAGAGAGTTAGGAGGATGATTACCAAGGATAGGAGAAAAGAGGAAATGAAAAGTGTTGGTCAATGGGTAAAAACTTTTCAATAAGATGAATATGTTCTAGTTACCTAATGTACAGCGTGGTGGCAATAGTTAATAATAAGTTATTGAGTACTTGAAATTTGTTAAGAGAGTAGATCTTAAATATTCTCACCATACACACACACACAAACACACACACACACACACACACACAACCCTAACTATGTAAGGTGATGAACATGCTAATTAGCTTGATTTTGATAGCCATTTCACAATGTTACCTATATTTGTGATTTTATTATATATAACTTTTATTTCGAAAACTAAATAAAAAATATTCCTTCATCTGCTATTTGATGAAGGCTGTATTAATTTCCTATTGCAGTTGTAATGTATTACCACAAATTTAGTGGCTTAAAATACTGAAAAGTTATTTTCTTACATTTCCACAGAGCAGAAGACACATCGAATGCATTCACAGGGTTATGGTCCTTTGGATTTAGAGAAGAATTCATTTCTTTTCTCTTCCTAGCTTCTAAAAGCCACCCATATTTCTTGGCCCCTGGATCCTTTCATCTTCAAAGCCAGCACTCCAATCTCTAGTCATCTTCACATCTTCTTTTTTTGACCTTTACCCTGTTTCCACCCTATTATACCATGTGAATACATTGGGAACAAGGAGATAATCTAGAATAATCTCTTTATCTCAAAATGTCTAGCTTCATTAAATCTACAAAGTATCTTTTTGCCATATAAGGTAAAATATCCACAGGTTCTGGTGATTAGGATGTGAACATTTTTGTGATTGGGGATGGGGAAATATGTGGAATTATTCTGTCTACCACAGAGGCTAAATGATCAGACCAAATAAAAGAAAAATGCCCAGAGTCACACTGACATTAACTGTGCAATGAATGCAGCTGCACACAAATCAGAACTATATCTAATATTTGGATGATAGGCTCATCCAAATATTAGAAACAGGAACTGTTAGCCAGTATTAAATCTGTCTTTGTGTGAGATTCTTTCCCATGAGCTGAGAAAGGTATGCTTGGGTGCAAAAATCTCATGGCATGCAATTCTTGCCACATGCAGTATGGCCATCTTTAGGAGGTGATTCCTCCTACACATGTCAGTGAGATTACAGCTGCTCACCTTTTGGTAGGATGTCTTGCATCTAGTTGGTGCTCAATAAATATTTCACTGTGATTTCAATAAAGAGAATGACTATATTACTATTGATGCCAATTAAATGGTCCCTAGTGATCTTCAGAAGACATGAGGCTGTCCTAAGCACCTGCTTTACTCTTAGGGGCCATTTGGGTTGAAAATATGGCAAATTAATAATATTCAATCAAGCACCGAGGTATTTTACAAAAATCAATGTTGTCAATGTGTGATTGAATTTAATTCATTATTTGAAAAAAATATTTTTTTTTCTTACAAACCATCACTTTCTTCCTACTCTTCTTGCCCCCAGATCATTTTTAAACTATGGATACTGATTCTAGAGAGGATAAGAGCTAATTATTAACTCCCCTTTAACTTACAAGTTTATACTCAGCAAATCTTAATACTTGGAGTCTCTTAAAACAAACAGGCTTGCACAGTCACCATTTCAATTAAGCTAACCTGACCAATTTAGGACTTATAAACACATTAGCTCCACAAATTAAGGTTTCTATTCCTGTGAGTCTTTACTGAGTTGATTTATTCAGCTGGTTTTGGAGAATAGTTGTCTGTCAGTTAGTGTTCTTTAAATACATGTTTATCCTGGAGAATTTTATCTCAGAAGCCTTCAAATATGTAATTACTTATTTTCTTTTCAGAAATACAAAGCATCTAATCACTTTTTACTTTTAATACAATATATATATTACTGCCCTAGTTTTTGCAATGACAGATCTTTAAATTCACTATTAACTATTTACATCTTTGTAATCCTCAAAATTAGTGACATAAATATTTCCAAATTACTAGAACACAGCTGTTTTAAAGAATATATTTTTTTCTCCTCTGTCTGTTCTTGGTTAACCAAGGATAATGACTACAATGACTGCATCTTATGTAATTAAGCAGGTCACTGGTGAATTTAAATTGAGGACAATATTGAACTTAAGGGGTCATTTTTCTAACAGTCAATAAAAGAGCAGGCTTTTTGTTGTTGTTACTTTGGGCTCATTATGATTGAGAAACCCATTATAATTGCAAAAAATGTCATGTAAAATAGTAGCAAACAGAGTTTTCTCTCTTACTCTTGGAGACTACTTAAGAACTTGTGGTTTGTAGGAGAGTTTTCTAAGCAATCATGAGAGCTTCTTACACATTAAGGAAGGAAATGGCTTTCATATGCTACACCTGCAATTTCATGAAAATTGGGCAATCTTTAAAAAACTATAGAACTACAATACTGCAGATGGTTTTAAAAACTCACTTTGATCATTGTCTCTTACCCTTTGACTTCAACTTGCATTACTTCTAAATAAAACTAGAGAGGCAGAAGTGCTGTCATATTTAGAGATCTTCAGAGGACATTTCAGTCTTCTGGAGTCCATCCCAGCGCCTAACAGGCCTCATAATCTTCCTAAGGAATTAATTTCCTCTGGTTTTGCTACAGTGGAATTAGAGAACAGTGTATTAACATAACACTATAGTGAATTTCTCCAACTCAAATAATTAAATTAGACCTTTATTTACCCAGCTAAAACTAAGTAACATCGTGCTTTTTCTGTCTCTTTAAACTAGATATTTTAGAAAATCTTTGAAGAAAAACAATGGCTTTAGGTTTTTGCAATCTCTTTGAATATTCTTATTTTGTAATTTTGCTGTGTTAGTTCATCTCCTTCTCAATGTATTTGAAACTCACATCATCACTTCTTCCAAATTAACTCCCTCTCCTAAATTTCCTATTAACTTTCATAATACTATCATCTTTCATATACACAGGGTCAAACTTTCATGGATATGGACACTGGTTTTTTTTTTTTTGTCCCATCCTATAGTTCAATCAGTGTCCAAGAGCCTCATATATTTAATTATTATATTATTATATAATTAATTAAGTCATATATTTTCCTTTATTTAGCATCATATATTACTTTCACTCAGGAGCTGTCTTTAGGATTATGTTGCTTTTTATTGCCATAGTCTCTTAACTAACATACCTTTTTGTCTCTTTTTCCTCATTGTTCATTCATCTCCAGGAGATTAATTGGGCGCAGTGGCTCAAGCCGGTAATCCCAACACTTTGGGAGGCTGAGCAGGTGGTCCACTTGAGAACAGGGGTTTGAAACCAGCCTGGCCAACATGGTGAAACCCCGTCTCTACTAAAAATACAAAAATCAGCTGGGTGTGGTGTCATGCACCTGTAATTCCAGCTACTTGGGAGGCTAAGGTGGAAGAATAGCTTGAACCCAGGAGGCTTGCTCCAGCCTGGGTGACAGAGTGAGATTCCATCTCAAAAAACAAATAAAATAAAATAAAATAAAATAAAATAAAATAAAATAAAATAAAATAAAATAAAATAAAATAAAATAAAATGAAATAAAATAAAATAAAGCACAGCTAAGAACATACATAGGAGACACTTGTAAAATTAATTCTCAAGGCCTTTTGAACATATTTCTTATGTTTAAGGATTTTTCTACCTGTAAATACCAGCTTCCCAAAATAGAGCCAGGAAATTGCTTTTCCAGACTCCTGTGCAGCCAGGGCATAGACAGGTGACCCAGAATCCACTAATAAGATTTCCAGGTATAACATTTTGATTCAAAAGTAAGAAAAGTCTGATTCGGACAAGAATGCAGTTAAGAAGGTAATGGAGGCCCTTGGGTTTGGGGGCAGCAATGACAGCCAGGGAGGTTTTCTGGAACATAACTGGCACACATGTATGAATAGCAGTGGTCATAGTTATGCTGATTTCTTGGTCCAGAAAGGGTAACCATACAAAAACTGGTAGTGCTAGTTTTCTTGTAGACCTCTTCTACAGCATATTCTGGTTTGTTCCCAGAAGTCTACCCAGAGATTCATAATTTAGGGTCCTACACAATTCTGAGCTATATAACAAATTTTTTTATAATAACATTTCTTACAGTTTGTAAGAAAGAATCTAGAGTAATATCGCATGTAGCTCCCTGCTTCAGAATATTTTATATCTTTATATCCAAAAAAACTTCTAACTTCTAATATTTTCCAAATTCTGGCCTCAAAATCTCACTTAAGTAATTGATCTCTCTACTACTTCATTGAAATTATACATGCCAGTGAGATTGTTCTAATCACAGTTCTTTGAAATTAATCTCACATATCTACTTTTGCTTTTTGCTTTTTTGTTTTTGCCACTCTTCCTACATTTCTTCAAAAAACCCATTATGTTTCCTTTAATGACTAACTGAAATCCCACCATCTGATTTTTTTTCTGAAAAATAGAAATAAAAGTTTCATTAGCACCACTTTGTTAATACTAACTTTTCTTTATAGGTTTTTGTGTCGCTGATACAAATACCACATATTCTCTTAAAGTACAGATAAATTATCTAATTCATCCCAGTAGGCTATTCCTACTATACCCCCAATAGAACATAGCCAGGTGCTCAGTAAATATTTTGCACAAGGAAATTAGGTAGTGCCTCACCCCTCGTGAGGCTTTATTTAATTGGAAGATTAGCTTGCAGGATTTATTAGCATCTTGTATGTTTACTCAGCCTTCTGGAAGGGAGTTACTCAAACAGTAGCTAGATCTAAATTTAAGTTAGATGCTACGCATTATTGCTAATTTATGATGAGACAATCATCTGAATACTATCAAATTTGGTCTATCATGATTCCCAATTCATTATCAATCAACTTATATTTGTTATATTTAGGTGACATTAGGCATTGCAACTAATCCCAGTGGCTTAACATAACAAGTGCTTATTTCTCACTCACATATTATCCATTGTCAGTGGCCAGAGTTTTCCTCCATGTGGTGAACATATAGGGACCTATAACTCTCCAATTTAATGTTGCTGTCTTAACACTTGGTTCCCAATACAGAAAACTGTAGGAATACAGCAGACATAGAAACCTTAAGCTATCTTGGGCCACAAATGGCATATGTCGCTTTTGTTCACAGTGCATTGATTATAACTAGTCATATGAACTTCATATAACATCATGAGAGAATGAGACATGCACGAGAAAGCATGGGATATATGATGAGTACTGTTTCTTTATAGCACACAATTTAAAATTAGTGTGTTATGGCACACAGTCTAAAATTAATGTGCTTAATTTTCTCTATTTATAATTTGAACAATGCCACCAACTAAACTTATTTTTCATTAATTCCCAGAAAGATGTCTTCGTTCTTTTTCTGTCTCCATACTTCTCCCATAAACTCACTATGCTACTTTTGCTCATTTCATATTTAATTCTTACCAGCTACTAATATTCTTATCCAAAGCTATCCGCCTTCCATCCATGGTCTGTTTAAATCTGAAATGTACCTAACCCACAATCAGTTTTATTACATTTATGAGGCATCTCGAGATACTTTGGACTTACCTGTGTACCTTTCACAGATTTCTATAGCACTTAAGCCACAAAATATAAAGCTATAATATCTAATCATTACATATAAATACCAAGTACAAAGTATAATTTAGTCCTAAGGGATTAAATATGGTTATATGTAATATTGTGTAGATGACAAATCATAAAAAACTTAATAAATGATACCAATATTACTTACCTTTGGTGATGAGAAAATTGACACAAGTAACTTGGCTATATTGTATTATGCTATAAAAATTTGTGAAAAGAAAGTTTTAATCCTTGTGTGTGTGAAGGCAGGAAGGGGAAATCCGAAATCAATAGAGAAATGAACACAGGAGTGAAATGCAACTTCCAGTTGTAAACTTGATACCAGGTAGAGACAAGATGTACTGACACAAGCAGGCTACCTGACACTGCCTGCAAGTTTTGTTAAGTACATCTGCTCATAACAGCCAGAGTTGAGAAAACATAGGTCTTTGTTTCTTTCAGGAACAGGCTAGTTATTGCAAAGAAGAGGAGAAGGACTGTAACCTGAGAATAAGCTGCTCCAGAAAAAAAAAAAAAAAAAAAAAAACTATAAAGAATTGAGCCACAGAGATCAATCTACTTATCTCTATATGACCAATTTATCAGTTAAATCATTTTTCCTTTTACGAGCACTCAGTAAGGGGTTGAGGAAATAAAGGTCCTCTCCAAAACCTTTACTCTAGGAGAGAATTTCCCTCCTCACCAGATAAACAGGAAGGTAAGGAATGAATATTTCCTTTTTCAAACGAAGGCATCACAACAGGGTGGAATTGGAGTTGCTCTATGAAAAAAAGCTGAAGTATGCATAGCCTGCCTGATCACTGGTGTAGAGTCAAAGAAATAAAGTTTGAACTTGAACAGCAATGCTTCCTTGGAATATTCTCTCCATGAGGGTAAGTTCTTTGTCTTGTTTTCTCCACGTAAGTCTCTACTACCAAGAATTGTAACTTGCATATACTAGGCACTCGGTAAATAGGTTTTGAATGAAAGAAGGTAGCAGCCAGCTTGTAAGGATCTTACATTTGAAAATTTAAACATATAATTTTATTTTATAGAGATGCAGTACTAATTTTCAAGCGGGTTCTGACATGAACAAAATGCCATTTAAGGAACATTAATCAGGAGTCCATTATGCAATGGGTTGTATTACCAAAAGTCTAGTGGGAGGGAATTCAATTAGCAGATAATTGCAATAGCCTTAGGATGATCTGATGGTGGCATTGATTAAAGTAGAAGAGGGTGGGCCTCAAAGAGTAAAGGACAGTTATGTAAAACCCCATGGAGGAAAACCGTCATGCTTTGATAAATGATTTGAAGAGGGGTGTGTGGGAGGAATGAGAGAAAGATCAACTAACTTATCATTAATTGAGCACTTGTCCTGATGGAGGACACTTGGAGGAGTAAATTGAAATGTGTGACATAATTATTGTTCTTTTAGTGGAAACACTATGTTCATAGGGAAAAATCTCATAGAAAATAAATGATGCCAGGCCTGGATTTGGGGAGCAACTGGTATATCTGTGCAGACAGAGTAGCTACAAAAGTGAAAACAAATTCAGGCAAAATGTGTTCTGTAACTAAGAAACTAGAAGACAAAATAAATAATTTAGGATATTTTATTTTGAATGAAATAGACTCAGATTTTCACATGGTTTTGAGAGTCTTATGATCTACTCTGAAAACATGTATCAATAAGTATCATGTGTCAATTTTGTGTTTGGAATTTATTTCAACCACTGTAACATTCTTTATAAAATATAAATTTGAAATAATCATATTGGCTGGGCGCAGTGTCTCACCCCTGTAATCCCAGCACTTTGGGAGGCTGAGGCAGGCTGATCATGACGTCAGGAGTTCGAGACCAGACCGGCCAGCATGGTGAAACCCTGTCTCTACTAAAAATACAAAAAAAAATAGCCTGGCAAGGTGCCGTATGGCTGTAGTCCCAGCTACTCGGGAGGCTGAGGCAGGAGAATTGCTTGAACCCAGCAGGCGAAGATTGCAATGAGCTGAGATCACGCCACTTCACTCCAGCCTGGGCAACAGAGCGAGACTCCATCTCAAAAATGATAACAAACACCACATATTCTCACTCATAGGTGGGAGCTGAACAATGAGAACACATGGACACAGGGCAGAGAACATCACACACTGGGGCCTGTCGGGGCGTGCGGGGCTAGGGGAGGGATAGCATTAGGAGAAATACCTAATGTAAATGACAAGTTGATGGGTGCAGCAAACCAACATGGCACATGTATACCTATGTAACAAACCTGCATGTTGTGCACATGTACCCTAAAACTTAAAGTATATAGATATAAAAAAAAAGAATATAAGAATGGCAGGTATAGAGGAAATGGCAGGTATAGAAAGATGCCTGACTCATGGCTGAAATCCAGTTCACATCAGAGAAGGCAAAGCTATGTCTCACTGGATGTCAAAGAAGTCACTGAGGGGTGGCACCAATAGTATTCACTGTAAACTGACTTTGGAGTTAAGGGAAGCTGTCCATAGGGAGGTGCTTAGATGGTGACATTGCACACAAAAGTCATTTGCTATGGTCTGAATGTGTCCCCCAAAATTCATATGTTGAAACTTAATTGCCAATGTGATAGTATTAAGAGGTGGGGCCTTCATGATGTGATTAAGTCATAGGGCAGAGCTCTCATGGGTAGAAATAGGGCCTTTATAGAAGGGCTCAAGGGAGTTTGTTCAATCCTTTCTGTCTCTTCTACCGTGTGAGGATATGGCATTTGTCCCCTCCAGAGGATGTAGCAACAAGGCAGACAGCAGCCCTCACCAGACACCAAACTTATTGGCATTTTGGTCTTGGACTCCCCAGCCTTAGGAAGTGTGAGAGATAAATTTCTATTGTTTATTTAAAAATAATAATGATATTAATGTATGCCAATTTGATGACATAAATATGAAATTTATATTTTAAGGTATAGAATAAAAACAACTAACTGTGAATATTTACATGGAATTATAAACTTGCAAAAAATCTAAATAATAGTAGTCCAGTAATGGAACTCTGGGTACATTATAGAAGTTTTACTTTTGATTAATTAGGTAAATTAAATTGATCTATGAACCTTCCTTTTTGAGGTCTCTAGCAGGAGTCATTACATGTGTTAAACAAGATGGCACTGAGAGATTTTTATACTCAGAGTGAATTTGCTTTTAGGACCATCTCAGTCTTTCTACACGTGACAACGGAGAGTGCTTCTCATAAAGCTGACTGAAATTTCATAAATACTGTGATGTCTCACGTTAGACATGACCAAAGCAAGAAAGGAGATATTCAGCACATTCAATGTCATGCTGCTCTAAATATATATGCCCTATGGCTTCTTGTATACACTATACATACATGTATATAGGCCAAGGGCATTTGACAGCTGCTTTTCAAAGCTGCAGAGCAGGAGTGCTTACTTTAGAATAGCCAACAGATTCCAATGACATCTGGGTTTCAGTCTATTTTCAGTGAAGAATTGAGGGTTGGTGACAGAGTGGGTAGAGGATATGTTCCTCTCTTCTGTGATCTGAAGAATACATATGCACACAGCCTCTGTGCTTAAAGGTAGAAAAATAGGTTGAATTTTTATAATTTTAAAATTAGACTTAATTAAATGAAATGTTATAAATTTAAATTGGGTATATGGTAAGATTTCTCATTATTTATATTGAGCAAAAGTAGTGTCTTGTTGTTTCATTATTGTCATTTTAATTATTTTATAATTATGTTGTTAAACAAATATAAATCATTGATTTAAAATCCAACAGCATACATAAATTAAAAATAAAATTTTGAGCAGAACTGTATTAATTACAATCACTGCTTTTACATTAGTTTCCAAGTTATTTCTGGATATGCCAGGGCTATTTCTAGAAAAATTGTAAGAGTCATTCTATGAGATGTTCTTCACTACTGCTTAGAGTGCACTTGGGGCTGTAAACCTCTACTATCCACAAGTCTCTCCTTTTCCTTTTATCGCATCATATCAAGGCCTTTTTCTCCTGTGTGTCATGAAATAAAATAATCAGATTACTAATTTTATCTCGAGGTAGTTCTAAATTTCAAGAAAATCCCTTGAGAAACACCAAAGTCATCTTTGATGTCTCCCATTCCTTGAGCACCTAGTTCATTTACCCAGTTTCATAATTTACCAATGAAATGCCTCAGGTATCTATCCAATCACTTTTTATTCTTATTTCCCATTTCTAATATTGTTACACTTGAGTGGACCAATGTTGCTTCTCACTTATTTTTTTTAGCTGTAATCAGTTCCTAATCAGTTATTCAACCACTATCTCTCCTGAATTCAGCTGGGAGAGCTCTCACTCCAAATACTGCTTGGTGCTGGGTTATGTTATTTCCTGCTCAGAAATCTTTCCTATTGCCTAGCAAATTGAAAATATTCAACTATTAAGGCATTTAAAGCACTTTAAAATATGCTCTCAATCAGCTTAGGTACTCTTATCTCTGACTACTTACCTAAACAGTTCCTAAGCCTTGATCAAATTGGCCAGCTTACTGCATTTTATCTTCATATCCCCCACAGCTTTGGATGGTATACTCATTTGGACAGAAGGTTTCAAAAGAAAGAAGGTAAAGCCCCCATATTAAAAATAACATCTACTCTATTAATATGAAAATATAAGCACAGATAAAAATGTTCTCTCTTAGCATTGTCATTTTTTTATGAGAAGAGTTTTATAAAAGTAAGAGTCATATTAGACATATTTGAAATGTGCTAAGTATTATTTTTGCCTAGGGAAGTAAAGAAACAATATTTGATAGAAAAGGTGATATTTAATATTGGTGTTAAAGAATGTATAAAAATTTATCAGGTAAAATTGGAAGATCAGGAGAATGAAGGAATATTTCAGGTTTGGGGGTATGATATGAACAAAAGCAAAATTATTTTAAGTGTAGTTTGTGTTTGGGGAATAATATTGACATTGTCATGTGTCATGTTTCCCAAAATACGTTTCCAAAAATATCAGTCCTGTAAGAGACCCTTCAAGAAAAATTAAGGGCCTAGTAAGATGCATGCCCAGTTTAAGTTGTGAAATTCAACACCTTCTGTATTTTTTTCTTGGGACTAACAGTGAGCTAACATAGTAAAGGGTCTGATAGATCTATAATTTACTTTTCTTTAATGTCTCAAAAATTTTGCAAACATTTTACCTCCCCTTTTAAACATGGGAGCTTTTAATACTGCTTTGAATTAATGTTATGTAAAAACTGCTTTGGGGTATAAAACTGAACACACAAAAATTTTGGAGCTTTTTGCATTAAGGCAATTGTAGAAGCATTATGAAAATGATTCTAAATAACAAGGGCAAATTTTATACAACCTAAAACACTTGGTAGGAGTACATACATAGTGTAGGCCTATATAAAGTGTTATAGATTAAGAACATAGAAATTTCTCATTTACTTTTGTTTAATTTTTAGAGAAAATTTGGCATGTTTTCCATTATAGAAGGGAATGGGTTGGGGGTAAGGGACAGTTGGAGGTGGGAGGTACTAGTAACTGTGAATATAATAAGTCTGCTGGTAACATTTTACATTAAAAAAAAGAGAGAGAATTACCAGCATCCTTATTGCAAAAGAGCAGAGAGTAGTTTGTCACTGCATTGTTTAAATTGCCCAGCTGTGTATCAGTGAGTACAGAAGGGCTGAATTGGGGAATAGTGTATTATCCTGCATTCCACGGGTTAAGGATTCACTTGGAATTTATCCCCTTCTACCACTCAGTTAGCATTAAATAGATTTTGAAATTCTCCCAAATTATCTTCCCCCTTTTAGAGACAGGTATCATTCAGAAAAATTTTGTTTGACTTTGACATACAGATGTTATCTGTGTTCTAGAGCAATTCATCCAACATCTGCACTAATTCCTTAGCTGGGAAACATGGGTAATTTCAGTAACTACCTCTGTGGAACATAATCATTCAACACATATAAATTATGTTGTTGATCACAATCACAATGGTGATGATGCTGCTAAAGTCATGCTAAGTGAATAGGATTTATACTTTTTACTATTAATAGTAATAGTGTTTGGATTTTAAAAAACACATTATTAGAGCAGCAAAATTGAGAAGAAGATATGTAGATATCCTATATGCTCCTGTCCCCAACACTTGCACAGCCTCCCGAAATATCAACATGACCCCGCCCCCCCGCCAGATTGCTACATTTGTTACAATTGATGAACCTACACTGACACATCATAACCACCCGAAGTTCATAGTTTGCATTAGCATTCACTGTTGGTGTTGTATGTTCCATAGATTTTGACTCAGTTTGAAAGTATACAGTGACATGTATCAACCATTATAGTATTATACAGTTTTTTTTGATGCCCTAAAATTCCTCTGTGTTCCACCTATTCATTTCTCCACACCTTCACCCCCATTTGTAAATTTTTATATTCTTAATTGTTTGACTTGAGCTATAGTTCTCACATGAGAGCCACTTGATCTGTTTAAAGTACTCAACTTTAATCTGTGGAATTACATATATTAACTATTTGTGAAAAAGAGCTTTAAACATAATTCTGTTAATTATAAATGTTACTTAGCAAGATTATTTGGTGTCTTTAACTTGTCTGGGTATAATTCCTATGTGCATCTTCAGTTGAAATCATTGTGTAATGAATGGATTTTCCTTGAAATTTGTTTCATGTTTCAACCCAGAAGAGAGAGAGGAGAAAAGAAGAAAAGAAAAGAAAAGAAAAGAAAGAAAAGAAAAGAGAAATGAAAAAAAAAATAGGAAAACAGGTGAAGACAATGAACAAATGGCTCCACTTTTGTAACCAACAGAGGTTGATTTTCTTTTTGTTTCTGCAATTTAGAAATGTCTACGTCTTTTATAATTTATAAGAGTTTAGAACAAAGTATGAGAAGAAAAATAAAGCCTTAGGTTATATTTTCTGGCTGCCAATATTTTTATGAGGTTCTCCTTGCAAGACACACCTAATTATTTGGCCCACTCAGATTATGTATCTATTTTGAAATGTCAAAATAGTAAGTTATCCCTACAGTGTAGTAAAGAAAATCTATATAAATCCTGATGGAGGCAAAATTTCTACTGCTGCAAAGCAGGGGAATACATCTTTCCTGGCAAAGAAAGAAAGTTTGAATGAAAGCTACACAGGCTTTACCGAATATGATATGTGTAAATAATATTCTTGTACAATGGGAATTGCTCAATTCAGAGAAGATAAAGTTGAACTCAGTGTTTATTTTCTGCATAATGAGAGCGTACACATATTGGGTTCAGGGTCATTTCTGTCCATCACGTTGCAATTCTCCTAGCTGTCATGGTCATTCCACCCTTCATTTTCAATTCCTAGCTTTTTTTTAATGGCTAAATAATTCAAAGATAAAGTACCATACCCTGGATGTTCCTTGAAAGATAGTTTCTCTCTCCAAAGGGGAATTACCTTATGTCTGGTTTGAAAGTAGAAAGAGTGAAAATCTTGAAACTCAGACGGCTGTGCACCCTACTTTATCAAAGACAGGAATTAGGGGAGAATAGATAAAATTTAAAAATACATTAAAAATTAGTAGGAAAGTTTCTTATTTGCGATGTAGTTATCCCTGAGTTATTCTATTCCTAGAAATTTGGTTAAGTAAATCCATAACTGTCTCCTTTATGAAAACTGCCACATAAAAAATCTTGAGTAATAGAGAATTGGTAAATAAGTAGTAATTTTATGATATATACTAGGGCTTCTGAAGCTATTCCTTTTTAGTTTCTAATTATGTCTTGATATCTATATTTACTGTAATTTGAACATATATGAGAAAAACTTACAATCTGTTGAAAGGAAAGGATATTCAGTTGTCATATGATTTATCTAGAATGTTAAACGTTTAAGCTTCTTTAATTTATTTTTGTATTATGATTTTTTTATTGCTGCTATTAAATAGATTACTTAACTGGCAATACATGATTTATTGAAAAAAATTTAAACAAAATGCACTGAATAGTGTTATGAATGGTACCTATAAAATATTTTTTTCTGAATGTAGTATTATATATATTCAAATAGTGAACATAATATTTCTCAAACAAGGAGTATTTTAGCTCTGAGATAGTACATGTGATTCTCCAGTTGCCATGATAACTAGTTTTTATTTTACAAAAGCACAGATGTATGAAGCAAAAAAAAAAAATAGACAAGAAAAAAAGCAATTTTTCCAGAAATGGTACATCTTGTTTAACCCAAACATTGAATTTCTTTCCTTTGCAACTGATAACTTTTGAATCTTTATTACAAACAAAGCAGATAAAAAAAGATATTAAACTTTAGCATTTGCAATACATTTTGAAATAAAAATCAAGTAAGTCTGGAGGATGTACTAAATCAACTTGGCTGAAATCGGAAGGTGCCTAGTTAATTTATTAGCCACGTTTTCGCATTATCAAGTTTTACTTTGTGCATTGATACCTAAAGATTATGCATTGAGATTTACAAAATTCTCAAATCCATTGTGTTTATACAGAATGCTCATCCTGAAATGAGATTAGAGATATATTTTGACTTTGTCTATATTGCTTAAAATATTGTCTTCTTTCTAACAAAGTACCCCCAATGTGCTCTACTCAACAAGAAATATACTCCTCTCTCTAACACTTCTGTATTTTCATAATGCCTTCAGAATAATAATGTTAAATATGAAATACTAAAATATGTTTAAATATAGAATAATTTTGAGTTCAATTCTAAGAAAGCATTGATTTTTGCTTGAAAAAACAAACCTCAGTTTGACTTAACTGTGCTTTAGAATTATATGTTTTTATTGCTGTAAAATATTTTGAATCAAGGTAAAACATTTGTTGAATTATATACTATCTCTCAGTTGTGCAACTGTATGCAGAACATTCTGAAGTAAATATAATTTCAATATTTCCCCAGTCATTATTTGGCACCTATTTCTTAACCTCCTGAAAATTAAAAGAGTCCCAGGGGGTTCAATAGTAAAGGTTCTCAAGATAATTTTTGTAAATCGATCCTAGGTTGAAGGTAGTTGAAAGGCATTTTTTCAGAAATCAGTCCAATTGCTGACAGGGGAAATTTTGTTCCCCCAGGAAATACCTATAGCATTGTTCTACATGAAATTCAGTATCTCTGACCAAGTCAGTGAAAAATTTTCCATTTTTGACCCTTTCATTTTCTCATCTTCAAATTTCACCTCATACCTCTCCCTTCCAGAGAAACCATTGTCAAATCTGCATCTGTACTGAGGGTCTCTAAGTAAGTGATGATGGTATGTACATTGAAATGTTTATTTTAAGACCATGTGTTTCAAAAAATAAAGAAACAACCAGTGAATGTCCTCTCACCCACATTCTAAAGTTAAATAGTCTGTAACGAAATTACAGAATTAGTTTGTGTGCTATCTATAGCTTTAAGTAGGAAAAGGTGAGAAATTCTTGTGGAAAATAGAACCTGGTCTGCAAAATGAGTCACAGTGGCATTTCAACATGTTAATTGTGTAGCTCCTGCACTTGGTTTTGAAAATCTGCCTCTCCACCTGCTAGGAGCATAGACAGTTAGAAGCATTTCTTAGAACTTTGTAACTCAAAAGTGGTTTCTGGACTAGAAGCATCAACATCACCTGTGAGCTTTTTAGGAATGCGTAATCTCAAGTCCCACTCCAGACTTGCTTGCTCTGATTCTGCGTTTTAACAAAATACTCTGGTGATCTTGAGCATATTAATGTATGACAAACATTGTTCTAGAGGAGATGTAGTGATTTAACATGTCACCTTCTTCTACCTAGATTCCAGCATGATCACAAACAAAACATCTGACAACTCAAAAAAGTATCTCCATGTGTTTCCACACATGGACCAATTTGGACTGGAATGAAAAGTGTGAGCTACCACAAACAGTTCCTCTTCAGGTACACTGCTCAATGCTCTTACAAACATTCTTTCATGTAATTATTGTATCAATCTTTCTCAGGTAATAAGACCTACTCTATTATTATTATTACAGTTTGAATATCCCTTATCCAAAATGCTTGGGAACATTTTAAATTTCAGATTTCTTCAGATTTAGGAATGTTTCCATACATATAATATCTTGGGACACGAACCTATTCTAAACACTAAATTTATATTTTTATACAACTGGTACACATAGCCTGAAGGTAATTTTATATAATATTTTAAGTCATTTTGTCCATGAAACAAAGTCTTTGTACATTGAAACATCAGAAAACAAAGCTGTCACTATCCCCACCTCCCATGTGGACAATCTGTGTTTTTTGGCATCATCCTCATTCCTGACCCCAACTTTATACGTTACTGATAAGCAACCATTTTTTTACACTTATTCACACATAAGTAATTAACAGTAAAATACACGATATACCATTAACGCATTGAAAAAAAAAAAAAAAAACATCATGTTCAGGGTAAGCAGCATAGTGGAATCAGTAGGATACCTGCATCCACTATTAAACAAAAACAAGAAGAAGCAACAGCAGACTCTACCTATGATGCTGGTTTTGATTGAAAGATAACTGTACATTGCATTTTATTTTGTTGGTGAGAAAAACTACAGAAGCAGCTGAAGGACCAGGATGCAGGTCCTCTAGGAATGAGGAGGCATTCTAATGGGTAGCTTTTCAAAGTGTTTCCTCCAGAGTCATCTGCCTCATTAACAGTGGGTTTTATATTAGAAGTATCTCTTGATTCTATAAACTAGCACGATTTTTTGTTCAGCTTTGAATGCATGCTGCTCTAGTTCTTCAGTAAGCCTATCACACATTTTCACCATATCATCTCTAGGCACTTTTTCTCCAGTGTTAACATCTTCATTGTCCCTATTTTCACAATTACCTTAATTCAGAACCATTTTGTCTACTTCACCATTGGTAAAAATATGAATAACTGGAGCCTCATTATTAATGTTAAAAATTGCTTTAGTATCCACTTTTCCAGCTTACTGAGAGACTCTGAGGGTTATTTTTACACCCAGTCAGGCATCACTTTTTCCTTACTTGAAATACAAAATTCTTCAAAGTCAGCAACTTGTTCATCATCATCACTGAACATAGTTGCAAGGCAGAGGGTGTTGTCAGGCATGTACAACTATGTCTTTAGTCACTGTGTTCCAAGTGTTAGCAACAGCATATATAGCATCCTTCACAGTAAACTCCTTTTGAAAACCTGCCACATGCGTGCCTCTGTTCACTGCTGCTAGCATACTGTTCAAGTAAGTATTTTTATTTTTACGCCTGTTGATCTAAGAATACCCTGGTCACGTGCCTGAATTAATTAAGTCACATTTGGGGGAAATATAGATGTCATGAGCATTGTTTTTGATGAGAATTTCAGCTGAAGAGTGAGCAGAATAAGTGTCAAGGAATAACAAAATCTTGCAGTTGTCATTCAGTTCAAATTTCCTCCAGTAAACACAAGGCTTTGGCAAATAATATTTGTGAAACTAATCAGAAAAAAATGTCTCTGGTGGCCCATGCCTTTTTGTTAGCAAAATAATGGACTGGTAAGAAATTCATTCCTTGAAAATAGAGAGGGGCCAGGTGCAGTGGCTCACTCCTGTAATCCTAGCACTTTGGGAGGCCGAGACAGGCGGATTGCTTGAGGCTAGGGGTTCAAAACCAGCCTGGCCAACATGATGAAAAACCGTCTCCACTCAAAATACAAAAATTAGCCAGCCGTGGTGGTGGGTGCCTGTATTCCCAGCTACTCAGGAGGCATCTGTAATTCCTGTAGGGGCTGTCTCATCTACCACAGTGTTTTTATGGGAAAATAGTGCCAAAACAATGATGTTTCATCAATATTTTAGACTTCTTCTGGCATCATTTTTTTTAAATCAGCAATGATATTCGCAACATTATCAATGAATTTCTCTGCTGCTTTGCAATCTGCAGATGCTTTAACAACACAAATTTTTAACAATTTAATGTCATATATTTTGTTAAATTTCTGAGACCAGCCTGTTGAGTGTTCATAGTTCCCTTCAATTTTCAGGTCATTGTGATTTAGTCTTTATTTGTTTCATGATAAGCATACCATTAAGAAGCCAGTGTTCACTGTGACACTAATGGATATACTTATCCAATATACAATTAAGATCTTCATTTTTAGCTTAATGCAGTACTTTTCTATTTTCATTAACTTCTGTTTGAAACTTTCAGCATAGAAATTCAACAATTTATCCTTCTGTTTTTTCAGGTCATATATGGTGGTCACCCCAACACTATGCTCTTCTGTAAAACATTTTACACTTACAGCCTTGTCCAGTTTCTCTCTCCAACAACTTGACTTCCTGTGCTATAGATAAGTATCAATGCCTCCTCTTTTTTAAATCACTGTGGCCCATAAAGATATTTCTAGGCCTCTTGACATTTTCAACTCTATTTTTACACCACAGACCTGAGAATAATGAAAAAATGCAGTAAGTAATGTACATAGGTCTTTTCCTCATGTGGGACATTGCGGGTAACCTGACATTGGTGAGACTGGACTGAACATATGCCATTTTATTACCCTCTGTGGCTGTGCCTGTGTGGGAGAATCCGTATGTGTGTGGGAAAGGTCTGTCACATCTGAAGAGGGCTGGAAGGGTCTTTTCTCCTTTGATGATAATGAATAAACTGCATGTTGTGCACCTGTGTATTGACCATGACCCATCACGTGAGGTCAGCGTGGAATTTTCTACTTGTGGTGTCATGTTGGCACCCAAAAATTTCAGATTTTTGAGCATTTTGAATTTCAGATTTTTGGATTAGCTATACTCAACCTGCAATGTTTATATTTACATAATATGAATGAAGAGAGGCTTAAAATAAGGTCAAATAACTTTCTCAAAATTGCAGATGGTAAACACTGGGCCATTTTATTAAGATTATTGTGAAGCTTCCTGATTGATCTCAGTGATCTCAATCTCACTGTATGTCATACTGCTACCAGAATAATTTTTCAATATGTAAATCTAATTCTACTAGTTACCTGCCTAAAATCTCGAGGTAGATTCCCATATGATTTGAAAGTATTTTTTGACTTTTTCTTGCATATTGTTCTTTTTGTATGGGCCACTGCAATAATTCTGGACTTTTTCCAAGCTAAATTATTTATTGCTCCCATTACTTGTTTACATGTGCTCTTCCCGCTGCTAGAGCTTTCTCCATTCTTTTATTCATATGCTCAATTACAATTCTTTCTTTAAACATGTTTCATCACACCTAAGAAGTTGTTTCAAACATCTCAATCTGATATAAAATGAACTCTGTATCAAACTTTATCAGCCCCTATCCCATGCTATTAAAATTATTTCTTTCTTACCAGGCACACTTTTGAAACTACAAACTTTTGAATACACACATACACACACACACACACACACACACACACACCCCATACATACTCAATATACTTATATACTCAATATATGTGTCTGTATATATATATATAAAAATAATATATATGTATGCATTAATCGTGCAGATTTATGTAGTTCTGCATAATTTTTTCATTTTGTCAGTTCACACAAAAAGTACTCATTAAGACCTTGTTGTAGGACAAGCACTGTGCTAAAAACTGTTGAGAAAGAAATAAATTATATATATATATATACACAATATATATAAATTATATTTTAAGAGCATATATATATAAAATCATGCTACAAGGTTTTATATTGTAGTTTGATTATATTTATACTTAAAAGAGTATAATTTATATATATGTTATACATGCATAACATATATATATACATAAGTTATTTCTTTCTCAACAGTTTTTAGCACAGTGCTTGGTAATTTATATTGATCTAGTTAATTCTAATTTTAAAAACTTGTGAAGATAATATTATCAGCCCATTTTATAGATAGTAAATTGAAATTTAGAGAGGTTATTTTGTTGTCCAAGATCACACATGCTGAAGATAACAGAAGCCAGGACTCAAACAAACCCAGCTTTTTCTGATTTGAAAACAACTTTGACAGAATATACAGGAGTTCTCAACTCTTCTGCATCATCGCTTTTACTCAGATTAAGCCCTCATACAATTAACAATATTCCTCCATGAATAATGTTCTTGGAACTATGCAGCAGATAGGAGCAGGACGGTTCTGCAAATGTTCTGAGCTGATAATATATACTCTGATTAGGATGAGTATGTGAAGGAAGAGGATCATGCCTTACATTGCAACACAGCCTTCACTGATTCCTTCAAAGTGAAGTGTCTCAAGTTTAAATGTTCAGGTTCTATTTAAACATTTTGGTATTCAGTCACCAAATTTTCTCTGTTAACACAAATTGCTTCCCACTTATTCTTAGGCTACTTTCCAGAGACTCTGTAATATCCTTAACTTTTGAATTGAGATTTTTGGAAGTCCAGGATATGCTTCACTCCCAGCCCCAGTTTTTATACCTGTAGACATTTTTTTCTCTTTTCAGCAAATGGAGAGGAATGTTCCTGAAGATTGTGAGTGGCTATGCTGGTGCAGATTATTATGATACCTAAGTGAGGTACTAGTAGTCCATAGGACAAAATTTTTTTTAATAAGTCAAATCTAATTCTACTGCTAAGGTGTTAAAGACATATAAAATGTTAAAATCATTTACTTATTTTAATATATTATGTTACTTAATATTCTCCTAGGTTTCACATGCTAAATTTCAGTCTACAATAAATTTTATAGCGAAATTTAAAACTCTCAAAATAGAATTTTAATAGAAATGCTAAGATATTCTCAGTGTAGCTGCATAAAATTTGCAGAGTTTTTTAAAGAACCATTTCCGTCATGGTTTAAAACATATGGCAGGTCTTTTTTGGAAGTCGTCTGATGGTATGTAGAATTTGTAGTTACAAATATTCTGCCATTTAAATAAGCTCACTCAACTTCACCTTTCTGAATTAGCAGAACTTAACTATTCATTGTCAACTGATTCATGAATATAAAACCAAGCTTCATTTGGAACATATGGCTTAAAGATAATAAATTTAAATGCCTGATGTAAAGTAAATTAGAATTGGGATTGTAATGCTGATAGCTTTTTCTATGAGACTCTTATAACATCTGTCCAGAAACCTTAATTTTTTTCAGATGTTTTTCACATGCTGCTTCAAGGCTCTATATGTATATGTGTTATAACTTTCCTTCAAGAGAATAATTAGAAAAGTTATTAAGAATTCAAAGGTATATGTGTGACAAAATAAAACTGTATAACATCACTTTTAGAAGAGCTTAATAGTTACCAATAGACAAGAAAAGAGTATTACAATAAAAAAAAATTAGACATTGGATTGGGATTTGAACAGGTTTAATTAATATTGAAAATGCTTCTAAATAGATTTCTATATCAAAAACAGACACTATTTTAGATACAGCAACTCTTGTTTTTTAAGCTTTTTAATGTATGACAGGAATTAGGATTTAGAAACTGAATTTCCCAGTATCTCTTGTCAGTATGGTTAGATCCCAACAATGAAAGATAATTATAAAATATTTTGGAGATAGAAGAAAAATAGAATAATTATTTTTCAGTCAAAAGCTCTGGGCAGGCATGTGACTTTGGCAAATGTCAGCTGCTGTGAGGTTTTGCCAGCACCTTCCATATGTCCTCCTGAGAACCATCCAGTCTAATATTGTAGGCAGTTGAGAACATCGGTGCTAATTTTCTGCCATTCTTCTATTCCTGGTTTTGTAAAGTTTACTAAAAGTTCCCTGATCTTCACTACACTAGCACCTCCAGCAAATATGCAGACCTCTAATTCTCAGTGTTAAATTCTTTTCTATTTGAAATATCTCTAGTACTTTCTGTCTTCATGACTCTTAATGATAGGTTACATCTACTATGCAAGCCTGTGATTCGTTTAAAGAAATTGGGCTAGATTTCTGTCATTTAAAAATATTACAATAGATAAAAAAGTAAAACCTTTTCAACAACCCAGAGGCTTTTAATCAACAGTTTTTATTGATATGTGTTTCAAGAGAGAAAAATGTATTAATATTTTATTGACATTAATATCATCAGAAACTTCCACTGATATGAATGTATCCTTAGAGCACCTGCAGAACTTCAGAGTGCATCATTTATATCCCAGACTAAGCAAATGGCACTGCTAAAGTTGTGTAGGACAGTCTGTGTACCACAACCTGTGTAGCTACACTAATGTACCTGTTACAATACAGTTTCCGTTGAAGAAAAAAAAAAAGCTCATACTTTCAAATATTTTTTTTCAAATGTAATACAATTATACCAATTCAGGTTTTTGCTTTCTTTTGTTTTGTTGTTTAAAAGAGATGGTGTCTTACTATGTTGCCAAAGCTAGATTCAAACTCATGGGCTCAAGCAAGTCTCCCACTTCAGCATTCAAAGTAGCTGGAACTACAGGCATGTGCCACCACTCACAGCTAGCCAATGCAGTTTTTTCAATCAAGTTGAGCCATATTTATATAATGGACTATAGATCTATAATCAACCATATATGAAGGAAAGTATCTGATCCAGCCTAGAAGCTATGATATTGTCTGAAATAGCTGAATTTAAAAAAAGATGGAAATATTAGATTAAAAATAAAATTACATTTTAAGACACAAAAGTAGTTTTAAGAAGCTCATGAGGTGTCAAAACTCAATAGAACAATTTCTGATAAGCCCCTTATTAAATAGACTGGAAACTCAGGAAAACTGTATGGCTAAATTAGTTAACTTAGTTTTGCTTTTCTTTTTTTTTTTTTTTTTTTTTTTTGAGGCGGGGAGTCTCACTCTGTTGCTCAGGCTGGAGTGTAATGGTGCCATCTCAGCTCACTGCAACCTTCACCTGCTGGGTTCAAGCAATTCTCCTGCCTCAGCCTCCCAGGTAGCTGGGACTACAGGTGTGCACCACCATGCCCAGCTAATTTTTTGTATTTTTAGTAGAGACAGGGTTTCACCGTATTAGCCAGAATGGTCTTGATCTCCTAACCTCGTGATCTGTCCGTCTCGGCCTCCCAAAGTGCTGGGATTACAGTCGTGAGGCACCACGCCTGGCCGTTAACTTAAGTTTTTCAACAAATTTTACCAGAGGTTATGGAATAAAATATATCTGAATCTATTCTGATAAATTCCCTGTGAATATAAAGATTTATTGTAAATTTTACTTTACATATAGCTTAATATATAGGATAGCAAATTGTACGTAGATTGTAGAGTATTATTCATCAAATTCGTGGTCACCTATAGTAATTCAAAATAATACCTAAGTAAGAAAAGAAAATGATGGTTAGTCTGATGTCATTGTTGATACTTAGAAAATATTAATAGTAAAAGCAAGTTTTATTAGTTTTGAACAAAATTCAAAATATGTATACCTGACTATAAGAAAGAGAGTAAATCCATAGAGTGTAGAGGTGGAAAAGCAGTCTTTTGATTATAATTTTGGAGTGTAACAGTTTTTGTGTTAATGTGTGTGTGTCTTTTTCTTAATGTATATATTATTTGAGAATCTTCATTTATATCAATGAATATGTGGCAGAGTACAAGATGTTTTAATTTAACATGTTATTTAATGTTCTGTTGAATGGGTGGTGAACTAAAGTTACACATTAATTCATATTTGCTTAAAGAAAATGTGTGTAGAACAGAGTCCTATGCTTATTCATTTAATCAGCAATGTATATTGAGTGTCTGCTCTGCACCAGGCAGTGTGATAGCAGTTTTATACATAATAATGAACATATCAGACATTTTTCTGTTGTCATAGACTTGTTATTTAGAAACAGACATTAATCACATGTAAATATATAGATGGATAGATCAGTAGATAAATATAATTCCAGAGTAATCGATTTTGAAGCAACGTGCTAGGATGCTGGGAGCTATAGGACTATTTAGGAGATTATCTGACCTAGTCCATGAGACATGAAAAGAGAGAGTAACTAAGTAAACATTTTCCTAGCAAAATGACATTTGAGCCAAAATATGACAGATAATTTATCAGTTGGAGTTCAGACAAGGAAGCAGAGTCATTATAATGTTACTGGTGGGTGGAGGGTCTTGACTATGAGTCATCCAGGTTCTTGGCATTTTGAACAAAGATTTTGACAAAACACACAAACAAAGTAACAAAAGAATGAAACAACAAAAGCACAGATTTATTGAAATAAAAGTACACTCTACAGAGTGGGAGTAGGCTCAAGCAAGCAGCTCAAGAGAACTGGTTACAGAATTTTCTAGGGTTTAAATACCCTCTAGAGGTTTCCCTTGAGTTACTTGGTTACATCCTGTGTAAATGAAGACTTGACCTGCAACCGGTCTGATTAGTTACAGGAGGTGACCAATCAGAGGCTGAAGTGAAGTTACAAAGTTACACTCTATGCAGATGAAGACCTGGCCCATGACCAGTCTGATTGATTGAGGGAGGGGACAAATCAGAGGTGCTTTCCATTTTTTGTCTGTGATGCAGTGGAATGGGAGGGGGTGTTGCAAAGGGAGTAGCCTCTGATCCCTTTGTTACTTGGGTGTAGAGAGGTGGGGTTTTTCTTTTAATTCAGTTTTAGGGAGTCAGTGCACATCGGCCTTAGGTTCTTTGCTTCCAGACCATATTCTCCTGTCTCAATATGAGTTATATAATTAAAAGTTTAGTACAAGTATTAAACCTTAGGGTTGTAAGGCTAGATGGGAGAATTGAAGGTTGGAAGAGAAGAGTTAGGCAATCAGAGAACAATTAACTAGCTTCTGCCTAAAATACTTCCTGCCTAAGTACCAGCAGAGGAAAAGCTAAGCAAATCCAATTTCATAAGAAGACTGTGAAGGGAAATTCCTAAAGAATTTGAGAGGAAGCTATTATTGTTGTGTAACTCTTGCCTTTATTTTGATCTGGGGTCACTGCTGTTTGTCAGATTATTAGCAATTAGGTAGACAAGATAGACATAGAGTGGAGGAGTTCAAAAAAAGGTCTGAAATCTACCAGGTACACTTGGGCCTCTCTCCCATCTATGTGACCACAAAAACCCACTTACAGGGTAATTAATGGTGGTTACCTCACTTCTCAAATCTTCCACAAGTTTCTCTTTAGGCCAACTCTAATCAAGAACCCAACAAAAAAGGGATTCTAGGCAATGTAGTTCCCTACTTAACCAAGTGGCCAATAGAAAAAATATAGTCTATATGAGTAACAGCTAGATGATAATGATTTTCGGAATAAGAGAAACAATCTAGAGACACAGGCCTGATGAATGCTGTATGCATCACTTTTATTAATTTTCTAATAAAGCAAACCCTTATTTCTATGCATCATTTAATGAAAACTGTTAGGTTTTAGTTTGGCTTTTAAGAGAAGTGGATTAAGCATTAAGCATTTGAATAAATCACATACGAATTTTTAAAAATAAAGTTATTAATATCATCATAAGCACAGATGATAAAAGAGAAATATCTACTTGCATTTCTGACTTTTTAAATGAACACTGAAAAGTAGAAGAACAATTTAAGACTTAAGAAATGACGGTTAAGAGGGTTAGCAGTTCAGACTTCTGGATATATTTTATGGAAGCTAACATGATCCTGAATTAATTTTCTTCAGAATCTGAGGGCCACATAGTGTTTGCCTTCCTCTGGACAATTTCTTTTTTGTTTTGGGCCATGAAATAATTCATAGATTCACACCATTGCAAAAAATTCTTATGCATAGTGGAAATAATTGTTATGTGGCTTATGCAATTAGGAACTTTAGAAAGAGTGAAGTCATGCTGATATAAGAGGATAAGTATTTATTTGATATTAGGTTCAATTGATAGTCTATCTTCTTTCAATTTTTAAATTTTCTTTTTCTTTTTTTTCTTTCTTATTTGGCTATTGTTTCTAGGTTCTATAATGACTTAGGCAAGTTTTTAATTAAAATATTGATTATTACACTTATCTGGAAGGGGAGATACCATAATCATGAAGGTGGTTTTTCCAGGGTGAGGCTAATCCATTGAACTCTGGGTGTGCTGACCCCTGTGATTTCCCCAAATGTGGGAAACTCCACTGCACAATTGGTGTTGGTGGAGGACTGTGTTCCTACTCTGCCTTGGTTTTATTTTTTCAATATTAAAATGAAATTTAAAACATAAAAAATAAAAATATTGATTATTATAAATGGGATATGAGACCTTTAAAACATCACTTTTGTGCTTACATAGCTATATTAAACAATAAGTTGTGTAAGAAACCAGCCCATGCAAAAAAGAATAGACAACTACCTCATAAAATTAAGGTTTTTATTTAGGCAAGAAGAAACTGTACCGTTTGAATTTTATCTAATATTGATGAAAATATCACTGAAAAATCTCAATACCATTAAGTTTTAACTTATTTGATCAATTGAACGTGAACCAAAAACAAACAAAAAAATCAATAAAATATCATGGGAAATAACTTAGTATGCAATTTAAAATTTACATTGTTAATGTAACGGTAGCAGTATCAGATCATCACTTGATTTTTTTTCTAATTTCAAAGAGTATGAAAATAAAATCATTGTAATTTATAGAGCTCATGAATATTTCGCAAATCAGATGTTGATTATTATGAGAATGAGCAAGAAAAGAAGATTTGCTCTTATTTACAATTTTTGATGAAATAAAATTATACCTTTTACTTTCCGCTTTTGTTTCACACATCTCCAAACAACTATAATACTATTAATGTCTATACCAATTTTTTTTCAGTAATATAGTAAATACTAAAAAGAACTAATAAAGTCAATGAACTAATTTTATTTAACAATGGTAGGAAGAGAAACCTATGCAACTTTAACGACTCTTTGCTCTTAATCTCTTTCTTCAGTTTATATCATGCTTCTAAGAAAATAATATATGACATAAGATATACCAAAATATTTTTAAACTAGAAGAAACAGTTTCACACAAAACATGCCACAACCTCCCAATAAAGTACAAGATGTAAACCCATGGGGTGTTTTAAGGTATGGTTGATGGTGAACTCAATCTCTACTCAAATATTATTGAGAATATTTGAAAACATAATCCAATAAGGCTACAGTAAATTCCAGCTAAAAAGCATGTTTAACAAAATGCATGCTATGAAACAGTATTACCATATTATTTTATGTACACCTCCAGCAGCTCCTTTAATATTGTTTTGTTAAATATGATGTACAGAACTATCAGCAGACACAGTGTCTCGTATAACCTTCAATCACATTTGCCTAAACATTGAAATTCCATTTAAGAAATGTGTATCAAGTGCTTACTCTGCCATGCACTTTTCTAAGTGTTTGATAAAAATCAGTAAATGAAACAAACAAACCCTTTGCCTTATAATCTTGCATTCCAAAATAACTTTAAAATTTTGACCTAGAATTTTTTCACCTCAAATTCATTATTAAAAATCAAAATAGTTGTCTTTAGTAAAGGTGTTACTCTTCTTGCCTTCTTATTTTTGCAAAGTGTACTGAGATTTTCAGTACTGAGAAATTCAGCTATCCAAATTTCTAATCATTTTTACATTTTCTTTTGCAATTGGTTTACAATTCTGTCAAAATATCATTTTTTCATCATTATTGTTTTTATCATTATTATATTTCATCATTATTTTCACATCTATTTTAGTAAATTGAATTTCCATTTTCCTCTAATTTACTCAATTGTTATTTCAGCCATTAATTTATTTAATGACCGTTTGTTAAACATCTGTATTCTGTGTAACATATTATGACTGAACTATTACAATAGTTTCCTGATGGCTCTCCTTATCTCTTTTCTCTTTTCCAATGAATTCCACAAGTTATTGTCAGTAATTTTTTGAACCTAATAATAGTTTTATTAATGTTAATTTCCCTTCCATCAACTATCAATGACACCCATGTGCCAGCAGGGTAAAGTTCATAGCTATTAATTGATCTTCACATTTTCTTGTCCCAATGCCTGTTTTAACTTTATAACTCTACTTACAGGAAATTTTGTCACAGTAGAATGATCTATTCAGTCCTCAAATGTGCCTTTCCAGCTTTGTCTTTTCCATGTATTTTTTTTCTAATGCAAAAGTACTCTTCCCACTCCTCTTTCTATAAAAAGCTTGTAGTTCACTCAAATTCAAGCTTAAATTACTACGTCCTTCATGAAGTCTTTTCTAACCACTTGAACAGTCTGAACTGTTCTATCCCATTTCAATGTCACTTAATATCTTATTTTATACTTAATTTCATATGGCTTGAATGTCTACCTATTTATATGTATTACTATTAACTTAAACTGTGTCTTACTCCTAATCTACAAAGATATGTGTAAACCACAAAGTGACAAAAATTATTAAGTGAGAAATTTGGCACCTTATGTAAATAAATTTTGAAAAAAGGAAATAAGGATAAAAAAACTTTAGGACAAGAAAATGTCACATGTTATCATAAACTTGGTTGTAAAATCCAAGTAACTCAGAGAAAGATTTTCGTGATTGGGAATATGATTAGCAATGTATTAATATAACTAAAATATTGCCCAGAATTACCACTCTATTATTGAAATCAAGGAAAAAAGGATTCCTATGCATCCTCATAGAAAGTGCAGTGTGTAATTATTGAATAATACTGTCAATAATATAAAATCCAGAAATTAGTTGCTAAGATTTTTTAATATTAATTTTTCAAACTAGGATAATTAAACCCGGTCAAAATGTATCTCTGTAAATAATATTGCAGCATGATTATCTTAGTCTTTTCTGTGCTGCTTTAAAAGAATACCTGAGACTGGGTAATTTATAATAAACAGAAATGTATTTATTAGCATTCTGGATGCTGGGAAGTGCAAGATCATAAGGTTGGCACCTGTGAGGTCTTGCTGCATCATCCCATGAAATAAGGCAAAAGGGCAAGAAAGAGGAAGATATCAAAATCATAACCTCAAGCCCTTTTATAATCAGCATTAATTCATTTGTAAGGGTGGCCGTCATGACCTAAACACCACTTAGTAGCCCCCACTTCCCAACATTATCACATTGGGGATTAAGTTTCCAATACATGCTTTTTGGGAGATACATTCAAACCATAGCCAGCTTTAAACTCAATCTGTTTCATAAAGGCAGCTATTACATAGCATGGATAATGCTAATAAAAACTTTAGTATTATCTGTAGAAGATAAAATATGTATCCTTCATAATTATGTTATGTAATAAATTTTTAATAGTAATTTGACTGAGATTAATTTATGCCCTACATGCTGTCAATGGAATTTCAACATATGAGAAATGTGACTGTTCTTTAATTTGAAAAAAGGAACTCTTAATTGCAAAGGAAATTGTGTGAATAAATGCTGTTTTAGGATATCTGGATTTTAAAAAATCAAAATAAATACAAAATAAAATTTAAATTAAATTTAACATTATATTGAAAGTTATAATTTTTGGAATGATGTTTAAGTGATATAATAACAGCAACAACAACAGTATTTTAGATCTAAAAAACTAAGCAAAAACTATCAGAGCATACGAAAAAACTGAAATTGAAAAAAAGGAGATAAGTACAATATATTTTGTATTTTTTATGTATTTGAGAAATATGGTAGCCATTAGCACATTCATTGTTTAAATGATGAAAAATAATAAGAAAATCTAAAACCAGTTACTTATCCCCAACTGCAGAGTTGAGTAAAAGATAAAATTAAAACAAGGTGACTTGTAGAAAAAGACAGAAATTTAAAAAATAAAAAAGGAAAGAAATTTAAAAAAAATCAAAACGCAGAACACCAAAAGCAAGCTGAGAGATATGAGTCAATGAATAAGTGTATCTACTAAAAGAAAATCATTTGAAATGTACTTTTAAAATGTATGAAATTATTAAAGATTTACCTAAATTAAAATATTTTAAGAAAGTGTAATGTAAATGCAGTTCAAACATACAATAAACAAATTCAGAAAAAATAAAATCCTGGGTCAAGATATTAATATCATACAAATTTAGAATTCATGATAAAAAGCATCAAACTGAACAAAAGAAGTAATTTTTTAGTTGTAGATGGGAATAATTCAATAAAAATATATAAATACAACAAATTTATGTGGCAAAGAGGCAATAGAATATATGAAGAAAACTTAATGAAAATCTAAGGCTAAATTGAAAACAAAGTCATAATAAATGATCATCATACTACTGACAATTTTTACATCAAGTAGAGAAAACTAGACAATCTTTTTTTTTTTTTTTTTTTTTTGAGACGGAGTCTCACTCTGTCGCCTAGGCTGGAGTGCAGTGGTGCGATCTCGGCTCACTGCAACCTCCACCTCCTGGGTTCGAGCTATTCTCCTGCCTTAGCCTGCCCAGTAGCTGGGACTGCAGGCACGTGCCACCTCGCTGGGCTAATTTTTTGTATTTTTAGTAGAGACGGGGTCTCACCGTGTTAGCCAGGATGGTTTCGATCTCCTGACCTCATGATCGGCCTGCCCTGGCCTCCCAAAGTGCTGGGATTACAGGCGTGAGCCACCGCGCCAGGCCGACAATCTTAATGAAACTTACGCAAGCATATTTTCCAAAGCAAATCAGGAATAGGATGCATATTTAAGATAGACTAAGGCATCTGTTCTATATATTGTTAAACAATTTACAAATAATTAACACTAAGTTAATTTTTGTTCTAAGTTAAACTAGTATGTTCCTCTGGCAAAAGGGAAATGTGAAGAGGCTATGTCAAACTTTCCATACTGAAATCACCTCATCAAAATTGCATGCACTTAGAGATGTTCAAGGTGAGCCTCAGGTTTTGCCTATTTGTTAGCAATCTGTTTTTTTTTTTTCACCTGAATTTGTATCTGACTTTTCAAATCTTTGAGATTGAGCATCTTCACCAGGATATGTTTGATAGGATATTTTTAATTATTTTGCCTCTTTAGGTTGACCTGTGATCCATAGATTTAATTTTCCTGCATTTTAGTGAAACATTCTTTCATATCTTCAAATGCTTTTTCTGATTTTCTTGTTAGTGTATGTCTCCAAACACACCTGTTACCAATCTAATGGGTCAGCCCCATCTTTCTTCATGTAAATTTTTTTTATTAATTTACTTCTTGTTACAGTGTATTTAATTCCAGCTGTTTTTCATCATTTATTATGAGTTTTACTCCTAGCAGTATTGATATAGTCCTATATTGATTAACAGCAGGGTTATATTCTGCAAAATGCATCATCATAAGAAAATTTTGTTGTGCAAACATGATAGAGTGTGCTTACTCAAACCTAGCTGGTATGGCCTACTACACACCTAGGTTATATGGTATAGCCTATTCCTCTAGCCTACACATCTATACAGCATGTTACTGTACTGAATACTGCAGGCAACTGTAACAAAATGGTGTTTGTGTATCCAAACATATTTGAGCATAAAAATATACAGTAAAAATATGGTATAAAAGATAAAAAACAGTATACCTGTATAGGACACTCACCATTAATGGACCTTTTGTGGGACTGGAAATTGCTCTAGGTGAGTCACTGAGTGAATGGTCAGTGAATGTTAAGGCCTATGATATTAATAATAGTGTATGATATTAATGTACACTATTCGAGACTTTATAAACACTGTCCATTTAGGCTATGCTGAACTTATTAAAAATGATTTTTCTTTCTTTAATAAATTAATCTTAGCTTACTATGACTTTGTTAGTCTATAAATTTTTAACTTTTTAAACTTTTTGAGTATTTTGTGGTAACGGCTTAAAATGCAAACACATTGTACAGCTGAATTAAATATTTTCTTTTTTCTCTTTTCAGATTTTTTTTTTTTGTTAAAACTAACACACTAACACGCACATTAGCCAATGCCTGCCCAGGGCTAGTATCATGAAAATAACTCTCTTGCACCTCCACATCTTGCCCCGCTGGAAGGCCTTCGGGGCGAAAACATGCATGGAGCTGTCATTATTTATTTATTTATTTATTTATTTATTTATTTATTTATTATTTATTTGTTTGTTTTGAGATGGAGTCTCCATCTGTCGCCCAGGCTGGAGTGCAGTGGCAGGATCTCGGCTCACTGCAAGCTCCGCCTCCCGGGTTCACGCCATTCTCCTGCCTCAGCCTCCCGAGTAGCTGGGGCTACAGGCGCCCGCCACCACGCCCGGCTAATTTTTTGTATTTTTAGTAGAGTCGGGGTTTCACTATATTAGCCAGGATGGTCTCGATCTCCTGACCTCATGATCTGCCCACCTCTGCCTCCCAAAGTGCTGGGATTACAGGCGTGAAACACTGTGCCCAGCCGGAGCTGTCATCTTTTATGATAACAATGGTTTCTTTTGGAACATCTCCTAAAGGACCTGCCTGAAGATGTTTTACTTAACTTGTTTTTTAGTAGGTAGAAAGAGTACACTCTAAAATAATGATTAAAAAGTACAATATACTAAATACAAAAACCAGCAATATAGTTGCTTATTATCACTATTAAGTATTATGTACTGTACATAATTGTATATGCTACACTGTTGTATGACTGTCAGTGCAGTAGGTTTGTTTATACCATCATCACTACAAACAAATGATTAATGTATTGTGCTATTGTTACAATAGGTAGCTAGTCGGACATGAGCAGGGCAGGAGAGGGCTACCCCCACCCGCTGGGAATGTAAGGCGACCATCAGGTGATGGTCCAGCAGTTATCACACTGGCTTTTTAAAATAATAATTGGCCACAGCTTGTGCCAGGGAGAGGCAATTTCCCAATACATAAAAGCACTTGAAACTGGTAATCGACAGCTTCCAATGCCATCTCAGAAAATGGGCAAGTTGGCTCGAGCATGCACTTTAAGAGGCAAAATGGCAGAGCATGACTTGCCAGGGCACTCCACCGGAAAATGGAAGAAAGCCTCAGGTGAGCATGTGTACAACTCCAGTAAATACACTGTGCATGCTCACCTACCAAGTGTCAGCAGCCCACCGCACATGTGGGCTGCTCACCCTAAGGGGAGAATAAAGGGAAAGGGACGCAAGACCACAGAAGTATGTCAACATATAAAACCCAGTCAAAAGCTCAAACGCCGGCATAGGTGCGGTGGCTCAAGCCCCTAATCCCAGCACTCTGGGAGGCTGAGGCGGGCTGATCACGAGGTCAGGAGATCCAGACCATACTGGCCAACATGATGAAACCCCGTCTCTATTAAAAATACAAAAAGTTAGCCAGGCGTGGTGGCGGGCTCCTGTGTTCCCAGCTACTCGGGAGACTGAGGCAGGTGAATGGCGTGAACCCAGGAGGCGGAGCTTGCAGTGAGCCGAGATCCCGCCACTGCACTCCAGCCTGAGAGACAGAACCAGACTCTGTCTCAAAAAAAAAAAAAAAAAAAAAAAAAAAAAAATCTCGAACGCCATACTTGTCCTTCAAGTTGCCCACTTGAGCCCCTCCCAAGTGTACTTTCTTTTCTTTTTTTCCTGCTCTAGAGCTTTTTAATAAACTTCCACTCCTGCTCTAAAACTTATCTCAGTCTCTCTTTCTGACTTGTGCCCGTCAGTTGAATTCTTTCTTCTGAGGAGGCAAGAATTGAGGTTGCTGCAGAACCCTACAGATTTGCTGCCAGTTACTCATGTATTTGTCACCCCTAACACTACAATATCTTAAGGGCTATGAAGTCAGTAAGTCATAGGAACTTCTCAGCTTCTTTATAATCTCATGAGACCACCATCATATATGCAGTCCATCATTGACTAGAATAACATTATGTAGCATATGACTGTATTTGCCTTTTAAGTGAATTTTGAAAATTTTCTAATTCTCCTTTTACCTCTTATTTCATAGGGTTCATTAACAATTTTCATGAGAATGCAATTCTATGCAAATATCTTCATTTCCTAGAGTGTCTTGTTCAAAAGTGTGTTTTCTGTCATTTGCATGCTACGAATAATAGCATAGTCTCATACATTTTTTCTTTTGCTCCTAACAGTATTTGCAATTTTCACTAAATATAGATTCTCTTGGTTCCCGTCCCGGTTTACCTGGGCATGATTTGAGCCATCTTTGAACCACAGAGGAATGCTTGAGTGCAAAAGATTTCTCAAGACCTATTCAGCCATGCAATTGCTTGCAGTAAGTGTGAAAGGATTAAGTTTTTCGTAGCAGCAGATGGGAAATGATCTCTCTATGTACTTTATTTTTTCTGTGTTAAAACCTCTATATTATGGGACACCGCCATTAAAAATGGATATTCAATTTAATATATGCGTGTATGGAACTGGATATTTTTTGAATTTATGTTTGTTCATTGATTTAAATGTGTCAACCTCTTTAGTGGGAGGTTGAGTGTGAAAATGCTTTACAATTTGTTAGATTTTTGCTTGGTTTCTCACATCTAAATGAAGTATAATATATGAGAAATATGGAAAAGTAAGTTTGCAATATGACACCAATTTGGTTAATGAGAATAAATTAAAGTTGAAAGGCAATCAATTAAAAAAATTAGCATTAATCACAGAAATGCAACATTGTAAAGCAATGGTAAGGGGCTGAATTTACAACAGGATGCATCTGAAGCAAAATCAAACAGCTTTAAAATATGGAATTAAAGTGTATATGATCTTGTGCTTCATAATTTTATATATATAGGTAATTTAAAATAAAAATATATATATATAAATAGGGAAAAAACTCCTTGATATTGGTCTTGGCAGTGATATCTTAAATATCACACTAAAAGTTCAGGCTACAAAAACAATAAATGGGACTATATCAAAGTAAAACAAATAACAAAACAAAACAAAAAGCTTCTGAAGAGCAAAGAAACAATCATAACAAAAAAGAGAATCCATGGATCGGAAGAATATATTTGGAAACCATACATCTGATAAAAGATTAATAAGCAAAATTTATTTTAAAAAACATACATGTGATAAGGGGTTAATATGCAAAATTTATACAAACACACATACAACTCAACAGCAAGAAAACATATGGCCTAATTGTAAAATGGGCAACAGACCTAAATAAACACTTCTCTGAAGAAGAAATAAAAATGGCCACAGGTATATAAAAAGGATCTCAACATCATTCATTATCAGGGAAATGCAAACCAAAGCCACTATGATAAATTGGCTCACACATGTTAAAATGGCCACTATGAAGACAAAAAGATAACAAGTGTTGGTGAAGGTATGAAGAAAAGGGAATTCTTGTACACTGTTGGTCTGACTATTTTGGAAAGCAATGTGGAGGTTCCTAAATAAATTAAAAATATAATTACCATATCACCTAGCAATCTTTCTTCTGGGTATATGGCAGTCCCCTCTTTTTCATTGTTTCACTTTCTGTGGTTTCAGTTTCCTGCGATTAACAGGGGTCTAAAATTGTTAAATGGAATATTTGGGGAATAAACCACTCACAAAGTTTAAAATTGGGCACTGTTCTGAATAGCATGATAAAATCTCATGCCATTCTGCTTTGTACCATCCAGGACATGAATCATACCTTTATCTAGTGTATCCACACTGTATATGCTCCCTGCCTCTTAGTCATTTCATAGCTGTCTTGGTAATTAGATCAACTGTCACATTATGGCAGTGCTTATGTTCAAGTAATTATTATTTTATGTAGTGGTGGCCCCAGTGTGCAAGAACAGTAATACTGGCAATTCAGATACGCCAAAGAGAAGCCATAATGAACTTCCTGTAAGTGAAAAGGTGAAAATTCTTAACTTTCTAAGAAAAAAAAAAAAAATATATATATATATATACCACATTTGCTAAGATCTATGGTAAGAGCAAGTCTTCTATCCTTGAAATTGTGAACAGTATATTGCTACAATTATTCTATTATTAGCTATTGTTTTTAATCTCTTACTGTGCCTAATTTATAAATTAAACTTTTATCATAGATATATATGAATAGAAAAATCATCATCTATATATCATATATATATATATATATATATATATAGGGGTTCAGTACTATTCACAGGTTCAGGTACCTGGTGGGGTATTGGTGTTATAGCCTCTGAGAGTAAGGAGAGAATACCATGTACTCAAAGTAATAAAATCATCACCTCATAAAGATGTCTGCATTCTCATATTCGTTGCAGTATTATTCATGATAGCCAAGATATAGAAACAATCTAGGTGTCTATTGATGAACAAATGGGTAAAGAAACTTGGTATGTATAGAGAGAGTGGGAAATAATTCAGCCATAAAAAAAGGAGATCCTTCCTTTTGCTATGTCATGGATGGACCTAGAGGACATATGCTAAGTGACAAAAGCCAGAAACAGATAAATGTTAAAAAATTCATGATATCACTTATATGTGGAATCTAAAAAAAAATGTCAACTATACATAAATAGAGAATAAGAAAGTGGTTACCAGTGTCAAGATGTGGAGGAAGAGAAGGAATTAGGGAGATGTAGATCAAAAGATGCGAAATAGAAGTCATGTAGGATGGACAAGTCTAATAAATAGTGTGCAACATGAGGGCTATGTTTAATAATAGTGTATTGTATTCAACATTTTTATTAAATTAGTAGATAATAGCTGCTCTGCCTCAGAGGAAAAAGATGAGTATATGAGATGATATGTTAATTTGTTTCACTGTAGAAACCGTTTTATTATATATGTATCTCAAAGCATTGTGTTGCATAATAAAATTGATAAAGCTATATATGTTTGGTCTTTACCCTCTTCCTTGGCAATCAGCTTTCACAATTTTGGAGATCTCTGAAGTGATGTGTCTTTTTAATAAATGATGGCTTGGGGCTTCTGGATAAACTCAGGATGGAGGCTGGTTGCCAGAGAAACCAACCATGTGATTAAGAGTTGGGGCTTTCAGTTCCACCCCTCAACCCCTGGGGAGAGGAGAGGTGTTGAAAGTTGAGTTTATCATCAACTCAACTTCTTACCCTGTGTTGTTTCTCTGGGCTAACAATCACTGCCTCCTTACCTACCAAATCAATCTTCCTAACCTAGCTCAGAATCATATCTTAGGGCAATTCTACTCTGTCACTCCTACCAGACAGCTGATTAACCAAGCCCTCCTGTGTGGTGCCTTTGTATCTTGTACCTATTTCCATGATGTACTTTTTACTGTATTATAATTATTTGTATTATATGCTTTGAGGGCAGAACCTTTATCATATTTATCTCTGAGCTCTCTAACATGTAGCAGAATGCATGATAAATTATAAGTATTCAATAACTTGGTGAAATTTAATTATACATTTTGTTAACTAGTAGTATATAAGGAGGCAAAAGAGAAAAATTCTCCAACATAGGTCAATGATAGGGTTTTTTTGTTTGTTTGTTTTGACCATACTATACATGAAGCTGAATAAAGCTCATGCAAAAACACTTGTTTTCATTTTTCTAAAAATACATTATTTTGTAGAAAGGAAATAAAAGAAAGATAACTGTTTTAGTCTGTTGTCTGCTGCTATAACACAATACCTGAGATGGGGTAATTTATAAACCATAGAAATTTATGGTTCTGGAAGCTGAGAAGTCCAAGAGCATGGCACTAGCGTTGAGCCAGAGCCTTTGTGCTGAGTTATCTCATGCAGAAGGCAGAAGGGCAAGTGGGCACGTGAGACAGAAAGAAAAAAAAAAAGGGAATCAAAATCTCATGATAGCTTACCCACTCCTGAGGTAACAACATTAATTTATGTATGAGAACAGAGTGAATCACCTTTTAAATACCTCACAACGCTTAATACCACCCCAACGACAATTAAATTTTAACAAGAGTTTTGGAGGCTATGTTATAATTATAGCAATGACCATTTGTTGAGACAACTGTGATTATAATACTATGTTCCAAGCATGGTATGGGTACCTGACATAGACTGATAATTTTCACTATAATCTTGCTGTGTAGAAGGTTGGATGGGCCTCAGTTTATAAATGTGGAAACTGAGGATCAGAGATATAGTTCATCACAGACTGATAATTTTCACTACAATCTTGCTGTGTAGAAGGTTGGATGGGCCTCAATTTGTAAATGTGGAAACTGAGGATCAGAGATATATTTGTTCATGGTTACATTGAAGTGATCTAATCTGTCAATATTTGCCTTTTGTCCTGATAATGACTTTACTGTGTCTGTGCCATACTTTTTATTTTTTATTTTTATTTTTTGAGACAATGTCTCACTCTGCCACCCAGGCTGGAGTCCAATGGCATGATCATGGCTCACTACAGCCTTGACCTCTTGACCTCCCCAGACTCAAGCAATCCTCCCATCTCAGCCTCCTGAGTAGCTAGGACTACAGACACACACCACCACTTGACTAATTTTTGTATTTTTTTGTAGAGATGTGGTTTTACCATGTTGTCCAGCGTGGTCTTGAACTCCTGAGATTAGCAATCTGCTAGGCTCAGACTCCCAAAGTGCTGGTATTACAGGCGTGAGCCACCATACCCAGCCCCTGTGCCGTACATTTTGAAAATAAAGGTTTCTGTAAGCTGAGACAAGTTTAATTTGAAATACATAGTTTTAAAAAGGGTATAATGAAATAATTATAAATTTTAAACATTCAAATAAACTAATTTTAGCTTTTACCTATATATATATTCTTTGATAAAAATAAGATCATATCATAATGTATTTTGTGGCTGTGTTTTTCGCACAGTATTATATTGTGAATGTATTTCCATGCCAATAAGAATTCTGTGTTTTCATTTTTAATGTCTGGTGGATCTTCATTTATTCAGTGTATCTCCTACTGCTGAACATTAACTATTTTTTGAGAATTTGTTATTTACAACATTGTTATAACAACCTCTGTAATTCTCTGTATGCATCTTGTACAAATAATCATTCTATTGAGCTACGTTTCTAAAAGGAGGATTGTGGTTTTGTGCATGCCCTAAGATATTTATATGCCTGTATTATGTTTCTGTGGCTGCTATAGATTATAAATTCCTCAAGGAATGATGCTTTCTAGTTTCTTTCTATACCTTGGCTATGCATGGTATTTTGTCTTTATAATGATTGCACTCTATTAAATATCTTATTTCCTAAATATTTAGTAGCTTAGGAAAAAGTTATGGGGAGGGAAAAAATTAAAGATAATGGTTTTATTCCAAAAATTATAAGATACTGTTTTCTTTGTTTGGTCATAGGTCTGTTCATCTGGTCTTATTTGCTTTTCCATTGAAACCTTTACATGGAATTTTTGCTGTTGAGAAATAAAATTTAGTTTAAAAAATAAGCAAAAAACAAAACAAAATGTGGCAAACACTTCTCACCCACTTAAAGAGCTACATGCAGTCAGTGTATGATTATGGAATAAAGCTGTAAGTTTATCCATGAATCAATGAACGGGAGAATGAAGCAGGAGGAAATCTGTCCATATTGCTCCACGTTGAACGCTTTCACTTTCTCATTTTTCTCCATTAGAAAGAGTTAAAGCCCAGGTGCTCAATACAAGGTGGGGAGAATCTCTGGGGAGGAAGGCCCTGGAAATTGCCTAGGGATAGTGTGTTGACACTGGTAATCTCTCTAGTCATAGAAGAAACTCCTGGTTCTGTGATTTACCTCATGTTGACAAAACGGAAATTTCCTATAACTGTCTCTATCAGCAGCATCTTTTGAAAAATAAGATTGTTTCAGCAGTTAAGTTTTAAAATGCTTAACTTTTTTCTCTGCTTGAACTTCTTGCCCTCTTCCCATCATACCTTTTAAAACAAATTGCCTGTCAAGTTACAGTTTACTTTAATTCACTTTTAACAAGTATATAGGCCTGTGACTAATCTAGAGATAATTACAGTGCCAATCCTATTGACAAAATTGAAATACTGAAATGAAAATATGTGCATTTCCACTCTCTTTTCCCAGGAATATTAACCTGTCACTCCAGTGCTGTATCAAAAATTCCTTGGCTTCTTTTCTTAAATCAAATTTGCCCAAAGCTCTGAGAAACCACATTTTCATAAGCAACTTAGTCAGGCTACATCTACAAGCTCCAGGAGGGAGATTACCACCTTGCCTCTATCAAAAATTTTATTATGTGATATTAAGAACTTTGAAAACTGACTTATGCTTCTCTATTAAACTCATACTCAGAATGTAGGGGGATTCCTAATTAGCTTCTTATGCTCTAGTTAAGGTGTTACCCAGTTGAGTTTCCATTTCAAAGGCGACATAATGAAAAAGTGCCTGTTTCTCACTTAAGAACTACCATACTTGTATTTGCACAGTAACTCTACATAAAAATTCAGCATCATGGAAAGTATAGCAATGGAGAGAACTATAAACATGAACAATTTGCAAAAGAGGAAGAAAAACATTCATGAGGCAATTTACACCTTGTTACCTAATTTGAATTTTAATAGGCAGACTCCTACAATAGTCACATGCTGGAAGGAAACATTGATTGAAAAAAGTCAAAGAAGATATTATCAGGTAATTATCATACAGTTTAAAATGCATATTCTATTTGTCATATACAGTGCTTTAAAAAAGTCAGGGCATCATAGAAAATTCAGAGTTTAGATCAGAAATGCTGTATCAAATGCAAAGTAATATTATAAATCTCTGAAGGAATGAACTTTTACTTCTCCATTGTACAGCAGTAAAACTAGGGAAACGACCCTCTATGATCAAGGCAAATGCTATGCCACCAAATATTGCATAAAATGAAAAAATACAAATGTTTTATATAATATCATACCTTTTGGAGCTGTGTACCACCCACAAACAAGCACAGAAAAAGATGGTCTGAAAAAGAAAGAATAAAGGCAGAGCAGATGACAGAGCAGAGAAAGAGAGAAACACACAGTAAAATCATTTTAGAGCTTGTGATTAAGATGGGCGTTAATATAGCATGAATTTGTGTTCTTTCTAACTCTCATGTTAAAATGTGACTCCCAATGTTGGAGATGGACATGGTGGGAGATGTTGGGGTAATGGGGACAGATTCCTCATTAATGGCTCGGTGCTATCTTTGTGGGACTCAGTGAGTTCTTGCTCTGGTAGTTCACATTAGAGGCAATGGTTTAAAACAGCCTAGCACCTCTCCCCTCTCCCTGTCTTATTCCGTCTCTTACCATGTGACAGGCTTGCTCCCTTTGGCCTTCTACCATAATTGGAAGCTTCCTCAGGCCTCAACAGAAGGATTTGCTAGCACAAGCCTTCTTATATATCTTGTAGAACCACAAGCCAAAATAAATTTCATTTCTTTATAAATTACTCAGCCTCAGGTATTTCTTTACAGCAGCACAAATGGACTATTACAGTCATCAATAAATAGCCTAAAGTCTCATGTAAGACCATTTAAGGCAATTGGTGGGCCTATTACCAGCAAAAGTCTTCTGAGTACACAGGAAGAGTACTGTTGCCTAAACAAACCTAAAAGCAAACTAAAAAATGAACTCATTTGTTTTTTTGTGGTGAGTTCTGCCCAATGTATTAACAGAAATGTGCAGCTATGAGCCACGTTACCGTGTTCCAATACTGTACATAAGTGCACACACCCTCCATATATAGTTTTATAGATTTGTTGCCCAATGCACACAGCAAGTCAATATGTGGAGACACTAGGTAGCAACACAGAAAAAGTGTAATCTTAGGGCCAAAAAATGAGTTGGGAGGAATCCTCAAATTCGTCTCCCCAAGGAGTCTGGGACTAGGGTGTTTAAGGGTTTTGGAGTGGGATCAAGTATGGATGTTGTAGATTGGTTGAAGAGTGCAGGGTGAAGTCATGGGACAGAGAGATGAGGAATCTGTATTCTCATGGTAATCTCATTCCTATGTGGATATCTAGTTGCTGGAATTCAGGGTCTAAAAATCATCTAAAGTGGTCCTTAAACAAAAGCCTTATGGTTCTGAAGTCAGAAATCCTGTCTATAGAAACAATGAGGTCAGTATCTAGTGCGACCTGACCCTTATCACCAAAGAAGTAGGCCAAATTGAAGCCTGATTCATGATTAATTGTAACAGTATTTCTATACAGAACCTGGCATGAAATTTCCAAAAACCCCGTGGAGGCAATTTCACATATAGCATTTTTATTCAGAATAAAATCCAAGCTACCTAAACCCGGATTTCCAAAGAAAAGCAGCAGTGGTTGAAAAACAACTTTTACCAGAAAGGCCTCAGCATATAAATAACGTGAGGACTTTGATTAAAAACACTTGTTTAAGGCTGTTTTCCTGGCTTGAATGTTTCTGTCCTTCATATTTATCCATTATGGTCACTTGGGTTGTTTTCACATTTTAGCTACTGTGAATAATGCTGATATAAACATGGGTATACAAATGACTCAAGATTCTGCTTTCAATTTTTTTTAATATATACCCAAAAATGGAAATACTGGACCATGTGGAAATTCTACTTTTAAAATTTTTTAAGGAATACCCTACTGATTTTTATAGTAGCTGTGCCATTTTGCATTTCCATTAACAGTTCACAAGAACTTCAATTTCTCCACATCCTCAACGACACTTCTTATTTTCTGTTTTTTTGATAGTAGTCATTTTAATTCATGTGAGATAGTTTCTCACTGTTATTTTGATTTATATTTCCTTTATAATTAGTGATATTGAGCATCTATTGATACGTTAACTGGCCATTTGAGAAATGTTCTCTTAAGTGTGTTACTCATATTGATCAGGTTGTCTGCTTTTTGTTGTTGTTGTTCAGATTGCTTTTTGTTATTGTTGTTGTTGTTGAATTTTAGGAGTTCATGTATTCTAAATATTAATCCCTTATCATATATATGATTTACAAAGTTTTCCACCATTCTGGGGCTGAATTTTAATGATATTAATAGTGCCTTTTCACACGTTTATCTATGTAACAAACCTGCACATCTTGCACATGTACCCCTGAACTTAAAATAAAAGTTGAAAGAAAAAAAATCTGCTTTTTGATCCACAATTTAAAAAAATTGTAAAGTCCAATCTATTTTTTTAATTGTTGCTTATGCCATTGGTGTCATAACCAAGAAATCATTGTCAAAACTAATATCATAAATCTTTTGATCTATGTTTGTTTCTGAGGGTTTTATACTCTTAGATTTTACATCTAAGTCTTGAGGTTATTTTGTTTTATCCTTCAGATATGAAGGAGAAATAAAGACTTCCCTAGACCAAAAAAAAAAAAAAAAAAACTTAGGTATTTCATTAAAAGCAGGCCTATCCTACAAGACATGCTAAAGGGAGTCATTCAGTCTGAAAACAAAGAATATTAATGAGAAATAAGAAATCACGTGAAGGTACAAAACTCACTGCAAACAGTTAAGTACACAGATAAATACAGAAAATTATAACACTCTAAGTGTAGTGTGTAAACCACTCGTAACTTAAATAGGAAAACTGAAAGGCAAAACTATCAAAAAAAATGCAACAACTTTTAAAAACATAGACAGTATAATAAGATATAAATAGAAATAACAAAATGTTAAAAAGAGGGAGTGATGAAGCTAAAAGGTAGAGTTTTCATTAGTTTTCTCCTTGCTTATTTGTTTGTTTTTGCGTTAGAGTTACCAGTTTTAAATAATGGGTTATAAGGTGTTATTTGCAAGCCTCATAGTAACATTCAAATAAAAAAATATAATAAATACGTGAAAAATAAAAAGCAAGAAATTAAATTATACTACCAGACAAAATCACCTTCAATAAAGGAAGATAGGAAAGAAGGAAGGGAAAACAACCAGAACAAAAAAATAACAAAATGGCAGAAGGAAGTCCTTTCTTATCAATAATAACACTGAATATAAATGGACTAAATTCTCCAATCAAAAGCCAGAGTGACTGAATAGATTAAAAAAACAAGACCCAACAATCTATTGCATACAAGAAATGCACTTTACCTGTAAAGACACAGGGACTGAAAATGAAGGAATGGAAAAAGATATGCCATGCCAATAAAAAACAAAAAGGAGCAAGAGTAGCTGTACTTAGACAAAATAGATTTCAAAAGAAGAGTATAAGAAAAGACAAAGATCATTATATAACAAAAATGGTATTGATTTGGAAAAAGGATATATCAAATTTAAATATATATACACCCAACACTGGAGCACCCAGATATATGAAGCAAACATTATTAGCCCTACAGAAAGACCACAAGGTAATAGTTGTTGGAGACTTCAACACCCCACTGTGAGCACTGAATGACCTTCCAGACAGAAAATCAACAAAGAAACATTAGACTTAATCTACACTATAGAGCAAATAGAGCTAATAGATATTTATAGAACATTTCATCCAAAGGCTACAGAATACACATTCTTCCATTCAGCACAAGGATCAGTCTCAAGTATAGATTTTAAGCCACAAAGTAAATTTTAAATAATTCAAAAAGTTGAAATGATATCAACTATCTTATCTGACCACAATGAAATGAAACTAGAAATCATTAACAAGGGAAATTTTGGAAACTCTACAAACACAGGGTAGTTAAACAATACACTCCTTAATGACCAGTGTCTTAATGAAGACATTAAGAAAATTTTTAAAATTCCCTAAACAAATGAAAATGGAAACAAAACATACCCAAATCTATGAATACAACAAGAGCAGTACTAAGAAGAAAGTTTATAGCAGTAAGCACTTACATCAAAAAGTAGAAAAAATTCAAATGAACAACCTAAAGATGCATCTTAAATAACTAGAAAAACAAAAGTGAACCATACCCAGAGTTAGTAGATTAAAATAAATCATGAAGATAAGGGCAGAAGCAAATGAAATTGAAACAAAATAAAATACAAAAGATCAACAAAGCAAAGGTTGGTGTTTGGAAAAGATTTTTAAAAATTAACAGACTTTCAGCCAGACTAAGAAAAAAAGAGAAAAGATTCAAATATATTTAAAAAAGATGAAAAAGCAGACATAACCAATGACATTCCAGAAATTCAAAAAAATCATTAGAGACTAATACAAACAACTATATGCCAGTAAATTGAATAACCTAGAACAAATGGATAAATTTCCAGAGACATAAAACTTATGAAGTTTCAACTATGAAGAAATCCAAAGTCAGAATAGATCAGTAACAAGTAACAAGATTGAAGCCAAAATAAGTCTCTCAGCAAAGAAAAGCCCAGGACCCGATGGCTTCACTGCTGAATTCTACAAAACATTTGAAGAGAATTGGTACCAGTTTTACTGAAACTATTCAAAAAAATAAAAATAAAAAAGAGGATGAGGGAATACATCTAAACTCATTCTATGAGGAATTAGCATGATACCAAAATTAGACAAAGACACATCAAAAAAGGAAAGCTGTAGGCCTATATCCTCGATGAACATTGATGCAAAAACCCTCACAAAATACTAGCAAATTGAATTTAACAATACATTAGAAAGATCATTCATCATAACCAAGTGGGATTTATCCCTGGAATGCAAAGTTGATTTAACATACACGAACACATAGAATAGTGGAACAGAATAGAGAACAAAAAACGTATTTGTACATCTACAGTTAACTCATTTCCCACAAAGATACCAAGAACATACATTGGGGGAAAGGACAGTATCTTCAAAAATAGTGGTGGGAAAACTGAATATCCATATAAAGGAGAATGAAACCAGGCCCCTATCTCTCACCATACACAAAAATCAAATCAAAATGGATTAAAGAATTAAATCTAAGACCTCAAACTATGAAACTGCTAATAGAAAACATTGGGGAAACTCTCCAGGACATTGAACTAGGTGAAGATTTCTTGAGTACTATCCCACAAGCACAGGCATCCAAAGAAAAAGTGGACAAATGGAATCACATGAAGTTAAAAAGCCTTTGCACAGCAAAGAAAAGAATCAACAAAATGAAGAGACGGCCCACAGAATGGGAGAAAATAAACTATCCATCTGACAAGGGATTAATAACCATAAATATATAGGGCGCTTGAACAACTCCATAGGAAAAAAGTCTAATAATCTGATTCAAAGATGGGCAAAAGGTCTGAATAGATATTTTTTAAAAGAAGACATACAAATGGCAAACAGGTAAGTGAAAGTTGCTCAACATCGTTGTTCATCAGAGAAACGCAAATCAAAACTGCAACAAGATACCGTCTCACCCTAGTTAAAATAGTTTTGCCCTAAAGGCAGGCAATAACAAATGCTGGTGAGGATGTGAAGAACGGAGAACCCTCATACACTGTTCATGCCAATGTAAATTATTACAGCCATTATGGAGAACATATGGAAGTTTGTCAAAAATCTAAGTATAGAAATACCATATGATCCAGCAAATCCAACTGCTAGGTAATACCCAAAAGAAAAGAAATCAATATATCGAAGAGATATCTGCACTCCCATGTTTATTGCAGTGATATTCAAAATATCTATGACTTGGAAGCAACCTAAGAGTTCACCAACAGACAAATGATAAAGAAAATGTGGTACATATACCAAATGAATTACTCTTCAGCCATGTAAAAGAATGGGATCCTGTCATTTGCAATAACATGGATGAAACTAGAGGTCATTATACTAAGTGAAATAAGTTAGCATAGAAAGACACACTTGTCATGTTCTTGCTCATTTGTGGGAACTAAAAATCAAAACAATTGAACTGAGGGAGGCAGGGCATAGAATTATTGTTACTAGAGGCTGAGAAAGGTAGGGTTGGTGGGGTGATGGGGATGGTTAATGGACATAAAAATATACTTAGATACAATGAATAAGATCTAGTATTTGATAGGAAAATACGATGACTACAGTCAGCAGTAATTTTGTGTACATTTTGGAATAACTGAGGGAATAGAATTGGAATATTCATACACAAATACTTGATGAATGCTAGAAGTGATAGATATCCATTTACCCTGATTTGATTATTACACGTTGTATGCCTTTATCAAAATATCTCATATACCCTATAAAGATATACACCTATTATGTACCCATAAAAATTAAAAATTGGAAAAATAACTTAAAAATCTTCACTCGAGGAAGCAACCACAGATGTGGTGAAAATAGCAAGACACCTAGAATTAAAAGCGGAGCCTAAAGATGGGACTGAATTTCATCAATCTCATGATAAAACTTGGACAGATGAGGACTTGCTTCTTACTGCTGAGCAAATAAAACGTATATATTTTTTCTTTTTTGAGATGGAATCTACCCCTGGTGAAGGTGCTGTAAACATTGTTTAAATGGCAACAAATAATTTAGAATATTACATAAACTTAGCTGATAAGGTAGTAGCAGGGTTTGAGATGACTAACTTTAACTTTGAAAGAAGTTTCAAATGTAAGTAAAATGCTATCAAACAGCATCACATGCTACAGAGAAATGTAATATTAAAAAGTCAATTGATGCAGCAAACCTCATTGTTGTCTTATATTAAGAAATTGCTCCAGGCACCCAAACCTTCAGCAACCACCACCCTGATGAGTCAGGAGCCATCAATATGAAGGTAAAAATATCTACCAGCAAAAATATTATGACTCATTAAAGGCTCAGATAATTGCTAGCAGGTTTTAGCAATAAAGTATTTTAGTTAAAGTATACACATTGTATTTTTAGATATAATGCTATCACACAATAAATAGACTGCAGTGTAGTGTACACATAACTTTTGCATGCACTGGGAAAGCCAGAAAAATTGTGTGATAGGGCTTTATTGTGATATTCACTTTATTGCAGTGGTCTTAAACCGCACCCAAGATATTCTACAAGGTATGCTTGTATTTCTTGTTACTGTTTTAATGTGTCCCCAAAATTTTATGATTTGGAAACTTACCCCCAAATTCATGTGTTGATTAAAGGTGGTGACTTTGGGAGGTAATTATGATTAGATAAGGTCATTAGTTGTTAGGTCCTCATAAATGGGTCTGTGGCTGTCTCTTTCTCTCTTTTCATATGCTGGCTTCTGCCATGTTTTGATGACACAAGAATTCCCTCACTAGATGCTAATTTCATTCTCTTGGACTTTCCAGTCTTTAGAACTATAAAAAATTAATTTCTTTTCTTTTTCTTTCTTTCTTTTTTTATTTTTTTTGAGACAGAGTCTCACTCTGTTGCCCAGGCTGGACTGCAGTGGCACGATCTCAGCTCATTGCAACCTCCGCCTTCCAGGTTCAAGCGATTCTCCTGCCTCAGCCTCCCAAGTAGCTGGAATTACAGGCATGGGCCACCACACCTGGCCAATTTTTGTAGTTTTAGTAGAGACAGGGTTTCACCATGTTGACCGGACTGGTCTCGAACTCCTGACCTCAGATGAGCTGCCCTGCTCAGCCTCCCAAAGTGCTGGGATTACAGGTGTGAGCCACCACACCAGGCCAACTGCTTTTCTTTATAAATTACCCAGTTTGTGCTACTCTGTTGAAAAATAGACTAAGTATTTGTCTAGTCTCTATTTTGTTTATCTCTGCTGTAATTTTTATTATTTCATTTCCTCTACTACTTTGGATTTAGTTTGTCTTTTTCTTTTATAGTTTCTTAAGTTGTAGAGTTTGGCTGTTGATTTAAAATGTTTCTTGTTGTTTACTTAATATAAGTAAGCATTTATAAATGTTCTTAGCACGGCTCATCTCTGTTTTCTAATTTCATTGTGATCTCTTCTTTGGTATATTGATTGTTTATAAATGTGTTGTTTATTTTCCACAAATTTGTAAATTTTTAAGTTTTCCTTCTGTTATTATTTCTAACTTTATCTCACTGTGGTAAGAGAAGATACTTTGCGTGGTATTGTAATTTTCTAAATCTATTGAAAATCAATTCGTGGCCCAAGATATTATCTATCCCTGAAAAATGTTCCATGTTTTTCTTATGAGCACATTTTCTTATGTGCTCATAAGAAATATGTGTATGCTGTTGGTGGTGAGTACAGTGTTCATATATGCCTGTTGGACAGAGTTGGTGTATTGTGTTGCTCAGGTCCTCTATTTTCTCACCTATTTTCTGTCTGGTTGTTCTAACCACTATTGAGAGTGGAGTACTGAAGTCTCCTGCAGTTATTATAGAACTGTCTATTTCTCTCTTCAATTCTGTCAGATTTGATTTATATATTTTGATGGTATGTTATTCGGTGAAAATGTTTGTGATTGTTACATCTTCTTGCTGTGTTGAACCTTTTATTAATAAGTAATGCCATTCCTTTGTCCCTTATAAGCTTTTTTTGGTTAAGTCTAATTTATCTGATGTTAGTATAGCCACTCCTACTCTCTTTGGTTGCTATTCACAGAGTGTTTTTCCCATCTTTTACTTTCAATCCATTTTGTGTCTTTGAATCTAAAGTAAGTCTCTAGTAGATAATATATAGTTATTATTATTTTTAAAATCCATTCTGCCAATCTATATCTTTTTATTGGATAATTTAATCCATTTACAGTTAAAGTAATTACTGGTAAGAGGGAGTTATGTTATCTTGCTGTTTTTTTCTATGTGCTTTACAGATTTTTTGTCTCTCATTTCCTGCGTTACTATTTTGTTAGTTTTTTTTGTTAAAACGAAAACTTTTGAATTCTTTTATAATTTTATTTTGCATATATTATTTAGCTATATTGTTGTTGTTACTAGGGGGATCACATTTAACATTTTGAAGTTATGACCCTCAAATATAAATGTATGTCAAATTAAATGTGATAACATACAATAATTCTACTCTGTATTAGCTCTATTTCCATCCCTTTCAGTTATCGATGTCACAAAATTACATATTTATATATCGAGTGCCCAAAATATAGACATACATTTTTAATGCATTAGTCTATTTACACTAACTTTTAGTCTAGTAATTATTTTTTGAAATGTATAATGTATTAGTCTTTTAAATCACGGAGAAAACAAAAAAAGTTGGACTTACCTGTCATTGTTACAATAATATTAGCTTGTATAATTGACCTTTTATTTGCCTTTACTAAGATCTTTATTTCTTTATATGGCTTCAAGTTGCTATCTGGTCTTCTTTCATTTTAACATGCATTCCTTGCAAGGCACTTGCAATGGTAGTAAGCTTCCTCATCATTTGTTTATCTGATAATGTCTTAATATCTCTCTCACTTTTGAAGAACAGCTTTCCACATAAAGAATTCTTGAGAAATCTTTTTTTTTTTCCTTTTAGAATCTTGAATAGATTATCCCACTCCCTTCTGATCTCTAAATTTTCTGAAAACTGCTGGTAATCTCATTAAGGATTTCTAGTATGTGATAAGTGAGTTCTCTTTTCTGCATTCAAGATTCTCTCTGTTTTTGCCTTTAAACCATTTGGTTATAACTACGTTTGTGGTTCTTTGAATTCTTGCTACTTAGAATTTCTTGTGCTTCTTGGATGTTTATATTTAGGTCTTTCATCAAACTTGGGCTGTCATTCCTTCAAATACATCTCTGTCCCATTTTTCTCTCTCTCTTCTAACTCTTGGACTCTTGCAACGCATATGTTCGTCTGCTTGATGATATTCCACAAGTTCTTTAGGCTATGTTCACTTTTCTTCAGTCTTTTCTTTTTCTGCTTTTGAGACTTGATAATTCACATTGTCTTCTCTTCAAGTTTACTAAATCTTTCTTCTACATCATTAAATCTGCCCTTGATTCTCTCTAATAATTTTTTTATTTTAGTTATTATATTTTTAGCTCCAGGATATCTATTTGTCTTTCTTCAGGTTTTCTATGTTTTTATTAATATTTTCATTCATTTTATATATAACTTTCTGACTTTCTTCACATCCACCTTTAGTTCATTGATCATCTTTAAGATGGTTGTTTTAAAGTCTTTGTCTAGTAGAATCACCATTTGTTTCTTCCAGGGAACTTTCTTTTGGTTATGTTTATTGTTCCATTAGGCAATACTTTCTTTTCATTTTTGGAGGCCAAAGAAATGGATCATATTTTCTTTTTCTCTTTCTATTGAAAAATAAATGTTTTGATCTACTAATTGTGAAAATCAGATTCTCTGTCTTTCCTAGTGTTTGCTGGGGTTTTTTCTTTTGTTTTTGTTTCTTTATTTTTTAAGTTGTCTTTGTGAATCACCTCAGATGAATCACCTCCTCAGGTTTTTTGAGCCTGTGCTTTCTCCTAGGAATATGTGATGACTTTCTAATTTCCCTTGTATATGGCATTGCTTTTGAATGTCCTTGTTTTCTGAGACTGGCTCCCCAAGAGGAAATAAGTAAAACATAAAAGGGGAGAAAATGTGGTCAGGCAGAGGAAAAAGGGCTTGCAACAAAGTGGGAATAAAACAATAGTGGTCAATGCCTCTTTTTCTGCACTTCTGTGATTGTAAGCTACCATCAGTGATGAAAGCTCTCCAATATTTTAAGAACAGAATTCTTTTTGTTTCCAAACTCCCCACTGGTTCCCACAAATTGTGTGCAAGCTACTTCAGAAACATGGGCACAGATACTGGCCATGGAACTGAGGGGTGGGGAGTGAGTAGCTACTACTGTGCTAAGAGCTGACGTTGACCATAATTTACTTTCCAAGACTAGCACTGGAATTTTCAAGTCTTCATTGAATTCCAGAGTTCCAAAATAGTTTACATCAGACAGATTCTGCAGGTACAATATTTTTCTAGGTGGAGAGAATATATTTCTGATGCTTCGTTCTTTACTTTCTTCCCAGAATTTTCAGATTTTCACTAGTGCTTTAAAAAGTTTTTATCCTTGAAAATACTTGATCATAGCTTGTATCTCTATGTTAATTTTATAGAAAGTTGTATTCTTATAAATCTTGGTTAATTGTAAATCGACTTCATAAGCATTCAGAACAGAAGAGAGGCATTTATGTAGCAGCCATAAGCTCTTTTACCATGGGGGCAAAAGATAAAATACTAACTCTTGACCACATATATTTTTATTCTTTCAACCCTCCATCATCTTGTCTTTGTCTTAGTTTCCCTCCACTTCCCCATATTCTACTTTCTTTGGCAGAAACAAAACAAAACAAAACAAAACAAGAAAGAAAGAAATAAAAATTTTACTTTACCATATGGAACTGCTTCTGTTGATTTAAACAATTGAAGAGTTTTAATTCTTTTTTAGAACTACATTGTAATATATAAAGACATTTTATCCACTTCTGCCGGCTGCTAATTGGAAAGCATGGACATAAAAGTAGTCGTTGAATCATTAAGATTACATTTGAAAAATGGAACTTCCAAAGGTTGGTACAATCATATCCAGTAAATTGGTGATTCGTGACTCAATTTACCTTGAAGAGGTGTCTAGGTTACTGAATTCAGCTGGACCTAAACAGTTTACAAATTTCTTCTTAAACTTTTTTAAAAACAAAATATAACTCCTACTTTTTCAATGCTTTATCAAGTTTAAGTATTACAAATAAGATATTAAATTAAATATCATTTTTGTACACTAATATCAGAAAAAAAACAAAAAATATTTCTTTATTAACTCAAGAATTACATATTTTTTTACAGTTGAACAACAATAACACCACAAAACAGATTCTCCAAATTATATGCATACTTAGATACTTATGGGAAAGAGGAGAAAAAATAAAATACATATATCAAATAACCCACTATGGTTTGAAAGTTTGTCCCTTCCAAAACTCATGTTGAAAATTAGTTGCCATTTTAACAGTATTAAGAATGTCACCTTTGAGAGGTGATTAGGCCATGAGTGATCCATGCTCATGAATGGATGAATACTATTATAAAAAGGCTTTGGAAGTGTGGTCTCTCTGTTTGCCCCTCCACCTCCCAGCATGTGAGAATGCAGCATTCAAAGCACAAGTTTGGAAGCACATTTTGGGCTGTCATAAGACACTGAATCTGCCAGTCCCTTGATAGTGGGTTCCCAGTCTCCAGGACTGTGAGTCAATAAATTCATGTTTATTGTACAGTAATTTACCCAGTCTCTGGTATTTTGTTATAGTAGCACCAAAAAGACTGAGACATAACTGCTATGGTTTAAATGTGTCTTCCAAAGTTTGTGTGTCAGAAATTTGATAGTAGTGTTGGAAATTGGGGCCTAATGGGAGGTGTCAGGGTCATGGGGGCACCTTTCTAGTGAATTAACTAATGCTGATACAATGAGAGTAGGATTTTTTTTTTTTTAATGTAACAGGGGTTCCTGAGAAAAGGACAAGCCTGAGCCCCTTTTTTCTCTTTCTTACCTTCTCTTTGCCTTTCTGCCATGGAATGCCATATCAAGAAGGTCCTCATGAGATGGTAGCCACTTGATCTTAGATTTCCCAGCCTTCAAAACTGTGAGCTAATAAGTGGCTATTTAATATAAATTACTCAGTCTGTGGTATTTTGTTACAGCAGCACAAAAAATAGTAATACAAAAATATGGTATGAAGAAGTTATAACAAATATCTGAAAATATGGAAGTAGCTTTGAAGTTAGATAATAGGTAGTACCTGGAAGAAATTGGAAGAGCAGGGTAGAGAAAAACCTAGATTGCCATAAATGAAGCATTAAGGGAAATTCTCGTGATGGCTCAGAAGAACAGAAAGACTGGGCCGGGCGCGGTGGCTCACGCCTGTAATCCCAGCACTTTGGGAGGCCGAGGCGGGCGGATCACGAGGTCAGGAGATCGAGACCATCCTGGCTAACACGGTGAAACCCCGTCTCTACTAAAAAATACAAAAAATTAGCCGGGCGTGGTAGCGGGCGCCTGTAGTCCCAGCTACTCGGGAGGCTGAGGCAGGAGAATGGCGTGAACCCGGGAGGCAGAGCTTGCAGTGAGCCGAGATCCCGCCACTGCACTCCAGCCTGGGCAACAGAGCGAGACTCCATCTCAAAAAAAAAAAAAAAAAAAAAAAAAAAAAGGAATGCTAGTAGAAATATAGACAGTAAAAGCAATTGTGATAAGGTCTTAGATGAAACTGTGGCACAAGGTCTTAGAAACTGGAGTAAAGGCCATCCTTGTCAACAAGTGGCAAAAAATTTGATAGAATCGTGTCCATGCCTGAGAGTTTTATGGAAGGTGAAATTTAAGAGCAATGAACTGAGATATCTGATAGAAGCAACATTTATGCAAAATATTGAAGGAGCTATATGGTTTTATTTAATCACATACAGTAAAATGAGAGAAGACACAAGTAATTTAAAAATAAATTTATAATTAAAAAGGGAAATGAAACATAAAAATTTGGAAAATTCACAGCCTGGCCACATACAGAATTTAAAAATTGTGCCAGGGTATAGCTAAATGACACTGTGACTGTAAAATTATTAATAGTATTGGTAGAAAGAATCCAGGTTCTATTCATCAAGACAATGGAAGAATGTCCTTTCACCACAACCCCAGAAATCTAAAGGGCAGAAAGATTTTGAAGTTGGGCCCAGGATGCTGTCCACAGGCTTGCTGCCTAGGACCACCTCAAGACTTTGCCCATTTTATTCTGGTGGAGCTCTCTTTGGCTACACCAGCTTAAGCAGGACTGGGTGTGGCTGTGGCCACCACTCCAGAGGGCACTAGTAGCAAGCCTTGGCAGCATCCATGTGATGCAAACTTAGCAGATGTGCAGAATGAGTGGGCTTGGGATCTTGGTGGCCTCTATTTAAATTACAAAAGATGTCAAGAACAATATGGAGGGCCATTGGAGACTTATCACAGGGATAGGGCCACCACAGGGTGTCCCAACAGGGATAATACCCAGAAGAAATGTGGGGTTGGAGCCACTACAGAGAATCTCCACTGCAGCAATGCCTAGTGCAGCCACAGGCAAGGAACCTAGAACACAGAATTGTAGAGCCACCAGCATGTAACACCAGCTTGGAAGAAATTAAGATATGAGAATCTAACTGACGAGAGCTGATTCATGGGCTGAACCCAGCAAGGCCATGGGAGTGAAGCTGCCTAGGGCCTGGGCTCCCGTGTTTCCAGCAGCTGTTACATGAAGTCAAAGTGGATTCTGGAGCATTAACATTTTAATGTTTACCATATGGAATTTTGGATTACTTGGGACCAGTTACTCCTTTCTTTTCACCTATTTCTCCCTTTTGGAATGGAAATGTCTAGAATATGCCTGCCTAACCATTGTATTTTGGAAGTAGATAACTTGTTTGAGTTTACAGATTCATGACTGAAGGGAATTTGCTTCAGCATGAATTGTGCTTGATTCTCACCTATATGTGATTTAGATGAGACTCTAAACTTTAAACTTTTGAGTTGGTGCTAGAACAAGTTAAGACTTTCAGACTATTGAGATGGAACTAATGTATTTTGCATTTGAGAAGAATATGATTTGGGGGGCCAGGAGTGAAGTGCTATAACTTGAATGTGTCCCTCAAATTTCATGTGTTGGAAACTTGATCCCTAATGTGTCAGTATTGGGAAGTGGCATATAATGGGAGGTGTTTGCTTCATGGGGCCACTGTCCTGCCCCTCTAAATGCCATTATTAAGGGAGTAGGTTTGTTATCATCGCAGCAGTTTCCTTATAAAATGATGAGTTCAGCTTCCTTTTGATTTTCTCTCTTGCCAACTCTTTGGCCTTCCATCATAGATGACACAGCAAGAAGGCCTTTGCCAGATGCCAGTTCTTGATATTGAACTTCACAGCCACCAGAGTAGTGAGCCAATAAAATTCTGTTCATTATAATTTACTCAATCTGCAATATTCTGTTATAGCAGCCTGAAAATGAACTGTGAGAATAATGTAAAAGAATTTGTAGAATTTTTAGGGTCAATGTTAGAAAACATTATTTTTAATCTTTACTTCATGGAGATTTCATAAGGTATTCATTTTATGTAGTCAATAGACAGATAACTTTCAAATATTGTTGTTCAGACCTTAACAAGTTATATTCTCTTGTCAGCTAGTAGAGAGGGAAATAAAAATGTATACTTCAAAACAATGCTTTGAATGGACAACTTTAAACATATGTAAGCAGTAGTTTGTTTTCTTACCCTTGTACTGTTTTAGTGGTTTTTTTTTTGCATCTGCTCAGTTTTGCTAAAAAGGTTACCAGATATATATTTGTTTCAAGTTCTATCATTTTTTTCTGTAGTCTTTATTTGTTTAATTTTCTTGTTTCAACTCTCTTATCTTTTAAGCATATAGTACACATGCTCTGGTGTTATTCATATAAGATTGGTGTTGCTTCAGAGTTACACAACATACAAGCATAAGCCCTGAATAACTTGTATCTTTAAGTAGTACAAACTGTACAACAAACTTTATTCTGTTTTTGAAAGCTTCTGAAACAAGAGTTCTTATATTTTTCATCCTGGTTAGATTTCTGTGTCAGGATTGTGAGTAATGTGTATTCAAGAGATATTTTTAAAAATCAAAGTGCATACTTACTTACCAAGGATAAGTTTAAAAAGAAACAGTCACTCTGACATACCAGTGCCATGTACTGTTACAGATCTATTCCAGAACAAAGATGAAAGCTGGTTTAAAAGAATTTATAACTCTTCTAGCATATTATTTTACAACTAAATACTTTTTCTTCTTTAGAGTACTGCCTCTCTTGCTGGGAGTAGTATCCTCTGCTGCTGTAAGGAGGAGGGTAAGGCAGTATTCTCTGGTTCTATAATGTGAAGAAACACTTTGCTATTTATTTTGCCTGTTTCTCTATTATTTGTGCATGTGTGTTTAGTTGTAATCATATTTTCATCTATTCAACAAGTATGTATTAATGAATTCCTATGTGTGAGATACTGTGCTATAAGCCAGAAAATAAGGAATATAATAAAATATTGTTAATTCTCAGTCTCATTTTTTTTCCAAAAAACTAAAGAAAAAGCCAAAATATTGCAAATGATTTTCATAAAGAAACAGGCATTGTTTAAATTAAATAGCACATTAATCTTATAGATAAAAATACATAATGGAAGAGACAGAATCTGTCAGTTGTTGTCAGCCAGTCTTCCTGAAAGTAGTGGTCTTTGTTTCTAGACCTTACTTTGATAAAATTTGAACAACAGATGAGTTCTAATTCTCCAGCCTAGGCAACATAGTGAGATTCCAATCTCAAAAAAACAAAAAGCAAAACAAAACAAAAACAAATAACCTAAATAGACATTTTCCCAAAGAAGACATTTAAATGGCCAAAGGGTAGTTTCAAAATGGTATCATCACTAATAATCAAAGAAATGCAAATCAAAACAACAATGAATTATTATCTCACACCTATTAAGATGGCTATGATCAAAAGGACACAAGATAATAACTGTTGACAAGTGTGTGAAGAAAAGAAAACCCTTGCATATAGTTAATGGGAATGTGGATTGCTACAGCCATTATGAAAAACAGTATAAAAGCTTTTCAAAAAGTTAAAAATAAAACATATTTAATCCAAATATTTTCTGCATAGATATGCTAAAGAAAGGAAATCAGTACCTATCAGATATACCTACACTCCCATGTTCATTGCAACATTATCCACAACATCTAAGTTATGAAAACAACTTATATCTATCCATGGATAAATAGATAAAGAAAATATTGTAGATATGTACAGTAGAATATTATTTAGCCATTTAAGAGGAAAATTATTCCATTTTCCACAACATGGATGACCCTTATGAGCATTATTTTTAAGTGAAATGAGACAGATACCAAAAGACAAACATTGTATAATGTCACTCCGTGCTGGGGATCAAATGTACATGAGTGGCAATGGGTACTCATTGTTAAATGAGTCATAAATAACATAAATCAAATTAAATGTTAATTAATTTGATTGTGGCAAATATGTACAAATCATCATGTGTACATCTTAAATATATCTCTTAAATATATCCCTCTTTATTTCATAATTAAATATCTGTTAAGAGATAGCAACATTTGGTATACACTTGAGATAGACAACAACATGCATTTAAACTCTTATCCATATTCTATGTTAATTTTTTTTGTTTTAGGTAATAATATAATCTAAAGGGAACTGTTCCTTTGGACATTATAATGAATCAATTTATTGATAACATCATCTTAATTAAAAAGTGAGCAAGAAATGTTAAGTATGTTGGAGGCTTTGGTAAGATCTAAGTGCTCTGTAAGGTGAGAGATAAACTCTCAGAAGATTTAAGAGTTTTGCACATATATTAAGGTTTTAAGATCCAATGGACTGGGACATCCTGTGATATATTATTTGACATAAAAGACAAATTATTGTATCTTACACTTTCCAGTACAACACCTTTTAATTCAGGTAGATTTCTGAAGGCATTTTCCTCACTTGGCTAATACGGTTCTACCCATTTACTGAGTGATGGGTGAGGATGCCAAGTTTGAAGGAGAGCAGAAAGCTGCTCAGTAGCTGGCCAGGTATACAGTAAAAACAACCCTGCCCTTTTGGCCATATGGCCCAGCAGATCCTATTTTGTTAGATTATTAGTGGTGGAAAAGATGGCAAACATCAATAGCAGTGTAATGTAGATACGTAAGGTTCTGGAACAAGGACATGATGTTGGTACAAAAAAAATGCATACCATTTGAAGAAACCACTCATTATGTGCTAGTGGGTCCTGACCATGGAATATCAAATTAACATATGGTCAGAATTTCTCATCATAAACCAGGTTCTATCAGACCCATAAAATCAAAACCAGGCCTTTCTAAAGAAAATTATTAGAAGATTGAATTGATACAAATAAAATCGGGTGGGCTTCACAATTAAACTCCACGATCATGTGGCTCAGAGTCTGCCCCCAACCCCATGTCATCCACTAGTGTTCAACTGGTGTATTTATCTGAGGTCACAGCCATGTGGCATATGAGTTGCATCAATGTGACCATATAACAGATAAGGCAAACAGCCATTGTATTAGTTCGTTTTCATGCTGCTGATAAAGACATACCTGAAACTGGGCAATATACAAAAGAAAGAGGTTTATTGGACTTACAGTTCCACATGGCTGGGGAAGCCTCACAATCATGGCAGAAGGTGAAAGGCACATCTTACATGGCAGCAGGCAAGAGAAGAGAGCTAGTGTTTGGAAACTATCATTTTTATGTAACCATCAAATCTCATGAGACCCATTCACTATCACGAGAACAGCATGGGAAAGACCTGCCCCCGTGATTCAGTCATCTCCCACTGGGTTCCTCCCCCAACATGAGCGAATTACAGGAGCTACAAGATGAGATTTGGATGGGGACACAGCCAAACCATATCAGCCATCCTGAGTTCAAAAATGGAAAGCGTGAGTCTATAAACGTAAACCAAAAGTGGGGTGCTTCTGTATGACATTCACACTTAGAGACAGCTCTAAATGACTGTCATGACAAGAAGTTCTTAAAGTTCAGAGCAATAGCTGATACACTTGGTTATCTACTTTGTGTGGAATGAGACAAACATGGTCAACAGTGTATAACTTGAATGTGTAGTTTCAGGGCTAGGAAGGAGAAAAGATAAAAAGATAAAAAGAGTTTCTAGACAAGGGGCATGTAGACAGGCACAAGAGAATAGGCACAAAATGTGAAGATCCTTGTATCTACCAAAACTGATCCATCAGTGAAAATGCATTAAATCACTTAGTAGAGAGAATTATTCCTCAAGTTGACTCAAGTCAATCCCCTGTCATCAGACATTCTAGTGCTGGCAAAATGGGTGAATGAATAAAGTAGCCATTGTGGAAGACAGGAGGATATGCATTAGCCTAATTCTAAGGCTCTTATTCACCCATGTTGATTTAAGAACAACTTCTGCCAAAGGTTCAACCTGCCAACTTGTAAAGAATAAAAACAAAATATTACTCCGTAATAAAGAATCACCATAGTTTAAACTTAAATCACCCTCAAGTATGCCAACTGGTCATTTGATGATAAGTTGACTGCATTGGATATCTTCCACTCTGGAAAGGAGTGATAAGAATTAATACATATTTAGAATACATTTACTTTTATTTACCACAGTGCTTCAATAAATACCACTATTTAAGGTGGCATTTGGACCATTCACGTGTGGTCCTAAATAACATCAACAGACCATGGGCTCTAGAGCAAATGAGACTGTAGAGCAAATGAGATGCAGCGATGGGTATGTAATCATGAGCTCTATTGTTTCTACCACATGTTGCATCACTCAGAAACTACCAGCCTCATAGTAATGTAACAGTCTCTAGGATGTGCAACTGAGGTGTCATCTTGGAGAGGATATCCTAGCAGGTTTAGTTGGCTGTGAACATCAAGAATAGAACTGCTCTTATACAATGGGAATCAGGAAGAATACTTTAAGCACAAGGCAATCCATAGGGATATCCCTCCTATGCTTCTCCCAAAATGTTATAGAGAATGAACAAGTACAGCATTCATGGCCTGAGAAAGTCATGGTGACCAGGAATCAGGTCCCTCAGAGAAAGGAGTTTGTGTCATCTCATCATGTAAGTTTCTTAGACTATCAGAAGTACTAGCTCAGGTTGTAGCAAATCTAAAATGGATTGTAGAGAACTATAATTGCTTTCTTTACACCAGATGTGGCAGTTGTGGCTATAATTTTTCCAATTTTCCTTTATTTTCAGTTGTCAGAAAGGAAGAGATAATCCTAGCCAAAAATGATTTATTCCTCTCTCTTTTTTCCTTCTCTCTCTTTCTTACCTCATATACACTCCCTCTCTCTTTGTCCTTTTTTTCATTTAATCACCTATGCAAGTATATTTAAAAATCTCTGATTCTCCAAAGTAAATTGTTTTACCAATCTTAAAATGTCATTTGAAAGAATTTGGTTAAGTGGTAGAAAAATGCACCTACATAGAAGAAAAAACAATTTCTTCTAGGTATCATTATTTTATTGTATAAGATAAAAATATGAATATCATTCAACAAATTATCATATAATGGCAAATATCTAGAAGATAATTGTAAAGTTCCCAACACAAAGAAAAGTTAAATGTTTGAGGTGATGAATATCTCAATTATCCTGATCATTTCACATTATATGCAGATATTTCACATGTACCCCCTAAATATGTACAAATATTATATATCAATAAAAGATGGCATTTAAAATTAAATATCATGGCAGTTTACTCACAGGGTAGACACTGGTAGTAACTGTGGGTTTTAAAATTTTGTGTTATGACATCTAGCCTGAATAAGTAATTTTATTTTAAAAATATTTTGATCATCAGATCACAGATATAAAAAACAAAAAGAAAACCAAAATAAAGTGTGTTTTCGGGCAATAGGATGGCAAGCAATAAATATTAGACTTGTAAATGCTGAAAGAGTTGCATAAGCTGTTTTCAGCACTAGGGTAAAAAAGAAACAAAAATCAGTAAACTCTTTATTCAGCAAACACGCTAACCAATTATGACTAAAATAAGGAAAGACAATGAGATAATTTTAAAATCTACTCAATGTAAGAATTCAGATATATATAGCCAAGCCTAGCTAAAACTTGACAGAAAAAAATATAATATAGTGAACAAAAAGATAAAGCATAAATATGCATAGAATATCAGAGAACACCACAAAAACGGGAAATCTATGGAGTCAGAATTACTTGGTGTAATCATTTTCACTCTGTCAATGACTCATACAAATGCGGTCTCTCTCCTTGGTGCTAGATAGACTCAGCCTGAGTACTTGTTTGCTTGAATTGTTTCAAATTCTTTCTATGCTTGCTCTGGAAGATCAGTGGAGTAACTGGGTAACCTCCACATCTGTTGAGCATTAACTCCACAGTCACGAATTTCTATTTTCTTTCCAGCTGTGTGCACTCCGAATCTGGGTTTAACTGGAGAAAGAAATGACAGAATGAGATACAATGCAATCCAATAGCTGGATTTTAACTTTTTAGCACTATCAAATTCAAACCTGATCATTAATCTGTATCTCTGCCTTTACAAACAGTTTATTTTTCCTTCTCCTAATAAAGGTGCTGTGTTCATCATCAGAATTGTAATGTCCCCTATTTATATTGTTTTCTGTTCTGTTGGTGCTGTGGACAAAGCTATGTATTCTGTTGTGGTACCAAAGGAAAGACTGTCCATATATTTGAAATACAGTACTGTTTCAAAGTGGAAAATACTAATCTTATAGTAAGAAAGGAGCTTCAGAACAAGTAAAACTGATTAACGTATAAGCATTTTTGTTTGTTTGTTTTTACTTTAAGAATACAGCAGCTCTGCTAAAAGTTTGAAACTGTTAAAGAGACTAAGACAGGTTTATTTTTGTTAAATAATATATTCTAGCTATTTGAGAAATAAAATGGTATAGGGTAATTTCTATAAGATTTCAAATTGTAAGAAATGTTTATTATTCTCCTGATCATTTCTTTGTCCATTTGTTTTTTCTTTTTTCATGATGAAAAGTATGAAGTACTTAGGGGTGCACTATGCCACAACAAGTGCACATATAGTTGAAGTCTTAAGATGTTAAGAAGTAAATCAAAACATTTTACATAAGGACTCTAAACATTTCTATCAGTTCAATAGATATTTGTACCTAGAGTCTATTTTCTTTTTTGTTGTTGTTTTTTGAAATGGAGTCTCACTCTGTCGCCCAGGCTGGAGTGCACTGGTGCGATCCCAGCTCACTACAACCCCTGCCTCATAGGTTCAAGCAATTATCCTGCCTCAGCCTCCCAAGAAGCTGGGATTACAAGTGCCTGCCACCATATGTGGCTAACTTTTGTATTTTTAGTAGAGATGGGGTTTCACCATGTTGGCCAGGCTGGTCTTGAACTCCTGATCTCAGGTAATCTGCCTGCCTCAGCCTCCCAAATTGCTGGGATTACAGACGTCTAGTTTCTATTTTCTAAGTGTTAACATCTGATAAGCAGCCCTCCTAAACTTCTCTGTCCCCACTAACATTTTGTATTAACTTTGGTCACTACAGTGGGAGCATCAGACGCTTCAGATAAAATTTTCATTTGTGGTATTTCTAAAACACTGTCATGACTTGAGAGACTCAGAGAGGTGTAAGATAAGAATTCACAGTTTAAACTCTGAACAACCTTTGTAAATCATCTTTTTTAGAGAGTATGCTGAAGAAATATTTTGAAAACAATAGACAACATAGATAGAGAACTTCACTAAATAGAAAAAAGGGATATATCACTGGATTCTTACTGTTCTTTCTTATTAGTAGACTATTATTTCAATTTTATGATTTTCTGTGAAAGGCAATAAAAACAGCTATCAAAATATGGAAACATATATCAATATTCAGAAAGAAAATGTTTTGGGGGACCTTTGGAACTTCATCACCTTCATATTATTCTGAGTTTCTTTTATGCACTGTCTTAACAGGGGGTGGGATGAGAAAATATATACAACATTTCATTGGTATGTAACTAAAGTACAATTTTAAACTATGTTAATGACATGACATATAAAATGGTAAATCTGTTTTTATTAAAAATTATATCTTATACAATATAATATGCAAATTCGATATATGGTTTTTGACTAAAAATATGTTAGGAGTCTGGATGGAAGCACTTATGCAAGTAACAAATTCCTGCATTGTATGTTGAAGTGGGAGGAACTTGGTGATATTACACAGAAACCAACAGATTTTATGTTTCTTTTCTTAAGGCAGAATATATTTGCAGCTTTGATGTCAACAAAGATAAAGATTCCTCCACAATTGCAGAAATTTATACAGACACACAGAATAGTGGGCACTCAATATTAAGTAGTGTTTCTCAAATTACTGGGTAAGCCCAACTACATCGGAATCATCTTAGAGTTCTAATATATCAGAATTTATGACTGGTCGTGGGGACATATATTTTGAAAACATTCAAGGGAAACACTGAAATAAAGTCAGTGAGGCTACAAAACACTATCATTCCTAGGTTGAAATGCAAATTATGCAACCATTATTTGGCAGAGTTAATTGAATTTAGCCACACTCTACAGCTATTAATAGATAAAAAGTACAGATAAAATAAATTTTAAGAAACTGTATGGGACTAGAAACATTCTGTAGCTAGTAATTAGATACTTAAACAAAAAAATGATGTGTTAGTATAGACCATTGTCACAAATTTTAATGAGAACACACAAATGAGAATCAGATCTTTTAAAAAAAGGAATATCAACTAGGGCAGATACTGTCCCTTATACATTTTTCCTTTCTTTTTATTTTTGCATGTCATGATTGAAGCCCTCTATATACTCAAGGTATTTCTCACAACTTGGCAGATGACAGAGCCCATCACCTGTTTTAGATGCTGAATGTAACAGACCCTCACTTTTTCAGCCTCTCTTGCAGCTAGGGCTTAGGCAGCTAGGCTACCCCAACCAGACAGATCAACCCCAGATATTGAATTTGGAACTAATGAAAATAGAACAGGGACCAAAGAAAACCATTTCTGAATTTGTAGTTATAGAAAAATTATGTTCCTGTGGCAGCAGGGCAGTCAAAGTTGTTGGTGGTGATACTTGGCTGGTTAAAGCATTACTGTGCTCTCCAGTGGTGTTCCCACTGCACTGGTTCACACCTTGTGTTTGAGCTTGGCTTCTGGCCCTATAGCTCCTGATCCTGGTTAGAGAACCTTTCAGTCATTCTGAGAGCCAATCAGAATTCATTTTAAAAATTCATTATCGCTTAAAGCAATCAGAGGCACTTTCTGCTGCTAATAATTAACATCTCTGATAAATGAATTTGATGTACGAAAATTTATATATTTTTATTTATATAAAATTTTAAAATATGTTATAAATTCTTTAGTTATTGATTATATTAATGTTTGTTTAATGTATATTACTTGTAAGTTGTTCTCATTTTGTTGGGCAGTGTTAAATCAAATAATTTATACTGTAGAAAATACTGTCTTATTCATTATAATATAATGCTATATTACTCATTATAATTACCTTCACACTACTTTATTTAAATCTCGTAAGTATTTTGATACTCAACTTAGAAAAAAAAAAACAGAAAATTTAAATGATTTATGCAAGGTCACTAAGCCAGGAAATGGCAGTAAACCAGTGTCTTCTGTGTATAACTCTTTGATTTTCAATTTATACTATGTCGCCTTTAATATGAGTTCCAAGGAAGACGGAAACACATATCTATCGGAAGGGAACTCTGATTTTTGACTGTATGAAATAAATTAGACGATGTAGACTTTAAATTTAAAATTGTATATCTGCATCTATATCTATAAATTTTCAAAGTCTTACAGACCCCTCAACAGCCTACATATTTTCTTTGATGTCCTTTTGAAGACTGTGCCCAATCTTCTCTTAGACGAAGTTCAGTGAAATTGTATATATCCATGCTGAAAAAGAAAAAAAAATCCACCTTGCTACCACAATCAAATTTTAATAAAATTCTTAGAGTGAAAGGGAGAGATGATGAGGAAAAATGAAGAGCTTATTTCATTTCTTGGAGGTCTATTTCTGATCTTCTTTCCTTGTGGCCTAATATATTTTTATGGGCTGGTATATGAAAGAATAAGCAAATATTAATTGTCACAAGGTGTTCAAAGTTTTCTTCAGGATGTTGTATGAGGCAGCAGTAAATGCTTTGAAGCTGCGCATGGGAGGCAATATTTCTTGCATTTAAAAATTTTCCGTTTCTACCCTATGTGCAACTTCTTAGACTCCCATTCTTGTATCCCTCCAAAGCAGTTCCTCTAATACTAACTGTGGAGTTTACATCCAAATTATATCAACAACAATTTACTTCACTTGATTTCTGAGCCTCATATTAGCAACATTTAATGCTTATGATGATTGGCTCGACTTGTTACAACCCATATCATGGAGTCTGTCCCAGGAGTGGGCCCTTGAGCATCTAGTCTCTTATATCACTCACTGACACTTTCTGTTTACACTGACCTAGTCTTCAGCACAGGAGTCATTTCTGGTTTCTAACTCATGAAACCACCATCAAATCTGAGGCTATTTCCACATTCATTGGTTCAAATCTTCCAAGATATCAATTTATACTCCTCATACTATAGCTGCTGTCTGTCCCCATTCAACAACCACTGGCATGGGCAAACACACACACACACATACCCCACAAACACACCCACGCACATGTACCTGAGCCTGCACCGTCCCAGCTTCCAAATGCCTTCCCATTTATATTAGTTTTGTTTTAAAAATATAAAAACTTAGTTGGTTATATTAATCATTGGGAAGGGAATGAACTTGGGCTAGGACTGATCTTTTGAATTTCAAACTGCTTCCAGTTTGTAATATAACAAAACGGTGCTTTTGTCTAGAACCTACAGCCTTTTATTGTACTGTGGGCACAAGACCAAGAAGATCTGCTTGAGAGCCAACAGCTATAAACCATCTGGACCTGACATACTCCAGCTCTCAGAGGTTCTCCTGGAAGTTACTATTTTGACATGAAATCCCACTTCTTTGAGAGTTTGTCAGAGGCACTGGAAGATCTTCAGAGACCACTGTTAAAAAGGGAAAAAAAATTAACTGAAGGGGTCATAATTCTACCTATTTCACTTCTTGTTCTCTCAGCCTAAAGGAGAAAAAAAAAAGACAAAACCATCTTTAACCTTTATAACTCATTTAGAATATCTAGGTGGCTGACAAGTAGAAATATGGTGTTCGGAGAAGTGCAAATGTATCTAGAGTTTAAAGTTTTGGCAACCATGACATAACAGCGTAGGGTTTTTAGAAGAGTAGGAATGTTCAGAAAAATTGTAGACTACAGTAATTTATTAAAGCGTCTGTTAGAAAGTCATATTCTCTTTAATTGGACACAATCTTGTTAAGATCTTCAAGCAGGAAAGCATTTGCCCTATTTTGGCCCTATCTCATGTCTATAGATTAGAACTGCAAATCTAAATTGGCCAAATGCCAGAAAAATTTAAGGCACTATAATTACAGGGCTTTGAGCTTTTCAGTGAATTAATGATCATGGTTCAGGAAGATGAATCAAAGCTTAGAGAAATATGGTATGGAACTGTTTTTTTTTTTTTTTCTTTGATGGGATGAACCTCTTTTTCCTTCTCTCACTCTTTCTTCTTTGGACTCATAGATCCAAAATGCAAGTCTGAGAGGTACACTTGGTTCCCTAGCTTGAGAACTTTACCTTCAGGGGCTGGAAAATCCTATGAGCATGGTTGCACTTCGTCAGCTTTCTTTTCGGTTTGTGATCCCAGTGAATGTGCCTAAAGGAAAAAAAAAAGGTCTCTGATGAGCTCTGCACTAAACACTGGGATTAGTTTTCTTTTTCTGCTGAATCTTCTCATTTAAAAATTTACTCAGGATAGGTAATAAAATAACATTGGATTCAGGTTTGGTTATTCATTGAGAAGTATGTCAAAGGAAAGGCCTACTTTGTATCTAATCCCTCAAGCCTACATTGTTTAGGAAGAAAGAAAATTTCAATTTGTTCTGCTTAGTTTACTGTGGTTTTATATTGGAGACTGGAGCTCCACCTAGTAATACAGTGCTAATTTGCCCTCGTTTGTTTGTCAGAGATTTGAAGGGAGAAGTCATTAATCAAGAGAAGGATTGGAAATTCCTATTTGTCATAATATCCTTGAATACATGCGTTGCATCCGTTTTGTAAGTACTAACTCTAAAATGATATTTTACAGAACTATAAGATGTAGGAAGTAATTTTCTTCATTCCAACTCTTTAGCAACAGGCTCTGTGAGCTCCTTCAAAGTCTGTTCTAGCTGCAGAGAGCCTTTTCCCAGATTATGCCCTTTCTTAGGAAGCCTGGGCAAGGTGGGACTAAAAAGGTGAGGACGTTTCCACCTGACATGGGCACTCTCCTGGCAATACTCCCTCCCAATAACCCCTATAGGTTGGTTGAAGATTGGTCAGTCCTGTATCATTATTCAAGCTTTTTTCTCTAAACAATCCTGGTTCCATTTCCTTTCTTTTAAAGATATTTAATCCTAATAAACATCTTGGACCCCCAACTCTATGTCTGCTCCCATTCTGGATAACCCAAACTATGATATATTACTTATATATTTTATCTATATTTATGTATGTTATTTATAAGTCATTAATATGCACATAAGCAGAAAACAAATATAGTATATATATGAATATGTACACATATGTATGTGTTTTTTATTTGAAAGCAGAAATAAGTAACCTCTTTTCTTAGATCTCTTGCAATCTCAGAAGCTGTACAACACAGATGATAAACTACATCGAGCAGCATTTCTGTTTCCTCAAGTTTCTTAATTCCTTTCTCTGCATTATTCCAAGGGAATTTTAGCCACTTACAGTATTTTGTTGTATGCTGATATTGAATTCCATATTTGTATTAGCCACTCCAGCTAGTAGTCAGAGCAACGAGAGGTTCAGAAACTACCATATTCAATACAGATTTAGCCCTTTTTTTCATACTGATTATGTTGTGTGAAGGTTTAATATCCTGAAGCCACTTGGGGGAAGAAAACGTAGTTAAAGAGAATGATCTAATTAATAAGAACTGGGAGAAGAAAATTACATGATAAGTGCCTGTCTATGAAAATGTATATTCTATTGGATCTGGTATAAGAGTTGGTGAATTAAAAAATAAAATGTGCTCCTGACAATAGCTATTTCTCAATATTCCTGAATGTAAGTAAGCAAGAAAGAAGAGTCTCCGGGAAGGGAGAGAGAAAGGGGTGGGGGGAATAGGAGTGGAGGGAGTAAAGGGTGTTGGATATTGAGTCTTTGAGAGTTGATTACATTTCTGCAGTCTCACTGGACCTTTAGTGATAGGTCACTATTACCAGAAAAATCCTCTAACAGTCATGTTGGTTTTCATTTATAAACATTTAGAAATAACTGCTAAAGTTATGGTTGTATCTCATCTATACCAACCATGTAATTACCACAAAAATACTAGCTACATCTTTTAAAAATTGATCTAGTTGTTAGTTTTGAAATTCTTACTGGTTCCCAAGATGAAGCATATAATCTGCTCTTCTCTGAGATATTTCAGCAAACCCATAGTGTTCGGTTTGTAATATGTGGCCCTGTTGTTCTAGCCACACTGAGTAAATCAGTACCAATCTAACGAACCCTGCTTAACTGGCCTTAGATGTTCTCATGATCAATTAGATATGTGCATTAAGCAGCACAGCCCTTATTAGATCATCAATATTTGGTTGCTATTTATATTATATTGATATTATTTGATTGAAACAATTATTTCCTCTTTATTCTCATCTTAACTTTCTAGTTGCTTCTTTTTTTCTGCCGCCTTCTTAACTTCTACCTTCTAAAACCATGGAATTATATGGAATCCCCAATGTTGTCCTTTTCCTGCTTTTCTCCTCTGCTTTGGTCTCCTCTCATCAATCCTGCCATTTCCTCCCTTCCTTTCTCCTCTTTCATCTTCTCTCCTAAACCTGTCTGTTTCACAATTTCCAACACTTTCTCTAAGTATATATTTCCCAAATATGGCTTCTAACTTGCTCTCCAATTCTGCAGTCCATTTCTATCAAATATAAGGGCTGCAATTTTGAAATTGACTTTCTAATGATTAATGAAACAGAATATGGAAAGGACAAGTGCTAGGTGCTGAAGTCATCAGTTTAATTCTACCCCTCTTTTTATTTAAAAATAAGAATTTCACAGGGGAAAAAGGCAGAGGAACTACGGTAGTCCTCAAAGGGAGATTAATATATAAAAATAAACTAAGTCTTCTAAAATTACAGTAACTAACAGTAACAGTATGGTAGTTCGCTGTTTACAGTAGGTCTTTCACATAAGCCTTATGGCTTCAGTTACCATGTTAGCGATGAGGAAGCCGATATTCAATGAGACTGAGCACCCTCTGTGTGAGATTTCCTATATGCAGTGAAGAAGGAAGGAACTCAGGTCTTTACATGGATCATGATCTGGTGTTCATTCCATTTGACAGCATGTCCTGTTTCATTAACATTCCACAGATCTTTGTGAAGAAATAAAACATGACATTACTTAATTAAAGTTGCCACTGTTTCTGTCAGCTGTAAATCAGGGTCTGGTGGTAGGAATTGAAGTAAAGGGCAGTCAGACAAAAGTTGAATGGCTTTGTGTGAAATACTCTGCTTCACACACTTCATAGTCCAAGTCCAATACAGCGTTTCCATGCACAGGGTCTTCAACCACGGCATCTCCCTGTGGAATCACGTTAAGTACGGTTTTCTCACATTGTAGTGGAAGTCTGGAAAGAAAACTTCTAGATACTGTCTTGTGTGGGGCAAATAAATTAAATCTGGCTCTGTCTCACCTAAAACCAGATTCTACATCACTTTAGTAGAGAGTTAATGGAGTGTTTAATATCACAAGCCTTGGCTTCACTGAGGCACACTAATATTGGTACAGTCAGAAATTGTTTTGATCTTTCTAAACCTAAAATTCCTATGTGTAAACTGAGGGGATAAAGCCAACAGAGTTTGTTTGAAAATTAATTGAGCTATTATACCCATGCAGTTAATTTAGTGCATAAAACGTAGTGTTATAGTGGTTAGTGTTGTCTGTCATGATCTTGAATAAGTTGTTACTAAGCTGTAGTAAAAGGACATACATTTGGGGGTTAAACAGGTGTGATTTCAAATTTCTCTTCTACCAATTACCTATTGTATGAAATTAGACAGATGATTTCTCTTTTTCTGAGCCATACATTTCCTGCCTATGGGGTATATTACCTCACTATGGATGTAGAGTGAAGATTAAATGTTATGCATGTCAAGCTTATAGAAAGCTCAATGCCTGAGAGATAGTGAGAGATCAATAAAAACTCTCTTGCCCTTTGCCCGCCCGAACACCTAATGATCTGAGCTTCTTTGCAAGAAGAATTTTTGTTCGAGCTGCTCATCAGCCATGTTAAGGAGAAAAATAGCACTTTCAATCTTTGACACTACTGTTAAATATCTTGCTTAACATTTTCTTAAGCACTTTGCTGATAAAAATCCATATATTCCTAGTTATACTCTAGTCACTGTTTTCTTCTATTTTTAAATATTTCCTTTTAAATAAAATCTTTAAGCACAAATTACAGAAAAACAATGAAAATATACTCACATGCTCAACACAAAGATTAAAGACATACAAACATTTTCGTATTTTTAGATGTCTATTTTTCTCTTTTTAGGAAACAAAACATTAAAAATACAGCTAAAGCATTATCCTTTATCTCTTTGTGTGCTCTTCCCTTCTCAGAAATTGAGTTTAGTGCATTAATCTCATTTCTTCTTCATACATTATAATATAAATATGTATTCCTAAAATACACTACTGTTTGGTGTGTTTCTTGAAGGTTTGATATAACTCATCTGAAAAAAACTATATCCTTGTGATTAGATTTTTAATTACCATTTGCTTTCTTTATATTGTTATTTTATTTACAATTAAAAATGTTTTGACTAATTGTTCCGGTAAATGTTTACCTTAGTTTTTATTACTATAGGCATAAATTTGTTTATATAATTTGTTTTTTTCTACTCTATCTGTCATTATGCTTTCCTTTCAATCCCAGTTTTGCTCAGCTATACTTTCTCCCATTCTTAGCCAGAATTATAAGTTATTTTATTAACCTTCTTAAATATATAGGTTATGGTCTTAAGAATTCTCTCCTATTTTAATTGCTTTTATTTTATTGGTTCTAACCCTTATATTCTTATATCCATCATTCTATTTTTTAAATGTTGCTTTTTTGTTCTTTTTCTGACTATATGAGCAAAATGCTTAAACCGTTCTTTATATTTTATTTTGTAATTTATAAATGTAATACTTTGGCTTTCCCTCAAGTTAGCTTTCACTTAGTCTCTGTATGAATGTACAGTGCTTTAATTTTTCTTCATTCTAATTACTTATTTTATTACGTTGGTGGAAAAGTAATTTTTTTTTTTTGCCACTAGTTTTAATGGCAAAAACCGCAATTACTTTTTCACCAATCGAATACTTCAATTATGATTTCCATTACCAATTACTTATTTAGAAATATGTGTTGATATTTCCAAATAAAAAGGATTTTGATGTAATCTTTTTGCTATTGCATTGGAATCAGACAACGCAATCTCTGTGGTATTGACTGACATTTTTTGAGCCTCCTACTATAGTTCAGTACATTGGCAATTTTTGTAAATGTTCTGTGCATGCTTGAAAAGAATGTACGTTCTTTCAGTATCGGGTGCAATGTTCTATTGTGTCTTTAGAGGAAGATTGATGTTCGTATTTTCTACACTTCGATTATTCTTCCAGTCTGAGCTATTGCTGATTTATAAAAATCAGCTTTTAGTGGAGGTGGATTTGCACATTCTTATTGTAATTCTATGTTTTTGCTTAATGTATTTTAGAGTATAAAATTCATGTCATATTACCAAATAAATAATAAGACACTATGATTCTTTTATTGTTATCTAAGTACTTTTTATTCTGAAAAATTATTTTTGCTTAATGTTTGTTTTGTGCATTAATACAGCTAACTGTATTTTTCTCCTTAGTTTTTAACATCATGTTTAATTTCTTTACTTTCTACCTTTCTGTCTTATATTTTGCTTTCGATGTAACTCCTTTAAATTGCATATACCTGTTTTATTTTTCTTAAAATATTTATCTTCTAAGTGGTGAGTTGCATTTATTCATTTATTTGTGTGTGTGTGATTGTTGACATATTTGATTAATTTATACAATCTTATTTTGTGTTTTTTATTATCCATTTACTATGAGTGTATTTTTCTTATTTTCTGTTTTATATTTTATTAATTAAGGTTTCTTTTTTTGATTTTATATTTTATTTTATTTTGTTATTTATTATACTTTAAGTTTTAGGGTACATGTGCACAATGTGCAGGTTAGTTACATATGTATACATGTGCTATGCTGGTGTGCTGCACCCATTCACTCGTCATTTAGCATTAGGTATATCTCCTAATGCTATCCCTCCCCACTCCCCCCACCCCACAACAGTCCCCAGAGTGTGATGTTCCCCTTCCTGTGTCCATGTGTTCTCATTGTTTAATTCCCATCTACTTAACTTTTCTTATCTCTACTGAGTTGAAAATATTATATTCCATGTTTCTTCCTTTAGGGATTACTCTGAAATATTTAACATGCCTAAAAAGAAACCAAAATATATTTCAAAGATGATCAATATTTATATCCTTTTTCTTAATAACAACAAATATTTAGACTGCTTTGTCTGTATATTCCCTCATATCTTAACATTGTAGTTTCTTTCTTGTCTTAATTAATATGCTGTCCCTCCAAATTTATTGTTATTGCTGTTGCTTTATACAGCCAATACTTATTTATATTTTGTTACATTTTTATATATTTATTTGTTTTCTCTGGCTTTATTTCCCAATTTTCCACTTAATTATCCTTGGTAATTTTTGGTGTTGTTTAAAAATTACTTGTTTTTTTTTCATCTTTATTGTTCATCACTTAAACGCAATGTTGCCTTTTATTGTGCTATTTTATTTTCTTAATTGGTTGTGACACTTATCTGTTAGCATATTTTTACTAAAGATTCTTATTAATGGTAAATTTTCTCCATATGATCGTGTGCATGCATATCTGAGCTCATTTTAGTGGCACTATTCTGTTTGGTAGGTTTTATATAACCAGGCCAGGTATATCCCTATATCCTTCACTGAAGTTGAGTCTGCAAGATCTTCAAATGTCTATAGTTCATGAATAAATTTTATGTTACGTTCTTGGCTTATGGTTTCTTAAACAAATTAGAAAGAGTAAATGTGATCATCAGACATATAAGGGGCATAGTTTGGGATTTTCTTGCCTGGGGGATTCTGTTTTCTGCAGCCAAAGCTTCCTTGCTCTCTCCCTAGCCTGTTGGACAACACTTTGTAACCACACTTACCCTAAATGCATTTATCTTTGGGACTTCTGCCTTCATTCAGATGTCCAGCTTGGTCTTTTGCTATCAAGTAGCCATAAAACCCCAAAATCTTGGGCTACTGTGGCCAACGCATTACTAGAACATGTATTTAGTCATTAAAACACAAATCATTCTGTTTTTTTACTTTATTTTTTGTTTACTGAACATAGGGATTATCTTTCTTATTATTGGTGAGCTCCATAATGTATTTTGTGGCTGCTTTTATTGTTGTTGTTATATTTTATGCAGTAATTCTAGGTACTTGGGATAAAATATTTGCCCATAATATGTTAGTTCGCCATCTTGCCTAAAACTGGAATTCTCTAATTTTTCCTTTCTGAAGAAGCTAACAAAATGAGGATATTTGAAGTTACCTGTAATCTAAGGTATTAGGAATTTTTTGATAAAGAAAATTAAGGCCATATTTTAGCCATTAGCCTACTACTTTCAGGATTTGTGGTGTAAGCATATGTGACCTTAGTGTTATTTATTTCATAATTTTTTTAAATCAACACTCTAAAATACAAGACAATCAAATAAAAATAGATCAAAAGTGAAAACAAAAAGTAAATTGATTATTTACACTAGAGTTTAGCAGTAATATCTGTAATATCTGGTAAATCATAAATTTGAGAAGCTACTTACAATTTTTTACTTAAGCACTAAATTAGATATGTAACTGTTTTGATTAATTTTGTCTGTTTTACTACCTAAGTTCATATATTATGACAATAAAAATTCCGTAACACACATTAGAAAACTGGAATCATAAAAAAACTTTATCACCTATAGTCTTTAAAAATTAGATAAATATAGTTATCAATATTTATGATGCTTATTTGAAAACATGTAGTTAAAATACATAGTGTGTTTTAATTTTAATAGTTTACTGGATGATAAATATATTTTTCTATCGTTTAACCTTGAACACTTATAGTAATTAATTTTAATAATTATGTTATTCCATTTTTAAAAAAGGTTTTGTTTTTGAATTGTTTTAACAGCATCTACTGATACTTGCATTTGAATTTTTTTTGTACTCTTAGATTATAAACACTTTGAAAGCTAAAAATGCCTTACTTATATAGAGCTCTGTATGATGTCCAGTAAATTACTTTGAAGGAAATAAAACTCAATGTTAAAATAAATTAAGTTGGTCAAAATAATAAAAGCTATGTGGTGTATAGATGACTCTTACAATTATTGAGCAATTGTTTATTATGAAATTAATTGGATTTTTGTTATTAGCACCATATCAGAACCAATATTTCTGTAGTCATCACTCACATGGGAAAATATTAATGCTTTTATTTCTGTGTGTGTAAATTGACACTAATACTTCTTATGTTGGGAATAGGCCCCCAAATCTGGCCATAAACTGACCACAGAACTGGCCATAAACAAAATCTGCAGCACTGTAACATGTTGGTGGTGGCCATGATGCCCATGCTGAAGGTTGTGGGTTTACCAGAATGAGGGCAAGGATCACCTGACCTACTCAGGGCAGAAAACTGCTTAAAGGTGTTCCTGAACCACAACAATAGCATGAGCAATCTGTGCCTTAAGGACATGTTCCTTCTGCAGATAACTAGCCAGATGCATTCCTTTGTTTCAGCCCATCCCTTTATTTCCCGTAAGAAATATTTTTAGTTAATCTATAATCTATAGAAACAATGTTTATCACTGGCTTGCTGTCAATAAATATTTAGGTAAATCTCTGTTCAGGGTGCTCAGTTCTGAAGGCTGTGAGACCCCTGATTTCCCACTCCACACTCTAAATTTCTGTGTGTGTGTTTTTAATCCCTTTAGCACTGCTGGGTTAGGGTCTCCATGATCAAGCTGGTCTCAGCAAGTGGTGCCCATATGTGGGGCTCGAACCTGGGTTGGAGGGTCGCTGGAGCAACGGTTGGAGAACGTGGAACTAAGCTGGAGGACACCCATACACTCTTAAGCAATCCCAGTGGTGAGTAAGAAGGGGAGCTTGGAAGCATCAGGGTAACAATGGGACAAGTGTGGGCTTTGGTTTGTTCCACCTTGGAACCTTTTCACACTAATGATGAGGAGGAAGGAAAGTATAATAAAGTAACAGAAGAAGTAACAGAACAGGTTTGTTTGCCAGCTAAAGCTAAAGTGGCAAAGGAGGGAGAGGTTCATCCCTACCCTTCTGCACCCCATCCTTATTTTGAAGAAAAAGAGTCGCCTGACTCTCCAGATCTTTCTTTTCCAGGGGACACTGGGCAAAAGTAGTTGCCCCAGTGACTGTTTGAGCAGCACCTTGAGTGACCACTCTCAGTTCTATTCAGGCAGGAATTCAGCAAGCTAGACGAGCAGGTGATATAGAGGCTTGGCAGCTCCCTGTTAGAATACACCCCCCCAGATCAACAGGGAAATATTATAGCACATTTGAGCTTTTTCCTTTTAAATTACTCAAAGAATTTAGACAAGCTATTTATCAATATGGACCAGGTTCTCCTTTTGTAATGGGACTGTTAAAGAATGTTGCTGTTTCCAGTCAGATGATTCCTACTGACTGGGACACTCTTACTGGAGCTTGTCTAACTCCTGTTCAGTTCTTACAATTTAAAACTTGGTGGGCTGAGGAAGCTTCCATTCAGGCTGCTTGCGATGTGCAGGCCCAACCTCAAATTAATATAAATGCAGACTAACTTTTAGGGGTTGGCAGCTGGGCTGGTTTAGATGCACAAGTGGCTATACAGAATGATGCTATACAGCAGCTTAGAGGAGTGTGCATTAGAGCTTGGGAAAGAACCACTTTAGGAGGAGAGCAATACCCTTCCGTTAGTGCTGTAAAGCAGGGACTGAAAGAACTGTATGCAATTTTATAGCTCGGTTATAGGAGTCTCTTAAAAAGGTGACTGCAGATTCAGCTGCTTAAGAATTAGCTTTTGACAATGCTAATCCCGAGTGCCAGGCTGCTCTGTGACCTATTAGAGGGAAAGTACATTTAGTTGATTATATCAAGGCCTGTGACAGTATCGGATGTAATCTGCATAAGGCTACTCTGCTAGCCCAGGCAATGGCAGGACTGAGAGTGGGTAAAGGAAATGCTCCGTTTCCTGGAGCTTGTTTTAACTGTGGGAAGCATGGTCATACTAAAAAAGAATGTAGAAAAAATCAGTGAGTCAGGACGCTAGATAGGGGAAAAAAGAAAACTGCTGAGCCTGCAATATGCCCAAAATGTAAAAAAGGAAAACACTGGGATAATCAGTGTATGTTTGATAAAGGTGGGAACCCTATTTGGGAAACACCGTGAGGGGCCCATCCCGGGCCCTGTTCCAAACTGGGGCATTTCCGGCTCATGCCATTCCCTCACACCAGTACAATGTCTGTCCCCCACCACAGCCGGGAGTGCCAGAGTAGATTTATGCTGCACAAAAGCTGTGAGCCTTCTGCCTGGGGAATCCCTGCAAAAAGTTCCAACAGGGGTCTGTGGACCCTTGCCAGTGGGGATGACAGGATTACTTCTAGGAAGGTCTAGCCTAAATTTAAAAGGAGTACAAATACGCACAGGAGTCATTGATTCAGATTACAATGGGGAAATTCAAATTGTTATATCTACTTCTGTTGCCTGGAAAGCAGAGCCAAGAGAGCACATAGCACAGCTCCTGATTGTGCTGTATGTGGAAATGGGGAAAAAGTGAAATTAAACGAACAGTAGGATTTGGAAGCACAAATAAACAAGGCAAAGCAGCTTATTGGGTGAATCAAATTACTGATAAACGTCCTACCTGTGAAATAACTATTCAGGGAAAGAAATGTAAAGGTTTGGTAGATACAGGAGCAGACATTTTAATCATTTATCTACAGCACTGGCCTTCTGCATGGCCAATTCAACCCGCTCAATTTAAAATAGTTGGAGTTGGTAAAGCCCCTGAAGTATATCAAAGTAGTTATATTTTGCACTGTGAAGGGCCCAATGCACAACCTGGGACTATTCAACCAATTATAACTTCTGTACCTATAACTTTATGGGAGAGAGATTTATTACAACAAGGGGGAGCACAAGTTGTAATTTCAGGGCAAATATATAGCCCTCAAAGTCAATATATGATGAATGAAGTGGGGTATGTCCCTGGTATCAGACTAGGAAAAAATTTGCAAGGTTTGAAAGAACTGCTTCAAGCAGAAAGACAAAGTTCCTGCCAAGGTTTAGGATATCATTTTTGATGGCGGCCATTGTTAAGCCTCCAGAACCCATACCTTTAAAATGGTTAACAGATAAGCCAGTTTGGAAAGAACAATGGCTGCTGAGTAAAGAGAAACTGGAGGCTTTAGAGGACTTTGCTGCTGAGCAATTTGAAAAAACAAAACAAAACAAAAAAAACACATAGCTCCAACATTTTCCCCTTGGAATTCTCCAGTTTTCATAATTAAGAAAAAATCAGGTAAATGGAGAATGTTGACAGATCTTAGAGCCATTAATTCAGTTATACAATCTATTGGGACCTTACAGTCAGGATTGCCTTCTCCTGCTATGATTCCAAAAAACTGGCCTTTAATCGACATAGATTTAACAGACTGTTTCTTTACTATCTATCTCCTTAGCTGAGCAAGACTGTGAACAGTTTGCATTTACAATTCCTGCAGTAAACAACCTGCAGCCTGCTTATCATTTTCACTGGAAAGTATTGCCATAAGGCATGTTAAACAGTCCAACAATTTGCCAGACTTATGTAGGACAAGCAATTGAACCTACTTGTAAAAAATTTTCACACTTTTACATTATTCATTATATGGATGATATAGTTTGTGCTGCCCCCACTCGAGAAATACTACTCCAATGTTATGATCACTTGCAAAATTCGATTTCTCATGCTGGTTTAATTATAGCTCCTGACAAAATTAAGACTACTATTCCTTACTGCTACTTGGGGACCTTACTAAATGACACTACCATTGTGCCACAGAAAGTAACCATACATAGGGATCAACTGAAAATATTTAATGACTTTCAAAAGTTACTAGGGGACATTAATTGGATACAACCTGCTCTAGGCATTCCTACCTATGCCATTAGTAATCTATTTTCTATGCTTACAGGAGATCTTAGTCTCACTAGCCCTCGACAATTAATAAAAGAAGCTGAGGCAGAGCTGCAGCTAATCAAAAAGAAAGTCCATAAGGCTCAAATAAATATAATGTGTCCAAAGAAGTCTCCAGATTTGCTAACTTTTTCAACTCAGCATTCACCTACTTGTGTTATTTTTCAAGAGCAAGATCTTGCAGAGTGGCTTTTTCTTCCACATACTAATTCACAGACTCTAATTCCTTATTTGGATCAAATCGGTACTATGATAGGAAATGGGAGAACTCGGATTGTTAAATTACATGGATATTATCCTGGAAAAATTATTGTCCCTCTCATGAAGGCACAAATATAGCAAGCTTTCATAAATAGTCTTCTTTGGCAAACCCATTTAGCTGACTTTGTGGGTATTCTCGATAATCATTTTCCAGAAACAAAACTGTTTCAATTTTTGAAATTAACTAATTGGATTTTCCCTAAAATAACTAAATTTAAACTAATTGAAGGTGCTGAGAATGTTTGACAGATGGGTCTAGTAATGGTAAAGCTTCTTCTTCCAGATCGAAAGGTAAAGTTTTTCAGATGCCCTATACTTCAGCTCAAAAAGCAGAGCTTGGGTATTGACTGCTTTTAATATGCCTATTAATGTGATTTCTGATTATTCATATGTGGTTCATTCCACACAATTAATTGAAAATTCTCAGTTATGATTTCATACAGATGAACAACTGATGACTTCATTTACCCAATTGCAAACAGCAGTCAGGAGTAGAATGCACCCTTTTTACATCACTCACATTAGGGCTCATACACCTCTTCCAGGACCTTTGACTGCAGGGAATCAAATGCCTGATCTCCTAATTGCTACTGCAATATCTATTGCTAGACGCTTGCTTTCACAATTCAACCCATGTTAATGCCTCTGGTCTCAAAAGCAGATACAACATTACCTGGAAAGGAGCTAAAGCTATTATCCAGTGATGCCCAACTTGGCAAATTGTACATTCCTCATCTTTTACAGGAGGAGTTAATTCCCGAGGATTAGAACCTACTTCTCTTTGGCAAATGGATGTCACACGTGTTCCCTCGTTTGGGAGACTAGCTTATGTACATATATGTGTGGACACCTTTTCTCACTTTGTCCAGGCTACATGCCAATCAGGAGAGCCTTCTGCCTGTGTTAAACATCACCTTTTGCAGTGTTTTGTGGTGATGGGCATTCCAGCTTCTATTAAAACAGATAATGCCCCAGTCTATACTAACCAAGCTCTAGCTACATTTTTCTCTATATGGAATATTAAACACATTACTGGTATCCCATATAATTCTCAAGGACAAACCATAGTGGAAAGAATGAATCTCTCCCTGAAAGAGCGGTTGCAAAAGCAGAGGGGGGAAAACAGGGACTATGGAACACCGCATATGCAATTGAATCTAACATTATTAACTTTAAATTTTTTGAGCCTGCCTAAAGGCCAGATGCTATCAGAAGCTGAACAGCATCTACAGAAACCAGCCGCAAAGACAGAAACAGAACAACTGGATTGGTGGAGAGATCCGATAACAAAAAGTTGGGAAATAGGTAAAATAATAACTTGAGGTAGAGGTTATGTTTGTGTTTCTCCATGACTGAACCAGTAGCCTATTTGGATACCATCAAGACACCTGAAACCTTATCGTGAGCCAGATGCCGAGGAAGAGATTCTGGGAGAATCCTGAGGACCCCCTGGTTACAGCCAAGTCAAGACTGACACTGAGGAGGACCCCAACTGTCATGAGCAACACCTGTTGAGCACAGCCACCCACCTGGGGACAGATCAAGAAGCTGTCACAGATGGTGGAAGAAAACCTGAGGAAAGCAGGACAACCAGTCACAATGAGTAATTTAATGGTAACTATGATAGCAGTGATCACCACTGCCATAAGTATTCCTTCAACAAGGGCTGACATAGAGAACAATTATACTTACTGGGCATATTTATCAATCTTGGCTGGCAATAATGCCTGGATGTAATCACTCTATGACACAGTTACACAAGCTTTCTGATCTCAGTATCTACCATAATGAATCTGCTCCTATAATTAAGGCATTATAGGAGCCTCAAAAACCACCCTCAAAAACCTATTTGTAAACAAAATTGAACCTGGCTAGAAAAAAAGAACGTACTTGTTTAGGAAGATTGCATTGCAGAACAGGCAGAGGTTCTGCTCAATGATTCCTATGGAATCATTATTGATTGGTCCCCTAAGGGGACGTTTAGCTTAAATTGCACCTCTCAATCTGCATGCCATGGCTGCACTATGTTCAGCTGGTCTGAACTAAATGGTCAGATGGTAGAAATGATAAGAAATATGACAAGAGTTTGTATTATCTGGAAACATGGAGGTATAATGTCACCTCAACCTCAAATGATATGCCCCACTCTAGGACATAACATAAGGATTTGTGCAAACTATTAATGGCTCTTAATAAGATCAAAATTTGGGAAAGAATAAAAAAGTATCTCGAAGAACACCCTACAAAATTGTCTTTGGATATTGCAAAATTAAAAGAAGAAATATTTAAAGCATCCCAGGCACACCTGACCTTAATCCCAGGAACTGGAGTGCTTGAAGGAGCTGCAGACAGATTAGCAGCTAGTAATCCATTAAAATGGTTAAAAACACTTGGAAGCTCTATGATTTCAATGATGATTGTGTTATTAATCTGTGTTGTTTGTCTTTATATGGCCTGCAGATGCGGATCCTGATTCCTGTGAGAAGTAGCTCACCGTGACAAAGCTGCCTTTGCTTTTATCGCTTTGCAAAACAAAAAAGGGGGGCATGTTGGAAACAGGCCCCCAAATCTGGCTATAAACTGGCCCCAAAACTGGCCATAAACAAAATCTCTGCAGCACTGTGACATGTTTGTGATGGCCATGATGCCCATGCTGAAGGTTGTGGGTTCACCGGAATGAGGGCAAGGAAGACCTGGTGCACCCAGGGTGGAAAACTGCTTAAAGGCATTCTTAAACCACAAACAATAGCATGAGTGATCTGTGCCTTAAGGAAATATTTCACTGCAGATAGCTAGCCAGAGCCCATCCCTTTATTTTGGCCCATGCCTTTGTTTCCCATGAGGAATACTTTTAGTTAATCTATAATCTATAGAAACAATGTTTATCAATGGCTTACTGTCAATAAATATGTGGGTAAATTTCTGTCCAGGGCTGTCAGTTCTGAAAGCTGTGAGACCCCTGATTTCCCACTCCACACTCTATATTTCTGTGTGTGTGTCTTTAATTCCTCTAGCGCTGCTGGGTTAGGGTCTCCCCGACCGAGCTAGTTTTGGCATTCTGATATTTCATTGTGCCATTAAATCTTTTTTATAAGTTAAGAGAAGTTAATATATCATGCAAGTATTTTCTTTCACCAAAATCGCATTTTTGTTTTCAAAATTAACATAAATTATTGTTAGAGAGACATGACAATAAACTATAATAAATCTCATTCAGTTGCATTACTACAGATAATTATAAATCCCAATAAAATTGTTATTTTTCCTAGTAAAAACGTTATTGAAAATTGTGACTGGATCTTCCTATTGTTTTGCCCACAGAGGCATGAAAAACAATATTAAAAATAAAATTATTTTTCTGCTTTGCTTGTATTTGTTATTTCCAAAATCCAATTACAAGAAGTTGAACTGTGGTAAAGACACATATTAATTCATCAGTAACAAGTTGCCCAACTCTAGTGATAAAGTATTCCTGAAGTATAAATGTCCCAAAAGAAGAAAATTTTAATATAAAAATATAAAGCTATAGAAACTAAATTTTAATTTAATAAGTAGTATTGAGTGTCTAGTACAACCCAAGTATTATGTTAGGCTCTTGGGATGCAAAACTAGTCAAACATTGCTCCCGTTCTCAAAAAGTTTAATAATGGAGTGACTCTACTGATAGAAGGATGTTTAGCTGTTCAAGTCACTAAAACATAGTTGGCTTTGACTCTGTTATAAGAGTAAAGTTTCTACACAAAACATGAAGAGCAGTTTGCCTACTAGAACTTGGTTGTAAATGTATTGTTTAGATAAGAAAAGTAAAATTGCACAGACATGTAACAGTATGGCATATCAGGTGAAGTAAGGTCATTCAGTATTGCTTGATATACAAATGAATGGGAAGCTCTAAGAGATCAGTGTGGAATAGAGGATATGTAGACATCCTTTGTGAATTATAATTTGATGACATGGAAAATCATGAGAAGCTTTCTTTATTTTAGTTTAAAATATACTTTAAAAATCTGGCATTTGGCAGAATATTGATGTCTAATTATGGACATTTAGCTCAAATCAAGATATCGAAAATAGAAACAGCAAACTAATACATTATTCTGTGAAGATGTTAGCAATAATTGGATACATATTTAACAAGAATTCAGAAATATGTTTTCAAATTTACGTAGGTGCTTATAGTGGCTGATAAAATATTTTCCAGGACTAATCTAATAACACTCGACTAAAAGGTGTATTACGGAATGTGTTTGTTATCAATTGACAAAGTGAAAAACATTGAAGTTACATTTTTTTACCTTTATTAGATATATAAGATACTAGTAAAATAATGTCAACTTCTTTTAGATACACTCAACTGTTAGAAGAATGTGTCTGCCATTAGAAAAACATCTTTCTAATAATTTATTGGTTACCTTTGTTTCATGAATTTATATGTACTTTAGTTACTATGGAAATATTTTGTTTTTACTGGTATTGATTTTTAAGATAATTTTTGAAGTGTTTAGAAGTATGGACATTGTAATCAGGATTCCCGGAGTTTTTATTTTGGCTTTGCTATTTGCTAGGTATATGAGCTTGAACAAGTGATTTCACTTCTTTCAGTTTCAATTTCTTCAGCTTTATAATACTTATACATATATTATAGTGATACATGTAAAAATCTCAGTACCTTGTTCCTACATAATAAATGCAAATCAAATGTTGATTGTTATTATTATTATACTGTTACTATTTGAATTAAGGTTTTATACAAGAATCAGATTTACAAGTCTTATCTCCACTTTATATATGGATTTCTACAATGAAACCTGAAGAGACAGGATAGGACATAATATTCTGTTCAAGATACAATGTATAAATTCTGTTTCAATTAATAATCTTGATAATTTTAGGTAGCAGCATTTCATCAGATTGTGATTGATGTTACCCTGTAAAAAGACAAATAAAGAGTTTATCTTTGAAGTAAAAAAAAGTCAACTCTGTGTGTTCATCTTTCCAATATTAGCACTGTATTTAATCATCAATAAATAAATTTATTTTATTGATCTTTATTCTTTCATTCAAAAATATTTATTGCATGTCTATTAGGTGCAAGAAACACATTTAGACCATAGCAATGAACCAAACATCATAAATTCAACTGAGTGGAATCAGATACCTAAAAAAATAAAATACATACTATATTAGAAGGACTTCACTACTATAAAGAAGAATAAGACCAGAATATAGAGAAATGAGTTTGTGTGGTGGTGTTGGTGAGAAAGGGATGTGGTAAATAGCAGCTTTAAATGGGGGGGGGGGGCAGGGAAGACCTCACTGAGAAAGTCACATTTAAATAAAGATCTGAAAGAGTAGGGGAGTGAGCCATATGAACAGCTGAGAAAAGAGAGAACAGAAAATGCCTCAGTCAGAGGCATTCTGTGGGTGTGTGAAAACAGGAAGAAGGCCAGTGTGGCTGAAACAGAATGAGCAAAAGCTAGAGGAGTAGAAAGCAAGATGAAAAGGGCCACAGGGGAGAGAGCTTGGAGGGCCTCATGGCTGCAGGAAGGACTCTGGCTTCACAATGTTGTTATGAGACTTCCACAAAGAATACTCATAGACCATAACGGCTTCATGACCATAGGACATTTGGACCTGTGGAGACAGGAAATATGAAGCAGTAATTAAACAGTAGAATATGTAATTTCTTATTGTGTAGATTAAATATATGTAAAAAGTAAAAGTAGATGTATATAAGTAAAACGTTTTTTTATTTGTTTGTTTTTCTTTACTATGTAATCATTGCACCCAGTAGAGCAAGCTGTGTTGTATGTTATCCTGAAGCAGCTACATAGCAATGGAACAAACTATGACAAAAGTGTTTGCTGTGAGCCAAAGCAAACCTTTGGAATACCAAAGATGGAGAGAAGAAGCAGTCAGAGGAAACAGAAAAGATTTTCTAATGGTTACAAATAAGGCCAGAATTGTATCTGCAGATGACATCAGCTCACTCCTTTTCTCCACTTTCAAACTTTTCTTATTCTATATGACTAGAGATAAAAAAGAAACTCTGTCTACCTATTACCACATAAGGAGATAAAGCAACACAAGCAATGGCTGAATCATCAGAGAAATGACTCAAGAAATGGAGGAAGATATTAGAGAAACATATCGCTTAGTCTCAACTCAGAAGCCACAAGCTCTCTCTTAGAGAGACAGCACCAAGCTTTCTAAGTTTCATGAAAGATATTCTAACACAAAAAACATTTGAGAAGAAAACTAGCCTATTTTTTTAAAAAATAGAAGATAAAAATATAATGATAAACAAACATTAAAGAAACAAAAATAGAAAAAAGAGTGAAAACACAGCAAATGACACCATGATAGGCTTGAATAAATCACAGAGAGAGAATGTAATGGGAAATCACAGTGATTATAAAATAATTATAAAGATAAAAATGTTTATGGAAGACAGACCAATGTGATATTGCTTACTTGTGGTGATCTTGAAAAAGAAAACAAATGAATTTTTTAATAACACTCCAAATTATAATATAGTAAAACTTTTCTAAAAGAAAGAAAAGTGAATTTGTGTACAAAAAGGGCACAGAATTATAACGGAAAAAAACCTGCAGAATGATCAACTTAAGCATATATATGGACAAATTTACTGTATTTTTATGATGACTAAAAAGTTAAATGGTCTGCAGCAGAGAAATAAGGCAGGTAGAAACAGAAAAACTCAAGATGACCTCAGCCTTTTCCAAATCAATGCAGAAGAGAATAAGATACTCTCCACCAAAGTTTAAGGAAAGTGGGAGCGAGGGACTTAAGGATTATATTCCAAGTAAAATTGTCCTTAAAGTATAATCTGAAAGGCATGTATGTATTTGGAAAATCCAGGGAACAGAGCACTCATCATTTCCTTGTGGAAAACTGCTGAAAAATGTAACACAGTAAATAAATTTTTAAAAAAGCAATTCAGTAATAGAGATGCTGTAATAAAGTGACTGAGGATAATCACCGAATGTTTTCAAATACAGAACTACAACTGACCAGTCTTGCCAACATGGTAGATTTTGAAATGGGTATATTATTTTAGATGCCAAGAAACCATGTGGCATCTTGAAAATTGACCTTACATTAGGTAGCCTGACTTTCCACACACATGTGATTACAAGTCTCCTGCACTATCATTTCTACAGGTAAAAACAGGTGAAACCCGCTCAAGATGAGGTTTCAGTGAAAACACGATCAGTAAGCAGTAATGACGTCTCTATCCAGACAGCATCATAAAAATCCATATGTACAATACTTTTGGGGCCTCTAGAGTTACAAGAGAAAACAAACTGCTCAGCCTCATTTTTTGGCTTTGGTAAGTAGTTAAGCTGATTGATATGGCCATTTTCTTCTTAATGGTTGCCTTGTTAAATGGAACAATTTTGTAGATTCAGTTGTCTGACATATCTAAAAGAATCAAAATCTCATTTCCCATATGAATAGCCTCCACTAGCTGACATAGATTCAGACTGCAAAAACTGATGAAGTTCGGAGGAGCCAAGATGGCCGAATAGGAACAGCTCCGGTCTACAGTTCCCAGCCTGAGCGACGCAGAAGACGGGTGATTTCTGCATTTCCATCTGAGGTACTGGGTTCATCTCACTAGGGAGTGCCAGACAGTGGGCGCAGGCCAGTGGGTGAGCGCACCGGGCGTGAGCAGAAGCAGGGCGAGGCATTGCCTCACCTGGGAAGCGCAAGGGGTCAGGGAGTTCCCTTTCCGAGTCAAAGAAAGGGGTGACGGACGCACCTGGAAAATCGGGTCACTCCCACCCGAATATTGCGTTTTTCAGACCGGCTTAAAAAACGGCGCACCACGAGACTATATCCCACACCTGGCTCGGAGGGTCCTACGCCCACGGAATCTCGCTGATTGCTAGCACAGCAGTCTGAGATCAAACTGCAAGGCGGCAGCGAGGCTGGGGGAGGGGCGCCCGCCATTGCCCAGGCTTGCTTAGGTAAACAAAGCAGCCAGGAAGCTCGAACTGGGTGGAGCCCACCACAGCTCAAGGAGGTCTGCCTGCCTCTGTAGGCTCCACCTCTGGGGGCAGGGCACAGACAAACAAAAAGACAGCAGTAACCTCTGAAGACTTAAATGTCCCTGTCTGACAGCTTTGAAGAGAGCAGTGGTTCTCCCAGCACGCAGCTGGAGATCTGAGAACGGGCAGACTGCCTCCTCATGTGGGTCCCTGACCCTGACCCCCGAGCAGCCTAACTGGGAGGCACCCCCCAGCAGGGGCACACTGACAGCTCACACTGCAGGGTATTCCAACAGACCTGCAGCTGAGGGTCCTGTCTGTTAGAAGGAAAACTAACAAACAGAAAGGACATCCACACCGAAAACCCATCTGTACATCACCATCATCAAAGACCAAAAGTAGATAAAGCCACAAAGATGGGGAAAAAACAGAATAGAAAAACTGGAAACTCTAAAACACAGAGCGCCTCTCCTCCTCCAAAGGAACGCAGTTCCTCACCAGCAACGGAACAAAGCTGGATGGAGAATGATTTTGACGAGCTGAGAGAAGAAGGCTTCAGACGATCAAATTACTCTGAGCTACGGGAGGACATTCAAACCAAAGGCAAAGAAGTTGAAAACTTTGAAAAAAATTTAGAAGAATGTATAACGAGAATAACCAATACAGAGAAGTGCTTAAAGGAGCTGATGGAGCTGAAAACCAAGGCTCGAGAACTACGTGAAGAATGCAGAAGCCTCAGGAACCGATGCGATCAACTGGAAGAAAGGGTATCAGCAATGGAAGATGAAATGAATGAAATGAAGCGAGAAGGGAAGTTTAGAGAAAAAAGAATAAAAAGAAATGAGCAAAGCCTCCAAGAAATATGGGACTATGTGAAAAGACCAAATCTACGTCTGATTGGTGTACCTGAAAGTGATGTGGAGAATGGAACCAAGTTGGAAAACACTCTGCAGGATATTATCCAGGAGAACTTCCCCAATCTAGCAAGGCAGGCCAACGTTCAGATTCCAGAAATACAGAGAATGCCACAAAGATACTCCTGGAGAAGAGCAACTCCAAGACACATAATTGTCAGATTCACCAAAGTTGAAATGAAGGAAAAAATGTTAAGGGCAGCCAGAGAGAAAGGTCGGGTTACCCTCAAAGGGAAGCCCATCAGACTAACAGCGGATCTCTCGACAGAAACCCTACAAGCCAGAAGAGAGTGGGGGCCAATATTCAACATTCTTAAAGACAAGAATTTTCAACCCAGAATTTCATATCCAGCCAAATTAAGCTTCATAAGTGAAGGAGAAATAAAATACTTTACAGACAAGCAAATGCTGAGAGATTTTGTCACCACCAGGCCTGCCCTAAAAGAGCTCCTGAAGGAAGCGCTAAACATGGAAAGGAACAACCAGTACCAGCCGCTGCAAAATCATGCCAAAATGTAAAGACCATCGAGACTAGGAAGAAACTGCATCAACTAATGAGCAAAATCACCAGCTAACATCATAATGACAGGATCAAAGTCACACATAACAATATTAGCTTTAAATGTAAATGGACTAAATGCTCCAATTAAAAGACACAGACTGGCAAATTGGATAAAGAGTCAAGATCCATCAGTGTGCTGTATTCAGGAAACCCATCTCACGTGCAGAGACACACATAGGCTCAAAATAAAAGGATGGAGGAAGATCTACCAAGCAAATGGAAAACAAAAAAAGGCAGGGGTTGCAATCCTAGTCTCTGATAAAACAGACTTTAAACCAACAAAGATCAAAAGAGACAAAGAAGGCCATTACATAATGGTAAAGGGATCAATTCAACAAGAGGAGCTAACTATCCTAAATATATATGCACCCAATACAGGAGCACCCAGATTCATAAAGCAAGTCCTGAGTGACCTACAAAGAGACTTAGACTCCCACACATTAATAATGGGAGACTTTAACACCCCACTGTCAACATTAGACAGATCAACGAGAGAGAAAGTCAACAAAGATACCCAGGAATTGAACTCAGCTCTGCACCAAGCAGACCTAATAGACATCTACAGAACTCTCCACCCCAAATCAACAGAATATACATTTTTTTCAGCACCACAACACACCTATTCTAAAATTGACCACATACTGGGAAGTAAAGCTCTCCTCAGCAAATGTAAAAGAACAGAAATTATAACAAACTATCTCTCAGACCACAGTGCAATCAAACTAGAACTCGGGATTAAGAATCTCACTCAAAACCACTCAACTACATGGAAACTGAACAACCTGCTCCTGAATGACTACTGGGTACATAACGAAATGAAGGCAGAAATAAAGATGTTCTTTGAAACCAACGAGAACAAAGACACAACATACCAGAATCTCTGAGACACATTCAAAGTAATGTGTAGAGGGAAATTTATAGCACTAAATGCCCACAAGAGAAAGCAGGAAAGATTCAAAATTGACACCCTAACATCACAATTAAAAGAACTAAAAAGCAAGAGCAAACACATTCAAAAGCTAGCAGAAGGCAAGAAATAACTAAAATCAGAGCAGAACTGAAGGAAATAGAGACACAAAAAACCGTTCAAAAAATTAATGAATCCAGGAGCTGGTTTTTTGAAAGGATCAACAAAATTGATAGACCGCTAGCAAGACTAATAAAGAAAAAAAGAGAGAAGAATCAAATAGACGCAATAAAAAATGATAAAGGGGATATCACCACCGATCCCACAGAAATACAAACTACCATCAGAGAATACTACAAACACTTCTACGCAAATAAACTAGAAAATCTAGAAGAAATGGATACATTCCTCGACACATAAACTCTCCCAAGACTAAACCAGGAAGAAGTTGAATCTCTGAATAGACCAATAACAGGAGCTGAAATTGTGGCAATAATCAATAGTTTACCAACCAAAAAGAGTCCAGGACCAGATGGATTCACAGCCGAATTCTACCAGAGGTACAAGGAGGAACTGCTACCATTCCTTCTGAAACTATTCCAATCAATAGAAAAAGAGGGAATCCTCCCTAACTCATTTTATGAGGCCAGCATCATTCTGATACCAAAGCCAGGCAGAGACACAACAAAAAAAGAGAATTTTAGACCAATATCCTTGATGAACATTGATGCAAAAATCCTCAATAAAATACCAGCAAAACGAATCCAGCAGCACATCAAAAAGCTTATCCACCATGATCAAGTGGGCTTCATCCCTGGGATGCAAGGCTGGTTCAATATACGCAAATCAATAAATGTAATCCAGCATATAAACAGAGCCAAAGACAAAAACTACATGATTATCTCAATAGATGCAGAAAAAGCCTTTGACTAAATTCAACAACCCTTCATGCTAAAAACTCTCAATAAATTAGGTATTGACGGGACGTATTTCAAAATAATAAGAGCTATCTATGACAAACCCACAGCCAATATCATACTGAATGGGCAAAAACTGGAAGCATTCCCTTTGAAAACTGGCACAAGACAGGGATGCCCTCTCTCACCGCTCCTATTCAACATAGTGTTGGAAGTTCTGGCCAGGGCAATCAGGCAGGAGAAGGAAATAAAACGTATTCAATTAGGAAAAGAGGAAGTCAAATTGTCCCTGTTTGCAGATAACATGATTGTTTATCTAGAAAACCCCATCATCTCAGCCCAAAATCCCCTTAAGCTGATAAGCAACTTCAGCAAAGTCTCAGGATACAAAATCAATGTACAAAAATCAGAAGCATTCTTATACACCAACAACAGACAAACAGAGAGCCAAATCATGAGTGAACTCCCATTCACAATTGCTTCAAAGAGAATAAAATACCTAGGAATCCAACTTACAAGGGATGTGAAGGACCTCTTTGAGGAGAACTGCAAACCACTGCTCAAGGAAATAAAAGAGGATACAAACAAATGGAAGAACATTCCATGCTCATGGGTAGGAAGAATCAATATCGTGAAAATGGCCATACTACCCAAGGTAATTTACAGATTCAATGCCATCCCCATCAAGCTACCAATGACTTTCTTCACAGAATTGGAAAAAACTACTTTAAAGTTCATATGGAACCAAAAAAGAGCCCACATCGCCAAGTCAATCCTAAGCCAAAAGAACAAAGCTGGAGGCATCACACTACCTGACTTCAAACTATACTACAAGGCTACAGTAACCAAAACAGCATGGTACTGGTACCAAAACAGAGATATAGATCAATGGAACAGAACAGAGCCCTCAGAAATAACGCCACATACCTACAACTATCTGATCTTTGACAAACCTGAGAAAAACAAGCAATGGGGAAAGGATTCCCTATTTAATAAATGGTGCTGGGAAAACTGGCTAGCCATATGTAGAAAGCTGAAACTGGATCCCTTCCTTACACCTTATACAAAAATCAATTCAAGATGGATTAAAGATTTAAACGTTAGACCTAAAACCATAAAAACCCTAGAAGAAAACCTAGGCATTACCATTCAGGACATAGGCGTGGGCAAGGACTTCATGTCCAAAACACCAAAAGCAATGGCAACAAAAGCCAAAATTGACAAATGGGATCTAATTAAACTAAAGAGCCTCTGCATAGCAAAAGAAACTACCATCAGAGTGAACAGGCAACCTACAAAATGGGAGAAAATTTTCGCAACCTACTCAGCTGACAAAGGGCTAATATCCAGAATCTACAATGAACTCAAACAAATTTACAAGAAAAAAACAAACAATCCCATCAAAAAGTGGGCAAAGGACATGAACAGACACTTCTCAAAAGAAGACATTTATGCAGCCAAGAAACACATGAAAAAATGCTCATCATCACTGGCCATCAGAGAAATGCAAATCAAAACCACAATGAGATACCATCTCACACCAGTTAGAATGGCAATCATTAAAAAGTCAGGAAACAACAGGTGCTGGAGAGGATGTGGAGAAATAGGAACACTTTTACACTGTTGGTGGGACTGTAAACTAGTTCAACCATTGTGGAAGTCAGTGTGGCGATTCCTCAGGGATCTAGAACTGGAAATACCATTTGACCCAGCCATCCCATTACTGGGTATATACCCAAATGACTATAAATCATGCTGCTATAAAGACACATGCACACATATGTTTATTGCGGCATTATTCACAATAGCAAAGACTTGGAACCAACCCAAATGTCCAACAATGATAGACTGGATTAAGAAAATGTGGTACATATACACCATGGAATACTATGCAGCCATAAAAAATGATGAGTTCATGTCCTTTGTAGGGACATGGATGAACCTGGAAACCATCATTCTCAGTAAACTATTGCAAGAACAAAAAACCAAACACCACATATTCTCACTCATAGGTGGGAATTGAACAATGAGATCACATGGACACAGGAAAGGGAATATCACACTCTGGGGACTGTGGTGGGGTGGGGGGATGAGGGGAGGGATAGCATTGGGAGATATACCTAATGCTAGATGACGAGTTAGTGGGTGCAGCGCACCAGCATGGCACATGTATACATATGTAACTAACCCGCACAATGTGCACATGTACCCTAAAACTTAAAGTATAAAAAAAAAAAAAAAAAAAACTGATGAAGTTCAATAACATGGAAGATATTTTGGAGACAGGTAGCTAGAATGAGGACAAAGTGGCCAGAAATTAAGTCGTTCTATCCTTGGATAAGAATAGGTTGAGAATATTTATCTGGTCATATCCATAATATTTCCAGCCCTCATGATGTATGATAGCACAATACACTGGCTCGTATTCTATTATACTATCATATAGGCAGGTATTAGTCCTGTTACTATAACAAGCAGATTCCTAAACCACCAGTAACTGCAGCAGTGCTTCCCTTGGTTTATACCATGTATTAGTATTAATGGAAGAGACCCCAGGTACTTTATTTAATGTCAGATATCCCTCTACTTACAGCAATCCAGATTATTATGGCATGAAACCAATAAATTGACTATTGGAGTAATATAAATATCTTATTTATATTTCAGTTAAAAGGATGAAGGGGCCTATAGACTGTAACAAGTTATATAATAATACAGTGAGTCACTAGAAAATTTATTTTCAAAATTAAAGAAAAGGAAATTCAAACACTACTTTATTATTAGTCATAAGATTCCATCTAAATATCTTTTTGAAGGGTATTAAAAGAGAGGTCAAAATGGAAAATGTAATAAAACCAAAGGATAGGAAACACACACCAGACCAAAAAAAAAAAAAAAAAAATCACCATACACTGTAGTCTGAAGTTTTCTAGTAATATTGATTTGGAACAGCTACATAAACCAATTTGATTCATTGACTTTTTGATGGTGTACATTTTGTCCTTTCAGGTCTTATATTGAACATAATATATCACTGTATATAGAATGGATATAGTTTTTATTAGAGAGAGAGGGGAAAAAGCCAGGTTTCATTAGATCATATCAAGCTGAAAAACTATAAGCTTTAGAAAGTAATTGGGTACCCATGCCATGGAAAAGAAATATTCTGTTGAAACGTTGACTTTCAGTATTTTCAGCAGGACATGTATTTAATAAGTATCATAGTATGAAACTTCCTGTAAAATCCTCACTTTTGTAAGTTATAGATTGATTGGTCTTTGATTTGGGCTTTTATTGAAAACAATTACACGTTGTATATCAATTGTTTGAATGATTGCTCTTTTGTAAATTTACTTCACTATTTGAAACTGATTTTTATTATAAAAATTTCCTTGACAATCCAAACTCAGTTTTTAAGTATGTTTCTCAAATAAGTTGTAGTTTAAGTTTCACATTTCAATTAATTAATCACTTGAAAGGATAAAGGAGAGTCAAATTTTGTAACACATCTACCCATCATAATAAGCCGACTCTAAATCAAACCCCTTGTAGTTAACTTCAACAGGAAGCACGATTAGTTTTCCAAGGCCTAGGGGATTATACAAAAATGGATTAAGAATGATTTATCCCTTAAGCAAATCGCAGATTGTGTCATTCACTCCTTCTAACTGAAGTCAAACAGAAAATGCTCTTAACGAGAAGGAATAACAACTAAGTCACTAAATAGAGTGATAAAGTTTAAATCTCATGTCAGGCACATAGGTGAAAGATACAGGGAATAGGGAATTGGCTGGCATGTAGTTTTTAAATAGTTTAAGATAAAGAAAAATTGCATCCATTTGCAACTAATTTAAACTTCCGTGCATTTTGAAAATGTAAATAGATAAGTGATCTCTTTTTTAACCACTCATTTTAAACCACTGAGATTTTCTCTCAAAATTATATTATAATTTCACTTTAAATTCAGGTGTAGTTGTCACTACTGTCAAACTGTAATACGATCATGAAATTGATTTTACATTTGTGTGAAAGTGAATGTAATAAAACAATTTCCTCTCTACTTTTGTTTCTGATCCTACCCCCCTTCAGGAAAGGGATTATCTGTTTTTCTTTTACCGTAAAAACACCCCAGGCTTAATATTTAATCAAATTTGAAACACAATTTCTAATTAAAAACAGAAATCACAAGAAAACTAAGGGAATAGAAATAGATAAGAATAGTATGAAAATTCTGAAAAGGGAGAAATAAATGAAAAATCTAGTTCTCCCAGGTAATATATTCTATTTTTTAAAAGTACAGTAATTGAAGCTTAGCTTAATTGAAACTACAATAGAAAATCGAAAAGAAGAGGCAAAAGAGTTGGTCCAAAAACCATTCTAGATATAGTGCCATTTAACACATTAGAAAGGGATATGACTCACTGCTATGTAAGAAAGCAAATTAAATACAAAAAAAAAAAAACATAGGAAGCTTGACCTATAAGTAGGTAAAGAACTCATACAGTGTATTTATTAAAGAAGAAATATCCATACGTAGTATATGATACGCAATGCAGACAAACTGGGTGGTTTAGAACAAGAGAAATTCGTTATTTCTTAGTTCTAGAAGCCAATTTTCTTTGGCTTCTGTTGCATCACTTTGATTTTTGCCTTTATAGTCACACGATGTTCTGTGTGTGTGTGGTGGTGGGGGAATGTGTATCCAAATTTTGCTTTTGTATAAGAATACCAGTCATATTGGATTAGGGACCCACTCTACTTCAGTATGACGTCCTGACTTAACTAAGTACATAGGCAACAACACCATTTTTCAATAAGGTCACATTCTAAGAAACTAAGGGTTAGAACTTTACCATATGAATTTGGGAGAAAGAAAATTCAACCTGTATAAGATTGTAAACACATAAATATGAACTCCCTTTAGCAGGTAATGAAAGAATTTCAAATTAAAATGAACGGTGTTATACCATTAAAGTAAATAAGTATGTATTACTGAATGATGGTAAATCACTTTTGTAAACTGTGCTATCTTCCTGGGGTGGGAAGAATCTGTCAAAATGTATGAACCATCTTTGAATTCTGAATTTGGCTAAATCATTTCACATGTATGACTGTTTTTAAAGAAAATTATTCTAACAGTCATTATATGTTTTTATAAAAAGGTTTTTAAAACATTTTTATTTATAAAATATTGGAAAAAAAGTCAACCTTAGAAAACAATAGGATAATTTGGTTGCTATACATAATATACTGTATAATAATATACAGACATTAAATAATTGTGGCTAACTATACGGTTACTAATATGCCAAATATTAATCTAAGCACTTTATTTGTGTTAACTCATTAAAAACTTACAAGAACCCTACAAGGAATATGCTATTATTATTTCAGTTTTATTTTTTATAAGCTTTAGTTGTAGAAGAGTTAAATAACTTGTCTAAGGTCACATATTTTTGTAAATAACAAAGCAGAGATTGAACCCCAGGCGATCTGGCTCCAAGATTCATGATCATAACCCCTTACTATATCAACTTCATAAGCTGATATTAAAATATGTACCACCAGGTTGTTTAAGACAAAGCATATTATTATACATTTAATTTTAATTATTTGCATTGATAAATAAGATAGGAAGACATTATGCCAAGATATTAAAATCCATTGCCTTGGAGTTGCAGAATTATCAGTAACTTTTACTGTTACTTGCATTTTTGTGTATTCTTGTCTAATATATACATAAAACTTTAGGATAAAAAATTACTTGATAAGTGATTATATACATTTCTTATATATGATGTTTGCTAGATCAAATGCAACAATGAGGGAGATATTTGGAAATTTGAACTTCTGTTTCACTCTAGGTAAGCTCTTGTTTTTTAAATTCAAGTTTCAGGCAGCTAGATACACTGACAAAATATAAATAGATTACATGTTTTATGTAATTAACCCAGGGTCACTATCTATTAGAGTTTAGTTTGCAAATCTACCTTGGGGAACTATGGAATACTCGGCACTTCATGTGACCTAATTTGCGTATATGACCCTGTACCCTGATAGACTTACTCCGAAGTAATTTTAAACTGTTGCCAGGTCCTCTGGATACTTGATTTTGGTTACTATCCCAAGAATTATATTCATTAAAACACTCTTGGAGGGGTGCGTTGGAGACTTGTAGGAGCTATAAAATTATAATAATATACCATAGACCAATAAGTAATCAGCAAAAGCACAACTGCTCCAGCGAGAATAAAAAATAATCCAAAGAAAAGTAGAGCAATATGAAAAGGAGCAGGATAAAGAAACATGACCCTCCCCACAATTTCATATTTTGTTCCTCAGCATCATAACGTATATTACATTTATTGCCTGAATATTAAATGTGGTAATAGGGGAGGGCAATGCAACTAAAATATAAATTACTTGCAATAGTATATAAAGTCAAGTAGGCCAATTGTTAAACAAAATAATCTTTGTTTTTGTCACATCATTACTACAAACATTAAATATGACACTATCTGATCTCAACATCTACTGCCTCATGTCTACTTGTATACCTCAAACCTACAGACTTAAATGTTATTATTTTGTTCAACATTTCTTGCTAAGAAATGTGATATGTTGCAGTATAACGGGCTTACATTTCCAAAACAGTTTTAAAAGACTTCAGAGAAGTCCATTAAGCCTTGAGGGGAAAAAATTCAACAGAAGGCTAAAGAGCAAAATTTATTCTGGGAACAAGGAAGAAATTCAGATTTTAGAGCTGAGACACCAACTCAGTTAAATCAGTCACAAGGGTGATAATTTGTGTGCCCAAGATTTTGCCCAGATAACTCTCTTCATCAGTCATGCCAAAATTCAAATTTTTCCCTACAGACTAGAACAAGGTTAGAAGAAATTTCTTTATGGAGAGAATATATGAAGGTATTGTTGTCTATGGTGGAGACAGAAAATGTAAAATAGCAGAGTTTCAGTATATCCTGTAAAGATTAGATCTTTAAGTCATTCTTTCTGCAATATGTTCATATCTAGCCTTACTTGAAATTGTGTTTGGTCAAGTTTATTTTTATTCCTTTAGTCTTTCAGTTATGATTATCTTAAGATTTTATTACATTCAGTTTAGTCATAGCTCTTTATAGCTTAAAATTTGAAAAATAATAGCAATTATTCACACTGCTGTGTGAATGAATCTCTTATTGATGTTAAAATAATCTCAAAAAATAGTTGTGCCCTCTTCCTACTCATGAAACTAGCTTTGTGTTTTAAAGATTCAGATTAGATTAATGTTTATCAGTTTCATCTCTCCTTGCATTACTAAAACAATGAATTAATCATGTTGGCTGTCATTATCGACATGGAGAAAAATTAATCAACATTATCATTGAAGGCATATAATTTTAATTTAGGATACCAACGATGTAGGTAAGACCAAAGATACTGAGACATTTCCTAATGCATGTATGTTCCAAGTGCCAATGCATTTTTGATAACACAAAGGTAACAAGAATCAGAGAATTTTTCCCTTTCACTTAAATTCACTTTCTTTAATTTAGTATTATGTCTCTTGTTCAAATATCAAAATTTAGCCACAGCAAAAGCTGGCACATATTCCAATTAGTTGTGAACTATCAGAATTTTTGTTTGTTTAGACATGAGTTAGAAAATAACCAATCTTCCAATTCAAAGTCACATTTCAGCTGTTTAACATTTGGGGCCAGTTAAACTATAGGAGACTGTGTGAAAGAAGAAAGTGCCTGAGTGGGTCTGATTCACAAAAGTAAAAAAATAACTACATAAATAAAAAGGATACTGTATACTTGAACACAAATTTGGCTGATTTCCTATTTTAGCTTTTATATCCTTCAGGTAAATGAAGAGTTGTCATGTAGAAGCTCTGGGAGAGTCCTCTCATGCATGCGTTTTGCCTTCCACGTGCCAGATTCTGATTGATACTTATGGCCTGTTTTTCTACTCTTCCCGACTCTGGAGTCTCTTTGTGAGAAGCTGATTTTGATCTCAAGTCCTAAAGGTGAAAATTAATGGGATTTTCTTCTGTTTCTCTGTTCTAAAACCTTCCATTGGTTATCTGATGACTGCTTGTCCCTACATAAATAGGCCCTGCTCCCTTCCTTATGCTTGAATTTGCCCAACATTCTGGGACTTTGCTGTCCCTCCTCCCACCTCCAATCTACCACTCCACAGTTTTCCAAATATATTTATTATTGTGCTGACAATGTGGAAAATTCTTATTCATGCCATTATCAATACATGTGTGGCAACTGATACAATACAATTGTATCAATACAATTGTGTGGCACAGGTCTCCATAATGAGGATACAATGATACAACATAATCACTAGACAAAAGGAGTTCTCAGTCTAAAACAGAAAGTTACACTTGTTGGGCCGGGCGTGGTGGCTCATGCCTGTAATCTCAGCACTTTGGGAGGCCGAGGTGGGCGGATCACAAGGTAAGGAGATCGAGACCATCCTGGCTAACACAGTGAAAACCTTGTCTCTACTAAAAATACAAGAAATTAGCCATAAAATACTTTACAGACAAGCAAATGTTGAGAGATTTTGTCACCACCAGGCCTGCCTTACAAGAGCTCCTGAAAGAAACACTAAACATGGAAAGGAACAACCGGTACCAGCCACTGCAAAATCATGCCAAAATGTAAAGACCATCGAGACTAGGAAGAAACTGCATCAACTAATGAGCAAAATAACCAGCTAACATCATAATGACAGGATCAAAGTCACACATAACAATATTAGCTTTAAATGTAAATGGACTAAATGCTCCAATTAAAAGACACAGACTGGCAAATTGGATAAAGAGTCAAGATCCATCAGTGTGCTGTATTCAGGAAACCCATCTCACGTGCAGAGACACACATAGGCTCAAAATAAAAGGATGGAGGAAGATCTACCAAGCAAATGGAAAACAAAAAAAGGCAGGGGTTGCAATCCTAGTCTCTGATAAAACAGACTTTAAACCAACAAAGATCAAAAGAGACAAAGAAGGCCATTACATAATGGTAAAGGGATCAATTCAACAAGAGGAGCTAACTATCCTAAATATATATGCACCCAATACAGGAGCACCCAGATTCATAAAGCAAGTCCTGAGTGACCTACAAAGAGACTTAGACTCCCACACATTAATAATGGGAGACTTTAACACCCCACTGTCAACATTAGACAGATCAACGAGACAGAAAGTCAACAAGGATACCCAGGAATTGAACTCAGCTCTGCACCAAGCAGACCTAATAGACATCTACAGAACTCTCCACCCCAAATCAACAGAATATACATTTTTTTCAGCACCACACCACACCTATTCCAAAATTGACCACATACTGGGAAGTAAAGCTCTCCTCAGCAAATGTAAAAGAACAGAAATTATAACAAACTATCTCTCAGACCACAGTGCAATCAAACTAGAACTCAGGATTAAGAATCTCACTCAAAACCACTCAACTACATGGAAACTGAGCAACCTGCTCCTGAATGACTACTGGGTACATAACGAAATGAAGGCAGAAATAAAGATGTTCTTTGAAACCAACGAGAACAAAGACACAACATACCAGAATCTCTGGGACGCATTCAAAGTAGTGTGTAGAGTGAAATTTATAGCACTAAATGCCCACAAGAGAAAGCAGGAAAGATCCAAAATTGACACCCTAACATCACAATTAAAAGAACTAGAAGGCCGGGTGCAGTGGCTCACGCCTGTAATCCCAGCACTTTGGGAGGCCGAGGCGGGCGGATCATGAGGTCAGCAGATCGAGACCATCCTGGGTAACACAGTGAAACTCCGTCTCTACTAAAAATACAAAAAAATTAGCCGGGCGTGGTTGCAGGCGCCTGTAGTCCCAGCTACTCGGGAGGCTGAGGCAGGAGAATGGCGGGAACCTGGGAGGCGGAGCTTGCAGTGAGCCGAGATAGCGCCACTGCACTCCAGCCTGGGCCACAGAGTGAGACTCCAGTCTCAAAAAAAAAAAAAAAAAAAAAAAGAACTAGAAAAGCAAGAGCAAACACATTCAAAAGCTAGCAGAAGGCAAGAAATAACTAAAATCAGAGCAGAACTGAAGGAAATAGAGACACAAAAAACCCTTCAAAAAATTAATGAATCCAGGAGCTGGTTTTTTGAAAGGATCAACAAAATTGATAGACCACTAGCAAGACTAATAAAGAAAAAAAGAGAGAAGAATCAAATAGATGCAATAAAAAATGATAAAGGGGATATCACCACCGATCCCACAGAAATACAAACTACCATCAGGGAATACTACAAACAATTCTACGCAAATAAACTAGAAAATCTAGAAGAAATGGATAAATTCCTCGACACATACACCCTTCCAAGACTAAACCAGGAAGAAGTTGAATCTCTGAATAGACCAATAACAGGAGCTGAAATTGTGGCAATAATCAATAGCTTACCAACCAAAAAGAGTCCAGGACCAGATGGATTCACAGCCGAATTCTACCAGAGGTACAAGGAGGAACTGCTACCATTCCTTCTGAAACTATTCCAATCAATAGAAAAAGAGAGAATCCTCCCTAACTCGTTTTATGAGGCCAGCATCATTCTGATACCAAAGCCAGGCAGAGACACAACAAAAAAAGAGAATTTTAGACCAATATCCTTGATGAACATTGATGCAAAAATCCTCAATAAAATACCGGCAAAACGAATCCAGCAGCACATCAAAAAGCTTATCCACCATGATCAAGTGGGCTTCATCCCTGGGATGCAAGGCTGGTTCAATATATGCAAATCAATAAATGTAATCCAGCATATGAACAGAGCCAAAGACAAAAACCACATGATTACCTCAATAGATGCAGAAAAAGCCTTTGACAAAATTCAACAACCCTTCATGCTAAAAACTCTCAATAAATTAGGTATTGACGGGACGTATTTCAAAATAATAAGAGCTATCTATGACAAACCCACAGCCAATATCACACTGAATGGGCAAAAACTGGAAGCATTCCCTTTGAAAACTGGCACAAGACAGGGATGCCCTCTCTCACCGCTCCTATTCAACATAGTGTTGGAAGTTCTGGCCAGGGCAATCAGGCAGGAGAAGGAAATAAAACGTATTCAATTAGGAAAAGAGGAAGTCAAATTGTCCCTGTTTGCAGATAACATGATTGTTTATCTAGAAAACCCCATCATCTCAGCCCAAAATCCCCTTAAGCTGATAAGCAACTTCAGCAAAGTCTCAGGATACAAAATCAATGTACAAAAATCAGAAGCATTCTTATACACCAACAACAGACAAACAGAGAGCCAAATCATGAGTGAACTCCCATTCACAATTGCTTCAAAGAGAATAAAATACCTAGGAATCCAACTTACAAGGGATGTGAAGGACCTCTTTGAGGAGAACTGCAAACCACTGCTCAAGGAAATAAAAGAGGATACAAACAAATGGAAGAACATTCCATGCTCATGGGTAGGAAGAATCAATATCGTGAAAATGGCCATACTGCCCAAGGTAATTTACAGATTCAATGCCATCCCCATCAAGCTACCAATGACTTTCTTCACAGAATTGGAAAAAACTACTTTAAAGTTCATATGGAACCAAAAAAGAGCCCACATCGCCAAGTCAATCCTAAGCCAAAAGAACAAAGCTGGAGGCATCACACTACCTGACTTCAAACTATACTACAAGGCTACAGTAACCAAAACAGCATGGTACTGGTACCAAAACAGAGATATAGATCAATGGAACAGAACAGAGCCCTCAGAAATAACGCCACATACCTACAACTATCTGATCTTTGACAAACCTGAGAAAAACAAGCAATGGGGAAAGGATTCCCTATTTAATAAATGGTGCTGGGAAAACTGGCTAGCCATATGTAGAAAGCTGAAACTGGATCCCTTCCTTACACCTTATACAAAAATCAATTCAAGATGGATTAAAGACTTAAACGTTAGACCTAAAACCATAAAAACCCTAGAAGAAAACCTAGGCATTACCATTCAGGACATAGGCGTGGGCAAGGACTTCATGTCCAAAACACCAAAAGCAATGGCAACAAAAGCCAAAATTGACAAATGGGATCTAATTAAACTAAAGAGCCTCTGCATAGCAAAAGAAACTACCATCAGAGTGAACAGGCAACCTACAAAATGGGAGAAAATTTTCGCAACCTACTCAGCTGACAAAGGGCTAATATCCAGAATCTACAATGAACTCAAACAAATTTACAAGAAAAAAACAAACAATCCCATCAAAAAGTGGGCAAAGGACATGAACAGACAGTTCTCAAAAGAAGACATTTATGCAGCCAAGAAACACATGAAAAAATGCTCACCATCACTGGCCATCAGAGAAATGCAAATCAAAACCACAATGAGATACCATCTCACACCAGTTAGAATGGTAATCATTAAAAAGTCAGGAAACAACAGGTGCTGGAGAGGATGTGGAGAAATAGGAACACTTTTACACTGTTGGTGGGACTGTAAACTAGTTCAACCATTGTGGAAGTCAGTGTGGCGATTCCTCAGGGATCTAGAACTGGAAATACCATTTGACCCAGCCATCCCATTACTGGGTATATACCCAAATGACTATAAATCATGCTGCTATAAAGACACATGCACATGTATGTTTATTGCGGCATTATTCACAATAGCAAAGACTTGGAACCAACCCAAATGTCGAACAAAGATAGACTGGATTAAGAAAATGTGGCACATATACACCATGGAATACTATGCAGCCATAAAAAATGACGAGTTCATGTCCTTTGTAGGGACATGGATGAAACTGGAAATCATCATTCTCGGTAAACTATCTCAAGAACAAAAAACCAAACACCGCATATTCTCACTCATAGGTGGGAATTGAACAATGAGATCACATGGACACAGGAAGGGGAATATCACACTCTGGGGACTGTTGTGGGGTGGGGGTAGGGGGGAGGGATAACATCAGGAGATATACCTAATGCTAGATGACGAGTTAGTGGGTGCAGCGCACCAGCATGGCACATGTATACATATGTAACTAACCTGCACAATGTGCACATGTACCCTAAAACTTAAAGTATAATAATAAAAAAAAAAAAGAAAGAAAAGAAATTAGCCTGGCTTGGTGGCGGGTGCCTGTAGTCCCAGCTACTCGGGAGGCTGAGGCAGGAGAATGGCGTGAACCTGGGAGGCAGAGTTTGCATTGAGCCGAGATCACGCCACTGCACTCCAGCATGGGTGATAGAGTGAGACTCTGTCTCAAAAAAAAAAAAAAAAAAAAAAGGACACTTGTTGTTGATGTATTCCTGTTTTGATTGAGAAAAACCTAGGGAACTACAGGGAACAGAAAGGAGGTATCCAAGATAGATTGGCTAGGGATGGGGTGGCCTAGAAGTTAAATACTGTTGGGGATGCATTCCTAGACAGGATGATGCTTGATACAAGAATTTATCTCATGTCTAGACTAATTTTTTTCTATTTTCTGTACATTGGACAGTCTACAATTCTATTGTTTATTTAAAATTAGCAATAAATTTACAAGAAAAGTGAGAAATTTTTATGAGGGTGGTAGATTAGAGGAGCAATGAACCATGTACATGAACATCTGTATCAAGATGTTTTCATTCAAATTCCAGTCTTCCCTTTGACAGACTTTATGGCCAAGGACAAATTCACTCACATCTTCATGTCTAAGTCTTCATATAGATAATTTTAGAGATTTAGGTGTTCTCCAAAATCTTATATTTCAGAAACTACTTGTCAGGAGTCTTTAAGGAAAGGTGATAACTCTTCTGTTGCTAGTGTTAGGATGGGAAACTCATGAATAAAGTTTGGGTGTGTCTTCGTGCCACATGAACTACTTTTCTTATAACCTAACAGAAAAAGATAAATATCATATAACATCTACCAGCCAGCTATTTCACTGCTCTTGATGAATGAGGAACAAACAGATCTGGGGTCATTTTCACTATTAACATGGCTTTATAAGGGAATATGTCAGAAGAGTCATGTATTTTAAAAAAATTGTATTTATGTGAAAAACAGCACCATGCAGTTATTTTGAGCTTTACATATCATTAATTTTCAGAAACTTGTTTCACATGGATATTATCTTCCAATGCTATTTTGACACAATTATAGAGAATACAGAAGAAATTAAAATTTGGGCTATTCTTAACCAAAAACTAAGAGCAGGAATAAAACAATGGAATCTGTGGATATATCTCATAAACTGTAATTTTATGAATATATTATAGAAACCACCCTATCTCTAATAGCACAATTTTAAAGATCTTTTGGAATACCCGAAGAAGGAGGAGCATAGAAAGCATGGAAAAGAAATCATAGGAAGCAGAGACAGCTAGGTCAATTCAGACCCATGATTTCATCTTTGGAAATTTAAGTCAGCCGTGAAGTTGCTATGTGCATTAATGAAATTTCAGTGTCAGTGTTGTATTCTAGATTATGACCGAAGTCTCAAATTTATTGACTTAGCAGAAATCACACCCAATATTTTTATTTTAGTTAATGTCTATTTTGTTGACTAATTTTATACTATAAGCAGAGAGGTGCAGAAAGGTCTGCAATGGGGGGTTTTAATTAATATTTGTAAGTTTTATTTATACTGTTTAATCAATGAACTGGGCCATGAGATCAAATTATTACCAGAAAACAAAGATTGAATAAATGATTCCAGAATTGTATTTTCTGGTGACTTTTAAAATCAACTTCCATTTATAAGTCAGAAATTACAAAGTTTGGAAACAGATACAATTACTAAGGTAAAAATGTTACCTTAGGCTCTGCTGCATTGTCAAAAATTATGAGGGATCTGAGATATTACCATATCGAACACTTACAGTGTAGTAAGTCCGAAATCTCACTGATGAAATTAGAAGACATGACAATCCTGATTTAGATAAAAGGACTTTATCGTTGTGGCACAGCAAGCAGCCTAAGCTTTACATTCACACCAGTTTTTCTTGCTCCTCAAATTCTATAGGGGCAAGACAGAGAATTCTAGGTGGAATCTGTTCACTCAGTGAGTTTGCATCACACCTGAGCAACACCAAGGACAGTTAATGTTAATCTTCTCTATTGGGCTGTAAGCAGACCTGCCCAATATTTGCTTCCTGCAGGGACACACTGTCTCCATTTTCCAAGGACATGTGTAATATAGACATCCTTGAAAAAACAGTCCCAAACAAGTGACTCTGTGCATAATAACATTGCACAGAAAGACAATGGAGAAATTACCCATGGAGAATTATCTCCCAAGGTGGAGTTGGTTAGTTTGCTTATCAAGATGTGGGTGTATTTCAAAATGTTGAAAGCTTATTTTTCAATTTTTCCAAATACTTTTTTTTTCCCCATCAGCTTGGTCTTTTGGCATTTCATATAATTACCTTGCACACGTGGCCATCACTCTGCCGGCAAAGCCTTTAGTGATGAAATTCTCAATGATCGCATGACATTTTGGGTTATTTGATTTTGCACTCAGTATCATTTCTAATTGTTATTAAGTTTGCTGTTTTGATTTGATGATGAATATATTGTTAGATCTAGTTTCAAAGTTGGTGCTTAAAAGGTGCTAATGCCTTTATAAAGTTAAGATGTAGTTTTGTGTTTACCTTTCTATGCTAATTTTACAAAAAGATGAAAAGGCAAATCAGGATAAAATCTCTGTTCAAGTTTTCTGGAGAAATCTTTTTTTCTAGCTTTTCCTCCCTCTTTTTAGTCATACATTACTAATGTGGCAAGCATAGTGAAAGTTATTGTTAGAGAAATTCACTTTAATACCATTCAGATGTACAATGGCTAGAACAAGACCTGAGCCCAATAGATTTTCTCTGAAAAGTTTGTATCTAACAAACAATACAGCAGAATCACAGCATTATTGAGCATTTCTGCTTCAATGACAAGATGAAGGACTTGTGAAAAAAATGTTTCTTCTCTAATGTCCACATAAGCACCACATGAAACAAATACCTCTTAATAGTCAACACACTGGAATATGCACATAATATAATCATGATTATTATTTTACAGATTTAATTAATTATTTTATTGATCTATATGGTGCTGGTTATTCCCTTCTCACACTAGGTAGGTGAAAGATGGCTTTGTGTTAATGGGTTTGAGTCCCAACCTGAACTTGATTTAAAAATAATGACAAAGTCTATAGTCTATCTGGACATCCCATACAAGATCTCTGCCATTAACACTCAACTCACTTTCATTCCATGGAGGTTAAAGTTTAATTCAAATTATCAAACAAGTATTTTCCTACAATATGCTTAAAGAATCTTGATTTTAATTAGAGATTGCCAATTAGAATAGTCATTAGACTCAGACAATTTTAATAAGCTGCTGAGGTGAGTTAGTGAAAAGGAAGTTGACTCTAGAAGTCAGTGTCAGAGGGACACTAAGGAAAAAATGGACTTTTGCAAGATGGAAAGTCCAGGCCCTTTGTTGGGAGAGGAGGAGAGCCTCTGTTACTGAGACTCAGCCAATTTTAAGAATGTGACACATTGACAGATGTTCCAATAATTTCAAGAGAAGATTCAGAATTATGTAAACACCCATTTTTTTAAAGCCACTCTTAGGTTACTTTGTGAGTTGTCAGTTTCTGCCCTTTGCTACTCATGTGAAGTGGCACTTAAAAACATATGCAGATACTACTTAGCCCAGGGCCTAGTGGCTAAGCTGGTTCTCTCCTTTCCAGTTGGAGGCCTCTGCCACAAACATACTCTGCCAGATCATTAGTCAGGTCAAGAAGCATCCAAGCTTGATGCCCCTCTTTGTATTTATTGGAGTTGGAGATACTGGAGCAGCACTGTATCTCTTGTTTCTGGCATTGTTCAATCCAGATGTTAATTGGGACAGAAAGAATAACTCAGAGCCCTGGAACAAACTGGATCCCAATGATCAGTACAAGTTCTACTCAGTGAATGTGGATTACAGCAAACTAAAGAAAGAAGGTCCAGATTTCTAAATGAAATGTTTCACTATAAAGCTACTTTAGAATGAAGGTCTTCCAGAAGCCATCTGCACAATTTTCAACTTAACAAGGAAATATTTCTCCTCTAAATGCATGAAATCATGTTGATGTAATCTATTGGAGATTATACTGATTAATAAATAACTGAAACTTGAAAATAAAACAGGTGCCATAAAATCTTTTCATTTACTAATGAGCTACTAAATTAACTGCCCCATTCTGAAGAGAGATCAGGCTTATTTCTGAGAATGTAGAGAGCATGGTGCTTCTACACTTGTCTTATGATGCACAGCTTTGATCTTGTGAAGAAAACCTAAATTATCAGTTTTTCTCATGTGTGTTTTGGAATAAAAATTATCCACTTGACAGTGGAAACAAAGGGAGAGGATATTCTAAAGCAAAAATTAATCATTTCGTTGAACTAAGATCCTTGCTGTCATAGAACAATGTCAGATCCCTAAAATGTAAAACATGCACCTTTATGCCTACATCCTTGCAAATTTGCTCCTGGGAATGGTAATGCAAATAAAATCTGGCCCATTTGTTATGGATTGCTTTGAACCAATTTAATTGAGTTACTGACCTATTAAAAGAAACCATTTTAAGTTGAAATATTAAAATGGAGGATTCAACCAATGTTTGCTAAAGACTATATGGCCCATTATCCCAAAAAGATAATTACATTCAAATATTATAGTCAAACTTTATCTTAAATTCAGAAATTTTGTTTTTCTCCTGGCATTAAACAGGTAGCCACCCTTCTTTTATCTTCTTAGTTCTTGTATAATATTTTGGAAATACTTGCAATGATTTTCACTATCAACCCTGAATGTTAATAGTGGGGAAATTAATCCTTCTGGGTATTAATTATGTAAAAAGTACTCTGGGGTTGTGGGGAAGTGTTTGTTATAGTACTGAATTAATGATTAAATACTACCTATCAAATATAGTGAGTAAGTATAATATTATCATCAAAGGTATTTGCAGAAAATTCTCATGTGAAATTTACAGTTGAACTCCTTGCAATTGGTTCTAATCTTCTAGGATCTCTCAACAGAAAGGGAGAAATCAACTACATGGAAAAGAACTTAAAAAAATCAATTCCATCTGTGTTCAGGTCTTCACAATCTAGGCTTAGGAAAACAAATGTTTTAAAGTGATAACTGGTTAAACTGTTATTTTTGTTAGCATTGGTTTTATCTTAAGGCTGATTTATCTAGTGCCCTCAAGAGGGCTACAGTTGTGTCAGACATCATATCTGTGTTAGGGATCCCTAAGACCACCCTCAGGTTCAATAATTCACTTGAAGGACTCAGAGAGCTCAAAAGCTGTCATACTCTTGGAGTTTTTTACATTGGAAAGATGATATTGAAATCAGCAAAGGAAAAATGCACATGGGGCACAATCTGGCAGACATCAGGTACAAGCTTCTAGGTGTTTTCTCTCTTTGGGGCTGCATAATGTGTTTAATTTTCTTGGTACAAATAAGTAACGATACACTCTAAGCATTGCCAATGTGGCTTTGTGTCAAGAAATCTTATTGGGGGTCATTTATGTAGGCCATGCACACCAACATGACTGACGCTACCTTCTCAGACTCCAGACCCCCGGAGCAGAAACAGGTATTCACCATAAATCCCACTGTTAACTAACCATCCTGTCAAGTTGGTACAGAACAGCCCAAGGCCTCAGGCATACAAAAAACTCTTATCAGGGAGAACATTCCAAGGGCTCAGAGCTCAGTAACCAGAAGCCAACCAAAGCCAATCTTGAGAACAGGCCCTTATTGGAAATGTACAGTATTTGATTAATTGAGGAATGCTGAATTAAATGTTTCCTGCACAATATCAGACAAAGGAAAGGAATTTTCACCTCTAGAGTCTCTTTTATAAGAGTCAGGGACGTATTCTCAGCTACCATCTGGCAGATCCTCCCCAGGGTTTCATATATCCAAAACAATCCCAATGAAGAAAAATGGAATGTTATGATTGGCTAGAATATCGAACTGGTGTTATTTTACATGAGGGGAACACCTAAGCACAATTGGAGTTCTCTTATGAAGAGGGAAGGAGAGAAGTGCACATTGAATTGTTAAACATTTTCCTACAGCAAGCTTTAATACTGTTGATTCTGATAGAACAAAATATAGAGGCATAAGCAATGAAACTATGTCTTTATTATTAATATGCATATATGCATATACATACATATACAAATATATATGTGTATCAGTTATATATATGTGCATGTGCATATATTAAAAATATGCTCTCTATAGATACAATAATGTTCTGTGTAAGAAAAAGAAATTAGAAATAGATTGGAATACTGTATTAGGTTACTTTTAATTAAATATTCTTACTGTCAAATTTGAGGTTCCCTGCAGTATCATCCTTTTTATGTTTTTCTGAATAGACTAACTTCTCATTTTCCTACTCTTGCCACCAAACGTTTTTTCAATTCCCTAGAAAATAATTGCTAAAAACTCATGAAATATTAATGCCCCTCTGGATCCCACTTTATTCATTCCCAGTAGCTTAAGTTCCCTTATCCAAGCTTTTAGAGGAAACTGATGAACGTAACAATTGTCTCTTGTCCTGAATACCTTTTATTTATCTTGCAGTGCTTCCTAATACCCTTTGTCCTGGTGCCTAATATTCTCTCCATCCAATCTAAATAAATTAATTCATCTTACGTATTTCTTATCTAACTTCACAGATGCTTGAAATTTTGTTTGACTTTGGAAAAAGTATCAATGTTTAAATCAAGGAAATAATAAACTCCTTTTTTAACTCTAGACAGACAATTTTGAAGAGAAGTCTCAAGTGATATATGCTGTTACTAGTGCTACAGAAAACCCTTTGATTCCTTGCAAAGCTGGAAGCTCCCATTGAATCTATTGTGTGTTTTTTTTCTCCCAACACCATGGTCCATTTAGAAAGAATTCAACTATAAGCTTTAATACCTGAAGAGGTGGGAAAATATGAAAACAGAGTCTTGTTGAGGAGACAATATATTTAATTAACAAATCAGAGTCTGACAAGAGGCATTTAAAGATTTTCATAACTGGCCCCACGTGCTTTTTTACCCTATGTGACTTCCTTTTCCCTCTTTATTTCTCACACCTCTACGTTGCGTACAGGCCCATATTACCAAATTCTCAAATAGGATGTGGAGAATATTTAGTCCTCTATTTCTTTTCAATTCCCATTTCTATTTCTTTTATTATTACATTCCATTTCTTTCTTTTCAATTCTTGTTATATGTAGGGACCAGCCAGTTATCTCATCTGTTTGGATACCTTCTTACTCTTTTATTTAGTTAGCTCAAATGTAAAATTTTGCAAGGGACCTTTCTGATTTCCCTAGATGAGATCAATTACTTGCTCTTCTAAGGTGGCACAGGACCAAGTACAAATCTCTACTAGATCTTATCACATTATATACACTATGTATACCTTCTATACTTAGCACAGTATCTGGCTTATAGTAGATGTTCAGCCCATCTGGGGACTGGGAGAAGTTTAAAGGAATACACCACCTGTAAATACTAAGGGCTATTATAAATTAGACAAACAAGTGGGTAGAAGAGCAGTGTTGTGACTTAGAGGAATCTTCAAAAGAAGTAATGTACAAAGCTAGCTCTTACAAGATAAATTGAATTCCACTAGCTGGGGAATTACAAGATAGACACTACAAACAGAAATAATTAATAGAGAAATAATTTATTTCATCAATGCAATGTTTTTTCTACCAGCAAGAAACTCATAGAGATATGTTTAAATAAAAAGATAAGTGTCTTAAGAAGTTATCTACATCTATATCATTTATATCTATACTTATACCTATATGTCTATTTCTTAAAACCAAAGTAGGGCCTTACAAATGGCCCAACCCAGAGACTAAAACCCTGCTGAGGCTCCCTCTTTCATTCTTTTCCTTGAAGACCAACATTATCTGTTATTTTTATCTACATGTGGGTAGGATAGGTACAAGGGATGTGAAAAACGTGGTTATAAGTCAGATTCAGCTTCTAACGTATGACCCTGGAGTGTGTCAAATAGGATGCCTCAGAGTACTCACAGGTACCCAAGAGTGGGTTTTATCAATAAATACGAGAGCTTATCTTCTCCAAACTTGTCCCAGAATTAACTCCTTATCTGGCTTTATTCCCTGTCACAGCCACCTCCTTTGAAATATCCATATTTTTCTCTCTAACATTGATTTATATACAACCACTTTTTGTGAAACTAATGAGTTTCTTCTTAAATGCTTCAAACTCTCTCAACCTATTCTTAATAATATGTACAAGAAAGCTTCTCAGAGCCTGTCAACTAAGCCTCATCAGCCAGACTCTAAGCGTGGTCAACACAATATGTTAGTCAGGGAAGTGTTTCAGAGCCCTCCTCTTTTCAGATTCTGATGATGAATCTTGATCGTACCACTCTTTGCATTAGTCTTGATATTTTCTGGCTAAGAATTTCTGCTATTCTTGAAGATATAGAATTGCATTGTGCAATACGGTAGCCACTAGCTTCAAGTGACTCTCTCAGTTAAATTTAAATTAATTAAAATTAAATTAAATTAAATTTTAGTCCCTTAACTACATTAGCCAGGATTCAAATGCTCAATAGCAACAAGATTCCACTGGTACTGTTTCAGTCAATCATAAGGTTAATGGCAGCATCTGTTCTTTCACCCGCCCAAAGAGGTAGGTATGGATTCACTCCTACTCCCTTACTGTTAAGTGAATTTTTAATCACCTTTCACAGAGATGTTACTGGGTGGTCACTAATAAAATTCTATCTGCAAAAATAATTTAAAATGATTATTACATTATAGTAAAATATTAATACAAGGTGATACTGAGGAATGCTTTTTCTCAATTCCTGATGTTTTCTCCTGACAAATAGAAATCTCCTTATGTAAAAGTTCTATTTTCATTCAGCTCCATCAATTATTGGTATACAGGAAGGAGGAGTTACCTATCTTACTGGTTCAACTGGGATGAGGAACTGAACGTACTTCCCATGGTTTTTTCTCTTTCCTTGTTTTCTGGGAAGTTATCTGCCTACATGGGGTATGTGCTCCCAGGTGATCTCAGTTATGTGGTGTCTCTCCAGAGTGGAGGGCCTGGAATGGCCCATTGCCTCTAGTGACTGAGCTGGAGCATCTTTCAGTATCAGTAAGCCTACTAGGTCAGAGATAACAGTCACTTTTTCCCATATTCACTTTATTAGTAAGAAAGATGATTGTTTCCATCAGTCTTATTCCTTATACTTTAATTTCTTGAAAGCTCAGGTATAAAGGATGCTCTCTCTTAAAGAGACACCATCAAATACTGACAGATGAGATCAGACAGTTGAAATTTCTCTCTAAAATAAAAGCTTTAAAAAACAAGCTGCTATAATTAACAGCAATATTTCTTCTATAAGTCATTTCCATCTATTTAAAGAATACTGTTGATTGTCCTGACTACAAACTGAAGTGTATTTACTTTTGTAGAAAATTGAGAAAATTACTTCCTTATATACAATTCTAATATTAATTTAAAAATCATATACTAAATGTCTAAGAAATGTAAAATTGTTTTCAACTTCTGGTATTTTTTCAGGCTTATAAAGTATGCAAACCTTTGTACAAACTAAAAGCAGATTGATCATTTGCATAACAACATAATTTCTTAGATGCATTCTGTGGTGTTTTCAAAACTTTTATTGGTGGAAAATTCTCAGCAAATAAAGTCTTTCAGTGGTAGACTATGTAGAAGTAATTCTAATTTTTTACACGATCATTTTATTAAGGCATCAAATGTATTCGAATTAACCTAATAACAATGTATTTTATGATCTGAATTGGAGAGCGGGAATAAGAGGCGAAAGATTAGGAGATAAAGTATACTGGAAAAGTCAGGGTTCTTCTCACAATGCTCAAATTACAATTGCCAGTATTCAATTCCATTTTATGGTACTTTGGTTGTCAGAAACTGTCACCAATGTCGTGTAATAAAATATTTCTGTAAGACTTTCTTAAAATTCAATGCCATTGTCTTGCAGGCATTCCAGTATCGCACTTCTCATATATATCAACATTTTTTTAGAGCTAAAGAAGGAAGAACAGAGTTTGTAAAGTTGAGGTTGTTTCTGCAGTGAACAGGAAAGTTCCTGTTTATATTAAAAACAAGATAAACTAACAAGAGTCATCACTTTGTATCTCAATGTTTCCAATTTGAATGTCTGAAGCTTTCTAAGTATAAATGAATGTTCTGAAAATATGCAAATGTTTTCTAGAAATTCTTTTTTTTTCAATTTCACTTTTGTCCTTGATAAGATCACAGACCCTTACAATCAGAGCTCAGATGAGTTTTTCAGGGCTTCTATATATAGAATATTCAGTAAATACTTGGATGCCATATGCAGTTAAAGATTCAAGGGGTACTGCTTCTGAAAGAATTAAAACCTGTTTGTTTCCTATAATGAGTCTTTCTCACAGCAGTTACTTATTACTGATGAGTAATTCAGGTGTTAATAGCTGTATAGTCCAGATCTTCTTGTTCTGCTTGGCCAGAGAAATAGACATGAAATTATGCTTATAAATAACAAATTTGTTGAAACTTTTATTAAGGAGAGAATATTTTGATAATATGCCTAATCTCATTCTACATGAATTCTTTTTTAGTTCTGTTATTTTATACCACATTTAAAGCTTAAATTGGGACAATCAATTAACTAAATATTTGTCAAAATACCATATGGTTTTTTGTGCTGTAAACAAAGTATATCACTGACATACATTTCTGGTACCTGAGGAGAATTCCCTTAGAAAAGGAAAGAAGAGATACATGAGAATAAAATGCATGTTATTAAATATTCAATAACAATTGGCATGGGCAACAGTTATGTGTCTCTTTGAAAAATACAACAAATATTGCAATAGACAGGCTAGAGGTCAAATTAGACAGGTTACAATTACAGGAAGACTAATAAGATACTCCAAGTGTTTATAAACCTGCCCTTGGGATGCTTAAATCAAAGAAAAGATGACTAAGCAAACCTAATTGGCCTATATATAGCTTTCTTATTACAACCACAGAATTCTTTGTGTCAGGTTTTTATTTTTAAATGCATATTGTCCGGTTTTTGAAAAACAACTAAGAGGCATGAAAACTGAAAAAAGTATTTGACATTTTAAAATTTCAGTATTTTACTTTCCAGAGGAGCTAGGAAAGAAAATGCTTTAAGTAGGAGCACATCAAAACGTCAGTGGGACAGACAATTTCCCATGGAAAATGGGGTACAATGAATTATATAAAAGTACTGTCTTTGAACTTATTCTGCCTGCATTTCCTCCTGAAAAATATGTGGCTGTTTGTGCCTCTGTAAATTAAACCAGATTTGGGATAAATATTAAAGCATATGTAGAATAGCTAAAGAGAAATAATTACTAACTTCAAATGGATACTCAGATGATAGTGGAAAGAGTGGCTCTGATTGAATATTATTCAGTATAAATTTCAAATCATGTCATACACTAATGTAGGGGAATTCTTCACTTTTGAGACTTCTTAGCATATGCGCACCTTTTCTTTAGGAAATTCCCTAACTTTGGAGCCTTAGTGAAGGGCAAAAACTGTCTGCCATGACTGAAGTTGAAAATGGTAGATACTCTCTTATCTTCCTCTGCAGCTAGTCTGTGGTCATATGACCTGGGCTAAGTAATGCTTTTATTTAGAACTCAGTGCTGCAGACAATCAGGGATAATGGCAGCATCCTGTTTCCAGGGGCAGCTGTGAACATAATGTGAGTTCTGAGAAGAAAGCATAGTGTCAAAAAATAAATAAATCAAACAGATTTAAGAACTATGCCAAGGAAATAATTTGAGCTGTGTTTATGGCAAAGAGACTTCTCTGGAAGGAAGTTAATCAGAAGCCTACTGTGATTCTGAAGGATTGGCATTGTCAAAAAATTCCAAAAGTTGATCTAAAAATTATTTGAATGATTGAGCCTTAAAATAGTACTCTGGCTTACAAAAGTTAAAGAGTAAGATGCAGGCTGCTAAAGCTACAAATTCTCAAAACATCCATGTTAGATGTAGTCATTGAGGATATAGGTGAAGTTCTTGGAGTTGGGAGCAGGGTTCTGGGAAGACAATGGACAAGTGAGTTTTTCCCAGGGAACATAATAGAAAAAATTTTTTTAATCCCAAGTACATAACTGTCTATGAAGGGAGGAGTACTTCTTTCTGTTTTCATAGATTACAGGAATAGAGGAATCTCTTCCAGATTCAATGGAGAAACCTCACATTGAGAATATGAACATTGAACTGAATACATTAGGCAGGTGAGACTTTGGGTTACCCTCCCTCTGTTGCTGGGATTCTGATCTGAGGGGAGGAAGACTTTCCACCGGTATTTGATAGCCAGATTTGGCATAGATGCATAGCTGTAATCAAAAAATGTATGCCTCTTTTTATGGACTACAATTCTTTCTGGAAACATATTGCAGTCAACTATATTTCCACCCTTCTCCACCCTAATCACTGACCATTGAAAGTATGTGAGGCTATTGTTGTCACCAATTATGTGGAAGCAGAAGTGATGGGTTTCATTTCTGAGCCAATCTAGTTAAGAAGATTACAGATTTCTCCATTCTCTTTCTTCTTTAATATTCAAGGTGTATGTCAATGTGAACTGCATACTGGGATTCATGTAGTGAACATGTAAAATCCTACGTAAGCCTCTATCCTTGAATAATAGCCATGAGTATAGGCTGCCTCCACCCCACTATCAATCTGAAACACAAATATTGGCATTTGTCTGAATACAAAAATTAACTGACTACCTAGTGTCACAATTCACAGATATGTTAACCTAACGTTAACTTAATTAAAATGCCCCTTAGCTACTTCAGAGATGTGTAAAATGACTCATTACCCTTACTATCAGCTTATAGTTATATTGAAATAGCCATCTTGCTAATAATATTAGGTTGGAGCAAAAGTAATTGCAGTTTTAGGCTTTGAATTTTAAATAATTATAACTAGGCTCAAACACATCCTTATTAGTCAAAATAGGAACGATTATAAACAACACACTTTTGCCAACAAAAAATAAGTTTTTTTATCCTGTAGCATAAAAATCCATGCTTCGGGATTTAACCAACTCACGGAAAGCATTTTCTGCATTCTGCTGGTTGTGGAAGCATTTTCCCTACAAAAAGTTGTCCAGATGGTTGAAGAAATCGTAGTCAATTGGCGAGAGGTCAGGTGAATGTGGCAGATGAGGCAAAACTTCACAGCACAATTCGTTCAACATTTGAAGTGTTGGTTGTGCAACATGTGGTTGGGCATTGTCGTGGAGAAGAATTGGGACCTTTCTGTTGACCAAAGGCAGCTGCAGGCATTGTAGTTTTTGGTGTATCTCATGGATTTGCTGAGTATACTTCTCAGATATAATGGTTTCACCAGGATTCAGGAAGCTGGAGTTGATCAGACCTGCAGGAGAGCGCCAAATAGTGAAAATGATTTTTTTTTTTTTTTTTTTTGGCTTTGGGAAGTGCTTTGAAGCTTCTTCTCAGTCCAACCACAGAGCTGGTCATTGTTGGTTGTTGTATAAAATGTACTTTTCATTGCACGTCACAATTCGATCAAGAAATGGTTTGTTGTTGTTGGGTAGAATAAGAGAAGACAACACTTAAAAACAACTTTATTTTATTTTATTATTTTTTTTTTTTTTGAGACAGAGTCTGGCTTTGTTGCCCAAGATGAAGTGCAGTGGCATGATCTTGGCTCATTCCAAACTCTGTCTCCTGATTTATTAAAAATACTATTGTTCCTTATTATTGACTTAGCTTCAAGTAATTCTCCTACCTGAGCCTCCCCAACTAGCTAGGATTACAGGTCTACACCACCACACTCAGCTAATTTTCTTGTATTTTTAGTAGAGATGGTGTTTCACCATGTTGGCCAGGCTGATCTGGAACTCCTGACCTCAAATGATCCACCCTCCTTGGCCTCCCAAAGTGCTAGGATTACAGGCATGAGCCACCACACCCAGCCAACAAAATGATTTTTTTTTATCTTCACTCAGCTCATAAGGCACCCACTTACTGAGCTTCTTCACTTTTCCAATTGCTTCAAATGCTGAATGACCATAAAATGGTAAATGTTGAGTTATTCCGCAACTTCTCATGTGGTTGTAAGAGGACCAGCTTTGGTGATTGCTTTCAATTGGCTGCTGTCAACTTCCAGGCTGGCCACTACACTCCTTATCTTCAAGGATCTCGTCTCCTTTGCAAAACCTCTTTTTTTTTTTCTTTTGGATCACTTCCGAGGCAAAACTTCTTGAACCACCACTGCACTGAACGTTTGTTAGCAGTCCCTGGGTCCACTGTGTTGTTGATGTTGCAAGTTGACTCTGCTGTTTAATCACCCATTTTGAACTTGAATAAAGAAAATTGTTCCAATCTGCTTTTGTGTAACATTATTTCCATAGTCTAAAATAAACACAAAATAAACAGCAAGTAATAAGTCATTAACAAAAAGACGTAAAACAAGAAATGCCCATTAAAATGATGTATAACATAACCACATTTGTTTAAGAATGTATTCCACTATCAAACAGCAAATTCCAACAATGCAAAAACCGTAATTATTGTTTTTCTTAAAACATAGAATATAGGCAGGGTTCAGTGGCTCACGTCTGTAATACCAGCACTTTGTGAGGCCGAGGCGGGCAGATCATGAGGTCAGGAGATCGAGACCACCCTGGCTAACGTGGTGAACTCCCGTCTCTACTAAAAATACAAAAAAATTGGCTGGGCATGGTGGCGGGCACCTGTAGTCCCAGCTACTCCGGAGGCTGAGGCAGGAGAATGGCGTGAACCTGGGAGGCAGAGTTTGCAGTGAGCAGAGATCGCGCCACTGCACTCCAGCCTGGGCAACAGAGCAAGACTCCGTCTCAGGAAAAAAAAAAAAAAAAAAAAAAAAAAGAATATAATGTTAGTATTATGTACTCCTTTCTCTCCTAAGTATCAGTCAGGAGAACAGTCATTGAAGTTTAAAAGAAAACAGAGCTTTAATATGGGAATTATAAATTACTTGAATGTGAGAGCAGATGAGACAGTCAATACCTAGCAGTGGGAATCACCATATCAGAAAAATAATCATTATCTATGCCATGTGGAGTACAAGTATGCTCAGACAAAATACACCTGGAAGAAAAACTCAAAAAACGATTCTAATCTAGATATTCAAGTGGCACCGCAAAAGTGGAGCTTGTAGAGAGTGTGGAAACTACCACCAATGTAAATTCTGCTAAATGAAAATTGCTGCCTTTGTGGCCACCACGATCCACAGGAACCACTGCCTGTGTAGGCTCTCAGTCAAGCACCTGGTGGTAAGTTTGGGACTGCTGTTGGCCAGCAGGGCCAGTAGCCAGAAAATCAAGCTGGACTTGAGGCAGAAGGAGAACAGGAACAAGGTAAGGCTCACGTGGGAAAATTACCTTGTTCATCGCCATGTATGACCATTGAAACCATTTGAGGGAAACAACCTCTGCCTCCCAGATGACTTGAAATCATGTATGAGTTCTTCTAATCAGCTAACTCTAACCTAGAACCCTATAGGAAAAAGGATTCCAGCAAATACAAGTTCTCAGCCTTAGACAAGAGCAAGAGTGCCAACAGGATAACACAAATTCTAGCAAATCTGGTTTGCCAGGTAACAGTGACTTAACTTTTATTAACCCATGATTTCCCCGTAATATCTTCGATTATATATTACTCAAAGTAGCCTAAGCTTACGACGGATAATAAAATAAAATGATAGGATCTCCAAGTCTTCTTTTGTTCACAAAGTATCCCCATTGTCTTTTAATGTTTGTTTTTTAAGGCCTAATTAAAATACAGCAAAACATACGAATCATTTTAAGGCAGTTGACAAATGTAATCACCATGTAATCATCACACAAATCAAATAATAAACATTTCCATCAACTCAGTAAGTTCTCTAAGCAACTAACTAGCCAATGTCTCCTTCACTTCACAGAGACTAGAACTGTTCTATTTTTTTGTCTCTACAGATTAAATTTTACCTGTTCTTGAATTTTATGTAAATAGGGGTCACATAGCCTGTGGTGGTCTTTGTATCTGAGGGCTTTTACTCAAAATATTGTTTTTGAGATTTACCCTTGTTGTTTTACATGTCACTAGTCTATTTCTTTTATTGTTGCTTACTTTTCCATTTATGAATATACCACAATTTGTTTAACTATTCTGCTGTTGACAGACCTTTGTGTGGTTTGTAGATTTTGGTTATTATGAATAAGGCTGTTAAGAACATCATTGTAAAGATTTTGGTGAATGTAAGTTTTCGTTTATCTTGAGTGAGTTCCTAAGAGTAGAATTGTTGTATCATACAATAGGCATATGTTTAGTTTTATTGAAAACTTCCAAACAATTTTCCAAAGTGATATTTCATATTCTAGGATGAAACTTATGAATTTCTGTTAATCTAAATTGTCATTAATATTTGATATTGTTGTTTTTTAAAAAATTCAGCCATTCGATCTATAGTGGTAGTAATTCCCTAAAATTACATTAGCATTTCTCAGATTATTAGCGATGTTGAACATTACTGCATGTTCTTATTGGCAATTCACATATCTTCTTTTGTGAATGCCTGCTTGTTCAAGTATTTTGCACCATTTTGTGTGGGTATGAGGGAAAGCTTAATTCATCTTTTATGTTTCAATTTGTAAGAGTTCTCAATGTACTCTCTTTTATTATAATGTAAATATTTTCTTCCAAACTGTGGCTTGTCTTATTACTTTCTTACTTTATATTTTGATAAGCAGAAGCTTTTAATTTTGGTTGTTTATTTTATTTTTTTCTTTTATGACTTATTATTTTTATCTTGCCTAAAAACCTTTGCCTACACCAACTTCACATGCATATTTTCCTTGTTTTTTTCTATAATATTTATAATTTTAGCCTTTACATTTTAGAATTATGGCCCAACTTTAAGAGATTAACATTTGCCTGTAATGTAAAGTAAGAATCCATTTTGTATTTTCTTTTTTTTTTTTTTTAATTTTTATTTTTATTGATCATTCTTGGGTGTTTCTCACAGAGAGGGATTTGGCAGGGTCATAGGACAGTAGTGGAGGGAAGGTCAGCAGATAAACAAGTGAACAAAGGTCTCTGGTTTTCCTAGGCAGAGGACCCTGAGGCCTTCCGCAGTGTTTGTGTCCCTGGGTACTTGAGATTAGGGAGTGGTGATGACTCTTAACGAGCATGCTGCCTTCAAGCATCTGTTTAACAAAACACATCTTGCACTGCCCTTAATCCATTTAACCCTGAGTGGACACAGCACATGTTTCAGAGAGCACAGGGTTGGGGGGTAAGGTCACAGATCAACAGGATCCCAAGGCAGAAGAATTTTTCTTAGTACAGAACAAAATGAAAAGTCTCCCATGCCTACTTCTTTCCACACAGACATGGCAACCATCCGATTTCTCAATCTTTTCCCCACCTTTCCCCGCTTTCTATTCCACAAAACCACCATTGTCATCATGGCCTGTTCTAAATGAGCTGTTGGGCACACCTCCCAGATGGGGTGGTGGCCTGGCAGAGGGGCTCCTCACTTCCCAGTAGGGGCGGCCGGGCAGAGGCACCCCTCACCTCCCGGGTGGGGCGGCTGGCCGGGCGGGGGGCTGACCTCCCACCTCCCTCCCGGATGGGGCGGCTGGCCGGGTGGGGGCTGACCCCCACCTCCCTCCCGGACGGGGCGGCTGCCGGGCGGAGACGCTCCTCACTTCCCAGACGGGGTGGCTGCGGGGTGGAGGGGCTCCTCACTTCTCAGACAGGGCGGCTGCCGGGCGGAGGGTCTCCTCACTTCTCAGATAGGGCAGTTGCCAGGCGGAGGGTCTCCTCCCTTCTCAGATGGGGCGGCTGGGCAGAGACGCTCCTCACCTCCCAGACGGGGTCGCGACCGGGCAGAGGCGCTCCTCACATCCCAGACGGGGCGGCGGGGCAAAGGCACTCCCCACATCTCAGACGATGGGCGGCCGGGCAGAGACGCTCCTCACTTCCTAGATGGGATGGCGGCCGGGAAGAGGCGCTCCTCACTTCCTAGATGGGATGGCAGCCGGGCAGAGATGCTCCTCACTTTCCAGACTGGGCAGCCAGGCAGAGGGGCTCCTAACATCCCAGACGATGGGCAGCCAGGCAGAGACGCTCCTCACTTCCTAGACAGGGTGGTGGCCGGGCAGAGGCTGCACTCTGGGCACTTTGGGAGGCCAAGGCAGGTGGCTGGGAGGTGGAGGTTGTAGCGAACCGAGATCACGCCACTGCACTCCAGCCTGGGCACCATTGAGCACTGAGTGAACCAGACACCATCTGCAATCCTGGCACCTCCGGAGGCCGAGGCTGGCAGATCACTCGCCGTTAGGAGCTGGAGGCCAGCCCGGCCAACACAGTGAAACCCCGTCTCCACCAAAAAAATACGAAAACCAGTCAGGCGTGGTGGCACGCACCTGCAATCGCAGGGACTCGGCAGGCTGAGGCAGGAGAATCAGGCAGGGAGGTTGCAGTGAGCCGAGATGGCAGCAGTACAGTCCAGCTTCAGCTCGGCATCAGAGGGAGACCGTGGAAAGAGAGGGAGAGGGAGACCGTGGGGAGAGGGAGAGGAGGGAGAGGGAGAGGGAGAGGGAGAGGGAGAGCCCATTTTGTATTTTCATATGTTTAAATGTTCATCCATTTGTCCCAGGACACTTTATTGAAAATAATATTGTTCCTTATTATTGACTTAGCTCTTTCACTGACAATAAGTTGACTGCATCTATGTGATCTGATTTCTGAAATCACTGATCTCTTCCATTACTCTGTTGGTCTATGCTTAGCTCAATCCAATATGGTCTTAATAAATGTAACTTGATATAAGACTTGAAATCAAGTACTAAGTGCTGTAACTTGTATTTTCTTTTTGTAAATTATTTTGGTTATTTTATGTTCTTTACATTTCTATACAAATTTTCTAATTGATTTTCAATTCTTCCAAAATATCTGATGAAAATTTTATTGTCTATAAATGAATTTGTGAATAATTGACATCAACAAAATTAAGTCCTCCAATTCACAAACCTAGTGTACTTTATTTCTTATAGATTTGACATTCTCTAAAAATGATTTTATAATTTTCAGTGTAGAGACCTTACATATCTGTCATTAAATATATCTCCAAATATTTTATATATTTTATTCAAATGTAAATGCCATTTTAAAAATTATTTTCAATGGTTTATTGTGGAAAACTAAAAATACAATTCATTGTTATTTATTAACTTATATCTTGTGGCCCTGCTAAATTATTTATTTGTTTATTCTTGGCAATTTTCAGGGTACTCAACTATGTCTTCTGTGGATAAAGATGGTGTCTTAGTCCATTCAGACTGCTATAACAAAATACTTTAGATGAGGTAATTTATAAACAACAGAAATGTATTGCTCTGAGATCTGGAGGCTAGAAAGTTCCAAATCAAAGAGCTTTCAAACTCAACGTCTGGTGAGGGTCCTCTTTCTCATAGATGAAGGCTTCTATTTGTGTCCTCACATGATGGAAAAGGCTAGCTATCTCCCTGGAGTCTCTTTTTTAAGGGCAATAACCTTAATCATGAGGGCTCCACCCTCATGACATAAACATCTCCCAAAAATCTGTAACTCATAATCCCATCATCTTTGAAGTTAAGGTGTCAACATATGAATTTGTAGGAGGGGATAGAAACATTCAGACCATAGCAATAGTTTTTAATTTCTTTCTTGCAAATTTTAGATTTTTGCCTCCTTGTCTGAATAAACTAGTTAAGAAATACAGAACTGTTTAGTAGATATGGCAAAAGTGCACATTCTTGCCTTGTCTCTGATTTTTATGAAAAAATTGTTCATTATTTCACTATTAAGTATGATATTAACTATTAAGTTAGCTGAAATATATAGATGATTTTTATCAGATTTAAAAATACTTTGTGTATATACATTATTTTGCTTTTATCACAAATTATGCTGCATTTGGGGCAAATGTTTTTTCTTACATCTATTGAGATGATTATGTAATGTTTCTTCTTAATTCTCTTAATCTGGTTAAGATTTGAAAAAATTTTAAAATGTGATTTTATAAATGTTTAACTAAAACTTTAGTACTGGGGATAAACTTCACTTAGTAATGATGTTGCATCTTTTATATGTGTTGTTAGATTTGACTTGTAATATTTTGCTAATCCTGCTGTTTATTTATGTTTGTGGAAAATACTGCTCTTGAATTTATTTTCTTTTTATGCTCTTGTGAGTTTTGTGGGTCAAAGTTATTTTGGACTCAAAAAACTGTTTGGGAAGTGTGCCTTGTTCTGATACTTTCCGAAATAGTTTATTTATTGTTGAAATGTTTGATGGAATTAACCTGTGTAGCATATGAATCAGAAATTTTCTCTGTGGATATGATTTTAATTATAAATTTTATTTCTTTAATAAAAATTGGGCTATTTACATTGTGTAAGTTATGGTAAGTTTTTTAATGAATTGATATGTTTAATCTAAATTTTTGATTTATTGACACAAAGTTATTCACTTTTTAAATTCTTTATTTTCATTTTAATATCTGTTAGATGTTTTCTTCTTTAATTATAATGTTGATAATTTGTGTTTTCTCTCTTGATTAAACTTGATCAATTTCCTAGGGTTTATCAACTATTAGCAATTTATTCCCTTATCAAAAAACAAACTTTGTTGATAATCTCTGTTAACTAGTAGCCATTTTTAAAATTTTTATTATCATTTTCCCTTATTTTCTACTTGTATATTTTTATTTTAGTTTTTTCTTTAATTTTTCAACTTTTAAATTTTAAGTTTTTGGTAACTGTTTTAAAACCGTTTTTCCCTGATATAAACTTTAAACCTAGAAAATTCCGTTTTAGCACAGTTTTAATTGTATTCCACAAAGTTTGAAATGTTGTCTCTTCATTATCATTCAGTTTGAAATACTTCACCATTTTCTTTGTAATGTCTTTTTTGACCTATAGGTTATTTTGAAATGATATGTTGCTTAATTTCCAAATGTTTGGTGATTTAGTAAATATTGCTTTGTCATTGACATTTAATATTGAAAAAATTTGTATTATTTAAATATTTTCAAGTAATTACATGTTTTATGAACCAGTATATGACCTATGTTTTAACTATTACATGTGAACTTGAATTGCAGATTTTGGAAGTATTGATTTATAAATAGCAAACTGACTCAGAGTTTTGTTTGAATCTTCTTCATCTTTAATAATTTTTATCTATTTTTCTTTTCTAAATGAATTAACAAATTGATTTTCATATCAATGGAGAAAGACAAAAGACTCAGATTAGCTAAATTAATTTTGATAAAGAATTCTTACTTTACCTGATTTCAAGAACTAAAACTACATGAATCCTAACAGTGTAATAGTGGCATAATGATTGAAATGCAGCTCAAGTGGAACAGAATAGAGAGTCCTCAAATAGACTTACACACGTATGGTTAATTGATTTTTCATGGATGTGCCAAAGCAATTAAATAGAGAGAAGATAGTCTTTTCAACAAATGTTGCTGGAACAAGTAGATCTCTATATAGAATAAAAGAAAAAACCTCAACCTTCACTTTACACATACACATAAACTAATTTAAAATTGATAATGGTTCTCAATATAAAAAGCTATTATATTTTTAGAAAAAAATAGAACAAATTGTTTGTAACATTAATTTTTTCAAAAACTGATATTAGAAGCACAAACTATACCTGAAGATAATTGATCAAATAGGCTTCATCAAAGTTCAAAACCTTTGATATATATAAGACACTTAATATAAGATAATGCCGTTACAGAGAATAATTTTTGTAAAACAAGTATACACCAAAGTCTTATATTTAGAGTACACAAAGGACTTTTATAAGAAGACGATATTTAACCCAATAAAAATGAGCAAAATATTTAAACAAATATCTCATAAAAGAAGATAAATTAATGGCATATAAGCTGAGGGATTCCCAACATCACTAGTTATAGAAACACAAATTAAAACTACAGTGAAAACTCTCCACATACACGCGCACACACACACACACACACACACACGCAAGAACAGATAGCTAAGGTTAAAAAATGGAAAGACTGATACAATCTAGTGTTGGTAAGATATTGAGCTACTATATCCGTCTTACACTTTTGTATTAGTTCATTCTTGCATTGCAATAAAAAATACCTGAGATTGGGCAATCTGTAAAGAAAATAGGTTCAGTTGGCTCACAGTTCCTCAGGCTGTACAGGAAGTATAATGCTGGCATCTGCTCAGCATCTGGGGAGGCCTCAAGAAACTTAAAATTCCAGCAGAAGGTGAAGGGATAGCAAGGTTTCTTCCATGGTGGAAGCAGAAGCAAGAGAGAGAGTGAGGAAGTGCTAAATGCTTTTAATCAACCACATCTTGTGACAACTCTATGAGGAGAACAGCAGCAAGTGGATGGTGCTAAACCATTCACGGAGAATATACCCCCATGATCCAGTCACCTCCCACTAGGCCCCACCTCCAACATTGGAGATAAGAATTTAACATGAGATTTGGTGGGACACAGATCCAAACCATATTAATTTTAGTAACAAGGATTCAAGGATTTAAGGTACAGTCACCTTAAAAAAAGAGTATGTAATATATTAGTATTCAACACACCCATTCCACTTCCAGGTCTTTACCTAAGAAAAATGAAAACATATGTCATTCAAAAAATTTCTGTGTTAATATTCATAATAGAATGTTTATTATAGCCCCCAAGAGAAGAAACCCAAAATATCTACGGAATGGTAAATAGGTAACCACACTGTGGTATATCCATACCATTGGATTTTACTCAGCAACAAACAAAGCAATACAATCAACAATGTGGATGAAAATTGAAAGCATCATTCAAAACAAAAAAGTCAAATGAAGAGACTATGTACCAAAAGTGAAATTCTGCAACAAAACTATCCTGACAAACAGTAGATCAGGTATTGCTTGAGGCAGAGTCTTTGAGGAAGAGATTCATTTCAAAGGAAGAATAAAAAATATTTTATTGCGTAGGAGCTGCTCTATGGTTGTGGTGGTGATTACTCAGTTATACACAATTACCAAAATTCAACAAACTTTACCTATAAAATTGTAAACTTTATTGTATACAAATAATACTTTAAAAATGAAAAGACAAAAGCTAAAAGGAAAATCAATGTATTTCATCCCATTAACACAAAGACTATACAAAAAATAACATTACCTTACCCACTTACCAGTTAGTAATGGAAGAGATTTGCAGCAACCACAAAAAAAGAGGGACACAATAGGGCAACTATAGTAAATAATAATTTATTATATTTCAAAATAACTAAAAGAGTGGGATTGAAATGTTCCTAACACAAAGAATTGATGAATGCTTGAGGTGATGGATATTCCAATTATGCTAGATTTGATCATTGTACATTGTAAGCTTGTATCAAGATATCACATATATGCGATAAATATAACCATTATGTATAACTAATGTGTATCCATAATAATTAAAATTTAAAACTTTTAAAATATTACAGCAAACATCATATTTAATAGTAAAATATTGTCACAGATTATCAGATTGAGAACAAATATAATAATTACTAACACCTTTAGTCATTTTTATTACAATGGACACCAAAAAATTAAGTAAAAGAAATAAAGAATATGGATTAAGAAGCAAAAAAAAAACTATCATTATTTGCAGATGTAATGGATAAATAAATAGGAAACCCAAAACAATGCATAAATGATTTGAATAAATAAGTTTATCAAGGTCAATTTATAGAAAGCCAATATACAAAAATCTACTTCAGATTCCCCATTTCTACCAATGTAGTAACCTTACTTTTCCTAACTCCTCCCTCTCACAACTTCAAAAAAAATACAAAAAGAAAAATACCTGGATATAACACAACAGACCAACATGCAATGAAGGCCAGGAGCCTAGGGACCCTGAGACTCTAAGGATGATAGAGACATGAGCTCCCTGGGGTTTCTTACTGCCTTCCATGTATCCCAAACAGGACATTGCAGAAGCCTCAAACCTAGATCTGCCAACAGGCATGGTGGATGGTGAGGGGAATCTCAAGGAACCTTGTTTCCTCCTAGCCCAAACACTGGGAAAGGAATGATCTAACAGCAGAAGACCTTTTGGGGAACACTCACCCACCCCCAGCCTAACATCAAAGGAAAAAACATGCCTTCCCCCTATGGCTTCAGTGGGACTGAGCAGGGAGTTAATCTTTCACCCCACCCACCTTCTGGTGGAAGCAAGAACTGGTGCTTTTACTCCACACCCCTCTTCCACTGAATGGCTTTGGCAGGATGAAAAAAAGAACTAATCTTCTGTTCCTCTGTTGGAAAAAACATGCAACACTCAGATTCTACCATGTGATTGACTCCTTAGTGACAAGCAAAGAGCTAACCTTCTATATTCCAGTGAGTGGAAATCAGCTGCTGAGTTAGTGTTGGCAGTACTGAGCTGGCAGGTGATGTCCATCCAATGCTGGCAGGATTAGGTGGTTCCCCGATTCTCCTGGTAGGATAAATAGTATTGGCAGACTGTGCAGGGAGCTTGCCATCTATCTTCCACCCAGAAGAAGCAGCAGATATTCTTATTACCCTTAACAAAGTGGAGAATGCAAGGCTGAGCAGGGGGCTGATCTTCCATTTCTTGCCCAAAGTGGGCATGCTCAGATTTGCCTGCCTGGGCAGTGTTAGCAATGATCCAGTGGTGAGCTAAGACTCCACTCAGAAACAATGAGGCAAAACAGGTGTTGAAAACTAGAGCTCATGAGCACTCTGCTTCCACCCCTCGGTCCCTTGGTGTTCATAGGGACTAATAGGGAGCTGAGCTACTGCCTCTAACCTGCAGCAGTGCAGCAATATGAGTCAGTCTTCTGCTTCCCCACTCTCGTATCCCTGGGGCTTGAAAGGAACTGAACATTCATATTTGGCCAGCTCTAAACACATCTCAGCAGAACTACCTGCTGAAAATAAATGATTAAATAAGATTCAGAGTTTTACAGGATGCAGTTTAAAATCAGTCCTCATAGCAAGAACCAGGAAAATCACACGATGAATGAGAAGAGACAACAAATGTCAACATCAAATTAAATCAGATATTGAGATTATCTAGAAAGAGTTTTAAAACAACCATTATAAAAATACTCTAACAAGCAGTTAAAAATTATCTTGAAAAAATGTTCTAAAAAGAAAATATATCAGCAAATAGACATTATTAAAAAAGGTAAGTAAAAATTATAGAACTGAAAAATGTAATAACTGAAATTAAGGTAAGGGTCCTAAAAGAAAATAAAATTTTTACAATTCAGTTGAAGTGGTAACACATAGATAAAAACAGATTGTAGTAATTTGCACATGTATATCTCAATACCTAGAGACCTATTAGGAAATTAACATGGCAATATATTTAAGAACACTATACAAAAAATCAAGATGGATTCCTTAAAAATGTTCAAGTAACCTACAGGAATTAAGAAAAGCTAACAGGAAAATGAGAGAGACAGAGGATGAGGAAGATAAATAAAACAAATAATAAAATGGCAGACTTAAACACTAGCATAGCAATAAATATCTTATATTTAAATGGTCTAAGTGCATCAATTTACAGACAGAGATTGTCAGAGTAGATAAACAAATATATTCAGCAATAATCTGTCTACAAGAAACTCACTTCAAATACGCTGAACTAGTTACTTTGATGGTAAGAGAATGGAAAAAATATATACCATGCAAACATTAATCAAAGAAAAGAAGCAGGAGTAACTACATAACACTTCAAATAAAAGAAAATTACTAGCAATAAAGAGGATCATTACATAAAGATAAAAGGAGCAATCCACCAGGAAGAAATAACAATCCTGAATGTGTACACACAAAATAACAGAGCCTCAAAATACTTGAAGTAAAATTGACAGAACTGAAAAGAGAAATAGACAAATCCAAAATTAGAGTTGGAGACTTTAACACCTACCTATCAACACCTGATAGAACACCTAAAGAGAAAATTAGCAAAAATATAGAACTCAACGCCATCCACCAATACAAACTAATTGGTCCATCAATCAATAAATTACTCTACCCAACAACATAGAATCATATTCTTTTCAAGTATCCATGGAACATTTACAACAATAAACAATATCATGTACCTTAAAACAAATCTTGACATATTTAGAAGAATTGCTGTATTACAGAGTATATATTCTGACAAGAATGAATTCAAAGGAGAAATCTCCAAACTTTTGGAAATTAAACAACACATATCTAAATAATGCATGTGTCATTGAATAATCTCAAAGAAAATTTTAAAAATTAATAGAACTAAGTGAAAATGAAAATACAACATATAAAGAGTGATACGCTGCATCTAAAACAGTACTACAAGGGAAATGTATAGCACTAGATACTTATATTGGAAAAGGAAAGCTCTCAAATCCGTTTTTTAAGTCTCTAAGAAACTGGAAGAAGAGTAAAATAAACCCAGAGATAGGAAAAAGAAAAAAATAAATAACAAAGATAAAAGAAGCTAATTAAGCAGAAAGAAAAAAATTAAAAATAATTAATAAAAACACTGATTCTATGGAAAATTAATGAAATTAACAAAACTCTAACAATTCTGACAAATACATAAAGAAAAAAAGACATTATCACCAACCTCAAGGATGATACAGGAAATATCACTACGGATCCTGCAGCCATTAAAAATAAAACAAGGATATATATTAAGAACTTTGTGTTCATAAATTTTCCTGCTTAGAATTTGGCCCAATTCTTTGAAAAATACTAATTACCAAAACTCAACCAAAATGAAATTGTTATCTGAATATTCCTATAAACATTAAGAAACTGGATATCAAAATTCAATAGTTAAAAAGCTCCTCAAAAAATTCCAGACACAATATTTCAGTGATGTCTATTAACATTTAAAGATGAATTAACATCAATTTTACCAATTATTTTACAGAACAAGAGAGAGTACTTCCTAACTCAGTTAATGAAGATAGTATTACCCTGATACAAAACAAAAACACAGTCTGTATCACAGAAAGTGCCAAAAACAAAAGAAAAGAAAACCACAGACTCTAATGAAAACAAAACAAAAACCTTCAATAAATATTAAATAAAATTAAATTATTTATGAAAATAATTATACACTAAAACCAAATGGGATTTAATCCAGATATGAAGTCTTATCAGCATTCAAAGGTAATTAATGTAATCTAACATGTCAACACACTTAAATTAAAAAATAATAACACTATTAATTGATGCATAAAAATATTTGTCAAAATTCAAGCCATTTATAATTATAAATGTTCAGTAAACCAGGGAGAGAGGGGAATTTTCTCAGGTACATCAAAAACTTCTACCATCAGGAAAATGGTCTAGAAATATTGTCTTACCACTTTTTTCCAGCATAATGTCAGAAGTTCTAGCCATTGCAATATGGAACGAAAAAGAAACAGAAGATATTTGAATATTTAAAACATAAATAAATAAAACTCTCCCTATTTGAAGATAACATGATTTTCCACGTAAACAATGTCCAAAATTACAAAAATAAGAAATAAAGAAATGAAACCACTCCTACAACTAATAAGGGAGTCTAGTAACTTCACAGGATATGAGATCACATATAAGAATCAATCACATTTCCATGTACTAAAATATGAACACGTGGAAAACAAAATTAAAATCATAATACCATTTGCCATCACTCCAAATAAAATAAAAACAAGATGAAAATATGTGCCGTGGAAAAGTCCCTGTTTATAAGATAAAAAGAAAAGCTAAATACTACTTGGTAATGTTTGTAAATCACAAATTTAATAAATGACTAGTATCTTGATTATATAAAGAACTCTCAGAACTTGAAAATAAATGCAATTCAAAAATGGGCAAAACATAAACTAAAATTTCACCAAAGAGTATATAGAGATGGCGAATAAGTTCAAGAAGAGATGTTCAACATCATTAGCCATTAGGGAAATGCAAATTAAAATCATAATGAGATATCACTATGCATGTATCAGAATAGTTAAAATAAGAATAGTGACAAAACCAAATGATGGCAATGATGCAGGGAAACCTGGATCGCTCTTACATTGCTGGTGGGAATGTAAAATGGTACAGCCAGTTAGTGAAATAGTTTGACTAGTTTCGTACAACTAAGCATACAAATACCGTATGACCTACCAATTGGACTCTTGAATATTTATCCCAGAGAAATAAAAAATTAGATGTATAACAATCCTGCACATCAATGTTCCTAGCAGTTTTCTTTGTAGTATCGCCAAACTTGAAATAATTCAAATTCCTATGGGTTCAAATAATTCAAACTATGGGTTACTAGTTAAATAAACTGTGGGGTATATCCCTACTATGTAATACTATTCAAGTAATAAAAAGGAAAAAAAAAACTATTGATATAGGCAATGATTTGGATGCAACTGCAGGAAACTAAGCTAAATAAAACACCCAATAACAAAAGACTACATTCTTTATTATTTTATTTATATGACATTCTTAAAATGACAAAATTATACGAATGTAGAACAGATTATTATTTGCTGCTAAGAGTAAGGGATGGAGATAGAAAGGGATGTGCACGTGGCTATTAAAGGGCAACATGAAGGATTGTTGTGGTACTGCAACTTTGATATGCCTCTACTTGAAAAATGCTAATATATTGGTTGTGATATTGTATTAGAGTTTTGCAAGGAGATTTCTTTGGGAGAAACTGAGTAAAGAATGTATTAATCTGTCTGCATTCTTACAAATGCAGTTGAATCTATAATTATCTCAAAAAAGTTCACATAATAAAAGCAGTTGTATTTACTATATTTCAACAACAAACAAATAGAAATGTAAATTCATAAATTATGCTATTTATAATATCAATTACACTTAAGGCTTAAAAAAGTCATATAAAACCTGTGTAAATCAGTTACAGTGAAAATTATGGAACACGAGAAAATTTCAAAGACAAAAAAATGAAAGCATATGCCAGGCTTGTGGTTATGAAGACTCAATATTTTTTAAAAGACACTTTTTCAAGTTTGCTTATTGATTCAATGTGATACCAAATATCACGTTTTTCAAGGATCTAGATCAATGGATTCTGTCACATAGTACTGTGGATATCCATTTGTCAATATCTATTAAAGGTGACCTAAAACAAGGGCAATGATCAAGCCATCTTATTCCTAGGGTTAGACAAAATAGAAATGTGTACCTGTATTCATCACAAGCCAGTTGTACAAATTTTTACAGAACTATTGATAATTGCCAAAAATTAGAAACACCCTAAATATTCATCAACAATAAAATGGTTTTAAATAATTATGTTTCAACTACATGTAACTCCATGCAACTGCATGGATAAATCTCATAAACCCATGGACGAGCAAAAAAATATCCAGAGTCAAAAAGTGCTTATGTGTATTTCATATATATATAATGTTCAAAAAGAGGTAAAACTCTTCTGCATTGTTAGAATTCAGAATGGGATTGCTTCACTAAAGAAGCAGGAAGGAATTTCTGGTGTTCTGATAATGTTCTGACTTTTATTCTAAGCGTGGTTTTATTATTCGATGCAGTCTATTTGAGAAAATTTATAAAGTTTACACTTACCTGATGAACACATTTCTGAATATAAGTTATACTACAACGAAAACAGTTTACATATAAAAGTTCCGTGTTTATTGCAGCACTATTCACAATACCCAAGATATGGAATCCACCTAGTGTCTATCTACAGATGAATGAACAAAGAAAATATAGTCAGACATGGTGACTCATTCTTGTAATCCAGCACTTTGGGAGACTGAGGTGAGAAGATGACCTGAGCCCAGGAGTTCGAGACAAGCCTTGGCAACAAAGTGAGATGCCATCTCTTCCAAAAGTTAAAAAATTAAAAAGTCATGGTGGTATGCACCTGTGGTCCTAGCCATTCAGGAGTACTGAGGTAGGAGGATCGCTTCAGTTCAGGAAATCAAGGTTGCAGTAAGCCATGTTTGCAGCAGTGCACTTCAGCCTGGGCAAGAGAGTGAGAACCTGTCTAAAAAAAAATAAAAAAAGAAAAGTCACACACACAGACACACACAAACACACACAGAGAGAGAGAGAAGAATATTATTCAGCCTTAAAAAAGACAAAAATCTTGCCATGTGTAACAACATGGATAAAGCTGGAGGACATTAGGTTAAGTGAAATAAGTCAGGCATAGAAAGACAATACATCGTGGTTTCAATTATATACTGAATCTAAGAACTTCAAACTCAGAGGAGAGAATAGAATGTTAGTTGTGGTGGGTGTGGGTAATGGGTACATGTTGGTCAAAATCTACAAAGTTTCAAGTAGACAAAAAGTTATGCAGATCTATTGCACATCATGGTGACTATAGTTAATGATAGCACATTGTATCCTTGAAAATTGCCAGGAAGGTAGATTTTAAATGTTCTCACTGCAAAAAAATAATAAATGTGAGGTGATGGATATGTTATTTAGCTAGACTGTGGTAATGATTTCACAATGCATACATAGATCAAAACATCATGTTTTACACCCTAAATATATATAATTTTTATTCGTTGATCACATTTTAATGAAGCTAGAGAAAATGTACCACATTAGGTAATTCACCAATTAAAATAATTATCTATGAAATAGTCATTATATATATAATTTAAATCAAGCCTCTTATTATGATATAACTCATCAATTAATATATTTTATAACTCATTATACATACATATATTTTATTTTATAATCTATATTGCATTACACGTTGGTTAAACTATATCCTAGAAAATTGACATGAACTTAGATAACTTACAATCTCTAAAATTTTATTTCTCCTTTAAATGTAATTAGATTGACATCTCTAAAGGTCTTGTCATCATTCAAAAGCTGTGTTTGCAAGGCATACACATATGTTTATATGTGCTGTTTACAAAATATTTAAAATGAAATACCTTTTCAATTCAGCTTATAACTTCAGTTTTAAGTACATCAGTAAAACTTAAAATGGTCCTGCATTTAAATGTATTTTATTAGATAACATATTGCTTTCCCTGCAGATTTGATTTAAAGAAAATATCTATGTTTCTCAGTAGGAGCGACCCATAAACTGCATGCATATCAGCCAACTTGATGTAATGGTGTTCTTGTTTTAACATAAAGAAACTTTGTGACCTTGAATAAGTCATAAAAAAAAACAACTTTTTTTTTGCCTCAGATTTTTAATTCTTTGAATGAATAATACATTCTCTGCCATCTTAGGTGGTTGATATGTGGATTAAATGAGAAAGCAAAATTTAAGTAGCTTAAAATCTATAAAGCAGTGTGTAAATGCAAATGTTATTACTATTATTGATGCAGTAGTTTTTGCTCCTTAGTTTAGCTAAAACCAGCTCCTTGTCACACAATCAGGAAAGATTGGGCATGCATACTCATTGAAAGGTGAGGAGAGCAGAATTTACTAAAAGAAAACTCTCAGCTGTAAAACAAGAAGTCCTACTAACAGGCTCAGATTGAACACCACACTACCACGCACCAGCCGAAGAAGCCAGGCTCCTCCCCACTGCAGAAGGTGCAAATTCCTGTGGTTCCACCCCATTTCTCCAGTGTGCATGGGGACATTTTTTAGAAAGAATCAGTCAGGAAAGGGCAGGCAAAAGGGGCAGTTCTCCCTCTGGGTCACGGGTTTCATCTGGGATCAGCAGTCCAGTATTTCAGCCTTCAGCCTGTTTTAGGCTTGAAGGTAGGTTTTCGCTGGGGACAGTTGGCTGTCTCCTGCCAAGGGTTATTATTATTATAGGTGTTTAAATATTTGTTTTCATTTTAAGAAAAAAAATGTAGAATGATCCTACTCTTACTCAGACACACACACAGACACACACATCCCATACATATAACCTTAATTGAGTAGAGGGAAGGAAAATAAAGTGCATCTTTTTTCTACTGTTAAACTTCTGCTTTGTTCATTACCCTTCCATTACTTTTCCTTTGTTTTCCTCCCATAGGGCAATGAAGATAAGCTCCTGTTGATGGTTCATGAATTTCAATTTATGTTCCCAGGGGCAGGGCATTTTTCATGCAATGTCCCCAGTATTACAATTTCCTGCTGCTTGTGTTTTCAGAGAACCCATGTTTAAACCTTCAGGCCAATATGTAAATCTGTTTTTGTTCCTTTAAACAGAAGACTTGTGGGTGTTTCAAAACAGATATGCATTAAATAAGTATTTATTCAATATTACAGATGTTAAAACTAAGAGACTTCCTCAGGGACAAGTTAAATGAAAGAGGTGCAGGAACTGAAGCTGCATTTCCAAGTGCCTGGCCCTCAGCAAGTGTTCACCAGGCAAAGCGTAATTGAAAGGATTATCTCATTGTAACAAGGAACGTGCACATGTTCGTGTAGACAGACACTGAAGTACAATCCCCACAATCCTTATAGCTATTTTCTCTGGATGTTGAGATTTCATTTGCATTTACTTTCTTTTTATACTTTCACATAGTTACAATTATTTTACAATCAGTTTGTAATTTTTATATAATTAGAAATGATATAAAAACTATTTTGTAGAGAAAAGATAAGGCTATTCCAATACAATCCAGTAGCTTTACAATAAATAGTTTTATTGAGTTTTATGAAACCTATTATGCCCACTGTTTAAAGAATAATTTAAAGGGATAAATAATGGTATGGGTTGTATGTACTCTCCATCTTGTAAAATATTGAATTTCTTTCTTTTTCCACCTGAGTTAACCATGAATTGAATTTTTATTTTCATAACTAGCTTGCTTTTTGTAAGTTGCTGAATTACATAATGGTATACTGTCAAATCACATATTATCTAGTTTTCACATTTTTCTGTTTTATATAAAATGGTTAATTTTGTATATACATCTTTCCTGAATTTTTTTGTTTTAATTCAGCCTTAACTGTGAAACTCATGCCTCTTGATACACATAATCATTCTTGGATATTTTCATTGCTCAAAAATGTTCCCTGGAAGGAATATAGTTCATTTTACTTATCCATTCTACCTCCCATAGGCAAAGTTTTTTTTTTTTTTTGTAGTACTAAAAATGCTGCTAAAATAGTGATTCTACAAATATTCCCATGAATATTGTATTGGTGCATTCTCATGCTGCTGATGAAGACAAAACTGAGACAGGGTAATTTATAAAGAATAAGAGGTTTAATGAACTCACAGTTACATGTGGCTGGAGAAGCCTCACAATCATGGTGGAAGGCAAAAGGCATGTCTTGCATGGTGGCAGACAAGAGAGAAGAGAGCCAAGCGAAAGGGGTTATCCCTTACAAAGCCATCAGATCTCATGAGACTTATTCACTACCATGAGAACAGTATGGGGGAACCACCCCCATGATTCAATACCTCACACCGGGTCCCTCCCACAACATGTGAGAATTATCCGAGGTACAATTCAAAATGAAATTTGGGTGGGGACACAGCCAAACCACATCATTCTGCCCCTGGGCCCTCCCAAATCTAATGTCCTCACATTTCAAAATCAATCATGCCTTCCCAACAGTCCCCCAAATGTTAACTCATTTCAGCATTAACTCAAAAGTCCACAGTCCAAAGTCTCATCACAGACAAAGCAAATCCCTTATGCCTGTGAGCCTGTAAAATCAAAAAGCAAGTTAGTTAATTCCTAGATACTATGGTGTACAGGCATTGGATAAATATACCCATTCCTAATGGGAGAAATGGGCTGAAGTAAAAATTCTGAAGGCCCTGTGGAAGTCTGAAATGCAGTGGGGCAGTCAAATCTTAAAGCTCCAAAATGATCTCCTTTGACTCCATGTCTCACATCCAGGTCATGCCAGTGCAAGAAGTGGGTTTCCATGGTGTTGGGCAGCTCCAATCCTGTGGCTTTGCAGGGTACAGCCTCCCTCCTGGCTGTTTTCGTGGGCTGGCTTTGAGGGTCTGTGGCTTTTCTGGGCATGGTACAAATTGCTGATGGATCTACCATTCTGGGGTCTGGAGGACTGTCACCCTCTTATAGCTCCACTAGGTAGCGCCCCAGTGGGAACTGTGGGCTTCAACCCCACATTTCCCTTCTGCACTGCCCTACCAGAGGTTCGCTATGAGGGCCTTCCCCTGCAGCAAACTTTTGCCTGGACATCGAGGCATTTCCATACATCCTCTGAAATCTAGATGGAGGTTCCCAAACCTCAATTCTTGACTTCTGTGCACCCACAGACTCAACATGACTTAAGAAGCTGCCAAGGCTTGTGCCTGCACCCTCCAAAGCAACAGCCTGAGTTGCACCTTGGCCCCTTTTAACCGTGGCTAGAGTGGCAGGGAGACAGAGCACCAAGTCCTTAGGCTGCACACAGTAGAGGGGCCCTGGACCTGGGCCATGAAATCATTTTTTCCTCCTAGCCCTCTTGGCCTGTGATGGGAGGGGTGGCTGCAAAGATCTCTGACATGCCCTGGAGACATTTTCACCATTGTTTTCATGATTAACATTTGCCTCATTATTTATGCAAATTTCTGCAGCTGGCCCAAATTTCTCCTTAGAAAATGGGTTTTTCTTTACTATCTCATCATCAGGCGGCAAAGTTTCTGAACTTTTATGCTTTGTTTTCCTTTTAAAATTGGATGCTTTTAAAAGCACCTAAGTCAACTCTTGAATGCTTTGCTGCTTAGAAATTTCTTCCACCAGATACTGTACATCATCTTCTTAAGTTCAAAAGTTCCACAATTCTCTAGGGTAGGGTAAAATGCTACCAGTCTCTTTGCTAAAACATAGCGAGAGCCACCTTTACTCCATTTCCCAAAAAGTTCTTCATATCCATCTGAGACTACCTGTCTGGATTTCATTGTCCATATAATTATGAGCATTTTGGTCAAAGCCATTCAACAAGTCTCTAGGAAGTTCCAAACTTTTGCACATTTTTCTGCCTTCTTCTAAGCCCTCCAAACTGTTCCAACCTCTGCCTGTTACTGAGTTCCAGAGTCTCTTCCCCATTTTGGGGTATGGTTACAGCAGTGCCCCAATCTACCGGTACCAATATACTGCATTAGTCTGATTTCACATTGCTGATAAACATGTACCCGAGACTGAGTAATTCATAAAGAAAAAGAGTTTTAACGGACTCACCATTCCACATGGCTGGGGAGGCCTCACAATCATGACGGAAGGTGAAAGGCATGTCTTACATGGTGGCAGACAAGAGAGAAGAGAGCCAAGTGAAAGGGGTTTCCCCTTTTAAACCATCAGATCTTGTTAGAATTATCACTACCATGAGAGCAGTATGGGGAAAACCCCTGATTCAATTATCTCCCCCTGGTCCCTCCCACAACATGTGGGAATTATGGGAGCTATAATTCAAGATGAGATTTGGGTGGGGTACACAGCCAAACCATATAGATTATCTTCTTCTTATCTTCATGTATATATATATATATATATATATATATATATATATATATATGAGACATGGTCTCTGTCACCCAGGCTGAAGTACACAGTTGCGATCTCTGCTCATTGCAACCTCTGTCTCCCAGGTTCAAGTGATCTTCCCACCTCAGCCTCCCAAATAGCTGGGACTACAGGCCTGTACCACTACACCCAAATAATTTTTGTATTTTTAGTAGAGACAGGGTTCCTCCACCTTGCCCAGGCTGATCTCAAACTCCCAGGCTTCAGTGATCTGCCCACCTTGGCCTCTCAAAATGCTGGGATTACAGGTATGAGCCACTGCACCAAGCCTCCTCCTCTTATATTGTTATTATATTTTTTACTCTACATTTTTGGGGTATAGCCTATTTTTCTTTTTTAAAGTTCTTAAACTATAAATATAAGGGATTCATATTTTTTTCTTTTTTATTTTCTAACATAAGACTAAATTTTAAATGTCTTTCAAATACTGCAGTAGCTATATCCTACAAATTTTGACATGTAGAATTTTTGTTTTCATCTAAGTATTTTAACAATTACAAGTTAATTTCAAATTAAAAAAATTCATGTATGTATGTATGTATGTATTTTTTCTAATTTTAAATTTGTTAATCTTTCATTTAATTCCAATAAGAGCAGAGTACATCTGTAGGGTATTGACTCAAATTTGCTGTGATTCTCTTTGTTACCAATTAAGATAAGTGTTTTTTTTTTTTTTTTTTTGGCTTGAGTTTAAAAATAAAGGACTTCCAACAGTTGGACATCAAATTTTATATATTTGGTTTGCTGTGATTAACTTTCATCTTTTATATTTAAGATTATAATTTATTTCAAACTTAATTTCAATGTAGAATTGTTTTCCATATTGAAACTAAACTCAGGTCCAGCTGCTCACTCTTTGAAAGCCAAAATATTAATATGATAAAAGAGGTGCAGTGAAAGGAGAGCACTTTTACTCAAATGCCGGCAGTTGGGAATGGCCAGGCTCATGCCTTCAAAAACAATTTCAAAATTTTAAGGAAATTGATAGATTTTAGAAGGAAAGCTTGGCATGGGAAGCATGTGGGAGTGAGGCAGGGTGCAGGAGCTGCGTGTCTTGTTCTGATAGCTAACTTGAATTTCTGTCCACCTGAAGCGTAGGCTGGTGCCATCTCAACAATGGCCAAGTTGTAGATTAACTGCCTTGTTAATTGCTAGATGCAGAGAATTCTACAGCTGGGTCTTCCTGCCTGGTTTACTTCAAAATTAGACCCTGGAATTTGTAAGCAGGTGCATATTTAGATAAGTGAGCACAGTGCAAGGGAGTGCCTGCTGGGAAGGAAGGGAAACAGAGTCAAAATGTGTTACAAGGCTAAGACCAGAGAGAAGAAATAAAATTTTGAAACACATTTTAAGGCCAAGCCACTTGGTTACAATATGGATATTAAGTTGCTGATAGAATGATTTTTTTCTATACAATGATTTTTATAGGCTCTCTCTTGTGTTTTATTAATCTATATTGCAATTTTTTGGTAATACCATACTCTCTTGATTACAATAGTTTTATAGCTACTGTAGTAGCTGTAAGTTTTAAAGTCAGGTGGAATAAATCTTCCAATTTCTGTTTCATTTTAAAAAATATCTTTGGATCTTCTAGATCCTTTGCATTTAAATAAATATTTCATAAACAATTTGTTAATTTCTTTTAAAATTGCAGGAATGTTCAATGGGATAATTTGAATGTACACACAGATTTGGGTAGAATAAAAATCTAACGATTAAGAGACTTTCAGCTTATGAACATGGCATATACTCCATCTATGTAGTTCTTTTTTTTTATTGTACTTTAAGTTTTAGGGCGCATGTGCACAACGTGCAGGTTAGTTACATATGGATACATGTGCCATGTTGGTGTGCTGCACCCATTAACTCCTCATTTAACCTTAGGTATATGTCCTAATGCTATCCCCCCCACAACCCCCAACCACACAACAGGCTCTGGTGTGTGATGTTCCCCTTCCTGTGTCCATGTGTTCTTATTGTTCAATTCCCACCTAGGAGTGAGAACATGCGGTGTTTGGTTTTTTGTCCTTGCGATAGTTTGCTGAGAATGATGTTATTTCCTGTAAACACTTCAGAGTTTGTAGTCTAGAAACTTTCATGGCTGTTGTTAAATTTATTTCTCTATATGTATTTTAGGTTATTGTAAAAAGGATTTCAAAAATTTGCTAACGTTGTTGCTAATATATTAAAAATACGATTGATTTTCAAAATTATCCTTTTTCTATTACCTTCTTGATTCATTTATTAGTTCTTGCTTGTCTGTAGATTCCTAAGGATTTTCTATATTAAATAAATAAGCTATATGTAAATAGAAAAGCAGTTGCTTTTTCCTTTCAGAGCTTCATGTTTCCTGTATATTTTGGGGCTTGATGGGGGGCTTTCGGTATAATATCAAATACATATGATTTGAGTAAAAATTCTTGTCTTGTTTTCAAACATAACAACTAAAAAATCAATATTTCACCATTAAATACAATGTTACCTCTAGGTTTTTGTTAAATGCTTTTTATTTGATTGAAAAAGTTGCTTTTATTATTAGTTTGCTGAGAATTTTTATTATAAATGGGTGTTAATTTTTTTAAATGCTGTATCTTTCCATTAATATCTTTATCTGCAATGATTACTTTCTAAAGGTTAAATCTACTTTATTTTGTTAACAACATGAATCACATTAGTTGCTTTGCATATTTTAAACCAATTTTGAGTTCCAGTCCTTAACTCTATTCTGCTCATAATGCATGATTTTTTAAAAAATTTTACTTTAAGTTCCAGAATACATGGGCAGAACATGCAGGTTTGTTACATATGTATACATGTGCCATGGTGGTTTGCTGCACCTATCAACCCATCATTTAGATTGTAAACCCCGCTTGCATTAGGTATTTGTCCTAATGCTGTCACTCCCTTTAGCCCCCATCCCCTGACAGGCCCTGTTGTGTTTTGTTCCCCTCCCGGTGTTCATGTGTTCTCATTGTTCAACTCCTACTTATGAGTGAGAACATGTGGTGTTTGTTTTTTCTATTACTGTGTTAGTTTGCTGAGGATGATGGCTTCCAGCTTCATCCTTGTCCCCGCAAAGGACATGATCTCATTCCTTTTTATGGCTGCATAGTATTCCATGGTGTATATGTAGCACATTTTCTTTATCCAGTCTATCATTGATGGACATTTGGGTTGGTTCCATGTCTTTGCTATTGTAAATACTGTTGCAGTAAACACATTTATGTATGTGTCTTTATAGCAGAATGATTTATATTCATTTGGGTATAGAACCATAATGGGATTGCTGGATCAACTGGTATTTGTGGTTCTAGATCCTTGAGGAATCCCCACACTGTCTTCCACAATGGTTGAACTAATTTACATTCCTACCAACAGTGTAAAAGCATTCCTATTTCTCGAAAGCCTTCCCAACATCTACTGTTTCCTGACTTTTTTAATAATAGCCATTCTGGCTGGCATGAGATGATATTTCCTTGTTGTTTTGATTTGCATTTCTCTAATGATCAGTGATGTTGAGCTTTTTTTCACATGTCTGTTGGTCACATAAATGTCTTCTTTTGAGAAGTGTCTGTTCATATTCTTTGCCCACTTTTGATGGGGTTGCTTTTTCTTGTAAATTTGTTTAAGTTCCCTGTAGATTCTGGGTATTACACCTTTGTCAGATGGGTAGATTGCAAACATTTTCTCCCATTCTGTAGGTTGCCTCTTCACTCTGATGATAGTTTTTACTGCTGTGCAGAAGCTCTTTAGTTTAATTAGATCCCATTTGTCAATTTTGGCTTTTGTTGCAATTGCTTTTGGGATTTTCGTCATGAAGTCTTTGCCTATGCCTATGTCCTGAATGGTATTGGCTAGGTTTTCTTTTACAGTTTTCATCGTTTTGGGTTTTACATTGAAGTGTTTAATATATCTTGAGCTAATTTTTGTATCAGGTGTAAGGAAGGGGTCCAATTTCAGTTTTCTGCATATTGCTAGCCAGTTTGCCCAGCACAATTTATTAAATAGGGAACCCTTTCCTCATTGCTTGTTTTGTTCAGTTTGTCTAAGATCAGATGGTTGTAGATGTGTGGTGTTATTTCTGAGGTCTCTGTTCTTCTGTTCCATTGGCATATATATCTGTTTAGGTACCAGTACCAAACAGTTTCAGTTACTATAGCCATGTAGTACAGTTTGAAGTCAGGTAGCATGATGCCTCCAGCTTTGTTCTTTTTGCTTAGAATTGTCTTGGTTCTACAGCATCTTCTTTGATTCCATGTGAAATTTAAAATAATTGCTTCTTCTAATTCTGTGAAAATGTCAATAACATTTTAATGGGAATAGCATTGAGTCTATAAATTATTTTTGATACTATGGCCATTTTCATGATACTGATTCTTCCTATCAATGAGGATAAGGTGTTTGTCCATTTGTTTGTGTTCTCTCTTATTTCCTTGAGCAGTGGTTTGTGGTTCTCCTTCACATCCCTTTTTAGCTGTATTCTTAGGTATTTTATTCCCTTTGTAGCAATTGTAAATGGGAATTCATTCATGATTTGGCTCTCTGCTTGTCTATTGTTGGTGTATAGGAATGGTTGTGATTTTTGCATATCGATTTTGTATCCTGAAATTCTGTTGAAGTTGCTTATCAGTTTAAGGAGTTTTTGGGCTGAGATGATGGGGTTTTCTAAATATAAAATTATGTCATCTGCAAACAAAGACAATTTGACTTCCTCTCTTCCTATTTGAATACCCTATATTCCTTCTCTTGCTTGATTGCCCTGGCCAGAAATTCCAATACTGTGTTGAATAGGAGTGGTGAGAGAGGGCATCCCTGTTTTGTGCCAGTTTTCAAAGGAAATGCTTCCAGCGTTTGCCCATTCAGTATGATATTGGCTGTGGGTTTTTCATAAATAACTCTTATTATTTTGAGATATGTTCCATAAGTACCTAGTTCATTGAGAGTTTTTAACACAAAGGAATACTGCATTTTATCAAAGGCCTGTTCTGCATCTATTGAGATGATCAGGTGGTTTTTGTCTTTGGTTCTGTTTAAGTGATGGATTGCATTTATTGCTTTGCGTATGTTGAACCAGCCTTGCATCCCAGGGATGAAGCCGGCTTCATCATGGTGGGTAAGATTTTTGATGTGCTTTTGGATTCAGTTTGCCAGTATTTTATCGAGGATTTTTGCATCAGTGTTCATCAGGGATATTGGCCTGTAGTTTCCTTCTCTTGTTGTGTCTCTGTCAGGTTTTGCTATCAGGATAATGCTGGCCTCATTAAATGAGTTAGGGAGGAGTCCGTTCTTTTCAACTGTTTGGAATGGTTTCAGAAGGAATGGCCCCAGCTCCTCTCTGTACCTCTGGTTAAATTTGGCTGTGAATCTATCTGGTTCTGGGCTTCTTTTGGTTCCTAGGCTATTATTGCTGCCTCAATCAGAACTTGTTGTTGATCTATTCAGGGATTCAACTTCTTCCTGGTTTAGTCTTGGGAGGGTGTATGTGTCCGGGAACTTATCCATTTCTTCTAGATTTTCTATTTTATTTGTGTAGATGCGTTTTTAGTATTCTCTGGTACCATGATTCTTACAGCAGTCACATGAATGCACCTCACAAACTTCCTGCTACAAGGATTATAAATGACTACAAGCTTCAGGTACTGAACTTTGAAATCCACCATAGTATTTTTGCCACTGGATTATTAAAATCTTCCTTTGCTGAGGTCACCCGTTGATGAGCAGTCATATGGGATACAAATATCTTCATAGTTTTTGACTACTCAGAGAGGTCCCTCCACATACCTCTACCCTAAATTTCTTTGTTACCACTTTTCCAAACATGCTTTTCCAAGTCCCTGACCATCCAGCCAAACGATTGGCTAAAGCCCATTAATCAGTATATAATTGCAGATCTGGCCACTTCTCCTTCCATGCAAAGTGCACAATCAGGTGCACTGCTCAAAGTTCTGCCCACTAGGAAGATTTCCCTTCACCACTGTCCTTCAGGGATGTCCTAGAAAGGGGCTGTAGTGCTTCAGCTGTCCACTTTTGGGTGGTGCCTGCAATCGTGCAGAACCATCTGTTAACCAGGTCCTAGTCTTCCCTTCCTCTGTCAACTGATCATTGGAAACTCCCCATGAGGTTATCTTTGGAGGCTGGGGGAGAAAAGACATGGTTGCAGGAGTGGAGATCATGGGCATTTGAGCCACTTCCACATTTAACTTACTATGCCTTCAGGACCTGCTCGAGCCTGATCATGTATATACCACTTTCATTTGATGATAGAATGCTGCTGTGCATGACTGACTTTATGTCTAGATGGGTCAGAAAGCACCCGGTTTATGATAGGCCGTTCAGTTTGCATGTTGACTTGATGACCCATAGTCAAACGTTCAGTTTCCACCAAAGCCCAGTAACAGGCCAAGAGCCATTTCTCAAAAGGAGAGTAGTTATCTGCAGAAGATGGCAGGGCCTTGCTCCAAAAATCCTAGAGACTTCCACTGTGATTCACCTATGGGGGCCTGCCAAAGGCTCCATACAGCATCCCTATCTACCACTGACACCTCAAGCACTGTTGGATCTGCTGGGTCCTATGGCCTGAGCAGCTGGCACAGCATCCTGGAACTGTTGCAGAGCCTTCTCCTGTTCTGGACCCCACTCAAAACCAGCAGCCTTTCAGGTCATTTGATAAATGGGCTGGAGTAACACACCCAAATGAGGAATGTGTTGCCTCCAAAATCCAAATAGGTCCACTAAGCATAGTGCCTCTTTCTTGGTTAAAAGAGGACCCAAATGCAGCAACTTATCCTTCATCTTAGAGGGAATATTGCAACTGGCCCCACCCCACTGGACCCCTAGAAATTTTACTGAGGTAGAAGCTTCCTGAATTTTAGTCAGATTTATTTCCCATCCTCTGGAATGCAAATTTCTCACTGATAAGTCCAGTGTGTTTTCTACTTCTTGTTCACTGGATCCGATCAGCATAATGTAATCAATGTAATGGAGCAGTGTGATATCTTGCAGAAGTGAAAAGTGATCAAGTTCTCTCCAAATAAGATTATGACACAAAGCTGGAGAGCTCATACACTCCTGAAGTAGAAAAATAAGGGTATATTGCTGGCCTTGCCAGCTGAAGGCCAATTGCTTCTAGTGGGCCTTACAGACAGGAATGGAAAAAAGGACATTTGTCAAGTCAATGGCCACATACCAGGTACCAGGAGATGTGTTAATTTGCTCAAGGAATGAAACCACATCTAGTATAGCAGGTGCAATTGTAGTCACCACTTGGTTATGCTAACAATAATCCACTGTCATTCTCCAAGATCTCTCTGTCTTCTGCACAGGCCAAATGGGACAGTTGAACATGGATGCGGTGAGAATCACTATGCCTCAATCTTTCAAGTCCTAGATGGTGGTACTAATATCCGCAATCCCTCCAAGGATGAAATGTTGTTGTTGTTGTTGCTGTTGTTATTGTTTTTGATTTATGATTTTTCTTCTTTTGTATTTTTTTATTTTTTATTTTATTTTATTATTATTATACTTTAAGTTTTAGGGTACATGTGCACAATGTGCAGCTTAGTTACATATGTATACATGTGCCATGCTGGTGTGCTGCACCCATTAACTCATCATTTAGCATTAGGTATATCTCCTAAAACTATCCCTCCCCCCTCCCCCCACCCCACAACAGTCCCCAGAATGTGATGTTCACCTTCCTGTGTCCATGTGTTCTCATTGTTCAATTCCCACTTATGAGTGAGAATATGCGGTGTTTGGTTTTTTGTCCTTATGATAGTTTACTAAGAATGATGATTTCCAATTTCATCCATGTCCCTACAAAGGACATGAACTCATCATTTTTTATGGCTGCATAGTATTCCATGGTGTATATGTGCCACATTTTCTTAATCCAGTCTATCATTGTTGGACATTTGGGTTGGTTCCAAGTCTTTGCTATTGTGAATAATGCCGCAATAAACATATGTGTTCATGTGTCTTTATAGCAGCATGGTTTACAGTCCTTTGGGTATATACCCAGTAATGGGATGGCTGGGTCAAATGGTATTTCTAGTTCTAGATCCCTGAGGAATCGCCACACTGACTTCCACAATGGTGGAACTAGTTTACAGTCCCACCAACAGTGTAAAAGTGTTCCTATTTCTCCACATCCTCTCCAGCACCGGTTGTTTCCTGACTTTTTAATGATTGCCATTCTGAGTGGTGTGAGATGGTATCTCATTGTGGTTTTGATTTGCATTTCTCTGATGGCCAGTGATGGTGAGCATTTTTTCATGTGTTTTTGGCTGCATGAATGTCTTCTTTTGAGAAGTGTCTGTTCATGTCCTTCGCCCACCTTTTGATGGGGTTGTTTGTTTTTTTCTTGTAAATTTGTTTGAGTTCATTGTAGATTCTGGATATTAGGCCTTTGTCAGATGAGTAGGTTGCGAAAATTTTCTCCCGTTTTGTAGGTTGCCTGTTCACTCTGATGGTAGTTTCTTTTGCTGTGCAGAAGCTCTTTAGTTTAATTAGATCCCATTTGTCAATTTTGGTTTTTGTTGCCATTGCTTTTGGTGTTTTAGACATGAAGTCCTTGCCCATGCATATGTCCTGAATGGTAATGCCTAGGTTTTCTTCTAGGGTTTTTATGATTTTAGGTCTAATGTTTAAGTCTTTAATCCATCTTGAATTAATTTTTGTATAAGGTGTAAGGAAGGGATCCAGTTTCAGCTTTCCACATATGGCTAGCCAGTTTTCCCAGCACCATTTATTAAATAGGGAATCCTTTCCCCATTGCTTGTGTTTCTCAGGTTTGTCAAAGATCAGATAGTTGTAGATGAAGGAAAAAATGTTAAGGGCAGCCAGACAGAAAGGTCGGGTTACCCACAAAGGGAAGCCCTTCGGACTAACAGTGGATCTCTCGGCAGAAACTCTACAAGCAGAAGAGAGTGGGGGCCAATATTCAACATTCTTAAAGAAAAGAATTTTCAACCCAGAATTTCATATCCAGCCAAACTAAGCTTCATAAGTGAAGGAGAAATAAAATACTTTACAGACAAGCAAATGCTGAGAGATTTTGATTTATGATTTTTCTAGGTAGAGACAGCTCTAATGGCCTTTCCCACAGTAATAGCCCTCACCTGACCAGTCAGGTAGCCAATGTGGTTGTTCTGCCAGCTGCTAAGTTTGTCTATGCCAATTATGCATTCTCACACTGGGGAAATGACCACAGTATGAGTCCGGGACCCAGTGGACCTACTATAAGTCAGACCTGAGCTAAAACTTAATCAATTACTTGACCTCCATAAGCCCCTACTTTAACTGGAGGACCACAATGATGTTTTGAGTCCCCTGAAATCAACATCAGCTCAGAGCCAGTGTCCTGTAGTCCCTGAAATCTCTGATCATTTCTCTTTCCCCAATGCACAGTCACCCTGGTAAAAGGCTGGACGTCTCCTTGGTGAAGAATGGGAGAAAGATTCACTGGATAGATTGTTGGTAATGTAGTGGGGTCATTCCTCAAGAGCTCCTGGCCTCCCCTTCATTCAAGTAGTTCTGGTTCTGTAAACTGGTTTGAGTCTGGAAATTGATTGAGGGGCTGTGAGTCTCTTTTTATCATTCAAATTAGTCTTTGGTCCATTTGACCTAGAAATGTTCTCCTTACATAAATTATGTGGGAAAGCAGTAGCTTCCTATCAATTATACTTCTAGGAGCACCATGATTAATTAGCCAATGTCAGAGCATTACATGAGTAAGATTATTCTGATTGTTCCTTTGCCTCTGCTGTCCACTATGGTAGCTATGCCCACCTTGACAGTTGAGTGCTGCCACTTGGCCCCTGACACCTCAGGATCCAATTATTCCCACTGTATTTAAATTTTGTAGTTGAGTGACTGTGGTCCCTACTGTTAGATCTGACACACAGAGAAGAGCAATCACAGGGTTCTTCAAAGATGCAGGCTCTACCCTCACAAATCTATTTGACAAGGCATTGGTCAATGGTATATCTTCTGGACCCTGCCAGCTGGGACGAGTAGGTCTAAAGTGACTAACCCACTGCACCATCCCAGTCTCCCTAAGCCTTTAGATCCCTTCCTCTACATTAAGCAAAGGGAGATCAGGCATTTCCTTCTCGCTTATACTGGGCCATCTTTTAATCCATATTTCAGCTAACCAAGCAAATAAACTATTAGTACCTTTTTTTTTTTCAACTCCCTGCGTTGCAACCATTATCTCATACCTTTAATATCCATTCCCACACCTTTCCTCCAAAATTCTCTTTGTATAAATTAGAGAACTCAAGCAGTTCTTTTTAAATGTAATGCACCTCTTCATGGGTAACACTCAACATCACTTCTAGGGGCCCACTGGGACTTTAGTGTAGTTATAGGTCTAGAAGCAAACAGGGGTGTTGGGGGTGGCTCCTGAGGAGAATCAACATTATTTTGCCCAGCAACTGCCTCAGGGGAGGCCATCATTTTGCCTCAGGCAGCATAGGGTTTATCTACTCAGACATAGGTGAAAAGGCTGATGGCAACATGGGTCAGGGAGGGGATGTTGTCACTACTGCGGATGGGAAAGCTGTTTCTTCTGGCAAAAAAGGTTCATCAGAGTTTACAAACTCAATGTCCCCAGCTTCACCAGTGTCCTCCTACACATCCCCATTCCAAGTTGCAGGGTCCCATTCTTTTCAAATCAATGCCCTCACTTTAACAGTAGACACCTGGCAAGGCTGTGCATGCACCTTTCATTGTAGATCAGCCACTCGAATGATAAAAGCTTGTGTCTGCTTTTCCCACAATTTCAGCTGTTTCTCTACAGGAGATAAAACTCTCACTCAGGGAAATCTTAGCAGATTTGAGGCTCAGTATCTGCTTCTGAAGCCAAGAGACAGAATCCCTGAGTTCACCATTTTCTTTCATCAATTTGTCCACTGTACTTAGGAGCAACCAACCAGTTTCATTATGTTCCTTGTTTCTCCACATATGGTCAGAGGTATTATGTATAGTGTCATGAAACTCCTTGCCTCTCACGAGTGGTGAATCAAGAGTGGCAAACGCATTTATTTTGCATAGCTCTCTAAACAGTTCAGGCCAAGGACTATCAGTGTTCTCCATACTATTGGAAGTAAACTTCTTAGCATTTTTAGGCCTAATCATATTAAGCAACCAACTCCAGAAACTCCAAAACCAATGAATTAACTCTATCCTTAATATTCTGTTCCTCTAGAACCACTCCTGATACTGAAATCTGTATTAGTCAGGGTTCCATAAAGGGACAGAGCTAATAGGATAGATATATAAAGGAGTTTATTAACTATTAACTTACAAGATAACAAGGACCCACAATAGGCTGTCTACAAGCTTGAGGAGCAAGGAAGCCCAGTCTGAGTCTCAAAACTGAAGAACTTGGAATCTGATATTTGAGGGCAGCAAGCATCCAGCACAAGAGAAAGATGTAGGCTGGGGGGCTAGGCTAGTTTTGCCTTTTCACATGTTTCTGCCCACTTTATATTCGCTGGCAGCTGATTCGATTGTGCCCACGAGATTAAGGTGGGCCTGCCTTTCCCACCCTTTGGCAACACCCTCACAAAGACACCCAGGAACAATACTTTGCAGACTTTAATCCAATCAAGTTAACAGTATTAACCATCACAGGTGGTGAATGTAGGAGTTTTATTGAGTGGTGGAGGTGCCTCTCAGTAGGATGGATGGGGAACTGGAAAGGGAATAGAGTGGGAAGATGATCTTCCCCTTGGAGTCTGGCCATCCAGCGGCTGATCTCCTCTCCGACCATCCCCAGCAGAACTCCTTTCAATGTTCAGATCCTCCTTCTCTGCTGTGCTATTCTGCTGCTCTTCTGCTCTTCTGTTCGTCTTCCCTTGCAGCCTGGGGTTTGGGTTTTATATGAGTACAGGATATAGGGGTCTGGTGGGCCAAAAGGCAACTTTTGGGAGTGAAAACTGAGTATCTGTTCTCATTTAGGGCCATGGGTTTCCAGGATTGAGGGTGGGGCCTTTGCCGGGGAACCACCCTCTTCTACCCAGTATTTCCCAGTTTCTTGTCTGTATCACCTGTTTATGTCCTCTTTTACTACTGGTGGGTCTAGAAACTACATATACATCCTGAAATTACACTTAGTAGTTACAGTTAATATTCTATTCTTGAACAAAACTGGAAGTCTTGCACTATTTATATCCATCTATTCCATCTACTATGCCCCTTTATGCTATGTTTGTCATCTGTATGACATCAGTGTATAATATATTTTGCATTGAATATATATGTTTAAATAAGTTAAGAGAACATAAACAATCTTTCTATATTTACTTTGATGTTGATTCTGTCCCATTATTTTTCAGTCCACGAAGGTTGTAATTTATGCATATATGCTGGTGACATATTTTCTTGGTTTTGTTTTATCTGAACGTGGATGGGTTTAATGTCACCATTCAGTTTTCAGAAAACATTTATATTGGGATATAATTTACATAACACTCAATTTAACCTTTTAAAGTGTACAATTTAGTAGCTTTTTACATATTCACAAGGTTGTGCATCCACAATCAATATTTTCATCACCCCAAAAAGAAACCCTCCATCCTATAACCATCACCCCCAAAGGTCCCTTCTTCCCTAGCCCTGCACATGTACTTTAAATTTCTTTATTGTGGTAAGAACATTTACAATGAGATCTAACCTCCTAACAAATGATTATGTGCCATTGTTAATTATAAGCACAATGTTGCATAACATATCTCTAAAACTTACTAATTCTGTATAAATGAAAAATTATAAGCATTGAACAGCAAGTCCCTGTCTGTTCCAGTCTCCCCACTGATCCCTGACAACAACCATTCTACTCGCTGTTTCTATGAGTTTAATTGCTTTAGATACTTTATGTAAGTAAAATTATGACACCATTGATTTTTGATGAATATTTTACTGGATAAGAATTATACATCGACAGTTTTTTAAAAATTTATTTTCTGAAAAGTTTAAGAATTTTTTACATTGTCTTTTGTTCCATAGTTTTATTTTTAGTATTTTCCCCTGCTTTAAAGATTTTTTCTTTATAGTTGGTTGTCAACAGTTTGACTATGAAGTGCCAAGGAGTGGTTTATTCATATTTATCCTCTTTGGAGTTCACTGAGCTTCCTGCATTACACATTTATGGCTTTCCTTAAGTTTGGGAAATTTTCATTCACTTTTTCTTAAATATTTGTCTTGATCTATTATGTCCTTCACCTATTCTGAGACTCCATAACTATATGTTAGACGTTTTGATATTTCATCACAGAGCTCTAAGACTGTATATTTTTTTCAACCTTATTTCTCTGTATTAAATATTAAAGGGATCCTATTGACCTTAAAGTTTATTGGCTGTTTTCCTCTATCATATCCATTCTACTGTTAAGCTCATCCAATTTTACAAATTTTATGTATTATTTTTCAGTTAAAATTTTTATTTTACAAAATATTGTAGTTTTCTGGTGAGTTTCTCTAACTTTTCATTCAATATGAGTGTATTTTCTTTGTCATTATTGAAGGTTGTAAAGTCTCATGTATTGACATCTAAATATACATTATTTCAGGGTTCTTCTCTGTTAATTATCTTTAATATTGAGAATTAGTCATAGTTTTCTGATTCTTTACATGTTGAGTAAATTGGAATTTTATCTTAAAATTTTTGAATGTTGTGTTTTTGAAACTACATTTTATTATATCCTTTCAAAGATTAAAGCTGTGCTTGTTTTAGCAGGCAATTTATTTGGGTAGGCTCAAACTGTAAGCTCTGCCCCACCTGCAATGAGTTTATTTCCCTAGTTTCCTAGGCCATGAAGATAGTGAGTTTTTTGTTGAAGTTATTAACTATTCTATGTCATGCCGCTGCTGAGTACTGTTCTCCAGCAAAAGCACAAAGTATAGAACTGCTGCTCCCTTTCTTCAAATTTTAACTTCTCTGTGGTATGTTTTGACAAGATTTGACTTCCCTCAAAAATCTGCTTACCTTTTCTTCTAAGTAGTTTTAAAAATATTATTTCTTTACTTTGTATTTTTAAAATTTCAGTTTATCCATTATCTATGAATTTTTGGCTGTTAGGAGCTTCCTTTCCTGTACTGCAAACAGAACTCTGATGTCTCTGTTTTTAATCATTTTGACTACTTAGATTTAGGTTGAATACAATTCAAAGTAAAATAATACTTCTGAAAGTAAATTTTACATTTATAGAAGTATAAACATATACTCATGTTATAAACAATGTCTGGTTTTTTTTTTTTGTTTGTTTTTTTTTTTGAGAGACGAGATCGGCCTCTGTCACTGAGGCTGCGGTGAAGTGGCAGTGGCATGATCTCAGCTCACTGCAACCTCCGCCTCCCAGGCTCAAGCCAGTCTCCCACCTCAGCCTCCTGAGTAGGTGGGACTACAGGCATAGTTACCTTGCCAGTCTAATTTTTGTAGAGACAGGGTTTTGCCATGTTGCCAAGGCTGGTCTCCAAATCCTGGGCTCAAACTACCTGCCCGCCTCGGCCTCACAAAGTGCTAGGACTATAGGTGTGAACCACTGCGCCCAGCCAATGTCTTAAACTTTGTTAACAGCAAGTTTTATGTATGGTTATAGTAATGAGTAGCATAGAAGTGTTAATACACGTTAAAAGATAATAAGTGTTTTTTGTTTCATATTGCATGACTTTAGATTAGAAACAAAAAATAAATTTCAACAAATGTTGAAGCTAAAAAAAGTTGTAGGTAATGAATTTGAACATAAAAACTAGATCTGTGGGAAAATAGAGTTTTTAAAGTGGTCAGTTATTTTTAATTAAGCAATTCAGATCAATGGCACAGCATACTAAATTTAAAACCTAGAGGCATGAAGGCATAAGTTCTAGCAACAATTTCATTTATGTATAATTTCTTTGTATATTTAGTGCAGGGGTTACATGTTAACTCTGCTTGTAATGCTGTGAAAATGAGTCTCAATATGTACATTTTAACTATAGCTCAGAATCTCAGTGTACTGCATTTTCTTCCAGCTGTGATTAAGATGCTCTTTTCCATTTTTTGTAGAACATAAACCATCTCTCCTGTGCTTCTGATGCCACGTGTTTCTTATTCTCTACTGAGTTCCTTTTCCCCTCATGTGTTACCATTTTTTTATTATCATAAAGAAATTATAATGTGAAATCCACCTTCTTAACAAATTGTATGAATGTAGTAAAATACTATTAACTATATGCAAATTGTTGTACAGCAGATTTCTATAAATTTGTTATCTTGCATGGCTGAAGCAATATAACCATTAAGTAGGAACTGCCCTCTTACCCCTCCCCTCAGATCCTGGAAATCACCCTTCGACATTGTATTTATTTATTTAATTGTCAAATAAAAATTGCTTGTATTTATCATGTATAACATGATGTTTTAAAATATGTATACATTGTGGAATGGCTAAGTTGAGCTAATAGACATGTGAATTAACTGATATATCATTTTTTGTGGTGAGATCACAAAATCTACTCTGCATTTCAAAAAATACAACATATGATTATTAACTATAGAAACAATGTTGTACAAGAAAATTTTAAAACTTATCCCTCTTCTCCCTCACTAAAATTTTATATTCTTTGACCAACATCTCGCCAACTTGATCCCACCCCCTGCCCCTGGTGACCACCATTTTACTTTCTACTTGTATGAGTTCAACTTTTTTAGATTCCACATATGAATGAGATCATGCAGTATTTAACTCACTGTGCCTGTCTTGTTTCACTTAGCACAATCTCCTTCAGCTTTATTCATGTTATCATACATAACAAGATTTCCTTTGTTTTTAAGGCTGAATAATACTTTACTGTATGTGTATACCACATTTTCTTTATCCATCATCTGCTGATGGACACCTAGGTTGATTACGTACCTTGGCTATTGTGAATAATGTTACAATAAACATGAGAGTGCAGATATCTCTTTGACATAGTGATTTCATTTTCTTTGAATATAACTGGTAGTGGAATTGCTGGATCACATGGTAGCTCTGTTTTTGGATTTTTGAGGAATCTCCATACTATTTTCTCTAATGGCTGTATTCTTATACATTCCCACCAACAATGTGCAAGAATTCATTTTTTTCCACATTCTGGCCAGCACTTACTCTTCATCTCTTTGGTAGTGGCCATTCTAATAAGGATGAGGTGGTAATCTCATTGTGGTTTCAATTTGCAATTCTCACATGGTTGGTGATGTTGAGTAATTTTTTCATGTACATGTTGGCCATTTATATGTTTTCTCTTGAGAAATGTCTATTCAGGTCATTGGCCCATTTTTAAATTAGGCTATTTGATTCCTTGCTATTGAGTTGTTTGAGTTTCTTATATATTTTATATTTAACCCCTTAGGTGCATGGTTTGTTAACACTGTCCACCATTCTTTAGGTTGTCTCTTAATTCTATTGATTGCTTTCTGTCTGTGCAGAAGCTTTTCAATTTGAGGTAATACCATTTGTCTATTTTCACTTTTGTTACTAGTGCTTTGGGAGTCTTCTGATTTCTTCTCTGGCCTAAACTTAATGTAGAACTCTCATGCTAAATGAAAACAAATCTTTCACTTTATCCATTTATCTTTTTTATTTCTCTTTCTCCAGTTCAAGCATAACTTTTTTTCCTTCAATTATTTGTAATAACTTATTTTAATTCCCGCCAGTATAAGCCAATGAGTTGTCTATTGAATAGTATAAATTATACATATATACTTCATATTTATACACATACATTGTATTACTATACACACAGGCTATATCTATTTTTGCCATTTGATTCAAAGAGTATAGTTTCTCTCCCAGTTTCCAATTTCCTTTTAGAAGAGCTCTGTGCTTTCTCTTTATTTTTTGCGAATCCTATTCAATAAAATGGTAGGTACTTAGAAGATGCTTGAAAATACTTTTAAATATTTGTAAATTAATCTACTTGGTGACTTAGTATTTGATTGTTTGAAAGAAGTAAATGCTTAAATGATAACTTGCTAGTATCAAAGAGTTTAGAGTCTCCTACAAATTAATTTGCTATAGTTTGAATGTTTTTTTTTTGAAGACTAGGCATTGAGATTGAAGGTAATATGCTAATATCATCTACTAGTAATAATATAGGGATGGCCCCAAATCACCATGACTAATTGGTGATGAAAAGATTTGTTTAAAGGATATATTTGAGTTTTATATGTGAGCACAAATATTATACAGACATAAAATATAGTTTATATGTGAATATAATGTATATATGTGTATGTATGTGTGTATACAGGTACACTCACATATATATTCATATATATATATATATAAACACACACACACATATAGCTGTGTGGCACATACTGACATTTTGGTCAATGATGGACCACATGTATGATCATAATGGAGCTGAAAAATTTCTATTACCTAGTGATGTCTTAGCTGTCATAACGTCATAGTGCAATACTTTACTCACACGTCGTGGTAGTGGTGGTATAAACAGACCATCACATTTTCTGTTATGGACATAATACTTCAGAATGCTAAGAAACAACTATGTTATTGGCTTATGTATTTGCTACACTATATTTATCATCATTACTTTAGAATGTATACCTTTTAAAGAAGTAAACTGTGCAACAACCACAAGCAGGTCCTTCAGAAGGTATTTTCCAGAAGAAGGCGTGTTCCTCACAGGATATGACAGCCCCATGCATGTGTTGCCCCTGACGATCTTCCAGTGGGACAAGATTGTGCAGGTGGAGGACAGTGGTGTTCATAATTAAGTGTCTTAATTTTAACAAAAAGGCTTAAAAAGTAAATATAAAATAAAAAATAGAAAAATGCTCATATAAAAAGACATAAGGAAGGAAAATATCTTTGTACGGATGTGCAATGTGTTTGTGTTTTAAGCTATGTGTTATCACAAAAGAGTAAAAATATTATAAAACTAAAAAGTTTATAAATAAAATATTATAGTAAGTTGAGGTTAACTTATTATTGAAGGAAAAATATTTTTAAAAATAAATTTAGTGTAGCCTAAGTATCACTGTGTTTTAGTTGCCTACAGTATTCAGTAATGTAACATGCTGTACAGGTTTGTAGTCTATTCGACATAGCCTAGGTGTGCAGCAGGCTATATCACCTAGATTTGTATAAGTACACTCTATGATGTTCACACAATGATGAAGTTGCCTAACAATGTACTTTTCATAATGTATCCTCATTTTTATGCAATATATGCCCCCCAACACACACACATACACATCCCTCATCTTCAAAACACACTACAGCTCTAAATTAACTTTCTGAACAATATATTTTGCTACTAGGAACCAACTAATTAAAATTCCTTCAACCCACACTTCTGGCATAACTCGTCTGATTTATAATGAAAACTAGATTAAAAGAAAAAAAGAAATATGTTGTAATAGAGAGAAAAAAGTGATTTACTAAATATGAGCAGTTTTTTTCCCCAGTTTATGTGTGTACAAGTGTATCTTTTATTTATTCAGTATAAAAAACCATGGTCTTTTCTGGAGCTATTTAGTAGATCAAACCCACACGTTACTCCCCATCCTGTCAAATGAGCTGTATTATGAATTATCACATTAGAGTATCTAAGATGTTCTGGAAGGAGGTACATTTTATTTATTTTTGCTCTTGCCAAATCCCCAATGTCTTTATTTATCATTCTCTGCTTCCTGTAAGCAATACGGTTACTCCATTCTCAAAGTCACTGAACAAATTCCTGCAACTTGAAACCACAGGCATCGGGGAAAAAATAATCTGAAAGTCCACATGTAAAATGTGCTTTACCTACTTAATTAGTTCCCATAAGCATAATTTGTATTGTGTTAGTAAGATACATAGATTAATTTACCTCGACTTATTTTTCCAATAGAAGCGAGAATGAGGAAATAAACAGTATCTTGTTTTTAAGAAAGAAAGAAAATGATTCTAATTTTATTCATGAGCTCGAGTCACATTGTTTCTGGAATGTCAAACTTGAAAGACATAAATACCATAAGAACAATACACTATTCTATAATTTAACACCTGTCTCCCATAAATAGGCTATGGCATTTTCATGCTTCTGTGTTAATGCAATATGTTGCTTTTTTTTTCTTTTTGCTACTACCATGAAATGTCTGGAACAGAGCTATGAGCATTTTAAACTTGGCTGTAGCATGCCTGCTCTGAGGCTCTCTGTGCATTTTTTTTCCCTATCAGACTCATTTCACTTTGCATGCTTTCCAAATTATAAATGTCACAGCATTGTTTAAATGTGACTATGTTACTAAGGGAAGGAAAGTTCCAGGTTAACATGGACATAATAGAGATTTAACTTCTAGCTAATATTTTTAGAAGAATATAATTACAACTTTTCTTAGTACAATATGTTTACAAGTTTCTGATAAAAGTAATAAAAGGTGGAGACAATAAAATACTGTACTAATTGCAGATTAAAAGTACAGAGGATATCATGCCTCAAATGGGTTGAGGGTAAAGCTTAAAATATTTAGCGAGCTTGCAAAATATAGACCATTGCCCCCCCTCCTTTCCATACTCTAGGTTTGTGCATTCCTAGACACAAAAGGTTGTGTTTGAATTTTAGTACCAGAATTCAGAGACAGATGGGGGAAGGATGGAACAAAAGTTTCAAAAGTAGATGAAATCCTTTTGAGCCTTTATACACTCTGTGATCTCGAGAAATTTACAGGAAGTTATTAAGCTTCAGTTTCTTCTGTGAAATGTGAATGATAATGAAAAGAACTTGCAGAGTACTATGAAGTTATATTTGCGTATTTGCACATGGCTTGGTAAAGTGAGTTTCTATATAAATGTCAGCTGTATTTTTGTAATGTTTACAAAGTTCTTCGTACCTTACACACTACATACATCACTCATCCTTGTAAAAACACCATGAGGAAAAGTACTATTTTTATCCCCTTTGCACAAAAAGTGAAAATGGAGGCATAAAGAAATGAAAAGATTTGGCTAAGGTCACACTAGTTGTGAAGTATCCCAAATTTGGACCAAGCAGTCTGACTGCACTCTTTCCCATTTTTCTACACTGCCTCTTAACTGAATGCAACCTTGAGATGATCATCATTTCCTCATCTCTCACCACGCTTTCTGCAAGTGTTCCTTTTGTGTCCCTTGAGGAATGGCCTCTAGATGTGCTAGTACATCCGCTTATTACTGTCTCTTATTCTGTAGAGGCTTTCCCTAACAGGAAAGTTAAAGACAAAATTTACTTATAACCCAACTTTGTTTAAAATTATTCTTGAATGTTAAGGATGTGGGGCTCATGTTCAGAAAACAAAAGTAGAAATAAGTGCTATGGAACAGGAGTGGAGCAGACACTTACCCAAAGTGTTATTTCAATGGGTCAATGAGCTGGATTTTTTAACGACAAGCTCCTAGGTGTAAAACGCCCTCGCTGTGTGCAATCCCTATATTGGCCAGCTTTTTGGGAGGGATATTGCTATATTAGGCCCAGCCATGGAAGGAGAAGCAGGTCCCTAGTTGCACTGCTTGCCTTGCTCCCTCCTCCTTTTTCCTTAATAAAGAGAGATGCTCGTGCTTCTTCCTCATAACCTGCAATAACTCTAACTTCTGGATGGGTTTGGCTCAGTCAAAGGGAATGGACTCGTGGAAACACTACCTGTTGCAGCAGGCATGAGAGACTCCCTAACCTTTCAAGCAGTAGTTACATTTTCTACTGCAATACCGGGAGTCCAGCTTCATTATGGTTTTGTCAGACCTTTATTTACTCACTACATAAAGTTTTCCGGCAAGTCAGTTTATCCTGCTTTCATATTCTTGCTCCATTCTGGAATGAATCCTTCTAAAAATGAGAATATTTTTGGTTTTTCACTGGAATACACCTTTTTATTTTTATTTTTATTTTGCTTGATACTTTTTCACATCCTTTCTAATCTGCTCAAAAACAAATATGTCTCATATCAGTGAACCAAATATTATGTGTCCCATCTTCCAAGTTTTCAGGTTTCAGCACTGATTTCTTTGATTATATTAATTCACAAATAATCTCTTCCATCACTAACCTCTTCATATGATCATAGTCATACAATAATTCAAAATATAATGATTCTCTAATTATTTATTCTATAGGTAAATACTAATCTCTGTAAATCTTTCATATGCTTTCCATAACAACAGATGCATCAAGGATTTTCAATAATTTTATTTGTTTGTTTGAACACTAGCTATAACTTAGAAACTTAACTTACTTCTCATTAAATAAAGTCAGAAACATAGAAAATAGAACTTATTGAAATGGTGAAGAAGAGAAAGAAAGGAACAAAGGCCCAGTTGTTTCAAATGCGTCAATAACAGATATTTTAAGACTGAAAAAAATCTGCAAAAGAGAGAATGGAAGTCAAAAGTGAGAGCTGTCTTAACACCAGTGATCTTTTCCAATAGCTGTAAAATATAACAGCATTTTCTTTTCTTTTTTGTAAAGTTTGGAATGAATATTGGACATATACCCTCTTCACCTGGAAACATGTTGGCATTAAAACTGTAATATTTATTTTGTTCCAGTTTTACAAAAGAAAAGCTTTCAAACTATAATTTACTTGTGATGCCCTTCACATTGTAGTAATATAATTCTAAAAAATTTCAAAAACTTAGCTACATCCCTGAAATGTAGTTGCATCGATGCTGAGAATAATATGTCATTTTACTACACAGAAAAGTAAATATATTTAATCTCTTCATGAAGATATATCCTTATTTCTATAAGTATTGATTGTATAGACTTAACGTCTTCAGATCTAAAATCTTTGACTCAGTGTATTCTCTCAGCCTCTAACATCTAGCAATTTCTGAATCTATCTTTAACCATCCCTGCTTGTCTGCCTCATAAAATTCCCTTTGCACTTTTACATACCCACTTTACACTTTCTACTGTTGCACATTATGAAAATCACAGTAAAAGCCAAGCTACAACAACTGAGTCTTGGTTTATTTATTGTATGAAAAATATCAAATTATTGTTTTCTAGAGATTATTCTTGATTGCTTTTACTCCGTTTTGTTCCACCCATTTTTTTTCTAACATCTTGGCTCAGTGCTAGATTGTAGTCCCTTGTCAATCATTTGCTATTCATGATTATTAGACTTGATTTATCTAAGAGGAAGGTAAGCTTGGATCTATTAGTTTGAATGGTACATACATAATCCAATATTAAAAGAATCTGTAATATCAAACACCTTTGTTAACACAGCAAAATGTATAAGCATCAAATTCTTGTAAAGGCAAGTTTCATACAATAATGTGCACATGCTGATATTGCTAGCATAATTATTTAGAAACCTTTGGCTATCTCCTAGGGCATGTACAAGTGATTGTAAAGGGAGAGAATTATAAATAGCTCTCCATGTCTAGCAAGGGAAGTGTTGATGCTTTTTGGAATCATTATTTACATTCCATTCAATACCATCTTTTTCTTCTAGGTTGCTCCTAGATTACTGAAATTAATCTCAGTGTTGAAGCTTCGCATTAATAATACTTATAAAATTGTCAATGAAATTTTAAATCACGATAAAATTTCAGATTTAGAAAATTTAATATTAGCAGTTTATATACTCTTATGGCCTCAAAGACCTATGATATTAATTTATAATTTAGTTGAAGAAGAGTGTGAATTCCAAGAACTGAAAATCTAGTGAATAATCTCAATTGACCACTCCCATCTTCACTGTAAAATTACTTTTGTAATCTTCATTGTGTGTATATGTTTTAGAATTAAATTATTATTAATAACAGATGCATCTCCAGGAACTCAATTATGTCACAAGATTCATTTAGACCTATTTCAGACTCTGAAGAAATTCAGAAAAAGACACATTTTGAAAATTCTATAAGCATAGGTAAACTAATAAATTATGGATGCTATGGATGTGCAGAGGTTTTTTGAATCATCTTCAGGATACCAACTTCATTTATTGAAAAGTTCATGTGTTAGACTCTTTGATGGCATGTGCTGAAATATTAATTCATATGTAATTTTAGGTAATTATAACATTCTTGAGATTAATGCAAGTCTGTGTGGACTGATGTTTTGGTTTTGCAACAAAGAACTGTTTGTAATTACTATTTAAGTGGAGACCATTTTGAGTTACTTGAAATAATTAAATATTGAATTTAAATTACTTATCTTTTCTTAAAAATCAAATGGTATAATATAAAACAATTTTAAAGATAACAGAAACAGTAATTACAAAAAATATAACTTATGAAGTAAACATCAGAGAAGTTAGGTGGGAGATTTTAATAACAATTAATGAAAAATTCATTTTCTGGCAGCAGAGGGAGCTCTTTTATTTCTTGCAAGTACCCAGTGGCATGTCATTCCACACAAAATTGATGCTTTGTACACAACTGGACTTGCTTATTTAATAAATCCTGTCCCCTAATGAATCCAAAAGACATAAGCAACACAATTAGAAGTTGTGTGTGCAATTGCATGTTTCATATTTCTATAATGATGAGGATGTAAACATGTTTCTGCAGTTTGGGTTTACATGGAATCAGCAAATAAATCACCTTAAGTAATACTTCTACCTGCGATGGTGTCTTTGAAAATAAAATTAACGTGCTTTGGTTTGACAGAAAGGTGCTTCATGCTTAGCAGGTAATTTTTCAGGTGGTATTAAGAGGAATTTTATTGGTAGGAGAGGATGTGGTTGTACTCTGACAAGCTGGTCAGAATTGTTCATATTTGATGCATTGATATCAATGTGAACTCTTTTGATCTACATTTATTTAGACATTGGATATGATCATGGAGATGAAGTACATTCTATAGGGAACATATTTTATCACAGAAGCAAAACAATTCAAATAGTTTGCTACTAGTTTCCTACTAAATAACAATGAACATTTTCTGTTGTGGTATAGATTATTATTTTTATTACTATTATTTTAACTATTTTCGTAAATACTTGGCTAATTCTGCAGCTATACAGAGTCCAAAAATATGAGCCTTTACTTGTGCTCAGAGCCATGGCAATAAAATGGGACAGTAAATTTAAAAAGAAGAAGAAAAGTGTAAGATACTGTTTCAGGGTTGACAAAGGTTGAAATATACCTGTTGCTACAAGACTGGCATAGATAAAAATAAAAACAAAAATAAAAGCAAAAATAAGCAGACACTGTATAATTTCAAGCTAAATTATGTTTGCACCATTATTTTAATGGCATTTTCTTGAGTTCTCACTATCTTCAACATGACTGGTAGACAATGGGATTCATTTTTGGGTGAATTCTTCTGTCATGAAGATTTAAGAAAATGGAAAGAAAAAATAAATCCGATTTGATTGGGGTGATGTTATGGATATACGTGGTGCTATGCAAGCAAAGAGGTAGGAGGCCTAATTGACGTGAGGGCCTGACTCCCTAAACTTTGAAGTCTGTGGCAACCTTAACATTTGGGAGATCAACCCTGCAGCTAGAGATAGAGCAAGTCTGTTCCACTGGAATGGATCAATTTTAACTCCTGTGCTTTTCCTTCTTGCAAATAACTTCACTGTGTCTTCTAAGAAATGTGAACCTAAAGGCATTTAATCCGAAGGCATCTACCATTAAGCTCCCGTTTAACAGAGTCTAAAAGAATGTAAAGAAAATTATTCAGGTTCACAACTACCATCACTTATCATCACCCAACTTTGAGAAACTGATACTATGGCCACAAGTGGAATATTTTCAGAATTGTGGATTCTACCTTGAAGAACTGAACGAAATGCCTTGTAAATATTGCCCAACAAATAAGAATTCGGCCGGGCGTGGTGGTTCACTCCTGTAATCCCAGTACTTTGGGAGGCTGAGGCAGGCGGATCACCTGAGGTCAGGAGTAAGACAAGCCTGGCTAACATGGTGAAACCCTGTCTCTACTAAAAATACAAAAATTAAGGCCGGGCGTGGTGGCATGTGCCTGTAATCCCAGCACTTCGGGAGGCCGAGGCAGGTGGATTGCCTGAGCTCAGAAGTTGGAGACTAGCCTGGGCAACACGGTGAAACCCCGTCTCTACTAAAATACAAAAAATTAGCCGGGCGTGGTGGTGGGTGCCTGTAGTCCCAGCTACGGGGGAGGCTGAGGCAAGAGAACTGCTTGAACCCTGGAGGCAGAGCTTGCAGTGAGCCGAGATCGCGCCACCGCACTCCAGCCTGGGCGACAGAGAGAGAGGCTCCATCTCAAAAAAAAAAAAAAAAAAAAAGGAAAAAAAATTAGCTGGATGTGGTGATGGGCGCCTGTAATCCCAGCTACTCCAGAGGCTGAGGAGGGAGAATCGTTTGAACCAGGGAAGCGGAGGTTGCAGTGACCCGAGATTTCGTCATTGCTCCCCAGCCTGGGCGACAAGAGCTAAACTCCGTCTCAAAAAATAAAAATAAATAAATGAACAAATAAGATGTCAGTGAGCCTGCCTCGCTCCCTCCCTTCCTCTCTTGCCCCTTCCCCTCTTCCCCCCTTCTCCCTTCTCCCCTTCCCCCGTTGCTTGCTTGCTTCCTTCCTTCCTTCCTTCCTTGCTTCCTTCCTCCCTCCCTCCCTTCCTTCTTCCCATCCCTCCTATTGTTCCATTATGCATTTGGCATTTGCTTAGTATCTAGTAAGTGCCAGGGATTTTGCTAAGACTAGAACATGATCTCTGCCCTTGAAGAAAGGAAAAATATTCTACCAAGAGGAACTTAATCTCAATCTTCCTACTTTTGTTTGCTTTTATTTTGCTCCATTCATTTCTTTTTAAGATACACACAAACAGACACATACAAACACATACATTACAGGCTCCTGGTTCATTTATACTATCCTGAGCTACCCACACACTCTCCTTAAATGGAAAGCAAACAGGCCGAGGAGTGGGAAGATGTATCCATTTTTAATTATTTCCTAATATTAGCATATGAATTATAATATCACTTTCATTTGCCTTGAAATGTCTTTTCTTTTTAGGTTCATTTCATAGCAATTTTTCTGCAGAACAAAAGATATGTGAGTGAATTTGAAGGTTATTCCTTTATCTAAAGTGAGAGGAAATATTCTATATCTAAAATATACAACTTGTTAAAAAATATTGGTTGTATCCAGTTATCTCAAGTGCACATAGTAAATAGGTGTGCAACCAGCATGTTTTTTTCACTTTTGCCCTAAACTTTGGGATTCAGTCTCTATTCTCTTGGATACTGAGGTAAGGGAATTCTTAGCATCAGGTTGAAATCACAATTTCAGACTCTCCTATGTTTTCCCCAATCATCCTCCTATTTATCCATCTATCTGATGTCTTTTGATCAATTTTTTTTCTGCCATCCCAAGACAAAAAATTACCTCAACCGTTTGCAAGGCTATCTAGCCACTTACTACTATATTCTCTTTTTGTCTATTTATTTCTTTTAAAAAAATGGGATACATGTGCAGGTTTGTTACATAGGTATACATGTACCATGGTGATTTGCTGCACCGAAGTTCCCTCCTGTCACCACCCCACCCCTAACAAACCCTAGTGTGTATTGTTCCCAGCTCTGTGTCCATGTGTTCTCAATGTTCAACTCCCACTTAAGAGTGAGAACATGCAGTGTTTGGTTTTCTGTTCCTGTGTTCATTTGGTAAGGATGATGGCTTCCAGCTTCATCCATGTCCCTGCAAAGGAGTTGATCTCATTCCCTTTTATGGCTGCATAGTAGTTCATGGTGTATATGTAGCACATTTTCTTTATCCAGTCTATCATTGATGGGCATTTGAGTTATTTCTATGTCTTTGCTACTGTAAATAGTGCTGCAATAAACATATCTATGCGTGTGTCTTTACAGTAGAATGATTTACATTCCTTTGGGTATATACCCAGTAATGGGATTGCTGAGTCAAAGGGTATTTCTGGTTCTACATCTTTGAGGAATCGCCACACAGTCTTCCACAATGGTTGAACTAATTCACATTCCCACCAACAGTGTAAAAGTTTTTCCATTTCTCACAGCCTTGCCAGCATCAGTTGTTTCCTGACTTTTTAATAATGGCCAATCTGATCGCTGTGAGATGGTATCTCACTGTGGTTTTGATTTGCATTTCTCTAATGATTAGTGATGATAAGCTTTTTTCATATGTTTTTTGGTCACATAGATGTCTTATTTTGAGAAGTGTCTGTTCATATCTTTTACTCACTTTTTGATGGGGTTGTTTGTTTTTTACTTGTAAATATGTTTAGCTCCCTGTGAATTCTGGATATTAAACCTTTGTCAAATGGGTAGATAGCAAAAATTTTCTCCCATTCTGTAGGTTTTCTGTTCACTCTGGTGATAGTTTCTTTTGCTGTGCAGAAGCTCTTTCGTTTAATTAGCTCCTATTTGTCAATTTTGGCTTTTGTTGCAATTGCTTTGGCATTTTTATCATGAAGTATTAGCCCATGGCTATGTCCTGAATGGTATTGCCTAGGTTTTCTTCTATGGTTTTTATGGTTTTGGGTTTTACATTTAAGTCTTTAATCCATTTTGAGTTAATTTTTGTATAAGGTGTAAGGAAGAGGTCCAGTTTCAGTCTTCTGCATATGGCTACCCAGTTTTCCCAGTATCATTTACTGAATAGGAGATCCTTTCCCCATTCCTTGTTTTTGTCAGGTTTGTCAAAGATCAGATGGCTGTAGATGTGCAGTGTTATTTCTGAGGTCTCTGTTCTGCTCCATTTGTCTATATGTCTGTTTTGGTATCAGTACCATGCTGTTCTGGTTACTGTAGCCTTGTAGTATATTTTGAAGTCAGGTAGCATGATGCCTCCAGCTTTGTTTGTTTTGCTTAGGATTTTCTTGGTTATACAAGGTCTTCTTTGATTCCATATGAAACTAAAGTATTTTTTTCTAATTCTATGAAGAATGTCAATGGTAGTTTGATGGGAATAGCATTGAATCTATAAATTAATGTAGACAGTATAGTCATTTTCATGACATTGATTCTTCCTATCCATGAGGATGAAATGTTTTTCCATTTGTTTGTGTCCTTTCTTATTTCCTTGAGCAGTGGTTTGTAGTTCTCCTTGAAGAGGTCCTTCACATCCCTTGTTAGCTGTATTCCTAAGTTTTATTCTCTTTGTAGCAATTGTGAATGGGAGTTCATTCATGATTTGTCTCTCTGCTTGCCTATTGTTGTTTTAAAGGAATGGTTGTGGTTTTTGCACATGGATTTTGTATCCTGAGACTTTGCTGAAGTTGCTTATCAGCTTAAGGAGTTTTGGGGCTGAGACAATGGGGTTTTCTAAATATAAAACCATATCGTCTGCAGAGACAACTTGACTTCCTCTCTTCCTATTTGAATGCCCTTTATTTCTTTCTCTTGCCTGATTGCCTTGGTCAGAACTTACAATATTATGTTGAATAGGAGTGGTGAGAGAGGGCATCCTTGTCTTGTGCAGGTTTTCAAAAGGAATGCTTCCAGCTTTTGACCATTCAATATGATATTGGCTGTGGGTTTGTCATAAATAGCTCTTATTATTTTCAGATGTGTTCTATCAACACCTAGTTTATTGACAGTTTTTAACATGAAGGGATTTTGAATTTTATCTAAGGTCTGTTCTGCATCTATTGAGATAATCATGTGTTTTTGTCATTGGTTCTGTTTATGTGATGGATTACGTTTATTGATTTGCATATGTTGAACCAGCCTTGAATCCCAGGCATGAAGCTCACTTGATTGTGGTGGATAAGCTTTTTGATATGCTGCCAGATTTGGTTTGCCAGTATTTTGAGGATTTTCACATCGATGTTCATCAGGGATATTGGCCTGCCTGAAATTTTCTTTTTTTGTTGTTGGGTCTCTGTCAGGTTTGTTATCAGGATTATGCTGGCCTCATAAAATGAGTTAGGGAGGAGCCCCCTCCTTTTCAATTGTTTGAAATAGTTTCAGAAGGAATAGACCAGCTCTTCTTTGTATTTCTGGTAGAATTCAGCTGGGAATCCATCATCTCCTGGGCTTTTTTTTTTTTTGGTTGGTAGGCTATTAATTACTGCCTCAATTACAGAGCTTGTTTTTGGTCTATTCAGGGATTCACATTCTTCCTGGTTTAGCCTTGGTAGGGTGTATGCGTCCAGGAATCTATCCATTTCCTCTGGACTTTTTAGTTCATTTGTGAAGAGGTGTTTATAGTATTCTCTGATGGTAGTTTGTATTTCTGTGGGGATCAATGGTGATAACCCCTTTATCATTTTTATTATGTCTATTTAAATCTTGCCTTTCTTCTTTTGTATTAATCTAGCTAGTGTTCTATTTTGTTTATATTTTCAAAAAAAATAGCTCCTGGGTTTGTTAATTTTTTTTTTTTTGAGGGTTTTTCTTGTCTCTATCTCTTTCAATTATTCTTTAATTAGAGTTATTTCTTGCCTTCTGCTAGATTTTGGATTAGTTTGCCTGGCCTCTCCAGCTCTTTTAATTGTGATGTTAGGGTGTTGATTCGAGATATTTCTAGCTTTCTTATGTGGGCATTTAGTGCTATAAATGTCCTTCTTACCACTGCTTTAGCTGTGTCCCAGAGATTCCAGTACTTTGTCTCTTTGTTATAATTGGTTTCAAATAACTTACTGATTTCTGCCTTAATTTCATTATTTACCCAGGAGTCATTCAGGAGCAGGTTGTTCAATTTCCATGAAATTGTGTGTTTTTGACGAATTTCTTAATCCTGAGTGCTAATTTGATTGCACTGTGGTCTGAGAGACTGTTAGGATTCCAATTTTTTTTAATTTGCTGAGGTGTGTTTTACTTCCAATTAGGTGGTTGATTTTAGAATAATTGCCATGTGGCACTGAGAAGAATGTATATTCTGTTGATTTGTGGTAGAGAGTTCTGTAGATGTCTACTAGGTCCACTTGATCTAGAGCTGAGTTCAAGTCCTCAATATCCTTGTTAATTTTCTGTCTTGTTGATCTGTCTAATACTGACAGTGGGGTGTTAAAATCTCCCACTATTATTGTGTGGGAGTCTAAGTCTCTTTGTAGGTCTCTAAGAACTTGATTTATGAATCTGGGTGCTCCTGTATTGGTTCCTTATGTATTTAGAATAGTTAGCTCTTCTTGTTGAATTGTTCCCTTTACCATTATGTAATAGCCTTCTTTGTTTTTTTGATCTTTGTTGGTTTAAGGTCTGTTTTGTCAGAGACTAGAATTGCAACCCCTGCTTTTTTCTTTTGCTTTCCATTTGCTTGGTAATTTTTCCTCCATCCCTTTATTTTCAGTCTGCGTGTGTCTTTGCAGGTAAGATGGGTCTCCTGAATACAGCACACTGAAGGGTCTTGACTTCTTATCCACTTTGCCAGTCTGTGCCATTTAATTAGGACATTTAGCCCATTTACTTTTAAGGTTAGTATTGTAATGTGTGAATCTGATCCTGTCATCATGATGATATTTGGCTATTTTGCACACTACTTGATGCAGTCTCTTCATAATGTCATTGGTCTTTATATTTTGGGGTGATTTTGCAGTGGCTAGTACCGATTTTTTTCTTTCCATATTTAGTGCTTCTTTTAGAGGCTCTTGCAGGCAGGGCTGGTGGTAATGAAATCCCTCAGCATTTTATCAGTAAACGATTTTATTTCTCCTTCACTTATGAAGCTTAATTTGGCTGGATATGAAATTCCGGGTTGAAAATTCTTTTATTTAAGTATGTTGAATATTGGCCCCCAATCTCTTCTGGCTTGTAGAGTTTCTACTGAGGGGTCCACTGTTAGTCTGATTGGCTTCCCTTTGTGGGTGAACTGATCTTTCTCTCTGGCTGCTCTTAACAGTTTTTCCTTCATTTCGACCTTGGAGATTCTGACGATTATGTGTCTTGGGGTTGATCTTCTAGTGAAGTATCTTAATGGAGTTCTCTGTGTCTCCTGAATTTGCAGGTTGGCCTGTCTTGCTAGGTTGGGGAAGTTCTCTTGGATAATATCCTGAAGTGTGTTTTCCACCTTGTTTCCATTCTCCCTGTCTCCTTCTGGTACTCCAATCACCCATACGTTTGGTCTTTTTATGAAATCCCGTATTTCTTGGAGGCTTTGTTCATTCCTTTTCATCTTTTTTCTCTATTCTTGTCTACCTGTCTTAATTTAGTAATTAAGGATATCAAACTCTGATATCCTTTCTTCCACTTGGTTAGTCTGGCTATTGATACTTGTGTATGCTTCGTGGTAGGCCCTGGTGCCATGGGTTTGTGAGTGGGATATTCCTATCTGTGGGTTGCACAGTTCCCTGGAAAAAGCACAGTTTCCTAGGCTGGGTAGTGCACTCACTCACTCCTCCCTTGGCTTGGGGAGGAGGTTCCTCTTCTCTGTGTGGCTCTCAGGTAGGCCACTGCATCACACTGCTCTTCTTTCTTTCCGTGGGCCACACCGGCCTTTTAGTCAATTTTGACGAGAGAACCTGGATACCTCAGTTGTTGGTAAAGAATTCACATGCTTATTATGGTTTTCTTCTATGGGAGCCTCTGAACGCTGCTGCTTCTAGAGGGTCACCTTGGTCCCACCCCCAATATATTCTAACATTAATAACACTTTTTTTTTTTTTTGAGACAGAGTCTCTCTCTGTCTCCCAGGCTGGACTGCAGTGGTGCGATCTCGGTTCACTGCAAACTTCTCCTCACGAGTTCAACCAATTCTTGTGCCTCAGCCTCCTGAGTAGCTGGGATTGTGGGTGTGCACCACCACACCTGTCTAATTTTGTATTTTTAGGAGAAACAAGGTTTTGCAGTGTTGGCCAGGCTGGTCTTGTACTCCTAATTTTAGGTGATCCACCTACCTCAGCCTTCCAAAGTGCTGCGGTTACAGGTGTGAGCTGCTGGGATTATAGGTATGAACCACCGCACCTGGCCAATAACACTTTTTTTTGGCAATAAATTTCCTCTTACAGGAGGAAATAGTTAATGGAACAAAACCATCAGCTTTAGATAGTAATGTTTCTGCCATGCCCACATATGTCTCTCTGAGGCAGGCAGCAGCTACAGAGGTCTTTGAATAAATGAACATCTGGTTCAATCAAATTTCTTTCTGTGCTTTATTATTTTGTTGTTATTTTTACACAACTGAACATAGTTCTCAAGAAATTGGTTAGAACAGTTGTGTTAAAATAGAAGATGCAAATAAAATACCTCTTATTAAGAGAATATTTTTCTTATCTACAACAGAGTTTTCCTTAGACAGTACACCTACCCCAAATGCAGTCAGTACCCTGTGAAGAGGATGTCTTAGTTCAAGTCACATTTTCCCAAGTCCCTCACACCAAACTACAAACTATGAAACTCTAATGTGGTAAATCCTTCACCTGACTTCTAAAATAGGTGGTTGGCATAGTGGGGAGATCATGGCTTCTACATCTAAGAATTGTGCACTTAAATCCTGGCTCTGAAGAGATCACGGTTTCTAAACCTAAGAGTTGTGCATTTAAATCCTGGCTTTAATGTTTACCAGCTCCAATATGTTAGACAAATTATTTGACTACTTTTAAATCCATTTGTCTCATATGTAAAGTGGAGGAATACAATGGCATTCTCAAGATGGCTGAGAAAGTGTAACTAATACAAATAATGCATGAAATACCCAGACATACAGTAGACATAAGATTAGTTCTTTTCAACATTTTAGATTGCCTAAGTTAGAACGTGGCTCTTGGGTAAAAGTTGCTGTTTTTATTCAGGTATCCACTGCCCTTAGCACAGAGTAGGCAATGCAAATTCTGAAAGTATTACTGCATTCTAGTTGTTTCCATGGTTACTGTTGAAACTACCTGCTGTAATATATATGTATATCCTTATTATAAGGTATTTATATATGATATTGTTAATATGGTTATATAATGTAAATTTTCCAAAAGAGATTTTTGACTCTAGAGAAGACATAAAATTGTTGAGAAATAAATCTGACCAAAATCTTTCAGGTGTATTTGGAGATCACTGCAATTTATGTTACCTTAAAAAGGTATGTTTAAGATAGAGAGGAGCAGGTTTATTGAAAAACATGGTTTATTTCCAGGTGTTTTCTAGATTGAGTGTCATCGGGCAAAAAAGAAGAGAGGAAAAGAGAGAAAATAAATTAAATACCTCTATGATTTCATGCAGAGACAAGAAAAACAAATTTAAACACCACCTGCAGTCTTTGTGTGTCAAGATAATTTTATTTATATTACACTCCCCTGATCAAGGTGCTGTGGGCATGAAATACACAATTAAAATGAGATAATAATAAACAACAAGAGTTAAAACATTATAAAAATCCAAATTGAAGATGACAAAGACAGGAATAAGAGAGTGGCTGGGATGGGAGACGACTGATACGTTTAGCTCAAATCTAAAAGTCTCACAATCTGTATTTTCTAGAATGAGCGTGTGATGACTTATGATCCATTTGGCTGTCATAGAACCTGGCATTGTAGTTGCCTTATTTCTCGCTGTTGGGGTTGGGAAACATAGATCATAACAAGCCCACATGTGAGGATTCATATTTAGCTTAAGATATTCAGACAGCTCTGATTTACCATTGTAACTTGTTATAGCTTAGCAGTCTTAGGGGCTGCTGTCATTATCATGCTGTTGGATTTCAAAAGTGCTTTAGTTGGCAAAGCTGCTATTTTTATAGAGACAAAAAAGTGTCTCCAGCAACTTGAGATATTAAAGAGGCTGGCAGCATATTGCTACATGTTGTTAAACAAATCCATTGTTCAAAGATTTTACCTTTAGTGACTGGCCAGAAAATGAACTAGAGAATAAATGCCTTCAAATTCTGAAATCTTTAGTAGTGTCTCAGGTCACAAGGAAAAAGAATATATGTTGATGAAAAGGGATTAAAATGGAACATATAGGGTTATCTAAAACAAAAACCAATAGAAAGAGAGTTTCCAAATCTGTGAGAGCCTTTGGTATCTATGAGGTTAGAATTTAGAGGCTTCATGATTTTGGATGGAGAAAAAAATTACATCTTTTTTTTTTAAGCAATCTCTAAAATTTGGCATTTCTTTCATTTTGGAATGTGGACAAACTCATAATAGATAGAAGCGCCTATGATTTTGTTACTAATATGTGTCATAAATACTTTCATTTTCCATTATAGATTGTTTATTGTTTGCACCAATTACTACTTAGAAAATTAATGTAATTATTACACCTGCACTGTAAGGCATTAATTAAAACACATATATTGATATAACACAAATTTGAATGTATATTAGTAATTGTATTTCACCATCATTTGATTTCTTTGTAGTCATATGTAATTTATATTAGGCATTTAAAATGTTATTTTGATAAGCATTTAAAGGTCCACAGCTTTCAATAAACCACCAAAAAGTTAGTGACCCACAACAGGTCAATAATTGATTCGTTGGTAGCAGAAATGTATTCTGCAGAAGCTAAGTAAATCATGGTTAAATAAAATTTTAGCATTAACAAAATATCAGCACCTTTCAGAAACTAACAAAGAGCAAATGCTGTGTGCTGACAATCCCCTCCGTTACATACAAGCAAACTTAGGGCAGAAGGGGCCAAATAACAAATCCTCACATACAAATACTTCTGTATCATCATAGCAAAATATCATGAAACAATGCTTGATTTGCAGGTTTCTCAAATAGGAAGAAAGCAGTCTGGTAGGGTGGAAAGATCACGTGGCATATTTGTATTCTGACTTATATCACAAAGTTGCTATCTGACTTTGCTATTACCCAAATATTCAGAACTTGTTTGTTCACTTATGTAATGAGGAAATTGGACACTTTACCCCTTTCAGATCTAAAATCCTCTCCCAATTATCTGTAATCCCTTGATTAAAATGAGTTTTTTGACTCCCACTATAAATAAATGTTTTACTGAAAGGGTTTTGCATTGAGGTGTTATTGTATTGATTCTTCCACTATTTGAAACATTAAGAGTACCCAGGTTTTCACTATTAGTTAGAAATTATTAGATATTAACCATAGTTACATGTCATAAAAAGCAGGTAGATATGCCTTAAGATATTTCAGCTATTAATTAGCTGCTCACGCACATTTTCTAAGATCAGTGCATGATTTATCCCTGAAGAATTGTAGTCTCTTTTTCAGTACAAAGTGCTATAGCACGTACTTTGATCACTTGAAATTTCACATGCTGCTTGGGAAAAGAAAAATCCTAATTTATCTGTAAGGTGCTTTTTCTCTTGAAGGGATTTTTTTCAGAGAGTAACTTAAAAACGTAACTATTTATTCTCAGCCTCCCTTTTTTTCCCCTCTCTGTCCCTTTTGTTTGGGCAATGGCATACACATTTTAATCTTAAAACCTTGGTAGGTAAGGGGTAACTTTTGGAGCTGTGATATATTAATCTTTTAGGAAGACATTTAAGCTCTTGAAGGTTTTGTATGAACATATGAAGTTACCTTATGAAACACTTCACATTTCTTATTAACTTAGCACTTCATAAACAGAGATTTGAAGTGTTTGATTTCTTCTAAATATATGAATAAAATGGATAGCCTGCCCATGGAATCTAAATTTATTGTTTATTCCATAAAATATTCAGAATAAAAAGAAATAAGGTTAAGATTTTTATTTTTAAAGGGCTCACTAGTTTCTTCAGTGAAACTTCTCTCAATTGCTTTTATTAAATGAATTAAGTTGTGTAGGGGAGGCATTGAGGTGGATTGGGGTCATTTAATAGCATAGTGAAAGGGTGACTTTACCGTGAGGCATTTCCATTCCCATGGCCTTGGTGTCTTAGATAATGCTATTAAAATTAAAAAGCCGCCCATAAGCCTAGTAATGAAATGATAAACAAACAAGGACAAGTATTTCTTGCCAATGACAGGCAGTTGTTTATATGCCTTAATCCACAAATTGCTTTCACTTAATTAATTAGTTTAATGTTTGCAAAGCACTTTGAAGATGAAAGGAATGAAAGGAATTATTATATAAATGAAAGAATTTTTTAATGGACTCAATTCTCCTCTCAGAGGCTGAGAGCTCATCAGCTGCCCATCTTCCTTCATGAGGACAGGAGAAATTGCCCTCTAGAATTTTTCCAGGGCAGCAGATCTGCCCCTGTGATATGTTGGCTTTTGACTCGTTGAGAAATGAAGACCCAAACCTCTCCTTTCTTTGTATTTTACTAACTACAAGAGAATCTCTTTAAAAGCAGGAAATAATGTGCATAAAGCCCTTAAAAATCATTAGAGGGGAGGAAAGGGCACTTATTATCACTCTTTTTCCTTTCAAGGTAGGACCTGGGGAATGTCTATCCTCCCTCTCGCCACTAGGACTGCTGGAGCAGAGACACCCACCTGCCAGGGAGACCAAGAAGTATTCCTTTTGAAGTCCTCTCACAGTGGCAGTCTTTGCACCTAAACAGCTAATTAAATAGCAAATGAGTGCATTTGGATTTTGAACAGTGTCACCTGAATTGCTCTCCTTTTTAGGAGTGTTTTTTTTCCCTAAACAAAACTCATTATCAATATACTATAGAATTCCAGCCACTTTCAAAATTGAATTCTGCAAGTGAATAAACAGATTCATATTCGAATCATGAGTGGATTTTCAACCGTTTCAAAATGAGGAGAATCTATCTCAGAAGACTCAAGACATTGCTGTGATTCTAAAAGTAAAATTAATACCTGAGTTTAAAACAGCGTGTGTTTTAACTGTAATGGAGGAGATACAAATAGATATTAAAAATCAATAGTATATCAGTCAAAAACATAACTAAACAGGAGAAATTTTGAAGATATGTTTTTGATTTATAAATTCTTCAAATAAAATTTCTACATTTTTGAAGCACCAAGTATTAAGTTTAATTGTTAAAGCACTCATATAAAGAAAACTTATATATGTATATTTCTTGATCTCTAGTCATAAAATTTAAACAGAGATGAAAAAACCTTTGATGATGTCTGTATACAATACAAACATATCATATATATCTTATAGCCTTTTTATTAGCTGGTTGGAAGTATTAAAAATAAGATAACATATGTTGTCAAAAAGGAATGATTATTACTCAAATACAATGTACTCCCAAGGTGATATATGCACTATAATTTACTTTTCAGAGTTTGGAGCAGGGAGAAGACTTAGAGCTTTCTAATTTATTCAAAGGACAAATTAGAAGGAAAAACCTAAAAGCCTTATTGTATGCTCCAAAATTTAGAGGCATATTTGACTCCACAGCAGCCAAATCCCTCAGAAAATAAGCTATTGCTTTGGAAATAAAATAATGCTGAAAATGTAAAGAAATATAGCCCAAATTATTTAATTTATTATTTCATTTTTCTCCATCAATAGAAAACCCAATTTTTTTTCACAATAGAGCCGAATGTGTACATGGTTAAAAATGCTTGGGCATGGCCAGGCACCATGGCTTTTGCCTGTAATCCCAGCACTTTGGGAGGCTGAGGCGGGTGGATCATCTGAGTTCAGGAGTTCGAGACCAGCCTGACCAACATAGTGAAACCCCCATCTCTACTAAAAATACAAAAAATTAGCTGGGCATGATGGCGGGCATCTGTAATCCCAGCTACTTGGGAGGCAGAGGCAGGAGAATTGCTTGAACCTGGGAGGTAGAGGTTGCAGTGAGCCGAGATTGTGCCATTGCACTATAGCCTGGGGAACAAGTGCTAAACTCCATCTCAAAAAAAAAAAAAAAATGCTTGGACATTAAATGAGGTTAGAGGATAAAGTAGAGTAGAACTCAAAGTTTGATGTAGATTTATTTGCCATAATGAATAGCATACTTAACAAGGCAGAACCTTTGCTTATGCATACAAATGTTGTAGTATTCTTCAAAAAATCATGTCCTTCTAATCAAAACCTGGGCTATTTGTATTTTCTTTTGATACAATTTGTAAAGAATGTTGGCTGCTAAAAATGTGGGAACATGGCTGGGTGTGGTGGCTCATGCCTGTAATCCCAGCAGTTTGGCAGGCCTACATGGGAGGATTGCTTGAGCACAGGAGTTTGAGACTAGCCTGGGCAATATAAGGAGACCCTGTTTCTGCAAAAAATAGTAATAAAAACATTATCCAAATGTGGTGGTATGCACGCTTAGTTCCAGACATTCTGGAGGCTGAAGTGAGAGGACCCCCTGAGCCCAAGAGGTCCAGGCTGAAGTGAATCATGGTTGTGCCACTGTACTCCAGCCTGGGAAACAGAGCTAGACCCTGTCTCGAGAAGAAAAATATGGAATCCGAAGTGATAATGACAGAATTTGAATTGTGGCATCATATCTGATGACTCCAAGATGATAATGACAGATTTTAAATTGTGGCACCATATCTGATGACTTAAAGATGGTTGTGAAAATTGCACCTTGATTTCTTCATCTGTAAAATAAAAAACTGTGTATCTTGATGTCCTTATCAAATACCTGGATGTTGAAATCATTCCTATCCCAAATCTCAGTATCACACAGTATATCCAAAGCAAAAGTATAGTATTATACTTTTATTTGAAAACATAATAGTAATAATAAAAGTAATAAAAGTATATCCAAAATAAAAGTCAAAATTTAAAAATAAATAAATAAGATCCACTTTTAAAAGGTGAATAACCATAAATTTCTCTATGAGACTGATATTAGGATAAGTTTTTACTAAAGATCAGCTTTTGCTAAATGTCAGTATTTACTAAAGAAAAAAGTAACTGACAAGGTATTTTTAATCATTAAAAGTTGATAGTTTAATTTGTCTGTACTTTGTTCTGTTTTATTTATTTATTTTTTAATTATACCTTAAGTTCTGGGATACATGTGCGGAACGTGCAGGTTTGTTACATAGGTATACATGTGCCATGATGGTTTGCTGCACCCATCAACCCGTCATCTACATTAGGTATTTCTCCTAATGTTATCCCTCCCCTAGCCCCCCACCCTCTGACAGGCCCTGGTGTGTGATGTTCCCCATCCTGTGTCCATGTAAGCTGGAAACCATCATTCTCAGCAAACTAACACAGGAACAGAAAAGCAAACACTGAATATTCTCACTCATAAGCGGGAGCTGAACAATGAGGACAAGTTTTTGTTTGTTTTTTGTTTTTGTTTTTGTTTTTGTTTTGAGACAGAGTCTTGCTTTGTCTCCCAGGCTGGAGTGCAGTGGCTGGAGTGCAGTGGCATGATCTCGGCTCACTGCAAGCTCTGCCTCCTGGGTTCAAGCAATTCTCCTGCCTCAGCCTCCTGAGTAGCTGGGATTACAGGTGCATGCCACCACGCCCAGCTAATTTTTTTGTATTTTTAGTAGAGACGGGATTTTACCATGTTGGTCAGGCTGGCCTCAAACTCCTGACCTCGTGATCCACCCACCTCGACCTCCCAAAGTGCTGGGATTACAGGCGTTAGCCACCACGCTCGGCCGAGGACAAGCTTTAAAGAAAATTAAAAGTTACTTATTTCAATGCCTAGTATATGTTGAGCAGCTAAACAAATGTTAGTCACTGCAATTTGTAAGAAAAGCAATAGAGCCTACTGAACAAGAACATGGAGACTAGAGTCAGACTGCACAGGTTTGAGACCCAGCTCTAACAATGACTAGCCTTGTGATCTTGGGCAAGTTATTGAATCTCTCCGTGTTTCCATCTTCCTGTAAGTAAAGGTAATAATAGTACTAATATGGATTAAATATGTTAATTCACCTAAATCATTTTAAAACATACCTTATATTTAAGTTTTATTTAAGTGTTAGCAAGTATTCTTAAAAATAATATTGTATAGGCATTTGTGTGAGGTTTTATGAATGTCTGTGTTTCAATCTTGTTTAACTTTCATGAATGTCTATATTTCATGAATGTCTATGTTTCAATCTTGTATGGATTAATTCACTAGGTTATGGGAAAATGGGAGACATCAGGTCTGAGGAATGATTAATGTGTTTGATTCTGTATGTGCAGAGTTCAGTTCCTTTTGAGACATCCAAGTGAAACATTAAGTAAGCATTTGGATATACACTTTAGTAGCTTAGACCAGTGGTCTGAATTGGAGGTTAGACAAAATGGTGCTGGTGGTAAGAAAGGGATTACTGGGATACTGACGATAACTGAAGCTAGGGTCTTAAACAACACAGTATAGAAAGTTTATAGAGGGAGGAGAAAAAACATTTAATTAAAACTCAAAGTATAGTTTATTTACAAAGTCCTCTTGAATCCTTTGGATAGACACCTAGGCTAGCTGCCATTGTATTTCTGTAGATTCTGGTAACCACGTAAGTATTTTCTCATGAGAAATGGGATCTACTTCAAATCTAGATTCAGTCATTGGGAATAGAGCTTCTCCCTTTCTCCTTTGCTAGCCTGGAAAATTGGCAAATGGTAATAAGCCCTTTGGTTATGAGCTACAGCAGGTAGTTCTTGAAACTTTGAGCATGAATGGTAATAGACTAGGGACTTAGGACGGAAGAGGACTGTGAGATTCTTGTTATGAGATTGAGATTTACAAAATTGAACTAGAGAGCCAAATGAGGAATCAGAGAAGGTAATTTCCAGAAATCTGAAGTTTTTGGTTTTGGATTCATGGAGACTTGGCCTTTGTGAATATTCTAGATTTTACTCAGATCCTGGATATTTGACATTTGTCCAGGATTTGGCCTGCTTTTTTCCCCCTTCTGTTTCTATTAGTTTATATTTTAGGATCATTTTTTTCTTCTGTTTTTCTGCCTATTGAAATTCTATTGTTCCATACTCTTGTTCCTAATGAAGGACAAATTCATTTGAGGACTTATTTTTCTACAACAAATTTAATTGGAGTAGAAACTGAACAAAAATTATTTGTCTTTACTTCTCCTACCAAAATATATTTACAGTTGTATTTCTTAGATGCACAGAAATATATACGTTGGAAATGTAGAGATTAGGAGATAAATAAACGTTATAGACAGATAGATGATAGATTATAGATAGATAGATGATAGATGATAGATAGATAGATAGATAGATAGATAGATAGATAGATAGATAGGTGATAGATTTCCAAGACACTCCAGTTAAATATTATTCAGTTGAAAGCGAAAGTCTTTATAAAATGCAATGAGAGAGGAAAGTATTGGGGACTATGAAGGTGAACGGTTTTCAACCTGGAGAAGAAGTCATACGATGAGAAATGAGGAGTCAGGGGATAGCAAAGGAAGCTTATTTTCCTTTTCTCTGCCATTCCTACTTGCCTGTGTAGCAGTCCACACAGAATCCTTCAGAGTCAGTATACATTCACACACCTACCTCCCTGTGCACACATACTCACATACCCACAAACACACAAGCATAACATAAAAGCTTGTCATTTGCAATTGTAAGTGCTGATCATTGTTAGCATTGACTAAAACTAATAAGTTGCTTTTTGTTAAGAAAGTGGGCTTTTAACTTCAAGATGTATTCACTCAAGAAAATAAAAGAAAAAAAAAGAAGATCTCCCAAGTATCATTTATCTTTGAATGACACCATTTTATTTCTCCCTGCTACTTGCAGTAGCAGCAGCCAATCTTAGATAATTTTTTGCTACCTGTGGCTGAGTGAAAAACTGAGTTCATCATAGTCTTAAAAAACAATATGAATAATGACATTATATATTTTGCTGGTCAATTAGTAATGATTGAGGTCGTTTGAATGATGCCCTTTCATCATTCCAGAATTGTAAAACTAGAATTAGGAATATTAGCCTCTGGGTGTTCTGTCCTGTGACTGCCTATTGGAGAGAAGATACTTGATTCTTAATGACTATGGAAGATTTTTAACTAGAGGTGAATCATCTCAGAGACATTCGCAATCTACAGAGACTACTATGAGTTGAAAACTTACTTTGCTTGATGTATATGTATTTGTTTGGAACAAGCACCTTTGAGTTGAAAGTAACACATGTCCTCTTGTTTAAGTGACAAATGTGACCATTACTGTTGCATAAGGAGTAGTATAGAGGAGAAAGTAGATCAACTCAATATGAAGATATTAAAAAAGGATATCTTAAAATGCATGATACTGAATTAATATGTTCAGATAATTCAAGAAAATGGTATGTGTAAGGCATCATATCTGGAGCATAAAAAGATTTAATAGATGATATCATTGGCTGTCATAAACCAATCATTATATGCATGTAAATCCTCAAGTAATGACACTAATAATCTCCAACTCACCAATCTTATTTGTTTATTCCTCTTTAAATCTTTACATCACTCTTTCCTCTCTTCTCTAACATCTGAATTTTTTTCCCTCATACTCTCACTTAATACTTGTATTTTCATCTGTCAGTTGCTTTTTCCTATCTATTGATAATTGTTTAACCCTTGTTGAAGAAGAATCAGAGGTCCTAAGAAAAATCCTTTTTTCTTTTCGTCCTTTGGCAATCCAAAGCATTCCACATACGTCCTTATTCATCAGTATTTTTAAAAAATAATTTCTTCATCTACTTCTGAGTAGAGGGAAGAGGTGCAATACATGACCCACACATTTGTTTTAACATTCTAAGAAGGATAATGAGGAGAGGGAGGCAAGACAAGGAAGAATGAAACACAAAATTGACTTTGCACATTCACTATATGTTAAACTTTGTGCATATTCTCTCCTCTTTGTAAGATAGATATATCGGGGAATTATGGTTAAGTAGTGGATAGGCTATAGTTTTGAATAAAATTACTTAAATTAATTCTAATAATTCCAAATTTCTTCAATGGAAAGCCTTTTCCTCACATCCCTCTCTTTTTCCTTTTGTCTTTCTTCTTTGCAATGCAGCTACCATTAATCACTTTTATAGATTCCTTTGTAGTTCCTCTGCAATTGCCAGCTTATGTTATATACTGCATCTTATTTCCCTCTTGTTAAACTCACCGCTTGACTCCTGATTCCTATTTTACTCCCTAAAACTATTTATTGTTTCTGCAGCCCTCTCCTTGCACTGACAACCTGGAATTAAAATTGTATATGAAATCCTTCAATGTTTGGCCCAATCTGCATCTCAGATAGCACGGTCAGATAATCCTATAGAATGAGTATTTCTAATTCTTTCTTGTGTTGAATTGATTTATTTCAATAAGCTGGAACCAGTCATAAATGCTTAGGCTCCTCTTTCAAAGCAAACTCAGTATTGCCAGTTAAATATCTCATGGGCTCCCACATTGCAATTATTAGTGCAAGTCTATCTCATTTAAAAAGTTGTAAACTCCTTGAGATAAGCCGCTGTGTTTTATTGGTATTTTTATTCCTATTGTTTTTCACTGTGCTGAACTCTTATTAAATACTGAATGAGAAATGCTGAATTAAACAATGAATGGAGAATTTTCAGTGGTGTGAGAGAAGGGAAAGGAATGGAATATAAAATTCTTCTACAGGCAAATAAGGATTCATTAAATGCTCAGGCAAAGCTGAAACAAGCAGCTTTAATTAATCCTAACCATTTTAATGTGTCTAGACCGATGTCTACAGTTAAAAAACAGCAACGAAAAATACACATTCAGAGAATCCACATATTATGTATAGAAAAGCTATATTTGTCTATTGTAACAGGATGCCTTACATTAAAGAAGCTTCTTACTCCATCAACATTGCAAACGAGGCTTTCTTGCATTTATGAATAAGGAAGCCCATTTATTTTATCATTATTACTTTTATCACTAATAACAAGCTCTTTACACCTACACATGAGAATGACAATAGCAAAGGAAACAATCATTGGAAAAAATACTGACTATACATAATACCACCATTGTTACCATGCATTAAGTATAATTGCAATAAATTATGGTTGCCCTCAAAATCAAGCCTTTGTCCTGTTCCAGAAGGAAGACCAGATTTATCAAGTAGTTTCTCCTTTGCAGTGAGAAGCAGTCATTAGCAATTTGGTTAGACCATTTAAACTTATTTAATAATCAGAAATGTTAAAGTCCTTTGGAAATTTTCTAGTTAATAGAATTAACCTGCAGTGTAATTAGACAGTCTGAATTAAAGTCCTTTTACGATGATAATACCGGCAATAAAAATAGTCTCTGGGGATAAAGAAATTAGTATTCACTTTAGTGGTAAATTCGTTATTGGAACCACATTTACTCTTTTGGTCTTTCATCCCTGAAGGATTCTACAATTGGATAGATTCACAGCTTTGCCCTTTCTCATCAACTGTTTTATTTCAAGGAATATTGGCTTTTATCATAATTTCCAAATCTGAACTTTAAAGGCAAAATGTTCTGCCTTGTTCTTGTCTTGCTTCTGTTGGGAAATGCAGAGATGATACAAACAAACACAATGCAATCTATCCAACTAGCTTGAAAATTGGCAAGGGCGCTGATAAGAAATCAATCAAATAATTGTAGCCAAATTCATGCTGGAGTTTCTAAAGATGAATTAAATACCTGTGCCCAAACTTCATCTCTTCTAGGCAATCTTCCCAAACTAATTCTAAGAACAAGTGACTTTAGGATATCCAGTAATGTTTCAACATTACCATGTTTATGAGAAACTAAGAAGAAGGTGTATTCATTTACCTGTTACTAATGTTTACACACATACAATTGTAAATGCATATATTTTATGTTCTTTGTTCTAAATTTTCATTAATTTATAGGTTTCCTTATGCCCTCACTTCAAGACTTCTGTCTGCAGAGTATTGTACTCGCTGTACAGGTTGAGTACCATATCAGTGGATGACACTGAATTTCCTTTACTTGTCATCACAGACAACAGAAGTCATACATTTTCTTCTTTGGAAGTCTTTCAAACTCATATTTCTGCATCTATTTGGCCAAAGAGATCCCTGTGTGGATTACATTCATGAATTTATTTAATATAGTAACATAGACTATGAGTTGGGGTTTAAACTTTGAAGCTTACATTGTGTTACAAAATAGCGTTGTCATTATCAGGTAATCTGTGAACTCCTTTGTGTCTTCCTTGGTCACCAACGACATAAGCACACATGACTTGAAGGCATAGTAAATGAAAAGAAAAACAAGCGCTACACATTTTCTAATGCTCCCTGAAGTGGAAGGTGCTAGTATCTGCTCTCTGCCTTAGGAATCTTCGTGAAAAAGTCAGATTTGATAACACCCTTGTCTGGATTTCTGAGTCTCTTTTTAAATAGAATTTCTCTTATTCCATTTTATGTTATGTCTAGACATATGTTATGTAATCCTACATAGTTATGTCAAGATATGTTATGTAATACCACACAGTAATGTTGTTGTACCTATTTTGTACCTTCCTAATATCTATTTTGTCATTTGAGTCTCACAATCTTTTTTGTGAATCTCAAGTAAAATAAACCATATGAGATGCGGTAACTATAACTGGATGTACAATTGCAAGGTATCCCAACATGTATCAAATGTATATTGACTAAAGAAAGTTTATTTCTCCTTATTCAAAAGCAGTTACATAAAAAGAAAGAAAATGCATTTTTGATTTTTGGAATATGCTAGAAATTGTATATTATCTCATTTAATCCTCACAAGTTAATCAAGCATCCCCATTTCTCAATGAAGTAAATGAGGTTTCAAGACATTAGGTAACTTCTCAACTCTACAGCATAAATAGATGTACTTGTTTCACTCCTAGATCTTCTAAAATTAATAATTATGCTCTTTTTTTCTACTATTTGTTACCTATGTTTTAGAATTATTTTTAACTAAACTGATATATAGATTATGAAAATCTTTACTTTTTACTATCAAGCACTATATAACATAAATTAGTTTCTCGGCCTGGCACAGTGGCCATGCTTGTAATCCCAGCACTTTGGAACACTTTGGGTGGCTGATGTGGGCGGATCACCTGAGGTCAGGAGTTCGAGACCAGCCTGGCCAACATGGCAAAACCCCGTCTGTACTAAAAATACAAAAATTAGCCCAGCAAGGTGGTGCACACCTGTAATCCCATGTACTTGGGAGGCTGAGGGAGGAGAATCACTTGAACCCGGGAGGCAGAGGTGTAGCAAGCCGAGATTGTGCCATTGCACTCTGGCCTGGGTGATAGAGTGAGACTCCCTCTCAAAAAAAAAAAAAAAAAATTACTTTCTTGAATTATGTTCTCTGCTTTAACTAGGGTACATGAGTTGGTATAAAATGGTGTAAGATTTTGCAATAAATCTCCAACCATATATTTCTTTAAGAATTATCTTTTTATATCATTTACATGGTACAATTGTAAAGATTCCTAGCCACCATCCATAGAAACATGTGTCCGGCATATAGATGAATGACTAAAATGTTATAATGATATAATAGTGTCTTTATTATTATGTCTACCATAGTAGACACATAGGAGGTACTCAATATGGGAACACTTCTTAAATAAGCAAATGAAGGAACTATGGGAAGAAAAGAAGACAGCAATGTATTGAGGGAAGTGCATTATGTCTAGTAGCTGGATGATGTGGCTAGCAGTCTGGATCATTAATTGATTCTCTGGATGGCTCACAAAGATAATTATCATTTATCTCTTAAAATACAAAACTTTAGCTGATATTAATACATAATGGTATGGTCAACTAATTTTTGACAAATGCACCAAGAAAACACATTGGGGAAAGTAGAGTTTCTTCAATAAATAGTGCTGGAAAAATTCAATGTCTGCATGAAAAAGAATAAAATTGGACCCTTATCTTATACCATATACAAAAATCAACTCAAAATGGATAAAAGACCTAAATGTAAGGCCTGATACTGTACCATAAAACTCCCAGAAGAAAGCGTAGGGAAAAATCTCCTTGACATTTGCCTTGGTGAAGATTTTTGTATATTTTACCAAAAGCTCAGGCTGCAAAAGTGAAAATAAACACAACTAAAAGTTTTGTACAGCAAAGGACACAATTGATAAAATGAAAAGGCGTCCTATGGACTGGGAAAAATATTTGCAGAACACATATCTAATGTGAGATTAATATTCAAAATTTATAAAGAACCCTTATAACTCAACAGCAGTAAAACAAATAACAATAAAAATGGACAAGGGACTTGAACAGATATTTTTCCAAGGAAGACATAAAAATAACCAGCAGGTATATGAAGAAGGGCTCAATGCCAAAAATTTGACCTATAATAAAATAACATTTATTATAGCAGTTCAGAATACAAACAAAGGGATGGTTCCATTATGTTCTGTTTCTGTACAGTTATACTTCATTTGGTTCTAGGAAGACATCTACTTTAGTGAAAAAATAGAATCCATTCAGAATAATGCTCCTAGACTAAGGATATATATGGTTTCAATCAGGACTGTATCAAACCCAGAGGATGTTTAGAAATTCACGAGGGCTGCATTTTAGTTGTCACAATGAGCTGTAAATGCCTTTTGGAATCTAATAAGAGGAGCAAGAATGCTAAGAATTCAGCAATGCTTTGGAGAATTCCGCATGATAAAAAACCTTCTCTCCCAGAATTTCAATAGCTTATCTTATGAGAAATATGTATCAATATTAAAAGACAAACAAATAAAAGTATGATATTTTAGTTTATGGGGAAAGACCTGTGAACATTTAATTTGGAAAAAACTTGTAACTGCTATCTCATATAGAGAATAATGGAGGCCTTCTGTGTAGAAGCAGATCTAAATGAAGGTAATAGAAAAAAATGCTGGGAGGGAAAAGGAAGAGCAGATTTTAATTCAATATATAAGGAAGATATCTTTAGGGTTCACAATTAGGGACAGAATATGGAAAAGTAATTATTTCTAACTCATTGGCCTTCTTCTGAAGGTTAACGTTTTACTGAGGTTTATCTTTTCACTTGCTCAGTGCAATTTGGAAGAATTAGACTTTGTCAAAAGAAGAGCCAAGATTTTCTAATTTTGAGAATCTCCATCATGTGGACCATGAAGTTCAGCTGTATTTAAAGAAGATCAACTCCTTATCTTTTATATTCCAAAGTTAGCTGCCAATAGCTCTTCTCGGCTTATAGAGAAAAGACAAATCCAACTCTAAAATTCTGATTCTATATGTGATTTTTTTTAAAGCAAAGTAATTCCTAATAAATATATTTGATTGATTGCTACTTAATAATTACTTGTGTCAAAGCATAGAGTTTTGATCGTCATGCTAGTTCTGTTCAGAATTCAATGAAAAATAACCTCAACTCCATTAACAGGGCATTATGCCTTAAACATTCAGAAGCATTAGATAAAATTATACTATATAAAATTAGCTTTAAATAGAAGGTTTTTGTTTAGTTAAGCACTGGTGATCGACGATAATTATAGAAGAAATAAAAAAATGATAAGAAAGTTCTGCTGTACTTGAACAATGCATTGAGGCTCCAATTAAGCAGAACTATTTCAGGTAGTTGTGGGACTTGTCTTAGACACTAATTTAATATAATCTGCCTGTGGGATCTAGTGGATATTTTAATCATCGGAATAACAGAATATTTTGGAGAGCACTTTGTAGCATGATTTAATAAGGATTCCCTAAAAAAAGTCCAAATATATGATTTTTACTTTCTTCAATTTTTAGATAAAAATTTGAGGCTGTATAAAATTAGTGTATGATTGGAAGATGATAAGAATAGGAGTGCAAGCTTTTTAATGGAGCAGGAGCTTTTAAAAATAGACCATAGTTTATGCATTCAATAGAGTGCTAGCCTTCCAAAGCTATACCTTGATAAATTTGTTTTGGGCAAACTAATTCCCATTGTTCCAAAAATAAATGATGGGTACTTTTCTTTTGTAATCATCTTCAATCAATTTATAGGAAACATACTTTGCTTTGTTTCTTGGCCATTGCATTACTCATTTAATCAGTTTAAATATGTTACATTGCAGTTGTTTTTTAAATCCAAAGCTGCATTACCCAATCTTTAGTTCATTTAGTTAAATAATAATAACAATAATAAAAACCTCGCCTCTATATTATTTGAAATCTTTCAAAAAATATAATCTCCTGAAAAAGATATTCATGTAATATCAAAAGCAATTTCCAAAGAAAGATTTTGAAACTTTTTGAGCAATACTATTGTGGTTTGATATATTATGTGAACTCTGGAGGTCATAATTTAAATGAAAAATATCATTTTGATTTTATACTTCATAAAAGATTTGCCAAATTCTTTTGCATTTCTTTACATTCATTTTTCATTTTCCTATACTCTGTTTTGGGAAAACTACCAGCATATATGCTATTTAGAGCTGAGATACACTGGAGGACTCACAAAATATAGTTCTTACATTTTTAGAGTTTAAAAATAAAATTACCTAAAGAATAATTATTCTGTATTTTCCCCACCTCTGATTTACCTACTAAATGAAATGTCATTTGTTGACCTGGTCTTTAGAAAGAAAAAGGGACCAATCATTCTACGTCTATCTAGTTTGGAGAAAATTGGTGATGGTAAATAAGAGAGATTCCCTGCTTTTCCACACGTGTCTTACTTAAGGAGGTCACCTCATTCTGGAAAGCCTGCCTCAGTCCATTAATACCTGTATGGAAAAAATAAAGGTAACTTCTTACATTGTCAGCTTACACTTAATCAGTGATAAAGAGGTTTAAATTCCACATGGCTTTCTTTTAGTCTAATCACTAATTCGTTCAAAACTTGGATAAAGAAATCGCTATTATTTATTGGATGCCTTCTGAAAGAGAAAGGACAATTTTTTTTGCTGTTCAGAACACAATCTTCATTTCTTCCTATGCTTTCAGGTCTTTTAGGTAAGTTTTCTAAATATCTGTAGGACAATATAACGACTACAGTTAATAATTTTGTACTATATACTTGAAAGGTGTTAAGAGAATAGATTCTAAATGTTCTCACCACAAAAAGGTATGCAAAGTGCACGATATGTCAGTTCACTTGATTTAAGCATTCTACAATGTATAACAAAATATCACATTATACTACATAAATATATACAAAAAAAGAGACAGAAAACCAAACCAAATTGAAACAACAAAATAACAGGACTAACAGAAAAACATAAAACTGACAAATTACCAAAAGTCTAAAAATCTAAATGAAGCCTTCCTTTCACAAAAATCTGAAATCCATCCATTAAATTTCTTAATCCTAGTTTGGCTCAGGTAATTTGCTCATATTTTACCTATCTGTCAGAAGAAAATTAAATTCTCCCTACAATTTTTCATATACAATGTCAGCACTCAATATAAAATTAACCAACATCCAGGCAACCTGTCTAAATAACTGAAATCAAAAGGAAAAAAAAGTTAATATAAATGAACCTGCATATGACTTAATGATTTATGTTATCAGACACAGAATTAAAAAGTGTGATGATTATCATTGTAACATTTTAATTGAATTATAGTACACAAATTCTGCATTTCCTAAATGTAATGATCAATGTACTTTTGTTTTTTAATTTTGACTTTTATTTTAGATACGGGGGTTACATGTACAGAATAGTTACATGGGAACATTGAGTGATACTGGGGTTTGGAGTATGGATCCCATCACCCTGATAGAGCATAGTACCTGATAGGTAGTATTTTAACCACCCCTCTTCCTTCCTCTTCTGGTAGTCCACAGTATCTATCATTTCCTTAATTATGTCCATGTGTGCTCAATGTTTAGCTCCCACCATCCATGTGAACATGCGGTATTAGTTTTCCTGTTCCTGCATTAATTTGCTTAGTATGATGGCCTCCAGCTCCATCTACATTGTTGCAAAGGATGTGACTATTTTCTTTTTTTACGGCTGCATAGTATTCCATGGTATATATGTACCAAATTTTCTTTATCCAATCTATCATTGATGGGCACCTGGGTTGAATCTATGTCTTTGGTATTGTGAATAGTGCAATGGTGAACATGAGTGTATGTGTGATTTTGGTAGAATTACTTATTTTCATTTGGGTGTATATACCCAGTAATGGGATTTCTGGGTCAAATAGTAGCTTTGTTATAAGTTCATAAAATCTCCAGACTGCTTTCCACAGTGGCTAGACTAATTTACATTTCTACCAGCATTGTATAAGCATTCCGTTTTCTCCACAGCCTTGCCAGCATCTGTTATATTCTGACTTTTTAATAGTAGTCATTCTGACTGGTGTGAGATCATATCTCATTGTGATTTTGATTTGTATTTCTCTGATGATCAGTGATGCTGACTATTTTTTATATGCTTGGCTGCATGCATGTCTTCTTTTGAGAAGTGTCTGTTCATGTAATTTGCCCACGTTTTAACATGGTTATTTGTGTTTTGCTTGTTGATTTAAGTTTCCTATAGATTCTTGATATTGGCCTGTGTTGGATGCATAGTTTGTGAATATCTTCTCCCATTCTGTAGGTTGTCTGTTTACTATGTTGGCAATTTCTTTTTCTGTGAAAAATCTCTTTACTTTTATTAAGTCCCACTTGTCTATTTTTGTTTTAGTTGTAATTGCTTTTGGAAACTTAGCCAAAAATTATTTTCTTAAGGCCTGTGTTGAGAAGAGTATTTCTTAGGTTGTCTTCTAGGATTTTTATAATTTGAGGTATTACATTTAAATTTTTAATGTCACTTTGAGCTAATATAGTGAAAGGTAGGGGTTCAACTTCAATCTTTGGCATATGGCTAGCCAGTTACTCCACCACCATTTATTGTATAGGGAGCTCTTTCCTAATTGCTTGTTTTGTTGGCCTTGTCAAAGATCAGATGGTTGCAGGTGGGCAGTTTTATTTCTGTGTTTTCTATTCCATTCCATTGGTCTATCTGTCTGTTTTGTACCAGTACAATGCTATTTTTGTTATTGTGGCTTTATATTATAATTTGAAGTCAGTAGTATAATGTTTCCAGCTTTGTTCTTTTTGCTTAGAATTGCACTGGTTCTTTTTTTTTTCTATGAGAATTTTAGAATAGATTTTTTCTAATCTGTAAAAAATGTCATTGGGAGTTTTATAGGAATAGCATTGAATCTGTAAATACTGCTTTGGGCAGCATGACCATTTTTACAATATAGATTCTTCCAATCCAAGAACATGGAATATTTCACCATTTATTTGTGTCACCTCTGATTTCTTTTAGCAGTGTTTTGTAGGTCTCCTTATAGAGATCTTTTGCCTCTTTGGTTAGCTGTATTCCTAGATATTTCATTTTCTTTGTGGCTATTGTAAGTGTGATTGTGTTGTAAATTTCATGCTTAGCTTGGATGTTGGTGGTGGATAGAAATGCTACTGATATTTGTACATTGATTTTGTATCTTCAAACTTTACTAAAGTTGTCAATTCTAGAAGCTTTTTATCAGTCTTAAGGATTTTCTAGGTATATAATCATATCATCAGAGAAGACAGATAATTTGACTTCTCCTTTTTCTATTTGGATGCCTTTTATTTCTTTCTCTTGCCTGATTGCTCTGGCTAGGACTTCCAGTATGATGATAAATAGGTGTGGTGAGAGTGGGAATCTTTGTCTCATTCAGTTCTCAAGGGGAATGGTTTTAGCTTTTGCCCATTCAGTATGATGTTGCTGTGGGTTTGTCATAGACAGCTCTTATCCTTAAAACAATAGAAAAATGTATTTTCAAAAGTTTATATCTGTATATCTATCATACATATCAAAAAGTAGAATATAATCAACTTATTAAAAGCATCCATTGTGCCTATCCAAGTCCGGATTCACCGAAGTTGACTATAATAGTGTCTATCACCAAAAAATTATGTTAGTTCATTTAGGGAAAAAACATATAAACAAATGACAAAATATATCTATGAAAATTGTTTATGAATTTGAGCAAAGTCTTTTTCCAAATAATCATTTGTACTTTTCATTTAATTTCATTGTTTATTTTATTTTATTTTATTATTATTTTTAAAAGTCTCACTCTCTTGCCCAGGCTGGGGTGCAGTGGTGCAGTCATAGCTTACTGCAGCCTCAAACTCCTGGGCTCAAGCAGTCCTCCTACCTCTGTCCCCTCAAGTAGCTGGGATTACAGGCATGTGCCACCACACCTGGCTATTTTTTAATTTTTAATTTTATTTTTTTGTCTTGCTATGTTGCCCAAGCTTGTATCGAACGCCTAGCCTCAAGCAATCCTCCTGCCTCAGCTTCTAGGCATGAGGCACTGCATCCAACTTCTCATTGTTAATTTTGTTTAAGTCCCAGGATTGTATACAGGGTGTCACATTAAATCTAAATTTAGTTTGAGATCCTGTGTTTTCTAAATTCAATGTAAGATTCTGTTTATTCTGGAACAATTTTTCAGACGTTGTACTTTACGATGTCAATATTTTTTTTAAAAAATACAGGCCAGTTATTTTATAGAGCTGAACTAGATTTATTAGATGATTATATTTAGATTTTGCATCTTTCACTGGAACATTAGAGAAAGTAATACTTTGTCCTTCTCATTGTGTCATAGCAGAAGGCACAGGTTGTTGGTTTGTCCCATTATTAATGATGTTAAATTGATCACTTAGTTAAGGTCCTGTCTGCCAGGTTTCCTAACTAAAAAAAGTGTTACTAATTAGTAGGTCATTTATAGAGAAGTACTTTGACACTATGTAAATACTGTGTTCCTCATCAACTTTGTCCTACTAGTTTCAACATCCATTAGTGATGAGTGCCTGGATCAATTAATTACTACCACAGTGATTATAACATGTTCTATACTAAACTAATATAAAATAAATTTTTACCTTAAACTCACCTTTTCATAATAAAAAATATAAAATAATTTCAAATTTTCTGAAGTAATCATCAAAGCAATCTACTATTTCAAAGGCATTTTCATTCAATTTGTTTTAAAAGTATCAGATAAAAACAATCACATGAAATTGTGTGGTTTGGGCATAAGGATTAAAGGAGATAGTATCAAACTCTATGCATAAAAGAACAAATTTATAACATGGGAAGAGATATCTGTATAAATTACCAATCCTGTTTCTATACATTTAATTTTCATGGGCTTGTGGCACAACAATGTAGAAATATCAATGATATTCAGTGTAGGAGTTTGCTTTTTATTATTCATAACACTCTGGAAGCTTACAAAGATTTGGGGATCAGGAAAATGAATGTGGTTTTTGTCAGAGAGAGCATTTTTTTTTTTTTTTTGTAGAAGCAGAGAACACAGAAGAAATCCATGGGAAATACCAAATTTTAAAATAGCAGAACATGGAAAGAATTCAGAAATAGTCCCCAAAGTGATAGTAGGAGAATGAGAGAGTGGAGTCTGGGTATGTAATAGTGAAAAATGAAAGGCCTTGTTCCTGCTTTCATGGAGCTGTAAGAATGAGACAGGAGACTCACAAAAGTGTCTGATTTGATCTGGATTGGGGATGGTTGTCACAGATTTTAGGGAAAGGTAGCATCTATTCTGAGATGTAAAGGAAGAAAGGAATCTGAAGTACAGTGTTCCAGTTAGAGGGAACATCATATAGGAGACATTGCTAGGAGCATAGCTGGGTCAAGCCAATGGACTAGTCATTTTCCCATTGCACTGAGTCCCCATTTCACTGAACGTGAGCCAGAGTGTGATGTGAGTTGACACCAAAGAAGTAAGATACAAGAATAAGGAGAAACTTTGAAAGTCACTATTAAGAGTTTGTATTTTGCATTGCTGGAAGAAATCAGAGATGATACAGATAAATGCAAATACATCCCATACTCATGAATTGGAAGAATCAAGATCACCTGATCTTTGACAAGGCCAACAAAAACACATACTAGGGAAAGGACTCCTTATTTGATAAATTGTGCTGAGGTAAATGGCTAGCCATATGCCAAAAACTGAATCTGGACTTCTGCCTCTCACTATATACAAAAATTGTCTCAAAATGGATTAAATATTTAAATGTAAGGCCTCAAACTATAAAAATTCTGGAAGAAAACCTAGGAAATACTCTTCTCAATGTCACACAGCAAAAGAAACTATGAATAAACAGACAACCTACTAGATGGGAGAAAATATTCACAAACTGTGGATCCAACAAAGGTCTAATAACCAAAATATAGGCAACTTAAACAAATCAACAAGCAAAAAGCTAATAACCACATTAAAAGTGGTGAAATTACATGAACATATACTTCTCAACAGAAGACATACATGCAGCCAACAAGCATATGAAAAAATGGTCAGCATCATTAATTATCAGAGAAATGTAAATAAAAACCACAATGGGATACCAACTCACAACAGTCAGAATGGCTGTTATTATAACGTCTAAAACAATAGATGCTGGTGAGGCTGCAGAGTAAAGTGACTACTTATACACTTTTGATTGCAATGAAATTTAGTTCAGTAACTGTGGAAAGCAGTCTTTAGAATTCTCAAAGAATTTAAAACAGAGCTATTTATTATTCAATGCAATAATCCCATTGCTAGGTATATACACAGAGGAATATAGATAATTCTACCAAAAAGACATATGCACTCATTTGTTCATTATTGTATTATTCATGATAGCAAAGACATGGAATCGACCTAGCTGCTCATCAGTGATGAAACAGACAAAGAAAATGTTGGAATATTACACAGCCATAAAAAGAATGAAATAATGTCATTTGCAGCAGCCTGGATGGAATTGGAGGCCATAATACTAAGCAAATTAATGCAAGCACAGAAAACCAAATACCTACTGTTCTCATTTATAGGTGGGCGCTAAACATTGAGCATATATTGACATCGATATGGGAACAATAGATACTGTGGACTACTAAAGGGTGGAGTGAGAGAAGAAAGCATGGATTGAAAAACTGATTATTGTGTACTATGTTCACTACCTGGGTCCAGTATACCTATGTAACAATGCTACACATGTATCCTCTGTACCTAAAATAAAAGCTGAAGTTAAACAACAAAAAGTTTGTGTTTTGCCTATATGAAACAGGAAACTTATAACATAATTTACTTTAGGTAAGAACTTAATTGGCTCAAGAAAAGATATGCTGCATTTTAAGAACAAGCAGTTTAATGTTACAAGCAAGTAAGGTTCATATTCTAGAATTATCTGTTATTACCTGTGAGAACCTAAAGAGCCAACTTTCTCTTTGAAATATAAATGACAATACCTACCTCTTCAGGTTGCTGAGACATTTGAATAACATAGATTAGACTGTGTCTTCAACAGCAAATGAGGTACAGTCAATAGTTCTTTTTTTACCTCCTTCACTTTAAAACATTATTCTTCACTTTTTATTATGCATAACAATTTATCTTCATATTACATAAACTGTAAAACTCTTATCCAATTTGTAACACCTCTCTGGTGCTTTACACACATCATTTGTTTGTAACCCACTGCTATGGGAAGCTGAAGTTAAAAGGTAGACACTGTCACTTCAGGCTCATCCCAGTCCAGCAAAGTCTCACCACAAGGATATATTGAGTATATTTTTACTGTTTGCCAGCACCTTCTTTGAGGTTCTGGTAGCCAGTGATAAAGCGATAGAAGAACCCTCAAGAATAGGGGACATTCCATCCTTCAGACAAACACTGTATTTTCTTCTCTGGAAATCCCAGTAGGACTCAAGTCCCCACTCCCCACAGCCTACAAGACTGGCTTCATTAATTTCATGCTGATACAACTTTATTTTTCTCTACATCATACTCTGTAGCTCTGCTTTCTGAGATCACCTCTCAAACAAACTACCTATTCCCACCTCGTCCTAAGCTCTAGTTTCAAGAACTCGAACTCAGTTTCTTTCCCATTCTATGCCCTAAGAACCCATTTCATTTCATTAATTGTTTAATTCTGTCACTTTAAATTGATGGATTTCTAATCTAATATATCATAATCTCCCCTGCTATATTATTCCTGTGAAATAGCATAATCCTCAAAACATTGAGCAAATCCAAAGCCTCTTTTCTTTTCACCTCACACAATTTTCTTATTTGGGGAACTAGATACTCTCTATTAAGCCATCAAGATCTGAAGGAGATTTTTGATATTTTGTTAAGTGTGCTAAAACATTAAGGTTTGCAAAAATATAATGGTTGACATTTTTGAGAATACCTCAAATATTAATATGAATTTGAACTCTCCAATTTACTAATGTTTTAGATAATTTAGAAAGGTAATTGTGTCATACAGAATGGTTGGTAGACACTGCAGTTGCCTATCCCATAGCCATTTCCTCCTGCCAAACACACATCTTTTTTTATTATAATATAATTATAGTATATTTGCATAGAGGATCAAGCCCACTGATCTCGGATTGATGAATACCAAAAGAATAAATCATTTTTTGGCAAATCTGTCATAAAAACTCACCCCCATAGCTGTGATTAATATAAGGAGAAGAAAGTGACAATACTGTGGCCAAGAAGACATAAGAAGTTTACTGAGAAGAAACTGTGGCTTCTTTTAAAACAAGCAAACAAACAAAACCCACTCAACTCTACCTATGGAAAGATTTATGTTCAAACTCTTTTTTCACTTCCACTGTGAATATGGCCAACGAGTTTTGAATCTGAATATTAGAAACAGCTTGCATTGTTGATGGCATCTTTGGGCAAGTAACTACCTATATCCAGACACCCTAGTTATGAGGAAAGACTGCTCTTTAGATTATTAATTAATTAATAGTTTAATAAGTAAAGCTATGTATTTATTTGCTCAAAATTGAACCCATTCCTAACCAATATAGAGAAGGAATTGAAGGCCTATAACATTTTTTTCCACAGGAGAAGGTCAAAGGCTAAAACTTTGTTTTGAATATCAATGATTTTGGAACATCTAAGTTGGACATTCAGGGTCCTGATGATGTAATTTAGAAACCTTGTCAGGGATGAAGGACTGAGAGTAACCTAAGAAGTCCATGAAATGCCCATCCTTATTCCCATTTAAACAGAGCAACTTCTCTATTTTTTAGTGTTGAGATTTCTGATAAGAACAATGTTCTTGTTCTAAACTCTTTAAAAATGACTAATATGAGTCATAATCTTCAGAATTATATAAATAGCTGCTTAAAATGTTAATCATATTAATTTTTTTGAAATTAAAGTTTATTCTACGTTTTCCTGTCAGAAACTTCTACCTGTTCTTAGATTAAAAAGTTACATGACAGCAGGAATTTGACCTAATTGTAGATAGTGTTAATTATGGCATTTATACAGCTCAGTAACAATAAGCTGGGGAGTTTTGATAATTTTCTGGAGATTCTTTATGAAAATTTAAACCCAGATTTATACTTTAAAGCATATAAGACTGCATTGTTTTTCAGTTTAGCTACAGTTTTCAGATTATGTTCTTGGTAGAAAATGACCTGTAAATTAAAATTAGCACCAAAATATTTAAGTAAAATAGTCATAGATATTGAAGAGATATAGAACAAAATGATCATCTTTTCAAATCTTTTGCTAGTATTAAATGATAAATTATTTTTTAAACAACAATTATTGTGAGACTATATGGATTTTGGAATTTAATGTCAAATATTGCCATTTTCTAGACAAAGCTATCTTTTTAATCCATTTATTTGAAGAACAATATAAGCTTAGGAGATGGTTCAAGTTTATTCCTCTTATATCTCAGTGCATTTAAGAATTTAGATGAAAGTAAACACAAAATACAACATGGAGATTTTTTTAATGTGGTAATTGACTTTAAGAGAATGGGCAAAGAAATCAATATCTATTAGAGACTTTAGAAATAATAAAGATGTGATAGGATATTCATAGTTGAGTAGGAGGTCTTTATGCATATCTGACTGTGTCCATATAAAGGTGATTTGTATGCTCAAATATGATGTGTCATGTTTTAATAGCCTTTTTTAAAATGTAGTCTTGGGTTCACAGAAAAACAGGAAGTACAGAGAGTTCTCCTAATACACCCCTACTCCCATAAAATCATAGCAACCCCACCATAAACGTCTCCCATCAGAGTAGAACTTTAGTTACAATCAATGAACTAGCTTTGATACAGTATTATCAAAGTCCATAGATTATATTAGGGTTTATTCTTGGAGTTGTACATTTTATGAGTTTTGATAAATTAATAATGACACGTATCCACCATTATAGTGTCATGCAGAAAATGCAATGAATTTTTCAAAACAAATCAAGGGAATTAGAGAACTGAATATTGATTCAGCAAATCTAAACAACAAAGAAAATCCATTTTATGGTTCCTGAAAAAGCCTACGTACTTTACTTATTAATTATTAACAATTTAAGCTATTTATTGTAAAGCTGTATATAATTTTTTATTGAGATACAACAACATATCCTAAATTGTACCCTTTAAACATGAATAACTTTGTGGTTTTTTGTATATACAGTTTTACAAATATCACCACTAATTCTAGAACATTTTCATCAGCACAAAAAGAAACCCAGTATCCATCAGTAGTAGCACCACTTTTTCAGCCCTCTCCTCATCCTTTGGCAATGACTAGTCAACTTTCTGTTTACAATATTTGCCTTTGTTAGACATTTAATATAAGTGAAAGTATACAACATGTGGTTTGTTATGTCTAGCTTCTTTTACTCAGCGTAATGTTGTCAAGTTACATCGATGTTCTAGAATGTATCTGTTCTTTATCCCTTTTGGTGACTGAAAAATATTCCATTGTATGAATATATCACATTTTGTTTATCTATTCATCAAGTGATAGGCTTTTAGGTTATTTTTCCACTCTTTAGCTATCATGAATATTGTTTCCATGAACATTCCTGTATTTTTTTTGTAAACATACATTTACAATTTCTTGGCTATATACATGGTAGTATAACTGCTAGGTCATGTAGTAATGCAATGATTAGGTTAGGAACAACAAACTGTCTTCTGCAGAATTTGCAAAATTTACTTGCCCATCAGAAATGTATAAGGGTATTAATTTCTCTATATCCTTACCAACATTTGATATAGTTTGTTTTTGATTATAGTTAGCATAGGTGTGAAGTAGTATCTCATTATGCTTTTGATTTAATTTCTCTAATGACTAATGATGTTGAGCATCTTCTCATGTGCTTTTTGCTGATTTCAATTTTTTTTGAGAAATGTATATTCAAATAGTTTCCCCTTTTAAAAATTATGTTATAAATCTTCTTATTGTTAAGTTGCAGTGTTTTTATATATTCTACATAGAAATCCTTTATTGGAATATAACTTACAAATAATTTCTCTTATTCTATGGATTGTCCTTTAAGTTTCTGGTTGTTGTTTTCTGAAGCACAAATGTTTTTAATTATGAAGATAATTTACCTACTTTTTCCTTTTGTTGCGTATATATTTAGTGTCACATATAGGAAATCATTCCCTTACCCCAAATCATAAATATTTGCAAATAACTTTCATTCTAAAATTTTTACAGTTGTACCTCTTAGATTTAGGTTGTGATGCATGTTGAGTTAATTTTTGTATATAGCATAAGGTAAATGTCCAAATTTATTATTTGAATGTTGATTTATGATTTTATCAGTACCACTTTTTGCAAATACGATTCTTTTACAATTAAATTGTATTGGCACCCTGGTTGAACACAAATTGATCATAGGTATGAAGACTTCTTTCTGGACTCTCAATTTTATCCAACTGATCTATATACACATCCTTATTCCAGTATTACACTGTCTTAATTACTGTAGTGAGGTGATAAGTTTGAAATTAAGGAAGTATGTGTTCTCCAATTTTGTTCTGTTTTTCAGTATTGTATTGGCTATTCTGTGTTCCTTGCATATGAATCAATTTCTGGGGGAAAAAAGATGGAATTTTCATAGGAATTACATTAAATATGTAAATCAGCTTTGGGAATATTTCTGCCTTAACAAGATTAAGTCTTCAGCCCATGAGCACAGAATGTCTTTTCTTTTACTTGGGTCTTAATTAATTTCTTTCAATAATGTTTTTGTCATTTCAATGTAGAAATAAATATACAATCTCCAATGATTTTTTGTCATTTCAATGTACAAATAAATATATAATCTCTGATATTACAGTTTATTTCATATAGTTTGTCAATTTAGATCATCTTTTTGAACTGTTAGTGTCTGTTGTGAAATGTGATTCTTTTATATAAAATAATTACTATTTTCATCAGATTTTTGCAGACTAAATATTTATTTTATGTGCCATCACTTTTGTTCTGAATCAATCAATACACAAATTGAGTGGGGATAAGAGTGAGTAAAGAAATACAATAATCTTATAACAGGTATCCTTCCAGACTGACATCATTTCATTTAAAAAATTATTTGGCTATTTTGTTCAAGCAGATATTATTTTACCTACCAATCTTCATTTCTTTTAATCAACCAGACCAGTAAGACAGAGCTGAACAAATACCCTATTAATCTTTCCTATAGCACTAACACTGCTAAAAAATAAAAACATCTTAGGTTAAGAATTAAACAAAATTTTAATGATATCATGTTACTTCTTTTTGTAAATATATACATTGAATATTAAATGAGATTTCATACAATTTCAAGAGATTAATATTAAGCCCTTATTTCTTTGTCTATGAATTTAAATGCTGCTCATTAACTTTGACTATCTAACAGTGTTGAGAAAGAAATGATATGGCTTGGCTGTGTTCCCACCAAAATCTCATCCTGAATTGTAGTTCCCATAATCCCCCCGTTTCATGGGAGGGAAGAGATGGGAGGTAACTGAATCATGGAGTACCTTACCCTCACACTGTTTTTGTGATAGTGAGTGAGTTCTAAGAGATCTGATGGTTTTATAAGGGGCATTTCCCCCTTTGCTCAGTATTTCTCTCTCCTGCCACCATGTGAAGAAGGACTTGTTAGCCTCGCCTTCCACCATAATTGTAAAGTTTCCCGGGGTCGCCCGACCATGTGGAATTGTGAGCCAGTTAAACTTCTTTTCATTTATAAATTAGCCAGTCTCAGGTATTTCCTCATAGCAGCATAAGAATATTCTAATACAAGAACACATCACACTTATTTAAAGTATGAAAATCTTGTGATGTATAGAGAGTAAATAAGTAAATGAATAAATTATTTCACATAACTGGCAGAACTAAGATAATACCTGAAGTTGTCTGATCTTGAGGGTCTAAGGGAGATGCCATATCAGGAGGTGGAGAGAATCATCAGGCTTTTCTACATCGGTCAGTCTGACTCACCTATAAGTTGATGCCATCAAACAATTTCTTACTCAAAACTCCGTAACAATCATTGGAGACATGTTTATTAATTAAAACACTGACGATACTGCTCAGTGCACAGTTGGTATCTGAAATATATTTGATAAATGAACAGATGAATAAAAGTATATTTTTCCCCTTTTTTGCTTACATACCGTTATCCACTGACCACTCACCGCTACATCTACTCCCATTGTTTCCTACATCCCCTGATCCACAATGCTCTAACCTAAATTATTATGTCTTTGTTCATATCCAAATGCTTCATTACTTATTTCTTTTTCAGCACACCAAATGATATTCTAGTATGTCTGTCTTAGTAACCACTGGACAGTGATCACCCTAAAAACAATTTTTATTATTATCAGTTTTATATTATAGGGCTTGGATTGTAAAAGCTGCACAATAATTCTTTTCAGCTGAAGAAAGTTAAAAACATGTGTTTATATTACCAGCTCTATCTTACAAAGTTAATACCTAATGTATTTGGTACACATATTAATAAATAAAAATATAAAACAACTTTTAGGAAATATTTTATTCTATAATAATTTATTATATGTATAATCATAAAATAATAATTACAGTTGCATTTGTTTGTAGTAATTACAATATTTCTCTATACAAAGTATTAAAATTAACAGTGATATAGAATAGTCATTAAATATCAACACAATTTGTGTAATCATCATCTGCAAAGCACTAATATATTCAGCTTTTATTAAAAGTTTTCAAATTCAATTACACATTTTAAACTTTTATTTACCTTGTTGTATTTGAAAGAACTTCATAAGTAACCACTTCAAATGCTTGAAGTACAATTATTAATTAGCTCTTTCTCACAAAATGCCTAGTAAATGAGCCTTGCTTTTCCTCTTCTATAAATTAATAAATGCATCCGTAAGTGGATTAAGCTCGCATGACACCCTAGCAACTTTGTTTTTTTCTCAATGATAGAAATATATTTTAAAATCTTTTTCAAATAATTCTTTTACATGCACACTTATATCAAAGGGAAAATATTAGTGTCACAGAATATAGAAGGGATAGGTGGGTATAGGAGAGATAGGTAGATATAAGAAGGATAGGAGGATATCGTGGTGATAGGTCCAATGTTCAGTTTAATTTAAAGGCCTAGTTCTGTACTATTTGATTCTCTCTGTATATAGCTCTGCCTGTGTGATTTTACTCATTTTTACATTTTCCTGCATACAGAAATAGTGACTTTACTAAATTAGATGTGTAAGCTTGATGCCAATTTCTTGTTCTAGACCCCTTATTTGTTATGTAAAATTATATCAATTTTAGAAAGTTGTTACATTGACTATATTAACAAAAAGTCTTTAGCATAAATTTTGAACCATATTGGATACTTTTGAATGGGTGGATTCCTTCTACACCTCTTCAGCATTTCTATCTTTTTCCATAATTACACTGTCCAAGGATAGACACCATAGTGCATCAGTGGCTTATACTTAGTTATGATACCAAATATCATACAGGTGCATTTTATAATTTTTTTGTCTAAAGTCTTGGGCCTCAAACCATAGTTTTAACTGTAAACTCATGATCAATCTGAACCTGCTCATGTGTTTCTCCTTTTGTCAATATGCCTGGATAAACTGCTCTTCCCTCAAGTATCTAAACCCAATCTCAATTCTCTTTGTCTCAGCAGATGTGATTACTATTTCTTTTACAAAAATAGTTTCAGGTAACATGTCATGCACTCCATGAACTCTTACTCTTCAACTTCAGATTTTCTATCACTTCATCCCTGTTATTTCTGTACAGTTGTTTTCCAGGCTTTTGAGCCCACTTTTGCCTCTTCTCCAGATGAGGGAAAAAAAAAAATGTTTGCTTGCATTGTCATTGTAAGTTACAAAATTTCCTCTGATGACAAACAATGGTTCTATTCTACTAGTCAAGAATGTGTAAAAAAACAGGAAAACTTAGGGATTTTTCTCATAGTTACTTGGTGTATAATGGGAAAACAAACTTTCAATAATTTCCTGCTTAGATATTTTGCTCACAGGGATACAGAGTGATGTTATAACTTGGCTGTTACTCTTGTTCATGATTTTGCCCAGGTAGGATAGATTTATGGCTGAGGTCTGAGCTATAAATTAAAGTATGTCATGGTTAAGCTGATAAATGTTCCACGGAGCTGGCACATTTTTTGCTGTGCTTATAAAGACGAGCCATAATCTCCTCTGTGTGTGTTTCTGTTCTGTGGAAATCATGATTATATTCAAAGGTGTAATTGAGGATATTTCTAAAATGTAATCATGGGTAAAAATCATTTTAAAAGCTTATATATAGAAAGCATATTTCACCTAAACTACAATTCTTTCCATAGGGTGCATACTGTAGGAAACAAATGCAAATTGACCAGCAAATATTTGGGCATGACCAGACTCAAAAATGGAACGAACGAATAGATTTGCCTGCCAGCAATATTGCAATTCTGACTAGCAGATGATCATTTGGCACCCTAGAACAAGGCAATGATTGACTCTACATGACCAACATTTCACAGATCTATGCTGGTGCAGGTAGAGGTGGGTAATTACTTCAGCCACCCAAGGGGAAAGGGGGGAGCAGGTGTTAGGCTGCCAGCACAGCTCAAGTTTCCACTCATTTCCCATATAAATGTAGCTGGTGGTAGGAGCCAAGAAATTTGAGTCAGTTGAGACTTTTGCCATCTCAATTTGGGGGATTATAATTGAGCTTTTGCCTCTCTGACCTGATTCTTTCTAGTGCATTTTCCATATTGGTAACTTTCAATGTAACTTTTTCCTAAGTTCTTTGTGTTCTCTTAGAAACACTGACTACATAACTCACATGCTGTTTCAGTAACAACTGACAAATTTGCCTTTTGAAAGATTTATTGCATCAGCTTGCCTGACAGAAGAGCTGATCATGGAAAGGATAGATTTGTCTATTTGTCTCATGGAGTTCTTTACCCTCTGTTAACATCTATAGAAGGACTGAGGAGGGAAGGAGAGGCTAGTGAGTTACTATACATGAAAATCATTTAAAATACTTAAATGATGAGAGAAAGCCCCTAGATAGGCAAATGTGTTCCCTTTTTTGCTTCTATTGTTCTAATCTTGTAAAAAATTAATAGTTAAGTATTAAATGTGACTAAGCCAAATTTATTACTCAAAATCACCTACTGTGTCTCAGTCTCTCATTAACTTTTTTCTCTTTTTCATGCTTATTCATATGTGTTTGCACATTGTACATGCCTGTAAAGATGTCTCATTTTCCAAGCACATTTCTTGCTAACTGAGGCTTGTATATTTAAAGGTCAAATTTGGAGTGGGTGAAAGGTGTTTGTTTATTTAGATTCTCTGCTTAGCCATTCTTGATGGAAAAACAAAATTGTGCTCTCTTAAAAGTATTATATATTTTTCTATTTTTTGTAACTAGAGTACAATTTGCCTTTTTCTAATGACACAGAGACATTAATATAAGCACGATTCCATTAGTAAACTATTATACCTATATAATATCTTCAAGGGCTATTGAGGAATATAGAACTGTTTGCCCTATAATAAATGGATATGACACTGAAATATTTCACAGATACTTACTTTCTCACTTCAATGTCAGGCTATAGGTTTTCACTTCTTGCTACTGCTTTATAAATGCTTATTTATGCACCTGCTAATTTGCCCCTCAAACGTCCTCGGGCCTGGAGAAAGAGATAATCACCTTTATAGAACTGTGTGCAAAGATATCTTTGAAGGTGTCTTCTAAGAGTTAACCACAAAATCTTTTATACATTATTTTATTACTAACAGAAAATTTTTGTTTGCTTTCTATATTTCAGTTACTGCAGATGGTCGAGGTTGTTGAATACCAAATCTTAAAAAAAGTGATAACATTTCTATTTTCTTTTTAGTTTGTGTTTTTACTCATTCTTTTTTATTTAAATATATTCCATTTGATATCACTTTCTGCTTGAACTTTCCCTCATTCTCTGATATAAAATCAATGTTTTATCTTCCAACTCCTAGTGTTCTAATCTGCTAAGTGACTAGATGACAGCCTGGTATTAATTTATGTGTGAAAATTATGCTGCTTGTATGGAAGGAAGCTTCTCCTAGCATTATTTTAGGCATCTACCATATTACATTATGATTAAGGCTAACATAGTTGTTTTTTCTTCATGTAGAATACATTAAATATAATTTAAATAGCTTGATTCATTTTTTATCAGAGTTTATAACTTCCAAATTCTAATTTATAACTTTCAATTTCCATGACTATTTTTGGAGCATAGTTGTCAACCCAAGAGAAGATTTTTATAGTAAGAAAATAATGGAAATCAAGGAAGTCTCAGAAGCTCCAATATATAAAATGTCTATTTTTAGATATCATTATCAATATATTGACATATATATTTTCTGAGAATCCATATAAAAATAGGTTAACAGGGTGTGTTTTCAGAAATTTTGTCATTGCGTAGCAACTTAATCGTAGGTATTCATGTCAGGTAGAATTTAACTTCAGTCTTGTCTTCATCACTTAAAATTTGTATAATCCTAATAACTTAATCAACTTCTCTCATAGTTCATTTTCTCATCTGTAAAATGGTGGTTGTAATATTTATTTTTGAGTGTTTTGTAAAAGTACCTAGCCACATACTGAGCAAATGATAAATCCTTAACTAATTATATTTTTTATTTGTCTGTCTTAAGTTTCCCAAACAGTTTTTTAACCCACTTTCCATATGTTATTCTCAAAGGATTTGAAAAATAAACTTTAACATTTCCCACAAAAACCTTTAACATCTATTGATCAGATTTGACATGTCCTTGGGACTCTTTATTGCTGTGATTATATCTTTACTTTTAACTTTTTGTCATTAGTAATTTTGAGAAGAGCCTATAGGACATCATACACAAGATCAGGTATTTTTGTGGGATTTGGAGCTGAGTGTTTATTAAACCTGTGACTTATGGCGTGGTGTACAAACTTAGGTACTCTGCAATTTTACACATAAATGGAGTTAACATCTAACTTTTAAATGTTGTAAAGATTAAATAAGTGCCCCTTCCAAATGGGGCACATTCAGAAATGACATCTTGCTTCTCACAGTTCTGTTTTGGGGCCCTGCAACAGGCACCACAAAAGCACTCAGGAAGAACTCCCTGTTCTGATGAACCTTCAATTCCCCTGATTTGTCCAGGAGGTTTTTAGCCTCCGAGTTTGTAAATTTTTGTTTGTTTGCTGCAGTATTTTATCTTAATGCTTGAAGCTGGCCTGAATCGTTGGCCTCCCTCCACAGTTATGATTTGATTCCCTTCGTAACTATGCTATTTTTGGCAGTTTGGGGTAAACTATTTCTCTTGTCTAGACTAGAATCATCCATTCTTAACATGATCTAACCACTCACACAAAAAATTCAGTTGTATACGGTACAGTAGTGATAACACTTGAAAACAGTTTTTATTTTACAAGTTTCATTCTTATATTCTTAGAGTCACAGTTTGATGTAGATGAGAACTTTCCGATGGGCAAGCCAGGATTTATTCCAGAATTTTGATGGAAATAATGAGTTGACTAGAAATTGCCATAAGGAATAACAAAAACTAAGAATTACCTTTTATGATTAAGAAAATATTTAAGAGGGGACATTAACAATCTCTCAAGGCATCTGATAGGCTACCATAAGAAACTGTCTACAAAGTTTTCTCTTTCTCTGATATTTTAAAACAGGATTGAGATGGATGAATGGACATGAGAAGATTCCCAGTCAAAAAAGCACAATATGGAAAATACAATAGAAATATAGTAAGAAACTCCTTATTGCTGAAAATATAAAGAGAAGGTGGACATTTCATTTTCTCAGATTCCACCACATGGAGATGAGATGTGAAGCTATAGAAAGAATTGATGCCAAGACCAGACTAATAAGAAATTTGACAATTAAGATGCATTTAATGCCAATATTCTCCAATCCTCACTGATTATTTTTGAGATACAACTCTAAAAAGAGGTTTTCAACAAGAGAATAGCATAAGGTACCCCATTTACGATGTGGAGAAATTTGATTGCTTGAACAGTAGTTAATGTCTGAATGCGGTGGCTCACGTCTGTAATTGCAGCACTTTGGGAGGCCGAGGCAGGCAGATAACTTGAGGCAGAAGTTCGCGACCAGCCTGGCCAACATAGTGAAACCCCATGTCTACTAAAAACACAACAATTAGCCTGGCATGGTGACACATGCCTGTAAACCCACCTACTCGGAAGGCTAAGGCACGAGAATCTCTTGAACCCAGGAGACGCAGGTTGCAGTGAGCCAAGATGGTGCCACTGGCACCCCAGCCTGGGCATCAGAGTGAGGCTCTGTCTCAAAAAAAAAGAAAAGTAATGAATGAACAGCAGAGTTATATATCTAATGATAGTCCATGTATAGATAAGAAATGCAGGACATGATTTCTACAGAAAATATAGGTGATGATTGCAACTACTTTTCAGGCTTGCATACACCGCTTATTACGCAACAACTTTTTAGGCTCATCCTTACAAGCAAACTTTATATTCATTATGATTACGTCTATGTACCTGACATTTTCCACCAGCTGAGTTTTGTGCCGTATCTGTGATCTATATAGCCTCACATTCTGCTTACTCATCCTGTGACTGAGGAAGGAAAGCAAGACACTAACATGTGACAAGCTCCAGCATCAGAAACATTTCCAGAAATTATGCCTCAGAGAAAAACATATATACTTTGTAAACCATTTGTTATTTGTAATATTATTAACAAATATTGGTCACAATCCACATGTCAACAGTTTTATAGAAATCACTTAAACAATAATGATGTTAAAATTCTAATTTTAATTGAGAAATTTAGAAAACATTTCCACATACATAAAAAATTATGCATGTTATTGTTTTATAAGCTAGAAAATGAACATCTCTTGGTAAGTCAACTAGGGGAACATTAAAGCTCACAACATTACTGTCTGCGAGAGGCCAAAATTTGAAAGTAGATCTAGAATGTCACTGCAACTAACAAGGCTTTGGCTGACAGGCAAAGCCTAGAAGAGACTGGTTGGGGAGGAGGATTTTGAATTATTCTGATCAGTTCAGGGGTTGGTGATTTCCCTAACACAATGACAGTGTCCAGAAAAATGTCTACCATTTTACTTATGTTTTAAGGGCTTAGGATATTGAAAAGGAGATTGGCCACACACATTAGTCCCAATAGGGTACAGACAGTTGTCAGCTCTGTTAGTGACAGAGGGGCTCTGTTTAGGTTGTTATTGATGTTATTGATGGGAGATTCTGGTGAGAAAGAAAGATACTTTATTTATCTACACACCTATCTATTTAATCTATCAATCAATCTATCTATCCAGGTAGCTAGCTAGCTACATAGTATACTGTTCTCCTGGGTGGAAAAAGATCAGTGGTTTATTTCCTATGATATTCTGTGGTACCGGCCTAAGCCATGGGACAATGTACCTCTTAGATCTCTGACTGTAGGAAGCCTAATTGATTGATAGTCCCGGCTACTGTGCCCTGAAACTTATTAATATTATTGTGTTCATGTTAATGACACACTTCCCATGAGCCTCTGTCTGGCAATAACAGAGGTGGCAGGAATACTAAAGTCTATTCCTGGGAGACAAGAGACAGCTCTCATATCAGTCTTTGTCTGTGGGACACCCCATCAATTCTGCTGAATATTCATGAATCTGAGCTGCAATCCAAGTGGCTTCTACCCTCCCCTTTTTCCTTCTCTCTCTCTTTTGCAAGTTCACAGCTACATTGCAGACAGAGAGTGTCTGGCTTCATTCCCATGAATTTTATGACATGCCTTTCATCTAACAGAACTTTTGATGTCCACTCCCATCTCAGGGTACGTTTCTTGGATAAGTTGGACTAACAGAGGCAATGGATGATTGCTTACATTCACGTAGAAAATCAGGCATGGTTGTAGCATGAAGATGCGCTGTAGGACCTTGGTTGTAATATGAAAGTGGGCTGTAGGATGAAGGTAAGCAGAGAAGTGATTTAAATCCCAGAAAGCAGGCATTTTACAAGCAAAAGAAGATATCAAAAGGGCCTTTATAGTAATTGTTTAAGATCAGGTCTTCAAACCAAAAACAGGGTAGGTGGTTTTCTGAAAGAATAAACCAGGACCTCTATTCTAGAAATTGATATTATATCTAATAATAATTCCAGTGTTAGGAGTTAGGAAACTACATTTTGTGGTGAGGTTGCAGTCTGTTTTTGTATGATCCATAAGTTGGGAAGATCTTTTATCTTTTACATTTTTAAAAAGTTGGGCAAAAAATACACAATGAAGAATGTGCAAAAGAAACTGCACGAAGTGCCTCAACTCTAAAATATCTGCCATCTAGACGTTTATAGATAAAGTTTGCCAATTTTTACCACAGAGGAATTCAGAAACAGAAACCAGGGGGAAGCTAAGATATTAAAATTCACTATATGATAGACCCTGGCTTATAATAAGATAAAATAGAAAACCTAGGTGTCTGACCTAGATAGAGTTCCCAGTTTTAGTAAATTAAAATTCAAAACATGCAGTTACATTTAAATTTCAAATACACCATGACTAATTTTTTAGTATGAGCATCTCCAAGTATTATATAGGATGTCTTTATACTAAAAATTATTTGTGGCATACCGGAAATAAACTTAACTGGAAACCCTGTGTTTTATCTGGCAACACTAAGCTAAGGACATAGGACAATTCTAGAAACAGTATGACTAAGTTGATTCCGTGTTTCATCTAGGATAGAAGAGAAAACTGTAGGAATAAAAACAATAACCCTTGCTAAATCTTACAGGACACGAAAGTGACAAATTCAACCAACGTAAGAATCACTGTGTCCTTACAGAGACCATTTCATAATCAGTCAGCCAATATTCATAAACATATTATTGAATATTTCTTGTGTGTTACTCATTGAGATAGCAGCAAGATACATAAGACCTACATGAAGCATGGAGTCTAATAAAGGAGACAAAAAGTAATAAATATGTATAAGATTTTTTTTTTTTTTTTGAGACGGAGTCTCGCTCTGTCTCCCAGGCTGGAGTCCAGTAGAGCATCTCAGCACACTGCAAGCTCCGCCTCCCGGGTTACGTCATTCTCCTGCCTCAGCCTCCGGAGCAGCTGGGACTACAGGCACCCGCCACCACGCTCGGCTAATTTTTTTGTATTTTTAGCAGAGACGGGGTTTCACCGTGTTAGCCAGGACGGTCTCGATCTCCCGCCCTCGTGATCCGCCCACCTCGGCCTCCCAAAGTGTTGGGATTACAGGCGTGAGCCACCGCGCCCAGCCGTATAAAATAATTTTTAAAAATTCTGTGATAAATGATGCTAAGGAAAAGTAGAATAAGATGTAAGAAAAATATGAGCAGCCCAAGTTTTTATTCTTTCCCATCTTCCCTTATGGTCAAAGCAGAATAATGTTACAGCAAAAATACCCTCATTCTTTTTCTTGGAACTTATGAAGATGTAAACTGCATGGCAAAAATGTATTTTGAAAATATGATTAAAGTTAAGACCTTAACATGGGAAGATTATTTCAGATTATTGCAAGCAGTAAACCATCCCTATTCACAGAAGAGATGATCTTATATACATATATGTATAAAATACATGTGTGTGTGTAATTCTAAAAATTCCACAAAATGGTACTATTAAATATAATAAACACATTCAATGGAGTTGCAAGATACAAAATCAACACAAAAAATCAATTGTATTTGTACATACTAGCAATAAAAAATGGAACATTGAAATTAGAAAAACAATTCCACTTACAACGGTACCAAAAATAATGACATTCTCAACACTAAATTTTACCAAAAATATTCAAGACTAATACACTGAAAACTACAAAATGTTGTTTAAAAAATTAAAGAAGATTAATAAATGAAAAGACATTCTGTGTCTATGGATTAGGGGACTTAATATTGTTAAGATGGCAATGCAACACATAGTGATTTATGGATTTAATGCAATCACTATAAAAATACAAATGGCCCTTTTTGTAAAAATGGAAAAGCAAATCCTCAAATTGTCATGGAATTGCAAGGGGCCTCTATAGCAAAAACAATACTGGAAAAGGACAACAAAGTTTAGGACTTGGAGAACTCACTCTTCTTGTTTTTAAAACTTACTCTAAACATGATCAAATGTCATGCTCAAGGGAAATGTTCATTGGAAAAGCTAATCTACATAAAAAAGAAAAGCTGGACCCTACCTCATAAAAATAACTCAAAATCGCTCAGCAATGAAAATGTTAGAAATAAAACTTTTATAAGAAAAATTTGATGTATATCTTCCTAGGCTTGGATTATGCAATGGATTCTTAGATATGACACCAATAGAATGAGTAAGAAAAAAGTATATTCTGTACCATGTTATCAAAAGAAAAACCGTTGTGCAGCAAATGACATTATCAAGGAGTGAAAAGACAACCTATAGAGTGGAAGAAAATATGTGCATCTTATATCTGATAATAATCTAGTATCCAAAATATATAAAGATACACACACACACACACACACACACACGTACATGTCAGTGGATCTACCATTCTGGGGTCTGGGGTTTGTGTGTATGTATATGTATATTCACCTAAACTTCTCTTCATATACATATATGTGTGTGTGTCTGTATATATATATATCCTATTAGTTCTGTCCCTCTAGAGAACCGTGACTAATAGGTAGTGTGATAGCATGAATTAATACTCCTTAATAAACTCCCCTGTATATGTATATGGGGAGTTTATTAAGGAGTATTAATTCACACTATCACAAGTTCCCACAATAGGCCTTCTGCAAACTGAGGAGCAAGGAAGCCAGTCCAAGTCCCAAAGCTGAAGAACTTGGAGTCCAATGTTCAAGAGCAGGGAGCATCCAGCATGGGAGAGACATGTAGACTAGGAGGCTAAGCCAGTATAGTCTTTTCATGTTTTTCTGCCTGCTTTATATTCTGACCACACTAACAGCTGATTAGATGGTGCTCACCCAGATTAAGAGTGGGTCTGCTTTCCAAGCTCACTGACTCAAATGTTAATTTCCTTTACCAACACCCTGAGAGATACAACCAGGATCAATACTTTGCATCCTTCAATCCAATCAAGTTGGCATTCAGTATTAACCATCACAGTGAGGATGTGGAGAAATGGAAACTCTTATCCATTGCTGGTGGTGATTTAAAAGTGTGCAACTACTGTAAAAAACAGTCGATAGCTCTTCAAAAAATTAAAGACAGAATTATCATATGACCCAGAAATTCCACTCACACATATATACTCAAAAAAGTAAAAACAGAAACTCAAACAAATACTTGTACACACACATTCATAGAAACACTATTCCTGATAGCCAAAGGTAGAAAAAAACCCAGATGTCATCAAATAAATGGATTAAAAAAGGAATTGTGGTATATACATACAATGAAATATTATTCAGCTATAAAAAGTAATGAAGTACTGAAACATGCTACAATGTGGATGAATCTTAAAAACACTATATTAAGTGAAAAGAGCCAAATCGCATAATATGTTAGGGTTCTCTAGAGGGACAGAACTAACCAGATAGATGTATATATGACAGGGACTTTATTAAGGAGTTACTGACTCATATGATCACAAGGTGAAGTCCCACAATAGGCCATCTTCCAGCTGAGGAGCAAGGAAGTCACGAGAGAAAGACAAAGGTCGTAAGACTCAGCAAGTCTGCTCTTTCCATCTTCTTCTCCCTGCTTTATTCTAGCCACGCTGACAGCTTATTAGATGGCGACTACCCATATTGAGTATGGGTCTGCCCCTTCCAGTCCAGTGACCCAAATGTTAATCTCCTTTGACAACACCCTCACAGACACACCCAGGAACAATACGTTTCATCCTTCAATCCAATCAATCTGACACTCAATATTGACCATTACATATAGTATATGATTCCATTTATATTAAATATCTGGAATAGAGAAACCCATAGGCAGGAGGAAAATAGGCAGTTTCCAGGGACTGGGAGAGTGTAGGGGAAATGGAGAGTGACTGTTTAATGGGTATAGGGTTTTCTTTTGGGTTGATAAGTATATTTTGATACTTGATAGAGATGGTAGTTGGGAAACATTCTTTATTAATGAGCTAAATGCTACTTCTATCTACACTTCAAAATGGCTAATTTTATGTCATGTAAATTTTACCTAATCTTTTTTAAAAAAAGAAATTGTCAGAGAAATACTATATTGCTATCTTTGAAGATGGAAGAAAGAGGCCACAAGCCCAGGATTACAGGCAGCGTATACATCCTGAAAAAGGCAAGGAAATAGACTTTCTACTAGAACTTTCAGAAAGGAATGCAGCCCCAGTGACACCTTGACTTTAGTCCAAGGACATTTGTGTTGAATTTTTGATCTATAGAACTGTGGGATAGATAATCGATTTGTCCAAAGCCACTGACTTCTGGAAGTGTATTACAGTGACAATGGAAAACTAATACACCTCTGGTGTATGCTTATCTACAAATGCAATTTTCTTACTATGATGTTCTCAGTAATTACATTATTCAACTTATCACCTTTCTTATTTCGACCGTTATTTTTTTCTTCAAGAAATGGTACCATATTCATTTCTTCCATCTGAAGAGTTAGAACCTTGTAAACTAAGCAGATTCTCATTTTTAAATAAATAAAGTAGTTTTCACACAAGGTGCTTGGATTGCTTGTATGGAAACATGCTTAGACAACAATTTAATATCACTCAATCCCAGGCAAGACAGGCCACTACTCTGGCCCTTACGTGTTAAAGGACCATGTCTATCTTAACATACACACTCACGCGCGCACACACACACACACACATTTTATTAAAGAACTTATGAATGTCATTTTCTGTAAGGATGCAGTGCTTATTGCGGGAACATTACAATGTATATCTCTGAGAATATGCTGTCCTGATTAACAAACACTATTTGGGAATTAAGGTGAACAAAGTGATGGCCTCAGATTGTTCAGGAGGTTGGGGGGTATCTGCCTCTCAACATCAGAGATGGACACTGCTTTCTGGTGAGGCAACAAATTATATTGTCATATTGTCTCTTAAAGTGTATCACTGTGATAGTCTTACATAATAAAGTATCTTTTAACATAATGCCAATTATCATTTTCTTGCTTTTCTTTCATATTCCACCTCCCATTTCCAAAGATACAGAGGAATTAATGTTGTATTTATAATAGTTGCTTGTGATTACTGAGGAATGTTATAAAATATTTAAAAATTCATGTCACTTTCAAATATAGAAAATAAGAAAGTAGATGTCTGTAGTTGCATGTATATGTAGGTTCAGATGTAACACATGAAATGTAATTATTTATACTGAAGGATCAAAGGACATCAAAGGCAAGAATTGCACAAAGTATTGTACAATTTAATGAAATTTGTAAATGGTTAAACAGTACCACTTTATGTAACTATTTTGATTTAAAATATTGATGCTCAGGTACTATTTGATTTTACAATATATATTTATATTACTTTTCTAAAATATTCTGATTAACATAATAGACTACTTATAATATTTTAGAAAAGATAATTTGAAAACAGATCTGATATTAAAATTTCCAAAATTACACTGATCTTAATTTGCATATTTAATAAAAATAACACATTTTGTACACTTTGAACATATTAAAAATATTTAAATCATTATAGTTAAAATAATTCAAATAATGTGAGAATTTCATTATAACTATATAAGGCGATTTTGCAGAAATAAAGGTAAATCAAGTAAGTTTTATTGAATTAATATATAATAATTTGTCAATTATCTGCTCATTTTAATATTCACCAAATATCAGCAGTTCATCTCAAGAACATTAAGTTTCTGTAATTATCTCATTAATCTCATTTGTCCTTGATATTTTTATAGTTTTCACTTATATAAAAATAATTTGAGAAATATTTTTTATTTTTTCTACTCAAGAGGCATAAATATCACCATAGGGGGAGTCATGTTTTATTTAACATTTACTGACTTTGATATATATGTTTTAAATATCTGGACATATATTGTATTTAAACTACCATTGACATTTTGCCACAGGATCAGTAAAATTAGGAATGAAGATGAAACACTATGATAGAAAGTGATTCAAGGTATTGAAAATTTGATAATAAACTTTGAGCTCTCATTGACCATTGTTCCTCGCTGTTGCCAAGGTGGTCTTACATTACAGCAAAGCCACTGAGAGATGCTTCAGTTGAAGACTACCTTGTGCCTGACCTCTTTTCTTTGTTCCTTCACCAGAGATTTTTCTTGGGATATTCTCAACATGTCTTTGATGCTTTAACAGATTAAATGTTGTAATGCAGAAATTTTTCTTAGGCCCCTTTGACTCCATGTTTGTATCCTTCCTTATGTCTCTCTTTCCTTCATTGTCATCTAGAGTTTATTAGTAAGTCAAAAGATGAAACTAGATACCTACATTATGGTTAATGCATACCAGTCTGGCAGAAACTTTGATATTCCTTAGTTTGAATTTATATAATTGCATAATGGAGATATAAACTTACAAGCTAATTGCCTCAGCACACTGAGAAGTATTATAAACATGTCACACCACAGTGTGCATTTTTAGAATTAGGAATAAGGAGAATCCTAATGCAGTTTCTCTTCAAAAGGACTTTGAGATGTCCATTTGATTTGGGATGCAATGCAACTTGCCGATGATTTGTTTTATTCTAAATATTAGAGATTAAGCATACATTTTTTCAACTTTTATTGATTCTGAGGGTAAATGTGCAAGTTTGTTATCTGGGTATACTGCATGATGCGGAGGTAATGCTCCCACTATCAGGTGCTAAGCATAGTACTCAACAGTTAGTTTTTCAACCCTTGCCCCCACACCTCTCTCCCTGCTCTAGTAGTCCCCACTGTCTATTGTTGCAATCTTTATGTCCATAAGTATTGGATGTTTAGCTCCCACTTATAAGTGAGAACAAAGCACAGATTTTTTTAAGCTAAGTAATAATCATTGTATAAATTGTTCAGGGGTGGAGGAAGATTATAAAGGAAACACTGTTTACAGGCAAGCCGTTAACATTGTCAGTTCTGTGAACAGTGGAGGCGTACTTTCATTTGGTATAGCTGTTTCTTTCTTTTCTCCATAAATAAATTCTCCTACAAAGCCTTGAATTTATGCAGATGCAAATGACGTAGTGGGGCCAGAGAAAGGAATCATACATAAAAAGCAAAGACTTTTGTGTTTAATTACTTTAAACGTATTTCCATATCTTCTTCTGTTCCAGATGTCTACCTTACCCTCTACACTCCCTAAGGACTTTTGCAACATTTCTATTAACTTATAAAGATATTGGATTAATTTAAAGTTAGAAGAGTTTGTGGATTTATTTGATTGGATGTATTTTTCTAATGATTTTTGTTTTTAAAAGATCAGTTAATAATTTAGTGGCCAAATTTTAAAATCTGGGGTTGACATCATTTGTGGGAAAATAAAAACATGTTATTTGGTTATCAGGCATAAAGACAACAAGTTGAGTTTCTTAGCTTGACAACTCAATGTCTATTTCTTACCATCCTTTTCGTGTGAAGCATGGTAGGCTATTAACTGCTGATCCTTAGATTTAGTACAAATAAGTCCATATAAGAAAAAGCACATTAAAATACAGTGAAGATTACAACAAAGATACTAGACGCCATCTAAATTTCTCTGTTTGTTACATAAAAAATGACATCATAAAAACCAAAGACATAGACACAGAGGCTCTAATTTGATGCCATCTAGATATTCTCATGGTATTTGTTTCTTTTTTTTTTAATTTGCACAGCCTTGTTCTTCTTTTATTTCTCCCAAACCTTTTACTTGAATGTAATGATAAAACACATCATCATATTTATTTGACAATCCTACCAAAAATAGCTAACTACTTTTTCAAATGTTTTTCCCACATCTGATCTGCCTGTGTACTCATGATTACTGAAAGCCCTGGTAGCATTTGCTTTGGTGGAGGTAGTGTATCAGTTCCATCATCCAACTTAAATAATTCTTCAAGATCTAATAAATAGCTAAGGGAATATAAGAAGATAATGATCTCAATTTCAACCTTAAATGAAATTTTAGTAAAAGAGCACAGGGGAGTGTTTCACCAAATACAAGAAAGAAAATAAAGGACAGCAAGAAAAACAATGTGGCCTAGAGCAGAGTGAAGAGAAAGAAGAGTAAGACAGCAAGAAAATAAGTCAGATGAGTAACTAGCAACCAGATCATGTAGGATCTTTTAGGTCATAATAAGAACTTTGGCTTTGTTTTTTCCATGATATGAGATGTCATTGGGAGGTTTTAACCAAAGGAGTATGTAATCAGACTTACATATGAATAATACTCTAGTTGCTGTATTGAAGATAAACTGCAAAAGAACAGTGAGAAAGTAAGAGATGCTGGTGTTTTCCATCAGGCTGAAGAGAGTGGTCTAATTAGAAGTGATGGAATTCTGAATATATTAAAGGCAAAGTAGATAGGATTTCTGACTGACCAGAGTGGACTTAGAGATTTAGCTAGTTGCTCAGGCTAAATTACACCAATGTGATACCAATGTTTTAGCCTGAGCAACTAGAAGAATAGTATTGCTATTAACTGACAGGGAAAATGTGAGACTAGCTCAGTTTTGTACATGCTAAGTCTGAGATCTCTATTGGAAATCTCCTTGGGAAATGTCAAGTAGGGAGTTCAATATTTGATTCTAGAATTAAGGAGCAATATGAAGGGAGGAATAATCAGCATATAGATGGTGTTTACAGATGTATGAGTGGATGAGTTCACATAGAAGAGGTCCAAGGCTGAGGCCTGGGACAAGTCACCTCCTGAGGCCTGTCAAATTGCAAAGGAGACTGAGAAAAATGGTCAGAGATATAGGAGGAAACCCAGGTGGATATGATTTTCTGAAACAAAAGAAGTAAGTGTTTGGAAAGTAAATGATTACCAGTGCCCAATGTTGTCACCAGGTGAAATAAAATAAGAATTTTTAGACAATTATTAGATTTAAAACATGAATATTATTGATGAACATATAAATGACCACCGGCAAATCTGAAAAAGTAGAATTTTTTATTATTAAGATGTTGATATACTTTGACTTAAATTTTTATTTAGTCATTAATTAGCTGGCATGCAGGAATATGTAGGCTTCCCCAACAGAAAAATATACACAAAATGAAACTTTTGGCCTTTTGTGTAACACCGATACATAATTAATATTTTTAAAATATAAACAATATAAACTGGTGGAGTAAAAAAAATACATTAATGTAATTTTGTCTATCAGGATAATCACAAAAATAGTTTAAGTTTATTTTATACCTGTGTTGAAACATTCTCAGAATTTAGCTATTTTGACAAGACTGATGTCTGGAAATACACATTTTTTTACAATTATTTTATTGTAATGTGCAGGGCATTTTACTCATTACATTTTGGGTATTTCAGAGTCCTCCTGGAATACTATTTGTAACTGAGTATAAAAGGGCATCATAAATGTCATTTGCTGATGTTAAACACAGTGATATGCACCATTGAAGAGGATAATCTCATATTAAATTAGAGGAGGAGGTTCTTTAGAACTATCAGTCAACTGTCTGCTTCTAACTGTGATGTTAAAAGAAGCTGAATTAGAAGAATGGTGGACACTTCTAGAAGTATTTGAGTAGCTGGGCATTAAGGAATCTAAAATTGGGGGATATTCAAAGATTAAGGTTAATTTCAAGACTATCACCACCCCCCTAAAAAAGAAGAAGACGAAGAAGAGGAAAGAAAAAGACCTTACATTCTGGTCTCATGTCAGCCTTTTGCAAACAGAAAAGCTTAACGTTTTATTTCCCTCATTACCTCCATCATAGTGAAAGAAATAATTACCTGTACAATGCCTTTCATTCTGTGACCTCCAAAGTCAAATTCACAGTCATACGTAACTGGTGGGTTTTTTTTTTCCTACATTACCCAACTAATTGCTTAACACTGTGCTTCACTTAGGCAAGATAAAATGGACCGGAGAGAGGAGAATTACAAAATTTTCCTGACAGGTATCTCTAGAATTTACTTGTCATTACAAAGATGTTTTATCATCAAAAGCTTTTTAGGAGCATGTCTTCAGTCCTGGTTTGTCATTTTTTGATTCTTAAGTGATGGCAAAGTTTATATCATATTTCATTTCAATGAACACTTTAAAGAACAAAAAGATTAAACTAAAAAAATGCAAAAGTGACAAAAATGATTGTTTTTTTACTTGGAAGTAATTGATTCCAGAAGATGTTTAGTATTTTAACATTAGTTTTAAGATCTAGACAGCATTTAAAGTGGATTCCTCTTGAGATTTTCAATTTTTTAGTAATATGCATATTTCATGCCAGATATTTAAAAATAATAAATTAACATTTTTTTAATGTGGTGACTGAAAATGACACAGATGTGCTATTGTTTTTTTTTCAGCTCTGAAAAAGGAAGAAATGTTAATTCAAATAACACAAACTTATGTACATACTCATACACAATACTTATGATAAAATACATAAATGAATTTTATGTAGATATTTATCTAAAGTGTTATAGACTATAGTTTGTCAAAAAAAATTCCCCAAATATTTATTTCTTGCCTGGCTTCTAAGAGGTCCAGAAGTTTTATCCTTAGTAAAATATTCAGCTCGCCACACTGGTCAAAAAGTCATTATCACTAAAGTATAAAGTTTAGTTTAGCTCCCTAGTCACTTGATAGTGCGCTTTGGTAATGAGAGATGAAGATCAAGTGGGGTTTATTTCAGAGAAAGAGTGCTCAGAATTGCTGTTTACTTTGTTAGACATTCAACCAAATCAATGACCTTTTAAAATTGGAAAACATATCGAATAGACAATCTAATGAAGGCACACAAGCCTCTCATTGGCAAGTACACTAAATAAAATGCATTAGTGTTTATTTTATTACAAAGGACAAAAAGATCAACACAAAAATAACAACCACAGCAGGCAGTATACACTCATATTCTTGCTACAGGACTACATCAACTCTCCTACTCTCTTTTTTTAATTGGCAAAACTTTATTGAGACATAATTCATATATTACATAATTCATATATTATATATCACACTATTTAAAATAGACAATACATTGGGCTTTTTTTTGAGACGGAGTCTCACTATGCTGCCCAGGCTGGAGTGCAGTGGTGTGATCGCAGCTCACTGCAACCTCCCCCTCCCAGGTTCAAATGATTCTCCTGCCTCAGCCTCCTGAGTAGCTGGGATCACAGGCGCAAGCCACCACACACGGCTCATTTTTCTGTTTTGTATTTTTAGTAGAGATGGGATTTCACCATCTTGTTTAGGCTTGTGACCCGCCCGCCTTGGCCTCCCAAAGTGCTGGAATTACAGGTGTGAGCCACTGCGCCCGGCCTATGTTGGTTTTTAATACATTCATAAAGTTGTGCAACGATTGCAAGTTTATAAGCCTAAAGACATCCAATATCCATTAGTGATGACCTCCATTTACCCCAATCGCTTTACCCCTGACTACCACTCTTTCTACTTTTCTCTCTGTGGATTTGCCTATTCTGGACATTTCATTTAAATGGAATCATCCAGTATGTGCTACTTTGTGACTGGCTTCCTTAAGATAACATCATGTTTTCAAGTTTCTTCCATGTTGTAGCATGTTTCAGTTTTTAACTTCTTTTAATTTTTAATAATATTCCATTGTATGATATAGCATATTGTATTTATTCATCATGTGATGATCATTTGGGTTACTTCCACTATTTAGCTACTATAAGTAATGCTGTCATCAGTTATGTACAAGTTTTTATGTGGGTGTATATTTTCATTTTCTCTTGAGTATCTAACTAGAAATGGAACTGCTGGTTCATATGGTAACTCTGCGTTTAATCTTTTGAAAGATGATCAGACTATTTCCTAAGTGGCTGCACCATTTTATTCTCAGTAGCAATGTATAAATGATACAAATTCTTTATATTCTCACCAGCACTTGTTATTAACTGTCTTTGTGATTGTAGCCATCCTAGTGACTGTAAAGGACTGTTTTGTTGGGGTTCTCATTTACATTTTCCTGATTATCTTACCCCTATTTTTAAACTTTCAAAATTGAAGTACAAGCTTAACAATAAAGTACATCTGTCTGAAATGTACTTCTTAATCAATATTTATGTAAGTATGCAACTGTGTCACCACCACCCACATAAGTATCTAAGCTGTTTCTGGTTCCTTATGAGTCTCTTTTGTGTTTGCTCCCAGGCTACCATCCCCCACAGGTAACCAGTATTCTTACTTCCATTATCATAGACTGCTTTGCATGCTTTAGCACTTCATATAAATGGAATCATACAGATGTACTCTCTTGTGTCTTAACCAGTCCTTGTTGATGAACATGTGCTCTATTTTCATTCTTTTTCTATTACAAACAGTGTTACAATGAATAACTTTGTACAAGGGTCATTTAATAGGTGAAGATATATATTTCTAGTATTGGGATATGTGATTTAAAAGGTAAATACATTTGCAATTTTTCAAGAGATTGCTAGATTCCCTGTATAAGTGCTGTACCATTTTGGATTCATAGCTGCAACATAGAGTGCATGTATCATTTGATTGTAACCTTTACATAGGTGCGTGTTGTACTTTTATATTGCATCTCTTTAATTTTTAGTGACGTTGAGAATCTACGTATGTTTGTGGCTATTTGCAGTTCTCTTTCTGTGACCTAACTGTTATGATTTTTACCTTTTTCTTCTATTGGGTTCTTGGTCATTTTTTCTCAATTTCTCTAAGCCATTTGTATATTTGGGGTATGAGTCTTTTGTCTAAGATATGAATTGAAAATATTTTTCCCAGTTTATGTTTTATCTGTGGACTATACTTGTGTATGTGCACGTTTTGTCATGCAGAATATTTTTTAAAATATAGTCAAAATTATCAATCTTTTATTCTGTGCTTTAAGTTTTGAGTCATAGATAGAAAGGACTTCCATCCTTCCTTTAAAATTATGTTTACTCGTGGTTAAAAAAACACATAATAAAATTTACCATCCTAAAAATGTATAAATGTATAGTTCAGTAGTGTTACATATATTCACATTTTTATGCAACTAATCTTTATAACGTTTCGTCTTGCAAAACAATTCCTGATTAACTCCTATCCCCAGCACTTGGCAACCACTATTCTACTTTCTGTTTCTATGATTTTGATTACCTCATATAAGTAGAATCATATAATAGTTTATTTTTGGTGATTGGTTTATTTTATTTGACAATGTCCTCAAGATTCATTCATGTTGTAGAATATGTTCAAACTTCCTTCATTTTTATGGCTAAATATTAGACCCTTTAGACAATATATTCTGAAGGGAACTTGATTATCTGGATATTTTTCTGGGAGTCACATTGATCTGTAATATTGTTACCATCATGTTGGCTGAGGATCTGGGAGCAGAAATGGTAAGTTCTCTGGATGCCCTAGTAAAACATTTGCACAACCAAACAACACAAATTCAGCAGCATCCCATATCACTGAAGTTTTTAAGTGTCATCAGAATGTTGTGACATAGGCTCCAAAGTAAAGACCACATACATGCTAATCACTAAGAAAGATGCACATCACTTGTAGGCCTCTTCAGATTTCAGACAGAATACAAACTAGATTTGGCAATAATGCAGAAATAGTTTCTTGAGTGTCTTGAAAGCACAACAGCTTTGAATGACACCAGAGCATAAGAGAGAGCTTTGCAAGAGATTCAGGTTGTTATACAAATTGTCCCTGCTTCTTGGGCTATGTGGCATGACAGATCCCATGATCTCACATGTATTTTTGGTACATAGGGCATTCTGTGAATTTCTGGAGCCCTATTAGAGGAGTGGCAGTATAGACCCCTAAAGACTCTGGAATAATGTCATGCCATATTCATCAGATATATATTTACCACCTGAAAAGCAGGTTTTGTCATGTTTTTGGCCCCTAGCAAATGCTGAGCACCTGATAAGGAACATCAAATGATTGTATAGTCAGAAATAAGTATTATCAGGTCCATCAAGTCATACAGCCAGACAAGCATATTAGTAAACCATAGTATGATAAAAGTGGCATTGAGTATCAGGTCTGAAATGGCTCAGAGGATATAAGTAAGTTTATAAGAGGTAGTCATAGATTCCTCAAATCACCAACTACTATCTGACTGAACCTCTCTCTTAATATATACCCACGGTCCTATGGGATGTTATCTACTTCCCAGTGGGGGTGGAATAAAAACCTGGTCCTCATTTATGGTTGAGACAATTTGATATATGGTGACAGCTAAAAATAGATTGCTGCTGCACTACAGCCTCACACTGGCAAGATCCTGAAAGATGGTATTGAGGGGAATCTTCCAAGTCAGCAGGCCTTTAAGCAATTAACAGGTCATAAGCTGACATGAAAGAGAAGCATTCCAACTTAGCAATATGCCTGAAATTCTGCATGCAACTTCACTGGTAGTTCAAGACTTTGGAAAGAACATGAATGGAAAATTGGAGGCAAATATGTTTGGGAATAAGTGTGTGGTGAGAGTGGACAAAAAGTGTGTAGATCAGTACTTCTCATGTCAATGACCACTGCAGGCTGCTCTAGGAAAGAATATGCATATCTAAGTTTTAGACCTTTGTGTGTAATAGAAACGTATAGGCCCAAAGATCAGGTTCTTTCCTCTCTGAATTATTAACCAAGTAACGGCTTTAACTCCCTCCTTTTGATTTGTCAAAATGCAATCAAAGTTTTAGCTTGCTTTGTTTTTAAACTAGAATGCACATGACTGACTCATCTTTATTGCAGGTTTTTCTATAAACTTGTGTTCTCTTTTCAAGATTTATTTATGAGAACATTTATAAATTGTTAATATTGCCTTGTGGACTATGGGGCAACAGTGGTCAGGTCACCCTAAAGTTGTCCAAAATTGAAAGAGAGTGGAGAGACAAGATAATTATGTCAATGAATAATAACTGTTTTGTGTAATCAGGATATCATACTCTGCACTCAATGGGCAATGCCAAGATGTCTCACTGTGCAGAATGGTTCACATGTGTGGTGTGCTAATAATGATGCTCAAGTTCCAGAGGAGCATTTGAAGAAAATCAGTGCCCATATTGTTGTAGCCAGAGAACAGGCAGACATATCCTAATCATTGCCAGTTATAATTTGCCTAGCACCCTTTTCCCTTGCTTAGGGGCTAAAGTGTTCTTTGAGATGATGACCACAAGCCATCATTTGCTTCCTTTCAACTCACCCTTACCATGAGTCCCTTCCCTTATTTCAAATAAAGAAGGAAAATAAAACTACTGGGCAGGTAAAAATCTAAGGATATTAATGAGGCTCTATTGTTCTTTTAGGTTTAGAGTAAAATAGTCCTAGTTTTTCAACCTGACCCTTTGGAGCCAGAGACAATTCTGAAGAGGAAACATCCTTTCTGAATCTAATTGTTTCCTTGTATGCATAAGCTTTTCCAGATGGAGAGTTGTTTTTTTTCCCCCCAAAATACTGGAGTAATTATATTCAAAAGAGAGAGAGAGAGAGAGATGTGGCCTCTTCAGAACTGTCTCTGCCTCCAAAGTCCCAGATGGAAATATTGGGGCTACTTTACTATAAACTTCAAAGAATAGCTGTTCTCCTTCTAGCTTCTTCTGTGGCTTTAATCTCCCTTTCCTACCTTAAAGCTACCTTTAATCACAACTCGAATGTTATTTTGAGATTCCAGTGAGGTCTCAAGGGGAAGGGTCACAAGTAGGCTGTTTGGCTTATTTTAGTTTTGTAAGTTCTTTGTGTGGCTGGTGACCCATATTAAATGAGTTCTCTATGTAATCAATAACATTAGCGAACACTTAAGAAATGAATTATATATATGCTTTACATATATTGATCTAAATTTAATATGACAACATGCCTGTGGACAAAAGTCCTACTATAATCATTATCCTAATATTATAGATGAGTATTTTGAGACAGGAAATCAAGTAACCTATTCAACTTCATACAGCTGTTAAGAAGAGGTGTTGGGATCAAAACTGAAGTATGGCTCCACATTTCACAGTCATGATTACTTTATTATAATCTTTGTCCATAAACAGATGATATATTTAACAGACCTTGACTTCTTGTTGAACATTTTTCAGGAACTCTGAGGGTGATATGACTGTGATTATACTGGATAGAAACAATAAATCATCTCATCCATTTTTACAAATATCTCTGTAATACTTTATGGCAGGTTTTACATTTCATTAGCTTGCATCTTTGGCCAATAATCTTCCCAAGCAGATATGCCTAAAGAAATAATAGAAGGGTTATATAATTCCGATAGGGAACACTTTGTTTATTTCATAATTTAAATTTGAAAAGTAAAAATAATTTTAAAAAGTAATATTAAACAAATTTTTGGAATTACTTATATACTGAAGAAGTAAACTAGAATGTAAGATAAGAAGGAGACTTTGTATGAAACTGTATTGTTAACCTAAAAATATACAGCATGAGAACCTGAAATTTATGAAAGTAGAACAAAATGACTTTCCCATGTATCCAGGCTTTATTGGTACTTGTCTCTGATTTTTATCGGAGAGAAAGAGAAACAATCTTTTCAGGCTGTTAGTAAGAAGAAAATGAAATGAAGCATCTGATAGAAGTTTTTAATTATAAGGCACTGTACAATCAAATATTTCCAAAATGTGATTCAGGAAAAAAAAAAAAAACAGAAATTCACTTAGCAAATCTAGCATTGGTCTTACCTTCATAGGTTCACCTTCTTTTAATTAGACTGATCAGATAAAAATAAGCTGACATTTAGCCTTAAATGGAACCAAAACTTGTTTCAACTTAAAGATGTATAACCCCTTTTCTACTAATGCATTAGTAATGACTTCATTCTTTTTAACTTTTCTGATGCCTTTTGATGAAATTTGACCTTTGTTGTTTCAACCCAAATCTGAAACTGGAATATTATCTTATTTCTATATATATTAATAACGTTTCTCCCTCAATCAAAGTTTCTGCACTGTGAAACTAAGACTTGGAATAACTACTTCATGCAAAATATTTAATTCCTACGTCTTTATTAAGAGCTCATCTTTAGAACATCTTTGACAGCTAAGCATCGTACTATGATTTCTCTAGTGAACTCTTATTCATTTATAAGCAGTACCAGGAATTATGCTCTCCAGAGACTTTTTAAAGAGTCCTTATACTAGTAATTTTCAAATGTGGTGTTTGAACCAGTATGTTAACACCACCAGAAAACTTGTTAAAAATGAAATTTTGGCTCCACTAAATCAGAAACTCTGGGTTGGTGCCTAGCATCTCTGATTTTTAAAATCCACTAGGTATATTTAATGCCGTTTGGAAACCATTGTCTCAAATTATGTTTCCCTTCTTTAGTATTTAGATATTATCATGGGCATACCTCACTTGTTAAATTGTACACATGTTATTTCTATTATGTGGTTAATTTTCTGTATCTACTAATCAATCCTTTACCTTTTTTTTAGTGAAGTAACAATTTCTCATACATTTTTGTATTCCGTAGTGACTAACAGTATCTGTCAAATTCTAGGGCAGACCTATGTCTAAGATAAATATATAAAGTGTCGATTCTTTCTTCTATTTTACATATAAATTATCTACCACTTGCTGTTAATGGAACTTTTTTTTTCTGAAAGGATTGAAAAATCTGGTGGCAATAAAATGCTCCAGATTTACTGGCAAAGCAATGCACAACAATTAATGTGATTAAGCTCTTAAAAGGTACATGAAAACTTTCAGTTCTAATCAAGATGGAATAGATATACTTCTCCCTATTCCTAGCAATAAATACAGCTAAAACCCCCAAACGTCACATGCAAAACAAACATAAGATCCTGAAATAGAAAGAGAAGAAGGCATATTGACTATGTATATCAGGACTTGAGGAAAAACATGGAAGTAAGCTTCCTGGGTACTGGATTCTCTTTTTCTTTTATATATCCCACTAGGTGCTAGGAAAGCAGTCCACCTGGAAATAACAATGAGTAGAGAGAGAGAAAAAAATAAAGCATTCATAAGAATTACCTGTTCTTAATAGCCCAAATACAAGAAAAGGAACAACCTAACAAAAAACAGCCAACTCTAATTAAATATCATTGAAAACAATCTTCTGACTCCCTACTCAGCTCCATCAGCAACGGAAGAGAGGGGAGCCTAGAGTTTCACACTTGTTTGTCTGTCATGAATCACTTCTTCCCCTTATAGGAATAGTGTCACAGAAGACCTGGTAAAGAGCCAATATTTTCATTCCTAAACTACTGGTTCAATAAAAATAAATGTATGTGAACTATTATATTAAAAGGCAAAAGCCTACCTAATAATATTAATTGACAAATAAAAAGCTTTTAATAAAAACCACTATTCGTGATGAAATTCTCAGGCACTGTAGGAATGAGGGGAATTTCTTCAACATGATGGTGGACTTTTAAAGAAAAGAACCTACTGTAAACATCATTCTTAATGACCTAAAACTGAATTATTTTCCCCAAAGACCGAAAATAAACAAGAATGTCAACACTTGCCAGTCTTATTCAACATAGTATTGAATTACTAAAAAGCACAATAAGGAAAGAAAAGGAAAGACAAGACGTATATTTCCAAAAGGAATAAAAACTGTCTCTATTTGCAGATGACATACTGGTATATGTATAAAAGAAACTCCAGAAATGATCAAATATTAATAAGTGCTACAGCAAAATCATAAATACAAGATCAAATTTAAAAATCAATCATGTATCTATACAATAATAATGAGACACAGAAACCAAAATTATCATACAATACTTTTCAGGAATGTTTTAAAGGAGATAGAGACACAGAAAAGATAGAGACATGAAAAACCATTCAAAAGATTAAAGAATTCAGGAGCTATTTCTTTGAAAACAATAATGAAATAGATAGGCTGCTAGCTAGACTAATAAAGTTGAAAAGAGAAGATTCAAATAAACACAATCAGAAATGATAAGGGGAATATTACTGTTGACCCCACAGAAGTAAAATCATTAGATAATTTTATGAACATCTCTATGCACATAAACTGGAAAAAATTGATAAATTCTTGGACACATACACCCCCCCAGGACTGAACCAGGAAGAAATTGAATCCCTGAATAACCAATAACAAGTTGTGAAATTGAGGCAGTAATAAATAGCCTACTAAACAAAAAAAAAACCCAGGAACAGGTGGATTCACAACTGAATTCTATCAGATGTACAAAGAAGAGATGGTACTGTTCCTACTAAAACTATTTCAAAAAATTGAGGGGGGGGGGCTCCTCCCTAACTCATTCTATGAGGCTAGCAGCATCCTGATTAAAAAAAAAAAAACCTGGCAGAGATACAAAAACAAAAAAGGAAAACTATAGGCCAATATCCTTGACAAACATTGATGAAAAAATTACTCAACAAAATACTGGCAAATCAAATCCAGCAACACATCATAAAGCTTATCCACCACAATCAAGTTGGCTTCATCTCCAGGATACAAGGTTGGTTCAACATATGCATATCAATAAAAGTGATTCGTCACATAAACAGGACTAAAACAAAAAACACCTGTTATCTCAATAGATGCAGAAAAGGCTTTTGATAACATTGACATCAATTCCTGTTAAAACTCTCAATATATGAGGTATTGAAGAAACATGTCTCAAAATAATAAGAACCATGTATGACAAACCCATGACCAACATAATACTAAATGGGAAAAAGCTGGAAGCATTCCCCTTGAAAACTGGCAAAAGACAAGGATGTTCTCTCTCACCGCTTCTATTCAGTGGATTATTAGAAGTTCTGGCCAGGGCAATCAGGCAAGAGAAAGAAATAAAGGGCATTCAAATAGAAAGAGAAGTCAAACTACCCCTGTTTGCAGATAACATTATCCTATATCCAGAAAACTCCATAGTCTCAAGTCAAAAGCTTCTTAAGTGGATAAACAACTTCAATAAATTCTCAATATACAAAATCAATGTGCAAAAATTAATAGCATTCTTATACCCAACAACAGTCAATCCAAGAAACAAATCAGGAAAAAAACTCCCATTTGCAATTGTCACAAATAGAATAAAATACCTAGGGATAGGATTAACTATGGAGGTGAAAGACCTCTACAAGTAGAAGTATAAACCATGGCTCAAAGAAATCGAAGATGACATAAACAAATAATAATAAAAAAATTCGTGTTCATGGATAGGGAGAATCAACATCATTAAAATGGCCATATTGCACCAAGCAATTTACAGATTCAATGCTGTCACCATTAAGTTATCACTGACATTTTTTAAAGAGCCAGAAAAAAAACTATTTAAAAATTCATATAGAACCCAAAAAGAGCCCAAATAGCCAAGGCGATCCTAAACAAAAATAACAAAGCTGGAGGCATAATGTTACCCAACTTCAAACTATACTTTACGGCTATAGTAATGAAAACAGTATGGTACTGGTACAAGAACTGACACACAGACCAATGAGAGCCCAAAAATATGACCCCACAACTACAAATATCTGATCTTTGACAAACCTGACAAAAACAAGCAATGGGGAAAGATTCCCTATTCAGTAAATGCTGCTAGGATAACTGGCTAGTCATATGCAGAAGATTGAAATTGGACTGCTTCCTTACACCATATACAAAAATAAATGGTGTTGGATTAAAGACATAAACATAAAATTGTAAACTTTTATAGTTTCCTTCCTAAGCCCTGGAAGACAATTCAGGCAATACTATTCAGGACAGAGGCATGGGTAAATATTTCATGATGAAGACCCCAAAAGCAATTGCAACAAAGTGGAAATTGACAAATGGGATCTAGTTAAACTAAAGAACTTCTACACAGCAAAATAAACTATCAATAAACAGACAACCTCTACAGAATGGGATAAAATTTTTGCAAATTGTGCATCGAACAGAGGTCAAATATTCAGAATTTATGAGGCAGTTAAAAATTTACAAGAAAAATAATTGCATAATAAGTTAGTAAAAGCCGTGAACTTTTCAAAAAGATGCACACGTAGCCAAGAATTATATGAAAAACAGTTCAACGTCACTGATCATTAGAGAAATTCAAATCAAAACCACAATGAGATACCATCTTACACCAGTCAGAATGGCTATTATTAAAAAGTCAGAAAATAACATGCTGGTGAGGTTGTGAAGAAAAAGTAACACTTATACACTGTTGCTGGACATGTTAATTAGTTCAATCATTGTGTAACACAAGAGTGGCAATTCCTCAAAGACCTAAAGACAGAAATATCAATTAACAGTTAAAATTTCACTAAAGAGGCTATACAGTTGACAAATAAATACATGAAACCATGTTTATTATCACTGCCTACTAGAGAAACATAATTAAGACCATAATGAGGTACTGTTACACACATATTAAAACAGCTAAAATAAAAAAAATTTGACAATATTAAATGTCAAATGAATGCAGAAAGACAGAAATAGCAATCCCATTACTGAGTATATACCCAAATAATATAAATCATTCTATTATAAAGACACATGCAAGCGTGTGTTCATTGAAGCACTACTCACAGTAGCAAAGACATGGAATCAACCGAAATGCCCATCAATGATAGAATGGGTAAAGAAACGTGGTACATATACCCCATGGAATACTATGCCATCTTTAAAAGGAACAGGATCATGTTCTTTCCAGGAACATGGACAGAGCTGGAGGCCATTATCCTTAGCAAACTAACATAGGAATAGAAAACCAAATACCACATGTTCTCACTTATAAGTGGGAGCTAATTGATGATAATTCATTGATACATAGAGGGGAACAAAACATCCTGGGGTCTTTCAGAGGGTAGAGGGTGGGAGGGGAGAGAGGATCAAGAAACATAACTAACAGGTACTAGGCTTAATACCTGGATGAGGAAATAATCTGTACAACAAATCCTCATGACGCTAGTTTACCTATGTAACAAACTTGCACTTCTAACCCTGAACTTAACAGTTAAAAAAGAAACATTTAAATGTAAATACACAAAATAATAAACCTAAAATAAAGTTAATAAATTTGTGTTCTGAAAACTACAAAATACTAATGAAAAAAATTAGAAGAAAGTCTAAATACAGTTGGCCCTCCCAGTCTGTGAGATCTGCATCCGCAAATTTTGATATCAGCAAGGGTTCCTGGAAAACTATTCCCTGTGTATTCCAAGGGATGACTGTATTTCAAGAGAAATATTATGTTCATGGAGTGAAATAATTAGCATAGTAAAGATTTCAATTATCTTTAAAGTTATATATACCTTTAATGTAATTCTTATTATAATTCTAGAAAATATTTTTATGGATATAGATGAGATTATTCTAAGATTTATATGGAAAACAAAAATATTAAATAAATTAGAAAATTCAAAAAGATAAATAAAATCGAAAGAAAACTCTTTCTAATATTAAGGCTTAAGGAAAGATACAGTAATCAGTATTATGTAATATTGGCAGAGTAATAGACACGTAAAAGAACCTGAATGTAGACTCATAAAAGTATAGCCAGTTGATTTTTTACAACAGGTACAAAATGAATTCAATGGAGGAAGGATACTTTTTCAATAAATATGGCTAGAGAAACTGGATACCAAAGCAGTAAATTAATTAATTAAAATATCAAAACTTACAAAGGAAAACATAGAGGAGAATCTTTAGGATTTAGGGTTTGATGAAGAGTTTATAGATATGATATCAAATTCATGATTCATACAATTTTTAAATGATTTATTCGATTTCAAATTACAAATTTCAAAATTACAAATGCTTACCTTGCAAGAATTCTGTTAAGATGAAAAGACAAGATACAGACTAGGGAAAAAACACATATCTAAATTAGGTCTCCTATTTAGAATATATAAAGAACTCTTTAAATTCAACAGTTAAAATTTCATTAAAGAGGCTATACAGTTGACAGATAAATGCATGAAACCATGTTTATCATTATGGCCTACTAGAGAAACACAATTAAGACCATAATGAGGTACTGTTAAACACATATTAAAATAGCTAAAATAAAAAATTTTGACAATATTAAATGTCGAATGAATGCAGAGAAACTGAATTGCTAAAAATGGCTGGGGAGAATCCAAACTTGTATATCTACTCTTTTAAAAGGCTTAACATTGTCTTAAGTAACTACACATACTGTTAACATACAACCAAGCAATCACACTCATGAACATTTACCCTGGAGAAAGGAAAATTTATTTACACACACACACACACACACACACCCTGACACACAAATGAATTGCATGAATGTTCATAGCAGGTTTTTTCTGTAATAGCCAATAATTATAAACAACCATGTATTTGGTACATTAATGATAACAGAAATTGTAGTACAACTACGCTATGGAATATTACTCAGCAACAACAAGGCATGCACTATTGATACACACAACAGCTTGGGTAAATCTCAAGAACTATTTTAGTCTGCTTAGACTGCCATAACTAAATACCATAGATTGGGTGACAAAAACAACAGAATTTGTTTTTATATATATATATAGTTTTGGAATCCAGAAGTACAAGATCAGGGTACCAGCATGGTTGGATTCTGCTGAGGGCTCTCTTTGTGACTTGCACATGACCACCCTTTCACTGAGTGTTCCCGCAGCCTTATCTTGTGTGTAGAGAGAGAGCAAGCTCTCTGATGTCTCTTCTTATAAAGGGATTAATCCCATCATGGGGGCCCCACACACTTGGCTTCATCTAACCCTAATTACCTCCCAAAGATCTCATCTCCAAATACCATCACCTTGGGAGTAAGCAGTTCAATATATACATCTGAAGTGGGGGAAAACATTCAGTTATAAAAGAGGCATAAATGTTAAGTGAAAACAGCCAACCTCAAAAGCTCATACCCTGTAAGCTTCTATTTATTAACATTATTAAATTATAACATTTTTAATATAATATTACATTATTTAAAATGATAAAATTATGGATATAGAGAACACATTAATGATGGCATGGCTTTAAGGAGGGGTGAGCGGGGCTAGTGGACAAGGTGGTTTTTATGACTATAAAGGGAGAGTAAAAGGGAGATCTTTTTGGTGATGAAATAGTTCCTTATCTTCATTGTGATGGTGATTACATGAATCTACACAGGTGATACAACGGCGTAAAACTATACACACTCTTTGCACCAATGTCCATTTACTTGTTCTGATACTATACTACAGTTACCTAAGGTATAACTGTTTAGAGGAACTGGGTAAAGAGTACATAGACCCTGTCTACTGGTTATGCAACTTTCTGTGAATAAATAATTTTTTCAAAATAAAAGTTACAAAAATAATAAAAACAAATGTTGGGAAGACAGGTGAGGCAGACGACTGTTCTTCTGAGGCACAGTGCACTGTGAGAGCCCATGAAAAGACGAAGGCAAATGACATTTGGAAATGCAGTACATTGCGTTGGCCAATGTTTTGTTTTGAGCTTAGTCAAGCTTACGCTGAATCCTAGTCAGGACAGTTACAGGCATACCTTAGAGATATTGTGGATTAGGTTCCAGACCACTGCGATAAAGAGAGTGTCACAATAAAGCAGGTCACACACTTTTTTGCTTTCTCGGTGCATATAAAAGTAATGTTTATATTTTATTATACTCTGTTAAGTATGCAATAGCATTGTGCTTAAAAAACAATGTACATACCCTAATTTCAAGATGTTCTTTGCTAAAAATGTGAATGATTGTCTGAGCATTCGGCAAGTCATACTCATTTTGCTGCTGGAGGATCTTACCTCCATGCTGGCGGCTATTTACTGATTAGAATGGTGGTTGCTGAAGGTTGGGATGGCTGTGCCAATTTCTTAAGATAAGGCAACAATGAAGATTGCTGTAACCACTGACTATTTCTTTTAGAAAGATTTTTCTGTAGAATGTGATGTTTTTGATAGCATTTTATCCATAGCAGAACTTCTTTTAAAATTGGAGTAAATCTTCTTAGACCCTGAAGCTGAATTATCAAAGTGGTATAGGTAATATACTGTATTTATTGCTGTCATTTCAACAATGTCTACATCATCACCAGGAATAGATTCCATCTCAAAAAGCATTTTCTTTGCTCATCCGCAAGAGGCAACTCCTCATGTGTTCAAATTTTATCACAAAATTGGAGCAATTCAGTCACATCTTCAGGTTTCATTTCTATTTCTCTTGTTATTTCCACCACATCTGCAGCTACTTCCTCCACTGAAGTCTTGAACCCCTCAAAGTTATCCGTGAGGGTTGGAATCGACTTCTTCCACGTGTTGATACTGGTATTTTGACTTTATCTCATGAATTATCAATGTTCATAAAGGCATCTAGAATGGTGAATTCTTCCCAGAATTTTCTCAATTTATTTGCCTAGATCTATCAGAGAAATTCCTATATGTGGCAGCTATAGCCTTATGAAATATATTTTTAAAATAAGACTTGAAAGTGGAAATTGCTCCTTGATCCATGGGCTGCAATATGGATACTGTGTTAACAGGCATGAAAACAACATTAATCTCCTTGTAAATCTCCATCAGAGATCTTGGGTGACCAGCTGTGTTGCCAATGAGCTGCAATATTTTGAAAGGTATATGGTTTTTTTTGTTGTTGCTTTTGAATAGTAGTCTTCAATAGTGGGCTTAAAATATTCAGCTAACCATTCTGTAAACAGGTGTGCTATCATCTAAGCATTGTTATTCCATTTATAGAGCACAGGCAGAGTAGATTCAGCATAATTCTTAAGGGCCGTAGGATTTTTGAAAGGGTAAGTGAGCACTGGCTTCAGCTTAAAGTCACCAGCTGCATTAGTCCCTAACAAGAGAGTCAGCCTGTCCTTTGAGGATAGGCACTGACATCCCATCTCTAGCTAAGAAAGTCCTACATAGCATCTTCTTCCAATATAAGGCTGTTTAATCTACCTTGAAAATTAGCCATTTAGTGTAGCCAGTTTCATCTATTATCTTAGCTAGATTTCTGGATAATTTGTTGCAGCTTCTACATTAGCATTTGATACTTATTCTTAGACTTTTATGTTACGGAAATAGCGTATTTTTTAAAAACTCATGAACCAACCTCTGATCATTTCAAAGTTTGTTTCCCCACCTTCTTCACTTCTCTCAGCCTTTATCGAACTGAACAGTTGGGGTCTTGCTCAATTAGCCTTTGGTTTAAGAAAATGTTGTGGCTGGTTTGATCTCCTATCTAGAACACTAAAACTTTCTTCATATCAGCACTAAGGCTTCTTATTATTTGTGTATTCACTGGAGTGACACTTTTAATTTTTTTCAAAAGCTTTCTATTTGCATTCACAACTAGGCTGTTTGGTGCAAGAGGCCTAGCTTTGTCCTATTTTGGCTTTTGATATGCTTTTCTCACCAAGCTTAATAATTCTATGTTTTGATTTAAAGTCAGATACTTGTGACTCTTCCTTTCACTTGAATACTTATAGGCCATTGTAGGGTTATTAATTGGCCTAATTTTAATATTGGTCTGCTGCGGGAAATAGGGAGGTGTGGGGAGAGAGAGAACCAACCGGCCAGTTGGTGGAGCGGTCATAATATGCACAGTTCACTGCCTAATATGGGTGCAGTCCCTGGGTTCCCAAAACAATTACAATAGTAGCAGCAAAGATCATTGATCATGGATCACCATAATAAATATAATAATATGAAAAAGTTTGAAATGCTACCAGAGTTATCAAAATGTGACACAGAGACATAATGAGCACAAGCTGTTGGAAAAATTGTGCCATTAGACTTACTTGAGGCAGGATTGCCACAAAACTTCAATTTGTAAAAAACACAGTATCTGTGAAGTGCAACGAAGTGAACTGCAATAAAATGAAGTGTGCCTGTAAAGGGCTTGAGAATTACATGAACACAGGTCAAAGAAAATGGAAATCTTTAGAAACAGATGAGAATAAGTGGGTAGATGTTGCTATGGCTTAATTGGTTGTCTCTTCTAAAACTCATGTTAAAATTCAGCTGTCTTTGTAACAGTGTTAAAAAGTGGGACCTCGAAGGGGTGATTAGGCCATGAGGGCTTTGTCCTTATGGGTGAAGTTAATGCAACTGTAAAAAGGCAAGTCTGGCCCCTCCTTTCTCTCTTGCTTTTTTGCCATGTGTTGACACAGCAAGAAGGCTCTCACCAGATGCATGTGCTTTGATTCTGGGCTTCCAGCCTCTAGAATTGTGAGACATTACTGTTTTATTCTTTTCATAAATTATCCAATCTCAGGTATTCTGTTAGGACAGCGGGAAATTAAGAAAGATATTGGGGCAAGTTGAGCCTAAGGAACAAAGGCAGAGATGATGCTGTTTAAGTCAGAAATAACTTCAGGAAAATATTGCCATGTTCTAGGTAAGTCCTTGATGAGGAAAGTTGAGAAGATTCATTCACTTTCTCGAGGCTCACTCAGGCATTACTACTTTGTTTTTAAGACACTCTGATTATAAATGGATGGACTCTTATTCCTTTTAGATGTGAAGGATTCAATAAATAGCCTCCAGATTTCAGATTCTTCACTAAATGACTTTTTTTTTTTTTTTTTTTTGAGACGGAGTCTTGCTCTGTTGCAAGGCTGGAGTACATGCAGTGGTGCGATCTCAGCTCACTGCAACCTCCACCCACCAGATTCAAGCGATTCTCCTGCCTCAGCCTCCTGAGTAGCTGGGACAACAGGTTTGCATCACCACACCCAACTAATTTTTGTATTTTTAGTAGAGACGGGGTTTCACCGCGTTGGCCAGGATGGTCTTGATCTCTTGACCTCGTGAACCGCCCTCCTCGGCCTCCCACAGCGCTGGGATTACAGGAGTGAGCCACCCTGCCCGGCCTAAAAGAATCTTTTTTAAAGACGACATTTTTCTCCCTCGGGCTTTCACAAGATTTATACAAATTCCATGGCCCTGAACTGAGATGATTGTGGTGGGATCTTGAACCCTTCTCACACAACAGTTCTGTTTCTGGGGATCCCATCTCCATTAAATGATGACTATGTGAATTAAAGAGGGTTCTAGTAAAAACTGAGTAAAGTATTAATTGCTAAGTATTTTCTTTTCTTTAACCTTGTATGTTATGCTGTCTGGAGCAGATGGTCAGATGACTGGTACCTTCGCACAATGTCACTAGTCATCATCACTGTGTCATTTGAAGGGTCACTTTCATCCTGTTTATTTCCCTTTCCCTCTCTCTTCACGTACGTTTTTATTTCATGTATGACAAAAATCCCTGATATTCTTTTGTGCTTTTTTTTACTTGCTATGGAAATCTTTCTTGATAGGAAAAGAAAAAAAAAAGTAATAAAGAGCTTGTGATGTATGAAGTGACTAATGAAGTGTTAAACTCAACAACCGGTTTCTTTAAAATTCTCGAGGCATGAAATGTATATTTTTCTCATCAGTAGTCATCTCGTGCAATTACCAATTTTAAAAATTAAGGTACTCAGGGCAAGCTTCCATCGTATGACACTTAAGGAAACAGCCATTAAGCTGTGTATTCTGTTACTTGTATTGCACATAAAATATAACGGTAATTTATTTAATTAAATGGTACCAAATCAATGCTGATTCATAAATAAAATTGGTAATTTATAGATGCTTCTTGAGTCTTCTACTAACCTGTCAAGTCAGCTCTTTGAAGTACTGTATTTGGTGCTGCACCTTTTATTCTTACACATTTTTTCTTCTCTTTAGTTCCTCTGTTAGAAAATCTGTTGAGTAACATATGTGTAAGATCCACTGCTAACAAAATTTACATGTTCCATTGCAGTAGAATATTCTTAAAAAAATGGAAAGTCTGATAGGCAATGGCATTTTAAAGGGAAAATGCAGTCAATTTAGGAAGAAATACTCAATGTGCAGGACTAAAGTGTGTGTGCTGGAAAGCATAAGAGAGAGTGGACAATAGAGAACACATTCCATTTTGTAAGATCAGCGAGAACATATTTTGAATATAAGAACTGTACCTTCTCCTGAGCAAATACTAAATTCTCAAATCTTATCATTTAATATTCTCCCTGATTTTTACCATAGGAATGATATGCCTACATAGTTTTACATTTAAATTCATGTGCCTATCAGTAATATTCATTACTATTACTCACAGATGATGATGCTATATTTAACTGTCCATATGGAATTTCAGAAAAGTCTGTGTATCCTTTCAAATAAAGATACTTTATTGTGAAAACTTTGGTCGGTGAACCTTCATGATAAATTTGCAAACACTCTATGAAGCATAAATTCTAAAGTATTTTTATAAAATCCTCAATCAATAAATCACAGTAAATGCTACAAGTTGGCAAAGCATAGCTGTGCCTTCTGTGTGATTGGCATCCATTCCGTTTTACAAGCTAGATATGCTGTGTGGATGATGCAATGAGAGACGCAGTGGATTTTTTTTTTAATCCACACAAATATTAACATGCTGAGCTTGAATTACAGTTTGAAAACAATTCAATTCACAAGGTAGTATGACTACTTAACAAAGCAAATTTAAATGTGAATAATTTATTTTTTAGAAGTGGTTTAGAGCATAATTGAAGCCATGTTTTATTGCATTTATTTTCACCTTTGAAAAATTATCTATCAAATTAAAATGAGTCATAATTTTAATAAGTACATTATAAATGAATAACAACTGGTAAAAATGCATGTAGATTTTTATTGTCTTCAAAATCAAGAACATAAAGACAAATTAGGGATTGTCAACTTATTTAAATGCTGTGAAACATTTAACTTGAAAATCAACTTGTACACAGAAACAGATGCAATATTCTAATATATCTATCAAACTTAACCTGAAATGCTTAGTAAAGTAGATTAGTTTTGAAAAATAATAATAGCTTTTCCAATTATCTAATTTAATAAGTGTATACAAATTTTTATAGGAAGATATATCAGACCTTTTTATCTTTTGGATTGTCTTAAAATATGTATGTTGTTACTTTTATTTTATTAAAAAAACCTACTGGATATTTAGCCGTCTTCTAATTCATTTTTTGTCACTGAACAAAAGCCACCATCTTAGAATTACTGATAATCTGATTCCAATCTTTTTTCTTTTTTCAATAATGTATGATATAAAATCAACATATATTATTATAAGAATTGAAGCTATATTGATATTTTCAGGGAGATTTGTGAACTGAGTTGGGAGAAAAATAAAGGAAAAAGATTAAAAATCAAAATGTGCATCAACATTTGTAAAAAGACTGTGACTTAAAAAGAAAGACAGTAAGTTGTTAAGAAATCATTTAAAAAGAGGCAGCTGTCTAGTGGGCTTGATCGAGGCATCAAGCATTACGACAGAAAAAAGGAGAGCTCCGGGGAAGGCGGGCAGTATTTCTTGAACAGCTATCTTGGATTTGAATGAAGTCTCAGGTTTCCATGATTCTTAGTTAAATCAGTATTCATATATACTACCTGATAGAAAAATTACATATATATTTTTTCCAATTTGTATCTGAATTTTGGCGTTTTAATTTCTGTTATTTGCTGGACAAACTTCAAACAAACATTCCAAAGTAAAATAAGTGAGTTCCTTTAACTTCCAGTGCTTTTAAATCTTTAAATGAATTAAAGATCCATGGAAGTTTGGCAGTAGACATTCTTCTCTACATAGGGAAACCAAATCTTGGATACATTTACTCAACCATGGCTCTCTGTAAAATCTTGTTAATCTATGAGAAATTGATCTTTAGCCTTTCTGAGACTATATTCTCCCCGATGAAAAGAGAAGGGGAAATAGACTACTCTCTTTAGTATGTCATTCCCAGTGTATGAGATATTTGAAAAAATAATTTCCTATTCACATCTTCCATGTAAATTAATCTCCTTTCCTTTTGTATTTTATTGTTCAGTTTACAAAATGTTATTGAAAATGTGTTTTTTTCATATTAACAACAAAAATATCAGTCAGTGCAATTGTTTCCAAATAATTTCTTTGTTAATTGAGATAAAATTTATTTTTTTACCTTTCACATTATGCTCCAAATTAAGCTTAAATTTTATCAGTACGGTTTTAATTCTATCAAGATCATCTTTTCATAAATCTATAAATCTTTATTGGTTTGATCTCTTTCTCTTCATTCGTTTGTACTTTATACAAAAGTCAATTTAATATAAATTAGTTATTAATATTAGAATAAATAAATTTAGATTTAATTCAATGAAGATAGTTTATCTCTTACTGTCATTTTGAATTATTTACACAACTCTTCTCCACCAAAATATCATAACACATTCAAATGCTACATTAACGTGCTAAAAACTTATAAAGTTACCTTTCATTCACCAAGAGTGCACGTAACTAAGAATATAGCAAACTAACAGTCAAAATCTGAGTAGGCTCACGAGGGTTACTCATGTAAATATGTGTTACTGTGGGGCAAAAAGGTGAAGAACCACGGATCTAACTTAGCCTCAGATAATTCTATAAAAGATTATTGACTAATATGTTTGTATTCTCTTGTAAACACATCCTTGCCAAGAAAGTAGATGTTAGTCTTCTATTGCTGCTCTAACAAATTATCACACATTTAGTGGCCTACAAAAACACAAATTTATATTCATACGGTCCAGTGGGTCAAATGTCTGACACTGGTTATATTAGGCTAAAATCAGTATGTTGGCAGAACTTTTTTTGTTTTTTTGGGTTTTTTTGAGACGAGTCTCGCTCTGTCGCCCAGACTGGAGTTCAGTGGCGCAATCTCGGCTCACAGCAAGCTCTGTCTCCCGGGTTCACACCATTCTCCTGCCTCAGCCTCTCGAGTAGCTGGGACTACAGGCACTCGCCACCAAGCCTGGCTAATTTTTTGTATTTTTAGTAGAGACCGGGTTTCACCGTGTTAGCCAGGATGATCTCGATCTCCCGACCTCGTGATCCGCCCGCCTCACCTCCCAAAGTGCTGGGATTACAGGCCAGAGCCATTGTGCCCGGCCAACTGCAGCCCGCCAACTGCACCCCTTTTTGGAGGCTCTGGGGAAGAACTTGTTTCCCTGAATTTTCAGCATCTAGAGGCTACCCATATTCCTTGGCTCCTGGGTTGCTTCCTCCATCTTCAAAGAAAGCAGAATCACTATCTTTTAATTTTAATACAGTTATAACATGTTTCTTTGCTTTTTAAAGATTCATGATTAGGTCTACCTTGATAATCCAGAATAATGTCCTCATTACGAGGTCTTTCACCTTAGTCGCATCTGCAAAACTCCCTTTGTCACCTAATAAAACATATTCGCAAGTTCTAGGGGATTAATAGACAGATGTCTTTGGGTGGCCGTTTTTCTTCCTACTCCAGTGGAATATATCAAATATATGTTTATGTAGAATTATCTGAAGGTGATTTGATACATGATTCATTTCTAAAACCAAAAGCAAATTGTTGAAAATGCTACAACATCCACTTTAGAATAAATTAATGTTCTATTTGGTCTACATTAAATACATTATATTTTAGCTTTATAAATTCTATGGACAATGTGATTATATAGGGCAATCTTACAGTTATCACTATAAAATGAATTAAATATGTAAAATGTATAGTCAATTAAAATTTTATTTCCATCTTTTATCATTTATTAGAGAAAATTCAATTCAATATTTCTGATTGCCAATAATCTTTTCTATCCTTGTTTCTATTATATTCAACATGAATGTATCATATACTCTGTGAAACTCCTCTTTCACCAGCTTACCCCCAAAGCAGAACAAACTTCTTTCTGCTCCAACCTGTTAGATTTTACTCTCTCCTCTAGAACCTTATTGTGTGTGTTAACTCTTTTTAAAATTATAAATCTCTTTCTCTCTCAGGTTCTATGCTTTTCTTGTCCACTAAATATTACCATAAAAATTTAAACACTTTTTGAAGGAGGGTGGAGATAAAAGTAGAAGAGATTAGGTTGGTTAGGTAAATTGATAATTACAGCATCCTCTTCAGTCCACTGATAGACTGTGAGGAGATATTTGTGGCTCTTTTTATGTTAATGTATTCATGTAATTTTATCTAATATGATTAACTAGGTTTAGTTCTTTTTGGCCAAAGAAATAATGACAGTCCTTCTCAGGTGGCTCACATAATAGTTCCCAACTTGCCAATTCTTTCTTCTCTGGGTCCCATATTGAAAATTGCCTTATCTTGCTGCATCAGAATATGGTTTTTGGAAAGTTTAAATTAAATTCGCTGGAAAACTTCTCAGTCTTTGCTAAATATTTCCCGACAACTCCGATTAGTGAAAAAGCCAAACGAATTATCATTCATTTAATAAAAAGCCTTTGACTAGCTCTTGACCATCTACATGAACCAGTTATTTTGTTTGAATTTCAAAGGAGAAAAATAAAATGAATTGGATACATGTCCTATTTTAGAAACATTTAATGTATTAAAATGGGATGAGTACACATGATGATTTAGAGCGGGTTAATGTTACACGAGTCTGGAGTAGGAAGAAATTCTACCTAGGGAAATCAATAAAAGCCGCCTATAGATTTCAATCAATAGGACTAAGACATCTTAAAGTAGAGAGAAAGCAAGTTAGACGGCAAGAAAACTGGAGGAGAAAAAGTGATAATATTAGAATTAAATATTAGAATTTAGTATTTCAGATATATTTATATGCAGTTCTCTCAGTTTTGTTCTTATCAACACGTTAGCTTTGTCCTCAAGTGGAGCTTCTTCATGGCAAAAAGATGGCAGCTATCAGCACCTGGGCTGTTATTTATCTTTGGAAGAAATGAAGTGGGAAACACCATAATCAACCATAAAAAACAAACTCTTCTTTCTAGTCAGGTTGGCTCAATTTACATCCCTTGACTTCCCAAAGCTAGTGACTGTTTCAGAGGTACTCCCACACTGATTTTCAACCATGCTCTGAAGACAGGAAAAAAGGTAAGCGCTTGATTAAAAGCGAAGTTTTGGCCGGGCGCGGTGGCTCACGCCTGTAATCTCAGCACTTCCGGAGGCCGAGGTCGGTGGATCACCTGAGGTCAGGAGTTCGAGACCAGCCCGGACAACATGGTAAAACCCATCTCTGCTAAAGATACAAACATTAGTTGGGCATGGTGGTACGCACCTGTAAGCCCAGCTACTCAGGAGGCTGAGGTGGGAGAATCGCACCGAGATCGCGCCACTGCACACCAGGCTGGGCAACAGAGTGAGAATCTGTCTCAATTAAAAAAAAAAAACAAAAAAAACAATAAATGAATAAAAATAAAAGTGGAGTTTTGTCTAAAAGAGGTTTCCACAGGTGTGGGGCACAAACGTTGACCTCATTCCGCATAATTTTTAGCCATAATATGCTAATTCAAAAACAACAAGAATAATAGATTGTATGTATTCTAAAATACTACAGAATGACACAAATAAAGTGGTAATCCAAGATTTTAGCATAGCCATAGGTTATAAGATGAACTGGAATTGGTAAGGTAAGGAGAGCTTGAGGCAGAAAGTGAAACACTAAGCAGTGATGAAGGAAACAGAATTAGCCAAGTGTCTATGAACATGGGGACAATAAAGAAAATATAAGATTCTTTTGGAAAACAATGTGAAGATTTTGAAGCCAGTTAGATTCAAGGGCAAGGAAAGTATGCTATGTTTGGCCAAACAATGATACAGTTATCAAAGATAGGTACCTTGTGAAGAAGGTGCTTTTCAGCAGCAGGGAGGTTGGTGAGTTAAGCTTTAGCTTGTTGATTTAAAGGAATGAAAGGATCTTCTTTTAGGGAAATCCCACAAACTCATGGAAAATGAAGAATAAAAACAATTTAAGGATGAAAGTGCATCAGACCAGGTTGGTTTTGAAGGAAAATCTGAAACCTTGAGTAATGGAAAGGAGAAAATAGAGAGTTTTCTGAATGAGAAATAGCTTATAACAGATTTATTAAATATGTTCCTTAGTACTCTTCTTAGTGGTGACATAAGATGTATATGACATCCACATAAACATATATACATAGTCCTATACAGAATGTTAACATATAGCATATAAACATACAAACGTATATGTTTTATGCTATGTATATGTTTTATGATATGTAAATATATATGTTTTATGCTAAGAAAACAAGTTTTATGCTATATAAACATAGATACATGTGAGAATTTTGAAGCCAGTTAGATTCAAGGGCAAGGGAACATACAAACATATAAGAACATGTATGTTTATATATGTTTACATGTTGTGGCACATAAATATCTATGTTTATATGTTGTAGCACATAAATATATATACATAATAATATATACTCATATATTTTATATAAATATTAGTATTTATATAAATAAATACAACACAACCTTGTCTTAGTAATTGGGCTGCTACAACAAAGTGCCACAGAAGAGGTAACTTATAATAAACAGCAAGTTTTTTGTCATAGTTCTGGAGCTTAAGAAGGCCAAGATCAAGGTGTCTTCTGAGGGCCTGCTTCATGATTCATAGAGGGTGCCTTTTCACTGGGTCCTCACATGGTGTAAGGAGCAAGGGAACTTTTTTTGGCTTCTTTTTTAAAGTCACTAATACCATTCAAGATGACTTAATCACTTCTCAGAGGATCCATTTTGAAATGCCATCATATTGAATATTACATTTTCAGACAGTAGCAAGCATACACTCAATTAAGAGAGAAGATTGTAAATTTGTACTGTGATTTTCAAATGAAAATTAAAATTGAAGTGTTTTTATTAGCATAAATTTATATTTTCATTTCTTTGCTTTCATGGAATATCTTGGTTCTAATAATATAATTACCTACTTCATTTATATTCAACATGCATATAATTTCAAAATAGTAGTATCAATTTTGTCACCAAAAATAGAGACTAATAAATGAAATTTGAGCAATCTTTTTCTTAAGATTATTCAAAAACTTATGTGGTACTCTCAAACAGCTAACACATATGGAGCATTTCTTCTCTTTGTGATTATGTCACCAAGTTTATATATAATTAAGGTCATCTATTTCTATTCGAGTTGGTTTTTATTTTTATTTTTATTTACTTTTTATTTTTTTGAGACAGAGTCTTGTTCTATCACCCAAGGTGAAGTGCAGTGGCATGATCTTAGCTCACTGCAACCTCCGCCTCCCGGTTCAAGCAACTCTCATGCCTCAGCCTCCCAAGAAGCTGGGATTATAGGGATGCACCACGACGCTTGGCTAATGTTTTTATTTTTAGTAGAGATGAGGTTTTGCCATGTTGGCCAGGCTGATCTTGAACTCCTGGCCTCAAGTGATCTGCCCCCATCAAGCTACCAATGTGTTGGAATTACAAGCATGAGCCACCATACCCTGACTTAAATTTTGTTATCTGAGGAAAATATTTTTATTAATTTTAGTTATTTAAAAGATATAAAATTTTTATAAAATGTAAATGATTCTAAAACAAATTATAAATCAATTTCTAGACATCTAACTTCTAAACATATACATCTATTTCTGTTCCCTTCATCCTCCTATAAGCAAATTTTTGTCGTTGTTGTTTAGACAGGGTCTTTCTCTGTCACCAAAGCTGGAATGCAGTGACACAATCATGGCTTAATGCAACCTTGACATCTTAGGCTCAAGCCATTCTCCCACCTCAGACTCCTGAGTAGGTGGGACTACAGATGTGCACCGCCACACCTGGCTATTTTGTTTTGTTTTGTTTTTGTAAAGACAGAGGGTCTCACTGTGTTACCCAGGCTTGTCTCAAACTCCTGGTCTGAAGTGATCCTCTTGCCTCAGCCTCCCAAAGTGGTGGGATTAGAGGTGTGGCAAACATGCCTGGCCTGACAAACAGTATTTTTTTATTTGGTTTTTGCTTCACGCTTTAATTTCTTGTTTTTAAAATATAATCAAATAAATATATCTACACACAGAAACATGTGCATAAATACACATGTTTTATTCCTCTCTTAGAATACGATTCAAATATTTTGCAAATTACTTAATATTCCATAACATATCTACACATATCCATAATACTCTATGAGATCTTCCCCATTAAATTTGCAGCAGCATTGCGTAGCTATGCCACAGTTTATTTAGCTAATTCATTCTTCAAAGACTTTTGAGTTATTTGCAATATTTTGTTGTTAAAAATAGAGCTATTTTGCACAATTTTTGCATGGGTTATTCCATATTTTCATTTGAGATAGATTCCTAAAATGATCATTCTGGGTTGAAAAAAAACTTATATGAAATATTAAATTTCAACAATTATCTCCTTGTTGGATTTTATACCAATAAGATAGGGTGTCAAACTTTGCAATATTTGACATATATGAGAACTAATTCATTTTAGCTTTAATAAGATTTTCTTAGAGTGAAGTTGATCATCTTTTTGTATGTTTAAAAACCATTCATCCTTTCTTTTCCTGTTTCTAGTTCATTTATTTCCCATTATTCTCTTAGGTTGGTGGAGAGTTTTATATACAGTTATGCACTATACAGTTATATTTTGGTCAAAAATTCACGGCACATAAGGCAGTGATCAAATAAGATTATAATACAATTTTTTCTATCTTTTTTATGTTTATACATAAATACTTAAGACTGTGTTGTAATTGCCTGTTGTATTTAGTACAGTAACATGCTACACAAGTTTGTAGCCTAGGAGCAATAGGCCAAACCATATAGCCTAGGTGTATAGTAGGCTATACCATCTAGGTTTGTGTGAGTACACTCTAAGATATTTGCACAACAACAAAATTGCCTAACAACATATTTCCCTTTATTAAGTGACACATGATTGTATTATGCATAATACATTTTTCTTTGTGGTATATTTGTAATTTTTTTGTTTTCTTTTTTTTTTTTTCCCCCTGTCCTTTTTGTCTGATAAACCTGTTTGGTAGCAACAGCCACAGTCATCAGTTGCTTTCTCTCTCTCCCTACCTCCCATTCCCCATCATTAACTACTTGTCTTCCAAAGTACTAGATCAAAAATAAACAACAAACAAACAAATAAACAAACTGATTATCATCTTTTACTGGCATTACCCAAACTTTATAAACTAACTGAGAGGCATGATAAGTATGATAACAAAGTATATTTTACGTTTGATCTAGTTTACTTTTATTTCCTAACAAAATATTTTGTCGTTATCTCATATTGTTTTTACACAGTTCCTATGTTTATTCTGATAGTTTTTGCTGAGTCTTCTTAAATGAGTACTTTTTTATCCATTATATTTTAATAGAATTTTTTTTAAACATGGAGTCTCTTGGATTCACTAATTTAATATGCCGCTACTTGACTATATTTTCTTGTTAGTAGTATTTTTTTCATTAATTTGTTTGGGTTTTCGAAATATTTTTAAATAATATCTGTCGATAGAAATCATTTTACTTTGCCACTTATTTTTGCATCTAATTGCATTTTTCCGTGTAATTGCACTGGCCACTGCCTATAAATCAAGGTTCTGTGTTAGGAAAAAGTTAGAAAAACATTCTTGACATATTCCTAAGAAGGATCTGATATTTCCTCATTATGGAATCGTTACGTGAACAGTTCAATTTCTTATGATCATATTTTGGAAAAAAAAAAAAAAAAACTCCTGTCATTGGCATTGGTCCCATTTCTCTCACTAATCCAACCAGATATTCAAGTTTCAGGGACTGGGAATAATGTAAATGTAGTGAAGGAATGAGCTTGGCTACACCCTCTTCTTATCACTTGCCCTTTCTTACCTTTTCTCCTACCCTCAGCCCTCACCTTTACAACTTCTGGGTGAGCATCCGGTACCAGCGTCACTGAGACAGTTTATTCGTTGTGTTTTCCTTTACTACTTACATTTCAAATACCAAGAATATTAAAAGCTCTTTTACCAGTGATAAGAATTTGATTTAGGGGAGAAGAAATTGTTTTTTAGGAACCAGAGAGGCCTGTGAAAGTGATAGGAGGACACTAGCCCATCTGCTAAGAATGTTTTATCTCCTGTGTGTGTGTGGTGTATACTTGTCTCAGAGTCCTTACAGGAAGACCAGATGATTGAACCAAAGAAGACACAGATTTTTTTCCAGGATTTCCTGGTGCAAAACATATTTTAGCATTTACAAATCTCCCTGAAACCACAGAATTGTATGAAAATATATATAAAATTCATGAATCATAATCTAACAACTATAAGATCACTAGCTTTATGTAGAAGCCCAAATTCCTCCTACTATTACAATGTCATTCTCTGGAAACATTTAAACTTACCCATTTGACCAAAGGGAACATCATTCCAAGATCTTGGTTGAGGCCCGTCTCCAGACTTTATAAAACATACAGAAGATCAGGATGGCATGTTGTCACCTGCAATGTCTCTGAATGTTGCCTTGCTTGGTGAGTTATTGGAAATCGGCTCAGACCTTATGGCCTCTGTCCATCCACCTTCTGGGGATAAAACTAGAGAGCCAGTCCTTGTTTTGATTGGCACATCTTTCTAAAGTCCTCTGTGCTCCTTACTTACTAGAATTCTGCTAACACTTTTCCTTCTCCATAGAATGATACTGAGTAACAACACTGCTAAATTAAATGTAGGTATATGCTTGGCATATTTTTTGGCACAATTCTTAAATACTTGCAAAAGTATTTTATTCATCTGTTATCATTTTGCAGATGTGGTTATTTTCAAGGATATTTATTGCTTTCTGTGAGAACAATGTTTGTACAATTAGGGAGAATATATGTAAGTAACCAGACACAGGGAGGAAACAGAGCAGGCAGTTAGCAATAACCAGCATGCAGCCCATTGCTGGAAAGGAAAGATACAGTGGTGTTAACATATGGAAAGTATACCAATGTATATCAAATACAGTAACAAAGTATAAATAAATATATAGATGTTTATGAATGTGTGTATAAATACATTATATATAATGCATATACATGACATAAACTATAAAATTAAAAACTATACAAATTTTAAAGTACACATATTGTATGAATGTCTGGATATTATGTTATATATGTTTATGTACATATTTATGTACATATGCATATTAATATAAATAAAATATATGTGTATTAATGGACCAGTGCAGTCGCTCTTTAGGTTAACACACACAACAACAATTCTCGTTGTATTTAACAATGTTTCTAACTTCCTTATCCTAAATTGGCTGTTTTTCATAATTAAAATGTCAATGCCTTTCAATTTAAAACTTTCCCTTAGAATTTTCATTAAAATACATCAGGTCCTTTAATGTGTATATTGGAGCCTAAAGGTCTTCTAAGAAAAAGGGTTCAGAGGTTTTCTTTTTTTTTTAATGATACTTTTTAAAATTTAATACTATAAAGTATTATAATACTGGAGGTCAAGATGAATTAATGTAACAATTTCCTTCTTAATGTTTGTCTAATCCACAAAGGAAATTATGAAAATATTGGAAAATATAAAAATGTGTTCTTAAGAATGATTAAGTAAAACTAAATGTCAATATAAAGGTGCTTGTAATCGTGTATTGTCTGAACCAAAATTAAAATTTTTTAGGTGAGAAATTGAGACCCTAATACAATACTGTCATGTGAAACTATTAACGTTCTATTATAATTCATTCTTCATATCAGAAATTAAGCCTACAAAAGGGAGACAGAAACAACTTTCTCTTTGGGGCTGCTATCTTTGTCAATTTAACACTTGAGGTAGAGTGAGAGAAGGGGTTACTATTAGGATAGTAATATATGTAATGTGAGAATAATATAATTAAACTGTAATATGAAGATTAGTTATCCTATTTTATATGTAGACTTTCTGTTAGCCCTTTTTCCTCTCTGCCTCTCACCTCTACCAACTATTAAACCTGTTGGTTTGGAGACAAGAGTCTTTTCAATGTCCTGTTTGGCAGATTGAATCCTAATACTTCTTTTATTTTCACTTTTAATGATCTTTTATTTAATAATAAAATGAAAAATAAGAATACTGTAATACATACAATCTATATACATATATTTATTGCAAATACTTAAAATTTTTTATGTAAATATTTTTATATTTGTGAAAAAATATAATTTTGTAGTGGTGTTGATACCAGCTTCTCTGTACATATCCTAAATTCCAGTGTTAACAATTGCTTCAAAAATGTAAGACTCAAAAGTCTAGTATTTACCAAACCAGTCTGTACAAACCTTACAGCCAGAGGGGAGAAAAATATCTTGTGGTTAATAATTCAATTTTCTTTAAAATAAAAAATAAATTCCAAAAGTATTCTTCTCCTTATTGCATTGTTTTTGGAGATATTCTGAGTGTCTTTAGAGTAACTTTGAAATAATTTGTGCCTTAACAGTGAGGTCCTACGTTAAACAACAGTACCTATAAACTTATTGAAAGAGAACAGTAGGTAAGACGTTTCCTAAATTTGAAGCAATAGCTTCATAGATTCTTGGTTACTTTATTTTTTTAATGCTTTACATTGAATGTCGCTATTAAAGATCAGTTTTAATAATAGTTTTCAAGTTATAAACTTTAAGTAATATATATTTTAATATCTATGTAAAATGGGACAACAGGAGACTGAAATTCTCATATGTGTTATATTTAGTGTTGTATCCCAATATTTCCAAAGCAGTTTGCTCTTTCCTCCATTCCCTATCAGTTAGTCAAAGTAAAGCTAACCGTGTAGAAGGTAAAATCTGGAATTTCACTTATAGAAAGTTCCTAAAACTATTTGATCAGATCGTTTTAAGTTTTATATGTGTGTGTGTGTGTGCATGTATAGATATAGTATATATGTATGTATACATGTGTGTATATACACATATATACATATTTATATTTGTATACAAATATGTATATATATACACACATGTATATTTGTATACAAATATGTATATATATACACATGTGTATATATACACATGTATATTTGTATACATATATATATATACACATATATATATATGTATATGTATATATATATATACTGGACAAGAATCCAAAGGACGTGAATGCTTGAGAAAAGAGTAAGAGAAATCTTGAGACTGAAAGCATAACTCACTCAAAATCTCACATGTTAAATGAATAATATCAATGCAAAATGTATGTGAGTTTTAACAAAAGAATCATAACTTCGTTAGTGAAAAATATGAGATTTGTAAGAGAAGGAATAACAGTGAGAGAAATATGAATAAACAAATTATGGGGGTGATAACAATGTTCAACACTGTTTTTATGTTTCGAATTCTATTTATGTCAACACAAAGATAATCGTTTTTTCTATATAGAATTTCTATAGCAGTCTTTATAATGTTAATTAATTGGTTCTGTGACAAGTAAAACCCCTATAGGTTAAAAATTAACACCACTGGTAATAGAAGAGAAGCTATATTCCGAAATGAAATCTTAATCAGATATACTTTATGTATAGGCTTAACTAGTAAAACAACAAAGAATAGACAAACTAAATTATTTCTCCCAATGGGAAATTTCCCTTGTAAACCTTAGCCACCATATAATTGATATACAGAAAATGCCAGATGCTTATACATCAACATCAATTTATTTCTGTATATTTCATGCCTTTGAAATTTTAAAATTGTTTGTATTAAATCTGAGGGGTTTTACTTTTTTGGCTAAGAGCATTAAAATCTCTTCTAGAGGAAAATGCCTTGAATCATTAAAAATATTACTATACTGGCAAATTTTCAGCCTCTACTGCACTGTACCAGTGTAATGGAGCAAGTACTTCCAATGCTGACCCAGTTTCACATGGATTCTAGTTGTGCATTAATTCTGCTGCCTTTGGGCAAAGCTTAAACTCTTTGGGACTTGTTCATGTATTTCTTATAAAATTAAGTAAGGTAAACTTTGCAAATTATAGTGTGCATAAATATTATTATTATTATTACCATTTAAGTTGTGTGTGGGACTAGATCATTTTTACTGTTTTCAAAATTTTCAACATTTTATAATTTTTCTAAAGACAGTGCCATGATTTCTTAGTGTTAAAAGTCTAAGATACAAAAAAAAATTGTGTGGAATTCATTATGAGAAGATTTTCAGTCTCAGAATTCAGAAAACAGAAATTACTATGTTATCGAATCATATTAAAATGTTCTCTCAGCACATAATCTTACTCTTCAAGTTAGCATATGGAATGTTGCTTAATGATCAGGGCGTTTGCACTTCTTTTTGACTGTAAAAAATAATGATCTTTCACTGTAATAAAATATTCCACTATTGCATAGTCTGTGTTTTATGAATTACTCTACACACATTTTGTGTCAATTATGGGCCACAGAATAAAAGGTAACACTTCAGCCTTCAGGCTGAATCATTTATTTAGAGCTCACTGATGTGTTCTTAATTCAATTTGACGTCTTTCTCTACCCACAGTTTGTGAGGAGAGTGATGCAAACATTTTTCTTCATTGGCTGTGGCTGGAGAATGCATCAACATGACAAATATTTTATATGAAAAAAGGGTAAAGCCTTGCGATTTACAATATATTTCTCTCAAAGAGAAACAAAGATAATCACAGTAATATTTATAACGTTTCTCTTATCTTAAAGGAGCCTCCAAGCACTTTAGAAATGTTAATGATAATCTGGTTATCCACATAACCAGGGCTTCACATCTCCCATCACTAAAACAAAATTATGTTTAACAGTCTGCGAGGATGACAGACCCTGAAGAAAGCTCTGTTGAATTAATGATTGCATGTGTAAGGCTGCAAAGGGAGTTCTGTTTACTCCAAACTGCCTATGCTGAAACGTATATCCATCATAGAATCTCTGCATATGTAAAATATGATGGCTAGCATATCATTCACCTGCTCTCAGATGAAAGTATTGATGAGGTATCACAAAATACTCTGCCCCACACCATCTGGTAACAGAGATGGCATTTGCCTATTATTAATAATGAGAACACGAATAATCATTTAACAGTATTTACTGTGCTTAGGTAAATTAACATTGTTTTGTTTCTTCTGCATATTTAAAATAATTAAATCTTTAGGACCTTCTATTAATGGCCCCATAGAACAATACAAGCATAGCTATAATTTCCAAAATAGAAATAAATATTCATACATGGTCTATGAGTGTCCTCACATGTAATATATGGCTAACTCAGACAATGATATGTTGCACATTCTACAATGATTAACAGCATTGCTTGCACAATTACAAACAAATGTTGAGATTTTATAAATACACATGCACACATGTATAATCCATATATACATGTATGTTTAATATATATTGATAGTTTTGTTATGCTTCAATTTGTATCGTGTGGTATTATTCACCTCACAACCGCTAGTAGTTATAAATGAAAAAAGTTTATGCAAAACTGTATTTCAGTTTTTTAAAAATATCATTCATTATCTAGCTATTTTGTGGCCAAATTTTGTTCATTCATGTCTTCATTCATTCAGTAATTATTAGAACCTGTTCTAGGCATTAGGCATTTAAAGAGAAATATGATGCATTCCATATCTTCTGGGAGATCATAGTCTCCTGGGAAAGATAAATATAAAAATGGTAAATAGAGCTCCATAAGAACACCAAACAGGCAGCCCATAACTCTAAAAGATGAGGCAAGGGCAATTTTACAGAGGAGGCAGTACTCGAATTGGATCTTGAAGATTGAGTAGGTGATGTCAGTCTAAGCAAGCATTCCTGTCAGGTCCTAATTGTAAAGTTAAAACATATTTCCAGCATTCACTAACATAAAGATATAGCTCCAGAAATATCGAGTTAAAAATGGATGAACCTCAGTATGAGTTCCAACAAAATGTAAACAAAGTGACCAACTGAAATACATTGTCCTGCCTTTGACACTCATACATACCAGGATAGAATTAGACTTAAAATTAGCTTTTGAAAACAGGGTGCTATACCCCCAGGTCTACAACACTTTCACACGCCATATGCCCATTTACCTTTAGGTACAACTCATAATCACATTGATGATTTATTTTAAATTTCATATGCGACCATTTTATTTTTCTGACTCTTGTCCTAATCCACTAACTAATCTGCTAATATAAAGTCCCACTTACCTGCATGCCTATCAAGCTTCCTCCATAACCTCAGGATAAGTGAGCTACCATGTGATGTTTCTATTTCTTTCCTCTTATTTTTCTTTCCTCTTTTTCTCTCGGTACTGATACGTGCCTTGCACACCTCTGCTGTTTCTGCTAGACATGATTATAATTTAACTGGACCCAACAACTCCATCTGCCTTTGATGGAAACAACCATAACTTCTTCCAGGTTCCTACAATAAATGTCTGTTTTATGCTGCTGCTAACACATAATAACTCTCCTGGTTCTAAAGCTGTTTGGCAATTTATTGGTACATCAGACAGACTAAGCTCATTATGCCTAGTTTGTTTCCCTAGGTGTTTAATTCATTCCCAGAAGGTTTCTTCATCGCCTATGTCAATAAATTAATGTCAGGTCACAAACTGACTGGATAGTACCTGTCACCTGAAATTCCAGAAGCAAACAGGAAAAAAAATGTATAGGTAGATGTTATGGACTGAATTCTATCCTCCAAAAAGACATGATGAAATCCCAGTCCCCAGCACTCCAGAATATGACCTTATTTGGAAACAGAATGTTCAGAGAGCTATGCAAGTTAAAATGAAGTCATTAGCATGGGCCTTGATCCAGTATGACTGCTGGCTTTTTATATGGGAGAAATTTAAACACAGAGACAGATATGCACAGAGGCAAGATGATGTGCAGAGATACAGGGAAAGGTTACCTGAAGATGAAGCAGAGATTGTAGCAATGCATGTAACGAGTCAAAGACTGACAGCAAACCACCAAAAGTTAAGAGAAAGTCATGGAACAAATTCTCTCTCACAACCCCCAAAAAGAACCTAACCTGCCATCACCTTGATTTCAAACGGGAGTACAATAAATTTGTACTGTTTAAGACACCAGTTTGTAGCACTTTGTTACAGCACCCTTAGAAAACTTATACAATAGAACCCAGTTCCACTTCCCCTTCTTCAATATGGATTAGTATATCATGCTGCAGAAATAAATGTCTGTTTTCCTTTCCATGAGATGTAAGATTTAGAGGTGGTAGTTACTATGTTTTATACATTTAAGTTTCTTTGGAGCTCTAGCCCATTATTTTGAACACAGCAGAAGTGAAATTAATTTTGCTAAATATATTTTAAAGCGGAAGAATTCACTGAAGCTATTGAATAAAATAATTCTTTGTTCCATAAGGAAAGAAAATCAGCAATAAATTGATGTAAACAGTCATGGAAAAACAAAATTATTTAATTCCATTTTGTTTAATATATATCTACACATATACTCATAGTTTTCCAAAATCACTAGTGTTTATGACCATGAATTTTCAATGAAAGCAGATATATTTTATATAAATGCCCTAATGCCTATGCATTTATTAATATAATGTTATGAGAGCTTGTTTACTTCATGAATATTAACTATGGTTTCAATCTCACTTTATATTAATATAACTGAACATACAATGTTGATTTTTACATTGTTCTGTATTACATCATAATACTTTTTAGCAACAATAAATCTAGCTTGATTTAGAATACATTAATACAAGCAGAACTACAAATTAATTTGAAGGTTAGTAAATACTTCAAAACCACAATGCAACAGACTAATAGGCCCTAGTATACTATGAATTGTCTGTATTGTTATTACTGAAGCTTTTATTAGCTCTCCTCTAAGCAGACTCATTTGACTGAAAGAAAATTGGTTCATAATGTGTCACCTATTATGTTGTACTTTAAGGAAAGGAATGTCAGATTTGTACAGGGCCACTGTGAAGAAGAAGAGTGGTTATATACATTTCTTATAGGAAGTCCGAGGTAATTTAGACAACTAACTTTTCTCCCACTATAAGTAAACACATTATTGATGATGTCTCTGTGAACAGATACTTTGAGCAAATTCCCCTTAAGTTTTTTAAATGTAAAATATATATTACGTTGGTGCAAAAGTAATCACAGGGAAAGAGATTCTAGAGAAGGTCAACTTAAAAAATAATCCTAAACCTTTTGATTAACCCATAGGATGATTTGACCAAGCTTTTTCATTTTCAGCTATCTCTTTCTGCCATCTTATAGCAATGGAAATCTTACAATGTATAGTTGGTGAGGAGCAGTAGAGGATGAATACTATATGGAGCTAATTTTTTGCTCTGTGATCCTGGTTTCTTTTCTCATTAGCACAAGGTCAAATATTCAGTTATCTTCCCTGTGTTTGAAGTTCAAAGTGAATGTTAGCTGAAACAATGGCCTGAATTCCTGTCAGAAAATCTGCAGACCACAAATGAAATCAATTTGTATAATTAAGCACAAGCCATGCAGCTCAAATTAACAGTCAATAAATTTAGTCATGTAAAATTATAGCAAGAGTAAAAATTCTCAAAAGCTAATTTTAAGATTATGTAAAAAAAATTTTTTACATAAAATAAATCTTTTGGGAAAACAATTTGATTTCTGACTGACAATGATGAAGGGCAGAAATAAAACTGATTAACAGTGACTGCTGATAACTTTTTGGAAATTATTATATGATTTTCCTGAAAAACCAACACATACTCTGTGGTAATTGGAAGCCTACTCTGTGAGCTGCTATGATAGGTAGGTAGCTGCGACATATAAGATGAACAACTGAGATCAACTCAATACAAATGTAATTTCTAGAAAACTGGGATAATAAATGTAAAATGAGGGCTGAACTTAGGTAGTTTCAGACTACACATGTTTGAAGGAGGTATTCATCCACCAAACCCTCGTAGTTATTTTTATCTCATAATTATTTTTCTTAGCCTAATATCTTTTTTGTTTGTTTATTTTTGAGACGGAGTCTCACTCTGTCGCCCAGGCTGAAGTGCAGTGGCATGATTTCAGCTCACTGCAACTTCCACCTCCCGGATTCAAGCGATTCTCCTGCCTCAGCCTCCCCCATAGCTGGGACTACAGACGCCCGCTACCCGACCTGGCTAATTTTTGTTTTTTTTTTTTTTAGGAGAGGTGAGGTTTCACCATGTTGGCCAGGCTGGTCTCAAACTTCTGACCTCAAATGATTCACCCACCTTGGCCTCCCAAAGTACTGGGATTACAGGTATAAGCCACTGTGCCCGCCCCCTTTTTATTTTTAGAATCATACGGAGGCCATTAAATCTCAGGCACCTTAGTATTATTTTACTCCCTTTGAATTAAATTTATTTAAACATTAGAGCCACTTGAATTAAAATTAAGTCTTTAAAAACTTGTCAATAAAATCTGGACAGGTGAAGAAATCAGTGAAGTTCACTGTCTCTGAGGTGGGCCTTAATGCAGCTTTCGGAACATATTTTATAAAAGCAAATAAGTTAAACAAAAGGAAATAATTATAAGTGAAGCTTGTGTTCACATTTAAATTTTTCACTTTTACATAATAGTGCATAAAATTTGTTGAGTGATCATTTAACACCAAACTTTCTTCATGCATTATTTCATTTAATATTCCAACAATTTAATGTAGGAGGCCATCTTAATATCTCCAATTTTATAATGACGAGTTAAGTAATTATGTCGTGCAACTGCTAAGTAATGGAGAGGATTTTGAACCAAAAGATTGACACCAGAACCTATATAATTAAGTCACGATGCTTTTCAGAAAACTTGAGCATCCTAATTACCTCTCTTACTGGCATTTGCTTTGCCTTTAATTTCAGAGTAGAAACATTTATAATATAAATTACAAATTGAAAATACAATGCAAAAGCAAATTGTTAATATGGCAATCTAACAGTCTAACAACTTCAGTATGTTAGAGCTAGTATATTCTAGCTCTTCAGTATGTTCAGCACTCTACACTAGCATGTTATGAGAATAACTATGTAATATTCACTTCAATTTTGATTTAATGAAAATACACACTTGCCCGCTTATAGCCAATACTTTCCTTTTTTTTTTTTTTTTTTTTTTTGAGACAGAGTTTCGCTCTGTCCCCCAGGCTGGAGTGCAGTGGCAGGATCTCGGCTGACTGCAAGCTCCGCCTCCTGGGTTCACGCCATTCTCCTGCCTTAGCCTCCCCAGTAGCTGGGACTACAGGCGCCCGCCACCACACCCAGCTAATTTTTGTATTTTTAGTAGAGACGGAGTTTCACCATGTTAGCCAGGATGGTCTTGATATCCTGACCTCGTGATCCGCCCACCTCGGCCTCCCAAAGTGCTGGGATTACAGGCGTGAGCCACCGTGCCCAACCCAGTACTTTCCTTTTAAGTGTAGCTGCAAGCCTCAGTGCTTTCCAAAACAAAAGTTTCCATGTTTCCCTCTTCATTACTTTTGTTTCTTGTAAGCATTCTGTGTGCTTTATTTTAGCTTATTATTAATTAATTAATTGCTTTATTATTTCATATTATGTGTTCTGCATAATGATTTACTTCCAGCGTTTAGATACTAATTATATATACTATGTGTTTTTATATTTCCTCCAAGATTGTGCTGTGTAACTTTAAGGTAGTCATGTCAACTCTGGCCTACAGATTTCACAAATTATCAGACTGGTCTGAGTAGTTCCCACAATTCTTCTTAGCTCTGAATGTTATAGTCTAAATCACCTTCTTCCCAAAGGGGCGAGACCTAGATGATTTTGGCCAACTGCATGAAGAGCACACTGTAATAGGTACTTGTCATAATAGACTCTATTTTTTAGACTTGGAGACAAAGAGAGTGGAGAAACCCTGAGTGTGCTGGCTCCTAGAGACAGGTCAATACAGTCAGTTGTCATTCATGCAGCCCAATGAATAATTCTCTCTTTGAGAGATGAGTATATTAAATTTCAGTGAGATTTTGTCTAATTCACAAGTCTGTCTTTGCTCATTTTTTTCCATGAACTTTTATTAAAATAAGTAACTTTTCCAATGGTCAAAAAACCAAATAATTGTAATAAATAAACTTCAACAAAATATTATAATTTAAATAGTTACTTTTTTGTGCTATTTATTTTCCACATTTCATCTCATATTAATATTATTAAGCTTATATTTACTATACTTGTAAGTAGTTTAAATTATTCATTTGTACATGTTTCACAGTGAGGTGTTTCACTTGTCTGTACCCAAAAGTTGTATGCTAAACTGTTAAAATAAAATAAAAAGGAGACAACAGAAAAAAAAAGGTAAAGTTTTGGTAAAGTTTTATAAAGTATATCTTTTGGAAACTGTTTTTTAGATTATGGTTTGACACTGAAAGAATGATGGCTGTAGTTATAAAGTTTCAGAACTTATTAAGCTGACTTTGAACTATAAATTAGTAAATTACTCGAAGTGACATAAAATAATAAGAACTGAAAAGAAAAATAAGTAAAAGTAGCTCAAGTAATGTCAATTTTTAAAAGTTGGTCTTACAATATACTTTGTATATCTGTAAGAATTTATCCTTAGACTAAGTCACCGTTTTCCAAGAGCAATTAGTGAGATTTTCCCAACACAATAAAAATCATGTTATTTAACACTCTCATCTGACTGTATAAAAGGAAAAGTGGAACAAGGAAATATGTCCCAGACCACCAGCAACAAGCTCTGCTATTCAAATATCCAAAAAATGAAACCCAAAATAATTCATATATCATCAAAGCAATTGCTTTCTCAAGCCAATCTCCCCTAAAATTTTATATTTGAAAACTATACTTGGAATATTTTCTAAATTGAATAAAAGATCTCTTTTCCTCATGATGGGCATGAGAAAATCAAGAAATATTTTCACCAACAATAATAAACATTTTCTCTGGCTCATGCTTTAATTATTTGCATTCCAGTGGTCATTCTTTACTGCAGATGGAGTGTAAAATAGTTTATAGATGAGTTTCTCACATGCATCTACTTATTAAATTTTCTTTCTTTCACTAGTTATATATCATATTACTTGCAATATTTCCTGTAACAATAAGTTAATATTAATCAAACAGTAAATTAATATTAATATCCTTTGACAATAAATTAATATTCATAAATATTTCCTTTAATAATAAATAAATTACAATAAACATTGTGATTTTTATGAATCAGATGGAAAAGTCCTAAGATCAATAATTTAAGCCATATGTGGTCATCTGAGACTGTAATCTCAGTTACTCAGGAGGCTGAAGTGGGAGAATTGCTTGAGCCCAGGAGTTCCAGGTTACAGTGACCTATGATAGCACACGTGAGGCCTTACGTGATGTTTCACTCGCCTGGATGAAAGGAAGATGACTTATCCTGGCTCAACCAACTTGGCATTCCTGTATCTTTAAGGCTATCTTAAAATTTATTTGACAAAGAAATGACTGTGGGGATCTATTATGTAATTATGTTATTTTACTGTTTAACCGTTTTTCTGCACTCTGTTAAATGACATCCTCCACTATACTTAACTCTTCACAGGTGGGTCGAAATTTTATTCTGACCCTCTAAACATGATCACAATGACAGATTTGTTTTAGCTGGACTTCAAAAACACTAAAAAAAAAATCCATGCCTTCACCTTCAAAATAGCAACTTTGTGTTATAACTGTATTTCAGTATACAATTGGTGTGTCTGTCTTTTCCTGTGCCAGCATCATGTTAAAATTATTGAGAAGAAAAATACTGTCCTCCAAATTCCCCCTATTTTTTTTTATTTCCTTTCTTGGTTATGTTTATAGATTTATTCATCCTTGTTAATTGTAGAATTTTTGCCGTGTTACAAAATATTCATAATGGGATTTAAAGTAAAATTGTATTTCATGTATAGACAATTTGGAGGAAATTGGCAGACACACTTTTGGCAGTGAGTATCCCAATTTAATAATAATCTGCTTCTCTATGTATTTAATACTTTATTTACATATTTTATAACTTTTATAGAGTTTCTCTACTTGTCTTATAAGACAATATACAGACATTTTCTTGTTTTTAGAAATAAGCTATTTTCCACATTACATTCTCAAAGATATGATTTTTTACTTTTGGAGTAGAAAAATGTTTTTGTTTATTTATGCCTAACCACTAAATTTTCACATTTCATAGTAATAAATTAGCAACTGTATAATCTTCAAGGAATATGATTTTCCTTTGTAGAAGTAATATCTGTGTTTCTATCTAATGTCATATTGACTAGAATTCCCAGATAGGGTGAAATATCAGTCATCTTAATGGAAAATTTATTTTGTTTCTAGTTGTAATTGAAATCTTTCTTGATATTTACTATTAAAAATAATACGGAATGATTGCCTGAGGTAGACCTTATTTTATTATTTTTATTGGTATTATTAATGACTACTTTACTATCTTTTGTTGTTAATTTTAAATGTAAATGGATTCTAAATTTTATCAAATACTTCTTTAAGAACTATGGAAATGGTTTATTTTTCAAAAAATATTTATTACTGCCTATGGATTCTACTATTACATTTTCTAATCTTGAACAACCTTTAATCTCTGAAAAATACCTTCCCATAGTTTTTGAATATTTCTGTTAGTCTTTGCTAATGTTGCGGTTAATATTCATATCATTATAAACACATATTTTCTATAGTTTCTCATTTGACTTGAATTGTCTAGGTACCTAACAATAATTTTCTGTAATCTGAAAATGTTTTAATAACTTAAGAATTGGCCACATAAAATATTTGTAATTGCATAGCCCAGGAATTTTTTTAATGATAATTCCATAACAACTAATTTATGCAACAATTATATTAATACCACTAAATTTCAAATCCATAATGACATATTTATATATCTATGTATTATTCATTTCATTTAAGCCATAATGTGCTCTTTCTTGTTTTTTAAATAAATCAGGTTGTTCCAGATCCTACTGTCTGCAATTGCAATTACTCCTACCTGTAAATTTTACCACTACCTGTATTGGAATAGCCCACTTTCTCACATCTTTAAGATCTCTGCTTTAATGTTACTACTTAGAGAGGCTTTCCCTGACCACTGTCCTATCTAAAGTAGCTCTCTTATTTATTTTTATTCAAATCCCCTCCTTTGTTTTCTGCATAAAGACATAGTTTTGTTAGACTTTTCATTAATTTTGGAGTCAGCTTTACTGTGTATGGACATTGAAAATAATCTATGCCATTAATATTTAAATTTCTTAGCATTGTTGTTAATCTAATATACTATTGTTTATATTCTTTCTCAAACATGTATGTATGTTGTTATAGCCCTTGTCTTATTAATCTCATACTTTTTATTTTATGTGTTATAACTAAACTCAGCTTATTTTTCTTAGTTCTGTGCTACAATCAGGTGCTATAATCTCTCACTTGGCTTCCTTAGTTTTGTGAACTTGTTCAAATTTATGTTTCTATGGGGAAAGAAGAAGAGGAAGTACTTCCAAATTCAATTCATGAAGCCAGATGTGAAAGTGGAAACATTACTACCAATTTTACAGAAATAATAAAGGATTATGAGACTGCTATGAACAAAACAGATAAAGGTAAGTTGATTAATGGCTGCAAAAGTACATTTAGATAAAAGAAGTAAGTCTGTGTTTTGCAGCACAGTAGGGTGACTATAGTTAATAAAAATTCACTGCATATTTCAAAATAGCTACAAGATAAGATTTGAAATGTTCCCAACACAAAGAAATGATAAATGTTTGAGGTGATGGGTGCATACAAGTACAGATTGTATGCATGTATCAAAATATCACATGTACCCCATAAGGATGTACAATATGGATATGTTCATAGATAACATATATTCATATGTTAATATATTCGCAGAAAATACTATGAACAAATATATGCCAACAACTTATCCTACTAAGATGAAATAGACAAATTGCTAAAACACAAACTCTATCAAGCCTGAATTACGTAGAACAAGGGTCCTCAACCCCTGGGCCGCAGACCAGTATTGGTCTGTGGCCTGTTAGGAACCCAGCTGCACAGCAAGAGATGAGCTGTGGGGCAAGAGAGCATTACTGCCTGAGCTCCACCTCCTGTCAGATCAGCAGCAGCATTAGATTCTCATAGGAGTACAAACCCTATTGTGAACTGCACATGCAAGGGACCTAGGTTGTGTGTTCCTTTTGAGAATCTAATACCTGATTATCTGAGGTGGAATAGTTTCATCCCAAAACCTACCCCATCCATTCAAAAAATTGTCTTCCACAAAACCGGTCTCTTGTGCCAAAAAGGTTGGGAACCATTGATTTAGAAATAAAAAACCTGAATAGACCCATAACAATAAGGAGATAGAATCAGAATCAAAAATCTCCTCACAAACTAGAACCCTGAATCTGATGTTTTCTCTGGTAAATTTTACCAATAATTTAAAGAAGAACTAACATCAATCCTCCTCAAAGTTTTCCAAAACATTGAAGAGATATGAGCACTTCCTAAGTCATTTTATGAGGCTACGTTACTCCAACACCAAAGACATTGTAAGAAAAGAAACAAGAAAGCAAACAAACAAAAACACAGAACAATACCCCTTACGAACATTGAAGACTATCAAACCAAATATAGCAGAAAAAGGCATCTCACAGAATAGGAGAAAATATTTTTCAAATGTTTATTCAATGAGGAGTTAATATGGAGAATATATAGATAAACCCTAAAACTCAAAAAAAGCAACAACAAACATCCCAATTAAAAAATAGGCAAAGAACTTGAATAGGTATATTTTTAATAAAGTTATACACATGGACAATAAGCACATGAAAAGAGGTTTAACATCACTAATCATTAGAGAAATAGAAATTAAAACTACATTGAGGTGCCACAAAATACTTATTAAGATGACTACTATAAACAAATAAACAAAAAAAAACAGAAAATAGCAAGTGTTGGCAACTATGTGGAGTAGTTGAAAAGCAAGAAAATTCTGGCACATACTACAACAGTAATGAGTCTTTAGGACATTATAATTTGAGATAAGCCAGTCACAAAGAGACGAATACAGTATGATTCCACTTCTGTGAGATACTTAGTATAGTCAAAATTCACAGAAATAAGAAGTAGAATGATGGTTTCCAGGGGCTTGGGAGAGAATAAATGTGAATTTAATGTTTAACAGGTATAAATTTAATGTGAATTTAATGTTTAATGTTTTAGTTTTACTAAATAAAAAGAGTGTGGAAATGTATGATGTTGATGATTGCACATTATGAATGCACTTATTACCCCTGAACTGTACAGTGAAAAGTGGTTAAGATGATACATTTTATGTTATGCAAAATTTGTTAAAATTTTCAGGATAATATTTAATTATAATACTATAGAGTAATTGATTTCCACACCTTCTTGCCACACTTAGAGGGCTAGAGTATAACAGGATATTATTATTATTATTATTATTATTATTATTATTATTATTATTATTATTTTGAGACGGAGTCTCGCTCAGTAACCCAGGCTGGAGTGCAGTGGCGCAATGTTGGCTCACTGCAAGCTCCGCCTCCCAGGTTCACACCATTCTCCTGCCTCAGCCTCCAGAGTAGCTGGGACTACAGGCGCCCGGCACCACGCCCGGCTAATTTTTTTTGTATTTTTAGCAGAGACGGGGTTTCACTGTATTAGCAAGGATGGTCTCGATCTCCTGACCTTGTGATGCGCTGGCCTTGGCCTCCCAAAGTGCTGGGCTTACAGGCGTGAGCCACCACGCCCAGCTAACAGGATATTGTTAAATACATTTGAAAAAGCCACAAAACACAAAGTCTAGGTAAGAGCTCTCGAGGATGCCCAAAGATAACAAGGTCCAAACCAAAAACCCCACAGGCAGAATTTCTACCTTCTGACACCTACAGTTACATAAAATAATTAACACAGCCCAACTCCTAGTCAGATTAGCAAAGTACCCCCTAAAGGCATATTTACCTCAGTTTCTATACCCAATAAATGACCTCTGACTTTCCTAAAAATTTACAAGGCATGCTAAATGTTAAGAAAAAATAATTTGAATAGACAAACCAAGCATCAGGACAAAACTCATCTGACACAGACGTTGGAATTATCAGACAAGGAATTAAAATGATTACAATTAATATGTTAATGGATTTAATGGTAAGGTAGAAAGTATGCAAAAACAGATGGACAGTGAAAGCAGAGGTATTAGACGAGAAAAATTGTAAAGGAAACAGAAATCCAAAGCCCTATAATAAAAATAAAGAATGTCTTTGATGGACACGTGGAGATCGGACTCAGTTGAGAAAAGAATCAAAGAGCTTGAAGATAGGTCAATAGATCCTTCCTAACTGACATAAAAAGACATGAAGAAAAAAAAAGTATGATGAAAATCTCAAAACTGGCCAACAGTCCAAGAAGTGTAATACAATTTCAAATGCTGAAACACGCACATAATAATTTGAATATCTGTGGTAGAATAATGAGAATGGACCAGAGGAAGTATTTAAAGAAATAATTATGGATAATGTTAAAAATTAATGATATATCTGAAAATATAAATCCAGGAAACTCAGAGAATACTAAACAGGATAAAAATGAAAAATACACACCTAGGCATTTAGTAGTCAAACTGCATTCAAACCAAAAGCAATGAGAAAATCAATAAAGAAACAGAGGGAGAAAAATCTTACTTATCGAGGAACAAGTATAAAAATTGTAGTGCCTTTTTGTCAGAAAGCATGCATGCATTAAGAGACTGACTTAAAACATTTAAAATGCTGAAAGAAAAATTCCTCCAACTTAGAATTCTATATCTACAGAAATGTATTTCAAAATAAAAGGGGGAACAAACAAAAAGTGAAAAAAATTAATCACCAAAAGTGTGTCCTGTAAGAAATTAAAAGAAGTTCTTCAGGTAGAATAAAACTAATATCGATTAACTTGGATCTACATAATAAAAAAAGTAAAAATAATTAATTAAAATAAATTATTGTGTACAAGTTTAAAAAAATCTTAATTCTAAAATATATTTAAAATAGTAACAATGTATTGGATAATTATAGAAAATGAATAATTGAAATGGATTGTAGCAATGTCATATTAATTCTTTCAATCCATGAGCACAGGATATCTTTCTGCTTATTTGTGTCTTTCTTTCATCAATGTTTTATTGTTTTCAATATACAAATATTTTATACCCTTGATTGGATTTACTGATTATTTTTGATGCCACTATAAAAGGGATTGTTTTCTTAATTTCTTTTTTGGGTAGCTTGTTATTAGTGAATATAAATGCAATTGAGTTTTGCATAATCTTGTATTATGCAACTTATAGGAGTTATTAATTCTAACAATTTTTTAGTGGAGCCTTTGACATTTTCTACATGCAAAATGATGTATCAGTCTGTTTTCACACTACTGATAATGACATACCTGAGACAAGGCAATTTACAAAAGAAAAAGGTTTAATTGGACTTAAAGTTCCACATGGCTGGGGAAGCCTCGCTATCATGGCAGAAGGCAAGGAGAATCAAGTCACATCCTACATGGATGGCAGCAGGCAAACAGAGAGCTCGTGCACAGAAAGTCACATTTTAAAACCATCAGATATCGTGAGACTCATTCACTATCACGAGCATAGCACAGAAAAAACCTGCCCCTATATTTTAGTCACCTCCCACCGGGTTCATCCCAGTGGGAACTGTGGGAGTTACAACTCAAAATGAGATTTGGGTGGGGACACAGTCAAACTATATCAAATGTCATCTGCAAACAGAGATAATTGTACTTCTTCCTTTACAGTTTGGATGCCTTTTACTTCTTTTTCTTGCTTAATTGCTCTGGCTAAGACTTCCAGGACTATGTTGAATAGAAAGGCAAGAGTGGACAACCCTGCATTGTTCCTCATAGAGAAAACATTTTCAGCTTTTTGTTATTTGGTATGATGTTAGCTGTGGGCTTGTCATATATGACTTTTATTAAGTTGCCATACATTTCTTTCATACCTAATTTGTTGAGTTTTTTTAATGAAAGGATGTTAAATTTGTGAGATATATTTTCCACGTGTATTAAGATGACCATAGGATTTTCATCCTTTACTCTATTACTGTGATTTATTATGCTTGTTAATTTGAATATGCTGCAACTTCTCTGCATTCCAGGGATAAATCCCACTCGATTATGGTATATGATTATTTTAATATGCTGTTAGAATCAGTGTGGTAATATTTTTTGAGGTGTTATGAAGAACTTTGTTAAAAAAATTGATCATAGAGAAAAGTATTCACTAAACTGAGCTGGTTGAACTCATGTGAAATAGCTTGTATTGGCACAGGAATAAATTTTTACTTATGTCCCCTTGCTACATAAGATTTTTTTTTTCCTGAGTCCAACTTGAGAATCATAATGATGATTTTTCTTTCATGGAACATTCAATAATTCTGTTACTCTTCTTAACCAAAAACATACTGTTAGTACATTTCTATTTATTCATTTTTATTTATGTATTTAATTTATGGAAGTCATGATGGTGGATAAGATCTGGTGAAATACTTTTTTCACTATTAAAGAAAACTACTCTAAAGCCTGAATTAGCTGTCCAAATTGTCAATTTACTCATTTCCTGAGATGATGCTTTGAAAGATAAGCAGAATCAGGTATTCAACTCTTAAAAATATTATTAAGTTTTGCAGGGTGTGGTAAATTCTAGTTCACACAATTCAGTAGCAATCCATGATGAACTTCAAATATTAATTTATTTATTTTAGTGCATGTTTTCATCTGCAAAATGGCTCCCAATTGTTACAGAAAATAATTTTCTAAACTACTATATAAATTTTCAACTAAGAATAAAAATGATATATCGGGGGAAGTCTTTTGAACATTTATTTATTCAATATTTTAGAACATTTTGGAATATATCAGAATGTGTGAGAGTAAATTCAAAGACAAAATTGCAGAATCCATTAAAATAAAGTGTAAATCACAGTTTGTAATTGTACTCAGGGATTTGAAATAAATTTTTCTCCTTGTCTTCTCTTCTTAATTCATGTTATCTGCAAGTTCTTTCCATTCCTTAGTAGCTAGACTTTGGAAAGATAAAAAAGAAATGAGTGTTGTCATTGTCCTAATAAAGTATGTGTGAAAGTTTGGGTCACTCCTTATAATGGTGGACACTGATCATCATTATGGGACAATATGTTGTGACTGAGCAATACTATGGTGAGAATATTTATCTGCATGCATGTTTTGTATGTGTGTGTATGTGTGTTTGTGTGTGTGTATGATGGATGCACTGTAGCAAATCTCCACTAATCAAATTAATCACATCATTTTCTTCCTACCATATCTATGAGCGGTATCCTCACATCATTTCTGATAATATTTATAACTGCATAATTTATCATGGTTTGTGAAGTAGAAATAATGTATGAAAAGGAAAAATATAAAGTTTTTTTGCATAGCAGATAAATAATAGAGAATATTAAAATTTTCTTGCAGCTTTGACAACTATCCAAAAAAAATATGATAAATTTTATTTTCTTAAATAGTAAGAAGTTGCATTTGTTTTTGAAACTTTCTCTTAACTTCGTGTTACTTGTGTTATGTAAAAATAATTTACATCTTTTATTCAATTCGGGGTGTGGGGGAAACTTTTACATAACTAATTTGGCAAGGTAGTGTGACTAATGTGAAACTTTGAAATTAAACCTGAAAACTGATTGGGTTTCTCTTCCTGAATTCAGTCTAAAAGAGAGGCCAAATATTTATAAAATGAGCAAAGAATGTGGGGACAAATAGATTATATCCATTTTAGTGTCATAATGCATTTAGGGATCTTTGAAGTTTTATTTTTTCTTTTTTTGCTTCCATATTTAGAACAAGAGGAAAAAAGGTATTAATTCTTGTCAGAAATACGTTATGAACATCAACAAAGCTAGTAAATATATTTTCTCTGGCTAGGATTACTGATGTCTGATTTTTTTGAATGAAAACCGGGGTTATTTTTCTAATAGTTATCACTTTTAAACACTAAGAAAGAGAAGCCATTTGGAAATAAAGTCTTTGTAGTATATGTGGTGTGTGTGAGTGTGTGTGTGTGTGTGTGTGTGTGTGTGTATGCCCCTGGTGAGAGTTTCATATAGATGGATCAGTTCAATTTTAACATATCTTAAAATTCTGATTTGGGGACCACAGAGGATAATATGAATTAACATAGCAAAGGCATACATAGACGGTCAGCTATTATCTCATCATTTTCACAAAAATGATTTGTTTAACTTGATAACTCCCTTTCAAAGGAGGCAGATTTAAAATATTTGTTTCATCTTTTCATATTTTCTATTGGCTATTTGGATAAAAATATTTGATGGTTTTTAACACTTTTATTCACTTGGCTTTAAAGGTACTTATTCTGTTTAGTATAGCAATGTTTTAAGTACATATATTGTCTAACAAAAATGAATAATTTTAAAGAGCATACATGATTTTAAGGGGAAATGCATTCTGACTAATACCGAGTATCTAGAAATAGCCCCCACTAAATAAGATGTGAAGTTTTTTTTTTATTTTTGACATTCTCTATCTTTTCCTTCCTGCCCATTTTAGTGCTAATTGTTAAGCACTTTTGTTTTTCCTGAAGTTATTCTGAGTATGTTAGAGCTTGCCCTTTTTCTGGCTGGATAGGATCACTTACCACTTTTCATAGCAAGAATCCCTGCAGGAGACTTACAGCACCACATGCCCCAGGAGGAAGCTGGGGATCTATTCAGGAGGGATACCATGAAAATCTGTTATCTCCATTGGTTTTTTTTGTTTGTAAAATGTAATTATTCTGCACTTCAAATTTTGTTAGTTTGATTTGCGTAACTGCAATTCCTATATCCCTAAATCTCTAGTATTTTAAATCATTCAAGTAAATTTTATGTGATTATACATAAGTTTTGCTTAGTTTTCTAGGTGACTAACTTTAAGATATTGTTCTAGAAAGTATTTGCAAAAATATCTAATTCCCAAATTTTATGTGAATTATGTAGAAATGTATGTATATAGATGGCCAAGGTCACGCCTAGCAAATATTTTTCTACTAATGTTAATTTACTTTATCTCAAAATTCTATAAATTGAATGAAACAGAACTATATGCCATCTGATATGAATTTTTTGTGTGGGATAAATTTTTGAGAAACAAGATGCAAGGAGTTGAATTTATGAAGACATTCTATTTTAGGAAGAAAAAATGAAAAATATAATGACACAAATTATTTTTTAATAACTGATCATGTATTTAAAATAATTGGTAAATTAAGCCAGCCCTAGGTTTTTATAAAATGTACTGTTGTGTGCTGTCAGTTTGTCCATTTTAATCAATTTTAATGCATATCAAAATAATGAGAATCCCTTGTAAAATATATATATATATATTTCTTAAAGCTTATTAATGTTTTATTTGAGACTGCCCCGTTCCTGAGAAAAAGTCTGTAGTGAATGAACTTGGTTATGAGAAGTCAACTACCGCTATTAACTATCATTATGTAAGATAAAATAGGTATTTGATAATGACCTACAACTAAGAGCACTATGCATATAGTACAATTAATGATAGTACCTGCACGTAAAAAGAGCGAGCAAAATCTTATAAAATTAATTAGAGAAATAATTAAAAATGTAAATTTAAGAAATGTTTCATCTTATTAGCATAAAACATTTCAATAAATTTAGCTAAAATATAATTTGTGCTTATAAGATTTAGCCCATGACTAAAATGCTCATATATTCCCCCATGATTTTTGCCATATTTTACTTTTAATTAAAGCTGAGAAACAGACAAGATATCTTGGAAGATTTTGTTGTTCTTTCATGCTACATCAGATTTCTTGTTCATTTATATTGGTAAAGATGGACCAGTGGCAAAAATAAATGAAAATAAAAAGCCACAGAAAATTATTTTCTCCTTGGAAAGAGCTTACAGCAGGAGAAAAATCTTCTCTATGCATTTCATGGTAATTCAGAACGGCAGCTCTAAGAATTTTTCTTTATTTCCAATTTAGAAAACTAGTTGTAACACCTTTTAGTGGATTTTTGAATTTAGTTTTGGTTTGAGGTACCAGGGTATTCTTAACTCCCATTAGAAAAAAAAATCTGTGTCATGTTGATTTGACTATCAAAGGATTCCAACAATTCCATAGCCAGAAGCATCATTTATATTTTTATGAAAAAAATTATTGCATTTGGCTTCCAAATAAGAAGATAGCTCAATGAAAATGTTGCCAACACCAGAGCCAACTGGATCTAATATAATTCATATTTTCTACTTGACTACTAAGCGAGGTTAATATTTATGTATTTATTCATTCATTCATTTTTTTTTTTGAGACAGAGTCTTGCTCTGTTGCCCAGACTAAAGTGCAGTGGCCCTATGTTGGCTCACTGCAACCTCTGCCTCCCAGGTTCAAGCGATTCTCCTGCCTCAGCCTCCCGAGTAACTGGAATTACAGGTGTGTGCCACCACACCTGACTTTTTTTTTTTTTTTTTTGTATTTTCAGTAGAGACGTGGTTTCACTGTGTGGGACAGGCTGAACTTGAACTCCTGACCTCAAGTGATCTACCTGCTTCGGCCTCCCAAAGTGCTGGGATTACAGATGTCAGCTGGCAAAAGTTAATATTTTATATTATTTGTATAATATTTTAATAATATTTTTATATAAAACTTTTTATAATTTTATATACTATACAATATATATTTTTATAATGTATGGAATTAAAAAGTCTAAGTTCCCTTGTAGTGTTCACACTGAGTCTTGCATAATAAGTGAAAATACTTAGTACCATTGGTAGATTATTAATACATATTGTGACTTACCATGTGTTGGGGAATGTGAATTAACTTTGGTTTATTCTCGTAAGAATAAAGCAAGACAATATTTCAAATATAATCCATACTAATACATTTGTAATAATTATTTTTCTGTTATTCCACAATTCTATCAGATACATACATTGCTTTGAATTTTATATTCAGATAAAAGATGGAAAAGAAAGATGCTTTTATTACTTTCTAAAAGCTTCTTAGAAAAATTTTAATTATTTCTTAGGTAGATTTTAACATATTTATGTAATAGGAGTCCAATTATAATGTCTAAATATCTATGAGTTTTTAAAATATTTAAAAAATTCTGTGACCTAGAAAAAGAGTTTAGAAATTATGCTGAGAATGTTATTAAATATGACAAAAAGAAAGGAAAGGCTTTTGATATTTCTGTAGGTCAAAAAGCAAATCATTTTAGCTTAACATTATTTTTGTTAATGTTTCATTTTACTATTAAAAACTAATTACTTTGGAATATATTTCAAATACTGTTTTGCTACATGAAAACATTGAACAGTTTTAAGGCATAAAATCAGGTGAACGAAATTAAATATAAAATGCAGCTAAATACAAAATCCTGCTGTGTGCTTCTTGAAAACAATCTAACTCATCAGGTACCCAAGGACAAACAGATTTATTGGCAAGATGGAAAGAAGGGGAAAAACAATAGCTGAGTGAATATAAAAAATCAGATAAGCTGTGGGATTATATATTGCATCATATAAACCTTCTGGACTGTGTCTCTAGGCAAAATATATCTTTGTTGTCACTTTTGCTGGTACCAACCTGCAGAATTTGGAAACTTATCCCAAAATTTAAAATCGAAGAAATAATTAAATTATAGAAAGTAAACATGCTGCCCAACAGAAGTAGTCTAATTTTAAAAGCACACTTTACTATCATTATATTTAAATAAGGTTCTTGATCACTTGATCTGACCCGGCATGGTGCATAGCAACTGCAGTTGCACAATGTATTTGAATGAGGATTATTATAATTTACTAAGAGGTGCTGCAGGGGATTAGAAAACTTGGAAGGCCAGCACTGTACTTCCATAACAGACATCTCTGCCAGATAATTAACCTTGCTGTTTGTTTAGCATTCGCCGAATGCTTCATTACTGATTCAGTCAATTATCTAGTGGTAATGACCGCTGCAGAAGGTAGAATTGCTTAATTAAAATTATTTAGACCAAGGAGGAACTTTGATTGGGCCGTGCATATTAGAAAGGCTTGATTAATCTCGATGAGATACACAACTCATTTAAAGCCTTACTGTATTATCTGCAAATGCCAAATGCATTCTTTTTTCAATCAAAAATGAAATATAATATTTTTCCTTTGCCAATTACATTAAAAAATTAGACAGCAGCAAGGGAGTAGATGAAAATCAGCCTCCTTAGTTAGAATTTAGTGTAAAAGATTTGAAGAATAAAAGTAGAATCATATTTTATTCATAAGATTCAATTGATATAAATTAGGAAATCATTATTGCCTGAAGGAATGGTGTGCCTGGGCAGGCAAACTTGGCACTTTATGAACATACCAGTTACAAGATGTAAATACATTTAATCTTCAATTTTCTTCATATCCACAGGTTAATTCTCTAGTCCTTTCTTCATGTGCATTTGAACATGACCATCTAATTTTAGAATTGGTCAGTTGACATTATTTACATATAAATCAGAATGCAATGGTATTCTTTGTACATGAGTCAGAATTCTGGATAGAACAAATCTATTCCATTTTAGCACCAATATCAGCTCTACCATGTCTAGTTGTCTTTACTTGAGTAAAGAGCTATTTTTTGAATGAAGATACACTTCATTGTTTTGCCTCATGTCTAGCTGTAACAAGATCAAAGAATAGTATTTCCTCTTCCAGGCTTCTCAGCATAAAATTTCAAAAGGGATAGTCAAGTAAGAATTGATTGTGTTTTTTCTTTTCTTGTTTTTATTTGTTTTTCTTTTCTTTGGTCAAGGAAGGGATTGTTATTTATTGGTTTTATGTAGGTGCTTCATTTTAAAGCTCTCCAAAACTTCGAGATGGTGCTGATAACTGCATATATTTCCGAATAATTACATTTGATGAACAAAGGTGTTCCCAATTATGCCATAGATATATTAGGTATTCTGAACCCTAATATAATTTAGGAAATTACTCCTCAAAGGCAATGAAATAACATCTCAGCAATCATTAGATATTATTCAGATTCCCCTGTAACACTTTCCTCCCTGTGAAGCCCGAAAGTTCAACTGGCATTTCAACTGGTACTATGGAAATATTTACAACATTAAATAATTATATCACTTCAGATATAAATAAGAACATAAAGTGAGCTAACCCTTCAACAAGAAATTTACATTGTTATTATTATAGACTCCAGGTAAGTATTCTTACCTAGTAAATTATTCTTACTTGGAAATATGCACAATGGAAATTCAAGGAAACATAGTGAGAGAAAAACACCATATAGAAAGTTAGTACTTGTAGAGATAATCATAGGCAGACTGTTTTTCCTCTATAACTAGTAATGAAATAGCACTCTTACATGCTATAATAACAACAAAAAACAATAACAACAACCAACCGACAAATAAAAAACATAAATTTAAATCAAATTTGATGAAGAATGCATTCATTATTTGGTAGAATCACATATTAGCTTCTATTTTAAAATTGTATATGATTATGTTTTCTAGCAATGCAATACTATAGATAAAATAACAAGATGACTAGAATATTTTATGGATACTTTTACGTGTCCATGAAAACAAATTAGTTCAAAATTACTCTTAGAATATACTATATAATTCCATGGAAGCATTAATGAAATTTAGAAAATACTTAGTATTCAATAATAATACAGTAAAAGTCAAAATTTGAGGGCTCAAGCTGAAGTAGTATTTGTAAAAAAATTTTCTGCCCTTTATGTTTGTAAAGTAACAAAGGACTAATATTAGTGGCTGGACATCCAAACATAGAGATTAGAAAGACAACTGAGAAAATTAACAGAAACTGCATAGTATAGAAAATAGTATAAGTGTGGAAATTCATACAATAGAAAAAATGTAATAAAAGATTGCAAAAGGTATTAAAAACACTAATAATACTAACTTCTAGAAGACATTTGATTAATACAATGAGAGAAAAAATAAGAAAAGCAATAGTAAAAGTCAGACAAACCATAAATGAACATTGATTACATATAAGACAATATAACATATAAAAATATTATATTGAAGAGGCAATTTCATAGAGAATTATACCTAAATCACATGCACAACAAATTGTAAAAGGAAATATGTACATTTGAGTGATAAAACAACACTCTTTTCACAAATGATCTATTTGTACATACAGAAAATGAACAATATAAAATAGCTTTTATTCAACTACATTTGATTTTCAAAACTTAAAATGGCAAATTAATGATTGAACTTAATTGAGAAAATCTATACATCAAAATATTAAAAAGTAAAAATTAGCTGGGGCTTAAAATAATTTTGTTTCCATAGACTATTTACACAAGATGTACTTAGAAAAAATAATTTTTTCAGTGCTAAGCAGTAAAAACTGTGAGCTGTCAATAAGTAAAAATTAGAGAATGTTGCATAGAACCTTTAATAAGGAAGCTAAGACTTTCTTTAAAGATATACACAAAAAACACAAATAAAAATATATCCTATACTTGTGAAAATTACATACTATAAGTATGCTTATACATCTCAAATTAATCTTTGCCTTTAGTTTAACCCAATAAAGTTTAACGGGTTTCCTCAAATAAATTAATAAGCTGATCATAAAACTTTAGTGGAACGGAAAGCAAAAAACTTAAGAATTCTTCCTATACTAGTAACAAGTCATATACACCTATTTTATAATAGTGTGGAATATGCACAATAATAGATAAATTGTATAATGGAACAAAATAGAGATTCCAGAAATAAGCCCAACCGTATATAATATCCTGGTTTTGAGCCAAGTTATATCCTAAATTATTGGAGGAAAATACTCATTTAATGATTCTGAGACTATTGTATTCACATGCTAAAACGTAATATTGAGCCCCTACTTAATACCATACGCAAAACTGATTTCAGGTGAATTAAAGATACATGATAAAAGAAAGACCTTGAAACATTTCAGAGAAAATAAAATAGTTTCAAGTACAGAGAAATCGATAGAGGCAGGAGCCAGAGACATTCTAGGCAGAAAGAGGCAGGTCCCTGGCGAAACTCCACCTTCAAGCAGAAAAGCCTGAAACTGCTCTTCAAAGTGAGAACTTCTATCCCTGTTTGCCCACTCTCTCCCAATTGTTTCTTTTTGGATAATGTCTTTTAGCCAATGGAATGTTGCCTTTTCCAAAACTACCTACGGCCCAGCCCGCCCCCGATTCTCTGCTTATGAAGACCTTAGACTCAGTCGGTAGAGAGAGAGAGAAGGCTTGACAGGAGAGAGGTGACTTGTCTTCAGAGAGACAGCCGGACTTTGGAAGAGAGACAGCTTAACTTCTGAGAGACAACATGACTTCCAAGAAGAGCCAGCTGGAGATGGCTGGACGACAGGGGAAGATTACCTTCCTGTCCCTTCCCTTCTCTAGCACCTTTCTCCTGAGAGCCATTTCCATTACTTAAAATTCCCTGCCTTCAAGTGTCCAGGCGACCTCATACTTCTTGGACTCTGGACAAGAGCTCGGGACCTACCGAGAGTGGGTACCCAAAAAAGGCTGTCACACTGCCCCTTTGCCCTTGCTGGCAGAGGGCAGCCACCCCACATGAAGAGACAAGGGGGCCCACTAAGCTGATAACACGCTGCCCATGGACGGCAGAGCTAAGGGAGCATTGTAACATACCCTCAGGGGCTTCAGAGGTCGCAGGCACCCCAACCTGGGCGCCACCTAGGGGCCCGCACGGAGCTTGCTCCTGCCAGCGCCCAAAGTGGTGGACTCGATCCCACACTCGCTCACGCATATGCTCCCTCCTGAAAGGGTTTGAGCGCAGCGGGTGGAGTAAATGGGGCACCACCGTCGCAAGTCTGGCAAAGGGTTCGAGAAAAATGCTGCATCAAAATTAATATATACAATTTAAGACGGAAAGATAGAGTGACAACAAAATAGAAATACTCTTTATAATAAAAAGACATCATAAAATGTGATAAAATAAGGCATAGACTGGAGAAAGTGTTTGGAACTTATAACTGACAAAATTATTACTCTCCAAAATGTATGAAAATCACCTGGAAACTAAGTATTAAAAGATGAACAGTCAGAAAGAAAAAAAGAAAGAAAGAAAACATGCCTGAAGGTCATGAACCAATGGGCAATAAACACTTGAAAAATGCTTGATTTTCCAGAGCAATGAAAATTAAAACATTCATGCAATACCATTTCCAAGTCACCTATTGACCAAACATTAAAGTTCACCAATACTAAGCTGGCGATTTGGTAGGGGAGGAAAATATCCATGTATTTCCCTAATAGAGTTACATAACCACTTTGGGAATCCTTCAGTAATATCAGTCAGCTCTGAAGATAAATAAATTTTAGGTCAGAAGTTTCCACTTATATGCCCTAGGGACTCCCATGCAGGTCTGCAGATACCTATGATTAAATTTACTGAAACATTGTTTATAAAAGAAAAAGAAATGACAAAAATCTGATATGTCCCTAAGCAAATGGATTTCTCTAAAGCAGTTAAAAGGATCTATCAACATGGATTTATCTCATGAACATAATGTGATTTTTAAAGGAAGCTATATACATTTGGCATGATTCCATCTAAACAAGGTATTAACTGTGAAAATGCTATATATTGATTATTCATGCAAACTGTAACATCATGCAAAATGTAACAATATGCATGATAGTTATAAACATCTAATGTAAGCAAGTGGTTATATCTCCACAGGATTAAAAAATGGATTAGGAATGAATATACTCACAAATTTCATTCAGTTGTTAACATATTACTTTTTGAAAGAATCTAAGGTAACCAGCAGAAGTGAAAATATTTGATTTAGCTGATTGTTCCTTATGTAGATAATCATTTTATTGTTATCTATTCCTTTACTATTCTTTTCATTATTTTGTTAATAAAATGTTTTAAGTGACATTTGATGCTTTCTTATATGTGTTTATCTTGATCTTTAATAAAAAATGCTGTTTCTCATTCCTTCATCCACTGAATCACTGAATAAATGTACTAGCCAAAAAAAAAAAAAATGTACACACACTCACATAAATCTCATCATTTGTAAGCCAATCTACTTGTGCTGGGGTTTAAAGTCTCATCTATTGGAATTATTTGCATGAACAATTAAGACAACGCTGATAATGACAAATAAATTGTATGTGAATGGAATGAATGAAAAGCACTACTCATAAAGGACAAACCTTTCTGTTAGCACCATCCTTCAGCATTAAGAAATTAGTAGTTAAATATCTTTCACAAATGACCAGGTAATTAGACATAATCTTAATCTAGGTCTGCTTTAGGAGTTCAATATTATAAACTTTATTTTCTCCAAAATATTGTTTCTAAAAATATATATAATTAAAATATTAACGAAGGTTTATTTATATAATTTCAAGCCTAACACCCAAGACTTCTACAATCTGGTTCAATTTGAGTTTGGGCCATAATACTGATAGACACAATCTAAAACGCCATAATCCTGAATGTTGAAATCCTGAAAGATCAAAATCCCAGCAGTCTAAATTCCAAGAATCATAATCCTGAAAGATCAAAATCCTGAAAATATAATTGGAAAAAAAATTTTAAATATTATCTCTTTATATTTTTGAAAGTGGATTTACTTGAGAAACATATAAATACATAGCAGAACTTTTCATAGGTCATTTTACACAAAAATTAGATGATAATAACATATACATTTTTGCAAGCATAAACACTTCGGTGCACTAATGACAGTTGCACCAGTTTAACCGTTATGAGCAGATGAATTATATTCACGAAAAGCCAAAAAACGAAATGTATAAATGCATATCATTATGGTTGATGATTGTGTGTACCCAGTTTTATAACAACAGTTACTTGAAAATCATGAAAAACCATGTAATTCTTTTGGCAAAACTGATTTAAAAACCACAATGGGTCACATATACATATACAATTGCCCAAAAAAATAGAAAACTCTAAAAGTTTTGCTTTTAACAATCGCAAATGTAAAATAAAATCTTCTCTTCATTTATTGAGGAAGTTTCAACATCTTCATATACAAACACAATGCTTACACACAAAGCTGACATTGTGGTAGTGCACTTTTGTGGAGTTAAATGTGCACAAAACACATAAAACACATAAAGCAAATTAGAACTCTCTAAAAGTCTTTACACAATGTATACCTCCAGTACTGGAAATGATGCAAACATGAAATACATAGCGTAGTGAATTGGCACTATGTGTGAAGGACCAGAGGTTGTTTATGACTGAATAATTTGGCAGGGAAAATTTCTTACATTTTTTTTCTGCATGTTCACTTCCATGATGTTTAAAACACTTGCAGCACTTCTAAGTCCTGGAGTCCAAAACTCGGCAAGCTTGGAGTTCTTACATGCAAGGTAGCAAAAGAGAAGTCTGTCCTAGCTCTCAAAATAGACTAATCTGTCTCCTGTATTTGTTCTCTCTGGGCCTTGGCCAATTGAATGGTGCCTGTCAACATTGAGGGCAGATATTGCCCCCTAGTCTACTCAGACTCACACACTAATCTCCTTTGAAAGCCCCATCACAAACATACCCCAACCAATGCTTTCCCAGGATTCTAGGCATTCTTTAATTCAGTCAAATTGACACCTAAAGTTAAGCCCACAAGTACACCTCTTGCCAACTTGGCATCCATATGTAGCTCCTTAAACCATACTTAATTTCCAATAGAGACATTGAGGTAACATTTGAACACTTTTTCATATGCTTGTTGACTGCATGTATGTCTACTTTGGAAAAGTGTCTGTTCATGTCCTTTGCCCGCTATTTAATGGGGTTGTTTGTTTTTTGCTTGTAAATTTATTCCTTACAGATTCTGGATATTAGACCTTTGTCAGATGCATAGTTTGCAAATATTTTCTCACATTCTGTAGATTGTCTGTTTGCATTGTTGCTAGTTTCTTTTGCTGCGCAGAAGCTTTTTAGTTTAATTAGATCTTATTTGTTAATTTTTGCTTTTGTTGTGATTGCTTTTGGCATCTCCGTCATGAAATCTTTTACAGCTCCTATGTCTAGAATGGTATCTCCTACATCACTAATCATTAGAGAATACAAATTAAAACCACAATGAGATATGTGTTTAAAATCTCAAACATCTAAAATCCTGGAAAAAAATAACAATTCCAAGATATTAAAACGCTGAATATTGAAATCCTGAAAGCCAAATTCTTGGGAAGGGATTAGTGTGTTTTTGGTTAGAAGCAAGAAAGTTGCATCATGTTAGGGGAAATTACTACTTTGTTTGTTTGTTTCTTTCTTTTAATTTTTATTTAAGGTTCAGGGGTACATGCGCAGGTTTGTTATAAAGATAAACTCGCATCATAAGGGTTTGCTGTACAGGTTATTTTGTCACCCAGGTAGTAAGCACAGTACATCAGTCAGAATGGCTACTATTAAAAAGTCATAAATAATAGATGCTGGAGAGGTTGCAGGGAAAAGAGAAGACTTACACATTGCTGGTTGGAATGTGTAAAGCTGTGTGGCGATTCCTCAAAGAACTAAAAACAGAACTACCATTTGGCCCAGCAATCTTATTAGTGGATATATACCCAAAGGAATATAAATAATTCTACCAAAAGACACATGCATGTGTATTTTTACTGCAGCACTATTCACCATAGCAAAGACATGAAATCAACCTAAATGCCCATCAATAGTAGACTTTATAAAGAAACCATGGAATACCATGCAGCCATACAAAAGAATGAGATATTCTCCTTTGCAGCAACATGATGGAGGCGAAGGCCATTAGCCTAAGCAAACTAATGCAGAAATGGAAAACCAAACACTGCATGTTCTCACTTATAAGTAGGAAAAACAGTCCCAAAGAGGCAAACAACAGACCCAGGGGCCTACTTGAGGGTAGAGGAACAGAAAAAATACCTGTCAGGTACTGTGCTTAGTACCTGGGTGACAAAATAACCTGTACAACAAACCCTCATGATGTGAGTTTATCTTTATAACAAACCTGCGCATGTACCCCTGAACCTTAAATAAAACTTAAAAGAAAGAAACAAACGAACAAGGTAGTAATTCTTCCCAACATGATGCAACTTTCTTGCTTCTAACCAAAAGCACACTAATCCCTTCCCAAGAATTTGGCTTTCAGGATTTCAATATTCAGCGTTTTAATATCTTGGAATTGTTATTTTTTCCTGGATTTTAGATGTTTGAGATTTTAAACACAAGAATTTTGATCTTTTAAGATTTCAACATTCAGGGTTGTGTCTTTGAGGATTATTAACAACATCATCACACTCACCTCTGTAGACCTACTTCACTACTCAGGTATGTGGGTTCTGGAACTATGATCCTGACCCCAAATTATTGGTCTGTTACCTGTTAATTATGTGGTCTAAAGAAGTCAGTCTGTCTGGGCTTCCATTTTCCTTATATCTCTTTTGTGATTCTTACAGATGTGTAAGGATGAACTGAAATGACATACTTGAAAATACCACACCGTGCATATTCCTTCAACAGTGTTAACAAACTGGACTTAATCAGAAAAACAGAAAGCACCTCAAGTAATTGCAAGAACAAATAAAATGCAGGATCCTACAGTGATGGAGAATTTGAGATGCTATAAGAGACAGTGTAGAAACCCAGAAGTTTTCAACAGCATGAAGTCAACTTTATCCCTAGACCAGAGGGACAAAGGGAGGAAGTCATACTAGAGCATAAGGGCTGAGCTCTCCCCAAAAAAGCTAGATTCAATACAGTGTGATCTACCCAGAAAGAGAGGAGACGCAGCCATTGCTGAGATACCTCTTGATACCGAGAGAGTAGTGAATAAATATCCTGGTATTTCCCTTTCTCACACTTTTCAATCCCTAACTAGTGCCACATGTTTTTAAAACCAGCAGGAAGCCAGATAACACAGTAACCATGAAAATGATATAAGGGATCCATGTCCCCTTCCACCACTTATTCGCCTGGAAAAAAGACAGGGAAGGAATGAATATGAGGACAAATAATACTAAAATTTACACAGTGTTATGGATTTGGGTTTAACACTACAAAGTATTAATGGGCATATACCATAATTACAGAAATGAAAAAAGACCGCTACTTTTCCTATAACCTGAAATATTTGAAAATATGACACATACCATAATAGAAAAAAAGATGAAGAACTCATATGATAAATTCACAGAAAATGTTTATATGTGTGTATATATGTGTGTGTGTGTATGTATATATATATATATAAACAAAAGTTAAACATCCTTAAAACACATAACTATTCATAACAGCAATTAGAGATGTTGAATAAATTTATAACTTATTATCTTCCAAAGTGAAGAGATAAATAGAACATAATTTGTACATAATATACCTGCATTGTTTTTCTTTTTTACAGGTGATTTTAATGATTATAGACAACATGAAAATACAGTAAGTACAAAAATAAAATAAACATCTCATATAACCTTACGTCGATAGGAAATTGGTATATTTCCTTCCAAATATGGTGTATAACTGCAAATGTGGAAGAAAATATAAATAGCCTAATGTCTTCTGATGATGATATGGATCATCTTTTATCCACTTATGTAAGAAATTTTACCATTTAATATGCTTCAAGTGCATAATTTTTAATTACTGTATAATATTCAATTTTTTATATACACCAAAAGTTTTTTATCCATACCTATATTATTAGTCCCTTAAGTTTCTTTCAATTTATAGGTAACATAAATAATATTGTGATAAAATAATTCTACAAAAATGCTTAAAACGACATTACAATTTTTTTTCAGATAAGCAAACTTTTAAGAAACAATAGTACTCGCTCTTCATAAGCCTGAAAGAAAGTTGCACTCTTGTACATATTGGGTGAATAACTTGTTTTCTTTTGGATAATAATTTTGTGTCATATTTCAAAAATCTTAGTATAATCCCATTTTGACATAAAAATTATTTTTATTTACCTTAGGAAAATTATAATGTAAGAAATTAAAATTACAATGCAAAAAAAATTATTTTAGTAATACAATATGAAAAGATAAAATGTACGATGTTAATTAGAATAGAATTAGAAAAATTAAGTTATTTTATTTCCAAAAATGTTTAAATTTGTTTAAAATACTGACACAAATTCTTATTTGTTAAATTGAAAAAGTAAACAAGGAAGGTGTAAAACCATATGTAAACTATGAACCAAAAAATAGCTATTTGAAAGTAAATGTGTGTTAATCCATTTTTGTGTTCATGTGTACTGCCGTGAACTTGTACACAAAATTGCATGGGGTAATATTTTCTTGTCATTTTATTTACTAGGCAGAAGTATATATTTATGACTTGCATATCTTTAGAACTTTTCTCTAGATGATGCCTAATATCATATAATTGCTTAAATCAATCTAATGAAGATTGAGGAATCTTATAATATTCTAAGAGGTAAAGTATAAAGTAATTCCTGAATCATCTAATGCTTATGGGTAAGAATGAAATTTTAAAAAATACATTACAGTTTTACCTACAGATCTGAGGCAGAGTTTTTCGAATTCTCGTAACACCAACATAGCCCTTGTCTTCACACCATTTAATAATTTTTGAAGGCAGCTAAAATTGTGAAATATTATGAAAATAAAAGAAGCCTAAGATCAGATGGTTGTAGATGTGTGGTATTATTTCTGAGGGTTCTGTTCTGTTCCATTGGTCTATATCTCTGGTTTGGTACCAGTATCATGCTGTTTTGGTTACTGTAGCCTTGTAATATAGTTTTAAGTCAGGTAGCATGATGCCTCCAGCTTTGTTCTTTTTGGTTAGGATTGTCTTGGCAATGCGGGCTCTTTTTGGGTTCCATATGAACTTTAAAGTAGTTTTTTCCAATTCTGTGAAGAAAGTCATTGGTAGCTTGATGGGGATGGTATTAAATCTATAAATTACCTTGAGCAGTATGGCCATTTTCACAGTATTGATTCTTCCTATCCATGGGCATGGAATTTTCTTCCATTTGTTTGTGTCATCCTTTATTTCATTGAGCAGTGGTTTGTAGTTCTCCTTGAAGAGGTCTTTCACATCCCTTGTAAGCTGGATTCCTAAGTATTTTATTCTCTTTGAAGCAATTGTGACAAACCTGACAAAAACAAGAAATGGGGAAAGGATTCCCTATTTAATAAATGGTGCTGGGAAAAATGGCTAGCCATACGTAGAAAGCTGAAAATGGATCCCTTCCTTACACCTTACACAAAAATTAATTCAAGATGGATTAAAGACTTATGTGTTAGATCTAAAACCATAAAAACCCTAGAAGAAAACCTAGGCAATACCGCTCAGGACATAGGCATGGGCAAGGACTTCGTGACTAAAACACCAAAAGCAATGACAACGAAGGCCAAAATTGACAAATGGGATTTAGTTAAAGAGCTTCTGCACCACAAAAGAAACTACCATCAGGGTGAACAGGCAACCTACAGAATGGGAGAAAATTTTTGCAATCTACCCATCTGACAAAGGGCTAATATCCAGAATCTACAAAGAACTTAAACAAATTTACAAGAAAAAATCAAACAACCCCATCAAAAAGAGGGCAAAGGATATGAACAGACACTTCTCAAAAGAAGACATTTATGCAGCCAAAAGACACATGAAAAAATGCTCATCATCACTGGCCATCAGAGAAATGCAAATCAAAACCACAAAGAGATACCATCTCACACCAGTTAGAATGGCAATCATTAAAAAGTCAGGAAACAACAGGTGCTGGAGAGGATATGGAGAAATAGGAACACTTTTACACTGTTAGTGGGAGTGTAAACTAGTTCAACCATTGTGGAAGCAGTGTGGCAATTCCTCAAGGATCTAGAAGTAGAAATACCATTTGACCCAACCATCCCATTACTGGGTATATACCCAAAGGATTATAAATCATGCTGCTATAAAGACACATGCACACATATGTTTATTGAGGCACTATTCATAATAGCAAAGACTTTGAACCAACCCAAATGTCCATCAATGATAGACTGGGTTAAGAAAATGTGGCACATATACACCATGGAATACTATGCAGCCATAAAAAATGATGAGTTCATGTCCTTTGTAGGGACATGGATGAAGCTGGAAACCCTCATTCTCAGCAAACTATCTCAAGGACAGAAAACCAAACACCACATGTTCTCACTCGTAGGTGGGAATTGAACAATGAGAACACTTGGACACAGGGTGGGGAACATCACACATTGGGGCCTGTCATGGGGTCGGGGGAGGGGCGAGGGAAAGCATTAGGAGATATACCTAATGTAAATGACGAGTTAATGGGTGCAGCACACCAACATGGTACATGTATACATATGTAACAAACCTGCACATTGTGCACATGTACCCTAGAACTTAAAGTATAATAAAAAAGTAGAATAATAAAGACAGAAGTGGATAACAAGTTAAAACAAAGAGAGCGATGTACTCCCCAAGGAAAAAAAAAATAGAAATTGTGCCCAGAAAAGTAGGGAAGAATGCTGAGTAAATGGTCCAGATGACTGCCCCCCAACACCTAAGAATCCATGTATGGAGAACAATGTGAATAAGGCTGGGATAATAAATACCGGTTCAGTCTCTAGAAAAAAAATTAAAAACCCTTTCTAAAATCTATTTACATATTCAAAAATACAAGCCTTCAATACAAGCTTTTTATTTTATTTTCCTGATTTATATTTTATTTTATTTATTTTCCTGCTTGCCTCGCTGGTGGCTAGTGGACTTCAGGAGGATAATACAATATCCTATGTTTTTTCTCTGCACATTAGCCTTTTTTCTTTATTAAATAACTATTCCAGTTTTAAAGGGAAGAAAGTATAGGCCAACCAAACTGTAGTCCAAAACGTTGAAAGAGGTTAACTGTAGAAAATAGGAAGAGGTACATCACACACCGGGGCCTGTTGTGGGGTGGGGGGAGGGGGAGGGATAGCATTAGGAGATATACCTAATGTTAAATGACGAGTTAATGGGTGCAGCACACCAACATGGCACATGTATACATATGTAACTAACCTGCACGTTATGCACATGTACCCTAAAACTTAAAGTGTAATTTAAAAAAAGAAAATAAAATAGGATTACAATATTTTTCCTTTCTGTTGTATTACTTCACATATATGGTGATTTTCAATTTTTATTTTTTATAAAATAGCACTGTATTGATAATCAAATGAAGAATATTACATGTTTATTATGAAAATTGATATATATGATTTTCCATTTTCTCCATCTTTTAATCTTGTCTGCTATTTTTTTCCTGAATCTGTTTTCGTGATTTTATTTATGCTATTTATTCTTCCTAGAAAGTCATTTGCTTCCTCAGTTTCCAACAGATTCTAACAGCTTTTCAAATCATTTTCTGAACGCTTTATCATTTTTATTACATTTAATTATTAATTACAGTAACAATTATCATCATGTTCTTCAATGCACATAGTTTTCTCTGTGTCTCTATATACACATACACACAGAATTCCTAATAATGCATAGGAAACTGACATGTGTAAGAGTGAGCTGTCTGTGAAGTGCCATGATGTCAGAGGGTGTATTAATGAACACCTCTTGATTTGAGTTGATGCTTAACTCAAAAAGTTCTTGCTCAAGTGACTGCGAAAGTCCAAACACTGCATATGAAATGCATCTGATACATTTATAGCATATAGAAGTGGAAGAGTTATTTTATGCTCTCTCTAATGTTCATAAATTAATTTCCCTAAAATAATGAGGTACTCTCGACTATCAGTATCAAGTGACAAGAAGAAATCACTATAAAGTAGTTATGAATTGCAGATATGTGTTATATTTTCCCCAAGACTTACATGGCTCATTGGTAATTTTATTAAAAGTAAAGCTTTCATAGATGTACCATTCATGATACTTTAAATAAGCTCTCATGACTCAGGGACAGATTTGAAACTGAGTGTCCTTTCTTTCTTTTTCCTTCCAACCACAATCAATTTAAAATAGAAAATGAAGGGTAGGAAAGTACAATGAATTCAAGTACATGTCAAATCTATAATTTCTGTATAAAAACTAATGAACACAATGCAAGGCACTTCCAATCTTATTTCCTCCAGAAAGAGAGTATAATCAGAGTGTAATGAGCATTGAAATTAATGAATTAAAAATAAATGTCCATAAGAGAAAAAATGTATTTCAGTCAGGCAGTAATTATGTTTTCAACATTATAAATTAATTCCCCAAATGAATATCTTTCAGTGTACCCGATCTATTATCTATCTTCATCTTTTTATTTAAAGCTCAGTGTTCCTAAGTTGACTAAGCCATCACATTATTAAAAAACAAAACAAGAGGTGTTCATTAACACACCCTCTGACATTCCATCGTTGCATAAAATCTCATGCTGGTTTTAAATGTACACTTTCTTCCCCCTCCCACCCCAATTATGATAAAGAAACAAATGGAGCCACTTGTAGTTTCAGTTAGAAAATTTGTGAGGATATTAATATCAATTCACTGAAAAATAAATAAGGATGACAAATAAGATGAACACATTAAGTCATTAAATAAATTAAAATACTTATTTCTGTTTAGAAGACAATTTAAGATAATGGTTATTTGATTGGGTCTGATGTCAGGTGTGAGGTTCTGGTTTTTACTTGTAAATTTCTCTCATACCGTGATCATGGGGAAGCTACTCGTTTTGTTCTGTTTCCTCAACTAAAAAAAAAGTAAGAAAAAATTTTGCATCATAGGGTAATTATGAAAAACAAATTACATATGTTTTTCTAAGCTTTTAGTTTATTTGCCACACAGTAAGCACCATTAATATGAACTATTTCTGGAATTTAATGTAATCCCTCAATTAGTCCTTTATGCAATATCCTTTTTCGTCTGTTCTGTTACCTGGCAAGTAGATGTCATGTAAACAATCGATCATTTTGGACACCAAAATTGTGCATGTCTGTAAGAAACATTTCAATGCCACTTTAGATAATGTCAGCAACTTAGTGGTTTTAAAACAGTGAGAGAAATGTATGATGAGTCTAGGTTCTGGAAATGATAGTGAAATTAATGCTAGATAGGAAAGTGCACATTTATAGATAGGGAAGTACATTTTATGTATTTGAAAGCAAGAAAAGACGACAAAATTTTAGAACGCAATTTGGGGTCAGTAATTAATCTCACTTGCATAGTTAAAGATTGCCATATAATTTTGTGATTAAATAGGTGAAGTTCTGGGAGAATGGTCAATCTTATAGTTTGTGAAATTGTACTGTTTATTAACTAAGCAGAGAAGGAACCGCATGTGTTTGTCTGTGGCTATGTTAATACAGAAAGAACATTGGAAAAATACTAGGATATCTTGCCTCTAATCTTAGCTTTATGTAATGGAATCTTAGTTCCATTACAAACTCTATGTCCTTCAATAAGTCACTTCCATGGACCTCAGTTTCCTCTAATAAAAGTATTTAGGATATGAAGTAATGGCTTAAGTTCCTTCAGATACTGTGATGCTATCATAATGTAGGACAGTTCTCAAAATATGGGCTGAGAACAAGCTTCATATTTGTGTGAGGAGGAATTTTCTTTATAAACTTCAACAAAATAGCCTATAAAAACAGATTAAATGCAGAAGCAAATAAGATAATCCAGCTGTTTTCCATTTAGTGCACATTACAGAAGTTTGCAAAAATATAATAGTGCCATAATTCTCACATTTAAAGCATTTTTTTTTTTTTTTGAGATGGAGTTTCACTCTTGTTGCCTAGGCTGGAGTGCAATGGCATGATCTCAGCTCACTACAACCTCTGCCTCCTAGATTCAAGTGATTCTCTTGCTTCAGCCTCCCAAGTAGCTGGGATTACAGGCATGTGCCACCACACCTGGCTAATTTTGTATTTTTAGTAGAGACAGGGTTTCACCATGTCGGTCAGGCTGGCTGGTCTTGAACTCCTGACTTTGGGACATCCACCCTTCTTGGCCTCCCTCGGTGCTGGGATTACAGGCATGAGCCACTGCATCCAGCCGGCATTTTTATTTAAAAAAAAAAAAGTTATTTTTCATAAAATTCTTACCTATGTGATCATTGATTTATTTTTAATCAAGTAAAAAATAATTACTGTAAGTTTTTATCATGTTTAAATATTACTATAATAAATACTGACACATATAATGTACATAAAATAATTTGGGATGCTCAATAATTTTTAGGCATATAAAAAGATTTTGTGCTATATTTATCTTTTTATTGAAAGCCATATTATTACCTTTTACTCAGTTTTCTCTATTTAGCCTTTCCCACAACGGTAATTTATATTCTGAATACTCTAATGGCTTGCCATAAACTCAATTTGGTATTTTCAAATGGAGTATTTTTTCCAATAAGGTAAAAATAATTCAGTATTTTCCTAACTACCAGCTACTATTGAATTATATTTTAGCACAGAGTTTCCCTAAGGGCAGTTTCCAGTTCCTCTTCAAATATTTAAAATATAATATTATCATGAAAATAATATGGAAAATTTGTTCATAATATAGCTCGCTATATAAAGGGGGAAAGTCTTGCCATGTGAATTTATGAATTAGAAGACTATTTTCTACATTTATTTTTCAGGTCCAAGCACTAATATCTAAATACATCATGGGAAGTCAAAGGGATCAAAATTACTAATTATTTTTCAGTGGTCATTAAAGTCAAGTTGAAAATTGTTTTGTTTTTGTTTTTGGAAAGCCTTGAGAATAAAGGCAGACATCATGAATTCATGCGGTCTAAAATTAGACTAGGAAGAGGTTTAATACATCCTCCTTGATTTTCAGAAAGATAGTGAGATTGATAAAGTTGGGTTCTGACCTGATAAAGATTTTCATTTCCTCTGCTGATACTCTACCAAAATCATCTCATTTGTTTCTTTTGTTGTTGGTTATCGAGTATTTGCAATCGAAGCCAATATTAGGCAGATAATCAAATTTCCTTTCTTCAAACTATAAATTTTAGAATCCAGACAGCAAATTAATGATTTCTTTTTTACACACTTTTATACTAAACTTGAAATGCAGGACAGTGCTCTGGGTGGCCTGGGACTAACTCAGTTCTCCCCACCTCTTTTTTCACTTGTAGTTTGCAAGAATAACTGTAGAATATGCTGGGAATGCAACATCCTGGGCTAAGAGGGGAGCTGGCTAGAACAGCCTGGACTCTGTTCCAGTTCTCTCCACATCAGAATGTCGTTCAGTGCTTTATTCTAGCATGCAACATGGCCTCAGATTACAAAACCCAGGGCAAGCTTCTTTTCAGGGTCCCTCAGCGGCAGTGCAAACTGGGGCATGAACAGATGAAATTCCATCTGCCCCAGGCAGCTTTCCTGAGCTTTGGGAGACCAGTATATAATGAATTCTAGGCTTCTGTTGTCCTTGCTGCCTCTTTGTAAGTAATACATCTGCTTCATGTAACTTGTGGTGTGCATGATATTCTGTATCACCAGACTCAGACAAGTTGGTAACTGGCACACAGTGAACCTGCTTCACACTAAAGACTATCAAGAACTCTGGAGCAGCTGAGATTTTATCCCGCTTACAAGATAGCACGTTAGCAGACCAGTTTCATACATGCTGGCAAAAGACATGAGACTCCTGGGTCAGAGACAGAGGGCGTCATTACTTATGGCACAGCAGGCGTCATGAATTTCATATTCATACTAGATCTTCTTGTCCCCAAGCCTCACGGGCATGTGGAACAGTCTAGGGGCTGCTACACACACAGTGGATTTGCATCACAGTGGAAGAAGATAGAGTTTAAAGAACAGTAAATATTATAAGGGGGTCCTAACAAAGCTACCTAATATTTACCCCAAAAAAAGACACTATTTTTATTCTCCTGGATGACAAAAATATTTGCTCTTTTATCCCTCTGCATTGGAGGTAGACATGGCCTCTACCTTCAAAGCTGGTTTGATAATCAAAGATCCCTGAACAGATACTCTAAAACAATACCTATCAAAGCTTCTGCTCTGAATAAATACAGAAACAGGAGAAAACCATGGAGATGGGAGAATACCGTTTTCTCCCAACAATTTGGATGGCCTCAGATTCTGCCCCTCCTCTGGAAAATGTTTCTGGAATTTTCCCCCAACCCTCCCTATGTCAATAAATGCTACCCTACAGGGGGTGTAGATAAAGAGAACATCTTGAACTACTGCCCAGGCTGTCCCTCCAAAAACAAGAACTATGCTCAATTATTCAAATATAACTGAAACTCCTAAGGCCTGCCACCAGCCAGTTATGCTGCTTTAGAACAACTGTCAACCTGTCTACTCCACCAGATATAAGTTCTACCTGGAAGTATGTAATACTTATAAATAAAACTTTGTTGCCAGGGTTATTATGTATGCCACTGAAATTGTACTTCTTATGTAGCAGTTAGGAATTATTTTGCCTTTCTCCCAAAAGCAGGGTGACTTGCATCTAAAGAACGGTCATAGGAAAATGCTAAATGTTGAAGAAACACCACCTCAACCCTGGGAGTCATTTAGTGAGACATTATGTACCAGCCAGAATTTGTATACATGATAGAATGGCTATCGTTTTGCTCCATTCAGGCTAAAGTAGAGTCTGTGCATTTGCTCATGTATCCTGCGATACCTAGAATAATGTTACTGGCCAGAAGAAAAGTCCAATACACAAACATAAGGAGAAACTCCTTGGCTTTCCAAGGTAGATTCTGATGGTTTAGGGATTTGCTTACTTGGGATACTGGGTGGTATAGCTGAAGTCAAAAACTGCATCTTAGTTGCACCCTGCTACATGGAGTTCTGTTTACATTAAATTTAGTCAAATGCTGCATGAAAAATATTGAACAGTTTGTGTCCCATGCCATTGGTCAGATGTATCAAAGTGGGTGATGGACTGGTGTACCCATGGGAAAGTTATCAGAAGCCAAGATGGTGTAGAAAAGCCAGATGAATATTATGTGAATATTTTCCCTGGGTCTCTTGGCACCACTGAGCAGAGGTATTGACAGCTTGTGTTCTGAACTGTTTCTTCAAAGATGTCTGCATACTAAAAGCCTAGAATTATAAATGTAGTGTTTCCCTCTAGGGCAGAAAGTAGACTTATTTGCTATCCAGAATACTAAGCATAAATTCTCCCTCCTACGCAACGGTGGTCAGGCTTGTTAGCATACTATTTTAAATTGAGGTTCCCTAAATTTGGGGATCCTCAGTGATGACACAAATTTATTATGTCCACAGGAAATACTTTGGCCAATACACAAGTCCCTGTGGTATTTGGGGGCAAGAGTAACCAATGGAATTATGAAGGTCATATTGTTTCCTATGCCATGAGTAATATAGTCCTATCCTCATCCAAGGATCTCATGCCATCTTGCAGAGTCCATTATCTTTGGAAGATGAAGTGCTAGCTTACAAGTGCAATAAAATCTCAGACCCTGTAAATTCTTGGCAAATATTTATCTGTATTAAATTTTATTAATGATGTTAGTATTCTTATTAAAAACATGATTGCCTTAACTCTTTAGAAAATTGAATATACTCAGGTAGTAAAAAATATTTATTATTGATCTCATAAAGTTCTTAACATAAAATATAAAATGCTACATAAGCAAACAATTACTTTTTTTCCTCTGAAGCATCAATAGAAGAGAATGCATTTCTTTTTACCTTTCTTTAGTGCTGTAGATGGGATTGACTTATTTGTTTTCAATTTTAATCCAAAATTTTCAGGACCTTTACATTCTTTGAAACATCAGCCTTTTTAACCAGCAAAGGTTTGTTCAACTTGCTCAAATACTCACTATGTTTTCACAGACAATTGATAATATCAGCTATTCCCTCTATTAAGAAAAGTTCTATTCAATTTGAGGCTTTGTAGAACTTTCTATTTTCTCTAAAACTTGTCAATCTTAATTAGCAAAGATACATTTTAGGTACTTACTTGTTCAAAATCTAATAAATAATCAACTATAAGTGCCTATTTTTCTTCAAATTTACCTGGTCTGTTTTCTAACATGGTTGTTTTTCAATTGAGAAGAATCAAGAAATATCTGGATTACTGTCATTTTTTGGCTTTAATTCCTTTTAACAGATTAAATAATCACACCAGTGTTCTGTAAAACAGTGTGGTGGAACATTCCTTACATCTCCCTCCTCTGGAGAAGGTTCGCTTTTCATCCAAGAAACTTTATTGACATACCAACTTTGATTCCTGCTCTGTAGCCCAAGGAGTATCCTCTGATGCAAGGAGTTAGTTTCTTAGGGAAGACATATACAATCTCTTTGGTATTCTTTTAATTGCTGTTATTGTGAAATATTTTAAATAAATAAAGAGGCATATCAGAAAATGTAGAACAAAGCCCTCATTCTATACTGAGCCATGAGCTATAATTGGAAAGTTTAACTGACATAAGATTTTCATATAGTCTCTATTTAGTTATGCATAAAATACAAAATGCATAGTGTATTTCAACTATGATTTCAAAAGCTGTGTTGATTTAGACAGTGACTGCATGATACTTTTTCCCCCAACCTTTAGGCATCAGACCAATCATTTTGTTCAAATTCTTATTATTGTCATTCAACATGGTTAAATATGATAGAGTGATGTTAAGATAACACTGCTGCATGAATGAAATGATATTGCTTGTCAGTGATTGATGATTAGTAGAATAAAAAGGAAATAAAGCAACTGTGAACTACAGTAATCAGGTGCACCTCAATATAAAATGACATATTTTTATTAGCAGAGAAGCAATTTTGTTGTTCAACAAGTACAGAGAGGAAGATTTTAGGAGTTGCAAATTTTGACAAGCAAAAGGAAGAAATCAAAATTGATCTGGATTTTGACTACTTTGTATAAACTTTTAAGTACAGAAGAAAAAAAATGCCCCTTTCTATTATCCTAAATTTTTCTAACTGTTCTAGATATAAAGTTTTGGGATGAGGAAGATGACAGAAAACACAAACTATGAAGTAAGAGATGAAGGTGGTTTGTCAAAAGGATTGAATAAGTGGTATTAAAAAAAAAAAGCCTGTGAAGCACTATGAAGGTGTAATATACAATATAAAGGCGAACCTATGAAGTTGTATTGTGATCACATGATAGATGAAGTCCTTACACTGTTATCTCCATCCAGATCTCTACTAATACAAAAATCTAGACTTCAGATCTTGATGTTCTACATTCTACAAGTATGAGACATTTTATTGTGATTACCTATTCTTCACTCTTTCTTCTGTCTATTCCTTTGCTATGTGATTTTGTTGTTTCTCTTACTGTACTAGGTATGCATAACCTAAGTCCTGGGATTTGGACTAAGTCATGTGACTTTGGACAATGTGATGCTGTGGCCAATGTGCATGGCACAAGCTGAGTGAATGTGGACATGTATTGTTCTTGTGTTTTCTCCTTTGTTTCTTGAGCTTCTGCCATAAGAAGAACATGATTCAGCCAGTTTGACTTCCTGGCCCAAAGAGAATAAGAGACACATGAAATAGATCTTAACACAACTTGCAATTTTGAGTTGGCAACATTAAACTTTACACTGTCAAACCTATGTCCCTGGAAAATAGCAACAATGAAATAAATATCCCAATCCTTTTTTTGTTCTTGGAAATGTCCTACCACTCCTCCCAATATAATTTAGATAAGACTCATGGACGTTCCCCGTTGTTTACCTATGGCACATCCCCTCCAAATTCCCTTTCTTTGCCTCATAAATGATGACGAAACTGTTTGTTCCCATTGATAAGTCTGGGCAAAAGACTTCTGCTTTCTTCAGGTCCTCAATTTTGATCCACTGTCAGCCTGAGCCAGCATACAACCTGTCTTTAATGGCTCATCCTGAGTATAGACAGACCACAAGGAATGCGATTCCCTGATCAACTGTGCCACCCACTCCATCCTACTTAGGTTTTTCTGTCCTGGTTTATACCTCCTTATGAAAGAAAAAAACACTCTCCTTCCTACCTTTGCAACATTTGTAGATCTGACAGTCAAAGTGTCTTTCTCTCTCAATATTCCCTTTACCTGTATTACAATATTCATTTGTTCCTACCACAGTAATCTTTTCAAATAAAATCTCTCCTTAATTAAGTCCAGATGTGTTGAAAAACACAGTTTAACAGTTTTCTGGTGCTGTGACACAAATGGTATGTGAACCAACCCTTAGATCCTAATGTCTTCACCCAAGTATGAATCCCAGCTTCTTAGAGACTTTGTGCTTATTTCTAGCTGGGGAGATCCAAATCCAAGGTGGTAAGTCCAATCTCCTAAACTCCTGCGCTGGATATTTTTATCTTGTAGTGTGGTAATGAGTTACTTTAGTTATTTCTGGCAGAGATTTTTCTTTGGCCCTTCCATGAAATCTGTTTTGTTTTCCTTCAGCTCCCTAAATCTAAGGATTTTGGGAGGTAATCTCATTGGTTCCTTGAACCTAGGGACTGGACAAGAGTATTTGCTAATCTCAACCTGGTGATTGTGTGAGAAAACTAATTGAGCAGAGCTTGTTTCTGGTTTTATTAAGGTCTCATTTCTGATTTAATTATCTACCCACTGGTGTCATGGATTAGATAATTAGGTATCATGATCCATTAGGTATCATGGATTGGTATCATGGATTAGATAATTATGCACTTGTCTTCCCTGAGTGACAAAATGCTTCACCATTCATCACCATTATGGTGCTTATTCAGTTCAATATGAACTATGACATAAATTTATATTTTTATTCTATGCCCTAAATATATACTAGTCCAAAAGGCAAAAAAAAAAACATTATTTATATGACTATTTTTTTTCTCATCCTTTAGTTTTTGCTTCAGTCAGTTTCTTAGTGAGGTCTTCTTACCTTGTATCCTAACTAGCATAGATAACCCCCACAGGATAATCTTTATTTCTGATATTTTTAAATATACTACTTATGCAAAATTACATTTGTAAAAATTAGTTATCTAATTTTCCTCTTTCTCAATCACCAAATGAAAGTTACATGAGAGTAGAGACCATGTCAAATTTGTTTACCCATGGACAATCACATAATACTTTATCACTTATTTCATAAATATGTGAATCTACTTTGCTGTAAAGGATGATATAATTTTTATTACATTAGACATATTTTTATTTTAGAATCATAATTTACTAGAATATTAATTTATTTGCCAATAAAACATGTAAAGCATAAGAATTTGGAATCAAAAATCACAACCTGAAGGCAGCTTAACATTAACGCAAGCACAATACTTAAGAGAAAGAAAAATTGCTGACCAGCAAGGTGACAATAAATAGCATATAAGCAGTTCAGTCAAAACATTCAAGTCAGTTGTTCCTATAAACGTAGGCATCATCTTGTCAGTCTTATCTTTTTGATAATAGCTTTTGAAACCTGCAAATGTTTTACCGCTTATTAAGTAAGCATTCAGAGAATCAATTATTGAAAAAAAAAGTCCAATTTTCTAAAATACATCTTAAAGTAATAGATTGGATTTGGTTGCCTCTGCTGATTAGTAATTTAGAAATCGAATGATGACTTCTGTCATTCTGATGAGCTTCTGACAGAATTTTCAGTTTTGCTCTGAGTATTTTATGCTTTTTCTTTACATGATATTAATAGAATGGTCATTGAGCTGTTGAGCTGAGATCGCAAAGAAATACCTTGACATTACAGATTATGTATTTATTGGTAAATGAATACAATCATTTTAATTGCTCTTTTATTGTTGACAAAAAAGAAATAAAATACTGTAAAATAGGTATATTCTACTAATATGCATCATTATGATTTTATTTCTTCATAACTGCAGTAGTTTTGCTATGTCTTTTTCATCTCTGACAGGAAGAGTAATAACTGGCTTTATATATATGAGGATGTTGCAAGCATCAATTAGATAAATAATCAAAGAATTTAAATACCCTAAAAAACAACAAAAAATTTGCTGGTTTATTCATTGTAAGTAATCAATCAGTTAAATGTATTTTATATGTTAGCTCATATAATGTGTAAATGGGAAATTATTTTTAATTATGAAACAGCTCTCTACAATTATCAATCATCAATAATCATTTCAATGGTGGAATATATTGACTAAAAATACCTTAGATACTACAAGAATATTTTTTTCTCTTTCTCGCCCCACAGTATTTTAATGACTTTCTACTTCTATTATTAATTTTCCTTTCTACAAATAAGAAGTAAAAATAATATACAGATTTTATTTTTTTACAATTTAAAGTTCTAGAAATTCAATACAAATATCTTGGAACCTTGCTCGAGATTGTAAAACACAGATATAATAATTAGTATTTTTTATTTACTGTTCATAGTTCATAAATAATTGTTTCCATGTTTATATTAAGCCGACTGAAATAACGCTTTTTCCTATTAAACAAACTGCCCATTCACATGCAGAGGGAAAAAAAAAAAGCTGAGACCATAGAAATGTGCATATAATTTTAAACCTATACTTTATAAACAATGTATTCTATACTCTGATACAACTTTTATTTGTTCAACTCATTTAACTATTATAAAATATAACTTAAGTATCTTTAAAATACACATAATATTTTATAGATGAGAAAGCTGAAGCACAGAGATATTAAGTAATTTTTGTAAGGTCACACAGCCAGTATGTAGCAATACTGAGATTTGAACCTCAGCAGTCTGGCTCCAGAATCTGTGCTCTTAGCCATTACTTTATAATGCCTCTCACTAATTCATGAATTTAACAACATTATTGGGAGAAATGATCCTTAAAATTTGAGAAAAATATCTTTTTGAAAAAATGAATAGTAATTTCCTTGAATGGAAATATTATGAAATATAACTGGTTAGGAAACCATAGCCATGTGTCACTGTCTTTGTTTTGTGTTGCTATAATCAAAATACCTGAGACTGGGTCATTTGTAAAAGGCTGAAATGTATTTCTGAAAGTTCTATAGGCTGAGAAGTCCAAGATCAAGGCGCTGAGATTATTGTCTGAAGCGAGTCTGGTCTCTGCTTCCAAGACAGTGCTTTGAATGCTGCATCCTGCGGAGGCAAGGAATGTTGCTTCCTCATATGGCAGAAGGCAGAAGGGGAAAAAGAACAAACTCCTTCCAGCCCTTTTAGAAAGGCATCTATTTCCATTCATAACGGCAGAGATCTCACAATTCAATCCACCCCTAAAGCCTGCCCCTTCTAATACTCTTGCATTGGGTATGAAGTTACAACATGAATTTTGGAGGGGATAAAAACATTCAAACCATAGCATTAACCTTCACTCTTGAATTATTTGAAACTTTAAAAATAAAAGAATTGTGAAGCTATCATAATCAGAGAGCAAGAACAGTGAATAATGAAAGCAATGACCTGCCTTTTACTTACGACTTTGTCACAGATTCCTTAGGTGACATTAAGATTGGTACGTAATTATCCATGTCAGTAGATTTCAACTAGGAAATCATTTGCACCATTTAGAAGTCTCATAAAGTGAACTATTATAATATTCTCTTCTCCTCCAATGACATTAGGTTATCTTTATTACCACTATTAGGTCAATACCATACTTTCAGAAATATAATGAAACCAATGAACTTCAGAGAACTAATGCAGGTATTCTTCCTTCACTCAATGTGTCCTGGATCTTATACTCCACATTTGCTCATCTAATTTCTAAGACTTTTCAAACCATCAATTATAGATCTTCTGAAATTGAGTTTTACCTGTACATATTCTTCTCCCCCATGTTTTCATTTATAATCACCCTAAAATCTACAGACATCATTTTCATCACTGTCTGTTTGTATCGATTCACAGACAGCACTTTAACCATCAAGACCCTCAAGATTAGGTAATTTAAATCCCACTGTAGCCCATGATTTCATTGAGACTCTAATTAAATGAAATAAAGGGAAATGTTTATACATTAGAATGGCAAACTTTCCTCAATAATATTGCGTGCTTAATGTCATATTTTTAAATTTTCTTCCATATTCTTGACTAAACACAATAGAGAAGAAATTACTGACTAGACAGGGACAATATCTACTAGACATTTGGACCACTGACAAAAAAATCACACACTTTAAGAAGATAGTCATTTAAATGCTATAGACAAATAAGAATTTTAGGACAGAAATGTACTACTTCTATAAAAATCCTTTCTTTCCTCATGTAAACACAATGAAATTGATTGCTAATTATAAGACTTCTGCTTTTTAAATTTGGTTACACTTTGGAACTAAGGAATTATGCCAGGAAATTGAGTAAAGATTCTACTATTTCACATTTGTGATCTTCATTAGAAAACCTTAGGGTTTATCCTAATCACCATATCACTCTGGCAACATACAGCTTCTAAGTACAGATAAAATGACCTTATCCGAACTCCTGATAGAAAACAAAAAAAGTTACTCTGTAATTCATACTTTTGGGCTCTAGATATATCAGCTTAGAGCTATGTAGTTCCTCTTTAAAAAGAAATATTCTGGCTGGGCGCAGTGGCTCACGCCTGTAATCCCAGCACTTTGGGAGGCCGAGGTGGGTGGATCACCTGAGGTCGGGAGTTCAAGAGCAGCCTGGCCAACACGATGAAATCCCATCTCTCTTAAAAAAAAAAAAAACAAAAACAAAAAAACACACACACACACAAAATTAGCCAGGTGTGGTGGCTGTAATCCCAGCTACTAAGGAGCCTGAGGCAGGAGAATCGCTTGAACCCAGGAGGTGGAGGTTGCAGTGAGCCGAGATCATGCCACTGCACTCCAGCCTGGGAGACAAGAGTGAAACTCCGTAAAAAAAAAAAAAAAAAAAAAAAAAATTAATTAATTAAAATACTGCATTGACATACTGTAATGCTTTATCCATACCCAAAAAATAAATAACATTATTAAGTACACCTTAAAAATAGATATAGTTATTATTATAGATATCAAAGCTACAAGATAATCCAAACTATAGTTTACATCCTGATGAGGTGTATATTTTTACCTAACACCAATTTCTTCCAAACTTTTTTCTCCTTCTTATATTAAAAATCACTAAGATCCTTTTTTTCTTCTACTTCCTCAGTAACTGCTGTAAAACCAAAGCCTAAAACTAAACTGGCCAGTAGAACTAATTGCCATCACAACTCCAGAGCGTTTTAGATGATGAGTAAGAGAGGTAACCAATCTTGGAAACTTTAATAAGCTCCGTCACTCTAGGATAAGTCATCAAACTCTCTGTACTATCTAGATACAAACAAGAAACTTGTGTTAAGAGTAGCTTTAAATTTTGGAGAAAAAAAAAGATATCTTGCAAATTAAAAACGTCTACTATTTTTCCATACGTAATTTTTATTACCTATGATATCTAAATACTCTCTCTTACTTTCTATGTATTTTCCCCTTCAAAAGCTAAGAGGCACGTTTCATGCAAAAAAATAAGTAAATAAAATAAAAAGTGTATTGAAAGAGAACTTAGTAATGAACAGTGTCGTTTAAAATAATCCATAGTGTTTAGATAAGAGAAAATATGGTTCAGAAAACAACCATATCTAGATCGTTATAAATTTATAGCAGTGAAGAGAGCTTATCAGTTACACTTGGTAAGTTTTAAATATTGTATTTCTGTAATATTTCTAGATGAAAGGATGTAATATGCTCCCATAGAGCTTGCTTGATTTATTGGGAAAATAATACATATTTTGAAAAATGAGCTCTGTGAGCATTGATGAAAAAGTCCGAGAGAACACAGAAGGAGTGGTTACAGTCTGCTGCATAAATAATGCATTAGAAATCTGTTCCCATTCGAAAGCACAAGTAAAATTTTTCTAATGGCACCCGAAATGTTAATTCTGAAACTTCTTCGCAATTAGGAATGCCACCATTATTTTCTCTTTTGAAGATAATCAAATTAATTATTTTGAATGTATTGAAGGTGCTTTAAGATGGATTTTGGCATAAGAAAATTACATCCTCTTAATTGGTGTTAAAGGTAACAATTTCAGTTCGTATATTTTGTTACAGAGTTCATATGGTTACATATTTGGGCTTAAAAATAAAGTAGCTAAGAAATTAGGTTCACAAAATATCCCATAAATGAAAAAGTGGAACCAATAAAATTTAGTTAACAAAGAAGTTGATATAAATTAAATAATTTTATAAAGATTATTTGTATAATAAAAATTGTAAGATGTTTTATTTACATAGTAATTTAATCAAAGATAAATTTAACCTTCCTCTATGTTTTCGGAAACTTGTTTTAATTTACAGTAAAGAATAATTTTTAAACGTGATAAAATGGTTTGTAAATAATCAGTTTTAAGTTTCCAGTATATATTTTCTCCTACTATACAGTAATTATCTTATAAATTTCTTAGTATATTAACTTTATTTGTTAGCCTTTCCTCTAAGCTGCAAAGGCCAAGATTCTATCTAGTGATATAGCAGCATATAATAATAATAGTTTAATTAGAAAACTCAAGGAACAATGCATGCTTCATACTGTAAGTTTTTAAAGTACTACAAATCATCACTTTTTATCTATTATTATTTCATTCTACAATGAAAATCAATTAACCTAGCACCTTTTTCTGTTTTTTTAGATCATTTCTTTCCTTTCATCAAATGGAATTAATTCTGGCTTTTGAGGGTTTTGAAAGTTTGTCAAAATTTGATTTCTTTATACTTCTCTCTCTAAAAATAAAAAGTTCCAATTTAAAAATTTCCAAAAATAATATCTTTTTCAATATTTCAATAATATTTTGAAGTCACATCTTATAAAATTTTAGTATCGCTTTAGTATGCTAAAGACAGGACTGCAATATCTTAATTACAAATGATTTACAATGCTAAATAAAAAATCCCTGCCCTGACAGGAAAGGGGTTGTTGTTTAGTTGCAATGCAGGGAATAGAGATAGAAACAGCAAGAGGGTACAGTAAATGTTTGCAAATGAATACATGAGAAATCCAGGCCCTAACTTTATTCTCCCCATTACAGATCCAATACATTAATACATATATAATAAATTCACATGTATTTTTATTTTTGTATGGCTAATGGGTCTCTGACTCAGTGCTAAATACATTCATTAATTATCTTACTAAATTCTCCCCAGCAACTGTTTCAGTCAAGGAACTTCATTATCAACATTTCCTACATAAATTACTTGATGAAGTTAAACATTTATTTGCAAAAGCTGGCATGTGAAAGAGCAGAATTTAAACTTGGATATGTTTAACAATACAGTCTGTGTTCTTGAAAATTCCACCATTCTGCCTGAAAATAGACCAGAGAGGAGCCCCTTGGGTGAACTTTATCTTCCATTCTACCCTGAAGAGTGTCAGGCATGCCTCCGATGCTGTTCAATACAATTTTCAACAGATTGGAGGATACAAATAAATATATATAAGTAGACACATTCCAGTAAAAAAGAAATGATGATAAAATTCCATAACTCCATAAAAATTCAAAGAAAGTTAGCTGAAATTATAAGAGGAAAAACACTAACAATTAAACTCAATTTCATGACTAAATTCAACTTCATAACTGGACATCATATAACATGACTTCATGTATCTATGCTTCTATCTGCAGCTATGGATTCATGGAACAGATAAGACTTTATGTCCCTTAATCTTTGTCCTATCAATAGTTTTGGTGAAAAATAAAATCAGTCAATAAGTTTACCAAGTGCAATAACAGTGTACAAACAAGTCACCAACTAGCAATCTATCGATTAGATATTTGTGTGGAAGAAAGCACAGAAAATCTGATAGATTTTAGCTAAGGAAGTTGGAGTGGGTAATTAATGGGATTTTTGTGTTTGTTCAAGCATCATGGAGGCTGCCTTTCTCCCTGATCAAAGTAACCCAAAATTTGTGTCTGGATACCTCTCTGTATTAGTCCGTTTTCACAGTGCTGTCAAAGAACTACCTGAGACTGGGTAATTTATAAAGAAAACAGGTTTAATCCACTCACAGCTCTGCATGGCTGGGGAAGCCTCAGGAAACTTACAATCATGGCTCAAGGAGAAGCAGGTGTGTCTTACATGGTGGCAGTTGAGAAAGAGTGTGTGAAAGAGCAACTTTCAAACACTTATAAAACCATCAGAACTTGAGAGAACTCACTCACTATCATGAAAACAGCATTGGGAAAACCACACCTATGATCAAATCACCTCCCACAGGATTCCTCCTTTGATAAGTGGTGATCATGGGGATTATAATTTGAGATGAGATTTGCAGGAAGACACAGAATCAAATCACGTCATTCCACCCTGGACCTTTCCAAATCTTACATCCTTTTAACATTTAAGAACCAATCATGCCTTCCTTCCCAAGAGTACCCCAAAGTCTTAATTCATTCCAGCATTAACCCAAAAGTTCAAGTCCAAAGTCTCATCTGAGAATAGGCAAGTCCCTTCCACCTAGGATGCTGTAAAATAAAAAAATTAAGTTAGTTACTTCCAAGACACAATAAAGGTAGAGGCATTGAATAAATGCTCCCATTCCAAGTGAGAGAAATTGACCAAGACATAGGGTATACAGACCCCATGCAAGTCCAGAAGAGGGGCAATCATTACATCTTAAAGTTCCAAAATAATTTCCTTTGACTCCATATCTCACATCTGGGGCACACTGATGCAAAGGGTGGACTCCCACCACCTTCAGCAGCTCCACCCCTGTGGCTTTGCAGACTTCAGCCCCCACAGCTGCTCTCAAGGGCTGGCGTTGAATGCCTGTGGCTTTTGCAGGTGCACAGCACAAGTCATTGGTGAATCTACCATTCTGGGGTTTGGAGAATGGTGGCAATCTTCTCACAGCTCCACTAGGCAGTGCCCCAGTGGTGACTCTGTGTCGGGGTTCCAACACCGTATTACTCTTCTCCATTGCTCTAGCAGAGGTTCTCCATAAGGGCTCTTCCCCTGCAGAAGACTTCTGCCTGGACATCTAGGCATTTCCTTACATCTTCTGAAATCTAGGCAGAAGTTCCCAAACCACAATTCTTGACTTATGTGAACCTGCAGGCCCAACACCATGTGGAAGCTGCCAAGACTTGAGGTTTTCATCCTATGAAACAATGCCCTGAGCTGTAGGTGGCCCCTTTTAGCCACAGCTGGAGGTAGAGCAGCTGGGAGACATGGCATCAAGATTGAGGCTGCACAGAGAAACGGGGTCCAAGGCCCTGCCCATTAAACCATTTTTCCCTCCTATGCCAGGTCTGTCCTGCAGACCCTGGCCAAGTGACTGATGAAAGGAGTATTCAGACACAGGTATGCAGTGTAAGAGCAGCTAGGTATCTGACTGGCTCTAGTGGCCAAAGTGCAGCAGCCCTGATAAACTGGAGCTGCTTGTTTTTATTTGGTGTAGACATAATGCCAAAAGCCTGGAGCAAACACAATCTGCAAGTAAGATGATCAAAGGTCGGTTCTTGGTCAACATAAGTCAACAGGCCTGTTTAAAATAAATTCCCCTACACTCCCTTGTACCTACTCCTTGCCCTTTGCCTCAGGGTTAGAGAACGGCTGCCTTCAGCTATTCTCACGCAAAGCTTTGCAGAGACTTCTGACGTTTCAGAAGGCCTGCTCCTTTCCCTGTAGCTTCTCCCACCACTGACTGATCTCCCACACTCCTAGGCCTCAGAGACTGTGATGAGAGGAGCTGCTGTGAAGATCTCTGACATGCCTCAGTCTGGACTTCATTGTCCACATAACTATCAGCATTTTAATCAAAACCATTCAACAAGTCTCTAGGAAGTTCCAAACTTTCCCATATCTTTCTTTCTTCTTCTTAGCTCCCCAAACTCTTCCAATCTCTGCCCATTACCCAGTTCCAAAGTTGTTTCCATATTTTTACATTATCTTTATAGCAGTACCACACTCTACCTGTGTACCAATTTACTATACTAGTCTCTTCTCACACTGCTATAAAAAACTGCCTGAGACTTTGTAATTGATTTAAAAAAGGGAGTTTTATTGATTCACAGTTTTCTATGGCTGCGGAGGCCCCAGAACACTTACAATCATGGTGGAAGGGGAAGCAGGCACATCTTACATGGAGGCAGGCAAGAGAGTGTGTGAAGGAGGAACAGTCAAACATTTATAAAACCATCAGATCTCATGAGAACTCACTCAGTATCATGAGACCACCATGGAGGAAACAGCCCCCATGATCCAATCACCTCCCAATAGATTCCTCCGTTGACACAGGGGGATTATGGGGATTACAATTCGAGATGAGATTTGGGTGAGGACACAAAACCAATCCATATACCCAGCATAGAAGAAAAGCATATTTCTGGGGAAGACTATAAGCTCCACAGCCCTCAGGAAATAAATCTGTCATAGTTTACAGGGTTGGATAATAATTGGCCACTTTTACAATTTATACCAAAGAAAGCATTCAGTTACACAGTAATCTTTTAGAAAAATTAAATTTCTTCAGATTCCCTGACACTGTCACTAGTATCAATTTTAACCTAAGCAGAAGTGTGCAGTATGTTTTGGTTGCCCCTTATGTGCTATAAACTCAAAGAAAATTCTAAAGAAAAAATATGTATTTCCAGTATTTATCATGAACAGTGGAAAACACCATCTGTTTCATCTACTTCTATGGACTTGAGAATAGACAATATGTAGTTTCACTTTTGTATTGTCAGGGTGTAGCTCGATGGCTAACACGAAGTAGGCTATCTAAAATTATTTTACAGATTAATAAATAAATGAGCCCAGTGAATATATGGATTGGCACTCACCTGAAAACATATTTTTTGATCCTAAAGCAACATACAAATGTAATTATGAAATGATATTCTGAATAGTATTTGACAACATTTATATCAGAAATATGATATAAAGGAGTGTGTAAAATCATGCACTCTTAGAACAAGACTCTGGTGAGTTTGAATCTTGGTGTTGATGCATGAATTATATGATCTTAGTCAAGTTTATTTATACTCACTTTACCTCAGTTTTCTCATATGTAAAATGGTAATAAAAAATTACTAATATCATAGATTTGTTATGAGAAAAAATAGCATAAAATTTTTAAACCTCAGGTAAAATATAAACATTCAAACGGTGATATCAAGAGGATTTTGTAAACTATCAGGAAATATTAACTGTGTTCAATGTTTTATTTCAATCAAAATGTCTCTAAACAAGTAAAGATATTTTCTCTTAATTTGTTGCCTTTGCAATAACACCTCTTCATCAACAAATGGCAAGTTCAGTTTTTTCCACTCTTTCTGACAACATGGTTCTTTGATAATTTCTTGATTTAAAGCACAATTTAAATGTAACTATGATGTCATTGTGATTTACAGAGATAATTCAGTAGGGGAAATTAGTGTTTGAGGCTTGAAGTTAGTACAAGTCTGTGGAGAAATATTCCACAAATAAGTGTTATCAAATGCCACAGGATATTGAGCAAGAAAAAAGTTACCAGGTGGTTTGAGCTTTATATGGCAACTAAATGTAGCAGCTAAATATAACGTGCACCTCAGTCTACCATGAAAATAAGCGTTCTCCAAAAACTGGGATGTTTTGTCTTAAACAATATTCTGAAGCCTTCCCCAGGATCTGCTGCTGTCTTCTTTGCCCATTTCTGTGACACTTACCTGTAAGCATCCACTGTTATTAGCATTATTATTCTCTGCTGTTATGGCCTCTTGGCCTTTTCTTTTAAGCTAACCTGTCAGCCTCTATGCCTCTTTTTGACTCTTTCATTATGGTGCTGTGAGAAACTTAACAAACTACATATTGAATATAAAGTGGGCAATTTTTTGAAGTTCTGAATTTTCCAGAACAAAGAAAATATTTTTTCTACAGTAAAATTAAGACTTAAACCATATTTACATCTGTGGTAAACCCTACTCAAATGACTCCCAACATAACAGAAATTGTAATATCAGAGTCAAATTATTTGTCACCTTGAAACTTGACTGAGTATATATCATATGCTTATATCACATAGGCAGTAAGCCCTTCTAATTTCTGTGTTGTTATACCACTTTATTCCACCAGGTGAAGTAGACATTTTTACAGCTTTCAAGAAGCCTGTAATCACTAAGGAGAGAGACAGTAGTAATTAGCAAATATAGGGAGTAAGATACTGGAGTATCAAAGCCATTACAATGATACCTACAAGTACTATGAACTCAATAAGTCAAATTCTAATTCATGTAGCTCATAGCCACATTATGACTGAAGCTCAAAGAATTGCTTAACTACATCAGAGGGGTGTGCAGTACAGAGAGTGACATGGGAAGCAGAAGCCATTGATAAATTATCCTCTCATCCTTTGAGCAATCTTTGTGGGAGGTAGGATATAGTGATTAATTGGACTGTTGCATCCAAGTATTTCAAGCTTGGAATATTATTCTTGAAAAAAATAGCCTCCTGTAAAGGATAAGAAGATGAAGAGAAATTTGAGCCTATACGTGAAAATGAGAGATGACAGATACATAGAGCATGCTGATGAAAGGTTTTCTATCAGTGGGAAAGTGACTGAGTGTTTAAACTCAATGATTAATTAATCATTTGGAACTTGAAATAGCTACAGGAAATGGTATTTTGTCTTGAATCTACAGGAAATGTTATTTTGTTTAAGTCTTATTTGGAAGAGTAGGAGGTTAGTCCAAAGATTTATTTAAGCAAACAGATTTATTGAATCTGGCTGTCTAAGGCATTACAGAAGAACAGATTTTCTGAATGTACTTTTTCAACTATCCTATCTACTTTGATCTCTATGAAGCAAATTTTGACCACTTCTTGCCCTGAATATTCATTTTCATGCATCTTGAATAAAATATATGTAATAATTAAGGAGATTATAAGACCTCGCTAATAAGAATTGCAGGCTTCTCAATATATAGTCTTTATTGAATCGTTTTACTGATATCTGAAACAATATGAATTCCTTTCTTTAAAAATACAACTTAGAAGAGACTTTTAAAATTATCTTTTGAGTGAGATTTTTCAGATAACATTAAAGAACTGAGAGTTACAGTTTGTATTTTTGTATATGTGGATAAGTGTCTACAATATTAACAAAAGTAATATCCTACATAGAAAAATAATTATAATATTTTTTAATCCTTGCCTGTTTCGTATAAAAGATCTATGAGATATATTGAGCATTTCTAATAGACTTAAATGTCACCAAAACAAAAAAAGCCATGTTCATTATTACCATTACCTATGCCTGTATGTCTCTAGAGTGCAAATACAGGGAAGATTGCTTGTTTCATCCACATGACCGAGGTTAGCTTAGTGGAAATAATATTCAAGATGCATCATATGTTTAATGGACACTGAAATAACTAAAATCAATAGCGAACTATAAAAGTATTTATCAATCATAATTCTTCCTGATAAAAGCTGCAACATGTAAGATTCAGAATAAGAAAGGCACAGGACTTCATTTTTCTGAGTATATGCCTCCTTAAAATAGAAGAATTCTCCACTCTTCACTTTGGAACATTCGGAACAGAATTCTTTTTTATTTTTAATTTTTTGCATTTATGCTTATTTCTCTTTGTTTAATAATAAGAATATACTAGGTGGTCTTTTGTCTCAGGGTATTGGATAAGTTCTGTTTTATTTTTCCAATATTTAAGGATTGAATAGTATTTATCATACAGAATTGCACACCAGAAAAAAAATTTTGAAACATGTTTCTTGTTTCTCTGACAAGAACTTTTTCATTAATACATTCACATTAATTTTCATTTAATTTTTACCACAAAACCCCCAAAGCACAATGAGCACTTACATACTTACCACTCGACTTCAAAAACTATCCACATTGTGCCATGCTTGTTTGATCCACCCTTACAGCAGCTTCTTGTTGTTAGACTATTTTAAAGTGAATTCAAGACATTATAAGCTTACATCCATAAATATTACATTATGCATCTCAAAAAACATTTCATTATGTAATTAAAATGATATTACGACATCTAAGAAAACTAAAATAATTGCATAGTATCATCTATTACCCAGTCAGCATGCTAATACATTAGTACATAGATAGCTAATACAAAATGTTTTTAATGTTTTTGTATTTTTTGTATTTGCTATTTGCTATTTGTGTCCCTCTTTTTTTTTTTTTTTTCTTTTTTTTTTGAGACAGAGTCTCGCTCTGTTGCCAGGCTAAGTGCAGTGGTGCAATCTCGGCTCACTGCAACCTCCGCCTCCTGGGTTCAAGTGATTCTCCTGCCTCAGCCTCCCGAGTAGCTGGGACTACAGGCACCCGCCACCACGTCTGGCTAATTTTTTGTATTTTTAGTAGAGATGGGGTTTCACCATATTAGCCAGGATGGTCTTGATCTCTTGACCTCGTGATCCACCGGCCTTGGTCCCCCAAAGTGCTGGGATTACAGGAGTGAGCCACCGCACCAGGCACTTTTTAAATTGTTAAATTTAAAGTCCTATACCAAAGAAAGAACATTTCCTTCAATTCTCCTTTTTATTTTATTGATTTGAAGCTAAGTTATATCTAAAGGTATGTTTTCACTTAGGTGGTTACATATAGGTGGTATTTGGATATTTTAATTTCCTGCCCACTGTAATGAACTATATACCTACCAAGTATTTGTTCTTTTTTCCCAGGAAATTAACTGGATTGCATTATGCCCTTAGTGCTAAGGCTTCCAGGACTTTTATGTGAATATAGATAGCAAATATATATTTTATATATATATATATTATATATATATATATGGAGAGAGAGAGAGAGAAAGAAAAATCGTAATATCACACTAATAAATCTAATTTAAATATTAAAGACTACAGAGATATTATATAATGCAATTTACTTCCTACTGGTATATATTTATGTTGAAAAGTTTCTAAAGAACATGAGTATATTATTATTTATTGTATTCTATACTACAATATGACAGTTTCAAAATAAAACTACCAGCACTGTATAGGAAGAGTAACACCATTAAATAAACTCTAAATGTAATTTAATTACTTTGTCTTTACATATCATCCAATCGTAGAGAAAAATTAAGAAATTGGAATCCGCATAAAAGATTGCTGGTTGTTTTTTTAAAAGAAATGGTGGAGCCTCTGGAGCTTATCTCATACAATTGAGATGCGCAATTTTTGACTAGGCTGTTTTGCAAAACTAAGAAAAATACAAATAATTATTGTACATATTAATACACATTACTTTTGTCCAATAAATTCAAGTGATTATTGCCCAATGAATAACCCAGTTTTTATAAATTGATTTGCGTGTTCCTGAAATCAATGTAAATTGATATAAACACTGAATATAAAAATGTGGTTCTTTGCTTTCTCCTTCAACTAAATTGTAATATCTTCTAGTTGTCTCATTAATTAATATATTTTAAAACAAATCTTTATATTTGTAAGACAACCATGCATTATTTTTCCTTCCTTCCTCCCTCCCTCCCTCTCTTCCTTCCTTCCTTCTTTCCTTCCTTCCTCACTTCCTCCCTTTCTTTCCTTCTTTCTGTTTTTCTTTCTTTTTCTTCTTTCTCTCTTTCTTTTTTCTTTCTTTCTTCTTTCTACTTTTCTTTCTTTCTTTCTTTCTTTCTTTCTTTCTTTCTTTCTTTCTTTCTTTCTCTTTCTTTGTTTCTTTGTTTCTTTCCTTCTTTCTTTCATTCTTTCTTTCTTTCTTGACAGTGGCTTGCACTGTCATTGAGGCTGAAGTGAAGTGGCACAATTTTAGCTCACTATAATCTCAAATTCCCAAGGTCAAATGATCTTCCTGCCTCAGCCTCCAGAGGAGCACACCACCATGCCTGGATAAATAATAATTCAATTATTATTATTATTGTTATTATTATTATTTTTGTTTTTGTAGAGGTAGGGTCTTGCCCAGTCTAATCTTGAACTACCGGCCTTAAACAATCCTCCTCCCTCAGCAACCAAAAGTGCTGAAATTATAGGCATGAGCCATCACTCCCTCCTGATAACTATGTATCTTCGAAAATTATTCTGCAAAACCACTGTGAATATATTAGTCAGATGTTATATTTTTAATTTGTAGTTATGTCTCCAAATTGATAAAAAAATTATGGCATTTGTTTTAATGTCTTTTCAGTTTGAGGGATTTCTTTCTTTGTTAATATTCAAATTATTTAAAATATTTAAATTTTTAAAATGTCAATTATAAATATTAATATAAGTCCAGATTCTACAATTACAAATGAATTAAATTTTACTAACACTTCTGATATGGTTTGATTGTGTCCCCACCCAAATCTCATCTTGAATTGTATCACCCACAATTTCCACATTGTGGGAGGGACCCAGTGGTAGGTAATTAAATCATGTGGGCAGGTCTTTCCCATGCTGTTCTTATGATAGTGAATATGTCTCATGAGATCCCATGGTTTTAAAAAGGGGAGTTTCTGGACGGGTGCAGTGGCTCACGCCTGTAATCCCAGCACTTTGGGAGGCTAAGGCGGGCAGATCAGGAGGTCAGGCCAACATGGTGAAACCCCGTCTCTACTAAAAATACAAAAATTGGCTAAGTGTGGTGGTGCATGCCTGTAATCCCAGCTAGTTGGGAGGCTGAGGGAGGAGAATGGCTTGAACCCGGGAGGCAGAGACTGCAGTGAGCCGAGATCATGTCACTACACTCCAGCCTGAGGACAGATCGAGACTCCGTCTCAAAAAAAAAAAAAAAAAAAAAAAAAAGGGGGGGTGGAGTTTCCCTGCACAAGGGCTCCTGTCTGCTGCCATGTGACACATGCCTTTCACCTGCCACCATGATTGTGATGCCTCCCCAGTCACATGGAACTGCAAGTCCATTAATTTTGTTAATCGCCTAGTCTCAGGTATGTCTTCATCAGCAGCATGAAAACACAGTAGGCCGGGCGCGGTGGTTCAGGCCTGTAATCCCAGCACTTTGGGAGGCCGAGGCAGGCGGATCACGAGGTCAGGAGATAAGAGACCATCCTGGCTAACACGGTGAAACCCCGTCTCTACTAAAAATACAAAAAAAAATAGCCAGGCGCGGTGGCTCACGCCTGTAACCCCAGCACTTTGGGAGGCTGAGGTGGGCAGATCACGAGTTCAGGAGATAGATACCATCCTGGCTAACACGGTGAAACCCCGTCTCTCCTAAAAAATACAAAAAATATTAGCAGGGTGTGGTGGCGGGCGCCTGTAGTCCCAGCTACTCCAGAGGCTGAGGAAGGAGAACGGCGTGAACTTGAGAGGTGGAGCTTGCAGTGAGCCGAGATCGTGCCACTGCACTCCAGCCTGGGCGACAGAGCAAGACTCCATTTAAAAAAAAAAAAAAAAAAAAAAAAACAGAGTAATACAATTTCTGATGTCAACAGTTACCAAAGCTGTATAATATTTTAAATACACACTATTTGAAGATAACAATGAGCCGCAAATGCAGAAATAAATTGTGGAGCCAAGATGAAGGAGAAAAGACAAGGTGAATCTTCATCTTCCTATTTCACGTATTATTTTTCCTTATAGAAGAATGCTAAGTTTGAAAGTGCACCTGAGAACATGAAAAGAGCTTTCAATAGTCTCTGAGGAGATGGAATTCAGGGATTTCCAGAAGAAAAGTTTCATGATAAATATGAGAAAATGTGTTTTAAAACCACAAAAGTTGCAACCTAAGATTGAAGTGGACAGGACATAGACCAGCCCTGAGAGTCATAGAAGCTTAGAATCACGCGATAATGCTTATAATGTATGTGTTTCACATTATCTGGGATTGCTGATAACTTTAACACAGCTACCTGGCATAAGTAAACAGAAATGCTTTCTGTGGTAAGATAAATATATCCAGAGTCTCAAAAAGGCGCCGCAGTTTTTTATATACAACTATCCAAGGGGATGGCTGACTAGACGCAGCCAGAAAATGCCTCTCCCACCAAAAGAAACCAAAATGTTGAGTGAACCATTACACGTTGAACAGATCTTTTGAGAGAAAACACTGAAAGTTGATAGAAAATGCAGATAGCATAGTTGAAAACAGAGGAAGCTGGGGAGCCTGCTTGGAGATGCTGGGTACGAGGATTGGCCACCAGTCCCAAAATGAATGTAAGAAAGGGGTTAGGGAAGGAACTCTGGGGCACCACAATCCTGTCATGGATCTTTGGGATCCTGGTTACGGGAGTTACTGTAACTCCCATCTATCTACCTTTGAACTGGCAGAGAGAACTGCTTGGAGATCAGGCAGAGGCACACCTGAAACCCACGCAGATCTCAGAAGGTTTCACTGCATAGTGCAGCCGCAGCTTCCATCTAAGCTTTCCTTCCGCCTAAGCTTTCCATCTTGCACTCTGGCTGCAGCAGCTGCTGTCTGCTGGGAGAAAGCAAGGCCACCATTGTTGCTGGAATGAAGTACGTTTTATCCACGTGTTCCTTTGCCTGCCAGTCACTTTCAAAACTGCCTGCCTTGCTGCTCTCACAGACACGCCCACAGCACAGCCCCTACCGCCCTGCCTAAGTGTTTTGCTGCTGGCCTGGTAGCAGTTCAGCCCCCACCCCGAGCACAACTGGTGCTCGACCCCAAGGGGCCAGAGGGCAAATTCACAGTCCTGGTCTCAGTTTCCCAGGATCTGAGTACACCACCTAGGGGTATCAAGCTGAGATATGTGGCCTGAGTTCAAATGAGACAGGAGCCTCCACTTTTAGAACACAGAGAAAAGCGTGACATAGGTTCATATACTGGTGCAGGAACTGGGCGTCTCTCCCTTCACAAGACCAGTCTAGGAAGGGTGAGGCCTGACAGCCAGCCATAATAACTTCTTCCTCCAGGAAAAAGCTTAAAACATCTGGAACAGTTCAGCAGTCTGCTAACTTTATATCACTGAAAGAGCCATTGAAGAGGGTTAGAGAAATAGTCCTGAATTGCCAGAGCCACCATTCCCTGCTTCCCCAACAGTGGCTGCAAGATACAGAAAAAGAATCCGTGCATTTGGAAGAAAGAGAGCACCGTAACTGGAGGACTTTACTTTGGACTCAGTGCTACCTGGTTGCAGTGGAGAGCAAAGCTGTGCTGGGCTCAGATAGTGCCTGAGCACAAAGGAATAATTTGCATCAGATCTAACTGGAGGGGAATCACCCATCTCAGTGGTCAGAATTTGAATTTCTTGGCAAACCTCGCCACTATGGGTCAAAGTGCTCTGGGATCCTAGGTTAACATGAAAGGCAGTCTAGGACACAAGGACCACAATTCCTAGGCAACTCTTAGTGCTAAGCTGAGCTCAGAGCCAGTGGACTAGGGTGGGATGTGATCTAGGGAGAGAACAGCCAGGGCAGCTAAGGTAGTGCTTGTGTCACTCCTTCCCCAAACCTAGACAGTGCAGCTCACAGCAATGAATGTGACTCCTTCCTTCTGCTTGAGCAAAGGAGAATGAAGAACAAGGAGGACTTTGTTTTGCATATTGTGTATCAGCTCTACCATAGGATAGGAAACCAGGCAGTGATGTGGCTCCCATTCCAAGTCATAGCTCCCAGAAGACATTTGTAGACACACCCTGGGACAAAAGGGAAACCATTTCCTTGACAGAAGGACCCAGTCCTGGTAGGATTTATTACCTGCTGACTAAAGACCCCTTGGGTCATGAATAATCAGCAGTGACCCCTAGGTAGTATGCCATTGGCCTTGGGCTCTGAAAAGGGTTGACTTTACGTGTGACCCAGCACATGTAGCTGAGGTGGCTACGGTGAAATAATCCTTCTGTTTGAGAAAAACAGAAGGAAAAGTAAAGGGGACTTTGCCTTGCTCCTCAGGTACTAGCTTGGCCACGGGGGATAAAAGCAGCAAGCAGGCTCATAGGGTTCCTGAGTCTGGGAATAGGCACTTGGACAAGATTTCTGGACCTGCCTTGGGCCAAAGAGGAGCCCACAGCCCTGGAGGCTGTGTCCCAGTCCTGGCAACACTCACCACAAGCTAAGTGAAGAGCCTTTGGGCTTTAAGTAAATATCAGTGGTGGCCTGGCAGAAACCCTGTGATCTGGAAGTGGTGGTGGTACAGGCTTCTCTACCTGTGGAAAGGAAGGGGAGAGCAGAAAGGACTTTGTATTGTGCTTTGAGTGCCATCTTTTTTTTAAATCAATTAATTTTGTTATACTTTAAGTTCTAGGGCACATGTGCACCACGTGCAGGTTTGTTACTTAGGTACACATATGCCATGTTGGTTTGCTGCACCCATCAACTTGTCATTTATATTAGCTATTTCTCCTAATGCTATCCCTCCTCCAGCCCCCCACCCCCCAACAGGCCCCAGTGTGTGATGTTCCTCGCCCTGTGTCCAAGTGTTCTCACTGTTCAATTCCCACCTATGAGTGAGAACATGCGGTGTTTGGTTTTCTGTCTTTGTGATAGTTTGCTGAGAATGATGGTTTCCAGCTTCATCCATGTCCTTGAAAAGGACATGAACTCATACTTTTTTATGGTTGCATAGTATTCCATGGTGTATATGTGCCACATTTTCTTTATCCACTCAATCATTGATGGACATTTGGGTTGGTTCTAAGTTTTTGCTATTGTGAATAGTGCCACAATAAACATACGTGTGCATGTGTCTTTATAGTAGCATGATTTATAATCCTTTGGGTACATACCCAGTAATGAGATTGCTGGGTCAAATGGTATTTCTAGTTCCAGATCCCTGAGGAATCACCACACTGTCTTCCACAATGGTTGAACTAATTTACACTCCCAACAGTGTAAAAGCATTCATATTTCTACACATCCTCTCCAGCGTCTGTTGTTTCCTGACTTTTTAACGATCGCCATTCTAACTGGTGTGAGATGGTATCTCCTTGTGGTTTTGATTTGCATTTCTCTGATGACTAGTGATGATGAGCACTTTTTCATGTGTCTGTTGGCTGCATAAATGTCTTCTTTTGAGAAGTGTCTGTTCATATCCTTTGCCCACTTTTTGATGGGGTTGTTTGTCTTTTTTTTTCTTGTAAATTCATCTAAGTTATTTGTAGACTCTGGATATTAGCCCTTTTTCAGATGGGTAGATTGCAAAAATTTTCTCCCATTCTGTAGGTTGCCTGTTCAATCTGATGGTAGTTTCTTTTGCCATGCAGAAGCTCTTTAGTTTAATTAGTTCCCATTTGTCTATTATCTTAGTTGCAGGGAAATTTCTAAGGTTTCAACTTCAATCCCTGGTTGACAGACAGCAATTCTGGACCTGCCTAGGGGCTGGAGAAACTCACTGCCCTGAAGGAAGGGACACACATTTGGCTACCTTTACCACTTTCTGATATAGAGCCCTAGGGATTTATGTGAACATAAGGTAGCCAGTTAGTGATTAGCGTGGGCCTTGGGCAAGACCCAGTGCTGTGCTGGCTTTAGGTCTGACCCAGTGCAGTCCCAGTGATGGTAGCCAGAGAGGAGCTTGCATCATATCACCAGTTCCAGGTGGCATAGCAGACAGAGAGACTTTGTTTGGGAAAATGTAAGGAAAAAGAACAAGAGTCTCTGTCTGATAATCCAGATAATTTTTTCAGATCTTATCCAAAATTACTAAAGTGGTATTTCTACAAGTCTGCAATAATCACATATTAGGCTTGGGATCACCTGAAAAGCCTTCTCAAGAAAAACAAGCACACACAAACGCAGACTGCAAAGGCTACAATAAATAGCTAGCTCTCCAATACGCAGACACTGACAAACATCTACAGACATGAAGATCTTTCAGGAAAACGTGACCTCACCAGATGAACTAAATAAGGCATCAGGAACCAATTCCTGGAGAAATGGAGATATGTGAAGTTTCAGAGAGAGTTTTCAAAATAGCTGTTTTGAAGAAACCCAAATAAATTCAAGATAACACAGAGAAGAAATTCAGAATTCTATCAAATCAATGTAACCAAAATTGAAATAATTAAAAAGAATCAAGCAGAAATTTTAGAGTTGAAAATGCAACTGACATATGGAATAATGCATCAGAGTCTCTTAATAGCAAAATTAATCAAGACAAAGAAAGAATTAGTGAGCTGAAAGCCAGGCTATTTGAAAATACACAGATAGATGAGACAAAAGGAAAAAGAAGAAAAAATAATGAACCATGCCTACAAAATTGCCTCCAAAGGGCAAATCTAAGAGCTATTGACCCTAAAAAGGAGGTAGAGAAATAGATAGGGGTAGAAAGTTTATTCAAAGGGATAATATCAGAGAACTTCCTAAACCTAAAGAAATATATCAACATTCAAGTACAAGAAGAATATAAAACATCAAGCAGCTTTACTGCATAAAAGACTACCTCAAGGCATTTAGTAATCAAACTCCCAAAGGTCAAGGATAAAGAAAAGATCCTAAATGCAGCAAGAGAAATGAAACAAATAACAAATATTTGAGCTCCAATATGTCTGGCAGCAGACTCTTCAGTGGAAACCTTGTAAGGTAGGAGAGAGGTCTGACATATTCAAAGTACTGAAGGGAAAAAAACAAAACAAAACAGCTTTTACCCTAGAATAGGGGATCCAGTGAAAATCTCCTTAAAGCATGAAGGATAAATATAGACTATCTCAGACAAACAAACCTAAGGGATTTCATCAACACCAGACCTGTCCTAAAAGAAATGCCAAAGGAAGTTCTTCAATAAGAAAGAAAAGGATGTTTATGAGCAAGAGAAATCATCTGAAGGTACAAAACTCACTGGTAATAGCACATCAAAAAACACAGAATCTTATAACAGTGTAACTGTGGTGTGTACATTACTTTTATCTTAAGTAGAAAGACCAAATGATGAACCAATCAAAAACAATAACTACAACAACTTTTCAATACGTAGTACAATATGACATAAAGAGAAACAACAAAAAGTTAAAAAAAAAAAAAAAAAAAACAGGGGCAAGAAGTTAAATTGTAGAGCAGGGGTGTCCAGTGTTTTGAATTCCTTTGGCCACATTGGAAGAAGAATTGTTTTGGGCTACAGATAAAGTAAACTAACATTAACAATAGCTAATGAGATTTTAAAAATCACAAAAAAACCTCATGTTTTAAGAAAGTTTACAAATTTGTATTGGTCTACATTGAAAGCCATCCTGGGCTGCAGGTTGCCCACAGCAGCAGGTTAGATAAGCTTGGTGTAGAGTTTTAGTTGTCTTTTCGTGTTTTTTTTTTTTTGTTTGTTTTTTGTTTTTTTGCAATCAGTTTTGTCATTAGTTTAAAATAATGGGTTTTAAGATAGTGTTTACAAGCCTCTTGGTAGCCTCAAGGCATACACAAAAAATAAAAAGCAAGAAATAGGCCCAGCGCGGTGGCTCATGCCTGTAATCCCAGCAGTTTGGGAGGCCGAGGTGGGCTGAGCACGAGGTCAGGAGATCAAGACCACACCATGGTGAAACTCCATCTCTACTAAAAATACAAAAAAATTAGCCTGGCGCGGTGGCGGGCACCTGTATTCCCAGCTACTCAGGAGGCGGAGCTTGCAGTTAGGCAAGATCTTGCCACTTCACTCCAGCCTGGGCGACCCAGCGAGACTCCATCAAAAAAAAAAAAAAGAAAGAAAAGAAAAGCAAGAAATAAAATCATACCACCAGAGAAAATCACCTTCATGAAAAGAAAGACAGAAAGGAAGGAAAGAAGGGGAAGTCTGAAAAAAAAAAGAAAAACAACTATAGAAAACACATATTAAAAAAGCAAGAGTAAGTAAGTCCCTATTTATAAATAATAACGTTAAACATAAAAAGCTTCTGCACAGCAAACAAAACAATCAACAAAGTGAATCTGACAAATGATTAATATCCAGAATATATAAGGGGTTCGAAGAATCCTATAGGAAAAAATCTAACAATCTGATTAAGAAATGAGCAATAGAGCACCCTCCAGGATAGAATCATGCATTTCTAATAGTTAAAAATAGATCTAAAGATACTTGGCATTTAAAATCTAACTTTTTTAGCTAAGGTAATTGAAACTCAGAGAAAACATCTGACATGGCCATAAACACATACGCAACTCCAAAATGCAGTGTGTTCTCAAAAGTGAATTATTATCTCACAGGGCCAGATCCAGAACATTTGAACTTTTTTGTACTTAGATATTCTGAAGATATACTCTTCCAAGTTCTCAAAATTATATCTAAATTATATAGAAACTACCAAAAGAAAAACAAAAAGATTTGGGAAAATTATTGCAGCTGTTCTCCAAAGACAACGATGCTGTCTTCAACGGAGCATGGAGCTAAAGGGTCAGTATGAACAGTATATATTTTATTTCCTAGCATAAATAACAATGTTTATTTTAACTTAATTTCTGGTTTCCTTGGCAATCTTTCTGTAAATTTGGAGAAAGAATGTTTAAATAATATAAAGGCAAGAGAAAACTTGGGGAGTAAAAGTGTTTGGAAGAACCTCCTTGATTTTTCACCTTCCCCAAGCTACATACTTAAATACATGAATATATATTACTTACATGTAAATGGTTGACTGATTGATATCCCATAATATTATTTTTCTAAATTATGTAGTATTTGGAGGTAACAATGTATAGGTAGATACCAATCTGTATTCACTGATAAGCAATGTTTTCTTCAGTTAAAATCTACATAAGTAATTGTATCCTAAACCATGTGGCCACTAGCTATATCTGATATTACTTATATCACATGCATTCATTTATTCATTTAAAAGACTTTTAATTTTCTCTCTTGTGTTAAGTATCAGATATTGCATCATACTTGTATTTTATTTACGACTTCACTACCTCTTCATCTCATTTTTTAACTCCAGCTATTATTTTAGGGATAAATTCCACATGGGCTATGACAAACTACATAGGTGAAACCTGTTAGGTCCTTGCTTTGTGTGCTGCATCATGTGCCTCTTGCTTTCTTCAAAGGGCTTCTCAGTTGCTTTAATGTGGATGACTGAAGGACATCATTTGACACTCAAGAATGTGCAATCTATTCATGCAGGAACTGATGCACACAAGGTCGCCTTTGATCAATAGGGAATAAGCACTAAAGAAGAAATACGTTCCTTTTTATCTCTTTTGGAGACAAATTATCAGATTCATAAGAACCCTGAAATGTTCTTTGAAACTGAGCCCCAGTATCCCACAGGAGTAGATAACTATATCTTTGTATTAATTTATCCTCCTTAGCTTTCCAGATTACCAGTCTCATTCACCTACTACTTGAAATCAAATTACCAATAAATTGTCTTCATATAAGCCTTTACCTTTGTCTTTGTATCTAGAATAATGCAGCTGGTTAACTTCAGGCAGGATTTTAAAGTTGCATCACATAGCCATCAGCAGAGAATCAAGTTTCTACAACTTTGGTAATTAACATAGCAATCACCATGTACTTGTGGTAGCAACAAAATTATTCTGACTTTCACTGAAATGATTGGGATTAGGTGCAGGGAGAAAATGATATTTTGGGTTATAACATTTAAAACGAAAGGGTAAGGGTTATACAGGAATGCACAGATGTGTGCTTTTTGTAACTGTTTTGGAAGTCTTAAACATAAAATAGCATGCTTAAGTTAAACATCTAAACAACTCAAGCCATTTCTGGAAAGCCAGAGAACTTCCATAGTAGCCTTTAAGAAGACTTGCTTCTCACAGTTTCATGGCAGACTGTGCTAAGCATTAGGCCCTGGTCTTCCATAAGGGTGGAAGAGCATCATACACATCTGAAAATGTAGCCTTTATATATCTCTCCCATCAAAATCAAGAACCTGATAGGAGAAGAATGGTCCTCTGAAATTTAAGATGAGCCTGAAAAACTTTGGACTCCTAGATTCTTCTAAATATTCTGAGATATATAAAACTCTGTGCTCAGTAACTGAACAGTAATCTGTGAAGCAAAGGGTAGACACAGGATTTTTTCCCCTCACCCTCAGTCCAATGACTTACTTGTGTATTTGGTCCCTATCATTACAGTGACCACTACTGCAGACTAGAGATTCTGATTCCTATGGGAAAATACTTTCACTAGGGAGCACAGTAATATTTCTGTGTAATGCTTTATATGCCTTGCAGTCACTTTGTGCTTCCCATGCCAATGGACCCTAGAGAAAAAATGTAGTTTATATACTAGGGGGGTTAGGAGTATGATGGGGTCATTGACACTGTGTATCATGGGGAAGTAAGATAGCAGTTACATAATTGAGGAAAGAATAAATACGTCTGGAACCAGGCATATCCACTGGTTCATGTCTTCAACCTTTCATAACGGTGGATTATGTATTGAAGGAACCTCAGGTTAACAAGGGAAAGTAAATTAAGGACTTAGTCTCCTCATAAATGAAGGTTAGGGTCATCTTATCAGGGAAGCAACATAGATCCACCACTTTTCAGCTAAGGGTAAAAGCAAACCATAAATTGTGATTTAGAAATAAAATGAAAATATTATTAACGGCCTTGGTATCAGCTGAGGTGGTGGGTACTGGTAGCTTATTTTATTAACTCACATATATTACATTATTTGTGATGATTTGTACTTCCTTTAGGAGCGTGCAAGTGGTGAGCTGTAACTTATGCGTTTTGCACTATTTCATATCCTACCAGCCACGCCTCATACACTAACATCTGTGTCCACTATTACACTGTAAAGCTTGATCACTTTTGTAGAGATGTAATCTTACTGCATCTTGCCTCTGTCATCAAAACATATACTTCCTATTTTCTGCTGATTTCTCTTATTCTGTATCATAGGATGACACAGGAACACATTTAAAATTCATACATGAACAATTTAATGTTAATGGGTGGGAGGGTTAATGCTGGGAAGACAACATCAAGAAATAAATACACCCTTTATTTTCATCTACATTGGGGGACAGTTTTGACATACTTTTTATCAGGATCCTCAGAATGTAAAGTAGAACTAAATGTCAGTCACCAGTAGTGGTAGCCAATTTGATAAGATATCCTCATGTTGTCTTCCCTTATTTTCTGTATATGTCCTCTGTTTTCATACTTTATCTTGAAGAACTCATTTCTAAATAATTATCTCTACATGAGACGTTTACTCAGGGTTTTTTTGGGGGGGGGCGGGGTGGGGGAGGGAATCCAGCCTAAAGGAATTAAAAAAAAAAAAAAAACTAACCAAACAAATAGATATGAAACTGGTAAGGTTTGGCTCTGTGTCCTCACCCAAATCTCATCTTGTAGCTTCCATAATTCCCACGTGTTGTGGGAGGGACCCACTGGGATATGACTGAATCATGGGGGCGGGTCTTTCCTATGCTGTTCTCGTGATAGTGAATGGGTCTCACGAAATCTGATGGTTTTAGAAACAGGAGTTTCTCTGCACAAGGTCTTTTTGCCTGCCGCCATCCACGTAAGATTGCCTTACTCCTCCTTGCCTTTTGTCATGATTGTGAGGCCTCCCCAGCCATGTGGAACTGTAAGTCCAATAAAACTCTTTATTTTGTAAATTGCCCAGTCTTGGGTATGTCTTTATCAGCAGTGTGAAAATGAACTAATACAGGTACCTACCCACCACATTGCATTTTGTCTAGCTGAGGAGACATATATAAAACACATAATTACTTGAATGAGTAAACCATTAAAATAGTGATAATGGTTATGAGAGAAAGTATAAAATTCTGTAAGGGCATAAGTACTATGGAGTTCCCAGGAAAGCCTCTTCAAAAAAGTGAAACACAAGCTAAACATTGAAGAATTTTTAGGAGTTAGACATGTAAAGGAGTGCAGGATGAACTCTTGAGGAACATAGAAAGGGTAGCTGGCTAAAATAATGTGAATAAGCAGCAGACTGACAAGGGATATAATTGGAGTAGTGGGCAAGGGCCAGATAACGTAGGGTCTTGTAGGCCATGTGATAGGTACCAAAATTAATGTTAAATATGAAAAGCCAAATGTGAAAGGTTTTAAACAAGGGAGTTATAAAGAATTATGCTTGTGCTTTATTGTAGCTGAAATTGGAAAAGACAAGGGTGGGATCACATAAAATAATGCTGGTGTAGACTGGGCAAGGAACATGTTTGGGTGGAAGATCAAGTGTTGAGTTCTGCAAAATAATTATACAAGAGGCAAAAATAAGATAAGTGTACCCCAAATATACAAATTTGTCATTATTATACCAATGTGCATGTAACTATGTAAATATTAATGATAATAACACCTATATCAGTCAGAATTCCACTAAAAAAAAAGAACCAGTAGGAGACACATCCACACCCACACACCCCCACCCCCACCACCATCCACACAGAGCAAGGCATTGACTTACACCACTCTGGTGGCTCAATAGACAAGTTCTAAGTCTATAAGGCAGGCTTCCAGAAAGGTCAGGCTGTTATCTCTTGGGCAGGAGATGAAGCTGTAATCCATAGTGACTTTTTTTTTCCCCTCCAGTTCCACACTTAAACTCTTTCAATGAATTCAAGTAAGGTCCACTCAGATTATCATGAAAAATTTTCTTAAGATCCTTGCCATTTTTTGGATGTTTGTCTTCTTCAAATACCGTGCTTAAATTTGATCCCCAGTGTTGGAGGTGGTACCTAATGGGAAGTGTTTCAGTCATAGAGAGAGTGTATTCATCATTAATAGATTAATGCTCTCCCTAGGGGAGGGATGAATGAATTCTCACCTAGTTAGTTCCCACAAGATGTAGTTACCAAAAAGTGCCTGGCACCTCCCCTTTCCCTCTTTCTTGCTTCCCCTCTTGCCATGTGATCTCTGCACATGCTGGCTCCTCTTTGCCTTCTACCATGAGTGAAAGCAGCTTGAGGCTTTCTTCAGATGCCCAGTCTTCTAGCCAGAAGAATCATGAGCCAAATAAATATTTCCTTCTTTTTAATAAATTACCAGGTCTCAGGTATGTCTTCATGGCAACACTAAATGGACTAAGACGTGCCACCATAAAATTCTATCATGGCAACACCAGGAGTAGTGTTTAACTGAATAACTGTGAACCACAGCCATGCAAAGTTGACACATAAAACTGACCATCACAATATTTAATTTTTTTTCAGGATCCTATCTGTTTTTCCTTAGTGAAAGCGTATTTCATTCTCTGACTTAGGGATTTAAACAAAAGCATGGTGCACTCTTAATTTACGTGACACTTTTGTAAAATAAAGCTTGAAAACCATTTAACCCCAAAGGCAGTTTAAACTAATGTTTTTCAGTACTGATTCTGTAACTGTGACCAGTAGTTCAACGTTTTATTTATAACCTAGATTTGGATTAAGTTTCTTAGTTTATTTATAATGATTCATTATATATTCTCATATAGTTTATTAATAGATGAGTTGAAAGTAAACATTATTTCCAGGTGGCAGTTTAGCAGTATATATGTAGAGGCTTGAAAGTAGTTATAACATTTGACCTAGTAATTCTAGAAAATTATCATTTAAAAATAATTCAAAATATGCTCAGATAAAATTATCAAAAGCAACAAAATTAAAAAGAAACTGAAATAACAAATAATATAAAATTATATTGTAAATTAAAATCTGCCTATGCTATACATCCATCAAAAATTATGCTTTATGAAATTTTAATGACATGAGAAAATGCTTATTTTAAAATTATAACTTACATGACACAAAGTTATAGGTTATTTCAATTATGTAAGAAGGCATAGCCCAAGCCTAAAACTTGGGAGCAAATGCCAGAAAACATTGGAGTTGTAAATAACGACTTACAAATCACAAATACATGATGTTATCTTCAGCTTCCAGAATACCAAACAGCAAATACACTTGCACTGAACATACTTGGGAATTCCCTTAGAACTAAATGTATGTCAGAAATCTTTGCAAAACTAAAGTTGTTCTGTAGGTACAACACGAGCCACTAAAAACACTTTAAGCAGAAATAACTTCATTGTTATTTGACTTAAATATAAAATAGTGAACAAGTTTTATAGATTTTATAATTTTATGTAATTTAGACTTTTCTCTCTCAATTGAGTGGTCCTCTCTCTCTGTCTTCATTGAGTTTTTTTCTATGAATGTTTCACTCATTAAATATTTTTGAATATATATGCAATGTTCCTAAAAACAACAGCAACATTTTTTTTTCTGATAACTTTAGGAGCAAATGAGTGATTTAGTAAAAATCATTTTTATATTTAAGAAAGATTTCTGAGTAGACTGGACAATATTTCTGAACTGAAAATACAATTTTTTAAAATTGTTTAAAAACAAGAGGTGAGTAAAGATACCCTGAAGTAATTATACTTAATAATTTAGTTAGATAACATAATTCATTTTACATCTTTTTTTTCTGCTGGAGATTGACACAATTGTCAATTTATTTTTAGTTATTATGTGTCAGGTAAATTACAAAGGCATCTAGGTCAACTAGATTTTTGTTTGTTTGTTTGTTTGTTTGTTTCTTTTTTGTTTTGAGACTGGGTCTTGCTCTGTCACCAGGCTGGAGTGCAGTGGCATGATCTCGGCTCCCTGCAATCTCCACCTCCCAGGTTCAAGTGAGTCCCCTGCCTCAGGCAATTCCCCTGCCTCAGCCTCCTGAGTAGTTGGAACTACAGGCGTGCGCCATCAAGCCCAGCTAATTTTTGTATTTTTAATAGAGATGGTGTTTCACTTTGTTGGCCAGGATGGTCTCGTTCTCTTGACCTCGCGATCAGCCCACCTCTGCCTCCCAAAGTGCTGGGATTACAGGTGTGAGCCACCATACCAGGCCTAGATAAATTAGTTTGTGCAAATTTGGTTGTCTTGATGTCTAGTTCTGTGCTATACAATATGGTAACTAATATGTCACATACAGCTCTTGGATGTAACTAACATTTCACATACAGTTCTTAATTTTAATTAAAGTTAAATGAAATGAAAATTCAGTTTCTCAGTCATAATAGCCACATTTCAAATTCTCAGTGGTTTGTAATTACAATATTGGACCATACATTTATAGAATGCTTCTATCATTGTAGAAAACACTAATGGAAAGTGTTATTCTTTAACTTTTACAATGAAATTATTCAACAAAAATACTTTCAAAACATTCTCGAATTATTGTAGAATTGCCTTAAATTCATATTTACAAGTAATTTGGACAAATACGATTTCTAAACTGTGCTGACCAATTGTGTATTTGCTCTGATATCCAAAAACCGAATTTCCCCCTTTTCACATTTTAGTAGAGAATTATAGTTAGCTGGGTTCCTTGCTCTTTATCATTAGGTTGGTTGTCACCTGAACAGGAAGTTTTTTTGCTTCATGGCATCTCTTAAAGAGGCAGTATCTCCTCTTTCGTACACATCTTAAAGGATGTCTCATTCCATCTGTGGAGTGCAGTCTGCCTGCTGATTGTAGCTTCCTTCTAATGGCCCTAGATTCTCCACCCTAGAAATGGCACCCGTACCTCTGTCTCCCAGATCCATGCAAGTTGGCAGCTTTCCGCCTTTGCAGTTCTCTGATGTGTCTGCCTGCCTCTCCTTTGTCTTCTTAGCTCCTTTGAAACCTGTTTAACTAGTCCTCTATATTGAATCCCAAATCTAGCCCCTCCTTACTTTCTTTCACAAAAAAAAAAAAAAAGAAAGAAACTAGAGTGATTTCTGTTTTATTGATTGGATCCTGATTAAAACATGTGATTTTGAATCCTTATTACATAATGTTTTTTCAAGGTAAAAATCACTCAATAGAAGGAAAATACGTAGCTTAAAATAAAGGCAGTCTTAGTGTGTTTTTCTTTTATATGCTTGTGGAATATGAAATGACTTTGAACTACTCTATTCAACAATAACAACAAAATAACTGTGGTTTTATGATGAGGTTATAAATAGGAGTTGTAATAAGTAAAATTTCCAAGAAGTAATTTCTGAATACCATAGGAGGTCTTTCAGCTAACATCTATTTTGTTGTTACCCTATACGAAGAAAAAAGAGGTTAAGTATATGAAAAATAAAATTTGCTCATATTTTTCTCCTAAAGAGAGTTTTAAAATTAGTATGTTGCCTTCATAAAGTTTCCAATGGCAAAATATTTGCATGTCCTTATTGTGATATTTTTTGTTTGAGAAGTTAGTCAAAGATAGAAATGGGGAATAATTACATCCCCTTAAAAAACTAAAGAAAATTACCTTCAGAGACATTTAGAAAAATGATAAATTTTTATTTCATTACATAAAATGGTTTGTGAGGTGTTTTCTATTAATATCAAGGTTTATTTTGGTTTTCAAAAAATAATCCTAAAGCAAATTTTAGATAAGGCTGAAAAATTTATTTTATTGACAATCTACTCCCTACTTTTCTAATATATTGCTTACTTTCTAAGAACTTTTCTCTCACCATTTTAATATTTTCAGGGTCTGAATATCATCAGATACTTGGTCATATAAATATAAAAATTCCAGAACCTTGGGGTGTGCTCTATATGCATACGGTCAGCAAGAATAATGAAAATGGGTGTATTCTTTTGGATGTTTTCATTTTCAGATCTTTCATGATATATTGTTGGCTTCACTTTTGACCTGACTTTCTCTCTGTCTGCCTGTCTCTGTCTTTGGCTCTCTCTCTCTTCATTTCTCTCTCTCAGTCTCTCCCTCCATTTCTTTTCTTTCCCTCTCTCTCCCTTTATTTCCCTGTTGCTCTCTCTATATAGTATATATACTCTGATATATAGAGGTTTTTAACACTGCAATTTTCTCTAATTATTTACTGTTGCATGACTTAAATATTTTCCAAGTGTCAGAGAAAAGTATGCCTTTTCAATTGATTCCAGAATCTTCTGAGTATTTTTTAAACCTTTTTCCAAACCACTTTTTCCTGTTCTCTCAATTTTTCTGGTATACTTAACATTCATAATTGCTATAGGAATGGACTTTTGTGATATTAGACCTAGTGTAACAGCTTGTAGGGAAGTAAGGGAATCTCAAATCGTATCTTTGATCTTTCTTGAACAAATCACTAATGTTACCACTTCCTTGGAAGGAGACTATAGCACTAGGTGAATACTAAAGTTATTTTTACCTATGAATGTCTATGATTCTATACAAGATTAGTAGGAAAAAAAAGATTAATTACAAACTTTATTTTTTACTTAGATACTTTTTTTTTTGAGAAACTTAAGTCAATGAATAATTATTCAGTAGAGCAAGAGGACTAAGATCATGGTCTCTGGTTCAAGATTGACCAACTCCAAATCTTTTTTTACTATTGATTCACTATAAAAGTTTGAAAAATATTCTCAACCCCACTTATCTTATCTTTTTAATGGAGATTTAAAAAGTACCTTCTCTTTAGGTGTGTGTAGGTATATCTTTAGGTGTGTGTAGGTATATATGTATGTGTGTGTCAGAAAGAGAGATTTAGATATGTAAAACGCTTAGAAAAGAAACTGACACATAATATATGTTGCTTAGTAGATTAAGTGATTATAATAATTATTCAATAACTATGTGTTTGGGATATGCTATGTGTAGGATATTCACCAGTGACCTTATCCAAATAGAAATAAGATTTAGTCACTACACTTTGATTTTGATTTTTACTTAAAAGGAAGCATTATATAGATCTATATATGTTGGTATATAATTTGAATATAACACTTAGCAGTTTTAATTTATAAATATAATAGACCAAAGAAGAAATAGGATTTATCAACGGGTCAAAAAAAGTGTTATCGAATGAAGAAGAATCTAAGCCTGGCTTTGAGGAATGGATGGGCTTCCATAATTAATAAGGGTTAAGCCCTCTGAATAATGGAAAAAGCATGCAATATGGAGAAGTAAGGAGTGCAGTAGTCCCCAATTATCTGTGATTTTGCTTTCTGCAGTTTCAGTTACCTGCAATAAACTGGCTCAAAAATATTAAATGGAAAATACCAGAAGTAAACAATCGATAAGTTTTAAATTGTGTGTCTTTTACACACTAATGGTTGTTTTCTTGAAACACTCACTTTTGAAGATAGCTGCCAGAGGAAGATTCCAGCTTTTGATCTGTCTCCAGGGAGATGCCATTTTGAATGTTCCAGTCTTGACTACCTCTGGCTGCAGCCACAGGAGAAACCTTAAAAGAGTGCAGAAGAACCTTTCAGCCGAGCCCCTGTGAAATCACAGACTGGTGGCAAATAACAAAATGGTTGCTGCTTGAGTCACTAAGTTTCTTGGGTTGTTTTTTATGTAGTTGTAGATAACTAGCACAATAACAGCAGATGGCAGGAAAAAATAACTTCTGAATAGGCAGAAATTAGCCAGAGTGATGCATTACCTGTTAAAATCTCCGAAGATTCTAATCCACAAACATGAGATGGCCTAAAAGTTTGTATAAAACTTTACAATTAAGCCAACAGAAGTAAATAAATCATGGCAATTACAGAATGTCTATTTAACAAGTGAATGGAAATGTTGCACATATGCATTTATGAATGGCACATTTGGGAAAACAATTATGACAACATTTTAAAATGCCTAGTGGGCTTCTGGTTAAAGAGGTGATTTGAGTGAAATGCTTTATCTTCTTTTTCTCCTAAAACCTCATTAAAATGTTAATAAAGAAATAAAAATACAAATTTATAAAAAAGAGATGCCATCAGTAAAAGTTATTTCATCCATTTTTTGAGGATGGAAATTGAGAAGGAGAGGTGACAAATGAAGGAGAGTGAAGAAAGCAGCTTCTTAGAGGGACTCTTTTAGAAAAAATAGAGCTGATGTGTGTGGCAGAACTCTGAAGATCCTCAAGACCTAGAGTCAGAGCTGCCATGCATGGCAGATAGAAGAAATGAAGTTGAAAACTAAAGGAATAAGTGATGTGTGTTTCATTATTTGACTTTAATTTGAATATTACAGAGCCTGTGTTACAGATTAAAGTTTAGCTACTTTAAATTTCATGTGGAACCAAAAAAGAGCCTGTATAGCCAAGACAATCCTAAGCAAAAAGGACAAAGCTGGAGGCATTATGCTACCTGATTTCAAACTATACTACAAGGCTAAAGTAACCAAAACAGCATGGTTCTTGTACCCAAAACAGATACATAGACCAAAGGAACAGAACAGAGGCCTCAGAAATAACACCACACATCTACAACCATCTGATCTTTGACAAACCTGACAAAACCAAGCAATGAGGAAAGGACTCACTATTTAGTAAATGGTGTTGGGAAAACTGACTAGCCATATACAGAAAACTGAAACTGGACTCCTTCCTTACAATTTATACAAAAATTAACTCAAGATGAATAAAGACTTAAACATAAGACCTAAAACCATAAAAACCCTAGAAGAAAACCTAGGCAATACCATTCCTGGCATAGGCGTGGACAAAAACTTCCTGACTAAAACACCAAAAGCAATGGCAACAAAAGCTAAAATTGACAAATGGGATCTAATTAAACTAAAGAGCTTCTGCACAGCAAAAGAAACTATCATCAGAGTGAACAGGCAACCTACAGAATGGGAGAAAATTTTTGCAATCTATCCATCTGACGAAGGGCTAATGTACAGAATCTACAAGGAACTTTAACAAATTTACAAGAAAAAAACAAACAACCCCGTCAAAAAGTGGGAGAAGGATATGAACAGACACTTCTCAAAAGAAGACATTTATGCAGCCAAAAAACATGTGAAAAAAAGGTCATCATCACTGGTCATTAGAGAAATGCAAATCAAAACCACAATGAGATACCATATCATGCCAGTTAGAATGGCGATCATTAAAAAGTCAGGAAACAACAGATGCTGGAGAGGCTGTGGAGAAATAGGAACGCTTTTACACTGTTGGTGGGAGTGTAAATTAGTTCAACAATTGTGGAAGACAGTGTGGGGATTCCTCCAGGATCTGGAACCGGAAATAACATTTGACCCAGCAATCCTATTACTAGGTCTATACCCAAAGGATTATAAATCATTCTACTATAAAGACACATGCACACGTATTTTTATTGCAGCACTGTTCACAATAGCAAAGACTTGGATGCCCACCAATAATAGACTGGAAAAAGAAAATGTGACACAAATCAACCCATTGATGGGCATCAACCCAAATGCCCATCAATGATAGAATGGAAAAAGAAAATGTAGGTGAAACCCCGTCTCTACTAAAAATACAAAAAATTAGCCAGGCACGGTTGTGGGCACTGGTAGTCCCAGCTACTCAGGAGGCTGAGGCAGGAGAATGGCCTGAACCTGGGAGGCAGAGCTTGCAGTGAGCCGAGATAGCGCCACTGCAGTCTGGCCTGGGTTAAAGAGCGAGACTCCATCTCAAAAAAAAAAAAAAAGTAAAGAAAAGAAAATGTGACACAAATACACCCTGGAATACTATGCGGCCATAAAAAATATGAGTTCATGTCTTTTGCTGGGGCATGGATGAAGTTGGAAACAATCATTCTCAGCAAACAAACACAGGAACAGAAAACCAAACACCACATGTTCTCAATCATAGGAGGGAATGGATCAATGAGAACACATGGACAGAGGGAGGGGAACAACACACGGGGGCCTGTTGGGGGGTGGGAGACTAGGGGAGGGATAGCATTAGGAGAAATATCTAATGTAGATGATGGGTTGATGGGTGCAGCAAAACACCATGGCACATGTATACCTAGGCAACAAACCTGCACGTTTGCATGTGTATCCCAGAACTTAAAGTATAGTTAAAAAAAGAGATTAAAGTTTAGAAATCATCTATTTACAGATGGCCAATGAAGTCATGGGATTGGGTGATATTTGAGAAAATACAAAATGAGATGCCATCTATAGATTTTAAGATAAATTCTACAAAGTTTAAACATAGATTACAGATTTAATTATAAATATTCAAATTTCATGTACAAAAATATAATCTTCATAATAAAATTTTTATTTAAAAAATTATCATTCCATTAATACATAATAGCACATATTTATAGAATACTTGTGATATTTTGATACATTCATACAATCTGTAATGATCAAATTAGGATAATTTGGTATCCATCTCAGGTCAAATATTTATTATTTTTTTGTGTTGATGACATTCCAAATCTTCCAGCTATTTTGAAATATAGAGTAAATTACTGATAACTATAAAAGACTACTGTGTTATCAAGACTAGAACTTATTATATCTAACTGTATTTTTGTACCTATTAACCAACCTCTCTTCATTTCTCCCTCTTGTCTCCCTTTTGAGCCTCTGGTAACCAACAATCTACTTTCTACCTCCATGAAATAAACATTTCTAGTTCCCACATATGCGTGACAACAGTTGATATTTGTCTCTCTCTGCCTAATAATAATATTTTTCTTGTGAAACACTGAGTTCTTAAAATAAAAAAAAAACATAAATACTTAGAATTACACACCAGCTTTCAATTTGTTGGGTAGATGTTTACAAAGACATAGTGTCTTCACAGAAATTATAATTATCTGCATAATAAATTTTGGCTTTCATCTGCATACTTAACATCAAAGTGCTCCTTAAAAATAAAATGGTATTGTTCTTGTTGTCAGCTAATACTGTTTTGAATTTTTAGTAACCGCTTTACTGAAGAATTTAGAATACCGTTCAAGATGAACTCCACAGCCGCATAGTGAGATGTAGTTAGGTAAACCAGCTGAGCACTAATTGGATTTCAGGATATGAATGACTGCAGAAATTTCAGGACTCCTTGTCAGAGCAGATATACACTGGGGCTTTTGTTTGGAGGAGGTAGAGGAAAAAACTGATTAGAGCTTGTACCAAAAAAAAAGCATTGTAATAGATTTTTAAAAGATAAACTTAATAAAAGTAGCTGGTCTTGCCCCTTTAATAGCATACTTCATATTTTTCTCCTATATTTAAACTCTTCTCATAAAGAAACAATTATTTGAAATGACTTTTCAAAAGTTTAAAAGAAAGTACTCAGAAATCAATTATTTACAATTTAAAAGAACTTTATCTTTTCTCATTTGTGATTTGGTTCTGCCACAAATATTATCGAATTATGAAGGAAAAAATATAAAAACAGGTCGGGCATGGTGGCTCATACCTATAATCCCAGCACTTTGGGAGGAGGAGGCAGACTGATCACTTGAGGCGAGGAGTTTGAGACTAGACTGGGCAACATGGTAAAACCCTGTCTCTACCGAAATACTAACATTAGGCGGGCGTGGTGGCATGCACCTACAATTCCAGCTACTTGGGCGGCTCAGACATGAGAATCACTTGAGCCCGGGAAGGGGAGGTTGCAGTGAGTTGAAATCATGCCACTGTGTTCCAGCTTGGGTGACAGCGTGAGACTCTATCAAAACAAAACAAAGCTCAACAAAAAACATAAAAACAAAACCCCACAAATGTTTGCATCTGTATTGTGAATAATCTATAAGAGAGATTAGGCTTATTCTATGCTTGGAGAGCAACCTGAGGAATTTCATACTTCTCCTGAAAGAAAATGTCAGTAGAATCTTAAGCAAGAAAGTGTGTTCCAGAAAGTTGCACACTATTTCCCTGTATCCCCAACATACTCAGTCCTGAGTTAGTTAGGTTTTTTACATGCTTTTCCTGAACATTGTACAAGCTTTATTCTTGCTTGTTACACTACAGTACCTGATTCTGTTATTTATTTATTTTTAGGTTTTTAAAATGTTATAATTATATTACGTTACTCTCAGCAAAATATAATAAATGAATATTCGCAAAAATGAGTGGAAAAACTACCTATATCTGCCCTATTCTCTGAAGGAAAAGAGTGATCTGGTACTGTTATTTAAATAAGCACATCTGGGGTCAGATAGAGGCACTGGAATGGAGAAGGATAATGAAATACTCAAAGAATATTAGAATTGAAAAATGTTTTTCAAGTTGACTTATTCTATTATCTGATTTCACCAATCATCAGACATTTTAAATGACTACTCAATCATAGTTATCTAGCAGCAGACAGAATTAAAACCCTAGTTTACAGACTCCAAAGTCCTTTCTTTACATCAACAACTACCAAACTATTTTTTGAAAAAGTGGCTTTTATTATTATTCCCCAAGGCCTTAAGTTTTAAAAAGCCATTTCTATCAAAGAATTATTTTAACTAACAAAGCTTTTCTTGCCTTTTAGTAAATAATAATAATAAAGTAAAAATAGCAGGTAGAGCTATGCTTGAAAATACGTATGATCAGCAGAGGAAATTAAATACTAAAATCAATTAATTAATTCCTGATTTAAAAGGAAAATACACCTCTAGTTAAATAAAAGCAAATTATTTTAGTTGTATAAAAATGTTGAGAATAGCTTAAACTTTTATAACGAATTTTGCAAAGCTTAGTGGTTCAATAATTCCAGGCTGGAATTCTTTTACTATAGTCTAATGCTTTGTAAACGTTTTTTTCTGACACTGTGCTTCCACTATTGCCAATATGCTGGTAAAAAAATTCATGTGCAATGACCTTATGGTTCTGAAAAAGTGCTTCTATGCTATTTGATTTTTGAATAATCTGGAGTTTTAAAGTAATGTTATTCAGGGAAGAATGTCAGTAAATGATGTTCAGTGAGAATACCCAGCGTATATTCTAAAAAATTGTTATAGTAGAAGTTATAATAATTTCCTCATGACAGAGCATGTGCATCTGATACAAAAAATAAAAACTTGTCTTTCCTGCCTACTTTTTCTGTTTAATAAATATAAGATGTTGAAAATATCAGAGGAGAGATCACATTTGCATTAAATAACAGCTTGTTTCTGTGGTTGCAGTGCTGGGCTAGTTAATGAAATGAGTATAGAAAATATTGTAAAACGTATGAGCAATATTTAACTTTCATTCTGGCTCCTAAGCTCTCTCTTCACATATACCCTATAATGAATGCCATTACACTCTAATAAGCAACAGTAAAGAATTATATATTATAAAATCTTTCTTACTTAAAATTATATCTTTACATCTCTTAAGTAATTAAAATATTCTTAGGATCAGATGAAATTAATTAGACATTGGACATAGCAAATATTTGTGAATCAGTAGGCTCTTTCACTATCCTTATATGTCCCACCCCTATTCTGGGATGTAAAATGAAAATATTCACTAGGCAAATTATTTTTTTAATTTGGGTGATTACTGGTTGTCCATCACTAAGCTTCCCTATCCCTTTTACATTTTACTCCACTAGGTACAGAGTCATGTGAGGCTAATTAATGTCTTCTTAAAATAATTAGTTAAATAGTACTTAAATAAGGACAAAGAATGCCACTTTATCTTTATCTAATGTAGTGAATGCTGTGGTATACTGCCTATAACTTCCTGCTTTAGGACCTAGGTGTGAATTTTTCCATCAGGCTAAGTATTCACCTACTAATACCTCATGGCTGAATCCTTCTGCGAGAATTACACTCAGTCAAATGTCACTGCCTACATTCAATGACTGGTTGATATGGGGGTAACTCCCAACCCCTTCTTGCTTCAGTTGGAGATATCTTTGCAAATCATCCCATCTTGAGATCTTCAGCACCCTCAAAGATCTGCTGAGGTCTATACTGACATGACATCACAGTTCAACTTCTCCCTTATGCCAACATGCTTTCCTCTCATAAGTATTGTTCCTGAGACCAATACTTATGAGTAAACATCCATACACATTCTGAGTAAACATCCTATACACAAATCTATACCTCAAAGGCTATTTCCTAGGAACTTGCCCTATGACACCCAGGTGCACCTTAATAGCAACAATGATTTTCATTAAGTAAGATTTTATTTATTTGACTAAGGATTCTTTTACTCCTGTGGGGAGACATAGTTTTAAACATTTAGCTAAAACTTGTAAAATTATCTTCTAAGGGCTTATTCTTGAGTAAATAATTCTTCGTGCATCTAGTGTATTAATAAGGATTATTTTGCTTGTAAATGATAGAGACCTGACTTAAAACAGCTTAAAGAAACATTAGAAACGTGTGTTTCAGATAGCGGGAATGGAGTTGGAAGCCAGGAATAGTGGTTGTGGGGAGTGTGGCATTGCCACATCTTTTTCCCTATTTTTATCATTTCTCTCTGTGAAATTATCTCAATTTCCACTCAATGATTTTTTTTTTCCTTAAACTATGTGAAAGACATGACTGCAGATAGCTCCCACAAAGAAATTTTACAGTCAGTTCACCCAGGGAAAGAATGTGAGAGCTGGACCTTTCTTTCTAGATTCCCCTTACAAATATCACTGAAAAGCATTGTCATTTCCATGTGTGAGTGAGATTCTCTCCCCTGGAGGGCACTCAAATGTAGTTAGGTTTAACAAATATATTGCATTCACATATACAATATGTGAATACGATTGTGAATACAATCGTATTCACATATTGTATACAATATGTAATAATTACATATACAGCTCTGTAATAATTGCAAGTAAGGTAAGTAGAACATGAGTGTTTTCAGACGAAGGCGGGGGATGTAAAATGCTATGCTAATTAAATCATAGATAAATTACAATATATATTAAAGCGTGGTAAACTGTATATTATGTAAAAACAAATGAAATAAATGAGAGAGAGAAAGAGGGAAAGAGAGAGAGAGAAGAAATAAAGGAAGACAGGAAAGAAGAAAATGATTGCTGGAGGGAGGCAAGAATTTCTCTTAGCTAGTAGAATTCATTAAAAAGAGTCCATACTAACAGGAAGAAGATTAAGATAGTAAGACTAACTAAGGGTTAACCATTGCTTTTATTTGATACTTTAATAAAATAAGTCACCTGAATGAATTTCCTGATGTAGCCTCATTTGGACAGTTTTTTGTTTTTTTTTTTTTTTTTTTTTTTTTGCCAATGGTATACCCTGCATAGGATATATTTTTCTTAAATTTATATTTGTGACAGGATATTCTAGGTTTGCAAACTTGCACATTGGAATTCCTTCATATTTTCTCTGTAACACTGATCATTTTGTCCCAATAAACTCAGATAAGGGCAAAAGGCAGTAAGAGGGACTTCTGAATTTCTTAGTGACCTCATCTTTCATCCGAAACAGAAGCTCTTCATACCATCATCATATTTTCAAAGCCATATTTTACTTTACTATTCTGGGAGAAAGATCTTACTAATTGTCCTTTTGCGAGGTTGTGAAAGAATGAAATAAAGCATGCTTACCGGTTACCCTGAAGTCAGGAGGACATAGGCTTTTATGTCATTCTCAGCTGTGACTAGTGAGTAAAACAGCATTAGAGTGGTTAGAGCAGGAAAACATTATGTTACCGTAATAACTGCTGTTGGACAACGGCACCCATTATGACAGCCCCTGTATTGCAGTCATAGGGAAAGATTGCTCTTTTTCTTGCCCCTTGCCACCCTTAAAAACTGTGGTTCTCCAGTCTGGCTTTCAGTGAAACACTTGTTCTCTTTAACAGTTTGGAACCTGTGCTGATTATCTTGCATTTCGTACTTCTTTTTGAAAAATATATAAATCATAAATTTGGAATAAGAAATAATAAATCAGTCTAAAAGCAAATTGATATATATGCATTGTAAAAGTTTGGTGTTATTAAATATATTGTATATAAATTCACTAAACTCCTATATGAATATTACTAAACAAAATGGATATTAATTTTAATGTTGACATAACTTCAAATGTGATCTTAAAATTTGTTTATGAATGTATATAGAAATGATACATATATATACTCAAATAAATACTCTACTATATTAAAATATATACTCTGCTATATTATATATAACATATAAAAGGGGACCTCAGAAAGTTTGTGAAAAATAAAATTAAAATATAAAAATATAAATATAAACTTTATTTTTCAACATAACCTTTATTAAGCTCAAGACAGTTTTGTAAGCAATGATACGAGCCATTTAATTTTTCCCTAAAGAAAGAACTGAAGGGCCTGGAAATTTAACAATGTCAATGCAGCCTTTTTTACATAATTAGATAAAGAAAATTTTAAATATTTTTTAAGAGTAGGAAGCAAAAAGAAGTCAGAAAAAGCCAGATCAGTACCAGAAGCAAATTCCTAATAATTTACCATCAAAACTCATAAAATTGCCCTTTTTTAATGAGGGGATGAGCAGGAGCATTGTTTTGGTGGAGATAGTCTCTCTGATAAAGCCTTCCTAAGTGATTTTCTGCTCAAGCTTTGGCTAGCTTTCTCAAAACACTCTCATATTCTTTGGCTCTCTAGAAAGACAAGAAGCAAAATGCCTTGAGCCTCCCAAAAAACTGTTGCCATGACCTTTTCTCTTGACCAGCTCAATTTTACATTGACTGGGACACTTCTATTTCTTGGTCACCATTGTTTTTCTTGTACTTTATCTTCAGGATGGTACTGGTGAAGCCATGTTTCATCTCTGGTTACAATTCTCCAAATAAATGCTTTCAGAATCTAGATCCTACTTGTGTACAATTTTCATTGAAAGCTCTTCCTTCATCTACATCTGTTCTGGGCTCAACACTTTTGACATTTATTGAGTGAAAAGTTTTCTGAACTTTAATTTTTCAGTCACAATGGAGTTAAACCAATAGAGGTATTTATAATGTTGACTATTGTTTCTGCTATTAATTGTCAGTCCTCTTTTCAATTAGGGTGTGGACAAGATTTCTTTTTCCACGCAAATTGATGTGGATAATCGGCTGATGGGGGATTCGTTTTCAATATTGTCTCTTATCTTCTTAAATGAATTATCCATTTTTAAAACTACTGCATTCTTTGGGACATAGTCCCCATCAACTTTTTGTAAAGCATCAATGATTACACCATTCTTCCACCTAAGCATCACCATAAATTCGATGCTTGTTCTTGTGTCAATTTAGCACAATTTATTTTGCTCTGACTGAGGCTCTCCTCAAACTTATGTCTTATTCTTAATGCCCCAAAATGGTTCATGTTCAGACATGTTATAACAAGTTACTGTAACTTCATTTTGGTGCAATAATTGATATATATGTAATTTATATTTTACTAAATATATGTATTTAGTAAAACAGGTTTTAGATTCAAGAATATATTATATTCCACATTCTCATACAACCAAAATAAAATCATGCTGTCTTGTAGTCTCAAAGACAAAACTAGCATGTACTATGAGATAACTAAAGGTATGCAGATATAACTAATGCTGAACGCCAAATGTGATTAAACTGGGGATATAAGTTAATACATTTTTTAGATTTAGACAATGCATTCAATAGAGTGTTTTCTTTTGACTCCCTTTAGTACAACATCACCAAATAAACTTATTCTACACATATAGTTACTGTGATAGGCTGCAATTTATGTTCAATGTCTTGGTAGAAAGAGATATACAAAGAAATTAAATAGTTGTGCAAGGTAATAAAAGTCAAATGTTACTAAAGAAATTATAAAGAATTTCTGATAAAGCTTTCCTAAGTGATTTTCTGCTCAGTCTTGCCATGGTGGCTCACGCCTGTAATCCCAGCGCTGTGGGAGGCTGAGACAGGTGGCTCACCTGACCTCAACAATTAGAGACCAGCCTGGCCAACATGGTGAAACCAGGGCTCTACTAAAAATACAAAAATTAGCTGGGCGTGGTGATGAGCACCTGTAGTCCCAGCTACTCCAGAGGCCAAGGCAGGAGAATTGCTTGAACCTGGGAGACAGATGTTGCACTGAGCTGAGATTGCACCACTGCCCTCCAGCCTGGGCGATAGAGCGAGACTCTGGCTAAAAAAAAAAAAGAAAGAAAAAAAGAAATTAAAAAGAACAGAAATCCATTAATCCATTATTCTATGCCCTCTCATTAACATGCATTGTCGTTAAAAGGTACACTGGAAGTAATTTCTGTATCTCTAAATAGTATTTAATACTTTAAAACAAATCTAGTAAACATAATGCATAATGAGGACTTGACAAACATGACTTTCTTCCAGTCTTTTCTATTTCCTTTTCATTAAAAAAATTATTGTTTCTGTAAACAGGAAACATGTTTGTTATGAGTAATTTAAGGAGATTATAAACCAAAAATATTTTTAAAATAGTCCAAACCTGATAATACATTCATGCATACTCATTTCCATATTCTAAAAGAGATGGATAATGAGAAAGTAAAAAAGACATATAGATAGGCTCTTAGAAAAATATTTTAGTACCATGCCACTTAAAATTTAAAAGTTTAACAAGTGAAAAACTAAAAATAATTGGTGTCAATAAAATAATTGCTGAACTAACTCTAACATCATCATTTTTATAATTTAAATCTTTATAACTTTATCTTGTTCTATAGACGTAATTCCAAAAGTTTGGTTTTGATTTTATGTTAAAAGGTGTGAGTACTATTCATCTGTCATTTTGTCAGAGCCCTTTGCTTGCATATTTCCTCATTTAAATTTATCTCTAACTTGCCTTGATTTCAGAGTTCAGTCTTTTTATTGAGGAAGAGCTAATGGTTTATTATATTATTTTATGTTTCAGAATTAGTCTTTAGATACCTGAGTGAAATTTTAGTTGGGTGTATATTATTAAACTACACTTTCTTCACTCTCAACTTGGAAGAAACTAATCCTAGTCTTTGGCAGTTGAATACTATTGTGGTGAAGGCTGAGGGCAGTTCAATTTTCTCTTCTCTTTTAGTCATTTGGCCTAGTTTTTTTTTTTTTTTTTTTTTTTTTGAGACGGAGTCAGAGTCTCACTCTGTCGCCCAGGCTGGAGTGCAGTGGCGCGATCTCGGCTCACTGCAAGCTCTGCCTCCCGGGTTCACGCCATTCTCCGGCCTCAGCCTCCCCAGTAGCTGGGACTACAGGCTAATTTTTTGTATTTTTAGTAGAGACGGGGTTTCACCATGTAAGCTGAGATGGTCTCGATCTCCTGACCTCGTGATCTGCCCGCCTCGGCCTTCCAAAGTGCTGAGATTACAGGCGTGAGCCACCATGCCCGGCCAGCTAGTTCTTTAAGCAACTGTTTATGTTTGAGAGAAATGAGTTTGATGTGGCTATTAATTATGACATATCAGATTATATATGATATATCAGATTATACAGAAACTTATGAGAATAGGAGTTTATTCCTTATTTATATGCTATACTTACATGATGGAGTCGGTACAACTCTGCTCAATGCTCTTTTAATTCAAAAATTTAGGCTAAATTAGCAACCTCTGTGTAGAACATGATTGGTTAACATGCCAGGAAAAAAAATACATACTGGTTCTTAAATCTTCTCAGAATAATGAATACTTATTCTGTTCACATTTCATATAACCATTCAGGATGGATTATGAGTTATTTTATTATAAGGAAGGGAACAAAGTAATATAACTTATCCCAATGACATTGAAAGACAGATTATAAGGAGGTCAGAATGTGCCAGGAAGAGAATGGTATGCATTTATTTATACACTGTCATAAGAGCTTTGGATGATATTTTAAAATGTTTTGAGAATCTGGAAGGTTTTGATGAGAGAGTTAGAAAAATCACTAATATGCTGTGTTGAAATATACTCTAGGAAGATGAAGTATATAAGAAGAAAAACTAGTTAGGAAACAACTGTGATGGTCTAGGGAGAAAAGGGTGAGGATAAGTCTAGGCTACTTGTAGGGCAGATGGAGAGAAATAATTGGGAATATATTCTAGAGTGATAGCATGCAGAAGTTTTCTGAAATATATCTGTGTGATCTGAAAAAAAGGAGAATAAATCTTAGATTAAAAAAAGATATAAGTTATCAGGTGGTATTTTTTACTTTGAAAGGGAAAACCGCATGTAAGGGGGTTGGGAATAGTTAACTAGGTTGTCTAGAGTTTCTTTAGAAACCATATAACAAGTGATTTTAAATAGTATATTCAGTCAGAGGACAGAATCCCAATTTCTGCAATATTTAGAAATCAGTAAGAGAAGGAATCAGCAAAGGAGACTAAAAACAGCTATAGCAAAGTAGGAATTATGTGAGAAGAGCTTGTTTTCCCGGATTGGTGATGAAAAATGTATACCTAGGAAGAAGAAATGATTGACCATCTCATATCATTTTGTGTTAATGAGCATTTCTTTGAAGTTAACAGGAAACAGACTAGTTTAAGCAACACATTTAATGTAAAGCAGGTGCATACAAAGATATGAAATTAAAAAACAAAGTAACTCTAGCAAAAAAAAAATTAAATTGGAAGTAATCACGGGAGCCAATGGAGAATAAAATTTGCTGAAAACAAATTAAGAGACAAGTAGCCAATGCTCTCACCTCCATTGACCACCTGTTGGTCATCTTCCATTTGATGGACAGTATCTGTACAGACTGATAGCTTCTGACCTCAAGCACTCACATCTCTCTCTGTCTAAGGCTATACCTGGCCACAGGAATATTCTCTGCCTGAGTTATGGCAAGCCAGAGTGCCAGAGCTTTAGTACCCCAAGATATATGTATATTTTGAAGAGGTGGAAAAATATCTCATATTTTGCAACCTACACTGGATTGAATTGAGGTATATTCTAATATGTCTCTCAAAGAATACCCCAAAGATTAAGCCCCAGTTGCCTATGGTTGAAGCCCACTCATTAAATATTCTTGTCTTTTTTTCCTTCTATATCTCATTTCCCTACATCTGCACTTCATTTTCTGAGATTATTTCCCAAATGTATCACTTGTCTGTAAACTTCTTATAGTTTGCTTTTGTAGAGATACAATTAAGACAATTTTAGGGTGATAAAAATCAATGAATTATAAAGAAAAATTAAAAATTTAGAAAAAAATTATGTGTACGCTGTATGCTTGGAGAAAATTTAGTATATTCGTAACTGAAGTCTCCAAAGAACCAGGTGATTACCATAACTTTTCAGGTAATAGAATAATTTAAAACATTTTCAAATTCCAATTTGGATGTGAATAATACATTGATATCAAAAGCCCGGGAATATAGCGCCTTTTCTTGCCCAAATCTATGTGTTTATCTTATTTCTAGATAATGAAGCCATAATTATTAAGAGTATGACTAAAAATAGCATTAAATGAAATGTACAATTAGTTCAATGGAAGAAAATTTATAAATTTAATTAATATAAATAATCACATTAAAATGTGAAAAGCATAATTTGGTTCACAAATTTTGAAAAAAATGATAAAATTAAAAATCTATTCTCGACAAGAACGATTAAAGACATAGGAATAGAGAATTTATTCACCAGCAAACTTCAGAACCAAATTGGATGTTCTTGCCCTTTTTCAACTTTATTAATCCAGTTTACATGGCACAGATTATTCCTTGATAAAATTTAATATAAGCTATATTTTAAGATGGTATGTCTATCTTTATTTTAAAATTTCTAACCAGTTTTTGGGACATACAGATTTCAGCTTTTGATTTGAATAGCACATCAGAAAAATTATGTCAATTAGTTAAATGAATTATTGACTTAAAACAAATTTTATTTTCACCAAAATATTAGTAATGAATTTTGCCTAAGCTTGGTGACATTTGCTTTTCTCCTTTTTATTATTACTTAAAAAATTCCCATGGATTTTTATGTCACCAACCTTCAATGTCAGTTTCCTTACTCAAAAGACTAAAGCAAATGAGAAGATTCTGGAAATATGGTGGAGTGGAAAATACTATAAATATGTCTTCCCACGAAGACAAAAATTGAACTGGAAAAATCTGTCTAATGTAACTATTTTAGAACTCTGATGTCTACTGAAGACTTGCAACTTCTAGGAAAATGGTTTAAATAGTAGATTGTGGATAATTATATTCAATTTCAGTCAGATTACCTATCCATCATCCTTCTTTGTAGCAGGGAGCTGTGCAGTTGTTCCAGGAGCAAGCTGCGTACAGCTTTCAGGATCCATGAAGGATGATAGGACCTCTGTACTCTAAATATTGGGTATTTGTGTTCTGCTTGCTACTTCTGATCATTAACTGTGACAAAGTAGAACAGTCATTGTTGCAACATCCTACCCCTTCTTCCCCAAAATTGTTCCAAGCCTTTCCTCTCTAGGTGCTTTGAGGCCACTCCAGATGATTTTAGATTTCAGTAAACAACTCTCAGTCATGAATAAAATAAGGAGACAGAAGATAAGTTAAAAAAAATAGCTGTACAAAAATGAAAAAAAAAACAATTAGATCTAATGGACATATAAGGAACATTCTACCTAACACAGAATTTTTCTCAAGTGTACATGGAACATTTTTCGACAATAGACCATTTATTTTGCAACCAATTTACTTTCAATAGATCTAAAATAATTGATAGAGTACAAATCATCTAATCTAACTACAACAAGATGAACTTAGAACTCAAGAAGAGAAGAAAAATCAGAAAATTTACAAACTTGGGACATTAAACAATGCATTCTTACACAACCAGTAGGTTAATAATGAAATGACCAGGTAAGTTAGAGAATACTTAGAGATGAATGAAAATAAAAACAAAATATATTTAAACTTACAGATGCAGCAAATGCAGTGCTAAGGGGGAAATTTATAACTATAAATGCTTACATTAAAAAAAAACAAGAAAGTTCTCAAATCAACAAACTATACAAACTATACATGGAAGTAGAAAAATAAACAAAGCTTTCCTTGTCCAAAGCTAGGACAAGGAAGTAAATAATAAAGATTAGAGAATAGATAAACAAAGTAGAGAATAGAAAAATAATAGAAAAAATCAATAAAACCAAAAGTTACTTTTTTATTAGATCAACAAAAGTGACAAACCTTTTTTTTTCCTTTTTTTTATTATACTTTAAATTCTAGGGTACATGTGCACAACGTGCAGATTTGTTACATATGTATACATGTGCCATGTTGGTGTGCTGCACCCATTAACTCATCATTTACATTAGGTATATCTCCTAATGCTATCCCTCACCCTTGCCCCACCCCACGACAGGCCCTGGGGGTGTGTGATGTTCCCCTTCCTGTGTCCAAGTGTTCTCATTGGTCAATTCCCACCTATGAGTGAGAACATGCGGTGTTTGGTTTTCTGTTCTTGCAATAGTTTGCTGAGAATGATGGTTTCCAGCTTCATCCATGTCCCTACAAAGGACATGAACTCATCATTTTTTATGGCTGCTTAGTATTCCATGGTGTATATGTGCCACATTTTCTTAATCCAGTCTATCATTGATGGACATTTGGGTTGGTTCCAAGTCTTTGCTATTGTGAATAGTGCCGCAATAAACATACGTGTGCATGTGTCTTTATAGCAGCATGATTTATAGTCCTTTGGGTATATACCCAGTAATGGGATGGCTGGGTCAAATGGTATTTCTAGTTCTAGATCCTTGAGGAATCGCCACACTGTCTTCCACAATGGTTGAACTAGTTTACAGTCACATCAACAGTGTAAAATTGTTCCTATTTCTCCACATCCTCTCCAGCACCTGTTGTTTCCTGACTTTTTAATGATTGCCATTCTAACTGGTGTGAGATGGTATCTCATCGTGGTTTTGATTTGCATTTCTCTGATGGCCAGTGATGATGAGCATTTTTTCATGTGTCTGTTGGGTGCATAAATGTCTTCTTTTGAGAATTGTCTGTTCATATCCTTTGTCCACTTTTTGAAGGGGTTGTTTTTTTTTTCTTGTAAATTTGTTTGAGTTCATTGTAGATTCTAGATATTAGCCCTTTGTCAGATGGGTAGATTGCAAAAATTTTCTCCCATTCTGTAGGTTGCCTGTTCACTCTGATGGTAGTTTCTTTTGCTGTGCAGAAGCTCTTTACTTTAACTAGGTCCCATTTGTCAATTCTGGCTTTTGTTGTCATAGCTTTTGGTGCTTTAGACATGAAGTGATTGCCCACGCCTGTGTCCTGAATGGTATTGCCTAGGTTTTCTTCTAGGATTTTTACAGTTTTAGGTCTAACCTTTAAGCCTTTAATCCATCTTGACTTAATTTTTGTATAAGGTGTAAGGAAGGGATCCAGTTTCAGCTTTCTACATATGGCTAGCTAGTTTTCCCAGCACCATTTGTCAAATAGGGAATCCTTTGCCCATTTCTTGTTTTTGTCAGGTTTTTCAAAGATCAGATGGTTGTAGATATGTGGCATTATTTCTGAGGGCTCTGTTCTGTTCCATTGGTCTATATCTCTGTTTTGGTACCAGTGCCATGCTGCTTTGGTTACTGTAGCCTTGTAGTATAGTTTGAAGTCAGGTAGTGTGATGCCTCCAGCTTTGTTCTTTTGGCTTAGGATTGTCTTGGCAATGCAGGCTCTTTTTTGGTTCCATATGAACTTTAAAGTAGTTTTTTTCCAATTCTGTGAAGAAAGTCACTGGTAGCCTGATGGGGATGGCATTGAATCTGTAAATTACCTTTGGCAGTATTGCCATTTTCATGATACTGATTCTTCCCATACATGAGCATGGAATGTTCTTCCACTTGTTTGTGTCCTCTTTTATTTCATTGAGCAGTGGTTTGTAGTTCTCCTTGAAGATTTCCTTCACATCACTTGCATGTTGGATTCCTAGGTATTTTAATCTCTTTGAAGCAATTGTGAATGGGAGTTCACTCATGATTTGGCTCTCTGTTTTTCTGTTATTGGTGTCTAAGAATGCTTGTGATTTTTGCACATTGATTTTGTATCCTGAGACTTTGCTGAAGTTGCTTATCAGCTTAAGGAGATTTTGGGCTGAGATGATGGGGTTTTCTAAATATACAATCATGTCATCTGCAAACAGGGACAATTTGACTTCCTCTTTTCCTAATGGAACACCCTTTATTTCTTTCTCCTGCCTGATTGCCCTGGCCAGAACTTCCAACACTATGTTGAATAGGAGTGGTGAGAGAGGGCATCCCCGTCTTGTGCCAGTTTTCAAAGGGAATGCTTCCAGTTTTCACCCATTCAGTATGATACTGGCTGTGGGTTTGTCATAAATAGCTCTTATTATTTTGAGATACGTCCCATCAATATCTAATTTATTGAGAGTTTTTAGCATGAAGGGCTGTTGAATTTTGTCAAAGGCCTTTTCTACGCCTATTGAGATAATCATGTGGTTTTTGTCTTTGCTTCTGTTTATATGCTGGATTATGTTTATTGATTTGCATATGTTAAACCAGCCTTGCATCCCAAGGGTGAAGCCCAGTTGATCATGGTGGATAAGCTATTTGATGTGCTGCTGGATTAGGTTTACCAGTATTTTAATGAGGATTTTTGCATCAATGTTCATCAGGGATATTGGTCTATAATTCTCTTTGTTTGTTGTGTCTCTGCCAGCCTTTGGTATCAGGATGATGTTGGCCTCATAAAATGAGTTAGGGAGGATTCCCTCTTTTTCTGTTGATTGAAGTAGTTTCAGAAGGAATGGTACTAGCTCCTCCTTGTACCTCTGGTAGAATTCAGCTGTGGATCCGTCTGGTCCTGGACTTTTTTTGGTTAGTGGGCTATTAATTATTGCCTCAATTTCAGAGCCTGTTATTGGTCTATTCAGGGATTCAACTTCTTCCCGGTTTAGTCTTGGGAGGGTGTATGTGTCCAGGAATTTATCCATTTCTTCTAGATTTTTTGGTTTATTTCCTTAGAGGTGTTTATAGTATTCTCTGATGGTAGTTTGTATTTCTGTGGGATCGTGGTGATATCCCCTTTATCATTTTCTATTGTGTCTATTTGATTCTTTTCTCTTTCCTTCTTTATTAGTCTTGCTAGTGGTCTATCAATTTTGTTGAACTTTTCAAAAAACCAGCTCCTGGATTCATTGATTTTTTGAAGGGTTTTTTGTGTCTCTATCTCCTTCAGTTCTGCCCTGATCTTAGTTGTTTCTTGCCTTCTGCTAGCTTTTAAATGTGTTTGATCTTGCTTCTCTAGTTCTTTTAATTGTGATGTTAGGGTGTCAATTTTAGATCTTTCCTGCTTTGTCTTGTGGGCATTTAGTGCTATAAATTTCCCTCTACATACTGCTTTGAATGTGTCCCAGAGATTCTGGTATGTTGTGTCTTTTTTCTTGTTGGTTTCAAAGAATATCTTTATTTCTGCCTTCATTTCATTATGTACCCAGTAGTCATTCAAGAGCAAGTTGTTCAGTTACCATGTAGTTGAGTGGTTTTGAGTGAGTTTCTTAATCCTGAGTCCTAATTTGATTGCACTGTGGTCTGAAAGACAGTTTGTTATAATTTCTATTCTTCTACATTTGCTGAGGAGTGCTTTAGTTCCAACTATGTGGTCAATTTTGGAATAATTGTGATGTGGTGCTGAGAACAACGTATATTCTGTTGATTTGGGGTGGAGAGTTCTGTAGATGTCTATTAGGTCCACTTGGTGCAGAGCTGAGTTCAATTCCTGGATATCCTTGTTAACTTTCTGTCTCGTTGATCTGTCTAATGTTGACAGTGGGGTGTTAAAGTCTCCCATTATTATTGTGTGGGGGTCTAAGTCTTTTTGTAAGTCTCTAAGAATTTGCTTTATGAATCTGGGTGCTCCTGTATTGGGTGCATATATATTTAGGATAGTTAGCTCTTCTTGTTGAATTGATCCCTTTACCATTATGTAATGGCCTTCCTTGTCTCTTTTGATCTTTGTTGGCTTAAAGTCTGTTTTATCAGAGACAAGGATTGCAACCACTGCCTTTTTTTGTTTTCCATTTGCTTGTTAGATCTTCCTCCATCCCTTTATTTTGAGCCTGTGTGTGTCTCTGCACGTGAGATGGGTCTCCTGAATACAGCACACCGATGTATTCAGACTGATAAAGGGTCTTGACTCTTTATCCAATTTGCCAGTCTGTGTCTTTTAATTGGAGCATTTAGCCCATTTACATTTAAGGTTAATATTGTTATTTGTGAATTTGATCCTGTCATTATGATGTTAGCTGGTGATTTTGCTCGTTAGTTGATGCAGTTTCTTCCTAGCCGCGATGGTCTTTACATTTTGGCATATTTTTGCAGTAGCTGTTACCAGTTGTTCCTTTCCATGTTTATTGTTTCCTTCAGGAGCTCTTGTAGGGCAGGCCTGGTGGTGACAAAATCTCTCAGCATTTGCTTGTCTGTAAAGGATTTTATTTCTCCTTCACTTATGAAGGTTAATTTGGCTGGATATGAAATTCTGGGTAGAAAATTCCTTTCTTTAAGAATGTTGACTATTGGCCCCCACTCTCTTCTGGCTTGTAGAGTTTCTGCTGAGAGATCTGCTGTTAGTCTGATGGGCTTCCCTTTGTGGGTAACCCAACCTTTCTCTCTGGCTACCTTTAACATTTTTTCCTTCATTTCAACTTTGGTGAATCTGACAATTATGTGTCTTGGAGTTGCTCTTCTCGAGGAGTATCTTTGTGGTGTTCTCTGTATTTCCTGAATTTGAATGTTAGCCTGCCTTGCTAGGTTGGGGAAGTTCTCCTGGATAATATCCTGCAGGGTGTTTCCCAACTTGGTTCCATTCTCCCCGTCACTTTCAGGTAGACCAATCAGACGTAGATTTGGTCTTTTCACATAGTCCCATATTTCTTGGAGGCTTTGTTCCTTTCTTTTTACTCTTTTTTCTCTAAACTTCTCTTCTCACTTCATTTCATTCATTTGGTCTTCAATCACTGACACCTTTTCTTCCAGTTGATCAAATCGGTTACTGAAGCTTGTGCATTTGTCACGTAGTTCTTGTGCCATGGTTTTCAGCTCCATCAGGTCATTTTAGGACTTCTCTACACTGGTTATTCTAGTTAGCCATTCGTCTAATCTTTTTTCAAGGTTTTTAGCTTTTTGCAATGGGTTTGAACTTCCTCCTTTAGCTCGGAGAAGTTTGATCATCTGAAGCCTTCCTCTCTCAACTTGTCAAAGTCATTCTCCGTCCAGCTTTGTTTCATTGCTGGTGAGGAGTTGCATTCCTTTGGAGGGTGAGAGGCGATCTGATTTTAGAATTTCAGCTTTTCTGCTCTGTTTTTTTCCGATTTTTGTGGTTTTATCTACATTTGGTCTTTGATGAGGGTGACATACAGATGGGGTTTTGGTGTGGATGTCCTTTCTGTTTGTTAGTTTTCCTTCTAACAGTCAGAACCCTCAGCTGCAGGACTGTTGGAGTTTGCTGGAGGTCCACTCCAGACCCTGTTTGAATGGGTATCAGCAGCGGAGGCTGCAGAACAGCATATATTGCTGAACAGCAAATGTTGCTGCCTGATCGTTCCTCTGGAAGCTTCATCTCAGAGGGGTACCCGGCCATGTGAAGTGTCAGTCTGCCCCTACTGGGGAGTGTGCCTCCCAGTTAGGCTACTCGGGGGTCAGCAACCCACTTGAGGATGCAGTCTGTCTGTTCTCAGATCTCAAACTCTGTGCTGGGAGAACTACTACTCTCCTCAAAGCTGTAAGACAGGGATATTTAAATCTGCAGAGGTTTCTGCTGCCTTTTGTTCAGCTATGCCCTGCCCCTAGAGGTGGAGTCTACAGAGGCAGGCAGGCCTCCTTGAGCTGCCATGGGCTCCACCCAGTTCGAGCTTCCTGGCTGCTTTGTTTACCTACTCAAGCCTGGGCAATGGCAGGCACCCCTCCCGCAGCCTAGCTGCCACCTTGCAGTTAGATCTCAGACTGCTGTGCTAGCAATGAGTGAGGCTCCATGGGCATGGGATCCTCCAAGCCATGCATGGGATATAATCTCCTGGTGTGCCTTTTGCTAAGACCCTTGGAAAAGTGCAGTATTAGGGTGGGAGTGACCTGATTTTCCAGGTGCTGTCTGTCATGGCTTCCCTTGGCTAAGAAAGAGAATTCCTTTTCCCCTTGCACTTCCTGGGTGTGGCAATGCCTCACCCTACTTCAGCTCACACTCGTTGGGCTGCACCTACTGTCCTGCACCCACTGTCTGACATGCCCCAGTGAGATGAACCCAGTACCTCAGTTGGAAATGCAGAAATCATCTGTCTTCTGGGTCGCTCATGCTGGGAGCTATAGACTGGAGCTGTTCTTTTTCAAAAGTGACAAACTTTTATCTAAATAGACTAATATAAAAGAGCAAGGATTCAAATTGCGACAATCTGAAGTGGAAAAGGGGATATTGCTACTAATCTTACAGCAGTAAAAATCTCTCTCTCTCTCTCTCTTTCTCTCGATCTATCTATCTATCTATCTGAGGATGCTACAGGCAATTTTATGCCAACAATTGAATAACCTGGATGAAATGGAAAGAATCCTAAAAGCACAGACACTCTCAAGACTGACTCATAAAGAAATAGAAAGTATAAATAGACTTATAACTAGTCATGGGATTGAATTAGTAACTGATTACCTCTCAAAAAATATAAGCACTGGATCTGATGACCTCACTGGTAAATTCTGCCATTTAACAATGAACTAACATAAATTCTCAAGCTTACCTCAGAAAATTGAAAAGAAGGGAACATTTTCTGACTTATTTTATGAAGCCAGCACTACCCTGATACAGAAAAGGGGCAAAGTCATTACAAACAAAACAAAATTACAGGCCAATATTCCTTATGATCATTGATGTGAAAATTCTCAACACAGTACTAGTTAACTAAATACATCAACAGTTGAAAGGATTTTACATCATGACAAAATGGGATTTATTCCTGAATTAAAAGAATGACTCAACATATAAAAATCTCTCAATATAATACATGACATTATAAATAAAGGTAAAAAATACAGTTACCTTATTTGATTCAGAGAAAGCATTTGACACAATTCAATATTTTTATAATAAAAACACTTTAAAAACTAGAGAACTTCTTCAGGCTGATAAAGGACATTTATGAAAATCCTATAGTTAATATAATTCACAGTGGTGAAACACTGAAAGCTGTTTTTCTAAAATCAAGAGGAAGACAAGAATGCCAGCTTTCACCACTTCTATTCCATATAGTCCTGGAAGTACTAGCAATAAAAAACAATAAAAGGCATCCAAATCTGGAAGGAAGAAGCAAAATGATCTCTCTTTGCAGATTATATGATCTTATATGTAGAAACCCTAAAGCTTCTACCAACACACACAAAATTTACTTGAACTAATGAACGAATTTAGCAAAGTAACAGGATACACAGTCAATGCATAAAAATCAGTTGTATTTCTATATATTAACAAGTAATAATGTGAAAAGTAAATCTTGGAAAACAATAACGTCAAAAATAAAGAAATACTTAAGACTAAACCTAAGGAAATAAAAAACTTGAAAAATAATCTACAAAGCATTGCTGAGAGAAATTAAAGAAGATAAAAATGAATGGAAAGAGAACTCATATTCATGGATTGGAAGGCTAATATTAGTGAAATGTCAATATTACCCAAAGTAATCTTTGTTTTTTCTTCAGAAATAGAAAAATACATCCTAAAATTTATGTATCATCTCAAGAGATACTGAATAGCCAAAATAATCCTGAACATGAAAAACAAAGATGAAAGACTTATGTTTTCTTTTTTCTTTTTCTTTTTTTTTTTTTTTTTTTGAAATGGAGTCTCATTCTTTCACCCTGGCTGGAGTGCAGTGGTGCAATCTCAGCTCACTGCAACCTCTGCCTCCTGGGCTCAAGTGATTCTCATGCCTTAGCCTCCCAAGTATCTGGGATTACAGGTGATCACCACCATGCCCAGCTAGTTTTTTTGTATTTTTAGTAGAGTTAGGGTTTCTCCAGGTTGGTCAGGCCAGTCTCAGACTCCTGACCTCAAGTGATCTGCTCGCCTTGGCCTCCCAAATTTCTGGGATTACAGGTGTGAGCCACTGCACCTGGTCAGGACTTACATTTTCATATTTCAAAACTTACTACAAAGCTGCAACAATCAAAACTTTGTATTACTGGCATAAAGACAATATATAGTCCAATCAAATACATTAGAGAACCCAGAAATAAACCTTTACATATATGGTCAAATGATTTTCAACAATGAGGCCAAAACCAATAAAGAGGAAAAGCTATTTTTTTTCAACAAATTGTGTGTGGAAAACTGGATATTGAAATGCAAAACAGTGGAATTGGACCCTTAACTTATGCCACATATAAAAATTAAAATGTTTAAGGATGTAAATGTAAGAGTTACAATTCTAGAATTCTTATAAAAATTTTAAGGAAAAAACATCATGCCATTGTATTTGACAATGATGTCTTAAATATGATGCCAAAGGCTGAGACAATTAAAGGAAACTTAGCCAAATTGGACTTCATGAAAATTAAAAACTTTTGTGCATAAAAAGCCACTATCAAGAGTGAAAAGGCAACCCACAGATAGGAAGAAAATATTTGCAAATTATATCTCTGATAAGGAATTATTACCAGAATAAATTAACTAAAAACTCAATAACATAAAACAAAACCTGATTCAAAAATGGGTACAAGACTTGAATGTAGATATTTCTCCAAATGTAATTCAGAGTCTCTCATCTCTCTGCCTATCAGGAGAGCTTTTATAATATGCTGGGATCCAGATAGAGTGAGTTGTGGAATGATTCACTTACATTGAAAATTATATTTAAAATAGCTCTTTATTCAAATTCACTTACAAATAACTCTAGTAATCTTTTGACTTACAAATCATGAACATAGCTCCAATGCCTCATTGCTGAAGAAAATTAGTTACATTTATTGTCCAATAAGCACATGAAAACTTGTGCAACATCACTAATCATTAGAGTAATGCAAATGAAAACCATGAAGAGATATCACTTTGCACCCATTAGGATGACTACCTCAAAAAGAAAAGAAAAGTGTTTGTGAGGATATGGAGAAAGTAAAAACTTTTTATATTATTGGTGGTTGGTGGGAACATAAAATGGTACAGTTACTGTGGAAAACAATATGGTGATTTCTTGAAAAACTTAGAAATCATCTTAACCATATGATTCAGCAATTTCACTGCTGGTATATTCCCAAAATAATCAAAAGCATTGTCTCAAAGACATATTTGCACATCTATGTTCACAGCAGCATTAGTCACAGTAGTCAGAAGATAAAAGCAATGTAAGTAGATAAACAGATAAGCAAAATGTGATCTATATTTTATATATATATATATATATATATCTCCATTGGTATATATATTAGTAGATGAATAACAAAATGTGATATATATATATATATATATCCATTGGTAGATGAATAGATAAACAAAATGTGATTTTACATGTACACAAAAATTGAATATTATTTATTATTTTTAACTGACATAAAATTGTATATATTTATGGTGTACAATGTCTTATTTTAATGCATGTATATATTTTCTTAACTTTGGGAACATTCAAAATCTTCTCTACCAGCTATTTGAAAATATGCCATAAATGGTTATTAACTGTAGTCACCCCACAGTGCTGCCTGTAGAGCACTAGAACTTACTTCCCCTATCTAGCTGTAATTTTGTATCTGTTAAACAACCAATCCCTATCCTTACTACCCTCTAACCTTCCCGGTCTCTAGTAACCACTACTCTATTCTCTACTTCTATAAGATCAACTGTTTTAGCTTCCACTCGTGAGTGAGAACGCGCATGATTTGTGTTTCTGTTCCTGGCTTATTCACTAAGCATAATGTCCTCCAGGTTGATCCACATTGCCACAAATAAATATTTTATTATTTGTATGGCTAAATAGTATTCCCACAATGGAATATTATTAAGCTTTAAAAAGGATGAACTATTCTGACACATGCTGCAACATGGCTACAACCTTGAGGTCATTATCCTAGATGAATAAAAAACAGTCACAAAAAGGTGAATATTGAATGATTCCACTTACATGAAGTACCGGGAGTAGTGAAAATCATAGAGAAAGAATGAAGAATTACAGTTGGGGCTGAAGGCAGGAGACAGTAGGCATAGAGTTTCAGTTTTTTAGATGAAGAGTTCTGGTGATGGATTGTGGTGATTGTTGTGCAACAATATGTATGTGTTCAATGCCACTGAACTGCATAACTAAAACTGGTTAAGATAGTAAAATGTTATGTTATTTGTACTTTCCATAAAATAAAAATATTTAAAAATATTAACTTGTCTTTTAAATTATTTAAATTATTGAATAAATACATAATATTTTCTTACATTCAGTATTTAATGACCTAATTTTTCTATTGGCAAATTAAAAAAATCATTGGAGTTAAATAAAATTGTTTTCATGCCCATTTGCTAAAATTAATAACAAGTTAAAGCTTTATACTTTTATTTTATCATTTTTCCATGTTTGAGATATGGTACCTTTTTATTTAATACAGTTTGGGCATTTCAAATACAAAAATAAAATCCAAAATGCTCCAAAATTCAATTTACTTTTTGAGTGTCGATATTATGCTAAAAATATTCAATGAGGCAGTTCAGATTTTGTATTTTCAGATTTAGGATGTCTGATTGGGGTAGGCATAATGTAAATATTCCAAAATCTGAAAAAAAATTCAAAATCTGAATAACTTCTGATCCCAAGCATTTCAAATAAGGGACACTCAACCTGTAATACCTGTTCAAATTGCATTAGAACTGTCCATGTGTGCTTTAGAAAGTTTTTAAATAAAAGATCTTTATTCTCTATTTGTTAAATCAATCTCATTGGCATTTGCAAATTTATTCACCATTGGTATTTTAAAGAATTTAGAGTCTTTCTAAATCTGTCTGCATGATTATTCCTTCAACGTGTAACTATATTGTACAATGACCAAGACTGAGGAGTTTTAGCAAGATAAGTCAAGGGAAACATTTTGTATATGGAAATAGTGTGTATATGTTCTAGAGAGATAAATCAATAGGAGGAAAAATAAAATAACTGAAGAAAAATGGAGTCATACATATTAAGCTAATAGTTAATCCCATATGATGAAAAACCTAGAGTAAACAGTTTACTAAGGTGACATTTTCTAAACAAACCTTTACACATTTACTAGTAACCAAATTATTAAAATAATTTTATTTTATAGAACATATAATTGTAAATATTTTATTCAAGAATGACCTAAACATTCAGTGTCAATGTAAGAGAATATTTTCTAAAACAGTTCATTCACTAGTTAATGTTTCACATAGAAGACAATGAAATTGTATCTGTTTTAGTTATGAAATTCAACTAACACATAAATTAGCCACACACAAAACATGTTCTCCATCCAATCTTTGCACCATCTATCCCTTTATGATTTGTTTGTCATTCCTAACTTTATCACCAGTGCTGAGTGTAACAACAACTTTCTCTGGTTTATTATTTCCTCTCTCACGTCTGTCTTTCATCTACTCATTCTTTCTCCTCATTGTTTAAGCAAACTCCGGTACTTTTTCTCTTAAAAAAAAAAAAAAAAAGCAAAACACAACAAAACAAACAAACGAAAAAGTAAAATTATAAAGACCATATCCCCATCAAGGTAATATCCTTCATGCTTCTTCAAAACCAATATTTTAGAAATACTTTTATACTCTCGCTATTAGTATTCACACACCTTCCACTTTTTTCTCATCTCACAGGAGACTATATTATATTCAAAATAATTCATCAAAACTGAGTTTTAAATAACATCCACAAACCAGCCAAATCTTGGATAAATTTGAGACGTCCCTCACTACTTACTTTATTCACTCATTAACACTAAAAATGGTTGACTACTGCTTTTTTCTTAAAATAATGTTGGCTATTTCCTGTACCACGCATCCATCTTACCATCTTTCTCTAACTTGTTTTCTGTTCCTTCTCAGTCTTTCTCTGTTGAGAAAGTTTGCTTTCTCAGTTTGCTCTGTTGACTCAGAGCAAAATAATTCTCCGGCCCTCTCTTTTCTCAATCACATTATCTCTTTAGGTTACGTGACTCTCTCTTGGTGCTTTGCTTCCTAGCTTCAGATGAGCAGAAAATTCACTGTAAGAAAGTTAGATTCAAGACGACATCAATTTCCATATCCAATCTATTCTCTCTTCCAATCTATTTCCAATAACCGTCACTTCTGATCTCTAAATCTAAGAGAAATGTCCTTTTTTCGAACGCATTATTATCATTCTAGTCCAATTTAGTTATTTCTCAACTTAGTCTCATATCCAGTCTTCGATTTCTGTTATGTGACAAGAGTGATAATTTGTTTTTAGTGTTTTAATTTAGTTTAAAGTAGTGTTTGAATTAAGATGTTTTTCTGTCGTTTCTTTACTTAAAACCTAGAAATGGTATCACATTGCTTTTATATAATAAGGTATTACATAGTTAATTCAACACTAAAGACCTTTATCATAAGGTTCCTCCCTCTCTCCCCTATTCTTGCAGCCTCATGCCACCTAGTTATCCACTGCTTCGCATCTACACCCTGATCTTACAGTTGTTTCCTGAAGCTTGCACTACTCACTTCTTTTTTTTTTTTTTTTTTTTTTTTTTTGAGACAGAGTCTTGCTCTGTCGCCCAGTCTGGAGTGCAGTGGTGCGATCTCGGCTCACTGCAAGCTCTGCCTCCTGGATTCACTCCATTCTCCTGCCTCAGCCTCCCGAGTAGCTGGGACTACAAGTGCCCGCCACCACGCCCGGCTAATTTTTTTTTTTTTTTTTGTATTTTTAGTGGAGACGGGGTTTCACCGTGTTAGCCAGGATGGTCTTGATCTCCTGACCTCGTGATCCTCCCACGTTGGCCTCCCAAAGTGCTGGTATTACAGGCGTGAGCCACCGTGCCTGGCCACACTACTCACTTCTAATCTAAGATCTTTAAATATCCTCTTCTCTAATTGCAACACCCCTTCCTCTCAACCTGTTTTATCTAGTGAACTCCAACTCCTATTTGGGTTGCTGTTTAAATGTTACTTCCAACGAGAAGCTTTTCCTGATTCCCACTAAACTTAGAGCTTCCTGCTCTATATTTGTTTACTTATAAACTTTTATTTCAAAATAAGTGTCAGATTTTAAATACATCAACTAAATTCATTTTTATGTTTAATGTTTATATTCTACTTCAGACTATTAGTGAATATATCTATATTAGTGACAAATGAAAGCTTAGTCCAAACAATGGTAGACACTCAGTACTTGATTAATGAAGGAGAAACAGGAAGAATTAACTGGGGTAGGGAAGTGGTGAAAGAGAGTAGAGGGGGGATGTGGAATAAAGGCCACGAGTGTGAGAATGAAATTGAAAGTGATGTAAAAGGAAAAATGAGATTTATAATGTGAGGATTATAGGACAGTGGGGATCCAGAATGGCTTATTTACTTGCTAAAATAATGATTTATTAAACTGTTAATTATCTGTGTAAATATTATAATTGTGATCATCATTGTTAGCACTGATCTATACCTCAGAAATTAAGTAAAATCTATAACTCGACAAATATGGAGACTCAGCCCAGGGAAAGTAAATGATTCTCAGCTTCTTAATACATTTGTCAATATGATGGTTATGCAAGGACAATGCTTTACTTATGTAATACTGATATTCAAAGTTAAAAAGCTTACTTAAAGTATATATTGCTGAGCCAAAAATGTTTACATTTTTATAAAATGAAATAGTTGAATTCGTTCTATAGATATATGTAAATTTATATTTTAAACTAGCCATATTCATAAATTGATCCGCTAAAAGTTATTTAAAGTGTATTTTTACTTCTTGGGATTAATATTTTAAAATTCAGCTTTTGATTAGCAATGAGTTTAATGTAACTAATATCTGGAAGCCTAGATATACACTTGTATTCATATAATTATTTTTGATTTGCTAGCCTTCAGTTTGATAAATGAAGTTTAAAAATTAATTTCCTGTGTTTCTAATTCATGAATCTGTATTTAAATACACAGATGACACATATTTAACTGAGTGATGTTTTATGTTAATTCAGATGCGACATGAGGAGACTATACAAATAACATATATAAAGTACCTTTATATCTTTGAAGGAAACAATTTACATAAAAGTAAAGTACTTGTTACTTTGAGGCTTGTATACTAAAGTATATTATTTAAATGTGGGGTCTGAATACTGTAATATGTTTACTGTTATATTTTTCAGAGGCAGTAACTTTATTTTTAATTTTTGTTGCAAGAATAGTAGGACTTTTCTGATGTTTACAGAAGGCTGAATTTTTTTTTCTGCAGCAATAAAATCTTATTTTATTGCCTATTCCTATTTCACTTCACAATAATAATTATAATGACTTTGAAACCCTCTTGGCATTTTGTAAGTAACAGAGTGAATAAAACCATGTCAACTTTTCTTTTTATTGTAAAATCTCAGTACTTAAAAGTTGCTGATAAGAGACTGGAAAGCTCAGGAGCTTTATAACAGGAAAAATATAATCTAGATCTTTAGCAGTGTTTCAAGTATGACCCGGGTCAGTAATCATCAAAATATCTAAGTACCTCAGTAATAGTTACCCATAGAAAATACATATTTAACTTTTACTAAAGATATATAAAGCAATTTGGGGTAAATCCTTCAATAAATGTAACTAATTTTCTTCAGCCATGAGGCATGGGAGCTATGTTCAGGATTTGTAAGTCAAAAGATGACCATAGTTATTTGTAAGTTTACCATAGTTACTTGTAAGTGAATTTATTTATTTTAAATATAATTTTCGATGTAAGTGAATCATTCCCCAACTCAAGCTATCTGGATACCAGCATATTATAAAAGCTCTCCTGATAGGCAGAGAGCTGAGAGTCTCTGAATTAAATGGATATAACTTGCTTACATTTTCTAGCATGTTGGCTCATACATTGTAAGCAGATAGTAGCTATTCATTATTAATAATGATGACTATAGTTCCCAGTTCTGTCATATCCTGAATCACATTGCCTAGTGCAAGGATGTGCTCAGGTTGATCTTGTTTACCAATATGATTTTAAAATGTGCTTCTGGTCCTCAAATCCTACTAGCCCTTCTTAAATGTGACCATTCCAACAATAAGCAACTGCCAAAAGGTAATAAAATAAAAGGTAACCAAATAAAATAAATAAAATAGGTAATACTCTATTAACACCTGTACATACAAATACCTCACTGTCCCTCAGTACAGGGCTTTTCTCCATAGTTTGGCCAGAGCTCATGACATAAAGGCTTCTCCCTCAATTTGAGATGACAAGGACTATAGAGTAGACCCTGAGCTTTGTACTTAACTAGCTGAATGGATAAGGATGCCTGAATGAACTGTCCCGAGAAACCAAAGCCTGCCTTAGAAGCTAGAACCAGAATACACTAGTGAGAAAGGGTGAAGTGTTTGCTCCTTTCTTTTAACAAATAATATCATATCCTACTATTAAACTCAGCTCAAAGAATGTGATAGGCTTTCACTAATTAGATTAGCAAAGCTTCTTCGCTGGAAATGCAGTGAGGGAGAGGTGTGAGCCTGGCATAGAGAGGAGGAACCAATGAATATTCAGAGCCAGAGTTATTCACAAAACCTGCTCATAGAAAAATAAGAAATTACTTACATTTGAGTTTCATGTAATCATCGTAGCTTCTGTTCACTTTGGGGAAATTTTATGAGATAAAAACTACACATATCAAGATTCAAATTCTACCTCTTTCCACTTTTTAAAATTCATCTTGAAAAGACTTATGAGATATCTATTAATTCCACTCTCCATCTGTAAAAGGGTTGCAATATTAGCCATATTTGATAAGAATCAAATAAGATAATAGATTTTAAGAAGTTATCTGTGAATTATTTATATACATTAACAATAAAATAATTCTATAGTCAAATATGTTTGCGAGGAAACATCTTTGTATTAGTATTTGTCAGAAACATTAATATGTATTACAAATCTCCAGAGGAGGATATGGCAGGGTTTTTCTTCAAAATTATTTATCTACAGAAACTTTTTTTCAAAAAGCAGTTCAGAGAATTAATATTTTGCTAAGAAACCACTGGGAAACTTGGAGGTAAGCATTGTAAATATAGTGACTAAGAGAACACTTAATTTATTGAAATTTCTGGGCTTTGTGGCTTATGAACAATGCATATTTTGTGTTAACCATATCCTTTGAGTTATATTATATGGGTGAAATCATAATATTTGTGTGGGATATATAAAGAATGTAAAGCAGAAATTTCAGAGTGTGGGCATCAAATTCTACTAGGGTTTCAGATACTGGAATAAAAATAATTGAAGGTGTTTTCATCTTAGCTTTTATAAAACTGGCAGAATAATTTTTTAAAAGTTCTGGCTCTTCATCAATCAGAAGCTTAGAAATAGAGCTTTAAGAAAGGGCTTGATTAAAATAAACAAAAAGAAAGATAAAAAAGATAGAAAATGAAGGAAAGAATGGAGGGAGGAAGGGAAGGAGGCAGAAAGGAAGGAAGGAAGGAAGGAAGGAAAGAAACGAGGAAGGAAGGAAGGAAGGAAGGAAGGAAGGAAGGAAGGAAGGAAGGAAACGAGGAAGGAAGGAAGGAAGGGAGGGAGGGAGGGAGGAAGGGAGGGAGGGTGTATTGTCTTGGAGATAATGGCAGTGATACTTGGCTGCGCAGCAGAGGAGACTTAAAATATCTAGAGCCAAGGAGTCTCTCTGCAAAGTCTCAATAAATTCTTTTCTCTTGAATTGAATGAGTCCAGATTCCTTTACTCAATTAATGCATATTATTTGTTACTGGAAAATTGTCATATATACAGCAGAGCAATTGCTGTTTCAAGAGAAAGTAGGAGAATACTATTACTATATGTTCAAAGACTAGAAAGAAGACTTTCCAGGTTTATGGACAGTAGCAGTTGTGGGTTTAATATTAATAATACTGATAATGCAGAAAGCTTTCTTCATCAAAATGCTCAAGATGTTACTTTCTGATCTCCTATATTCCACCTTTATTTGGGTCAAAATCTTTGTTATTTTAATTCTTATATTATCCCATACACTAAGTATCAAAAAGCAGTACCATTTATTGGAAGTTACTAATTTCTTAGTGCTGCTGTTTCTCCATCTTTACACTAGAATAACAACATTTAATCACTAAAAACATAGAATATTAGAACTAAAAACAATCACATGAATGTAAACTCATTTTGTAACCAAAATCTGGGCAAAAGAAAAATAGATCATTGAGTGCTGGCTTTTAAGACTGCTCCTCTGTATTATATTGTCCCATCTGCACTCTATGCTGTATGCTGCTGAGTGATGCCAAGATCCATCTCCCACTCCATCCACCCTGTGTTACCTCAATGAGCATAATTTCAGATCTATTACAACTAGAGTGTTTTGACGAATAAAAAATATCTAGAGAGAGCATAGAGAAAGAGAGAAAAAAAGAAAATCTACGTTCCACTTAAAGAAAAGCCTGCCAAATATTATTTAAAATACCAGCATTTCTCATCCATAAAGCAAACACTTAAACTAAAATATAGAAGACTTTAGTAAAGTTTAGTAAAGTTTCTTAATTCCATAAGGCAAGTAATGCTGAATTCACATTTAGTTTTGCAAAAGGATAAACCACTGTATCGTGCAGGAGCATAGAAGTATGGTTGTAGTAAAAGATTTTCTAGTGTTTCTCTAAATAATAGATTAATGTCACTGGTAATTGTGCAGTTAATCCTCAGGTGGCAGGAACTTTAAATACCTGATGTGACAAGTTATGCAAATACCAAGACGAACCATAGGAAATGCTTAATTTACTCAATTCTCTTAGAGAGAGGAATTATAGAAATCCATTGCTTGGGTTTCATAAAATTTTAAAATATTCTACAAAAATTCAATTATATGCATGTTTTCTGTGCTAGCTGAATATAACCAATATCTTTATACTAGCAGAGCTGTCAGAGGAAAAGAAAGCCAACATTGTCTATAAGATTTTCCAGTGAAATTATGTTGATATAGGGACTGGAGCTTTCCATTGTTTTGGATTGTATTCCTTTGTTGTCTTCAGCATAAAATGCTGAAGTCCCACGACCCCACCTGCTGTAAAATGTTAGGCTATGCAAAAAGTAAATTTCAAAATATGTTCTATTCCTGTACTTATTCCTGTGGGACTGCCCAATTTGCTAGACTTGTTGAGAATGATCCCCCACTAATAGGATTCCTCTGTAGCTACAGTAAATTTAAAGCAGTTTCCTTTGGTCCTGTGGTAAGAAGTTCAAGACCATGACCTAGAATTAAGGAGTGAGTACTAGTGCAACTTTTACCATGCATTTTCTAACTCTGTCAGATGATCTACTTTTGAAAGACAATTAGTTCTTCTAGCTTAATGATTTTTGGCTCTTCGTACCTGCCTGCAGCAATATTTTTGAATACAGATCCACTTTTAATGACATCCTCATTTTTGATGTTCTTTGACACCTCTCCCATAGACAGCTTCATTATACATTATATGGATGTGAGGGCAGAACTAGAAGGCACATGTTTGCTTATCCAATTTTACTGCAGCCCTTTATCAAATTTGCTCCTCCAGCTTTAGATCTTCTTGTATGAAATAGACTCCACAAGACACCACACACAATTGTGACGGATTTTCATTTATTTCATCTCAGCTCCTAATTCATTTATCATTGCAAAGAGGGCTCGGACTCTTTAAATCCTTTTTTAATTTTTTTTGTCAGCTGGAAAAATTGAAACCTTTTTCAATTTAAAGTTGGAAAGTGACATTATGTCATTGACATTTTAAAACATAACTCAGAGACAATACAGGAGGACGAGGCCTCCATTCCTGGTTCCTATGCGTTCCTGGCAGACTCCTGCACACAGAAGTCTTCTTCGGAGTTTATCCTACAGAGTGTGGAAAGTTTTCTAGTGCTGGCTCTCCAGCACGAGCAGCTTCTCTATCAGCTAATGCAAGCAGGGTTCAAGTTTTCTCCAGCACCTGGCTCTAACATTGTGAGAGCACTTTTTCCAGCATCAGGCTTCTGCAGCACAGGTGGCTCCTTCAGTGTCCAGCTCCTGTAGTCCAGGGCAGTCAGCTACATCCAACGACTAGTAGCTTCCCTGGCTCCCCTGTCTTGAAGTTCCATAGTGGAGTGCGTCCAACGTGACATGGATTTCTGTGGCAACATAGAGGGCAGATTTCTTGTAAGATTCACGAGTGCAATAACACAGCTACTTCTCTGCCATCCAGTGAGGAATTCATTCTTCAACAAGGTCTGAATCTCAACCCTGGTGTAGGGATTTCTCTTTTTTAGTTGTTTTATCATAGTTCAAGTGGTACTGACTTCTCCTTATAGTTACTATTCTTGTATTTCTTAGAGTTCTCTTTACTATACTTTCTTCACCATGATAATTTTATGTGCCAACTTGGGTAGACTATGGTGACTAGTTGTTTAGTCAAACACTACTCTAGATGTTGATATGGAAGTATTCTTTAGATGTAACTAACAGTTGCAATTAGTTGACCTTAAGTAAAGCAGACTTCTACGATTTTGGTAGGCCACTTCCAATTAGTAGAAGGTATTGAAAGGAAAAGCCTGAGGTTTCCAAAAGAAATTCTGCCTTAGTTTTCTACCTTCACACTGAAGGCTGCAATAGTTACTCCTATCTGAATCTCCAGACTGCTAGTTTGCTTTACTGATTTTGGATTTCCCAGCTTCCAGAATCTGATGAGCCATTCCCTTAAAATAAATCGGTCTTTCTCTATATATGTCCTATTGGTTCTCTTTCTCTCAAGAACCCTAAGTAATATGCTAGCCAGTCCCTCATTAATCAAATATTTTGTTAGAAGTAATAATTTTTATATTAAACTTTGCCTATACAGATTATTGTGTGGTTTCTGTTTCCTGATTGAATCCAACTGTTTTAATGTTCTTCCAAACCTACAGACAGCCTATAGTTCTGTGAGGGAAGTTTCTGGTAATAGAGTTAGGTTCCTAAAAGACAGCATCCAGTATCCGGAAGTGTTTCACAGTCTTCCTCTATATCCATTCCTGTTTGTCTTTTTCTAGGCTTCTGATCATCTTGGTTTGAGGTGAGGTATGAAGTGCTACAGGAAACAAAATTCATTGCCTAAAACAATTGTTACACCTATATGTTAAAGTTTTATATGCCTGTTTTTTCAAGTACATACCATTTTCCTTATTTTTGTCATGAATATATTTCAAATAAAAGAGAAAAGATAACAGCAATCATTCACTAATTAGAAAGAACACCATATACTAATAATATAGATAATTAAAGTTATTAAAAGTAGTAGAAAAATAGGTCAGCTCACATTTAGAAACAAACAGAAGAGAATAGGTTACAACTGAAAACAAACATAGAGAAGAGAATAAGTTTTATGGTGTTCATATTTCAAAGAGATGATTTTGTGGAAAATGTAACTTGAGTTGCCGCCTTCTTTTTCATCTATATAAACATGCTTCCAGTAACCAGGTACCTGGGAATGATTTTTTTGCATTCACTTCTCTTTATTCCCTCTCACTAATACTTCACCAAGTTCAGTACTCATTGTCACCAAAATGTATCTAAAATGAATTTACTTTCCTCCACTGGTACCCATTCACTACACTAACCCTTGGATTATTAGCCTTAGCTAATTCGCTATCATTTCTCCTCTCCATTACTGCATTGGTTTCCCAAATAGCCTTTCAGATTTCACTATTCCTTCTTTCAATCCAATTTTTATGATCAGCCTAAGTTATGTTTCAAAATGTCAATGATATAATGTCACTTTCCAACTTTAAACTTACAGATGACAGCACATGCTTTTGAAAATGAAAAGTAAATTCCTTAAAGTGAACTAAAGCAAAAAACTAACAACAATTAACTAATATATATTGTGCTTTTATCTTAAGCCAGGAACCATTCTAAATCTCCTGTACATAGTGAACAATTTATATTTCATAATAATCTGCTACTTAATATTGTATAGGAAATAATATTATTGTTTTATAAATGAGGAAAATAGGCACAAGAAAAATAAATAAACCATTTGCCCCTGGGTCATATAACTAAAGACAAGTACTGTCAGATTTAAAACACAGAATTTCTGTCTAACTCTAGAATTGAGAAGGCTAATCTGCATGCTTTCCCCAGATTTTTGTTCAGCATTGTTCTCCATAGGCATCAAATGCAGCTCCTCCACTTACTCACTATGCCATAACCACACTGGTATTTTAAACCTTTCTACAATGTACCAACTCCTTTCCTTTTCAGGCTTTCCCACATGCTGTTTTATCTTTCTGGTATGCTTTTCCTCCCACTGTCCACATGGTTATTTTTATTCATCTTTTAGCATTCAACTTAAATGTCACTTCTCTAGAAAAATTACAGGATCACTGCCCAAACTGAAAAAAAAAAAAGATTCTACATGTTATGTTACTCTACCATAGGATCTGTATTTTTTATGAATTGCACTTATGATAAAACGTGTATATATTTTTCTCTATTTGTATAATATCCCTTTTCTCAAATAAAGTTTGTAAGGACAAGGATTGAGTCTGTTTTATTCATTAAAAGGTTTCCAGTGCCAAGCAATAAATAGTTTATGGATGACAGATCAAGTGAGGTGTGGAGGCAGATCTCTTGATAGGAAGCTGAAGGGGTTTCCATCTGGCAGCTTCCTTTATTTCTGAACACAGGATCTTTTCTCAGTGAGAGATGAAAAATAGTCTGATGTGTGAGGAATATGGAAAAGTTTAATAACACTGTTGCATAAAGTGAAGAATGAATATATGGTGGTAGCAATCTGTCCTATGGAATGATTGATTTAAATACATATCAGTCACTGTAGAGAGTATGAAAAAAGAAAACAAAATGGTAAGTATTTGAGTTTAGTCATATTTGGGGTTTGGGCACATGATTAAAATGCAAAGACAGAGGTAAGGAATCAACTCTAAAGTGAGGAGCATTAGAACTGACACTGCATGTTATGGGTGTAATGTGGGTGCTAAGACAAAATGACCTGATGTTTCAGTCATTTAATGAAACAGTTGTAACAGCAGTGGCTGCAGAAACAAGCAGGGAAGAGGAATGTTATCGTAAGATATAGAGATATTTGAATTCCTGAAAACAGTGGAGCTCTTTTGGATGTTGGATTGGAAGCAGGTGGCTGAAGTATAATGGAGATAGTCATTGGAGATGAGAACGTCAAGGAACTGAGAGGCCAGTGTGTGTGACCGAGGAGTCTACGGTGAGATTGAAACTTCCCAGGAGGAAGAAAGAAGTTGGGATAGTGATAAAAACTATGAGGCAGAAAAGTTTTCCAATAATTTGATGGAACAGTGATCCCAAAGCGGCATTAAGGAGCAATTAAATCAGCAATCTCAGCTTTGAGACCTAGGATAAGAAAATAACTTCCCTGAGTTTCAAAGAGCTGTATCAGGAATAATCTTTGAGGTTCATGAAAATTTATTTTCGGCAAATAGAAGAAAGGTATTTCTGAGTGATGTCATGGCTATAAAGGTCTTGGTTAATTAAAGAATAAGAGTTTTAGAGAGTAGAGTGGGGTATTTTGGGAGAGAAGGGAGAGAATGAAAGTTTTATCAGTATCAAAAGCCAGAGAATTGTGAAGATAATACAGCAGAGAATGCTTAACTCTCATGGAGTGAACCCCTTTAAACTTTTTTTATTTATCTGGGAAAATAAGTATGCTAGGTAAGGTAAATTCCATCTTGACATATTCTTGTGAATTTATGAATCTTTGAGTATAACCTAATACAGGTCTAGTACATAATTTGAAGAAGTTCTTGTAACTGTGGTATAGGACTAGATATTGCCTTTTTCATAAACACAGATTCAATAGCTGTCGTATTTATGCATGTACCTGCAGCTGGTATATGGGAGAGGGGAATCTTAAGACAAAAGGTCCAAAAATGTATCAGACTGGTACTCAGTGTACTTTGGTTGGCACTTTTGCCATACTAGCAATAAGGGACACTATCTGCACTCTCATTGCACAGCATAAATCTCATTTTCACTAAAATATTCGTAATTTTTGAAAGTTTGTAATATTGTAAGTCTCCCATTCCAAAATGTATGTTACTTTTCTTTCATAAAATATCACAAATAGGCCGGGTGTGTGGTGGCTCATGCCTGTAATCCCAGCACTTTGGGAGGCCGAGGCGAGCGGATCACGAGGTCAGGAGATCTAGACCATCCTGGCCAACATAGTGAAACCCCATGTCTACCAAAAATACAAAACTTAGCCGGGCATGGTGGCGCATGCCTGTAATCCCAGCTACTTGGGAGGTGGAGGCAGGAGAATCCCTTGAACCAGGCAGTTGGAGGTTGCAGTGAGCCGAGATTGCACCACAGCACTCTAGCCTGGTGACAGAGCGAGACTCCGTCTCAAAAAAAAAAAAAAAAAAAAAAGAAAAAGAAAAAAATCACAAATATACCTGTTTCATCCTGTATCAAAAATAATTTTTAGCTTTTCAACAACATGATAAATCTATACCTACAAAGCCATGGTATTTTCTCACTCTCTTGTTATTTATTCTCTATTAATAATTCCTGGCTGAAGGGATCAGCCATATTATAACTTATATAAGGAAAAGTTCTTTCAACTTTTCTTTCAGATTGAATCTACCTTTACTATTATTTACACCCTAGGCCGAGTTCTTCAAATCCTCTGGCATCTCTAAGAAGGAAGATTCAACCAAATATACCATGATGGGATTGGTTAAGACAATTGCCATGATGTTCACGTTTCACTTCTCTGCAGTTGTTGTGGGATGCACATTATCTTTTGATGGAAATAGCAATAGATACTAGACCAGAATTCTTTTAATGTATTATTCAAAGTTCTTTCAAGAAAACCAAAATTGTCAACAACATTCATAAAGTGTAATATGGCAATGGTGAATGTACCTTACATTATGTCAGTAGATATAACCTGGAGATCACAGAGGCAGATATTTAATAATGTAAACTAATTAATTAAATATTATTTGTTATTTTCTCATACTATCCATGTATCTTTACTACATATATTTAAAAGGTAAAAAATCAACATTATATTAATTTTGCATATTTATGTAAAATATATATTTCAGTATAATTAATTTAATGTAAAACCAACTTTTAAAGAAAATTTTGAAATTCAAAGCAAAATAAATTTTAGCATATTATCAGAAATGTATACAACATAAATGAAGACAACAGAGCTTATCATCTGTTTCCAAAGTAGACAGCTTATTACCAGTAGAATAAATATGTCTAATATTCTTTTAGAATTTAGAGCTATGAGTATAAATAAGACCATTTATTTTTCAGGACATAGGTAAATGGTCAATAGGAATAGATGTTGATGTTGAAACATGCACTATGTTTACTTAAATTCTGGACAATGAATATGACTTAAATTCCATTTATACAGTTTCAGGTTACCTGCTTCAAATATCTATTAGCTAATATTGGGAGTTTACCCAAAATAATTTGAAAAATTTCTTTAATTTCTACTTTTCTTCTCACATCCAGTTTCTTTCATTTTCAGCCTTAATCTGTGAAACAGTGATTCCAAATTCCAGAGCCACAGAAAATGAGTTAGTTTATTATGTGATCTTCTAACTTGCAACATCAAAAAACTATTTTCAAGGTCACCATTTGAAGACTGCATTCCTAAGACCATATGGCTCCACTTCTTTAAAATTTCACAGAAACTTATGATTGCATTCCACATTGAAGACATTTGGTTAACACCTTGGTTTTAATATAGTGTAATCTTTTGCCAATGTATTTAATCGTGAAATGCTTTAGTTTCCTCAGCTACAAAAAGTGACTAGAACTTCTACCACATAACTCTGTTGAGTATGTTGGAAAAAGGAAATGTAAGTTAAAGAACAACACAAATAGCTTTATTAGAAAAATGTTTAAACCTTACTACCAATGACACATGTCTTGGGAATACATTTGATTGAGAGAGGAGTTATATCTCACATATAAATCTTACTTAAAAGTGAAAAAGGAAATAAACACATTTGTTTTATTTATATTAATACTTCAGAAGAAAAATTCCAATGGCCCTAAAAATAGCAAAGAAAAGAAAGATTCTACTTAATTCAATGATAATAAAACTAAATTAAGAGGTTTGGGCTTCCATTTTGCATGTGGAAGACTAGAAAGAGGACCATTCCTATCCACATGACAAAAACTCAGCCAGATAATCTGAAAATATACAATTTTTTTGAATTTACCAGAGAGCAGTGATCCTAAGTCCTAGAATAATCAAAACTGCTCCTAAGAACAAAGTCAAAGGAATAACACTACAAAATTCAAAGGCTTATTATAAAGCTGCAAAAATCAGTGTGGTATTAGCCAAAAGAACAGATGCATATATCAGTGGAACAGAACAGAGAATTCATAAAGTTCCTCACATGAATATGGTCAATTTACTTCTGACAAAGGTTTAAAGGCAATTCAATGAGGGAGAGTATGCTTTTCAACAAATGCTGCTGGCATAATGGCATATCCATATATAACACACAAACAAAAAAATCTTAACATATACTCTACAAGAACTAACTCAGAATAAATCAGAGATCACGATGCAAAATGTGAAATTTAAATCTATTAGAAAACATAAAAGAAAGTCCATGTGACCTCCGATATGGAATAAGTTTTCAGAAATAAAACCAAGGATACAATCAATGAAAGAAAAAAAGGTTGAAAAATAAATTAACTTTACTAAAATTAAAAGTATTTTATCTGTGAAAAAATATTAAGAGAATAAAAATACAAGCCATAGACACATAGAAAAATTTTATATTACATATCTGATAAAGTACTTTTTTTCTAGAAAACATAAATAATACTTACAAATTAACAATAAGAAAATGAGCAATTTAATTTAAAACTGAAAAAAATTTAGAAGAGACTTTTTAAACAAAAAGATATACAGATTGCAAGTAAATATATTCAAATACTCCCAATATCATTAGTTATTAGAGAACTGCAAATGAAATCCACAGTAAGATACCATCCCATATCTATTAAAATGGCTAACACCAAAATAAGCGATAATATCAAGTATGGATGAGGATTCAAAGCAACCAAAACCTTCATACAGTGCAAGGTGGTACAGCTACTTTGAAATATAGTTTGGAAAATTCTTATGAAGTCAAGCAAATACCATGAAAACCAGTAATTCCGTTTATGAGGAATTACTCAAAAAAGCATGATTTTTAAAAAAACTGATATTCAAATGATTATAGAGTTTTTACTTATAAGTGCCCCAAACTGAAAATGACCCAAATGTCCCTCAGAAAGGAAAGATATACAAACTATGGTATACCCATATGATAGAATTCTACACAGAAACATAAATTGGCAATCTATGAATCTGTGCAACAACATGAATATAATTTAAATGAATTATGTGAAATGTGAGGAGACATTTTTTAAAGTGACATTCTGTGTGATTCCATTTATATGACATTTTGCAAAGGCAAAATTGTAGGAATCAGTAGTTTCTACAACTGAGGATACGAGTAATTGAGTATACCATGGCACACAGGATTATGAGGCCAATGGGACTGTTGTATATCTTTATTATGTTTGTAATTCCAAACATTATATGTTTGTCAACACTCACAAAATTATTCACTGAAAGGGTTGAATTTTCCTGTATATAAATTATGCCCTATTTTTAAAATAAAGTAAAAATAATTAGAAACAAAATGTTTCTATGTAATTAGTAAATGTACTATATGAAAGTCCATTTATTTATAAGGTAAATGAAACTAGATTTTCTAAGAAGCAAGAAAAACATAGAAAAAAATGATTTACTATTTTTATAAAATAATCACAGCCACAACTAAAACATAACTTTGTTTACAGAAAAAATTATGACAATGATATTAATTCAGGCAAACACAAATAATATCATCTAAATGAGGTCTGTTTAGAAAGTTAAGAATACCTCTACATATGTTATTAACAGATACAAGAATCGGTTCAAATTGTCACAGTAAAGGATGAGGCAGTAGCAGTAATAGAAAATTTTAAAAAGTAAAGGGATAAGAAATGAAATCAAACTCAGAGGAGGAGGAGAAACAAGTGGAAGTATTTGAATGTTCCTAAATAAATGGGCACATTTCCAAAATATGAATAACATTAATAAAATAAGATATGATAAACTAAAATAAAGCATAACTAAATACTGACATGTTTCTAAAACCAGTGCGTCCAAATGTTAACAACTAAAAAAATGAAGAAAAGATATGTTCTACAGTCCTCTAGATTTCTATGAGAAGGACTATGACAGACCAGTACAAAAAATTCAATTGCAACTTCTGCCATTTCAGTCCAAATCTGGGTGCATGTTCTATACATTTCATGTATCTTCTCTAAGATTCATCAGTTCATAGGCATATATTATCTACTATCTGTTGATGTCCTGTGATGGGTGCTATGGCATAAACAAAGTATTACAGGATGTAAAGGCCAGAGTTTATATTTGTGGGAATTTAAGTAATTCACAAGAGATACTTCAAATCCTTTCTCTGTAAGAAAAAAATACACGCCCACATCCACACACCCTTGCTCTCTCACACACTCACATACATACACACACATACATATATATTCACAGACATATACACATATACAAATGTATAAATATGACCCATATTATCAGTTGTAGCATATGCATCAGATACAAAAATAATTATAGTATAAGAGTACTAAGATACTAACTATACCTTATTATATATTACATATTTTGTATTTTACTATAATCTTATCTGGTTCACATATATAATGTAATTTAATCTTTATAAATTTTCTGTATTTTGATCATTATTTTAGATAGTTATTTATTTTTAAAGGTTATCCAATAAACATACATGAATAACCCAAAATAAACCAAATACTGGAATTCTTAGTCTGTTGTTCTCTTCACTCTGCTACTTAGCTTGATACAGGCAATAAGTATTCTATGGAAATATGGAGGAGAAAACTGCAAACAGGAAATAGTGACTGGCTAAAATTTTGTCATTAGAAATGTTCAAATTTCTAATGGTATAAAAAAAGAGAAATATGAGGAGATGACAGATACTATAGCAGGCTTGGAAGAGAAACAAAACTGCTAAGCACTAGAGAAGCTACTGGAAAAAAGTTAAGAAGGAAAAAATATAGTATTTAATGATGAAAATAAGTACAATGAGGAAAATGGAATAATAATTGGTTTTGGTGATCTGGCATCATTAAATATTTTTGATAGAGTTGTTAGAGTATCGGGGGAACCCACCCCCAATATTTCAACATAGGTTCTTTCTGTTTTCCATAACTGTCAACAGGCTGAGAAATAAGGAGAAAGAGTACAAAGAGAGGAATTTTACAGCTGGGCCTCCGTGGGCGACATCACATATCGGTAGGACCATGATGCCCACCTGAGCCGCAAAACTAGCAGGTTTTTATTAAGGGTTTCAAAAGGGGAGGGGGTGTACGAATGGGGAGTGGGTCACAAAGACCACATGCTTCAAAGGGCAAAAAGGAGAACAAAGACCACATGTTTCTGAGGCCAATAAAGATCACAAGGCAAAGGGCAAAGCAAAGATCACAAGGCAAAGGCCAAAATAAAAAACTCCTGATAAGGGTCTATGTTCAGCTGTGCACGTATTGTCTTGATAATGCAACAACAGAAAACAGGGTTCAAGAACAGAGAACCAGTCTGACCTCAAATTTACCAGGGTGGGGTTTCTTCCCCACCCTAATAAGCCTGAGGGTACTGCAGGAGACCAGGGCATATTTCAGTCCTTATCTCAACTGCATAAGACAGATACTCCCAGAGCGGCCGTTTATATACCTCCCCCCAAGAATGCAATTCTTTTCCCAGAGTATTAATTATCAATATTCATTGCTAGGAAAAGAATTTAGTGATATCTCTCTTATGTGCACATCCATTTATAGGCTCTCTGCAAGAAGAAAAATATGGCTCTATTCTGCCCAACCCTGCAGGCAGTCAGACCTTATGGTTGTCCTCGCTTGTTACCTAAAACTGCTGTTATTCTGTTCTTTTTCAAGGGGCACTGATTTCATATTTTTCAAACACACATGTTTTACAATCAATTTGTACAGTTAGATACAATTATCACAGTGGTTCTGAGGTGATGTACATCCTCAGCTTATGAAGATAACAGGATTAAGAGATTAAAATAAGACAGGTGTAAGACATTATAAAAGTATTAATTTTGGGAACTGATAAATGTCCACATTAAAATGAAATCTTCACAATTTATGTTCCTCTGCCACAGCTCCAGCCAGTCCCTCCATTCGGGGTGCCTGACTTCCCACAACATTAGAGCAAAAGATGGTTGCTCAGATGATTTACTAGAATATGTGAAGTGGAGGCCTTTGTTCCAAAGCTAGCAATATGCATTTTCCAACTTTTTGGTTTCTATTTGATATTGTCTTCTTCTGATTTAGTGATTGTATTTAATATTTGTGTTGATTACATTTTATAAATAAAAAATGTGGTATTGGTGTTCATTCATATTCATAATATATGTAGATCTCTATTCCTACAATTAACCACTCTTTCTTTCTCCATACAGCAAGATTCCTCCATTATCTCATGTCATGTTTGAAAAGAGAAACTAAATGAGGAAGTTAGTTATAAGGGATTATCTAGAGCAGTAAAGATGTATAAGAATGTATAAGGATCATGTGCATCAGGCATTTTTTTTTTTTTTTTTTTGAGAAGGAGTCTCACTCTGTCACCAGGCTGAAGTGCAATGGCGCAATCTCGGCTTACTGCAACCTCTGCCTCCCGGGTTCAAGTGATTCTCCTGCCTCAGCCTCCTGAGTAGGTGGGACTACCAACATGCACCACCACACCCAGCTAATTTTTGTATTTTTATTTGAGAAAGCATTTCACCATGTTGGCCAGGATGGTTTCGATCTCTTGACCTGGTGATCCACCCACCTTGGCCTCCCAAGGTGCATCAGGTAGTTTTTAAAATTCCACATTACTAGTTCTCTTATCCAATATTCAGAAATCAAAATCAGGTTGGGAAGGTATGAATACCACAGATTTTTGTAAAATTGACTAGGTGATTCTAACACACAGTAAAATACTAGCAGCATTGCTCTACTTTATTTCCTCTACTGCCATGATTTCCTTGGGAGCTAAGAATGAGGTTGAAAGATCCAGAAGCATTATGAGAAATGCGCTTCTGAGATTGCCCAAACGACTTAGTATGCATGAATAGAAAAAGTAGAGAGAAACTCTAAATATCCACTTTCTCCGTTGCAATCCCCCAAATGTATGTTCTCTAAGCAAACAGTTATGGTAACCTTAGTGATTAGAAAAAATAGTATGCTCTGAAAATATTCAGCTCTTTACCTAAAATGGAATATGATGTTAAATTTGATGTTTGGTTTGGAAACTTGAATGAAAATGAAATGAAACAAGTCTATGAAGATTTTCTGCTAAGGATTCTCAATCAGTGAAATATATCCTCCATGTTTCTCTTTTACTCCATTTTCTGTATTCAGTATTGCCCCAATTTAAAGTTTTAATAAGTTGGTTGTATAAGAGAGTTTGAAAATATCATTGTGATAACGGGGTACCAAAGGACAAAAAAACCCGTCAGCTTTAAGGCTTATGTCCACAGGATGTTAGTAGACATAAGTCCTCAAACTAATTTGCTGTTCTTTCAAGGTTTCTTTGTAATGAATCTTTCACAGACTTTTCCTGTCTCCTCACCCATCCATCCATAGGAAGGAATTAAGCTGTTGAGACTAGGGATCATCTATGTTTTGATCTTTTCAAAAAATACACAGCAACTTTATATTATGACATGATATTAATAAATATGTACTTAATTATTGTTACTGTAAAATGTTTACATTTGTCACATCTTGAGTATAACAATAAGAGGTAGAAAAAAGTAGGAATTTTAGTAGTGCATTACTTCTAAAAGATAGAATTATAAATTCTTAAGCATATTGATTCGTTTTCTAAATAGGAGTTGAAGGGATACTACATTAGTGTTAAGAGAGAGACATTCTCAGATACTTTCAAACTTTCAGGTTGTTCATTAATAATTATTCTAGCGTTGTGACACATAAGAAGAAAAAAATATATTGTCCTAATGTTCAGCAACATTTTCGTCTTCATAATGGCTTGAGTACCTCCCAAGACTATTCATATCTTATAAGTGGATAAATAAAACCCTATCCCAAAGCATGGAAAAACAGCAAACACATCCTGAATGATTCCCCCAAAGATTCTCCCTTTACCAGTTTTATTTTTAAAATCTTGAAAGAAACAAAAGTTGATAAGCTGGTTTCATTCCAGGCTACATGTTACTGCAATAAACCCTACCAGGAAAGACACATCAATGCTTGTGCTAAGTGTTTCCCTGTCCAATAATAAAGATAATCTGTCTTAATTCATTTGTATTAAATCAACTGTGAGCTCTGGGGTTTTCTATTAACTAACTAGCTTCATAGATTTTTGCTATATCAGTGCTAAAAATAATTTGAGACCATCTTCTCCTACTATTTTGCTTGTGGTGTAAGAAGGTAAAATTAAGAAATTAAGTAATTTATTCAAAACTTGATAGATAATCTGTGTAATGAGTAAAAGTTTATCAATAGAGATTTTTGTTTTCTCCATTTGTCAAAATATGTCCATTTTAACCTACACATCTGGAGCCAATGAAGTCCCCTGTACTTATATTCTAACTCAAAGGAATGTATTCTTTCATTGGAAATGTCAGGCCAGTTAGAAAGAGAAGATGGTTATAACAAGCTGTTAAAGACATAATACCAGTAATCACCGAACTTTCACACTCAGCTGTTGAGAAGCTGTAGGCCACTGACATTAATTTTTTCCTAGAAACAGGATTAATTTTCCACAGAACGCTAGAGAACAAGCTCAAATATGCAGAGAAATCACATTGTTTAAGGATACTTCCAATAGATTTGCCTAGATTCTCTATTTCCTAACTTTCTGCTTTGGGCTCTTTTTCTTTCTTTTTTGGAGATGGGGTTTTGATTCTGTCACCCAGGCTGGAGTGCAACGGTGCCATCTGGACTCACTGCAACCTCTGCCTCCTGGGTTCAAGAGATTCTCCTGCATCAGCCTCCAAACTAGCTGGGACTACAGGTGTGGACCACCCTGCCTGGCTAATTTTGTATTTTTAGTAGAGACAGGGTTTCACCATGGTGGCCAGGCCTGTCTCGAACTCCTGACCTCAAGTGATTTTTGTGCCTCGACCTCCCAAAGTGCTGGGATTACAGTCATGAGCCACTGTGCCCCGCCTATCTTGGCCTCTTCTTGATGTCCATCTTGTGAAAGTTATTTAACCTGTCTTTAATTCCTTATCTGGAATGTCAGCACAATTATATCTACTACATACAGAATTGTTGTTAGGATATAATAAATTTATTGAGACAAATGTATGAATTTCTTACCATAATGGCTAGCATGTATTAGATGCCTAATAAATGTTATCTGTTGTGATATGTCTTAGTTCTTTCTGGCATTTAGCCCTTAGCATAATGCACACATTAGGTCCTGGCTTAATGTGCACTGATTATATGAATATATCTCACAACTATTTCTCCAAACATGTCCTCCTTATTTTCCTGTGTAATTTCTAAAAATATTTCTTTTATCTGGCAAACTCTTTTGTAATGAATCCTAAGCAAAACAGTCTGCTGACAGTCTTTATGATCAGGAACATTGTTTTAAAATTACTTTCATTCTGTATGGTAGTTTGGTTAGACATCCCATTATGTAATTGCTTATCATGAAAAGAATTCCAAAAGAGTTGAATTATTTCTGAAAAGATAATAACTCTATAGGAAAATATACTGTCAAAACATGTGTGTATGTATGTGTGTGTGAGTGTGTGTATTCTGTTCGCACAAAGGAGTATATTGTCTGGCTTACATACTATTATTTTTGGGAAATTTTTGTTTGGAACTCACAAAATGTCATCTTTATTATGTTATCTAAATGTTAAATTTTTAAGTTAATTTTTGGTATCTTCTCATTGTACGTTTGCTTTAGCCAGCTGCTCAGCTTTCTTTTTATTGCTTTTCAAAGTCCATTTTGCATGTTTCCAGGCTCAAAGCTTTAGTTCTATTCAAACACACATTCACAGTTCCATGTGTTTATTTGAGTTTCCTATAACATGAAAATATATGCTTTTATTCCTCTTACATAAAGCATACTTTTACTTCTTAAAACATATTAGGTTTTAGTTAATTTCTCGGTCCTTGAAATTTTAACTCCCAAGTTAATTGATCTTTATTTTCTTTTACTTTGTTTTTTGATCTTGAAAGAAGAAATGTATATGGATGAAACTATAATACAGAACATTTATCTCTCATTATCTCATTTCTTTCTTCTTTTCTTATATCATTACCAAATTAAGAAATCTGTAACCTCTTTATTTTATGTTATTCAGAAATATTTCATTCACATTATGTTTATTATTAATTATCATAATATACTTATTTAGTATTAGGATGTTATAAAAGGGACCTGAGATAAAATTATATTTAAACTATGGTAAAGGTTACAATCCTAGTCATCCACACTGACTATCTATCCACGTACTTTTGAAAATATGGTAGTAAATTAAAAGCTTATTTTAATTGGAGGCATAGAGAAAGGCTAAATTATATCTACCAGCTTTTTATGACTAAAACAACTTTTTAAAGGTTATATAATCAAAGAATTCTGATCTCCTGCCTTCAATTCTATCATATGAGCAAATAAATAGACAAAAGGTAAAAATTCTATTGTTTCCATCTCACCTTGCCTCACAGGGTTCATTCATCTTGCATTAAGGGAGTTATACAAATTAAGCGTGATTGTGGTATGTTAGTCTTATAATTAGTATTTTCTAATTCTATTCAGAAGAGCCAACAACCTAGTGTTCTTAGTCACATTTGATCTACAAAGCAAGAAATTTACATGTGGTAAATGGCAGCACTTTCCAAAAGCAGTTAATCATTAAGGGAGAAGAAAGCCTCTTGGCATTTATTGTTCACAGCACAAGAGAAAGGTATTAATATGGCTCTAATTTTTCCATTCCAAAGGAATTTCTCCACAGTTTAACACAGATTAATGTCCAAATGCCATTAAGTGTTTCTACACCTTTCTGTTAAAGATTGGAGCCATTATTATACAAACTGATGAAAGTTTTGTGCTGAAAATACAGGTCAGGTAACATTTGAAGGTACAAAGAAGCAATTAGAGATTTAAAACTATTGCTTTGTTATCCTGCAGAGAAACAGGAGAACTTCTATTCTAGGAACTAATTAGCCACTAAATGAAAACGTCACTGACAAGTTGTCAGTAGTACCTTCTGCCTCTAGTTACCTGAAAAGAAATGGTCGTGTCAACCTTAAATAATGAGATTTAGAAAACATAATTAAATATAGAGTTTATTCAAGCACAAAGCTTGAGGATAGCTGCCCAGAAACACCAACTCCAAACGAATAGGGTCAGCATTTCAAAGTGGAGAAGTTAAGTTTTACTTATATAGGCAAAGACAGAGAAGCTCCAGCAGGAGTACATTTTCCATAAAACCAGTGTATATGCCACAGCGATTTGATTGTTCACCAGTTGTTACATTCCAAGAAATGTTACTTGATTACTCTGTGAGGAGAGGCAGTGATCTGAGAGGGCCTTGTCTCTGCCACCACTTGGTCCTCCTAATTATTTACAAGAAAAAAAAAAAGCAAAAGTGGCAGCCACATGCCAGGTGACTCTGGCAGTATAGCCACATTCCTCTCAAGGCTCAGAATAATTTAAAGTTCCAACAGCTTTATCTTAGAGTTATTTTAGGTTTGTGTTATTTAAATTCACACCCATCATGGATGACTTTAATTTTTTTGAGACAGGTAAAGACCATTTTAGCAACTTGGACAAGCAGGAATTGCCCGATTTTTTCTGTAGCAGGAATTGAAACAAATGAAAGACTCACCATCAACCTAGCTATTACCCATGTATAGCAATGTTAGCCATTGACTTGTAAAATTAAAGTGGTAAAAGATGAAAGTAGGAGAATATACTGCAATTGAGAAGAAAAGTAAGCACTTCTGTAACAGTAAGTGATATTTTGAAGTGAAACTGAAATCTGATTACTTTTCATCTCTCCAGGTTTCAGACTTTGTGGTCATTTTCAATTGTGTTATTATGAGGTCAATTTTTTTTTTCTTTTCCTTTATTCTCTTTTACCACCTCTTGCTTTTTTTGTCTTGTGTCATTAGTCCCATTTTTTTTCCCCTATTCAAATGTCTACATTCTCCCCAAAGTAATGTCAGTGGCAATGTTTAGGTATGCTACTCTGTGAATCTGTTTTATAAGTAAAAATGTCAATCACACTTTAAATAATGGTGACCTGACATAAGTTATGTATACATATATTATATACGTTATATGTATATGTTATATGTGTGCGTGTGTGTGTGTATATATATATAGAGATAGAGAGAGAAAGAACAGGTTGGCAGGTTGGACACAAAGAAAAGAAATGGGACAAATTTTCATACTAATCAGCATTACTATTTAATGCTGATAATAATCAGCTTTAAATATAAATATCTTTTAAAATCAAGATGTCAGTCTTCCTCCAAGGACTTTTTGTGAAAGTGCTTTAAAAGTCTATTTAAATATAAGTGGTGTAAACTCAAAATAAAATTCTAAGCCCCTAGTTGACTAAAGAGACCATCTCTTAGCAAAGGGAACCCCTGGAGTAACCTTGAAAACTGAGTCATTGGCCATGATGCAATGGGGGATCGGAACAACCTCATTATACCCCCACCCTCCCTACGTAACCAGGATTAGCCTTTCTTGCCTAAGGACTTAACGGAAACCAGCCCTTTCAAAAGACTACACCAATGATATCAACAAACTACCTTATGCCACTCCTTTTTTTGCCTGATAAGAGATCACTGACCATGGAGTGGTTCTGGCCAGTCTGTAGAGCACTGACCATGGAGTGGTTCTGGCCAGTCTGTAGCGAGTAGCGAGTATGCCGTAAGGGTTTTCGTGTTGCACCTTTTTTTTTTTTTTTTTTTTTTTTGAGAAGGAGTCTCGCTCTTTCGCCCAGGCGGGATGCTATCTCGGCTCACTGCAAGCTCCGCCTCCCAGATTCACGCCATTCTCCTGCCTCAGCCTCCCGAGTAGCTGGGACTACAGGCGCCCGCCACCATGCCCGGCTAATTTTTTGTATTTTTAGTAGACACAGGGTTTCACCATGTTAGCCAGGATGGTCTCTTCTCCTGACCTCGTGATCCGCCTGCCTTGGCCTCCCAAAGTGCTGGGATTACAGGCGTGAGCCACCACACCTGGCCCATGTTGCATCTTTTGATGTCAGAGGGCTGAATACTCCCCTCTCAGATTATGCTAACACCATCACTTTTTGTACATGGGATCCATGAAGGGGCATAAAACTCAATTGCACATGCACACATTTCTCTTTTCATGAATATTCATGAATCCTCCTATAGCTTATTAAATTTGTATATTTGTCCACCTTCTGCAGCATAAATTCCTGTTCCCTTTGTCCATCCCTTAAAATGTCATTTCTGGCTTCAGGATGGAGGCTATGCTTCCCAGCCTGTCAGAATGTCCACCCTGCAGGCTGTATACCTTTAAAGCTCTCTTTTCTAAATGTATAAACCTCATCATTTTTTAGTTCAGAGTAGTAATGTACATGTGCTGTTTCTATTATTAGTGTTATTTTTGTGTCCCCTGATGCAAGCTAGATATATGTTTTCCTCCCTTTTAACCATGCTCCATTTACATGTTTTTCTACATTGTAATATCAACCAGTTTGTAAATAAGGGCAATAAGGAAGTAGCTCCCATCTTATATTTCATTATTTTTGCAACTATTTAATAAAAAAATTAAAAAATATTAAAGCAAACTAAGAAGAAAATGAACATTAGAATGAACCCTATGTTTTGGTACAGAAGTAAAGCTTGCTATTTGTGTTATTGAACAAGATATTTGATCTTTACAACCTTTAATTTCTTCATTTGTAAATATAGAAATTGGCAGAGCTCAGAAAGCACTACCCCAAAGGACTTCGAGCTGAAGGAGATTGTGACGGCTTCAGAAGCAAGAAAGTCACTCTGACCTTTCCCCACCTTTCTCTGTAAGAGCTGGTCATAAAGGAATTTTCTGACCTACTTTTCCTGAAAGTTAGCCATTCCAGAGGGACCCTGCGCATACCCAGAGGGAAGGAATGCTACACAGAGAGGCCAAGAAGAATCTGGTTACCATAGGCTCACATAGGTAAGGGTAGGCGGGGGGATGGAAGGGATAAAGACAAGTTGGTTAATGGGTACAAAAATATGGCTAGGTAAAAGGAATATGTTGTAGTGTTCAATGGCACAATAAGGTGACCGCAGTTAAAAATAATTATTGTATACTTCAAAATAGCTAGAAGAGAGGTGTTGTAATGTTCCCACACAAAGAAATGATAAAAGTCATACGTAATGGATATTACTCTGATTTGATCATTACACAGTCTATGCATGTATCAAAATAACACATGTACTGCCTACATATATACAATTATTATGGAGCCATAAAAAAGGAATAGAAATAGACAGGTCTTGCTATGTTTTCCATCCTCAGTCTACTACCATCAGATTCTAACTTTAGTCTAATCACATTTCTACATGGCTTTCCATTCTTCATCAATCCTAAGCATACATAACATTTTCTCTAGATCTTCGGGGTCTTCATTTCTGAAGACTCCCATGTCAAGTAAAATTTTGATTGAATAAATTTGCTGTTTTTCTTTTGTTAGCTTGCCTTTTGTTGTATGAGTTGTGCAATGACCCTTATGATGGCGAAGGATTGGTATCACACATTTTTGCCCCTACAAAATAATACCTAACTCAAATTCCTATGAAGCAGATTACATATGATGATTTTAAAATTATGCCAGACACATAATAGGCGCTTTATAAATACCACTAAAATAGGAATCAACCAATATTTTAATTTAATATGTGCAATACCGACATAGAGTGATTCACTACCATTTTAGACATTTGCTTAAAAATTTTTGCTTACATTGTTGGACAGATGGAATCCAACAATTTCAACTGTATTTTCTAAGCACTGAATGTAGAGCTCCATGCATTTGCTTTCAAAATCAGCTAGTAAATATAGCTCTTTGAGTATTTTAAAACACATACATACATACGCAATGCAAGTCTTTAAGAAGAAAAATATTAGTCTATGCTTCTTAAAAATATTATTTAAAAGAATATAAAACAAAATGAATAATAAGGATAACTTCAACCTGGTTAAGAAATCAAGAAACATTTATAATATCAAAAGAAAATAATATTTTAATTTTTCATTTTAATGTTATAGTCTTGTTTACCTGTTGCTTTGCTTTATCCTGCACGTTGCTATTCCTGACACATATTGATTCTTTTTCTCTGCTAGCATCTGATTTTACATTATGTAACTAATTTCCGAGAAAAAATATTTGTTTTCTATAATATAATCATGTTGCCTCTTTTTGTTCAAAAAATAAATTCAAATGGACACTGGCTAAGATGAAGATTAAGTATAAATGTTTAATATTTCTATTTCTGAATTTTACTGGAATCAAAGGACAAAAAGAGAAGGATAATAAATTCTATAAAAATAGCATTAAAATCACCATCTGCTCTTAAAACTAAGAAAGAATGTCAGTTATATGCTAGATACTGAAAAAAGTGCTATCAATAATTAAAACTACCTTTAGGTTAAAGGAAGTATTAAGCAGACTGTTAACATATTATGGCGAACAAAATTAATATTATTTTGAGAGGTAAGTAAAAAAATGTGGTAAAAGAAACTTACTAATACTCTTAATCAGGTAAAGATCAGACTGCTGAGCACTCCGTGGATTAGCCCATTCCCTGGGGCAACAGAGAGCTTCTTCCAGTAAACAAGGATCAAGTATATGCACAGTGATGTTGGCCACAGCAAGCTCTTATCCATAAATACCATCTACTGGTCTGTAGCTTGGACCCTATGGCCCAATATAAAACCTGCCAACAGAAATGCGTAAGACTGCAAAAGCAAAGTCAATACATCTTAATCAGCATTTTCTTCCGTCACACCCTCCAGGGAGTGGGGAAAGGGAAAGAAAAGCAAATCCTATCTGCACTGAAATAAGTACAAAAGTTAGAAGTACCAGTGTCTACAAATGAGAAGGAACCAGCACAAGAATTCTGGCACTATGAAAAATCTGAATGTTGTGACACTACCAAAGGATCACACTAGCTCTCCAGCAATGGTTCCTAAACAAAATGAAAATGCAGAAATGACAGATAAAGAATTCAAAATATGAATTGCAAGTAAGCTTAATGAGATCCAAGACAAGGTTGAAAATCAACACAAAGAAACTTCTAAATTAATCCAAGGAATGAGGGAAAATATAAAGATCTTAAAAAGTAGGCAATCAGAGCTTCTGGAATTGAAAAACTCACTTAAGTAATTTCAAAATACAGTTGAAATCTTTATCAATAGACTGGACCAAGCAGAAGAAAGAATTGTAGAGCTCGAAGACCAGGGTTTTGAAATAACACACTTAGACAAAAGTAAAGAAAAAATAACTTTTATAAATGAACAAAGTCTTTGAGAAATATAGTATCATGTAAAGTGACCACACTGTGAATTATTGGCATTCCTGAGAAAGAAGGAGAAAAAAATGAACAACCTGAAACACATATTTGAGGGAGTAATTCAAGAAAATTTTCTTAATATTGTTAGAGAAGTGGACATCTGAATACAAAAAATTCAGAGAATACCTATAAGATACTACCCAAAATGAATATCACCAAGGCATATAGTCACCAGACTGTTCAAGGTCAACACTAAAGAAAACATCTTAAAGGCAACTAGTGAGAAAGGTCAGATCATGTATGACAGGAACCACATCAGGGTAACAGTGGACTTCTCAGCAGAAACCTTACAAGCCAGAAGATATTGGGGAGACTGTTTTTGGCATTCTCAAACAAAAGAAATTCAAATCAAGACTTTCATATACCACCAAACAAAGTTTCATAAGCTATCAAAAAATAAAATAGTTTCCAGATAAGCAATAGCTTAGATAATTTGTCACCACTAGACCAGATCCTTCAGGGAGTTTTAAATATAGAAATCCAATAATTAAACCTGTTACCACAGAAACACATTTAAGCACATAGCCCACAGACCCTATAAAGCAAATACACAACAGAAACTACAATGCAACCTGCTAACAACTTTATAATGGGATCAAAACCTCATATATCAATATTAATCTCAAATGTAAGTGATCTAAATGCCCCATTTAAAAGTCTCACAGTGGCAAGTTGTATAATACAAAAAAGACCCATCCATCTGCTGTGTTCAAGAGACCCATCTCACATGTAATGACACCGATAGACACAAGGTAAATAATTGAAGAAAGATACATCATGCAAACAGAAAACAAAAAAAAGCAGCAACCACTATTATTATAACAAATAAAACAAACTTTGAACCAAAAAGAAATAGTAAAAAGGGGAAAAAAAGACATTTTACCTGATGATAAAAAGATCAATTCAACAAGAAGTCTTCACTAACCTAAATACATATGCACCAAACATCAAAGGACCCAGAGTCATTAAACAAGTACTTATAGACTTATAAAAAACTGTAGATAGCAACACAATAATAATAGGGGACTTCAACACCCCACTGACAGCATTAGACAAATCTTTGAGGCAGAAAACTTAAAAAGAAATTCTAGACTTCAATTGTAAACTTGCCCAGTGGAATCTAATAAACATCTACAGGATACTCCACCCATTTACCACAGAATATACATTCTTCTCATGTGCACACAGTACATACTCTAAGCTCAACTACATTCTTAGCCATAAAACAAGGCTTTATAAATTAAAAAAAAAAGGAAATCATACCAACCATACTCTCGAACCAATAGAAAATAGAAAGCAATTCCAAGAAGATCACTCAAAATGGTACAAGTTCATGCAAATTATACAACTTGCTCCTGCCTTACTTTTGGGTAAACAACAGAGTTAAGGCAGAAATTAAAAAATATTATTTAAAATAAATGAAAACAAAGACACAGCTGCCAAAATCTACGACATGTAGCAATAGCAGTGTTAAAAGAAAGTTTATAGCATTAAATGCCTGCATTGAAAAGTTAGAAAGATTTCATTTAATGAACTAAAATCACAACTACAGGAACTAGAAAAACAAGAACAAAATAACCCCAAAGCTAGTATAAAAAAAGAATTAATTAAAATCAGAGTAAAACTGAATGAAATTGAGACCCCAAACTCTTACAAAAGATCAATTTAAACAAAAGTTGCTTCTTTAAATAGACAAACAAGATCAATAAACGGCTAGCTAGGTTAACAAAGAAACAAAGAGAGTAGATACAAATAAGCACAATCAGAAATGACAAAGGTGACATTGCCACTGATCTCACAGAAATACAAAAGGTCCTCAGTGACTATAATGAACACCTCTAGGCACACAGACTAGAAAATCTAGAGGAAATGGATACATTGCTGGAAACGCACAAGCTCCCAAAATTGAATCAAGAAGAAATTGAAACTCTGAATAGATTCTGTAATTTAATCATTAATAAAAAACCTACCAATCAAGAAAAAACCCTAGACTAGATGACTGTACAACTGAATTCTACAAGGCATACAAAGAAAAGCTGGTACCAATTCTACTGAAGACATTCTGCTCCCCCACCCCCCAAAAAAAATAAATCAAGGAAGGACTCCTTTCTAAGTCATTCTATGAAGCCAGCATTACCCTGATGCCAAAAACCTGGCAAAGATACAACAATAAAAAAACTACAGGCCAATATCCTTGACATATATGAAAAAACCCTCAACAAAATACTAGCAAACCTAATCTGGCAGAATATTCAAGGTTAATTTATCATGATCAAGTAGACTTTATCCCTGAGATGCAAGTTTGCTTCAACATATACAAATCAATAAATGTGATTCACCCTATAAATAGAATTAAATCCAAAAATCCTATGATCATCTCAATGGAAGCAAAAGGGTTTTTGATAAACTCCAACATCTCTTATCTCTTTGACATCTTTTATCTCTTCATGATAAAAACTCTCAACAATCTAGGTATTGAAGGAATATACCTCAAAATAACAAGAGTCATTTATGACAAATCTGCAGCCAACATCTACTCAATAGGCAAAAGATGGAAGCATTCCTATTAAGAACAGGAACAAAATAAGGGATGTTTATTCTCACCACTCCTGTTCAACATAGTATTAGAAGTCTTAGCCAGAGCAATCAGACGAGAAAAAGAAAAAAAAAGGCATTCAAATAAATACAGAAGAAAAACTATCTCTTTTTGCAGAAGATATGCTTGCATACCTAAAAATACTGGGGACTCAACTAAAAGCCTTTTAGAACCCATAACAATTTCAGTAAAGTTTCAAGATTCAAATTTAATGTACAAAAATTTCTATACTCCAACAGGGTTGAAGCTGAGAGCCAAATCTAGAATGAAAACTTATTTACAATAGCCACAAACAATAAAATACTAAGGAATACATTTAGCAAAAAAGGTGAAAGATCTCTACAAGGAGAACTATAAAACACTGCTAAAAGAAATCAGAGATGACACAAATAAATGAGAAAACATTTTATACTCATGGAATGAAGACACAATATTATTAAAATTGCCAAAGTTCCTAAAGCAATTTATAGGTTCAGAACTGTTTCAAAGGCATGACATTACCCAATTCCAAACTACATTATAAGGCTATGGTAACTCTAACAGTATGGTAGTAGTACTAAAACAGACACACAAACCAATGGAACAGAATAGAGAACCCAGAAATAAAACTGCACACCTACCACCAACTGATTCTTGAAAAAAGTAAACAAAAAGTAACAACAGGGAAAGGACCACTTATTCAATAAACAGTGCTGGAAGAACTGGCTAGCCATATGCAGAAGAATGAAACTGAATCCCCCCCACCCCATTTTTACCATAGACAAAAATTAACTCATGATAGATTAGATATTTAAATATAAGACCTCAAACTACATAAATCCTAGAAGAAAACCTAGGAAATACCATTCTAGATAGCTTAGGCAAAGAATTTATTGCTAAGTCCTCAGAAGTAATTCCAACAGAAGTAAAAGTTGGCAAGTAAGACCTAATTAAACGAAAGAGGTTTTGCACAGAAAAAGAAATTGTTAACAGTGTAAACTGACAACATATAGAATGGGAGAAAATATTCACAAACTATGTATCTGACAAATGTCTAATATCCAGAATCAATAAAGAACTTAAACACATCAGCAAGCAAAACCCAAACAAACAATAACAACAAAACATTTTAAAACGGGCAAAGGACATGAACAGGCACTTCTCAAAAAAGACATACAAGTGACTAACACACATATGAAAAAAAAAAGTTCGCCATAAGAGAAATGTCAATCAAAACCACAATGAGATATCATCTCATACCAGTCAGAATGGCTATTGCTAAAAAGTAAAAAAAAGTAATAATAACAGATGTTGGAGAGGCTGTGGAAAAAAATGACATGCTTACACACTGTTCGTGGTGATGTAAATTAATTCAACCACTGTGGAAAACAGTTTGGAGATTTCTCAAAAATCTTAAAGCAGAACTACTATTTTACATGACAATTTCATTACTGGGTATAAACCCAAAGGAAAATAAATCGTTCTGCCTAAAAGGCATGTTATGACATGTATATGTTCATTGCAGCACTACTCACAATAGCAAAGACATTGAATCAACCTAGGCACCCATGAAAGGTTGACTGGAAAAAGAAAATATGACACATGTACACATGGAATACTACCTAGCCATAAACAAGAATGAAATCATGTCCTTCACACCAATATAGATGCAGTTGCAGGCTAGAATCCTAGGCAATTAACACAGGAACAGAAAACCAAATACTGCATTTCTCACTTATACATGGGAACCAAACACTCAGTACACATGGACATAAAGATGGAAGCAATGGACAATGGGGACTAGTGGAATAAGGAAAGAAAAATGGGGTGAGGCCTGAAAGGACTGCCTATTGGGTGTGCTCACTGGGTGTCAGTGTCATTTGTACATCAAACCTAAGCATCACACAGTGTCCTAATGTGACAGGCCTTCACATATACCCCCTGAATCTAAAATAAAAGTTGAAATTATTTTTTTAAAAAAGAAAATGTGGTATGTATACACACAAGGGACTACTATTCAGCCATGAAAAGGATGAAATGTCATTTGACACAACTTGGATGAACCTGCAGGATATTATGTTAAGTGAAATAAGCTAGGCACAGAAAGACAAACACCTCATTATCTCACCCGTATTTGGAATAAAAAATCTTCATCTCATTGAAGTTGAGAGTAGAACAGTGGTTTCTAGAGCTGAGGAGAGTGGGGTAAGGGGAGATTAGAGGAGGTTGGTCAATAGGTACAATGTTACAGTGAGATAGAAGGAATAATTTCTGGTACTCTTGCATAGTATGGTGACAATAACAATAATGCATAGTGTATTTCAAATAAGTAGAAGAGAGAATTCTGAATATTCTTACAATAAAAAGATAAATATCTATGGTGATGTGTGTGCTAATTATCATGATTTAATGATTATGTGTATATACATATTGAAACATTACATGTATACCATATAAATATGTATAATTATTATGTGACAATAAAATATATTTTCAGATAGTATCATTTCATATATTCAGGGTTAAAATATATTACTAAAATTAATTTTATTTGTTTTCTCTTACTTTTTTAAGTAACTTTTTAAAATTACATGTGTGGCTCTATTTTGGGACTCACATTGTATTTCTGTTGGATGGTAGTTCTCTACAAAACAAAAACAAATAAAAATTGTCATGAACTTCATTACCCCTTGACAGGATAGCAATGTCAGGTAGAAAGCATGGGATGAGGATAGTGCCGTCAGGTAGAAAGCATAGGATGAGGATAGCGCCGTCAGATAGAAAGCATGGGATGAGGATAGCACCGTCAGGTAGAAAGCATGGGATGAGGATAGCGCCCTCAGATAGAAAGCATGGGATGAGGATAGCACCGTCAGGTAGAAAGCATTGCTTCCAAGATGTCTTAGTGATGCAGAGAGCTAATGAGCACAGGGTCCTGGCAAAGCAACCCTGGCTTATCTAACCGTTTCCATTCTTCATATGGGGGTTAAATACTCAGGACAGGAAACAACAGAATTTTACACATTTTATCTTAATTTCTAATGCTGTGTGAGTGTAGAATTCCTTGTATAAGTATGAGAAAACAGAATGTAATTATCAGATATATGAAAACATACAGCAATTCATAAGAAGACACCATGGGAAGAACCAAATCAAATGTCCAAATGTCTTTTTATTAAATAAAATCTCTTCATTCACAAACAAGAAGATCCAATAGAACATTGTATCTATATAGCTAGAAAATGCAGACAAAGAGAAAAAAATGGACCAGGACAGAATGTGTGAAGACAAAAATATTTAAAACTAATATATCAAATATAGTGAAAGCAGAGGTGAATTTTCCAAAGAAATAATAAAGCTTAAGCTTTGGGGGCACCTCCCTAGCCAAGGCTTCTTCTGAGACTCTGGAAGATGTCTTGCAAGTTTGTATTAATGTCTTAATATTTGTTTAAAAAAAAAAGAGAGTCCTCAGTTGTGTAAACATGAGGCTCTGCAATGCCTGTATCAGACCCTGGCACAGTGAAAGGCTAATTGTAATCTGCAATCATATATCTACCTCTACCCACAGATAGTCACTGAACACCTGATTTATATCAGGTAATCTGAGGAAGAGGTGGTGAGCCAATACACTGCTGACCTAGCCCCAATGGAACATGCTTTCTATTAGGTTGGTGCAAAACTAATTGCGGGTTTTGCATTACAAATAAATACAAGTAATAGCAAAATCCACAATTACTTTTGCACCAACATAATGGATGGAAAAAACAGATTATAGACATGTTATTGTAAATAAATAAATAAATAAATAGAGATCTACAGCAAACAAAACTAGTATAAAGAATTCACCCACCCAATATATCGGCTCATTCCATTTCTAATTGCCCAGTATTTAGAATATCCAATTGGGCTTCCAAGATATAATACACAAATAAGTTAATTGATTCAATTTCTCACAGTAGACTATGTGTTAATTTGAGAAATGAACACCATGAGTGATTCTCATAGTTTATGTATGTAAATACAAGTAAACATGAGTGCACAAATACACACAAGTATACACATATATGCACACATAAAGCTTCAATTTTATTATGGGGTTTTGGATATTTCATTTATCTTCTTTGAACTTAACCATGTTTTCAATAATTTGGGTACTAAATTGGTATTATACTTTAATCAAAAGAAATATTATTAAAACCCTAAATTTTCTTCATAAAAAGTATTTTTCCTCTCAAAATGTCCTACTAGAGGAGTAGTGTGAATTTGTAAACATTGCTTGGAGTTGTATAGGTATGCAGGCAGAATTTCATAGACCATATCACAGTTACAAGCTTGCCATGATTCCACAGCCATCTTCACATGCACTATCAATTTGCCTGGCCAGTTGGAAATAATAGATATGGAAGAGAAAGAAGGGTGGTGCTCCTCCTTTTCTGCTTCTCTAATTGACTGTGAAAAATGGATTCCTGCAACAATGTTGATCAAATTTACTCTATTTGATATTATTTACCTGAAGAAGGGGACTTCTTTCAAAAACAAAGGGGAAAATCTAATGCAAAGGTAAATATATCAGCACATATATTAAATATTTTTATTTTATTTACCAAATGGAATAAAAGGAAAAAAGAGGTAGGCTAATGGCACACCGAAGAATAATTGAAAACATGTTTAATCATTTGTTTGTCCACAAAGCAAAGGACAAATGCAAATTTGATTACAAAGAGTGGTGGAAAAGGTAAACAACAGTTTGGAAATTATTTCTAGTTATTCTTCAGAATCAATGAATAAAGAAAAGAAGTATGAAAGTAATAATGAATTAAAATGTGTGTTTCCTTGTTAAAGTGAAATGATTTTGGGGTGCTGAAAGTGAACCCCATATTTCTCCCCACTTTCAGATAATTGCCTGATTTATGGCTACTGATACAATCATTGCCATATCCAGGTTTTAGAGTCAAATAGTTTATGACTCGGTACTGTGTGCTGCCAGGCTAATCTTTCCTGTTGGCAAATCTCCACATGGTTTGACTGAGGGTCACCAGGTAGCTTTCCATGCTCAAAATTTGCCTGCTTTGTAGGTGTCAAATAACCAGACATTCTATTAGGGGGAATTCTTTCCTATGGAATAAAGTATTAAATGCTAATATGAGGAAGTAGAAAAATATAAAAGCACCATCCACATTTAATACATGATTAAAACATACTGAATACTTTCCAAGTGGTTGATAACCAAGAGCAAGAACTCACTTGGAATCGGGGTTACAGCAGATAAGTTTTGATAGGCAACATGTGGAGAGACCAAGAAGTGCCTCAATGTGATGGCAAAGTTGAGATGGAAGAAACATGTCAGGGATAGGATGGGGACCTAACTGTATAAATGAGGATAATGAAAAGGGAAAGAGGTTTTATATATGGAAAATAAACTATCTATAGCTAGCAGTAGTAACTGAGATTGCTTAGTCTAATAAAAGGTGACTGGAAGTAGGTGATTGGTAGAGGTTAAAAAATAAAAGGCAGTCTGGTAGAAAATGGAGTCAACTATTTGAGAGTCCTACAAGAAAAATTCAAAATGAATATGAACAGACTATATTGAGGCAAGTAAATATCAGACTAAAACATTCAGTTAGCTTACCAGTGGCTTCTTTTTCTATCACATATATTTCCCCTTTTCCTCTAGACTTCTATATACACATAGCTGATCTCTCTGTGGGTAGAGGGAGACTTATTCTGACCCTCTTTAATTTCTCTCTGATTCAATGATGGCAATGAAAAATGAAACTTAATATCATCTTTAGAGGAGAAAATACCGAATGATATCAATTTTTATATGTCTCTTGTTAGGTCCTAGAGAAGCAGATGCTGAGACTGAGTTTTTAATGCAAAACGTTGGTAAGGGATCAACATCAGTAAGCAGAAGGGACGAAAGCAGGTTGAGTAGAGGGAGGAGTGAAAGTGCATCAAAGGCCAAACAAATAATCAGAGAACTTGGTGAGGAGCTCTGGAGCAAGGATTGTCTAAAACACTGTCGCACTACAGGCTGAAATAGATGAGATCTTTTTACCAGGGGTCACCAGAATACGGTCAGCCTGCCACATGTTTTTTATAGTCTGTGAGCTAAGACTATTTTTTTTTACATTTTTAAATAGTTAAAAAAGGCAAAAGGATATTTTCTGACATGAAAATTATATGAAATTCAAATTTAAACGTGCATAAATACAGTTTTATTGGTACATAGCCATGCTCATCCATTATGTATTATCCATGGCTGTTTATGAGCTACAACAGCAAAATCGAGTAGTTTGTGGCAGAGTCTCTACTGCTCATGTACCTTAAAACACTTGCTGTTTGCTTTTTAATGGGAAACGTTTGTAAATTCCTCCTTAGTTCTCCTGCTTTACTGGGTCACAGGTAAGGGTAACTCGGGGGAGAAAGCCCTCTGCTATTGCGTCAAACCCTGAAAAAGCTGACAACCAGAAGCTGTTTTCAGATCGCACTCCAGAGCCGGACAGCCAGCCCTTCTTTTAAAAGGTTATGCTGCCATAACCTGTCTACCATAATGCTAATTTCCACAGATCACATACTAAATGCCAGCTATTCCAACTAGCTTTTGACAAATACACTATTGTCAAATAAAATCTGTTTTGCAGTTATTCCAACGTATGACGTGATCAGAGATTTTAATGTAATAGAAAAACAAAATTTTTATTCAAGATGTCTTTCAGCAAAGAATTTCGACCCTATTGGCAATGGTTAGCATTTTAAAGACTTAAAAATCTGCTTTCCAATTATATTATTTTGAAAGAGATTTATTGAATAAGTGCAGAAGTTGTTATAAAAAATATGTGAACATGTTCATCTTCAACAAATGTTTAATTATTATACATAAGAGTGCTATAAGACTTGTCAAATATCAAGTATTGTACTGTTTTTATTGAAGAACTGGCCTTGCACATTTTCCAGAGTTCCAAAAAATGTCTAATTGCTTCAGAGTTTTCCCTCCCTGATTATTATTTCCTCTTGTTCCCTTAGTTACTTTCATGGGTTCTATTTCAAAGCTTTTTCCTATAATAGATTGTGCTTTTGTCATTATTCTCTCTGAGAAATCAGATTTGGCTCTCCCATTTTTACCCCTAATTAAAATTTTTGGTCTAATTGCAGTATATTTCATTAGTTCTTACAGAACACATGAGCTTGAACGAGGGTTTTCACTATTGGTTTAATGTTGAATAATATGCAGGCATCTAATAAGCACTGTCCATATTAAGACTATTTTGTCAAAGTTCTCCTTAGCCCATTTGCACATTGGCCAGGAAGACTGCATCAAATTCCAAGGAAGAGTTTGGATTTCAGGTCCCAAGATCTAAAGAGTTAATTCTAAAAGTTAATTTTCATTGGATTAAAAACAATCAAGAATGGCAAGATAATTAGGTTATTTAAATGCAAGTCTGACAAAGAGGGAGGTAAGAAGTATTGAAAGGATTAAAAAATTATCTGATAACTAAAACAATAAAGTCGTATTATTAATTTGTCTTTTGAAATTAGCACTTTTAATTCAACAATATAATGTGGAAATTTGAGAAGAAATAGTTTGCAATTGTGTTTACTTTACAATTGGCCAATGTTTCTCACTGTTCCTCATTCTCAATCTGTATTTTCTTCTTCTTTTCAGAGGTAATTTTTACATAAACTTCATGTACAATTAGGCATGGAGAGTAGCTTTATTACCTAAAGAACATGCTCCCTGATAGAAGAGAATCAGCCAAGTCAAATAACAGAAAGACTCTACAATGTTAATGAGATTAACAATGACCCATTGGGAGATATACCTAATGCTAGATGACGAGTTAGTGGGTGCAGCGCACCAGCATGGCACATGTATACATATGTAACTAACCTGCACAATGTGCACATGTACCCTAAAACTTAAAGTATAATAATAAAAGAAAAAAAAAACAATTAAACTGTCTCAACCTAGAATTTAAATGACAGCAAAAACAACATAGTTCTGAATAGCCAAGCAAGTTATTCAATATCCTTATTTAAAAAAAAAAATAGAGAATCTAGTTAACTGGGGGAAGAGTATGTTTTTTAAAAAGTAAGATTCTTTTGAATAAACCGATTGTAATTTAAAAAAAAAAATGACCCAGTTTTTGGATTACACATATTCTATTTGTTGATTCACCTGATACTATTTTTTTTTTTCATTTAATGACAATGTTAAGTGCCATGTGCATGTTTGAGAGAAGAGCTTTTCAAGAAAGAACAACTACTGCAAATTTCCTGAGGTAGGACTACGAGTATCCTAGGGAAAGCAAAGGGACATTGTGGATGGAACTCAGTAAGTGATGGAACTCACAGTAGGACATTGAATAGGACATGAGAATGATTCGTCAGAGAGTCAATGGATTAATTCATGCACAGCTATAGGTGATTGTAAGGATTGTTAAAGACTGCTAAGGGTTAAGGTTTGACTTAATTTACAAACTAATAAGTGAGCCTGCCTCAGTTTCAGAGGTGTTGAGAGAAGCAATGAGACTTCTGCATAAGAGAAAATGGACTTTATTACTCACAGAAAGGCAGGCAGTATGCACTTCATGTTCATACCTGTGTCTTACGCTTCCTAAGTCCCACAGAAGCAATATCAAGTGGCCCAGATGGACACTGCAAACACAGTAGCATAGTAGCTACAGATGAGAAATCCTGAACTTACAAAACTTCTTTCTTAGAGTTCTCCAGAGAAACAGAACCAATAGGATATATACACACATGTATGTATATATCCTATTGGTTCATATATACATAATTTTACAGATATGGTTTTTACATATATATTATGATGTTATATATTTATGATTTTTACATATATTTATGATTATATGTGTATAATATAATCTGTTTATGTGTATATATATATATGTACAGAGAAGACAGAGAGGATTTATTATAATCATGTAGGATTTATTGTGAACACAGAGGCTAAGAAGGTTCATAATCTGCTGTCAACAAGCTGGAGACCTAGGAAAGCTGGTGTCGTAGATCAGACTGAGTCCAAAGACCTGAAAGCCAGATGACAGACAGTCATAAGCTGAGAGCTGGAGAAGACTGATGTCCCAGCTCATAAGTTAGGCAGATAGCAAATTCTTCCTTCCTCCCCCTTTTTGTTCTATTCGGGCCCTCAACAGATTCAATGATGCCCACCCACATTGAGGAGGGTAGTCTGCTTTACTCAGTCAACCTATTCAAATGCTAATCTCATCTCAGAAATAAGGTTTAGCCAATATCTGGGCACTCCATGGTCCAACAAAATTGAAACATAAGGTTAACCATCAAAACTTCCAATCATATGAGGGGGCAGCTAGCAAACTGTGCCAACTTTTACCCTGAAAGGAAACAGTATCTTTTATTGTCCTGTTTCAGAAACAAATATTTCCTCTGCCCTAGAGGAAGACACTATCTCTATCATCCAAGGATGCTTATTATGCAAACAAGAGATCCATGGACAACTGTTTCACAAAAAGGATTTTAGCATTTACTGTGGGTAAAATGAATAGCCGTTGCAAGCATTTTCTTTAAAAAAAAGAGTGACATGGTGTGATTTTCATTTTAGAAGATTTACTCTGGCTACTGTGTTAAGAATATACCCATGAGAATCAATGGTAAAAGCTGTGAGATCAATAAGGGCAAAAGATGATAGCACATTGACCAGATGGTAAAAGCAGCAATAGTAAGAAGTACTTTGATTGAGTATATAGTTTGAAATTAAATCCCATAGGATTTATTGATGGATTGGTCATGGGGTATAAGAAAAATAATGGAGCAAAATTTGAAGTTCCTACTAAACCAGATTGGGAGGATTTTAGGTGAAGAGGATTTGCAAGGGAGTGAAATAATTTCAGTTTAAGTCACATAGAGTTTGAGATGTGTATTAGATATCCAAGTGAGATATTAGGTAGAGAGATGAATATGTTAATCTGGAATTTGGAAAAGAGATCTAGGTTGGACACACACGCACACACGCACACACGCGCACACACGCACACACGCACACACACACACACACACACACACACACTATTCTGCTTATCTACCTCCTGTCTGCTCTGCTGCTCTCATTTTATTGCTTGATAATCAGTTCTCATGGCTCTTAATCTACCACTTCTCTAAGTGTGTTCTTTGTGCTTCCTCCTAGAGTAGCCCCTCTTCAGATTATTACCTTTACACTTAAAGGACAATTATTTATTTTTCTCATTGATCCTCACAAGTTTGAGCTCTCTCGAGTACAATTCATATTAATCAAGCTCATCTGCTTCATTCCAGACTGGGCTGGTGGAAAGCTGGAAAATAGATCACTTTCCCAGGCCCAGATTTTAGGTAATGGGATATAATTATCTTAAACTCAACATGTTGGCATTTAGCTTCATTTCACTCCTGTTGCTCCTCTGTTCCTGGGATTTTTGATTGGTATAAGTGAATTCTGTTCCTCTGGGATTTTTGATTGGTATATAAGTGTATTTCTGATTAAGTTCCTAGTAGCCATCTTGAACTCCTATTTTTTTTTTTTTTTTTAATTGATCATTCTTGGGTGTTTCTCACAGAGGGGGATTTGGCAGGGTCATAGGACAATAGTGGAGGGAAGGTCAGCAGATAAACAAGTGAACAAAGGTCTCTGGTTTTCCTAGGCAGAGGACCCTGCGGCCTTCCGCAGTTTTTGTGTCCCTGGGTACTTGAGATTAGGGAGTAGTGATGACTCTTAACGAGCATGCTGCCTTCAAGCATCTGTTCAACAAAGCACATCTTGCACCGCCCTTAATCCATTTAACCCTGAGTGGACACAGCACATGTTTCAGAGAGCACAGGGTTGGGGGTAAGGTCACAGATCAACAGGATCCCAAGGCGGAAGAATTTTTCTTAGTACAGAACAAAATGAAAAGTCTCCCATGTCTACTTCTTTCTACACAGACACGGCAACCATCCGATTTCTCAATCTTTTCCCCACCTTTCCCCGCTTTCTATTCCACAAAACCGCCACTGTCATCATGGCCCGTTCTCAATGAGCCGCTGGGCACACCTCCCAGACCGAGTGGTGGCTGGGCAGAGGGGCTCCTCACCTCCCAGCAGGGGCGGCTGGGCAGAGGCGCCCTTCACCTCCCAGACGGGGCGGCTGGCCGAGCAGGGGGCCGACCCCCCCACCTCCCTGCCAGACGGGGCAGCTGGCCGGGCAGAGGGGCTCCTCACTTCCCAGTAGGGGTGGCCGGGCAGAGGCGCCCCTCACCTCCCGGACTCCTATTTTATAACCAACTTCTTCATGTCCTTTCCTATTTTTTGTTTGTTTGTTTTGTTTTTTGAGACGGAGTCTCGCTCTGTCACCAGGCTGGAATGCAGTGGCGCAATCTCGGCTCACTGCAAGCTCCGCCTCCCGGGTTCACTCCATTCTCCTGCCTCAGCCTCCCCAGTAGCTGGAACTACAGGCGCCTGCTGCCACGCCCGGCTAATTTTTTGTATCTTTTAATAGAGACGGGGTTTCACCGTGTTAGCCAGGATGGTCTCGATCTCCTCACCTTGTGATCCGCCCGCCTCGGCCTCCCAAAGTGCTAGGATTACAGGCGTGAGCCACCGCACCCGGTCCTGTCCTTTCCTTTTTTTACCTTAGATTCTGATTTAATTTTTAGGGTTTTGTTAGTTTCCTCAGGAGCTACATTCTGATGCTGAACCTGAGCCCAGTTGATGGGACAATGCTATCTATTTAAAAATTTCATAATTGTTTATCCTACCTAAAATGTTTTCAATTATTATTTAATATTAATGTATGCAAACTACTCATGTCTCAGTTACCAACATAATTTGCTATTGGAATTCAATTCTCTAGATTTCCTGTTGACTTTTAGTACTAATTGTTTTCTAGTACTATTATCTGTCATCTAGAACATGCTGTCTACTTGTCTGAACTGCCTTACAAAACTTTGAGGTAGACCTGTACCTCTAGTACCATCCCATCCCTGTGGTGGAGAATAAAAAGGAAATTGAAATTTAGATTCTTCTCTTCTCAAATAGTTGTTTGGGGATAAAATGATAAAGAAGATACGTATTAGTTTTATCATCCCAGGGCTTAATTTTTTTTTTACAACAATGCAACTAGACAAATAAATCAATACATTTATTGAATATAATTGTTACCCATACTAAGAATTAGATTGAGACTGTGATGAAAGCTTATGACAGAGATTTCTTACGTAGGGATATTGAGGCTGAGATGAGTGAGGGATAGTTTCTAGCAACTGTCAATATAACTTGAAACAAGGAGAAACAGAAGGTGGCAAAATAAAAAGTAGGGGAATGATTCCAGATTTCCAAGTTGAGTAAGTAACTTTATGAACACTATACAATACGGATGACTAAGACAAATGGAAGAAGCCAATTATAGTGGAGAAGAAAAAAAACATAAAGAGTGCTGGAGAGAGTTACATGAGATAAGCTAAACCTAAGTGGTAAGTAGGGGACCCAAATATACAGGGCTTTGGAGTCCAGGATAAAAATTTTGAACATTATTGGGAAGTCCTAAATAATTTTAAACATGTCATAATCAGGATTGCACTTGTAAAATTAATCTGGTTATATCAATAGAGATTAGATTAGGGATTTTTTAAAAATCTCCTCAAAAATAGTGGATTTTGCAGAGAATCAAAAGAAAAAATGTGAGTTGCACTTCTATTATGGTACTGGCTTTTGGGAGAAAAGTAATGACTCAGTAATTACAATAAATAGTATGTGGCCACGCATGGTGGCTCACACCTATAATCCCAGCACTTTTGGAGGCCGACACGGGTGGATGGCTTGAGCCCAGGAGTTCCAGACCAGCCTGGGCAACATGCGGGGAAACCCAGTCTCCACAAAAATTGCAAAATTAGTTTAGTCAGGCTTGATAGTGTGCACTTAGCCTGGGAGGCAATATGAGACCTTGCCACAAAAAAAAAAAAAAAAAAAAAAAAAAAAAAACAGAGGAAGAAGAAGGAAAAAAAAAGGAATAGCGTAACTGATTAATGGGATATATTAGGTGAGGAAAAGCTAAATGTCAGATTTCTTCTTTGACTTCTAAAAAGTTGTCCCTCACATTTACTAAGGAAACAGTAGAGGAGGATAAGATTAGAATAAGAAAGATAATTTACTCGTGGATGTATTGAAATTCATGTGAATGTCTCAACTTGAAATTCACTTCTGAGATTCTCTAATATCCAGATATAAATGAAGATTAAATAAAAATGGCTATACACTTTTTTTAGGAGAAAAACATTTGTTTATTGCTAGACTTAACAATCACATTGCCATCATTTATATTGAAACATTCATCAATCTCCTATTCTTTTATTCTAAAACAGTTATTATTAATAACCTATTCATTTACTCTAAAGCACTTATCAATTTAGCTATCATGTTTAATTCATAGCAATAATACTATGTTATAAGACATTTTACTAAAATATTAGACTACTTACCTGCCCATTTTTTGATAAACTTTCTATTTTGAAATAATTTTATATTTTGCAAAGATAGTTGCAAAAGATAGTACAGAGTTCTGTTATACTATTTTATTATACAATTTCTATTCATAGAACTTATCATTATTATAGGCATATTTTTATTTGCACAATTTTATTGATTCAGTGTGTTTTTTCCATTAAAGTATGAAGGCAACAGTCATACTGTCTTGCTCACCACTTTATACCTAAAAAATAGCAAGTATGCAATAAATATGTATTGAATTAACAAAAAGCTAAAAATATAAAGTTGTAAGCCATTTGCTTATAGATAATATTTGAGACCTTGGAATATATGAAATGATTGTGAATGCCGAATATCTGAGACAGCTTTCAGTTAATTTAGAAAGTTTATTTTGCCAACGTTGAGGATGTACCCGTGACACAGCCTCAGGAGGTCCTGATGACATGTGCCGAAGGTTGTCGGGGCAAGCATAGCTTGGTTTTATACATTTAGGGAGACAGGAAACATCAATCAATATATATATGAGATGTCCATTGATCATGTCCAGAAAGGCGGGGTAACTCAAGCAGGGAGAGGGCTTCCAATTCATAGATAGATGAGAAAAAAGCAGTTGCATTCTTTTGAGTTTCCGATTAGCTTTTTGAAAGGAGGCAGTCAGATATGCATTTATCTCCGTGAACAGAGGGATGACTTTGAATAGAATGGGAGGCAGCTTGGCACTAAGCAGTTCCCAGCTTGGCTTTTCCCTTCAGCTTAGTGATTTGGGGAGCCCCAAGACTTAATTTCCTGTCACATGACTTAAAAAGGATATTAACGATATAAGCACAGGTAAAAGAATATAAGCCACAAATAAAAATAAAAATTACAGAAGGATCTGCCAGAGCAGGAAGGAAATAAGAAGCCTCTGTATCCTAAAAATAAAGTGTTTTAAGAAGTAAATATTTGTGCTAAGCAATGCAGAGACTTAAAAGTCATGGAGGAATTTCTATATTACTGAGAGATATATTGATGTGAAAGTCACTGTTTGTTTGTTTGTTGTTTGTTTGTTTTGTGAGACCTGATATGGCAAAGTGATGGAGACAGAAGGCTAATTGTCGTGGGTTCAGAGTTGAGTAGGAGGTGAGGAAATGGTTGCAGAGGTGATTATGCTTTACAGTATGTGGTTATAAAGGAGAGGAGGGAGGTAAGGAAGCTACTCAAGGGGATGACTGATTAAGAGCTTCTTCTACAGTTTGCCTGTACCTATTAAGATGACTTTTTACCTGTTAAAATACATTTTATTTCACACTCTCCAGCTAGTGCATTTGAACAAGTTTCTAGCATCTGATCTTGAGTGAACAGAACCTTGATTATGACTCACAGGGCCACCTGTCAATCCTTAAGAACTTAATGGTTACATTGTGTAGAATTTCCCATAAAAACGTGTTATGCTTCAACATTTTCCTAGAAAGCACAAATAATTAAATAAATAAAAATACTTCACTTTGTTACTAGTAATGAGGCAGGAGAACAGGGTCTGAAGGCAGGGAACGTAAGTCTTACTCTTGCTGACTTTCTAGAACTAAATCAAATGGAAACACTTCAACTATGACAGAAAACATCCTCTCCAGTTACCTAGGGCTCACACAGAGTAAATGACTTTGCAACTTTACTTCATCCTCATTTATTAAGATGTAGACCAAGTAAACAAAGGAAACCACTAGAGGGTATTTAAACCTCAGAAAATTCTGTAACAGGCTCTTGAGCCCCTATGCTCAGACTCGCTCCCACCCTGTGGAGTGTACCTTCATTTTCAGTAAAACTCTGCTTCTGTTGCTTCCTTCTTCCCTTGCTTTGTTTGTGCATTTTGTCCAGTTCTTTGTCCAAGATGCCAAGAACCTGGACACCTTCAACAAGTAACAGATACGAATTTAAACTTGCCTTGAGAAAGTTATTTCTGTAACTCTAACATCGATAAGGGTATTTTAGAGCAAGGCAACGTCCCAAAACATTGTTCCCTATGCTCTGAGAAGATGTAGAATTAACCAACTTTTTGTTTTAAAGACACCTAAAATATCTGAAATCAAGTTGTTATTTATCAAGGAAATTGTGTTACTTTGCAATGGTGTCTTCTTAAAAGAGAAGGCTAAAATAATCTAATTATTTTCCATTAATGAAATGGAGACGTTTCAGATTAGCCTTTGAAGAAGAATGTTATGTGAACAGCAACACACACACACATACACACACACACAGAGACACACACAATCTCATCAGGAATTTCAGTAGTAAAATCACTTCTAAATCAGATTAACCCTAAATTAGAGGGTCCCATGTTTTTCCAGGATAGATCTAGAGTGAACATTTTGTTTTTGACAGAACACAGCATGCTTCCTGAGATCCTAGAGGATTAGAAAGAAATCTCTTGAAAAATGTATTCACTCATTGTAATATGTAATGATCCTCACCTTATACTCAACTGGGTAACAACTTTGTTGTTGATGTATAGCTGACTACATGCATTATTGTCTAAATTGGGCACATTGACAATCAAAAGGAATTACATTAATTATTATGGCAAGAAAACAGGGGTAAACTGAGATTTTTCCAGGCAACCATTTTAAGTATAGTCACATAAATTATTTATGTACTCCTATTTTCTCTCCTAATAAGTGAACAATAGCAAGCTAAGATAACCTCCCTCAGCCCTGGTTTGACAGTTTGTAATATATGCACACTTCCTAGAGTAGTCATGATGATAAAACCTGAAATTTATTAAATAACTTTGAGAATACTAAAAACTCTCTGTATTTGGATTTATATTTGTATATGTATATGTGTTTTTGTATCTAAACTGCATATTTTTATTATTTAAATTGTAAATACTAAGAGGGCAGTAATTTGTCTTACTCAGCACTGATACTGTGTAATATTTAGTCATTCATTTTTAGATTACTGACAATTTTCTATCACTTTTCTTCTAAATTCTTCAATGTGATCAGGCATAACTTTATCATTGAAATGAAAACTAACTGAATTTTTTTATGACTTGCAGTGTCTGAAAACTGGCAGTTATTTTTTTTTGGAAAAAACATAGAAATGAAAATAGGAAGAAAGAAAAAAGAAGGAATATGAAATAGAACAAAAAAAGTCTTAAGAGAATGTTGATCTATTGCTCACTATACAAACTGCTAATTTTTGATGAGATATTTGAGAAACACGTTTATTCATTGTTAGGTGTTCAATACCACAAATGTGAACAATGTTAGACATTTTAAAATGAAAAAGATATAATTTTGGCTCCAGATAATGATCCAGGGTATAATTTTTCCACAAGTTTCTTGAAGAGGGCAATATGTTTCATGATGAAAGGGTTCCATTGTCAAGTAAATTTGAAAAACCTTAATTAAGCAAATGTAAAGAGGTTAAAATTTATTTATTATTTTTGTTTGACTTTCTCCTATATGATTTCTCAAAAACTTTAATGTTTAATGCATGTTGTTAATTTCCAGAGGGAAAGGAAATACGAGTCATTTTTCAAACTGAGTTAACTACAGAACACATTTTAAAGAATTCTCATTTAATGACTTGCAGTGCCTTCAGGAGTTCTCACTGTGGCCACACAAATCATTTGCCCATACTTTGAAACTATGGCTGGGTAGAGGAAACCTGAATCATTTAAATTCTGTTTTCTCGATATATAGAAAGTTTAACTCCTTCAACTTCTTATTCTAACTTATGAAAATATTCAGTTTTATTACTCCTTACCTTTAAATTGTGACTAAAAATATCCAATCACAATCTATTAAAACATCCAATCACAACCTATATTTATTTCCATGACACCCAAACATTAGGAATAGTACTCAACATATTGGCTATATGTGTCAGCTTCTAAATAAAGCAAGAATATATATTTTCTTTTGCAAAGCTTGCAAGTCATCATAGGTTTAAATCTCAGAATATGAAACGCCCAAATAAAGAAGCTCTTCAGAGGGATAATTTATTTATGTCTTAGATTTTTATTGCTTGGCATTTTCCTATTTTTTTATGCTCTCTCTTATCCTGGAAGAAAGCAAAAGCATGACTAGGTGAGATTATGTGTTAGCACTCTACAAAATCTCTGGCCTTGCTTTGCAAAATGTCTTCAGTATTGAAAGAGGAAAGACACATTTTTCACTGGTAATTATTTAGTAAATAAAGTATTCTCTGTCTGGTATAGACTCTATGATGCAATTTTAAATTGCTCTGTTTGGGCAATTAATCAAAATATACAGGGGTGCTAAAATATTAATATTTTGGCTATTCCAAGATTATTTTCTTCATGAAGGAGTCTAGCATGCCACAGAGAGTTCTGCTTCTTGGGCCACAAGACTGTCCGTTAGTCCTCAAACCCTCAGTACCATGGGCTGCAAGAATGGATCAAGTTCTGCTGAGGTAAAGTTTTTTGCAAACATGGTTTTTCACAAGAAATTTAAATTGTTAGTTACTCTGTAGATATGTTCAAATCTTCTCTGCTGCCACTTTGGCATAACTGATCTTCCTGCCTCTGAATGTCCTCCCCTCAAAGCCAATATACTGCTAAGTTATAAGCAAAGACCTGACCATGTAACCCTCCCCCTTAGCTCTGGTGCCTTCTCATTACCTACAGAGTAATTATATATCAAGGCTCGGCTTATATTAATAACTTTACACAGCTTTTTTTTTTTTTTTGTATTAGTAGATATAATTGACTTCAACTTAGAAGTGAAATGTGGTGAATAGGTTAATGAAAAGAAATTCCAGTCCCCATGTCTAAGGTAAGTCATCTTTTTCTCCATGAGAAATTGTGTGGGTCAGGGAGCATGTAATATGGTAATCTTCCTATGATGCAGGTCTTGCTGTCATGCTTCATTTCTCGTTTGTAGATTCTCTTTCAACATGATTTGGTTCAATTTATTCAGGAGTTATATTCAGTACGTTTATTGAAGTATGTTCAGATACACAGGAATGCATCTGAAAAGAAATCTTCAGTAGAAGGTGAAGCAAGAAGACATTCAGTAAGTTTAGACATGCAAACTGGAGACCATTATGCACACTCTGAGGTTTCCTTTCCATTGCCTGGAGTGCGCCGTAAGATTGTCCTGATCAGAACTTCCTCAGAAGACACTGAAAAGTTTAACATTTTTTGAGTTCTGGTGGTCAATGGTAGTCATATCTAAAAGCTGTTGCTTTAATCAACTGGCTCTTTTTTTTCTTTTCTTTTTTTTTTTTTTTTTTTTTTTTTGCAAACATGTTTCTCTCCAAACCTAGGTGAATAGCTGCTTCTGTAAAGCTTCGTCTTTCTCTCTGAAAATTATTTTTTTGCTCCTTGCTCTTTAAAAAGGGGCCATTTTTTGTGGCATCCTTTTTCTTCCAAATAACAGTCTTATAATAGTGCAGTGGTATCATCATCACAAGCAGTAGTGAGGTGTTGCTGTAAAAGTTGCTGCTGAGTTTTAATCATTTCTTTACATTTCTGAATTTCTAATTTGAGTTTTTCAGCTTCTTGTTCATGGTCTTGTTTTGAGATTAAATCTTCATCATTAAATTTTCTAAGTGTACCTTTGAAACGTGGCTACCAAGTTTTTCTCCATGACTTTTCAAAATTCCCCACTGTTTTCTGATGCTGTTTGTAGGCTGTTCTCTCACAGTTTCACAGGAAAGTTCCCAGATACTGTCTCTGCTCATTTCCCCAGCATCTTCTTCAACATCTGAGATAACAGTTCCTGTACTACCATCTTCTCTTTCTCTAGGTTTCTTTTGAGGAGAAAGAAGAAAAAACATATCCTTTTCCATTTGGTGAAGAAACTTCTTCATTATCAGCATTTTCCATTAGGAATTGTTTGTGACAATACTCATAATCATTCAAGATAATTTTATACATTTCATCAAATTCCTGACTTCTGTCTTACCAGTTTTCCAGAGGCCTCTTTTTCCATCAGCTCTCCCCACATTATTTAAAATGTCTAAAGCTATTTTTAATTCTTTTTGGTTCATAAAAGGTTGATGTAGACTTTCCTTCAGTTTGTTATATTCACACTCTTTTCATATCATATCATGATAATACTGAATAGCTCAACTTACAATAATATTTCGTAATTTCTGTACCTTATCCTTCTCATTTTTCAATAGCTGATTCAAATTCCTGTTCTTGCATTGTAACTGTCTCTTTCCTGAAGCTCAATCATTTCCCTCTTGGAGGTTTCCAGTTTCTTAAGTTTCATTTAGCAGTTCTGTAGATGGTCCATGTCACCTCCCAGTTCCAGGTTCTGTGTTTCCTGAGCTACAAGATCCTTCTACTGAAGTAGTAGTAGCTCATTCATATAATTTAAAAGAGCTGCCATATTTAATTATTTCTATCTCTTTACCTTTGGATCCTTCACATAACTGAGGAAAGCCAAAAGTAGTCAATTCTGGATCAAGACATAAATACTCTGTTAAATATTATCATTTATGCAGAAGGCACCAACAAAAAATGTGCACATTTTTAAATAAAACTATTGAGGAACATGACACTTGCTATAAGTATAAACTTGGTGGTGATATCTTTGCTTCTGAGCTATACTTAGAGATAGTTTTGCTTTGTGAAGACAGACCTGGGTTTGTAACAGCCATCCAGTCTCTCATGGTTATCTCTATAGCCAGGATTCCTGAGGAACTAGTTCAGCAGTGAAACATGTAGTCCAGCTGTTGTCAATCTTTTATGCAGGCATCTCTTCTTATGTTTCCCCTGAGGATTAAGTGAGATAATACATAAAATAGTTAGCACACTGCTTGGTTTATGGAACACAAATCATTAATATTAGCTATCATCATCATCATCAGCTAGACACAGATCAGCTAGACACAGGACTGTTTAGTATAAATGACAGGATATTGAAACCTCCACGGCCGTCAGAAGTGGCAGTGAGTTGCTGCTGGGTGTCCTAGCCCACCTCCCGCAGCATTGAAGGCTCAGGAAAAGTGGAATGGAATGTAGGGCCTTGCGCTGGTGGCCCCTCCTTCCAGACTTTTATTTATTTTAGAAAACTATTACTCCAAACCCAGCTTAGAGGTTTTTTATTTTTGTTTGTTTGTTTGTTTTGACAGTCGCCCAAGGCTGGAGCGCAGTGGCATGATCTTGGCTCACTGCAAACTCCGCCTCTCAGGTTCAACCAATTCTCCTGCCTCAGCCTCCCAAGTAGCTGGGATTACAGGCGTATGCCACCACGGCCAGCTAATTTTTGTATTTTTAGTAGAGACGGGGTTTCACCATGTTGGCCAGGCTGGTCTTGAACTTCTGAAGTCAGGTGATCTGCCTGCCTCGGCCTCGTAAAGTGCTAGGATTACAGGCGTGAGCCACCATGCCCAGCTGCTCTGAGATTTTTATGTTCTTTGATTTATCATTCATGCAATCAAAACTTTTCAGTTCATATTATTTATATTTAAGTCTTTATTCAATTAATGTTCATTGAACATCTCTTCTGTGCTGGCACTTTTCAAGACACTGAGGATATATTGAGGAACAAAGGAGACATAAAAGAAGATAAAATCCTGTGGCTTCATAGAGTTTAGCTTGTATTGGCGTAGGAAAAAAGTAAAACATATAAGCGAAATACATAATGTATTAGAAAGTAAATACTGCAGATTAAATGTGAGGAATGACATTGGAGCACACAAAGAAGTGTTTAAAGTTTGGTTTAATTTTATACTGGGTGGATTAGGATAAGTATCCTGAGATGGTAGCATTTCAGCAAAGTTTGTGGGACAGGTGGAGGTGGGACACGTGGGGAAAGCTATACGGCTTTTTAGAGGAAAGGCCAGTGCAAAGGACTTGGGGTGGGAAAAAGTCTCATATATTTGGGTAACAACTAGAAAATTAGTGTTGCTACATCAGGATGAACAAGGAGAGTGATAAGAAAAAAATAAGACTCAAGAAGTAAAGAGGACCCAGATGACATAGTGCCCTCTAGGTGATTAAAGCACTATGGGCTTTTACTCTCAATGAGATAGTAAGATACACCCAATGAGATGATAAAACCATAGAGTATTTGAGCAGCAGTGAGGACAGTTTTTCTCCATGTTTTTATTTTTCCTGCTATTTTGGTTCCACTAATACTTTGGGTGGGCATTAACAACAGTAGTACGTTTCTCAAGATTAGGTTCCTTGAAAAGGAGATTCATTTCTTGACACATAGTAGGGATTCTATAAAGCATTTACTCTATGACTATCAGTCAACACATTTTTATTAAGGGCAATTTCACATATTTAAATATTCAATTACCAAAAATCATGGAGTAACATTCTAATTAGAAGCCTAAAAATCAATTGAAGGAGAACAAATTGTTTGAAGCATTCTATCTAATGCACTTTATCTGCAGCATTTTTTCCCCAGATATCATACTCTGTTAGGGTTAATCACACAACAATCCCAAAGCAGTTTGCACTATATGAAGTACTTTTAAAATGGTTTGTTGTAAAAGTTACATTTTTTTCTGTTATAAATTATTCTAACTTCACAAATATGCCCAAAACACATTATCTAATATTTTGACCTGTAAACATAAAATTGCCATTTTAGAAACATTTGGAGGAGTGTTTACAGTTAAACTAATTTATTTTTTTCACATATCCTATTATTACTTATTTATTTTTTTCATTTTATTTTAAGTTCCAGAATACATTTGCAGAATGTGCAGGTTTGTTACACAGGTATACATGTGTCATGGTGGTTTGCTGCACCTATCAACCGGTCATCTAGGTTTTAAGCCCCGCATGCAATAGGTATTTGTCCCAATGTTCTCCCGCCCCTTAACCCCCAACCCCTATGTTTTTCCCCTCCCTGCGTCCATGTAATGCTCCTTGTTCAACTCCCACTTATGAGTGAGAACATGTGGTATTTGGTTTTCTGTTCCTGTGTTAGTTTGCTGACAAAGATGGCTTCCAGCTTCATCCATGTCTCTACAAAGGGCATGATCTCATTCTTTTCTTTGGCTGCATAGTATTCCATGGTGTATATGTGCCATATATTCTTTATCCAGTCAATCATTGATAGCCATTTGGGTTGGTTCCAAGTCTTTGCTATTGTGACTAGTGCGGCAATAAACAGACATGTGCATATATCTTTGTAGCAGAATGATTTATAATCCTTTGGGTATATATCTAGTAATGGGATTGCTGGGTCAAATGTTATTTCTGGTTCCAGATCCTTGAGAAATCGCCACACTGTCTTCCACAATGGTTGAACTAATTTACACTCCCACCAACAGTGTAAAAGTGTTCCTATTTCTCTACAGCCTCGCTAGCATCTATTGTTCCTGAATTTTTAATAATCGCCATTCTGACTGGCATGAGATGGCACCTCATTGTGATTTTGTTTTGCATTTCTCTAATGACCTTTGATATTGAGTTTCTTTTTCATTTGTTTGTTGGCTGCATAAATGTCTTCTATTGAGAAGTGTCTGTTCATATCCTCTGCCCACTTTTTGATGGGGTTGTTTGGTTTTTCCTTGTAAATTTGTTTAAGTTCCTTCTAGATTCTGGATATTAGACCTTTGTCAGATGGGTAGATTGCAACCATTTTCTCCCATTCTGTAGGTTGCCTGTTCACTCTGATGCTAGTTTCTTTTGCTGTGCAGAAGTTCTTTAGTTTAATTAGATCCTATTTGTCAATTTTGGCTTTTGTTGCAATTGCTTTTGGTGTTTTAATCATGAAGTCTTTGCCCATGCCTATGTCCTTAATGGTATTACCTAGGTTTTCTTCTAGGGTTTTTATGGTTTGGGGTTTTACATTTAAGTATTTAATCCATCTTGAGTTAATTTTTGTATAAGGTGTAAGGAAGGGGTCCAGTTTCTGTTACCCGCATATAGCCAGCTAGTTTTCCCAGCACCATTTATTAAATAAGGAATCCTTTTCCCATTGTTTCTTTTTGTCAGGATTGTCAAAGATCAGATGGTTGTAGATGTGTGGTGTTATTTCTGAGGTCTCTGTTCTGTTCCATTGGACTATATATCTGTTTTGGTACCAGTATATGCTGTTTTGATTGTTGTAGCCTTGTAGTACATTTTGAAGTCAGGTAGAGTGATGCCTCCAGCATTGCTCTTTTTGCTTAGGATTGTCTTGGCTATATGGGCTCTTTTTTAGTTCCATATGAAATTTAAAGTAGTTTTTTCTAATTCTGTGAAGAAAGTCAATGGTAGCTTGATGGGAATAGCATTGAATCTATAAATTACTTTGGGCAGTATGGCCATTTTCATGATATTGACTCTTCCTATCCATGAGCATAAAATGTTTTTCCATTTGTTTGTGTCCCATTTCCTCAAGCAGTGGTTTGTAGTTCTCCTTGAAAACATACTTCACATCCCGTGTAAGTTGTATTCCTAGGTATTTTGTTGTCTTTGTAGCACTCGTGAATGGGAGTTCATTCATGATTTGGCTCTCTGTCTATTATTGGTGTATAGGAATGCTTGTGGTTTTTGTACATTGATTTTGTATCCTGAGACTTTTCTGACGTTGCTTACCAGTTTAAGTAGTTTCGGGGCTGAGATAATGGGGTTTTCTAAATATACAACCATGTCGTCTGCAAACAGAAACAATTTGACTTCTCCTCTTCCTATTTGAATACGCTTTATTTCTTTCTCTTGCCTGATTACCCTGGCCAGAACTTCCAGTACTATGAAGAGGAGTGGTGAGAGAGGGCATCCTTAACTTGTGCTGGTTTTCAAAGGGAATGTCTCCAGCTTTTGCCCATTCAGTATGATATTGGCAATGGGTTTGTCATAAATAGCTCTTATGATTTTGAGATATGTTTCATCAATACCTAGTTTATTGAGAGTTTTTAACATGAACACATGTCCTATTATTACTAATAGCATATGAGTCTGTAGTTTTACAGAACAAAAGAAACTATTTGTAACTTTGAACATTTTTCATTTTTATGTTTTAATTGAAAAAATTAAAAGAAATAAGAAGCATTTCTCCCTTGGGATTGAAAATAATGAAGAGTTTAAAGTAACATTTAGTAGTTAGCTTGGGGGTGACCAGTTCTGAAGACATGTTTTAGTCATTTTTAACTCTCTGACATAGATCTCTGTGATACCTAATATGTGTGCTTGTGTTTCTCTCACAATTAAATCATATATTTAGTCACAGAGTGTATAGCAAGAGAATATCTGTTATGTCCTCACTCATCCTGTCCACTTCACACTCAGCACATGAAAATGAGAATGGTTAATGTCGTTGAAAGTCCAGCAGTGAACAAAACAAAAACAATATGTTTTCATAGGATTTATGTTCTAGTGGAGGGAGAAACAGTAAAATAAATAAAATATATTACTGAATTATGTAGTACCTTATTTTGGTAGTATGTTGTTAATTATGGAATGTTAGTACAGGTTAGTCCAGGAATTGTTTGCTCTTATAGGGGTTACTAAAGAGTTATAACTTGGACTTATAAAATGGCTCAGGGTCTTTTCTTAGGCTGGGATTCCCTGAAAATAGAGTCTGAAGCAAAGCCTCATGCATACTAACCTATTGGAGAGTGTGATCCCTAGGAGGAGGAGTGAGTGAATATCAGAATAAATTAGAGAAGGCGAGGGAGACCTAATGTGGGGATATATTGCTTAACTGGATATTGCTTGATATCAAGAACAACTGATTTCTCCCTTAGTAAAATCATCTTTGAAGAGGCTGTTTAAATGACTGCTCTGCAGACAGTTCCTCCAAAAGAAGAAAGAGAGAAGAATTTATCCAGTGGTTTCCATATCCAGCAGATCAATATTTTTTTGCCATGGTTACTCATGACTTGGTGTAGACAGGGAAGCCCAGAGCTAGAGGCCAGTGACTTATGGAGTGAGCAGAGTGAAGGCATTGTCTGGCGGGTCTGCATCATTGTAATGAGAACTCATGTAAAGCTACTCATCAGGACAACTGAAAAGAGAAGAGACAGGTGAGTCCAAAAATGTCTGAGTTGGTGCTTAAGAGGTGTCTGAGATAGCCTTAACTCTACTTTAACCAGACAAACAGGAGGCTTTATTGGTTTTATATATATGAGTTTACCATAAATTTTGCCAAAAAAAAAAGGGAAAAGTTAAAATGACCGATCTGTCTCAAGCCTCAGTTATTTTAAAATAAAGAAACTGAGACCTAGAAGAGTAAATTGACTTAGTTTCAGCTAAATCAATGAACTGTCAGTATTGAGTTCTTCTCAGCAATATACAGTTTGATGTTTACTGAGAATGTGTTCTTCATAAAGCCTTTGTTGTTTGAATGGTTTTTGTTTTGTTTTTTCTACAATATCCATAGATTATAGGTAAAAAAGGAATTTATTTGATGCTTCAAGGGCCTGAAGTCTAATGCATCTTTAGTTTATATGATTCACATAATATTCACTAGGCAAATTGGCATGCTGATGTTAATTGTAATTAAGATTCCCAGACTGAAAGTTTATTAATTGCACAGAAAGAACAATATTAATTGTTTTAATCGAAATGAAATATTTCCTGCTATCTCCAACTGGACATGAGTTCTCTTCATTTCATGTTATTTGCAGGCCAATTATGGCCTTTAGCTACTTACGTATTAAGAAAAATATAGCGATTTTGGAGTTGTCTTATTCTTCCTATAAACTTGTGAGCACCTGTATGCTTCAATGGAAGAACAGTGCCTGGCTTGGCAATATACAACACAAGCTTATGTCTCTACACTCCTATTCATACTGAAGATTAAATTATATTGTTTCCCTGAAGCTCACTCTTCTTATTTGTAAAATTGTATAATACACTCAACACAGGGTTCATAAGCAGATCTCATGTATTAAACTGTGGAAAGCAGTTTAATACAAACCTTGGAAAGCGTTTTTAATGTGCTATTTGAATAGTAAGTTTCAAAGATAACAGCCTAAATAATATTCCATATAAAATCGATATTTTTGTTTGATAAATTGAGGCAAAGTAATATAAACAAAAAAACAGCGAGATTAGACCTTGGGCTCTGGTAGTTATTGATTGAGATTTTATTTGGCCAAAATGGAATAAAATTTAAACTTAAAATTTTAGAAGTATCTGCAAATGTCCTCTGTGGTTCTGACTGTAAAGGCCCAATTATAATTTAGTTATAAAACTTTTATGTTTTGGTAATCCTTCCATAACTCTTAGGCAGAATTAAGTATTTTAAGTAAATATGTAATGTTTTCTGTATAATTTTGAAAATCAGTGCAATAATTATCAGCTAAAAATTAAAAGTAAGCCATTTTCCAGTTTAAATATTTAATCAGTTTTATATTTAGACCATTTCTAGTGGATTGCAAGTTATCTATATATTCTTTTATTAAAAATAACAATAACTGTATCTTTTTATATCTGCCAATTATTCCACATGAATGTAAATATTATACTGACAATCTTAAAATAGATCACTTTTTGCTGAATAAATTTCATCTATTTTCCTAAATTTAGCAGATCTTATTCTTATGCAAAATAATGCTCTGCACATATCTATTCCTTCATTACTTAATTCAATATCAGAGAAATGGTATTTTGGTGATTTAAAAAGTTGTATGTTTTTAAAGAGTATATTCTAATATACTAAGTCAATGGTTTTTTGCTAACAGGTTTCTTGCTAATGCTTTTTAAATCTGTACTTAAAGGCAAACAATAAATTAATCAGATTAAACTCTCTTCCTTCTGCCTTTTGGAAAGTTGTGTCCTTTGGAAGGATGTAGATTGCCATAATCATCCATCAAGGAACTACATATACCAGAATAGAGCAATGGTCTCAAACCTAAACTTTCTATAGATAGACCAGACACAACAATTTCACTTCTGGTGGTAGGGCATACATGTGTTTTTAAAATCTAATATATCTTTGAAATATTGTCATTTATTTGCCTACTTGCTATTAATTAAATAACAAACATTTATTGCATATCTACTTCCTGACAAATATTGTGATAGATATTGTGAATAAAGGTAAATGTGGTCAGGGCCTCTGCCTCATGGAATTTCTATTCTATACCAAGGACAGAAAAATAGACAAATAACTACAATGTTGGGTGATAAGTATCATAAAATATTTATCATAAAGGTTCATTTGATAAGTAAAATTCATTTGATTACAAACATTATAAAACAAGATCTTTATAAACTTAAATGTATATTTTTGCTTAAAGCTTTCATAAGGGGTGTGTGTGTGTGTGTGTGTGTGTGTGTGTGTCTGTGTGCATGTATGTATGTTTTCTACATAGCATGTAAGAATTATTTTCCTGCCTCTAAATGCATACACCTATCTTGGCTCACTCTGTTTTTATTCTTCCTATTTTGAGTGACAAGAGATTCTGTCTACTCTTATCACTCTACTTATGTTTTGCAACTACCCTTTCTTATTTTCTTGCAAAACTCACTCTTGTGTTATCTTCTCTATCCCTTAAATGAAATGTCCACAAACTTTTTTTAAAAAAGGCCAGATAGTATTTTCCTGTAAAAGGCCAGTATTTTAGGCTTTGTGAGTCATGGAACCTCTTTTGCAACCGTTCAACTCTGCCAGTGTGGTATTGAAGCAGCCATAGGCCATATGTAGATGAATTAGTTTAGTTGAGTTCCAATAAAACTTTATTTATAAAAACAAATAGTAGCCTGGATTTGTCCCATGAATTATAGTTTGCTGATCCTTAGTTTAAAGAATAAACTTCTCTGTCTGTTGGGTTATTTTTAACTTTAATCAAATGTATTCTAATATCAACCATCAAAAAAGGAAAGTTTACAAAAAGTTGCCCATGTAACATTAGTTCAGTATTTTAGAACTGTAATCAAGCTTAAAAAAATAAAACCTGTCACATATATAACTTTCCTCCAATATTGACAAATATTGTTTCATAAGTACCATGTAGGCCAAATTCGAATTCAGAATTTGGGGCTTTTCTGGAGTTCCACATCAGAAATGATGGCAGAGAGACCAAATGCCATTCATATTCTCTTTCATTTGTTACTTCCTTCCTTTCCATCTGACTTGCTTTTAGGAAGTTGAACTTGGAGATTAATTTCCTTCAAGTTCTGGACCAAGCCTGGGACCATGTGGTCAGACAAATCTAGGTTCCAAGGTACCAGCGCATGTTTGAGAAAGGGCAGTGCAGTGCTTGGGCAGGCACATTCTCTTGGCTACATGGTTTCTTTACTCTTTAGGGAAAGGTGAGGCTAGAGAAGGGCCAGAGTTGGGCCTGCTAAAGTGTAGGGTCCAGGGCAAGAACCCCTTTTATTGGGGTCTAGATGCACTGAGCCCAGGAGAACACTTGTGTCTTCATTAAGGAAACCAGATGATATTTTTTGGCTTTTGTTATAGGTTGAATTGTGCCTCCTCCATACCTCCAAATTCCTATGTTGAAATATGAATCCCTAGTACTCTAGAATGTGACCTTATTTGGAAATAGGGTGATTGCAGATGTAATTATTTAAGATGAGGTCACACTGGAGTAGGATGGGTTGCAAATCCAATATAACAGATATTCTTATTAAAAGGGAAAAGTTGGGCATGGATATACATACAGTGAAAATGCCATGTAAAGATGAAGGCAGGGTTTGGGATGTTGTTTTTAATAAGACAAGGAATGCAAAATTCCATCCCGAAACAAACAGAAGCTAGGCTAGTGTCATGGAATAGACTCTCTCACACAGTCCTCAGGAGGAGCTAACCCTTCTGGCATCTTGATCATGGACTTTAAGACTCCAGAATTGTGAGACAACAAATTTCTGTTGTGTAAGCCACCCAGTGTGTTGCACTTTGTCATGGTGACTCTAGTAAACTAATACATTTCCTTAAAGAGCTATTCTTGACAAGTGCTTCTAAATAGTTACCTTTCATTTAGTTTTAGTTATTGTACTCTTGTTTGTTACTCTTGGGAATAGCAAAAAATTGTAATTATATCTTATCTATTCTTGTATATTCATTTGTTAATGTATGTCTCTGTCACTGTATAGCATTTCTACATTGTAGCTGCACCTGGGCAGGATCAATGTCTGCTTGATCACTACAGCCTTAACGGCACGTAGTAAAATGATAAGCATTAGACAGAATACATGCAACAAACATTTTGTGAATAAATAAAAGAATGAAAAAGAGAAAGGAAGGAAGAAAAGAAGAAGAGAGAAGAAAATGAAAAAAAGACCTTTAGGAATATTATATGACTTCAACTCATTTATGTAGAACCATCCATTGTTCCTCAACATTTAATATTAATGCATCATCCTATAATTCTGAAAGCAAGGGAAAGAGCCATGGGTGTTAATACTTTATTAAGTGAAGAACTGAATAAACAACTATCTCAGAGTCCTAGAAGTAGTTGGATTAAAGGATTCATCAAGTGATCAATTTGAGCATAAATAAGTCTATATTAGCCAAACTGCCAACATCTTATATAATTTTAAATTATGTAACATGACCTATGTCATCCAAGCTACACTCATGCACTTATTAACTCATTCATTTTTCCTTCATTCATTTGAGAAATATTTTTAAGTTCTCAAATACTTTCAGATATGGAATAGATGAGTGGAAAAATAAAACAAAGGTTCTTGGAATTTATATTTGATATAGATTAGGGCAAAAATACTATACATAAATAAGTTATATAATAATTTCAGAGGTGACTATTCCTATATAAAATGGAAAATAGTAGGGCAGGATAAAGAGGCAAGGTAGTGTGGTTTGTGTTAAAATTTTGAATGTGGTAGTCAGCAAAATATTCCTTTTAAGGAGCTGATAATCAAAGATGTGAAGGAGTGACACAGTTACCAATTTTTCTGAAGGAAAGATAAGACAATCAAACTGAAGACCCTAAGATGGAAATATACAGGCATGTAAAAACAACAACAACAAAACAGTAGGGAGGGCAGTGTGGTTGAGTGGAATGAAGGAGCAGGAGATCACTGAGGTGTGTTCAGAGAGGTAATAGGCTTGGTGGGGAGAAGGCTGATCATGTAGGGTCTCACAGCCCTTCAAGTATCTACACTTGGCAATATAAAAATAAAATTCATCAGAACATATTTGTGTTTGAGGGACTTTAATAGTAATTTAATCTCTCTTCTTTTTTTTTTTAACTTTATAAAGAAAATGGAGCCAGAGACGTTAAGATGAATGCTAAAAGTCACATGGCCTTTACCAGGCGCGATGGCTCACACCTGTAATCCCAGCACTTTGGGAGGCCGAGGCAGGCAGATCACCTAAGGTTGGGAGTTCAAGACCAGCCTCACCAACATGGAGAAAACCCCGTCTCTACAAAAAATACAAAATTAGCTGGGCATGGTGGTGCATGCCTGTAATCCCAGCTACTAGGGAGGCTGAGGCAGGAGAATCGCTTGAACCTGGGAGGTGGAGGTTGTCGTGAGCCAGGATTATGCCATTACACTCCAGCCTGGGCAACAAGAGCGAAACTCTGTCAAAAAAAAAGTCACATGGCTAATTTGACCAGGCACTGAAAGCTGTCTGATAGAACTGTGTACTGTCCCAAATATTGTCAGTACTGGTGCCTCTAGCTCAGTGGTTGCCAAAATACAATGTGATTAGAATCACCTATAGGGCTTGTTAAAACACAGAATGTTCAGCTCCATGCTCAGCATTTCTGGTTCATTAAGTCTTGAATTGGATGCTGAGAAGATTCATTTCAAACGAGTTTTCAAGTGGTGCTCATAATGATGGTTTGGGAGCCACGCGTTGAGAACCACCATCTAGAATAAATTATAAATTGACATTCTATATCAGCAATAGAACAGGAATTACATGTTTTGATTTCATACAAAACTGTAGTCGTTTAAATAAATTGTAATGTCATGGAAGTGAAAAAATCTTCCTTGTATGTCCTGTGCTAATCTAATATATCTTCCTTCCAGGTATGGTAATCTAGAACTTGCACCATCTGTTTCTTTTCCACCTATCTGACCTCTTTACTATCTTCCATTTTCCTAATTACCAATTTCCAGCTTCCTTTTAGAATTTTGTTTTTTAATCAGACTGATATATCCCAGAATTGACAACAGAAAGAAAAAGAATATATGATATATGAGTTACATGGTATTGAGCCCCAATTAGTTCATTGTCCCCAAAGCAAGTCAATATAGTTTTTTTTCAATTTTACAATTTTAAATTCTCTTGGAAATGCATTAGCATGAGAACATCTAATAATTTTGTCTACAGCAGAGTAGATAACACAACTTTTCCTCAAGATTGGAGAATATCCAGCCCTGTATGGATTTTTATGTCATTATATAAAGCTATAGGAGCCAAACATCAATAAACAACATTAAAAAAAAAAACAGTCTTGAGAATTACACCAGTGTCATCCAGATAGAAAGCAATTTCAAATCAATCTGGGAAAATTGTTTTCCAGGCTCTTAAGCAGTTTCAAATTTTCTTGGCCAGACACTTTGGAGGACTTTTCTGACATTTTTCTACATTAAAATCTAGAAAGTCAGAGGAATAAAATAATTTGAGTAAATTAAATATAGACACTACTTATCTAATGGATGTACAATAAATTATCAGGTCTTGTTATTTATACTTTCTAACCATTTTTAGGATTCTTCTCTTCCTAAATATCCCTGATTCCCTTATCTTTTTCTTGGATATTTGTAGTATCTTCCTTCTTCAAAACAAATTATTCAGCCAATTTGAACTACTTCTGTATTCATGAATACACCATACACTGTTTAATGCTTCAGATCCTTAGTACAGTTGTTTACTCTCCCTAGAGCACCCTTATTCTGTCTTCACGGAAAATTATTATGCATCCCTCAGTTAATACTGGTATATGCTGGAAGGCCACACGTGCCATATTCTATTTATCAAACCTAGTCCCAAGATCAACTATGACTTCAGGAGGTTAGAAAACTAGATCTCAAAACTCTGAATGTAAGGAGTATTGCAAGGTGTGTGTATACTGCAATGGGATGGATTTTTAGCCTTTAAACAATCTACTACTATCTTAGTCTGTTTTGTGCTACTACAACAGAATACCTGAGTCTGGGTAATTTATAAACTGTAGAAGTTTATTTGGCACACAGTTCTAGAGGCTGGGAAGTTCAAGATCAAGGGGTCACATCTGGTGAGAGCCTTCTTGCTTCATCATCCCAGGGTAAAAGGCTGAAGGGAAAGAAAGCATGTACAAGAGAAAGAGGAAAAGAGGCCAAAGTCATCCTCTCATCAGGAATCCACTCCCACAATAACCCACCCTCACAATAATAGCATGAATCTACTCGTGAAGGCAGAGCCCTCATGACTGAGTCACCACTTAAAGGTCCCACCTCTCAAAACTATTGCATTGGGGATTAAGAGTTCAATACAAGAACTTTGTGGGGGGCGGGGTGGGGGTCGTCACTTTCAAATCATAGCAATCACATTCTGCCCTTTGGGTACAAAGTATTCACATTTACTCCACAGGTAATATTTGCTAAACCTTTCCCAGAACACCTCCTAATATCAGCCTAATTATAGCATTAGGCTCAATATTCACAATCTCATAATCTCCATCTTATCCAGGTATGGATGAGATTTGTGTGGGGGGTGGGCTGGGGGGGCTTTTCTTTGTCTGAAATCTGTGAACTCAAAAGCAGCATACCTTTAAATATTTCTGAGTTCTTAAGAAATTGACTTGCAGCCATGTTGTTAAGTGCTCTTTACCCTAAATTCAATTCTCACCTTGAAAATCTTTCTGAAATATATATATATATATATATATGAAATCTTACCTTAAAAATTCATTCTTACAATGAAAAGTATGAGATACAGTTTTTATTTTCAAGGAAAAAGTACGTATGGAGCCTTCTATATTTCTGCTAAAGTCTACTTTCAAACTGAATAGGACCTTCTTCAGTTTAACTCTGATTTCCTGTTCTTATTATACAAAATGTAATTAAATGAATAGAAGGCAAAGGATTCTTCAACACTCTTCCTGAACATCTTTTTCAATCATAGCCACAGGATATATTTTCTGTCTTCGAATTTACTACGTTCAAGTGTTGAAATCTTTTCCACCACTATATAATACAGGCATTTCTTTTTCTAACCTTAAAATTAAGTTTTCTCACTGTTCTTCCTGATTACCTACCTCCCAGTTTTCATTTCTTTCTTTTTTCATTTATTACCAGTTTTTTTGTTTTTAGGGTTTGTTTGCATGTTTGTTTTACCAATATCCCAACTTTAAGTACCGGTTTCTATAACAGTTATCTCTACCAAACCACTCTGAAATCTAGTTTTAAAACAATGTCATACTATCTCTCAGTGTCCTTTGAATTACAGTGGTTCCTTATTGTTTCTATCATCACTGTTTCATTTTTACCTGGGAAGCTGCATTTAGTTGAAAGTTTAGTTGGGCTGGAAAATTCATGATAGTGTGACATACATATTTGGTCACTGGTGCTGGCTGTCATCTGTAATGACTTAGTTATTCATATGTCTAATAATTGTAACGCTTCAGGTTCTTGCCTAGCCACGCCAAAGAATTGGTGTGGTGGCTGACTGCGGCGAGTGATGGAGACAGGGACCAATAGAGAGAAAACGCTGTAGGCTTTATTGAGCAGAGTGACAGTGCAAAGCTTCCACAGTGTGGAAGGGGTCCCGAACACGTAGCCACTGTTGGTTTTAGGTGATTGCCTTTTAAACTCTAACGCGGGAGATACGTGAGGCGGGAAGCTCTTACCAGAGCAAGAAACAAAGACAATTAACCATTTGTGACATGTCTTACATCTTGAGGAAAACCGGAATTGCAACTTAGGTTTTATCTGCTTTATGACTTCGCAGTGGCATGGCAAAAGAGACAGGATCTTACAGGACTTTACAAATTATGTTTACAAGAATTGGAATTGGGAGCATAGATAAGGTCCACTGGTCACAGAAAAACTGGCAGTTAACATTCTGTTTACTTTAGTTTCGGGGGAGGGGGAAGGGAGAGAGGACACAGGGAAACTTACAGCAAAATTTTCGCTATTTATAGCTTTCTTGGGGAAGAAAACACATGCACAAATCCTGGTGTTAGGAATATTTTAAGCATATATCTTCAATATTATCCGTCCAGGACCGAAGTAAGTCCTGATGCAGGAAATGAGTGAGTTTCACAGCTTTCTGAGCCCCTACTCGACCCAGGAAGCCCCGCTGGCCCCTCCTCTCATAATCATCCAGTAAAAGTGACCACTTCCCTTACATGACTTTCTTAGGAAAGCATTCCAAGATGAAGAAGGCAGAAGAAGCAAGGCTTCTTGATGCTAATACTCTGGAAATTGCACAGTATTACTTATGCCAAAGTCTATTATTTAAAGTGTATCACAAAGTGAGCCCAAAATTAAGAGAATAGAGGAAAGGATTAGACCTCGGGATAGAAGTAGCAGAGATATACCATTATACAAAAGTGTTTTTACTGAAATTGTAGGAGTTTGTGGCACTAATAATGTACCACAACCCCATTAACCAAAACTAATCTTAGTAAAGAGCCCTATTAAATAATTGACAAAATAGGTGATAATTTTGTAGTTTAGGACAAATTCAGCTGAAGCCTAAAGCATTCTTTTAATGGTAATGGTCTGACCCAGTGTTTTCTTTCTCTTTTTTTTCTAGCTTTACTGACGTATAACTGACAAGTAAAAATTGTATGTGTTTGGGAATACAATATGGTATTTTAATATATGTATACATTGGAAAATAATTACTGCAATCAAGCTAATTAACATATCTATAATCTCACATAGTTACCTTTCTCTGCGTTGGTATAAACCCTTAAGATCTATTATCTTAGCAGCTTTCAAGTATACAATGCATTGTCATTAGCTAGTATTTTCTGTCCGCTACTCAGGTGTGGGCAAAGCTTTGTTATCAATCTCACTGCTTTTATCTCTTGCCGTAAGCTATTATGGCACGAAACTAATGCAACCATTTTTAATTCTTATAATGAAATAGTATAAAAAGTGTGCCTTAAAATTAAAGTATGTTAATAATATTTGTATAATATAGTTGAAGCATAAATATATACATTTCAATAGCTTTTGGGATACAAATGTTTTTGGTTACATGGATTAATTGTAACGGTGGTGAAGTCTGAGATTTTATTGCACTGGTCACTGGAGTAGTGTACATTGTACCCAATATTTAGCTCCCCTTCTACCTTTCTCATTTATGAGTCTCTGATATCTATTAAAGCACTCATCTAGCTTAATTCTCACTTATGTGTGACAACATATTGTATTTGTTACTTCACTTAGAATAATGGCCTCCAGCTCCATCAAAATTGTGTAAAAAAATTACTTTATTCGTTTTCATTGAATTTATTCTTGATTAGTCAGTAATAGAGCCCCCTGTGTTTGTGTGTGTGTGTGTGTTTGTGCATGTGGGTATTTTGAGCTTATTCACGTTGTAGAATCAATAATAATATTAACTTTGTAAGTCACATTTATTATCTGCAAGCATAAAGTCATTATGAAAAGGACTCAGATTTTGTATTATAAATGAAATGTTTTTAATATTCGGTTGTTGTTAACTTTAATATTTTTTTTTTCATTTATTTTAGTTTTTATTGTGAAATAATAATACACACAAACACCTATGTATCCATCACACAGGCCAAGAAACAGCACATTCCCCTGCTCCAGACTTACACCTAACTCAGATTGCACTGTCTCTCTCTTTCCTGCAATTTCTGTCATTTCCTTATTTTTCTTTTTTCTTTTTTTTTTTTTTTTATTATACTCTAAGTTTTAGGGTACATGTGCACATTGTGCAGGTTAGTTACATATGTATACATGTGCCATGCTGGTGCACTGCACCCACTAATGTGTCATCTAGCATTAGGTATATCTCCCAATGCTATCCCTCCCCCCTCCCCCGACCCCACCACAGTCCCCAGAGTGTGATATTCCCCTTCCTGTGTCCATGTGATCTCATTGTTCAATTCCCACCTATGAGTGAGAATATGCGGTGTTTGGTTTTTTGTTCTTGCGATAGTTTACTGAGAATGATGGTTTCCAATTTCATCCATGTCCCTACAAAGGATATGAACTCATCATTTTTTATGGCTGCATAGTATTCCATGGTGTATATGTGCCACATTTTCTTAATCCAGTCTATCATTGTTGGACATTTGGGTTGGTTCCAAGTCTTTGCTATTGTGAATAGTGCCGCAATAAACATACGTGTGCATGTGTCTTTATAGCAGCATGATTTATAGTCCTTTGGGTATATACCCAGTAATGGGATGGCTGGGTCAAATGGTATTTCTACTTCTAGATCCCTGAGGAATCGCCACACTGACTTCCACAATGGTTGAACTAGTTTACAGTCCCACCAACAGTGTAAAAGTGTTCCTATTTCTCCACATCCTCTCCAGCACCTGTTGTTTCCTGACTTTTTAATGATTGCCATTCTAACTGGTGTGAGATGATATCTCATAGTGGTTTTGATTTGCATTTCTCTGATGGCCAGTGATGATGAGCATTTCTTCATGTGTTTTTTGGCTGCATAAATGTCTTCTTTTGAGAAGTGTCTGTTCATGTCCTTCGCCCACTTTTTGATGGGGTTGTTTGTTTTTTTCTTGTAAATTTGTTTGAGTTCATTGTAGATTCTGGATATTAGCCCTTTGTCAGGTGAGTAGGTTGCGAAAATTTTCTCCCATGTTGTAGGTTGCCTGTTCACTCTGATGGTAGTTTCTTTTGCTGTGCAGAAGCTCTTTAGTTTAATTAGATCCCATTTGTCAATTTTGGCTTTTGTTGCCATTGCTTTTGGTGTTTTGGACATGAAGTCCTTGCCCACGCCTATGTCCTGAATGGTAATGCCTAGGTTTTCTTCTAGGGTTTTTATGGTTTTAGGTCTAACGTTTAAATCTTTAATCCATCTTGAATTGATTTTTGTATAAGGTGTAAGGAAGGGATCCAGTTTCAGCTTTCTGCATATGGCTAGCCAGTTTTCCCAGCACCATTTATTAAATAGGGAATCCTTTCCCCATTGCTTGTTTTTCTCAGGTTTGTCAAAGATCAGATAGTTGTAGATATGCGGCATTATTTCTGAGGGCTCTGTTCTGTTCCATTGATCTATATCTCTGTTTTGGTACCAGTACCATGCTGTTTTGGTTACTGTAGCCTTGTAGTATAGTTTGAAGTCAGGTAGTGTGATGCCTCCAGCTTTGTTCTTTTGGCTTAGGATTGACTTGGCGATGCGGGCTCTTTTTTGGTTCCATATGAACTTTAAAGTAGTTTTTTCCAATTCTGTGAAGAAAGTCATTGGTAGCTTGATGGGGATGGCATTGAATCTGTAAATTACCTTGGGCAGTATGGCCATTTTCACGATATTGATTCTTCCTACCCATGAGCATGGAATGTTCTTCCATTTGTTTGTGTCCTCTTTTATTTCCTTGAGCAGTGGTTTGTAGTTCTCCTTGAAGAGGTCCTTCACATCCCTTGTAAGTTGGATTCCTAGGTATTTTATTCTCTTTGAAGCAGTTGTGAATGGGAGTTCACCCATGATTTGGCTCTCTGTTTGTCTGTTGTTGGTGTATAAGAATGCTTGTGATTTTTGTACATTGATTTTGTATCCTGAGACTTTGCTGAAGTTGCTTATCAGCTTAAGGAGATTTTGGGCTGAGACGATGGGGTTTTCTAGATAAACAATCATGTCGTCTGCAAACAGGGACAATTTGACTTCCTCTTTTCCTAATTGAATACCCTTTATTTCCTTCTCCTGCCTGATTGCCCTGGCCAGAACTTCCAACACTATGTTGAATAGGAGCGGTGAGAGAGGGCATCCCTGTCTTGTGCCAGTTTTCAAAGGGAATGCTTCCAGTTTTTGCCCATTCAGTATGATATTGGCTGTGGGTTTGTCATAGATAGCTCTTATTATTTTGAAATACGTCCCATCAATACCTAATTTATTGAGAGTTTTTAGCATAAAGGGTTGTTGAATTTTGTCAAAGGCTTTTTCTGCATCTATTGAGATAATCATGTGGTTTTTGTCTTTGGCTCTGTTTATATGCTGGATTACATTTATTGATTTGCGTATATTGAACCAGCCTTGCATCCCAGGGATGAAGCCCACTTGATCATGGTGGATAAGCTTTTTGATGTGCTGCTGGATTTGGTTTGCCAGTATTTTATTGAGGATTTTTGCATCAATGTTCATCAAGGATATTGGTCTAAAATTCTCTTTTTTGGTTGTGTCTCTGCCCGGCTTTGGTATCAGAATGATGCTGGCCTCATAAAATGAGTTAGGGAGGATTCCCTCTTTTTCTATTGATTGGAATAGTTTCAGAAGGAATGGTACCAGTTCCTCCTTGTACCTCTGGTAGAATTCGGCTGTGAATCCATCTGGTCCTGGACTCTTTTTGGTTGGTAAACTATTGATTATTGCCACAATTTCAGAGCCTGTTATTGGTCTATTCAGAGATTCAACTTCTTCCTGGTTTAGTCTTGGGAGAGTGTATGTGTCGAGGAATGTATCCATTTCTTCTAGATTTTCTAGTTTATTTGCGTAGAGGTGTTTGTAGTATTCTCTGATGGTAGTTTGTATTTCTGTGGGATCGGTGGTGATATCCCCTTTATCATTTTTTATTGTGTCTATTTGATTCTTCTCTCTTTTTTTCTTTATTAGTCTTGCTAGCGGTCTGTCAATTTTGTTGATCCTTTCAAAAAACCAGCTCCTGGATTCATTGATTTTTTGAAGGGTTTTTTGTGTCTCTATTTCCTTCAGTTCTGCTCTGATTTTAGTTATTTCTTGCCTTCTGCTAGCTTTTGAATGTGTTTGCTCTTGCTTTTCTAGTTCTTTTAATTGTGATGTTAGGGTGTCAATTTTGGATCTTTCCTGCTTTCTCTTGTGGGCATTTAGTGCTATAAATTTCCCTCTACACACTGCTTTGAATGCGTCCCAGAGATTCTGGTATGTGGTGTCTTTGTTCTCGTTGGTTTCAAAGAACATCTTTATTTCTGCCTTCATTTCGTTATGTACCCAGTAGTCATTCAGGAGCAGGTTGTTCAGTTTCCATGTAGTTGAGCGGCTTTGAGTGAGATTCTTAATCCTGAGTTCTAGTTTGATTGCACTGTGGTCTGAGAGATAGTTTGTTATAATTTCTGTTCTTTTACATTTGCTGAGGAGAGCTTTACTTCCAACTATGTGGTCAATTTTGGAATAGGTGTGATGTGGTGCTGAAAAAAATGTATATTCTGTTGATTTGGGGTGGAGAGTTCTGTAGATGTCTATTAGGTCTGCTTGGTGCAGAGCTGAGTTCAATTCCTGGGTATCCTTGTTGACTTTCTGTCTCGTTGATCTGTCTAATGTTGACAGTGGGGTGTTAAAGTCTCCCATTATTAATGTGTGGGAGTCTAAGTCTCTTTGTAGGTCACTGAGGACTTGCTTTATGAATCTGGGTGCTCCTGTATTGTGTGCATAAATATTTAGGATAGTTAGCTCCTCTTGTTGAATTGATCCCTTTACCATTATGTAATGGCCTTCTTTGTCTCTTTTGATCTTTGTTGGTTTAAAGTCTGTTTTATCAGAGACTAGGATTGCAACCCCTGCCTTTTTTTGTTTTCCATTGGCTTGGTAGATCTTCCTCCATCCTTTTATTTTGAGCCTATGTGTGTCTCTGCACGTGAGATGGGTTTCCTGAATACAGCACACTGATGGGTCTTGACTCTTTATCCAACTTGCCAGTCTGTGTCTTTTAATTGCAGAATTTAGTCCATTTATATTTAAAGTTAATATTGTTATGTGTGAATTTGATCCTGTCATTATGATGTTAGCTGGTGATTTTGCTCATTAGTTGATGCAGTTTCTTCCTAGTCTCAATGGTCTTTACATTTTGGCATGATTTTGCAGCGGCTGGTACCGGTTGTTCCTTTCCATGTTTAGCGCTTCCTTCAGGAGCTCTTTTAGGGCAGGCCTGGTGGTGACAAAATCTCTCAGCATTTGCTTGTCTATAAAGTATTTTATTTCTCCTTCACTTATGAAGCTTAGTTTGGCTGGATATGAAATTCTGGGTTGAAAATTCTTTTCTTTAAGAATGTTGAATATTGGCCCCCACTCTCTTCTGGCTTGTAGGGTTTCTGCCGAGAGATCCGCTGTTAGTCTGATGGGCTTTCCTTTGAGGGTAACCCGACCTTTCTCTCTGGCTGCCCTTAACATTTTTTCCTTCATTTCAACTTTGGTGAATCTGACAATTATGTGTCTTGGAGTTGCTCTTCTTGAGGAGTATCTTTGTGGCATTCTCTGTATTTCCTGAATCTGAATGTTGGCCTGCCTTGCTAGATTGGGGAAGTTCTCTTGGATAATATCCTGCAGAGTGTTTTCCAACTTGGTTCCATTCTCCACATCACTTTCAGGTACACCAATCAGACGTAGATTTGGTCTTTTCACATAGTCCCATATTTCTTGGAGGCTTTGCTCATTTCTTTTTATTCTTTTTTCTCTAAACTTCCCTTCTCGCTTCATTTCATTCATTTCATCTTCCATTGCTGATACCCTTTCTTCCAGTTGATCGCATCGGCTCCTGAGGCTTCTGCATTCTTCACGTAGTTCTCGAGCCTTGGTTTTCAGCTCCATCAGCTCCTTTAAGCACTTCTCTGTATTGGTTATTCTAGTTATACATTCTTCTAAATTTTTTTCAAAGTTTTCAACTTCTTTGCCTTTGGTTTGAATGTCCTCCCGTAGCTCAGAGTAATTTGATCGTCTGAAGCCTTCTTCTCTCAGCTCGTCAAAATCATTCTCCATACAGCTTTGTTCTGTTGCTGGTGAGGAACTGCGTTCCTTTGGAGGAGGAGAGGCGCTCTGCATTTTAGAGTTTCCAGTTTTTCTGTTCTGTTTTTTCCCCATCTTTGTGGTTTTATCTACTTTTGGTCTTTGATGATGGTGATGTACAGATGAGTTTTCGGTGTAGATGTCCTTTCTGGTTGTTAGTTTTCCTTCTAACAGACAGGACCCTCAGCTGCAGGTCTGTTGGAATACCCTGCCATGTGAGGTGTCAGTGTGCCCCTGCTGGGGGGTGCCTCCCAGTTAGGCTGCTCGGGGGTCAGGGGTCAGGGACCCACTTGAGGAGGCAGTCTGCCCGTTCTCAGATCTCCAGCTGCGTGCTGGGAGAACCACTGCTCTCTTCAAAGCTGTCAGACAGGGACACTTAAGTCTGCAGAGGTTACTGCTGTCTTTTTGTTTGTCTGTGCCCTGCCCCCAGAGGTGGAGCCTACAGAGGCAGGCAGGCCTCCTTGAGCTGTGGTGGGCTCCACCCAGTTCGAGCTTCCCGGCTGCTTTGTTTACCTAAGCAAGCCTGGGCAATGGCGGGCGCCCCTCCCCCAGCCTCGTTGCCGCCTTGCAGTTTGATCTCAGACTGCTGTGCTAGCAATCAGCGAGACTCCGTGGGCGTAGGACCCTCTGAGCCAGGTGTGGGATATAGTCTCGTGGTGCGCCGTTTCTTAAGCCGGTCTGAAAAGCGCAATATTCGGGTGGGAGTGACCCGATTTTCCAGGTGCGTCCGTCACCCCTTTCTTTGACTCGGAAAGGGAACTCCCTGACCCCTTGCGCTTCCCAGGTGAGGCAATGCCTTGCCCTGCTTCGGCTCGCGCACGGTGCGCACACACACTGGCCTGCGCCCACTGTCTGGCACTCCCTAGTGAGATGAACCCGGTACCTCAGATGGAAATGCAGAAATCACCCGTCTTCTGCGTCGCTCACGCTGGGAGCTGTAGACCGGAGCTGTTCCTATTCGGCCATCTTGGCTCCTCCTCCGGCAACTTTAATATGTTTTATTTGGTACAAATACATGAATCATGGGGGTAGAGCTGGAAAGAAGTCTTTCCAAAAGAAATGTTACAAATCTTCCTCCATATAAAATTCACTTTTTAATAAGTAAAATTCTGATTATAAGTTAATGTCTCCTTTTAAACTCTGCCATTTGTGAAATGATCAACAACGACTTGATGCCAAAAGCATTTTAAAAGGATACAGAAGCATCTTGCTGTGATCTGACTGTCTGTGTCCACTCCAAATTCATATGTTGAAATCTTAATCCCCAAGAGGATCATATTAGGAGGTGGGACTTATGGGAGGTAATTAGGTCATGAAAGTGAAGCCCTCATTAATAGGATTAGTGCCATTATCAAAAAGGCCCCAGAGCACACTGCCTTGCCCTTTCCACCATGTGAGGACACAGTGGAAAGGCATTATCTATGAAAGCGGGCCCTCACCAGACACCGAACCTGCCAGTGCCTTGATCTTGGACATCTTCACTTCTCAGACTCTAGAAACATGAGAAATATATTTTTATGGTTTACAAACTACTAAGTTTATGAATTTTTTTTAGCATCCTGAATAGACTGAGACACATCTCTTTTTTTTTTTTTTTTCTTTTTTTGATGGAGTTTTGCTCTTGTTGCCCAGGCTGGAGTGCAATGGCACGATCTGGGCTCACCACAACCTCTGCCTCCGGGGTTCAAGCAATTCTCCTGCCTCCCAAATATGTGGGATTACAAGCATGCGCCACCATGCGCAGCTAATTTTTGCATTTTTAGTAGGGACAGGGTTTCTCCATGTTGGTCAGGCTGGTCTCAAACTCCTGACCTCAGGTGATTCATCCACCTCAACCTCCCAAAGTGCTGGGATTACAGGCATAAGCCACTGTGTCCAGCCAAGGACACATCTTTTATATAAAACATACTTTTACTTCATATTCTTCAAGATTATATATAGTGATTTCTTAGAATTCCTTTTGATGAACTGCATTGTAATAGTGAATCCTGAGATAAGAAGATATTTTAATTTCTTAAGCAATACTTTTATCAGAGAAAAAGGTATTAATATTCAAGTTGATTTTGAGCATCTTTCTAATGTTCAGAAGGATCAATACCACCCTTACCCACTGTTGCAGGAAGTCAGGGACCCCAAACAGAGGGCTGGCTGAAGCTGTGGCAGAAGAACATAAATTGTGAAGATTTCAAGGACATTTATTAGTTCCCCAAATTAATACTTTTATAATTTCTTATGCCTGTCTTTACTGCAATCTCTGAACATAAATTATGAAGATTTCATAGACATTTATCACTTCCCCAATCAATACCCTTATAATTTCCTATGCCTGTCTTTAATCTCTTAATCTCGTCATCTTCATAAACTGAGGATATACCTCCCCTCAGGACCCTGTGATGACTGCTTTAACTGTACAAATTGTTAGTAAAACATGTGTGTTTGAACAATACGAAATCAGGGCACCCTGTAAAAGAATAGAATAACAGTGATTTTCAGGGAACAAGGAAAGATAACCATAAGGTCTGACTGCCTGCGGGGTCGGGCAGAATACAGCCATATTTTTCTTCTTGCAGGGAGCCTATAAACGGATGTGTGAGTAGGAGAAATATCACTGAATTCTTTTCCCAGTAAGGAATATTAATAATTGATAACCCTGGGGAAGGAATGCATTCCCAGGGGTAGGCCTATAGACAACTGCTCTGGGAGTGTCTGTCTTATGCCGTTGAGATAAGGGATGAAATATGCCCTGGTCTACTGCAGTGCCCTCAGGCTTACTAGGTTTGGGAAATTCCAGCCTGGTGAATTCTAGTCAGACCCGTTGTCTGTTCTCGAACTCTGTTTCCTGTTAAGATGTTTACCAAGACAATGTGTGCCCAGTGAGACATGGACCCTCATCAGTAATTCTAATTTTGTCCTTGCCTTGTGATCCTGCTCTGCCCTTTTGCCTTGTGATCTTTTATTGCCTTTTGAAGCATGTGATCTCTGTGACCCACTCCCTATTCATACACCCCTCTCCTTTTAAAATCCCTAATAAAAACTTGCTGGTTTTGCAGCTCGGGGTTGCCATCACAGTCCTACCAATATGTGATGGCACCCCCGGAGGCCCAGCTGTAAAATTTCTCTCTTTGTACTCTTGCTCTTTATTTCTCAGACCGGCCGACACTTAGGGAAAATAGAAAGGAACTATGTTGAAATATTGGGGTCTGGTTCCCCCGATGACCCACCATCTTTAAAGTCTAAGCTAAAATTTCCCATTTTGGTTGCAGTGGTTGAATTTAGCTGTCTCAACTTTTTAATTTGGTATATAAATTATTCATTTCTCAAAATGCATAGGCCTCCTTTTCTTCAGATATTCATATCAAGAGTACAAGATCTCCCCATAGAAGCATGTTTTTATCCAAACCAAATCAAGTAAACTAAGTTTCAGAGTTTTTCCACTTAGATAGATTTGCTTAGGTAGATTTTGAATCTAATTCCAATATCAAAGTGATAAATAGCTTCAGATGGAAAAATTCAGGTGATTAAGCCTTGTCAAATATTTACCAAATAGTACGTTGATGAACTGAATGCTTTTAATGAGTTGTTCTAAACCAAAGATTAAAATTGCAATTTGCTGTGATAAGTAGAAATCCTACAAAATTCAATATTGACAACTAAATCATCAATTTAAGGAATAGTAGAAGTTATTTTGCATATCATTCAGCAAATAGATGATTAGAACAGAATTGTATAGTTTACCTCTGCATTTGCTGCTATTTAGCATTTTTTAAACACCCACTGTGGGCCAAGAGATGCACTGGAATGTACAATAAAATGAGCACCCACAGTTTTGCTACATGTAAATGGAGAATTCAGCAAGATATATAGAGTTTAAGGAACTATCATTTATATTATTTTTAAAATATAGTAATTGCATTTTATATCCCCACCGAATTACATTTTCATATTTTGTAAACTATATTAAACTCCTGAATATACAGTTCTGGAACTCAGCAAAAGGTAATATATAAAACTGAAGATCAGGAGAAAGGCAAATGATACAGATTTAGTTGGAGGCCAAGATACAGTAATCAGAATGGATATATAGATGTTTTAAAAATCCATCAAATATTATAATATTTAAATCCACAGGGGTAAATGCAACTAACATGAAATAATATGTATGGTAAAAGAAGAATGTTAAAAAAGTATTTTGGGGATAACATCATGGGCAATGGTTTTATTGCTGTGAGAGAAATAGAACTACAGAAAGGAGACTAAGATGGAGAATGGGCAGAAACTGAAGATAGAAAATGAGCTGAGATGTTGTCACTGAAGGAAGGAAAAGAGACAGCTTCAAAGTGGATGAGAGTCAGCAACGGACTGCACTAGTTTAAGTTAAATAGAAAGAATTCATGTTAACAGCAGAGAGCTAGGTGATATATTGATACGGTTTCAGTGGAGTTCTTGCCTACAGCATATGATTAACAAGCAGTGTGAAAGAATGAATAATGAATGGCATATGAGAATGTTCGAACTGGATAAGTACACACTTCATTCAATGGTCATAAGACAGGGTGGTAGGTAAAGGCCAGTGTGAGGAAAGTTTTTTGTTTGTTTATTTGGTTTTGTTTTGTTACTTTTTATATGGGATAAATTTGAGCCTGTTTAAAATCTGAGTGGAAAGATTCAGTTGTGAAGAGTGCTTGAAAAGAGGGTATAACTGAAAAATCAATGACCTTGAAGTACAAGGGGAAGTAGAGACTGATTGGTGGAGAAGCAAGAAGAACAATATAAGGGAATATCTGCATAAATGAAATCTGTCCCTTGCTTCTGGTATAAGTATAGAGTCCCGCTTGGAGGGCTCATATTTTCTTTAGAAAGTGGAGAATTGAAGGGTAGGAGACGTTGTCAAGAATAAATGACAACTGAAGAAGAGTGTGTGTGTGTGTGTGTGTGTGTGATATCAGCAGACTAGTTTACTTTTGGAGTTAATGAAAATGTACTATTATAATGTGTCAGCTGGGAACTAAAACATAACAGGAGAGAAAGAGGAGCCCTTCCAAGAGCAGTGTTATGGTGGGGAGACAGAAATTTATAACAATGACTAGACGGGTGGAGCAATCTTCTTAATAGTTCTAGAAGTGATGTGATGTGTGTGTGTGTGCATGTGCTCTCACGTGTGCATGTGTTAGAGAAGAGAGAGGATATTATCTATCAGCTTAAATACACAGTAAATGATTTAATATGATTTTATTCAATCACAATTTTTGATACAATGACAAATATTTTCTTTTTTCAGCAAGAATGAAATACTTTAGTTTGGATGCAAGCATTGATTATATACTGGTTGTTTAGTGTCTAGGCAGAAATAAGGTTGAAATATAAAGTGTCTTAATATCCAAACAATATTCATCCAAGTAACTTAGTTGTTCATTTCATTTCAAAAATGAAGACCAATACACCTGTTCAACTCTGAATTTTAGCCTTGGGAAAACGTGTTTTTGTATAACACATTTTAGATTATACATGTTACCAATAAATTGTACTTAATCACTCAATCTAATATTTTGGAAATATTTTTGACTCTACTTCCTTGAATCTCACATCTATTTTTTCTCTAAATCTCCTGTAACTTTTCAAGCACTTTCACACACTACTGCCATCCTAACTTGATTGTGAATAACCTCATACCTACAACCTTACCCATATAACTCTTGTTAAAAGTTTCCTAATTGATTTCTGTAGAATCAGTCAATGGACACTTCTTACAAATAACCATCAGATTAATCTTTCCAAAATGTTTGTTCAAACATGATAGTCTTGTTTGGAAATCTTTCTTAAGTACTCACTAAAATATCAGAATTTTAAATCCTGAAGTTACCTTGAAGATTTGGCTTTTGATACATATATATTTTATCCTTGGGAAAACGTATTTTTGTAGAACACATTTTAGATTATACATGTTACCAATAAATTGTACTTTATCACTCAATCTAATATTTTGGAATTATTTTTGACTCCACTTCCTTGAATCTCACATCTATATCTATCTATCTATCTATCTATCTATCTATCTATATACATATATGTATATACGTATATACATATATATATGTATATACGTATATACATATATATGTATGTATATATATATATATATATATATATAATGAAAATGAAGCCTATAGAAAGGAAGTGAAATTCCTATTAAGTTCCAAGAACTCTTTTAGTTAGGTACTATGTATAGAGCATTGGTAAAAGAAATAAAGTCCTTAACCTCACAGAGCTTATACAAAAGAAGGCAATAAGCAATAAATAAATTAAAATATATGAACAGATAAGATAATGACAAGGTGTTGTTAGAGCTATGAAGAAATTAAAACTGGGCAAAGGGAGAGGGCATGATATTTGAGTGTGTGTGTGTGTCTATGTATGCCTCTGTGTATGTCTGTTTGTATAAGTGTATGTTTGTATGTATGAGTGTGTGTGTGTGTGTGTGTGTGTGTGTGTGGTCAGGGGAAGCTTTTCAGAAGAGGTGCTCTTTGAGTGAACAAGGCTAGTGAGCCCTGAGGGTTATCTGTGAGTGTTTGGGGAAAGAGCATTTCCAGCAGAGGAAAGTAAAATACAAGGCCCTGAAGCAAGAAAATAATTTACCTTTAAAAGAATAGCAAAGAGACTAGCGTGGCTAGAAGAGATGAATCTGGGGGGTGAGGGGCAGGAGGAAAAAAAAATTATGTCAGAACAATACTTGGGGGTAGATTATATAGGTAAACCATGTCAAAAATTTACTTGTATCCTATCTTTGATGGAATGCCATTATATGATTTCAGGCAGGGGATGATATCACTACACTTACTTCTTAAATATTGCAATGAACTATGGCAGGTAAGAATGGAAATCTACATGAGAGGTAATAGCAATAATGGTGGTAGTGCTAGAAGTGGTTAGATTTAGCTATTATAAACAATTTTTTTGCAATTTTATGGAGAGTGGAGAGCTTTCAGGAAGAGAAGGATCAAGAGAGAATGCAAAGTGTAGGGGCAAGAAATTGAATAAATGACATGCGGAACCACAGTAAGAGTAGGTTTCTGGGTATAATTTATGATTTTAATTTTGGTCAAGTTTGAGTAAAACAACCATTGGCTACCTAAGTGGAGGTGGCCAGTAGGTAGTTGGAGGTATTCAGTAGGTAGTTGGATGATCTGAGCCAAATTAAATTGGAGCCCTCAGTATATAAAATGTTATAGTAAAATTATCCATTGTCTATTGGATATCCACTATCTAATTTTACTTAACCATCAGAATACTCTAATTAGTGGAAATAATATGTCCATATTAAATATAAGGCATTTCCTAGCCTACTTCCAAGATTGGGTTGGTCGGTGAGATGTACTCATCAGTTGTCGGGTGAGGCTTCTACGAAGACCCTTTAACAGAGTTAATATTGCAAGAAAGCTTAATTATGTGGTGTATTTTTTCCTCTACCTATCCACCCTGCAACTGAACACAGGAAGGTCCAGTAGCCAAATTGTGACTTTGAGAAAGGAAGAAAAACTGTAAGAGCTCGGGTCGCAGATAAATGTGAAGCTCCCATGCCTACTCTAAACTGGCTACTTTGGGGCTTTTTTAATGAAAGAGAAATATTTTGCTTACTTTAAGCCACTTTTTGTGGCAAATTTTTGTTTGTAGGAAGTCAAATCTAATTTAAAACAGGCAGAATACATTTAAAGTCACAAGACTGCATGAGGTCCCCAAGCAAGTGAATGTAAACAAGACAGAAGAACGCTGAGGGAAAGCCCTGATGCATCCTCATTTAGAGGACTGAACAATGAAAGAAATCCAGCACTGGACACCAACAAAGAGCAGAAAGGGAATGACAAAGAAAAGAAAGATGGTGTGATTTAGCAGGAGCCAAGTGCAGAAAATGGCCAAGAAGGAGGCAGGAATAGCTATGTCAAGATGCTGAGAGGTCAGGTAAGATGAAGTCTGAGAAATTACTACTCAATTTAGCCATTGATGGCATAGATAATTGGGCACTTAGTGAAGTGGTAGGAAAGCAGAGTTATTTAAAAATCATGTCCAATTATATATATATGTGTGTGTGTGTGTGTGTGTGCATATATACACACATTCATTATATATACTATATATGAAATTGCGTATATATATAATTGCACATAGTCACATATACACAAAATTACATGTATTTTTACTTATCTGTTTTAAGACCATTTTTTTAAATTGGAAAACTCATGAGGAATAAGTCCCTAATAGAGACTTTTATCTTTATCTCATTATCTAGACATTTCATTTACAATTTCTGACATCGTCTTGTTTTGTTTTTATTTGTTTCAGGAAATTTGTGTTAGAGAAGGAGTATACCAGTTAGAAAAGAAAAAGAAAAAAGAAAAACAGAAAAAGGTAAAATTGGTATCCTACTGTATATACCATTTTGTATCATTCATTTTAAATTTCAAAATTTGAGTAGACATTTTATATGTCATTAAATTTTTTACTAAACCATACTTTTAATGGATCACATTTACAAATGTCATATGGTTATATCATAAATTATATTAGCTTAAAATAAAAATATTCATAAAAAAATAAATTCAAAGAATAAAAATGAAAGGGATTTGAAATATTGTCATTCCTAATCAAATTGATGTATAATTCTCTAAGAGTAGAATTCCACATATTTTTATAACACAGCTTACTGAGTTTAGAAGAGCTGTTCTGAAACTACTTGGTTTTGTCTAATGATTTCAGAATTTAGATTAATTTTCCCTAGATGTTCATGGATATTTTTATCTAGTTTAATGGAACTTAGTACAATGCAAATATTCTTAAAGATGAAAAGTCCAATTGACTTTGCTTTTAGTTTTACAAAGGGATTTCAGCACCGTAGACTTAGAACCCAGATCCTCATCTACAATATACTTATTAGAGAATAGAAAATTCACCATTTCAAAAGCAAAAATGCACAGCTAGTCCCATGTAGGTAAAAAGAGGATGTTATATAGTCTATGCTGGCAAATTCTTTCCTACTTATATAAATCATCTCTGAAAATTAATCCCCATTACCTTGATCTTCCCTAAACCCATCAGCTTTACAAATTCCAGTGCAAGCTGCACCTACTAGCTTATACCTTCTGCATTAATTATAGCCAATAGTTATCCTTCTACCTCTGACTGTTGTCCTGGTTGACCAGGTAACACATATTTTGATATTATATTTTATTCTCTTCCACTTTATCTTTAAATTGTTACACTTAACATAAGTCATGATACCATACTGAACTCCTCTTGTTCATGCGTGGCAAGTCTTCATGTTTATTCATGGGTATGAAATATTACCTTATTTTTTATAATAGTTTATCTGTTATTTATTTCTCTGACATTTTCAAGTGTGGGTTGAGAAAAATATTCTTCTGTAATAACACATGAAATAATTATATCTTATTATTCCTTTTTAACTCTCAAGTTAAAACATAGGCATTCCTCAATGATTTCATTTTTCAAACCATCAATCACTACCAGAGAGAAAGAGACAGAGAGGGAGACAGAGAGAGACAGAAGGGTGAATGATACCTCCAAATTTTGCCAAATTTGTTTCCATGAAAAGTCTCTGATCATCATCATTAGACGATTTGCTTTTTCAAGCTACTCCTAGCCATACCTAAACATGCCAACATGTTACTGAGAATGTTAATCATTGAATCACATTTTCTTAACAATTCAGCAGTTATTATCTGTGTGTATTGAAGTAGATGAATATCTCGTCTTGATTTATCTTATTAATTACATTAGTAGAATAATATTAATTATTGGTTCTTTTTCATAGTTTACATTATTATTCTGATTTCCAGCTCTTCTCTGTCAAAAATAGTCTAATGAGATAACAGCTTTATTTTGTACAAATATCTTTCTTTAAAATAAAGGACACTAATTTCCAGTAGGTTGTTTGGCTGAACATAACAGAAGCTAGTTACATAGTATTTGGTAAAATAATATATAACATATCTATATTATAATATTTTGAAATTTTGATGTATCCATTAAATGGAAGTTTCAGCAGACCATTTAATGTCATGAGAATCTATATTACCTTCTTTTATAAGATAAAAAGGAGGTTAAAATGTTATTGTAGTAGAATTACAAGTTTATAAATAAAATATAGATTTAAAAAATATAGAAAGAAGTGATAGTCAACTTTAGATTTTAAAACATCTTCTAGTTTCCACAGTGTATAAGCACTACTTTTACATTTTAAAATCTACTATATATATATATATATATATATATATATATATATGATTAAATAAAAACAAAATAATTCAGTGTGCTAAACAGTTCTGGATCATATGATTTTGGAAATAACCATCCTTATTGGCTCTGAATCTGATAATCTCTTTTTGCTTTTTAAGTACAGAGCAGAATACATGTCTTGAATTCTCAGAGAGTAAGGTTGGAATGCATGTGCAGATGGCACAACCCACAGAGACATTTGTTTCCTCAGGCACCTTTGTGTCTGCTTTCAAGATAATGTCAACTTGCTATTTTGGAGTAAAATCCAGATATCATTTTCAAATGATGATGTCACATGTGCACAAGGTTTCACTATTACTGCTTCTGACTAATTATAGTAAGCGTCAGTGATGCTTACAGAATGTAATACATATGTAGACACATGCCCACACACACACACACACACACACACACACACACACACACACTCAGATGCACAGTAACTTAAATCAGTAATTTACAAACAGGTCTCCAGTCTCAGGGGCACTGTATGAGGCTTTGAAATGTTGCCTGGGATTTGGTGAAACAAAGGCGGCATTAGGCATTCTATGACACACGGCTGATCCGTCCATCTGGAGACCTATCTTATTTTGATGCTATATTTTACTTTTCCCTGAGTGTCTGAAAATCAGAGAGTGTGAAAAAATGCTCCAGAGGATTGAAATTCAATGTAGAAAATGGCACAATAAATAAAACTCTTTGCCACCTGTAAACAGTTTTGATCATCCAGAGCACTCTTGCTAATGGTTCCAAGATTTAAGACCCAAACCATGGAAGGCATTTTCCAGAAAGAGCCCTTGGCTTTGATATTCCCATTCCATCCTGATACAGTTCTAATTTACAGATGGTCAGAATTTGTGATATTTCTACTTCATGTATCACTGTCTAATTGGCAGAGTGGATTTTCTAGGATAAAGTGTCTTGTAAGCCTGGAGGTTTCTTTTTTTCTTTTCTGGACAGGAAACCTAAAACATGTATTTATTTAGAGTTTACAAAACCTATTCACTTAAATATTTTGGAAAATATGATTTTAAGATGAGTTTACTTCATCATTGTAATAGATACAATAAAATTAGTAGTTTTATTAATTTGTTTACTTCATTTTGAATTTAATAAGACTTCTCTATGTGAATGAGGTTCTAAAATGTTATGTTTCTTTGCAAAGAACTTTTCCAGAAATATCATATCTTTATTCAAAAATGTATCTTTTTTAGCCTGCCACGTATCTTGCAATAATGTAGGCATTTGCTTACAGCAACAGAATCCATTTAGGGAATAAATAATTGACTGATCTTATTATACTGAGCCTTTTCCTTCAAAAAGTTTATATCTCTGATATTTACAGATACTAAGAAAATTGACAAATCGATTCAATTGTGTCATCACATGAAAAGAATCCATTTTAATCAAAATTTTTCATCCACATGTTACAAAACCTATAAACACTTAGATATACTTAGATCTAATAATCTCCAAGGTAGTGATTTATTGAGTGCTTAAAAATTTGTGTACTGAACAGGCGCTTTATATATGTTATCTGCGTCACTACAACTCTGCAAAGGGTGCTGGGTTGGGTTTATTTTTTCTCATGTTTGAGGTTTTTGTTAGCACTTATCAGCTATTTAAGTGTTTTATATCTGTTATTGACTTCAAATTACAGCAAAGCAGCACTTTAGAGATAAGAAAAATGAGAATCAGAGAATTTAAATGAGTTTTCCAAAGTCACACAGCACATGGTAAAGAGGTAAGTCAAGCCAAATTTGTATGACTAGGTTTTTTTCTGCAATGATGTCTTCCATTTATGAATTTCCTTCTTCAGTATTATATACCAACATTCCAGAAGAGTATGTGGACATATGATGAAAAGACCATGTCCCATTTATATTTATGTTCACACAGCACCTATAAAAGTGCCTTATACACAGTGGGCTTCAGTGAATATTAATTAAATCTAAAGTACCATTATGAATAATCAGCTTAATACAATTAATCATCCCCAAACATACTGATCATTAATCACTTAGATGTCCATAATTTACTTCATTACAAAAGGTTTTGTTGAGCCCACAATGTGTGTTTATGAATGGAGGGGAATGTGTGTATTTAATATTAATTCTAAATTAATTTAATGCCAACACATTCAAAAGATCTGTTCTCGCAGCTATTCCTGGATAGCATGCAACCCATCTTTACCAGACAACAATTCACTATAAATAAGTAGCTGACCCATGTAGGGAAAACACTTTATTTCACCACAGTCATTATTGCTTATTTTCTCTCAGAACCAACTTGCTCCCACTATAAAATTTTGGTTACCTTTCTAGCCCTATAGGCAACTGCATTGATTATTTCCTGTTGTGCAATTGCGTAGAACCAGGTATTTCCTAAGTAGCCACATTCAGCAGAGATGTTTTTAAAAAGAAGAAATACAATCATGCTGCTTCAAGTTGTGGTAGTGAATATTTGTGCATCTTATTTTATTCCTGGCATTATTAAAGAATATTTAAAAATAATATTAAAGCTGATCTTTAGGAGGATTCTGTGTCCAGGTTTTTACAAGAGCTAGGGGGAAAAACAACGCCAGTTGTTTTTAGTTGTTTTTTGTTGTATTTTCACTTAAAATACAAAAACAATGATGTCTCAGCTTTCATATGTGGTTGTAATGAAATAGCAGATGAAATATACTCTAGTGGAGGGTTCTCTCCATGAGTAAGGTACTTAGGATGGCAGTGGGACAACAGGGTGGGGATTCAGAACATGGTCATAAAATGGCAACACCTTCTCTTTCTATGCTTCACTAAATGACAGAGCATATCAGAGCTTTCTTGAAACATATGTAGATGTTGATGGGCCTCTGCATATTCTGACTCCTGGCTAACACTAGTTCTTGTACTTCAGAATTCCTTTATATTATTTGAATAAATATAACTTCTTTTTTAGAACAGAAATTGAACATTGGATAACCTTGTTTCCACTTCCACTTAAAGAAATGCCTAAAACACAGTTTTACTTTTTAAATGAAACTGACTGTCTGAATACCCCAGACACAGAAGATTATTCACATGTTAAGTTAAATATATGTAAAGTTTGAGTGACAAATTTTAATAACTAAAATGTTCCAAAATCTCAAATCTTGAAAAAAGATTAGAAGGGATTAGTAAGGATTTTTCTATTTTCACTGTCACCACCAAGGTAAGATTGCATTAAGATTCTGTGCATATAAAAGCATAAGAAAGCTTAATATGAATGGTAGGTAATGTTTTTTTGAGACTCTGTAAAGCATCTATGTGGGAAAGTAGATATTTAAGCCTGCTAAAAAGCGTGCATTACTGATTGCAGGTTTTGGTTCTATATGATCATTTTTCTTTTTTGTGGTATAGATCTACATCCACTAATACTTGTGGGGCGATTAATCAATTGGAATTGATAAAAATGGTGATAGTCATTTAGGAGTTCATCGTTCTCAAACAACTCATCTTTGCAACTCAGCAAAGAATCTTAATGAAGTCTAGAATTGCTCTAAGAAAAGTCATGTATTTAAGTATCCGTACACTTTTTCTTAGCTTTGAGACTGTTTTAACTGTGATTGAAAAGCCAGTTTAGTGTACTAGCCAAGGCTTTCTGGGATTCAGTTGTCTCATCAACCGATGGGAATAACTACACATTACTGGTCTAAAACTGGGAGCTGGATTCATAGAGCTGGCAAGATCCCTTAGATACATGGATTTATCCAAACTGCATTCTTAGTAATCAATGCATGTAGCCATCTTGAAGAATGTGTTTTTATTCTGAACTTAGCAATGGTTTCACACACATTCAAGATCACAGTACGACCTAGCATAAGCATCAGTTTTTTTTTCTTGGTAACCACCCTTGCTTTTTTCTATTTGTACTCAGCAAGCACACATTATGTAGTTCCCAGATCTTCCATGCAATGTTTTTTCATTCTTTTTTTTTAGCAGAGGCCTAGAGTAAATTCAATGTACAAAAAACCCAAAAAGCTATGTAAATAAAAATCAGTATTAGTAACAGAAAAATAAAAGAAATAGATAAATCAAAACTGTTTAAATTGAAAAATTCTGATAGAATAACTTAGGACAAAGGACACTCTAAGCTGACCTATTATTCCCAAGCCTCCCATACTCCAGCTTCTTACATCTTACATCAATTTACAATGTACTTTTATTAATATCTCCATAAGAATATGTATTAATTTCCTTTTATACATTGCATAACATTAAAAATAGCCCAAATAATTTGATAAAGGCAGATATTATCACAATAGAAATATTAAAATAGTCATTCCACTTAATAAGAATATTAAAATAGTCATCCCACTTCATAGTTGTACTTATAAAACAGGGCAAAAAATGAAATATTTTATCACCTAATTCTTTTTCCAGTCTAGTATTCATATGCTATGAATTTCATCTGTACAAAATTCACAATCTTGCAATAATAAAAAATGACTTTTGGGTGCACAATAGTAAAAAGTACCAAACTTTTTACTAAACAATGTACACATCAATCTGTTCTATCTTTATCATGAATATTTTTTATTATGATAGTTTTAATGATGAGGAAACTGACACACAAAAAACTTTTAGTAACTTTACCCCAGTTATGCAGCAGTAAATTTGGGCAACTGGAATTTAAAAAGCGTGCATCTGATTCTGCAGTTCATAATATCTTCATCAGGTCAAACAGAGAAAGAATAATCTACTGTAGAAAGGAAAGTATCTTCAAAAATAGAAGTTAAAAAAATAAAAGATGCAAAAAAATTAGATATTGTAATATAGGTGTGCATGTATATACATTTGTATACTTATATTAACAAACCAATAACTGTAGAATGGCAATTTGAATTTTGTAATGCTTTCTCAATTTTGTTTTCAACTATTTAAACTTTGTAATTTAGCTGCACCTAGAATTAATTAGTTTCTTCAATTATGTAAAACATCCTAGCATGGTGAAATCATCTCTACCAAAGTGCATTTGTGATTGATACAACTCTTTATGTTTCAGTTACTGTAAGAAACCAAAAAATCTGTTCATCTCAAAATGCTATCCAGCATTTTTATATTACTACTTTATTAATTTTATTGAATGACATTTGTATCTATTTTTGTTTAGTATTTCTTACAAGTGTCAAGGAGAAATTAAGATTGTTATATACTGAAATCTCAACATATTAAAAGAAAAGTTCAGCTTTTCTAGAAACCGAATCTCTTTTGGTAGCCTGAATATGGAAGTTAAACTATGCTTAATTTGTTTTGGTTTCATTCTACAACCTTGTAAGTAAACAGGTACTGAATTCCCTAAGGATGTAGTCGTTGTGAATCTAGTTAACATGGGACAGGTAGAAGGAACAACTTCTTACCATCGTGATTCTTTGGGGGTGAAACTAGTGTCATGTTAGTGTTTGTGTCCCCAGTGTTTTGTGCCTAGTAGGTAATCAGTAATTATTGACAGGATATGTAAATAAATAAATGAAGGTAAACATTTTTATTTCTCCATAGATAGAAATATTACTGCAAAATTTCACAGATTAAAAATAGAAAAAAAAATCATATCTTCAGCACTCTGAATTGTGTTCTTGAGGAAAAAATGATTTAAAATGTGGTTCTTGTCCTCAAAATCTTACATAGAGAGATACGACATAAATACTTGCTACTTGGAGAGTGCCAAAAATGACCTAAAAAGAAGTTCTGAAAAACAATTGTAGAAATGTTACTTGGCAGTAACCAATCTATTGCCAGTGACAGAAACTTGCCTTGATATAAAAGCTCAGAAGTCTAAGTTATCTGTTCAGGCTGCATTGTCTATGGGAAGCTTTTAAAGAATCAGTAATGGATTATTAGTTTTGAACAATGGATGTAGTGAATCTAAAAGAAGAGGACAAAAAAATGTCATTCTGGTTGATGGGATAGTAATCCATAGTGCAGTTTTAAAAAATTACCAGTTCTGTTTTGAGATGTAATAAATCGGTTTAGGGAATGGAGTACTATTTGATAAGAATAAGAAAAGAATAGCATTATGGTAGGTTGGATTTTAAATATGAGATAGTGAATACAGTCATTTCTAACGTTTAGCTTGGATTTGAGAGCAAGATATACTAAAATGCTATTATAGTAACCTGATTTCTTAACCCAAAATCATTGTGTTCCTTTTTCTCTTCCTTTTTCCTTACTATTTTATAAAATAGCCTATGCTTTATTTTCTTTTAAAAGTAGATCCAATCGCAGAGTATTAATATTGTATATTTAGGAAGAATTAGTACAGTCCATTGTGAAGTAGCATTGAGGTCTGTAAGAAATATGCTACATACAGTTGAAAAATGACATTGCCAAAATATAATTTGATACCAGGAGCTTAGCGCATATAAGACAACAATAAAATTTCTGTTAATACCATGACAAAAATTAAAAGGAAAGGAAAAATTTTAAAACTCCCATTAGAGATTATATTAAATTGCAATTTAGAAAACAAAATCAATCTTTTAAAATTGAATTGCTTTGGGTGTATCAGTTTTATCTGCATTTTTTTCACTGCCAGTAATAAACCTGACAGAAAAAAAAAATGAAAAATTGATGATAGCATATCAACAGCGGAATGAATGTCTCAGGTGTTTCACTTATGAATAACTAGCTAATATCATTCAGTCACCTTGGGCCCATTCATTAATGTTCCAGCTATCCTAAAAGGAAATGTCAAATACAACAATTTGTTCTCCTGTTCTTTCACTTAAACAAAAGTTTAAAAAGTCAGAAATTTTGTCCGATTAGTCCTTCTTTGTATTATGTATAAGATTTGCTTGTATATAAGGAAAGATTTAAAATAGTTTCAAAAATTTATGCTTCTCCATTTCTGTTAAAATCAGTCCCAGGAAAATTTCAGTAGCTTTGCACCTCATCACAAATCTTTCAAAATTTTCTAGCAAATATCTGACTGTCAGTTATAAATATAAAGATCTCTAGTTTTTTGTGTGTGAATTGCCATCATAAAACTATGGAGAGAACGTCAACTGTCATATGTGCACACACACGCACACACACAAAAAATCTATTTAATTTTTATTTAGAATTTAGCCTAAACAAAATTATCATACAGGTTTAGATGGTTGTTGGCAACTGAATTACTAAATATTTCCCTAATATTCCTGGTTCAAGATTAGTCTACCATAACCAAATTCCTTGGCTTTGGCTCTTATTGTAACCCTTGCACTACCTCTTGCTTTCCATCAACATATTTGTCAACAAATTATTCCTTCTACTGGAATAAGTCTTTCCTTCTGTTGTTTCATAGTACTTTGATTAAACCTCTCTAAATACCCCTTTGTATTGTTTTATATTGTGTCTACATATTGTGTACTGCATTATCTTACATTGTATACACTGACGTAAATGCTTCTATTCAAAATTAAGCTGAGAAATCTCCTTGGAAGAAATTGTACTTTTGCCTCTTTTTGGAAAATTACTTTCTGCTATACGTATGAAGAAAATGCCAAAAAACTAACTGAACTTTTTCTTAAGTCAAATTAATTATTAATCAATGAATATATTTTCTATTACTGAGGGGATAATTGCTTTTCTACATTGCAACTAATATAATTTGTAATTACTTTGTTTGTATCTTTGTTTCATTGACTCTTCTGTTGGAATATAAACTGTGAGGCCAGAGACCATGTTGTCTTTTTATCTTTGGTTGTTTTTTTCATCTTTAAATCTTTTAATGCATACATTTTTTTCTGGCATGGGAACACATGAAATAAACAAATAAGTGTGAAAAGCAGACAAGTTTCTAAGAGGGTGAAGGAGATTAATAAATAACCAGATGATTGTAGCAAGTGTTGTAATAGAGGTGCCAGAGCCAAGCACACCACAATTTTTGACATAGATTTCCATCATTAATTGTGCATTACAAACAAGGATGTATGTGGCAGGGTGGGTGGCTGGGAATCTCCTTACCTTCACAAACCTCAAAAATTGGCATTAAAAACCTAAAAAAATTAAATTTACTTTGCCTTAAACATTAGGTTATCAATTATTTTTGTATGTGACTTTGATCCAGAAATAGGACATATGTATATAACATTACAGTTTGCTTTACATTTAGAATTACGGAAATATTATCATGATTCTCCCAAGTTCACAATCTCCAAGTCTTTCTTAGTATTATTACAATTAATATTTTCTTTTACCCTATAGGTAGCACTACCCTTTATTTGACACTATTTCAGAGTAATTTTTAACTCAAATGAACCTTAAAAAATTATTTTGCTTAATTCTTCTCTATAAAGCCTCCAGAAGGTGGAAAAACTGGTGAAGGCATTGTTTACTTCAGTAGTAACCTTTGTCATTCTCTCAGTTTAGGTTGGTTTAGCAAGCATTCATTGCTAACCTACACTGTGCCTGGCATTGCCCCAAATTCCAGAAATTCAAAGAAAAGAAGAGAAGAAGGATCCATTCTTGAGGCTCTCATAGTCTAGCTAGACTACTGTTATGCTGTTGTAGCTACAGGTTTCTTTCCTCCTCCTTCTGCTTGTTCTTCTCCTCCTTCACCTCCCTCTACTTTCCCCTTAGCTCCAACCATTGCCTTTATCTTCTGTGCTTTTCTCCTTCTCCTTATAGGTTTGGTTAAATGTAATATCAAATATTTGGTAAAGTGCAAACTAGAAAAGTCTTATAGTCTCATCTGCAATGAAGAATCTGTAGAGTTATAGTAGATTGTAAATTATTCTGCATAAGAATTTAAAGTTTTAATGATCGAAAAGTTTTGAAAAACTACATGCCCAAAAATATTAATATATTTAAATTATAAGTGACTTAAAAGAAGACCTACTTATCATCATTATAAATGTACTCATAGTGAAAGCTCAAGAGCAAAATATAAACATATGCACATATATGCATATACATATATATATATTCTCTTTGATGTGCTCAGATTTATAAGCAAGGCTCTGATTAGCATTAATGGAAGTTTTATATGGACATAAAGGTTTATTCTTTTCTATGTAGTCAGGACCACCTCCTTCCAGTGCTTTTAGTCCTTTCTATCATCACAGATGCTCAATAAAGTATTTTAAACTGTGTGTCCACAGCCAAAGGAATCTGGAAAATTTACTAGATCCAAAGCATTCAGATGTACTTATCATACACTACAGTCATTCAAGTCAGTATATCTCATGCTTTAATTCTCTAATTTGCCTCACAATTTTGTTTCCTGGACTAGTTTAGTTTTTTATCTTGATTCCTATATGATTTGTTTTGATCTACAAATTTGAATGCTAATGGCAGCTCAGTTTGTTGTGTATGTGTATATGTATATATCTGTGGAAGAAGTTTATGAGGTTCCCATTCCCTAGATTCTGGAGGTTTAGTTGCTTTTTTCTGTTCTCTGCGGTTATACAAGAAAGACCTTTTTTCACACCACCTGAGAGCTATAACCTGAGCCATTGGTGGCCTGAGTATTCTAACTCTGGAAGTCAAAAACCAGAGTTTAATGTAGGTGGCCACTCAGGAAGCTGGACTGGCAGAACTCTAAGAAGTCTTACCACCATGTTTCAATTGAGTAATATGTGACATGATAACATGAGTAGAAATAGTATTCTAAAATTGATATAGAATATAAATTTTATATTTTTGTGGTGATGAAAAAAATTATATGCTGAGAAAAATAAAAATATATATTAATTTGAAGTAGAATAGATTTTTACCAGAACCGTTTAAATTTCTCCTCAGTGTTCTCTGAACTGAACTGAAACAAATTGGTATACTTTATGCGTTTTGTTTGAGTTCCTCTTTTATCTGCTGCTGTCTCTGCTTTGTGAATTCAGAGGAGCTCTTCACTTATAATTTTCTCCTTTCCTCTCCAGTTAATTCATGTAGTAGGCAATGTTAACTGTTGCAATGCTCCTTCCTATGCTTTGCCCTACTTGCCCATTCTCTAAAGTCCCTGACATGCATCAGTAGTGAAATTCACAATAAGTTGGAGACATATCTATGATGATCACCCCTTAAATACGGTAACATTCTCTATTGCTCTTGTGTATATACCATAATACTTATTCACCATTACTCCCCCTTACATAAGTCCTACTATACATAGACTCACTTCACTAGAGTTTGTCCAATGCATGTCCATGATGACCCGTAGGCATTAAATGTTTGATAAGACCAAGAAATAAGGTGCTTTGCAATATATATTATCAAAAATAAAAATATATAACATTGTGTTAAAACTTTGAGACATAGTGATCAAGTGATAGTAAACAGAAACAAAATTTTCAGTAACCATTATCACTGATAAAATAGTTTAAATGTCAGTTGTAATTAGCCAGGTATGGTGGCAAGCACCTGTAATCCCAGCTACTCAGGAGGCTGAGGTAGTAAAATCACTTGAACCAGGCAGGCAGAGGTTGCAGTGAGCCAAGATCCCGCCACTGCACTCCAGCCGGGGCCGACAGAGCGAGATTCCGTCTCAAAAAAAAAAAAAAAAAAAGTCAATTGTAATATCTTAATTTAGCACACATTCTATGTTGTAATGTTCATTAGACAAATACACATAAACGAACCTTCATTATTTTACTTTCAATCTCTGTTTTACAACCCTTTATTTTATATTATTTATTTATTTCAGAGGGAGATTCTCCCTGTCACCCAGGCTGGAGTGCAGTGGTGCGATCTCAGCTCACAGCAACTTCCGCCTCCCGGGTTCAAGCGATTCTTGCACTCCAGCCTGGGCCAACAGAGAGAGACTACATTACAAGAAAAAAAAAAGTCAATTGTAATATCTTAATTTAGCACACATTATATGTTGTAATGTGCATTAGACAAATGCATATAAACGAACCTTCATTATTTTACTCTCGATCTGTTTTACAACCCTTTATATTTTATATATATATATATTTTTTTTTTTTTTTTTTTTTTTTTTTGAGACGAAGTCTCGCTCTGTCACCCAGGCTGGAGTGCAATGGCGCGATATCAGCTCACAGCAACTTCTGCCTCTCGGACTCAAGTGATTCTCCTGCCTCAGCCTCCCTGAGTAGCCGTGATTACAGGCGCCCGCCACCAAGCCGGGTAATTTTTTTGTATTTTTAGGAGAGACGGTGTTTCACCATGTTGCCCAAGCTAGTCTCAAAGCCCTGACCTCAATCCACCTCCTCCTCTGAAAGTGCTGGGATTATGGGCATGAGCGACCACGCTCTGCCAACAACCCTTTATTTTGGATAATAATAATACTACACGAGATGGAAGACTTCTAATGTGTCAGGTACTGTGTTAAGTACTTTAAAACATTGAGTTGTTTAATATTCATACCAGCTTCATAATGTAGGTGCTATTTTTATCATCCCTTTTTCCTATTTTGGAAACTTAAGCACAGAAAGATAGAATGGTTTATACCCAAATCGTACAGCAAGTAAGTGGCAGATCTAGATTGAAAACCAGCTGTACTGGCTCCAGACTTAGTCCTCTTAAAAGGTCAGTGACACTGACACTAACCATTCATTCATCTCAGAGATGCTGTCAGAGGAGTTTTAAAGAAATAATGTGGTATCATAGCAGGAGAAAATGCTGAATCTAGCACAAAGAAGAATACACATAAGAAGTTCAGAAATATACCACCATTCCCCAATAAAACTTAGTCAAAACGATTTCAAGCCACCTCAGAAGACAATCTGCATGTCTTTCACATTTATGTAGTTTTGAGCACTAATACAGTTTATAAAATGGCAAATGTTTTTGTAGCCTCTGATATAAGAAAGGCACTGAGAGTCTAATTTATGTTTTCCCTTGTTTAAGCCCTATGCCAATTCCTCAAAGTATTTTCAAACAACCATATTTTACGAATAAAGAAACTGAGGCTCAAGAACGTTATGTGAGCTGTTCGAGGTCATGCACTCAATCAACCATCGTGCTCAGATTCAAATATAAGTCTTTCTAACGTCATAAAGCCACTTGAGAACTACTCTAATGATAAGGAATAACTTTCTCACTAACCCCAGGTCTCACTGCAGGAGCCAATTTATGACAAAATAAGATTTCTTGTCTTTCCCTAATAAAATTTTATTTCTTTTTATGGAACTTATAACTACATGATAATATATTTTTATTGTCTTTTTTTATCTGTTAGAATTTAAGCTGGAAAAGGTTGGGCAGCTTATTGTTGTCAAATCATATATGCATGAATAGAAACTAAAGAAGAATATATCTCGGCAAGAAGGACTTCAGTGCTAATTAGCAAGGTAGAGACAACTTAAGATTTTACACTTGGTTTCCATTTTCAAGACAACCTTAATGCTCTGACCGATTCCGGCTTGGAAAAGCTCTGCTTTACTTGTCAGATTGAAAAAAATGTTTTCTTAAAAATACCTTTGTATGTTTTATATTAAAATAATTGCACTAAAATTGATTAATCAGATATCAAATATCATACGTAGAATAGTAATGACATAGCATAGAGAAGACAAAAATTGGGTTTCCATAAAGATAATGAGTCATGCCATAGATTATGACCAAAAGTACACTATGGAATAGTAATTTGTCAGCATTGCATATGTTAGTAAAAAGCAAATAACTTGGGGATGGATGATGCTACTTTTGAGGTTATGCATGAAGCTGAGGATAAACAGAGCTTTCAAGGAATGGAAATAGAGAATAAAGAAAAAGTCCATGTAGTTTGTAGTAGAAAGATTGTGAACATGACCAGATTCTTAACCCTTTTTATATGCACTCTATTGCAATATGAATTTGTTCCTTCTTCATTAAGAAATAAATCCATTTCCCCAATTCCTGAATTTGAGCTGGCTTTGTATCTTGCAACAGAAGTGAGGGTATATGAGTTACAAACCAAAGCCTCAGTAGGTCTTGTGTGCATTCAGTCACACTTTTATAATGCTGCCCCTAATATGTGGACAAGCTTGGGGTGAAGGAGGAAAGACCACATGGGGCATAGTCAGCCAAAATGGCCAAGTCCAGTGTCCAGAGATGTGAAAGATTCCAATCAAGAAGACAGGAACGCCAGCCCTCGGCCAACCCATCAGTTGACCATAAATGCATAATCAAGCACAGATGAGAACAGTTGAGCCCAACCTGGAATAGAAAAATAATGGCTCAGAGAACCTACAGACTAGTAAGCTAATAAATGTTTATTGTTTAATTGTTTGTTACATAGCATTATTATTGCAATAGATAACTGGCACAATAGTAAAATAGCCCTGAAAGTTGAGTTACCTTAAGTATTTTAGCTCTGTTATCAACAAATACGGTGAATATAAATGAATAACACAGCTTCTGTTTCTCTCTTTTCAAAATTGCAAAATAAAAGAACATGTTTTTAAGATAATTTATAAATTTTTCTTTTTTCCATATTCTAACTTTCTAGGAAATTTGAGGAAGTAGAATTTAAAAACACAATCCGTGAAATTAACTTTTTAGATATAAATATACCATGTCTCTTAAAATATTGATTAGAAACACCATTTGTTTCATTTATAATGTATCATTTACAGTGATTACTAATAAAAGCAATAAAAACTAAAACCCTTGTAACTGGAAGATATTTGCCAACAACAACAACAACAACAAAAAAGCAAATGAGCTGTTTGTTCAGCCCCTGGAAGAACAAAATCAAACTAAAACATTGGAAGTACATAAAAATGCTTATGCATGAAAAAGTTTGGTATCCAGGCAAAAGATATCAAAGCCTCAAAGGATTCTAGAAATATATTTGTCTCTCTGAGACAGTAAACAAATATATTCAATTTCAGAAAAACAAATTACTGGACTTCTAAAGAATGGTGAAGATTCTTACGTTGTTAGTAGGTACGACATTAACATAATGTCTTTCTGGCTTTTTAATCGAAGGAATCTGTATCTCTTAAAGTAAGCGAATAATAATGCATATTTATCCAAGTCACTTATATTTTTAATTCTAAATTCACAACAGCCTCTAAGCCTTCATTCTTAGTAAAAGACATAGACCCAGAAAAATTATAACATAGGTAATGTTGATTTCCTCTGTGGGCTTTCACTTAAGTTAAGTGGCTGACTAGCTGATTTTATTGATAAAATGATTTAAGGACAAGGATTGCTGGGCAATAGATCTATTCCTTTATGATAAGGTTTTAACATTTTAACAAGGCGTCCCAGGATCTGAACCCAAAGGAATAAAAGTTGTGGGATAAATCAGCGAGAATGACATTCCACAGTGACACTGTTGCCTGCTCGTTTTACACCATCATGAGTCTCACTATATAGAAACATTTATGTGGGGAAAATAACACGAATAGAAACAAATGAAATTGTTTTTTACATTATCATGTTTATTGATTACATGATTTGGGAACGTTTTCCCCAGGAGAAATATACGCACACACACATGTATACATTTTTAAGAAGCAATAGGGGAAAGAAATTATCAAATGGCCTTAATCTGTAAACCCATCTAATATGAAGTTCAGAGGTACATCAGATTTCAATCTTTGGATTTGTCAGTGCTTCCACAATGTCATGGTCTTAACTTTGTATCCTTGGGGTCATTAATTCCAAAAATTGGGTCCCCTGTTGCTCAAAACTTACTGCATTGGCAAGTGAGACTTGATACTTTCTTACTTCCCTCTGAGTGGGCATAGGTCAGGTGTTCATCCAGGAATCAATAATTTTGGCCAAGTGAGTGACACATGCTAATTGACTTAAGCGTAGGCTTCTGAATCTATTATTGTCAAAGTGATTGGAATTCCTGTGGTTAGTTTGGTCATGACAAATCTCAGGACCTGGTGGGTGGTATCTTTTCTTGATAAGCATGAACTGCATGAAAAAATAAAAGTAGACAATTGAACAAAATTTAAGCTCTATCATGAAGCAGAAAGGTAAAGATGGATGATGGACAGACAAACAACCACGACCACTAAAGACATTTACTTTAGGCTGGGCATGGTTGTTCATTCCTGTAATCTCAGCACTTTGGGAGGCCGAGGCGGGCAGATCATTTGAGGTCAGGAGTTCACGACCAAGCTGGCCAACATGGTGAAACCCCATCTCTACTAAAAATACACAAAAAATTAGCCGGGCATGGTGGCATGCACCTGTAGTCCCAGCTATTCTGGAGGCTGAGGCAGAAGAATCACCTGAACCCAGGAGGCACAGGTTGCTGTGAGCTGAGATCTGACCACTGCACTCCAGCCTGGGCTACAGAGCAAGACTCAGATAAATAAATAAATAAATAAATAAATAAATAAATAAATAGATAGATATTTATTTTAGAGTGTCTGAGAAAAGACAGTGTAAGTGTTTTCAAATATTAATGGGCTACAAACTGAAAATGGATTTAGTTGTTACAGCTGTTAGGACAAAACTAAGAGCAATGTGAGGAAGACGTGAGAGGTGAGCTTTAGCTTACAATTACACTTTCAACAAGGAAATCTGAAATATTGTGACTAGAGAAAATATTTTTAGCTGGAAAAGTTCCAGTAGAAATTGGAGGAGTACTTGTCCAATTGGTGACAGAGTGAATTTCTGCACTGAGTCCAGAGGCATCATATAAACTGATTCTGACTGCAATGTGAGTTATGTTTTACACACGTTCTAATTGAAATTGTATATAGTTCTCATAATTATTTTGGTATCTTTTAATAAACAATTACCATTTACTTCAATGTGATTTGTTTATTGATTACTTAGTCTTCAGGCCAATGATTTGTAAGAGATGACCAATTCCTTTTAAATGACATAAATGTTCTTATTTTTTCTAGCAGGAGATTTTGTGTGTGTGTGTCTGTGTGTGTGTGTGTGTGTGTGTGTCTTGTGTGTGTGTTTTCTTACAGTACACAGTTGGTTTTCTTTAATATGAGGGATCTTCTTTATTTTTTCATACTTAATGTTGTAAAAGTTGCACTGTGAAGATAAAAATGATTCAAGGAACAACACTGCAGTGTCAGTACTTTTGTTTTTATTTGTTTTATCATATCTTTTTAGCCTCCAAATGAGTAGTGAAACACATTGACAGAAATGAGATAAACCATGAAATTTACTTCACCACTGAAAGGAGGATGGGATTCTTTAATTATGCCATATGAAGGTATATTAGAAATATGATATCATTGGAATAAGCGTCTCCTTAGATGCATTTGGTACATATGCTATCAGATGAGATGCAAAATGCTCACATCTCCTCATTATAAAAGATTTCACTAATAGTTGCTTACTGTATTCAAATGCAGTTATAATCAATTAAATCAATATTTTGAAATGCATTTTGTGGAAGTTTGATTGTCTGTGAATATCTTACTGTTCATTTCTTCCCTTACATATGTAAGGTGTCAACCTGGCTTTGTATAATGTGTACTGCCTCTTTCTGGAGCTCATATTCTTAAAAAAATACGGAAATTCCCTTTCCTGAACATCATAATTTGACATGTAAGTTCAAAATAATGTACAGAAAATGTATGAAAGAGGAAATAAAATTATTAAATCAAAGAAAAAGAATTTTAAATAATTCTTATTTCTGTGTGAGATAAATATTTGTCCTAAGAATGAAGAGAAGTGAACCAGAGTACCTATGTTATGACTAATGCTTAAACGCTCTGGGTATTCATATAAGCATATGCCTATAATCAAGCAGGCATCTTATTAATTAATTAAAATTTTAATTATAAATAATTTTGTTATGTAAATACACAATTGTAAAATGCATATAATAACTTGTTTTAAATTGTATTTTGAATAGGAGCTGTGCCTAAGTGCTGGCTTTAGTCTTAACTGGCTATGTGAACAAGGGCAAACCTTATATCCATGTGGTCCACAGATCTTCAGTGTGTAAGGAGATTATTCAAATTATCTCTATGGTCTCTACTAGGTTTTTAATCAGAAACATTTGTAATTAATCTTAATAAAAATATTATGATTAAAAACAATAGGTTATAGCTATGATACTGCTTAATTGGCTACTAATGCAAGTTGGTGCACTACAGTTCTCCAAGGAATGCTCTGGTTAGTGGTCAGATATAGTTTAATTTATCTTTTAAATTTTCATATTAGGTGTCTTTTTAAAGAAAGAAGTTTGGAATATCTTTGATATTTTTAAAAATTGTGTTACTAGTAGTAAAAATAATTACAATAATAAAAACAAGCATAAAGATCTACAAATAGTTTCAAAACTAATAATGTCTTAAATACACACCTACTACAGATGTTAAAGGAAATGTTTCTATCATTTTTACAATTAGGCACACCATTTGCTCTAAATTTTAAAATATGAATTCTCAAAAATTTAGAAAATTTTTATCATGAATAATTTGAAGTGTAAACGAACTACAGAGTAATATTGAATGTAGTTATACACACATTACCTTGATTTAACAGTTATCAAATGTTGACACGTTGTTTTGTCTCTCCCTCCTAGTCTTTCCCCCTTCTTGGCTGAAATATTTTAAAGCAGATGCTAGGCCTCAGGTCATTTACCTTCTCAAACTGTTATATGTATTTCTAAAATATATGGACATTTTTCCAATGACCAAAATGCTATTATCATCTGTTAAAAAATTAGCAATTATTACTTGGTATTATTGAGATCTCATCTTATGTTTAAATTTTCCTTATTGTGTCAAAATATTATTTTTACAGATGGTTTCCTGCAATTAAGCCTCAAACAAATTGCGCATTTCTCCCTCAAATTTTATGACATTGTGGTATTGAATAAACCAGTCAGTTTTCCTGTGTTCTAGATTTGTCAACTTGTTCTTTAATGGTATTGTGTAACTTTTCCTCTCTAGTTTCATGGATCCTATAAACTGGAAATTCATTCTTAGTTCTATGTTTTTTATCTTTGGACAAGAGCATTAATCTACTGTGACTTTTCTCAGCAATGTTTTGTAACATTTTATACATAAATTTACAAAATTTTTTCTCATTTATCTCTAATTTTATGTGATTTTTGTTTTGTAATTTAATGGTTAGAGACTGCAAATTAGAGTGTGTTTATGTGTCTGCACATGTGTGCACACACATTTAGTTTGTTAATATCTTGTTTAGACTCAGTAAGATTAGCTGGCAATTTTTTTTCTTACATTGTCTATGTTAGTATCAATACAATGCTGACATAGCAAATTAGTTTGAAAGAATTTTCTCTGCTATTCTTTATCTCATTATTTTGTTTTGAAGTCAATAGACATGGCAATGTTTCTTTTTTTCACTTTTTTTTAAATTATACTTTAAGTTCTAGTGTACATGCGCACAACGTGCAGGTTTGTTACATATGTATACATGTGCCATGTTGGTGTGCTGCACCCATTAATTCGTCATTTACATTAGGTATATCTCCTAATGCTATCCCTCCACGCTCCCCCCACCCCACGACAGGCCCCCGTGTGTGATGTTCCTCTTCCTATGTCCAAGTATTCTCATTGTTCAATTCCCACCTATGAGTGAGAACAAGCGGTGTTTGGTTTTCTGTCCTTGTGATAGTTTGCTGAGAATGATAGTTTCCAGCTTCATCCATGTCCCTACAAAGGACATGAACTCATCAATTTTTATGGCTGCATAGTATTCCATGGTGTATATGTGCCACATTTTCTTAATTCAGTCTATCATTGATGGACATTTGGGTTGGTTCCAAGTCTTTGCTATTGTGAATAGTGCCACAATAAACATACGTGTGCGTGTGTCTTTATAGCAGCATGATTTATAATCCTTTGGGTATATACCCAGTAATGGGATGGCTTAGAACTTACTCATGTAAGTCTCAATAACTATTATTGTGTGTTTCTTCTTCCTTTGCTTTTGCTTAAAAAAAAAATGGGTGGATCACAAATATTGCTCAAATGCCTTTAATGATTATAATCTGTCCAGGATTTCTATTTCTTCTCTTGTTAGTTTTAGTGAGTTATACTTTATCCAGGTAATTTTATATGTGGTTTGATATTTAAAATTTAATATAATAAAATTATTTAAATATCAACAGATGACTTTTTAATCATGACTTTTTTGTAATTATTGACACATTCAATTATTAATTTTTACTTCTCTACTTTTTAAGTAATCCCAGAAGTCTGTTTCATTAGATTTTTCAAAATACAAGTTGGTTTGCAAATCTTCCCTGTTTTTTTCCTTGAAATGTCTTTTCTCATGTTTGTTGTTATTTGTGTTTTGTACACTCAACTGGAGTGAGATGCTCAGCTCTTTCATGTTTAGCCTTTCTTGTGGTCAGATATAAGTGTTTAATGCTACGTATTTCAAAAAGTACACTGCTTAAGGTGCATGCTACAAGTAGATAAATTGTATTTTCATTAGTTCTTACTCTTCAGCGCTGAAGAGCTCTCCTTGATGTGATTCTATTTCAACCTTTGTGTTGTTTACAATTCTGTTTTTAATTTGAAAACAATTAATATAATACATATTTTTCTATTGTTTTTCATCTAATTAATGTTTAGATAAATATGATTGATACCAATTCACTGAAATTTGTCAAAAAGTTATTTATTGAGTAATGCATAATTTATTTTTGACAAATAATTCTTAAAAACTTTATATGAATAAAGTGTATTTTTCCTTAAGTTTTGACCTCTATAATTATAATTAAAATGTGTTTAACTACCTCTTACTATGATCATGGATCTGTCCAGTTTTCTCATAATTTTGTGAAAACTTCTGACAAAGATATAAGATAAACATATTTAGAACTACTGTCTTTCTAGTTAATTGTAAATTCATCATCATAACAATATGACACTATATCTAATAATGGTTTTTTGTATGAATTCATTTTCATTATATGTAAGATTATACATATACATAGCACATATTATTGTATATACAATACACACAGTTTTTTGTTTGTTTGTTTAGTTTTCCTGGTATATCTCTGTTCCTTCTGTTACCTTTGCTAATCTTTATCTTCTTTACATTGCATTTCACTTCTGAACACCATGTAATTCAAAACGTCCTTTTAAAGACAAATTTGACAATCTTTGTCTTTTAACTGGAAAAATCAGCACATTATGTTTTTTATTATTACTGATATGTTTAAATTTATCTCACCAACTATTTTTAAGATTTTAATGTAGTCCTTCTTTTGTATAACTTTTTCACTTTTATTATTTTTGAAATTCTAGCTTATTTTAAGTATATTATTCCTGAAATGTTCAAAATATATATCTATTCTAAGTCTTTTCAAATACTTTATTGTAAATTTTCTCTTTTTGTCTTAACTAACATTAAAAGTCATCAATATAACAGGTCTCCTTCTGTACAATATAAAAAAACCCTCTTATTTAACAGATCATTCCACAACATTGTCCAGTATTTCTAGAATCATCTAAAATGTTTACTTCATAAATTAGCATTGCCAAGTATTATTTTTATTCATTAAATATGAGTTGGTTTTACCCAAAAGTTTTTCAGGTTTTATGGCACTATATCTTTCTTTATCTAGCTTCAATGTTCTTCTTAAAGTATCTTAACGTATATGTACTTCATAAAGTATATGTTTTAGGGAATCTTTGAGTTGGCAACTAATATCTAAAATCTTAATCTCTCACACACATATACACATCTCTTATCTAGTTTGGTCTGAAAATATCTTAATAGTGCTATAGTTTTTTTAATAACCTAATCTTGGTATACAAGTCCAGACTGACATGAATTCCAGTTTATAATGTTGAAAGTATTATAACGTAGGCTTTTTGATTATTGTTGCTGTTGATAAATCTCCTATTTTGATTGCTGATTCTGTATAAATATCTCTCTTCCTTGGTTGTTTAGAGTATTTTTCTTTGTTTTTCACTCTGCAGTTTTACCTCATTATTAAAATAATATAGAACTTGTTATTTTTGTATTAACTTGCAATTCCTTGATAACTTATGATATCAAGCATTTTTTGAAATGCTTATTTGTCATATATGTATCTCTTTTGGTGAGGTGTCTCTTCAGACCTGTGTCCAATTTTTAATTGTGTTATTTATTTTCTTAAGTTTTAAAAGTAATTTCTATATTTTGGAGACTAGTCAATCCATTAGCAAATATGACTTTTGCAAATAATATCTCCAAATGATTCTCTTTCATTTTCTTTTTTTTTTTTTTTTTTTTTTTTACATAGTAGAGGTTTTACCTTTTAATGATATCCAACTTACTATTTCTTTTTTCTCCTGGTATTTATCTAAAATGTCACTGCCAAAACTCAATATCACATAGATTTTGTCTAATGCTATCTTCTAAGAGTTTTATAATTTTGCATTTTACAGTAGGTCTATGACCCATTTTATATTTTTTAATGAAAGGTAGGAAAAAATCTGTGTCTAGCTTCTTTCTTTTTTTTGGCAAGACATATTTTAAAAATACTGATACATTCATTATCATTACTATTCCTCACTTCTCTGTCTTTTAACTGTCTTTCTCATAAGCACAGACATACAGGTACATACAACTCTTCATTGGTTGGATTTCATAGTATTCCACTATAAATACATCTACCTCCACTCTACTTTTGTGCATCATTTATATTGGTCTTCATTTCTTTCTTGTAAACATACATATTGCTGTCTGCTCTAAGTCCTTTTTCTTTCACTTTAAATATTTTCTCCAAATCGCCTCCTTTGGCTGGTTAAATCTTTGGGAGTAGCATGATTCGTTTTCATGGAAGATTTTCTTCAGTTTTCTGTTACTGAAGCCATCATAGCAATTATAGACCATCTAGTATTTTTGTACATATTAGTCTGTAATACTAGATTTGATCTATTTAGCAGAATAAATGTTGACATTCTTATTCTATCATTAATAATAATTCTTAGTTCAGTGTCCTGTATGTAGAAAACATTTGATATATACATATTACATATAATTAAATTGTGCTACATTTTAATTTGTTTTGTAAATAAATGGCTGACAGTTTCTATAAGGATGTTTCTTATTTTCTCCAATATTTATCTTTTTGAATTTAGAAGAAAATTAAAAGAAGAGTTCAATTAACCTAGGTTCAAAAAAAAGTTAACATTTTTCAGCTTCATTGGGTTTTGAATAATACAAAGATGGTCAATATTTTGCTGGAATGACTATTGTATTCCATGAGACTAAAGATTCTTGCTATTATCACCAAATTAGATTACAAACACATACAGGAATTATGGGCTTATGAACTCTGGACTTATTGGCATGTCTGTGGAATTGTGGTTAATATTGGGTAAAAGTAAAGTCTGGTTACTAGTTAGTACTATAGTCTCACTTAACACTAATTAGTGAAGAAATACATATCTGAAATCTCCATTTTATATACAAAAATTCATTTTGCAAGAGGATTATTTCATTTTTGGTAACTCCAATGAAGAAAACTTAAAGACGATAGCTGAAAAAAGGGATTAAAATGATCATAATAGATTAGTGTTGTGAAGGACAGACAAAAATCAGAACAAGTAGGGTATTAGTTGGAATAGGAGGAAGTATCAAAATAGCTCTGTGCCTGTATGGTTCTCTTAAAACCGAGCTTCAGTGCTGAGTTGTATTATTCAGCTGAAGCCATGAATTGCGATAATCATTTCTTCCTTTTCTGAATTGCTAGATACAAACTGTTTTTCATCTGCAAAAAAATTCCATCTTTTTTATTTTTCAATTAAGTGAATATCCACTACCTCCATGTATTAGTCAGTGTTCTCTAGAGGGACAGACTAGTAGGATAGATATATAAAGGAGTTTATTAAATATTAACTTACACAATCACAAGTTTCCATAATAGGCTGTCTGCAAGCTTGAGAAGCAAAGAGAGCTAATCCAAGTTTCAAAACTGAAGAACTTAGAGTCCAGTGTTTGAGGACAGGAAGCATCCAGCACGAGAGGAAGATGTAGGCTGGGAGATAGGCCAGTCTCACCTTTTCACATTTCTCTGCCTGCTTAATATTCACTTAATTCACCACTGATTAGATGGTGCCCACCAGATTAAGGGTGTGTCTGACTTTTTCAGCCCACTGAATCAAATGTTAATCTCTTTTGGCAACAACCTCACAGACACACCCGGGATCAATATTTGCATCCTTCAACCCAATCAAGTTAACACTCAGTATTAACTATCACAAGCCCACCCCTTGTCAACTTGAACCCATACATATATCCTGAGATCACACATAATATTTAAATAAAGATGATAATAAAGTCATAAGCATGCCTAACATAATACAACTATTCTTCATACAACAGGAAATGCAGTAATCCCCAACCCAAATGCTATTACATAAAGTTAACCATACTTAAATGCAGATATGAAATCAATAAATCTGATGACACATGATAAAGGAGAAAGGAAATAAAATGAAGATATTTTCTCAGTACAACTGTATACATGCAGAAAACATGTTTTTAACAAAAAAAAAAGGAGGAAATACCCATGACAGTTACAATCCTCATATCTGCAGCTGGTCACATGGTTGTAACTGGTACTGATGATGACCTTCTTCTACTACCAATTTTGTATTCCCTTTGCTTTAAGCAAGCACCTCAGCAGGTCATGTTTCGTTTGTTTGTTTTCCTGGTGGTCCAAACCTTAATTCCTGAGGGGTCTGGACCATTTGTAGTCCTGCCTGGAGTGGGCTGTTGAGGTTTCCCATTGACCTTAATCACAGGGCATGTTATGGATCTATGCCCTGATGCAACTCCTGTATTTCATGCCTACTCTTCCTTACCTCCATTATGGACTAGTCGACTGATTTCATCTTGATAATCTGGGTCAATCACCCCACCCCAGCCAACACTGTAACTTCCTTCTTATCATGTTGACTTAAAGGGAGGAGGAGCCCAAAGTGTCCAGTTGGCAATCTTAACTTCCAGTCTAATGGGATCATCATTGTATCTCTGAGTGGCAGTACTTCTCACTCTAGGCTTCTAGGCCTGCAGAACATAATGTCACAGGAACAGGAAGCAAAAATTTTGCTAGTGGATCACTAGGGGTGATGGTGAGTGGTGACACTTCCACTTCCACCCCTTGATTCCAGGATCTGTGAATTCTGGCTATGGGAGAAAAGGTACCATATATCAGACACTGATTCAGAGCATCCACAGCTTTCTGGAGAACTTTTCCCCAGCCTTGCAAAGTATTGTCAACCAATTGGGATTGTAATTGTGACTTCAAAAGGCCATTCCACTGTTCTGTCAATCCAGCTGCTTCAGGATTATGGGGAACATGGTAATAGCAGTGAATTTCATGAGCATTAGCCCACTACTGCACTTCTTTAGCCATAAAGTGATTGCCTTGGTCAGAGACAATGCTGTGTGGAATACCATGATGGTGGATAAGGCATTCTGTGAGTCCACAGATGGTAGTCTTGGCAGAAGCATTGCATGCAGGATAGGCAATCCCATATCCACAGTAAGTGTCTATTCTAGTGAGGACAAACCTCTGCTCTTTCCATGATGGAAGAGGTCCAATATAATCAAGCTGCCACCGAGTAGCAGGCTGATCAACCCGAGGAACAGTGTCATATGGAGGGCTCAGTGTTGGTCTCTGCTGCTGGCATATTGAACACTCAACAGTGGCCATAGCCAGGCCAGCCTTGGTGAGTGGGAGTCCATGTTGCTGAGCCCATGTGTAACCTCCATCCCTGCCACCACGGCCACTTTGTTCATGGGCCCATTGGGTGATGCAGGGGTGGCTGGGGATAGAGGTTGAGTGGTGTCCACAGAACAGGTCATCCCATTCCCTTGATTATTAAAATCCTCCTCTGCTGAGGTCACCTGTTGGTGAGCACTCACATGGGATACAAATATACAGTTTTTGACCACTCAGAGAGGTCTATCCACATACTTCTTCCCCAAATTTCTTTGTACCAATTTTCCAAAAATGCTTCTTCCAAGTCCCTGACCATCCAGCCAAACCATGAGCTACAGCCCATGAATCAGAATATAATCGCACATCTGGCCATTTCTCCTTCCATGCAAAGTGCACTACCAGGTGAACTGCTCAAAGTTCTGCCCACAAGGAAGATTTCCCTTCACCTCTGTCCTTCAGGGATGTCCAAAAAATAGGCTATAGTGCTGCAGCTGTCCATTTTTGTCTGGTATCTGCATATTGTGCAGGACCATCTGTGAACCAGGCCCTAATCTTTTCATCCTCTGTCATCTGATCATAGGGAACTCCCCATGAGGCCACTGGTGCAGGCTGGGAAAGAAAAGGCAGGGTGGAAGGAGTAGAGACCATGGACATTTGAACCACTTCCTCATGTAACTTACTTGTGCCTTCAGGATCTGCTTGAGCCCAATCGCATATATACCACTTCCATCTGATGATGGAATGCTGCTGTGCACAACTCACTTTATGACTAAATGGGAAAGAAAGCACCCAGTTCATGACAGACAGTTCAGGTTGCATGGTTACTTGATCACCCAAAGGATAACATTCAATTTCTACCAAAGCCCAGTAACAGGCCAAAAGCTGTCTCTTAAAAGGAGAGTAGTTATCTGCAGAAGATGGCAGAACCTTGCTCCAAAATCCTAGAGGCCTCTGCTGTGATTCACCTATACGGACCTACCAAAGGCTCCAAACAGCATCCCTATCTGCCACTGACACCTCAGGCACAATTGGATCTGCTGGGTCTTATGGCCCAACTGTCAGAGCAGCTTGCACAGCAGCCTTGACCTGTAGCAGAGCCTTCTCCTGTTCTGGACCCCACTCAAAACTGGCAGCCTTTTGAGTCACTTGATAAATGGGCCAGAGTAACATACCCAAATGAGGGATGTGTTGCCTCCAAAACCCAAATAGGTCCACTAGGCATTGTGCCTTTTTCTTGGTTGCAGGGGGTGCCAAATGCAGCAACTTATCCTTCATCTTAGAAGGAATGTCTTGACAGACCACACACAACTGGACCCCTGGAAATTTTACTGAGGTAGAAGTTCCCTGAATTTTAGTTGATTTTATTTCCCATCTTCTGGCATGCAAATGTCTCACCAATAAGTCCAGTGTGTTTGCTGCTTCTTGCTCAGTGGATCCAGTCAGCATAATGTCATCAGTGTAATGGACCAGTGTGATATCTTGTGGAAGCTAAAAGTGATCAAGGTTTCTCTGAATAAGATTATTACACAAAGCCAGAGAGTTGATATACCCCTGAGGTAGGACTGTAAACATACATTGCTGGCTTTGCCAGCTGAAGGCAGATTGCTTCTGGAAAGCCTTATGGACATGAATGGAAAAAAAGCATTTGCCAAGTCAATGGCTGCATACCAGGTATGAGGAGGTGTGTTGATTTGCTCAAGCAATGAAGCCACATCTGGTACAGCAGCTGCAATTGGAGTCAACACTTGGTTAAGCTTACGATAATCCACTGTCATTTTCCAAGATCCATCTGTCTTCTGCACAGGCCAAATGGGAGAGTTAAATGGGGATGTGGTGGGAATCACACCTCAATGTCTTTCAAATCCTTGATGGCGGCACTCATCTCCACAATTCCTCCAGGGATGCAATATTGTTTTTGATTTACTATTTTTCAAGCTCTAATGGTTTCCGTTGACCTTTCCCACCACAATAACCTTCACCCTATCAGGCAGGGAGCCAACGTGGGGGTTCTGCCAGCTGCTACATATGTCTGTGCCAATTTTGCATTCTGGCACTGGGGAAATGACCACAGGATGAGTCCGGGGACCCACTCAATCCACTGTAAGTCAGACCTCAGCTAAAACTCCATTAATTACCTGACCTTCATAAGCCCCTACTTTAACTGGAGGACCACAATAACGTTTTGGGTCCCCTGGAATCAGCATCAGCTCAGAGACAGTGTTCAGTAGTCCCTAAAATATCTGACCATTTCCCTTTCCCCAATGCACAGTTACCCTGGTAAAAGGCCGGAGGTCTCCTTGGGGAAGGATGAGAGAAAGATTCACTGCATACATTGTTGGTAATGTAGTGGGGTCTTCCTTAAGGGAATCTAGCCTCCCCTTCATTCAAGGAGGTCTGGGTCTGTAAACTCGTTTAAGTCTGGAAATTGATTGAGGGGTCATGATTCTCTATTTTTGTAATTCAAATTAGTATTTTATCCATTTGACCTAGAAGTTTTCTTCTCATATAAATTAAGTAGGAATGCAGTAGGCTTCCTACAAATGTCACTTCTAGAAAACAGTTATTAATTAGCCAAAGTGAGAACTCTACATGAGTCAAATTATTCTGATGGCTGCTTTGTCTCTGCTGTCCATTATGGTAGCAAGCAAAGGCTCACCTTGCCTTTGACGGCTGAGAGCCACCACTTGGCCCCTTTCATCTTGGGATTCTCCATTGTATTTACATTTTGTAGTTGAGTGACTGTGATTCCCACTTTTAGATCTGACATACAGAGAAGAGCAACAGGGCTCTTCAAAGATGAAGACACACAGGGCTCTCCAAAGATGCAGGTGCTGCCCTCACAAATCTATTTCATAAGGCATTGGTCAAGGGTATATATTCTGGATCCTCCCAGCTGGCATGAGTGGGTCTAAAGTGACTAATCCACTCCACCATCCCAATGTCCCTAAGCCTTTGGATCCCTTCCTTTACATTAAGCCAAGGGAGATTAGAGATGTCCAGCTCACTTACAGTGGGCCATCTTCTAATTCATATTTCAGCTAACCAAGCAAATAATCTATTAGAAACTTTTTTAACTCCCTGAGCTGCATTAAAAGCAGAGTCCCTACTTAGTGGGTCCGAATCAATAAATTCAGCCTGATCCAACTCTATGTTCCTTCCACCATTATTTCATATCCTTAATATTCATTCCCATGCCTGTTATCCAGATTTCTGTTTATATAAATTAGAAAACTCAAGCAGTTCTTTTTGAATGTAGTGCATCTCCTCATGGGTGATACTCTTAACCTCACCTCTAGGGGCCCACCAGGGCTTTAGTCTAGTTATAGGTCTAGAAGCAAACAGGGGTCTTGGGGATGGCTTCTGAGGAAAATCAACATTATTTTGCCTGGCAACTGCCTCAGGGGAGGCCATCGCTGTTGCCTCAGGCAGTGCAGGGTTTATCACCTCAGACGAAGGTGGAAAGGCTGACGGCAGCATGGGTCCCGTAGGGGATGTTGCCACTACTGGGGATAGGGAGGCTGTTCCATCTAGCAAAAGAACTTCATCAGAGTTTACAAACTCTATGTCCCCAGCTTCATCAGGTTCTCTCACACATCCCCATTCCAACTTGCAGAGTCCCATTCTTTTCCAATCAATGCCCTCACTTTAACAGTAGACACCTGTCGAGGCTGTGCATGCACCTTTCATTGCAGGTCAGCCACTCACATGATAAGAGCTTGTGTCTGTTTTTCCACAATTTCAGCTCTTTCTCTTCAGGAGATAAGAATCACTCAGGGCAATCCTAGCAGATTTGAGGCTCACTATCTGCTCCTGATGCTGGGAGACAGAATCCTTGAGTTCATCATTTTCTTTCATCACTTTGTCCACTGAATTTAGGAGCAACCAACCAGTTTCAATATGCTCCTTGGTTCTTCCCATATGGTCAAATATATTATGTATAGAGTTACTAACCTCCTTGCCTCTGATAAGTGGTGAATCAGGAGTGTCAACTCATTTATTTTGCATAACTTTCTAAACAGTTTATGCCAAGGACTATCAGTGTTCTCCATACTATTAGAAGTAGAGTCCTTAGCATTTTTGAGTCAATCATATTAAGCAGCCAACTTCAGAAACACCAAAATCAATGAAAAAATTCCATACTTCATATTCTGTTCCTCTAGAACCACTCCTGGTACCAAAATCTGTATTAGTCAGGGTTCTCTAGATGGACAGAACTAATAGGATAGATATATAAAGGATTTTATTAAGTATTAACTTACATGATCACAAGATCCCACAATAGGCTGTCTGCAAGCTTGAGAAGCAAGGAGAGCCAGTCTGAGTCTCAAAACTGAAGAACTTGGAGTCTGATATTTGAGGGCAGGAAGCATCCAGCACGGGAGAAAGATGTAGGCTGGGAGGCTCAGCTAGTCTCACCTTTTCATGTTTTTCTGCCTGCTTTATATTCACAGGGAGCTTATTCAATTGTGCCCACCAGATTAAAGGTGGGTTTGCCATTCCCAGCCCACTGACTCAAATGTTAATCTCCTTTGGCAACACGCTCACAGACACACCCAGGATCAATACTTGCATCCTTCAATCCAATCAAGTTGAAACTCAGTATTAACCATCACACCCCAACATGACAGTGCTGTCCAAAGTTCTGAGGCTAATACTCCAGTATAATTATATGTATCTGTGTGATTCCTGTAATCATACCAGTATATGTGTATTACTTTAGTAGAAACTTTAGCTATAGATAAATCAAAAGAAGAGATACAAAGAATTAAAATTATATTAGAAATATGTGTCAACCTTTATCACAACAAGCTAAAATATTTAACTATTGAGTCAGGTGCAGTAGAGAGAGTTTAAAACTTAGAATTTCCTTGATTTCCAAGGACAGGGGATTTTGCATGGATGATCTGAGATATACATGATTTCTGTAGTTGAAGACAGGACAAAGCTATCATCACATTAGACAAGATGATGAGAAAAGAGTGAATTGTGTCAGTTTTCAGGCAAATTAAGCATTTTAGATTATCATGGTATCACTTCATACGTGAATAAACAGATTCATGGCCCATTTTCCTTAGTAAATAAAGAAGAAAAGTGAGTAAGTCATTACCTAGTCTAAACACTTGCCTAAAACATCTTAGTAGTTTTAAATATTTTTAAGCGAGTTTAATTTTTATTTTTTTAAATTGATTATACATTATTCAATCCATTTCAATATGACTTTGAAAATATTTATAATATGCAAAATTAGCTAATGGACATATTTTAAAAATCTAGTCATTAGAAATCTTCATGTGGAAGATCAGAACACTTTTAAATCTGTTATTCATTCAAACATAGTTTATGATCAAAATGAGCAGATGTTGACTTTTTTAGAAGGAGAAGTTTCTATGCACACAGATCCCATGTTTCTGACATGACATCTGTATTCTCTTAGCAATTATTGTGAGAGTTATGCAGCTGCCATGGCTTCAAACCTTATCCCAGATTTGGGATTACATCAGTGTACACAGCTAAAAGATGTTCCAAAATGTGCAAGTAGAGGAAAATATGAACTTTTTTTCCAACTTTGAAATGAATAACACTTTTTTTTGCAGAGGTTTATATCAAATTCTTAGAGTGATAAAGTAAAAGAAACGGATTAACAGTGTTGTAATATTCCAAGTCAAAATAAAGAAATAAAAATGTATAATGTGATATTGAGAAGAAGCATCCTTGTAGAGGTTTGTACCTGTCCTTCAAAGCTTAAAAAGTGAAAAATGTCTAGGCACAAACAACAATAGGTAAGAGGCAAGAGGTATATTAAGCACACTGAATTATATTTGTGGAATATATTATATTCCACTTTATTGTTGGAAGAAACTTGAACTTAGAAATTAAATCTGAATTTTGAGAGTTTACATTGTATTTATTCTGACAAAATATGATGTGTTATTGAATTTAAAATATTACTAAAAGATGTCAGAAAGATTCCTTCAGAGTGTTAAATATCTACCAAGAAAGGAACTTTGGCAACCAAATATAAACACCTAAGGGGACAAATGGTATTTCAAAAGGTATTACGTATTTCTCAAGCCAGATGGCTGACTAGAGGTATTGGACACTTGCTGTTTCCAGAGGAAAAAAAAAGCCAAAATTACAAATAGATAATCACATCTGGCACAGAGCATCTGAGAGAGAACAATGAAATTCAACTGATAAGTCATGAAAAACAATTGAGGCATGGCAAGAAAGGAAAGTGAGGCACTCAGTTCTTCTGGGATTGGCTGGTTGCTGGGAGAGGCTCAATATTGTGGAGAAAGCTAAGTGAAACCCTCAGTTGTCCACGTTTTCACCACAGACTATTCTGATCCTAGCCATGGGAGAGTTCTTCTACACACACAGGCCCTGGGGCTGTCATGGGTGGCAGCCTGGGGACCCCATGTGGACATTGCTCTACAGAGGGAGTCTGCACTGAGTCATATATTCCCACCCTCAAGACCTAAACAGCTGCAGCACACTGTAATTTTGACAACTCAGCCTCCACCAGACAGGATTCTGCTTTGGGACTCAACAGTCCCTGCACCTCTCCATCCCCAAAACCTCCAGTGACACCCTGAGCATCCACCTGGAGATCTGCACTGGCACAGAGCTGGCACAGTGCTGAGGTCCTGTGGGGTCCTCAACACTCTAGACCAAATAGAGTCCTGCTCCCCAGAGAAGGGGCAATGCAACACACTGACAAGGCTGCCCCAGGACAAAGGGAACCAAAACATATACTTTCCAGAACCTGAGAGGTGCCTGCCTGAGACTATGGGCAGAGAAGCCTCATCTCCCGCTTTTGCCCTCACTAGTAGCAGACCTATGAGCTTTACCTCCTGGACAGGGACCAGATCCTGTTCCTGATCACACACTGCCACAACTGCTGCTGACACCAGAAAACAAAGCAAATATTACCTAAAGTCTAAGAGTTCCGTGTCTGGGGCTGTGGAGTGCAGCCTGGCCTACACCAGAAGCACAACTTCTGGGCTTGAGCTAACATCCAGACACCAGGATCCCTCCCCATGTCACACACCAATGCAGTTGCTGCTACCAGCAACCAAAATGAGCAGTAGCCTGAGTTTAAGAGCTGCCTTTCTGGGGTTGTTAAGAGCAATCCTCTCTCCAGCATCAAAATGACCTCTGAGCTCTAGCATGTGCCCTGAGATCAGGCTCTCCACAACCACCATTGCAGACCATCCGGCCCTACCTACTACAGCCTGTGACTCTGGACACCACTGAGGGCCTAAAGTCAAGCCCGCCTGGCCTGGCACCATCCCTTTAATGGGCAAGCATGCTGCCTGTGGACATGGTAATCTCCCTGACCATTCCTCCACCTTAGGCATATGTGGGCTCCCCCTAGAAACCTGAAGACATGTCCACCTAGCCTGCCACAAACACCACTGGCACCCACCAGCACATGCCAGCTGAGTGCCTGGGAACTGGCCTGCCCAGCTCATTGTGGCTACTACTAAAAGTAGTGAGTGCCAGCTGTGAGCCGAAGGGTTGTCCTACTACTGTTACTACCATCACTCATGCCACACACAATGTCCAGGGGCCTGAGGACCCACTTGTCCAACTGGCCCACTACTGCCACTGCCAACACCTGAGCAAACTGCCTGGGGGGGGGGGTCCAAAAATTGGACCACCTGCACCTGCTAAAACTAATGTCTACATATGCTGCCCAGGCGTGAAATGACAGGCATGCTCGGGCCACTACTGTAATCACCAAGGCTTGAGGACTGCCCACCTGACATTCTCTCCCCAGCAAAGTGTCACCACAGCCTGTACTGAGAACTGCAGCCAAGCCACCGAGGAAATTACAGACATCACTGATTCAGTACACAGTCAGTTAAATCATATGAAGACTACCCTACTGCAAGAATCCAGAACCAAAGCTGAGGTACACTTCCCAACCATCAACATAGGCACATCTTGAGAAAAAATGTCTTCCTCTATAAAAGTTAACTCAAATATTAGAAAATGCTTTGTTCTTTTTGCTTAGAATTGCTTTGCCAATTCAGGCTCATTTTTTACTTCATATAAATTCTACAACAATTTTTTCTAATTATCTGAAGAATGATGTTGGGAGTCTGATAGGAACAGCATTGCATCTGTAAATTGCTTTGGGCAGTATTGCTATTTTAATTATATTGCTTCTCCCAATCCATGATCATGGACTATATTTCCATTGGTTTGTGTTGGCTCTGATTTCTTTCTGCAGTGTTCTGTAGTTCTTGTCGAGATCTTTCACTTCCCTGGTTAGCTGTATTTCTAGGTATTTCATTTTCTTTGTAGCTCTTGTAAATGGAATTGTGTTCTTGATTTGACTCTCAGCCTGGACATTATTGGTGTATAGAGATGTTACCGATTTTTGGATATCAATTTTGTATCCTGAAACCTTACCCAAATAATTTATCAGTTCTAGTAGCCTTTTGGTGGAGTCTTTAATGTTTTCCAAGTATTGAATCATAATGTCTGTGAGGAGAGATAATTTGACTTCTTCTTTTCCTATTTGGACGCCTTTTATCTGTTTCTTTTGCCTGATTGCTCTGGCTAGGACTTCTAGTCCTATGTTGAATAAAAGATGATGGTAATCAAAACATCATGGTACTGGTACAAAACCAGACACATGCACTAATGGAACAAAATAGAAAACTCAGAAATAAAGTCACACATCCACAATGATCTGATCCTTGACAAGGCCAACAAAAACAAGTAATGGGAAAAGAAAACCCTATTTGATAAATGGTACTAGAATAACTGACTAGTCATATACAGAAAATTGAAGCTGGACCCTTACCTCTCACCATGTACATAGATTAACTCAATATGGATTAAAAATTTAAGACCTAGAATCTTAAATGTAAGACTTCAAACTATCTGCATCCTAAAAGAAAACCTAGGAAAATACTCTTCTTGACATTGGCTTTGGCAAAGAATTTGGGGCTAAGTGCCAAAATTAATTGCAACAAAACCAAAAATTAATAAATGAGATTTAACTAAACTAAAAAGCTTCTTCACAGAAAAAAAAGCTATAATAAACAGACAAACTACCAAATGGGGGAAAAATAATAGCTGTTTTGACTGAAGTGAGAAACACAAAAGTATAAAACTCACTGTTAAAGCAAACAAATGAAAAAGAAAGAGAAAGGTCTCAAATGGTCCCACTACAAAAAATTACCAAAGTACAATGACAAATAATAAGAAAAAAATGAATAAAGTATATACAAAACAGTGAGAGAACAATTAACAGTATGACAGGAATAAAACTTCACATATCATTGATAACCTTGAATATAAATTGATTAAATTTTCCAATTAAATGATACACAGACTGGCCAAATTAATTTTAAAAAAGTGATGCAACTATATGCTGCCTACAAGAAACATACTTTATCCACAACAGAGCAGAAGTAGCTGTACTTAATATGAGATAAAATAGACACTAAGGCAAAAACAGTAAAAAAAGAAAAAGAAGGTTACTATAAAATGATAAAGGGATCAATCCAACAAGAGGATGATCTAAGTCTAAATATATGTGCACTCAACACTTGAACTCCCAAATACATAAGGCAAATATAATTAGACCTAAAGATAGAGTTAAGGTCCAATACAGTAATAGTTGGGGACTGTCACACTCCACTCTCAGCATTAGATGAATTATCTAGACATAAAATCAACGACAAAAAATCACATTGTAATTGAACTGGAATTTAGACCAAAATGGACCTAAGAGATATTTACAGAATATTTCACCCAAGAGCTGCAGAATACACATTCTTGTCCTTGTCACATGGATCATACTCTATAACAGACTATGTTAGGCCACAAAATAAGTCCCAACAAACTTAAAATAATTGAAATCATATCAAGCCTTTTATCAGAACTAGATGGAATAAAGCCAGAAATTAATACCATGAGAAACTTTGGAACTGTACAAATTCATGAAAATTAAGCAACATTATCTTGAACAAAGATTTGATCAATGAAGAAATTCAGATGAAAATCCAAACATTTCTTGAAACAAATCGAAATAAAAACACAACATATAAAAATCTTTGGGATAGAGCAAAAGCAGTCCTAATATGGAAGTTTATAGCAATAAACACCTACATCAAAAAGTAGAAAGATTTCAGATAAACAATCTAATGATATATCTCAGTTAACTAGGAAAGCAAGAACAAACCAAACCTAAAATTAGTAAAGAAAAGAAATAATAATGATCGTAACAGAAATAAATGAAACAGATACATAAAACAGTAGAACATCATAACAAAATGAAAAGTTGGTTTTTTGAGAAAAAAACAAAATCAATAGACTGCTAGGTAAACTAAACAAAAAAGAATAAGAGAAGACCCAAATAAAATAAAAAATGAAAAATGTGACATGATAATTAATAGTACAGAAATAAACAGAACACCAAAAACTATTATGAATACTTATATGATGACAAACTGGAAAACTTAGAGGAAATGGATAAATTTCTGGAAACATACAACCTACCAAGACTAAATTAGGAAGAACAGAAAGTCTGAACAGACCAATAACAAAAAAGTGAGATTTACTAAGTAACAAAAACTCTTCCAACAAAGAAAAACCCAGGACTGAATGGATTCACTACCAAATTCTATCAAATGTGAAAAGAACTAATACCAATCCTTCTCAAACTATTCCAAAAAATTGAAGAGCATGAAATTAGGGAATTCTACCTAAGTCCTTTTACCAGACTAGCATAACACTGATACCAAAACTGGACAAGGACACAACAAATAAAGAAAACTACAGTCCACCATCCCTGATTAACAGACACAAAACTTCTCAACAGAATACTAGCAAGCAAAATTGAATAGCACCATCAAAAAGATAGTACACCATGATCAAGTGGAATTTGTACTAGTGATGCAAGGATGGTTCACCATGTACAAATCAATAGACATGATACATCACATCAAGTAATGAAGGACTAAAACTATATGATCGTGTCAGCAAATACAGGAAAAGCATTGATAAAATTCAGGATCTCTTCATGATAAAAACTATCAACAAACTAAGCACAGAAGAAACATACACTAAAATAATAAAGGTCATATATGATTATATGGTTTGGCTGTGTCTCCACCCAAATCTCATCTTGAATTATAGTATCCATAATCCCCACGTGTCATGAGAGAGGCCCAGTGGGAGGTATTTGAATCTTAGGAGCAGTTTCCCCATTCTGTTCTTGTGGTAGTGAGTTCGTTCTCATGATATCTGATGGTTTTATAAGGGGCTTTTCCCGCTTTGGCCAGCACTTCTCCTTCCTACCACCTTGTGAAGAAAGATGTGTTTGCTTCCCCTTCCACCATGGTTGTAAATTTCCTGAGGCCTCCCCGGTCCAGCAGAACTGTAAGTCAATTAAACTTCGTTCCTGTGTAAATTACCCAGTCTCAACCAGTTCTTTGTAGCAGCATCAGAACAGAGTAATACATATGACAAACCCACAGCCAACATCACACTGAATAGAGAAAAGTTGAAAGTCTTTTCTCTAAGAACTGGAATAAGACAAAGAGGCGCACTTTTACAATTCCTATTCAACATAGTGCTGGAAGTCTCAGCCAGAGAAATCAGGCAAGAGAAGTAAATAAAAGGCAGCCAAATTGGAAAAGAGGAAGTCAAATTGTTCCTGCTTGCAAACAATATGAACTTATATTTAGAATAAAACATAGACTGCACCAAACAATGCTTAGAACAGATAAACAAATTCAGTAAAGTTGCAGGATACAAAATAAACATACAAAAATTAGTAGTGTTTCTATACACCAATAATGAAACAGCTGAAAACAAAATCGAGAAGGCAATCTCATTTACAATAGCTATGCACAGAAAAATAAAATACCCAGGGAGAAATTTAACCAAGGAGGTGATTGACCTCTACAAGGAAAACTATAAAACACTGATGAAGGATATCCAAGAGGACAGAAACAAATAATTAGACATTCCATAATCAGGAGTGGAAAAATTAATATTGTTAAAATGGCCATACTACCAAAATGCAATCTAAAGTTACAATTCAATCTCTGTCAAAATCCCCATGTCGTTTTTCACAGAAATATTTAAAAAATTATAAAATTTTTATGGAACTGAAAAGGAGTCCAAATAGCCAAAGCAATCCTGGACCAAAAAACAAAACAAAACAAAACAAAACAAAAAGCCTGACACATCACACTTCCTGACTTCAAAACATATTACAAAGCTATTGATATAGCTTGAATATTTGTTTCCATACAAATTTCATGTTGAGTTGTAATCCTTAATATTGGAGGTGGGGCTTAGTGGGAGGCATTTGAATTATGGGAGTGCATCACTCATGGCTTGGTGCTGTCTTCATGATAGGGAGTGAGTTCTCATGAGATCTGGTAATTTAAAAGTGTGTGGCACCTTCCCCTGAACTCTCTCTCTCAGTCTCTCCTGCTTCTGCTTTTGCCAGGTGATGTGCCTGATCCTCATTTGTGTTCCAACATGGTTGGAAGCTTCCTGAGGACTCCCCAGAAGCAGATGCCACTGTGCTTCCTGTACAGCCTGCAGAGCCATGAGCCAATTAAATATATTTTCTTTATAAATTACCCAGTATCAAGTGTTTATCACCAAAAGAAATAAGTATGTGAGGTGATTAATATGATAATTGTCATGTTAATTATCACGTTAATATGTTAATTATCATATCCATCACCTCACATACTTATCATTTTCTTTTGGTGACAAACACCTGATTTGATCATTCCACAATGCATGTATGTAATAAAACATCACATTGTACCCCATAAATATTTATAATTATTATTTGTAAGAAAAAATAAAATAACATTTTTTAAAAAGATATAAACTTTTAAGCATTTATATGACAAAGTTTGTCCTATGATAAAATAGGGTAAATAAATTTATATATGTGTGTGTATGTATGTGTTTATATATACATGTATATTCCAGTGTACTTGTACCCCAACTACCAAAGGAGCAAGAAAAGTAAAAGTTTATTGGTCTTAGCAGAAAGGTCTTGAGGATATGTAATTTGTTATAGTAATTGTTTTAGCCATGGTTCTACAGAGAAATTGATATAATAGAATACGTATGTATATATAGAAATGAATTATTCTGAGGAACTGGCTTACATAATATGGACATTAGCAAACTCAAAATTTACAGGGTAGGCCAGCCAGCAGGTTAGAGGCCAAGGAAAGCTGATGTTCCAGCTTAAGTCTGAATGCCATCTGCTGTAGAAACTGGGAAAGTCAGTGAAGTCCAAAAGCAGTGTGCTAGATAATTTCTCCCTTGCTTGGGGGAGGACTTTCTTTTTATACTATTCAGGCCTTCAACTGCCTTCTACATTACTGATGGCAATCTGTTTTTTTCAAAGTCCAATAATGTAAATATTAAGCTTATCAAAAACACCATCACAGAAATGCCCGGAATAATGTTGGATCAGATATCTGGGTACTCTATGACCTAACCAAGTTAATATATAAAATTCACCCTCACAATAATTATTTAAATGATCAGCATGAATTGTCAGTTGATGTGAACCCCAATAATTAATATTTACTGGGTCTACCGAACTACAAGTCAGTAAGATAACATATATATATATATGACTAATTTACCTAGTCTTTAAAATGGGGATGAAAACATACATACCTCACAGATTTACAGTGATGATAAAGAGTGTTATTTATTATATTTATTTATTTATTTATATTATTTTTTATTTTTTGAAACAGAGTCTCACTCTGTCACCCAGGTTCGAGTGCAGTGGCACGATCTTGGCTCACCGCAACCTCTGCCTCGTGGAATCAAGTGATTCTCATTCCTCAGACTCCTAAGTAGCTGAGATTACAGGTGCATGCCAGCATGCCCAGCTAATTTTTGTGTTTTTAGTAGAGATGGGGTTTCACCATGTTGGCCAGGCTGGTCTTGAACTCCTGACCTCAAGTGATCCACCCACCTCAGCCTCCCAAAGTGTTGGTATTACAGGTGTGAGCCACTGCGCCCGGCCAGGACTGTTATTTATAATATTTTTAAAAATACTTGGAAACATATTCAGCACATATTAAATAATATAAGGGAATCAGCAAGGAACACAGAGTATTCTATTAATGACTAACTGTCTGAATATCCCAATGGAATAGTTGAAAAAATTAATGTCAAAAAAGAAGGAATGATGATCCCTTTATTTCCAAAATATGAACTGCATTGACTATTTAAATTTTAAAAAAAATGAATGAATGAATAAAAAATTAGTTTGTGTGTAGAAATCAGTCCATTTATAAAACAAATAGTTTTTCTGAAAATTGGCAGTTGAAGTCCACCCAGGTGGGGGTAAAATATATTTTAAGAATATATAATTTATAAATAAACATCATTAAGTAGACACTATCTTTAAAAATTAAACAATTAAATTAAAGGTTAGAAAAAATAAATTATTTATGTTTGAACTTACTATTTTTCAATTTTTAAAAAGTTATTTTCTTAAAGCCATGGAAGAAATTTTTCATTTAACTCAGAAAATTTCTGCTGCTGACTTCTGGACAATCTAGTCAGTTTGCAAATTAACTAGTTTCTAAATGTGGTTTTAAGATCACAAGATACTGGCAAGGAACAGAGACAATAATATAAACACACTGCTGATTATCATTTCTGTTTGTCATATTAATGATTAATTACTATACAATCGAGTGTATCCATTAGGCTGGAAATCAAATTGGCAGCTAAGCCATCGATAAAAGTAGTATTCTATTTTTAGACTTTTGTACCAGAAATATTTGGAGTAAGTCATCCAAAATGCCTATCATTCAGCTCTTCTGAGGTTCATTTTCTTCAACTATTCCATTGTGATGTTCAGACGGAGGTATTAATACAACACTCTATGTTCCTTGCTAATTACTGTACATTGTTTACTATGTGCTGAACATATTGGGTATTTTTTCAATATAATACTCTTAACTCTAACGTATGATAACATAAAATATATGTTATTATATCAATTTTAAAGTCTAGGTAAATGAGGCGCAGATAGGTTAATTACTTTCCCAAGTTCACTGAGATAGAAAGAGTGGCAGACATACTTCATATCCAAGTAGTCTGACTGCAGACTCTGTGGTCTTAAACACTGCTTTGCTACTTTTACATTACAAGATAGCCATGCAGTTTTGTTGCTGACTGCTCATACAACCTCTTAAGAGTTTGTTTTGTATGGCATAGGATACAAAGATACAAAAGATATAGATACCTATATGTCTAAAAAGGTAAAGTTTTGTGCATATATAACAGGGAAATACAAAATAGAGTCCCAGAGAGACACTATATCATACCTACTACCACAATTGGTAAAATTTAAAATGTGTAATAACATCGAATGATAGCAAAAATGTGGGGTAAAATCTGAATATTTATTTGTTGTTGACAGAGATTCAAAATAGTGCAAGCCTTATAATGAACAGTATGGAATTTTTATTAAAATTGAATTTGGTAAACCCTCTGTGTATGCCTCTGACTTTTGATACAGCAATCCCACTCCTGGCTATGCAAACTAGAGAATGCAATTGTTCAAAGTATTATACAATTTCTTCATCAAATTTGCAGTCTGGTAAAATTTAGTAGGACTGATTTTTGTCTTTTGGGAGACTTCCAGGAATATTCCTTTTCAAAGTTTCCAGGTGGTATTTTCTGGAAGACAGATTGTGATTTGCGTCCCTAGCATGTACAAGAAAACTGCTAACAGCTTTGTTATTTCCTGATGTTATGTTTGGATGTTTGACTTATTCTGCAGCGAAGAAGCTTCTGGATCCTGATATCAGGAGATTTTCTCTAACATTGGCATTCTATTTTACACTGACAAAAACGCTGGCTTTCTAAATTCTGCTCATGTTCTTTTAAAAATGTCTTCTTTTAACTCTACATGTAAGACGGCCTGTCCACAGTATTCAAAAAAACAGCTTGCTGTATGGGTAAAGGGTGATTTTTTAAAATGCTCGCAGAAATATCTGATAATTCCAAGCAACATGCTCATTAATGAAGCTACATTACAGAATACTTAAAAAGAAACCCTTATGTGAGAAATTTCAAGCATTTCTCAGTAAGCCCTATGGATCCGTATAATAGTAGTATGAGCTTGGTGGCAAAATTAAGATGAAGACAAAAAGCAATGGAGTTTTATACATAACAAAGTAGAAAATAATCAGAATGCTTGCTAAATTTTATTTTTAATTTACTTCAGAAAAATTGTGCAGAGTGTAGTACAGCAGTCTCTCCTTATCCATGAGGAATACCTTCCAAGGCATTCAGTGGATGCCTGAAACCTCAAATAGTTCCAAACTCTGTATAAAACATGCACAAATTACTTTTTCATTCTTCACAATTTCATGGACAGAAGATTTGTTCTTACCATAGTAAATTTTGATAACATCAGCATACGATTTTTTTATTTCCTTATGTTGAGAACTTTCACCTCTTCACTTTTAAAGGAAGCACGTTATGGCTTCTCTTTGGTATATCCAAATTGCTGGCATCACCACTCCTGTACTTTGGGGCATTCTCAAGTAAAGTAAAGGTGACCGAACACAAGCACTGCAACACCCTGACAGTTGATCGGATAACTGAGAGGGCTACTAAGTGACTAACGGGCAGGTCGACAGCATGGAGATGGTGAACAGAGCAATGATTGATGTTCGGCAGCTAGGGGGCAAAGAGAGGGCATGAGATCTCATCATGCTGCTCAAAACAGCACACAACTTAAAACTTATAAGTTGCTTACTTCTGAAATTTTCCATCTAATATTTTCAGAAACCATAAAAAGCAAAATTATGGGTAAGGGAAAACTGCTGCACAACAAAAGAGCACAAAATCTGGAACCAGAAGAAAGGCCTTTCTTCAGTTTGTGCTTTTATAGCTTGGATATTGCTGATCTGAAGCCATAATAACATGTAGGAAAGAAAGCAATTATATAAGTTGATTCAGAGATTGAGATAGTACATACAAGCCAAAAATATTTAAAAATTAGAAGTACTATAAAGACATATAAAAATTACTGTCCAAATGAGAACATGATTTCTACTTCAAAGGGGAATTTGTTAAAACATTTTCACTCTTTTTTTTATCCCCCTGGGTACGGAGCAGTAGTAGGTCAGTGCGTGAATACATGTAGTATTCAATAATTCATAAAATTTGAAAGTCTGAATAAGTGAGCATAGCATGAAATTTACTTAATTATGGCATGTGGTTTACATAATTCAAAAGTGAATTTTGCATTACTTACTTTAAGATATAAAAATATATGATGGAATGATGAATGGTAGAGGAAAGAATACATATGTAATACATGTGTTAATATCTGGGTAGTAAGCATTTGGGTGATCATTATAAAATTATTTACACTTTTCTGTATGTTTGACATTTGTTATAATAAAATGTCAAGGGAAAAGGAATAGTAGCATGTGTGAGGGTTTAAATTGCTTTTGTTCTGACTGAGATCCTGAAAGATGACTTGCCAGGAGAGAATGGCTGAGAGAACAGGCTGCTTGACAGGGGGTGACCTTCCTTGAAGGGAGCAGGAAAATAATAATAAAAATGAATGTGTGTCTCTTGTATTCTGGGTTGCCTGGAAAAGATCACAAGCATTCCAAGCCCTCTGTAGGTGTGTTGTGAACCATTTAAGTTTATGAGTGGGTCTGTGAAGGAATTCTTCAACATAGAATTTTTGACTCAATTCAAGGCTTTGCAATCATCAATTAATCCATATTCCATCTATTTTAAAGATTCTTTGCCCATGTAAAAGATGCACACACATTATGTTTTGTCATTTATTGCCCTCTAAATCATTCTTGCATATCACAACTGGGCTTTTTGCCAATGACATATAATTATAGTAGAAGGCTTAACTTACATTGTTTCTATAATCATAAATACAGTTACATCTTGAAAGCACACACACACACACACACACACACATACACAAATCTAAATATATAGAAGAATGACATGAAGATGGAAGGAGGAAAAAATAAATATTAGCTTCTACTTAGAATGTATCTAGGCAGCAAATGTCAGTTATGTTTAAATGGGTGAACAATTTAATAATTTCATTTTGGGTATTATTCAATTTAAAATTTAAACTCTGTATTGAGGTTTGTTATTCTTTCTCACCATTTTTTCTCTTCCTTTTCCCTTCAAACCATGTTTAAGTTAAATTTGTTTATCAGGCAAACTTGCCATGGTGGTTTAAGGACCCTGGCTCCTGGACAGTGATTACTCCTTATCTCAGACTGTTTTTGAGTTTTGACACATGCCACTATATTTCTTCCTGTAAACATCTGCCCTGGCTGCTGAGGTATTCACTACTGTTGTAACTAATCTCCTGGTACACCAATGATTTGGTTCTTTGCCCCACCCTTCCAAACTCAAGGTTAAGGTTAATTTGGCCCACTTCCATCAGAGCAGTACAAATACTCTAAAACCAATGAACCATGTGTTTCACCCCATTCTTGGCTTCAGGAGTTGACCTGACATTTATTCTTACAGGATTACTTCACCCATCACCAAGGCTACACCATGGCAGGTGCACAGGTTTTCAATTCTGTTACCTTTTACATAAGAATATAGTATCATTCCTATGTCACATGCAGACCTAAATGCCTGACAAATGCACCCCCCTCTGCATGAAATACAGTATTTTGTGATGTCCTTTGTTCCAGATTCATAAATGTAAAAAAGACCACATGCCCATTTGCTGTTAGCTTTCCTCTCTATTTATCTGAGGTTTTGTCCTCTCAATATTTCCCAATTTCCTCTTTTGTGCCAAAGCTTAGAAGTGAGAAATGATGAAATTCCAGTTTACTGATAGATACAGATAGGCTGTTAGTCTGTTTATTCCATTCAAAGCCCTCTCTGCTTCCCTCACAATGAAGAATTCCTTTTCCTTCAGTTTCTAAGCAAAATCCACCCATCTTTGCTATGAAGTGATGGAGTATTAGAGTCTTCTCTTAGGATGGGAGTACTGCAAATAATTTTTACAAATTATTGAAGGAAAAATATCCAGGGATTTCACAGAATTATAGCACTATAACTTGTATTATAATTTATAAAAATAAAAGAACAATTTATAGAGCTCCTTTTACAAAACTATCATGTACTAACATGATAATCTATTTTCTTCATATTTATATCAAAATGTATAGAATGTAAAGTAAGTCAAGTTAAATTACCAATAAGTATATGTACTAATTCAAAATTCAATAACTCAATTTACTATTCTATAGTATACTATAAGAGACATATAAACTCTATCTGTCTCTGTCCCTAGATCTTGACACAAAGCTCCTAAAACTTCTATAATTTCCTGAGTGAAAGGAGCACTGACAGTTTCTAAATCCCTCGGAATTTCCTGGATAATTCTTAGGAGCATCTTTTGTTTTCATGAGGCAACTCTTGATGGATTACTGGATAGCCTCAGGATAGGGAACTTGTTGCCAGGTGAAACATCAAGTGATTAGAGGATTGGAACTTTCAATCCCACCCTCCAACATCCAGGAAGGTGATAGGAGCTGAAGGTTTAGTTGATCATCAATGGCCAATAGAGTAATTAGTCATGACTATGTATTGAGGCTTCCACAAAAGCCCCTCATGACTGGGTTTGTAGCACTTTCATATGGCTGAACACCCGGAGGTGCCTGGGAGGTGATGCACCCTGAGAGGATGTGGAAGCTCCATGCCCCTTCCCATATACCTTGTCCTTCATAATCTCTTAATTTGGCTGTCTAAGTGTATACTTTGCAATACCTTCTGTAATAAACTGGTATCCTGACAAAGTAATCAAACTCAGGGAGAAGGTAATGGGGATCCGGATTTATAGCAAGGTGGTTCAGAAGTATAGCTGACAATCTATTACTTGCAACTAACATCTGAAGTGAAAAAAGTCCTGTGTGGCTGAGCCCTTAACCTGTGGGATCTGACTAACTCCAGGTAGATAGTGTCAGAATTGAACTGAATTATAAGACACCCAGTTGGCATCCACTGGATAACTCATTGGATGTTGGTAAAAGAAAATCCCACACACACCTTGATAACCAGAAGGGAAATAGTGTCTGTTATGTGTTGACTGTGTAAGAAAAGAAAATGTTTATCTTACACAACTTTTAATATAATGCTGACAAAATTCAAGCTGAAACCTATAAATGTTTCCACTATATAGTTCTGAATATTGCTTTCTTATACATAAATATGTTATGCTTTCCATTAAAACATCAACTTACAATTTACATATGGGCCCTCCATGTGATTCAGCAATTCTACTCCTAGAGATCTACCCCAAAATGAGCCCATGTGTTGATGAAAAAATATGTACAAGAATTTTCACATTCACTTTATTCCCAGTTACACCGAAACTGGAAAAACCCAAACGTTGGCCAAAAATTGAATAATAAAAATGTGATACATGACACATTGATGGATCTCACAGATATTAGTTGAGAGAAGAAAGAAAAAAGCACATGTAGCCTGGTTCCATTTATATGAAGCTCAAAAACAGATAAAGCTTCTTTATGGTCATAGGAGACAGAATTTATATTATTTCTGAAGTGCCAAGAAATGAGGAATAAAGAATCTTTTGGAGAGCTAGATATGTTTCAAATCTTAGTCTATGAAGTAGATACATGATTGTCTATATATTAAAACATTATTCTAGCTATATACTTGAAGATTAGTGCATTTTGTATTTTGCACATTTTACAATATCAGTGTAATACTTCCTCAAAGAAGAAAGAACATTAACAATAAGCTTTAAACTGATTTGTTGCTTTGAAGAAATTATACATTATGCACAAATCTGAACATCATGGCACAAATACATTTGGAATAGTTCATAATAGGTGATTATTGAATGATTAATGACATGTTACACTAGGAAAAATAGCCTTCAATTAATTATATAGGTCTTTGTCCATGAACATCTACTTTCAATAAGATATTGAAATTAAGGCATATGAAAGAGACTTCATAACAAATATTAACCTTTTTTTCTCTACAAGGTTAATCATCACTCATAGACTATCACATTAGTATCTGAACTTTTTTCTACCTTTCTCTTTTATTTTAGATGATATTAATATTGAGAATACTGACATGTAAGGCTACATAACTCAGTGTTCAGAAAATTTTAATTTTTTGGTAGTTAGAAAAGTGTATGAAGATTTCAAGACCTTTGGGGTTAGTGGTCTAATATATGAGAATGTTGCTGTCTTATGTTTCTTTCAGCTGCATGAACTTGAGCCAACTTTTAACCTCATGGAGAGGATCCTTTAGTTTTAAAGAGAGTGTGAGTGGGCTGAGAGCTGATACAAAGACAGATAAGATGGAGCCTGTGTTCTTATCTACTTACAATCAGTCATAGTGAAATAAGTACACATATATATATATAAAATTAAAGAAATAGACAATTATACAATGAGTTATGCAAATAAGTAGTCTTCATGACTTAATCACCTCCAAATGCCCCACCTCCTAATACCATAACCTTGGGGGTTAGGATTTCAACATATGGATTTTTGCAGGACACAAACACTCAAACTTTACAAGGGGATTGTATTAGTCCATTCTCATGCTGCTATAAAGAACTGCCTGAGACTGGATAATTTATAAAGGAAAGAGATTTAAATGACTCACACTTCTGCAGAGCTGGGGAGGTCTCAGGAAACAAAATCATGGCAGAAGAGGAAGCAAACACATCCTTCTCACGTGGCAGCAGAAGGAGCAGTGCTGAGCAAAAGGGAAAAAGCCTCTTATAAAACCATAAGATCTCATGAGAACTCACCACTATCATAAGAACAGCATGAAGGTAATCACCTCCATGATTGAATTATCTCCCACTGGGATCCCTCCCGTGACACATGACATGGGGATTATGGGAACTATAATTCAAGATGAGATTTGGGTGGGGTCACAGCCAAACCATACCATTCTGCCCCTGGCCCCTCCCAAATCTCATATCCTCACAATTCAAAACACAATCATGCCTATCCAACCAGTCCCCCAAAGTCTTAGCTCATTCCATCATTAACCCAAAAGGCCAACTCCAAAGTCTCATCTGAGACAAGGCAAGTCCTTTTTGCCTAGGAGCCTGTAAAATCAAAAGCAAGTTAGTTACTTCCTAGATGCAATGGGGGTACAGGCATTGGGTAAATACACCCATTCCAAAAGGTAGAAATTGACCAAAATTTAGGGGCTACAAGCCCCATACAAGTCCAAAATCTAGCAGAGTAAAGCTCTAAAATTAGTTCCTTTGTCTCCATGTCTCTTTTCTAGGTCATGCAGATGCAAGTGGTGGGCTTCCACAACATGGAGAAACTCCACCCCTGTGGCTTTGCAGGTTACAGCCCTCCCTCCCAGCTGCTTTCATAGGCTGGTATTGAGTGTCTGCATGGCTTTTCTAGGTGCACAGTGCAAGCTGTAACTGGATCTAACATTTTCAGGTCCAGAGAATGGTGGCCCTCTACCCACAGCTCCACTAGGCAGTGTCCCAGTGGGGAGTCTGTGTGGGATCTCCAACTCCACATTTCACTTCTACACTACCCTATCAGAGATTCTCCATGAGGGCTCCACACCTGCAGCATATTTCTGCTTGGACATCCAGGCATCTCCATAGACCCTCTGAAATCTAGGCAGAGGTTCCCAAACCTCAGTTCTTTACTTCTGTGCACCCACAGGCCCAACATCACGTGAAAACTGCCATGGATTGGGGTTTGCACCCTCTGAAGCAACAGCCTGAGCTGTTCATTGGCTCCTTTTAGCCATGACTGGAGCCGACGCACCTGGGATGCAGGGCACTATGTCCCAAGGTTGCACCGAGCAGAAGGTGGGCCCTGGGCCCAGCAGAAAAAACCACTTTTTCCTTGTTGGCTTCTGGGCCTTTGATGGGAGGGGCTGCTCTAGAAGGTCTCTGACATGCTCTGGGGACAGTTTCCCCATTGTCTTGGTGATTAACTTTCAGCTCCTAATTACTTATGCAAATTTATGCAACTGGCTTGAATTTTTACCCAGAAAATGTTTGGTTTTGTTTTGTTTTGATGACATCAGGCTGCAAATTTTCCAAACTTTTATGCTTGACTTTCACTTGAATGCTTTGCTATTTAGAAATTTCTTATAAATCATGCTGCTATAAAGACACATGCACACATATGTTTATTGTGGCACCACTCACAATAGCAAAGACTTGGAACCAACCCAAACGTCCAACAATGATAGACTGGATTAAGAAAATGTGGCACATATACACCACGGAATACTATGCAGCCATAAAAAATGATGAGTTCATGTCCTTTGTAGGGACATGGATGAAGCTGGAAACCATCATTCTCAGCAAACTATTGCAAGGACAAAAAAACCAAACACCACATGTTCTCACTCATAGGTGGGAATTGAACAATGAGAACACTTGGACACAGGAAGGGGAACATCACACACCAGGGCCTGTTGTGGGGTGGGGGGAGGGGGGAGGGATAGCATTAGGAGATATACCTAATGTAAATGATGAGTTAATGGGTGCAGCCCACCAACATGGCACATGTGTAGTTAATGGGTGCAGCACACCAACATGGCACATGTATACATATGTAACAAACCTGCATGTTGTGCACATGTACCCTAGAACTCAAAGTATAATAAAAAAAATTTTATATATATATATAAAAGAAATTTCTTTTGCCAGATACCCTAGATCATCTCTCACACATTCAAAGTTCCACAGATTTCTTGGGCAGAAGCAATATGCCGCTGGTCTCTTTGCTAAAGCACACCAATAATTACCTCTTTCCAGTTTCTAACAAATTCCTTATCTCCATCTGAGACCACCTCAGCCTGGACTTCATTTCCATATCACTATCATCATTTTGGTCAAAGCCATTCAACAACTCTCTAGGAAGTTTCAAATTTCACACATTTTCCTGTGTTTTTCTGAGCTCACCAAACTGTTGCAACCTCTGCTTGTTACCCAGTTCCAAAGTTGCTTTCACGTATTTAGGTATCCTTATAACAGCACCTTACTTCAAACATGTCCTTCTTCATATGGTGGCAGGAATGAGTGCTAAGCAAGTAGGGAAAAGCCCCCTATACAAATATCAGATCTCGTGAGAATTCACTCACTATCACAAGAACAGGATGGAGGTAACCACCCCCATGATTTAATTACCTCCCACCAGGATTCCTCCCATGAGGGAACTACAATTCAAGATGAGATTTGGGTGGGGACACAGCCAAACCATATAAGGGATTAAACGTAAAGAAGCATCTCTTTCCTGGGAATCAGAAAAAATCATCGAGGGTCATATTCTTTTAATGCAGTCTTTTACATGTAACAGATGTCAACACACAAACAGTATGTAGATGGCATAAATCTAAGAAGACGCAACACTTTTAAGAAACATACAATGAGTTCAAATTTAACATAAATATTTTATGTACACAGTAAATAGCAGAATGTAAAGTAGCAAGTATGGATCATAGGCATATTATAAAATAACAATAATTTCATGTTAATATTGAAAACTACATCCATACACATTTTATTAAAAAAACAAAATTATTATTGTTTTCTTCTAAGCTATAGAATTTAAGCCAAAGATATTTCATACAAATACAATAAAATACTAAGTATGAAGATTACATGTGGGAGTATGCACACGAAATATATATGTAATTGACCTTTGCAGGAATGAAAGAAAATCATCTGTCTTATTCTGTTTAGTGTTGCGATAAAGTAATAACTGAGATTGGGCCAATTTATAAAGAGAAAAAATTTGGCTGGGTTTGGTGGCTTATGCCTGTAATTCCAGCACTTGGGGAGGCTGAGGCGGGCAGATCACCTGAGGTCAGGAGTTTGAGACCAGCCTGATAAATATGATGAAACCCCCGTCACTACTAAAAATTAAAAAAATTAGCTGGGTGTGGTGGCATGCACCTGTAATCCCAGCTACTTTTGAGGCTGTGACAGGAGAATCGCTTGAACCCAGGAGGTGGAGGTTGCAGTGAGCCAAGATCACACCACTGCACTCCAGCCTGGGCAATAGGAGTGTAACTCCATCTCAAAGAAAAGAAAAAAAAGAAAAGAAAGAAAAAAGAAAAGAGAAGAGAGGAGAAGAGAAGAGAAGGGAAAAGCAAAGCAAAGCAAAGCAAAGAAAACAGAAAAGAAAAGAAAAGAAAAGAAAAGAAAAGAAAAGAAAAGAAAAGAAAAGGAAAGGAAAGGAAAGGAAAGGAAAGGAAAGAAAAGAAAAGAAAAGAAAAGAAAGGAAAAGAAAAGAAAAAGAAAAAGAAAAAGAGGTTTATTTGGCTCACACTTCTGCTTACTAGAAGATTGGGATCTGGTGAAAGCCTTAGTCTGCTTTCACTCATGGTGTAAGGCAAAGGGGAGCCAGTATGTGCAGAGATCACATGGAAAGAGAGGGAGCAAGAGAAAGGAAATGGAGGTGCCAAGCTCTTTTTAACAACTACCCTTCTGGGAACTCTCACAAAAACTAATGGAGTGAAAACACACTCAGATCCTCCCAGGGAGGACGTTAATCTATTCATGAAAGATCCACCCGCATAATTCCAACATCTTCCATTAGGCCCCATCTCCAATATGGGGACCAAATTTCAACATGAGATTTGGAGGAGACAAATATCCAAACTGTAGCAACAGCCTTCTTATCGCTTTCTTAAAGATTTTTTTTTTCTGTTTTAATCTTCACATCAATGAAAAGGCTCTGAAAGCTATCTGATGGGGAGAAAAATGCTGACTGCTAAAACTGGGTTAGATTTACTGTCTGGATCTATGTTTAAATTTTGTTTAATATAATTTACAAATTTCTAGGCTGATCCTATTCAGCAATAAGATTATGGGGCCAGAGACCTTAGGATTCATATATTGAGACAGGTTAGACTCTGATTTCCTCTGGAACTCCTATAAAAATGGCAATAACATTTTAATTAACTCAGCAGCTGAGGACTCCGATGTCTACTCTCTTTTCTATGCTTTTTTTCCTCCTAGTTTAATTTTTAACCTGCTCCCAGGCCCCTCTACCTCTCATACCACCTTCCTCAAACATACAAATACACACATGCACACGCATGCACATTTTGGCAGGAGATGATAAAACCATTATTTTCTATTTACTTGACAAATCTACAAATACAATTTAACATCACAAGTTAAGTGTAACATTTTTTAAGTCAAGATTTTGCTTATTGAAAAGGAGGTATTGCCTTTCTCCAGGTTAGAAGCTCTCTTAAAAATAATGACTATTGAAGGTATGCTACAGGCTTTCAACATTAGAAGTACAAATAGTGCTGCAGTTCAACTGTTTGTGAACAATTTCTGATGAGCATTTCCCAGTTTGATCTAAAAGCAATTACAGCAACTCATTTTATTTCTTACACAGAGACTGACAAATATCACAGAACACCTTGAAAATGAGGGCTTCAAAGTGTTTTTTTAACATGGAGACAGAATAATACTATGGAAAAGTAGCATAAGTACTTGACAATGATAACAATAATGTTTTGTCAATTGTGTCTGTTACTTTAATCTAAGCTATAATATTTCCATGGGTAGATATAAGTTTTGTGAGCCTTGAAGCCTATAAAAGCTGTTGGGCTCTCAGTAAGAAGAGAAAATTATGAATACTATAAAATTAGGCACATAGGCATTAGAAGGACAAATGTAATGGATAAATCTTAAAGTTCAAATCTTGTTATTTTCAGGGAATGTACATCTAAGCACTCCATCAAGAATGTGGATAATTAATTTCTGACTATACATAAAACTTTGGTAAGTTTTTCTTAGATTTTCTGTGGTCAAAATCTTTTGAGGAAGTTCATAAACTAAAAACACATTCCATTTTTTAGTAGAGATCTCCTGATAAATATAATAATTTGAATCTAATTTTAAGGTAAAATAGCACTTATTCAATGTGTATTTTTGCCTTACACACGTCAGTGTTCTTGCCCTTAATTCTTATTTTATTTTAAAAAACACCATTTCTACATATTTTAATAAACACAGAAGCATATTTCCCTTCAGGTGACTTTTGATTTATTATTCTTAGCTGCATAAGAATAATAATCATTTTCATTTTTAATTGAAAAATGTCTTACATTTTGCTTCTCTATTTTAGAACATAACACATTCTATTTATTATTCAATTTCATGACATACGAACTCCTAATCTTATATAAAAATAAGATTCCTACAGTGATTATTTACCTTTACTATATGAAAGAGTCTAGGGAAAACAAAAAACAAACAACAACAACAACAACAAAAACGTATTGACTTCTATTTGGTTTTGATTGCTTTCTTGTCCATCTTTTTTATATTCAGAAATGTCTTCATTTTTTGACATATCAATCAATTCCAGGCAAAAGCTTTTTCAAGTTGGAACTGTATTGAGTTTCTCTACTTGTCTATAATGAAATACTTCATTCAAAATTGTTCTAAAGAGAGAATTTAGCTAGATTTCTTGGCCCTTTAGCTTTTCACTGACAAATAGTACTTTTTGTTTTCTTAAGTCCTACATATAAGTGAGAACATGCAGTATTTGTCTTTCTGTGTTTGGCTTGTTCTACTTAACTTAATGACTTCTTCCTCGTATGTTGCTGCAAATTTAATATTTTACGGTTGAATAACATTTCATTGTTTGTATATAGTACATTTTCTTTCTCCATTCATGCAGTAATGGACACTTAGGCTGATATCACGTTTTGGCTATTGTGAAAAAAGTGCTGCAATAAACATAGGAGTGCAAATATCTTTTTGATGTATTGTTTTCCTTTCTTTTGGATATGTACCCAGTAGTGGAATTGCTGGATCATAGGGTAGATTTATTTTTAGTTTTCTGAGGAACACTCCATATTAGAGGCCATACTAATTTACATTCTTATCAACAATGTACAAGGGTTCCTCTTTCTCCATGTTCTTGCCAGCATCTGTTATTTCCTTTTTTCCTTTTTGATAAAAGACATTCTAACTGGAGTGAGATTATATCTCACTGCGGTTTTGATTTTCATTTAGCAGATGATTAATAATGCTGAGCATTTTTTCCTATACCCTTTGGCCATTTGTATGTCTTCTTTTATTAAATGTCCATTCAAGTATTTTCCTTTTTAAAAAATTAGATTATTTGTTTCTTTACTACTGAGTTGTTTGAGCTCCATATGGAGGAAGGTTTTTCACTTGATGTAATCACATCTGTCTATTTTCACTTTGGTTTTCTGTGTTTTGAGGTCTGACACAAAAAATACTTGCCCAGACCAATGTCCTGGAATGTTTCCTCAATGTTTTCTACTAGTAGTTTTATAGTATCAGGTGTTAAATTTCAGTCTTTAATCCATCTTTATTTGATTTCTGTGTATGATGAAAGATAGGGGTCTAGTTTCATTCTTCTGCCTATGGCTATCCAACTTTCCCCAAAACATGTATTAAAGAGACTGTCCTTTTCCCATTTGATGTTCCTTGCATTTTGTCTAAAACGAGTTGACTGTAAATGGATGCATTTATTTCTGTGTCCTCTATTCTGTTCTATTGAACTATGTGTCTGTTTTCATGCCAGTACCATGTTTATTTGGTTACTATGGTATTGTAATATATTCAGAAATCTGGAAGTGTGATGCCTCCAATGTTGCTCCTTTTGCACAGGGTTGCTTTAGCTCTTTGGGGTCTTTTGTGGTTCCATACAAATTTTAGATTTTTCTTATTTCTGTGAATAGTGTAATAGAAATGCCATCTTATTCATATTTCAGTAGAAATTGCATTGAATTTGTAAATTTTGGGGGGTAATATTGCCATTTTAATATAGTAATTCTAATCTATGAGCATGAAATATCCTTCCATTTTCTCCATCCTATTCAATTTCTTTCATTAGTGTTTTATGGTTTCCCTTGTATAGATCTTTCACATATTTGGGTGAATTGATTCCTAGGTTTTTATATTATTTGTATGTTTGCAGTTGGTGTATATAAATGATACTGATTTTTGTAAGTTGATTTTGTATCCTAAAACCGTACTGAATTTATCAATTCTAAAAGTCTTTTGGTGGAATCTAGCTTTTTCTAAATATAAGATTCTTTCATCTGCTCTAATGCTAATGTGACCTCTTCCTTTCTAATTTGGATGTCCTTTATTCCTTTCTCTTGTCTGATTGTTCTGGCCACAACTTCCATTATTATGTTGAATAAAAGTGGTGAAAGTGAGCATTCTTGTATGATTCCAGATCTTAGAGGAAAGGTTATTTTTCTACATTCAGCAAGATGTTGGCTGTGGGTTTGTAATATGTGGCATTTAATATTTTGAAGTATAGTTATTCTATAATCAGTTTGTTAAGGGATTTTATTGATAAAGGAATGTTGAATTTTATCAAATATTTTTCAGCATCTATTGAAATGATCATATGGTTTTTGTTCCTTGGTTCTGTTAATGTGATCTATCACATTTACTGATTTGCATATTTGAACCATCCTCATATCCCTGGGAAGGATACCACTTGATCATAGCGAATGATTTTGTTAATATGCTGTTGAATTCAATTTGCTAGAATTTTGTTGAAGATAGATATTTGCTTTCATGTTCGTTGGTGATACTTGCCTGTAGTTTAATTTTTTTGTGGTTTCTTTGTCTGGGTTTGGTGTCTAGCTAATGCAGGCCTTTTAGAATGAGTTTAGTATTCCTTTGTTTTCATTTTTTTGAAAAGTTTGAGAAAAATTTGTTTTAGTTCTTCATTAAATGTTTGGTGAAATTCATCAGTGAAGCCATCAGGTCCTGGACTTTTTTTGATGAGATCTTTTGTTATGGCTTCAATCCACTTACTCATTGCTTTGTTGAGGTTAACTTTTTCTTTATGGTTCAATCTTCATAGGCTGTATGTGTCTGGGAATTTATCTATATCTTCTAAGTTTTCCAACTTGATGCTGTATATTTGTTTGTAATACTCTCTAATGATTATTTGTATTTTTGTGGTCTTAGTCATTATGTCCCCTTTTTTGTGACTGTATTTATTTGGGCCTTCTCTCCTTTTTTTTATTAGTTTAGCTAAGGTTTTTCAACTTTGTTTATCTTAAAAAAACAACTTTTCATTTTGTTGGGTCTTCTGTGTTCCTTACTGGTCTCAAATTTACTTTTTCTGATCTTTTAATTCTTCTTTACTTTATTCTACAAATTTTGAATTTCATTTGTTCATGCTTTTTGAATTCCCTGAGGTACATAGTTAGGCTATTTATTTAAAGTCTTTCATCTTTTTTGATGTATGCATTTATTGATATAATCTTATCTCTTAATATTGCTTTTGCTGCATCCAATAGATATGTTGTATTTCCATTTTCATTTGTTTCAATATATTTTAAAATTTCCTTCTTAATTTCTTTATTGATCTATTGGTTACTTCAGAGAATGTTGTTTGATCTCCATGTGTTTGTACATTTTTTGACATTCCTCTTGTAATTGCTTTCTAGTTTTATTCTATTATGGTCAGAAATGATACTTGATATAATTTCTACTTCTTTGAATTTGTTGAGATTTGTTTTGTGGCCTAATATATGGTATATTCTGGAGAATGTTTTATGTGCTGATGAAAATAATGTGTACTCAGTAGCAGTCTGGTGAAAGGTGCTGTAAATGTCCGGCCTATTTGGTTTTGTGTGTCATTTATCTATGATGGTCCTTTGCTGATTTTCTGTCTACATGATTTGTCAATTACTGAGCATGGGTTGCTGAAGTCTTCTAGTATTATGGTATAGCAGTCTATTTCTCCCTTATATCTGTTAATGTTTACTTTATATACTTGTTCCAGTGTTGGGTGCACAAATATTTATGATTATTATATCCTAAGCCTATAGTGACCCCTTTATCATTATACATTGATCTTCTTTGTCTCTTTTCAGTCTTTAATTAAAGTCTATTTTAACTACTCCTATTTTTTTGGTCTCCATTTGCATGAAGTACGTATTTTCAACTGTTCCCCTTGAAAATATGTGTGTCTTTATAGGTGAGGTGGGTTTCTGATAGCCAGCACATAGTTGGATCTTGTTTTCTTATTCATGCAGCCACTTTCTTTTAATTAGAGAATTAAGTCCACTTACATTCAGTGTTCTTACTGATAACTAAGAACTTACTTACTGATAACTAAGAACTGCCAATTTGCTACCTGTTTTATGCTTGCATTGTAACTCTTCTCTTCCTTTCTTTTTTTCTTGCTGTCATCCTTTGTGATTCAATGATTTTCTCTAGTATGTTTTTGTTTTTTGGGGTTTTTTTTTGTTTGCTTTTTATTTTCAGTGTATCTATTATTGAATTTTGCACTGTGTTTACCATGAGCCTTTTAGAAATATCTTAATTGCTCTAACCATTTATTTTAATAAGATGACAACTTACCTTAGATCACAAAAAAATTTTTAAAAAAGAAAGAACTTAAAACAATTCTCTAGATTTTAACTCTGATTTCCCATCTTTTAACTTTTGTTCATCTCAATTTATGTATTTTTACATTGCCTGTCTCTTAACAAGTTGATGTACCTATTATTGTTTTGATGTACTTGTATTTTAGTTTTAATACTAAAAACTATTTTTAGTATGAATTGCATATTACACTAATAGTGTTGCAGTATTCTGGGTTGTCTCTTTGCACATTATTTTACCAGTGGGTTTTATACCTTCAAATGTTTTCTTTTTGTACATTAGTGTTTTGGTTTCTTTTGCTTGTTTTTGTTTGTTTGTTTGTTTGTTTGTTCAGAGTGAAGAACTCCCTTCAGCATTTCCTGTTAGATGGGTTTTGTGATGGTGAATTATTTCAGGTTTTGTTTGTATGGGAAAGACACTGTCTCTCCTTTGTTTTTGAGAAACAGCTTTTCTGGATGAAGTATTCTTGGATGACAGTTTATTATTTTTTTCCAATGATTGGGAAATATCACCCACTTTCTTATAGCCTGTAGGTTTCTGTTGAGAAGTCTGTTGTCATATTAGTTGGAGTTCCTTTATATGTTATATGCTTTTTTTTAACTTGCTGCTTTTCAAAAATTATCTCTTTGTTCTTGGTCTTTGATTATTACATGCCCTAGCATAGACTTATTTGGGTCAAATTTGTTTGATGTTCTCTGTCCTTCCTGTTTCTAAATATTTATGTCCTCCTCAAGTTTTGGAAAGTTTTCTGTTAATTTTTTTTTTAATAATCCTTCTGCCACATATTCTTGCTCAACTTTCTCTTGAACCCCAATAATTTTTAGATTTGGTCTTTTTAGTTAATTATCTATTTCTTATAGGTGATCTTTATTCCTTTTTATTCTTTTCCTTTCTCCTCTGTCTGTGTAATTTAAAATAGCCTATGCAAGCTTACTGATTTTTTTCCTCACTTGATTAATTATGCTGTGAAAATACTGCAATAAGTTCTTAAGTTCAGCAAGTGTACTTCTCAGTTCCAAGATTTACGTTCAATTTTTAAAAATTATTTCAATCTATTTGTCATATTTCTCAGATAAATTTTTGAATTGCCTTTCTGTATAGATTATTTTGGAGATTGCTGATTTTTATTAGAACTGCTATTTTGAATTCTTGGTTAGATAACTCACGTATTGGCATCTTTTCAGGGCCATTCAGTGGTTCTATGGTTTGCTTGTTTGGGAAGTCATGGTTCCCTGTTTTCTGTTGTTGCTTGTGGATGCATGTCTATGACTTTGCAATGAAAGATTATTTATTCCAGTCTTCTCTCTCTGACTTGATTTGGTTTTTATTGGTTATCTTCGCTTAGAGAGTCTTCGTAAATTATCTGTTGAATTTCTTATATTTTATTATGCTAGGTCACTTCCTCTATTTTTGTACTAGATGGTGACTAAAGACCAAGTTTGTCTCAGCTCTCGCAATCAACCAGACCTTTGCCAATAGGGAATGGAGGAGGTCCCAAAAAGAGATCATCAGTGTGGTAGTATTGGCAAGGGGCTTGTGCTCAGGAGCCCTGTGTGGAATGTACCTGCTAACATGTGTTTCTGCTGAATAGCCACGCTAATTTGCCATTTCCTTTGGCTGAGTTACAGAGCAGAGGTTTCAGGGGTTGGATATGATAGTCCTGCCTCTCTCATTTGTCTCTGACTATTGTTAGATATATATTTATCTTTAGGCCCACATGATGCTTCCTTTGGGTTGACTCATCAACAGCTCTCCTGTCAAAGAGCCCAAGGTGGTTGGGAAGCTAGTCATCCTCCTCAGTCTCACTATTTCCAGTGAAGAAACCATAAGTTTGGGGAAATTTCCTTTGTGCTTGGTGCCAGGCAGGTTGGGGAAGGAGTATCATTCATATAAAAATCCAATTCCCTTACCCTCTGCTTGAAGTATTTTTATTTTTCTGTGGCCCCAGGAACCGACTCAACCTCATATTTGAGTTCTGGGATATTGCTGATGTTAATCTCAATGCTATATAATTTTCTTTTGGTTTTCTGTGGGGATGAGTGAAGCCAGCTTTCATCTATGCCACCATTTTGGAAACAAGTATTTTTTTTTTTAAATTGTTTCAACTTTTAGTATTCACTGTCATTTAAACCTGGAATGGTTTTGCAAGATAAAAATATTTAAAATGTAAAAGATTTTTACGGAATCTATAACAACCTAAAAATTTAGAACAAACTTATAATAAAATTGTTGAGACAGTCTGATAACCCACTTGTCAAAATCTTATATGTATGGCATTATAAACACCCTATTATCTCAAGAAAATATTAGAAAATAAGTTTTGTAATTAAAAATCTGCTATAAAATAGATAGCCAAAAATAAAAATTTTACTTTTATAAGCAATATGTTCAAATTGTGAAGAAACCCATATTGGGCACATGAATTAAACTCATTAATGTGATATGAAAATCATTCACTGGTAGGATTTTAAATAATTTCCAAAAAGGCTTTATATTACAATGGAATTTATTATTACATATGATAATTTGTACTATATAATGTTTTATATTTAATATGCAATAAAATGGATTTGCTTTCTTCTTTCTTTCTGATGTGGATGTCTTATTTATTTATTTATTTTTTGTCTAATTGCTCTAATTAGTACTTCTAGTATCATGTTAAATAGTAGTGATAAGGGTGGGCATACTTGCCATATAGCAGGTATTAGAGAAAAAGCTTTCATTTTTTTCCTTCTAATTGTAATATAAATTGTGGGCTTTTTACTATTGGCTTTTGTTATGTTGCAAAAGTCTGCCACATGTCTGCCACCTTCATCAGCAACAACACGGCTATCCATGAGCTGTTTAGGTGCATCTTGGGGCCATTCATGGCCATGTTCAGATGCAAGGATTTCTTGCAATGGTATTTGGGTGAGGGCAAGGATGAGATAGAGTTCACTGAGGCTGAGAGCAGCATGAACAACCTGGTGTCCAAGTATCAAGAGCACCAGGATGCCATGGCCAAGGAGGAGGAAATTTGGGAGGACTGGGCTGAGAGGGAAGTAGTCTAGAGTCTTCTGTAACTGGGTAAAGAGTAGAAGCAATTTGAAATCTTTATTCACTAAAAATCTGTTTTATAATTCCCAACATCTCACTATTTGTTCACTTGCTGTTTTTTTTTTTTTTTTTTTTGTGTGTGTGTGTGTGTGTGTTGACATTGCACTCCAATAAAAGCATTTTCATAGTGAAAAAAAGTCTCTGATATGGTTTGGCTGTGTCCCCACCCAAATTTCATCTTGAATTATAGTTCCCATAATCCTCACATGTCATGGGAGGGACCCCAGTGGGAGGCAATTAAATCATGGAGTGGTTACCTTCATGTTGTTCCTATGATAGTGAGTTCTCATGAGATCTGATGTTTGTATAAGGGGCTTTTCCCCTTTTGCTCACCCCTTCTCCTTCCTGCCACCACGTGAAGAAGGATGTGTTTGCTTCCCCTTCTGCCATAATTGTAAGTTTCCTGAGGCTCTGCAGAAATGAGTCAATAAAACCTCTTTCCTTTATAAATAACCCACTCTTGGGCAGTTCTTTATATATAGAATGGATTGATACAGTAAATTGGTACCACAGAGAGTGGCATGCTGCTGTAACAATACCCAGAAATGTGGAAGCAACTTTCGAACAATGTAACAGGCAGAAGCTAGGGCTCAAAAGAAGACAGAACATGTGGGAAAGCTTGAAACTTTCTAGAGACATGGAAGGTTCAGAAGACAGGAAGATGTGGGAAGGTTTGGAACTTGCTGGAGACTTGTTGATGGCTTTGACCAAAATGCTGATAGTGATATGGGCAATGAAGTCCAGGCTGAGGTGGTCTCAGATGGAGATGAGGAACTTGTTGGGAACTGGAGTAAAAGTCACTCTTGCTAGGCAAAGAAACTAGTGGCATTTTGCCCTAGTCCTAGAGATCTGTGGAACTTTGAGTTTGAGAGAGATGATTTAGGAGCAGCAAAGCATTCAAGATGTGACTTGGGCACTGTTAAAAGCATTCAGTTTTATTTATTTACAAAGATATGGTTTGGAATTGGAACTTAGGTTTAAAAGAGAAGCAGAGCTTAAAGTTTGGAAAATTTTCAGCCTGACAATGGGGCAGAAAAGAAAAACCTATTTTCTGGGGAGAAGTTCAAGCTGGCAGCATAAATTTGCATAAGTAACAAGAAGCCAAATGTTAATCACCAAGACAATGGGGAAAATGTCTCCAGGACATGTCAGAGGTCTTCACAGTAGCCCCTTCCATCACAGGCCTGGAGGCCTAGGAGGGAAAAATGGTTAGGAGGATTGGGCCCAGGGCCTTGCTGCTTTATGCAGTCTTGGGAATTGGTGCCCTCAGTCTCAGCCATAGTGAAAAGGGCCAAAAGTAAAGCTCAGCCTGTTGCTTCAGAGGGTGCAATCCCCAAGCTTTGGTGGCTAACACATGGTATTGGGCCTGTGGGTGAACAGAGCTCAAGAATTGAGGTTTTGGAATCTCTACCTAGATTTCAGAGGATGTATGGAGATGCATGGATGTCCTGGCAGAAGTTTACTGCAAGACCGGAGACCTCATGAGTAATCTCCGCTAGGGCAGTGTAGAAGTGAAATGTGGGGTCATAGCCCCACACAGAGTCACCACTTCAGTGCTGCCTAGTGGTGCTGTGAGAAGAGGGTCACTGTCCTCCAGACCCCAGAATGTTAGATCCACCAGCAGCTTGCACTATGTGTCTGGAAAAGCCACAGACACTCAACACTAGCCTGTGAAGGCAGCTGTGAGAGGGAATATACCCTGCAAAGCCACAGAGGTGGAGCTGCCCAAGGCTGTGACAGATGACCTGTTGCATCAGCATGACCTGGATGTGAGATATGGAGTCAAAGGAGATTATTTCAGAGCTTTAGTATTTAACTACTGCCTTATTGGATTTCAGACTAGCGTGGGGTCTGGAGTCCCTTTAATTTGGCCAATAGCTCCCAGTTGAAATGGGTGTATTTACCTAATGCATCTATCCCCATTATATCTAGGAAGTAAATAACTTGCTTTTGATTTTACAGGCTCACAGACAAAAGGGACTTGCCTTATCTCAGATGAGACTTTAGACTTGGACGAGACTGTGGACTTGGACATTTTGGTTAATGCTGGAATGAACTAAGACTTTGGGAGACTGTTAGGTAAGCATTATTGTGTTTTGAAATGTGCAAACATAAGATTTGGGAGAAGCTAAGGTGGTATATGGTTTGGCTGTGTCCCCACCCAAATCTCATCTTGAATTGTAGTTTCCATAATTTCCATGTGTCGTGGGAGGGACCTGGTGGGAGGTAATTGAATCATGGTGGTGGTTACCCCCATGCTGCTGTTATCATGATAGTGAGTTCTCATGAGATCTCATGGTTTTATAAGGCAGTTTTCCCTCTTTGCTCGGCACTTCTCCTTCCTGCTGCCATGTGAAGGAGAAAATGTTTGCTTCCCCTTCTACTATTATTGTAAGTTTCCTGAGACCTCCCCAGCCGTATGGAACTGTGAGTCAATTGAACCTTTTTCCTTTATAAATTACCCAGTGTTGGGCAGTTCTATATAGCAACACGAGAACAAATACAGTCTCTAACCTAATAAAGACCAATAATGAAAGACTCACAGTTTTTATTATAATTAATCTGAAAAAAATGAAAGCTTTTTCTATAAGATCTGGTATAAAGCAATGATACCCACCCTCATCACTACTATTTAATATGGTACTAGACCTATTAGCAACCTAGTTTTTTGAGCACTTTTATTATGAAACAATGTTGAAGTTTGTCAAATATGTTTTCTATATCTATGGAGTTTATCATGTGGTATTTATCTTTCTTTATGACACTATGGTGTATCTCCTTAACTGCTTTGCATATGTTGAACCAAACTTATATCCCAGGGATAAATTTTGGTTGTTCATGGTATACAATCTTTCGAATGTGTCACTGAATTTGGTTTGCTAGTATTTAGGATCCTTGCCTCTAGATTTATTACAGATATTTACCTGTAGTTTTCTTTTTTTTGTGGTGTTTTTGTTCTGGTATTAGGATGATGCCAGCCTCATGAGTGAGTTTCAAGTTATTATTCCTACTTCTATTGTTTGGAAGAGTTTGAGAAGGATTGGTATTATTGCATATTTGAATATTTTGCAGAATTCAGCCATAAAGTTTTCTGGTCCTGGGCTTTTCTTTGTTGGGAGGTGTTTGATTGTTACTTTTATCTCTTTATTTGTTAATAAACTGTTCAAGCTTTCTCTTTCTTCTTAATTCAGTCTCTTAGATTAAAGTTTGTGAGTATGTATCAGTTTTCTCTAGATTACCCAATTTTGGGAATATAATTATTAATAAGATTTCCTCAAGGTTCATTTTATTCCTGTCTGCAAGTTGACATGACCCTATGTATAAAAAACCCTAAAGACGCCACTGAAGAACTGTTAGAATTAATAAGCAAATTTAGTAAAGTTTCAGGATATAAAATAACATACAAAAAATAAGTTAGATTTTTTACACCAATTAATGATATATTCAAAAAAGAAGTCAAGAAAACAATTCCATTCACAATAGCATCAAGAAGAAATAAATACTTAGGAATATATTTAACCAAATAAGTGAAAGATCCTTATACTGAAAACTATGAAACATTCATGAAAGCAATTGAAAAAGACACAGTAAATGAAAAAAATCTAGTTTTTGCATATCAGAAGAATTAATATATTAAAATGTCCATACTACCTAAAGTGATATACTGATTCAATGCAATCTTTGTCAAAATTTTACTGACATTTTTTACATGAATAGAAAAAACAATTCTTAAATTTGTATAGAACCACAAAATACCCCGAGGTCAAAATGATATTAATAAAGAAAGTTAAAGTTGAAGCCATCACACTCCCTGATTTCAAGTTATATTAAAAGCAATGGTAATCAAAACAATATGGTACTGACATAAAAACATATATCTGTACTGACATACAGAGCAATATAACAGAAAAGACAGCCCAGCAATAAACCCAAGCATATATGCTTAACCAATTTTTGACCACACCCCAATAAGACACAATAGATAAATGGGAGTCTCTTCAATAAATGGTGTTAAACAAACTGGATGTTCACATGCAAAAAAAAAAAAACAGAAAAATGACAGAAAGAAACTGGACCCTTATATTACACTATACACAAAAATATGCTCAAAATGAATATTGAAGAGCTGAACATTAGACCTGAAACTCTTAGAAAAAACACAGGAGTAAAGTTCCTTAATATTAGCCTTAGCAAGGATTTTTGGGTTATCTCACCAAAAGCACAGACAATAAAAGCAAAAGTAAACAAGTGGGACTACATCAAGCCAAAAAGGTTCTGCACAGCAAAGGAAACAATGAACAAAATGAAAGGCAGCCAATTGATTGGAAGAAAGCATTTGTGAGCCATATATCATATAACAGGTTAGTATTCAAGATATCTAAGGAACTCACATAACTCAAGATCAAAAAACAAAACAATTTAATCAAATTGATCCAAGGACCTGAATAGGCATTTCTCTAAAGAAGAGGTAAAAATGGCCAACAGTATAGGATAAGCTGGTCAGTATTAGGACTCATCAGGGAAATACAAATTAAAACCACAATGAAATATTACCTCACACCAGTTAGAATAGCTATTATCAAAAACACAAGAAATAATAGTGTTGGCAAGGGCGTGCAGAAAAGAGAACCCTTGTACTCTGTTGGTGGGAATGTAGATTGGTTTAGCCATTGTGGAAAACAATATAGAGATGCCAAAGAAATTAAAAATGGAACTAATGTATGGCCTGGTAATCATTTTGCTGCATATATACACAAAGGAAATGAAATCACCACCTCATAAAGATGTATGCACTCTATGTTAATCACAGTATTATTCACAATAGCCAAGATACGGAAACAACTGAAGTGTCTATAAAAAAAGTCCACAAATAGTGTCCAGTGAATTTGTGGACACTTCAGTTGAGTGAATAAAGAAAATGGATACAGAAAAATATTTGTGTGAGTGTGTGTGTGTGTACACATAATGGAATATCATTAATTCATTATTTAAAAAGGAAATACTGTTATTTTGACAACATCAATGGAGGACCTAGAGGACATTATGCTAAGTGAAATAAATCAAGCACAGAAAGAAAAATACTGCATGATCTCACTTATGCGTGGAATCAAAACACATATACGCACACACTCAAATGTCTCCCCTAAATTCTCAAATAGATAGAAACAGAGAGTAGAAAAATGGCTTGGAGGATAGGAAGATCGAGGTTGAAGGGTACAGTGTCAGGGAGGATAAATAAGCCTTGAGATCTAATGTACAGCATTAGAACTATAGTTAATAATATTGTGTTATATACTACTGGAAGTTTGCTAAGAGAGTAGATTTTAGGTTATGCTACCACACACACACACACACACACACACACACACACACACAAAGGGTATAGACGGATATGTTAATTTACCTGACTGTAACAGTGGATATCCATATGATCGATATGTTAATTTGCTTGGCTATAGCCATCATCTCACTATGTATATGTACAGTGATACATCATGTTATAAACCTAAATATATACAGTAAAAATAAATTTGATAAATTTCTTTTTCTTATTTGTGTTTATTTTAATTGTACCCTTTTGATGATTTTTCTTTCATTTTTAAAAATAAGTGTAATTTCTTAAAGAGAAAAAGTATAGGTTGTTAAAGATAATGCAAATGGGTCTTATTCTTATACCAAACTAGGAGCTAAAAAGCACTCTAGTTTTACGTCAGACTCCACGACCTCATTCACGGAAGGTGGAGTCCCAATGATTAGTTTTTGCATGGAATAAACCTAGACTTAATTTTAGATTTGGGGTCCTAATAGAGTTACAGTTGTTCATCTGAAGCTTAAAGATGATAAAAATGTTTCATGAACTAATAAAAACCCATGTCAAAATCTGCCCAATTCAGAATTATAATCATATGTTCTTTATATATTTTGAAAATATTAATTACTTACAGCACTGTTCTAATATTCAGTCTCTAAATTCAACCTTTAAATCTTATGTCAATGCAAAATTGGTCTTTAGCATTAGTAAAAAAGCCATCATCAAATTGAGCCATGCATCTTGAAAATAAACTACTGAATTATTAGGGGTCTTTGATATCTCTGGAGAGTGAGTTTTTGGACTAAATTTTAAAATGTGAACATAGAACATGAGTTTTGATCAATTTAAATTATTACTGATTTATTCGTGGTCCCAGTTGTGTGTGTGCAAAGCATTAACAGAAATGTGGTTCAATAGAGAAATGCCTTTTGCAACTGATACAAAGCAGCTGAGACAAATTTGTAAAGTACTTCCTACCTCCAGTCCAGAGAAGTTAAGCCATTACTAGTTCTATTCTATCATACAGTATAGTGATTGCAATAAAGCTAAAAGCCTCGCCTGTGATTAGATAATGTGTCGGGGAAGCATCGTTATCCATTGACCCCCACTAGGAATGGCATAGAATGCAGAGCAAAGCTCCTGGCAGTCTGTGGCATGTTTCTGAAAACAATCTGCTAGTTCAGAGAAAAACATAAGCCTCTGGGCTGAAATATGTATGCCTTTTTGTTCTCTCTACATCCACCAAGTCACAAATTTAGATCAAATTCTAATTCTAGAAACTTTCAAAGGACGTTTAGTATTTTTTGTTTCCTTGTTTTTAAAATCCTATAGAACATGTCAAATTCATAATTATATTTTATTTTGTCTTTTTCTAAGGAAAATATATATTTTTTATTCATAAATATTATATAAACAAAATACCCAAATACATGGAATAAAATATAGCTTTGTCCCAGTGAGGCAAACTGTTTATCAGCTTTCTTTTGGGGAATCTTTTTAAAAATCATACATATCATTGGGAATGAGATGTGAACAGGAATGCCAGATGTTGAGGGTATTTGGGGATCTGAATATTGGGTGCCTAGCTAGTAGCAGTGACCAGAGTCCTACTGTTTTGCTAGAAAGGCAGAAGAGTAAGTGATGCCCAAGGAAAAAGGATTGCTTTAAGATAAATTATTAATATGAAAATGGTGGTCTTTCTTCTTTTTTTTTTATTTTGGTGTTTTTGTTTTGTTTTCCATAAAGTACCCAAATCTCACCTAATCTCTTTTAACAGAAACAGAAATATTTATAAATTAATGTATACTATTAAACTAGTGAAATAATATATTATTTCTTATTAAGAGTACCTCCATGTCATTTTAGAAATAAAGAAGACAGGACTTAACAGAATGACAACATAAATTATTATGGAATTTCAGAATTTAGCAAGAGGGGATAGATTTGGATGACAAACTTTCAGGCTCATGTCAAGTCTCCCTGTGCAGACCCCTGTGTATGTCGCCTTGCTTTAAGAAAATCTCATAACGCAGCCAAGAAATGTGGCATGAGCTTTCTGATGAATTAGCTAGTAGCATTTGATCCCATGTATTGGAGTACACAGAAGCACTTTGGCACTTTGTGATTTTTGATTGCTTATAGTAACTACATCATCATCAAGACTAAAGGTAATTTACTTCCAATATTTAATTCCATTTTAGTATATGCCTGAAGAACTCTTTCAACTTGTAAACCGTCCTTCCTCCCTAGTTATACTGGTCGTTATTCTCATCTAGAAATTCAATTATAATGAAGTAGACTAAGCACTGGTGTCACTTAATGTTAACTGGAGCCTGGCTTCTTTCTCTAACATAAGCTATTTCACACAAAATTGTGAAAATGCAAGATATACCTGCAATGCCTTCTGTCTCCTTATTCATATTTGGTATCTTCTTTTCACCCTACACTACATGTAACCCATTCTGCCAACCAGAAAGAACTGTTGGATAATAAAGGATTTGATCAACGAATTCAAGCCGAGATATTAAGGTCTCAAGATGGATAATTATAACTTTTGAATACTGATTAATAACCAAAAGGAGGGTATCTTACATATCATTGCTTTCTTTTTCCTGAAAGTACACTTATGCAAGACAAATATGTTCACATCACTTAACTCCTTGTTTTCCAATTCCATTATGCATTATATCACTTAGAGGGCCTTATAAACTACAGATAATGAGACTTCTCAGATAATTTGGTACATCTGAGAGGGAGCCTGGGAGTCTGTGTCCTGAAACATAAACAGGTCTGAAAACATCTGATTGTCACTCCTCTGAATAGTAGTTTATTCTGCATGAATTTAAGACTGGTGTGAGTGATTGGGTTTATAACTTATAATAATATTTACTATGAATTTGCTTTATTGAACATTTTGATAAATTCAGGAGATACTGAACATTGAATTAATAATGAGTAAGATGAGGCAAGGAAGGGTTAGCTCATGATCTATGATTATGATTTCAGCTTTTACCAAAGTCAAAGGATTCCCTCTTTTAAAAAGTCATTATCACTCTACTACAGCAAAAAGATAGTTCCCTCTAAATAGCTTAATACATACTTAAAAAAAATTTTTAAACATGAAAACATCAGATTCCCAGATGTGGTTTTAATGAGAAAACATACTGGCAAAAATGCCTATAAATGTAACAACATTTAAAATAATGTTTTGATTGTATTCATTGGAGGAGCATTTGCATACATTTTCACATGGGGCTATATATTTGAGAAATAGTCAATCAATTAGAGAAAATGCTTGGGGCACAGATACCTTCACTAGAGGCTAATAGGTATTTAAAATCTGTCTCTTCCCCGACTTGCCACCTTAATTCAAGGTATTACAGAAATTTTCATTAATTAGACCACAGCAAGTTTACCTAGATATGTTTATTCCCATCAATAAGCCTAAAAAAAAGAGAAAAGTCACACTCTAAATAGCAGATCCTGGGTGGCAGGCAACTGCAATAGTTCAGGAAGTGTTTTATTTAACATTCAGTGTACCTCTCCTACAAGATCCATGCAATTTTTTGTTTGTTTTAATTTTTCGTCACAGTTGAGTATCATTGTATTATTCTTTAAGGGTTCAGTTTGTTCTCACGGCTCATCTGTATCATGCTCAACTATTTTCTGTAACTAGAGAAGTCTCAAAACAGGTGTTTAAAAATGCTGCTATTTTCCATTTGGCTTGCAAAGAGAGAACAATACAAACAAGCCATTTCCCTTAGCTTTGGCTCTGCACCAGTGAGAAAGTGCCATAACAGAAGAAATCACTCAGAGAGAAAGTAGCACGCATTTCCTCTTTTGGGAAAGCTATGGGACACTTGAAAGATGATTGGTTTGTGGGACTGGCACTATGAAATTGGAATGCTCAGATTCCAGCTGTGATGAGAATAGAAAATCAGGAACAGGTGGATATACATATATGGGCGTATATGTAATATTAAAATATGTATGTCTAAATGACCCTATTTTCAGTGTTTCATTATGTCTTTTATCTTTTTTATATTAGCCAACAAAAGAGGGCACTTTATCCCATGAGCCCAATCTCTGTATGATCGTCAAATACTCTGTTCTATCAATCTCACCCTTACCAGCTCCTGTAACTCTTTACCTTTCCTTCTATTCATGGTTTTCAAACTCAAACTGTTTTCTGATCATCCTCATAACTTTCTCACTCTAACAGAAACTTTGCCCCCTCTTGAAGGCACTTGTGTTCCCCGCAGCTTTTTCAAATTCTATCAGGTTTTGTTTCGTTTCTCCCGTAATTCTCATAAAACTGAGCCTAAAATTAAGGTAGGTGATCTCCTTGCAATTTTTTTTTGATGTTTAGTCTTCAACAATTTGCTAAAACTGTTCTTGCAAGTGCCATTTTTAAAAAAATCTTATTAGTTTTGTTCATCTCTATGAGTCTTCATCTTTATTGACCTTTAGGTGGCATTTGACCTCGTTGATGATTGTCTCCCTTTGATGCACTTTCTTCCCATTGCATCCGAATGCCACTCTCATGATTTTCCTACTTGGTCACTAGTTAATCTCTGTCATTCTTTTGGGTACCTCTTCTCTTCTTTATGGCATCAGTTGACATGCCATGGGACATTAGAGTTACAGTTATCCTTAAAGCAGTTCTTGGCCTCAGTCTTAAATTTGACATTTAGGTCATGAAGAAATCCTGTTGGGTCATCTTCCAATATCTCCAGAACATGACTTTAAGTGTAACTTCCTATTACCAACCCCTCCTGCCTGCATTAGTGGAATAGGCACAGAACTGGGCTATTTGCTTCCACTTTTACCCCTTAAATTAGATAGAGATGAAAGAGAGAAACAGGGAATTACGTGTTTACAAAACTCTTGAAGAAAAATAGTCTATGTGATTGCCTTAATTTTTAATTTTACTGTCACAAAAAGGCAGAACTGCTGCTGTCTTGGGTCAAAAAAAACCTGTAGAAAACAATGGATAACTTTAAAACGTCTTTGCAATTCTAAGGTGGACGAAATAGCGGGGAATCATAGAATGTTAAATTTTACATCTGAGGAGCCCATGTATCTTCTCACAATTATCAACAGAGGAAGAAGAAAAAACATTGCTCTGTCTCTCCTGTGCTTTCTGACCATAAATCTTAAGGTCACTCTACTTACACAGTAAATTTGTAGGTATTAGACCCAATTTCCTTTACTGATTTTTATTCTACAGTTCCTGTAATTCATAGTAGATAGTATTACTTTCAAAATATTAGAAGTTGATATCCAAGCACAGAATATCTTATATTTAAAAGAGTTAGATGATCACATAACTTGACATCAACAGAAGTTTAATTTCACTGGAATAGTGCACTCAGAAAGGAAGTTATATTTTATCAAATCAGTAATGACAGATACTTACTGTTTTGATACTGTCAAGATAACATGGATTGCTATAGTTAAGTTGGAGCAAGCAAATGTAATAATTTATAATTAAGCAGTGTACATTTGTATATCAACTATAAATACTTGAGTTGTCTGAAATACATTTTTTCCTTCTCCACTTTACTGAATATTGTAAAAAGACAAAAATAAATAGGAATTGTAACAAATTAAACACTATGAATTTGTAAACAAGAAGTTGATAATATGTCTTTAAATCATTCAAGTTCTAACTCCCTAAAAATTAAAATCATATTTAGTATGCTCTTGATTACACAATTGTCTATCCTCAAAAATATTGAAATAGATGAACATATACATACTATGCTTCCTTGCACAATGAAAACAGAATGGTATTAACACATTATTATAAAGATTGATTTATTAAATTGTAAAATAAATTATGGTTGTATCTCTGATAAATCCATAGAAATATAATTCAGTCTTTAAAATCCATACTGTTTTCAATTATGTATGCAGCATATGTCATTTAATTATTATTTATTGCAGAACATTCAGATTTTTGCACCTCTGAAAAATGTTGTTATAAAATTATAGAAGTAGATATATAGATTTGAGATGACAGGTAGACATTGATATAGATATTTGCTTAGCTCCTTATCTATAACAGCTTCCATTTATGTGAACTCATGAAAAATTTTATATTTTTCTGTTTCCACTGCAATTTGAGTACAATTAATAGTTTTAATTTTCTGTCATAATGTAATTGACTTGTTTAATGTGAAACTATTAACAGCATTTATTCACAGACTTTATTTCTAATAAGCATAATACATTAACAAAATATTTTTACATTAAAAAAACTAAGCAAAGAATGTTGACCTATTAACTCATCCTTAAAAATATTGGACTTTTTAATGAAGTGAGATATCTAGTTTTTATTATAGACATTGGTGTATGTAACCAAAATGTTAAGTGGATACTGAGCTTGTCCGGTATCTAAATAATATAGTTTCAAAGAAGCACAAATCAGCAAATAATTTGAGTTAAAACTCATTTTAATCATTAAACCATACCTTGAGGACATGGAAATCAAAATGAAAACAATCTTAATGCATAAAAAATATACTTAATACTTTTCTCAAATTCTCACCCACTGTCAATTTTCCCTACTTGTTGATGATTCCCCCTCAAATGTTAGCAGTCATATAAAACTCTGTTTCATCCAGTTCATTTGGCATTTCTTCTTAATTCCACAATTTCCCTAGAGCCCTCTTAAGTAATTTCAACTCTATTCTGAAAAAAATTCCCCTCTTTTCCTCTTCTTATTATTTTCATTATTCAGTTTCATAAAATGCCAAAGAATATGTTGGAGAGAAAGGTAGATGTTAAGAATATTGACACATTATTAATTTTTGTCCCAATCATATTGATCATTAGAAGTTACACCTTTAGTAGTTGATTTCATTCTGCAGATCTTCCCATGGTGGTCAACTTATTAGAAATGTGATAATTTAGGAATGATTCAGCTATTCTTCACTATTCAAATAATTTATGTGTTTACACTGCTCACCTGCATGTAAGCATTAATATTTTCATAAGCTAAAGAAACATAACATACATGTTTTTATAACATGCGGTAAAAAAATATAGTGTAAGGTACTATGGCAGAATGTTCCATCAAAAAAATTATATATATATATATAATATATATATATATATATAAATGGGGAAACTACTAACACATCAATTAATTATACTTTTATTTTCTATTTCTATTGTAAAACATAAAGCATCTTTTAAGTAAATCCTATCTATTTAGAAATACATATATAAAAATATTGTCCTAGAGAGAAGGTCTTCTATTAAGGTAAAACGATTTCACTCATACATAAACGGACAAAAATCACTAGTCCATTTGGAGATTTTTGTTCCAATAAACAGATTAATTATCGTATAAATTCTCATAAGTATGAAAATAATTACTATTAAGATAATCTTCTAAAGTCATGATGTAGTTTTCTATTATTAGATATAAATAATACTATTATTAATAATAATTGCTCTTATTTGATATTCCATTTATGATAGTTTGTATTTCTTATATGCCACTAATGTTCTGTAATTTAAACAAATTAAAAAAATAGTAGTTGGGTCAATTATAATCTCAATATAAGATTTTAAAATGTATCAAACTTTTAAACAATTGAGTTTAACAGAATCAATATTATTCTCTAGAATGTATACTTAAAAATAATCACCTAATATAATGAAAAGATTTTATTCATTTCATTATCTAAGGAATTTAATTGGTAAATTAATTAATTAATTAATATTGATTCTATAACTTGTTTGATAAATGAGACCATCATACCATAGTATCGATACCAGAAGAAATAAAAGATAATTCAATAAATCAGGATTGATGAGGGTGATCCTTTATTAGAAATCCAACTGCTTTTTGCTCTTAGATAATTCACTTTATTCTAAAGGAAATTCTAGTTCCTATGAGGAAATTGTTGAAAGTGAATACAGTCAATAGACCAAAAGCTTACAAAATGTAATTTACAAATACTTAATGAGCACATGTTCTTAAGGCTCTCTGTGAGGCACATCACAGTCTTTTGACAAAGTTCTGAGTGAGGAAATCCTAAACTGACAACTTCTAAAGTTGTTACTATGAAGTCTAGAAATCCCATGCAGTATTTTAGAAACTACACATACAACACACACAGGCACATATAGGCACACACAAACAATTTTATAGTAATGACAAGGTAAAACGTGTATACACTAAAGATAGTGTTTGTGTCTTTGGAGTGTATGTTCTTAAATTTTTGTTTCTCTTTTCCTAGGAAATGAATATGGTTCTTCCAGTGTAACCTAATTTATCCTGTGACATTTGTTTTCTTTCTACAAGAGATTCTATGATAAGCCATTCATTCCATAATGTAATCTAGAAAAACATTGGAGGTGATTTGTGGTTGCTGTGGCCATTGTGGTCAAGCAGTATTACGAAGTAGAGTGAAAAAAAAAGCAACCACAAAACCCTCTTTGTAGAGTAGGGAATGATAGCTTGTCTTTGGATTTTGTGCCACCTGTCAGTGCTGACTTTATTCATTGTAGCTTGTACTACCCATTAAAGCATCATTAAAATAAATTCTCTGAAAAAGCACACTCATCTTTGCCTCTGATTACGAAGAGTGGAGATTGTATATTAACGCAGATTTTAAGCATTCGTATCATAATTGGACACAAGCTGCTCTGAACATCTGTTTGTTATCAAGAATAAGAATGACATATCTCTTGTTATAGATTTGTTTAATGACCAAATTTTGAAATTATTCCCACAGTATACTAAGAATTTGAGCTGAGCTAGGAGTTGCAGGAAATTGGTATGTGAGAAAAACAATGCTGCCCTCAGCACATATAGATAGTTTTGGTTCCAGAAAGGTATCATTTATGAAGGAATTTTGATTTGAAGTATGACAGTCTCAGTTTTAAACAGTCATTAAAACCATGTTGACATCAATACCTAGGTGCATAACCCCTCTGCCTATTTGTATCCTCAGAATCTATTAAAGTTGTCATTAGTAATTACATGTTCCTGTTTTTAATCATTTTAAATCAGTTTTTATAAAGCCTGCCGTGTATGTATTTGTTTTCCATTACTTTAACAATTTATCACTGGTTAGTTAAGATGCATACTAATAGCTGTCTTTCTTTAAAACTCCTAGTTGTATGTTATATACAGATTTACCCCCATTACCTAGTGATGTTTGGGAATTCGTTATGCATAATCCTTTAAAGTATAAATTCATTCATTTATTTCACAAATACTAGCTGTGTGTGTGTGTGTGTTTGACAGATATATTCAGAATGAAGGGGACAGTACTGAGCAAGATGTGACCCTGATTTTATAAGACGAGGGGAAGAATTAATCAAGTAATCAGAAGCGATGTATGAATACAAACTGCTACAATTGTTGTAAAGGAAAGGGCCTCTGTCCTATGAGGAAAGATAACAAAGATTAGTGACCTAGACTCGGAGGTCAGGAAAGTCATTCCTACATGATTAAAACTTAAGCTGAGGTCTGAGGGATCTTTCCAAAAGGGATGGGAAAGGGGCAGAGGTGATGTAAGAACTTTTCAGTGTAGGATAACATGTGCACTGTTCATGTGGCAGGTCAAATCTTGACACATTACAGGAATAAAAAACAGGACTAGTGTGATTGTGCTATGTGGAGCTAAGGAGAGACATGGTGTGAGATGAGGATGGATAAGTAAACAATGGCTATCATGATGCTTATGTAAAGATTTAGGTCTTTATCCCCAGAGCAATGGGGGTTTAAGGATTTTACATAGGGATTTGCCTATACCATATCTAAACTTTGAAAGTATTACCTGGGGGATGGCATGAGAAGTAAGGGTTGGAGGACATACACAGTAAATACCTGAAGGGTAGTTAATGTAAATACTTCATGTGTGCCATAAAATATGATGGCAGATGAGAAAAATGTGCTCTATATTTAACTTTAAGAATAGCTACTGGGCCCATTTTCTCTCAAATTGCCTCATGTTCCCACTCATCATTTACATGAGAACCTCAGCTTTTAGAATCACTATATAATTAGGGGAGGAAAGCAAGTGAAAATCTGAAGGAAAATAGCCTGATCCCTGCTTGTTAGAGACAATAGATGTCCTCTCTAGCCCACTGTTGCTTCATGCTTTATCCTTTCCATGCAAATGCTTTATTACTTTAGCCTGGAATCATCATGATTTTGTCCTTGGAACACTTTAAATAGATTAGAAAATTCCTATAATCCTTATTTTATTGATTGTTGAGTTTTTCAGAAACAGACTCACCACGGATGATTACATGTGTTTGTTATATGATAGTTAATGATCTTTACCAAAGAGATAAAATGTTCCTTAAAAAATTCACTCCCAAGACCCTGCCCCATGTACTTATTTTCTTTTCTATAATGGTATTTTGCAATGAATTTGGACTGCAAAACACTTACAGAGTACATACTCTGGTGCTTCGGTTGAACTTTGAGTTTTCAGTGGGCAACTATGCCATATGATGAATTATATTTGCTCAATGGTATAGATAAAATAAAGTTTTAAAGAGACAAAATTCTCCAGGGAAACAAATATGATCAGAGTCAATCAATCCCACATCTGGTTATATCTGCAAGAAAGTAGACAAAGTAATACAAAGTGTCTCTGTTGAACAGTCACAAATAAGGAACAATAAATCAAAAGACTGAGGGCAAAATTAGGTTAAAAGCTTGTCTTTTGCTGATGATCTCTTATATTTTTATACCAACCCCAGGGTTGAATTCACCAATTGTTTTCTTTTTCCTGTATTTAGAGTCAAGATTTCAGAATCAAAAGGTTACAGTTCTATGCAAGTCTGGACTGTGAGGATGTTGGAGTAAGCATCTGTCTATCAACCAGTCAATAAACTATAGGGCATAGCCAAGTTTTAAACTTTTTCAAGATGATAACTGTGGTGGGCTTTTATCTATAGAGCATCTAGGTTTGGGGAAAAAAAAACCTACAAATATCTACTCTTGAGTCAACTGCTTAACACACCAAAGGGCTATGTATATGAAATTCTATCCAGAAACAGAAAACCATGCTTTAGTAAATGGGTTTGGTTTTGTGTTAGTTGAGATGAGCCAATGCAAATGAACGTCTGCTTAACCATCTTTTTGTGCCCTATAGAGATAAGATTGATTTGGGGTACTATGTCTGGCAAGTTTTGAAGTCTAAGTTTTCTGAGTCTGAACAGAATCTAGTAACAATATGGGAAATCAGCATACCCGGAGACCTAGTATTTATTCATAAGGCTTCTTTACTGATAATAGCTATTGGGAAAACAATACAAGGAAATATTTCTCGAGTGTCTCATGTGCCAGTCTGGGATCACCCAAATGATAGATATTAACACCACAACTCTGGCTGACTTATTTATTTATTTTTTTTTTGAGACGGAGTTTCGCTCTTGTTGCTCAGGCTACAGTGCAATAGCACAATATTGCCACACCTCAACCTCCGCCTCCGGGATTTAAGTGATTCTCCTATCTCAGCCTCCTGAGTAGCTTGGATTACAGGTGCCCACCACCACGCCCGGCTAATTTTGTATTTTTAGTAGAGACGGGATTTCTCCATGTTGGTCAGGATGGTCTCGAACTCCTGACCTCAGGCGATCTGCCCACCTCAGTCTTCCAAAGTGCTGGGATTATAAATGTGAGCTATTGTGCCCTGCCTAACTCTGGTTGACTTTTATGCCTTCCTAGCCCCAAACTCCTATATCCTCTGTGTTAGTGTACTAAGACTACCATAACAGAATACCATAGACTGGTTTGTTTAAAAAATATAGGTTATTTTCTCACAGTTCTGGAGCTTGGAAGCCCAAGATTATAGTGCTGGCAGGGATAGTTGCTAGTGAGGTTTCTCTCCTTCATTTGCAGATGGGCATCTTCACTGTGTCCTCCCATAACCTTTCTTCTGAGCATGCACACTCGTGCTATCTCTTCCTCCTTATGTAAGGACAAAAGGCTCCACTGTTATAACTTTCATTTACCCTTAATTATATTTTAAAAAGCTTATTTCCAAACACAGTCACACTGGGGATTAGGGCTACAATATAGAAATTTGGAGGGGGGATACAATTAAGTTCATAACATCCCCCAACCTTATACCAACTTTTAGATCCAAGTTGTAGTTATCCTTGAACATACCCTGTAGTGGCCTCAGAAGGGAAGTTTTCCCAGTGTTTGAGAAGAGTTCCCAGTGTCTACATATTATGTTGTGAGTTTCATTGTATCTTCACCGTTTCACTCTTTCAAGCAATTCAAGCATCAGTTGAGTGTCTGTGCCTTATAAAAAGTGTAACTGATTCTCAACTTATATATATTCAACAAAGTGATAAACCAAAGTAATATACTTCAACCCTAGGAGTGAACTATGGAACAAACTACTTGTTTCATAGTTTTATAAAGATTCAAAGTTGAGGATTTTATTGTGTGTATTTGTTTCTGTCTTTAGGGGCACTACAAACATTGAAGCTAAGGTCTACTCCATCCATGGCCAGAGGAATATGATATGTTATTTCTCCCAAGTGAGAACTTAATTATAAGCATATGATATTTTAATATCAATGACAGGTGACCACACTCAGTCACATTCTGCAGAAAACTAGTGTATGGAAAAGGAGTTTCAGTAACATAAAGAGCAATGTATATTTCATAGGCCGTATGTGACAACTAAATTATTTGAATTGTTAACAATGCCCAGGTCCATTCATTCATTCACAAAAGTATTTGCAATTATCAGGTATAGTTTTTATGATTTCTGGTGATAATTATTTTTATGACAGGAATTTTCTTATTTCACACACACACAAATTTATTATCGGCTGATAGCTTTAATTTTTCTCTGTAATAGGATTGAACTATCTTGATTCTACCTAGAATCTGGGTTAAGGAATATTCTTAAATTCTGGCCAGGGAAGGAATAGAGACAGAGCCCTGATTGAATTTTTTAGTGCATTGTTTTTCAAATATTAATATACCACTCACCATAAAGAAATAAAGAAAGAAGGAATTGCCTATTTCTTCCACAATAGAGTAAGTCACATTTGAATAGGATCCAAAGAACAACCCAGTTTTCACACTGTAAACTCACATTGTACACTTCACGCAGAATTTAGTCGTATAGCCCTATTAGTGGCAAGGGCAAGCACATTACTTTGATAAAGTTGTGCTTTCGGCATTTGTGACAACTACTGGGCTTGGTTGTGGATTCCCTGGAGTTCCACTAAGGAAGGAGACAGATCAAAGATTATAATCCTTGCTCCAGGCAAGCTATGCTGCATAGACTTTATTCTAGGCCCTAATTTTTCTTTCCTTCCTTTGAAGATAAATGCTCCAAGTACTATTATTTGTCACTGTCACACACTTAAATATACCTTGACAAATACTGTTACTATTTTAGTAATTTTTGATTCCCTCAATTTAAAGAGCAATTTTCAAGAATGATCAATCTGGGTTTTAAGAAAAGCTCTAACCTCAAAATTTCCATACTTATTTCAGTTAAGGCTAGTCACATTATTGGGTTATGTACCAAAATATTAGTAATTTTAAGGAATCATATTTAAGTAGTATTCTCAAAGCTCCAAGATTTAACTAGGTTAAAATGATTTTTTTTAATGGTCATAAAACAAAGTATTACCTGTATTTATTTTCAAAGTATTTTAAAACACAAATAGGTTCTAAGTGATCATAACCAAATATTCTCTCTCTTTTAATTGAAGAAACTTATACCAGAGGACAACAGAGACAATCTGATGTCACACAACTAGTTGACATGGAATCACTTCTATAGCCTACTTCACCAAATCGCAAATTGAAAGCTATTTTCAAGTTTCAAGAACACTTTCTAAAGAAAATTCAATGGAATTGGGTTTTACCACAGAAAATAGTTTTGTTTACATTTTTTTTCCTGGCAAATTATTTTTCTTTATAAGATATGAGGATTACAAAAGATCAGTAGACAATTAGAGTTTTATTTACAAATATTTACAGAATACTATCAGAAAAGCATCTATTTTAACTTAAAGGAAAGAGAACACAAGAAGAGCAATAGGCAAAGAGATGAGAGGATTAGAAGGAAAAAGCCATTAAATTCAGAGTTGTAAGTGCTTTGCCTGCATTCAATCATTCCATCTGACATAATACTCTAAGGTATTTGCCATCATTATGTCTTATGTACAGACAAACTAAATATTAGGGAGTATAGAGGTGAGTGAAATTGGTCAAGATTACAAAATATTTGACTGTGGAATTGGTATTTGAACTCAAGACTTCTGATTTTTTCTGACTTAAAAAATCAGAAAAAAAATATATATATATATATATCTGTCCTTGAGTCCCATTATAGAGGCAGTAGGAGGAAGAGAGTACCTCATGTTCTGACATAATACTGTAATACATTTACTTAAAATTCATTAATATTCCCATGTTACACATTATTTTTAAATGATGAAGAGAATGACATGAGTATGTCAGTGTATTAACTGCATATTTTTTCTGTCCATGAGCTATCAGTTACAAGAAATACTTTGTTTCTAGGTACAACTAGGCATATACCAAAATCATGTTTAAAAAATTGTATCAGTGAGGTTCTTATCATATTCTAGTCATTTCTTAATAACACTATTTTTTTCAGTAAAGATAAAAGAAAAACAATGAGAAATCAAAAACAGAAACACAAAACAGAAACCACTTATACTAGTAAAGAATCCTGAAGAGTGCAACTACCAAATATTAAAACATATTATATGGGTCTTTTTCTAGTTAGGATATAAATGAAAATGAAAGTTATCATTATCACCATATAAGCTTTTAAAAATCCATTCTTTTCTTTAAAACTGTAAGAGAGATCTGAAAATAAAGAAATATCGAAGCCCCGCATTCCATAAAGTTGAGCTATCCCTAGATAACTAAGGAATGAAAGATGTTTTTAGACTTGACACCAGATGATGTTGGGTACTAGACAGACAGAGGAATAATCCTACCATGGAATGATACCTTTGCTTAGATTGGAAAACACTGGTCAATCTTTTGACAAATTGGTTTGTGTGCTGGATTTGAATCTACAGTAACACCCAAAGCAAAGACAATGCTCTCTGCCAAATAATTATCCTAAATGGGGATTTTGCTGAGAAAGTAGAGACTAGAGACAGGACAGGAGGGTGGAAATAAATCTTGTGGTCTAGAAATCTTGGAGTCTCCTGACATCAGTATCTGACAGTCCTGCACTCTTATCTAACTATCTAAAAGTCTCATGCAGTATTGGAACCTCAGTGTGCAGTTATTCTTTTAATGTGCACTCTCACAATCTCACGGTTGGGGTAATACAGTCCCTGATTTTCCCAGCCTCAAAAGCTCATGCTCTCATAGTCTTGAGGTCTATCAGATTCCCAGTGTGGCATCTTTGTGTTCTAAAAGTTTTGAAGTTCATCTTATTTGTATTCTGACTATTTTTAGATCAATAAGTTTCACAGTATTTTAGTTAAATAGCTCTCCTGAAGGAAAAGGCCTAAACTTACCTTTAAGTTTCGAAAAAGTGAGGTGATATATCCAGCCAAAATGGCATTGAAAAGCAAATTCAATTTCTAATATGATCAAAGATATTAAACCAGTGGAGAAACAGAAAGTTAGGTACTGTGCTGAAATTCAAGGAAAGACTTGCTTGCACTCTCAGGTTTTGCTTAAAGTAATTTAACTGCAACCCTTCTTCAGACAAACTCAATTTCTTATTGGGTCTCCCTAATCTCATTCTTTGTGTTTACAGGAAAAATAAATGCCGATTCTTATTTAAAAAAAAGAAAAAGAGAGAAAGAAAAAGAGGTAAATGGCAAAAAAAGAAGGAAGGGCAGGATAGAGGGAGGTAGAGAGAGAGAAATAGACAAAGAAATGGAAGGAAGGAAGGAAGAAAAGAAAAGCTTCAGCCTATAAGACTCATTAAGGCACAATGACATCTGACGTATAATCAAAAATTATGAGACATGCAAAGAATCAAGAGAGTGTGACCCAGAGTCAAAATAAAACTTCAGATATATAGATTAGATTAATGTGGCTAAATTTTTATCCCCATAAGCTATCCCTCTGACCAGTGTAGTAGAGTTGTATCCTAATACCTGGGGTTTGGTATTAGCTCAGAACCAATGTCCAACTTTCTACCTTTTCCCGAGTACCCATTAATATTTGTAGATGGACCCTAATCATTTTAGTGAATGCTGGGTGGAAAATGTAGAAAATATACTTAGGGCAATTTGAGAGGTTTTTCTCAAGATATATAGCTTCCCCTCAACTCATGGGGCCAAGTTCTGTGGAATGACACAGGTAAAAGAATTAGAAAAAGTTCCATAATTTTCCATTATAGTGATTGAATTCAGGACTCTGTTAGGAATTTTTTGAATTTTATTTTCTATTATTATTATTATTATTTAGTTGTATAATCAAGTATTCTCTTAGTAGGGTTTTCATCTATTTCAGTCCTGGTGAAGTCATGATTAGGTAATAGCAAAGACTACTGTGTGTAATAGTATTGTGGTCACTGCTGCCTCCCTGCTACCCACTATGATAATCAGAATCTCCTAGTACGTGGTAGTTAAGTACTAATGCTTCTCCTCTGTTATTCTTGTATTATATAATCCTCAGTATAATCAAAGATCTCACATCGATAGTAACAGTCATACCTTTGCTTTCATTTTGCAGGCGACAGTCACAAGTACAAGGCCTTGCTGAAAAGAACATCTGTTGAGTCTTCCTGAAGATATTCTTATTAAATAGGTGGGTACATGACATCTCCCTTCAATAATGCTCTCAGCCTGCCTGTGGATGCTTCCCTTTTCATTATACCAATTAATTTCTTCACTTCATTTAGTGTAGTACAACATTAGGTCTAAATTTCTTGCTAAACAGCTGAGCAATCTGTTAGACTTTCTCCCAGAAACTGTGATAAGTGTATCTATACTGATACACTTGGCTTTATTTGATATTATATTTCTTTTTCTTACTCTAGCACTGTTAAAATATATTTTTGTGTATGGCGGTCACAATATTGCCTATATAAATTAGTAAACTTCTATAATTCCCTTGTCATGTAAACCTTTACCTCCTGGATAAAATTTTCTACCTGTGTCCTTAAGGCACATTTGAACCTCAGTCTAGTTATTTTCCTGAAAAAAATGAGGAGTGGTAGAGATTAGCTGTTAGGGAAATTGGTATCAACATGATAAAACAAAACAAAGCAAAAACAATTTAGAAAACAAAAATAGCAATAAAACACTGCATCGGGAGAGGTCTCAAAACAAGGCAGAAATAAATTTATCAGACAGGGAATTAAGGACTTTGACTAATCAGTGATAGCCAGTGTGTTTTCAGGAGGTCAGGGTGTTTTGATGCTGATATCACCTAAATGTCTTTATTCCAGCTGCTAGATGGTTTCCAAATATTTTAACTTCTACAGAAACAACCTGAACAGGGTGAGAATTCCACTTGTATTTAAGTAACTTACATGATTCGACTCTGTTCCTGATATTTTCATTTTGTTGACCTTGTTTTTACAAGAACTATGAGTGTTTGTGTTTATGTGCATGTGTATGTATTCATAGAAACTCTCTGATATTCTGACCATATCTTGATCTGAGAATGTAAAACCCTAAAATTTTTATTTTTAAAAATGCTCAGTGCTGTCACATTTTTCATTCTTGTGTTCATTAATTCTACTATAATAGTATTTTGATCATCTATCAATTATACTAAATTCTTGTTTACAATAGTTTCTTCTTTAAAATTTGAAAATTTTTAAACTTGCATGGACACATACTTGTACATATTTACACAATACATGTGATATTACAATCATACAATGTGTAATAATCAGATCAGGAGAGTTAAGATATCCATCAAGTCAAACATTTATTTATTTGTGTTGGGAGCATTCCAAACTCCATAGTCATCCTATTGTGATCCTGAACACTAGCTCTTATTCCTTTTATCTAACTGTATGTTTTTACCTATTTCCCAATCCCTCTCTTATTTCTTCCCACCATGCTTCCCAGCCTCTGGTAACCATCGTTTTACTTTCTACCTCAGTGAGATAAATAGGTTCTCTATTCCATATAACCCTAGGGGACAATTTAAGTAACTATATTGCCCGTATATGCCATATATTAATACTATTCTGTTTTTAGGGATAAGAAAATGTTCTCTGCTGTGTTATCCAATGAAACCAGATTTCATTCCTTAAAGGCTGACACTCACTTACCAACCACTGTTATCACTCAAAATACAGTGTAAGAAACAGGAGCCACATTAGGTATTTTAATCGAGATTAAATAGAGACAATTAGATGTTTACAAAAATTTAGGACTAGAGGAGAGGTAGACCTTAATCTTAAACTGCAGGTTTGTCTACTAGAACTGACCCCCCAGGGAAGCTACTCTGAAAGTCAGAATTTGAATTTAAGAATAAACTCTGTGCCCTCAACTGCTATCTAGAATTTAGAAATCCAAAGGCATTGCTACTACTCTATCTTTTGACATCCAGAAAGCTGGAGAATAGATACCATAGGCACTGGAAACTAGTGTAAAGAATCTTCATGTTAATAAACATTGCTTTGTCCAAGAAGGAAAATCAAAATAGCCCCCAAAGAGCAAATAGCTGGCTTCCCTTTCATTTACCTGCAGTTTCCAATTCCATGAAAATGCATTAAATAGATGGGGCCTAATTTACAGATTGAAAAAGAATGGATGATGGCTGATTTATTTAATTCCTGGTGTTCACTACACTATACAAGAAAAATCAAAATACCCAAACACGATTTTTTTCTGTGTTATAGAATGATAATTAGAAAATATATGTACACACACAGATATACTATGCACACATATGTTGACTTTTCCAATTTACAACCATAAACTATAGTGTTAAATGTACGTTCATAAAGTTATTTTGAACAGATAGAAATAATTTGGGCAAAAATGTGAGGATATTATCCTAACATCTATTTAAATTATGTCAATAATTTCATTCCTATGTTCACTAAGACAGATGGTGAGTAGTGTGACTTCACTTGCCAGCATGGTGGGTAAATTGTATTTAAGGCTTAATATTGTTTTTGGAGGGTATTCATCTTTCACCTTATAGGAAAGGTAACTGGAAGTGCAGTTTTTAAACTGAAATAGCTGCAAAGCTGGGCATAAAATAGCCATAATGCATAAATACTTATGATCCCTAATACGCTCCCATGCTTATTTCTTAGGATTTTTATTTGTTTACTTATCTAGACATAATACTGGATTGCTGATTTCTCCATTTTAATGAGGGAAGAGCTGGCCTTTATACTGAGTGATGCAAATTACTTCCTATATAGTGAAATTTGAGTGGCTATAATTGACCACTATACATAAAATTTTCCCTAGCTACTACCTTATAATTTCTAAAGTTCTTGTCCTCAGCACTGATGACCATAACAATATGGTTATCCAACTTATAGGGCTGTGTTTGGATTTTGTACATATGGAATTGAACCACACTCACATAAACACATAAACGTTTTTATTGCTGTTTTTCTATTTACTCTGTCTTTTCACAATTAGAATATTTTTCAGTGTTACCTAATTGTGAATATTTTAAAGAATTGCCAGATTTTCTTTCAGTTTTCAAAATGCTTCCTAATACTCTTGTTAGCTGGGTTGATGCCATTGAAAGGATTTGATTAACTTTTTTTTATATAAAACCTACTGTCAAGAGATTTCAAGATCTCAAAGAACTGTGATAAATTTTTATGGGTCAAATTTAGAACAACAAAATGTCAAGATTCTGATCTTGTGTCTGGTATCAAATGGGTGCTTTTGTTTCCACCAAGCAACAGAACAGGGCGTTGTGAGCTGAATTGTGCCCCTGCCCATTCATATGTTAAAGTCTTATCCTCTAAGCTCCTTAGAATGTAGACTGTATTTGAAGACAGGGTCTTTAAAGAGATAACTAAATTAAAATGAAGTCAGTATGGTGAGACCTAATCCAGTATGACTGGTGTGCTTACAAGAAAAAACAGATGTACAGAGGGAAGAACATGTGAAGATGTAGGGAGAAGGCGGCTATCTACAAGCCAATGAGAGAGACCCCAGAAGAAACCAATCCTGCAAACATTTTGATCTCAGACTTCTGTCCTTCGGAACTATGAGACAAATAATTTCTGTTGTTTGAGCCACCTAGTCTATGCTATTCTGTTATGGTAGCCCTAGCAAACAAATACAAGTATGGCTTTGAGAAATCTGTGAGGGAATGTCAAGTACCTTCGTTGGAGATAAGGGTGGCTAAAATGTTGAGCACACTTTGTCTTAAATTACTTGCTTAATGGGGCTGTAAGGATTAATGATTTCTCATTCAGAAAAAACAAAATCATGTGCACTTATTCTATTACTATTTTCTCAGGTGCCATATTTAATATGTAACAATATAGGCTATATTTCCTAAGAGTTCATTCAACATAGTATATTATAGCTAAGAATTTCAACACTGCCATTTTTGTTTCTCCTAAGAAAGCTGCAATATAGCAAAACTCTTTTTCTTCTTCTCTCTCCCCTCCTCTCTCTCTCTCTCTGTCTCTCTCTCTCTCTCACACACACACACACATGCACACACACACACACACACACACAGGTTCACGCATGTAGAGATGAATTTACCTAGACGCTAAAGAGAATTAACCTTCAGGGCTGTCATATGCTCATGATCTGTTCCTAAATTTGTGTTTGTAAATTTATGTTACTGTTCTTGTATTAGAAATAGCCCCCATGCCAACGTAGGATATTCCTTTGTATGTGTGCATGTCTATGTATAAATGTGTTTTATCTCTATTTGAACTAGAAAGAAAATCAATGTTTATAATTGTCACCTTCTTTAAGCTCTGCGGTAGTTGACTACTTGATAGAAAGCACCATATCTTAGTCATCATAGTTACTTCAGAGCCTTAACAGAATTCCTACCAGATAGAAATGACTGTAAAAATAGTGTTATTGAAAGAAGGGAAGAAAAATAGACAGAATAATCCAAAGAGAAATTAATAATTTATCAGAAATGAAGGGTTTACAGATTCTTTAAGTAAAAAATTAGAAGAAAAATGAATTTAAAGCATACAATAGTACAAAGTAAACATTGAAATGTACTTTGTAGACAAGATGATCTCATTATGAATGGAGATTATATAGTCTTATCTATGATATTGAAGTTTTAAATTGACTTCTAATAAGTAGAATAAATATATCTGTCTTGTTCAGTTACTAGTATTTCATATTTATATATTATGCATATTTCACGGAAATGTCCTTTAGAAGTCAATTTTATGTGTTTTTCTAATATGATAGAATATTTTTAAAAATATATCATTAGAGATATCTACTAGCTTTTTCACTAGTGTCTGCTTGTATGCATGCTCTATTTGATTTTGGCATCACTTGAGTAAGCATCAAAGGAACATAGATTTAAACTCAGGAGATCATTAATGAAAACTCAAACATGGCTTACCATGTTAGAGTCATAAAACTTGTGTGCAAATTACGGGTACGTTACTTTTAATTCAGCTAAGAAGTTAGCTGAGGAGACCACCATATAGTTCTGCCTTGATAGAGTTCGTATTTCCTGAAGCATAATGAAGAGCAAACACGGAAATAGCATATCAGCTGCCAAGAGTGGCCGAAAAAAATTGGCTGACTGAAATTGGCTGGCTAACAGGAACGTAAAAGCTTTATATTGTATGAGTATCTATTTTCATTGCCTGATCTCACTTAACAAGAAAAAAAAGACCCCAAAGCTTGATTTCCGGGATCCTATAAACTATTACGTTTGGAAATTTTAGAAGCATAGAATTTTAGTTTATGAGCATCTGGAAACAAGGATAGGAATCAAGAGTGTTCATTTATCAACAAGATTATGCTGATTTTTTCTCTTTCTATTGCTGATGATACATAGGGAAGAGAAGAAGGGAGATGCTCATTAGTTCATTTGCTGGCGTTGTTCATGGTTTCTCCTATCTAGAAGTCATGGTATAAAATGTTGGGGTCGTACATGTCATTTTATCTTGTAGGTTTATGTTTCACCTTCAAAAAAGGCTGAATATGATGATCTATAATTAATTACATTTATTTTTTAGACAGGACTTTCCCACCAAAAGGCATCTTCATGCAAAAATTTAGAGATGTCAGACAATATGGTTTTTCAACTTATAGAGTTGTGTTTGGTTTTTGTACATATGGAATTGAACCACATTCACATAAACATTCTTATTGCTGTTTTTTCCATTTACTCTGCCTTTTCACAATTAGAATATTTTTCTGTGATATAATTGTGAATATTTTAGAGAATTGCCAAATTCTCTCAGTCTTCAAAGTTTAGCATGTTAGAGGTAGAGAGGCATGAACTTTCAGAGAGTAGCAGACTGTTAAATCTGTCTGCATATTACATTGAGCTACACCGAGCATCGGGTTAACTATTATAGAAGCAGGGAATGGTGATTACCAAAAAAATGAGAATATTAACTATACCCAAAGCATTAAGCTGAACTAAAGCAAGGACATATAAGTGGGGAAGGGCAGGCATTTGAGGATGTTAGTCTATATGAGCATGCAAACCTCAAGAGACAAGGGAGGAAACCACAAGAAGAAAAAGTCAAAATATATAATTAGAAACGAGTCAATTGATAAACAGATAATAATTACTAGAGAAAGACATTACATTGTATTTAAGTCAAATCATCAGCAAGATAATATTCTGTCTAAATATAAATGTGTAGATTACAAATTCGTTATCTTTGATAAATGAAATTGTCTGTCTGTTGATAGTAAACTTGATTTACCGGTATGAAGAGGTTTAAAGCATTGTGGATTGAATTAAGCAGTTCCAACTAAACTGCTATAGTACACAGAACAACTTATCAATTATCCAAATCACAGCAGTTAGGGAATCTCTTAGAAAATCTATCCTAAGAACAGACTATGTATTTGACAAACGGCAGCATATTTTGAAGAACATATTTCAAAACATGTTATTCATCACATAACTAATTTAACAATATTACAGAATAGTTGAAATTTAATGACAATTTAAGTAAAATTTTTGAAGAGAGTTAAACCATATCTTTTCTATTTGAAAAAATTAATTCAAACTGTGAATAAAGCTAATACTTACAGATACTAAATCTATCAATAGTACATTAAAAGATTTGAGAGTTAGTGATACTCCTTTATAGCGCATATTTTAAATGAAATGTATCACCTCAACTAATTTGTCTGTCCAACGGATATTTGAAAGCTATCATTGACAGAGTATTCTTTTTCCGTCTTATCATTTGTTTTTCAAGCTAGAGGGACTATCATAAACCAAGCAAAATGAAGATATAATAATCCTACTCCTTGTTCATGCATGTTATTTTAGTAAACTTTCACGCTTCATGGTTCTCTCACATATATAATTTTATTTCACCTTATTGCTAAATTTAATATTTTATTTTATTCTTATAACATTCTTGTAATATAGATAGAGCAAGTAATGTCTATTTCAGCTTACAGATTAAGCTGCCATAACTAATTTTTAAAAAACGTTTACAGCTTTTATATGAATAACCTCTGTGACATAAAATATATTTTAAAAATGCTTAAAACATTTTAGAAGAGTATAGTGAGGGTGCCATTCCCCAACTCCCAAAAAATGTTCATTTTCTAACCCCTGAAACTCGTGAATGTTTCCTTATTTGAATAGAGTCTTGGCAGATGTAGTTACATTCAGAATCTTAAGATAAGATTATCTTGGATTTAGTGTAGGTACTAAATCTGGTAACAGGTGTCCATATGAGGCCTTATAAGAGAAAGGCAGCGGGAAATTTGAAACACACAGAGGAGCAAACCATGTAAAGACAGAGGAAGAGACTGGAACTTTGCAGCCCCAAGCCAAGGAGCCACCCGAAGCTAGAAGAGGCAAGGAAGGAGCCTCCCCTAGAGCCTTTGTAGGGTGTGTGTGGCTCTTCTGACACCTTCATTTTAGACTTCGCCCTCTAAACCTGTCAGAAAACAAGTTTCTTTAGTTTTTAAGCTGTTGTGATTTGTTACAACAGCCCTAGAAAAACAATACAAAGAGTATTACATAAGATAGTAATTTGTAAGAAAGCCACCATATATCGTTTTCTTCCTCCAGATAGTTGGATATTTGTACAAATACTATATTTTACTTGCCTAAGCTAAAATCTACAATTCAAAATTTCATATAGAAAATTTGATCATATTATGGAAAATGTACTTATTTTTCTAATACAAATAATGTATCAGGTCTGCCCTTATATTCTAAAATACTGCATTTAAAAATTGAACAAATGCTCACAGGGCATATATTATCATATTTTACATATAAATGGATATTTTAAGCCTAACTGCATATGAACACTAGACAATTTCAACCCATGTGTGTACTTATCAGTTTTTGTGGTTCTGAGAAAGTGATTTAGACTACGAGTATGTGAACTTTAAGCCATTCTTCTCATACATTTTTTTTCTCTATCTAGAATAGACAGGGCTTTTTGACTAAAATTTGTTACAGCATGCGAGCAACAGAGCATCTCTCATCAATTGTCTTCAAGTGGTCAAATTCGATAAAGGCAATTATAGCCTGAGCAATGATAATCATTTTGTATCTAATAAAGCAGAGTAAGTGAACATTACAACTCAACAACAATTTATAGCATTGGGCATAATGTGTGAGGTCAGATGCAGGGGACATTTCTAACTCAGGATGACTAAGTGTTCAGCTTGAGCCAGGAATCTATAGAGTCAAATTCAGGCAGCAACTTGAATGTTCTGAAAATGAAATCTTTCTTTATATTGAGTGTAGTGTTTAAAGATTTCATAGGACTCTACTGGGCAGTACTTCAGTAACAAGCACATACTATATTATACTGTACCTTAGACAGGTTAAGATACCTTGTTCATAATTTAAAAAGTGATTGTTTAAAACTTAATAGATTCTTCCACAGGCTACACTAGAGAGTAGAGGTTTATGGTGTCCACTGAATCAATTTTGTCAGTCTGTAAATTGGTATGAATTGTCTCCTAGAGGCATATAGTTGTGCACATAGCATTGTTTCTATTTTACTGGAATAATGTAGACCTATGCATGCTCTACCATTGTACCATTGAAATATGATGAAGTCAGTTTACATCTATTGATGACGCATGCATTGAATGGTTGTAGAGAAGTTCTAAGCTCTTGAAAGCTAGTTTTAAATTGCTTTTCTGCATAGCTATCTGTGTAAACTGGATTCTATTTTTTAAAGGCTTTGTCTTCCTTCAGAATGTGCTTCTGCATTCTAGAATACTTATAATGCTTACATATTGTCTCTTTTGATACCTACAACCACATTGGGAAGAGATATTTTAGAGAAATTATTATTATGATTCAGTTTTCAAATTAATCAATTTAGACTATGAGAAGTTTATGAATTGCCCAAAGTTATGTGAAGAAATCAATGTAAAAGGATCTTTTTTCTGACACTCTACCTTGAATATCACTTTTCTCATGAGAACATTCTGATAGGGTTACAGGCTTCCTGGGAGTTTAAACCAGAAATTGATATAATGCCTGAGGTTACCTGGAGGAGTTTTTGTGGGTTGCCTGTACCTGTAATAACCTAATGCAAATTTTTATATATTAGAATTATAGATTTTAGGATTTTGGTATTAGAATATGCCGTAGGATATATGAGCATTCTCAGTAAATCAGAATATAGGAACACAGAGATAAAAACAAGAAGCCAACTTCAAGCATACACTATATTTGTCGGTGTAAGTCAGATTTTGTTGTGGTAAAAAATAAGCTAAAATAACCCTCAAACATAGTGGCTTAAAACAATGTGATTGTTACTTTAATTGTTTAAGTTACTCACACACAAAAACATCTAATGTAATTGGAGTGTGTGAGAAGAGATTGGAAGAGGGGTACGTGAGCATTATTTGCTGTGATCACTTAGGAGCTCAGGCCGAGGAAACTCCTTCTCAAAACACTCTTCCATGTTTACTGTGACATAGAAAGGATATAGCTTCAGAATCTCTCTTCTGCAATTAAATACTTCAGCATGCAAGTGGTTTGCATCACTTCCACCCATAAGTCATTCACCAGAAGTAGTCATACTTCAGTTCAAAAGGGTGAGAAAAATACAATATTCTTTGTGTCTGGAAGGAGATAAAAGCCAGACATCAGTGAGCAGTTGAAATGTATGTCACAGACGTGAGGTAGACTATTTTTTTTAAGGTTAGTGCTCAACTTTCGGAGTGTAATGTAGATAGTTCAATGTAAGATAACTAATATGTTCAAAATCCAAGAAGTAAAAGAGGTCTTGGCATTTATTGGGACTAGTCTCTAATCAATGCAGGAATTTCTTTTTAAATAGGCTGTGAATTATTCTTGAATATTTCAGTGATGGGGTGTTGACTATTTGACCTAGTAGCTGTTATTCCATTGGATGACTCTACTTTATTTATTTATTTATTTATTTATTTATTTATTTATTTATTTTTGGGATGGAGTTTCATTCTTTCACCCAGGTTGCAGTGAAGTGGCATGATCTTAGCTCACTGCAACCTCCACCGCCTGGGTTCAAGTGATTCTTCTGCCTCAGCCTCCCAAATAGCTGGGATTACAGGCGTGTGCCACCACACCCGGATAATTTTTTTAATTTTTATTTTTATTTTATTTTTATTTTTAGTAGATACGAGGTTTCACCATGTTGGCTAGGCTGGTCCCTAACTCCTGACCTCAGGTGATCCACCCACCTCAGCCTCCCAAAGTGCTAGGATTACAGGCATGAGCCACTTCTCCCAGCCTGGATGACTCTACTATTAAAGCTTATTTATATTGATCTTCTCTGCGTCTACGAAACTGAAGCTGTCACTTAACAACCCCTGTTTCACCTTCTGAGCACAATATAACATTACAAATGGATTTGACACAAAATAAGGACACTAGTTGAAGCAGTATTTAAGAAGCTGCAGGCTATAAAGCTAATAATAATCACCAGATGAAACACCTCCAGCAAAGCTGCAACTGGCTCTTAGTATATGTTATCTTGTTTCTGTACCTCATCAGGTGACCTGCACCCCTCACCTTGTGAATTCCACAGGGGAACTCTTAGATTGGAAATACAATTGATCATCTTTGTACTCCTAAAAAATGCAACCCTGAAACTACATTGAGATACCACTTTATAACCAATAAGATAGCTATTACCAAAAACATCAGAAAATAACAAAAGTTGGCAATATTGCGGGAAAATTGAAACCCTTGTGCATTGCTGGTCAAATGTAAAATGGTGCAGTCTTGGTGAAAATCAGTACAGAGTTATCTCAAAAATTAAACACCGAATTACTGTATGATCCAGCAAGTCCACTTATGGCTCTATGACTAAAATAATTGAAAGCAGGGACTTGAACAGATATTTGTATATTCACATTCATAGCAGCATTATTGACAACAGCTGGAAGGTGAAAATAACTCAAATGTCTATTGACAAATGAATAGATAAACCTAATGTGCTATATACATACAATGGAATATTATTTAACCTTGAAAGTAATGAAATTCTGACACATGCTAAAACATGGTTGAATCTTGAAGAAATTTTGCTAAGGGAAACAAATCAGACATAAAAAGACAAATATTGTAAAATTCAGTGTATGTGAAATGCCTAGAGAACCTGAAATTCATAGAGAAAGAAAGTAGAATGGTGAATGCCAGGGGCTGGGTGAAGCAGGTATGAGTAACTATTGTGCAGTGGGTATAGAGTTTCAGTTTGGGAATATAAAAATGTTCTGAAGATCAATGGTAACATTGATTGCACAACAATGTGAATATATTTCCTGCTACTAAACTGTACACCTAAGATTGTTAAAAAGGTAAATTTTATTTTATGTATATATTACCAGAGTAAGAAAAAAAAAAACAGAAAAGAAAAAATGCAAGTCTGTTTCATACTGAAGGATTTTTTTCAAGGTCTTTAAAAAAGTAAATAATTTCCCAAGAGACTTAAACAGACATGTTTGAGTTACATGTGCAAAATATACATGTAATCAGAGGTCCCAAATATGTCAGTATAAACAGGAAGATAAAATAAATGCAGTCTAACTCCAAGTATTGATCATGATTTAGAGCATAAAATGGATCAACTATTAAAGTACTATCCTCGATATGCAAATAGCTGTTTATACAGGATCTGCTCAAATTATGCATGGTTTTCTAAATTACTAACCCATTCAGAAGGTGATAGCAAAAATAAGTTTTACTTATTAGATTATTTACTTAGAGCTAATCAGCCTCAAAATATTTGTAAAATAATAAGACCTAAATTGAACTTAATTCCAACTGAAAATATGTCCTCACAATTCTAGTACTTGTCCAAATAACATAGCTACAATCATCAATGCACTCTGCTTTCCTTCTCCACTGAAATGAGTCACTCTTATTTATCCTCCTTCCCAGACAGTGCATTTTGTTGTGTTTTATTGCTCCAAGAGGTGAGAATCCAAGAAATGAAGCACCTGCAATTATCTTTCCACACAAATGATTGATGTCTCATGCTACCCCAATTTGCCCTCATCTCTGGTTTTCGCTTTCATGCCCTTGCTGCCTGGTAATCTTGGATCCATGCCTGACACAAGTTGATTGTTGTCAGGATAAAATCAAACATCTAAATTAAAAAAAAAATGTGAGTAAGAAAAAGTCACATGGTAAAGTGAGGCTACAAAATCTGAAATGTAAATCCTCCAGAAAAAAAAAAGATGCAAGTGGAAGGTAATAGTTTGTAGAAGAATGAACAAAGAGAATTTGGAGTATGGATGCAAAATTTGAGACAGAATGAAGGGATAGGAGTCAAGAGTAGCTGGCCTCTTGCATTCTTGATAAACAAGTAAATCTACAAAGGGAGGATTCCAGACTCTGTATATAAATGATCAGATATCGGGTATCTGGAATTAAGCATTGGTTTTTTAGGTGTTTTTTACAAAAGAGATTCTCCTTTATTAGGTATGCTTCTTCTACCTTTCATCTTCTAACTTTTTACCTTTCTTCTACCTTTACCTTCATTTTTCCTTCCTTTTTTATTCCTCTATCCTTTCTCTATTCCTTTGTTCTTATTTTAAATTTCCATTTTAATTGATTTGCTTTCACTCATCAATTTGCATTACTTCCAACTTGTCCTGATTTTGCATTAATCATTATCTTCTGCTTTCCATCAGCCCGACTCCATTACCCATTGATTGCACTGTTTTTCTTACCTTTTCCCATCATCCCATGTTTCTGATGTTCTATATTTGCTCATCACAAATATGGCCATTTCAATAACACTTTGATTTGAATGTAACCTATCTATACTCACCCGCTTTTAACACTGATTTGAACGTAAACTATCTATACTCATCCATTTTAAAGTGTTTTCAAATCATCTATTATAGAATAAATGGTAAATAAACCTGATGGCTCTTTTTTGTCTATATAAAATTTCTTAATGGAAGTTTCATGAATATTCAATATAAGTGGAATAATTTTGTATTAGTTTTGTATCACCACGGTAACAAATTACCATAAAGTTAATGACTTAAAACTTTATTTATTATCTTATAGTTCTTTAGGTTAGAAGTCTAGCATATGTCTCACCAGTCTGCATTCCTTCTGGAGGCACCAGGGAAGAATCCATTTTCTTGCTCATTTAGGTCATTGATAATTAGTTCTTTGCAGTTGTAGGACTGACGTCCCCATTATTTTGCTGGTGTTCCCAGATTTTAGAGGTTGTCCACATGCCTTTACACATGACCTTCTTCCTGAATCTTAATAGCTGGCAATGGTAGGTTGATTCCTTTTCACACTCCAAATCTGTCCTGCCTTTTGATTCCATTGTTGTGCCTCTCTGATCCAAACTTTTACCTTCACTTCGACTTTTTATTTATTTATTTATTTATTTTAATTTTTTGAGATGGAGTCTTGCTCTGTTGCCCAAGCTGGAGTGCAGTTGTGTGATCTCGGCTCACTGCAACCTCTGCCTCCCAAGTTCAAGCAATTCTCCTGCCTCAGCCTCCCAAATAGCTAGGACTACAGGCACGTGCCACCAAGCCCAGCTAATTTTTTGTATTTTTAATAGAGATGGAGTTTTACCATGTTAGCCAGGATGGTCTCGATCTCCTGACCTTGTGATCTGCCTGCCTCGGGTCATGCCAGTGTGATCCACGGTAGATTGATATCTTTCTTTCAAGCATTTTAAGTTGTTCTGCTCTACTTCTTTTCTTTTCTTTCTTTCTTTTTTTTTTTTTTTTTTTGTGAGATGGGGTCTCTCTCTGTACCCAGGCTAGAGTGCAGTGGCACAATCTCTGCTCATTGCAACCTTTGCCTCCCGCATTCAAGGGATTCTCCTACCTCAGCCTCCCGAGTAGCTGGTATTACAGGCATACACCACTAGGGCCAGCTAATTTTTGTATTTTTAATAGAGACGAAGTCTCACCATGTTGGCCAGTCTGGTCTCAAACTCCTGACCTCAAGTGATCCACTTGCCTTGGCCTCCAAAAGTGCTGGGATTACAGGCATGAGCCATCGCGCCCAGCCTTCTTACTTTCATTATTACTTTTATTTAAGAAAATACATATTATCATACCCAAAGACTTAAAAGAATCGTCATCTGGAAGAGATATGACTGTCAATCATGGTATCAGCGAAGGAGAAAATGATTTTGGAGAGAAGCTATTGAGGGAAACCGAGTGAATGCATTCAAGGTTTAGCAACAATGGGAACAGAATACACTCCCAGGTCTGATGAGGAAAGGGAGAATTATGGTATGACTGGAGCCTTGAGTGAGCTGAAAACACAGAAGGGGCAGTGCCTCACCTGAACTATTGCTGTAGGCAAATACAACTGCACTCAGAACCATGGCAACAACGCATTCAGTTTGTGGAAAAAAGAAATATTTACACCTTCCTCTTCTCCAGCACTTTGATCTCACCAATTTATTCCATTGGCCAGATCCTATAGGAAACTACATAAGCATGGCCATGGAGCTTATAATGGTCAGAATCTCCCATATCCAAAGCATAGGGCAATGTCATACACTCATAAAAGGTGGAGATTCAATAGGTGTGAGAGTGAGAACCAAACAAAGGGAACCAAACAAGATTAGTTAGCCCAGAGATTAGGCAAATGTTTTCTGTAAATGGCCAGAAGGTAAATATCTTAGGCTTTGTGGACCACACAGTCTCTGATGTAACTACTCAAGTATGCTTCTGTATAGAGAAAGTAGTTATAGATAATACATAAATGAACAGGTGTGACTGAGTTCCATTACATTATTTACAATAATAAGCAGCTTATTATTATTTACAATAATAAGAAACATTATTTACAATAATAAGTTTTGGCCCCTGATTTAGGGCATAGCCCTTGGACTAAGATGGAAAGTTTTAAATGATTACTCCACAAATACATAGCTCAGACTGCTTTTTAACATCAAACATAATTTCCTGCCAGCTAAAAATGACATTTCCCGACAGCTAAAAATGACATTTCCCAACATCCTTCATATCTAGGTATAGTTCTGTGGCTAAGTCCTAGCCAATGGAATGAGTAAGAGCGATGTATGCAACTTCCGAGTTTTCTTCACAGGAAAGCATGTGCCCTTCATGTCTTTCCTCTATCATGCTTTTCAAAATTTGGACCCAGTGAATATGGTGCTGGGTCATCTTTGGACATGTGGAGAAAAAGAAGTAGCCTATATCACCAATACCCTGGAGCCACCCTGCTTACCCTTGGGTGTCTATTCTGATTTCGAGAATGTTATATAATCCCATCTCTTATTTAAGCTACTGTTCTTTTCAAGTCTTGATTTAGTAGTTGAACTTATGTCATTTGAGTGGTTTCTAAGACATGGTTGATTTTCCTGCAAAATGGGAATATTATAGTCATATAGAATTGTTGCAGAGGCTAAATCACCTTATCAAATCAACTGGAACATAATAGACATTCAGCAAAATATTTAAAAAAGTGATATTAATAAGAGCCCATTATTATGTTAGGCATTGTGAGAAATACAAATTAAGTATTGGAGACAATATGATCTAACTTAGAGTATGACCTCATTATTTATCCATTGTTGTGTCCACAAGAATAGCTCCTAATAAGTTGTCTAGAAATCAGGCAAGAGGGTAAATAATTAGAAATTAAAATTAAATTGTATATTTCACTAAATATCCTTACTTTTTATGATAGAGTCCTGGAAACTATGCTATAGAAGAGATTATCACAAAGCAAATCATACTCCAAGAAGTGGACAATTGTGAATGTTTTATCACTGCCAAGGACTAAGAACAAAATAAGTTATATTTGGAATCAACACATTTATTTCTTCATATATAGCCCAAGACAGGTAAATGAATAAAACAAGCTCTGCAAATCAAGGACTAAAAATAAAACAAGTAAAATATAGCCCACTACGTATAAAAAAATAAAACAAGCTCTGCAAATCAGAAATCTAATCCAGACTCCCCAGGTGAATGTCTCTCTCCACAGATGAGAGAGCAGACCTGGAGAGTTTGAAATGTTTAGAAATTTTGAGCTGTGTAGCATCTCCCTTTTAGAGCAAGAAAGAAAGTCTTTTAAAAATTTATTTTGCCGGAAGTGGTGGCCATGCCTGAAATCCCAGGATTTTGTGAGGATGAGGCAGGAGGATTCCTTGGCCAGGAGTTTATAGCAAGACCCCATCTCTGCTAAAAATTTAAAACATTAACCCAGCTTTGAGGCACGCATCTGTAGTCCCAGCTACTCAGGAGTCCCAGCTACTCAGAAGGCAGACACAGGAGGAACCCTGGATCCCAGGAGTTTGGGGTTTCAGTGACAAAAAACAAAACAAAACAAAAAACAAACAAACAAAAAAAAAAACAGAAGAGTGATGAAGGCACTTGTCCCACAGTTTGGTGAGGAGATTTTCCCTTCCTAGTTTTGAAGAGGATTTTGTAGCCAAATATTCCTTTAGTTATCTCTGAACTACTTCCAATTATCATTTTCCCTAAATCTTCCCATTTATGTCAGTATTTATATTATAATAGCTCAAACAGACTTCAGAATAGAATGTTTAAATAGAGTTTAAAGTCTTGGATTACTCCCTATAGTCTATAAAATGAAATCAGATTTCTTTGGTATTTTACCCAAGTGTGCTAGCCTAACCTGGCTATGCAAATATATGCAATTCTCTGAACCGTCCTTCCTTTTCATGCCACCAGGCCATTGATAACACACATCTTTAGTTAAAATGTTTTTGCCTCCCAATATTCCCCTGGCTCATTTCTTCTGTTCTTCAGGACTTAGTTCAGGTATTTTATTCCAGTTCACATTTTAAAAATAGTAAGTTAGGTGCCCCTTCCTTTTTCTGTGCAAATATAGCACTGCATTTTATGATAGCTAACTTTATCTTGTTCTCACAACTGTCTTTTATCTTGGTATTCTCAGATAAATAGATACTCAAACAATGTCCAATATCACAAATATAATTAGATATTAAAACCTGAGTTTTTTCACCTTTAGTCTAGTTTACTTTTTACTCAACCATACTTATCCAAATATGGATATAAATGACCTCTATTTTCTAATTCTTAAGATAATCCGAATCACCTGCATAAAGATTATAATTACCTGTAATTATAGGTTTATACTTTAAAAATTCTTACACTAGCTATAATCAACAATAACTTAACCTGCCTTGGGATTAAATAAAAATCTGTGGCAATTGTTTCAAGGGTTGTGAAGAAATTTTGTCACATACATATGAAAATGTTATTTAATAATCCAGGAGCATAATAATAGGTGCTAAATACATGGAATAAGGCAGTAAGTTTTATGGTATGAGAGGAGATAGAAAAATCTTCAGCTGTGATGAATAGAAAAAGCTCAATTGAGAAAGTAAATAATGTTTAATTATTGGATGCTATATACACTTGAAAAGTTCACAAGGTGGTAGACAATTTTAGAGAATTGGGTAGTTACAAAAAGAGTGAAGAGAGGAAGAACAAAAGGTGAAAAATTAGAAGTTGCAAAATCTATTTTTGCGGTATACTTGCTCTGAAAAATGTTTAGGCCATCAAGGTAAATTACATTGAGTATATTTTCAATCAATTAATTTATACATATTTACTGAGGGCTTCACTCTGGAACTTGGGCCAGGTTCCGCATTGCAGCATGTTTGCCAATGTGGCTAATGACATCTAAGTAAAGAAATCAGAGTGCAAATGATATCAGTTTAATCCTCCTTTTATCTTCAGCTATTTCATAATTTTGTAAATTTATGCAATCTCTTCAATGCAGATTTTTCATTCGTAATAAGAGATAAGCTTTTACATCTTTAATCCCGCAAGTGGTGGGTTATACATCTATCCTGACCAAGAGAAAATCCAGAAACTTTTAATTCTGAAATTTTACGTCATGATACATCCCAGCTGATCACATTGAGTAGGACAGAAAATAGGAAAACAGCAAAACAATTCATTTAAAATCACTGCGGTGATGATATAGATTCATTAAACTATACTCAACCCATATTCAGTGAGCACCTAATATATGCCAGTACTCTATCTGGCATAGATGTACAAGATAAAACAAGTGATGCATGGCCCCTGCCTCAATGAATTTACACTCAAAGTGGCTAAAATATGATGTGAAAGCAGTGAGCTGGATTCAGATCAAGCTTCACTAGGCATTTGGTTCAGCTGACCCACTAGAACTCTTCCAGCAAAAACATCTATTGGCAGCTCAGCTGGACTGCAGTTAGTGCAGTTTAATTGAGGCCATTTTTAATAAAATGGTAGGAATTTGTGGGTCAGATTCTATGGAAAGTAGAATCTAAGACTTTGAGACTTGCATATGGGAGGTATATTGGGAACACTTTCAGGAATATCTGTGAAGAATAGGAAAGCACAACTGAGCAGGAAAAAAAAGAATTTTGATGAGGCTTCAATGAAGAAAAATTTCATAAAAATTAATAACATTTTCAATAAAGTGGCTACTTTTAATAAAATGTATTCATATCTGTGTGAGAGGCCATTTTCTTATCAATTTTGGCACATGATAATGAGAAAATAAATACTTTTTTTTCTAGGTCTGCTTTAAAATTTAATTCTACATTGAGACACTCTAATTGAGGTAAAGTGAATGTTGGGCTTGGTAACAGGTGATTACATATAACATATATATACATATAACAGAGATTATATATCTATTCCTGGGGCTGCCACTGAGTCAGTGGGTAACTTGGAGCAAGATATTTACTCTATTTGAACTTACTTTTGAACTTAAATTCCTCACTTGTTTGCCATATGAACTTCTAACTTTCCTTCTGCTTAAGAATTCTATAGGCCTTGAGATTCCCACAATAATCTATATTGTCAGTGTTCTTCTTCATTTGGGACTTCTTTAAGTATTTGCAGCCAACCTTAACATAGCAATTCTTTCATGCTTACTAAGGTTGATAGGTGTTGGATTTAGGAATACAGCTGAGGCAGTCTGAGACTGTTCTTTTCACATTGCCCATTGAGTAAGATGAGAAAATGTAGGATATTTTAAGAGGGTGAAGAGGATGCAGAGAACGTTTTTGTGAAACTAAATAATTGCCTTGGCCCACAATAAACAACTAGAGGTTAGGGACCCTGGCTTTTACTTGTTTTATTCTCCATAGTGATGAGCACACTAATGGAAATAATCAAACCTTAGTACAGTGTGCAGCTATTTTATAATATTAAGTACTATTAAAGACTTCTAATAAAGAAGCAGAGATTGAACTCTTAACAAAAGAAAATTCATTTTTTTAACAACCACCTATTGCCAATCTATAACATGCAGAAGACCGCTACTACAATAATTTTGTCTTCACTCAACGGTTAGAAATATTTTTACCAGGGCTTATAGGATATTTCAAAACTAATTTTTAAAGAATGGACCTAAGTAAGCAAATCTAAATTACATCTTGCACTAGTTACTATCTTTTTGTGTGTGGAAACCTGGTTGGCAGGGTTTATTTGGAACAGATGCAATCTTAACTTTGAAATCTTTTCAATCTCATATAACCCAAAAATGTATCTGTTGATTCAGCTCAGCAAGTTATGTTCACATTTATCAGCTTGTATTTCTGATCATGATGTCTAGAGAGTAAAACTCTATGATACAATTACCTTTGAAGTGCAAGGAGCTGAATGTTGTAGTGGAAGCTGCACCCAGGCGCCTCTAGGGCAATGATTCAATTCAGCTACAACAGAAACCAAAACTAAGACTGAGTGTCATTATCTGCTTCTTATACATATTTTATAGTCATTGTACCGTGCAGAACTAAAATGGTGCTTATTTCAAGAAAACTGTGGGAATCAAGCTCCATTTTCAGTACAATATATGTCAATTTGGAGATTAAGGGAGAAATTCAACATATACTAGAAAATTCAACATATACTAGAAAAGCATTGTGCAATCTGTCAAAAGCAGATTTTTTAAAATTCCTAGTGATCCATTTGCTCCTGAACTTGCCAATCTACATGATGCCAAGATTAAATTTTTTAAAGAGTTAAATTTAAATATTACATTAATGCAACATTAAGGTTGACATTTTTAATCATTAATAGTTCTAAGCCAAATAATTCAGTTACCTTTCACAGCCACTGTGCCACCAAGGCAAATTTATACGTGTTACTTTTCTAATAAATACAGCACAAAAATTGAACACGTGCATGCAAATCAAAATAGTTTTTCTCTTCAAGCAGCGTATAATCCCCAGGACTTCTGAAATATAGTACAAAGCAAAAGGACAATTTCACTTTTATCAGGCTCATTTGATGAACATAGACAAATCCAGAAAGCCGACTTTTGGGAGCTGATTTTCTTTCTTAATATTTACCAAATAATTAATAACATTTTATTTATTTTACTATGCTAGATTTACTTAGCTATAGGGGCAGAGGTTAAGTACCTCATGTTTTGGTTAATTTATGTTTGACTGGGTAGTATTGTAAGATCCTGGCTTTTACATGAAAATAGAGATGACATGTACTGTTATAATCTATTTATGAAAGCATTAGCTACAGAATATTGTGGCTACAGGTTAATAACTTAAGTGTTTTCAAGTATACCATGAATTAGCTCTCAAGTTGTTTGAAACAACCTATTTTTAGTTTATGTACTGAGTATTATTTTTTGTCTATCTATGATCTATTTTCCCCATTGTACCTCTTGAGTATTCTTTGTTTTTTATGAGTGTCTTTTTCTTTTCCATGGAGCCTATAAGCTTTAAACCTGCACTGTGCAATATAGTAGCTACTAGCCATGCCTGGCTATTTAAATTAAAATTGATTAAAATAAAATAAAATAAAATAAAGAATATATTACATATATGGATAAAGTTTAATCAAATATGTATTTATATATATATATATACACACACACACACACACATACACACACACTCTCTCTCACCTACAATATTTGTCTATGTTGGGGATATAACCTAATTAACACTAATGTCAACATGAATTTGAGAAGTCTTTCTAGAAATGCTTGAAAAGGAAAATCAAGTCTTTGATTTCCTCATCGAGTCTTCTGGACTAACAAATCCTGAAGCCTGCCCAACTTCTGGACTTCTCAGTGAGATGACTCCATCAATTCCTATAGTGTTTAATCCAAGTTTAAATTTTGTTTTGTTTTTAACTACTAACTACATTTAGATTGTTAGTAATAAAGTCCATAAATACTTATTTACTGCCTACTTTTATTATCATTGTGGTAAGTAGTGGAGAAAATTATAAATACAAAATACTCATGAGCATACCTTGAAAGAGTTTGCCCTTTAAATGTAGAAAAAATAGATATCACATATTTAGATATTAAATTGTGTAGAACAGGCTATAGTTACATTTAAAATTCATAAAGAAAGGAGGTTGGTGGGGCTAGAGTGTTCTTCAATTCCTAAAGGTGGTGGTCCAGCTAGACACAACGTTGAAGCATGATTTACACAAAAGCATGGATTGGCTGGAAGCAGAAGAGTTCATTCTAGAGGCCTCTCAGTTGGCAGTTCTGGCTAATAATAAACTAGCCTGTGATGAGCTCCACTAATAACAAAAAAATTACTTTTATACTCAATACTTCTTCAAATTTCAAAAATATGTAATGTATTAGATAATTTCTCATCCTCATATCGAATGTCAAAGTGCAATTAAACATGAAAGCAGAAAGAGAATTTAGGCTTAAAAGTGGAGAAATATAAATGATTTAATATCTTTTGCTGTTATAAATCTTAGTCTATGATGACGAACATGTAAGGCAATAGCAACAATATTATACTTATAACATTAACTCTACTATTAAAATATAATTAAAATGTTTTTAATAGTACTCATTACTTAACTTTTTTTTTTGAGACAGAGTCTTATTATGTTACTCAAGCTGGACAGTGCAGTGGTGCGATCTTTGCTCACTGCAACTTCTGCCTCATGGGTTCAAGCAATTCCCATGACTCAACCTCCTGAGTAGCTGAGATTACAGGCACCAGCCACCACACCCAGCTAATTTTTGTATTTTTAGTAGAGACAGGGTTTCACCCTGTTGGCCAGGCTGATCTCGAACTCCTGACTTCAAGTGATTTGCCCACCTCGGCCTCCCAAAATGCTGGGATTACAGGCATGAGCCACCATGCCTGGCCACTTAATTTTATGTTAGTTAATAATCATCCACAGTGAACTATTACAGATGAGAAGGCTAAAACTTTGAGTTTAGTAATTTGGCTGGGAATAGACAGTACGTGATAGTGTTTCTTAGCTATGAATGTTAAGAATGTACAGATTAATGAAAAAGTAACTTCAGTAGGGGAAATATCAGAAATTTGGGCATTTAGAGCTTTTCTTGCCATTAAACACATGCTTTGGCAGAGATATTTTTTACTTTTCAGATATGCAACTTAAAAGTTTACATTTTTGTGTTCTTAAAAGCTTACCAGGTACTCTTAGATTCCTACGGCAGAAAGACAGCCCCAGTGATCACAGTCTCCTCTGTGGCTTGCCTAGCAAATTGCTTCTAATTAATATGTTATAGCAAAGGTGATGGGATGTTACTTCTGTGATTAGGCTACAAGGGATTGTGATTTCTGTCTTGCTAACAGACTCTATCCCTTGCTGGCTTTGCTCAACTGCCATATGGAGAGGCCCATCTGGCAAGAAACTGAGGGCAGCCTCCTGTCAACAAGTGGTCAGGAACTGAGGTCCTCTGTGCAACAACCCAGGAGGACCAGAATCCCATCAACAACCACATCAGCTTGGAAGCATATCCTTTCCCATCTGAATCTTCAAATTAGACCCCAGTGCTAAATTGTGCTTTGATTGTAGCCTTTTGAAAGACCCTGAAGCAGAAGATCCAGCTTAGCCATGCCTAGATTCCTGACCTACAGTATCTACAAAATAATGTGTATTCTGTTAAGCCACTAAGTTTGTGGTAACTTGTTAGGTATCAATAGATAATTAATGTGATTACCATATTTGATTATTGGAGAAACCTGAATAGAAGGTCAAGAGACATTGGCACTTCTGTTTTCCAGAGGAGAAAACCAAATTTCAGAAAAGTTATATAGATTATCCAATATGTCAAAATTGAAGCTATGATGAAATCCAAGATGCTTTTGAATATTATGTCCTGTGCTTGTCAGTTAGGCAATGCTTTGCACTGGGCTTGAATGTTTAAAAAATTGAATGGTATGTTTTACCTTGTCTATGGTAGAAAACATTTTTTTATTTGCATGACCTAAAAAATGTAAATCGTTTGATTTGAATATCTGATCTTGCCTTTAAATCAGTTCATCATAGTCACTTATTTCAATGTCCAATCTCAGTGATCAGATTTTCATATAAACACAGCTGAAAGGTTTAAAATGGATTTTACAGATAGTCCTGACACCTCAGATTTTATTCTTCCAACTCAATACCTGAAGCAGACATCTTCGTTACAATGGAGTTAGGCCCGTTATAATTAAATCCAGATGATGCATTAATATAAAAGCAGGTATATATGAGTACAAAAAGGTCAAGTGATGCAACCTGGATGCTATATTTGTGCTGGTTAGAAATAGGAATATAAGCCAATAATTATTTTGTACATATTTCCATTTAGGAGCCAGGCTGCAGCTAAGTGGAAGAGGAAAGTACTTTGCTAGTAGAGCAAAACTAGATAATTCACATTGAACAACATAACCTTCAACCTACTTCACCAAGTTTAGCCATTACATTGATCAAGTGGCTGGATAATTACCTGGAGAGTTCACAGGTTGATGGTGTTGTAACATCATGCTCCAGCTATGGTAGTCAGAACACGGTATTAATATTAAATGCAATTTCAGGAAACTTAGTTTCCTTGTTGATTTATTAACAATGATATTCAATACAGTATATGCTGTGATACAGTGCATAACAGGAAAAAATTTTGGTAATTTTCTGATAAATACTATATTCTTTATATTTTCAATTTTCACACCTAAATTTATGTGATTACTGTGTGGTAAAAACCTTGTGATTATATTTTGAGCTTTCAAATCATCTTTTTACTATCCTTCTACTGATACCTGGTTTTATTCTGCTTCTGCCTATAAAGGTGTAATAAGTCTCTTCTTTATCTTTACTTCTAAAAAAAAGTCAATGACATAAGGATCCTTGAATTTGTACTGTAAGCAGAAGTCATTCGTAACTACTGTCACTTGCTTGTTTTGTTATAGTGCTTGTTTGTTTTTGCAACTGACCGTATTTTTCAGTAAATTGCCTTAAGTGATGATACTTAACCCTGGATATCCACGTTTAGGAATAAATTAATGATATAAAGGCATTCCATGGTTTAAAAAATTTAAAGTATACCAACTATGTTCTGGAAGTCGCTCTATCACTATTCATTTGCCTTTAGATAATTCACTTTGCTAAATCACAAATTCTTCAATTGCAGAGTAAAACAATGTTCTATGAGCCTCTGAAAAAGTTTTTTTTTCAGTGATATATAAGCCCTTCAGAGTGAAGACTCTTTGTCCAAGTTACACAGGTTTTTGCAGTTTGTGAAGATGGAGTCACTGATGCCAGTTAACATGGATGCATTACACAGTGTATCTTGAGTAATAAACATAACTGTTCAAACTGACAATGTATTTGGCATGCATCATTTTTCCTCTAGGGAAATTATTAGTGAAGGCATACATAATAATATTTTTATTCACAAATGCTAACAGGAACTGGTGCCTTCAGTCCTAACAACCACAACAATACAAATACATAACAATATAACTACATATATATATATATATGTAGTTATATATGTACACACACATAACTGTATATGTGTATGTACCTAGATAGATGACAGGCAGATAGATAGACACATAGATAGATATAGTTTGATTGTTTAAGAAGAGCTAAACAATGATGCCTAAAGTTCCTTTTTTTCTTTCACTAACTTATGGTAAGTGTCCTGGGATAGCTTTTGAAAAGTACTCACTAAATTTCTTTTTCCTAAGAAAAACACTGCACATAATATCTCAATATTCATTTTTGAGCATAAAAGGCAGAAAAAGCAGCATAATAATAGGATTTTTCATGAGAATTGAATAATATAAATGAGAAGGAAGAAAATTGTCACAATTATATCTGGAAGCATTGGAATAGAAAGCAATAAAACAATAAAATGGCAATTTCAGGAAAGACAAATAGTATTGCAGCTTTGAACAGATACTATGAGATAAAATAAAATGTAGGGTTTGCATCAGTATATTAATATACAAAGTTGTATCTGCAAAAAATGATTGAGCAAATTTGTAATTACCTGATTAATATAATCTACCTATATGCTCAAACTAACTTATTTAGCTCAAAATGACATTTTCATTAATGAAATTAACTGAACAGTTTCCAAATTAATGGTTTATGTATGAACCAGGCTACATTTATATCCATATATAGATCATGTATAAATACATATACATAAATTTTTAAGTTTGTAACACTTTGCAAACAGTGGATGATTTCATGGGCTAAATCCCCACTTAAGTAAGCTCACTCAATTAAATTAAATATTTCCCTCATAAATCTCTTGTAGACAGGGAACTATTGATTCTCTTTTCTCATCTTTGTGAATTATACCTGTGCTCTGGTGAGGACGTGCTAGATAATTTCCCAAAAATAAAAACTTAGTTTTAAATATTATTTGGAATTAAGATTAAAAGATATTGTGATATGAATTACCTTGTCAATTTTGTGATATAGATTTTAATAAACAATTTTTTGACTCAGTAATTTTGCATTTTCCAACATCAGAATAATCACAATTATACTCTTGTTCTAAGTACCTATGTGTGTTGAGGAGTTTAATGTACAAGAAGCCATTATCTTCATTCCACACAAGCAGAGAGAATGGGTCCAGTGAAACAGCCTAAATAAAATATGTTAACAGGTTTCTTATCCATAATTTTGACAGCAGTGTCATGGACTGATAATTCAATTATAATGAAGTACTGACATTATTGAAAAATCATATATAATGGTTCTAATTTTACTTTTTATTATTATTCAGAAATTATGCCCTTTTCTTCCTCTACAACTTGCAAACAACAAATGAAATCCTTTTGGGGTGGGATAGCATAAAATAGTAAAGGCCTTTTTAAATACTAAAGCTTTGGAGATGCATTTCACTGATTTTGAGTCCCTCTAGTTCTAATGGATACGAGAGGTAGATCCCAGCAGTCTAACAAAGAAAAAAAAGTAGGGGAAATTTTTGTTTTTAGAAAAGTAATTTTCTCATGCTGCTTTTGGCTAACTAAATTTAGTCAAGTGGAAAAACCAAACTGGATAAAATACAATCCAATAATTTTGAAATTTGTGAGCCTTCTTTATATCGTGCATATTTGAATTGCTTTCAAGTAGTTTGGCAAGAGCTTCCTACTACATATATATATATATATGGCTATATATAAATATATATATATGGCTATATATAAATATAAATATGGATATGAATACATATAGGGGATATATATTTTGGGATTTTACATATATATATAGGGAGATGTATATATCAGCAAATAGATATATTGGGAGACATACATAGGAATATATATATATAGGGATATATATAAGAATATATATATATGGAAAGACACACACAGGTATATGCACACACACATATATATGTGTGTTTAGGATATACATATATATATAAATACACACATACATACACGTGTGTGTATGTGTGTGTGTGTATCATTTATCTACTTGGTTTCTAAGTATGTCCAGAGTGGAAGAAACACCACCATGAAAAAATTTTAGAAATCAAGAAATAAGAAAGTAGCAGGTTTCTCATAAGATAATATCTTAAATACTATACCTTTTGGATTTCAAAAAGATGGAGACAATTGGAGAAGAGTTTGCTATTAAAGTAGCTTCATTATGTGGCCAAGAGCTGTTTCCCTTCAAATGAAGTGAGGGGATGTTGATCAAACATAAAATAGCATTCTCATCCTTGTTTGATTTAGTGTATGACTTGGAGGCTACCATGGATTGTTCAATTGACCTTAATGGATGTTTCCAATCATTACTTTTTCCTGGCTGTATCAAGGCCAAGTCCACCAGATGTCAGTACAATATAAATTATCCAAATTCTTTAATTTAAAAGCCAAATATAGCAGATGAAAATGAAATTGCCATAAAACAAAGGCACTTCATTGAATTATAACAAATTTACCTATACGAAATAGAGGGAGAGATTGTAAAACTGGTCATTATAAACTGTAATGTGATTTTTAAAATAATTTCTAATAGCCTTCTTTAATGTAATCTGAATAAATCTGATCTAGTATTTATCCTTCTTCCTGTTTCATTATCATTCAAATGTAGTATTTGCCAGATGACTTCTTTATTCACTGATAGTTTCATGCATTATCATTTCCTCATTACATATTTCTCTTGATTATTTTTTCTACTCTAGAAAAAGAGACAATCATGAAAGTAGTATATTCCCTGACGTATTTCTTCACTTGATCACAGTTAAACTAAAGGTTAATATGGGTAACACTTGCTGGCAATGAGTTGAAATCTTGATGTTAAGACATACCAATGACATTTTTTTTCCAAATATGTTTGAAAATTTAATTTTTGATGAGAAAGTTGTTAGTTTACATCCTTAATGCATGCACACACACAAGCACACACACAAACACACACACACAGATACTCAACGAGAAAAAAGAGGCTTCATATGAGTGAGAGAAAAATATCACTAAGCCTGTGTTTGTCTCTGTTTGTTTATTGTTCTTTGTGTAGAAATGTGCAGGAGGATTTGCTCCTTCTGCTTAGCATTAGAGGAACTCTTTTTCTCTCTCAAATTTAGTTTCTTTTTTTTTTTTTTCCAATTTGTGGCACTCAACAGAGTTTTCCACTTCACCTTCCCAACTCCAATACCTACATCTTAGTGACAGAACTTAAGGAGAAAGTAATATGAGAAACAGACAAGCTAATGCCACCCTTCATGCTTGCAGCTCATAATAATATGCTTTTGCCAACCTGAGAATTATACCACAGGTAGAATCTTCATCTACTATTTTATCCTTGCACTTTCAACCCAAAAGCCACCACTCTGCTCCTTTAAGGAAATGGTCAAGTAGTGGTTTTCTTCCTATACCTAGGTAATTTGCTCCTCAGGCCTTGCACTATCCCCAAATTTATCTTCATATTTTTTCACACCTAAAATTAGTTCATTATTTTGTTTAAATATTGAAGGGCTTGATGTTTCGGCACATATTCTGCATTCCATGAGTTTATAATCTGAGCAAAAGGACCAATCATGCGACCAAAGCAGTAAGAGAACGTGTTAGAGATATGGTGTAGTTCTTTCTGAGAAAGTAAACTTGCAGAGTATAAATGGCTCACATCGGTTTGAAAGGACCTGTCAAGTTGGGCTAAGCCCAACAAAGGCAAGAAAACTGAGGGCTCAGCTACCTGAAGGATGAAGATCTGGATTCCATCAGTGAAGCCGGAGAAACCAGTGCCGGCAAATTATGAAACAGAGAACGCATTTACACCATCAATTTCTGAACAAAATATTAATAATATTTATTAATCTAAAGGAAAAAGATAAACTAAAAGACACTGCTCTTTTAATATATCACATTTTAACAGGAGAAAAACCATAAGATTATCCAAATAGCTTTTTAAAAACACATTTGATGTGATTCAGTATTCATTTGTAGTTTCAAAAGCCATAACCAAAAAAACTAGATGGGAATTTTCTTAATCTGAAGAAGGGCAAAAACAAACATATAAACAAATACAAAATCTACAGCAAGGATTCAAACCCTCCCCTAAGGCCAGAGAAAAATACCTAAAAAGATGTCTGGAATCATTGTGATTCCTGTTTCAAAATTGTTCTAGGCATATGTTTTCAACACAATTTTTACCAGAATCACTCAGTTTCATCTTCTCTCACCCCCACCTCTTTGGTGTCACTTTCCCACCTTCCCTGCTTGCCAGTGGATCATGGCCACCTTCTTGTCTGTTAACTATCTTGGCTGCCATTGTCTTTTCCAGGATTAGACTTTTTAGTATTCCTGGACAAGAGGTGCAGAAGATCTCACACCTAGGATCAAACTGATTGTACCCTTGGAAGTTCTGGCTCCCTCTGCTTTACCTAGATTTATATGAAATACCAGAGTGTAGGGCAGAAAATCTGGCTTCCCCCAAGGCTTCTTAAGATGTCTGGTAACACAACTCAAAAATTTAAGAGTGATGGTATGTTACTTTGCTTGATTCATTGTTCCTCAATGTAAACACATTTTGAAATATCACATTGCACTCCATAAATATATCCAACTCTTATTTGTTAATTTTTAAAAAGTTTAGGAGAGTTAATGACCTATAGAACTACATGACACACAAAGCATGACAGAGAACTGGCAGAAAAATGTTGCTCCCTTCCTCCTGTTGATAGAATGCCCCAAGACACAGAGGTTAGCTATGTGTCTCTACAAATATCTTGTATACCACAGCAATATGTTTTGTCTTTGTTTGTTTAATTTTGGTAGCAGCTAGGTAGCATACTATATTGTCATTACTTTTCTGCCTTATCTTTTTATTTTTCCCTTCACTTTTAGGACTATATCCCACTTAAATAAAAGATTAGCATATACTTACTGCTTGAGTGTTTTCTAGAAAACTTGGATTAAACAAGTTCCTAGTCAGTGTAATAATAAAGGGAAATCAATTAAATGGGAAATGAATGAAAAATAGAAATCAAAATGCCATTAACTGTTGGCAAAATCGTCCATATAAATAATGTACAAAATCTGCAGATTAATTATAGTATTTGAAAGAAAGAGTTTAGAATCTAGCAGTGGCTTTTGGATACAAATGTTATGAACTCAAATAGCTGTTAGTAATAAACTAAATTAATACATTTTGATATATCAAGTAAAGTACGGTATTGAACATGAATAAATTGAAGTTCATAAATATCATTAATCTCAAAAATACAATGTTGTCTGAAAGAATAAAGTCATAGAAAAACACATGAAGTATGCTTCCATTTATATAATTTTAAAAATAGATATCTATTCATCTAAATGAATATATGTATGCATTGAAATGCCATCAAGTAAATCAAGGGAAAAATTATAACAAAATTCAAGTTGGTATTACCTTATGAGGTGAGAAGAAAAGAAACAAGATGGGGACAGTCATACAGGAAGTTTTCCAAGGAAATAATAATACTCTCTTAAGCTAAATGGAATGCATAGGAGTCATTGTAGCCTCCTTTTAGCTCTAGACATAATATACACACTGTGCGTACAATTGATTTCACATTAAAATATTAAGTTACTGTGGAATTATTATTATTATTATTATTATTATATTTTTTTAGTCAGGTTGTAGGAAAACTTTCTCTAGATATACTGTGCTGATTTTGGGTAAGATGGAGGTTACAGGTTACAGTAACTCAGAAATCTATTTATTTGAGTAGGCACCAAAGGTAAATTTCTGATGTGCAGGTAGTTTTAAGATCATCAAGCTAAAATAGCAAAACAATTTCATCTTTAGTTACATTTTGTTCTGATGAGCTGGCCTGGAGACATAACTATCTTATTGAACTTTTTCTTTCACCCCCTCAGTGGGAAGATTTATTTCAAGTTCAACATAACCAACTTACAGACTCTTAGTGCACAACTCATATATCCGTCTGAGACTATATGCCTCTGGTACAGCAGGGAAAAGGTGCAAAGCATTATTTTCAAGAAGTTTCATTTGAATATATCAGAGCCCCTGCAGTGTGAGGGCCTTTGAAAGAAACAAAAATAGATAGTATGTGCTTACTGGAGAAAATGCAGGATTTGAAGTTGGCAGTACCTAGGGATAGATTTATTTTTTTTTTTGAGAGGAGGAATTATTCCCTCTGATACTTTAAATATATAGTACCTTTCTAATTTCTTATAAGGTTGTCTCATTCCTTTGTGCCTTCTGCATAGAAGATGATGACTTCAAGAAGCTGAATATGTTACAGAAAATAATTAAAAGCTTACCATCATCTACTGAAGTATTCAATCACATAGAAGACTACCACAGAAAGAAATAAAGGGAGAAACTGGGGAAGCAATGAGAAAACTCAAGTGTATTTTGCAAAATGACAGTTTTTAAAACAAGCCCAAGGGTTTGTTAAGGGCTTGTCTTAGATGCAGAGCCTAAGTGTTACATTTTGGGGGTTTTTAATGACACAAGATCATTCATTAAAATCTGGCTTTTCTTGGATGTTTGTTATGTGATTTCTCAGACTACCATAGGCTTCCAGATCTGAAGAAAAATCTCTCCCATTAAGACCCCAAATACATTCCTCAATATAATTTTCTCTAAGAAACAAAATAAATGCCTTTAACTTTCCTATATCTTGAAAAATTAAATCATAGAGCAGAAATTTTCCACTGAGGAAATAATTAAACGTATTGCACATATTATTTTGTATCTGAGTTAATGTGATGAGAAGGAGAAAGGAACTGAAGGGAGAAAAATAATTAAGAAACAAATATAGATACGTTGAATTGTTGAAAGGCCCCACAGGGGAAACACACACACACAAACACACACATATACACATACTCTAAATAAATATTTTTTTAAAAAAACAAACAAAACATCCTACTTCAGTTAGAGGGCTGTACTAGTAGCGATAGGTACCTGATATGTTGAAAGTTCCACTCTGCCCTTTACTCAGAAGGAACACATAATTACAACAGCTAAAATTACAGGAAAAAAATAAAGTGAAATGGTTCAGCTCTTGGGAGCCAAACACAAACAGCAGCTCTGACCTTTAAATCTCTAGCGACTGCATGAGCAGTGGTTCATCCCAGCACAATAGCTTTAAAAAGATTAGTAATCAGTTTTCTTAAAAAATATTTCAGGCGTTTGAATTGAGTGATCATTTAAAATTAATAAATAAAAAGTCAAAATGGATTTTTATTCATACAACTGATAAGAGGCTTGTAAAGGGTTTGTTACGGTTGGAAATAGTATATAAAATGCCTTAAGCTTTTTACAGGAAAAAATGTTTATTCATATTTTATCATTACAATTTCTAGCTTTTAACAATTGTTGAAAAGGAGAACAGGGAAATGAAATAAATGACAATGTGTGTATCAGGAGAAGTCCATCACAGAAACTGAAAACACACTTTCAAGTTCGTATCTCCTTCTCAATGTCAATGTCTGCAAGCAACAACCACGAGTAGCTACTTGATGTCAAAGCACTGCACTATGGAGAAAGAGCAAGGGGCGTCAGGCCAAGAATAATTGCTGTTGATATAGTATGTGAGCAAGCATTATTAGAACGGAAGAGAATGAAAGCCCTCCTGCTATGAAATGCATGTTAATTAAGTATGCAGTCCTTGACAACTACAGCAGTAAGAACAGTTTATGAACAGTGAGTACAGTAGCCAACTGCCAGGGCAAAGAGCATCTAGTGATGGGTACCTCACTCTTTTTCCATAATCAACAAGTTGTTGAAACTAAAAAACAAAATCAAATTATAGACAGTGTTCTCTTTTGCTCATTCTTATTTTCCCCACTTTATTGAGGCATAATTGACAAGTAAGAATTATATCTATTCAAGGCATATTATATTCATTGCAAATATGTATACACACATCTATTCAAGGCGTACAATGCTTATATATATTGTATATGTTGTCAAATAATTTCCATGATCAAGCTAATTAACATTCCTATTGCCTCACATAGTTGCTTCATTTTGTGAGGGGTGTGTGGGGGTGTGTGTGTGCACACTGAGAATACTTAGGATCTACTTGCTTAGAGAATGTCAAGTATGCAATACGTTTTTATTAACTGCAGTGAACATGCTGTACATCAGGTTTCTGGAACTTTCTTATCTTATAACTGCAAGTTTCTACCCTTTGACCAACATCTCACCCAGCCAACTCTTGGTAACCACCCCTCTACTCTTTGTTTTTATGAAACAGACTTTTTTAGATTTAACATATACTTGGTATAACATCCTCCAGGTTCATCTCTCTTGTTCCAAATGGCTGCATTGCCTTCTTTTTCAAAACTGAATACTATCTCATTGCAAACATGTATACACACACAAACACATACACACACACACACACACACACACACATATATATAATAATTTCTTTATTAATCCATCAGTAGGCATTTAGGTTATTTTCCATATCTTGGCTATCACAAATAGTACTGCAATAAAAATGGGAGTGCAGATAGCTCTTCAAGATAGTGATTTTACTGCCTTTAGATGTACACCCAGAAGTAAAATTGCTGAATCAGGAATTACTCTTGCAAATGTTTCTTTTAAAATGGTATGAACATAGCTTTTGAGCCATAAAGGGAATATAATACATATTTTACATAGTAAATCAATAAAGACTAAACTTCTCTTTTACTGTGTCTATTTTTTTCTCTTTAATCCTAAATTTCGTAAGTGAAATACTTTTTTATAATAGCTTTTAGCTAATTGGCATTTAGTGAATGCAAAGATAAACTTTTTTAAAAAAATTGTCTTTCTTTTTATAAGGTGAAGGAGCAAATGTTTGAATTATGTAACTAATAAATTAAAATATAATGTGTACATTGTCATAACTATTATCTAGATAAAATTCATTAAGCTTAAAGCTAAATGTAAAAGCTGCAAATTTATTTATTTATGTAGTTGTACATTTGTATATGTCTACCTAAATATATAAGGTGTGGTAAGATTAGTTAAAAAGCTTATGTCTCAAAGAAAAATTGAGACATAAAAAAAGTCTTCTTAATATGTTGATTCTGAGTATGAGGATTGAGTTTTAGAAAAGAAAGATTAAGAATTGAAAGAGGAGAAAATACTTGAAAATAAATTATAATTTTTAAAGATTGGTAAATAATTAAAGGCAACATTTGAAAAACAATTAGTAAAACTGATTATTACCCTTTCTTTCAAAAATAGGGGAACATTGAAATGATTCAAGAGACTATGAGAAATACAGAGAGTTAACATATTTTGAAAATAAAAACTTTTGTTGTCTGGGTACAGAATAACTTGGTTGCCTCACAAGAGACAAATGTAAATTCAATTTCTTCCCATTTTATATACCATCCACATACAACTTGAAGAAATAATTTATTACTAAATATTTTCCTTATGAATGAACTTTTGTTATTGAGTTGATTTTATTAAGAATTTTAAGATATTTATTGTTTTTTAAATTTTATTTTTATTATTCATAAGCTTTTGAAATAATCTTACAGTACCTTATATATGTAGATAGACATATACAAATGTACAACTACATAAATAATAAAATTAGAGTTTTACATTTAGTTTAATTAACTTTATCTGCATAGTAAATAAGATAATGCACATATTACATTTAAATTTATAATTTTACATATAGCGATTCTCTAAACAAACTGACATATGGTATTTGTTACCTTGTATGAAAACTCATATGTTCCTGTAATTATTATACCTAACATATTGTTAATCATTATATAATCACCTTTAACCAAAGTGACCAACTCTTGTTATCTCTTGACCCAAAGAAAAGTGGAAGACAGGAAATCAATAAATATATAGCTGTTTTTTTCCAGGAGCACACATTTCATATTAGCTTTCCAAATTTAAAAATGGCAAAAACTCCCACATAACTAACATTATCCAAAATCATTTGCACATCACCTGATTTTCTAATTATTTAAAAATGTAGAACTAATTTAGTTACGAAGTTACATATCAAAATTATTTAAATATTTATAAATTTATTAAATTTAAAACTTGTAATGATATTAAAGTGAACTAAAGATCTACAAATTACAAATTCATTCAATTAAACACAATTTTGTTATCATTTTAATTTTTAAGAACAATAACTTGATAACATAAAACATATACACATTTAGAATTCTTAAAGAAATAGAGTTTGATTCTACTTCTTCAAAATCTAGAATATTACGTTGAGTTTAGATATATACAATTAAATGAAAGAGAAGACAGATAATAATTTTTGGTCAAATTAATTACCTCACTGTAAAGTATCAAAAATTCCTCTATTTATCATGGATATCAAATAAAAATTTCTAACAAAATTTATGAGCTTTAACTCTTGTCTTTAATTTTTAATTATTTAAATATTGTTTAAAATATCTCCTTGTCATCTGATCTTAGAACTAGTGGTCTTACAATGAGCAAAGATATTACTTAATTATATTTCTTAGTGAAATTTTAGAATGAACAATTTCTTGCAGAGCAAACATTTTTAAAGATCAAAACAAAACTATTTATTTTTACTTACTCCTTTTAGAAATTTTTAACACTGTCTTGACCATTTCTAGCATGTACAAATATTGGCAGCCCTTAATTTGATTAATCTTCAGTTTTCTAAGAAATAGGAATATAAGATAGAAATAGAAAGAAGAATAAAGGTGATATAGAGATATAGATATGGAGGGAAAGGGGGAAAAGCATGACAGAGAGAGAGAGTGGGAATAAAAGGGAAGGAAAGTGGAAGTGGGAGAAGGAGAAAGGAACAATCAATTACAGCTAGGTTAAACAATGTCCCAGGGCCTTGACAATTTTATCAAACCACAAGATTAAAAAGTCATTCTTTATTCACCTAGAAAGTGTAGAACCTGAAGTAAGAGAAATTCTCATAACAAACAGTCTTTTAGGTGGACAACTATCTCCCCATGAAAGTTCGTTTCTTTCTTTTTGTTTTTTTTTGGTCTAAGGTATGATAATTGTTAATGTCAAAAGTGTCCTCAAAGTGGTCAGATCATAATGGCTCTTCATTTTTCTTGGTGATATTGTACCCAAGGTAAAATATTTCATACCATTATTTCCGTGACAAGTGAGGATATGTAAAACTAGATAGGTTCCAGAAGACATTAGAAAATTGTGTGGGCTTCATTATTTCTTTCTTTTTTTTTTTTTTTTTTTTTTTTTGAGATGGAGTTTCACTCTTGTCGCCCAGGCTGGAGTGCAATGGTGCAATCTCCACTCACTGCAATCTGTGCCTCCTGGGTTCAAGAGCTTCTCCAACCTCAGCCTCCCAAGTAGCTGGGAATACAGGTGTCCACCACCACGCCTGGCCAATTTTTGTATTTTTAGTAGAGACAGGGTTCCACCATGCTGGCCAGGCTACTCTCAAACTCCTGACCTCAGGTGATCCACCCGCCTCAGCCTCTGAAGTGCTGACATTACAGGCATGAGCCACTGTATCTGGCCCATTATTTCTAAAGGAGCTGCAAAACAAATAATCAGATCTCACAAATGCTGTATCTCACCCTACACTTTACTAAAGAGCTCTGAGAGATAAAAGAAAGGAAAAAATAAACCATAAATGGTATCAGCAAGGAAAAATAGAATTAATTGATCTTTTTCAGTGATCAAAGAAAACAAGTCAAAGCTCAGATACAGAGCAGGATTTACTTCAGAGGCTGAATAAAAGAATATTGAGAAGAGGAGGTAACAAAGAACCTCTGGCATTCACAACCTTGTCAAAGTTCCCTGATTCAAACAGTAGGAGGGTCCAGACTATTGCTGGGGGAAATGGAGATGCAGGCATTGTACTGGTTAGATATCCTAGAATAAAAGCACCAGAATGTAGGTGAGAAAATAGTTTTATATTTATTCTAATTGGAAAGTGTACTCGTCTGTTTTCACACTGCTGATAAAGACATACCCAAGATTGTGAAGAAAAAAAGGTTTCACGGACTTACAGTTTCATGTGGCTGAGGAGGCCTCACAATCATGGCAGAAGGTGAAAGGCACATCTCATATGGTGGCAGACAAGAGAAGACAGCTTGTTCAGGGAAACTCTCCCTTATGTAATCATCAGATCTCATGAGACTTATTCACTATCATGAGAACAGCACAGTAAAGACCTGTCCCCATGATTCAATCACCTCCCACTGGGTCCCTCCCACAACACATGGGAATTCAAGATGAGATTTGGGTGGGGACACAGCCAAATTACATCATTCTGCACCTAACCCCTTCCAAATCTCACGTCCTCATATTGAAAAACCAATCAAGCCTTCCCAATAGTCCCCCAAAATCTTAACTCATTTCAGCATTAACTCAAAAGTCCACAGTTCCAAAGTCTCATCCAAGACAAGACAAGTCCCTTCTGCCTTGAGCCTGTAAAATGAAAAGAAAATTAGTTATTTCCTAGACACAATGGGAGTACAGGCATTGTGTAAAGACAACCATTCCAAATGGGAGAAATTGGGCTAAACAAAGGGCATAAAGTCCCCATGCAAGTCCAAAATCCAGCAGGGCAGTCACATCTTAAAGCCGCAAAATGATCTCCTTTGACTTCATGTCTCACGTTCAGGTCACATTGATGCAAGAGTTGGGCTCCCATGGCCAGGAGCAGCTCTGTCCCTGGGATTTGCAGGGTATCGCCCCCTGGCTATTTTCACAGGTTTGCATTGAGCGTCTGCAGCTTTTTCAGGCACACAGTGTAAGCTGTCAGTGGCTATATCATTCTGGGGTCTGGATGACAGTGGCCCTTTTCTCACAGTTCCACTAGGCAGTGCCCTAGTAGGGACTCTCTGTGGGGGCTCCAACCTCACATTTCCCTTCTACACTGCCCTAGCACAGGTTCCCCATGAGTGCTGTGCCACTGCAGCAAATTCTACTTGGACACCCAGGCATCTGAAATCTATGCGGAGGTTCCCAAACCTCAGTTGTTGACTTCTGTGCACTTGCAGGCCCAACACCATGTGGAAGCTGTTAAGGCTTGGGGCTTGCACCCTCTGAAGCCATGGCCTGAGCTCTACATTGGCCCCTTTCAACCATGGCTGGAGCAGCTGGGACACAGGACACCAAGTCATTAGGCTGCACAGAGCACAGGGATCCTGGGCCCAGCCCACAAAACCAGTTTTTCTCCTAGCACTCTAGGCCTGTGATGTGAGGATCTGCTGTGAAGACCTCTGAAATGCCCTGGAGACATTTTCCTCATTGTCTTGGGGATTAACATTTGGCTCCTAGTCACTTAGGCAAATTTCTGCAGCAGGCTTGAATTTCTCCTCAGCAAATGGGATTTCTTTTTTATTGCATCATCAGGCCACAAACTTTCCAAACTTTTATGCAGTTTACATTTTAAAACTGAATGCCTTTAACAGCACTCAAGTCACCTCTTGAATCCTTTACTGCTTAGAAAGTTTTTCTGCCAGATAACCTAAATCATCGCTCTCAAGTTTGATGTTCCAAAAATCTCTAGGGCAGGGTCAAAATGCTGCCACTCTTTTTGCTAAAACATAACAAGAGTCACCTTTGCTCCTGTTCCCAACAGGTTCCTTATCTCCATTTGAGACAGCCTCAGCCAAGATTTCATTGTCCATATTATTATCAGCATTTTGGTCAAAGCCATTCGACAAGTCTCTAGGGAGTCCCAAACTTTCCCAAATTTTCCCGTCTTCTTCTGAGCCCTCCAAACTGTTCCAACTTCTGCTTGTTACCCAGTTCCAAAGTCGCTTCCACATTTTCGGGTATTTTCTCAGCAGTGCCCCACTCTGTCATGAATATTTCCTCCTTATTTTGTTAAAAACATGTTAGTGCATGAATACACTTGTACTAATAAATTATCTTCATTTTATTTCCTTTTTCCTTCATTATATGACATAACCTTTATTGAGTTCATATCAAAATTAAAGCATTGTTAGCTTTGTTTAACAGCATTTGGCTTGAGGATTGGTGTGTTTCTGGTTGTACAAAGAATAGTTAGTTGTATTATATTAGGCATAATTAGGACCTTATTATTGTCTTTATTGGAAGAGTATATATGATCTCAAGAGATGTGTATGGATTCAAGTTGACAAGGGGTGGACTTGTGATGGTTAATACAGAGTGTCAATTTGATTGGGTTGAAGGATGCAAAGTATTGATTCGGCTTGTGTCTGTAAGGGTGTTACCAAAGGAGATTAACATTTGAGTCAGTGGGCTGGGAAGACGGGCCCACTGTTAATCTGGGTGGCCACCATCTAATAATCTGCTGGCACATATAAAGCAGGCAGAAAGACGTGTAAAGACTAGCCTGACCTAGCCTCCCAGCCTACATCTTTCTCCCATGCTGGATGTTTCTTGCCCCAAAACATTGAACTCCAAATTTCTCACCTTTGAGACTAGGATTACCTTCCTTTGAGACTCGGGCTGGCTTCCTTGCCCCTCAGCTTGTAGATTGTCTATTGTGGGACCTTGTGATTGTTTGAGTTAATACTACTTAATAAACTCCAATATGTACGTGCTAGTCAGGGTTCTATCCCTCTAGAGAACCCTGACTAATACAGAAAGACATTAGGAAAATCAGACTGCTCTAGATTTTTGACATTTGGCAGAAATTTTAAATAATTACAACAACAGCAATTAGGTAAGCAACTAAACTATGGGAAAGAGGAAAAAAAACTGGAAATGTTGTGGGTAGGGAAACAAAGAGTTACACTAACATTAGTTAACTGCCATTAGTTCTTTGCAAAGATGGTGTATGTCCAGGGAAGTGTATTGATGAGATTTGTTAAGCATTCTCATTTCTGGAAGAAGACACTCTAAGAGATAAGTCTAGGAAAAGTATCTTCTGTTTTTCAAGAAACTGTGTCTTTGTTTTCTTAGGAAAATTGGCTGTAAAAAGTTCAAAAGCCATTTCACACCAGTTAGAATGGCAAACATTAAAAAGTTAGAAAACAACAGACGCTGGAGAGGATGTGGAGAAATAGGAACGCTTTTACGCTGTTGGTGGGATCGTAAATTAGTTAAACAATTGTGGACACAGTGTGGTAATTCCTCAAGGATCTAGAACCAGAAATACCATTTGACCCAACAATCCAATTACTGGGTATATACCCAAAGGATTATAAATCATTCTGCTACAAAAACACATGCACACATATGTTTATTGCAGTGCTGCTCACAATAGTGAAGACTTGGAACCAACCCAAATGCCCATCAATGATAGACTGGATAAAGAAAATGTGGCACATATACACCATGGAATACTATGCAGCCATAAAAAAGGATGAGTTCATGTCCTTTGCAGGGACATGGATGAAGCTGGAAACCATCACTCTCAGCAAACTAACACAGGAACAGAAAACCAAACACTGCATGTTCTCACTCATAAGTGGGAGTTGAACAATGAGAACACATGGACACAGGGAGGGGAATATCACACACCAGGGCTTGTTGGGGGGTGGGGGACTAGGGGAGGGACAGCATTAGGAGAAATACCTAATGTAAATGATGGGTTGATGGGTGCAGCAAACCACCATGGCACATGTATACCTAGGTAACAAACCTGCATGTTCTGCACATGTATCCCAGAACTTAAAGTTTATGTATAAGAAAAAAAAAGTTCAAAAGCAAAAGACAATTGAAGACAGTGGTGTAGTATGGAATATTAGACTGTGAGAAGTTGGGTCATCTAAGCAAAAGAAAATATAGGTCAATACAAGCTGTGCTGCAACACTATTTTAGTGCAATTAGAGTAGTGATGTACATTGGAGTAAAACTGGACCAGAGGTTCCCTTAGAACTAATTTGCCAACTCAGTCCCAATCAGCAGAAATTGTTTACAGTTTCTGCAATCACTGTTATTACGCTAATGCAAGAACATAGGCACAATAATTCTGAGAATAGATATCTTTAATCCTGGGAGAGTTTCATAAAAATTTTTAGGGCCAGCAAGCTTAAATTAAAAAAAAAAAAAAGAGATAAATCTGGAAGAAAGAATACCAGCAAAGTAAGAAAGGGTCAAATGTTTCTAATCTGACAAGGATATATGGAAGTTTCAATGCCTGGGTACTATGGGCTGAATTGTGTCCTTCTAAAATTTATGTCATGAAGCCCTAACCCCTAGTTCCTCAGAATTTGACTATTTTTGAGGATAGAGCCTTTCAACGGAAGGATTAAGTTAAAATGAAGGCCCCTTTAGAGTGGGCCCTAATCTAATCTGATTGGCATCTTTATAAGAAGAGGAAATTTTCACATGCATGCAGGAATGAGAGAGAGACAGAGAGAGAGAGAGAAACTAGGGATATTTGTGCACAGAGGAAATATCATGTGAGGAAACCAAACCTGCTGATATCTTGATCTTGAACTTCTAGTCTGTAGAGCTATGGGAAAATAATGTTTTGTTGCTTAAACCACCCAGTCTACGGTATTTCCTTATGACAGTCCTAGCAAACTAATACACTGGGTGACTCATATTGCACCAGCACTAACATGCCATTTTTTTTATTATGATTATTTCCATGATTCTCCAGATCAGCAGTTTCTTTGTATAGATAAATACTATCAGATAAACTTGTATAACGTTTAGTTTCCTAGACCCAGTCCCAGAAATATTATAGGTCTGGAGTAATGCCCAGAAATCTGAAAATTTGCAAGCACCCAGCAGTGATTCTGATGTTGGAGTATTAAAAACAAAATTTCAGACAAACTTCTATAGATGTATGTGAGGAATACTCACATCTCCGGAAAGCTATTCAGGTAGGTGTTCTCTACTCAGTTTGAACTATTGAGCAGGAGAATTAGGAAGGTAGGGATGTCTTTGTACTCATCCTTTAAAATAATAAATGTAGAGTGTTTGAGATACTTTTTCATGATTTTATGATCCCTCAGTGTGATTCATTTAATAAATTGATACATTACACTTTTTTTTATTAGGTAACAATAGGTTAAGATCAAGCACTGTGTCATGACTTTTGTACTGAGATTTCTGTGCAGTTTATTTCTTGCTTATCACTATGGTACAAATGTGGATAGCTTCATGAGTGTAGGTCCTGCACAGTAACACTGAACACAGTAGTGTTGCCCCCTTGGTTTAAGGTTTTGTTGTTGCCATCTTAAAATTCTTAGTAGTTTTTAACAAGACGCTTGCATATTCATTTTGCATGGGGCCTTGCGTATTACATTCCTGATCCTGAGTACCAAATCAGGTTTAAGGTTTATGACTTATGACAAAGATGTCTATATCTCCCTTGGGTTTCATTTATGTTTTTAGCCTCAGAAATTAGAGTTGAATTAAAAACCCATATGATAGAAGTCACTCTTCATGTTGCATTGTCACTAATGATAAGGGAAATGTAGCTGAAGAGTTATACTCATGTCTTTTAATGATTTTCACGTACACTAGCATTCACTATCCCACATGAAGGCATGTAAAGATCATGGGGAAGATGGAGTTTTTAACAACCATCAGGTGAATCTGGTATGCTTCTCATTTTTTTTCTTTGTCTACAATTGAAGTATTTTCTAACCACAGATTTATGGCACAGCTCATTTCTCGTGCTTTAAAAATACCAAGGAAAATCACACTAGGAATGTCTCGCCTACATTTCAAGCTACATAATTTCTTTTATCCTTTGTTTTCCTTTCTATATTAAGCATAATTATGGAAAATAAGATTTTTGTCGTGTCAAAATGATATGTTTAGAGAAGAATTAGAGTATCTCTTAAAACAGTCTTTGATCCTTTTGTTGTTCCTCTCACTTCACACTTGTTATACTCAAAGAAACATAATTATGTATTATAATTTAGGGAAAATTACCCCGTGCAAGTCTATATTCTATAAATTTAATTCCAGAAAACTGATTAAGACTTAATTATGGATTAAAATGTGTGTCATAATAAGAATTATAATTACAATGATATCTAACATATATTTTGTATTCACTATGTTTCCAGCACTTTACTAAGTGATTTACATATATAAATATCTTTGATCTTCACAAAAACTATATGAGTTAGGTGTTCCCAGGCATTATGGATGATGAAATTAAGGCACAGAGAAGCGTGGGTGATTGTCTCAGCATCCAGGGTTACCCATTGTATGGAGGAGACTCCTAAACTATAGTATTAGGTAGAATAAGAGAAATTTTCAAATATCCTTCTTTCGGTTCTTATCAAAAAAATTAATTTCTCGTTAAGATACGTTTGGTCTTACTTATAAATTCTTAAATAGCAACATATATTCTATCACTCAGAACAAATTATAGCAAAATTCCAATAATTACCTCTGCAAGACCTGAGCAACACCTACAGAAATTCTATGTTAAATTTTAATACTGTGTTGAATAAATATGTACAAAGGACCATTATTCCTCAACGTAGATTGTATGCACACAGTGGCTGTTTGAAATAAGAAACTATTTGGGAAACAGTGAAATGTCTTTATTGTGTGACCTTTTAAGTACACTTATATCCCCTAAAATGGGACAATTCTCAAAACATCAGATTACATGTGTGTGGCATCAGAACTATGAACTTAACACTTATCTTGCTGTCATTGAGCTTTAGGTGGTTCCAACTGTGAAGAACAAGGTGTGTGTTTTTGTTCTATGAGAATGATTTTATTCACTCTGTATCTAGATCAAGTGTGAGAAGATGAGAGCTGAGGCTTTGTTCAGGTAGAATACCCAGGAAGCATGGCTCATATACCAGGTCACCTGGCTGAGCAATGAAGTGATGGTTCCCAGAAGCAGAGAGAGCAGAACTAGAGAAGGGTGGAAAAGAAAGTCTTAGATTAGAGCCATGTTGGTGATCCAAGGTGATTTCTCAGATCTTTAGAAAGGAGGCAATGAAGGGGAAGTAAAAGTATGAATAAGACTAAAAGACCAGAAGAGGCTAAATAAATATAAGGATGAATGTCAGAGTGGGGCTGTAGGTCATGGAAAAATACCTGGGCTGAGTTGAAGAGCTGGGAAGGTTTTAAAATATATTTCCACCACCATAAACTGAGCCATAGATAGAACCAATGAAGCAGAGGAGTAAATAGTTTAGCACAGCAGGTAGATTGACAGAAGTCCTATAAATAACATTCTTTATCTCATTTATAAAACCTTAGATGTAATGTAAACAACTTGAGGTATTACCTTCTCAGTGTCTCTTGTGTGTGTGGAAACATCAAAACTTGCCTTAATAACATGATTTTACTACCTGAAATTTAAAAAAAACTAAATCACAGAAAATGATGTAGTCACTTATTCAACAAATATTTACTGAGAACCTACTCAGTGCTGGGACTGTTCTAGAGCTCTGGTGAGAAACCAAGGAAACAAAATTCCATGCTCATGGAGAATGTACATCAGTTCTTATTGGTAGAGTGTGTGCTTGGGATGCTGTATGAGGAAGGATCCTAAAGGCATCTTAGCTCTCCAGAAGGAATGAACCATGATTGATAAGCAGTATCAGTCACTGAATGCATGCATCATGTAAATGTTTTGTTGAGAGGTAGGTCTGACCTAGAGATATTGATTGGCATTTGCTTATTGACGTGGAGTGGTACAAGTTGTAAATATCCACCTCCCATCTGTCTCCTATTTCCAAGTTGGATTTTCCTAGCTTCCAAAGACGAAACACAGGTAAACATTTTCTCTAAACAAAGCAATGTAAATGGCTAATTTGTGCAGGTGAACTAAAAACTGTTAAACTCACGTTAACAGATTTAGGCATATAGAGGTGTTTTTTTTTTTTAATTACTCATTCATTTCAACAAGAGGAGGCATTTGAAAGATTTGGAATAAAATTCATTGTCTTTGTTAGTTCACTGGCTAGCAAAAGCAGAGAGCTAATTATATATTCTAATCGAATTCTTTCCAATCATCATCATCCAACTCCACCTCAACCCCCACTTGGATACAAATGCTACTAAAACTTTTCTCTCTAGTGTATACAAAAGCAGTCTTTTTTCTTATCCAAATATTTTAACCCAGAGACTAACAATAGTAGTCAACTAAATAAGTATTTGTATAACAGACACTTGTCCAAAGGCCTTACCTAAATTAGTCCACTTAATCTCTAAAATAATTTAATGAAATAAATAGTAAGTCCTATGATTAGCTTCATTTTATAGAGGAAAAAAGTGAGATACGGAGATGTTGAATAATTTGTCGAAGTTTGCACAATTAGCAAGCTTAAGAGCCAGGATTTGAACCTGATGTGGCTCTCTTCCACTGTCAGTGTCTGTTGCCTAAATAATACATACACATGCTCTCTTTCTTACTTTAAATAATCGTGGCTTATTTTAATTGCAATGTTTCTATGTTTCCTGCTGCTGATGAAAACGAAGCAAAAAGATAAAAAGAAAAATATGGCAATGAAATTGTTTAATTTATTCATTTACTCAAAAAATATTTATTATGTACCTACAATGTACTTTGTACATTTTTGGTGATGAAATACCACGAAAAATCAATAAGCACAAAAACCTATGTCAATTTTTGTAAGAGATTACCTTCCAGTGGGCAATAAATAAATAGATAATTTATATTTTCAGGTAGTTGAAAGTTCTATGAATACAAATAAAGTACTGTAAGGGTATTGAGTATAATATGTGGTCTGAGAAGGTCTTTCTAAGAGATGTTTAATGAAGTGAGGATGCAAGCCATGAAAATATCTGCAAAGAATTTCTTGACAAAGGGAAGATAAAGTACAAAGGCAATAAGAAATAATAAGGGGGATACTTTGCAGAGAGAGGGCAGATGGATTGATAAAATGTATCTCAAAGAAGCAGCCAGAAGCTACCTAAACACGGAGACATATAAGGTGGAGTAAGAACTGAATTTTATTCAGATATCAAAAAATATTCTAAAGCAAGGAACAAAAAGACCTCTGATATGAGGTGGCCAACTTAAAAAAATTGCTGGTGAAAAGACTATGGTCATGAATTAAGGTAAAGAGTCTTTTATTAAGTCTCTTTGTGATTTTGTAACCAAGCTTCGTTATCAGGGATCATGCAGTCTTATTGGCTTAAAGCTTCAGCAAAGGCATCTATCTGGGCTCAACATAGCCACTGGGCATGTGTTTGAAAGACAGAAAAGTAGACATGTTAAATCTGTACCTTGCTGTCCCAAGGAAATGATAGCAACCCTTGCTAAAATATTCATGTTTTTCATACTTAGAGAGGCTCTCATTCTCCATAAGTACCTTATTTCTATCATTAACTCTTGTCTTAATTACCCAAACACATTGATGATGTTTTGGACATAATTATGAATTGTGATGACTGTGCGTATCTGCCCTCAAAAGGCAGGCAACAGAAGGCTCTATTTCAATGTGTTCTGTGAATGCCAAAGATAACTACTGAGCAAAATATTTACTTTTTAAATGGTTATAGATAGAGTTACAATAAAAATTTTGAAAACCATCAGCATTTCTATTGTATATATTGGCATTCTGGAGGAGAATAAATCATAAAAAGAAATATGCTATTGGACTCTCTGACCTGGTTCTACCTTGACCTGGTAAGTGCTTTTGTAATGACAAATCAAAACCTTAAAATATAGAATCCTAACCTCCAATCGTTAGAAATGACCTTAAAGTTTTATAATATAGCTCAATGCACTTTTGAACTTCAAATTATAAATAATTATTAACTCATTAAATTCTTATCTAGAGACAACTGAGACAACAGTATTTATTATCAAAGATATTTTTGCCAGTCCAAAGACTTAGTGGCTTTCTGTTTCATCAGAATATTTCTTGCGATGGTTACAACAAGAGTGGTTTACTAGCTACACGGAAGTTATTATAGCGCCACTGTTCATGCTGATTAAATTGAGGCCACATCAGCATTTTTTTCTATGAACATTTTTTCCAGAGTTTTATAGTGCTGTAGTCAAACAAAAGGATATAGGGTAAGTAAACAGCTTCCAAAATCTTAGAGAAAAAATCATGACTCCAGCTCCTTATTTCCTCTCTCCAGACATCTAATGCAAGAGAGCAAAGGTAGCACTAAATTACAAACAAATCTTTGGGTACCAATAAAGGAAGCATAAAATCTGACTGCATATATAGCTCTACAAATACAAATCTGTCTTCAGAACAAAAGTTATGAATCATCTGTAGCAACAGCAAAAGATTTCTCTTTGATGGTTGGATGAATTCAATCACCAAAGCAAAGCTAATAAGAATTTCTAAGGTTTGTATTTCATAAGCTCTTTAATGCTGAATCTTATCTGAGATGTATGATTTTTGATAGTATCTTTCCTTCCTTTCCTGTGGATAAAAGGTAACCATAAGGGAGACTTTTGCTATATAGGTAATGCATGAAGGGAAATAAAATAATCTGTAAACATAATCTTGGTGTCGACTGTGATGCTGAGTTTTTTAGTCTTATCACAACTATGATCCCATAAAAAAATCCTCAAATAAAGAAGAAAACCCCCCATGCACATATAACTTCAAAGTGTATCATGACCTGGAACAGAAGCAAACGTCTTTCTCACCCCAGGTAGTGATTAATTTATACCCTAAGGTGTAAAACCTATTCTCACAAATACAACTACAAATATTTTTTATAGGATTGGGCCATTCGCCTACTTCATGTCTACAATCTGGCCTGTGATGAAACATTTGAAGTCAAGAGGAGATCAATGCAGAGTGGTGAAAAATATGAAAAATGAACTAAAACCCTTTATTTATCCTCTCTCTAAAAATGGAAAAGCCACTTGCCCCAGTCACATCAGATATATTAAACCAAATATGCTTCTACAAATGGCCTTGTACAGGGAACTACATAAAGCAAACTAATATTAACAAAGTCACTGGTGCTTAGATACTTAAGACATACACATACGATGCTTATTATTTACCTAGTAATGGTCTAGTAGTCTGAAACACTGAATTAGTGTATACTGAATTTTTACCCCATATGGAAGATACAGGGTTAAGTAATTGAGAGCCTCTAATTACATTTTCACAAACTGATTGATAGATTATTTTATGCCTGTTTCTCTTTAAAGACACTTTGTTGAACAATTAACATTGAACTCACAGCCAACAGCACCAGAGCTCATGCCTAAAGGAAGCTTCTCTGACATACATAATTTCACCATAAGATACACTACATAGCCTTTTTGAGTTCAGGAAAACAAGGCAGCATTTTCAGCACTAAATTTGGAGGACATTTCAAACAGTGAAATCCAAACAAAATGAACAGAAATACAGAAAATGTGGCCCTAAATAGATGGAAAAAAGGACGTAGTTTATAGTATAAGGGCTGAAATAAGTGCAAAGCTGTGCCTTATTGGACCTCAGACTTTCCTGACATATTTTTTTGCCACTCTACATATGTGCCTGCCCTTGAATGACCTTGAAGGCACTGCAAGTATTACTTTTGGGGTTAAAAATAAATTTTAGCAAGTAGGCAAAATTGAAAATACAGAAATCACCAATTATGAGGATCAACTGTATTATGTTATTTGGTTAGTTTCTTAAGAAAGAAGTCCTCAACAGTAAAGAAAATAAGTTTGTAAAAATTATTCAAAAAGCCCAGCATCACCTATTTTAAAATCAATACTAATTTCAAATTAAAATGTCATTTAAATTAAGTTACATATATTATTTAAAGTAACCCAAGATTGACTTAATTGACTTTCCTTTAAAGTCTCCATCTTAAATATGTACATTATGTAAAATATCTCCCCAGGCTATTTAACTAATTCAAAACACTATTAATAGTGCACATGGCTAAAGGAATAGTTGCACCATGTTCATATGTCCCCTTATAATGGACCATTATTTAATGGTCCATTATATTAATGTTAAGCTAAGAACTTAACACTCACGCACATGCAAAAATCTGTTTAAAATATTACCTTATTTTCTCTTAAAAGAAATTTGTCTCAAAATACCTTCTGCTTCAAGTCTCCTAATTGCTAGGGCAGGTGGAAGAGCACACAGTGACCTGAACTACAACCTGTATAAATCAGAAGATATGTAAAGCATGGATTCAATTGAAATCATATTTAGGAGTAGTTAGGATAGGTGAGTTGAAGAAAACTCTAGATATGGGTCTTGATCAGTTTTGCCAAAGCTACCTTATATGATATGGTTTATGAAAAGTGAGGTTTCCTAAGTCTTTCATAAAGTGCTAAAAACACCTTTAGAAAATATTGCTGTTTTTAACTGATCTATGTGTATGTATGTGTCTATTGTCATCTATCTATCTATCTATCTATCTATCCTCTAAATAAAAATAATGTGTTTTTTATTGTGTAAACATAGTTTCACAATACGCGTAAACTTTGTAACATATGTGGAAACCGTGTAAACATAATTTCAAATAAGACCCTTACTCCCTTGCTTCCAACTAAATTTTCACCCCTAAAAATAGCATGAAAATACTTCATAGTTCATGAATCAAGTCAGAGATTAGAAGATAAACTGCGTCCATTTTCAAAAGAACTGAGCACCCAAAGATTCTCTTTAGCCAGAAGCATGTGATAAATTAGACTCTATTATGTAATTTTAAAAGAAGCTTTTAGAAAATATATTACATTGTGTATCACAGCCCCAGGACATGTTATTTGATGGAATATCCTAAATACATATTTAAGTCATGAAAGAGGAACAGCTTTTCTCAAGTAAACAGAGCAGTCTCTAACACCTCATGCATCCAATTACCATAAAAGAATAAAAAGGGAATGAGAAAATTAAGCAGAAGTCATTATGCTCTCAACTGAGAATTCAAGGTCACAGATAGAATGCTACCCTACTTTGAAGGGGAGCAGCAAGCTGGCTGTCTACTGTGAAGGGCTCCACATTGATAGTCGGGGCATCTTTAATATGGATAAGGCCCTCACGAGTTTATTGAATGCAAATCATTACTTAAATCTAGTGAAGATATCTAATTTCTGTATAAAAGTTGCACATTTTTTAGGGCCAAAAGAGATCATGTTATACAAATAAACAACTATGCAAGAACAAATGCTAGGTGGTATATGTAATAAGGTAAAATCCCAACCAAATTGTATTTTTGATACATGATATCAGTCTGACATTAAATTCAATATGCATTACATAATCAGATTTCTTTAACACCAACATTCCTTTATTGCTTTTCTCAATCTTAGCAATAAGTAAGTATCTAACAGCGTATAAAGAAGCCACATCAAGAATATTCACTTCCTTGATGGAAAAGCTTGGTGTTTATAAAAAATGACAAATTAACAGTCAGAGTGAGCTAGCAAATGGAAGGCTTAGGATACAGAAGTGATATAGTATGGGGGTTTCATATAAGAGAAGACCTCCTGTTCCCAATGTTTATTCCTACTATTATAACTGATTTCAAATTTCACATTTGGGAATTAATCAGAATCTCAATAGATCAATGATCTCCAAAAATTATTTATTAAGCTGTGATGAATCTTAGAGTAATATCTGAGAACAAGGAGGATAACAAGCTAAGAAAATGGTGCTATTGGAGTGATACAGAGCATACGTGGCTAAAAGGAATGGGGTAACAGGAGAGCCACCCTAAAATAATGTGTGGACTTCTAAACTTTGCCTAGAGCTGCCTCTGAAGATATGAGGCTGTTTTTGAATGTGGCTTATACAGAGAGTGCAAAGTTGACTTAATCACATGAATGCTGTTAGATAAGGACATTCTAGGAAGAGAGGAGAAAAAAGTCCGTGTGAATGTTTAAAAATTAAGAAAAGACAAAACATGCTGCTAAATTGCATCCATATCTTATCTTCTTATTTACATATTAAAGTCTTAGAGAATTTTCCTTCTTGATGAATTACTTAGGCTGAAAATATAAGAAAATAGACACTAAAGCAGAAATGACCAAGGTATGTTCTTAGCTATAAAAGAGCTTGAACCTTTATATGAATAAAGAAAATAGTTATTACTTTCTTCTAAAAAACGGTAAGATATCTCTCTCCAAAAATTTTTTATTCCTACCCACTTTTCTTTGCAATTGTAGCCTATCTGTAATGGAAACAAGTATACCTGTAGGATACCTGTAGGCAGAGAAGATACTTCTATACAGCACACATTATCTCATTTGAGTGTCAAAAGCATCACTGAAAATGAGCACCCCATAGCATCCAAGCAAAAAACATCTCTAAAAGGTTAAATGTTTTGCCTAAGGTCATTTAATTCCTAAGTAAAAAATATTATATATATATATATATATATATATATATATATATATATATATATAATGTGCATGGTCACACACACACACAGACACACACACACACATACACACACACACAGATTAGAACTCAAGTCTTGTCTTTCATATCTGTTCCTTTTCTTCTAGTCTGACCCATCACATAATATCATCTTATTCTTACCAACTGAGACTCCTTTTGCCACCACCCAGTGGAGATTTCTCCATCTCCTCTTGTAATAACATTTATTGGCTCTTTCTGCAGCCCCAAGCTATCTGTAGCCCAAGTTCTTTTTCCTATTCAAGCGGTGAACCAATCATTATGAAGCAAGAACTAATAGAAAAATAGATAAAAATCCCACTTACTTTCACTGCCCTCATATGCTGCTCGACCTTTACCCGACTAATTCATAGGAAAGGCTATAATAAATAAAGAATAATTTCTACAAACAAAAGATTGCAACTAAAGGAAAGGAAAAATTTTGGTTTAGGAATCACTCTGGAAGTTGACTTTTCTAAAATCTGTATAAACTTTTAAACTATTAAAATTCTTATTCTATTTAACTGGTTATTTAAAATCTATTCAACCATTGGAATAACAAGATACTGCTCAGGGCCACTAAAGGTGAAATCAGAATATTCATTAAGGGCCATGTACCTAAAAATATTTGCAATAGACTTGAGTTTAGGCTCACTTGTTTGATAGCCCCAGTTATTTGCACTGAATTCTGCCAAACTCTCTTTCCCCTCACTTCAGGACAGCACTTGTTCATATAATTAATCTTTTAAGTGCCTGAGAAGATCATGATATAGTCTTTCCCACAGCATTTGGACAATGTCTACATGTTTGGTTTCATTGCTTCTTCCTTTCTTAAAAAATAAAGTTTGTTAGTTGATTCCAGTACATCAGAAATAAAAGAAAGAAGTGGTGTAGCTCACTAATATTTGGAGGTTAGTAAGCTTGAGCTGCAGGTTGATCCTCTTTCCTGAAGAAGAATATCTGGGCCATACAAAGAGGTGAAGTTGTGAATTAATTTTGAGTTGCTGGATACATCCAAGACAAGTTGATCACAAAAAAATTAACAAAAAAGAACAAAATCTCCAGTTATTCAATGGGTATTACTTAGTGCTGTGATATTTCTTATTATCAGAGGATAATGTACATGTGCGTGCATGCTCTCACACACACACACACACACACACACCCTGGATAATGTATTACTATAAACAGCTTGCAGATAATAGTATATTAGTCTTTGAAAAGCACATTACTAAAATGCTGATTTTATAACAGAAGCACTTGCCTCTACAGTTTCTTAGACTGCCTCTGCTGTTTCTAGATTATTTTGTTATTTGTTTTATTTTCACCCTCCTCCCTATAAATGAAAAATTTAAAAGCCTCATCTTTTAACTTATCTAAAAGTAAAATGAAACAAACATGAGAAAAAAAATCAAAATCCATTAATATTAGGTTGGCCTCAATTTTTTTTGTTTATAAAGTGGGTTCTTCAACTCAATGGTAAACTTTTTCTACGCCAAAGTGTGCTTGCTTTTTCTCTCTTCTCAATGTACCACAACACTGAGTCCTGGAGTAGGAAAAGTTTAAATACCGAAAAAATATTTCACAAAAAGACAAAACAATAACAACAAAAATAATAACAATCCAATGACTTTACATCTTATAATGACTCCTTTTCTTTTAGCTATTTTTAAATCTGAAAATTAAAGCTGTATCGCTTCCTAAAATATTGAACTGGACAAGACACTAGAGTAGAAAACAAAATAGTTCAAACTTTTATCCTTTTGTAGTCTAGGTCAG